>NC_000023.11:44785837-47285837 GCF_000001405.40 Homo sapiens | reverse complement strand
TCACGCATTTCAAGGAAATCACTTCTCTTCTAACTACAAGCAGCCAGAAAAGAACAGACAATAAAACACAGATAAGACAGCTCAGGCACAGAGGAAGGCAGGGAGAAAGTCTCTTGGGTAACTGCCAAACTTCACCTTCATACAAGGGGCCCCAGTGAAACAGTGGGCCTTAATAAGCACATTCCTTTCCCTTCAGGTGCACTAAGATAGGGAAGCTAAAGGCAGACTCGGGATGCCTGCAACTGCAGGAAGATGTATTGGAACAGACACAAAACTCTCCCTCCCAGATAAGCACAACAAAGAGACACAGAAGCAGTCCAAGCCTCTGATAAACTCTCCCACCCTAAATCCTTAAAAATTCTTAGTCTGTAAGAGAGTGCGGCTTCTGACGTAACTCAGAAGGGTCAGAAGTCCCTCCCAGGTTTAAAATAAATCTGTTGACTGTCAAGCCACCCTTCATGTTTCTCTCCTCTTTCTTTAATTCTTACAGAGGCTGCAGTGAGCTATCATACCACTGCACTCCAGCCTGGGTGACAGACCAAGACCCTGTCTCAAAAAAAAAAAAAAAAAGAAGCCCTGGCGAGGTGGCTCATGCCTGTAATCCCAGCACTTTGGGAGGCCGAGAAGGGTAGATCACTTGAGGTAAGGATTTCAAGACCAGCCTGGCCAACATGGCGAAAACCCATCTCTACTAAAAATACAAAAATGGGCTGGGCGCAATGGCTCATGCCTGTAATCCCAGCACTTTGGGAGGCCGAGGTGCATGGATCACCTGAGGTCAAGAGTTCTCGACCAGCCTGGTCAACATGGTGAAACCCCGTCTCTACTAAAAATACAAAAAATTAGCTGGGCATGGTGGCGGATGCCTGTAATCCTAGCTACTCGGGAGTCTGAGGCAGGAGAATCACTTGAACCCAGGAGGCGGAGGTTGCAGTGAGCCGAGATTGCACCATTGCACTCCAGCCTGGGCAACAAGAGCAAAACTCCGTCTCAAAAAAAAAAAAAAATTAGCTGGGCCTGGTGGTGGGTGCCTGTAATTGCAGCTATTTGGGAGGCGGAGGCAGGAGAATCACTGGAACCCAGGAGACAGAGGCTGCAGTGAGCCGAGATTGCACGACTACACTCCAGCCTGGGCGACAGAGTGAGACTCCACCCCACCACCCGTCCCCACCCTCAAAAAAAAAACAAAAAAAATCCAGGGTCTTAAACTCTAGCTACAGTTCATGCCCCAAGAGGGGACCTCGTCTTACAAGGACATCAGGCCTACACTTGCTTGCACACACAGACCAGACTAAGCTCTCCAACATGAATGGTGAGGAGCAGTCATATTGCCCTGGATTTCCTGCTGGTGGCCAGGGCTGGCTGTGTGCAGTTGCCGACACCTCTTGCTGCACCTGGATTAATGACCGACTTAGCTGGCTTGGCTTTGACCAGGAGCCTGACTGTGGTCTGTTCTCCAGGTGGGTCTGATCATTCTACTTGATCATAGCCACAGTTATTCTCATCTGATGTCACTTAACGCCAATAGAAAGGATTTCATCCATGCCACTGTCACAGTACAATTAATTGGGGCATCTGATAGGGTGGCCTGTGTTTTTTTTTTTTTTTTAGTCAGAGTCTTGCTCTGTCGTCCAGGCTGGAGTGCAGTCGCACCATCTCGGCTCACTGCAACCTCCGCCTCCTGGGTTCAAGTGATTCTCCTGCCTCAGCCACCCGAGTAGCTGGGACTACAGGTGTGTGCCACCATGCCTGCTGATTTTTGTATTTTTGGGGTGTGTGTGTGTGTGTGTGTGTGTGTGTGTGTGTGTTTTGAGACGGAGTTATGTTCTTGTTGCCCAGGCTGGAGTGCCGTGGCTCGATTTCGGCTCACTGCAACTTCTGCCTCCTGGGTTCAAGAAATTCTCCTGCCTCAGCCTCCCAAGTAGCTGGGATTACAGGCGTCCGCCACCATGCCTGGATAATTTTTTGTATTTTTAGTAGAGATGGAGTTTCACCATGTTGGCCAGGCTGGTCTCGAACTGCTGAGCTCAGGTGATCTACCCACCTCAGCCTCTCAAAGTGCTGGGATTACAGGTGTGAGCCACCGCACCTGACCTGGCCTGTGCTTCTTGAAAACAAATTCTTAGCTGGTTACACAAAAGGCCAGGCAGTGCAGTTGTAGGGACCAGGTCTGCCATGATGCCATGGAGACCTTGCACATCTCCACGTGGGCGAAGGCAAAGGCTTACCTGAAGTCTGACTTGAGTCTTGGCAGAACGTCCTGTGATTTTTTTCCAGGAAGTGGGCAAGACAAGAAGCCTGGTGAGGAGCCACCGTGAGGCAGTTTCTCATCGGCCTCCCTGGCTCTGGTGTGGTATCGGGCTTTCTACCTTGCCCAGACTTAATTTCCAGCTGCAGGCTTCTGTGTAAGTCTATTACAAAACTGCTTGTGGTCGTTTTTGAGTTGGCCCTTCAATGTCACCTGGCCCCTCTGGTTCAGTGTCATCCTGTGGGACTAAGGATGTTGGAGCTGACACCATGATGGTCTTACTGTCTCTTTAAGCAATAAACTGTCTGAATGCAGTTGGGCTCACCATTTCTTTAGCGGCTGAATCCGTGGACACGTGACAAGCCAGCCTAGCAACCGCCTCCGCACCGTTGCTTAGGAACTGTTTGACCACTTGACACAAATGTGCAGAAATGTGAGGGAGGATATGCTCTCGCACACTTCGGCATTTTGATGAAATATCTTTCTAATGTCACCTTACTTTACAATTTCCCGCAGCAGCTTCCTGGGTCACATTGCCCTAATATATCAATACCCGTGAGCACTAAGGAACCCTGCACCATATTAGGACTGGAAACCCACTGGGAGCTTGGATGTGGGGCGTTACTTAAGATATTCTAAAAAGGAAGACAAGAAACCATAACTGTACTCTTACTAGAAAAAAACTGCAGTGCAAAGAAATTACTGCATCAGTGTAACCTAAGATTGCAGATCACAAACATTTCACAGTAAAAAAGGGTATTTGGAGATCAGTTAAGCCCAAAACCAAACTAAACCAAATGGGTCCATAGTCTTGTGTCTGTCATACAGGTCAGGAAACAGAAACACCAAACTGTAAAGTAACTTATCCAATATCTCACTTGTGCAGTTGAGACTGACAGTTTCCCTTTCTTCCATCAAAAATTGGTCTCCTTACACAAGCTGTGTAAGGGGCTGTGAACAAACACGTACACCTACAACAAAGAATATGCTCTTAGTCTTTAGTTTGCAATTCTCTTCCCCTTTGAAAAGTTAGGACAGCCTGTAATCTCAACACTTTGGGAGACCGAGGTGGGCAGATCGCTTGAGGCCAGGAGTTCGAGACCAGCCTGGACAACATAGTGAAAGCCTGTCTCTACGAAAAGTACAAAAAAAAAAAAAAATTAGCTGGGTGTGGTGGCACGTGCCTGTGGTCTTAGCAACTTGGGAGGCTGAGCTGGGAAGATCACTTAAGCCAGGGAGGTTGAGGCTGCAGTGAGACGAGATCACATCACTGCACTCCAGCCTGGGCAACAGAGCAAGCCTCTGTCTCAAAAAGAAAGAAAGAGACAGACAGGGAAGGGAAGGGAAGGGGAGGGGAGGGGAGGGGAGGGAGAAAGGAAGAAGGATGGAAGGGAGAAAGGAAGGAGGAAGGAAGGAAGGAAGGAAAGAAAAGGGAAGGGAAGGGAAGAAAGAAAAGTTAAAGCATATTGTTGCATTAAGCAAAATCTTGAAGCAGACCAACAGATGAAATTTTTCACTCTTATAGAAAGTGTATGCCCTACATGTTGGCGCGTGCCTGTAGTCCCAGCTACTCCAGAGGCGGAGGCAGGAAAATCACTTGAACCTGGGAAGTGGAGGTTGCAGTGAGCCGAGATCACACCACTGCACTCCAGCCTGAGCAACAGAGCCAGACTGTCTCAAAACAAACAAGCAAACAAAAAAACACAACAAAAAGAAAACATATGCCCTAAAAATGTGACTATCTGGGGTGCTCTGGGAATGTGGCAAATGCTAGTCTATAGCACTGGTAGTTTCGGGGGTGCAATACTAGCGTGCAAGTGATAGTCTTTCTCTCGGTACTCACACGTGAAGGGCATCACTTGCCTGCGCGCCACTGTGCCAGTGTTTGTAATGATTTCGCCTCTATGGCTGGCCACCCTCTCACTCCTGATCTCTGTTCTGAGGCCATCACCCCACCCTTGCATGTTGCATATTCAGATGTCTATCTGGGTTTGTAGAGGGATATTAACAAGATAACCAAAAGTTTATTTTATTTGCAGTTTTTGATTATACACATTAATCACACTTTTTGCACTACTTATAGTGAGTTACATAACAAACATAGTCTCAATATTCGAATAAGAAGCAAAATACTAGAAAGATCTGCCTTCTCTACCTGGCTTTTTTATTTCTTTTCTAAGTTGCAATGTGGCTGTTAGAAAATATCCTTACAGTAACTGAATCACTTTGATTAAATTAAAGTGATAGCAACATGTTGATGTTTAACATGTTAACTTATATCTTTTTAAAGAAAATTAACTTTATTTCATAATTTGTGTCCTTAAAAGAGAATGTTTGTGTAATCACAAAACATTTTTCCAAGTTATTGGGTTTTTTGTTTGTTTGTTTGTTTTTGTTTGTTTTTTTCCTTTCTATACTGGGGTCAGCACTACAAAAACAAAAGTTACTGAATTTCAGCTGAATACTACTGTTTGGTAGAAGCTCTGGGCCTGAAATCTGCTCCTCTGTTGTCAAAAGATGTACTAGGCCAGGCACGGTGGCTCATGCCTGTAATCCCAGCTACCCAGGAGGCTGAGGCAGGAGGATTCCTTGAGCCCAGGAGTTTCAGGCTTCAGTGAGCTATGATTGCACCACTGCACTCCAGCCTGGATGACAGTGAGACTCTCTCTCTCTTTTTAAGAGACAAGGTCTCAATCTCTGGTCCAGGCTGGAGTGCAGTGATGCAATCATAGCTCACTGCAGGCTCGAACTCCTGGGCTCAAGTGATCCTCCCACCTCAGCCTCCCAAGTAGCTGAGACTGCAGGTGAGAGCCACCATACCTTCCTTGTAGAGACAGGGGACTCACTAAATTGTGCAGGCTGGTCTCAAACTCCGGTCCTCAAGTCATCCTCCTATCTCAGCCTCCCAAAATGTTGGAATTACAGGTGTAAGCTACCTTGCCTGGCTCCTGCCTTTTAAAAAAAAAAAAAAAAAAAAAAAAAAAAAAAAAAAAAAGATATACACCATGGAGGCTGAAGGAAACTGGGGAAGGTACCGTCTGTTTCCTGCTGTGCCCATTAGTTCCATCAGAGATAAATAAATGCAGTTTTACTTATGTTTTAAAATGTGGGCCAGGAGTGATGGCTCACACCTGTAATCCCAGCACTCTGAGAGGCCGAGGCCAGTGGATCACCTGAGGTCAGGAGTTCGAGACCAGCCTGGCCAACATGGTGAAACCCCGTCTCTACTAAAAATACAAAAATTAGCTGGGCGCAGTGGTGGGCACCTGTAATCCAGCTACTCAGGGGACTGAGGCAGGAGAATCACTTGAACCTGGGAGGTGGAGGTTGCAGTAAGCTGAGATCACGCCACTGCACTCCAGCCTAGGCGACAGAGTAAGATCCTGTCTCAAAAATAAATAGGCCAGGCGCGATGGCTCACACTTGTAATTCCAGCACTTTGGGAGACCGAGGCGGGCAGATCACGAGGTCAGGAGATCGAGATCATCCTGGCTAACATGGTGAAACCCCGTCTCTACTAAAAATACAAAAAATTAGCTGGGCATGGTGGCACCCACCTGTAGTCCCAGCTACTCAGGAGGCTGAGGCAGGAGAATCGCTTGAACCCGGGAGGCAGAGGTTGCAGTGAGCCAAGATCACGCCACTGCGCTCCAGCCTGGACGACAGAATGAGACTCCATCTCAAAAATACAAATAAATAAAAATAAATAAATAAATAATAAATAAAATGTGCACCAATTTAAAGAAACATGTTAAGTAAATAATGTTCATTTGGTACGTGGATATGGCAAAAGTGATGGTTGTATCTGAAGTACTGAAGTCTACGCTACCCTGGCCTATCTCTTGTCATGTGCATATGCTTTATGTGTGTGTCATATATAACATATATAATATGAAATACAAATATATTTTAATATATACCCTCCATGTTAAAACTTGGGAATTATGAAGAAAGTATCACAGTCTTTGGATTTCTTTTCTTTTCTGTTTTGTTTTGTTTTGTTTTGTTTTTTGAGACAGGGTTCCACTCTGTCACTCAGGCTGGAGTGCAGCGGCACGATCTCAGCCCACAGCAACCTCCGCCTCCCAGGTTCAAGCGATCCTCCCACCTCAGAGTTCCGAGTAACTGGGACTATAGGTGCCCACCACCATGCATGGCTAATTTTTGTTTTTTGGTTTTTTTTGTAGAGACAGGATTTCGCCATGTTGACCAGGTTGGTCTCAAACTCCTGACCTCAAGTGATCTGCCCACCTTGGCCTCCCAAAGTGCTGGAATTACAGGCATGGGCTACTGCTCCTGGCCGGATTTCTTTTTCTTTTCCAAAAATGGCATTTAGAACCATAACCTTTTTTCCCCTCATGTCAGATGGGTAATGTGCCTGTGCTGTAACAAGGTTGGAGAGAGGCATGTCTCACACATAAGCATGAAAACCGAACCACCATACTTATGAACCACAAAAGGGTGGGCAGCTACCATCTTTATGAAACAGTGTATTGAGGAGAAGTCAAAAGGAGAATTAGGCTATGAATTTATACATCACACACCAACTTCAGAGAATGGGCTTTTGTGGCCATGGCTGTGTTTTGAGCACCACCTGGTTAGCAAGCTGGAACTCAAACCAGTTCTCTGAACTCCAGTGTTAGAGTAGCTTACACGATGCTATGTACTGAGAAAACCATACGGGATGAGAAAAACATATGGTAATGGTAACAGAAATTGATTCATTCCACTGTTCACACAATGCAAACATGCCAAAGGAAGGACTCAGCCTGAACATATTTCCATTATGATGTAATTCTACAACTACAATCTAGTGTCTACACTTTACTTTTCTTTTTATTTTATTTTATTTTATTTTATTTTATTTTATTTTATTTTATTTTATTTTATTTTATTTTATTTTTGCGACGGAGTTTCGCTCTTGTTGCCCAGGCTGGAGTGCAATGGCACGATCTCAGCTCACTGCAACTTCTGCCTCCTGGGTTCAAGCAATTCTGAGGGATGCCTCAGCCTTCTGAGTAGCTGGGATTACAGGCACGCGCCACCACGCCCAGCTAATTTTGTATTTTAGTAGAGACGGGGTTTCCCCATGTTGGTCAGACTGGTCTCGAACTCCTGACCTCAGGTGATCTGCCTGCCCTGGCCTCCCAAAGTGCTGGATTACAGGCATGAGCCACCGCGCCCGGCCAGTGTCTACACTATTACAGGTGAGTGACAAAAATGAATATTATGGAACATTTCAATTCAGAATGTTGCCCTGTAGTGTTAAAAACGGAGTAGGGGGAGATATGTGTATTTACCGGTGAGGGTGAGATATTTATTTTATAGTGTTTAAAATGAAGCAATCCAGCCAGGGGCAGTGGCTCACACCTGTAATCCTAGCACTTTGGGAGGCCAAGGCAAGAGGATGGCTCGAGCCCAGGAGCTCGAGACCAGCCTGGCCAACATGGTGAAACCCCGTCTCGACAAAAAATACAAAAATCAGCCAGGCATGGTGGGGTGCACCTGTAGTCCTACTTGAGAGGCTGGGGCAGGAGAATTGCTTGAGCCCAGGAGGTTGAGGCTGCAGTGAGCCATGATCGCGTTACTACACTCCAGCCTAGGAGATAGAGAGCCTGTCTCAAAAAAAAGTTATTTATGACCACCACGGTGGCTCACACCTGTAATTCCAGCACTTTGGGAGGTCGAGGCAGGTGGATCACTTGAGCTCAGGTGTTCGAGACCAGCCTGGCCAGCATAGTGAAACCTTGTGTCTACTAAAAATACAAAAATTAGCCAGGCGATGTGGATTACAGCCAGGCGTCTGTAATCCCAGCTACTCGGGAGGCTAAGGCAAGAGAATCACTTGAACCCAGGAGGTGGAGGTTGCAATGAGCTGAGATCACGCCACGGCACTCCAGTCTGGACGACAGAGCAAGACTCCATCTCAAAAATAAAAAAAAGAGAGGGTCCCAATCCTGTTGTGTTGCCAGTGTCCACATTCCAGCTTTTTGCTAATCAACAAAGCCATTCTTTTTTTTTTTTTTTTTTGAGACATAATCTCACTCTGTCACCCAGGCTGGAGTGCAGGGCTTGAGGGTTCCAGCAAACACCTCTGCCATCTGTCTGCCTGCTTTTTCTGTCACTTTTGAAATTCTGGTATCATGCCCATGGTCAAAGCAACTAACTTCTGTGGCTACTAGAACTTTCTTCTTCCTTTTTTTTTGAGACGGTGTCTTGCTCTGTCGCCCAGACTGGAGTGCAATGGCGCGGATCTCTGCTCGCTGCAACCTCCGCCTCCTGGGTTCAAGCGATTCTCCTGCCTCAGTCTCCCAAGTAGCTGGGACTACAGGCACGTGCCACCATCCCTGGCTAATGTTTTGTATTTTTAGTAGAAACAGGGTTTCACCATGTTGGCCAGGCTGGTCTCGAACTCCTGACCTCAGGTGGTCTGCCTGCCTCGGCCTCCCAAAATGCTGGGATTATAGGCGTGAGCAACTGTGCCCTGCCTTCTTCCTGCTTTTCTCACTCTGCATTTCCTGCTGCTGTCGATGAAACTCAGCTTCTTATTCCCAGGCACTCTCAGAGTGAGGATCCATAGGAGGCTTTGATTCTCAGGACAGATAACCCCATCTTTCCTTTGGTTCTGACCTATTTTTCTGTGTCCTTGTTACTGTGGTCATACCCAGAGAAGTAACATTTTGTCTTGCATTTGCAAAAATCTCCACCTTTCCCCACAAAGGGATTTCAGCACAGTGGCTATTTTAACAGATACCATGCAGCACGTACCACACATTCCCTTCCTGAGTCCTCGAAAGTAATTTTCAGCTTTTGATTGGTTATATTTTTCTTCCCAGCTACATTTTTGGGAAGTCCAGCAGAATAACTTGCTACTCTTTTAAAGGTTCTAATGATAAAATGAAACAAAACATCCCCTTTATATCATCACCCACAAAGCCCTAATGCGTGCAACAAAGATTGTGAAATGGCCAGAGAACAGTTTGTGAGACAGAAAGGATGGCTTTGATGGCCAGGCATGATGGCTCATGCCTATAATCCCAGCACTTTGGGAGATCGAGGTGGGTGGATCACAAGGTCAGGAGTTCAAGACCTGCCTGGCCAACATGGTGAAACCCCTTCTCCACTAAAAATACAAAAATTATCCAGGCGCAGTGGCAGGCGCCTGCAATCCCAGCTACTCAGGAGGCTGAGGCAGGAGAATCACTTGAAGCCGGGAGGCGGAGGCTGCAGTGAGCCGAGATCATGCCACAGCACTCCAGCCTGGGCAACAGAGCGAGACTCCGTTTCAAAAAAAGAAAAAAAAAAGAGAAAATATATTCTATGGGCCATGTGCGCTGGCTCACGCTTATAATCCCAGCAGTTTGGGAGGCAGGAGGATCGCTTGGTCCTAGGAGTTCAAGACCAGCCTGGGCAATATGGAAAGACTCTGTCTCTATTAAAAAAAAAAAAAAAAAGGCCGGGCACAGTGGCTCATGCCTGTAATCCCAGCACTTTGGGAGGCCGAGGCAGGTGGATCACCTGAGGTCAGGAGTTCAAGACTAGCCTGGCCAACATGGTGAAACCCCATCGCTACTAAAATACAAAAACAGCTGGGCATGGTGGTGGGTGCGTGTAATCCCAGCTACTTGGGAGGCTGAGGCAGGAGAATCACTTGAACCCGGGAGAGGTTGCAGTAAGCTGAGATCGCACCACTGCACTCCAGCCTGGGCAACAGAGCAAGACTCCATCTAAAAAAAGAATGAGGCGAGGCAAGGCGAGGCGGGGCGGCTTGGGGTGGGACGAGGCGAGGCGTTGCGTTCTGCGCTTGTGGTCCCAACTACTCTAGAGGCTGAGGTGGGAGGATCACAAAAAATACAACCCTGTACATGAATGTTCATAGCAGCTTTATTTGTAATAGCCACAAAGTGAAACAGCCCAAATGCCTTTTCAACATTAGGGATGAATGTTTATCTCTGTGATATGTCCATACTATGGAACAGTGCTCAGCAATACAAAGGAGCAAACCCTTGATACATGCAACGATTTGGATGGATTTCCACGGGATTATGCTGAGTGAAAAAGCCAATCTGAAAAAACTGAGTATTGTATGATTTCTTTTATACAATAACCCTGAAATAAGAAAATAGAGATTAGGTGCTGCGAGGGATTAGGGTGGTGGAGAAGGTAGGTGTCTGTTCCGTTTATAAAGGGGTAGCACAAGAGAGCTTTGTGGGGATGGAAGCCTTCTCTGTTGAATGTGGTAGTGGTTACACGTGAAATAACTGAATGGAATTAAACTCACACACATAAGTGCACACAAAACTGGTGAAATCTGAATACACTCTGGATTGCACCAACGTTAATATCCTGGTTTTGACATGGTACTAAATTTATGCCAGATGTTACCATTTGGGGAATTGAGTGGAGTGCATGGGTCCTCCCTTATAATTTTTGTTACCACTGCATGTGAATCTATACTTATTTTAAAACAAAAAGTTAAAAATCAAAATAGGCCGGGCATGGTAGCTCACGCCTGTAATCCCAGCACTTTGGGAGGCCGAGGTGGGTGAATCACCCGAGGTCAGGAGTTTGAGACCAGCCTGACCAACATGGAGAAACCCCATCTCTACTACAAATACAAAATTAGCAGGACATGGTGACACATGCCTGTAATCCCAGCTACTCACGAGGCTGAGGCAGGAGAATTGCTTGAAACCGGGAGGCAGAGGTTGCGGTGAGCCGAGATCGTGCCATTGCACTCCAGCCTGGGCAACAAAAGCAAAACTCCGTCTCAAAAAAAAAAAGAAAAGAAAAAGAAAAAGAAAAAAGAATCAAAATAAATAATGAAAGGAATGAATTATATAACCTATTGAATAAATTAGAAAACCGTGAGTCCATACTGCCATAAATAAATTAATGAATAAATGGAAAGTTTGATGAGGAATGGGATATTGACATAGCCTCAAAGTACCTCCCCACTCCGAACTGAAATAGGAAAATAATAACTTTAAAGTACAGAAACATGGCAAATACCATCTTAACGAAGGAATCAAAGTGAATATCATCAGTATTCAAATCCTGTGCCACCTCATAGGCTGAAATGAGGACACAGCATCACCTCTATGATCTTCCTATCCAAGATGAGAACCTGAGGATGGCAGGAAGGGCTGGAGGTCGGGGCCTGGAGCAGCTATTGCACTTAATCGCGGCTGCTAGCACCATGTCCCGCGTTTTGGTGCCTTGCCATGTGAAAGGCACCGTAGCCCTGCAGGTGGGGGACGTATGGACCTCCCAAGGCCGGCCTAGTGTGCTGGTCATTGATGTCACCTTCCCCTGTGTCACTCCGTTCGAGGGGATCACATTTAAGAATTATTACACAGCGGCCGGGCATGGTGGCTCACGCCTGTAATCTCAGCACTCTGGGAGACCGAGGCAGGTGGATCACCAGAGGTCAAAAGTTTGAGACCAGCCTGGCCAACATGGTGAAACCTTGTCTCTACTAAAAACACAAAAATTAGCCAGGTGTGATGGTGGGAGTTCAAGATCAGCCTGACCAACATGGAGAAACCCCGTCTCTACTAAAAATACAAAATTAGCCGGGGTGGTGGTGCATGCCTGTAATCCCAGCTACTTGGGAGGCTGAGGCAGGAGAATTGCTTGAAGCCGGGAGGTGGAGGTTGCAGTGAGCCGAGATCGCACCATTGCACTCCAACCTGGGCAAAAAGAGCGAAACTCCATCTCAAAAAAAAATAAAAAGAATTACTACACAGCTTTTTTGAGCATCCTGTCTGTCAGCACACCTCAGCACACACACCGGCCAAGTGGGTGACCTGCCTGTGGGACTACTGTCTGATGCCCAACCCACACAGTGAGGAGGGAGCCCAGGAGTATGTGTCGCTGTTCAAGCAACAGATACTGTGTGACATGGCCAGAATATCGGAGCTACACCTGATTCTGCAGCAGCCATCACCACTGTGGCTGTCTTTCACAGTGGAGGAGCTGCAGATCTATCAGCAGGGACCAAAGAGCCCCTCCATGATCTTCCCCAAGTGGCTCTCCCACCCAGTGCCCTGTGAGCAACCTGCACTCCTCCATGAGGGTCTCCCAGACCCCAGCAGGGTATCCTCTGAGGTGCAGCAGATGTGGGCACTGACAGAGATGATCCGGGCCAGTCACACCTCCGCGAGGATAGGCCACTTTGATGTAGATGGCTGTTATGACCTGAACTTACTCTCCTACACTTGAGTGGTGGCTCCTAGCCAAGATGTTGGCCTTTCTGTGCCCACTCAGACTTGGTTTGGGCCACCAGAGGCCGAAATGTGTTTTCTGTGCATTCCAAGTGTTGCCTGCATGCCTGTTCTGTCTGGGCAGCATTCACAGATTCAAGATTCTCCGGGGCTGACTGTGTTGCTTCAGCATGAGCTCCTGGCAAGGGGGCACTCTGTCTTCACCTGGCTGCAACTCAGTTCTTCCTTCTACCCAAAAACACTCCAGTCAGTTGTACTTACTAAGAATCCCTGAGTGCCCTCTGCCCCTCCTGCCAACATGCACTCTCCTGTCTTCTGCCTGCTCCTTCACCTCAGTGCAGTTGGGCTGGGCTGACCTACTAGAACGTGCTCCATGTATGGACCCAGAAGGCCATTGCTGCCATGGCACTTGGGATACTTGAGGAAGAAACAGAAACCTTATTTCTTCCTGTGTGTCCCCTAGTGACTTTCTTTCCCTTTGTGTTATGCCATAAAAAGAAAATTTCCTGTCTAAACTCTTCTGCTGCCTGCCTAGGAAGCAAAGCTGAAGATTTGGGCAGCCTGAGTCTCTCAGTTTCTGAGCTGGCTCCTGAATATATGTCCAAATGGGTGTGCCCATAGGGCCTCGGCAGGTGTCTCTAGCAAAGCCAGGGCCTGAGAATAAGAACTGGGATCTGTCTGCCATCTGACATAGCCCAAAGCACATTCCTATCCTTTCTCCCAGTTGCCCCTTTCCAAGAGACATGCTCAGCATGATGAGAGATCAACCATGGTGGGGAATGGGTCCAAGTAAGGGTTCTCATTGGTGCCTTTTAAGAGGCCTAGGTCCTCCATTAACTCAGGCCAACCATTAAGTGATGCAGGCTGCTCTTCCTTCATGTGAGAAAACCCTGTTTCCCTCTGGTTCTTCCTGGCTTCACCCCTGGTGGCTATTATAAAGCAGTACTGTTGTATGTCTTGGACCTGGAAAACTGGACATGTGTGCGACTCAACAGTTTTCTTGGGGGAGTTCAGTGACCTTTTGGTGGTCACCCTCTGCTCTCATCCATGAGTTCTTACATAGCCCCATTCAGCTGCTTCTGAAAGGGTGATGGAACAGTAGTCCTCAGTGTGTGTGTGAGTGAAGAGGACCTTGTGGTGGCAGGGACCATGCTTCATTCGTGGCTGTGTCCCCAGCCCAGGGCCTGGTATGCAGCAAGATCAGTAAATACTTGTGGAATGCAAAAAAAAAGAAGAAGATGCAGAACCTGACCTAGCCAGAAGGAAACATCAGACAAACCCAAACTGAGGGACAGGCTACAAAATAACAGGCTTCTAACCTTCAAAAGTATCAAGGTCATGAAAGTCCAGAATTTCTTTTTTTTTTTTTTTTTTGAGACAGTCTCACTCTGTTGCCCAGGCTGGAAGTGCAGTGGCGCAATCTCGGCTCTCTGCAGCCTCCGCCTCCTGGGTTCAGGTGATTCGCATGCCTCAGTAGCTGGGATTACAGGGGTGCACCACCACACCCAGCTAATTTTTGTATTTTTAGTAGAGACGGGGTTTCACCATTTTGCCTAGGCTGGTCTCGAATCCCTGACCTCAGGTGATCCACCGGCTTCAGCCTCCCAAACTGCTGGGATTACAGGCACGAGCCACCGGGCCTGGACTTCTTCCTTTTTTTTTTTTTTTTTTTTTTTTTGAGACAGGTTCTCCCTCGGTTGCCCAGGCTGGAGTGCAGTGGCGCAATCACAGCTCACTGCAGCCTTGACCTCCTGGGTTCAAAGGATCCTCCCACCTCAGCTTCCTGAGTAGCTGTGACTGCAGGCTCGAACCAACAGGCTCAGATGGTTTTTGTATTTTTTGTGGAGACAGGATCTCCCTATGTTGCCCTAGCTGGTCTGGAACTCCTGGGCTCAAGCAATCTGCCCACCTCAACTTCCTAACGTGCTAGAATTACAGACGCGAGCCACCATGCCTGACTAGAAAGGACCTTATTGAGACAACTGATAAAACTTAAATGGGGTTTGAGATTAGATGGTAATAACATATTACATTTTGATGGCTATATTTTGGTTATATGAGAATGTTCTTTTTTTTTTTTTTTTTTGAGACAGAGTCTCCCTCTGTCACCCACCCTGGAGTGCAGTGGTGTGATCTCGGCTCACTGCAACTTCTGCCTCCCAGGTTCAAGTGATTATCCTGCCTCAGCCCCCTGAGTATCTGGGACTGTAGGCGCCCGCCACCACATCTGGCTAATTTTTGTATTTTTAGTAGAGATGGGGTTTCACCATGTTTGGTCAGGCTGGTCTTGAACTCCTAACCTCAGGTGACCCACCGGCCTCCGCCTACCAAAGTGCTGGGATTACAGGCATGAGCCACTGCGCCTGGCCAACGTTCTCATTTGTAGGAAATACACACTACAGCATTCAGGGATGATCAGGCATCAGGTTAACAATTATTTTTTTCAACCAAAGTATGTGACTAAGCACCTTAACTTTAAGTGGTTCAGAGAGAAAAGTTATGTGTACTATACCTGTGACTTTTCTGTAAGTTTGGGATTGTTTTAAAGTAATATATTCTAAAACACTAACCAAGGTTATCTGCACACTTTTTTTTTTTTTTTTTTTTTTTTTGAGAGGTAGTTTCACTCTTTCGCCCAGGCCAGAGTGCAATCTCAGCTCACTGCAACCTCTGCCTCCCGGGTTCAAGCAATTTCCTGCCTCCAGAGTAGCTGGGATAACAGGCCCCTGCAACCACACTCGGCTAATTTTTATATCTTTAGTAGAGATGGGGGTTTCACTATGTTGGTCAGGCTGGTCTCGAACTCCTGGCCTCATGATCCACCCACCTCAGCCTCCCAAAGTGTTGGGATTACAGGCGTGAGCCACTGAGCCCAGCTTACTTAAGGTTTTGCACATGGCTGGGCACGGTGGCTCACTCCTGTAATCCCAGCACTCTGGGAGGCTGAGGTGGGTGGATCATGAGGTCAGGAGATCGAGACCATCCTGGCTAACACGGTGAAACCCCGTCTCTACTAAAAATACAAAAAAAAAAATTAGCCGGGCGTGGTGGTGGGCACCTGTAGTCCCAGTTACTCGGGAGGCTGAGGCAGGAGAATGGCGTGAACCCGGGAGGTGGAGCTTGCAGTGAGCCCAGATAGTGCCTCTGCACTCCAGCCTGGGCGACAGAGCAAGACTCCATCTCAAAAAAAAAAAAAAGGTTTTGTACGGAGACTAGTACAATAAATGTTCATATGTCCACCATCTAGATTTAATAATTATTAAAATGTCATCAGGCAAAAATTTCCAGACTGAGCACTGGGGTCATGTGAGGTCCAGCAAAGAAAAATAACGTGCCCAAGGCCACACAGTCGGCTAGTTGTGACAGAGCTTGACTTTGAACCCTGGCAGTCTGGCTCCAGGATCTTTTTTTTTTTTTCTTTTTATTGAGATGGAGTCTCGTTCTGTCACCCAGGCTGGAGTGCAGTGGCGCAATCTTGGCTCACTGCAAGCTCCGCCTCCCGGGTTCACGCCATCCTCCTGCCTCAGCCTCCCGAGTAGCTGGGACTACAGGCACCCGCCACTATGCCCGGCTAATTTCTTTTTTTGTATTTTTGGTAGAGACGGAGTTTCACCGTGTTAGCCAGTATGGTCTCGATCTCCTGACCTTGTGATCCGCCCGTCTCGGCCTCCCAAAGTGCTGGGATTACAGGCGTGAGCCACCACGCCCAGCCAGCTCCAGAATCTTAATTACTACGTGAAACTGCCTCTGTACAGATATAAGGAAATGTTTATGTAGTTTAATTTCAGTCATGTGTCTGTACATGACTTACAGTCTTTTCTGTACTTTTTCCTGCAAGGTTGCATTTATTTATTTATTTTTTATTTTTATTTTTATTTTTATTTTTTGAGACTGAGTCTCGCTCTTGTTGCCCAGGCTGGAGTGCAGTGGTGCAATCTCAGCTTACTGCAACCTCTGCCTCCCGGGTTCAAGCAATTCTCCTGCCTCAGTCTCACGAGTAGCTGGGATTACAGGTGCCCACCACAATGCCCAGCTAATTTTTTATATTTTTAGTAGAGACAGGATTTCGCCATGTTGGCCAGGCTGGTGTCTAAGTCCTGACCTCAGGTGATTCGCTGCCTGGGCCTCCCAAAGTGCTGGGATTACAGGCATGAGCCACTGTGCTCGGCCTCCAGCCATTTGAAAGTAAGTTGCAGACAGCAATCTCCTTCAATTCTAAATTCTTCAGCATGCATCTCCTAAAAGTAAGTACATTCTCTTACATTATCATGTTACGTTTACACACCTAAGACAATTAGCAATAATTCCCTAATATCACTTAATATCCAGTCCATGTTTAATTTTCCCCAGTTGTCCCATACATCTTTTATAACTTTTTTAAAAGACAAGATTCAGTCCAGGCTCATTTATTCCATACACATGCACCTCTTTAGTCTCTTAAACTAAAACAGTGTGTTCATTTTAAAGATGCCAATCCCCAGCATTTAAAGACCCCTGTAATCCCAGCATTTTGGGAGGCCAAGGCAGGAGAATCACTTGACATCAGGAATTTGAGATCGGCCTGGACAGCATAGTGAGACCCCCCCCTTAATCTCTACAAAATAAATAAATAAATAAAATAGGCAGTGTTTTGTTTTGTTTTTGAGACAGGGTCTCACTCTGTCACCCAGGCTTGAGCGCAGCAATGCAATCTCAGCTCTCTGTAGCCTTGGCCTCCCAGACTCAGATGATCCTCCCATCTCAGCCTCCTGAGTAGCTGGGACTACAGGGGTACACCACCACACGTGGCTAATTTTTGTTTTTTTTTTTTAAGGGACGGGATCTCACTATGTTGTTCACAATTCACAATGTCATCCAACTCATCTTTTAACTTTTTCTGTGAAGAAGACAAAATGCCACCATCAGGCACGGTGGCTCATGCCTGTAATCCCAGCACTTTGGGAGGCCAAGGCTGGCAGATCACTTGAGACTGGGAGTTCAAGACCAGCCTGGGCAACATAGCAACACCACCTCTTGATTATAACATTATTACTTTTTGAAAAATGCCACCAGTTCATGTATTTAGACAACTTTATCACTATTGCTCAGGGGAAAAGCCTGTCTTGGTCTAGGAGAATTCCACAGAACATTCTTTTATTTGGTAAAGTGGGAAATTCTAGGATCTGGTAGTGCATTAATCTAATTACCAAAATGATACCACTCATACCACGCTTGGATTAGTAACTTTTCAAATAATTTGGAAACAAACAAAAAAACCATTTAACATTAAAATTGAAAATAATTCCAACTTTGTTTCACTTGAAGAAGGCGGGTCCCAATCCTGTTGTGTTGCCGGTGTCCACGTTCCAGCTTTTTGCTAATCAACAAAGCCATCCTTTCTGTCTCACAAACTGTTCCCTGGACGTTTCACAATCTTTGTTGCACGCATTAGGGCTTTGTGGGTGATGATAAAAAGGGGATGTTTTGTTTCGTTTTATCATTAGGACCTTTAAAAGAGTAGCAAGTTATTCTGCTGGACTTCCCAAAATGTAGCTGGGAAGAACAATATAGCCGATCAAAAGCTGAAAATTACTTTCAAGGACTCAGGAAGGGAACGTGTGGTACGTGCTGCACGGTATCTGTTAAAATAGCCACTGTGCTGAAATCCCTTTGTGGGGAAAGGTAGAGATTTTTACAAATTCAAGACAAAATGTTACTTCTCTGGGTATGACCACAGTAACAAGGACACAGAAAAATAGGTCAGAACCAGAGGAAAGATGGGGTTATCTGTCCTGAGAATCAAAGCCTCCTATGGATCCTCACTCTGAGAGTGCCTGGGAATAAGAAGCTGAGTTTCATTGACAGCAGCAGGAAGTGCAGAGTGAGAAAAGCAGGAAGAAAGTTCTAGTAGCCACAGAAGTTAGTTGCTTTGACCACGGGCATGATACCAGAATTTCAGAAGTGACAGAAAAAGCAGGCAGACAGATGGCAGAGATGTTTGCTGGAACCCTCAAGCCCTAAGGAAGAGTCTTGATTATGTTATCATCACTTCTGATCACTTTAGCGACCATAGCTCTCAGTCTGTGAGGAAAAGCCCTGCTGGCCTTTGAGACTGGTGTGAGGGACTGTCCTGCTCTGGGAAATGTGGGAGGGCTAAATCGGAAAAGCCCAGGCAGGGTTTCCAATCTTTTGGCCTCTCTGGGCCACACTGGAAGAAGAAGAATTGTCTTGGGCCACACATAAAATACGCTAACACTAATGATAGCTGATGAGCTAAAAAATAAATGGCAAAAGCATCTTGTAATGTTTTAAGGAAGTGTAGGAATTTGTGTTGGGCCTCATTCAAAGCCGTCCTGGGCCACATGTGGCCCAGCTTGTGCACAAGCTTGGCCTAGGGTTTCTTGGTTAGATAAAAGCTGTGATGGGGCTTTGAAGCTCAAAGCATCATTTTTTCACAGTCGTTTTGGTGAGTAATCAATTAGCATTTTCTGCGTGGTTGTTTGGGCATCACAAGAAAAGGGCTTCTGAGAAAGCCCCGGCTCCTGGGACAACAGCACAGGTCACACCTTCAACCTCCAGCCCTTGCAATGCGCAAGGAGAGAACAATCGTGCTTCCTGTGGCCATATTGGCACGATTGTTCCAACACCTTTATCATGGCCCATGGGTCACAGAGGGACTCAGGCCCTGCCTGGCTCCTTCTTAGAATGTGCATTTTCACAGCTCATGGGGCAGGAGCTGGTGAAACTGGCCCCTTCCCCAGGGAGCACTGATGCATTTCTAATACCAGGATGAAAACCAGTGCCAGGCCATGGAGACAGCTCTGTCACCCAGGCTGGAGTGCAGTGGTGCAAACTTGGCCTACTGCAGCCTCAACTTCTTGGGCTCAGGCAGTAATTCTCCCACGTCAGCCTCCCAAGTAGCTGGAACTACAGGTGCATGTAACCATGCCTGGCTAGTTTTTTAATTTTTTGTAGAGACAGGGTCTCACTATGTTGCCCAGGCTGGTCTTGAACTTCCGGCCTCAAGCAAACCTCCCACCTTGGCCTCCCAAGTCATTAGTATTACATTTGTGAGCCACAACACCCAGCCAGGGTCTGAATCTATAATTCAGTGTCCTAGCTGTGACCCCAGGAAGCCTCAGATTTGTCATGTTAGACTTTGCATGGCCATCTGGTTTAATGGGGCTGATGAAGATGCTTCTTAGCAGTTCTTAAACTCCCATCATGAGATGTTAGCAATTGAGGCCCTCAAAGAGTTGTCCCCAACGAGCATAGTACAACCCAGTGTCTCACCAAAAAATTTCCTCCAGACTCATTTAAATAAAGAAGCTGAGCTGGGTGTGGTGGCTCACATCTATAATCCCAGCACTTTGGGAAGCTGAGAGGGGTGGATCACCTGTCGTCAGGAGTTTGAGACTAGCCTGGCCAATGTGGTGAAACCCTGCCTCTATTAAAAATACAAAAATTGGCTGGGTGCAGTGGCTCATGCCTGTAATCCCAGCACTTTGGGAGGCCAAGGTGGACAGATCACCTGAGGTCAGGAGTTCAAGACCAGCCTAGCCAACATGATGAAACCCTGTCTTTACTAAAAATACAAAAATTAGCCTGGCATGGTGGCGGGTTCCTGTATTCCCAGCTACTCGGGAGGTTGAGGCAGAAGAATCTCTTGAACCCGAGAGGCGAGGTTGCAGTGAGCCAAGATTGTGCCACTGTACTCCAGCCTGGGTGACAGAGCAAGACTCTATCTCAAAAAAAAAAAAAAAACCCAAAACAAAAACAAAAAACAAAATTATCCTGGCATGGTGGCAGGGCACCTGTAGTCCCAGCTACTCAGGAGGCTGAGGCAGGAGAATTGCTTGAACCCGGGAGGCGGGGGTTGTAGTTAGCCGAGATTGCACCACTGCACTCCGGCCCTGGCAACAGAGAGAGACTCTGTCTCAAAAAAAAAAAAAAAAAAAAAGAAAGAAGGAAAGAAAGAAAAAAACGGAAGCTGGCCGGGCACAGTGGCTCAAGCCTGTAACCCTAGCACTTTGGGAGGTGGAGGTGGAAGATTGTTTGAGCCCAGGGGTTCAAGACCAGCCCGCGCAAAGTAGTGAGACCATATCTCTACAAAAAATTTAAAAATTGGCTGGGCAAGGTGGTGCATGCTTGTAGTCACAGCTACTCAGGATGCTGAGGTGGGAGGATCCTTTAAGCCTGGGAGATGAAGGCTGCAGTGAGCTGTGATTGTGCCCCTGTCCTCCAGCCTGCGTGACAGAGTGAGACCCTGTCTCAAAAACAAAAGAACAGAAGCCCCAGCCTGATGGCAGTGCTTAAAGGACAGGGTCAACGCAGACAGGCATGTCTACATCACCATGAACAGCTCATGGGGGTGGTGGGAGGAAGTACATACTGAAGTCATCTTTTTCTGAAGTAATCACTTGTTTGTTCCAGAAAAGGTTAAAATGAGTCATCTCTCTCCCGGTGTGTCCTCCCCCAACCTCCTCCACAGCTTTTCTGATTCCAGAGCAGAAACAATAGCGGAATTATCACAGCCACAAATAATTGATGGTCACAAAATCATGATCATCAACATAAGATCATTTATATTTTAAAATGTGATTCACCAAAATGAGTAAAACATGCATACACAGGGTCAACAGAGGTTGCCATAGAGATGGTCAGCCATATTGCGCCCAGTTTTATTGTTTATCGTTGCTTGGAAGCACATTCACTGCAATTCTTGTCTTCCCAGAATACTAAAACACACACACAGGCTAGATACAGTCAAGTGAGTGTCACGTTCCTATAAAATTTAGGTTATGCTGTGATTTCATTTGTGCTCTTGGAACCATGAAAACTCAGAGCTACAGGAGCTCTCTGTTCATAGGATCATTCAATTTATTACTTTTACAGCTGTAGAGAATGAGATCAAGGCCAGAAATGGAGGTTAGGAGGAGGGCTCTGACCGGAACCCAAGTATGCTCCTTTACCTGAGAGCAAGACGGCATGGAAGAGACACCAGGGAAATGCGACCTTCAGACCAAGGAAAGACTCGGTGACATTTGAGAATGATGTCTATGACATATAAAGCACCTTTTTCAGGACATTACGGAGCTCTGGGATGTGAATTGTTCCTTTATGTCTAATTCACTCATCTAAATGTTTTAAGAGTGCAAATATCACTTTTTGAAGCTATACTTTCAGTGAAAGTGTTAAGTGAATGCTGTAGTTTTTAAAATTGTGCTTCCAAAATAGACACATAACTCCTGATTTCTTGGGAATACTCATAAAATTCTAACTTAGAAAGACGCAAACATATTTTCCATAAATCCTACTCAGGAGACTGTTGGAGGAAAAGTGGGGGAAGGGAGCAGATGGAATGCTTAGAAGGGAGAGAAATGAGAAACATCACAGCAGTCCAATAAGAAATTAAAGATGGCGGCCGGGATAGCTCACGCCTGTAATCCCAGCACTTTGGGAGGCTGAGGCAGGCGGATCAGTTGAGGTCAGGAGTTCCAGACCAGCCTGGCCAACACGGTGAAACTCCATCTCTACTAAAAATACAAAAATTAGCTGGGCATGGTGGCGGGCGCCTGTAATCCCAGCTACTTGAGAGGCTGAGGCAGGAGAATTGCTTGAACCCAGGAGGCAGAGGTTGCAGTGAACCAAGATCGCACCACTGCACTCAGGCCTGGGTGACAAGAGCTTAACTCTGTCTCAAAAAAAAGAAGAAGAAGAAATTAAAGATGTCTCTTCTTCCCTCAAAAAGCTCTCTGGAGCAAGGTGCAGTGGCTTATACCTGTAATCCCAGCACTTTGGGAGGCCGAGGCAGGCAGATCACCCAAGGTCAGGAGTTCAAGACCAGCCTGGCCAACATGTTGAAACCCTGTCTCTACTAAAAATACAAAAAAAAAAAATAAGCTGGATGTGGTAGTGGGCGCCTGTAATTCCAGCTATTCGGGAGGCTGAGGCTGGAGAATCACTTGAACCTGGGAGGCGGAGGTTGCAGTGAGCCAAGATTATGCCACTGCACTCCACCTTGAGCAACACAGCCAAACTCCGTCAAAAAAAAAAAAATTCTCTGGAGCAAGGTGCAGTGGCTCACACCTGTAATCACAGCACTTTGGGAGGCTGAGGCAGGAGGATTGCTTGAGCCCAGGAGTTCGAGACCAGCTTGAGCAACAGAAGGAGACCCTGTCTCTACAAAAATAAAAAACTACCCAGATGTGGTGGTGCACACCTGTAGTCCTAGGTACTCAGGAGGCTGAGGTGGGGGCGATTGCTTGAGCCTGGCTGGTCAAGCCTGCAACCGTGATTGTGCCTGGATAACGGAGTGAGAGACTCTGTCTCAAAAAAAACAAAACAAAACAAAACAAAACAAAACAAAACAAAAAAACCTCCCTGGAGAACACAGCAGCTGTGGATTCAGTGCACTCTCTCCTTGCATGCTCAGACCCCTTTGCTGACATTAGGGCTTCAGATGTAGTCAACGACAAGTAACACATGCACTGGATACATTTCCTTGTTATCTATTTAATTCAGTAAATCCCATCAAAGTAGCCTCCTTGCTGGGGTCTGATGCTACTGGGCAGTTCTCTGGCCTACAATCTCCAAGTTTCTGTTGCAGCTTTTTTTTTTTTTTTTGAGACACAGTCTCGCTCTGTCGCCCAGGCTGGAGTGCAGTGGTGCGATCTCGGCTCACTGCAAGCTCCGCCTCCCGGGTTCACGCCATTCTCCTGCCTCAGCCTCCCAAGTAACTGGTACTACAGGTGCCTGCCACCATGCCCAGCTAATTTTCTGTATTTTTAGTAGAGACGGGGCTTTGCTATGTTGGCCAGGCTGGTCTCGAACTCCTGACCTCAAGTTATCCGCCTGCTGCAGCCTCCCAAAGTGCTGGGTTACAGGTGTGATCCACTGCGCCCAGCCTCTGTTGCAGCTTTCTGCTGTTTTAACATCAGAAGAGATGTAAGCTTTGGAATATGATTGTTACAAACTCTCTTCATTCTCCAAATACAAAAAATAATCTTTTTTAGCTTCTTTTCTTGTCAGCGTTCACCTGAACTCTGGCTATTTCCACAACAGCACAATCTGAGGCTTTTGGTGTTTCTATGTCCTGTAAAAATGGGGAGGCAGTCCTGTGACCTTGGTGGTTATGGGAGGTAGGAATGGAGACATAGATGAAATACATTGTACCAGTCAAAGCAGGTGATGTTCTCTCTTTGTTCCAGCAACAGAATAACAAACCTCCAGTTTTTGGATTCCGGATTAAGACAAAGAGATACTGCAAATAGCTGAAATTTGAAAACAAAAATCCTAGAGAAAGTCAGTTACTGGTTGCTTTCAAACCTCATGCCAGAGCCACAAATAAAGTAGCAATCCCAGCAAATTCGCAACATCTGCTGCCTTGCCCATCCTGTGATGGAATGCCCTTCACAAGCTAAGATGTCATTAATCCCACCATGGCAGGGTAGAAAGAAGTAAAGCTAAAGAATAAGATGATCTAGAGCAGGGGTCCCCATCCCTGGTCCGTGGGTCCATACCAGTCCATGGCCTGTTAGGAACCAGCCACACAGCAGGAGGTGAGCAGTGGGTGAGCCAGCATTACCGCCTGAGCTTCGCCTCCCATCAGAGCAGTGGCGGCGGTAGATTATCATAGGAATTCAGACCCTATTGTTAACTATGCAGGTTCTCCTTATGAGAATCTAATACCTGATGATCTGTCACTGTCTCCCATCAGCCCCAGATGGGACTGCCTAGTTGCAGGAAAATAGGCTCAGGGCTCCCACTGATTCTACATTATAGTGAGTTGTATAATTATTTCATTGTGTATGACAATGTAATAATAATAATGGAAATAAAGTGCACAATAATGTAATGGCTTGAATCATCCTGAAACCATCCCCCTCCAACCCCTGGTCTATGGAAAAATCATCTTCCATGAAACCGGTCCCTTGTGCCAAAAAAAGTTGGGGACTGCTGATCTAGAATAACTAACTGATTTCTAAAGAGTTGACCCTATTCACATGGCTCACCCCTTTGAATAATAGGAATACATTTCTTTTCTTACATTTTTTTTTTTTTGAGACAGTCTCGCTCTGTCTCCCAGGCTGGAGTGCAGTGGCCCAATCTCGGCTCACTGCAACCTCCGCCTCCCGGGTTCAAGCGATTCTCCTGCCTCAGCCTCCTGAGTAGCTGGGACTACAGGCATCCACCACCACTCCTGGCTAATTTTTGTATTTTTAGTAGAAACAGGGTTTCACTATATTGACCAGGCTGGTCTCGAACTCCTGACCTCGTGATCTGCCCGCCTTGGCATCCCAAAGTGTTGGGATTACAGGCATGAGCCACCACGCCCGGCCTCTTAAAATTTTTTTATTGGCCGGGTGCAGTGGCTTACACCTGTAATCCCAGCACTTTGGGAGGCTGAGGCGGGCGGATCCCGAGGTCAAGAGATTGAGACCATCCTGGCTAACACAGTGAAACACCGACTCTACTAAAATACAAAAAATTAGCTGGGCGTGGTGGTGGGTGCCTGTAGTCCCAGCTACTTGGGAGGCTGAGGCAGGAGAATGGCATGAACCCGGGAGGCGGAGCTTGCAGTGAGCCGAGATCGCACCACTGCACTCCAGCCTGGGTGACAGAGCGAGAACCTGCCTCAAAAAAAAAAAAATTATTTATTTTTATTTTTTGAGACAGGGGTCTCACTTTATCACCCAGGATAGCGTGCAGTGGCACCATCTCGGCTTATGGCAGCTTAGAACCTCCTGGGCTCAAGCAATCCTCCTGGCTCAGCCTCCCAAATAGCTGGGACTATAGATGCACCCCACCACACCTGGTAATTTTTTTTTTTTTGTAAAGATGAGGTCTCACTATGTGCCCAGGCTGGTCTCCAACTCCTGGGCTCAAGGGATCCACCTGCCCCTCCCAAAGTGCTGGGATTACAGGCATGAGCCATCATGTCTGGCTCACATTTCCTTTTTTTTTTAAGCTTACATATAATCATATTCGTTAGGAGGACTGAAAAGTAGTTTCTTTTACTGTAAGCAAATAAAATTGCTTTTAGGTACATGTTAGAAGCAACACAGTAGAAAGGGTGTGGCTCTGGAGAGAAGACCTAGCTAAAGATACCCCTTACGTGCTACATGACCTTGGGCGAGATGCCCAACCTCCCAAGCGGCTGCTCCACATCCCAGAGCATTATCACAGAGGACAAACGAGAATCTACCTGAAAGCCCTTTGCAATTTCTTTTTCTTTTCTTTTCTTTTTTTTTTTTTTTTTTTTTTTTGAGACGGAGTTTCACTCTTGTTGTCCAGGCTGGAGTGCAGTGGTGCAATCTCAGCTCATTGCGGCCTCCACCTCTCGGGTTCAAGCAATTCTCCTGCCTCAGCCTCCCGAATAGCTAGGATTACAGGCGTCTACCACCACGCCCAGCTAATTTTTGTATTTTTAGTAGACACAGGCCTCAGATGATCTGCCCACCTCAGCCTCCCAAAGTGCTGGGATTATAGGCATGAGTCACTGTGTCTGGCCGCCCTTTGTAATTTCTGAAGTCCCCTATACATTATTGCTTTTATGTCATTGGAGCAGTGCACAGTTTTTGTTGTTGTTGTTGTTTTGAGACGGAGTCTCGCTCTGTTGCCCAGGCTGGAGTGCAGTGGCGTGATCTCAGTTCACTGCAACCTCTGCCTCCTGGGTTCAGGCAATTCTCCTACCTCAGCTTCCAGAGTAGCTGGGATTATAGGCATGCTCCACCATGCCCAGCTAATTTTTGTATTTTTAGTAGAGACGGGGTTTCACCATGTTGGCCAGACTGGTCTAGAACTCCTGACCTCATGATCTGCCCCCCTCGGCCTCCCAAAGTGCTGGGATTACAGGTGTTAGCCACCGTGCCCAGCCAGCAGTCCACAGTTTTTAATAATTATTAAAGTATTTTTGTAGCTTATGCTTGTAATCTCAGCATTTTGGGAGACCAAGGTGGGAGGATAGCTTGAGCCCAGGAATTCCAGACCAGCCTGGGCAACATGGCGAGACCCTGTCTCTACAAAAAATATAAAAATTAGCCTGGCATGGTGCCACACGCTCGTAGTCCCAGCTACTTGGGAGGCTGAGATGTGAGGATCACCTGATCCTGGGAGGCAGAGGTTGCAGTGAGCTGTGATCGTGCCACTGAACTCCAATCTGGACAACAGAGCGAGACACTGTCTCATAAAAAAAAAAGAAAAGAAAAGAAGGAAGGAAGGAAGGAAAGAGAGAGAGCGAAAAACAAAGAAAGAAAGAAAGAGGAAGAAGAAAGAAAAGAAAAGAAAAAAGAAAAGAAAAGAGATGAGTTTAAAGCTGGAGACAAGGACAGGAGTTTGGGAAGAGGCAGTAGTGTTACCAAGAGGACACAAAATCTGCTGCCTTCAGAACAATTTCCTTTTGGAAAGAGAAGAGTCCTCTCCACCTCTGCCCCATTACCAGCTAGGCACAGAGAAGCCTACTGCCTGGGAAAGAAAGAAGCAGAAAATACCCTCAGCCAGGGTAGTGCTATAGCAAACCAACACCAAAATGTTGTTGGGTTCTAGGATGAAAAGAAACAAGATTCTAGAGCTGCTCAGAAGTTAGGACATAGATTGTCTATGACAATGGGAAAAAACTGGGTGGTCCCTTGGAACCCTGGTTTCAGACACTGTTCATTTTTAACAATACCAAAAAGCTATATTCATACTTAAGTTTTCTTCTATGGTGTTGTTACATATTGTTTTTACCATTTTATAGAGTAGCTAACACAGGTAGTGATCAGATCAGTGGGGTGGGTGGCAAATGCATGTGGACCATGATCAGCTATGCATTGCATTCTATGGAAACTTTAACTAAAGATTCAGAAATGGTGAGGGATTACACGCCATTTCTGTAAAGGTCGTCCATGTGCTACTCATTTTCCCTACTTTTCTATTCCTCCTTCTCCTTGTTTTCATCTGCCTTCTTCTCTTTTTAATTTCTGTATTTCTCTCTGTCCTATCTCCTTATTACACTGAAAGAATGTGCAACTTTTTTTTTTTTTAATGGAGTCTTGCTATATCGCCCAGGCTGGAGTGCAGTGGTGTGATCTGGGCTCACTGCAACCTCTGCCTCCCAGGTTGAAGCAATTCTTATGCCTCAGCCTCCCGAGTAGCTGGGATTACAGGCGCCTGCCACTATGCCCAGCTAATTTTTGTAGTTTTAGTAGAGACGGGGTTTCACCATATTGACCAGGCTGGTCTCGAACTCCTGACCTCGTGATCTGCCCGCCTCAGGCTCCCAAAGTGCTAGGATTACAGGTGTGAGCCACTGCGCCCAGCCTTTTATTTTTTTATTTTTTTGAGATGGAGTCTCACTTTGTTGCCCAGGCTGGATGAAGTGCAGTGGTGCAATCTCAGCTCACAGCAACTTCTGCCACCCAGGTTGAAGCGATTCTCCTGCCTCAGCCTCCTGAATAGCTGGGATTACGGGAGCACGCCACCACGCCCAGCTAATTTTTGTATTTTCAGTAGAGATGGGGTTTCACCATGCTGGCCAGGCTGGTCTCAAACTCCTGACCTTAACCGATCCGCCCACCTCAGCCTCCCAAAGTGCTCGGATTACAGGCGTGAGCCACCGCGCCCGGCCAGAATGTGCAACTTTTAAAAGGTGCAGTAAGAAAAACTTTAAAATCATATAGGTACCCATGTTGATATCAATTTTTGTCCGGTTGCTAAGGAAACATTTTTAATGATGAGAGCTGTGATGGCACACACAAAAAAGACTGTAAGCATTTCACAAAATGGATTACATTTTTTGGATATAAAGAATTATAAAAATCCAACAGTGTTAAAAGTAATAAATATATGTATATGGAGTTTTTGCTGTCTTTTAGTATCTATGATTAGAAACATATCAAGGCAAAAAGTTTGAATAAGTACTGAGCTAAGTAAGCCTCTATCTCAAGAAATGAAAAAGAAGAAGAGCAAAGTACATTTGTAAAAGTTGTGGGAAAGCACTTCTGCTTCTGGTCAAGATGGAGTAACAGGGACAAGACTTACTACCTGCTTCAAACAATAGATTTACACAAAATACATGCAATGACAGCTTTCAAAACAATAACATCAGAAAATGGAGGACAGTGGAAACAAATGATGTGAGCCTGTTAGCAGTGGCAAATCTGTCCAGGTCTACAGCAACCTCAATTCTTGCCTCCTCAGAAGAAAGAATTTGACTGGGCGTGGTGGCTCACACCTGTAATCCCAGCACTTTGGGAGGCTGAGGTGGGATGATCTCTTCAGCTCAGGAGTTTGAGACTGGCCGGGGCAATACAGTAAGACTTTGTTTCTACAAAAAATATTTTTAAAAAATAGCCAGGTGTGGTGGTGCACACCTGTGGTCCCAGATACTTGGGAGGCTGTGGTGGGAAGAACCCTTCAGCCCAGGAGATCAAGGCTGCAGTAAGCCATGATCATGCCACTGCACCCCAGCCTGGGCAACAGAGTGAGACTCTGTCTCAAAAAACAAAAAATACCAGCCGGGCGCAGTGGCTCACGTCTGTGATCCTAGCACTTTGGGAGGCCGAGTCGGGTGGATCACTTGAGGTCAGGAGTTCGTAACCAGCTTGGCCAACCTGGTGAAACCCCGTCTCTACTAAAAATACAAAAATTAGCCGGGCATAGTGGCAGGCGCCTGTAATCCCAGCTACTCGGGAGGCTGAGGCATAAGAATTGCTTCAACCTGGGAGACAGAGGTTGCAGTGAGCCCAGATCACACCACTGCACTCCAACCTGGGTGACAGAGTGAGACGCTGTGTCAAAAAAAAAAAAAAAAAAAAAAAAACCCAGAAAACAATGACATTCTTCACAGAAATAGAAAAAACAATCCTAAAATTTATATGGAATCACAAAAGACCCAGAACATCCAGTCTGTCCCTGGATCTAAGGAAAAAGGAAAATAAAAAAGAGAGAGAGAGAGAGAGGCTCCTAAAAGCCAAGAGATCTTGAGCAAAAAGAATAAAGTTGGCCGGGCACGGTGGCTCACGCCTATAATCCCAGCACTTTGAAAGGCCGAGGCAGGTGGATCACTTGAGATCAGGAGTTCGAGACCAGCCTGGCCAACAGGGTGAAACCCCATCTCTACTAAAAATACAAAAGCTGCGCATGTTGGAGTGCCCCTGTAGTCCCAGCTACCAGGGAGGCTGAGGCAGGAGGATCACTTGAACCCAGGGGACAGAGGTTGCAGTGAGCCGAGATTGTGCCACTACACTCCAGCCTGGGCGACAGAGTGAGACTCCGTCTCAAAAAAAAAGAAAAGAAAAAAAGAAGGGCAAAGAAACTGAATAGACATTTCTCAAAAGAAGACATATGAATGGTCAACAGGTATATGAGAAAAATGCTCAACATCACTAATCATCAGTGAAATACAAATCAAAACCACAATGAGATACCACCTCACACCTGGTAGAATGACTATTATCAGAAAGGCAAAAGATAACAAGTGTTGGTGAGGATATGGCATGAAGGGAACACTTGCAGGCTGTTGGTGGGAATGTAAATTAGTATAGCCATTATGGAAAAGTGTATGGAGGTTCCTCAAAAAGTTAACAATAGAACCACCATATGATCCAGCAAACCCACTACTGGGTATATATCCGAAGGATATGAAATCATGTTGAAGAGATATCTGCACTCCCATGCTTGCTGCAGCACTATTCACAACAGCCAAGAAAGAAAGAAAGAAAGAAACAATGAAATGCATCCCAGAACAAAAGCTCCAGGATACTTATAGGAATACAAAATATCCAGCAACCATAAGGTAAAATGCACAATGTCTGAGATCCAACCAAAGATTACCAGGAATGCCTTTGAAGGGAAAAAGGACCCATAATGAGGAGAATAATCAATCAAAACAGACTCAGAACCAACAAGGATGTTAGAATTAGCAGTGAAGGACATTAATACAATTATTATTATAACTTTATGTGTGATATTGTGATATAAGAGTAAGTATATATTTGGTCTTTGTTCCTGGTTCCTGGCACAGAGCTCTTAAAACTCTTACAATTTCCTGAATGGCGAGGTGAGAGGATCATCTTGTTGTTCATAACATGCCTCTTTCAATCATCCCTGAGTTTATGATCATCCCTGAGTTTATGCTAATGAGGTGACTCTTGGAGGGCCCCTAGATAGCTTCAAATAAGGGCTGTTTGCCAGCCCCACCCTGGGCCTCTGGGGAGGGGAGAGGGTCTGGAGATTGAGGTAATCATCCATCTCCAGCCAATGGCTTCATCAATCATGCCTACATGATGGAAAGTCCATAAAAACCCCTGAATGAAGGGTTTGGAGGGTTTCTGGGTTGGTAAACACATCAACATGCTGGGAGGGTGCCCCTTCCATATCTAGTCCTATACATCTCTTCCATTTAGCTGTCCCTGAGTCGTATCCTTTATAATAAACCAGTCATAGTAAATAATGTGCCTTCTTGAGTTCTGTGAGCCATTCTAACAAATTATCCAACCCGAGGAAGGGGTTGTGGGAACCCCTGATTTACAGCCGATCAATCAGAAGTATGGGAGGCCTAGGGTTTTCAATTGGTGTCTCAAGTGGAGGCAGTTATGTGGGACCAAGCCCTTAACTTGTGGGGTCTGACACCAATGCCAGGTAGTTAGTGTTAGAATTGAATTGAATTGTTGGACACCCAGTTGGCATCTGGAGAGTTGGCGAACTGGTTGTTGGTATGGAAAAAACCCACACATTTGGTGTCAGAAGTGTTCTGAGGAAAAACAATTCAGAGTATGCCATATGTTAAAAAAGTTAAATAGAGACATTGAGGATATAAAAAATACATTGAATGGAATTAATAGCACATTAGACATTGCAGAAGGAAATATTAGTTAACTTGAAAGCATAGCAATAAAAGCAATTGAAAACAAAACACACAGAGAAAAAAAACTCCAAAAATTCAAAAGAGCATCAATGAGCCACGGGACTTCAAGCAGTCTAATTTATGAGTAATTTGTATCCATGAAGGAAAATAGAGGAGAACTTCAGAAAAAAAAATTGTTTTTGAAGAAATACTGGACAAAATTTTTCCAAATTTGATGAACACCAGAAACCTACATATCCAGAAGGCTCAAACGACCTCAAACACATGAAGAAAATTACACCAAGGTATACCATAACGGAATTGCTCAAAACCAGCGCTAAAGAGAAAATCTTAAATGCAGCCAGTGGGAAAAATGGGACATGTTATATACATAGGAACAAAGAGAAGGATGACATCAGATTTCTCACTTGAAACAATGCAAACAAGAAGACTGGGAAGCGGCCGGGCGTAGTGGCTCACGCCTGTAATCCCAGCACTTTGGGAGGCCGAGGCAGGTGGATCACCTGAGGTCAGAAGTTTGAGACCAGCCTGGCCAACATGATGAAACTCCGTGTCTACTAAAAATACAAAAATTAGCCAGGTATGGTGGCATACACCTGTAGTCCAAGCTACTCAGGAGGCTGAGACAGGAGAATTGCTTAAACCCAGGAGGTGGAGGCTGCAGTGAGCCGAGATCACACCACTGCTGTCCAGCCTGGGTGAGACAGAGCAAGACTCCATCTCAAAAACAAAAACAAAAAATCTTCAAAGTAATAAAAAATTTTTTAAAAACTGTCAACCTAAAATTCTATACTCATGAAAATATCTTTAAAAAAATAAGGTGAGTCAGGGCACAGTAGCTTTTTGCAGAGACCCTCCTCTCTACAAAAAATTGTATTTCTTTTTTTTTCTTTTTTCTTTTTTCTTTTTTTTGAGACAGAGTCTCACTCTGTCGCCAGGCTGGAGTGCAGTGGCGCAATCTCAGCTCACCGCAACCTCCGACTCCCAGGTTCAAGCGATTCTCCTGCCTCAGCCTCCTGAGTAGCTGAGATTACAGGTATGTGCCACCAAGCCTGGCTAATTTTGTATTTTTAGTAGAGATGGGGTTTCTCCATGTTGGTCAGGCTGGTCTCAAACTCCCAACCTCAGGTGATCCACCCACCTCAGCCTCCCAAAGTGCTGGGATTACAGGTGTGAGCCACCGCGCCTGGCCAAAAAATTGTATTTCATGTGTACAGAATCCCAGTGCTTTGGGAGGCCGAGGTGGAAAGAGTGCTTGAGCCCAGGAGTTCAAGGCTGCAGTGAGCTATGATTTTGCCACTGCACTCCAGCCTGGACAACAGAGTGAGACCCTGTCTCACAATAAAAAGAAAAAGAAAAGAAAAAAGAAAATGGACTGTTTCAATAAAAATAACAGTGTATTTTGGGGTTTATAACATACGTAAAAGTAAAATGCATGATACAACAGCATAAAGGCTGAGCAAGAAGAAATGGAAGTACACTAAACATCTTATACTGTATGCAAAGTGGTATATATCACTTGAAGGTAGACTATGATAAGTTAGAGGTGAATAATATAAACCCTAAAGCAATCGCTAAAATAAAACCAACAGTTGGCTGGGCGTGGTGGCCCATGCCTGCAACCCCAGCACTTGGGGAAGCTGAGGCAGGAGGCTCACTTGAGCCCAGAAGTTTGAGACCAGCCCTGGCAACATAGCGAGACACCATTTCTACAAAAAATAAAAAAAAAAATAGCTGGGCATGGTGGCACACGCCTGTAGTCCTAGCTACTTGGGGGGCTGAACTGGGAAGATCGCTTGAGCCCAGGAAGTCAAGGCTGCAGTGAGCCATGATTGCACCACTGGACTCCAGCCTAGGCAACAGAGTAAAACCCCGTCTCTAAAAATTAAACAAGAAACCCAACTTTTACACTGTTGGCAGGACTGTAAACTAGTTCAACCATTGTGGAAGTCAGTGTGGCGATTCCTCAGGGATTTAGAACTAGAAATACCATTTGACCCAGCCATCCCATTATTGGGTATATACCCAAATGACTATAAAACATGCTGCTATAAAGACACATGCACACGTATGTTTACTGCGGCACTATTCACAATAGCAAAGACTTGGAACCAATCCAAATGTCCAACAATGATAGACTGGATTAAGAAAATGTGGCACATATACACCATGGAATACTATGCAGCCATAAAGAATGATGAGTTCATGTCCTTTGTAGGGACATGGATGAAGCTGGAAACCATCATTCTCAGCAAACTATCGCAAGAACAAAAAACCAAACACCACATATTCTCACTCATAGGTGGGACTTGAACAATGAGAACACATGGACACAGGAAGGGGAACATCACACTCTGGGGACTGTTGTGGGGTGGGGGGAGGGGGGAGGGATAGCATTGGGAGATATACCTAATGCTAAATGACGAGTTAATGGGTGCAGCGCACCAGCATGTCACATGTATACATATGTAACTAACCTGCACATTGTGCACATGTACCCTAAAACTTAAAGTATAATAATAATAATTTTTTTTAAAAAAAAGAAACCCAAACCAAAAATCTAAGAGTTATAGTTGATAAGCCAAGAAAAGATAAAGCGGGCTAGGCATAGTGGAGTGGCTCAGGCCTATAATTCCAGCCACTTGAGAGGCTAAGGCAGGGAAGATCCCTTGAGCCCAGGAGTTTGAGACCAGGCTGGGCAACATAGTGAGATCCTATACCACCCCCCCAAAAAAAAGAAAAGAAAAGAAAAAGAAAAGATAAAAATCCATGTTGTGTGTGGAAAAAAAAAAAAACCCATAACACAGAAGAGGAGTGATGTCAGCCAGGCATGGTGGCTCACGCCTGTAATCCCGGCACTTTGGGAGGCCAAGGCAGGTGGATCATGAGGTCAAGAGATTGAGATCATCCTGGCCAACATGGTGAAACCCCGTCTCTATTAAAAATACAAAAAAATTAGGCCGGGCATGGTGGCTCACGCCTGTAATCCTAGCACTTTGGGAGGCTGAGGCGGGTGGATCACGAGGTCAGGAGTTTGAGACCAGCCTGGCCAAGATGGTGAAACCCTGTCTCTACTAAAAATACAAAAATTAGCCGGTTGTCGTGGCGCGTGCCTGTAATCCCAGCTACTCAGGAGGCTGAGGCAGGAGAATCGCTTGAACCTGGGAGGTGGAGGTTGCAGTGAGCCAAGATCATGCCATTGCACTCCAGCCTGGGCGACAGAGCAAGACTCCATCTCCAAAAAAAAAAAAAAAAAAAAAAAAAAATACAAAAAATTAGCTGGGCATGGTGGCACGCACCTGTAGTCCCAGCTACTCAGGAGGCTGAGGCAGGAGAATGGCATGAACCCAGGAGGCAGAGCTTGCAGTGAGCCAAGATGGCACCATTGCACCCCAGCCTGGGCAATAGAGTGAGACTCCATCTCAAAAAAAAGAGTGATGTCACCAAAATGGAAGACTAGGAAGCTCCAGGCTCTGGCTCCTTAACAGAAACATCAAAAAGCAAACAGAATTGTTAGAGCTAACTGTGTCAGAGTGCTGGAAAATAGTTGATATGGTTTGGACTTGTGTCCCCGCTCAACTCTCATATAAATTGCAATCCCCATTGTTGGAGAAGTGGCCTGGTAGGTGACTGGATCATGGGGGCAGATTTCTCCCTTGCTCTTCTCACCATAGTGAGTTCTCATGACATCTGGTTGTTTAAAAGTGTGTGGCACCTCCCCACTTCACTCTCTTCCTCCTGCTTCAGGGCAGGTAAGACGTGCCTGCTTCCCCTTCACCTTCCACTGTGATTGTAAGTTTCCTAAGACCTCTCAGCCATACTTCCTGTACAGCCTGCAGAACCATGAGCCTTTTTTATAAATTACCCAGTCTCGGGTATTTCTTTATAAATTACCCAGTCTCAGGTATTTCTTTACAGCAGTGCGAGAACAGACAAATACAATGGTCAAAAGTTTACAGCAGGCCGAGCGCGGTGGCTCACGCCTGTAATCCCAGCACTTTGGGAGGCCCAGGTGGGCGGATCACGAGGTCAGGAGATCGAGACCATCCTGGCTAACATGGTGAAACCCCGTCTCTACTGAAAATACAAAAAATTATCCAGGCGTGGTTGCAGGCGCCTGTAGTCCCAGCTACTCGGGAGGCTGAGCCATGAGAAAGGCCTGAACCCGGGAGGCGGAGCTTGCAGTGAGCGGAGATCGCGCCACTGCACTGCAGCCTAGGCAACAGAGCGAGCCCCATCTCAAAAAAAAAAAAAAAAAAAAAAAGTTTACAGCAACTGTCCAACCAAGAAAAAGCCATCTTCAAAATGGGAGTATTGTGGCATTTTTACTTGCCCTTCCCCCACTGTCTGCCTGGCACGATGGCAGTCTTGATCAGTCTCAAAGCAGCTGCCTCATTCCCAGTTCCCTCCCTTGAACTGGAGGGAGCAGAGATCTTATCTGCAAATTGTTGTGTACGTGCTATTTGTCCACCTGTTCTCTATTTCTTTATTCTTGCCTTCTTCTGGATTATTATTCTTCATTCTATTCTCCCCGTTTGTTTGAAACTTACTATTTTTCTGTTCTTTAGTATGATATCCTTTTTTTCTTTGAGATGGAGTCTTGCTCTGTTGCCCAGGCTGGAGTGCAGTGGCGCAATCTCAGCTCACTGCAACCTCCGCCTCCTGGGTTCAAGCAATTCTCCTGCCTCAGCCTCCCAAGTGGCTGGGATTACAGGCATGTGCCACCATGCCTGGGTAATTTTTGTATTTTTAGTAGAGATGGGGTTTCGCCATGCTGGCCAGGCTGGTCTCGAACTCCTGACCTCAGGTGATCCACCCACCTCGGCCTCCCAAAGTGCTGGGATTACAGTCATGAGCCACTGCGCCTGGCCCTTACAGCCCATTCTCACCCAGCTCTTTATGCCTGCTTCCTTATCTGCAAAATGGGGTGATTGTAGTGCTTCAGTCATATGGTCTTCACGAGCCTTCGATGACAGCTTCTGAGTTCCTGGATCCAGTCATACCTGAAACTAGTATTTCTGTTCTTACTTTTGCTAAGTCAGTTTGAGCTGGGCTCCTCACAGCAACTGCCTTGACTTCTGCCTGTGTCAGCAGAGTGACTGGGAGGTTTGCGGGTGGCGATGCTGGGGCTGAGTGACCCTCACAGTGGGTCTGCCCAGACCCAGTGCAAAGGCAGAAGGCTGGGGGGAGTGTTGAGGCCCTGGCCATGAGAATGGCCTCTCAGCTGCCACCGATCAGGATTCCCCTCACCCATCAGTGTGAAGGGTTGGATGGCTTATTTATGTCCAAATTCCTGCGGCAGGTGTTCAGTGTCGTCTGGGGTGAGGTTGGAGGGAACCTGCCTGGTGTGGGAGCTGGGGTCATGATGGGAGAGGGGGCTGACTACAGGGGCCACACACAGACAGCACATTTGTCCTGGCAGGTTGGCTGGTCTGCCAAATGCATGTACCATCTCCAAAGGAGGTCTCAGGGGGACAAAATCTTCTCAGAGGACACTACTGGGGGTCTGTGAGGTGGTCTGGGGAATAGCATCCTTTTTTTGAGATGGGGTCTTGCTCTGTGGCCCAGACTGGAGTGCAGTGGCACGATCATAGATCACTGCAACCTCAACATCCAGGGCCCAAGTGATCCTCCTGCCTTGGCCTCCCAAAGTGTTGAGATAACAGGTGGCACCTGGCCTGAGAGGAGTATTTTTATGTCCCCAAACCACAAATTTGCCCACATGGATGCATCCGTCCCACGTGCTCCATTTCCACATTGCCTGTAGGGCAGCTCATGTCTGCAGATTGAGTAGCAGTCCTGGGTCCAGACAAGCCAAGCACCCACTCCAGGGACCGACTCGGGTAGCACATGAGGTATACTGACCTCCTGACAAGCCCTGAGCAATTCTGTGACCTCTGTACCTCAGTATCCCCATCCGAAACTGGAGATGACAACTCTTGCATGAGATTGTTGTGAGGATTACGTATCAATATTTGGAAAATATTTTGGAAAAAACTGGGCATGCCATTGGTGCTTGGAATCGTGCCTGGCACACAGAGGGTGCTTTCAAAGCACTTAGAACAGCAGTACCCAGCCCACAGCTGGTGCTCACTAACCACTCAGAGCTGCACCCATCACACATCTGGCCTTTGATAAGAACACAGAACACAGGCACAAAACTGGTGCTTAGTTAAGTCCATGGAGGAAAAAACCACACTGCTGAGTGGGGAGCAGACTGGTGCTTTATATATACACACACACAGCAGAAGGTACAGGGCCTCAATAAGAAAATACACTCTGTGTTCAGGTGAACCCCCATCACCACCCACGCAGAACACTCTGGGCTGAGGAGAGGGAAGGGCACGACCATAAATAAAGACTAGAAGGGAGGGTCACTGCTGGAAGGGCAAACACAGGCGGGGCGCGCACTGCTAGGAGGAGACACGACCTGTTCTTTCCCGGGAGAGAGCGATGCAGCGGCACAGGAGAACAGTAGCCACGACTAAGCCTGCAATGCCTGGCGGGGGCACCTAACACGAATAAGAGAAGCGGGGCGGACACGAGAAGCGAGATTGCAGAGAGGGCTTTTTTTTTTTTTTTTCTGTGGCAGGACCCAGGGCTCTCAATTAACATCCATGAACTCAGAGCTGGGTGGGGAGCTGCAGGCAGGGGAGGCTGGGGCGCCAGATGAGCCGGCCGGGGACAGCAGGCGTCGCGCCACGTCCTGGCGTTGGTAGAAGAGGACATAGGCTGCCTTGGACTGTGGGGAGAGGACAGGAGTCAGTGTGGATTGTGGGGGTGGGGAGGTGGAATCAGAAAGGAAGAAGGGGAGGAGGTAGGATGGAAGTCACACCTCGATCTGATTCTCATTGACAGGGGAGACGCTGTTGTCATCAAAGTAGTGCCACTGGCCGCTGTCCTTGTTGCAGGCAAATGTTGTGTCTGAAAGGGAAGGAGAGTTATCCTCGCCTACCCTTCCTGCCTCTCAGAAGTGTCCAGATTCACTCTTGTCACTCCTCCCACCACGATAACCTCACCACTGGCTCACATCCCTAGTCACTCACTGGGAAGGTCCTGATCGCCCCCCTGCCCAGAACCCCCAGGGCAGGCCCCACCCACAGCCTGGCACATACAGTGTCCATCACGCATGCCCCCATAATGGTTGGAAACCGCGATGAGGTCATATTTGTACAGCTCCGGATTCGACTCATTCTGTGGCTGGATGACAAACTCAGAGAAGTCCAGGTCCCTGTGGGTGGGGAGAGGGTTAATACTGGTACACCCCCTCCTTTCCCTGCCTTCCCCCAGCCATCCTCTCCCTGGCCCCTGACCGGATAGGAAACTCCACGAGGGTGTCCAGCTTCTCTCGGGAGAACTTGGTGTAGGAAAAGCGTTTCAGGTGGATGATGAGAATCTCCGGCAGCATCCACAGGTCCAGCTTCTTGGTTGCCAGCTGGTGCTGCTTGCAGGAAGGGCAGTACCTACAGACAGAGCCCGAGTCAGCAAACGGACTTTTTCTTTTTTTTTTTTTTGAGACAGAGAATCGCTCTGTTGCCCAGGCTGGAGTACAGTGGCGCGATCTCGGATCACTGCAGCCTCCACCTCCTGGGTTCAAGCGATTCTCCTGCCTCAGCCTCCCGAGTAGCTGGAATTACAGGCATGCACCACCATGCCCTGCTAATTTGTGTATTTTTAATAGAGACAGGGTTTCACCATGTTGGCCAGGCTGGCCTTGAATTCCTGACCTCAGGTGATCCACCCGTGTCGGCCTCCCAAGGTACTCGGATGACAGGCATGAGCCACAATGCCCAGCCAAAACAGACTTTTTCTGAGCACCTACTGTGCGCCCTTTGTACTGCCTCTCACGTGCCATGTCTGGCTCACAGAAACACTGCTCTTACTATTAGCCCATCTAGTATTCTAGTTTGCTCTGTTCCTGTTAAAATCCTTTCACTCACTCGTCAAGTGCTTACTATCTTTTGTATATGTGCTCATACTATTTTTTGTATTTTTGTTTGATTTCTGTTCCATGAGATGCTAGTCTTATTTTAGAGCCCACCTCTATCCTTCTAGTTTCCTCTCTTCGTATTTTAGTCATTCATTCACTCCCCAGTATTTATTGATTGCTTGTTTAACCCTTTGGAACTATTTTGTATTTCTGTTCCATTTCTGCTCCACGGACATGCTGCTCTTATTTCTGAGACTAGGGAGTGTGGTTTTGGTTCTCTTTTTGTTTATTCTGCAAGTGTCTACTGAGCATCAACCGAACACTCAACACTATTATAAACAGGTAGAAGCAACACACAGTGAACTTAAGTCTTCACCCTCGAGGAGTTGACTCTAACGAAGATGACAAATAACACAAAAGTGGATACAGGACATCACATCAAGTGGCATCGCTGAGCTAGAAAGTAATGCTTGGCTAGGAAGAAAAGAGCAGAGAGGGGATGGAGAGGGATGGTGGGGAAGGGTGATTTTTAACAGGGTAGTCAGAGGAGGTCTCTCTGATGAGGTCACATTTGATCGGAGACCTGAGCATCGTAAGGAGTGAAGTCCTGTAGATCACTGGGAACAACATTCCTGGAGAAGGAACAGCACAGGCCAAGGCTCTGGGGTAGGAGTCTGCTCAGGAGATTGGTGGCCAGGTTGGCAAGAAGGGTTTGAGTGTGGAGGAGGGAGGAGGAAGGTATACTTAAAGAGCTAAATATAGGCCAGGTGTGGTGGCTCACGCCTGTAATCCCAGCACTTTGGAAGGCCAAGGCGGGTGGATCATCTTTAGTCAGGAGTTCGAGACCAGCCTGGCCAACGTGGCAAAACCTGTTTCTACTAAAAATATAAAAATTAGCCAGGCATGGTAGTGGGTGCCTATAATCCCAGCTACTCAGGAGACTTAGGCAGGAGAACAGCTTGATCCTGGGAGGCAGAGGTTGCACTGAGCCGAGATTGTACCACTGCACTTCAGCCTGGGTTGACAGAGCCAGACTCTGTCTCAAAAAAAAAAAAAAAAAGCTAAATATAGTAGTTCCATCCAATGAAACCCCCACACACAGGCCCCGCTCTGGCCCCTCACCAGGGGTTTTCCTTCTCCAGGGTCTCCACAGTGGTGAAGAGCTCAATGCACTCCTGCAGCCGCACGGGAGCCTTCTTCATCACGTACCCGACGCAGTCATGCTTCACGTAGCCCTAGGATTGGGTGAACAGACAACCAGATGGCCGGCTGTGAGGACAGATGGAGAAATGGGGAGTGGGGGCCCAGCGGGGGAGACACACACTGAGTGGGTCAGAGCACCGACTTTGAAGCTAGGAACCTCAGGCCCTGGAGCTCTCAGTAGGTGTTCAGGCCCCAAGGCCAAGCTTGACCTGGATCTCTTGGCTCTGTTCCCAGCTAGAGGAGTTGTGGGGAGGATGTACGAAGAGTTGAGGGGCAAGAGCTGGAAGTACCCCCCATCCCTGGGATCTCATTTACCTCAGCCTCTACCTCGTCATAGTAACGCTTCTTCATCTCTGGCTCCCAGTCGATAGCAATGTACGGCTGGGCTGGGGGTGAGGGAGAGGTGGTCATGGATCCTGCTGCCAGGAAATCTCCCCTCCAGCCTCCCCAGCCCTCGCTGATAGCCAAAGGAAATACCATGGACTTCTTCAGGGGAGGTTGTGCGGTCGCTGGTCCCATTGGAGTTCACCGTCTGCAGGGTGAACAGCTGCTTGCGTCGTCGCCTTGGGGGCCACTGAGATGTGCCAAGGCAATTGTCCAGGAGGAACGGGCACCTGTTCGTGACTCCAGAGCTGGGCCCAGCCTGCTCTGGCTCAGGGTCTCGGAGGCTGCCCCCAGTTGAGGGCCCAGGGACGTCATCTTTATCCTCCTCGTCATCTTCTAGGACAGGAGGATGTCAGAGATGGGAAGGTGTGAGCCTCAAGTGCTAAGCTGCAATGCACACCTAGACGAACCCTACGTGGGTCAGACCTAACCCAGAGCCCCCGCCCACTGACTGTTAGCCCCCTCACCTTTCTCATCCCCATCGTCCTCATCATCTGAGTTGGGTTTGGTCACGTAGCGTCTGCAACAGAGCAGAGGAGACTCCCAAGACGGGTACAAGGACAGTGGGGATAGAGCCCGGGATTTTACTTAAGATAATGGGAAGCCATTGGTAGATCCACATGTAAACCGTTCTGAATCTGAGGTGTGAGAGGGCTGAAGGGGTGACGCGTAAATGCATGAAGAGGCCAAGGCTGTCAGCAGTGGCCTGAGAATGAAGGAACTTGTGTCCCAGTCAGAGGTGTGGAGTGTGATTAGCTGGGCGTGGTGGCGCGCGGCTGTAATTGCAGCTATTTGGGAGGCTGAGGCAGGAGAATCGCTTGAATCCGGGAGATGGAGGTTGCAGTGAGCCAAGATCATGTCACTACACTCCAGCCTGGGCAACAGAGCAAGACTCCATCTCAAAAAAAAAAAAAAAAAAAGGTATGGAGCGTGGACTTTTACTCTAATAAGCCACTGCTAGACAAGACACATACCGGCTGTAACTTCCCATCAGGGAAAGCCTCTGGGGAATGACTTTTGAATGCAAAATGAGGGGGGAGAATTCTGATAACACAATGCTTTGTGTGCCACAGTAAAGACTCTAGATTTTAGGCAAAATGAAAATTTGTCAGCAAAAAGACAAAAAAACCAAGACTCTCCCAGGAGGGACAACAGTCTCCAGGAGAGACAACTGAAGACAAGATGAAGTTGTCTGTTTTGTGCATCTTGTTCACCTCTGTATCCCTAGCACCCAAGACAGGCAGTAGCAAAGCCAGAGGTCTAGAGAAAGAAAAAACCCTACAAGTTCTTCTATGGCCATGTTAAGTTTGGACTGTCTTTTGTTTGTTACAGGGGAGGTGTCAAATAAGCAGCTAAACACCCAAGTCGGAGTTCAGACCCCTCCGCCCCCCACCCCCGGGGAAGAGGACACTTACGAGAGCCGGTACATCAGGACGTTATACAGGCCCTCCCAGGTGAAGCGGTCCCGGGGCACTGATACCAGGAGGGGGTGTCCAAAAAGCATCAGGCCGTAGTAGGAGTTGTTGTAGTCACGGGCAGGGGTGCGCTCCCGCAGGTAGACAGGAACCACGATGTCCTCTCTTGAGCCCTCAATGGCCTCAATGCGACCTGACACCTCATAGCTGTGGGGGGTGGACAGCAGGCACACCTGATCAGGGCCCCCAGAGACTCCCTGACTCTGCCCTGGCTGCCCCACCCACTCATCCTCACAGCCTGAAGGCATTTTTATTTTTATTTATTTATTTATTTATTTTTGAGACGGAGTCTCGCTCTGTTGCCCAGGCTGCAGTGCAGTGGCACGATCTCGGCTCACTGCAAGCTCCGCCTCCCGGGTTCATGCCATTCTCCTGCCTCAGCCTCCCGAGTAGCTGGGACTACAGGCACCTGCCACCACGCCCGGCTAATTTTTTGTATTTTTAGTAGAGACGGGGTTTCACCGTGTTAGCCAGGATGGTCTCCATCTCCTGACCTCGTGATCTGCCTGCTTCAGCCTCCCAAAGTGCTGGGATTACAGGCGTGAGCCACCGCGCCCGGCTTTATTTATTTTTGAGATGGAGTTTTGCCCTGTCGCCCAGACTGGAGTGCAGTGGCGTGATCTTGGCTCACTTGAACCTCTCGGGTTCAAGTGATTCTCCTGCCTCAGCCTCCCAAGGCATGTGGCTGAAGCTCTGCGCAGGGCAGGTGCCCAGTGAACGAGGCAGAGGCAGGGAAGAGAGAAGGTGGTTAAGGCAGGACCATACAAAAGGAAGTGGACCAAGTTCCTGAGGAACCACCACCTCCCTGCCATCCCCACTCACACGAAGATATCATCACGGTCCAAGATGCTGCTCAGAGGCTCCTCTAGCTGATAGAGCTTATAGAAGCGGTGACTGAAGACATCAGCCACCATCATCTAGGAATGGGATATGGAGAGGGGACTGTTAGTCTGCACGGCCTCCCAGGCCCTTCTGCCTCCTTGCCCTGGAATCCCATCCAGCCTCCTTCTGCAGTCTCACCCTCTCTGGCGAGATGCCCGTGTGTTTGGACAGAGCCACACATAGATCCGAGATCTTGCCTTTCTTGGGGACCACGAGCCGGTGCTAAGGGAAAAACGGTATCCACAAAAGACCAAAAGGGCTTGTGGTGAGTTAATGCAAGAAGCCTTGAGCTATGGCAGCTAATCAAACTCTATGTGTCCATCATCATCTCCCCAGGCCCCCACTGCCCCACACCTGCTCTGGCTTGCGGCGCGGATCCATGGGGATAAAGAAGACCTCCAAGACCCTCTTGTGGCTGATAGGCAGTGGAACACTGAGGTAGCAGAAGGGGTCGAAGGTCACAGATACATTGCCACAATCGGGGCACACCAGCGTGGACTTGAAGAGGCCGTGGAAAGTGTCCACGATCACAGAATCGTTCCGCCGTTTGTGGTTTTGCCATGCCTCCTGTGCCACCTCCTGTTGATAGTGTCATGGTGGGTGGTGGGGCTTGCCCAGGGTAAGAGGAAACCATGGCTTGGGGTGCATTCAAATGGGGTGAAGCGGAAGGCCACTGCTAAAGTCCAGAGGCAGAGCTCCAGCTAGGGATACACAGAGACTATGTTCACGGTCAAGACTGGGGGTCATTTAGGGCAGGAGACTGCGCTGGGGTTTACTCTGGGTTGACTGTGGGGGCAGATATGGTATTGCAACTAAGGTTAAGAGTAAGGCTGGAGTTGAGGTCAGGTAGAGAAACTTAACAGAAAATGGTGGCGTGTTAGATACCCCAGGGAGGCCAGAAAATCCCCGAGGCAGAGGCCTTGGTGATGTTAATTGGACTGCAAATGCGGGGGCAGCCTACCTGATCCGGTCGCCCAGCAGCATCGCACAGCTCCACATACTCCTTCTTCTTCACCCGATTAAGGTCCTCATGCAGCCCGTCCAGGAGGAATGACAGCAGCTCCTGAGAGTCATGCTGCTGGTAGCCCAGAAATTGGGATGCAAAATGGCCAACCTTGTTCTAAGAAGATGGGCAGGGTCATCAGAGAGAGAGGGAGTTAGGAGAGCCAAGAGACGTAGGGGGTCGGGGGTGCCCAGGGTTGAGTCACACCTTGAACACATGTGGCACAATGGAGCGGTGGTGGCCAGACCACGCCTGCTTCACCAGGTCTGCATAGGCCTCTGCGATCTCACCCTTCATGCCCAGTGGGTTGCGGAAGTTGAGCTCCTCCAGGTAGCAGTTGTTGAGGAAGTACTCGGTGAGCTGTGGCACATTGCTGAGGCACTGCAGAGGCCAGAGACCAGGTGAATGAGGCAGAGGGGAGACAGAAGGTTCAAAGTGAGGATACACAAAAAGAAGCCAGGAGGAAAGAGAGAGGAAAACAAGAGAGAAGGGGAAGGGAGGAGAGAGAGGAGCAGGAGAGTAGGGGAGAGAAGGCATTAGGATTTCACGAGAAGGAAGAACGTGGGAACAGGGAAGAGAAGAGGGAAAATGAGGGCAAGCTGAGAGAAGAGGCTGATAGTTCAGGAATGAACGTGGGCGTGCCACTTCAGACTTGTGGGGCCTCAGCTTTCATCCTGACCCCTTGCCCTGTAGTCCCCTCAGGACCCCAGCTCTGTCCCCAATCCTCAGCTCTTGAAGCCCAACCACGTGGCTGTGCCAGACACAACTATAATGGCCCAACCTGCAGGGCCGAGTTCATGAAGCACGTGTTGCCCAGATTGGTGAGGCCACAGATGCCTGGCTGACCCTTGAAGTCCTCATCCTCTTCCGACATGTTGTTGTTCCTGGGGTTAGATGAGAAACTGTCAGCTGAGGGCCTGCTGCATGGGGGTGCAATGTGCTCATGGGCTAAATCATTTTGCCTACTGTGGGACGCCCCCGCTCTGGACCAGATACCCCAAGGGCTCACATGACATGCAGCTGTGCGCTGGGCCAAGTGCCATCTTTCTTGCGGGTCTCCATGATGATCAACTGGGTTGGAGAAAGAGAAAGAAGGAAAGGTATTAATGGAGGACATTATGGGTACCTAGCCTTCATTTCCCCCGAGTACTGCCAGGTGAGTCTATCTGCCAGTCCACCTGAACAGAAAAGCCCTCCCCACCCTTACCTGCCCAGTCTCAAGGGCCGCATCGAGAACCGTGATGTGTGTGTCATACAACCTATCCAAAGAGCCTTCTGAGTTCTTGGCCCAAAGCCGAGTGTCTTCCTGGGGCTCCACCAGAAACCGCTCCCGAGCTGTGCGCAATACTAGGCCTGTGCGGGGTGATGGAGTACATTCAAGATCTTTGTGAGACCCAAAATGATCAATCCATCTGGGCATACCTGACTCATCCCTACGGACCTCACATGCTTGGCCAATACCTGTGTCCTCAATCAGTCTCCAAATGACTGGCCCACACTCCAGACTGGAGATCTCCAGCAAATATCCTCTGCCACACCACGTAAGCCACTAGAATGTAGCTCACATACCCTCAGGGCTCTAGTAGATCCCCTCAGTGCCTCCACCCAACTTAGCCAATGCCTTCTGGGTCTTCCAAAGTCTGACCAGTGCCTTCTCAGTCAGCTTCAGCTTAACCCTATGCAACCTCAAGTCACTGAGTTGGGACTAGTAGCTAGGAACACCAACCCATTGCGTGACCCTTAGACTCACCAATAGAATCGGTATGGCTGAACTGAACAGTGTGAGATTTGCCCAAATCATTGTGCCGGACAAGCAGCAGTTCTACTGGGTACACTTCGACCTTCTGGATGTTGGGCAGCTCTATGACCTGTAAGAGTAGAGGGGTGCAGACACAGGTGTACTCACACAGACACAGCGCTGTGACCTCTCAAATGAGAGGAGCACACACTCTGCCTTACAAACATAGCATACAAACACACATATACAATGGTCTGTAAAGAGAGCCACACAGGGGAACACACACAGCAGACAAAGATACCTGTATGATGAGCTAGGAGGGGGAAGAGAGCAGACATATGTGTACCTACCCAGCATACATGGATCTGTACCCATGCTGGGCCTACAAGGCTTTCTTACTACGCACTCCCCGCCATGCACCCTCCCCATCCATTATACCTTGCGTTCAATGGGTGGCTGGCCATGCTCTAGACCATACCAGCTGACCAGGTAATGCCAAGCAGCTGCTGGGAGCAGCACATAATCCTCGCCTTCCACCAGTCCCTCCTTGAGGCGCCAGTTTATCTCATCTGTGGGGCGGGGGTGGAGGTGGCAGAGGAAGAATCAACAAAGGAAACTGACGAATGACTCTGGCCACCCCACCAGTGACCTAGCACACAGAATGGGCTTATGATCATCTGTAGGGACGGAAGGGACAAGAACTCCAGGGCTAGGGTGAGAAGGAGGCAAAGGCCTTGTACCTTGAAAGAGTGTGGCATTGTTGATGCAGCCAGGGAAGGTGCTGGAGTCCTGGTCCCCTCCCTGCACGTATGCCTCCCACTGCTTATACCAGTGCTTCTCCACAAGGAACCTGGGGCCCAGACAGGTAACAAGGGTGTTACATGGGTAGCTGAGGGTTAGCTATACAACTTCCCATGCCCAACAGACTGAAAGTATTGACACATTATAATTTAAGATGAAAAGTTTCAGCATCATATAAAAATAAATTCGAAGCAAAATTTATTCAGTGAAACTCAGATTTGTATGTTAGATAACTTCTTAGTATTAAAAAAGAAATCTGATTAAAAACAGAAAATGTGGTTAACAATGGCAAACAAACCAACAAAAAATCCATACTTATAGTGCTAGGAAACATGAGGTTTTATTATAGAATAAAAGATGATTCATTTGAATTAGTCTGTGGGATAACCCAGTTAAGTTAGGCTCAAGATATGTGCCATCTGCAGCTAATTTTATAAGGCTTTAGCCATTCATTATGTGTTTGTTTCTAAAGGATCTATCAATGGAAGCATAATTCTTCAGCTAAGAACTAGATTTGATAAATGGTGAAAAATCTGCTTTTAAAAGGAGCAAAGAATTTAAAATGCTAAAAAGAATCATAAGGTTTTCCTTCAAAAACTGCATACTGAAAAAAAAAAAAAAAAAAAAAAAAGACCGGGCACAGTGGCTCACGCCAGTAATCCCAGCACTTTGGGAGGTCAAGACGGGTGGATCACCTGAGGTCAGGAGTTCAAGACCAGCCTGGCTGACATGGTGAAACCGTCTCTACTAAAAAATACAACAAATTAGCCAGGTGTGCTGGCACGTGCCTGTAATCCCAGCTACTTGGGAGGCAGAGGCATGAGAATCACTTGAACCCTGGAGGCAGAGGTTGCAGTGAGCCGAGACTGCATCACTGCACTCCAGCCTGTGCGACAGAGTGACTCCATCTCAAAAAAAAAAAAAAAAAAAAGAACTGCATATTGCTATTGTTCATCATTTTTTAATTTAGAATTTACTTTGGCTTTATAGTAAATTCCTGAGCTTATGGTTCTCTTAAAAACTGTGATAAAAACATGTAACATAAAACTTACCATCAAGCATTTTTCAGTATACAGTTCAACTAGCTCTCTTTTAAAGGTGAAACTTATATGTACTACAAGGATAACCATTTAGAACTATATTGAAATCTACCTTTGTGAGAAATCCTGAAGTTTGGAAAATACTTGACATATAATAAGTGCTAAATGAATTTTAGCTGTCATTGTTCTGACAGCTTGGACTTCAGGACTTGGACATAAAAGCTCACAGACATAAACCTCCTCCTGCCTAAACACACACACACACACACACACACACACACACACACACACATACACACACACCTGTTCTGCTGTGGCATTTCTGACACATAAAAGGCTATCCCAAATACTGAGCAGCCTCAAATAAATGCTTTTTAAAAAATAACCAAATTTGATGAAATGCACATAACATTATATTGGCTGGTTTTCAAGCAATTTAACCTCATTATTATTATTATCATTTTTTGAGACAGAGTCTTGCTCTGTCGCCCAGGCTGGAGTGCAGTGGCACAATCTCAGCTCACTGCGACCTTTGCCTGCCGGGTTCAAGCGATTCTCCCAATTTAACCTCATCAATGTGATTCTTTAAAATGTCAACTTTCCCTTGTTCATGAAAGGATCAGAGAGGTGGGAGGATGGAGGGACAGACAAATCTTGGAATAGTCACAAGTCACCTAGATAGGCAAACATTTCTGTGGGTTTTTTGTTGGTTTTGTTTTTTTGCTGCACTGACCCCCACAGACCCTGCCCCATATCACTCACACCAGGGAAACAAACCCTTCTGTGCCGGTGGCTCAATGCTCAGACCCAACCCTGCACCCCACACACCACCATCCACCCTTTGTGGCTTTACTTGCCTCCATAGCCAGTCTATGAAGTTAATTTGTTCAGTAAAGCTATAGTTAACAGTACCTTCCAATGCAAAGGTAGGCACTGCTCAACTTCTTTTTAAGAGCAGATTTTGAACAAAAAATAACATTAAAATCACGCTGTAGAGTGGTAAGCAAAACTTCCAGACCTGGTCACAGGCTGAACTTCTATAGATTTCATAGAGGACTGACATTTTACATAATTTTTCACAGAAAATTATTACCATATTGCTTCAAGTCAAAGACACTTTAAAAAAATCATTGTTAACATCTCTGAAATCAGGATGTCTCACAATCTCTGTCAGGCCAGGTGGCAGTCACAACAAAGGTGTCATGGTCTGTATCAATAACACCCAAATTATTATATTTACAGCTGGGTATTCAATTTTTTGGATGCTATCATAAATGGTATCATAAATTTTAATTTTCTAGTTTCTTGCTGCCAGTATATACAGGTACAACTGATCTTGCTAAAGTCACTTAGGTTTATTCGTGCTTCCTCAAATTTGTTGAAATGATATGAAATATGTGCTTATGGAAAAAAGTTGCTAAACAATTCTTTATTTTCTGTCTTCTAGTTTTCTCTTGTGTCTGATTTGTGTTTGAAGATGGTTCATCCCACAAAAGGAAAAAGTGAAAATTTCCAAGGAGGCTATATTATTACAGATTTGAATTTGCCTTAAAATACAAGCTTCTCCCAGAAATTAAATCAGTTGTGATGACCAAATTAATTAACTACCCTCACCCAAATCTGCCAGCTGACAAAAGACAGAAGGTGCAAATATTAATACTGATACAAGATATATGATTTGGGGTTAGTCCATGACTTCAAAATGCTTTATAAACACATATATCCTGGCCACTTAAGCAAACCCCTGTAAAATGGAAAATGGACAGCAATAAAGAACCTTGAGATGCTTTGCTCTTACTAGAGAAGCATTAACAAAGTGGAGTTTAGCAAAAATGCTTCATGATAATACCCATGACAGCAGAGACAAACCGGCTTCAACACTGAACCAACACTGGTGTGGTAATTTTTTTAATGAGGTGAAATTCACATAACATAACATTAACCATCTTAAAGTGAACAATTCAGCGGCATTTAGAACATTCACAATGTTGTACAACCACAACCTCTCCCTAGTTCCAAAATATTTCATCATCCCAAAAGAAAACCCAGTACTGGTGGGGTAATTTTAAAGCGTATTATCAAGGATGACAGGATGTCATGTCCTACCAGTGACACAATCACAAGGCTACAAAGGTAGGAAGAGGCAAGGATCAAAGCCTCAAGGCCCTTTTGAACATCTTCAAATGAGTTACAAAACACTGTGGTTATTTTGTTTATTCTCAGGATGAAATGAGGCTTTTTCTTGCTGGAAAAGTGTGACGTAATGGCAGAAAAACACGGCTTGGGTTTGTATTCCCGATTTGGAAAATCTCAACTCATCTCCCCAGTAACAGAGATACACATTTCACTGGTGTGGTTATTAAAGAACTCTGTAGTGAGTAAACCTCACTCGAAAAAGCCCTAAGGTTAGATGTGTTTGAGGAACAGCAAGAGTCCAATATGGCCGGCCTGGATGGAGACAGGGAGGGAGTGCGTAATCAGAGGAGAGATATGGGAAGACATCAGAATGCAAGCAGGAGACCAGCTTCATAAAGGCTTGCAATTCATTGTAAGGATTTTAGCATCTACGCTGCAAGAGATGGGAAGCTGTTAAGAGTATTTTGAGGAATGGCTGGACATGATACATGTTTTAAAAATAATTACTGCATATGTAAAGAGGAAAATGGTACCTTTACAGTTGAGAAAGCTGGCCAACACTACCATAACCAAGTGATCAAGGTTAACATCACCAATGATGCCATGTGGATACCATGTATTACCCGATGCGAAGATAAGGGCTCACAGTATGCATCCAGTAGAATTTTATATATATGTATTCCATATATGTATAAAGTGAAAGCTTAGACAATACATACCGCTTAGGGATGCATACAGCTGTGGTAAAACATTAAAGAAAAGGAAGAGACTGTTAACTCAAAATTCAGGATAACAGTTTCCCATGGAGCAAGGAGGGGAATTTCCATCTGGGAGGGGCACAGAAGGATTTCTTAAGACAGTGTTCTGAATCTTAACATGGATGGTGAATTCACACGTTTTTATTTATTATTTAATTTTTAAACTTTGAAATAGATTGAGAAAAATGGCAAAAATAATACAGAGAATCCCCATATGTCCTTCATCCAGATTCTCCAAATCTAATATTTTACTCATTTGCTCAATCGTTGTTTCTTTACATGCATTTTTTGGTATTTTTATTTATTTTAAAATGGACAAAAATTGCATATATTTAGAGTGTACAGCATGAAGTTTTGACTTATGTATACATTGTGGAATGACTAAGTCAAGGCAATTAACACATCCATTACGTCACATACTTATTTTTTGGGGGGTGGTAGAACATGTAAAATCTTCTCTCAGTAATTTTCAAGTATACAATGAATTTATTAACTATAGTTGTACAATAGATCTGAACTTATTTTTCTTGTCTAACTGAAATGTTGTATCCTTTGACCAACATCTCCCCAATTTTATTTCCCCTCGCCATATATAAATTTATATATGCTAATTTTTCAGGCATTTGAGAATAAACTGCTTACACGATGCGTTCTTATCCCTAAATTTTTCAGTATTTCCTATAAACAAGGATATTATTTTTCACAGCCACAATGATCACAATTATTAGTAGTACTAGTATCTACCCACTTTAATAAAATTTCACCGACGTTTCCATTGCCTTTTACAGTAAAAGAGACAAAAATAATCTTATGATAAAAAATTGATTTTTAAAATAATTTTTTTTTCTGTTCCAGGATCCAATCGAGGATCACATGTTGCATTTAGTTATCATGACTCGTTAAATTGCATTAATTCCTTCAATTTGGAACAGTTCTTCAGCCTTTGTCTTTCATGATCCTGACATTTTTGAAGAGTGTAGGCCGTTTATTTTAACAGGATGTCCGTCAATCTGGGCTGCGTAAATGTTTTATATAATCTTTTTAAGTCTTACGTATTTCACAATTAAAAAACGAGATGCAACTCGGCGAGAAATAAAATGAACTCAGAAGCAGTAAATTTCAAGAAGGACTGTTTAGCAAGAAATCAGTAAAACAAGCCGATTTATCAAAATTCTATTTTTTAAAAAAACGACTTTTTCTTGATTCTAAAAACAAAACAGTACCAACACAGAAAACCAATTAAACATGGAAGGCCCCTCCGGTGCTAATCACCTGCACGTTCTCTCGACTCGGGAAGGCTTCCGCCAGAATCAAAAACCACGGCGCGTCATAAACTTTGCTTATTCGCAGGCGCCATTTTCTGCCTCATAGGCACCACCTCCCCTCCACTGTCGTCCCTCGGCCTCAGAGCACGCCCCTCAGCTCACGTCACCAACCTAACCTCGTTCCCAGGCTCCAGGCTCCTCCCCCCTCCCCCACGGAGGTCCCCGCTCCCTCCCTCGGACCGTTCGGCTCCATCCCGCTCTTCTGCTGACGTCACAAAGCTCGCCTCGTTCCCAGCCGCCCCGGAGCAATCGGAAACCGCTCCTCGCCCCCAAAAGTTGCATTACGCAGCGCAGGCCGCGCCCCCGCCTTATGTAGCAGAACCCACCTTCTTCCCAGGTTCCTACGCAGTTTCACTACGCAGGCCCGGCCCCACCTCCAGGACCGAAACTGGTCTCATCACAACAAACCCCATTTTGTTCTCAGGCGTCAGACTGCACCACACAGGCCCCGCCCCTTTTCCAGACGTTGCGATTCATTCAAAGGCACTTCCCCGCCCCTTTAGCCCGCTGTCCCGCCGGCCACTCCCCCGCCCCCGCACCCCGCAGCAGCTTTCCCGCGGCCCTCGGCCGCCGAATCCCCAGCGGTTGTCAATGCCCCCACCGTTCCCTCTGCCGAGGCTCCACCGCAGCCCAGCCTCACCAGCTTTCGCCGGCCCGCAGTGGACGTTCTCGCCCACTCTCGCCGTTTTCTATCTGGCGCCACTGGCTGTCCAGGCCTGGCAGCTCCTCGTGCTGTGGCTCTCTATCCTCAGTCACCGCCGCTGCCGCCGCCACAGCCGCCGCAGCAGCAGCTGGATTTGCTGCGACCGTCGCCATCGCCGTCCGTTCTCTTCTACAGCCAACGCAGCTGTGCGAGATTGGAAGACGCCCCTCAACAGCCACTTCCGGATTCTGGTCCCGGAAACGGAAGCAGAGCCCCCCAAACAGTCGCGGGGCTACTGCCATATTGGAAATGGCCCCGTGCACAGACGCGTCGAAGGGCTAGGTGGGGTAAAATCTTCAGTGGGAACCAAGAAAGACAAAAGTGCCTTGTGGGGTCCTAACGCCCTGTAGACTTAGGGCACAGGTGGCATGGAAAGTGGAGGCTGAGGTTCCCGAGGTGGGCTAGGACTCCTACCCTGGGAGCAGTGTTTTTGTTAGCCTGATCAGAATGCCCTTCATTGTACCATCAAAACCCAATGCAAAAGAGGTTTCCACCTCCAGAGACCCACCGAGGCCTGCGGGCTGTTGTTTCTCTTCCTGAACTAGATTTATTCACTAGACAAGGTGTTGAAGACAAGTTAGCCCCAGGCCCTATGTTTGTTGGAGTCATAGCAATCATAACTAAACTAGCTGTCCGCCCAGTTTAAGTGCTTTATTGGACTAAAATAGTAGCCTCAGGCAGCAGGTACTGTCCTTGTCACCCATGGGTAACAATGGGGACGCTGAGTACCAGAAACGTCCCTCAGCTAATTAGTGGTGGAGCTGCAGTTTAGACTTGAGAAATCTGGTTTCAGAGCTGTGACCTTAAACACCAGGCCAAACATTCTCCAACCGTGTGGTCCCAGTGGTCCCAGCCTGTCTACCGGTCCAAAAATCCTCTTGGGGTTTCACAAAATGAAAACTATTTTCACAATACTTTTTCACTCTCATTCTCTCAGGGGTGTACAGTGTGATTATCCAGAGGCTTCTGAATCCAGAGGCTATATGACATAAGCAAAAACTCTTTTGAATATCTTAAACTTTTAAGAACATAAAGGAATCCCGAGACCCAAAGTTTGAGAACCCTTGGACTAGGCCAGGGTCTCTCAACCTCAGCACTGTCATTTCTTTGTTGTGGGCATTGCAGGATATGTAGCAGCATCCCTGGCCTCTACCTACTAGATACCAAGTAGTACCCCTCAGGACAACCAAGTATCTCCAGACATTACCAAATGTCCTTTGGGGGAAAAATGTCTCTGGTTGAGAACCACTGCTCTAGGCTATGCTATTCTTTCCTCTGCTGGGGCTGCCAGCCCCGTTGATGATGACTTTAATTTCGAACCTCCCTTCCCCCTCACAATTTCATAATTTACCTATTTTCAGTTAATCTCTGCGGGGCAGGGATTGTGTCTTTATTACTGTGATTCCAGCCCCCAGCCCAGACCTGGCATAGATGAGGGGTCACAAACTCAGTTGTGTAAGCTCTGGGTGAGGAAAGGGAGCAGGCCTTTCACTTAAGGGTCCCCAAAGAAAGTGGCATTTGAGTTGAGTCAGACACATGGCAGATAGCTGCTCTTCAAGCCCAGTTGAATCTTGTCAGATTCTCTGAATTGATTCTCCCCATTGCCCCTCTGCAGACTCCCCCTCCCCATTTATCTGGGCAGCCAGGTAAATCCAAGAGACCTCCTTTCCCAGCCCTAGACCGTTTTTTTTTTTCCACCTTCCAGAGGCCAACCTCTGCCCACACCAGTGACCCTACCACTTCCCAGAGCAGTTGGGTGAGTTCTAGACCTTTTAAATCCAGCCTGGCAATCCTGTCCCCCTTTGCAAGGCCCTCCTTTTCCCATCCTCCCTTGCTGCCAGAAGTGGCCATGTCATCTGATTCTAGCCAAGAAATGGCACAGGAAGTCTGCTGAGGAGCTTGTGGAAGTTCCAGCCGTTAAAAGAACACAGACAGGTAAGGAAGGTGTTCTGTCTTCCCTGCTTGCTTTTCCATCTCTGGGGACATGGCAGTCATCATGGCACCATGAGGCTGCAAGCTGAAACATCACTAAAGTGCTTAGAAAGACACGGTAGAGGCTGGGCTTGGTGGCTCACACCTGTAATCACAGCACTTTGGGAAGCCGAGGTGGGTGGATCACTTGAGGTCAGGAGTTCGAGACTAACCTGGTCAATATGGTGAAACCCCATCTTTACTAAAAATAAAAAATTAGGTGGGCGTGGTTGTGCACGCCTGTAATCCCAGCTACTCAGGAGGCTGAGGCAGGAAAATCGCTTGAACCCAGGAGGCAAAGGTTGCAGTGAGCCAAGATTGTGCCGCCACATTCCAGCCTGGGCGACAGAGACTCTGTCTCAAAAAACAAACACACACAGTAGAGTGATTAGAAGTTCATGGGCCCCCACCACTGGGCTTTAGTAAACAGCCACTTAATTAGGGTTGCCATTACTTGCAGTATTTGCCTGGCCCTGCTCACCCCCTCTTCTGCTTAGAAAACAATCCTTGGCTTTGCCCAAGATGGTGGGACTGGGGCTGGAACTCACAGGACAAAGAAAATAAGTTTCAATTATCCTCATATCTGAGGGCAAACCCCAGGTTGTGTCATTGATCCCTGGCCTCTTGCAAACTCTCTCACCCATGCCCATGGTTTCTGTTACTTCCTGGACACTAATAATTGAAATTTCCAGGTCCATCTATGGCCCCACTGCTTAATTTGATCCATGTATTAAAGGATTTCTCTACCTACTCAGTGGTCCAAAATCTACCCCCTACCGTCCTGAACATTCCCTCCTCTTCATGGTTTCCTAGTCAGATGGCCATACTGGGCCTTTGCCTCATCTTCCCATCCATGGTTCTATTGGGCCGTCCAGTGTCTTTCAAACATCGTCTCTCCACTTCCCTGCCTCCACCCTCTTATCAGGCTTCCTCATATTCCTGGGCAAATCTAACTCCCCTTTCTGCTTCTCAACCCATCAACACCATTCAGCCTGCCCTACCTGCTTCAACTCCATGTTCTACTGTTACATATGCAATACCTTAGATGCCTTTTTCATAGTCGTGACGTGTCCCTGGCCCACTCCCAGTGTTTTCCTAGACAGTGGTGATGAGGTATGAATTCTCCAAGGTCCCAATAATCACCCCAGCTCGGCCACCCTCCACCCCTACAGGGATTTGCAAGCAGGCTTTTCACTTTAGACTTTTTAATATTTCATACAGCGATTATGGTGCATTCAGGAACCCAACCCCCCAAACCCACTAGGAGGGCTCCCACCCCTGCCCTCCCACCCCATTTCAGGGCCCCAGGGCTTAGGGTGGAGGAAGGGGAGGTAACCACCCATCCAGGGACTGACCCTGGAGACTGTCCCTGCCCTGCCTCACCCTCCCCAGGAGATAGGGGGCAACACCTGGGCACAACCCCTCACACCCCCCTCCCCCAACCCTGCTTGTGCACATATGCACATTATGGCTCCTCGCTGAGCTGGTCAGTTCCTGGCAGGGCCCCTACCCAACAGCACCGAGTGGGATGGGAGCAAGGGGACTGGGCTGGGGAGACCCTGAGAAGGAAGGAGGCCCCAGCTACGGGACTGCAGGAGAGAAAGAGTGGGGCCCCCCACCTTGTCCATTTCCCAGAGTCTCTGGTAGTCCCCAGATCCCCCTGCAACTGGGGATGGCGGGCGGGGGTAGGAAGGCGAGTGGCTGTGGCATGCTTTCCCATAGCCAATCCCAGGGTCTGGTGATGATCAGGGTTCCAAATAGGGGCTGTGTCCCTGTCTCTGAAAGGCTGGGAGCAGGGCTTCATTGCACAAAATACTGTGGGAGGGCCACACGCAGGGGGTGGGGCCCAGCCAGTCTGTATACAGAGATATTGCATTTAAAAAAAACAAAAATCTCATTTAAAATAATTAAAAAAAAAAAAACAATGAATGAAACAAACAAAAAAAGGCCCACACAATATGAGGCAGGTGGGGCAGGCAGGAAAGCAGGCAGAGGATGCCTCAGACTCAAGGCATTGTCACCATCTTGTCTGAGTCGAGATCCCCAGCCTGGGCTAGCTCTGGACCCCTGGCTGGCCGTGGGGTAGTGGTCCTGGGGGCTGGTATGATGGGGGGTAGACCTGGCCTCAGTGTGGGAGGCTGGCACGGCCATGCTGTCCACCGGCAACTACCAAGACAGAGACAGACAGACCAAGTGAAGGAGTGATGAGAGCTTTGTTAGCACCCAGCAGACAGGCCAATGGGTGGGTTGACAGGCCAATGGTGGGGTGTTTGGGCAGGCAGCAGGGGACAAGTGGGCAGGTGAACATGGCTCAGGCAGGTAGGCAGAGAGTAAGCAGGGAAGATGTAGTTGGGGGCTGCCCTGTGAGGGGTGTGGCATCCCTCCAGCCGCTGCCTGCTGGGGCCTCGGTCTGTGGCTTAGAACTCGGTGTCCACCACGCGGAAAGCTGGCCTGCCTGTGGGGGAAAGCAGAGCAGATGGCTGTTGGTGGGTAAGCAGGTAGGTGGGTGGGGCAGGGAGGAAGACAAGGGGCTATACCTACCTGAGTCAGGCATCGACGAAGACCGAAGGCTGGCCTCCTTTTGTAGCTGAATCTCCTTTAGTGCAAATATGGAAGTAGCTACAGATGGGGGAGACATAGAAGTGGGGGATGACCCATGAGGTCATCTAGGACCAGCCCCATATGACCCCATGGGAAGAATTAGAAAAAGCTGCCCCTTCTCTGAGAGGCTTGACCTTTATCTGTCAAACAATTCCATACACAAACCAGCTACAACCAGGGAAGATGAAATATAGACTATTACATGACACAAAGAAATCATTATTAACTTTGTCAAGTGAATTATGGTATTGCAATTACCACCTGTTAAGTCTAGGTGATGGGTGGTGTTTGGGGTTTGCTTTATATATTAATCCAGTGGGAAGATAGGGAAAGTGAGCAAATGTTTTTTGTAGGTTTGATAATAATATTGTTGTTTTAAAAAAATCTTTTATAGGTATATGCTGAAATTATTTAAGGATAAATGCTATGATGTCTGGGATTGGATGTGATTCAAAATAATCAGAGAGAATATAGATAAAACCAGATTGACCATGAATTGATGACTCACTGGAGTACTTAGGGACTCATCATATTACTTTGACTAATATATAAATACATATATTTGAAAATATCCATATTAAAAAGTTTTTAAAAGCCAGATATAAAAAGAACATCACATGTGATTCTATTTCTATAAAGTACAAGGACAGAAAAAACTTATCCTTGCTGTTAGAGGTCAAAACAGTGGCCACCCTTTGGGAAGGGGCTGGGAATAACTGAAGGAGATGCAAGGGAGCTGGGGGTGGGGAGCTTTTAACATTCTGTTTCTTGACTTTTGTGCTAGTTACAAGGATGTGTTTCATTTATGAAAATTCATTGTATAGTATACTTATGATTTGTGCATTTTTTAGCACATGTAAGGAAATGTCTACTTTAAAAAAAGTAAAGTGCTATTGCATATATTTTTATGTATGTTTTAAATTTTTCATGAAAGGTAAAAGGAACTGAAAACTAAAAAATGTTTTCATAACAAATACAACCCATCACACACGTGAACAAGATGTCCCCCCACGTAGAGGTGGCACAGCCAGAATCCTACACAACCCGCCAGCTGGCCCCAGCAGTCCTGTTTCCCAGTCCCCACGCTGGCCGGTCCATTCCCCAGCTCCACTCACTGTCAGGAAGTTTGTGGATCCGCTCCCCCAGACTGAGGAAGAATGGATGTTTCATGGCATCCTCTGCGGAGATCCGATTTCGACCCTCAAACTGAGTGGGGGTGCGGGGAGGGGGATAGTATTGATATCTTCAACAAGTAGGTCTCTCTGCCCACCTCAGACCCTGCCCCTGGTTTGAGGGGGGGGGTCCCTGTTTCCCCACACTTGGAATCCCATACCCCCAAGGCTGACCCAAGGTGGTCTCACCTGCAACAGCTTGGTGAGGAGGTCGGCCCCGTCGCTATCAAGTCTGCCACAAGGACAAAGAGACCTGATTTAAAATGAGTTTGGACACTCTGGCCCCTAACGCCCACCCACCCACCAGCCTCACCGGGGTGCGTGGCTCAAAAGGGCCTCGGCTCGGTACTTGGGGTAGTTGTATGTCTTGAACTCCTCGTTGGACAGGATGCCTGGCCACGTCTCCTCAGTTGGGGTTCCTAGTAGGGAAGAGGAGTTATCCCAAACATTTCACAGGTCCTCCCCGTGTGTCTCCACAGCGCCTAGGGCCCATGCCTCCTCACCTAAGATACGGAAGATGAAGTGTAGCTGTTCCTCCACCGTGGAGCCCGGAAAGAGGGGACGGCCTGTGGCCATCTCATAGAAGATGCAGCCCACACCCCTGGGCAGGGAGGGCACAGTGAATAGAAAGGCAGCTGGCTGGGTGGCTGTTGTGACCAAGCCACCCCCTTTACCACATGGCCCCTGCCACACTTCCACCTGTCCTTACCACATGTCAATCTGAGTGGAGTAGTCCGTGGACCCAAGCAGGATGTCAGGGGGCCGGTACCACAGTGTCACCACCTCATTGGAGTATGTCTTTGTTGGGATTGACTTGGCTCGGGCCAGGCCTGGAAATCAGAGAAAGGACAGCTAGAATGAGGGAGTCATGGGCAAAGTCTCGGGGAGAGTGCAGTTGAGACTGAGGGTGTCCTAGGCAAAATCTGGCAAGGCTGAAGGGAAGTGAGACTAAGTGGTCATGGGAAAGTAGGAGGCTGGGGAGCCAATAAGAAAGGGGAGGCCAGTGGTACCAAAGTCAGCCAGCTTGAGCTCTCCCCTCTCGTTGATGAGCAGGTTCTGGGGCTTGAGGTCTCGGTGTAGCACCTTCTGCCGGTGGCAGTAGGCCAGGCCACGGAGCAGCTGGAACAGGAACAGCTGGGGACCCAGGAATGGCAGGCAGAGGTCAAAGACTATCCACTAGCCCGACCCCCAGCAGGCACTGCTCCCCTCCCAAACACAGACACTAGGCCCAGAGCCTTGTCACACAAAAGAGGACAGGGTCCCAGTGCCCTCCAAGGGCTCCTAGCAAAAAAAGCCAAAGGGAAAAGTCCGTTTCTGGGAGATTTGTGGGTTGGAGTGGGTGAGTGGGGGCCCCCTTGTGCCCCTGCTTCCTGCCCCACACCCACTTTCACGTTGTGCATGTTGATGATGTTCCCACAGTCATCCAGGTACTGCTTCAGGTCCTTGTCCTGAGGAAAGAAGAGGTGGTACAGGAATGAGGGTTACTTCCTATGGCTCCTGGCCTTCTCCTCACCTCCCCCTGGGACCTACTGCCACTCAACCTTACCAGGTACTCAAAGACAAGGGTGAGGGACTTCTCCGTGTGGATAATGTCATGTAGCGTAACGATGTTGGCGTGTTTGAGGTCCTTGAGCAGGGACACTGCAGGAAGCATGGGAGTGGGACAGGGGAAGAGTCAGGGTCCTACCCTCAGGACAGAGGTGAGGACAAGGACTAGAAAGGGACAAGCCCAGGTTTTCTTTCTTTCTCTAGACAGTTCAGGGTAATGCCTCGGAGCCACCAGCTCTAACCCGCCTCATGCCAGAAGAAAGTTGTGTCTCCATGTTGCAGATGTGGAAAATAAGACTCAGAGGAGAGTATGGAGCAAGAACCTGGGATTGCAGCCCCAGGCTCATGTGACACTAGATTTTCACAACCTGTTTTTGGTTTCTGGGAAGGGGCCTGGCTCCAACCCTCAGTACATAGGCCTGCAGCATCGCGTGAAATCGAATTTGCACACTAAATTTCAGTGCAATTCAAATTCATTCCATGTGATATTCTGACTAGAAATTGTTACAGTAAATAAACTGGTGAGCACTTTCAGGGGTGTTCTCAGAACCAAACCCTGGTTTGCAATTCATCTACCTTTTATCCAAATGGGAACAGATTCCTGGTTACCCTGATTATTACCTGGATATGTGGGTGACAGGCATTCCCATGAAAGCCAGAGTGTTTTGGGGGGTCTTAGAACCAGTCTTTGTTCTCATTATGGAGTGTGTGCGCCAGGGGTGGGTTGGGGAAGCCTGGGGCAGATGGGATGGGGGTGTGTACCTTCCCGGATGGCGGTGCAGGGTGCCCCCTCTTCATGTTCCAGTCTGATCTCCTTGAGTGCCACAAGGTTGTCTGTGAGCTTGCTTTTGCCTTTGTAGACGGTGGCATAGGTACCCTGGAATGTGAGGAAGTGTGACAGGAGAGGTGCTATGAGATTCCAGGAGTTCCCACTGACCTTCATCCCCACCATGGGCCTCCTATTTGCCTCTCACCTCGCCCAGTTTGTCCAGCTTAATGTAGGTCTCCAGTTTCCCAAAGCCAATCTCAGACTGTGGGACAAATGAGGCAGGTTAAAGCTGGCTCAGGAGAAGGGTCTGGGAGAGAAGAAAAAGGAGAGGACGGGAACAGAAGGTGCTTACTAGGCTGACACGACGGAGGCGGCGGCTGAGGGGCTTGTCAAAGATGGGGCTATTGAGGGTCAGCTTCTCCAGGTAGCCCTCAGGCAGCCGGATGTCAGCTGGTAGTGATAGGCGCTTGTTGATGTCCTAGCAGGTAAGGCAAGAGAGAAACAGGATCATGAGCTCCACCTCCCCAGGTCCAACCCCCTTTTCCAGTTCCTCCACCATCCAGACGGGGTCAAGCACCTCAGTGGAGATCTTGCGTGGGGGATGGTTGCGCATACGCACTCTCACTGGAGACTGCACCTCATCCGAGGACGTGGCTGAAGCCTGGTCACTCTCCCCATCAGACCCCATCTTCAAGTCCTCGTGCACAATCTCTGGTGGCAGGGAGAGGGGTAGGGCAGGCCAGGTGGGGTCAGGAACCACAGGACACCCCATCCCCCACGAAACATATTCCATCATCACACATGTGTGCACGTGGCCCCCACAGGAAACCTGGAGTCCCTCGGGGAGAGGGTGATGTACCTGAGCCCAGGGAAGCTCAGGTACATCTAGGGCAGGTTGAACTGGGGGGTGGGGAAGCAAAAGTCACCTAGTGGAACCCTTCCTTCCAAGGGCAAGCTGAGCTCAGAGCCGGCAGCTAGGTGGTGGCAGGGGAAGCCAAGGGTCCTGGGAAGGCAGGCCCAGGGCAGGCAGGTACCAGAGGACTGAGGAGGCCATCATAGAGGGCAGAAGGGCAGAGGGAGCCTTGGGGCAGCTGTGACAGGCAAGGCACCTTCTGTCCCCCACCACGGGGCCTGGGCAGAAAGGCAAGAAGAGGAGCGCAGATGGACAGATAGACAGACGGTGTTGAGAGAAGATGGGAGGGAAGGGGGAGAAGAGAGCACATGGGGGGCAGAGAAAGGGCAGAAAATTTAGAGGAAAATGAGGAATGTGACCAGGAGGCAACACCTGGGAAGCAGCCTGGGGCCATATGGGAGAGGGGATAGCCAGTGGACCCACCTGGTGCAGAGCTGAGTGGGCCCCGTGCAGAACGAAGTTCCCCAGGAGCAGCACGTGTGGGGGCCTCTCCAGGGTCACTGCCGCCACCACCACCACTCTCATCCAGGCCTATCTGCTCAGGGGCACCATTGGTCTTGTCTATGCCTCGGCCACCTCGGAGTGTCATTGACAGCTGCCGTTTGATCTTCTTCATCCGATCCATGGCGATCTGAGCAAGGGACAAGGATGGAAATGGGTCTCTTATTAGCATTTGCTTGATCACCATGGGTTCCCTAAAGCCCACAGCCTAGCAGGGGGCACTGACATGAACTTGTCAGTGCTCACTCAACCACTATGGACCCCAGAGCCACTCAGGAGTTCTGGAAACCCAGCATGGATGGGGATCTTTGTCAGTACCTGCCCACCCACACAGCCAGCCCCACTGGGACCCTGCTCCTACGTAGCCCACCTGAGTTCTCAGATTTAGGTGGCTGATTGAGGGCAAGGGCCCTAACGATGGATTGTTGGGATCTAGGGGAAAAGCCCCACTGCAGGAGCAGAAGGCTCCATTGCAGATCTTCTCAGGTACAGCTGCAGTGATGGGCCCAGCCATGGGTCGGCCAGGGCGTGTGCCCAGAATTGAAGGATGGGTGACATGGTCTCGAGCACGGCCATAGAGTGGCATAGTTCCCCTAGCACCACCCTCAAAGGCCAAGGCAGACTATTCCCTGTGGCCACAGGGACCCTCTTCCTGACTTCTCTAGCACTCATCGTCATGACAACCACTGCATCATCCCATTCATCTACCCAGGTGGGGGGGGGGAGGGGAGCGTGTGTCAGGGTGTCCTGCCCAGACCCAACCACTGGGTGGGATTGTGTGGAGGGCGGGGGGGTCTCAGTGTACACCAGCTCTTCTCAGGGCTGCCAGAACGGTTTGATCAGGTTAGGACCCCTAGGGTCCAATCTAGACTTTTACAAGCCAAGTCACATTTCTCCTCTACTCAAGAATGTACATTTTTCATCACCCCAAATACACGCCCCAGTCCTCAATGTGGCCCACAGGTGTTTCTTTACCTCATTTGCCCCTATTGCCTCTTGCCCACGGCCCCCCCCCACCCCCACACCCCCCCGCCATCATTCCTAGTTGCTGTTCTGCAACCACACCCAGTAGAGTCCCACCTCGGGGCCTTTACACTGGCTGTTCCTGGTACCTGGAACACCCTTCCCCTAAATTTCGAAATGGCTCACTCCCCTCTCCCTTTGGGCCATTGCTCAAAGGTCACCTTTTTCATGAGGCCTCTGTGAATAACCCTATTTAAAATCTCAACCATCCCGAACTCCCTCACCTTGCCAGTTATCCCCCCAGCACTCATTACCTCCTCAGAAATGACACCACCTACTTATTGGTTTCTTTAGTCTTTACTGTCTATCTCCTCACCGCCACAACTAGAAGATCAGCTCCGCCAGGGTAGATTTCTGTGTTTAGGTCACGGCTATATCCTGAGGACCTGGAATAGTGACTGACACAGAGTAGATGCTCAAAAAGTGCTTATGGCAGAAATAAGTGAATCAGGGGGCTGAGGGCCTAGGACCAACCTCTGCTGAGGTGATGAGTCCCTGCTATTCATTGAACAACCCTAAACAAGGTAGCCCAGGGATGCTGGCATCGACAGGAAGATGACCTAGATGGATTGCTGAAGGGAATGGGGCCACCAAAAGGCTTAGGCCAGCCGTCTTCTGCTTCCTCTTGGGCTCTGGGCCAGCAAGGAGGGGGAAAGACCTGACCCAGGAACCATCTGGACTCACAGCAGGGCCTAAGATGGCCCTGGGCCCAAGGGAAGTAGAGCTAGATAGGAGGTCGAGGATGAGACTGGGGCTGGATTTGAGGAGAGAAATGGGTCATCTGCTACCTTGAAATCAGGTGCTTCCCCCAGCAGTTCTCGCCCCCACCTGGCTGAACTCACTATCCCCAGGAGGGGTAGGGGCCACCCTAGCAGAAAGACCTCAGATACAGGATGAGGTCCATCCATGGAGAACCCAGGATAACCACAAAACATCCTGACCTGGGAGGCTGAATACTGGGCCTAAGGCAAGGAAGGTAAAGCATGGCCAGCTCCCAAAGACAACCTTGTGTCCCCATATGGCACAGATACCCAGTTGCTTTGCATGTTGTGACAGGGAGTAGGGGAGGGGCTGGGGGAGACTGGAAGTAGGGCTGAATGGAGGATGGGGAGGAAGCCAGGAGGAGCCATGGGTCCACGACCTCTAACTGGAAACCCCAAGGGCTGGACATGCTCTGGAGTTCAGTTTTTTGGGATTTTAGGAAGATGGGGTGTAAAATCTGTATATCACATAACACTCCCAGAAAGGGGGATGGGGGTCTCAGACATGCCCCTGTGAACAGAGATAATTGAACATTTATACGCAAGGAAACTTTTAAATATCATTTCAGTTGAATGAGCTTTTTAGATTTCAAAAAAGGAGGGAGCAAGAAACTGGACATAAAACCTTACCCCAAAAAAGGCACATGTCCTGCCTGACCCTTCCTGATCCCCAAAGACATACACCCATCCTCAGACTACTCTCATACTCAAGGATACTCAACACACCAACCACTAAGGACTTGGTCATCGCACCCTATGTCCTGATCCCCATTAATACACGCTAGACCCTCAAGGAGGCCTCACTACATCTTACCTGCTATTATCTCATATACCCATCAGCATTCAAAGCCCTAACACATAACATACCGCCCTGAACTCTGTCAGCACACACTTAGCCTCCTCTAAGTAACTCTTGCCACCACATTCTTGGGCCCCTCCCTGGCCTAGCTGCTTGTTACCTTCTCCATAGTACTGACTCCCCTCATTAACGTACTGTTCCCCCTACATGATTCTGACCTCTATTAACATGCACTTGGGGTACTCTATAGCTGACCCACATTAGCACTCACTGGACCTTCTTCATGCTGCTCTGAATGCTATTAACATAAAGTGAACCTTACAGATAGATCTCTAACCAGTGTTACCCACACTCAGGCCCCTTCACAGCTACGACCATCCTTAACACACATTCCAGTCCTTCCACTGTCCTGTCCCCTCTGTCAGCACAAACTGAGTCTTCACTCAGGCCTGATTTCTATTAGCACACGCCGGGCCTCACACAGTCCTGCCTCCCCATTAGTGCACCCTGAACCCTTACTCAGCCCTATTCCGCAGGGACACACAAACACACTGTTCTACCATGGCCTGACCCTCATTAGTGCACACAGGTCTCATTCAGCCCTGACTCCCATTAGCACACACTTCAGCCCTCCCTAGCTGTAATCCACTTTAGCACACCGAGATCATCACACATTCCTGTCCTCTATTGCTCTCTGCTCAGAGATATCTCCACAGATATAATCCTTGTTGGTTCACACTTAGATCCCTTCATGAAAGCCCTGATCCCCCTTATTACACACTAGATCCCCTCCGCAGCCCTACCCCCGAGTAGCACCCCCTGGAACCTCAACATACTCTGGTCCTCCGCGGACACAAGGGCACAATCTTCACAAGGTTCTGATGCTTATTAGCATATTCCAGACTTCACACAGCTGACTCTCGAAATGGCACACATTGAAGTGCCTCTATGTCTCTAAACCCACATTAGCAACCACCAGTACTTCTATTACCCTGCTCCTTCCTAGTGTGCCCTCGAGACTCACATTCCCTGTGTCCATGGACACACTCACACCTCACATCACCTTTACCCTTCGTCCACTAAGCCTCTGACAGTGCTAAGACACTTCCCCACCACTCCTTCCTGGGCCCAGACAGACACGCAATTCTCATCTCCTTTAGGCCAGGCTCAGGTATTCCACAGTCCTTCCTCCGTTAGATACCCTCAGGTCCTTCCTCCACTCTGCCCTCATTAGCATATACTGGGTCCCAAACTACCTAGACCTTCGAGGCCACAGGCATACACCCTCTACAGCCATGACCCCCACTGGCGCACACACCACACTCGAGTCCTTCAGCTACCTGCCCTCCACAAGCACACACTGCATTCTCACACACTGCAGGCCCCACGGACAGACACGCAGTATTAACACCATCCAGGGCCTCATCGCCACGCACCAGGCCTCAGAGCCCTGACCCCACCAACACACGTTCTGGTACCTGTGCCACCCTGTCCCCCATGAACACACACCGGGCCTCTCTGCGGACATAATCCCTATGAGCATGTCTTAGAACTTCCTCGACACCCTACCCCCCGTTATACACCCTCGGGTCCCTCACCCGCTCCGCACCCCGCCCTCCTTCCACAAGCACACACGGGGCCTTGAACCTTACACGACTTATTGGCGTGAGGCTTACTGCCACATGCTCCGACCCCCATCAGCAACCCCCCCAAGTCTTTCACCCCATTGTCACCCATTTCCACACCCTTTGGTCCTTTGACTCCCCCAGGTCCCCATTAGCACCCACAGCACTACCCAACCCCAGCTCCCAGGACAGGCCCAGGGCGGGGCCAAGGTCAGGGAGGCCCCAAATGACCCCCCGCCCCGGTGCATTCTGGGAAATTCGCCGGGGGTGGGGGCACCTGCCAGCCCCGCAGCCCAGACCCCTGGGCACCGCCCGAGGTGGGTTCTGAAGGAGGAGGGGCAGCCTCCACGCCTCGGGGACGCGCTCACCGGCGGGGGCGCGCGAGCAACCTCAGAGCCGCGGGGCCGGCGCGGCGGCGCCTGGGGCGGCGGCCCGGGATGAGGCCGCGCGACCTCCTTCTCCTCCTGTTCGCCGCAGGCGCCCGTCCCAGTAGTCTTCAGCCATGGTTGCTGGGCCCGGGCCGCCGCCGGCTGAGGAGGAGGAGGCGGCGGCGGCGGCGGTGGCTGAGGCGGAGGCGGCGTCCCGCTCAGCCGGCCATGAGCTTGGCCGCTGCGGGCGATGCCCCCGGACTCGTTGGCGCCGGCTTGAATCCGAGTGCTCACGGCGGCTCGCGGCACAGAGCGGTCTGATCGCGGAGTGGCGGCGGATCCCAGGGCCGAACAGCCAACGGCCCAACCGCCGCGCGCGCCGCGCTCCGCGCATGCGCACGCAGGCGCTCGGAAGGGTGAAGTGGAAAGGAGGGGACTCACCTCGGACTGCATGTACCAAAGGACCCGTCCGCAGCGGGAGGGGACGCGGCCATCGCGAGCCCAGAGGAGGATGCGGCGCCAAGCCGGAGACGGCACCAGGGAGAACTGTGGAGGCTGTTTAGTACTCAGTTCCGATCTTGGCAGAAGTTTGCTAGCGCCTAGGTGAGCAGTGGCCAGTAACCTGGCGCGTCAATCACCACTCGTTCCCCCTACTCGGTCTCACTTGGTACATCCCCATGGTGGCAAACGGGACTTTTGCAAGGAGGAAAAAAGACAAATGAAGCACTCAGTTCTAGTCCCTTGAGGTGCTTGGGGAGGAAGGCATTTTAAAGGTTCGCGAGAAGATGACTTTTCGAGGAGAGGCAGCCTGAAGAGTTATTGGCCTTTACCACCTTAGCTAGGACGGCCTATCCCCGCCCAACTGCCCCCTCCACCGCTACCTCATTCCCGTAGTGAACGTGTGCAGCCCCGCCCTTTGAGGTTGTCGCCCAGCCAATCTGATTTGCTCTCTGTGGCGAGGCCGAGCAAGAATAAAGGGCGTGGCTGACTGAAGAGGCGTGATTTCGCTCTCTACCCGACTCCGCACGCCTCCGCCCAGGTTTCATAGGTTTTCACCGTCGGCGGGGGTGGGGTCTCCTTTTTGTTCTGAGCTCCTCCTTCGCTATAGGCCGAATATTCCGCAAGGTGATTGGTCATAATTGCGCTCAATCGAGTCTCGTCCCGCCTTTAGCCCGCCCTCCATCTCATACAGCGGGCCTCCCGGGGTGGAACCCAGGCTGAGAAAGAAGGAAAGAGGCGGATCCTTAGAGGCGCAGGAGCCGCTACTGCGCATGCTTGGAACTTCGAGCGGGGCGGAGCCTCTTTTCTGCCTCACACGAGTATTTGCATAGGCGCCGTGCGTTGGATTTTCCTGCCACCTCTCTTGCCCGGCACAGCCCCTCCCGTGCCTCCCCTCACTCTGAGGGTTTTTTGTTTTGTTTTGATGTCAGTCAACACAAGTAGAACACTCCGCGGTTTTATTTCCATTTTATTTATTGGGCGCATGTTGTGTGCCAAGTACTACCAGGCCGACCTAATCCTTCACTTCCTTCTGCCTGGAAAACCACACTATCCCCAAGTCCAGCTCAAAGGGCTGCAACCTCCAGCAGGCCTTCTGGCACATCCTTACACTACCCTGTTCCAAGGCAGCCTCCCCGCCTCTTCCGGGCTTCCCTTTATGGCAGCCTTGATCACAGCAGTTAGGATTTTCAGTAAGGTTTACATTAGTGAGATTTCCCGGGCCATGATGGGAGTGGAAATATTTGACAAAGATAAAAGTCCTCGCCTTGGCATAGAACAGGCTCATCACTTCTCTGACCTCATCTCTTCCTCTTCTTCCCCTGACTCACTGCCACCATACTAGCGCTCTTTCTAGCTGTTTGAGTGAAACGGGCACAATCCAGCCTCAGGGGTTTTGCATTTGCTGTGGTTCCCTTTGCCTGGAATGCTGCTGGCCCACATCCACGTGCCTCATTCTCTCACTTCTTCCAGGTGCTTGCTTCAAAGTCATCTCCATGAAGCCTTTCCGATTTAAAAATTCCTACCTGCACTGCCATCATTCCAGATCCCCAGATCGGGCTCTATTCCTCGCCTTTTGAAGAGCACTGATCAACTTCTAAGGTACAATTTGCTTACTGTGTTTATAATCTATTCTGGGTGTCAACCTAGCAGAACGTAAAACCCCAAGAGGACAGGGATCTTTGTTTTATCCACTGCTGTCTCACGTGCCTAGAAAGTGACTGGCACACAGCACACAACAAATGTTTGTTGAATGCCTGCCAGAGCAGGCCAAGAAAATAAAATGATCAGAAGGAGGTGGGCAAATAGTTCCAGGCAGTGACAAGAGAAACCTTTGTCCCACCCTATCCTTTGTGGCTGCTGGGTGCAGGGGGCTCGGTGCAATGACGCAACCCCCGCCTGCTAAGCCCTGATCTCCCATCTGGCTGGTGTTAACAATGGTAGACTGGTAGACAAACCGCAGAAGTAAAATGGAATGAGGTGGAGGGGGAACAACTAAGATGCAACCAGGATTCATGCATGACTCAAAAGCTTGTTTTGATGGAGAAGGGTGTCAGGCACGAATAAGGTGTCAAGGAGATCCAGGAGTTGTGGTGGGGAAGACATGGAGCCGTAATGGGGGAGGTGCAGTGAACAAGGTGTCTATAGAGTATCCGCAAAGGAGCTGGCATACTGGAGAAAGAAGACAACAGTTGTGTTCAAGCCTCAGCTGCTGTAGTGGTGTGGCCAGTGGACTGCGGTGTGGAGTGTCTAGGGTACTCTAGAGCAATAATGGGAAAGTTCCTGTGGTGGGAAAAACTTTCCCTTTGACAGTATCACCACTAGATACCAAAGGGAAAATGCCTCTGTCCTCAACGTCCTAGTGGGGAAGAAGAAACTGTGGAAGGATAAGGTCACCCAAGCAGAGCAGGCCAAGAAAATAAAATGATCAGAAGGAGGTGGACAAGGGCATATACTGTGCCCAGGACCAGGAACTACTGGCCCAGGAGGCAGCAGATGTGGGCACAGGCTGTGATGGGAATCAAGCCAGTTCAGAACAGGTTGAGCTATTCCTTACACTCAGGTTTGAGTAGAAGAGTGAGGGATCTTGTTTCTAAGTAAGGTAGATAAATTATTGGTTAGTTGAGGAACAGAAGTATGAATGGACTCCTCAGGCACCAGGAGCCAGTACAATAGAAGAAGGCAAAGATGTAGCAGTGGCCAGACTGGTGCTTTCAATTGTCTGGAGCACTCAGCCAAGACCAAGGACAGAGCACGGTAACTCTGCAGTCCCGGTGGGGCTGGTGTTAGGCCTCCTGCTACCTGCTCTAAGCGATGAACACCCCTCAGTCCCCACAGCCAGCTGTCTTCTCCAAAGTAGGAGGCTGAAGATCCTCAAGGGGAATACAGGCAGACCTGGGGCTGGGGCGGCGGCAGGGCCGGGGGAAGCGTAAGGCAAGCAACGGGCTTTTCCTCTACAGATGTTCTCAAGTATTTCCATAAAAATCACGAAGTATGCCTGCAGGCACTGGCATTCGGCAGAGCTGTTTAAGACACCCCTGCAGCAAGGAAATTGAACTAAGAGCAGCACAGGCATTCCTGGTGCTGGGAACCATGACCACAAAAGGCTGCCCAGGGTCTGAGTGCTTTGAGCCAGGTGGGAGGGGATCTGCCCTAAGGACATAAGGCACGCTGGCCATGCCCTAGCAGCCTGGTCACCGTAACTTTCCTCTTCACAGAGCAAGGAGTTAGGACATGGAGAAGGTGAGAATTGAACCCAGCTCAAATTAACAGTCACATGGACCCAAGTACCTGCTCACTATGGCCTCACTGGTGCCTCCATCTCTTCCTAGGCAGAGAGGGCAGGAAGAGGTGGCAATTACATTTTCTTTGTCCAGAAAACTGGCAGGTGTGGTGGGGTTGAGCCCTCTGAGTTATCATCTGAACCAGACAGCTCCAGGAAGTCCCTTCCTTCCCTGGAACCAGCAGGGCAGGCGATGTGGGAGTTATTAATTCTTTATTAGGATTCAGGTTTCAAACAAGGTAGAAGGCAGTGGCAAGAGGGGTTCAGGTAGGGGGATGATGAGGGAACACCAGACTTGGCTAGTTGGGCCACTGCCAGAAGCCAAATGGGAACCCTGGGCTGGAAGGGGTGTGGAGAGGGGTGGACAAGGGGCCAGCCTAGAGGAGCAGACGGGGTCAGCGGATGGTGTATCGGACATAGGGAACCTCGACATCCTCGCCGCTCTCGTCGTTACAGCACAGCTCAAGCACCAGCGCCCGCACGTGGCGGCCCAGCTTTCGCTTCGACACACGGCTCACAATCTCTGTCATCCTGGGGATAGGGGGATGGGAGTATAGGGTCAGGAGGGCAGAAAGCAAGAGAGGATGGGCAGGTAGGTAGGGGCAGTGAACTGGAGTGGGACAGCTGGATGATGAGGCTCCCCAACCCATACAGGGCCTCCCCTAGCCTGGCCAGTGTCCAACTCACGGCTGATCCAACCGTTCCTTGAGCTTGGCAGCTGGCATGAAGAAGGAATAGAGCATGGACACGCCCTGGGACAGCATGGTGATCTCTAATTTGTGCTCTGTCTGGAGAGGGAGGGGGAACAGCAGGGTCATGGAGGTGGACAGGCCAGCAAGTCACCGTGTACACCTCGCCCCCTGAGGTGGGGTGACAGAGTAAGGGAGGGGCCTTACCTTAAAATAGTCGAGGAACTGTTTGAGGGTCATCTCCTCACCATTAGGCTGCAGCCCTTGTACCTCAAAGCGATCCCACAATGTCCACTCTTGGTTATAGTACTGCAAGACAAAGAGGGGAGTGTAAGATGGAGACCATCCCAGAGGGTCCAGCCCCCATCTGTCTCCATCCCCCCTACCCCCATGCAGACGTGTTTAGTCAGATCACAACCCTCTTTTGTTCGAAATCCTCTTGTGGTTCCTATCTCACCCTAAGCAATGAAATTCTGTTTTCTTCTCATCTCCTACCCTCCTCAATCTCACACTCACTCTGGGGACTTTGAATTCCTCCAACTTGCCAGGCACACCCCTATCTTGGTACCCTTTCAAGAACTGGTCCCTCTGCCTGGAATGTGTCCCCACTCGCCACCAAGCCTGCACAGTTTGTCCCCTTACATCCTCCAAGTCTGATCTCAAATGTCATCTTTTCAGCAAGGCCTTTTCTGACCATCCTACACAAAATCTCAAATACATCCCCTCGCCCCCTGGTATTCTCAAGTCCTCTTTATCTTTTTTTTTTTTTGAGATGCAGTCTCGCTCTGTCACCCAGGCGGGAGTGCAATGGCGCCATCTTGGCTCACTGCAACCTCCGCCTCCCGGGTTCAAGTGATTCTCTTGCCTCAGCCTCCCGAGTAGCTGGGATTACAGGTGCCTACCACTACGCCTGGCTAATTTTTTGTATTTTTAGTAGAGACAGGGTTTCATCATGTTGGCCAGGCTGGTCTCAAACTCCTGACTTCAGGTGAACCACGTGCCTCGGCCTCCCAAAGTGCTGGGATTACAGGCGTAAGCCACCACGCCCGGCCTCTTTTTATCCTTTTTTGATTCCAAAATCATTTAATAGGTTATTTATATAATCTACTTGAGGAACATAACTTAGAAGAGTCCCTGCACACAAAAGGTGCTCAATAAATATTTGAGTGAATTCATTAATGAAGCAAGCAAAGCACTTAAGTGTAGGAAGCGTCCAATAAATTTTGGCTGCCATTATTGTGTAGTTACTAATAATCTCCCAGGGCACAATTCAAATATCCCATCTTTTCGCACGTACTCAAATAATGTGATTAATGAATAAGTGAAAAAGGATACACAAAAAGGGTAGGTACACAGACAGAAACCCTCACCTGGTGACAGGGTATGACGTGAATCAGAACCAGATCTACACAGATACACCCCACCCAAACCCTGCTTCGGATGCAGGCCCCCACCTGGTGACGTGGTGCGGCAAGGGGTTCAGAGAAACCAAAGAAAGGCAGGGCCAAGTTGAGGAAACCATTCTTGTAGGAGTCAAGCTGTCGGTGCCCCTGCACAACCTTGTACAGCTCCAGACACACAAGGCCAACCACGGCTGCTGTGGTCGTGGCAATGGCTGGGATGATCTTCCCTGCAATCAGCTTGCTCTGAGAGACAGAAGGGACAAAAGAAGGTGGTAGTTAAGTACAAGAGCCTCAGGGTCTACAGAGGGGCTAAGTGTGGGTAACTCAAACCTGGAGGAGGGTGGAACATCAGATTTAGATTCCCCTCACCTTGTGCCGGTCTGCAGAAGGAATGTCATAGTTTTCTGCCCGGAGGTTGGATGCAGCCACGATGAAATCCATATGAAAGTTGCTGTCATCATCCTGTTATGAGTGGGGAGGGTGTGAAGGCAGTGGGGAGAGGATCAGATAAAGAAGATGTGTATCCTCCACTGCAATTGCCTGCTGGACTCTCCCAGATCACAAAGGGATGGCTGGGAACACCTACTCATTCAGAGCCATATGGCAGGCCCACAATCTGATCCCCACAAAGGCCCGGGGCTGGCTCCAGATACTCCTGTTTTCTCCAGCCTGTCTATGCTTTGCCCATCCTCCTTCCCTGTCCTGAGCCCCACCCCATACCTTCTCAAAGTCAATGGGGTACATCTTGAATCCAGGGAGCTTGTCTGGGCTGGGCAGAGTGGCTTTGAGCTCCTCTAGACGACTGTCATCTGCATGAAGAAAGGGACACTGTCAGCCCTTTAGATCCCAGGCTAAGGTCTGAGATGGAAATGAGAGCCCAGGGTGGGGCAAAAGGTATTCAGGTACAAAAAGGATTTGGAAAGGAGAGACATCCTGGGAGAGAAAAGGGGCAAGGAGGAGAGGTAGAGCAGAGCAGAATACAAACCTGAAAAACACAGAGAAAGAGCTGAGGCTATCAAGAATGATCTCTCTAGAGACACTAAGGAACGGAAATGAAAATGTTAGGAGAAAGTGGAGATGGAGAGATCAAGATGGGAGACGTAAAGATCTTGGGAAGAATGATGTAGAGCAAGATGGGGGGAACACAGAGGATACAGGGAGGAAAAGGGGAGTAAAAAAGATATATGGAGGGGAAGTTGGGGGGAATACACAGATGTGGACATAGAGGAAAGATATGGGGGGAGATGGAGAAGATATAAAAGGGGGAGAGTGGGGGTATATACAGAGGGCGAGGCAGGTGGGAGGAGAAAGATGGAAGAAATATATGAAGGTGATGAGAGCTATGGAAGGAAAGATTGGAAGACATACATAAAGGAACATGAAGGAGTAGACATTTCAGAAGGAAGATGGGGACCATGGAAGGGGAAATGGGAGGAGATCTATGGAGAGGAAGACGGGGGAGATATAAGGAAGGTAAATGTAGGGGGCGTTACAGAGCTACAGAAGCATCATATACAGAAGGGAGGGGTGGTGAAAAAATATGCAGATGGGGTGGGGTGGGGGTGTCAGTAAACCGCAGCCCCAAACTATGGAGGGTGAAGATGCACAGAGAAACATGCAGGTAGATGTACAGATGGGGGCGGATCTGGAAGGAGACAAGGCAGGAAAGTATCAAGGGAGAGAGACTGCTGGTAGAGATCATACCTCCTAGATGAACAGATCAAGAAGAAACAGAAGAAAGAACAAAACTAAGGGAAATACACAGAGCAAGAGTAAAACAGCAAGTTCTCCTGAGGGCCAGATAGTGGGAAGGAGGAGGAGGGAGGGAGATAATTTGCCCCAACCTACCCTCTTCATGTCAAAGGGAGGCTCAAAGGAAGGTGTGGGTAAACCTCAGGCCTGGGGTCACAGAGCAGAGCAGAACCAGGGGTAGAGGACTGGTGGGGAGGCTGGACTAGGCCGGGGACATGTGGGGTGACTCCTGGCCAACTGGCCAAACACCCTCACCAACAGAGGCATTGGCGCTCTGCAGCTCCTGGTCAGAAACATGGATCTTGACGCCAGACTTGGGGGTGAATTCGGGGACCTGCACAGACTGCAGGAATGTGGCCACAGCAGCTCGGTCCTGAGAGCCTGTCAGCCCGTAGGTCTGGGCAAACAGGTTGGCAGCAGCCATCACATAGTCCAGATGCAGGGGCTAGGAGAAGGCAGGGCAGGGAAGGGTGAGCACATCAGCCCTCGAGTGGGGAGCCGCCACCTCCTTCCCACCTATTCACCCTCCACCTGACCCCAGAAGACCCTAGAAAGGAGACTTACATTGTTGACATCAAAGGTGAGCGGGTGTGGACAGCGTTTGGGCCCAGACCAGAACGGCGCTCCTGAGCTTGTGAGCTAAGGGATGGAGAGATTTTTGAGAACAGGACCTGAGAGTGAAGGCCTCTCTGACAATCTTCACGCTTCACCTAGGCCCCAGATGTGCCCCCAATTCACTATCTTGGGTTGGGCACTCGATGCGGACTGGAGCCAATCACAAAATACCTCAACTGTAGGGTCCCACAGGTTGAACCAGAGATCTGGCTGAGAGAACAATTACCAATCACTGGGTAGCCATTTTGTGCTAAACAGCCCATCATTTAACAAACTCTCATGGATTACCAGGCATTGTACTAACTTCATTTTAATAAATACCAGTTAATCCTCCCCAAACCCCCCATGAGATAGATCACTATTATTTCTACTTCACAGACGAGGAAACTGAGGTACAGAGAGAAGTTACGTGATTTGCCTAAGTTCAAGTAGAGTTTGGATTTGAACCCATATTGATTCCTGTGCTCTTAACTCCAGAATTTCTCCCCCATAATCCCTACAGCCCTGACTGGGAATCAGGTATGACGCAGCCCACACCACAGTCAAGGGCAATAGCAACCAAGCCTCTTTGCTCAAAGGAACTAGGGTGAGGAAAAAGCAGGTCAGGATCAATCACTCTTCTCAGATCCCCATGCCTCAGGGCACCTGCCACAGCTGGACTCCACAGTGGGAGGACCCACACTGCAGGCTCCCATTTCAGGGAAACACATTCTGCCAAATGGACCCAACAACTGGGCATTACCTGGTCAGGAGGGAAGTTGTGCAGCAGCTGCCGGATGTTGTTCGAGTACTGGGTGTGCCAGTGGTGGCAGGCCCAGGTCACGCAGTCAGCCCAGGTCTGTGGTCGCTGCAGCACCAGGCTGCGCTGCACAGCCTCCAGCACCTCCAAGGGCTGAGTGCCTGCCAGCCGCAGTGTTCGCTCCACAAACTTGGGGTCTCTATCAGGAATCGAAGAGGACAGAGGATAGGATTACATGTCAGCCTCAAGAGTGGGCTCCAGAGCAATCTTACTTTCTCCATGGAAAACTAGTCCCGACCCCAAACAACATGAGGCCCCAACAGCCACTCATTCATGTGAAAAGTGTGCCTGGTGCCAAGTGTTACTGTCATGAGGAAAGCAGCCGGGATGCCTTGGCTGGTGGACAGGGACAGGGCGAGAGGGCACTCGAGTTACTCACGTGAGGTACTGGTTGACATTTTCTGCTGGCTGCTTGAAGAGGCCTTCAAACTCATCCCGAGCCCACTGCAGACAGAGCAAACAGATTACATGTGGCCACAGTTGACAAAATGGGTTTCCGCAGGCATTATTAGAAGGACCATCAGTGAATAAAGCAAGTACAAGGCGCACAGCTACTCTGGAAGTGGGGAAGCCCTCTAGCCTTCCCCATTCCCCCACCTCAATTGAAAAACCAGGCCAGGCACAGTAGCTCACACCTGTAATCCCAGCACTTTGGGAGGCTAAGGCAGATGGATCACCTGAGGTCAAGGGTTCGAGACCAGCCTGACCAACATGGTGAAACCCCATCTCTACTAAAAATACAAAAAGTAGCTGGGCGTGGTGGCAGATGCCTGTAATCCCAGCTACTCAGGAGGCTGAGGCAGGAAATCTCTTGAACCCGGGAGGCGGAGGTTGCAGTGAGCCGAGATCATGCCATTGCACTCCAGCCTGGGTGACAGAGGAAGACTGTCTCAAAAAAAGAAAAATCAATGAAGTTGATTTGGGCAGTGGTTACAATAGTGCTGTGTATGTGGAAAACTGTTTTGTTTTGTTGTTTGAGACAAAGTCTCACACTGTCACCCGAGCTGGAGTGCAGCGATGCAATCACGGCTCACAGCAGCCTTGACCTCCCAGGTTGAAACGATCCTCCCACCTCAGCCTCCCGAATAGCTGGGACAGCAGGCACATGCCACCACACCCGGCTAATTTTTAAGATTTGTTGTAGAGACAGGGTCTTGCTATGTTGCCTAGGCTGGTCTTGAACTCCTGGGCTCAAACAAACCTCACTCCTTGGCCTCCTGAGTGCTGAGATTATAGGTGTCAGCCGCCATGCCCAGCCTAAAAATGTATTAAGATCTGAGTGCCAGGCGAGGTGGCTCACGCCTGTATTCCCAGCACTTTGGAAGGCTGAGGCAGGAGAATCGCTTGAACCTGGGAGGCGGAGGCTGCAGTGAGCCGAGACTGCGCCACTGCACTCCAACCTGGGCAACATGAGCAAAACTCCACCTCAAAAAAAAAAAAAAAAAAATCTGTGTACCTTATTCTAGATATGTTATGCCTCCATAAAAAATAAAAACTTCAATTAGGTATATCTTACCACAGTTTTTTAAAACACAAAAAACTCAGACCAAACCAACAATGATCCCTATCCAGGCCCTGAGGACTTGGCAGAAAACAAGACAGAGGCCGGACACAGAGGCTTACACATGTAATCCCAGCACTTTTGGAGGCTGAGGCAGGTGGATCACTTGAGCCCAGGAGTTTACAACCAGCCTGGTCAACGTAACGGGCACGCGTGCGTGCGCACACACACACACACACACGTACACACACTTACACGTACACACAGACACTTACACACACACACACACACACGTACAGACACTTCCCAGGAGTTGGAAGGTTGCAGTGAGCTATGATTGTGCCAATACACTTCAGCCTGAATGGCAGAATGAGACCTGTCTCAAAAAATAAAATAGCAAACAAGACAGAACTTCTGGCCTCTGAGAATTCCTAGGACAGTTCGCAGTCATTAGCGAGGTGGTTTGGAGTGTACAGATGTTAGAAATTCAGGTTCAGATTCCAGCTATGCCACGTATTACCTAGTTTTGTGACTTCAGGCACACAGGATAACATCTTTACCTCTGTGCCTTGTCTCTAAAACAGGTGTTACAACAGTGATACCTACCTTCATGGGGTTGCTAGGAAGAAATGAGCAAATACATATATATTTAAAGCTTGGTTAAAACAGTGCCAGGCACACAGTAAATGCCAAGTGGTTCACAATAGTCCTGTGAGGTAGATGCTGTCATTCCCATTTTACAGAACAGGAATCTGCGGCACAGAGAGGTTAAGTTCAAGGTTACACATGACCTAGCAAGACTGTGGTTGGTGCACAAATACAAACATACCCACTCTGGAACTGCAGTGTCAGAAGGGAGAAAGTGACAGATGGAACTGTTTTTTTTTTCCCTTCCCTATTTTGTTCCCACCCTCATACTCCTACTATTCTAAATGGTTTGGCCTCAAACACTGCACTAAGAATTATTCTGACAGCACAATGGTAATCCCTAGGTTCTGTTTCTTGGCCCAGGTGGTGGTCACCTGTGTGTTCACTTTGTAAAACTTCAGCTAGATCAAGCTTGTCTAACCTGTGGCCCATATGCAGCCCAGGATGACTTTGAATGCTGCCCAACACAAATTTGTAAATTTTCTTAAGACATTATGAGATTTATGCACGGATCTTTTTTTCTTTTATTTTTTCAGCTCATCAGCTATCGTTAGTATTAGTATATTTTATGTGTGGCCCGAGACAATTCTTCTTCCAATGTGGCCCAGGGAAGCCAAATGATTGGACACCCCGAGCTAGATAATATATGCACTGTTCTGTAGATAAATGCACCATACACACAGAATCATCCTGACAAACCAGCTGTTAAACTCATTTTGAGTAACAGCTGGGGAAAACCTGAATATGGACCATTAGAGACAAATAAATAACTAGAAGAGATGGTAAGAATGATTGTTAATTTTGCTGAGCATGAAAATGATGTTTCTGTTAGACAGAAGTAGTTCTCAACTGGGAGTGATGTGGCACCCCTGGGGACATCTGGCAATGTCTGGAGACATTTTGAGATGTCATGATGGAGGGAGAGTGCTATTGGCATCTAGTGGGCAGAAGTCAGGAATGCTGAGAAACATCCTACAGTGCACAGGGCATCCCCTCTCCCATGACAAATAAATAACCAGCCCCAAATGTCAGTAGTGCTGAAGCTAAGAAACCCTGTTCTACAGCAACATATCCTCACTTGGCAGAGGCACTGAAATAGTAGGGAGTAAAGGGCTGTGATGTCTGTGACACATTTAAGCACAAAGAAGAAAAATCTACATAAATCTAAGAAGAAAATGTGGCAAAACATTAAGAATTGTTAAATTTAGGTGAGGAATGGTATTTGAGTATTCATCATAATATTCTTAATATTTGTCTATGTGTTGAAAAAAAAATCAAAATAAAAGTGAAAAAAGAATGAGTCATTCTAGAAACCTAGGCTGCCTGGTGGGAAGTGAGGGAGGGAGGTTTGGAGAAAAGGCACATCTTACACTTAGGCATGCAACATCTGAAGGCAAGGCAAGGGCCTGGGGGCGGAGAGGCAGCAGCCTGGCCAGATGCCTGGCCTCTTTCCCTTCTCCCACAGCTTATCACCTGCAGGGTGTGCTCGATGGCATTAGGGAAGTTCTTCAGGGTACAGATGGGGATGGACTTCTCAGGTGGGTCCTGGCTGGAACTGTACGACTCTGTCAGGAAGGGGATCACCACCTGCACATTGCCTTTGGTGCCCAGTGTGCCTGACTCCAGCAGTGGCTTCCGGTAGTAGACACAGCGGCGGTCCATGTACATGCCTGTGGGGAGCACAAAGCGAGAGCTAGGAAAGAAACATCAGGAGAGGACAGAAAGACGGACACCCCTCTTGGTATATACACACCGAAACACACACAACTTTGCCCGTGACCACCTCACCCGCCTCCAAACTCACGGGCATCCACGTTGTCCAGGGCATTGGCCACGCCATCTAGGTTTTGGAAAAAATCGTCATCATAGATGCGCTCCGTGTCAGGACCCACACGGTTCTGGTGGCTTGTCACCCGGATATGTGGATTCATTTGGCGCACAGCTGCAGCAGCCGTGTCAGACTTTAACTTCTAAAGGGTTAAGAAAGTGCAGTTCCAGGGTGGGGATGGGGGAACAAAGCTCACTTATTTGTGCATTCACCCAACAAACATCTTTATTTTTTTTGAGACAGGGTCTCTCTCCATCACACAGGCTGGAATGCAGTGGCATGATCACGGCTCACTGCAGCCTCAACTTCCCAGGCTCCAGCGATCCTCCCACCTCAGCCTCCCGAGTAGCTGGGACCACAGGTGTGTGCCACCATGCGTGGCTAATTTTTGTATTTTTGGTAGAGACAGGGTTTTGTCATGCTGCCCAGGCTGGTCTTGAACTCCTGAGCTCAAAGACCTCGGCCCCACAAAGAGCTGGGATTACAGGCGTGAGCCACCGCACCTGGCCCAAACACCTATAAAGGGCTGTCTGCCTGAGACTGATTTACTTAATGCTGGGGAAGACCCAGGCCCTGAGTTAGGAGGCTAGCAGGAGAGACGGTCTGTGACAATGCCACATGGCCAGGATGATGATGCATGTGGCAGGGGCTCAGCATAAAGGGAAGCTGTGGACAGGAACAGACTGGAGACAATGGGCCAGACATCTGTTCTTTCGTCTAACACCTGCTATTTTTTCAGGTAACAGCACCCAGGATTGATGCAGACTCCCCCAACCACCACCAGGATGCTGGCACACAGACAAGCAGGATCCTTTCAAAGCCCAAATTGGGCCACGTCCCTCCTCTGCTCAGAATCCTCCCCTGGATCCCACCTCCACTTACCGTAAAATGAGTTGGCTCCCTGACCCCTCCCACCTCAGGATCTTTGCGCAGGCTCTTCCACAGCAGAGGGCACTCTAGTCCCTCATATCCTTGAGGTCTTTGCAGAACTCAGGCCTTCCTTAACCATTGTCATCAATACTACAAACCATTCTCCCTGACACCCCGACTTCCCTTGTCTGGTTTTAGTTGTTTCCTTTGAGGAGCACTCATCACCAACATTAACTATATACCTCACGATCGTATTGTGTCTATTGTTTGCTGTCCGTTCCCCTCTCCCTCCAGGAATCTTGTTTTATTCCTTGGTATATCCCCAATACCTAAAACAGTACTAAAACTATCTGGTGAATAAATGAAATAAATGAAAGGGGGAATAAATCCTGGGTAAGCAAAAACGACACTGCTCCTTACAGAAAGCTTCTCAGAGAACCCTGCATAACCAACCCAGTTTCCATATGTGCAGAGAAGTGTAAGCCTAGGAGACTGAAACTACAACCCTTGGAAAGGCCTGCTTCCAAGGTCGGCTCCTTGGCTGGTGTCTGGGAACTTGGAATTCAGGAAGGTTCCCACCGCTCCCTACCTGGTATCAGTGGTTCACTGTGCCTAAACCGTTCATGCAAACAATACAGTTTACGCTGAACACCTTTCCTTCTGGGAGTCTGGAAATTTTGTTATGTGCCAGGAAGGGGGCGCCTACATGACCAGCCCCAAGTAAAAGAGGTGGTGCTGAGTCTAACAAGCTTCCCTGGTTGGCAACATTTCATGTCTTGTTACACCTTGTTGCTGTTATTTCTGTAGTTACTGTTGCTACTGGGGAAATAAAGGCCGCCTTGTTTAACTCCCGCTGGGAGAAGACTCCTAGAAACTTGCACCAGCCTTTTCCCTTTGCTGATTTTGGTCTGTATCCTTTTGCTGTAATAAATTGTAGCCACAAGCACGACTATATGCTGAGTCCTGTAAGTACTCTAGGTGAATTGAGCTTGAGAGTAGTTTTGAGGACCCCAGACACACTGTCCCAACCAGCACTAAAAAGAGGTTAAGGCAAAAAAAAAAAAAAAAAAAAAAAAAAAACAGAAGCTGAGGGAAAGAAAGGCCAAAAAGAAGGGCTTCTGGCAGAGGCAGAAAGATCTCTGACAGAAAGAATGGGAACAAGAAAAAGGAGGGGTGAGGTGTGGTGGCTCACGCCTGTAATACCAACACTTTGGGAGGCTGAAGCAGGCAGATCACCTGAGGTCGGGAATTCGAGACCAGCCTGACCAACATGGAGAAACCCTGTCTCTACTTAAAATGCAAAATCAGCCGGGCGTGGTGGCGCATGCCTGTAGTCCCAGCTACTCAGGAGGCTGAGGCAGGAGAATCGCTTGAACCCAGGAGGCAGAGGTTGTGGTGGGCCAGAGATCACGCCACTGCACTACAGCCTGGGCAACAAGAGCGAAACTCCGTCTCAAAAAAAAAAAAAAAAAGAAAAAGGAGGAAAGTGAGACGACAAAGCCCCAACCTCCTACCCTACTCACCGTGACATCCCAGGGCCGGAAAAGAAACTGTCGATTCAGATTTGACTTCTCAATGGTGTCCATGTCTGTAACGATGATTTCTCCACCCTCCCCGCAGCCCAGCCCAATCATGGCAAAGTTCTTGAGCAGCTCACAGCCAATGGCCCCCGCACCCACCTAAGAAGCAACCAAGAAGACAGGCAGAGGCTGGTCAGGGTGATGCAGGTTAGTGTGAAGCTACCCATCACCCCTCACTCCCCTGAGAGACGGGGAGAGGGGCTAACACCACATCTTCAGGTTGCAGGACTCTAAGAAATGACACGCAGTCATGTGAGGAAGGAGGCACCAGAAGGGGAAACGAGGGATGCACTGGGCTTCCCTTCAAGATAAGGAGAATGGCAAAGAGAATGCGCCACCGGTTGCATTGAGATGCCGAAGGAAGCCCCAGGGGTGATGGCCAGAGGCCAAGATGAGGGGAGCAGACATCCAAGGGGACCACTTACCAGGAAATACTTCTGCTTGCCCAGCTTCTCTTGCAGGTCTGAGCCAAACACAGCCACTTGCCCGTCATAACGGTTCTGGCGCTAAGGAATGCAAAGGGAGGAGGGTTAGAGAGGCCTCCCCAGAAATGTCCCCAATGATGCCCTCCCCACAGGTCCCACCCACATACCTGGAGGCACTTGTCCTCTGTGAGGACCTCTTTGTCCTCAGGGAGACACTCAAGGGCATCAAAGTATAGCCACTGCATGATGGGCATGAACTTCCCGGAGCAGGCCTGGAGAGGGGAAGGGAGAGAGGGGGTGGTCAGTGGTTAACAGGGGCCTGACACAGACAGAGAGCAAGTGACAGAGTCATGGAGGAACCTGGCCCACCCCAATCCTGCCTCTCCCCACCCGTGCTGACCTTCATGACTTCCTGGGCAGCCAGGCCCCCAATGAAGGCGTTTATGGGTGCCAGATCCCCAGCAGCCACATATGCCAGCTTCCGGATGAGGTCCTCGTCCAGGTTATTTTGCTGCACTGCTGGCAGGGCTCGAGCATTCACAGCCTGTGCTAAGGCTACCAGTTCTGCTGCATCCTCCTGGTGGGCCAGAAAGAACCAAGAGAGGATATGTCAGGCCACAGTGAGGGCAGGGAGTGTGGACACGCAGAGAGGCATGGTGAGCCTGCAGTGCCAGGCATGTCTGCGCTGGCTGGCTCGCCCACTCACCCACCTCATTGCGGGGCCGAGGTGGCCGGCCATGCTGAGCACAGAACTGGTGCAGGGCCTGGAAGCCAATGTGCAGCTGGGCAGGGCGAGAAAACTTGGCGAAGTCCGTCACCACAAAGTCAGGTTCTGCCAGTGAGGCCACCAAGGATTTCTGTGGCGGGGGGAGAGGTCATCAGAACCAGAAGAGAGGAATGGAGAACTAGGGAATGCCTAGAACCACCCCCCACAGCCCACTGATCCCATCGACACACTCACAAAGCTAATCTTCTTAGGTACTTTGACCTGACTGACGATGCCTCCACGGATGTAGTCGGAGAAGTTGGAGGTGTCACAGATGCTAAAGGTATAAGGACCTACAGAGGGCAGGAAGAGAGCTGTCAGTCTACCCATTCTCCCTAAAATCCACAACCCCTGCAAGATAAGGAACCTCCTGCCCCGACTCAGCTCAGACATCAGAAGCTGTCTTCCCTCAGCTCCAGGCTCCACTTGGACATCAGAAACCATCTCTCCTGTGCCCCAGACTCAGCTCAGACCCCGTGAGACCCTGTGTCCCTGGCTCCAAGTCTACACGGGAAGACCTTCTCTGCTTCCCATCCAAATCAGCTCACACACAAGTAGATCCGCTGATCTGCCCTGTTCAAACACCAGAGACTTTTTCCCCACTCAGCTCAGATACCAGGGACACATTCTCCCAGGAATAGCTCAAACACAGTACCTCTCCCCCATGCCCACCAGCTCTTATTGGACCCCACAGGATTGTCTGTAGTTCATCTCAAACACCAGGATGTGTCTTCCCAACTCTGAACCAAGGGCCATGTCTTCTCCCTTCAACTCCCCGGCCAGAACCCAGGAACATATCTTCTAGTTCCCCTCTGCTTCCCCCATGGTCGCAGCTCACCCAGGACTTTGATCTCCATGGGCTGATTTCCGTTGAGTTCAACCATGCCCTGTACTTCTGAAAAGGAGACAAAGTCCCCGCTCTCAAACCCGTGTCGGGCCTCATCCAGGCAGGTAACCACACCGGGGTTGTCCTGGTTAAAGGAAGAGTGAGTCTCAGAAACAGGCCCAGGGTACCAAGAGCAGACAGGAAGGACTACTGCAGCCCACCTGCCTGCCAGGAACCCTAGGGCTGGTCTCCTTACCTTGGTAACCATAGAAACCATAGCACTGAGTGGCTGCTCCCCATTGGAATCTGTGAGGATCATTTCCTCTCCAAAGTCACAGAAGAGCTGCCTGTAGAGGGAAGCAATAGGGCTGGTGCCTGTGTCCCATGCACATACAGGTCCCACGGGTCCCTCAAGATGTAGTGAAAACTTGCTGAGCAAACTCAGCCTATCACTGCTGGGATGTAAGATGGTACTTGTGCCACATGGGGAGAGATGAAAACACAGAACCCAAAACCTGGGTAGCTGAGAAGGGATGAGGGCAGGGAGAGCCTAGAGTCTTGGCCTGGGCTTGGTAGGAGTTGGGGGAAAAGGGGACAGGGAGGGAGGTGGGCTGCCACTCACCCAAACAGGCCCCGCGTGTCTGCCACCACCAGCTTGATGCCACGGTTGTGACAGAACTCACCCACTCGCAGCTGGTCCTCCAGGGGGGTGTTGGTGAGCACCACCACCTGTGGAGAGATGGAGGCTCAGGCCCAGCATTGGGGTGAAGGGGAAAAAATGGAGGGCTGGTGTGGAGGACTCAGGCAGTCCTCAAGGCAAACACATCCAGGCTTTGCTGGGTCAGCCTCTTTCACAAACACATAGCACCTACTGTGTATCAGACTCTGTGGGGGTCGAAAATGAACCCCTGGACTATACCAGGAAAGGTGAAGAGGTAGCTGGGAGGAGGGAGTTTGGAGAAGAGCTGACTCATTTATTTGACAAACACCCGCTGCTGTCTGTCTGCCATGCCCTGTGAGACACTGGAGTAAAACTCTGTCTCCAGCCAAAGTCTGAGCTCACTCCTACCACACCCACCTGCTTCCAATTCTCAAGACGACGCCTGCTCCGCCATGATCTTTGGGATTTTGCTCTCTGCCTGAATGTCCATCCTTCCCCACCAGGGTGAGCTCCTACTCCTCCATCAGGATTTAGCTGCAGTGCCCTGGCAACCTGGGATACTCCAGGGACAACTCTCAGCTTCCAGAGCACCTCTTTCCGGCCTGGACTTTTTAATTAACAAACACCCATCCAGTCCTTATATGCCAGCTGCAATTCCACGTGTTTAACCCTCACAAAAAGTCCATGAAGTCAGTGCTGCTACCACGCACTGACTACAAACAGGAAAACAAAGGTACAGGAGATGAAACAACCTGCTTGAAGTCACACTACCAAGGCTGGAGGCCTGCAGCAAGGCAGTATGGCTCTACAGTCTGTGCCCACAACCACTATGCTGTACTGTCTGTACACATCTTCCCCACTTGAAAAGGCGGGGCCAGGCCGGGTGCGGTGGCTCACACCTGTAATCCCAGCACTTTGGGAGGCGGAGGCGGGCGGATCACAAGGTCAGGAGATCGAGACCACCCTGGCTAACACAGTGAAACCCCGTCTCTACTAAAAATACAAAAAAAAATTAGCCGGGCGTGGTGGCAGGCGCCTGTAGTCCCAGCTACTCGGGAGGCTGAGGCAGGAGAATGGCGTGAACCCAGGAGGTGTAGCTTGCAGTGAGCCGAGATCGCGCCACTGCACTCTAGCTTGGGCGACAGAGCAAGACTCCGTCTCAAAAAAAAAAAAAGAAGAAAAGAAAAGGCAGGGCCAGGGGCTAACTGCTGCCTGCATACTCTAGTCCCCCAGCACAAAACCTGACATTCAGGCCGACCCATTAAATCAATATTGAACACTACTGAATAAACCAGAGATGGGCTCTGAGAAAACTGGGCAGAAGGCTGGGTAGTACCCCCAAGATACCTGGAAACCACTAAGGAAGTCCTCAACGAGGGGTCCAGTGTAGGCAGTGACAGGCACATAGCTGTTGAGCTCAGCGAGGCGGGGCTGTGATACCTCGGCCCGGTTTTTACCGATGTCCTCCTCCCGCAGGTAGAACTGTAAGGGTGTGCAGTAGGGAAAAAGATGAAATGGCTGTGGCACCGGGAACAGTGGTGCCTCGGGAAGGGGGAAAGGGGGAAGGGTGCTAGGAAGAGGTACCTGGGAGGAAAGATCAGCCCACTGGGCAGTGCCCTGGTCATGTAGGGTAACAGCCTTGACCCCACCAAGGATGATGTTCTTAGCGATCTCCACGCCCAGGCCCCGCAGGCCTGATACCAGGACACTGGATGTCTGGAGCCGCTTCATTGCCTCATGGCCCAACACATACCTGCCAGGTTAGGGGGTACTCTAGGTCAGGGCCTGCCCCACCCAACCTTATCCTCTCAATGTCCCATTCCACACCCCTCAGCCCGGCCTTGGCCCCACTTACAGCTGCCGGGAGTAAAGGCCCTCGTCTATGTCTGCTTCACTGCCGTTCTTGGCCATTCCCTAGGAATAGAGGAAAAGAACAAGTTTAGGGAGACACACAGGAGTGGAGCATGGATAGACAGACAGTGATACAAAAGACTTTCCCACCCACCACCTCGTCTGCCAGTCTCCACGGAGAGGACACTCACGTTGGTTGGCACCGAGGGCACTTCGGACAACACGGACTGGGCAGGGGAGCAGTTAGAACCCGGCTTTGGATCAGGCCCGGACACGCGACGTTTCTTGGACAGCGGCGAGCTGGACATCTGGAGGAAAAAAAGGTCAGAGGTGACCCTGGAGCACATGGGTACCGTTTTTCTGTTTGTTAGTAGCAACTGTGGGGGAAGGGAAGACTTAAGTATTAGTACCCCCATTTTACAGCAAAGAGGGGACAGGCACAGAAAGGTGAGGACTTGCCCAGGGTAACACAGCTGTCAGACCTAAGATCTGAACCCAGGTGGTCTGATTTGCAAATCCACACTGCTGACCACTAAGCCATTTGCTTCTTCCCAGCCCAGCATAATGAGGGAGAGACTCCAATCCTGGAGTGAAAGGAATGACAAGAATGTACTTGTGTCGAGGTCAGGGGAAGGATGTGGATTCAGGACAGACCTGGTTTCAAATCTTGAGCCTGCCACGCACTAACAGTAATAATTAACCGCCACAGGCCTCAGTTTTCTCACCTGTGAAACAGGGGTGATAATACCACTTACCTTCCCCACGGGGTTATCGAGATGATAAATAACACAGAGCATAGAACCTGGCACAGAGTAGGTAGGCAGTAACAAGCAGCCATTCTCCTCTCCCTTAATCCCAGGGATGGCGGCGGGAGCGGGGAGTGCAGGAGGGAAGTGAGGCTTGGACATCCATCAGGGTGGCATGATGGCAGGAGCGGTAACTTGCTGAGAACCCAGTCCCCAGAGGGGCTCAAGTTTTATAAAGCCCAACCCTGCCCCCAGCTTTGGGAGGGGAAAACCGACACAGACCAATAAAAGAGGTTGCAAAAAGATAGAAAACAAACACATCCCAAGCCTCATCTGCATGCGGAGTCCCTTAAACAGGTTAACCACAATGATAAATGAGTATTAGATTGATCAGGAGTCCTCCTTGTGCCAGATGCCATAGTAAGCACTTCTCTAAACCTCGTCTCACTCTGTCCTCAGGGTACTCCTGTGGGGTTTGGACTGCTATCAATAATACCCCCAACTTTAAAGTGATGGAAAAAAATTCACTCAGGGACGTTCGGTGACCAAGGTTCCCACACACTGAGCTGGGACCAGACCAGGATCTGCTGACTCTGAAGCCCAGGCTGCTTCCTCGTGTTATCACGTTTCATCCCCTCCATGACCCTGACCCAGCAAGGCAGAGTTTAGTGTCCTTGCCGGACAAATGAGAAGTAACTTGCCCAGGGTCACCTGCTAGGTCCCAGAGACAGAACAATAAAGCCTGCTGTGGAAGTGAAATCTGGTGGTGGGGGTGACTGGGTCCACATGCTGGAGATGGGAGGACCCAGCGTCACTTCCCCTCACCCCAAGTGCTCCTCTAGGCACTGAGTCTTCTGTTCACACAAGTCCTCCCACACTGAGACTTTTATGACACTAAGTATCCCAATGTACCTAAGATTCCATCTTGGCACTTGTCACTAGCACCAACCACAATGACAAGAGCTCCCTACTATCTACCAAGAGCATACTGTGTGTCAATCAAAGAGGAAAGGGCTTTGTCTAATCTTAACAATCCCCATGACCCAGATAACCCTATGCCCAAATCACAAATGGGAAAAGAAAGGCTTAGAGAACCCCATTCACTCGCCCAGAGGCATGCAGCTGGTGGGGGACTGTTTGCCAAATGCCCCTGGGCTCAGGGCCCAGTCCACAGGGCTAAGGAATGGGAGATGAGGGGAGGCAGCAGGCTGGCTGGAGCCCCTGAGATAGCCAGGTGAATTGCTTAGAATGCTAAGAGCCAACCTGGGTAGCAAGAGGCTTGGTGAGTTAGTAGAGACAAAGGTGAACCATATTTTCCATTTACTGACTCTCTGACTGACCTGGGGTAGAGATCTCATTTCCTCTGAGCCTCATTTTCTCCAAAAGCTGGGACAAATGAAACTGTCTTCAAGGGGCTGCTGGCAGGGTTAAAGAAGCCAAGGTCTGTGGTCAGAACTCACTGACCTGAGGATGTGAGTTCCTCCCTGGGCACGTGTAGTGGCCTCTATTACTTAGTTATCTCCTTGCCTTGTCATTGGTCAGTTTGTTTGGGACATGCCATTTCCTCACTCCATAAATTAGAGATGATCCAGGGCCAGAGAGCACTTTAATATCTGGACATTTCACCTCTGGATCCCCAGTGCAGGCAGCAAGAGTCTAAGAAGTTTCAGATGATTGTTCAAGTGGATTTTGACTGCAAAGGTTTGGAACAGCCCTGTCTCAAGGCAAGCAGGAGTCTGGGACAGAAACTCTGCAGAGGAGCTAAAGATCCCCCACCCCCAGCAGAAAAACAATCTACACCCTTCCTACCTCAACATTTGCTCAGGCCCCCACCATAACATACACACTGTGAACTGTTTGGCAAAGCTGAGCTGTGGCTTAGTTTCTAAACATACCTGAGTCTCCAAACTGAAGATTTTCAAGCGTAAGCATTCTCTATTCCCAAACCAGAGGGTTTGAGGGAGGAGTCTTGGAGGTGTGAGAGGAGGCAGGTTAGCAGGATGGAGAAGCTAGGGCATAGAGAAGGGGGGCTGGAGCATGTCAAGCTTTCTGGGAGGGGTTAACTGAGAAGTCCATGGGAACGTGAGAGGAGAATCAGGAAGTGGGTGTCTAAGAGCAAGGAGGCTCTGAGACAAATGGGAAAGGAGATGTTAGAAGTCCTGGGAGGGAAAGGACTAGGCTAGGGTATTAGGAAAAGACTCAAATTCGGATCTCTGGAAAAGGATCTTTTGGAGAAAGGCTGAAAAATTGCAGTGGAGGCCCCCAAGGCTGCAAGGAGGTAGGAGGACAGTTGCTGGGCCCCATGGAAGCTGCAAAGGGAATGGGTGGGGGATTCTAGAGTCTGAGGAGGCAGCAGGAAGATGTTGGGGTCTGGGGGGAGAGGCAGCCTCCATCAGGAGGATGTTGAGGCTCTGGAGGACTCTGGAGACAGATGCTGGTAGCAGAGAGAAATCTTTAACCAAAAATAATAGATAGGGACATGCAAGAGGAGAGGTGTATCTGACATTCCTACTACAGAGTCCCAGGAGGCTGTGAGGGTGGATGGTGAGGGGCTGGGAGAGGTTTCTAATGGAACACAAAGGCCCTGTGTCAATCTCTGACAGGACATGCTAGGTATCACAGCTGCTCTGAGGGTGTGGAAACGGGAAGCTGGGCCCAGATAGTGCAGGCCTTAAAAAGGTTAATAAGCAAACACTGGCTAGGTCCCCAAATGGGGTTGGGTTTCTCTGACCAATTATGTAGGACCCCATGGAGGCGCTGAAGGTAGATGCTGAGAAGAGGGTTTTCTACTGCAGTAGAAAACAAGAGGGCCATGGCCAGGCGCGGTGGCTCACGCCTGCAATCCCAGCACTTTGGGAGGCCGAGGCAGGTGGATCACCTGAGGTCAGGAGTTCGAGACCAGCCTGGGCAATATGGTGAAACCCCATCTCTACTAAAAATACAAAAAATTAGCCAGGCGTGGTGGTGCATGCCTGTAATCCCAGCTACTCGGGAGGCTGAGGCAGGAGAATCGCTTGAACCCAGGAGGTGGAGGTTGCAGTGAGCTGAGATGGCGCCACTGCACTCCAGCCTGGACGACATAGTGAAACAATTCTGTCTCGGAAAAAAGAAAAAGAAAAAGAAAACAAGAAGGCCTGTGGGGGGAAGGGACATCTGACAATGATCCTGGGGTCCAAGGAGGCTGAAAGCAGAAGCTGAAAACCCCTGACTGCAGACGTTAGGGACCTTGAAACGATCTGAGGGCAGATTCTGAGGCCTGATGTGAGGATAAGGGATCTGTGAAAAAAGCAGCTAGAACCCAGGTTGGTTTTTGAAGGCAGAGGCTGGGTCTAGGGTGGGGTTGGGGAGGCGAGTCTCTGATGGAAGGGGCTAGAAGCCAACGGGATCTGCAAGAGCAGATGCTCGCAGGGGCTCTTTGATGGAGGATTATGTATCCAAACAGTTCCTCCCTGGTATCTGGTGCACTGGAAGGCTCTGGGGGTTCAAGGTGCCTGATGGGGAAGATGCTGAGGCCTCTCAGTAGTCTCTGAATACTGGAAGTATAAAAAGCGAGAAATTCCATAAAAGTAGAGAAAGTGTCAAAGGACAGAGTCTAGGAATTGAAGAGTCTCTCAAGGCAGATGGTAAGAGGGGTCTCTGAGTAGAAATACTGGGCAGAGTCTCTGATGGAAGATGCTAGGGCCAGGGTGGGGTTAGGAGACCTGACGTGTGGCGAAGAGGGGCCCCCGACACAAAGGCCAGGCCCAAATGGCCTTTCACAGGGTCTAGTACCCCTGGAAGCTCTGAGCGCGGCTAGCATGTGTGTGGGATGGGGGTCTGAAGGAAAATGCTAAAGAGGACTCTCTTACAGAGATAAAGGGCCTATGGACCCCTTCGAGATCTAGCCCGTCCTGGAAGCCTTGAGGACAAATACTGAGAAGCTAGGAAGTGTCTCAAAGGAGATTCTGGGGCAGGTCTTTAACGGCATTCAATGGTGAGGAGCTCTGATCAGCAATGCTGATCCACGTAAATCTCTATTGGAGACTGGGGAAGAGTTCTGATCTGAGATACAAGGTTCGGGACGGAGTCAGGTCCCAGACTAGAGATGTTGGGCGTGAGTCTCTAAAAGCACATCCTGGGGGTCCGACTCCAAGGTCAGATTTTGCAACCAGAGGGAGCCGGAGTGGTCCTGGCCGGGGAAAGTCGGCCCCGCCCCAGGATCCGCTCCCCCTCCCTACTCCGCTGATTCCTGGCTCCCGAGTCACCGCGGCCCGCCCCGACAGCAGCGTGGCTCAGGGCCCTCCAGTGCCTCCCCGAAACCCCTGCCCAGGGCGAGGCGCAGTGAAAGGACGTTTTTTTACCAATGCCGGTTCCCCGGGTCGCGCCGCCGCCAACTCCTCAAGGAGCCGAAGCCAAGCCCGGCCGCCACCCTCCTCCTTCTCCTCCTCCCCGCCGCCTGGGCCGCCTAGAATCGCCGCTGCCGCCTTCTCCTCCCCCGGCCGTTGTGGTTGTGGTTGTCCCTGCCACCTCCTTACAGCCGAGCCGCCGACACAAGATGGCGGACGCTGAGCCTGGGGCCGGAACAAAACCTTGGGCCCCACCCCCAGAAACCCGGATGCAAGCGGGCCGCGCCTACTTATGAATCATGCATAAAGTTCCCTACTCGGTTGCGATTCATTCGGTTAGAAGTGGAACAGCACCACCTGGTGGACATTGTGGCAGTAACAACGAAAACAGGTAAAACAGAGGCCACGCCTCATGGAATGCGACTAATGAATGAATTGTTGCAGCCAGGCTGTCAAGGAAGCGAAGAAAAACCGTTAAGGCCATGCTTCCTGATTATAAGTTATGCATGAAGTTGAGTGGTTGGTAGACTAACAACCAGCAACCAGAAAGCAGATGTTAAAACATGGAAGCCACACACCCCCATTCATGAATAATGATGATCTTGCAGGGGCCCGGAAGCCAAGGAGACCCAGGCCACAACTTACTCATGAATAATGCATGAGGCCCAGTGGGTTGGAATAAAAGGGGCACGCCCGCCTATTGCTGCATCTAATACACTGTAAGCAGGGAAATGGGGCTGCTGCAGGGAAAACACACTCTCCCAGGTCCTGAATAATGAATTATGCTGCTGCAGTAGCTCAACCTGGAAACTCAGAGAGGTCAAGAAAGGTTCCACCCAATTTATGAATTATGCATAAGGCGAAGAAACACCCAAGACTGCCCTGCCCAGCAAATAGGGATTACGATGCTATAGCCAAGGCAAAGTGAGCACGCCTTCCTGTTCATGAATAATGAAAGATGTCACTGCAGTGCCACCAGAAAACCCAGGGGACGTGTACTCCCTGCCCCCACCTCCCCTCTCCACGCCTCCCTCCATTCTCCCCGCCTCAGGAACAAGGGCTGCCTTGGTCCAATCAAACCCAAACTCACTACATGTCTTTGGCAGGTGCCTCAGTTTCCACAACTGTAAAATGAGGATAGTAATGTGTTATTATGAAAATCAGATGACGCCTGTAATCCCAGCACTTTAGGAGGCCGAGGCGGGTGGATCACCTGAGGTCAGGAATTGGAGACCAGCCTGGCCAAGATGGTGAAACCCTGTCTCTACTAAAAATACAAAAATTAGCTGGGCATGTTGGCGGGCGCCTGTAATCCCAGCTACTGGGGAGGCTGAGGCAGGAGAATCGCTTGAACTCGGGAAGCAGAGGTTGCAGTCAGCCGAGATCGCGCCATTGCACTCCAGCTTGGGCGACAAGAGAGAAACTCCGTCTCAAACAAAAGAAAATCAGAGAATATAAATTATGGGATGAGCCTTAGAACATTGCTGGCACAAGGCACTGTTAAATTTTTAAAATATTATATATTAATATAAAAGTAATATGTTAAGATATGTAAATATATATTTACATTAATATAAAATTAGTTATGAATACTCAGCCACTAGAGAAACCCCCAACTTGGGCCACTGCTTCCCCATCCATAAAATAGGAATAACAGCAACTTACCTTGCGATGGAGTTTAAATGAAGAAATAAGTAGAAAGGGCTTAGACCAGTGCCTGGCACATGCTAAGTGTTATATTAGTAGTAGTAGTACTATCAAATGGCGGCGCAGGGGAATGGGGAGGGGAGACATTATGGCATCTGGTTAAGACTACAGATTGCGGAACTAGACCCCAATTTGAATCCCGGCCCAGCCACTCACTGATTGTGTGACCTTAGGCAAATTACTTAGCCTTCCTGTGTCCCAGTTTCCTTATCTATAAAGTGGGGGTAATAATGACCTACCTCCTAGGATTGTCGTGAAGATTAAATGCGCTAAGTAGCTAAACGAGTGTAAGCTAATCTTATCGTTATCCTCATACCCATTATTCAGGCTTACAAAACGATTTGCCAAAGATCACACAACTGGAAAGGATCGATGGGATTTGAATCCAGAGCCGGCTGATTATCTGGGATTACCAGGCCATAAGAAATGAACAATGTAGGAGGCCTCATCCCTTTGCTAGACGCCAGGTTTTAACTCTGGTACCTGCAAGGGAAAGCTAACCGCGGATCACGCAGACAAAGCTGCAAAAGCCACGCTCCTCATGAATTAAGCACGGAACCCCTAGAAAAGCCACTGAAAACTCAGGGTGCTACTTAACTTTTGCGAATCATCAATGAACTCGTTTGCGCGGCAGACTTCAGAACGCCCCTTCAGCACGTCCCTTCGGCACGCTGATCCGCCCCTCGTGAATAATTCACAAGCCGAGAACCTTCAGCGGACCAGGTGCGAAAGAGGCAAAAAAACTGCCGCCTACCACAGCCCCACCTTATTATGAATAATGAATAAAGGCCGGGTGGCGCCTCGTCAGCTCAGGAAGAGCTGGGCTCCGGTGTCCCTTCCCTAGCCTGAGCTGGGAGGCTCCTCTCCCTAGAAACATCTGGGCCCCCGACGTGTCCAGTCTCGCAGTCCTGAGCCTCCAGGCGCGGGGAGGACCTCATCACAAAACCAGAGGTCACAAAGGCCTGACACCTCCACAATGCCACGTCGGTCCCGATTGTTCTGTCACCAGGACCCCGTCCTGAAACAAGCCCTCCCCCAGTCCCGCCTTGACTTTAGTAACCTCAAGCTTTGCTTCTCCCCTTGAAGAATAACCCAAATCCTGCTCCACGGACAAGGGTGCCCATACACGGACCCTAAGAATCTCCCCAAAGCCCCCCAAACCCTGCCTCCGAGGGGTGCTCCCCGAAACAGACTCCCAAATCCCACCCCGAAGTCCCCAAACGGCACCCCTTAAGGGTCTCAAAAGCAGACGCCCCCTAAATATCACCCCGGGCCCGGAGGCTCCAAATACGCCCATGAGGGGTTTCCCCGAAGTTGGGATTAGGGAAGCACCCTCCTCCAAATGCTGTCCAGAGGCTTGGGGGCACGGTGCTCCAGCTCACCCCCTGTGCCGGGCGGAAGCCTCGCCTTCCTGCCAAAGATGAGCTGAAGCCACGGGGCAACGGAAGAGCAAACCACCTCTGTCGTACAAGAGAAGCCAGAGTTTGCGCGGAGCTCGGAAGCGCGGGGCCTTGGAGAGCCCCGGGTCTGGGATGTACCACAGATGCTTTGCTAGAGGGGCGTCAGTCCCTGCTCCCGCGTCGCTGGTGCCCGTTTCAGACCCAGATGACCCTACAGGTTGTGGTACGGCCCAAATGCGCGCGGCATGCTGGGGGTGGTAGTTCTGTCTGGCCAGTGCCTGGTGCACGTGGTGGGCACCAGCGTCCAGAATATGGGAAAATGTAAGCCTGAGCTGTGGAATTGCCGGAGCCGTGCTCTGTAGGGTGGGAAGAGGAAACGGAACGTGTGGGTGCCTCCACATGGAAAGGCACACCCATCCTACAGATGGGGAGACCGAGACTCAGGTGGCCAAAAAAGTTCATTTGACATGGGCCAGGTGCTGGAAATTCTTCCTTGGGCTCATGGAGCTGACATTCTAGCAAGATACACAGACCATAAACATAACAATAAGTAAAATTATAGTTTCACATACAAACCCGTATTATAATAGATATCTGTGACTATATACAGTAATATAAATTATGGATATACAATCATGTGCTGCATAACATTTTGGTCAACGGTCCTATAACACAGAAAAAATTTTACTGTTATCTTTTCTATGTTTACATGTTACCATAGTGGAGACGGGATTTCGCCACGTTAGCCAGACTGGACTAGAGCTCCTGAGCTCAGGCGATACCGCCCGCTCGGCCTCCCAAAGTGCTGGGACTATAGGCGCGAGCCGCCGCGCCTGGCAAAATTCTTTAGCCTTTTAATAAATGGAGTCTTGGCCGGGCGCGGCGGCTCACGCCTATAATCCCATCACTTTGGCAGGCTGAGGCAGGATGATTGCTTGAGCCCAGGAGTTCAAGACCAGCCTGGGCAACAAAGTGAGACCCCCCCACGCCCCAACATACACACACACACACCCCACCACCACCACCTGGTCTCCACAAAAAATCAAAGAATTAGCTGGGCATAGTGGGGTGCATCTGTGGTCCCACAGTGAGCCCTGTGGAGGCAGGAAAATAGACAAAGGAGAGGGAGAGGGAGGGTGGAAGAGAGGGTTGTACTATTTTGCATTGCCTCCAGCGATGTATGAGAGTGCCTCTTCCTTCGCAGCTTCAGCTAACACTAGCCTGTTAAAATAGACATCTTTTCTTTTTTCTAATATCTAGAACAACTTTAATAAGAAAGGAATTAACTTTAATAAGAAAGGAATCCTTGGGAGTTTGGTAGAATGCTCTTATAAAAACCATCTGGGCCAGGCGAGGTGGCTCATGCCTGTAATCACAGCACTTTGGGAGGCCAAGGAGGGTGGATCACCTGAGGTCAGGAGTTCAAGACCAGCTGGCCAACATAGCGAAACCCCATCTCTACTAAGAATACAAAATATTCCCTGGGTGTGGTGGTGCACACCTGTAATCCCAGCTACTCAGGAGGCTGAGGCAAGAGAATTGCTTGAACCCAGAAGGTGGAGGTTGCGGTAAACTGAGATCGCACCACTGCACTCCAGCCTGGGTGACAGAGTAAGACTCCATCTAAAAAAAAAAAAAGAAAGAAAGAAAGGAACACACACATACACACATCATCTGGGCCCTTTTTTTTTTTTTGTGGGGAAAGGGAAGATCTTGACAACCATTTCAATTTCTATATTACTAATTGCTCCATTTGAGTAATCAGTTTCTCCATGGAACAGTTTTGGCATTTGATATTTCTCTAGGAATATATTCATTTCATCTAGATTTTCAGATACATTCTTTATTTTTAAAAGCTCTGTTGCATTTGCATCTTCTATCTTCTTCAATTGACCAGTCTTGCCAAAAGTGTTTCCTCTTAATTTTTGTTTTCAGATTCTGCTTTTGGTTTCTATTAATCTGTCATTTTTTGTTCTCTATATCATCAATTTCTGTTCATTATTTCCTTCTTATTTATTGAGGTTTGCTGTGGTGGTGATTTTCCAACTTCTTGTATAATTTACATACAATAAAACACTCAGATTTTAGTTATACAGCTTGTTGGACTTTTAAATAGGTATACACCCATGTGACCAGCACCCCAATCAAGACATAGAAACTTTTCATGATTCCAGAAAGCTACCTTGCAACCCTTTCCAGTGACACCCTCCTCACCTCAACCCTCTTCTACTATCACCATAAAATTGTTCTGCCTGCCTTAGAACTTCATATAAATGGAATGAAACATTATGTGTTTTTTGTGTCTGGCTTCTTTCACCATGTGAACAATCTCACCATGTGAGACTCATCCTTTGATATCTGTATCAGCATTGTGTTCCTTTTGATTGCTGAGCTGTAGTCCATCCTTTGAATATACCACACTGTATCCATTCTCCTCTAGTTGGACATTTGGGTTGTTCCCAGTTTTTGGCTATTAGGAATACAGCTGCTACAAATATATGTATGCAAGTCTTTTGTTGACATGTTTTCATGTATTTGGAGCTAAATATCTAAGAGTAGAATTGCTGGGCCATAGGTTAAGCATATGTTAACTTTATAGGAAGCAGCCAGTTTTCCAGAGTGGCTGTATCATTTTGCACTCCTGCCAGTTGAGCTTTGAGGGTTCCTTGTGGGATTTTGGGAGCAGTGCTCTGGGGTGGGAAGAGGGAAGGGAATGTGGAGGCGTCTCTGCTAAAAGACACACCCATCCTGAGACTAGGGCAGCCTCTTTTTTTCAAGAAAGGGTTTCACTCTTGTCCCCCAGACTTGGGTGCAGGGGCGTGATCTCGGCTCGCTGCAACCTCCACCTCCCGGGCTCAAGCAATCCTCCCACTACAGCTTCCTGAGTAGCTGGGATTACAGGTGTGTGCCACTACAGCTGGCTAATTTTTGTACTTTTTTTTTTGTAGAGACGGGGTTTCACCTTGTTGCCCAGGCTGGTTTCAAACTCCTGAGCTCCAGTGATCCATCTGCCTCGGCCTCCCAGAATGCTGGGATTACAGGCGCGAATCACTGCGCCCAGCCTAATTTTATTTATTTATTTATTTTTGTAGAGACAGGGCCTGGCTATGTTATCCAGGCTGGTCTTGAACTCCTGAGCTCAAGTGATCCGCCTGCCTCAGCCTCCTAAATTGCTGGGATTACTTACAGGTGCAACTCACTGTGCCCAGGCCCAGGAGGCCTCTTTTTAATCCTGTTTCCTTCACCCTTTTTTTCTCCCATCCCCTTCCTTCATTGGGCAACACCCACCACCCCAGATCAGCACCATCCTACCTCTAGGGGTCCCCTTCTAACCCCACCTCCTATGACTGTTGCAGGGTGGTGTCACAATGTATATTAATAAATGGGGGAGGGGCTTTGCACCAACTGGTCTTCTAGCACCATCCCCCTTTCACGCTGTGGCCCTCTGAGGCTTGGAAGAGGGCAGCCCCAGCGTCACGGTCCACTGTACCCAGAACCTCTGCCGAGAGCACAAGCACATACTTGGGAATCATGGGTTGCAGTGACTAGAGGGGTGGGGCACTGTGGTAACAACAGAGAAGGTAGGCCTGAATGGTTCTCAAAGGGCATCCCTGGGACCTGGCCTTGGATTTGCAGGCCAAGCTCCACCTCCACCCCTCTGTCATCAGCCTGTTGAGGGCTCTGGGCCAACTGGAACCTGAGTACCTCTTGTATTCTACTTGGAGATGCCTGAGGGCATTGTCTCCAGATCTAGGGATGGCAAAATGCAGTTTAGCCTTGGGACTGCAGGCTAAGTAAAGCCAGGGGGCAGCAAGGACAGGGGATGGGGGTTCCCAGTCCTAGCTCTGATCAGGGGGCGCTTCATGCCTGGTGGTGCTAGATTTCCTGGTACAACATAACCTGCTGGAACCAACAAGGGAGAGGGGCCATAACCAGGATATTATGGGTCGGGGTACAGGTCAGAACCCCATGTTCTAGTAGCCATTATGTTCCAGACACTGAATGCCACCACTGCCATCCACCTTGGCCTGATAAGGTCCCCTGTCCATCTGCTTGGGTCCCCGTGTCTGTATAGGCTATACAACTGTGCTAGAGCACGAGAAAGAGGAGAGGCCAACATGCAGACTTTTCAGCTTTTATTACAAAACAGGACGTGATCCCAGCCCAATTTTCCAACAAAAGTCACCACCTCAATTTGATTTGGTCAAGCCCTCTCTGGCTGGGGAGTGGGCTGGCCGACAAGAGCAAGGCCCCGTCCCAGCCATCCAACACTCTGTCCTTCCCTGCCCCAGGATGGACACCCAACATGTGGAGAAGTTGCTCTTGAAGCTGCTCACTGGGCCTCGTTGAAGCGGGTCACCATTGTCTTGTGCAGTGTCTCCTTGTAGGACTCGGTTGAGGTGACCCCGTAGGAGCTGCCCCGTGCACCCAGGCCGGAGCCCCGCACCCGTGTTTGGGCCTGTGTGAGGGAGGCAGGCTCTGTCAGGCTGGTGGGGGATGCTGTGAGGGGTGCTGGGGGATGGGACAGGACTGCCTGAGACTCACCTCGATAGGCGTTACAATGCCCTGCTTCTTGCGGCCCAGGCCGCTGCCCTCTTTCCAGCCCATGGCCTGCAGCATCCGACTGCCAATGTTGTCACTGCCCAGCCCGTCCCGAGTAGGCTGCTCGAAGTCTCTGCAGGGGCGGTGCACAGCATGAGTGGTCGGCCTGCCGGCCCCGGCCCCGGGCTCCAGACCCCCTCACCTGGCCCAGCCACTCACACAGAGGCTGTGGATATGCCGCCGTACTTCCTCCTCTTGGGCTCTGGCGGCTCGGGGATGCCATACTTTTCTCTGCGTTCAGCTGCACGGTCCCGGTACTTCATTTGCTGAAAGTTTGTATGTGTATGTGAATGTTGGGGAGCTGGTCTCTTTTCTCAGGCAACACAGGCATGGGGAGTGGGGTCCCACAGGGCATGCCATCTGGCTAATGAGGCTCAGGTCCTGAGGGTCAGGCCATCACAGGCACAAGCAGCCAGGATAGGAAAATGGGGAAGAAGGCTCACGGGGTTAACACGTGAGAAATTGAACTCCAGCTGCCTGAGGTGATGGGGACTTGGAAGGGACACAGGGGAGGGAGCCCAGGGTCAGGTCACACCTCACCTCCATGTCATTCTTCTCTAGTGCTTCTAGCTCGTTTTCTGACAAGTGGGCTCGCCGGTGAATCTCAAGGTTTTGCTGCAAGAGGGACAGGATGAGAAGTGAAGAGGATGAGCCTCAGTGGGCCAGGCCCCAGCATGCCCTGCCAACCATCCGCTGTTACCTTGTGGAGCCCTGAGAGCTGCTGGTGCCGGATGAGCGCCTCTTTGCTGGGGAACTGGCGTCGGCAGAGCAGACAGGCCAGCTTCTGCCAGTCGGTGAGCTTCTCCTCCCGCTCAGGGCCCCCACGCTCCTGCTCCTCCTCACTGTCACTCTCCCCGCTGTAGGCTGCCACCAGTCCTCGCGGAGGGCTCTGTAGAGGGTGAGGGTGGGCGGTCAGGCCTGGCCAGATCAGAGCCCCCGCCCCTCTCTGCCTTGGGCACTCACTGGGCGGTCGTCACTGGCCAATTTCGGGAGATCCATGCTGGTGTGCTGTCTCTCGGCTAGTGCTCCCTGGGGTGGAGGGACACAGAAATTCAGGGACTCCACAGAGGGCCCAAAGGAAGGACAAGATTGTGGGGCAGGGTGCAGGGGGGTGGCCCCAACACACCTTCTTCTCGAGGATGGCATAGCCAGCATCTGCAGTGGCTGACTCCCGCCTCTCGTCATCTCGCAGGGAGCTGATAGGCTGGAAGCTATTTTTGAAGTTTTCTTTTTGTTTGTTGAGACTGCGGGCCCAGCGTTCCATGTCCTTGGCAATCTGGGGGTGAGGGTGGAGGTGAGGTTCCCAGAACCCTCATGACCCTGGGGCTACTAACTCTATCTGCTGACCCACTGCCCTGCATCCTCAAACACGGGCCAGCCACTATCCCTAGTCCGAACCACTGCAGAAGGCTTCATCTGGCCTCTGGGCTACGGCTCCTGACCACCTTTCCCAGCAGAGCGCTCTTTCATGAAGTATAAGCCACTCCCACCCCCAAATACAATGTCCTTAAAACCCTTCCTTCGCCTCCCATCACACCAAGAATAAACCCAAACTCGCAACCACAGCCTGCAAGGCACTTGGCACCTGGCTACTCCTGACCTCATCACTGAACACACCCTGTGCCCCCACCCCCACTGGTTTGCAATGGTGAGGTGGCAGAAGCAGTGTGGACAGAGTGGCGGGCCCATCTGGGAGGCAGATGAGTGGAAGCTGAGGCAGAACAATCAGAAGGTGAGGGACACAGTAGTGCAAGTTCCTATTTTCTGTCACCAGTCACCAGTGCTTCTTGCCAAGCCCCTCTCTGGCTGTGTTCTCTGCTATGTTTTTTGTCCCTCAAAGTTCATGTGTCAGAAATGTAATCCCTAATGCAACAGTGTTCACAGGTGGAGCCTTTATCCCGGCTGAGTGCAGTGGCTCACACCTGTAATCCCAGCACTTTGGGAGGCCAAGGCGGGTGGATCACTTGAGGTCAGGAGTTTGAGACCAGCCTGGCTAACACAGTGAAACCCCAGCTCTACTAAAAAAATACAAAATTAGCTGGGCGTGGTGGTGGATGCCTGTAATCCCAGCTACTTGGAAGGCTGAGGCAGGAGAATTCCTTGAACCCGGGAGGCGGAGGCTGCAGTGTGCTGAGATTGCACCATTGCACTCCAGCCCAGGCAACAAGAGTGAAACTCCATCTCAAAAGATAAATTTAATCCCTGATGCAACAGTGTTGACAGGCAGGGCCTTTCAGAGGTGATTAGGTCACAAAGGCTCTGCCCTCCTCAAGAGATCGCGGCTGCTTTTTAAAGAAATTGTATAAGTTTATGGGGTAACAAGTGCTTTTGTAGCCAGGCGCGGTAGCTCATGCCTATAATCCCAGCACTTTGGGAGGCCGAGACAGACACATCACCTGAGGTCAGGAGTTTGAGACCAGCCTGGCCAACATGGCGAAAACCCGTCTCTACTAAAATTACAAAAAAATTAGCTGGGCATGGTGGCGGATGCCTGTAATCCCAGCTACTCGGGAGGCTGAGGGAGGAGAATTGCTTGAACCCAGGAGGTGGAGGCTGCAGTGATCCGAGATTGCACCACTGCACTCCAGCCTGGATGATAAGAGCGAAACTCCATCTCAAAAAAATAATAAATAAATAAATAAAATAAACAAGTGCTTTTGTTACATGCACAGATTGTATAGTGCTGAAGTCAGGGTTCTTAGAGCATCCATCAGCCAAATAATGTACATCATACCCATTAAGTAATTTTTCATCCTTCACCCCCTCCCATCTCCTCCACCTTTATATATATATAATATATATATATTTTGAGAAGGAGTCTCGTTCTTGTTGCCCAGGCTGGAGTGCAATGGCACGATCTCAGCTCACTGCAACCTCCGCCTCCTGGGTTCAAGTGATTCTCCTGCCTCAGCTTCCTGAGTAGCCGGGATTACAGGCGCCTGCCACCACGCCTGGCTAATTTTTGTATTTTTAGTAGAGACGGGGTTTCGCCATGTTGGCCAGGCTGGTCTCAAACTCCTGACCTCAGGTGATCTGCCCACCCCAGCCTCCCAAACTGCTGGGATTACAGGCATGAGCCACGGCTCCCGGCCCCCCTCCACCTTTTGAGTCTCCATTTAATGCCATCACTGAGTGGGTTCCAGATAAAAAGGGGGAGTTTGGCCCAATTTTCTCTTGCTCTCATGCATGCTCTCTTGCCCTTTGCCATGTTATGATGCGGCAAGAAGGCCCTCACCAGATGCCAACACCACTGGGCTTCCCTGCCTACAGAACTGTGAGCCAAATCAATCTCTTTTCCTTATAAATTACCCAGTCTGTGGTATTGTTATGGAGCAGCAAATGGATGAAGACACTCCTCTTCCCCTGACATACACCCACGCTGTCACATTTGTTGTGCATTTCCATTTTATCATTTAAAAATGCATAGGAATGTTTATTTGTGTATAACTTTATATGCATGACACAATGCCACATTCTATATTTCCATGTTCCCCCCAGCACAGCACCATTTTTAGAATTCATCAGGTTGCTAAGGTAACACTTAGTGCTTGCTTGTAAACGCTACGCTCACAGTGTCACACCCTTTCTCCACAGAGAGACACTGAGGTGCCCTCCATCTGCCCACTCCCACAAAACATTGCAGGGCTTTTTTCCTGCCCACCCCCTTATGGCCTGTGAGAATTTCTCTGGCATACATGTATATTCACCAGCAGAATGTGAGGGTCCCCACCATGGGACAGAAGACACCTGACAGGGCTCACTCGGATGGCACAAGCCACCTCCTGGAGTTGGGCAACCCTGCCACACACTGAGGAGACTGCTCTGGCTCAAGGCCATTCAGCAAAGAGCAGAGCTGGGGCAAGAGCATGGTCTGCTAAGCAGTCACTGCCCACATCCACACCTGCCCGCCATCTCCCTTGGCAGGAGAGGGCAAGAGCTGACAGAGTGCCGTTGCTGGAAGACACCACACAGCCAGCCAGTGACTGCTGGACCCTGGTGTTCACCTGTTGAGCTGTCTTGGTCTTGTGCTTCTCCTTCTTCTCTTTGCCCTCCTTCGAGGGTGCCCCTGTCTCCTTATGTCCGTCGGCCGACTGCTCCAGGGCGGGAACATAGGTCCGCCTCTCCCCATCCCAGTACAGGTACTGCTGGCTCTGAGCATTGTAGTAATACTGAGGGAGGAGGAGGGAAGAGGGGATGTGAGGGAAGACCTTGTGAAGGGAACCTGCAGGGCTAGCTGTTCCTGACGCGACCTGACCCGATCCCATCCCTCCCTGGGCTGCCCTATTACCTGGGAGTTGGGGTCATAGTAGAGGCCGGTCTGGGGGTCATAGTAGTAGCCGGAGGTCTCATCGTACTGGTAGGTAGAGACGTCGGGAACAGCTAGGGGGTGAGGGGAACGGGGTCACACTATTCCCTGCTTTATTAAGAACTCCCCACCCCTACCCACAGGCTGTGGCTACTCACGGTACTGGCTGTAGGATTCCTGGGCAGTGGGGCTGGTAGCCGGTGGGAGAGCAGAACTAGGATGGGTAGGGCTCTGGAGCTCAGATTTGAGCACAGCGGGTGACATGATGGTATACGACTGGTCATGGGGCCAGACAGGAGAACAGGGCTCAGTGTCTGCCCATGCCACCCCTGCCGCCTGCCTGCCTCCCCGGGATACATACCCACAGGGCTCACTCACCTGGCTGTTGGCAGCAGTGCCCTGGCTACTGCTCGCCTCGGCTGATTGTTGGTAGATGCCAGGAGCAGCACCAGGCTGGGCGCGAGAGAAAGCCTGCATCGACACAGAGTCGGCCCCAGGCTCTAGGGAGGCCTCGGGACCTGTAAGGAGGGACAGGGCAGGGACAATGCCTGTGAATAATGGGGCCGGGGACTTTATGCCTGCTGGCCCCCACCACAGCTGCAGAGAGAGATGCTGGGGCTCACCTGCTCCAGTGGGATCCCCTTTGGTTCCAGTGATGCCAGGGCCCTTGGTGCCCTTGAGGTAGCCATGGGCATAGAGGGAAGACTCTGTGCCCTGGCTGTTGCCATAGCCCTCATCCTGTTGGTAGTAGCTGTAGTCGACCGGCGGCTCCTCGGAGGTGGCCCAGGTACCCTCCCCACCTTGGGAGGCCTGAAGGGCAGGTGGGAGGGGTTCATTAGAACAGGAAGGTGTGGGGGTGGGGGGTGGGGAACCTGCTAGAAGCATCTGTCCCACACGTGGGGCTAGTATTTCTACCTGACAGACAAAGCATGCAGCCTTAAGACAAGTGGAAAGCGAGGGTTGCCTGGCCACAAGAGAACAAATAGGCCAGTGGCAAACACAAGACAGAAAAACAGATGAACGCCAAAATGTTCCAGGGCTGATTCTGCTGATTCTGCTGTGTGTGGCGTGTGTGTTGGGTGTCAGGCCAAGGAAGACACCATCTTCTTACTTCTTTATTCTCTTCTCCCAATTTTCTCTCAACCACTTATACGTTATTTTTATTCAGGAACATATGATACGTGTATATCATATATGTATATATTACATATAAGGATATGTGTATATCATACCTATTCAGGACAATAAAAACCCCACCAAACAGCACAGAATGCCAGGCACAATGGCGTCGTACATGAGCGCATGGGAGGCAATTGGGAAGAAAGCTGCGGTGATGATGAAGGGGAATGTCCCAGGGGGTCTAGAGAGCCAGGAGCAAGGTAGAATAGCCATGCCAGCTACTGGGAGAGGGTTTTGCATCCATGGATAGCAAGCCAGCCTTCCTGCTTCAGAGAGGGTGCAGGAGGGTTGAGAAAGCCCAGGTCTCAGGACGCTGGGAGGCACAAGGGGTCTGAGTACCTGTGAGATGGCCCACTGGGCCGCAGCAATGGCAGTGCTGGCCACAGAGGCAGCACTGATGCGACTGCCTTCATTGGAGGCCATGTCCCTGAGGAGGATGTTAGAGACTGGGAGTGAGATAGGAGGCCCCAAGCGGTAGGGGGGAGTGGGAGGGTGGGGAGGGGAAGGGTGGGAAGGCACACAGGTGGGGCCCTGACCTCTTAGAACCCTTGGCAAACTCAACATTGATGGTCTTGCCGTCGATAGTGAGTGGTGGGTGCAGGGCCTGCAGGATCTGCAGCAGCTGGGCTGCCTCCTGTGGGAGGAGGGGAGGCAGGGACAGAAGGGTCAGGCCCGGGGAGGCCCCCGGCTCCATTGCCCGATTTCCAGGCTGGCAGCCGCGGTGGGAGGCTGGGGAAAAGGACCCTCGTCTCCACCCCGGGGGCCGGGACCCTGGCTGCCCGGCCCCCAACTGTGCCGCCCTCACCACGATGGTGGAGAGCTGGATGAAGGCAAAGCCGCGGTTCAGTTGGGTCTGCTTGTCCTTTATGACGCGCACGTTGGAGGAGGACAGCACCGCGTAGGGTGCCAGGGCCCCCAGGATGGAATCCATGGTGCTGTGTGGGTTCAGGTTGCGCAAAATGATGGCTGTGGGAAGGGGCCCAATGTTAGAGGACACCCCTGGCACTCTTGCCAGCCCTGCCCTTCAATGCCCCCACTGCTCCCTTTCCTCTGCCCCCACTCACTCCGTGCCTTTGCAACTGCCGCTTCCCTCACTGCTTCCTCCAGGATCAACTCTGCTTGGCGGTCCAGGTGCCAGCCTGGCTGCCTGTCTGCTGAGAACCTTCCCGACACACCCCCAAAGTCAGGTGGGATGTTGCCACTCCCCCTGTTCTCCCTACATCAAATGTCTATCCCCGCACCAAGTGGAGATTCCATGAGGATGAGGTCCTGCTCACTGCCATTTCTCTGGTCTTGGTGAGCCCAGCCCGACACCCTAGGGCACAGAGGAAGAAGGAACAACTGACTCACTGTCATTGGCGTTCTCTGAGCTTGGCTCCGAGCCCTGTGACAGGGCTTGGGAGGCCAGGACTCCCTGGGCCTGGTAGGGCTGCGGCAGGGGAAGCAGGCCCTGGCTCAGCTCCCGGCCACCCAGTGGCAGTGTCTGCTGATCCAGCCTCGTGCCGAGGGGCAGCTTCTGCTCTGCCTCTGTCAGGGGCAGTGGGAGACAGGCTGGTGATAAGGGGAAGGCTCCACGACTGGTCACCCTCCTCCCTATACCAAGCCCTGAGCACAGACCCCTCACCCTTCCCTTCTCCCCAACCGCTCCGCCCTGGAGAGCACGAGAGGTAGGTGGGCCTCACCTGACTTGGGCACGCCACATTTGAAGCACTTCTCTCGGCGTTTGAAGTTCTGGACGCCACACTGTGAGGCACAGGCCAGGCCGTCAGAGGGAGCAGGGATTTCCCACTGCACCCTCCAAACTTGGATGAAGAGATCTCCCAGGGACCCCGCAGTGCCCCAGGAAGGAAAGCCCCTAGGCAATGGTGGCAGGTGCCTTCTGAACCTTCTGATGTTGTTCTCAGTACTGTGCATCTTCCCTTTCCAGACTCTCATTTGTCCTCTGTGCCAACCCACTCAGCTCAGGAATAAACAACTCCCCCATTTGGTACAACAACTCCCTCCTCTCCTTCCTCTGCCTTCTTAAGGCCACCAACTCCCAGGACTGTTCCCCGCCTCAGGTATTCAATCCCTTTATTAGGTTCCTCTCCCTGAAACTTGCTCCTCTATTCAGAAACCTTTCAGTGTTTCAGCCCTAGAAGTCAGTAGCCAGACCCGCACCCCTCCTCTTAGCTCTAGGACTGGGTTGGATCCTGCTACGCTTGAGAAATTTTCCTTGAATGTTCCAGCATCTGGAGACCCAGCTTCTACCACACTCCATCTCTGTTCCAGACTCAGGTACTAAGCACCACTCCTGGGCCAGGCCCTGCTGCACATGGCCAGAACATGGTCTCTGCCCTCATGGCCTAATAGCACAGGGGCAGATGCAGCATGAAGAGGGGCAGGTCGGTCTGCATGGACCATCCAGCAGGGGCTCGGGGAGGGAAATGGGCTGGGGGTGGGGTGCCATTTACTCGGCAGGGACAGTCCCTGCACAGAAGCAGGGAGGTTTGACCTGGGATGCCCAGAAGTTTCATTTTGTTAAGCCTTGCTGGGGAGGGATTGTTATCGGAGGGAACAATGGACTTTCCGAAACTGGTGTGGGAGAGTAAGGGGAGAAGCAAAAGCCAAGGCCGGGGAAGGAAGCCAGTTAGGTAATGGAGGATCTTATGCTTAAGCTGAGCTGGGGCTGGTTAAGCAGAGGAGGAGAGGCGTGGGTAGTCAGAGGTGGTTTTGAGGAATGTTCCAGGTGAGGGCGTGGGAGAAAGAGGACAAGAGGCCAGCATACCAGAGAGGGCTCCACAGTGAGTGGGTGAGAGCGTGACGATTGGCATGAGCAGCGGGAATGGCGAGGGAGGGAAGGTGGCGTTTCTGTGATGGAAGTGACAGGACCTGGTGGCCAACAGGATGCAGGGGAGGGGAAGGAGTTCAAGAGAATTCCCTGGTTTTGGGCTGGGCGTGGTGGCTCACGCCTGTAATCCCAGCACTTTGGGAGGCTGAGGCGTGAGGACTGCTTGAGCTCAGGAGTTCAAGACCAGCCTGGCAAACATGACGAAACCCTGTCTCTACCAAAAAAAATAAAAATAAAAAGGCAAAAATTAGTGGGTGTGGTGGCATGCGCCTGTGGTCCCAGCTACTCTGGAGGCTGATGGCTTGAGCGCTGGAGACAGAGGTTGCAGTGAGCCCAGATTGCTGCACTCCAGCCTGGGCGACAGAGCCAGATCCTGTCTCAAAAAAAAAAAAAAGAGAATTCCCTGGTTTTGAGGCTATCTGGAAACACAGGAAGGAGTTCCACTGTCACTTTGTCTTTATCTCTCCAGAAATGTTAAGCACCAATCCTCTGATGGGACTTTTTTTTTTAAAACAGATGCACCACTCTCCCTGACTAGGCAGAGTACTTCCTGGGGAGAGGGTTGGGGCCTCTACAAACTGTGGAATCACAATGCTGGCCCCAGGGCAGACCTGAAGCCACTGTGGCATCCAAGTCCCTGTGATCAGGAGCAAGGCACAGGGCACAGCTAAAGGTTCACCCATGGTTCCACCTCTCTGAGCCTCAGCTTCCCCTCAGGGAAGACAGAGGTGACTACAAAACCACAGCCTCCAGTTTCAGGTTTGACTTGGCCTGGTCAGAGTGGCCTTCAGGCTTGAGCTACCTGCTATGGGCTCTCAGAACGCTCTGTGCTTTTCTTTCATGATTACAGTTAACAATTCGACTGTGTTAAATGTGGGCCAGGCACTGTTCTGAGTGTTACTCTCTCATTAACACAGCTGAATCCTCCCAACCACCTTTTGGGAGAGGTGTCATTAATATTCACATTTTAGAGATGGGGAAAGTGAGGCAAAGAGAGGCTAAGCACCTTGGCCAAAATCAAGGCCGATCTGGGATAGTCTCATTTCAGCCAGTCTGGCTCTGAAGCCCACATTCTCCACACCACCACTTCAAGTCTACACTGTCACTAATTCATCATCCACGTATATATTTCCTTAAAGTCTACTGGAACTCCAGGCAAGACTGCATTTTAGGAGGACAGAGCCTGCACCAAGTGAACGCTCACTACACATTTGTATATGGCTGGCTAGGAATGGTGACTACTCAAGCTGAGCTAGCAAGGGATAGAGAATGAGAGAGAGAGAGAGAGAGAGAGAGAGAGACAGAGGGAGAGGAGAGATTGGGGGAGGGGGAGAGATGGAGGGAGAAAGAGCGGGAGAGGAAGGGAGAGATCGCCGCCACTGCTGTTGCTGTCTCTGTCCATGACAACTGCTGCCCACCGCCCCTGTACCTTATTGCACAGCCAGTCCTCATTGATCTTGGGCTTGGGGTCACTGTAGTGCATCGACACCTTCTGGCCCAGGATGTTGAGGGAGTGCTGCGGGAAAAAGCAGAGCACAGTGAGGTCCAGGCAGCAGTGCCCCACGCACCGTTTCAGCATAGGAGAAGAGAGTGAGCGAGCCCTTCAGCTGGATGGATGAGGGACAGGGAACGGAGGGAGGTCGGAGAGCGGATGGAGGGAAGAAGGGAGGTAGGGAGGGAAAGCGCCACAGCTCTCGGGCGCAGCTGTTTGCTGCTCTGCCGGGCACACGCACGCACACATGTGAACACACACCACCAGGCACACAGTGTTCGGCTGACCGACGCTTGCCGGACAGTGGGGAGAAACCCCCACTCGGCCCTGACACTGCCAGGCCACACCCAGGGCCAGGACTACACAGGCTACACTTGGGGGGTGAGGGGAGACAGGGAGGGGGAGGGAGAGGGGAGAAAAAGAGAAAGAGAGCGCAGGTGCGCTAGTGCTGGAGAAGGGGAAAAAGAAAGAGCCATTTCGAACAGATGGAAGTTTCTGCCATGAGGCCGTCTTCCCATGGATGGCTGGGTCCTGGGCCCATGGCACTAGCCTACCAACCCCGAGGAGACGGCCCCAGGGCTGCCTCTGCCGGGATCCCCCATTCTACCACCTCTGCCCCTTCCTCCCCTGAAACTGCTCTCCAGTGCCCTACACCAGGGATCTGGGCAGGGGTGGGTGACCAGGCAGATCTTTGGGTCTCGGAGGTCCCAAAGCTGCTGAGTTGGGATCCCGTGCCAGGCTTGGGGGACAGGCTCCCCCCAGGGCTGACTGTGCACAGGTCCTTGCCGAGAAGACAGAGCTGCCTGAGGTGGTGCCTCCTGCGAGTGTGGAGATGTGATAGGAAGGGTAGGGGCGGCGAAGTGAGGCCAGGGTGTCGATAAAACTATCATACTCGACGGGAACTTGAGATCAACAGAGCAGTGCTGTCCCCTTGCATGAAAATCAAAGGGCCAAATTCACATGCAGGGATGGGGCTGACAAAATGAGTCTTGCTAGTGACTGTGCCAATAGCTAAGCTCCTCACTGGCAGGACTTCCAGTGGTCCTGAGGGTGGAATGAGGTCCTGGCTCTGGCTAACCCCAGAGAGGGGTGCCCCCCCCACCAGCCCCGGGGGAGTGGGAAGCTAGGTGAAAGAACCCACCCTGGCAGCTCTTTCTCTGAACGCTCAGCTGGGAGAGGTGAAGGGGCAGCACTAGTGCCTGGTGGTAGGAAGGGGCCAGTGGTGAGTGTGGGCTCTGGATGAGAAGCCCAGTGGGGTAGCGAGAGATGGGAAGAGGAGATAGTGAGGGTCAGGAAGGGGAGAGAGGGGGCGGGGGGATGGGACACAGGGCCACAGGGCAGGGAACTGTGTCCATAAGAATCAGGCGATGGGGAGCGCTCGATTACAAAGTAGTATTTGTTTGGGGGGGGGTTCAAGTGCGGCAAAGCAACCTGATTGGCTTCCATCCATCGTGTAGCGTCCTGCAAGTGACTAAACTCGACGAAGGCGAAGCCCCGGCTCTGACCTGGAGACAGCATTCAGATACAGACGCAGTGGGTTAGTCAACAGCTTTGGACACACGGCGTTCCCGGGGGCGGGACCCGAGGGGAGAGGACGGGGGGCAGAGAGGGAAAGGGGAAGAGGAAAAAGGAAGAAAGAGAAAGAGGCAATCAGAGAGAGAAAGACTAGCGGGCGTGGGGGGCAAGGTAGATGGCCAGGTGGGGCAGGGAAGGTGGAGGGAGAAAAACAGAGGCCAGAGGTCGGTAGGGGGAGAGACACACACACCAACTGGGAAGAGAGAGATGGGGCTCGGGCAGACCTGCCCAGCCAGCCTGGGGTGACAGAGACGGAGAGAAGCAGCTGGGAGGGAAAGAATACGAGAGATCTGCCTCCAAAGAAGGAGGGAGGGGATGGTGGGCAGGCTGCTGGCTCCACACAAGCCACAATACGTAACTCCAGGGCGGGCCCAGCTCAAGGCCAGGGGTGCCCAGGAGGGGTCCTGTAACAGGTGTTGAATCACAGGAGCAAAAGAGAAGCTGGGCCAGGCTGCTCTGCGAGGCTAGGAAGGCTCTTGGCCCATTGGAAACCAGGGGCGGTTAAAGACACGACCTCATCTCAGCCTCACCGCAGCGCAGGGGAGGCGGGCCTCGCTAGGGAGCCACCTCAGGGCCACAGGGTGGAGACTACAGCCACAAACAGTCCAGGTTCCCCTGGACAAAAGGAGAATGGTGGCCAGGATTGGCCAGGAGGACCTTAGAGGTAAGAATCAATGGGTGCCTGGGAGAAGCGCCCAGGGCCATTGAGAAGGCCGCACCTGGAACACCTCCTTGTGGAGAGAGAGACCCAGAAGCTGTCCGTGTGTGGTGTAGTTGGGGTGATGCAGAGCAAGACCTACATGCAACCAAGATTCCAGGCTTGGGAAAGGGATTCAGGGTTGAGGCCTCAGGATAGCATGTCCTTTAGAGGCAGATACATGGGGAGGGCTTGGATGAGAGGGGCTTGGGGGGGCATGCTTAATGTTCAAAAGAATAACCGTTAGGATGCATAGGAGGATGGAATGAATAATATAGTTGGGGGGGGCAGAGAGAGAGAAAGAGAGAGAGGGAGAAAGAGAGAGAGAGAGAGAGAGAGAGAGAGAGAGAGAGAGAGAGAGATGGAGGTGTGGGGAGGAGAGACTGAGAGATGGAGAGAGAAGCCCAGGCAGAGTGAGGCCCCACTGTGCCTGCCTTGGGGAGCCTGGGCAGAGGTCCTGTAGAGACAACTCCCCCCACCACCACCCTGCTAACCTCAGGCCAGCTCCAAGCAGCCTGCAAGAGGGAGGGAGGGAGGGAACAGGCGAGGCCAGGAAGTCCTGGCTGTTCCTTGGGATGTGTCCTTGGATAAGAGCCATCCCCTGCTTCCCCCTTGGGACACACATGTGGGACCACCACGTCAGAGCTACTTTCTGGTCAGAGGCTGTTACCAAAAAATGTGGGGGAAAGTGAGGGGCAGAGGAAGGAGAAGAAAGGAGAGGGAAGGGAGTGTATGGGAGGGGGTTACCATCTCAGATACTCAGAGTCCCAGAGAGGAGGTGCCTGGGAGCCTGGCCCTGGCCCTGACCCCAGGGAGCACCCAGCTCAGCTCAGAGCTGCACCCCTGCCCCGACAGCCCCATTGAAGAGGCTTTTGGCTGGAGCTGTGAGGAGAGTGTGGGGAGTGGGAGAGAAGAGAGGGCACCCCCCACGCTGCCCATTCCCAGCTGTGGCAGGAAGGTGGTGGAGGGAGTGGGGGAGAAGGCAGAGGCAGGAGGGAGATTCGGAGGCTGAGGCTGGCCACTTGAAGGGGAGGGCACTAGAACAAAAGCTCACCTGAAGATTTGTTCCGCATCAGCCGAACCTCCCGTGCTTGCACGCCGTGCGACTGCAGCTGGCCACGGATCTATACGGGGAGATACAGAGTAGGGCAGGCTCAGCACAATGGGGCCGCTGGGTACCTGAGGCTGGCTGGAGGCCTCTGGATCCCGAGGGGTCATCGGTGATGTGCACACAGTCTCCTCCGCCTCTTTCGCAGCTTTTCCCTGAGTGACAACAGCCCCAGGCCCACACCAGTTCACAGTCTTGACTTTCAGCCCCAGACTTGCAGAAAGTGAATCAAATGAAGAAATGGGCACAGAGCAAGGTAAAGCATGGCAGCAGGACGACCCTCAGGGGCACAGAGAACAAGAGAGCAAGTGAGCCAGCCACTTAAGAACGGTGGGCAGGGTGATCTGACAAAGGGCTCGCTGGCAGCCACGAAGTAAGGAAACCTGGGATGCAATTCTTGCCCTTGGCAAGGGGATAACCCGCACCCCCGCCCCTGCCCTGCTGACCTGCAGCTTGCGTCAAAAGAGATCCATGACATAAATGTCAAACTGGGGAGGACAGGAGTCTGAGCAAATCCCAGCCATGTGCCCTAGACCATGACTGTAGCAATAACTTAGGGTGGAGACAAAAAGCAAAAAGATGTAGTCCTGGGGATTGCTTCCCAGATGGAGTAGGCCAGAGGGAAACTGCAGAGGCAATTCAGGATTTGGCCCAGGTGAGGCAGGGTCTCTAGGCCAGTGAGGTCTCTCACTGAGGACCAGGAGCCTATGCCAGCCATTCTTGGGAAGGAGTCTTCATGTCTCTGGGCCTCAGTTTCCCCACCAGGTTAAACAACAGACAGGACATTAGCCTTACACACACCCATACACAGGGTGAAAAGGAAAAACACACAGAAGAGCTTATCAGGACTCCAAACTCAGGGAAGGCTGAGGAAGCAGCAAAAAGTGGGCTCTAGGGTCCAGCTGCCCGGGTTCAGACTCCAGCTCTGCTCTGCCACTCACTGGCTATGAGACCTGGGGCAAGTCACATTCCCACTCAGGGCTTGGTTTCCTCATCCGAAGGATGGAATACAAAGAGTACCTTCCCTGCTGGGCTGCCATGGGGACTGAATCATACCTAACACATGGCCCACCCTGAGATACATTCTCAACAAATGTCAGCAACCAGCTACTGTCTGACCCTGAACAGGGCAGGTGGGCCAGACCTTAGAAACCCTCAAATACACAAGTGGGATTTTCTCTGTTACAAAATGAGCAGCTAGCAGATTTCAGAGGAGGGCTGATCAGAGAATTCATGGGGGTAGGGGGTGAGGGGCGGCGGAGTAGACTAAGAAGGACCAAGATCAGGACACTATTCTTGGAGGTTATTCTGGTAGGCCTCGTGGGGCTTCAGTGTGGCTGTCATGAGAAGTATGTATGAAAAGGAAACAGGAGGAAAGGGAGGCAGGCGTGGAGGCTGTTAGCAGCCACCCAAGGCTCTGAGGCCAGGCCAGGCTGCTGACAAAAAAGGATGGGGGAAAAAGAGAAGGAAATTTCAGAAAATCCCATCCCTCCCCCAATGGTTACAGGGCCCCAGTGTCATCTCTGCTACCAGCAATAGCCAGCACTGGCCCGGTGAGCGTCTGGCCCATGATGCACACATGCAAAATGGCTGGATGACCAGTGGAATGTGCAGGACTGCTCTTCTCCCGCCCATACCCACCACTACCAGACACCCATGGCCAATGTCCCTTGGCCAAGCCGGCCTCTCTGACACTCCTCCCTCCAGACCGGGGGGCCGATGGGACCTGCCCACAGAGGACGGATCAGTGCTGGGGGATAGGAGCTGGAGGGGGAGAAGGGATGAAAGGCGCTGAGGTTGCAGGTGAGGGAGGGGTGGGGAGAAGTTGAGGGCCCTGGAGGAGACCCAGCCTGGCCTCCTGCCCGGGGCCATGGGGGGCACGTACGTCATCCTCAGTGGCTGCCTGTGGCAGCATCCTCAGCATGACGATGTTACTGGCCTTCTCCTCCTCCTCCTCATCCTCCTCCTCCTCCTCCTCCTCCCCTTGCTCGGTCCGATAGTCCTGGTCCCGATAGTCGCCGTCTCGGGGGAAGCCTGGCGGGCCGGTGGGGCTGTGCCTGTGCCGCCGCCGCCGCCTACGCTGAGTCTCGGAGCCCGGGGAGGCCTCGTAGGAATCCTGGCCGACAGAATGAGATGAGTGACACCAGACGGGCAGTCAGTCTGGGCAGGCCTAGGAGCTGGCCGCTGGCTCTGTGAGGCAGGCAGGCTCTGAAAGCCAGGGATGTGCGGGCTCCGGCTAAAGGCTCAGGCAGGCAGGGTGGGCAGGCCCCGGCCTGCAATCTTTCTGGGACTGTAAATTCTCCATGGGGTCCTTTTGGGGGCTGCCTTCAGTGGGTGGGGAGAGGTAGGTGACAGTATTGGTGTGGGGGGAACTCCCAAAGGTAGCTGACAAGACACAGCTTAAACCTCCTTGGGGCAAGATGGCCTGGGGTCAGCACACCAGACCCCACCCTTGATTTTCCTCTCCTCTCTGGCCAGCTCAGGGGGTGTGCTCAATTGCTTCACTGTACCACCGAAGGCTGCATGTCTCCTACGGTTCCACCCTGCAACCAAGCTGGGGGCATAAGAACAGCTTCAGATCTCAGCCAGAGCCAGGCAGCAGGAGCTGGTGGAGGTGGTGTGAGGGCTGCAGACACTCCCTCCTCAGTCCCTGATCCTCAGCCTTGGCCAGTCCTCCACCACACACCACGCTCAAAACGGTATGGCTGTTGGGCTCTGGGCTGTTGCCCAATCCATCCATTCCAGGACTAAGCAGAGCAGGCCTGGGGCCAAAGCCCTCCCGCCCACAGTGGGGAAGCACCAGATAACTTGGTGCTCCATTCCCACCCTGGCCAGGGCCCAGTGCTCCTGGAGACGTCTGGGCACAGCTTGACAGCTGCCACTGGAGAAGCCTGGCAGTCCACCAAAGGGGTTTTTGCCCTGGACCCTCCAGAGGGCAGTGGGCAGCTCACAGACTGCCCCCCAGGGCTGGGCTTGCAAGAACTCCCTTCCCAGCCTGCTGGACAGGAGAGCTGCCTGCTCGCATGGACCAGGTCCCTGACTGCCCCTCCAACTGGGATTCCCCTAAGGCAAGCCTGTTTCTTCCCCTCGGGTGGGGGCTCCCTGATGGTGTAAACATCGCGCCTCATCCCGCAGGCTAGGGTGAACTACCCAACATGGCACTGGCTTCTCCAGAAGGGTCCTTCCCTTCTGTCTAGGGGCTCTATCACCACTGGGAATGCCCATGGCTGGCCTCCCAGAGCTCCTCAGCTTGGTGGTCTGCAGTCCCCTTGTTGTCCTCCCAACCCCAGACGCCGGGTCCCATGGAAGAGGCTCTTCAAGTGCCCAAGTTGGCTGGGAGCGGGCAGTACAGGGTTCACAGTGAGCCATGGGCCCGAACTGAACAACAGGGAGAAAGGGAAAGAGTGGTGGCCAGGGGCCCTCAGAAGTACAGAGCCAAGCATGTGGAAGCCAGGGAGACCCAGGTTGGGAGAGGAGCCCTCAGAGAGGGGAGTGGGAACAGGCCCTCCAGGTGAGGCAAAGCCACCGAGCACAGTCTGAAGGCACGGGAGTGGAGAGCTGCCTGCACACGGTGCTGCAGCCAGACACAGAGGGCCCTTGGGAGCCCATCCCAGCCAGGCCTGGCGCAGCGCGCCCCCTCCTCACCTCCGCACTCTGCTCCTCAGATGAGTCGTCATAGTCATGCTTGCCCTCCTGGCTGCCATACTCGCGAGGATATGAACGGTAGTCCATGTCCCGGTAGTCGTGGTCTCGGCTGCGGTTCTCCCCACCATCATCCTGCGAGCGGTCAGTGGCTCCATAGCGGCCAGTCCTGTCACCACGACCACCACTAGTGGAGGAAGAAGGATGGGGAGGGATCAGAAGGTTGCCCTTTCTAAAAGGTGCAAGAGGCCCAGGTGATGTGTTCTCGTAGGGTTTTGGTTTTTTTGGAGGAGCATACAACAGAAGTGAGGTGCCCTTCTGATCCTATCAGAGAAAGAAGTACATGATACCACCATGACTTAGCTCTGGTGATGTTAACCATGGTCATCTGGTTAAGGCAGTGTCTGCCAGGTTTCTCACCCTGTAAACTTTCTATTTTTCCCTCCCCCTACTCTATTCTTTGGAAGCCCTCAGGCCCGCCCCCATACAGGGATTCCTAAATCCCTGCTCCACATCTCTGAAGTGCAACCTGCCTCTCTCCATCCCTATGTCACTCTCTGGTCCATGCCACTGGCTTCCCTCATGGGGCACCTTGGTTGTGGCCTGGCTGTTCTCCTCACTTCTACCTGGACCTCCCCAGTTCAGTCTCTACATCCCAAATCCCAAATGTGAGTGCTTTCTAAGGCAAAGCCACTCAAACCCATCTCACTCCCTTTAGTGGCTCCCCCTCAGTCTCAGGATCAAATACCAAAATGCTCACCAAGGTCTCATTCGGCTTGCAGGATCCCCGGGGGTGAGGCTCCTCCTCCCTGTCTTGCACCACGTCCCCTGCCCCTGCTTCACTGTCACCTTGCCGACACTAGCAGCTCTTTCATTAAAATTTCTCCTACCGCAATAACTGTAAAATAATGATCTCAAAGCTGATTTCATCTGCATTTCTTTTCTTTTTTTTTTGAGAATGGATCTGGCACTGTTGCCCAGGCTGGAGGGCAGTGGCATTATCAGGGCTCACTGCAGCCTCAACCTCCCAAGCTCAAGCCATCCTCCCACCTCAGCCTCCTGAGTAGTTGGGACCACAGGCACGCACCACCACGCCCAGCTCATTTTTGTATTTTTTGTAGAGATGGGGTTTCACCACATTGCCAGGCTGGTCTCAAATTCCTGGGCTTAAGTGATCCACCCACCTCAGCCTTCCAAAGTGCTGGGATTACAGGCGTCCACCACTGTGCATGGCCTAATCTGTGTTTCTTTGGTGAGTTAAAAAATTACTAGAATATGGGCTCCAGGAAATGAGGGGACCCTTAGCTCACTGCCATATTCCCTAGCACTCAGTAGGCGCTCAACAATTATTTTGAACAAATAATGACTAAAAAAGCATTCTAAGAGCAACCAATATATGTTTATTTAAAATAGAAAAAACTAGATGCCACAGAAGAATGCTACTATACTAACAGGATTCCAATTCTGGTCGGGAACAACATTAGAATGTCCGTTATCAACAGCATTCTTAACATTATTCTAAAGACACTAGCTAAAGCAATTAAACAGGGAAGGAAGAAAAGAGGTTAAAAGCTGGAAAGGAGAAGGTAAAATTACCATTATTTGTAAATGATATGAGAGTATACCTGCAAAGCCTAAGAGAATCAACTGAAAAACTTGTTATAAATAATAAATCAGTAAGGATGCTGGGTACAAATTAATGTAACCACTGTTTAGAAAATAGAAAGGTCCCAAGTACAATTCATCAAAAAGGTTAAATACCTAGACATGTGCAAGATATTATGACTATACTTCACATATATACCAGGATATATTTGAAATAGATCAAAGATTTAAACATAAGAAATGAAACCATAGGCCAGGCGTGGGTGGCACCCTGGGAGGCCGAGGTGGGCAGATCACTTGAGGTCAGGAATTCGAGACCAGCCTGGCCAACATGGTGAAACCCCATCTCTACCAAAAATACAAAAATTAGCTGGGTGTGGTGGCATACGCCTGTAATCTCAGCTACTTGGGAGGCTGAGGCAGGAGAATCGCTTGAACCCGGGAGGCGGAGGCTGCGGTGAGCCACTGCCAGTCTGGGTGACAGAGTAAGACTCTGTCTTAAAAAAAAAAAAAAAAAAGAAATGAAATCATAAAAGAAAATATAGAATAACTGAATAATTTCTTTATAATCTTGAAATGGGGAAACCTATAATCCAAATCCAGAAGCCACAGAAAAGATTACTAAATTCAACTACATAAAAATAAAATACTTTTGCTTGGAGAAAAAAACAGAAAAATAAAAAACATCATTAACCAAGTCAAAAGACAATAAACTAGGAAAAAATATGGGGAAAGGAAGTAAACAGAATTCACAGATAAAAATATCAATGATGTGTATCTGAAAAGATGCTCTATCTCACTCATAATGAAAGATGAAAATTTTGCCGGGCGCGGTGGCTCACACCTGTAATCCCAGCACTTTGGGAGGGTGAGGTAGGCGGATCACAAGGTCCAGAGATAGAGACCATCCTGGCTAACATGGTGAAACCCCGTCTCTACTAAAAATAAAAAAAATCAGCTGGGTGTGGTGACACGCACCTGTAGTCCCAGCTACTCGGGAGGGCGAGACAGGAGAATCGCTTGAACCCAGAAGGCGGAGGTTGCAATGAGCCGAGATCGCACCACTGCACTCCAGCTTGGGCGACAGAGCGAGACTCAGTCAAAAAAAAAAAAAAAAGAAAATTTTGCTAGGTGAGATGGCTCATCCTGTAATCCCAGCACTTTGCGGGGTGAAAGTGGGAGGATTGCTCGAGGCCAAGACCAGCCTGGACAACATAGCAAGATCCCGTCTTTACAAAACCACCATCACCACCACAACATATTAGTTGGGCATGGTGGTGTACATCTATAGTCCCAGCTACTCAGGAGGCTGAGGCGAAAGGACTGCTTGAGCCTAGGAGTTCTAGGTTACAGTGAGCTATGATTGTACCACTGCGCTCCAGCCTGAGTGACAGAGCGAGACTCCATCTCAAGAAAAAAAAAAAAGAGAGAGAGAAAGATGAGAATTAAAACTACATTGGATAGACTGTTTCAAAATAAATTTTATTTTACTTGAGACAAGGTCTCGGTCTGTTGCCCAGGCTGAGTGCAGTGGTGCAATCATAGCTTACTGTAGCCTCCACCTCCTGGGCTTAAGCAATCTTCCCATCTCAGCCCCAACCAGCTGGGACTACAGGAATGCACCACCACATCCAGCTAATTTTCAAATTTTTTGTAGATACAGGACCTCACTATGTTGCCCAGCCTGATCCTGAACTTTTGGACTAAAGTGAGCCTGTCGCCTCAGCCTCCCAAAGTGCTGAGATTACAGACGGGAGCCACTGCACATGGCCTAAAATAAACTTAAAATTTTAATTTTTGTATATTTTTTCTAGATCATTTTGTATTGTGGTAAAATATACATTTACCATTTAACCATCCTTTTTTTTTTAAATTTTGAGATGGAGTCTCGCTCTGTCACCCAGGCTGGAGTGCAGTGGCACAATCTCGGCTCACTGCAGCCTCCGCCTCCTGGGTTCAAGCGATTCTCCTGCCTCAGTCTCCCGAGTAGTTAGGACTATAGATGCACGCAGCCACGCCCGGATAATTTTTGTATTTTTAGTAGAGACGGGGTTTCACTATGCTGGCCAGGCTGGTCTCGAACTCCTGACCTCGTGATCTGCCCACCTTGGTCTCCCAAAATGCTGGGATTACAGGCGTGAGCCACTGGGCCGGGCCTCAAGCAATTCTTGTGCCTCAACCTCCCGAGTAGCTGGGACTACAGGTGTGTGCCACCATGCCTGGCTAATTTTTGTATTTTTAGTAGAGATGGAGTTTCACCATGTTGGCCAGGCCAGTCTCGAACTTCTGACTTCAGGTGATCCGCCTGCCTCAGCCTCCCAAAGTGCTGGGATTACAGGTGTGAGCCACCGCGCCCAGCCTCTTTTTTTTTTTTTTTCTTTTGAGACAAGTTTCACTCTTGTTGCCCAGGCTGGAGTCCAATGGCGCAATCTTGGCTCACTGTAACCTCTGCCTCCCGGGTTCAAGCGATTCTCCTGCCTCAGCCTCCCGAGTAGCTGGGATTACAGACATGCACCACCACTCCCGGCTAATTTTGTACTTTTAGTAGAGACAGGGTTTCTCCAAGTTGGTCAGGCTGCTCTCGAACTCCCTACCTCAGGTGATCCGCCCGTCTCGGCCTCCCAAAGTGCTGGGATTACAGGTATGAGCCACCGCGCCCAGCCAACCATTCTTAATTATCTAATTCAGTGGCATTAAGTATACTGACAATGTTATGCAACCATCACCTTTTCCAGGAATTTTTCATCATCCCAAACAAAACCTTTGTACCCATTAAACAATTCTCACCCCACCCCACAGCCTCTATTCTACTTTCTGTCTCAATGAATTTGCCTATTCTAGGTACTTCATAGTAGTGGAATCATATATTTGTCCCTATGTGTCTAGCTTATTTCACCTGGCATGTTTTCAAGGTTCATCCACAAGGCAGTATGTTAGAATTTCCTTCCTTTTTATGGTGGAATAATACTCTTCTATTGTAGTATGCATATTTTGTTCATTCATCTGTTCGTGCACACTTGGGTTGTTTCCACCCCTTGGTTATTTTGGACATTGTGAATAACGCTGCTATGAATATTGGTGTCCAAGTATCTGTTTGAATTATTGCTTTCAATTCTTTTGGGTATATATCTAGGAGTGGAATTGCTGGATCATATGGTAATCCTGTGTTTAACTTTTTCTGGAACCGCCAAACTGTTTTCCACAGCAGCTGTACCATTTTACATTCCTACCAGTGTTGCACAAGGGTTCCAATTTCCCCGCATCCTCACCAACACTTGTTATTTTGCATCTTTTCATGTGCTTACTGGCCACTTGTATATCTTTCTTGGAGAAATGTCTATTCAAGTCCTTTTGCCAATTTTTTTTTTTTTTTTTGAGATGGAGTACAACTCTGTCACCCAGGCTGGAGGGCAGTGGCATGATCTCAGCTCACTGCAACCTCTGCCTCCCAGGTTCAGCCTCCCGAGTAGCAGTGATTACAGGCGCCTGCCACCACACCTGGCTGATGTTTTGTATTTTTAGTAGAGACAGGGGTTTCACCATGTTAAGTCAAGCTGGTCATGAATCCTTTGCCCATTTTTAAATTGGATAATTTTGTTGTTGTAAGAGTTCATATATTCTGGATGTTAATCCCTTACCAGATATATTATTTACAAATATGTTTTCCCATTGTGGGTTGTCTTTTCACTTTCTTGATAGTGTCTTTGGAAGTATAAAAGTTTCTAATCGGCCAGGCACAGTGACTCACGCCTGTAATCCCAGCACTTTGGGAGGCCAATGTGGGCAGATCGCAAGGTCAGGAGATCGAGACAATCCTGGCTAACACGGTGAAACCCCGTCTCTACTAAAAAATACAAAAAATTAGCCGGGCGTGGTGGCGGGCGCCTGCAGTCCCAGCTACTCAGGAGGCTGAGGCAGGAGAATGGCGTGAATCCGGGAGGTGGAGCTTGCAGTGAGCAGAGATCGCGCCACTGCACTCCAGCCTGGGCGACAGAGTGAGACTCCGTCTCAAAAAAAAAAAAAAAAAAAAAAAAAAATTAGCCAGGCGTGGTGGCAGGCGCCTGTAGTCCCAGCTATTTGGGAGGCTGAGGCAGGACAATGGCGTGAACCTGGGAGGCGGAGCTTGCAGTGAGCCGAGATCGCGCCACTGCACTCCAGCCTGGGCAGCAGAGTGAGACTACGTCTCAAAAAAAAAAGTTTCTAATCTTTTGTTGTTGTTACCAGCAGTCCCTGAACCAGAATAGGTTCAGAGAGACTTCCAAAAGTTTCTAATTGTGGCCAGGCGTGGTGGGCTCACACCTGTAATTCCAGCACTTTGGGAGGCCAAGACGGGCGGATCACATGAACCCAAGAGTTTGAGACCAGCCTGGGCAACATACCGAAAACTCATCGCTATAAAACCAACAAAAATAAACAAAAGTTTCTAATTTTGATGAAGTCAAACTTCTTATTTTGAAATAATTTTACATTTGCAGAAAAGTTCAAAGAATCCCTGTATACCCTTCACCCAGCTTCCCCTAATATTAACAAAACTAAGGCACATTTGTCAAAACTAAGGAATTAACTAAACTACAGATTATATTAGGATTCCACCAATTTTCTCGTTAATATCCTTTTTCTGATCCAAGATTTAATCCTAAATATTACATTACATGTAGTTGTCATGTTCCCTCAGTCTCCTCTGGCCTGTGAAGGTTTATCAGTCTGTCCTTGTTTGTTTTTAATGACCTTAACAGTTTTGAAGAGCACTGGCCAGGTATTTTGTAGAATGCCCTTTAACTGGTTTTGTTTGATGTGTTCTCATGATTAGACCTAAGATTATGGATTTTTTTTTTTTTTTGGAGAAGCATACAACAGAAGTGAGATAGTGAAATGCCCTTCTGATCATATCACAGAAGAGTACATGATAACAACATGACTTATCTCTGGTGATGTTAACCATGATCACCTAGTTAAGGTGCTGTCTGCCAGGTTTCTTCCCTGTAAAATTTCTCTATTTCTCTCTCCATACTCTATTTTTTTTTTTTGAGATGGAGTCTCGCTTTGTTGCCAGGCTGGAGTGCGGTGGCGCCATCTCAGCTCATTGCAACCTCCACCCGGGTTCAAGCGATTCTCCTGCCTCAGCCTCCCAAGTAGCTGGGATTACAGGCACCTGCCACCACCCCCAGCTAATTTTTGCATTTTTAGTAGAGACGGGGTTTCATCATGTTGGCCAGGCTGGTCTCGATCTCCTGACTTCACGATCCGCCCCCCTCGCCCTCCCAAAGTGCTGGGATTACAGGCGTGAGCCACCACACCCGGCCTCCATACTCTATTCTTTAGAGGTGAGTCTCTAAGACCAGCCCACAGTCAAAAGGAGGGTAATTAAGCTCTACCTCCTAGAGGAGGGAGTATCTACATTATTTGGAGTTATATTAAAATTATTATTTATGATAACTATTAAATAATATAGTATTGTACTATACAATAATCACTAGTAAGGAAGATTTGATAGAACATTTTTAATCTAACAGATTTACAACAGTCCAATGTTTGAAAACAAACAGCAAGACTGTATGGAAAACAGGTACTTTCATATTGCTGGTAGGAGTTAAAAATGGAATAATCCTTATAGAGGAGAATTCGGCAATAGCTGACAAAACTAAAAATCTATATACCCTTTGACCCACAGTTCTACTTCTGGGAATTTAAAGTATACACATACTTGCACATGTACAAAAAAGTTACTGTAGCATTGTTTTAAAAAACAAAGGACAGGCTGGGCGCAGTGGCTCACGCCTGTAATCCCAGCACTGTGGGAGGCCAAGGCAGGCGGATCACGAGATCAGGAGATGGAGACCAGCCTGGCCAACATGGTGAAACCCCGTCTCTACTAAAAATACAAAAATTAGCTGGGTGTGGTAACGCGTGCCTGTAATCCCAGCTACTCAGGAGGCTGAGGCAGGAGAATCTCATGAACCCAGGGAGCAAAGATTGCAGTGAGCCGAGATTGCGCCACTGCACTACAGCCTGGCAACAGAGTGAGACTCTGTCTCAAAACAAACAAAAACAAAAAACAAAGGATAAGCCAGGAGCAGTGGCTCATGCCCCTAATCCCAGCACTTTGGGAGGATGAGGTGGGCGGATCGCTCGAGCCCGGGAGTTCAAGACCAGCCTGGGTGACATGGCAAAACCTCATCTCTACAAAGAAATACAAAAAGTAGTTAGGCGTGGTGGTGCGTGTTTGTATCCCCAGCTACTTGGGAGGCTGAGGCAGGAGAATCACTTGAGGCCAGGAGGTCAAGGATGCAGTGAGCCATGATCGCGCCACTGCACCTGGGCGACAAAGCCAGACCCTCTCTCTCTCTCTCTCTCTCTCTCACTAAAAAAAAAAAAAAAAAAAACTAATGAGTTGAGAGGAACTCTAGCAAATATTAAAACATTATAAAGGTAAATTAATTAAAACATGAATAGACAGATCAGTGAAATAGAATAGAATCTACAGCATACAAAAACACACTTGGAAATTCAGTATAAGCCAAAGGTTATATTTCAAACTAACAAGGGGAAAACAAATTAGTCAATAAATAATAGTTACAATAACTATCTGGCCTAGGAATCAGCAAACTATAGCCAGTGGACCAAATCCAGTCTCCTTAAATAAAGTTTTAGTGGAGGCCAGATGTAGTGGCTCACATCTGTAATCCCAACACTTTGGAAGGCCAAGGCAGGAGTAACCCTTGAGTTCCAGACCCAGCCTGGGTAACACAGTAGTCAGACCTCGTCTCTACTGGAAAAAGAAAAAAAGAAAGAAAGAAAGAAAGAAATTAGCTGTGTGTGAGGCTGAGGTGGGAGGATCCCTTGAGCCAGGGAGACAGAGGCTGCAGTGAGCTCTGATCGCGCCACTGCACTCCAGCCAGCCAGGGCAACACAGCAAGACCTTGTTTCAAAAAAAAAATTAATTAAATAAAGTTTTACTGGAACACAGCTATATTCATTCATTCATAAATTGTCCGTGACTGCTTTCAGTTTAGTTGCAACAGAGACAGTCCTGCAATGCAATGCCAAAAATATTTACTATCTGATCCTTCACAGAAAAGTGTTGCCCACTAAGAAAACAAAGTTTACCTCACTTCTTACGCCAAATAAATTATGGATGGGTGAAAACTTAAATTCCCAAATAGAAACCATAAAAATATTAAAGAAATCTCTCTCTCCAAAAAAAAATCTCGAAACTGCTTTCTCCCATGACCAAACTAGTTTGCATTCCCACCAACAGTATATAAGCATTCTTTTCTTTGCAGCCTCACTAACATGTTTTTTTTTTTTTACTTTTTAATAATTGCCATCTGACTGGCATGAGACGGTGTCTCCTTGTGGTTTTGATTTGCATTTCTCTGATGATTAGTGATGATGAGCATTTTTTCATGTTTGTTGGCCACTTGTATGTTATCTTTTGAGAAGTATCTGTTCATGTCCTTTGCCCATTTTTTAATTGGAAATTTTGCTTTTTGCCTATTGATTTAACTTCCTTGTAGATTCTGGATATTAGACCTTTGTCAGATGTGTAGCTTATGATTTTCTCCTATTCTGTAGGCTGTCCATTTACTCTGTTGGTAGTTTCTTTTGCTGTGCAGAAGCTGTTTAATTAGGTCCAAATTGTCAATTTTTGGTTTTGTTGCAATTGCTTTTGGGGACTTAGCCATAAATTCTTTGCCAAACCCTGTATCGAGGAGGGCATTTCCTAGGTTTTCTTCTAGGATTTTTTTTCTTTTTTTTTGAGGCAGAGTTTCACTCTTGTCGCCCAGGCTGGAGTGCAATGGCACAATCTTGGCTCACTGCAACCTCCGCCTCTCAGGTTCAAGTGATTCTCCTGCCTCAGCCTCCCAAGTAGCTGGGATTATAGGCATGCGCCACCACGCCTGGCTAATTCTGTATTTTTAGTAGAGATGGGGTTTCTCCATGTTGGTCAGGCTCGTCTCGAACTCTCGACCTCAGGTGATCCGCCTGCCTCGGCCTCCCAAAGTGCTGGGATTACAGGCATGAGCCACCGCGCCTGGCCTTCTAGGATTTTTATAGTCTGAGGTCTTACATCTTAATTTTTGTATATGGTGAGAGGTAAGGGTCCGGTTTCATTCTTCTGAATATGGCTAGCCACCTATCCCAGCACTTATTGAACAGGGAGTCCTTTCCCCCTTGCTTACTTTTGTTGATTTTGTCAAAGATCAGATGGTTCTATGTGTGCGGGTTTATTTCTGTGTTCTCTACTCTGTTCCACTGGTTTATGTGTCTGTTTTTGCACCAGGACCATGCTATTTTGATTACTGTAGCCTTACAGTATAGTTTGAAGTTGGACAATGTGATGCCTCTGGCTTTGTTCTTTTTGCTTAGGATTGCTTTGGCTATTCGACCCAGTAATCCTGCTACCGGGTATATACCCAAAGGAAAATAATTTATTCTATCACATGCACCCATGTTCAAAGCGGCACTTTTTTTTTTTTTTTTTTTTGAGACGGAGTTTCGCTCTTGTTGCCCAGGCTGGAGTGCAATGGTGCAATCTCGGCTCACCGCAACCTCCACCTCCTGGTTCAAGAGATTCTCCTGCCTCAGCCTCCCGAGTAGCTGTGATTACAGGCACGTGCCACCACGCCTGGCTAATTTTTTATTTTTAGTAGAGATGGCGTTTCTCCATGTTGGTCAGGCTGGTCTCGAACTCCCTACCTCAGGTGATCTGCCCACCTCGGCCTCTCAAAGTGATGGGATTACTGGCATGGGCCATGGCGCCTGGCCACTGCAGCACTATTCACAATAGCAAGGACATGGAATCAGCCTGAATGCCCATCAATAGTGGACAGGATAAAGAAAAATGTGGTACATATACACCATGGAATACTATGCAGCCATAAAAAAGACAAAATCATGTCCTTCACAGCCATATAGATGGAGCTGGAGGCTGTTATCCTAAGCCACCTGCCACGAAAACAGAAAACCAAGTACTGCATGTTCTCACTTATAAATGGGAGTTAAATGTTGAATGTACATGAATGTAAATATTGGAATATCAGACATTGGGGATCACTAGACCGGGAAGGTGGGAAGGGGGGCATGGGCTGAAGGACCATCTGTCGGGAACTAAGCTTACTGCTTGGGTGATGGGATCAACGGGGCCTCAAGCTTCAGTGTCACGCAATTTACCCATGTAAAAAAACCTGTACAGGCCAGATGCGGTGGCCCATGCCTGTAATCCTAGCACTTTGGGAGGCCGAGGGGGGCAGATCACTGAGGTCAGGAGTTTGAGACCAGCCTGGGCAACATGGTGAAACCTCGTCTCTACTAAAAAATACCAAAATTAGCTGGGCATGGTGGTGCACACCTACAGTCCCAGCTACTGGGCAGGCTGAGGCACGAGAATTGCTTGAACCAGGGAGGCGGAGGTTACAGTGAGCCGATCGCACCACTGTACTCCAGCCTGGGCGACAGAGTGAAACTGCGTATGAAAAAAAGAACAACCTGTATGTGGGCCGTGAGCTCCAGCTGGGTGGCCAGGGGTGGGGGGGTTGTGGAGACCGTGACACCACGCGGCCCTAACCCCGCACCCCGAGCCCTTTCCACACCCCTGCCACCAGGGGGTGCCCGCACGCTCCCAGCGCTCACTGGCCAACAGACTCAGCCTATGGGCAATTTCCTCAGGACCCAGGCTCCTTGCCCGAGGAGGAAGATATAGACCTTTATGAAAGGGAAGAGAGTTGGCTACTGGCTGCATGAGAAGAAAATCAAGAAGCTCAATTTCCCGGCTTTAGCGGAGGTGTGCAGGAAGTGAGGGATAGAAGTGGTGCAGCTGAGGCCGGGCGCGGTGGCTCACGCCTGTAATCCCAGCACTTTGGGAGGCCGAGGCGGGTGGATCACCTGAGGTCGAGAGTTCAAGACCAGCCTGGCCAACATGGTGAAACTCTGTCTCTACTAAAAATACAAAAACTAGCCGTAGTGGCAAGTGCCTGTAATCCTAGCTACTCGGGAGGCTGAGGGAGGAGAATCGCTTGAACCTGGGGGGCAGAGGTTGCAACGAGCTGAGATCACACCACTGCACTTCAGCCTGGGCGACTGAGTGAGACTGATCTCAAAAAAAAAAAAAAAAAAGTCATGCAGCTGAACCTCAGCCGGCCAATCGAGGAGCAGGGACCCCTGGACGTCATCATTCACAAGTTGACTGATGTCATCCTTGAAGCCGACCAGAATGACAGCCAGTCCCTGGAGCTGGTGCACAGGTTTCAGGACTACATCGATGCCCACCCTGAAACCATCGTCCTGGACTCCTTCCCTGCCGTCAGAACCCTGCTCGACCGCTCCAAGTCCTGCAAACTCATCTGGAAGATTGAGATCTACATGGAAGGCGGCAGGATCTGCTTGCTGCCCTTCATGGAGGTCACAAGCCTGTGCGGGGATGACACCATGTGGCTGCTGGAGAAGAACAGCCTGGCTTTCCTGTTCATGTGCAAAACTAGAGTGGCTCACGGCACCAACTCTCACGAGATGTCTACTGTATTCAATCAGGAGGGCCTGAATGGCATACAGCCACCCTGTGTGGTCTAGAATTTCATCAACCACAACACCGTTCTGTACAAGGTGTTCGTGGTCAGCAAGTCCTACACCGTGGTCCAGAGGCCCTTGCTCAAGAAATTCTCCGCGGACACAATGTGACCACGAATCCATCTTCCTCAATAGCCACAGTGTGTCAAAGCCAGAGTCATCATTGGTCCTGATGGAGCTGGACAAGATCAAGGGGTCTGGTCTGTTCAAGAGCAGCCGAGCAAAGAGGTCATCCGGGAACTCCCCCGGGCCCTGCGGCAGGCACTGGGAGTATTGCTGTTCGGCACCGACATCATCATCAACAACCAGATGGGGCAGCATGCCGTCATCGACATCAACGCCTTCCCAGCCTACGAGGGTGTGAGCAGGTTCTTCACAGACCTCTGGAACCACATCGCCACCATTTTCCAAGACCAGAGCACAGCCACAGCAGCCACAGGGGATGTGGCCCCACTGAGGCACAGCAAGCTCCTGGCCAAGCCGGCGAGCAGCCTAGCAGGCAAGCAGACATGCAGCACCAGCCACAGCTGCTGCAGCAGCATGATGGGCCAGGATGCACCCTGGAAGGCCAATGCCTATGTGGGTAGTACCTCCAAGCTGCCGCACCCGAGACTCTGCTGCACCACCAGTATGTCGCCCAGCTTCTAGCAGCACAGCGTGGCCTCCCTGGCCAACAAGGCCTCCTCCCAGTACCCATGGAGCCAAGATCCAGAGGGGTGGCATGGGGAATACCCGCTGGGCTAGCAGCTCCCAATGGCGATGCTACTACTAAGAATCCCCAATGATCTGATTCTTCTTTTTCTTAACTTTAACCTGATTTTCTGATGTCATGATCTAAATGAGGGTTGGGGGAAGATGGAAGAGAACATCAAGTGGTCCAGCGTTAGGAAAAAGGGCCATCCCATCCCACATGATTCCTGCTGTGCAGACATCTTCACTGAGTTAAAAAAAAAAACTGTATGTGTATCCTTTAATCTATAATAAAAGTTGAACTTTTAAAAAAAGAAAACAAATATTAGAAAACATAAGAAAAAAATGTATCACCTTAAGAGTGGGGAAGGCCTTCCTCAGCAAGACAAATCCCAGCAGTCATAAAAGGAAAATGAATAAATCTGGCTTTGTAAAAATTATAAATCTCTATAGAGTGTAAAAAATACGAGAAACTTAGAAGTAAATATGTAATAAAGCAAGTATGGTAAAACGTTAATAGTAGAATCTAGTGGGCTGGGCACGGTGGCTCACACCTATAATCCGAGCACTTTGGGAGGCCGAGGCAGGCAGATCACCTGAGGTCGGGAGTTTGAGACCAGCCTGAGCAACATGGAGAAACGCCGTCTCTACTAAAAATACAAAATTAGCCAGGTGTGGTGGCGCGTGCCTGTAATCCTAGCTACTCGGGAGGCTGAGGCAGGAGAATCACTTGAACCCAGGAGGCAGAGGTTGCGGTGAGCTGAGATTGTGTCATTGCACTCCAGCCTAGGCAACAAGAACAAAACTCCATCTCAAAAAAAAAAAAAAGAAAGAAAGAAGAAAAAAAAAGAATCTAGTGGATGGGTATATATGGTGTTCATTGTAAAATTCTTTTTTTTTTTTTTTTTTTGAGATGGAGTCTCGCTCTGTTGCCCAGGCTGGAGTGCAGTGGCGATCTCGGCTCACTGCAAGCTCCGCCACCCGGGTTCATGACATTCTCCTGCCTCAGCCTCCCAAGTAGCTGGGACTACAGGCGCCCGCCACCACAGCCGGCTAATTTTTTTGTATTTTTAGTAGAGATGGGGTTTCACTGTGTTAGCCAGGATGGTCTTGATCTCCTGACCTCGTGATCTGCCCACCTCAGCCTCCCAAAGTGCTGGGATTACAGGCATGAGCCACCGCACCAGGCCCATTGTAAAATTCTTTAAACTTTGCTACATGCTTGAAATTTCACACTAAACTATGGAAAACACCATAAAGATAAGTAACAAATGGGGCAAATATCCATTAAACATGTTTTCAAACATTTTGGTTGACTTCCATTTTTTTAAACAATTATTTGTTCATGCATTCATTCAACAAATATTAACCTAACATTGGCTATACGATAAGTACTGTTCTAGGTAATGGGGATACTGCTGTGAACAAAATAAAGTCCCTGTCCCCACGAACTCAGCTTGGAACCCAAACTCTTTTTTTTTTTTTTTTTTTTTTGAGAGGGAGTCTCGCACTGTCCTCCGGGCTGGAGTGCAGTGGCGTGATCTTGGCTCACTGCAACTTCCACCTCCTGGGTTCAAGCGATTGTCCTTCCTCAGCCTCCCGAGTAGCTGGGATTACAGGTGCCTGCCACCACACCCAGCTAATTTTTTGTATTTTTAGTAGAGATGGGGTTTCATCATGTTGGCCAGGCTGGTCCCAAACTCCTGACCTCGTGATTCACCCGCCTCGGCCTCCCAAAGTGCTGGGATTACAGGCGTGAGCCACCACACCTGGCCCCAAATTGTTTCCCTACCGTAAATGCCTAGAGAAGAAATCACTGTCAGTGGTATGAGTAGTTATAAGGTTCTTGATACAATCAATTTGAACTGTAGTCATCAAAATTCAAGAACTGGGCCATCATGGTGGCTCACACCTGTAATCCCAGCACTTTCGGAGGCTGAAGCGAGTGGATCACCTGAGGTACGGAGTTCGAGACCAGTCTGGCAAACATGGTGAAACCCCGTCTCTACTAAAATACAAAAATTAGCCGGGTGTGGTGGCACGGGCCTGTAATCCTTGCTACTCAGGAAGCTGAGGCACAAGAATCCCCTGAGCCTGGAAAGCAGAGGTTGCGGTGAGCCAAGATCGCACCACTGAACTCCAGCCTGGAAGACAGAGTGAGACTATCTCCACAAACAAAAACAAACAAACAAACAAACAAAAAAAAAAGGAAAAAAAATCAAGAACTGAACAGATATGAATAAATTTATAAATTTTCAGATGAAATTATCCTGAACTCTCTTGACATCCAATATCCAAACCAAATAAATTCAGGTATTGAACTCTTGCTATCTAAACTCAGGAAGGGAACATATTTGGATAGAAAGGAATATTTTTAATTGGCCACCAAAGCACTCTGAACAAACACCTTCCAAAGGCATATCCCTTTTATAAAGCATTTCTAGGATGCTGGACTGAATCATCATATATGAGGATCTTCACAAAATGAGTATATTTCTAGAAAATATAAAATGCTAAAATTGGCAGAAGAGATGAAATGGTAATCAAAAACCAGCTCCAGATGCTTTTATTTTATTATTTTTTGAGACAGGGTGTCACTCTGTCACTGAGGCTGGAGTGCAGTGGCATGATCATGGCTTACCACAGTCTCAACCTCCCAGACTCAGGTAATCCTCCTGCCTCAGCCTCCTGAGTAGTTAGAACTATAGGCACCTGCCACCACGCCCAGCTAATTTTTGTATTTTTTGTAGAGACAGAGTTTCGCCATGTTGCCCAGGATCGTCTCGAATTCCTGGGTTCAAGTGATCCAACTGCCTCAGCCCACTGCGCCCAGCCTCCAGATGCTTTTAAAGGTGAGTCCTACCAAGTTTTTCGAGGTACAGATAATTCTTATACAAGTTTCTCCAATAAAGAGAGAATAACAAAGGCTGCCCAATTCATGTAATGAGGCTACCTTGATTCCAATGCCAGATAAATACTGAAAATAAAAATATTGGACTACCTCACTGATAAATACAGGTGTAGATATCCTAGATGATACAATGGCTAATAAAATCTAACAAGGTTTTAAAAATATACATAAATCACTTAAATAACATTTCTGCCAAAAACTCATGAGTAAGCATCAGAAAAATCCAAACTGAGAAACATTCTATAAAACAACTAACTTTAAAACATGCTTTCAATATAATCCATAGGTTCAGGAAAAAAAAAAATGACAAGGTCATAAAAGACAAAGATAGAATAACTGTTTCAGATTAAAGGAGACAAGGAGCTCAATGCAATACATGATCTTGGACTGGATCCTGGATTGGGGAAAACCATTATAAAGGACATTATTGAGAAGAGTGATAACATCTGAATATGGGCTTTATATAGAATAAAAGTACTATATAATTGTTTAATTTCCTGATATTGATAAGTATATTGTGGTTATGGAAGAGAACACCTTTGTTCTTAAGACGTACATGCTGCCAGACTTAAAAGGTCATGTCAGGCTGGATGTGGTGGCTCATGCCTGTAATCCCAGCACTTTGGGAGGCCGAGATGGGCGGATCACCTGAGGTCGGGAGTTTGAAACCAGCCTGATCAACATGGAAAAATCCTGTCTCTACTAAAAATACAAAATTAGCTGGGTGTGGTGACGCATGCCTGTAATCCCAGCTACTTGGGAGACTGAGGCAGGAGAATCGCTTGAATGCAGGAGGAAGAGGTTGCAGTGGGCCGAGATTGCACCATTGCACTCCAGCCTGGGCAACAAGAGTGAAACTCTGACTCAAAAAGAAAAGTCATGGCTGCCACCAACTCAAACGATTAAAAAAAACGTGTGTGTGTGTGTGTGTGTGTGTGTGTGTGTGTGTGTGTGTCTATGTAAAGATATAGAGCTATAGGGTGGGCCAGGCGCGGTAGCTCACGCCTGTAATTCCAGCACTTTGGGAAGCTGAGGCAGGTGGATCACCTGAGGTCAGGAGTTTGAGACCAACCTGACCAACATGGTGAAACCTCGTTTCTAATAAAAATACAAAAATTAGCCAGGCGTACTGGCAGGCGCGTGTAATCCCAGCTACTTGGAAGGCTGAGGCAGGAGAATTGCTTGAACACAGGAGGCGGAGGTTGCAGTGAGCCAAGATCACGCCATTGCACTCCAGCCTGGGTGACAGAGTGATTCCGTCTCAAAAAAAAAAAAAAAAAAAAAAAAAGATATAGAGTGATAGAGCAAATGTGGCAAAATACTTAAAACAAGTAATTCTGAGTAGAGGATATATGGGAATTCATTATACTTTTTCTTGCAACCTTTCTGTAAATTTGAGATATTTTCAAAGTAAGAAGTCATAAACATATACATACATACCATGATCAAGTGGGGTATAGCTCAAGAATGCCAAGGATATCATTTAATGCAATTTACAAAATTTTTATTTATTTTTTTGATATGGAGTCTCACTCTGTTGCCCAGGATGGAGTGCAGTGGCACGATCTCAGCTTATTGCAACCTCCACCTCCCAGGTTCAAGCGATTCTCATGTCTCAGTCTCCCCAGTAGCTGGGATTACAGACATGCTTCACCACGCCTGGCTGATTTTTTTATTTTTAGTAGAAATGAGGTTTCACCATGTTGGCCAGGCTGGTCTTGAACTCCTGGCCTCAAGCGATCCAACCACCTTGGCCTCCCAAGGTGCTGTGATCCACCATGCCAGGCCACAATTTATGAAATTAATGGACAAAGGGAGAAAAAAAGCACAGGATTTTGAAGTTCAATACTTATTTATGGTCAATCTTAGCAAACGAAGATTAGATAATTTTCTTGATTTATTAAAGGATACATTCTAAAAACTTACTGCATGCACCATACTTAATGGAGAAACTTTAGACACATTCCCTTTTATTCCTCTCCCTTCTTCCTACTGTCTCAACTGCCATGTGCTGAGGATGGCTACACAGAAGGGGCTGCCTGTCAGCCCTAGATTAATTGCTCTTCTGCAGACTGCCTTTATGGGAAAGAAAAGTAAACTATCTTGTCTAAGCCATTATCCTTTGGACTTTCTGCCACAACCAGCCAAAGTAAATCTTAATTTGTGTACCCAGTATCACTTATACTATTTAATATGGTACTAAAAGTCCTGGACAATACTATAAATGAAGAAAAATAAATAAGTGACAGGATAGATTTGCATACAATATGACCAACTACTTAGAAAGAACATCAGAATCAACAATGAAGTATTAGAAATAATAAGGGCATACAGCAGGGGTAACTTACAGAAATCAACAGCTTTCCTCTACCCCAGCAAATACCAGCATGAAAAATATTTTTTAAAAAATAAGATAATGGCCTGTAATCCCAGAACTTTGGGAGGCCAAGGTGGGTGGATTGCTGGAGCTCAGGAGTTCAAGATCAGCCTGGACAACATGGTGAAACTCCGTCTCTACAAAAAATTAGCTGGGCGTGGTGGTGCGTGCCTGTAGTCCTAGCTACTTGGAAGGCTGAGGTAGGAAGATCACTTGAGCCTGTGGAGGTCGCCACTGCACTCCAGCCTGGGTGACAGAGCAAGACCAAGTCTCGAGAAAAAAAAAAAAAGATAATGAAAGTGACTGAAGTACCTAGGGATTACTTTAACAAAGAATACATAAGACCTGTATTTCCATTTATGAAAATGAAAGCTTTTTATGCTCTTTACATAAATTTCAAAATATTCTCTACAAAGGTCTTAGATGAAATGACTACTTACAAAGATAATTTTCCCCAAATTAATAGAGAAGTTCAGTGTAACATCGATCAAAATTCTTGTTGTTTTTGAGGGACTTTGATAACTTTTGATATATAATAAAGCCCCATAAATGATTAAACCAGCTTTGAAAAATAAGTGCAAAGGAGCTACTAAGACATTCTATAAAGCCATAATAATAAAAACAGTAAGGTGCTGGCACAAGAATGTGCAAATAGACCAATGGAACAAATCACATCACTCAAGACGGATCCATGTACATGAGGGAACCTGAAATCAGATGAGGTACCACAGATCAATAAAGAAAGAATGGACTATTTAGGAGGTGGTACTGGAAAAACTGCCTACTATATGGAAGAAAATAAAACCGGAGCCTACCGTATGCCATATTCAAGAGTGGAATCTAGATGGATTAAAGATCTGAATGCAAAAGGTAAAAACTACATTAGGCTGGGCGCAGTGGCTCACACCTGTAATCCTAGCATTTTGGGAGGCCAAGGCGGGTGGATCACCAGGTCAGGAGATCGAGACCATCCTGGCTAACACAGTGAAACCCCATCTCTACTAAAAATACAAAAAATTAGCCAGGTGTGGTGGCGGGCGCCTGTAGCACCAGCTACTCGGGAGGCTGAGGCAGGAGAATGGTGTGAACCCGGGAGGCGAAGTTTGCAGTGAGCCGAGATCGTGCCACTGCACTCCAGCATGGGTGACAGAGCGAGACTCATCTCAAAACAAACAAACAAACAAACAAAAAACACTATACATTAACAGATAAAGCAAAAAAGGTGACGTTGGGCTGGGCACGGTGGCTCACGCCTGTAATCCCAACACTTTGGGAGGCCGAGGCAGGCGGATCACCTGAGGTCAGGAGTTCGAGACCAGCCTGACCAACATGGAGAAACCCCATCTCTACTAAAAATACAAAAAATTAGCTGGGCGTGGTGGCGCATGCCTGTAATCCCAGCTACTTGGGAGGCTGAGGCAGGAGAATTGCTTGAACCTGGGAGGTGGAGGTTGTGGTGAGCCGAGATCGCGCCATTGTACTCCAGCCTGGGCAACAAGAGCGAAACTCCGTCTCAAAAAAAAAAAAAAAAAAAATGATGCTAGCACATCAAAATTAACAACAGGCATCTACTCTTGGGGGAAGTATTAAGTAAAACTCAGTAGACATGCCCCATGATGCCCTTGCCAGCAATTAGAAACAAAGTAGTAACATATACATGGCAATACAGACAGATGTTAAAAATACAGCACTGTGCCGGGTGTGGTGGCTCATGCCCATAATCCCAGCACTTTGGGAGGCCAAGATGGGAGGATCACCTGAAGTCGAGAGTTCGAGACCAGCCTGACCAGCATGGAGAAACCCCATCTCTACTAAAAATACAAAATTAGCCAGGCGTGGTGGCACATGCCTGAAATCCCAGCTATGTGGGAGGCTAAGGCAGGAGAATCGCTTGAAACCGGGAGGCAGAGGTTGTGGTCAGCCAAGACTGCGCCATTGCACTCCAGCCTGGGCAACAAGAGTGAAACTCTTTCTCAAAACAAAGAAACAAAACAAAACAAAACAAACAAACAAAAAAAAACAGCACTGTTGGCCAGTTACAGCGGCTCATGCCTTTAATCCCAGCACTTTGGGAGGCCAAGGGAGGAGAATTGCCTGAGCCCAGGAGTTTGAGACCAGCCTGGGCAACATAGAGACACCCTGTCTCAAAACAAAAAACAAAAAACAAAAAAAACCTCCCACTCTGAGTAATACAAAGTTCAGGAAACAAAACGAAGACTGTGGCACCATGCCATGTGTGTCAACTGAAAACACAGTCACTCAAAACAACACTTCATATTTTCATTTTCTATGAAAATGTATCTATATGATACATTTATGTATGTATTTATATGATACATGTATCTATATGATACATTTATATGAAAATGATCTATATGATAAATCTATGATACATTTTCTATGATATGTATCATAGAAGGATACATTTTCTATGATATGTATCATAGAAGGATACATTTTCTATGATATGTATCATAGAAGGATACATTTTCTATGATATGTATCATAGAAGGATACATTTTCTATGATATGTATCATAGAAGGATACATTTTCTATGATATGTATCATAGAAGGATACATTTTCTATGATATGTATCATAGAAGGATACATTTTCTATGATATGTATCATAGAAGGATACATTTTCTATGATATGTATCATAGAAGGATACATTTTCTATGATATGTATCATAGAAGGATACATTTTCTATGATATGTATCATAGAAGGATACATTTTCTATGATATGTATCATAGAAGGATACATATCAAACACGACAGAGCAGCTGCCCACAGAGGTGGGAATTGGGAATAAAAATGAAAAAATAAACATGACAAGAGGAAGCCTTTTGCTGACCTATGACAGAAACCTACCTTGAACTGGAAAGTATGATGAACTCAAACCTCTGCACTTGAGGGCTTTTAAAAGTCAATGGTTTTACTTGGTAATAAAGTTTGAACAAAGTATGTATGTCAGCTACTCAAATTCAGAAATGGCCACAGAGCACTTCTAGTGAATACCGTCCAAAATCAAATGTCTTTCAAAAAACATTTCTAATGAAAGCCAAGACTGAATAACACTAGGTGATGACCTTATCTCAAATTTGGGCTCACTTTTCAGAAAACAAAATATTACAATTCTACATTTTTAAAAGGAGTGGTGGTAGAAGAAACACTTCGTAAAACATTTTAAAAATTATTTTCTCTTTTTATAAAGCTATTGACTCTTGAGTCTTAATAGAGGCTTTCTGAGAGAGTTAGGTCTGCTTTTCTAGGCAATCTTCAAGTGTCATGGCTGGGTCACCTGCCTCGGAATCACCTGGATGGCGAGGGATCACTGAATTTTACTCAGGATTTCTGTATTTTACCCAGTGTTCCAGCTATTCCTTGTTCATAGCAGAGCTGAAGAAATAACTGTCTGAGAGTATCCATTCCCAGCAAGTATCATGCCAACTGTAGCCCATACTGTCCCTGGAGTCTTCCACTATCTGACCTGGCTTGTCCCCTAGTGGTCCCGGGCAAATCCTGACTCTGATGGTGCCATTCCCACCCATCCCTCATACCCCAGGCTATAGCCCCAACCTCAACCTCCCACCCGTTAACTGCATAGCGTCCCTGTGACACCCTGAGTACTGAGAAGGATGCAATCTCATGTCTCATTCATCACTGCACTATCAGAGCCTAGCACAGGTCCTGGCTCACAACAGGTGCCAAACACCTGTCTGCTGAAAAGAAACCCATCATCTGCTATGCTGTTTCCTCTACCCAGAAGCCCCATCCTAGCACCTTCTTGGATCAATTCTCACATAGACGCAAGCCTAGGCTGTCTGGGAAGCTGAGAACAGATAACTCACCGTCTTTCATACTCCATGTCCTGATAGGGCCTTCGGGGGCTGCTGGGGCCCCTCCTCAGCCGCTGGCTCCGTTTCACTTCCCAGCCACCCCCGCTGCTGCTACCATGATCTGCCAGCCTGGGTGATGCTTCCTGCAGGGACTCTGGGGAGAGTGGAGGGAAGAAAGGGGTCAAAACTGTTGGGACTGAGAGGGCCTCCTTGAGAAACTCTTATTGTCAAGGCTCTCCGCTGCCCCTTAGCCCAGGGACATTGTCTTCCAGCTCCCAGCACTCCTGTGCATCACAGTATGAAGGTAGCCCCTACTTGGCCTGCTCCTCCCTTTCCCCGCAAACATAAGGCTAGAGCCCACTGCCCTAGAAAACAGCAAGGACTTCAGCAGACAGGGGGCATCTTGCAGAGAGACCTGGCGGGGCCACCCACAGTGTGATCAGGGCTTTGCCACCTAAGACAGGTAGACAAATTCAAGCCTGGGGCTGCATCCCAGGGTGGGGGTAGGGGACTCTCAGGGCTGAAAGTCTTGCCTGAGATTCAGCACATCAGACAAGACTTCACAACAATGGGGGCCCCAGGCTCCTTCCACAGGCCCCAAGGGACCATCTCATCCTCCCAACAAGCTGCTGGCTGTCCCCTATAAGGCAGCAAAAGACCATGAAAGGCTCTTGGGGGGGTGTGTGAAGGGGCGAACTTGGCGACGAGACAGCTGCCACCTCCCTGGGCTCCTGGCCAACACAGCCTTGGCCCTCACACAGCAACTGGCTCAGCCCTGAGCCCTGTCTCTTATGTGCAGCCCGGTCCTAAGGTGGTTCCCTCCCCAGGGCTCAAGCCCGGTTTCCAGAGGCAAAAGGGGCCCTTTTGGAGGCTGTTCTGAACCACTGTGCTCTTCTATTGGGATGGAGCAGCAGCCACTTCATCCAACCCTCAGGGCTGTGGTGAGAACTCAGGGAGTCCTGAGAACCCTGTGACCCAGCCAGAGGTCAGGATGAATCCCAGATCTTCAGGCCCCACCCTCTGAATAAGAAGCAGGTAAAGCCAGGCAATAATAGCACCTGCTCAACACTAGGTTGCTGCCACACCTTTGCTCTATGCTCGTGCACACACATACACAGACAAACACACTCCAATTTTCTCTTCCTCCTCAAGCCACAGGGAACCCGAGTTACCTGCTCCCAGGTGGGCAAGAGTTAGAATCACACAGAGGCACTGGCGTCTGAGAGCACAAAAACCTTCAAGAGACTCTGGCAAAGGGGCCAGAGTCACACAGTAACATCCACCACAGCCAAGGGCCAGTCACAGACACGAGCCCCAAATAACTACGGGCCCACATCACAGAAGGAACACACAGTAAGGACCACAATTACACAGTGGGTCCCCTTTCCATGGATGAGCGTCAGTGTCACAGATACAAACTCCCCAAAAGAAGGGGCAATGAGTCACACACACATTCCCTGCATGCCCCTTCCCACCCAATAAGTGGGTTAGGGTCAATCAAAAGACAGTCGTCCCCCAAGCCCCGCCCCATGGATAAGGATCAGAGTCACAGACCGCCCCCCCTCAAAGGGTAAAGACCAGAGTCACATCCCCCCTCCGATCCCCCAGGAATAGAGACCAGAACCACAGAATATTTCCCCATGGACCGATAAACACCAGAGTAACACAGAGCAGCATCCCCTCTCCTATGCACAAACTCAAAGTCGCAGACAACCGCTTCCCCACTGATAAACTTCGATGTAGCCGACACAGTGATCCACAGTAGCCCACTCCCATCCGTCCCTCCCTTCCCCCAACCCGCATGCACCCATCCCATGTCCCAGTCGCGCACGCGCCTTTGCTCACACCAAAAAAAAAAAAAAAAAAAAAAAAAACCAAAAAAAAAAAAACCCTCCCGGGTTGAGACATTGCACCAACCCCTCCGTTCCGCGCATCTCCCCCGACCCGAAGTCCGCCCTCGCGCCTCCTCTACGTCCCCGCCCCGGGCCCCTTACCTCCGCCCCCACGACCAGCGTCGACGCTCACCTTCTCGGCCCGGGCTGTCAAGGAAGGGCTCCCAGACATCACCTCTGCCCGCCGCCACCTCCTCCAACTCTCCCAGCTCAGCCGGAGCCGGAGCGCGCAACAACCAAGTCCGAGACTGGAGGCAGATCGGGGGGAGGGGAGAAGCGCCAAGCGCGCTGCCCTCCCAGGGAAACTCACTGCCGCCTACTCCCAGCCGGCCACAGTCACCAGCTCAAAATGGCGACGACGAGAAGGGAGTCGGCGCTCCGACCACCATCCACCTACTAAGGAAGCGCGCTCTGGCCGGCCCCGGCGATTGGTCACCGCCCGCTAGGGGACAGCCCTGGCCTCCTCTGATTGGCAAGCGCTGGCCACCTCCCCACACCCCTTGCGAACGCTCCCCTAGTGGAGAAAAGGAGTAGCTATTAGCCAATTCGGCAGGGCCCGCTTTTTAGAAGCTTGATTTCCTTTGAAGATGAAAGACTAGCGGAAGCTCTGCCTCTTTCCCCAGTGGGCGAGGGAACTCGGGGCGATTGGCTGGGAACTGTATCCACCCAAATGTCACCGATTTCTTCCTATGCAGGAAATGAGCAGACCCATCAATAAGAAATTTCTCAGCCTGGCCGAAAATGGTTGGCCCCACGAAGCCACGACAACTGGAGGCAAAGAGGGTTGCTCAACGCCCCGCCTCATTGGAAAACCAAATCAGATCTGGGACCTATATAGCGTGGCGGAGGCGGGGCGATGATTGTCGCGCTCGCACCCACTGCAGCTGCGCACAGTCGCATTTCTTTCCCCGCCCCTGAGACCCTGCAGCACCATCTGTCATGGCGGCTGGGCTGTTTGGTTTGAGCGCTCGCCGTCTTTTGGCGGCAGCGGCGACGCGAGGGCTCCCGGCCGCCCGCGTCCGCTGGGAATCTAGCTTCTCCAGGACTGTGGTCGCCCCGTCCGCTGTGGCGGGAAAGCGGCCCCCAGAACCGACCACACCGTGGCAAGAGGACCCAGAACCCGAGGACGAAAACTTGTATGAGAAGGTGAGAGGCGGGGGGGGGGGGGGGGGTAGTGGGGACGGAACCCCGAAGGGGTCAGTCCGGGATCGGCAGATGGGGCGCTGTAGAGGACGTTCTTAGGCAGTAGAGGACTGCGCGGCCGGCGAAAGCCTAGAAGACTTGGGAATTTTGCCTACCTTGTGTTCCTCCTTTGTCTCTCGGTATCTTCGTTCCAGGGCCAGAGGCAGGATTGGTTTTATTTTGCAGACAGAAATCACACCTCAAGTGGACAGCGCTCAAAACACGTTAGAAGCAGTATAGTACAACGATAATACTAAACACCGATATGGCACTTGCTCGTTGCCGTCTGCATTCTTTTTTTTTTTTTTATAGGGACGAGATCTCGCTATGTTGCCCAGGCTGGTCTCGAACTCCTGGCTCAAGCGATCCTCTCGCCTCGGCCTCCCAAGGTGCTGGGATTACAGGCATGAGCCACCGCTCCGGGCCCCGTCTGTGTTCTAAACACTTGACATGCATTAGCTCATCTTATACTCGAAACAAACCCCATTTCGAGGTGGGCTCTATTATTATACTCATCCTACAGATGAGGAAACTGAGGCACAGAGATGTTAAGTGGATTGCCCTAGCTCACATAACTGAATACATGGTGGAGGTGGAACTGGTATTTGAATTTAGGGCTACCAGGTCTGCTGTGCTGTATTAATAGCAGACGCTGTGAAATCAGGCAGCACTGACGGTTACCCACCCGTGTGATCTTGGTAGCATAAACCCTTGGTGCCTCAGTTTCTTTGTCTGTAAGATGGGAACAGTAATAGGACACCTTCTAAAAAATAGGACACCCCACCTGCCTCATGTAATTAAATGAGTAAAAATGGTCAGAACAGCAGCTGGCACTTCGTAAGTATGTACTCAGCACTAGAATGTGTTTATTATTGCCATGTTTCACCTCACTGAGATATTGTGAGGTGTTTCTATGTGAAAAGACTGGCACATAATAAGTACTTCATCAATACTAACCTCTGGTTAAGGGGCTTGGATATATAGGATGCTTGTTCATTCTGTAAATATGTATTGAGGGCCTGCTGTATGCCAGGCTCAGTTCAGGGCCCTGGGGATACAGCAGTGTGGAAATCAGACAAAGCCCATGCTCTCATAGAGCTTACATGATAGTGGGGAAGACAGAAAATAAACAGTAAAATATTAGAAAACAATAATACAAAGTAGTATAATAGATAATATAACATGAGAATGTATGATATACAGAGAATGGGGAAAGTATGCTACTTAGGTAAACATAGACTAGAAAGAGACAGAAGGAAGAGAGGATGTGAAGACAAAGTTAAGCAAGATAAGTGGATAGAGAATGACTTGGGTGTAGGGGGCTATTTCATTAGCTTGAGCTATAAGAAATTGCCAGTATTCAACCATTTGTGACCTATAAAAATAGCAGTTTCCTATGCTTCAACTTTGAAAGACAAGGTAACTAGGGAGTGCCTCCTGAAGGAAGTGGTGATGAATCTAAAACCTTGAATGAGGAGACAGATCCAGCCATGACTAGAGCTGGAAGAAAGGCTTTCCAGGCAGAGAGAGCAGCAAGTGCAGTGGCCCTGCAGTGGGAAGGAGCTTGACATATCCCAAGAATGGAAACAGAGGAATTTAGTGAGAGGGGCACATGGAGACCAAGTTATGCAGGGCCAGAATAAGGCTTTGTGGAGCAGCAGGAAGCCCTCATTGACCTCTATTTCTCCACAGAACCCAGACTCCCATGGTTATGACAAGGACCCCGTTTTGGACGTCTGGAACATGCGACTTGTCTTCTTCTTTGGCGTCTCCATCATCCTGGTCCTTGGCAGCACCTTTGTGGCCTATCTGCCTGACTACAGGTGCACAGGGTGTCCAAGAGCGTGGGATGGGTAAGAGGCAGAGGCAGGGATGGAGGTTGAAGGGGATTCTGCCAGGAGTTTTGTTCCTGCACCATTGGGAATGGGGAGCTGAGATGAGGGATTGGTATCAGTTGAGGCTCCCTCACGTCTACCCCTGCTATTTGCACTACCAGGATGAAAGAGTGGTCCCGCCGCGAAGCTGAGAGGCTTGTGAAATACCGAGAGGCCAATGGCCTTCCCATCATGGAATCCAACTGCTTCGACCCCAGCAAGATCCAGCTGCCAGAGGATGAGTGACCAGTTGCTAAGTGGGGCTCAAGAAGCACCGCCTTCCCCACCCCCTGCCTGCCATTCTGACCTCTTCTCAGAGCACCTAATTAAAGGGGCTGAAAGTCTGACTCGCTAGTGTTGATTGTGTTGTGAAGGGGATATGGGATGGGGGTGTCAAAAGCTTTAAAAGGGCTGCTGCAACCTTCCCTGGGTGTTCTGGCTGTATATTGCTGTGTAGCAAACACCTAAAAACTTAGTGGCTTAAAACCACAATTCAGTCTTCTCTTTCATGGCCCTGTGGGTTGACTGGGCTCAGTAAGGTGGCTCTTCTAGGGGTCTCAGGTAGTTGTAGTTAGATGGTGGCTGGGACTGGAGTCATCTGAAGGCTCAACTGGGCTGGGTATCTAAGATGGCTTCTTCACTCACATGTCTGGCACTTCAGTCCTCTTCCATATGGCCTCTCTCCAGCAGAACAGCCTTGACTTTTTTTTTTTTTTTTTTTTTGAGATGGAGCCTTGCTCTGTCACCCAGGCTAGAGTGCAGTGGCACAATCTCTGCTCACTGCAATCTCCACCTCCCGGGTTCAAGCGATTCTCCTGCCTCAGCCTCCAGAGTAGCTGGGACTACAGGTGCCCGCCACCATACCTGGCTAATTTTTGTATTTTTAGTGGAGACAGGGTTTCACCATGTTGGCCAGGATGGTCTCAATCTCCTGACCTCGTGATCCGCCCGCCTCGGCCTCCCAAAGTGCTGGGATTAGCGGTGTGAGCCACCGTACCCAGCCTTTTTTTTTTTTTTTTTAAGAAGGAGTTTCACTCTTATCACCCAGGCTGGAATGCAGTGGCACCATCTCGGCTCACTGCAACCTCTGCCTCCGAGGTTCAAGCAATTCTCCTGCCTCAGCCTCCCGAGTAGCTGGGATTACAGGCGCCCGCCCCATGCCCAGCTAATTTTTCTATTTTTAGTAGAGATGGGGTTTCACCATGTTGGCCAGGCTGGTTTAGAACTCCTGACCGTAGGTCATCCACCTGCCTCGGTCTCCCAAAGTGCTGGGATTACAGGCATGAGCCACTGTGCCCAGCCTAACCTCAGCTTCTTACATGACGGCTTGGGGCTCCTCTGGATGACAGCGTGGCACATGGGAAGAAATTGTTGGCAGCTATCTTTAGAGCCAGACCACCTCACTGGGACCTCCTACGTTTGAAGAGAAGCCAGGGAGACCAGGGATTAAGGTGGAGGGTGAGTGCAGGGCTTTCTCTTTCTAAGGGTGGGTGTTTTGTCTCCCCTCCCTGTCCTCTCTGCTTCTCTCTGGGCTTTAGGGTTTGCCCCTGTCCTGTGTGTTGGTGAGTCTGGATGCCTGTATTCCCTTCTGCCCCAAATCTGGATGACCTCTAACTCAAGATATGCATCTGTGTGTGTGTATGTGTGTGCACGTGTGTCTGTTTCTCTCCTCACCCCCTTTCCTCTCTTTGTCTTTCTGTGTCTCGAAATCAAGAAGTCTTTTCTCCCTTACTTTCTTCCTCTGTGGAAATAGGCTGTCTCCTTGCACCAGGGTTGCTGTCTCTCAGTCTGGCAGATGGAGTAGGGGACTTGTTCTGGCCCTGGCTGAGTTTGTTTCTTTCAAAAGCATCTCTGTTAAGTGTGGGCTTCCCTTCACCCTCTTGGCATCTCTTCCTTCCACAGCTCCCACATTCAAATCACCACCTCATATATTCATTGCTACCATCTCTGTGCTTGTCCCTGCCTGGGGCTTTGGAGGGTGTGGGAGCCTCCAGCCACTGGCTACAGGAAGAAAATCTGGCTTGCCAAATTCACCACTAGAGGCAATGCCCTACTTCTAGCTACTGGGTCTCAGGAGAACCCAAATCCACTTACATGTGGCTGAGGCGGGAGCCATATCTGCATGAGCCTTCCTGCAAGTGAGGAAGACCCTGAGGGCTTCCCCTGCCCCAGTGCTGCTTTGTGGGGCCAGTCTCCCAACTCGAGTGTACCCCAAAGCAGAGAGTACTAATGTATAAAGGGAGCACTCTCTACCCTCCCCCTGCAGTTAGTGGGACTATGGAAGTGAAAGGGGCATGTTACCCCAGCCACCAAGTACCTGGGTATATTGGTGCAATAACCCCTATAATAAGCCTCAGCCTGGTGCCTAGAGAGCACATTCTCTCCACTCACCACCCACCAGGATGTAAATTCCAGAAGGGCAGGTATTCACATATGTTCTGTTCACTTAGAGCAGTGACTGGCATGGTATGTGCTTGATAAACATTTGGTATTGATACCTCCTGTGTAGGTGACATCCCATACCCATCCTTGCCTTCTGGCTTACCCCCCTGAGGATGAACACTTCTCATTCCCTTCTGCTCTGCCTCATCAAGCTCCAGGGCTCTCCAGAAGCCTCCATTCTGGTCAAACAGAAGGCTGCACTTAGACTTAATCCTAAAATCCGAGCCCTGGCCCCATTCTGACAATACTACCTTCCCCTCCCTCATCATGGCCCAGCCACACTGACTGACTCTTTATAAATCATTGAATTAAAATACACATGCAGAAAAGCTCACAAAGCTCATTTACTTTTTATAAATTGGGCACACCCATATAACCAGCACTCAGGTCAAGAAACATACTTTGAGAGGCAGAGGCAGACTGGTGTCTCAAGCTTGGGAGTTTGAGACTAGCCTGGGCAACATGGTGAAACCTCGTCTCTACAAAAAATACAAAAATTAGCGAGGCATGATGGTCCCAGCTAGTAAGGGTGCTGAGGTGGGAGGATCGCTTGAGCCTAGGAGGCAGAGGTTGCAGTGAGCCGAGATCGCACCGTGCCACTACACTCCAGCCTGGGCCACAGAGCGAGACCCTGTCTCAAAAACAAAAAGACAAACAAAAATCACAACATGGCAAACCCCAGAAGCTCCCTTCAGGTCTTCCCTCTTCCCCACCAAAGGTAGCCACTCTCCTGACTTCTAACAATGTTAGGTTACTTTGGTCTGGTTTTGTGTCCAGTTTCTTTCATTCTGTACAACGTTTGTGAGACTGATCAACATCGTCACATACATGAGTAGTTTGTTCATCCTCATTGCTGTATTCCATTTCATTGTATGAACAGACCAGACTTTAGCCATTCTTACGTTGCTGAGCATTTGAGTTGTTTTATATTTGGGGCTATTAAGAATTTTTTTTTCTTTTGAGACAGAGTCTTGCTCTGTCGCTCAGGCTGGAGTGCAGTGGTGCGATCTTGGCTCACTGCAACCTCCACCTCCCTGGGTTGGAGTGATTCTCATGCCTCAGCCTCCCGAGTAGCTGGGGTTATAGGCGTGACCCACCAGGCCCAGCTAATTTTTGTATTTTTAGTAGAGACAGTGTTTCACCAGGTTGGCCAGGCTGATCTCAAACCCCTGATCTTAAGTGATCCACCTACCTTGGCCTCCCAGAGTGCTGGGATTACAAGCATGAGCCACTGTGCCTGGCTAAGAATAATTCTGTGAACATTCTTGTACACATCTTTTGATAGACATATGTACTCATTTCTTGGGTATATAACCTAGGAATGGAATTGCTAAGTCATTGCGTAGACATGTGACCAATCAGCTTCAGTAAATCATGCCAATTTTCCAATCTACACTTTCCCAGAGTTGACTCCCCATCATTCGGCATTTCCCATCTTTTTCACTGCAGCCATTCTGGCGGATGACTAACCTTTTTTTTTTTCTTTTCTTGAGACAGGGTCTCACTCTGTTGCCCAGGCTGGAATGCAGTGGCATGATCTCGGCTCTCTGCAACCTCCTTCTCCCAGGTTCAAACGATTCTCCTGCCTCAGCCTCCTGAGTAGCTGGAACTACAGGCACCCACCACCACGCCCGGCTAATTTTGTTTGTATTTTTTTTTTAGTAGAGACAGGGTTTCACCATGTTGGCCAGGCTGGGGATGACTGACCTTTTAAGGACCACATTGGGATGAAGAGGGAGGGAGTGCCTACTGAGTGCCAAGCCCCAACAGTGTGCCAGGCACTGGCGGATATCAGGGTCCCTGCCCTTAGGAATTTCCCAGGATGAGGGCAGAGGCTGGTGTGAGTGATCAGAGACCTTAATACAATGTTTTCACCCTACTGTTCGACCCCAGGGACCTTTGAACTTTCATATTTTGGACGCAACTTTGTTCTGCCCACATAATAGATACTGGCCTCCTTTATCCTTCAATCTAATAGGACATCACCCAGAAAATAAAAATAGAACATCTTACCAGATTAACAGTGACTATTACCAATAAACATAAGCACCACAGAATAAACTGACAGCAGCCAAAACTGTGAACCTGAAACTGTGTTGAGGGAAAATTGATGGAAGTTTTTGATGTTCTCAACAAAATGTGGACCTGCAAATTTTGATCCTGAAATATTAGACTCAATGGAAACTGTCCACAAATAAAGCTCAGAATGACAGGAGGTATTCATTCAACAAATATTTATTGAAGTGCCTACAGGGTCCTAGGCACTGTTCCTGTTGTTTTGTTTTTATTTTTGTTTTGAGATAGGGTCTTGCTCTGTTGGTCAGGCTGGAGTGCAGTGGCATGACTATGGCTCACTGCAGCCTGGACCCTGGACTGAAGCGATCCTCCTGCCCAGGCACTGTTACAGGCAAAGGGGATACAGCAGGGAACAAAAGATTTAAAAATGCCCGCCCTCATGGAGCCTGTATTCCAGCTGGGAGAGACAGAAAATAAACAGCACAATTTGTGTGTTATATGTATGTAGGGAAGTGATAAGTATGGATTAAGTTAAAAATAAATCCAGAGGCTGGGTGTGGTGGCTCACGCCTGTAATCCCAGCACTTTGGGAGGCTGAGGTGGGCAGATCACTTGAGGCCAGGAGCCTGAGGCCAGCCTGGGCAACTGGGCTGGGCATGGTGTCACACGCCTGTAATTCCAGCTACTCGGAAGGCTGAGGTGGAGAATTGCTGGAGCACGGGAGGCAAAGGTTGCAGTGAGCTGAGATCGGGCCACTGCACTCCAGCCTGGGTGACCGAGCAAGACCCTATCCCAAAAATAAATAAATAAGTAAATCTGGTAAGGGGGGTGTCAGGGAGTTGGGGGGAGAGGAGAACCTGAATTTAAATAGGATAGTCAGCAAAGGTGATTACTTGAAGGAAAAAAATGTGAAGGAAGCCAGAGATGAACTACACAGATGCAAGAGCATTTCTGGCAGAAGGAACAATAAGTACCAAGTTCCAGAAGCAAGAATGTATGTGCCTGAGATGGTCAAGGAGCAGCCTGAGGCCAAGGAGCTATCTGAGGGAAGCTGTTACTGCTTGAATTTGACACAGATAAGAGAATCAATGTATGGATTGAATCATCGTTGCAAAAATTAACCAGAAAATGATCACGATGAAAATAACTTCAGAGAAATGAGACAGCCAAAATTGGTTTTGGGTTAACTGCACCACTGTATGGCATTGATCAAGGAATTAAATTGGCTCAGGAGAATTCACTCCGGTTCAAAGTTGCTCAGTAAAAATTCACCTGAGTTGAGTTGGTCTAATTCCAATTTTTTTTTAAATTTTTTTTTTTTTGAGACAGAGTCTTGCTCTGTCACCAGGCTGGAGTGCAGTGGTGGCACAATCTCGGCTCACCGCAATCTCTGTCTCCCGGGTTCAAGTGATTCTCCTGCCTCAGCCTCCCGAGTAGCTGGGACTACAGGTGCGTGCCACTACACCCAGCTAATTTTTGTATTTTTAGTAGAGACAGTTTCACTATGTTGGCCAGGATGGTCTCCATCTCTTGACTTTGTGATCTGCCTGCCTCGGCCTCCCAAAGTGTTGGAATTACAGGTGTGAGCCACCGCCCCGGCCTTTTTTTTTTTTTTTTTTTTTGAGATGGAGTATCGCTCTGTCGCCCTGGCTGGAGTACAGTGGCAAGATCTTGGCTCACTGCAACCTCCACCTCCCGAGTTCAAGCGATTCTTGTGCCTCAGCTGACAGAGTAGCTGGGACTACAGTCGTGCACTACCATGCCTGGCTAATTTTTTGTATTTTTAGTAGGGACAGGGTTTTACCATGTTGCCCAGGCTGGTCTCAAACTCCTGGGCTCAAGCAATCCACCCGCCTTGGCCTCCCAAAGTGCTGGGATTACAGGCATGAGCCACCACGACTGGCCTTAATTCCAATTAAATTAAATTAAATTAATTAATTAATTTTTGAGACAGAGTCTCACTCTGTCATCCCAGCTGGAGTACAGTGGTGCGATCTTGGCTCACTGCAACCTCTGCCTTCTTGGTCCAAGCGATTCTCGTGCTTCAGCCTCCCAAGTAGCTGGGACTACAGTTGAGCACCATCATGCTGGGCTAATTTTTGTAATTTTAGTAGAAACGGGGTTTCACCATGTTGGCCAGGCTGGTCTAAAACTCCTGACCTCAAGTGATCCACCAGCCTCAGCCTCCCAAAGAGCTGGGATTACAGGCGTGAGCCACCGCCCCTGGCCTGATTCCAATTTTAAATGTTAGTATTCGTAAGCAGAGCCAATACTTTAGAGGTCAAGTGCATGTGAGTCAGAGGGGTGAATCCAGGGCCAGTTGAAGGCGCAGGACCCAGGCAAAGCAGCTGGGAATCAACAACCATTACCTATACATAAGTGTGAAGAAGGATTCATTTGTTCATTCAATCATTTATTCATTCATCTCACAAATATTGATCAAGTGCCTACTATGTGACAGGGATACAGCAGTGAATAAAACAGGCAAAAATTCCTGCCCTCTTGGGGCTTCCTTCAAGAGGAAGGAAGCTTATTGATTTATTAAGCTTATTTATTATCTGTAGGGGACAGATAATAAATTTAAAGAATAATTAACAATTTGGAGTAAAGATAATAGCTAAATAAGTAAAATACAGGCTGGGGACCATGGCTCATGCCTGTAATCCCAGAACTTTGGGAGGCTGAGGGGTGCAGATCCCTTGAGCTCAGGAGTTCAAGACCAGCCTGGGCAACATGGCGAGACCCCCATTTCTACTAAAAATACAAAAAATTAGCTAAGCATGGTGGCATGTGCCTGTGGTCCCAGCTACTTGGGAGGCTGAGGTGGGAGGATCGCAGAGGTCTAGGCTGCAGTGAGCTGAGATTGTGCCACTGCACTCCAGCCTGGGTGACAGAGTGAGACCCTGCCTCAAAAAAAAAAAAAAGTAAAATATATAATATGATAGTGATATATGTTGAGGAGAAAAATGAAGCAGGGAAGAATATAGTATTTGTGTGTATGTGTTTGTATGTGCGCGCACACCTGTAGTCCTAGCTACTGAGGCAGGAGGATCCCTTGAGCCCAGGATGTCAAGGCTGCAGTCAGCTATGATCCCTGCCACTGTATTCCACCCTGGGCAACAGAGCAAGACCCCCATCTCTTAAAAAAAAATTAAATTTAAAAATGACGTTTGATGAAGATCTGAGGGAAGTGTCTAATTGAAGAGAGAACTTTGAAAGACGAGTAAAACTTTCAAGACAGTCTAACACAGGGGTTAGGGTAACGTCCCCTGGAGCCATACTGCCTTGGTTCAAATCCCAGCTTCCTCCATACTAAATGTGTGACCTCATACTCCTATTTTCCCCCTCTGTAAACTGGGGCTAATGATGTTAACTACCTCGTAAGGATATCGAGAGGATTAATCTGAGTGCTTACAATGTTGTTTGACACAGATTAGCTGTTTGTAAACATTGGCTGGCTGAATGAATTAATCTTCATATTAATACAGTAATCATGGAAGTTTTTAAATTAAAAAAAACTTCTTCAAAAATGAGATTGTGGGACAATGGTTTGGGGAATGTTCAAATTGTGGACCCCAAAATGGAAGGTGGTTTTGGAACCCTGGCAGTCACTACTTCGAAGTTTTGGCTCTGTTATTGAAAGTGGTGGGGCAGGATATGGTGGCTCATGCCTGTAATTCCAGCACTTGATAGGCCAAGGCGGATAGATTGATTGAGCTCAGGAGTTCGAGACCAGCCTGGGCAACATGGCAAAACCTCGTCTCTGAAAATTTAAAAAATTACCCAGGTGGTAGCGCACACCTGTGGTTCCAGCTACTTGGGAAGCTGAGGTGGAAGGATTGCTTGGGCCCGGGAATTCGAGGCTGCAGTGAGCCATGATTATGCCACTGTACTCCAGCCTGGGTGACAGAGTGAGACCCTGTCTCGAAAAAAAAAAAAAAAAGTGGTATATATTTACTTATTTAGCTATTATCATTACCCCAAATTATTATTTGTTCTTTTTTAAAAAGATTTTTTTGGTCCTGCATGGTGGCTTACACCTGTAATCCCAGTACTTTGGGAGGGCAAGGCGGGTGGATCACCTGAGATCGGGAGTTCAAGACCAGCCTGACCAATGTGGAGAAACACCATCTCTACAAAAAATAGAAAAAATTAGCCAGGCGTGGTGGCACATGCCTGTAATGCTAGCTACTTGGGAGGCTGAGGCAGGAGAATTGCTTGAATCCGGGAAGTGGAGGTTGTAGTGAGCCGAGATTGTGCCACTGCACTCCAGCCTGGGCAACAAGAGCGAAACTCTGTCTCAAAAAAAAAAAAAAAAAAATAGTCTCCATAGTCTTGTTATGTTCCCCAGGCTAGTCTGGAACTCCTGGGCTCAAGGAGTCTCCCCGCCTTGGCCTCCCAAAGTGTTGGGATTACAGGTGAGAGCCACTGTGCCCAGCCAGCCTTGTCTTTTTGTTTTCTTTCCAACTCCTTCACCTCCTTCAAGTCGTTGGTAAACATCACCTTCTTAAAGTGGACTTTCCTTATTTAAAATTCCAATCCCCTTTTATTACTCACTCTCCAAATGTTTTCCCTGCATATCACACACAAACTGCATTAGGCATGGTGTCCTTTTAGTTATAGTCATGGTACTGGGAAATTTTTTATTTTTTTTATTTTTGAGACAGGGTCTCACTCTGTCACCCAGGCTGGAGGGTAGTGGCACGATCTCAGCTCACTGCAACCTCGGCCTATGGGGTTCAAGTGATTCTCATGCCTCAGCCTCCAGAGCAGCTGGGATTACAGGTGTGTGCCACGACACCCAACTAATTTTTGTATTTTTAGTAGAAACCGGGTTTCACCATGCTGGTCAGGCTGGTCTGGAACTCCTGACCTCAAGCGATCCACCCACCTTGGCCTCCCAAAATGCTAGGATTACAGGTGTGAGCCACGGCACCCGGCCCCAGTCTACTTCTTTTTTTTTTTTGAGACGGAGTCTCGCTCTGTTGCCCGGGCTGGAGTGCAGTGGCGCAATCTAGGCTCACTGCAAGCTCCACCTCCTGGGTTCAAACCATTCTCCTGCCTCAGCCTCCTGAGTAGCTGGGACTGCAGGAGCCCGCCACCACGCCTGGCTAATTTCTTTTTGTATTTTTAGTAGAGACGGAGTTTCACCATGTTAGCCAGATGGTCTCTATCTCCTGACCTCGTGATCCGCCCTCCTCAGCCTCCCAAAGTGATGGGATTACAGGCGTGAGCCACCGCGCCAGGCCCCCAGTCTACTTTTTAGGTGTAAAGGTGTCAGGCAGATCGCGACTCCTAGGCATCCCGCAAAGTAGGCTGGTCACCTTAGGGGCGACCTTTACCAGCTCAAAAATTCGTCTCACATTAGCAGTGAGGATTCGGGCATCACCCCGAATAACAATCGTTATTTTCCTTACTCATAAGTTTAAGACATGGTACTGGGAATTTAAAAAAATAAATTAGGTTATTTTACTGAGAGAGAAAGAGCGAGAGAGAGAGAGAGAAAGAAGAAGAGGAGGAGGAAGAAAGGGAGGAAGGAAAGAAACCATCATATTCTTTTTTTTTTAAACCATTATATTCTAAATGAAGTAACTCAGGAATGGAAAAGCAAACATCGTATGTTCTCACTTTTTTGTTCTGTTTTGTTTTTTAAGATGGAGTTTCGCTCTGTCGTCCAGTCTGGAGTGCAGTGGCGTGATCTCGGTTCACTGCAACCTTTGCCTCCCGGATTTAAGCGATTCTCCTGCCTCAGCCTCCCAAGTAGCTGGGATTACAGGTGTGTACCACTAGGCCCGGCTAATTTTTGTATTTTTAGTAGAGACAGGGTTTCGCCATGTTGGTCAGGCTGGTCTGGAACTCCTGACCTCAATTGATCCACCCGCCTCAGCCTCCCAAAGTGCTGGGATCACAGGCGTGAGCCATCGCGTCCGCCCTGTTCTCTCTTACAAGTGGGAGCTAAACTATGAGGACCCAAAGGCATAAGAATGATACAATGGGCTCTGGGGACTGGGGGGAGGGGGTGGGAAGGGGGTGAGGGGTAAAAAACTCCACATCGGATGATGGGTGCACCAAAATCTCAGAAATCACCACTAAAGGACTTTTTCATGTGACCAAACACCACCTGTTCCCCCAAAACTACTGAAATAATACTAATAAAATAAAAATAAATTTTAAAAACCCCTAAATCCATTAAGATAAGGCAGGACTGGTGGGTTGGGGCCAGATCACACAGGGGTTTGACATGTGTGTGTTCAGAAACTTATTTGTTTATTTTTAGAGATGGGTTCTTGCTATATTGCCCAGGCTGGACTTGAATTCCTGGGCTCAAGCAATCCTCCCACCTAAGCCCCCCGAGAAGCTGGGACTATAGGTGCATGCCACCGTACCCAGCTTAGAAATATATTTAAATTTTATGAATCAAAAGCCTTAATGCACCAAGAGTTCATCCAGAGTAGGGTGTGGAACTTGGGAAGGGTTTATAGCAGGAAAATGACCACAGCATGAGCCCAGCTAGGCCATGTACCGAGTGGCCTTGGGCAAGTCATTTATTCTCTCAGAACCTGTTTCTTCTTGTAGAAAAGGGGGATCATGTTGATCCCTAACTCACAGGGTGGCTGGGAGCCTTAAACAAGGCCATAACTGCAGTAAGTTCTGCCATGTATTCAGAGCTAACTATATGTTCTAATCACTTTACATGTATTATTACCCCCATTTTAGAAAACAAAAAACACCGTTCCAGTGCAGTCCTTAAGACGGCTTGGGTTCAAATCCCATCTCTGCCACTTACGGATGTTTCCCCATCTGTAGTATGACGAGAATAAATGTGCCTATTTGTGAGGATTAAATGAGACAATACATGAAGGGCATTTAGAATGACAAATAAAAAGAAAAAAAGAGAAAAAAATAACACATGATCAGCATTTAGAATTATTCCTAGTACATACAAGCAGTCAATAAATGTTAGTCAGACATCGAAGTCTCCCTGTGCAAAATTGCTCACAATTTTCTCACAAACCAGCTAGGAGAAAAAGAAAGACAATCCCACTTCTATGCAATGCATGATGAATATTACTGGCAGATATAATCAACACAAAATTACACAGTACTTAACTGAATCTCTTAACAGTTTCTATCTTACTTTCATTGACGGTTATTATTAATAATTAGTAATAACCATTAATTATTTATAAGATATTCCCCACCAGGCCTTAGTATTCTGGGGATATATAAAGCAGGGTTTTTAGAATGAAATAATTAATGAATAAAGTACTCTATATATTATCAATAGCTCCAAAGCATCATAAATGTATGTCTCCAGACCTGTTAACACCAGAGGAATCAATACATTTTCTTGTAATTTTAATTTAAAAAGCCAGAAACTCAGGATCTAGAAGAATTTGCTTTAAAAATAAGTAAGGCCAGGCGCGGTGGCTCACGCCTGTAATCCCAGCACTTTGGGAGGCCGAGGCGGGTGGATCATGAGGTAAGGAGTCCGAGACAAGCCTGGCCAACATAGTGAAACCCAGTCTCTACTAAAAATACAAAAATCAGCCAGGCATGGTGGCGCGTGCCTGTAGTCCCAGCTACTCGGGAGGCCGAGGCAGGAGAATTGCTTGAACCCGGGAGGCGGAGGTTGTGGTGAGCTGAGATCGCGCCACTGCACTCCAGCCTGGGCAACAGAGCGAGACTCCGTCTCAAAATTAATTAATGAATTAATTAAAAGCCAGTAGCAATAAAATTTAATTATACAATTTTTAAGAATATGAAATAAAAAAACAGCAAAATTAAACTTCGAAGATAAAAACTAAGTGAAAAAAAGAAACAGAAAATTAAAAATCCAAAATATTAAAAACAAAGGCACATAACCTTCGCACCTTTCCAAACTAGGATTCGTACAGATGCCACCTAAATGAAAAACACTGCTCGCTTTCCCCAGCCTCTGCCTCTGCCAAGACTCTTAAGTCATAGCGACTTCTGGGCCACCATTGTCCTCATCCAGAATCCGCTTTCTCCCTTTTCCAAAAAATTCCACTAGCCCTACAAACGTGGCCTCTTTGGGAAAGCTTTCATTTTGGAAAAAAAAAAAAAAAAAAAAAAGCGGGGGGTGGGCGCCAGAAGGGTCGGTCTGGAATCTGACCTTGAAAAAGGCTGATTCATCAAATTGAAATATATTAAAAACAATCATATGCACACATACGGGTAACATTTCTATACCAGGGTTCATTCCGGGGGGGTGGGGGGGGGGCGGTCTGGATAAAAGCCACTACCAAAGCGCTATAGGAGAAAACCAAACCATCAGCGCGTTCAATCAATCTTAGTGTTTTGAACCCGCCTCCAGATTGTTTTCCTGAATTGTGGCTGCGCAGAGACTCCGGGGTGGGATGAGAACCAAGACTGCCCCACTGCCTCCCTACCCGACTGACATTGGACACGGAACAAGAGACCTGACAGGGTCCAACAGAGAAACGCGGATGGGCTCAGAGCTTCTTTCCAGACCCGCCAGTCTCTGGTGCAACAGATGATGTCCGGGAAGAGGCGGAGCCAGGTGTGACAGTTCTGAGGGCCAAAGACAGCCGTTGGGTTAATCAATTGTTCTTTGGAGCAGCTTGGACACCTTTAGAGGGTGGGCTCTATAGGTGAAAGAACGGCAGGCGGACCGACCAGAAGTTCGTGCTCTGATGGCCGGGGATGTGCAGAACTAGAGGATGCGGAGCCGATTGACAGCAGGCCTGAGAGAGAGGTTAGCACCCATAGTTCTTCCGCGAGAAGGGGGCGGGGATTGAAACTTGATTGATGGCATTTCCGACCAGTGAGAACGTCTGAGTCAGGGGCCCTTGAGTAGTATGTGTCTTTTGGCAGTAGAGGGTTGGTCCTTACTTTGACTGACCCTCTTATCATCCAATAAACATGCCTACTTGCGTTGGGGGCGGGGCGACTGAGTGCAGAAAAGACGGGATCTTGTCCTTGTCCTCGTTTCCCTTAAAGAGGAAACTCAGTTCCACCGGTAGCTCCCTACCCGCTTATCTGTTTTTTATTTTATATTTTTTATTTTTTTGAGACGGAATCTAGCTCTGTCGCCCAGGCTGGAGTGCAGTGGCACGATCTCCGCTCACTGCAACCTCCGCCTCCCGGGTTCCAGCGATTCTCGTGCCTCAGCCTCCTGAGTAGCTGGGATTACAGGCGCCCACCATCACGCCCGGCTAATTTTTGTATTTTTAGTAGAGACGGGGTTTCACCATGTTGGCCAGGCTGGTCTCGATCTCCTGACCTCAATTGATCCGCCCGCCTCGGACTCCCAAAGTACTGGAATTACAGGCGTGAGCCACCGCGCCCGGCCTTATCTGTTTTTTAAAAGGCATATGATGCTTTAAAAAATTCGAAAGTCACAGATTTAGAACAGTTTAGCTTTTCCGCGCTGTACAGAAACGATGGCCTCACTGCACCTGTGAAAAAAGAGCCGCCCCAGAAAAGGCAGTCTTAGGGTTGGGGAGTTGGCCTAGGATTGGAATTTGATTTGAGATTTTAGGCCTGAGAGGCTACAATGGAGGGCGGGTGTTTCTGATAGAAGATTTCTGGGGTGAGTGATGGAAGGGTTCTAGGGACAATATTGGGGTCTGTGGAGATCAGTAATAGATGGTTAGTGGAAAAGCTAAACTGTTCTAAAGCTGAGACTTTCAAACGTTTTAAAACATCATATGCCTTTTTAACAGATAAGCGGGTAGAGAGCTACTGGTGGAATTGGTCAGTCTGGGTCACCCATGTAGACGCCCATAGTAAGAGCCTATTCTCTGATGAGGCCGACTGGAATCAAACAGCTGATGCACTTCTAGTTCACTGCCCCCTGAACATGGCAATGCATCCACCATCATAGACTGGGCACAAAGTAAAGGACTCTATGTTTCTGACACAGACCATTTGCAGTCTGGCAGTGGTGTGCCTTTTGTTGCAAAGGCCACCCAACTATGGGTCAGTAGTCAAAGCCTTCCATAGATGTTCTATGTGCCCTACCATGGGCAGGTATCTGATATTGTTAAATATTGAAATGGCCTCCTCAAAAATGAACTCAAAAGGATTGCAGAACCTACCTCTCTCTCCTTCTCCTGGTCCACTCACCTTAGTAAGGCAGTTTGGTCACTAAATGTGGCTGTCCCAAGAATGGCATTATCTCCCATTGGGTACCTCAGATAATGGTCGGAACAAAAGGGGTGGGCTATAGAGGCATTTGGGATTCTGCCCTGGCCGTTCCTGGACGTGATGTATTTTTCTTTCCTTTAACAGTAATCACAGGTTCCAGGCTAGCCTAGTTGGTAACCCTCCAGGCAGCAGCCCAGCCCAAAAGAGCCCTAGGGGACTTAAACTTTTTTTTTTTTTTTTTGAGACTGAGTCTCGCTCTGTTGCCCAGGCTGGAGTGCAGTGGCGCAATCTCAGCTCACTGCCACCTCTGCCTCCTGGGTTCAAGTGATTCTCGTGCCTCAGCCTCCCAAGTAGCTGGGATTACAGGCACCTACCACCACGCCTGGCTAATTTTTGTATTTTCAGTAGAGACAGGGTTTCACCATGTTGGCCAGGCCGGTCTCGAACTCCTGACCTCAGGTGATCTGCCCACCTTGGCCCCCCAAAGTGCTGGGATTACAAGTGTGAGCCACCATGCCTGGCTCGGACTTAAAGTTAATTCTGGTCAGTCACCTGAATTCTCTTGTTGGGTGGACACGGTCCTAGATCCTAATGACAATGACCACTTGATTGAGTACACCACTCACCAAGTTCCCATACAGCAGCTCACACTGACTAAGATAGAAGACATAAAAAAAAAATCTCTGTAAATTTTATAAAAATGCCTTTGGCCCTCTTGTACTTGACCCTTCTGGATGAAAGGTCTGGGTACAAATAGGGGATGATTGGGAAAAAGTGAAGTTACAGGCTCTGGGATGGGATACATTGATTTCATGAGGTGTGGAAGGAGAGCATTTGGGGAGTGATATGGTTGGTTTGGCTCTGTGTCCCCACCCAAATCTCACTTCGAATGGTAATCCCCCTGTGTCAGGGGAGGGACCTGATGGGAGGTGATTGGATTATGGGGGGAGTTTCCCCCATGCTGTTCTTGTGATAGTGAGTGAATGAGTTCTTACGAGATCTGATGGTTTAAAAAGTGCATGGTGCTGGGCACGGTGGCTCACGTCTGTAATCCTAGCACTTTGGGAGGCCAAGGTGGGCAGATTGCCTGAGTTCAGGAGTTTGAGACCACCCTGGGCAACATGGTGAAACTCTGTCTCTACTAAAAATACAAAAGGTAGCTGGGCGTGGTGGTGTGTGCCTGTGGTACTAGCTACTCAGGAGGCTGAGGCGGGAGAATGTCTTGAACCTGGGAGGTGGAGGTTGTAGTGAGCCGAGATCACGCCACTGCACTCCAGCCTGGGTGACAGAGCAACACCCTGTCTCAAAAAAAAAAAAAAAAAAAAAGTGGGTGGCTTTCTTCCCTCGCTTTCTCTCCTGCTACCTTGTGAAGAAGGTTCTTGCTTCTGCTTCACCTTCTGCCATGATCGTGAGTTTCCTGAGGCCTCCCCAGCCATGCAGAACTCTGAGTCAATTAAACCTCTTTTCTTCGTAAGTTACCCAGTCTCAGGTAGCTCTTTATAGCAGTGTGAAAATGGACTAATACAGGGAGGGAATATCTTAGACCCTGAGAGGTGCAAGATGGGGAGAAAATGAATGCTCTCTTTGTCCCCTAGATCGAGCACTCACAGCCCAACAAAACAATCATCTGCTCTGCTGGAGTCAAGCAGCAGGTGCAGCTGGCAATCTAACCTGCTGCTAGGTTTGCCATCACCGTCCTTGGGTGACAAAACCAGAAAAAAGCATGTGAGTATGGCTGCTCCTGAATTACTCTGCTGTGCCTGATGCCATCAACAGCAGCTCCTAAACACAGGCTTCCCTCATACCTGTAGACATACGTGGGCCAGCACAACCTTGTTTAGATCTGATTGATCCAAATTCATCTGCTTCTCCTGGCACCCAAGTGGCCTTGGATTATGCCACGTTTAGAGATTTAAGTACAAGCACTAAGATGCTACTTGCTATAGGTGGAATGTTTATGTTACCTCAAAATTCATATGTTGGAATCCTAAGCCCCAAGGTATTAGAAGGTAGGGTCTTTGGGAGGTGATTAGGTCTTGAGGGCAGAGCCCTCATGAAAGGAATTAGTGCCCTTATAAACGGGGCCCCAGAGTGCTCCCTTGTTATTTTCTCCATGTGAGGACACAGTGAGAGGATGGCCATCTGTGAACCAGGAAGTGGACCCTCACCAGATGCAGAAATCTGCTGGCACCTTGATCTTCGACTTCCAGCCTCCAGACGTGTGAGAAATAAACTTGTTGGTTATATGCTACCCTGTCTATTGTATTCCATTATAGCAGCCTGAATAGACTACTGCTCATAACACTTTACCAAACCAATGTAATGGTGAGTCCAATCAAGTTGAACAACAAATGCTGAAGTGAAATGAACTGTTCCCCTTTGGATGGTATATTTGTATATGGGGGGAACAGTAGGTAACAGAATGTCTCTCCACTGGGACAGGGTTTGCTTTGGGGCCCATGTATTGCCCCCTAAATTATTGACAGTATGCCAAACGTCAGCGCATCAGTCTAAATTCCTTTGTGTGGGTTGTAGCGTATAGTAACCTGGCCTTAGTTTTACTACTTTGTAGCTGCCTAAAGATACAAGGCCCCAATCACTGATTACCCCAGCCATTTCTCAGGGTTGTGATGACACCGAGCAACCCTGTGGGATGAGGCAATGTCTCCCTCTGGGGCAAAAAACAGGCTGGATCACCCATGCTCAGTGTTTCTTGGCTGTGATGTAAACCTATTGTGTGTGCAATGTCCACCAGGGACCCTCTGCATCACTGCTGTGGGACTTGGAGGACATGGGGAGCAGGTGCCCACGTGACGTGCAAGCTGCTTGCTGTCCTAGGAGCAGGAAAATCCTTTGTCTCAGCCTCAGGAGTCTCATGTTTTCTGTCAGCATCTCTAAAACATGTTAGCTTGTAAGAGGGTGAAGTCTCAGACCTTTCGCAGACCCTGACAATCAACAGTGGAGGGATTTTTCTTTATGCTCTGACAGTCTCTATGGTCTGGCCACAGTTTTGGAAGATCAGTGATTGGTTGCCAGTGGTGTCAGGATGAGGCTCCAGGGACTCGAATCCTGAGGTAATTAATAATTGGAGGCCTTTGAGGCTACTGATTGAGGGTCTGTGGCTGTCAATCATTGGGAGAGGGGCCATAGTGGTAGTGTTCGTGTGAGCCAGTGATGAGTGACGCTCTGTGCTTCCTTCCTTCCTTCCTCCCTCCCTCCCTCTCTTTCTTCTTTCTTTCTCTCTCTCTCTTTCTTTCTTTCTCTTTTCCTTCCTTCCTTTCTTTCTCTTTTCCTTCCTTCCTTCCTTCCCTCCTTCCTTCCTTCCCTCCTTCCTTCCTTTCCTTCCTTCTTCTTTCTTTCTTTTCTTTCTCTAATTCTTTCTCTTTCTCTCTCTTTCATTCTTTCTCTTTCTCTCTCTCTCTATTTTTTTTTTTTTTTTTTGACAGAGTCTCGCTCTGTTGTCCAGGCTGGAGTGCAATGGCACAATCTCAGTTCACTGCAAGCTCCACCTCCTGGGTTCAAGCGAGCACGCCCAGCTAATTTTTGTATTTTTAGTAGAGATGAGGTTTCACCATGTTGGCCTGGCTGGTCTCAAACTCCTGACCTCAAGTGATCCGCCCACCTCAGCCTCCCAAAGTGCTGGGATTACAGGCATGAGCCACTGCCCCCGGCCTCTTTCTCTTTCTTCTTTCTTTCTTGATCTGTCACCCAGGCTGGAGTGCAGTGGTTCAATCATAGCTCACTGCAGCCTCAAACTCCTCCACTCAAGAGGTCCCCTACCTTGGCCTCCCAAAGCACTGGGATTACAGGCATGAGCCACAGTGCCCGGCCTTGATTGTGGTTTCTTTGGTTCCTTAATTGGATTCTTGGAGGGTCAGTGATTGGGCCTATGTGTGATTACTGTTTGGAGACTTTGGAGGACCCTGTGGGAAACAGCTGCCCCAGGCAGGTGGGAATGGGTCTCCAGGAAAGCACAGAGTTGAATTTTTTAGGTAATAGTCTCCCTTTAGATTCAGACCTACATTTATTTGGTACATAGCTCTACTACTTACTAACATAGTATGACCTTGGTCGAGTTTCTGATTCCTTCTGAGCCTCAGAAGTTTCCTTATCTAGAAAATGGAGATAATATAGAATGCATATGCTATATAATACTGTAATATATATAGTATATAATATATACAATGTCCTAGTATTGTTGTGGAAAGTCCTTTCCATAGCGCAAAGCCATAGAAGATTTGTGGGAATAGGGGCAGTGACACACTGGGATACACCCCTGTGGATTCAGGACTTGCAGGGCGAGAGGTGGGGAGATCATGAATGGGGACTGGCTTTGCTGCAGGGCAGCTGCTCCCCCACCTCTCTGTGGTAAATCCTATCTCCATGTATCCTGTGAGGTACTTCCACTCCCTCGGACAAATCCGACCTTCACGTGTCCTACCAGGTTCACAGTTTGACTCAGAGAAAGGCTAGCATGGAGACAGTCCTAGGACAGATCTCCTGGTTTTCGGCCTAGGCAGGTAATCTTGTCAGCAGAGAAGTTTGTAATCTTGTCAGCAGAGGGTAGGCAGTGTAGGTTGCCCAGGATGCGCACTGAAATATTCAGGAGCTTTATTTTAAGTAACCCTGACATTGTCATCCTGCAGCCTGAGCTCTTGACCTGAGCCTCACAGATGCCCCCTGCCCTCCACAATCACTGACCTCCACAGACTACTCATTCTTAAAGTTTCGTTTCTTTTTCTAGTTTTCCTGAACTGGCTAGATTCTTCAGTACAATGTGTTTTTTGTTGTTGTTGTTTGTTTTTTGAGGCGGAGTCTTACTCTGTCGCCCAGGCTGGAGTGCAGTGGCGTGATCTCGGCTCATTGCAACCTCTGCCTCCCGAGTTCAAGCGATTCTCCCACTTCAGCCTCCTGAGAAGCTGGGATTACATATGCCTGCCACCACACCCGGCTAATTTCAGTACAATGTTGAATGGCAATATTGATACTAGAACCCTTGTCTTTTTCCTGATTTAAAGGAAAATCTTTCAACTTTTCCCATTGAGAACATATTTTGTAGAGACTATCACGTTAAAAAAAAAGTCCTGTCTTTTCCTAGTTTGATAGGAGTTTGTTTTTTTGACAGGGTCTTGCTCTGTTGCCCACGTTGGAGTGCAGTGGCGCCATCATTGCTCACTGCTCACTGCAGCCTTGACCTCCCAGGGCTCAAGCGATCCTCCCATCTCAGCCTCCCAAGTAGGTAGGATAAGCTCACACCACCATGCTCAGCTAATTTTTTTTTTTTTTTTTTTCTGTAGAGACGAGGTTTTGCCATGTTGCCCGTGGCTGGTCTTGAACTTCTGGACTCAAGCAATCTGCCTGCTTCAGCTACCCAAAGGGCTAGGATGCTGGGAATAGAGGTGTGAGCCATCATGCTCAGCTTTTTTTTTTTTTTTTAGACAGGGTCTCATTCTGTCACCCTGGCTGGAGTGCAGTGATGCAATCATAGCTCACTGCAGCTTCGACCTCCTGGGCTCAAGTCATCCTCCCCCCTTGGCCTCCTAAGTAGCTAGGACTAAAGGTGTGCACCACCACACCTGGCTAATTCTTTAATTAAAAAAATTATAAATGGATGTTAAGATTTGTCAGATGCTTTTTCTGTGTCTTTCTTGGCAACCACAAGAGTTTTATCTTTTAATCTGTAAATATGGTAAATTGGCCAGGCAAGGTGGCTCATGCCTGTAATCCCAGCATTTTGGGAGGCTGAGGCAGGTGGATCACTTGAGACCAGGAGTTTGAGACCAGCCTGGGCAACATGGCGAAACCCCCTCTCTACTAAAAATACAAAAAATTAGCCAGGTGTGGTGGTACATGCCTGTAGTCCCAGCTACTTGGGAGGCAGGCGAATCGCTTGAAACTGGGAGGCAGAGATTGCAGTGAGCTGAGATCATGCCACTGCACTCCAGCCTGGGGACAAGAGCGAAACTCTGTCTCAAAAAAAAAAAAAAGTAAATTACATTATTTAATTTTCCAATATTAAACTAACATTGTATTCCAGGAATAAACCCAACTTGTTTATTGTTTATAATATATTAACATTTTTATGTATTACTAGTATTTCATTTAGGATTTTTGCATCTATGTTCATGAAGGAGATAAACCTGAAAATTTCCTTTATTTAAAAAAATTTTATTATTACTTTTATTTTTTAGAGACAGGGTCTCATTCTATTGCCCAGGCTGAAGTGCAGTGATGCGATCATGGCTTACTGCAGCCTTGAATTCCTGGGCTTAAGTGATCCTCCTACCTCAGCCTCCCCAGTAGCTGGAACTACAGGTGCACGCCACCACATCTGGCTAAATTTTTATTTATTTACAGACAGAGTCTCACCATATTGCCCAGGCTGGTCTTAAATTCCTGGCCTCAAGTGATCCTTGTTTGTTATGCTATCTTTTATGGGTTGAATTGTGTTCCCCGCCAAAAAGATGTTGAAGTCCTAACCCCTAGTAGCTCAGAATATGATCTTATGTAAAGTTTGGAAATAAGGTTGTTGCAGATGTAATTAGTTAGGATGATGTCCTTATAAGAAGATGGCCATGTGAAGACAGAAACATACTGGGAGAATGCCATGTGGCCACGGAGGCAGAGATTGGAGTTTTGCAGCTGCAAGCCAAGGAACGCCAAAAATTGCTGGCAAACCACCAGAATCTAGGAGAGGAGAGGAAGGATTCACCGACAGGTTTCAGAGGGAGCACGGCCCTGCAGACACCTTGACTTCAGACTTCCAGCTTCCAGAACTGTGAGAGAATAAATTTTTGTTGTTTTAAGCCACTCAGTTGGTGGTCGTCTATAATGGCACTTCTATGGAGCTAATACACTATCCTCTTAAAATGAATTGGAGATTTAAGCCTCTTTTTTCCGCTTCTCTGTAAGAGTTTATGCAGTACTAAAGTAATCTGTTCCTTGAGTGTTTCGTAGAACTCAACTGCAAAGCCCTCTGGGCTATTTTCTTTGCAGGAAGGTATTTCTTGAATAGGAACTAAACTCTTAGTCAGCTACTGTGTATCTTGAGCACTGAATATACAGGTGGGAACAAGACAGGCAAAGTCTTTGCCCTCATGGAGTGCCAATGGACAGAAAAAATACATTCTGGGTATATCTATCTATCTATCTATCTATCTATCTATCTATCTATCTATCTATCTATCTATCCCATTGGTAATATCCAGTAGGCAATTGGATATGTGTGTCTGGGCTCTGCAGAGGGGCCTGGGATGCATGTTCAGAAGTGGATGGTTGTGGCTGGGCACAGTGGCTCACGCCTGTAATCCCAGCACTTTGAGAGGCCGAGGCAGGTGCATCACCTGAGTCCAGGAGTTCGAGACTAGCTGGCCAACATGGTGAAACCCTGTCTCCACTGAAATACAAAAATTAGCCAGGTGTAGCAGCAGGTGCCTGTAATCCCAGATACTCAGGAGGCTGAGACATGAGAATCGCTTGAACACAGGAGGTGGAGGTTGCAATGAGCCAATATCATGCCATTGCACTTCAGCCTGGGTGACAGAGTGAGACTCCATCTCAAGAAAAATAAAAGTGGATGGTTGTTGAGACTTTGGGAAAAGATGAGTTTGTCCAGAAGGAGAGGATACATTCCTTCATATAAAATTATTTCTGATGCAATAAATTCCTCCTTATACTATTTGTGCAACCTCAGGTCTGTGATATCTTTTCCAGAAAAGTTTGTGTAGGATTGGTGTTTTATGTATTTTTGAGACAGGTTCTCACTCTGTCGCCCAGGCTGGAGTGCAGTGGTGTGAACATGGCTCACCGCAGCCTCAACCTCCTGGGCTCAAGCAATCCTTTCACCTCAACCTCCTGAATAACTGGGACCACAGGTGTGCACCACCACATTTGGCTAATTTTAAAATTTGTTGTAGAGATGGGGTCTTGCTGTTTTGTCCAGACTGGTCTCAAACTCTGGGGCTCAAGCAGTCTTCCCGCCTTGGCCTCCTTAAAGTGATGGGATTACAGGTGTAAGCCGCTGTGTCTGGCCTAGGATTAGTGTTTTCTTCCTCTTTAAATGTTTGCTAGAATTCACTGGTGAAGCCAGTTAGAACTTTGGGTACAATATTGAAGAGAAGTGATAAGTGTAGATATTCCTGTCTTATTCCAGATCTTACGAGGAAAGCATTGTTTTTCACCATTAAGTATGATGTTAGATGTAGGATTTTTGTAGAAGCCCTTTATTTGGGGATTTTACAAGAATCTTTCCATTATTGATTTCAAATTTAGTTCCAATGTGTTCAGAGAACATTTCTCATTTGACTTGAGTCCTTTTTAATGTATTGAGGCCTGTCGATGGCCCAGAATATACGTTTGTAAGCTTTCTATGTGCACTTGAAAATAATGTGTATTCTGCTGTTGTTGAAGGAGTATTCTACAAATGTTATTAAGGTTTAGTTGGTTAGTAGTGTTGCTCATGTCTACTATGTCGTTGCTGATATTGACTGACTACTTATTCTGTTAATTATTAAGAAGTCTTATTGCCCGGGTGCGGTGGCTTATGCCTGTAATCCCAGCACTTTGGGAGGCCGAGGAGGGCGGATCGCCTGAGGCCAGGAGTTCAAGACCAGCCTGGCCAAAATGGTGAAACCCCATCTCTACTAAAAATAATTAAAAAAAAAAATTTAGCTGGGCATGGTGGCACATATCTGTGATCTCAGCTACTCGGGAGGCTGAGGCACGAGAATTGCTTGAATGCAGGAGGCAGAGGTTGCAGTGAGCCAATATCGCGCCACTGCACTCCAGCCTGGGCGACAGAGTGAGACTCCATCTCAAAAAAAAAAAAAAAAAAAGAAAAAGAAAAAAGAAAAAAAAGGAGGCTTATTGAGGCCGGCAAGGTGGCTCACACCTGTAATCCCAGCACTTTGGGAGGCTGAGGTGGGTGGATCACCTGAGGTCAGGAGTTCAAGACCAGCCTGACCAACATGGAGAAACCCCGTCTCTACTAAAAATACAAAAATTAGCTGTGCATGGTGGTGGGAACCTGTAATCTCAGCTACTGAGGGAGCTAAGGCAGGAGAATCGCTTGAACCTGGGAGGCGGAGGTTGCAGTGAGCCGAGATTGCGCCACTGCACTCCAGCCTGGGCAACACAGCAAGACTCCATCTCAAAAACAAAAAACAAAACAAAAACAAATAAACAAACAAAAACACGAAGGCTTATTGAAAGCTCCAACTATGATTGTGGGTTTGTCTATATCTTCTTGCAGTTCTATCAGTTTTTGCTTCATGCATTTTGAGCTCTGTTTTCAGGCTATAAATGTTAAGGCTCTTAATATCTTCTTGACTTTCTTTATCCCTGAAATTGACCTTTTTCAATATTAATAGTCACTCCAAGTTTTTTGAAAATATGAGCATGATATATTTTTTCTATCCTTTTACTTTTTTTAATTAGCGTCTTTGTATTTGAAGTGCATTCCTTGTAGGGGGCATGGAGATTGGTCTTGCTTTTTTATCCAATCTGGCAATGTCTGCCTTTGTATTGGAGTGTTTAAACCACTTATATTTAATGTCATATTGATGTGGTAGTTAGATTTGATTCTATCACCTTCCTATTTGTTTTCTATTTGTCCCGTCTGTTCTTTGTTCCAAATTTAATTTTTTTCTGTGTTCTTTTGGATCAATTAAATACATTTATGATTCTATTTCATGTCTTTTGTTGTCTAATAAGCTATAAGTCTTTGTTTTTTGCTTTAGTGGTTGCCTTATATAGTATACATTGTTATACTATATAGTATATATTGTTACTATATTTATACATATAGGGTTTATAGTATACATTGTTAACTTATCAGAGTCCACTTTCAAGGGGTATATCACTTCATGTGTAGTATAAAAAAACCTTACAATATTATACTTTTATCTCTCTCCTTTTAGCCTTTATGCTATTAGTTAATGCGTTCCACTTTTATATATGTTGTAAATCTTAAGGAGCCAATTATATTTTAAAAATATTTAAATAATAGAAAATACATATATTTATCCATATAATTACCATTTATTTATTTACAACTGGAGAATTTTCCTTTTGCTTGATGCATTTCTGTAACATTTCTTTTTTTTTTTTTTTTTTTTTTTTTTTTGAGATGGAGTCTCGCTCTGTTGCCCAGGCTGGAGTGTAGTGGCGTGATCTTGGCTCACTGCAACCTCCACCTCCTGGGTTCGAGCGATTATTTTGCCTCAGCCTCCCAAGTAGCTGGGACTACAGGCACATGCCACCACACCCAGCTAATTTTTGTATTTTTAGTAGAGATGGGGTTTCACCTTATTGGCCAGGTTGGTCTTGAACTCCTGACCTCGTGATCCGCCTGCCTCGGCCTCCCAAAGTGCTGGGATTACAGGCATGAGCCACCGTGCCCGGCTTCTGTAACATTTCTTATAGTGTGGCTCACTGTAGCTTCAACCTCCTGAACTAAAGCAATTCTCCTTCCTCAGTCTCCAAATAGCTGTGACTACAGGCATGTGCTACCACACCTGGCTAATTATTTTATGCTTTTGTAGAGATGGGGGTCTCGATGCTACTCATTTTTGTATGGTGATTTTGTATCCTGCAACTTTCCTGAATTTGTTCATCAGTTCTAATAGTTTTTTGGTGGAGTCTTTAGGTTTTTCCAAATATAAGCTCAGATCATCTGCAAAAAAGTATAATTTGATTTCTTCCTTTCCACTTTGGATGCCCTTTTTCCTTTCTCTCTCTCTCTCTTTCGTTTTTTTCTTTGAGACGAAGTCTCGCTCTGTCACCCAGGCTGGAGTGCAGTGGCTCGATCTTGGCTCACTACAACCTCTGCCTCCTGGATTCAAGCGATTATCTCCTGCCTCAGCCTCCGGAGTAGCTGGGATTATAGGCGCACGCCACCACACCCAGCTAATTTTTTTTGCATTTTTTGTAGAGACGGGGTTTCACCATGTTGGCTAGGCTGGTCTTGAACTGACCTCAGTTGATCCGCCCACCTTGGCCTCCCAAAGTGTTGGGATTACACTTGTGAGTCATCCTGCCCCGCCATATTTCTTTCTCTTGTCTGATTATTCTAGCTAGGACTTCCAGTGCTATGTTGAGTAACAGTGGTGAAAGTGGGCATCCTTGTCTTGTTCCAGGTCTTAGAGGAAAGGCTTTCAGTTTTTCCCCATTCAGAATGACACTAGCTGTGGGTCTATCATATACGGTTTCATTGTGTTGAGATATGTTCCTTCTACACTCAGTTTTTTGAGGATTGTTATCATGAAGGGATGTTGAGCTTTATCAATTCCTGCCATTTGGTTGTTTGTTTTCTGATTGTTTTGTGGTCTTCTCTTCCTCCTTTCCTTTTTTCTGTCTTCCTTTTAGTGAGGGTGGTTTTCTCAGGTGGTATGTTTTAATTTCTTGCTTTTTTATTTTTTGTGTATCTGTTGTATGTTTTTTGGTTTGAGGTTACCATGAACCTTGCAAATATCTTATAACCCATTATTTTAAACTCATGACAAAGTAACACTGATGGTATAAACATACAAACAAACAAACAAACAAGCAAAGAGAAAACTAATAAAAACTCTTACACTTTAACCTCATCCCCCATTTTTTAACTTTTTGTTGTTCCTATTTCTATCTTATTGTACTATGTCTTGAAATGCTGTCGTAGTTATCATTTTCAACTGGCACATCTTTTAGTGTTTTTTTGTTTTTTTTTTTTATTTTTGAGATGGAGTTTCCCTCTTGTTGCCCAGGCTGGAGTGCAATGGCACGATCTCGGCTCACGAAAAACTCTGCCTCCTGGGTTCAAGCGATTCTCCTGCCTCAGCCTCCCGAGTAGCTGGGATTACAGGCATGTGCCACTATGCCTGGCTAATTTTGTATTTTCAGTAGAGATAGGGTTTCTCCATATTGGTCAGGCTGGTCTTGAACTCCCGACCTCAGGTGATCTGCCTGCCTTGGCCTCCCAAAGTGCTGGGATTACAGGCGTGAGCCACTGTGCCCAGCCTCCTTCAGGACTTTAAATATGTCATGCCATTATCTCCTGGCTTGTAAGGTTTCCACTGAGAAGTCTGCTGCCAGATGTATTAGAGCTCCATAGTGTTATTTGTTTCTTTTCTCTTGCTGATTTTAAGGTCTTTTCTTTATCCTTGTCCCTTGGGGTTTTATTATTATTTTTGAGACAGGATCTTGCTCTGTTGCCTGGGCTGGAGTGCAGTGGTGCAATCATGGCTCACTACAGCCTTGGCTTCCTGAGCTCAAGTGATCCTCCCATCTCAGCCTCTCAAGTAGCTGGGACTACAGGCGCATGACCCCACATCTGGCTAAATTTTGTGGGTTTTTTTTTGGGTAGAAAGAAATGGGATTTTGCCATGTTGCCCAGGCTGGTCTCAAACTCCTGGGGTCACGTGATTTACCCACCTCAGCCTCCCAGAAAGCTAGGATTACAGGCATGAGCTGACACGCCTGGCCAGGAGTTTGATTATTAAATATCCTAAGGTAGTCTTATTTTGGTTAAATCTGCTTGGTGTTCTGTAACCTTGTACTTGAATATTGAAATCTTTCTCTATGTTTGGGACGTTCTCTGTTATTAGCCCTTAACAGAAAACTTTTTTCCCTATCTCTCTTTCTGTCTCCTTTTTAAGGCCAATAACTTTTAGATTTGCCCTTTGAGGCTATTTTCTGGATTCTGTAGGCATTCTTCTTTCTTTTTTGTTCTTTTTTCTTTCTTTCTTTCTTTCTTTTTTTTTTGTGAGACGGAGTCTTATTCTGTCACCCAGGCTGGAGTGCAATGGCGCGATCTCAGCTCACTGCAACCTCTGCCTCCTGGGCTCAAGTGATGCTCCTGCCTCAGCCCCCTGAGTAGCTGAGATTACAGGCCTGGCTAATTTTTATATATTTAGTAGAGGTGGGGTTTCACCATCTTGGCCAGGCTGGTCTCAAACTCCTGACCTTGTGATCCGCCCACCTCGGCCTCCCAAAGTGCTGGGATTACAGGCGTGAGCCACCACGCCTGGCGTCTTTTTTCTTTTGTCTCCTCTGACTATGTGTTTTCAAATAGCCTGTTTTCAAGCTCACTAATTATTTCCTCTGCTTGATCAATTCTGCTATTAAATGACTCTGATGCATTCTTCAGTCTGTCAATTGCATTTTTCAGCTCCAGAATTTCTGCTTTATTCTTTTTTCATTATTGCAATGTCTTTGTTAAATTTATCTGATAGGATTCTGAATTCCTTCTTTATGTTATCTTGAGTATCTGTGAGTTTCCGTGAGTTTCCTCAAGACAGCTATTTTGAATTCTCTGTATGAGAGGTCACATATCTCTGTCTTTCCAGGATTGATACCTGGTGTCTTATGTAGTTCATTTGGTAAGGTCATGTTTTCCTGGGTGGTCATAATGCTTGCCTGGGCATTGATGAGTTAGGTATTTACTGCAATCTTTGCATCCTGGGCTTGTTTGTACCCAACCTTCTTGGGAAGCCTTTCCAGGCATTCAAAGGGACTTGGGTGTTGTGATCTATGTTTTTTGTCATCAAAGCCATATTTGCATTGGGGGGACTCCAAGCCCAATAACACTGTGGCTCTTGTAGACTCATAGAGGTACCACCTTTGTGGTCTTGGATAAGATCCAAAAGATTCCTTTGGATTACCAGGGAAACATTCTTGTTCTCTTCCTTTACTTTCTCCCAAACACACAGTTTCTCTCTCTGTTCTGAGCCACCTAGAGCTAGGGGAGAGGTGACACAAACACCCCGGTGGCCACCACCAGTGGGACTGCACCAGGTCAAACCTGAAGCCAGCTCAGTACTGAGTCGTGCCCAAGGCCCATGGTAACCACTGCCTGGCTACCACTAATGTCCACTCAAGGCCCTAGAGCTCTACAATGAGCAGGTGGCAATGCCAGCCTGGCTTGTGTCCTTCCCTTCAGAGCAGCAAGTTTCCCCAGTCTTGAGCAGGCCTAGAGATGCCATCCAGGAGCCAGGGCCTGGGCACGGAAACCTTGTGAATCTACCTGGTACTCTATTTTATGGTGGCTGAGCTGGCACCCAAGCCACAAGACAAAGTCATTCTCACTCTTCCTTCCCCTTTCCATAAGCAAAGGAGTCTCTCTCCATGGCCAAAACTGACCCAGGTCCTTGGCAAATATTGCCTGGCTACCATTGCTATTCACTCAGGGCCCAAGGGCTCCTTATTCAGCTTGTTGTGAATGCTGTCAGGCCTGCAACTCACTCTTCAGGCTAGTGGGCTTTCCTCTGGCCCAGGGAAGGTCCAGAAATGTTGTCTAAGAGCCAAGGCCTGGAATCAGGGACCCCAAGAGCCTATTTGGTGCTCTACCCCCGTGTGGTGAAGTGGAACATAAACTGCAAGACAAAGTCCCCTTTACTCTTTCCTCTCCTTTCCTCAAGCAGAGGGGGTCTTTCCCTGTGGCCACCACAGCAGGGAATATGCTGGGTCACACCTAAAGCCAGCATGTTTCAGTGTCTTACCCAAGGCCCATGGTGTACTACCTGGGTGCCACTGTTTGTTATTCAGGGCCCGGGGGCTCTTTAGTCAGCAGATGTTGAATTATACCAGGACTAGAGCCTTCCCTTCAAGGCAGCAGGTTCTCTTATGGCCCAAAGTGTGTCTAGAAATGTCATTTGGGGCCAGGCACAGTGGCTCACGCCTGTAATCCCAGCACTTTAGGAGGCCGAGGTGGGCGGATCACTTGAGGCCAGGAGTTTGAGACCAGCCTGGCCAACATGGTGAAACCCCGTCTCTACTAAAAATACAAAAATTAGCCAGGCGTGATGGCACGTGACTGTAATCCCAGCTACTTGGGAGGCTGAGGCAGGGAGAATTGCTTGAACCTGGGAGGCGGAGTTTGCAGTGAGCCGAGATCGCACCACTGCACTCCAGCCTGGGTGACAGAATGAGACTCCTTCTAAAAAAAGTGTGAAAAATGTCATCTGGGAGCTAGGGCCTGGAATGGGGACTTCAGGACTCTGCCTGGTGCCATATCCTACTGTGGCTGAGCTGGCTTCCAAGTTGCAAGACAAAGTCCTCTTTACTCTCCCCGCTCCTCTCCTCAAGTAGAGGAAAGGAATCTCTTTCAGTGGTTTGAGCTGCACTGCTTGGGGTTGGGAGAGGGGTGGCTCAAGCACTCCCTTGGCCACCCCAGCTGATGTTTCACTGGGTTGTGTGTCCAAATCCACTGGCTCCAAGCCCAGCACAGCAACAGGACTTGCCCAGGAACGGCAGTCCTTGTAGCCCAGACTGACTTTCAAGTTTATTTAGGACTGCAGAGCACTTTAGCCCACGGTGGTGAGGCTTGCCAAAACTCAGGTTCTGACTGCTGGGATGGACAGTTTGCCTCTGGCTAGGGCTGGTCCAAGTGCTCCCCTTATGGGTGCCGGCTTAGTTCTCTCCGGTTTTTGCTTTCTGTTGTGACAGGGAAGCACCGAGTTCCAGCGCAAAGTCTCACGATTGCTGTGCTCTCCTGCCCCCAAGTGCACAGATTCTCTCTCTCTGCCACACACCTACTACCAGGGGATGGGGGCGGGGTGGTGTAGGTGATTCAAAGCTGTCTTCCCTACCCACTTTAGTGCCTCTTTCAGTGATAGGAAGTTAAAACCAGGTACTGTGATTGCTCACCTGATTTTTGGTTCTTATGAAGGTGCTTTATTGTGTGGATAGGTGTTCAATTCAGCATTCCTGTGAAGAGGATGATCAGGAGGCTTTTATTCAGCCATCTTGCTCCCTAGGTTGACAGTTTTTAAAATTCATTCTTTTAAAAATGTTGCACCATTGGGTCATTTTTATATCTTCTATGTCTCTTGTTGAACTCTTATGAACTTGTGGAACATAGCTTTAATAACTCTTAATGTCCTTATCTGCTAATTAATTTATGCATCAAATCTGGGTTGGTTTTCCTTGATTGACTGTTGTCTTCATATTTTCCTGCCTTGTTGCATGATTAGTAAGCTTTTTTTTCCCCCCCAAGATGGAGTCTTGCCCTATCGCCCAGGCTGGAGTGCAGTGGTGCGATCTCAGCTCACTGCAACCTCCGCCTCCCGGGCTGAAGCAATTCTCTTGCCTCAGCCTCCCGAGTAGCTGGGATTACAGGTGCCCGTCACCACACTCAGCTAATTTTTGTATTTTTAGTAGAGACGGGGTTTTACTATGTTGGCTAAGCTAGTCTTGAACTCCTGACCTCATGATCCACCTGCCTTGGCCTCCCAAAGTGCTGGGATTACAGGCGTGAGCCACCATGCCCGGCCTGACTAGTAAGTTTTTTGTTTGTTTGTTTGTTTTTAGAGACAGGGTCAGCTCTGTCACTCAGGCTGGAGTGCAGTGATGCCATCATAGCTCATTGCCTCCTTGAACTACTGAGTTCCAGCAATCCTCCCAAATAGCCTCTAGAATACCTAGTGAGAGGTGACAGCGTGCTGGCAGTCCTCACAGCCCTCGCTCGCTCGCTCTTGGCGCCTCCTCTGCCTGGGCTCCCACTTTGGCAGCACTTGAGGAGCCCTTCAGCCCACCGCTGCACTGTGGGAGCCCCTTTCTGGGCTGGCCAAGGCCAGAGCCGGCTCGCTCAGCTTGCGGGGAGGTGTGGAGGGAGAGGCGTGAGCGGGAACCGGGGCTGCGCGTGGCGCTTGCGGGCCAGCTGGAGTTCTGGGTGGGCGTGGGCTTGGCGGGCCCCGCACTCGGAGCAGCCGGCTGGCCCTGCCGGCCCCGGGCAATGAGGGGCTTAGCACCCGGGCTAGTGGCTGTGGAGGGTGTACTGGGTCCCCCAGCAGTGCCAGCCAACCAGTGCTGCGCTCGATTTTTCGCCGGGCCTTAGCTGCCTTCCCGCAGGGCAGGGCTCGGGACCTGCAGCCCACCATACCTCAGCCTCCCACCCCCTCCATGGGCTCCTGTGAGGCCAGAACCTCCCCGATGAGCACCGCCCCCTGCTCCATGGCGCCCAGTCCCATCGACCACACAAGGGCTGAGGAGTGCGGGCGCACGGCGCGGGACTGGCAGGCAGCTCCACCTGCAGCCCAGGTGCGGGATCCACTGGGTGAAGCCAGCTGGGCTCCTGAGTCTGGTGGGGACGTGGAGAACCTTTATATCTAGCTCAGGGATTGTAAATACACCAATCGGCACTCTGTATCTAGCTCAAGGTTTGTAAATACACCATCAGCACCCTAGCTGTGTCTAGCTCAGGGTTTGTGAAAGCACCAATCGACACTCTGTATCTAGCTACTCTGGTGGGGCCTTGGAGAACCTTTATGTCTAGCCCAGGGATTGTAAATACAGCAATCGACACTCTGTATCTAGCTACTCTGGTGGGGCCTTGGAGAACCTTTATGCCTAGCTCAGGGTTTGTGAAAGCACCAATCGACACTCTGTATCTAGCTACTCTGGTGGGGCCTTGGAGAACCTTTATGTCTAGCCCAGGAATTGTAAATACAGCAATCGACACTCTGTATCTAGCTACTCTGGTGGGGCCTTGGAGAACCTTTATGTCTAGCCCAGGGATTGTAAATACAGCAATCGACACTCTGTATCTAGCTACTCTGGTGGGGCCTTGGAGAACCTTTATGTCTAGCCCAGGGATTGTAAATACAGCAATCGACACTCTGTATCTAGCTACTCTGGTGGGGCCTTGGAGAACCTTTATGTCTAGCCCGGGGATTGTAAATACAGCAATCGATACTCTGTATCTAGCTACTCTGGTGGGGCCTTGGAGAACCTTTATGTCTAGCTCGGGGTTTGTGAATGCACCAATTGACACTCTGTATCTAGCTACTCTGGTGGGGCCTTGGAGAAACTTTATGTCTAGCCCAGGGATTGTAAATACAGCAATCGACACTCTGTATCTAGCTACTCTGGTGGGGCCTTGGAGAACCTTTATGTCTAGCCCGGGGATTGTAAATACAGCAATCGACACTCTGTATCTAGCTACTCTGGTGGGACCTTGGAGAACCTTTATGTCTAGCCCGGGGATTGTAAATACAGCAATCGACACTCTGTATCTAGCTACTCTGGTGGGGCCTTGGAGAACCTTTGTGTCCACACTCTGTATCTAGCTAATCTGGTGGGGACGTGGAGAACCTTTGTGTCTAGCTCAGGGATTGTAAACGCACCAGTCAGCGCCCTGTCAAAACAGACCACTCGGCTCTACCAATCAGCAGGATGTGGGTGGGGCCAGATAAGAGAATAAAAGTAGGCTGCCCGAGCCAGCAGTGGCAACCTGCTCGGGTCCCCTTCTACACTGTGGAAGCTTGGATCTTTCGCTCTTTGCAATAAATCTTGCTACTGCTCACTCTTTGGGTCCACACTGCTTTTATGAGCTGTAACACTCACCACGAGGGTCTGCAGCTTCACTCCTGAAGCCAGCGAGACCACAAGCCCACCGGGAGGAATGAACAACTCCAGAAGCACCGCCTTAAGAGCTGTAACACTCACCACGAAGGTCTGCAGCTTCACTCCTGAGCCAGCGAGACCACGAACCCACCAGAAGGAAGAAACTCCGAACACATCCGAACATCAGAAGGAACAAACTCCAGACGCGCCACCTTAAGAGCTGTAACACTCACCGCGAGGGTCTGCGGCTTCATTCTTGAAGTCAGTGAGACCAAGAAACCACCAATTCCGGACACACTAGGACTACAGGCATGCGCCACCACACCTAGCTAATTTTTGAATTTTTTGTAGAGACAGGGTCTTGCTATGTTGCCCAGGCTGCTCTGGAACTCCTGGCCTCAAATAATCCACCTTCCTCAGCCTTCTAAAGTACTGGGTTAGAGGCATGAGCCATTGTGCCTGGCCCCATTAAGTTTTTCTTTTCTTTTTTTTTTTTTGAGACGGAGTCTCACTCTGTCGCCCAGGTTGGAGTGCAGTGGCGCCATCTCGGCTCACTGATGTGGCCGCCTCCCATGTTCAAGCGATTCTCCTCAGCCTCCCGAGTAGCTGGGATTACAGGAATGCGCCACCACACCTGGCTAATTTTTTTGTATTTTTAGTAGAGACAGGGTTTCACCATTTTGGACAGTCTGGTCTTGAACTTCTGACCTCAGGTGATCCACCCACCTCGGCCTTCCAAAGTGCTGAGATTACAGGCGTGAGCCACTGCACCCGGCCCTATTAAGTTTTGATTGGATGTCAAACATTGTGATTTTTTTTTTCTTTTTGGGTGCTGGATATTTTTGTATTCAATATAAATCTTCTTGAACTTTGTTGAGTTGCAGTTAAGTTTCCTTGGAAATATTTTTATCCTTTAAGGTCTAGCTTTTATGATCTGTTTGATGGAGTCGAGCAGTGCTTTGTGTAGGGCTAATTATTCTCCACAACTGAGAAAAGAACTTCCTGAGGACTCTACCCAATACCTCATAAATTATGCGTTTTTTCCAATCTGACTGGTGGGAGCAGGCACTATTACTGGCTCTGTGTGAGCATGAGGCACTATTCCCTCTAATCCTTTCAGGTGTTCTCTCCCTGGCCCCAGGCAGTTTCCTCACACGCATATACTGATCAGTAAGTACTCTTTTGAATACTGAAGGGTATGCTCTTCAGATCTCCAGGGTTCTCTGTCTATTAGGGTTCTCCAGAGAAACAGCACCAATGGGATATATTAGGATATATGTATCTATATCTACCTATCTACCTACCTATCTATCTATCTATCCATCCCCAAAGATTTTAAGGAATTGGCTCACATGATTGTGGAGGCTGGCAAAGTTCAAAATCTTCAAGGTAGACCAGCAAGCTGGAGACCCAGGGAAGCATTGATGCTTTAGTGTGAGTCTGAAGGCAGTCTCCTGGCAGAATTCCCTCTTCTGGGGAGATCAGTCTTTTTCTATTAAGGTCTTCAGCTGATAGGATGAGGCCCGTGTGCATTATGGAGGGTAATCTGCTTTACTCAAAGTCTACTGATTCAATGTGAATCTCATTTAAAAACTACCTTCATAGAAACATCTAGAATAATGTTTCACCAAATATCTGGGTTCCAAGGCCTAGCCAGGTTGACATATAAAATTAACCATCACACTCTTTGTGTAGCTTTTTGCTTTCTGGTACGCTGTTCTATCAACTCTAGCTATTTTGATCTCCCAGAAGTCTTAGCTCCAAATCCTCAACTCAGGGAGTCAGGTGGGCTCTACCTCAGTTCTCCCATCTTGTGCCATAGCCTGAACACTTTCTCAAGGGGGCAAACTGGTCTTCCGGGTGTGGTGGCTCACGCCTCTAAATCCTAGCACTTTGGGAGACAAAGGCAGGAGGATCACTTGAGCCCAGGAGTTTGAGATCAGCCTGAGCAACACAGGGAGATGCTGTCTCTACTAAAAATTAAATAAAAAAATTAGCTGCATATGATGGTGCACCCCTTTAGTCCCAGCTACTCGGGAAGCTGAGGCAGGAGGATCCCTTGAGCCTAGGAGGTCGAGGCTGCAGTGAGCCGTGATCATGCCACATGCACTCCAGCCTGGGCAACATAGCGAGACCCTGTCTCAAAAAAAAAAAAAAAAGGCAGTAAACTGGGGAATGGTAACTCTTCATCTCATTTGTTTCCCATCTCTCAGCCCTTGGTTGCCTGCTGTCCATTGTTCAAAACCTGTTGTTTCATGTATTTTATTTTTTTTTTTGGTTTATTTGGTTGTTTCAGGTGGGAGGGTAAATCTGATCCCTGTCCATCTTTGGGACAATCAAATCTGAATCATACATTCTTCTCCAGTATAGCCTCTCAATATCTCAATATGATTTAGAAGAAATCTAGATGAGACTAAGCAGTTTACCTTTTTTTTTTTTTTTTTTTTTGAGACGGAGTCTCGCTCTGTCACCCAGGCTGGAGTGCAGTGGCGCCATCTCGGCTCACTGCAAGCTCTGCCTCCCGGGTTCATGCCATTCTCCTGCCTCAGCCTCCCGAGTAGCTGGGACCACAGGCGCCCACCACCACGCCTGGCTAATTTTTTTGTATTTTTAGTAGAGACAAGGTTTCACCATGTTAGCCAGGATGGTCTGGATCTCCTGACCTTGTGATCTGCCCGCCTCAGCCTCCCAAAGTGCTGGGATTACAGGTGTGAGCCACTGTGCCCGGTCAAGCAGTTTACTTTCAAATAACTTGGGCCCTAAAAAATTCTTAACTGATTAAAGTAAATCTAAATGAAACTGAGTAATTGATGTGAAAACAAGCTCAGAATCACACATTCTACTCCAATGTAACTTCTCAATGAGTTAGAATAAATCCAGCAAAATTAAGCAATTTATGTATAAAATAACTTAGAATCACATATTTTCCCTAAATAAAATTTTATAGTGAGTTAATCTAGGTGAAACTAAGAGCTTTATTTTAAAATATTCAGAATCACAATTTTTTTCTCAAAAGTAATATCTTATGGAGAGTTAAGAGTATGTGAAGATGAAACTAAGCTGTATATGTACTAACAAGCACAAGATCAGACATAGTTCTAAAAAATAACTGCATATGGTGACTTAGTGCAACTCTAGGTAAAATTAAGCAATATAAATGAAAACAAGCTTAGAATGACACATTCTTCTCAAAAGTAATTTCCCACTGTGAGTTAGGGCAAAATTAGATGAAAAGAAGCAGCATGTCTTAAAACAAGCTCAGAACCTCACCTTCTTTGGCAAGGAAACCAATTCTTGAAAGTTTGAGCAAATTTAGATTAGTCTAAGCATAAGCATTATAAGTAAAGATGTGCTTAGAATCACACTTTCTTTTCTTTCTTTCTTTTCTTTCTTCTCTTTCTTTTTCTTCTTTCTTTCTTTCTTTTTCTTCTTTCTTTCTTCCTTTTTTTTTTTTTTTTGAGACAGTCTTGCTCTGTTGCCCAGGCTGGAGTGCAGTGGCGTGATCTTGGCTCACTGCAACCTCTGCCTCCTGGGTTCAAGTGATTCTCCTGCCTCAGCCTCTGGAATAGTTGGGACTACAGGCATGTGCCACTATGCCCGGCTAATTTTTTTGTGTTTTTAGTAGAGACAGGATTTCACCATGTTGGCCAGGCTCGTCTCGAACTCCTGACTTCAAGTGATCCCCCCGCCTTGGCCTCCCAAAGTGCTGGGATCACAAGCATGTGCCACTGCGCCTGGCCAAAATCACTCACACATTCTTCTTCCAAAGTAATTAACTTTTCTCTCTTTGTTTTTATTTTTATTTTTTTTAATTGAGACAGAGTCTCGCTCTGTCACCCTGGCTGGAGTGCAGTGGCACGATCTTGGCTCACTGCAACCTCCACTGCCCGAGTTCAAGCAATTCTCATGCCTCAGCCTCAGCCTCCCAAGTAGCCATGTGTCACCACACCCGGCTAATTTTTTTTTGTATTTTTAGTGGAGACAGGTTTCACCATGTTAGCCAGGCTGGTCTTGAACGCCTGACCACAGGTGATCTGCCCACCTTGTTCTCCCAAAGTGCTGGGATTACAGGCGTGAGGCACTGCGCCTGGTCCCAAAGTAACTTTTTACTGTGAGTTGGAATAAACTTAGATGAAATCAGAGTATTTGTGAGAATAAGCTCAGTGAAAAGACCAAAATAACACATTCTTCTCAAAGTAACTTCTTATGGCTAATTGGAGAAAATATTATTATTATTATTATTATTATTATTATTATTATTATTATTATTATTTGAGATGGAGCTTCGCTCTGTGGCCCAGGCTGGAGTGCAGTGGCGCAATCTCGGCTCACTGCAACCTCCGCCTCCCGGGTTCAAGTGATTCTCCTGCCTCAGCTTCCCAAGTAGCTGGGATTACAGGTGCCCGCCACCACGCCCGGCTATTTTTGTTTGTATTTTTAGTAGAGATGGGGTTGCACCATGTTGGCCAGGCTGGTTTTGAACTCCTGACCTCAAGTGATCTGCCCTCCTCGGCCTCCCAAAGTGCTAGGATTAGAGGCATAAGCCACTGCACCTAGCCAGAAATCTTGTTATTATAAACAGTGTATACGAAAACAAGATCACGGCTGGGCACGTGATTACAGATCACGCCTGTAATCCCAGCACTTAGGGAGGCCGAGGCGGGTGGATCACTTGAGGTCAGGAGTTAGAGACCAGCCTGGCCAACATGGTGAAACCCTGTCTCTACTAAAAATACAAAAACTAGCCGGGCGTGGTGGTTTGAGCCTGTAATCCCAGCTACTTGGGAGGCTAAGGCAGGAGAATTGCTTGAACTGGGACCTGGGAGGCGGAGGTTGCAGTGAGCCGAGATCACGCCACTGCACTCCAGCCTGGGCTACAGAGCGAGACTCTGTCTCAAAAACAAACAAACAAACAAAAACGAAACAAAACAAATAAACAAGATCAGTCAGAATAACACATTTTCCTACAAAGTCAGCATGAAGGTTAGGTTAAGGGATAATGTTAGTGTTAGGGTTATGGTTAGGTTTAGGATCAAGGTAAGGTTCAGGACCAGGGCAACAGTTAATTTCTTTTTTTTAAAAAAATTTTTAAATTATAAATAGAGATGGGGTCTTGCTATGTTGCCCAGGCTGGTCTTTAACTGCTGGGCTCAAGCGATCTGCCCACCTCAGCCTCCCAAAGTGTTAGAATTACAGGCGTGAGGCAAGACACCTGGCCAGGAAACAGTTAATTTCACTATTAGGGTCAGGTTCATGGTCAGAGTTTGAGTATCAATTTCAGAATCGATGTCACGATGAGTCAAGTTAGTTTTCGATATCAAGATTAGGGTTTAGCATCACGGTCAGGATTAGGGTCAGGGCAGGTTCTGGGTCATGGTCAATGTTCTGGTTAGGTTTAGGTCAGGGTCAGCTTCATGGTCAGGGAAATGTTTAAGGTAAAGATCAAGTTTATGGTTAAGTTAGGGGTTATGGTTGAAGTCAGGGTCATGACCAGGTCATATTTAGGATCTAGTTTATGGTCAGCGTTAGCATTAAGGTTTATTTTTTTATTTTTATTTTTTTATTTTTTGAGATGGAGTCTTGCTCTGTCACCCAGGCTGGAGTGCAGTGGCACGATCTTGGCCCACTGCAACCTCCACCTCCTGGGTTCAAGCGATTCTCCTGCCTCAGCCTCCCTAGTAATTGGGATTATAGGCATGTACCACTGCGCCCAGCTAATTTTTGTGTTTTTAGTAGAGACGGGGGTTTTGCCATGTTGGCCAGGCTGGTCTTGAACTCCTGGCCTCAAGTGATCTGCCTGCCTTGGCTTCCCAAAGTGCTGGGCTTACAGGCATAAGCCACCATGCCTGGCCTAGCATTAAGGTTTATAGTCAGGTTTATAATCAGGTTTAGGATTATAATTAATGGGAGGGTCAGGTTCATGGTCAGGGTTAATGTTAGGGTTACGTTTAAGTTGAGGTCAATGTTCAGTTGTTCAATTTCAGGGTTAGGGCCAGAATTAGGTGTGGGTTAGAAACAGGGCTGGGGTTCCCTACTTGAGGTTGGTTAACTAGCTGACTGCAGCTGGGATTGGAGGAGCACATCCAGGGGATTTGGATCACCCTCGTTCCATTCCAAGGAAGACCTCTTCTTTTTTTTTTGAGATGGAGTTTCACTCTTGTTGCCCAGGCTGAAGTGCAGTGGCACAATCTTGGCCCACTGCAACCTCCACCTCCTGGGTTCAAGCGATTCTCCTGCCTCAGCCTCCTGGTAGTTGGGATTACAGGCATGTGCCACCACGCCTGGTTAATTTTTGTATTTTTAGTAGAGATGGGGTTTCACTATGTTGGCCAGGCTGGTCTTGAACTCCTGCCCTCAGGTGATCTGCCCGCCTCGGCCTACCCAAAGTGCTGGGATTATAGGCGTGAGCCACTGTGCCCGGTCCATGGAAGACCTCTTCTAAAAGGCCTCTGAACTCTGTGTTGGCTGTTATGGACTTCCCAGAGATGTCCCTCACAAACAGCTTCTGCACCCTCTGCACAGATCCGTGGGACCTTCTGGTGCTGGTCTCGCTCCTCTCTGATGTCCCCATGTTATGAATGGGGATTGGAGACAACTGGGACTATGCGAAATAGCAAGCTATCTACATACAGGGAAGCACAGTATGCAGTGATGGATGCCCCCACCCCCAACCTGGTCTGCTGTAGTCCCTCCTAAAAGGCTTCTTTCTTCACTGTGGAGGCCTTCAGGTGTTCATGAAGTCATTCTAGCTGCTATCTGATTTCTCCCAGCTGAGTAAAGGCTGGCTTGAAATAGCATGCTTAACCTGCTGCAGTTGGAGGAGCTTGGTCTAGAGGTAGGGACCAGCCCTGGATGTTGGGTCATCCCTCAAAAAGGCCTCTTGGCTGGCCGCAGTGGCTCACGCCTGTAATCCCAGCACTTTGGGAGGCCAAGGTGGGTGGATCACCTCAGGTCAGGAGTTCAAGACCAGCCTGGCCAACATGGTGAAACCCCATCTCTACTAAAAATATAAAAATTTGGCTGGGCATGGTGGCTCATGTCTGTAATCCCAACAGTTTGGGAGGCCGAGGCAGGCAGATCACCTGAGGTCAGGAGTTTGAGACCAGCCTGGCCAACATGGAGAAACCCTGTCTCTAATGAAAATACAAAAATTAGCCGGGTGTGGTGGTGCATGCCTGTAATCCCAGCTACTCAGGAGGCTGAGGCACAAGAATTGCTTGAATCTGGGAGGCAGAGGTTGCAGTGAGCCGAGATTGCGCCACTTTACTCCAGCCTGGGCGACAGAGTGAGACCCTGTCTCAAAAGAAAAGAAAAGAAAAAAAAAAGCCTCTATAACCTCCAGAGGTTGCTGGTGCTAGTCCTGCTGATTGCTGAGGAAGGAGCCTGGGAGCCCAGCATGCCTGTTCTCCATGGGAGCCTCGAAAGGACCAGCAAGCCTGTCCTACTTCTCTCTGACCTCACCTGCTGAGAGCTGGAGCTGGAAAGCCATGGGGTGGGGGTCACACAGTTAGTCTTGGCCGGGTGCAGTGGCTCATACCTGTAATCCCAGCACTTTAAGAGGCCGAGGCAGGAGGATCATTTGAGGCCAGGATCTCAAGACCAGCCTGGGCAACATGAAAAGACCACATCTCTATAAAAAATATAAAAATTAGCTGGGCATGATGGTGTGTGCTTGTAGTCCCAGCTACTCGGGAGGGTCGCTTAAGGCCAGGAATTTGAGGCTGCAGTGAGCTGAGATTGTACTACTGTACTCCAGCCTAGGCAACAGAGCAAGACCTTATATCGAAACAAACAAACAAAAAACCCCAAAACAGCCTCCTGAGGTGTGAGGAGCTTGATCTGGGGCTTTTGTACACCTAGAGATAGGTATCTGGAGGGGACCTTCAGAAAGGCCTTTGCACTTTATGCAGAAGCCCCTGGGGGCTGAGCAAGTCAATCTGGCTTCCAGACCATGGTGTGAGAGAGTGACCAGGACGATTGCAGGTGGCCAATTGGCTGGAGAGGATGGAGCCCAGATGGGTTTTCAAAGAGCCCTTGTTCCACAGAAGGTCTCCCTGAAAGTTCCCTTCCCCCCTCACAGTGGCCACTGGGGTCATCCCATGGGGTTCCATCACTCTTCAGCCTCCTCCATGTGATAAACTGGGCCGTAAGTCCCTGGTAGTTATTGGAAAGCCGGCTGGCTGCATGGAGTGGGTAGGGAGGCTTCTTGGGATATCAGATGCCCTCAGTTCCTGTAGTGCCCCTCCTGAAAGGCCACTGCACTCACCACGGAGAACCCCAGTGCTGATCTGTGCCATTCTCCCCAATTCTTTTCTTCCCTGCCCAAGAGATGGGGCCACTAAGTGCCCGAGTCAGGTTGTGTGTCTAGCCACCTGTGTTGGGAAAGCATGTACTGGTGTTTGGCTTTGCTTCTGTTCCCCAGTGGGTCCTCCCTAAAGGGACTGGGCACCCTTAGTGTTAGCGCCTGGGGATTTTCCCATGTCAGTCTTGCTGCCCTCCAAACTCCTTTACCCAAGAAATAGGGCCACCAGGTGCCTGGGTTATTATCTAAAGACCAGACAGACACAGAGGGCTGGGGATCCCTGCTCAGAGTTCTTATTGTTCCTGCTTTCCCTTAGGTCTGTTCTTTTTCTTTCTTTTTTTTTTTTTGAGGTGGAGTTTTGTTCTTGTTGCCCAGGCTGGAGTGCAATGGTGCCGTCTCGGCTCACTGCAACCTCTGCCTCCCAGGTTCAAGCGATTCTCCTGCCTCAGACTCCCAAGTAGGCGGGATTACAGGCGCCCACCACCATGCCTAGCTAATTTTTTTGTATTTTTAGTAGAGATGGAGTTTCACCATGTTGGCCAGGCTGGTCTCAAACTCCTGACCTCAGGTGATCTGCCTGCCTCGGCCTCCCAAAGTGCTGGGATTACAGGCGTTGAGTCACTGTGCCCGGCCTCCCTTAGGTCTGTTCTAAAAGGACTCTGCATCCTCTGTGGAAGTCTCCAGGGCTACCTCTGTCAATCCCTCTCTTCTCCTTTCTCCCCTGCATGAGAAATGGGGTCACAAAATCCCCAGGCTGAGGTCGAATGGTAAGACAGCTTCAGTGAATGCTTATGACAGTTGGGACTTAGCCTCTGCAGAGAAAATTAGAGACTTCCTATCAGGACTATGAAGTGGGGACTTAGACTTGGGAGCTGAAATCAGAATTTAGCATCTGTAGGGGCAGTGGAGGAGAGTTGGTCCCTGGAGGGGGATTCGGGGAACCTAGTGCTGGTGGCATAAATTGGGACTTATCCTCTGGAGGCAGAGATCCCGACTTGCTTTCTGGCAAGATAGGTCAAGACTCAGCCTTGAAGCATAAAGTAGGACTTAGGTCCTAGAGCTATTAATGTGGAGTTAGCTTCTGAAGGGGGAATTGGGGACCTAGTAGTAGGCGACATAGTATCTGGCAGGGGGAAGGCAGGACTTAGTGTCTGGTGTGAGGAGTCTGGTGTTAGTGCCTGCCTGAGGACCCTAAACTCAGTGTCTGATGGGTGAGAATCAATGTCTAGAACTGTAAAGGGATTGAGGTTTTACCCTATTTTCAAGCCAACAAGATGTCTTATATCATGGAGGCAAGCAGAAGACAAGAGATTCCTTGGTCAGAGATAAAGGATTATACTATTCACAGCAAAAGCAGTAGCCAGAGTATCAGCATGATGTTTGGGCTGGTTTGCCATGCCCCCAGGTCTCAGAGGGGTATGCAGGTGGGCCTAGATGCATGTGTGCGCACATAGTGGGGTTGTGTTATAGGAGAGGTACACTGAATGTGGTGGATTCATTGCTTTTATAATGAGCAGTGACAAGCTCTGCTTTTGTCTGGAAGGAGATATTACCTGATTTCTCAAGGGAGCTCATTGAGCCACTGCCTCTGTAAAGAGTGGTCAGGGACTCGCATTCTTGGCATGCCTAGCACAAATGTGCAGGGACCCTCAGGAACCACGGCGCATTGCCTTTTGGTAAGTCAGATTGACCAAATGGCCTGCTTTGTGATTTGATAAGATGTTCTGATTTGGGGGTTGACCATAAGTCTGGGTTCACAGGTTGACCAGATGTCTTGATTCAACCAACTGTTCCTTTTAGAAGTTTGGTTGACTAGATGTCCATTTAGATAATTGGCCAAAAAAGACTCAGATAGTGCTGGGCTTTAATGTTTGTCAGGGCGGAGGCTTCCACCACTGGGGAGTGGAGCTAGAGCCTGTGCCCCAATAGATTGAGTTCCCAGGTCCAGGAGTTCCAGAGAGGGCAAGAGAGCCACACTGGGGGCCTTGGATTACCTGTAATTCCTGGTGATCTCCTCCTCAGACTTCTCAGAACACACCACTGTGGCCCCTGGAGCTCCCTGGAACCATTCCACTCCTCTCCCCTCTACCTTGATTGAGAAATGGGCTGGAAGTGACTGGGTTAGGAGGCTAGCCAGTTCTGTTGCGGTGGGGGACGGTTCCCTATTTTAGGCTTCGGATCATCCCTGGTCTTCTGAGGGTCTTCAATAAAGACCTCTATACTCTCTTTGGAGCCTTGGGAACCTCCCTGTGCCAGCCCTGTTGCTCTCTCAATACCCTCTTTTGAGAAATGGGGATGAAAAAGAACCAAGTAGAGATCAGACAACTAGTAGGCCACAGTGAGGGTTGGGGATGGGGAGGAGGAGGCCAGCCTGGACCATCATATCCACCTGGTACCTTGGAGAGCTCCAATGAAATGGCCTTTGTAGGTTAGGGTTGAGCCCAGGAATTCATAAACAACTTTATGACATTGCTTTCCCCAGCTCCTGACCTCATGTGCATGGATTGGATCCTGATTTACATACCAAAGACTGTGAGCTGAGCTAATGCTCCGTCCAAGTCCTAGACTAACTACTGGGTGGTACACAATGGGATGGACCTGAATAACACTGTAAAGTCTGTAAAAACTGAATGGAAAAAAAACCCACACCAACAGAAGGCAGGATGGAACTTGTGGCCTGAACCTAACCGTATAGATTGCATGCTAAAACAAATGTATCAACATTCTTCATATGATTTAAACAAGGCCCATATTATGTATTATGAATACACAATATTCAAAATGGCCAGGATACAATCCAAAATTACTCAGCATGCAAAGAATAATGAAATGCTCAATTCAAATGGGGAACAACAACCAGTAGATGCCAAGAATAAGATGATGCAGATGTTGGAATAATCTGACAAGCACTTTAAAGCAGCTTTATAAAAATGATTGAATGAGCAATCATCCTTGAAACAAATATTAAAATGGAAAGTATTGGAATAGAAAAGAGGAGACATAAAGACTAATCAAATGGAAATTTTGAAACTGAAAGATAAAATTTTAAAAAATCACTGGGTAGGCACAACAGCAGAATAGAGATGACAGAGTGAAGAGCCAGTGAACTTAAAAATAGATCAATAAAAAATATGAAACCTGAGCAACACAGAGAAAAAAAGATTGAAAAACAACAACAGTCTGAGGAACTTGTGGGGTAACAACAAAAAGTCTAATATTCAAGCTATTGGAGTCCCAGAAAGAGAGGAGTGTGGGGCAGAAAAAATATTTGAGGCCGGGTGAAGGCAGTGGCTCAAGCCTGTAATTTCGGCACTACAGAGGGGGCCAAGGCGGGAGGATCATCTGAGCCCATGAGTTTGAGACCAGCCTGAGCAACATAAGGAGACCCTGTCTCTAAAATAATAATAATAATAAAATAAAAAAATAAAATAAAAAAAAAGCTAGGCGTGGTGGCATTTGCCTGTGGTCCCAGCTACTTGGGAGGTTGAGGTGGGAGGATTGCTTGAGCTCAGGAGGTCAAGGCTGCAGTGAGCTGTGATTGTGCCACTGCACTACAGGCCTGGGTGACAGAGCAAGACCCTGTCTCAAAAAATATACATATTTAAAGCAATAATGGCCCCAAACTTTCCAAGTTAGGTGAAGACATAAAGTCAAGAAGATGGGCAAACCCCCAATAGGATAAAGCTAAAGAAATCCACATCCAGACACATAATCAAATTGCTGAAAACTAACGGCAAAATAAAATATCTTGAAAGCAGTGAGAGAAAAATGGCTCATTACCTGTAGGAGAACAGTGATTTCAATGACTATGGATTTCTCATCACAAACCGTGAAGGCCAGTGCTATGGTTTGAGCATACCCACCAAAACTCACATTGGAACCTTAGTTTCCAGTGCAACAATGTTGGCAGATGGTGCCTTTAAGATATGATTAGGTTGTTAAGATACATTAATGTCTTTCTCGTGAGACTAGATTAGTTCTGATGGATTAGTTCTCTCTGAAATGCATTAGCTCCTATGAGAGCGGGTTGTTATAAAGTGAGGTTGTCTCTTGTGTTTGGTTTCTCTGCATGCACCTGCTGCCCCTTTGCCTTCTCTGCTATCTTGTGATGCAGCACGTGGCCCTCACCAGAAGCTAAGCAGATGCCAGCACCATGCTGTTAACCTTTCCAGCCACCAGAGTTGTGAGCCAAATAAATCTCTTTCTTCGTAAGTTACCCAGACCCAGGTATTCTATGATAGCAATACAAAACAGATTCAGACAGACAGAAGGAAATTACACACTTTTAAAGTGCCAAAAGGCTGAAAGAAAAGAACTATTGACCCTGAATTGCATATCCAGTGAAAATAGCCTTCATGTGAAATAAAGACATTCTCATATGAAAGAGTGAAATAAAGACATTCTCATATGAAAGAAAAGAAAACTAAGGGAATTCATAGCCAGGATACCTGTTCTAAAAGAATTGCTAAAGGATACTTGTTCTAAAAGAATTGCTAAAGGAAGTTCCTTTTTTTTTTTTTAAATCGAATTTTCCAGGCTGGAATGCAGTGGTGCGATCTCAGCTCACTGCGACCTCCACTTCCCTCCACTTCCCGGGTTCAGGCCATTCTCCTGCCTCAGCCTCCTGAGTAGCTGGGATTACAGGCTCCCGCCATGATGCCCGGCTAATTTTTGTATTTTTAGTAGAGACAGGGTTTCACCATGTTGGCCAGGCTGGTCTTCAACTCCTGACCTCAGGTGATCCACCTGCCTCGGGCTCCCAAACTGCTGGGATTACAGGCAAGAGCCACCGTTCCCAGCCAGGAAGTTCTGTAAACTATAAAAAGGATACAAGAAGGAAACTTGGAACATCAGGAATGAAGGAAGAAGAACAGGAATGGTAAACATCTTGGTAAATATAATGGACTATTCTCCTTTTGAGTTCTTTAAAACATGTTTGACAGTTCAAAGCAAAAGTTTTTAACACTGATGAGTTTTCAATGTATACAGAATATATAATACACTTGTAACATGAAGGAGAAAGGGTCATGCCTGTAATCCCAACACTTTGGGAGGCCAAGGTCAGGAGTTCGAGACCAGCCTAGTCAACATGGCGAAACCCCATCTCTACTAAAAATACAAAAATTAGCTGGGCTTGGTGGTGGGCACCTGTAATCCCAGCTACTCAGGAGGCTGAGGTGGGAGAATCACTTGAACCCGGGAGGTGGAGGTTGAAGTGAGCTGAGATCACACCACTGCACTCCAGCCTGGGCAACAGAGTGAGAGACTCCATCTCAAAACAAAAACAAAAAACAAATCCAACTTGAATTTCAAAGAACTGAAATAAAAAATATGCTCTCTGACCATAATAGAATTAAATCTGAAATCAATACCCAAAAAGATAATAATAAAATCTCCAATCATTTAGAAATTAAACACACTTCTAAATAATCCATGGGTCAAAGAAAATGTCTCCAAGGAAATTAGAAAATATTTTTAATTTAACAAAAATGAAAATACAATATATCAGACTTTGTGGGCTGCAGAAAGAGCAGTACTGAGAGGAAAATGTATAGCATTAAATGTTATTTTAGAACAGAAGAAATGTCTCAAATCCATAATCTGAGATTCCAATTTAAGAAACTAGAAAAAGAGCAAAATAAATCAGAATAAAGCAGAAGGAAGGAATAACAAAGATAAAAGGATAAATCAATGAAATTGACAACCAAAAAATGAAATCAAAAGCTAGGTCTTTGAAAGATCAATGCAACTGATAAACCTCTAGCAAGACTGACAAAGAAAAAAGACACAAATAACCAATAGCAGGTAAAAAAGGGGATATCACTACAAACCTCTCAGGCATTATTAAAAGGATAATAAGGAAATACTATTAATAACTCTACATACATAAATTTGACAACTTAGATGAAAAGGATCAATTCCTTGGAAGCCGCAAACTAACAGACCTCACCAAAATTAAGTAAGGCAACCAAGTGGCCTTGTCATTATTAAGGAATGTTAAAAAGCTTCTGAAAAAGAAATCTCCGGGTCCAAATGTTTTCGCTGATGAATTTTGCCAAATATTTAAAGAAGAATAATAATTATACATTTTCTTTTCCAGATAGTAGAAGAAGGAATACTTTCCAATTCATTTTATAAGGCCAGAATTACCCTGATGTCAACCACAGACAAAAGATAGTAGCTGCAAAAATCCTCAACAAAATATTAGAAAATGGAATTCAGCAACACATAAAAGTAGTAATATGTCATGACCAAGGGAGGTTTATCTCAGGAATGCAAGAATTGATCATATTAACAGTCTAAAGAAGGAAAACCACATAATCACATTAATACATGCAGAAAAGTAAATGAGAAGGGAACTTCCTCAATTTGAGAAAGGCCATCCACAAAAATACATATAACTAATATCATATTTAATAATAAAAGACTGCATGCTTTTCTCTTGAGATTGGGAACAAGACAAGGCTGTCTACTCTTACTATTTCCATTCAACATAATAGTGGCAATTTTAGCCAGTGTAATAATGCAAGAAAAATAAAAACATACAAACTGGAAAGAAAGAAAGAAAATTGTCTCTATTCACAGAAGACATGATTATACACCCAAAGAATCTCAGAGAAGCTACAGAAATACTCTTAGAACCAATTAGTGAGGTTAGCAAACTCATCAGATACAAAGTCAACCTATAAACGCCAATCACACTTCTATAAACAAGCAATGATCAACTGGAAACAAATCCAAAAAATAATAATAAGGTTGGGTGTGGTGGCTCACGCCTGTAATCCCAGCACTTTGGGAGGCTGAGGTGTGTGGATCGCTTGAATACAGGAGTGCAAGGTTGCAGTGAGCTATGATCGTGCCACTTCACTCTAGCCTGGCCCATAGAGCAAGACCCTGTCTCAAATAATAATAATAATAACATTTACAATAGCTCCCAAAAGTGAAATACTTGGATATAAATCTAACAAAACATGTACAAGATCTGTATGCTGAAACCTACAAAACACTGATGACAAAAATTGAAGAAGGCCTAAATAACGGGAGAGACATGCCCTGTTCATGGATAAGACTCAGAATAGTAAAGAAGTCAATTATCTCCAAATCGTTTTACAGATTTAAAGCAATTTCAGGCCTGGCGCGGTGGCTCATTCCTGTAATCCCAGAGCTTTGGGAAGTCAAGGCGGGAGGATCACCAGGAGTTTGAGGCCAGCCTGGGCAGCATAACAAGACTTCGTCTCTGAAAAGCAAAAAATCCAAAAAACCAACCAACCAAACAAACGAAAAAATGACCATAGTGGCACGCACCTGCAGTCTCAGCCCAGCTACTCGGGAGACTGACGTGGGAGGGTTGCTTCAGCCTGGGAGGTAGAGGCAGCAATGAACCATGATCGTGCCCCTGCACTCCGACCTGGGTGACAGAGTAGATCCTGTCTAAAAAAAAAAAAGCAATTCCAATTAAAAAATTGTAGCTTGATTTCTTTTGTAGATATCGTCAAGCTGATTTGAAAATTTATATGGAAGGTCAAAGGAATTAAAATAGCCAAAACAATTTTGAAAAAGAGCAAAGTTACAGAAATCACACTACCTAATTTTAAGACTAATTTATAGTGACAGAAAGCAGATCAGTGGTTTCCTGGGAGCAGGGGACAGGCAGGCAGAGGGGCTGAAGAAAAGGATTATGACAGGACAAGAAAAGTTTTGGGGTAGTGGATAGATTCATTATCTTGTTTGTGGTGTTGGTTTCATGAATGTATATATGTGACAAATTTGTCAAATTATACACTTTAAATATGTACAGGCCAATTATAACTCAATAAAGCTATTTTTAAAATAAGTATTCTTTCCAAAGAGACATATTACTTTTACATCCAGTAGGTGGCAGCTGGAACCATGGATTTTGACAGCATGTTTGAGTCTAACCCTCCAGCCGTATTTTAGTTTGTAAAATAACATATAGGAGATGAAATATCTATGTAGGTTAGTTAGCATTGTGGTATATTTTATAAGATTGTGATGAAAATAAAAAGGAACATAATAGGTCATTACCAGGTTACTATTTATTGTTCCTTGAAGCTTTAATATAGTTAAGTATGAAATGCAGAATCAAGAAGAGATATGTACCCACCCACCCTGGCAATTTACAAAGAATCAAGAGGCTGATTGACAGTTGAACGATTCTTCGCCCTTCTATAGTACCTTTTACAGAAAGCCTTATAAGTGTGTTATCAAAACCACCTGTCACCCCTTGTTAAAAATGCTCTGCCTTTTAAAAGTTGTAAATTAAAACTTAACGCTGTTAATAAAATCATTGCCTCATTTTTCTTTCTAACTAGATTGAAATTTCAGGCCCAGAATTCTCTAGTTGTCTTCAGAGCTCCCTCTGGCAGGAAAGAAGACCTGTCCTCATCCCGCATAGGAGTAGGGAGCAATTCCTTTGACCCCCAGACCAGTTATCTGTTGAAAAAGAAAAGAGGGAATCTCAGGTGAAAGGTAATTCACAAGTATTCTTCAAAAGCATTTTTATGATTTGTAGTAATATACTTAGCCACCTATTATCTTTGTTTTATCTCCTATCATAAAAAGGAATTACCTGACTGGATATTTATGGTCCAACCCAATTATTCATATAGTTAATAATTCAACTAGCAATCATTTACGACTAACTTAGATTTAAAACTGGATTACTCCTATCATCTGCCGCCTGCTAAGAAAGGGGTTTCTACATTATGTATTTCTTTTCAGCTCAAAAGCTCTACGATTTTTATCAGTGTTTATTCTGCTGCCAAAAGATGTTTAAAATCTGAAAAATCCTTAAGACATCAAAACAATCAACTGATCTTCTAGGCATGTTGTAAATACTGGCTTTCCAAGTTCATTCTACTGATCTGAAGAATTTCAATAAACAGGAAGTAAAAAAATTAATGTACAAAGTAGGCTAAACAGATCATCTTGGACTTCAGATAACTTACTCTCTAGAAAATTGAAATAAAATGTTTTTCAGTCTAGTATGATGAGCTTAACATGCTAAATAGGATTATGCTTTGGAAGTATGCAAAAGTACCAATCACTCAGTTACTTACCCCTGTAAGTATTTGGGATCCCCCACCCCCAAAATAAAAGAAATAGCCATATCACCTTGAAAATTCCACCAGCTTCAGGTTGCCTCAAAAGACCCTCGGGGTCCATCCCATCCCGGGCGCAGGTCACATACATTTCAGAGTAATTCTTCCCTCCAAAGCAGCATGAAGTTGTTTTATCAACAGGCAACTTCACAGTTTGAAGTCTTTTCCCTAGACCACCAAATATTTTATTTTAAGTTTAGTTGTAGCAATTTCCAACCTGTGTATTGTTTCTAGGGAAGATCTAAGAAGACTGTGGAGGTCAGGATTCATCTGTGCATTTAATATTTAATCTACTTTCCCTGACAATTTATTTTGAGCAAAAAGTCGCACCTCTACAGGAAAAGAAATTCTGACTGTAACTTTCGGGCTATATCTCTGCCTAGCCATGACAAGGATTTTTCATTTTGCTGCAGGCCTACCTGTCACAGGATCTAAACGAATCACTCTTCCTCCATTGTAACAGGCCACCCAGAGCTTCCCCTCAGCATCAATACACATTCCATCTGGGATTTGTTCTTCCTTTTCTAGCTTGTAAACACTTCTGCGGTTGGCTATGGTTAAAAGGCAAAAACAAAAACAGAACCACAACAAAACAACAGGCCACTAAATACTGAGAATCAAACCGAGAGCTCTCAAGCTGGTTATAAATACAGATCACTTCAGCTTATCCAGTGTCTGGCATGTGAACAAAGGATTTTTACCACATGATTGGGATGGATTCATTGTCTTTTGTTTGGGTACAGGCATATCTGTTTAAGCATTCAGATGGAGAGAGAAAAAAGAAAGCAGAATTCTTACTAAAATACCAATAATACTTCTTTTTGAAGCTGACCTGAACTGGGGCCCTGCATGTCTATGTCAAGTACATGTCAGCTTGTGGTTAGACCTTTGCTGTTTCAGTTACAAAACTCTTGAGATCCGCAAGGCAACTTAATGGTACCACGTGAACAGTTCATGCACAAAAACTAGCAAGATACATGAATTCTTTTTCTGCCTGACTGAGTGCTCCAAATTCAAGACTAAATATTAGAAGAGCCTGTTTCTTGCAGGAGGGGCACTCAGAAACAAACTAGGTGCCCTTAAAGGGGGGTAACCGTGGTATACAAAAAACAAATATCAAAATCCAAAACTTTATACTACAAAGTCCAGGTCACTACAGTCATTAGATTGAGGTATAATGGAAAAATGTTAAAACCACATACAATGACAATGGGTAAAAACTGTCATAAAAAAGAGCACTACATCTTTCTTTCTTTCTTTCTTTCTTTCTTTCTTTCTTTCTTTCTTTCTTTCTTTCTTTCTTTCTTTCTTTCCTTCTTCTTTCTTTCTTTCTTTCTTCTTCTTTTCTTTCTTTCTTTCTTTTTTTTTTGACAGTGTCTCGCTCTGTCGTCAGGCAGGAGTACAGTGGCGCGATCTCGGCTCACTGCAACCCCTGCCTCCCGGGTTCAAGCGATTCTCCTGCTTCAGCCTCCCGAGCACTACATATTTCAAAGCAAAACATCTGCACCAGAATAGTTTGCCTCTGATTAAATCTGCATGCAGAGTTCTGGGGATATTTTTTCCAAGTCATTTTTATTATTAATGTTGCTCTTTTGTTTCATAAAAGGTTTGGCACCTTTCATGAAACAGTTTCAAGGACTCCCTTCTAGATTCTAAATAATTCCTTCCCTCCCAGTTTCCAACTATGGCTCCTTTCAAGCGTATTGATGGAGTTGGACAACGTGCAATTACTTTTTTTTTTTGCTTTTCCATTTTGAAAGGTTGGTAATTAGCTTCTGAGTACTTGCCTATGGTTAACTAAAGTACAAACAAGAAATAGCAATCAAAAACCTCAAGTTTTCTGCTCTTTTGCGCCAATACTCCATTAAGTATTATCTGCCTTTAGGCACCTCCTGGTAGAATAGGATCTCTTTTGCAGTGAACCTCTTTCTGGTGATGATGGCAAGGAAAAGGATTGAGAATCTACCCATATTTGTATTAATTATTTTTTATTAGCTTCCCCAGATCTATCCATATTATGCCAAACTCTTGCCATATTTAAATATGTTGAGGACCATGATTTGATTGGCAGCACAGTCAAGTCTGTGCTGTCGTTACTATATTAGAATAGTAGCATCAGAAAGCTCTCCATTTAAGTGAAGACTTCTTCACATGAGGCGAGGGAGAGGCGCCTTACTAGTCACAAACATATGAAAACAATAGTGGCAGCACTGAGACAAATAATGAAAAATACATACAGATCTGTCCTGTCTGCAGGTCATAGTCAAAGGCATCCACGGAGTAGGACAGGCTGTCAATGTAATAGAAGATTTTGTGGTCTAGCGACCAATCCAAACCATTGGAAATGTCCACCTGGTCAAAGTACTTTTTCACGTGGTGATCAGGAAAGAGGGAGTACAGGGCCCCCTGGTGCCGCTCAAGAACTGCTGGAGCTGTTTCCTCAGCCATGGTGCCTACAAAAACCAAAGAGCACTGAGCTCTGCCCCATAGCATCTTACCCCATGCACGACACCATCCTTTCTCACCAGGGATCCTTTCCAGTGATTAAATCAAAGGAAATCACTATACAATTCCAATCTGGGCCATATATATATATGTGTGTGTGTGTGTGTGTGTGTGTGTGTGTGTGTATATATATATATATATATAAAGTATATATAATATGTATATATAAGTGTATATAATATGTATATATATGAGTATATATAATATGTATATATAAGTATATATAATATGTATATATAAGTATATATAATATATGTATATATAATTTTATATTATATTTATATAATATAATATTATATAAATTATATTATATGATTATATATTATATTATATTATAATTATATAATATAATTTTATATTATATATACTTATATATATATAAAATGACAATTATCTTGCATATAATGCAAATTAAAACTGTGCCTAGAAGTTCTGGTTCAAGATAAGAAGGAGTAAACATGCACGAACCTCATTTTCTCCCACTGAGCACAGCTATAAAACCTGGATAAAATACATGGCACAGCCATCTTGGAACTCTGAAAAGCCTGGTTGCCCAGGCTGGAGTGCAGTAATGCAGTCTCGGCTCATGCAGCCTCCACCTCCCCCAGGCTCAGGTGATTCTCCTACCTCAGCCTCCCGAGTAGCTCAAGCAGCTCAAGCAATCCACCTGCCTTGGCCTCCAAAGTGCTGGGGTCACAGGCATGAGCTGCCATGCCAAGCCTCCTCCTTCTCCTTCTCCGTCTCCTTCTTCTTCTATCTTCTTCTTCTTCTTCTTCTTTTTTTTTTTTTTTTGGCAGAGTGTTGCTCTGTTGCCCAGGCTGGAGTGCAGTGGCGTGATCACAGCTCATTGCAGCCTCAACCTCCCGGACTGAAGCATTCCTCCCACCTCCGCCTCTGAGCAGCTGGGACTATGGGAGTAAGCCACCATGCCTGGCTCATTTGTTTTATTTTTTTTGTAGAGACGGGGTTTCACTGTGTTGCCCAGGCTGGTCTCAGACTCCCGAGCTCAAGTGATCTACTTGCCTCGGCCTCCCAAAGTGCTGGGATTATAGGCTTGAGCCACCGCGCCCGGCCAAAGGATTTCAACAAGACTCAGGGCCTCATAATATTCAAAATGTCTAGAACACAACCCCAGATTACTTGGCAACACAAAGAAACATGGAAATCTCAACTCACATAGGAGAAGAGAATCAACAGATGCCGAAAATGAGATGGCACAGATGCCAGAGACAATGTAGATGGGAAGCCTGAATAGCAAGCAAGACAGGGTCGATCCTCCCTCCCTGGGGAGAAGGATGTTCCCTCGGCAGTTTCCTGCTCTAGGGCAGTTGGGTTTATTTCATGACTCTCCCTGCACATTATCTGCCTCACAGAAAAAGAGGCCTGGAACATGCATGTGAATCTCCTGCTGCTTGGAAAGCCTCTTCCTTGGTGGATAGAATAATCTAGAGCCCTGGCTTCATTATCTAGTAACAAGCATAGACAGGTCAGATCTTGGGTGTGGTGATATATTCAGGGTGCGATCACCTTGAGAATCCATCTAGACTATAAGATAACCCCACCTTTTTCTGGGCCTGGGGCACCTCCGAGCACCTGCCAAGAGCTATGACCTCTCTTGAGAAAGAGTCTCAGGTGCTTCTGGCAGATGCATAGCACTAGTATATACCTAACAGGTATATACTAGTGTACTAGTGTTATGCATCTGCCAGAATACTACAGTATTATATTATAATTATATATAATATAATATTATATATTAATATAATATATATAGTTGTATTATATATTATATAATATATAATTATATTTATATATAATATGATTATATTATATATGCTTATATAATTATAATACTATATTATAATATATAATTTAAAATTATATATGATAATACATAAAGTAAAACTATATATTATTATAAGTATAATATTATAGTATTGGTATTAGTACTATAGAATACTATAGTAATACCTAATAGTTACACCTACAATGACACCTGCAATTTTAAGAGGTCTCCTGATGGCCCAGAGACTCCATGCTTAGAATGGAGGCCTTGGAGGCCATCTTTATTTTTGTCTCACAGAGTGCCTCAGAACTGTAAACTTTGTAAGAAAAATATGGAGCTCTTCATGCATTTGCATGTCATCCTTGTGCAGAGGCCATGCTAATCTTCTCTCTATCGTTCCAACTTTAGTAGATGTGCTGCTGAAGCGAGCACAGAACTGTCAACTTCTACTTAAAAGAAGGAGAGAAAATCAATTTCACCAGGAGGTGAAATATCCAATCACATATCTTTATCTTGCAGAAATTACTGCAGAAGGGCTTCCAACAGATTCTCATCTTTAATCTTTCAACCTGTCCCGGACCATATCTGTGGTTGTATAAAGTCCAGGAAGATGGGAAGCAGTCTACAGTCAGCTGCTCTGACCTCTCCTGCCTTCCATATTGAAGTTGCACAGGGCCAGGACAGCAGGGCCAACAATGTGAGGCGGCAGTGTGGGAAGGTGGGAATAGTAGAGATGGAGAATCAACTTCGGCTAACTCAGAAGGTTATTATGATGAGAAATATATGTGAAGTGCAGTATCTAATTTAAAACTGTAGATAAAATTCTTTTAAACCTGCATGTAAGTCATTCTGCAACCATCATAGTAAACTTTGGTTCAAGAAAGAATCATCAATGAATGTAAAACTTAAGGAAGAAATTTTGATGAGGACCAGGATATTTGTGTGGACTTAGAGTATCTCCCCATGTTGTAGCCAGCCTCCAAGATAGCCCCTAATGATTCCCACCTTTCAGCATTCTCACCCTTGGATAGTTCCCTCTGTCATTGTCTGTGTGACCAATAGCATATGGCATAAGTGATGGTATGTCACTTCCGATTGGTTAAAGACTGTAGCTTGCATCTTGGATCTTGGGTGCATGCGTTCTCTCTCTCTTTCTCTCTCTCTCTCTCTCTCTCTCTCTCTCTCTCTCTCTCTCTCTCTCTCCTGTTATCACTGGTTCTAGGGGCAGCCATGTCCTGAGCAGCCCTGTGGAGAGACCCACCAGCTAAGGAACTGAAGCCTCCTGCCAACCCCTATGTGAATGAGCTTGGAAGTGGATCTTTCAGACCTCTGCAGAGAATCCAGCCTTTTCCGAGGCTGCAGCCCCTGTGGAAAGCTTGACTACAGTCTTATGAGATAGCCTGAACTGGATCCATCCAGCTAAGCTGCACCCAGATTCTTGACCTTCAGAAACCATCTGAGATAATAAATATTTCTTATTTTAAGCCTCTAAGTTTCAGGGTAATTTGTTATCCAGCAATAGATAACTAACAACCCCCACAAATTGCTTATAAATTGCATTAAAAATAGTTATTCAGTAGAGAAATCTGACAGGGCCTTAACCTGGTGATCAAAATCACTAACGAGGGGACACACGGACATCGTGTACCTCCAGATGGGTTACCCTGAGAACAGAACATTATCTATGCGGTATTCCAGTCAGGAATGTATAACATCAACTTAATCACAAACAAACACTAGACAAATACTAAATAAGGAATGCCCTATTAAAAAAGGGGGAGTTGGGTAGGCCTGGCTGTATTCTTCAAAAATGGCAATGTTATAAAAAACAAACAAAAAAAGCTATGAAAATGTTCCAGTTTTAAAAAAGATCAAAGAGATATGAAAAGGAAATGCAATCCATGAGCCTAGACTGCATCCTGTGCTGGAGGGAAAAATGTGAGAAAGAACACTTTTTGTACAATTGACAAAACTGGGATTTAGATAGTATATCAGATAAAATGACTGTGTCAATGCTAAACTTCTCTAAGTTGATCACTGTAACTGTGGTCATGTAAGAATATGTCGTCTTTCTTGGGAAATTCACACTGCAGCATTTTAGGGGTAAAGGCACATAGGATATACATGCAACCTACTCTCACATGATTCTGGAGATAGGCCAGGTGCAGTGGCTCACACCTGTAATCCCAGCACTTGGGAGGAAGAGGTGTGAGGATCACTTGAGCTCAGGAGTTTGAGACCAGCCTGGGCAACATAGTGAGATCTCATCTCTATTTTTTTTTTAAATAAAGGACTCTGGAGATAAAGATGTTTAGATATATACAGACAGCAAATGATAAAGCAAATGGAACAAAATGTTAGCAATAGGTGAACCCGGGTAAAAGGTATACAAGTGTTGTTTGTACTATTCTTTTTTTTTTTGAGATGGAGTCTCGCTCTATTGCCCAGGCTGGAGTGCAGTGGTGCGACCACAGCTTACTGCAAGCTCCACCTCCCAGGTGCATGCCATTCTCCTGCCTCAGCCTCCCGAGTAGCTGGGACTACAGGCGCCCACCACGCCCGGCTAATTTTTTGTATTTTTAGTAGAGACGGGGTTTCACCGTGTTAGCCAGGATGGTCTCAAATCTCCTGACCTCGTGATCTGCCCGCCTCGGCCTTCCCAAAGTGCTGGGATTACAGGCGTGAGCCACCACGCCTGGCCTGTACTATTCTTATTTTTCTCTGTAAATTTGAAAATATTTCTGATTTAAACATCAACAACAAAACCCCTGTATTTAAAACTCATTTAAACCACCAAAATACCATACAGATTTTAGTCTCTGCTAGAGATGGAAATGCAAATGAAGATTTTATCATAGAATTTTTTTTTTGTCCTACAACTTACTCAGGCAATAATAAAAGAAGAACCCAAGATTCATTATAAATAACACTTTTGAGGTAGTGAGAACTAACTAACTTACTTACTTTCTTTCTTTCTTTTTTCGAGACCGGGTCTCACTCTGTCACCCAGGTTAGAGTGCAGTGGCACGATCTTGGCTCACTGCAGCCTCAAACTCCTGGGCTCAGATGATCCTTCCAACTCAGCCTCCTGAGTAGCTGGGAACACAGATGCATGCCACCAGGCCCAGCTAATTTTTTGTATTTTTGGTAGAGACAGGGTTTCACTATGTTGCCCAGGCAGTTATCGAACTCCTGGGCTCATGCGACCTACTCGCCTTGGCTCCCAAAGTGCTGGATTACAGGCGGGAGCCACCACCCTGGTCAGTAGTGAGAACTTTGTATGTCAAAGTATTTCCTCCAAGGCTCAGTAATAAGTAGGTGTTAAGAGAAATCTTACCAGCAAAGTACCTCCCGGCGGGATCCACCTTCCCATCATTGAAGCGATTGTTTTTCTTGTCGTTATCCACCGTGGCCAAGACAACTGCTGATTGTTCTTTCCAGTTCAAAGCACAGAACTTTGTTCCAATGGTGGCAACATAGCCTCCCGACTGGCGAAGAGCCACGGAGCTGACTGGGGCATCTGTAGAGGTAAAGCAACAGTTAAAAAACAGTACCAGTTTAGTGGCTGAGGCCACTGAGATCACTGTGCTACCTGGCATCTCTTAGAGCGGGAGCCCAGCTCTCGTGACAATGGGAGCGCTCTCTTCCTTCTGTTGAGTAGGGAAGGCTATGTAACCTAGTACATTTGTTGAGTATGAATTTTGTGTGCTGATCTGGGCAGCAATAGATAGAAATGTGAAAAAAACCCAACTCCTCTGGAAGCTCCCAGTCTTGTGGGAAAAGCAGAGAAGTGAAAGCCCAGTGGCCATGATATGGGGCAGGTGCCACATCCAGTTCAGAGGAGGAGTTTCTAATCTAGGGGCACCAGGACAGTCATCACAGAGCGAGTGATGCCCCATTTTGCCAGAAAATGCTCCAGAAAATTCAGAGACACAAACCGAGTTTATTTACAGCAACTAGGTTTTGTGACATCTCTCTCCCTCTCCAATCCAGGATTTGCATTTTTTTTTTTGTTTGTTTTGTTTGAGACAGAGTTTTGCTCTTGTTTCCCAGGCTGGAGTGCAATGGTGCAATCTCAACTCACTGCAACCTCTGCCTCCTGGGTTCAAGCAATTCTCCTGCCTCAGCCTCCTGAGTAGCTGGGATTACAGGCATGCACCACGCCTAGCTAATTTTTATTTGTATTTTTAGTAGAGATGGGGTTTCACCATGTTGGCCAGGCTGATTTCGAACTCCTGACCTCAGGTGATCCACCCGCCTTGGCCTCACAAAGTGTTGGGATATTAGGCGTGAGCCACCACGCCAGGCCCAGGATTCGTCTTTTCTAAGGGGCCCTATTTTATATGTATTTAATTGCAAATTGTTTCTCAGATCCTTTTTTGGAAGTAAGCATGGTAAAAAATAATAAACAGATAGGAATGTAGATGCAGAGATAGTACAATCACATCTCTTCATTATATTACTACATTTTATGTTTTTAAATTTTAGGTTTTCTTCATTTAATATTTTTCCATGTATAAGAAAACTTTTTTTTTTTTTGAGATGGAGTCTTGCTCTGTTGCCCAGGCTGGAGTGCAGTGTCGTGATCTTGACTCACTGCAACCTCCGCCTCCCAGGTTCAAAGGATTCTCCTGCCTCAGCCTCCCTAGTAGCTGGGACTACAGGCTGTGCTACCATGCCTGGCTAATTTTTGTATTTTTAGTAGAGACACGGTTTCACCATGATGGTCAGGCTGGTCTTGAACTCCTGGCCTCAAGTGATCCACCCACCTCAGCCTCCCAAAAGTGTTGAGATTACAGGCATGAGCTACTGCACCCGGCCAAGAAAGCTTTTTTTTTAAATTTATTTTATTTTTTTAAGTGGAGAGATTGATTGCTGTGGTGAATGGTCACAGGAAATAAATTTATCAGAATAGATTTTGAAAGCATTTCCTAAGCACCCCTTCAGTGTAAGATAATGGGAGCTTCAGGAGCCACCCTTAGCTCAAAGCCCTGCTCACACTTTGATTGGAGCCATCAAGGGTCCCAAGGAATGTGTAGGACACACTCTCATTGGGGATCCCAACCTGCAGCCTGAGACTTCTCTTGGTAGCTCTCTAAGCTACTGCTGACACCACAGCTTTTTCCATGGGTTGGGGGCGGGTGGTGGTGGGGGCGGGCTTTTCAGATCACAGGTTGGCATGTGTGTCTGCTGCAAAAGAGACTAGAAAAGGCAAGGGGACCCCATCCCCATTCTACCCTCAGAGGTCACAGTCACTTTACCACAGTCATACTTCTGGGTGAATTAAAAATTTGTTCCCTTTCATTTAAAAATAAAGAAGTTTAAGGCTGGGCGTGGTGGCCCACACCTGTAATCTCAGCACTTTGGGAGGCCAAGGCAGGAGGATTGCTTGAGCCCAAGAGTTCAAGACCAGCCTGGGCAATATAGGGAGACCCTGTCTCTACAAAAAATAAATAAAAATTAGCTAGGTGTGGTGGCACATGCCTGTGGTTCCAGCTACTCAGGAAGCTAAGGTGGGAGGATCGCTTGAGCCTGGGAGATTGAGGCTGTAGTAAGCCATGTTTGCATTATTGCACTCCAGCCTGGGTGGCAGAGCCAGACCTTGTCTCAAAAAAAAAAAAAAAAAAAAAAAAAGTTGAGGTCCCAGTTCTGGGTTGAGAAAGAATGTCCCAAGATTATAGGAATTCCTGATATTTTTTCCCATGGGCTCAGTGAAAACAAGAAACTTCTTTCTCTATCAGTAATTACATTAAGCCTATTCCCTTGGGCCATAGAAAGTGATAAATCCCTTCTTTAGAATTCGCAGGGCCATAAACGCATCACACTCAAATGCACATGAAATTCCATCATGAATTCTATTTTGTGCAGTAAACAAAGACGGTCCTGGTTGATGCTTTATACATCCAAAAGCTAGTTTTCACTTTCAAGGAAGAGAGGCACCTGTTTTTGTTTTGTTTTGTTTTGTTTGAAAATTAAGGTCTTGGCCTGACCCAAGGCAGATAACTGGGTCTTTAACTTTCCATGGTTATCTGAAGGTATTAAGGAAAGACAGGAACTAGAGTGCCCCAGCATCCAAACAAAACTGGGAATGGGCTGGGCGTGGTAGCTCACGCTTGTAATCCCAACACTTTGGGAGGTCGAAGTGGGTGGATCTCTTGAGCCCAGGAGTTTGAGACTAGCCTGGGCAACATGGTGAAACACCATCTCTACAAAAAATACAAACTAGCTGGACATAGTGGCACGCACCTGTAGTCACAGCTACTAGGGAGGCTGAGGCAGGAGGATCCCTTGAGCCCCAGGAGATCAAGGCTGCAGTGAGCCGTGATCACACCATGGCACTCCAGCCAGGGCAACACGGTGAGACCCTGTCTCAACAAAAACAAAACAAAAAATAAACAAAAACACCCCCCCCCCCAAAAAAAAACTAGGAATGTTGCCCCTCATTCAAAGAGGAAGAGGAAAGTATTGACCATCCATAATTAAACCCTGGGTCAAAGTGGGAGGATATGGAGTGGGGACAGACAGCGTGACAAGTGTAGTCAGTGTGCTTTAACAAGAAGGGTGCCGTGGTGACCGCCCCTCCCCTGGGAAAAGGTAGCTGGCTGATCTGAGTCCAGCCTTCATCCTTACCCATGGTCACTCGCTGTACTTGCTTGGTGAATGAATCCCACCGGCAAACCTTTTTTGCAGGAATGTCTACAAAGAGCAGAGAGTTGGACACTTCCTCCCATACTGGAGACTCACCACACCGGCAGTTCTCTGGCAAAACACACTCAATCTTAATGGAAGACATGGTCGCAGGGGAGATCTATTGAAGGTAACAGAGGTGAGTGAAAGGTCATCGCACAGAACAAATACAGTAAAACACCTGGCTAAGAACTGGCAAGGCTGGATACACTTCCCCCAGATCAGAGCAGGATATGCAATGTGACAGGGAGAGACACATAGGCAAAAGAAAAGAGCTGATAACAGGGACCATGAAACATCTTCAACCAACTTACCAGTGACGTGTTTCTCGAATGATCTTTCAAAAAGAAAACAAAAAAGTGACACTCTGACCTCCACTCCTTGGTGTTTGTGACCCTCAGAGAACTGGCTGTTGAAATAGTGCAAGGCCGTCCTTTATGTCAATACCCTGGGCCCCAGGGCGGGTCAGGGAGCTGGCAGTTTGCTCATTGGTGGCCCCTCTGGGTGTCTGCAGGGCACCTTCTGCTCCCCCACCTTCTGTTGATGCTGTTGAGCCCCTCTATGAGGGTGCAGAGGCCAGGGCCCGCCACACCTGCATTTTTCTGAGCTGCTTTACTGATTTATTTATTTTTCTTCTCTGTGTGGTTGATTTTTATGAACTGCATTTTTAGGACTATGTTCACCCCAATGAGAACTCGCTGAATTCGAACTAACACACATTTTCCAACGCAGACCATGGAAGGAGTGGAGAAAAGGACAGCATCGAACCACCCTGGCAGGAACTGACAGGCCCTCAGTGATTTCTTGCTTCCCAGGAAGACACCGTGCCAGTTTGGCAAAGAGTGTTAGACTCCACAGGAGAGGAACAGTCTATGCTGGGACTTTAGGCCAGAGACCATGACCAGCGAACTGGGAGAAGACAGAGAAAAATTATCTGAAAAGGAGAAAAAATCAGATAAGAATCCCATGTGGGAGAGGAAAGACAGGCAACTTTCAAGAGCAATCTTTTCTTTCTGTACCTCTGCCCTGAGTAGGCGGTTTCCAGGAATGATCCACACTGCCTGCATTTGTCAGGCACAGGGGCTCAGGCCTGTAATCCCAGCTCTTTAGGAGGCTGAGGCAGGAAGATTGCTTGGGCCCAGGAGTCTGGGACTGGTGTGGGCAACATAGTGAGACCCTGACTCTACAAAACAACAAAAAATTAGCGGGTGTAGTGGCACATGCCTGTGGTCCTAGCTACTCGGGAGCCTGAGGTGGGAGGATCATTTGAGTTCAGGAGGTGGAGGCTGCAATGAGCCGTGATCATGCCACTGCACTCCAGCCTGGGCAACAGAGCGAGAACCTGTCTCTAAATAAATAAATAAAAATGGCCTGCATCTTCATCCTTCTCCCAGGGTAGCTATCTGCTTTGAAGTAAGTGGTCCTACACATGATGGGCAAATGAATAGAGAGGGAAAAAAGAAAAATAATGTTTGATCTAATATTTCCTTCAATAAACTACATTTTAAAAAAGAAACACAGGCCGGGCATGGTGGCTCATGCCTGTAATCTCAGCACTTTGGGAGGCCGAGCTGGGTGGATCATGAGGTCAGGAGTTCAAGACCAGCCTGACCAACATGGTGAAACCCCATCTCTACTAAAAATACAAAAAAATTGGCTGGGCACAGTGGCGGGTGCCTGTAATCCCAGCGACTCATGAGGCTGAAGCAGGAGAATCGTTTGAACCCGGGAGGCAGAGGTTGCAGTGAGCCGAGATTGCGCCACTGCATTCTAGCCTGAGCGACAGAGTAAGACTCCGTCTCAAAAAAAAAACCAAAAAAACAAAAAAACAAAACAAAACAAAACAAAAACAGAAACCAAACCAAACCAAACCAAAACAAAACAAAAAAAAAAACAAACAAAAAAACCTCAGCCCAAACTGGTCCCAAATACAAACTGCCTGCATCTGCAGCAGCATTTGAAATGTTTTTTGGCTATTAAAAATGGGCTCAGGCCGGTGCTGGTGGCTCGTGCCTGTAATTCCAGCACTTTGGGAGGCTGAGGTGGGAGGAACATTGAGGTCAGGAGTTTGAGACCAGCCTGGGCAACATGGTGAAAGCCCGTCTCTACAAAAAATACAAAAAATTAGCCGGGCTTAGTGGTTCGAGCCTGTGGTCCTAGCTACTAGGAAGGCTGAGGCCGGAGAATCGCTTGAACCTGGGAGGAGGAGGTTGCAGTGAGCTGAGATTGGGCCATGGCGCTCCAGCCTGGGCGACAGACTGAGACCTTGTCTCGGAAAAAAAAAAAAAAAAAAAAGCGGGGGTGGGGGGCAGTGTTCAGACTACAAAGGCCTTCATCCTATCAGTCTTAGATAAGGCTCAAGAGCAGTGGCACGACTTTTGCAATAGCGACTTTTAACCCCATGCTCCCTAGTAGAAGCCGGTGGGGAGGGGACGGGGGTGCCAAATGTTCCATTTAGGCCCGGCCCGTGACCACAAAGGGGTGGCTGGGCAGCAGGGAGCGGGGACGGGGCTTCAGGTGCCCGCGCTGCACCCGGGGTACCTGTGCGGGTGAGAGGCCTCCACAACAATCTGGTAGAGCCGCTGGGACCTCGGGCGACGGCGACGGCGACAGCGACAGAGAGGCCCTGGGAATCTGAAGGTTGAGCCTGCCTCCTCCCTGGCGCAGGCTTTGCAGAGGGCGCACCAGCCAGCCCGGCTGAACGGGCCCGGGTCCCCGGGTGGGCACAGAGCAGTCAGTCTCCTGGCGCGATCTCCTTCTGGCAGTCAGCTGTCAGTCGCCTTCTGGGAGATCGGGATGAGCGGGTCTGGCTCTGTTGTCGCCGGGGCCTTTCCTTTCCAGGGAGGGGGCGGGGAGGCCGGCCTGGCTCGGGCACTCGCCAGGATGGAGATTTCTCAGGCGGCTCGAAGGTCAGGCAGCGGGCCGAGGGGAGGGGAAACGCCTCCCGGGACCCGGCGGCTTGGCAGGTGGATGGCATGGGCCTGGGACCCCGCCCCGTCCCCGTCCCCGTCCCCCGCGGCTGGAAGAATCCTGCAAAGCCGCCCCTGGCAGGCCCGGGGATGGTGGGTACAGGCTTACGGCCCAGTGAACCTGAGCTTTGGAGTTTGGACGAATAGCTAGTTTACCTCTTACTTCAACCAAGAAAAGTTGTTAAATGCCGAACAGAGAGAGACTGGGACGGTTAAACCCAAACAGGTTAAAAAGGAAAGAACAAAGCTCCTCTCCATCCTAGTGGAGAAGACCCTGGTGGCTGAAGGCCAACTCTTGCAAAAACGTTTTTGGTGGGGGAAGAGGAAAGGCTCGATTTCATTTTCAAATCATATGGAAAACACATTCCTCAACAACACAGCTCCACAACCCCATTCTCAGCCTAAATGTATTCCTGGTCCTGCCATCTGACAGTCTGGGCTTTCTCCAAATAACCCATATTAAAAAAAAAAATGGCCAGGGCCGGCACAGTGGCTCAGGCCTATAATCTCAGTGCTTTGGGAGGCCGAGGAGGGTGGATCGCTTGAGCCCAGGAGTTTGAGATGAACCTGGCAACAAAGTGAGACTTCGTCTCTACTAAAAATTTAAAAAAACCCAAAAAACAACAAAACAAAACAAAACAAAACAAAACTGGCCAAGTGTGGTGGCTCATGCCTGTAATCCCAGCATTTTGGGAGGCTGAGGCAGGCAGATCACCTAAGGTCAGGAGTTTGAGACCAGCCTGACCAACATGGTGAAACCCCGTCTCTACTAAAAATACAAAATTAGCCGGGCGTGGTGGCACATGCCTGTAATCCCAGCTACTCGGGAGGCTGAGACAGGAGAATTGCTTGAATCCGGGAGGCGGAGGTTGCAGTGAGCTGAAATTGTGCCATTGCACTCCAGCCTGGGCAACAAGAGTGAAACTACTTCTCAAACATATATATGTATTTCTGGGTGTGGTGGTGCATGCCTATAGTTCCGGCTACTCAGGAGGCTGAGGCAAGAGGATCACTTGAGTCCAGGAGGTTGAAGCTACAGTGAGCTGAGTTTATGCCACTGCACTCCAGCCTGGGTGACAGAGTGAGACTGTCTCAAAAACAAACAAACAAAAATAACTCTCTTCCTCTACTTCCTCAGTGCTGATGTCTCCCTAACCTTATCTCAGCCCAGATGTCGCCCCCAGGATACAGGCCAGCAGCTTAACTGAGCTGACCCAAACCAATCACATCATTTCCCACCAACCTCCTGAGCACTCTGTCCTGGGAAATGGGCTGTGGTGCAGCCAACTGGCTGTGCAAGAAGCCCTGACACCTCGCGAGCCTCCTCTTGGTCCCTAACTCAAGTCCAGTTAGTCACCAGGTCATAGAATTGTCCCTTTAATGTCCTTCTATGTTGGCACTGCCTTAATTCATTCAGGCTTTCCCCATTTCTTGCCTAGATTGTTTTAATCTTCCCGGAGGCCTCATCTCATCCCTGTGGATCTGCTGCCAAAATGACCTGCTAGACCGTGAGTCTTGCAGGGGAGGGGATGTATCTTATTCACCCTCACCTCCCTGGGTCCTGCCACAGTGCTGACACATAGAGGTTGTTCAACTATATGCTTTTCAGGCTGGGCACCGTGGCTCACCCCTGTAATCCCAGCACTTTGGGGGGCTGAGGCAGGAGGACCACTTGAGGCCAGGAGTTTGACACCAGCCTGGGCAACACAGAAAGATCTCATCTCTATTAAAAAAAAAATAGCCAGGCGTGGTGGCTGTGATCCCAGTTACTGAGGAGGCTGAGGTGGGAACATCGCTTGAGCCTGGGAGATCAAGCTTGCAGTGAGCCGTGATAGCGACACTGCACTTCAGCCTGGGTGACAGAGTGGGATGTGGGATCCTGTCTCTAAAAACAAAACAACAACAACAAAAACTATATGCTTTTTTTTCTTTTTCTTTTTTTTTGCTGAGAGGGGTACCTTTATTTAGAAAAAAATTTCAGTTTTACAGAAAAGCTGCAAGAATAATAGAAAAAATTCATGATTACCCTTCACCCAGATTCCCCAAATGTTAAGTTTACCACATTTGCTTTACCCTTCTCTCTCTTATTTACATATACATCTATATATAATTTTTTTCTGACCAGTTTGGGAGCAAGTTGCAGACATGATGCTCCTTTACCTTTAAATACTGTAGTTCAGTGTGTGTTTCCTGAAAGCAAGGGTATTCTCTTCCATAAACACAGCACGATGGTCAAAATCAGGTAAATTAACATTGATACAGGATTATCTATTGGAGTCTCACCAATTGTCCAACTAATGTCCTTTATAATAAAAGGAAAAAAGATGTTTCATGCCCAAACCCAATCCAGGGCGAGGCATTGCATTTAGCTGCATTTAGTTGCTTTTCACCTGGAACAGCTCCTCAGCCTTTTATTTTTGTTTCCTGACATCATTGACATTTTTGGAATTCAAAATGTAGAATGTCCCTTAATTTGGGATTCCTTGATTTTTCCTCATGGTCAATTCAGGCTATGCCTTTTTGGCAATGCTACAAAAGTGATGCTGTATCCTCACCATCTGCAGGCAAACGAATGTTGATTTGTTAACTTTGATCATAATATGTGGTTATGAATCTTTTTAAATTGGCTGGGCATGGTGGCTTATGCCTGTAATCCCGGCACTTTGGGAGGCCGAGGCGGGTGGATCACTTGAGGTCCCAGCCTGGCCAACATGGTGAAACCCCATTTCTACTAGCTGGGCATGGTGGCGTGTGCCTGTAATCCCAGCTATTTGAGAGGCTGAGGCAGGAGAATTGCTTGAACCCGGGAGGCGGAGGTTGCGGTGAGCCAAGATCATGCCACTGCACTCCAGCCTGGGCAAGAGAGTGAGACACTGTCTCAAAAAATAATAATAAATAAAATAAAAAAAAAAGTGTAGTCATAGCACCCTGCAATGGACCCCGAGCACACAAGGCTCTTCGAATTTGTGGGGAGTCCCTTCTTGACCTCTCTCATGTTCTAGCCATGTTCTCTGCTTCTTGACTTTGAACTTGCTATTCCCTCTGCCTAGAACACTTCTCTCTGACCACTAATCCAATGCTTCCTTCTGCACTGGACTAACTTCTAACTAAGAGTCAGTTGAATGTCCCCTCCATCAGGAAGACTTCGCTGACCCTCCTCGCTCTCTGACCTATTGCTCTTCCAGGAGCGCCTCTTTATGTTTTATTACATTACTCATCACACTGAGATCCATTGGTTTATGTGTCTCTCCTGCTTTATCAGGAGCTCTCTGAGGATACATAGGGATCTTTTATTACAATATAAGTGCTCTTTATTCGCAGACCACCTGCAGTCAAACACATCTGGGTTCATTGACTCTTTACAGTGAGGAGGGAGAACACACACCACAGGGTACCCTGGGACATCTCAGTAACAGGCTGTTAGAAAGAACCTACTATAGGCCAGGCACAGTGGTTTATGCCTGTAATTCCAGCACTTTGGGAGGCAGAGGAGGGTGGATCACTTGAGGTCTGGAGTTCAAGACCAGCCTGACCAACATAGGGAACGCTGTCTTTACAAAAAATACAAAAATTAGTGCATGTGGCGGTGCATGCCTGTAATCCAAGCTACTTGGGGGGCTGGGGCTTGAATCTGGTGGGTGGAGGTTGCAGTGAGTGAGCGGAGATCGTGCCATTGCACTCCAGCTGGGGTGACAGAGCGAGATTCTGTCTCAAAAAAAAAAGTTGTTTTTTTTTTTTAAAAAGAAACTACTATAGAATTTGGCCTTGTATTAGGTGATGTGATTTTGGGGCGAGTCCAAGGATTGAATGCTGTCAGGGAGTAGGGGTGACTCCATGATTGGGCATTTTAATTTTCATCTAGAAGACAAGGAGAATGGGCTGAAGAACAAGCAGCCCTCACTCAGATAAGCCAGGATGGGGCGATGTTGAGTCATTTTTGTGATTCATTCTTTCCTTCCTTCCTTCCTTCCTTCCTTCCTTCCTTCCTTCCTTCCTTCCTTCCTTCCTTCCTTCCTTCCTTCCTTTCTTTCTTTCTTTCTTTCTTTCTTTCTTTCTTTCTTTCTTTCTTTCTTTCTTTCTTTCTTTCTTTTTCTTTCTTTCCTTTTTTTGAGACGGAATCTTGCTCTGTTGCCCAGGCTGGAATGCAGTGGCGTGATCTCCACTCACTGCAACCTCCACCTCCTGGGCTCAAGCAATTCTCCTGCCTCAGCCTCCTGAGTAGCTGGGACTACAGGCACGTGCCACCACACCTGGCTAATTTTTTGTATTTTTAGTAGAGACGGGGTTTCACCGTATTAGCCAGGATGGTCTCGATCTTCTGACCTCGTGAACTGCCCACCTTGGCCTCCCAAAGTGCTGGGTTACAGGCGTGAGCCACTGTGCCCGGCCTGTGATTTTTTTTTTTTTTTTTAGTAGAGACGGGGTCTCACTTTGTTTTGCCCAGGCTGGTCTCGAGCTCCTGGCCTTAAGCAATCCTCCTGTCTCAGCCTTCCAAAAGTGCTGGGATTACAGGTGTGAGCCACCACACCTGGCCCAGATTTTTAATTTTTTGTAGAGATGAGGTCTCCCTGTGTTGTCCAGGCTGGTCTCGAACTCCTGGGCTCAAGTGATTCTTCCACCTCTGCCTCCTGAAATGCTGGGATTACAGGCATGAGCCATCAGGTCCAGTCCATTTTTGTCATTTGGTCAGTCTATGATTAATCTTGTTTTTGTCTTGATCCATTGCAGTCCCAGAATGGCCTTGTCTGATGTTGGTGACCTCTGAAATTGTTCATGTTCAGCAGGAGAATGCCAAGGCCTAGCTGTGGGTGCCATGGCGGATTTTGGATGTCACAGACTGCTTTTCTTTCTTTTTTTTGGCTGTTGATCTTTTTTTTTTTTTTTTTTTACACTTTAAGTTTTAGGGTACATGTGCACATTGTGCAGGTTAGTTACAGATGTATACATGTGCCATGCTGGTGCGCTGCACCCACCAACTCGTCATCTAGCATTAGGTATATCTCCCAATGCTATCCCTCCCCCCTCCCCCCACCCCACCACAGTCCCCGGAGTGTGATATTCCCCTTCCTGTGTCCATGTGATCTCATTGTTCAATTCCCACCTATGAGTGAGAATATGCGGTGTTTGGTTTTTTGTTCTTGCGATAGTTTACTGAGAATGATGATTTCCAATTTCATCCATGTCCCTACAAAGGACATGAACTCATCATTTTTTATGGCTGCATAGTATTCCATGGTGTATATGTGCCACATTTTCTTAATCCAGTCTATCATTGTTGGACATTTGTGCTGTTTCCAAGTCTTTGCTATTGTGAATAATGACGCAATAAACATACGTGTGCATGTGTCTTTAGAGCAGCAAGATTTATAGTCCTTTGGGTATATACCCAGTAATGGGATGGCTGGGTCAAATGGTATTTCTAGTTCTAGATCCCTGAGGAATCGCCACACTGACTTCCACAATGGTTGAACTAGTTTACAGTCCCACCAACAGTGTAAAAGTGTTCCTATTTCTCCACCTCCTCTCCAGCACCTGTTGTTTCCTGACTTTTTAATGATTGCCATTCTAACTGGTGTGAGATGGTATCTCATTGTGGTTTTGATTTGCATTTCTCTGATGGCCAGTGATGATGAGCATTTTTAATTTCCCCTTTTGTCCAAGGTCAGATTAAGTAAAGGCCATAGGATGTGAATCGATGATTTTCTGATCTTCACCATTTACCAGGATTTTGCTGATCTACAGGTGGCTCCAAGAAAATTGTCTGTAGTAGGACAAGGGTTAGTCTCCCCACCCTTTAAAAAAATTTTTTGAGACAGTGTCTTGCTCTGTCACCTAGGCTGGAGTGCAGTGGCAGGACTGTGGCTTATTGCAGCCTTGACCTCCTGGGCTCAAGCAATCTTCCCATCTCAGCCTTGTGATTAGCTAGGACTATAGGCACACATCACCACCCCTGGCTAATTTTTTTTCTTATTTTTTGTAGAGATGGGGGTCACACTATGTTGGCCACGCTAGTCTCGAACTCCTGGGCTCAAGCAATCCTCCCACCTCAGCCTCCCAAAGTGCTGGGATTACAGGCGCAAGCCACTGTGCCTGGCCAGTTTTTATAAGACCAAAGTTTGGGGTTAATGATGCAAGGGAAACTTAAGAACCAGAAGGGGCTTACTAAAGGAAATGTACCTTCTGTAGTGTTTAAGGAAGAATGATTAATTTTTTTTGTCAGCAAACAGTTAAATTCAGAGCAGTAGCTATGCTCTGAGAAAAATCTATCAGGATGCTTTGTTTTTCTTTTTTTAATTTATTTCTGAGATGGGGTCTTGCCCTGTCACCCAGGCTGCAGTGCAGTGGCACGATCACGGCTCATTGCAGCCTCAACCTCCTGGGCTCAAGTGATCCTCCCACCTCAGCCTCCCAAGTAGCTGGGACTACAGGCACACTCCACCAAGTCTGGCTGATTTTTGTACTTGTTTTGTAGAGAGGGGGTTTTGCCATGTTGCCCAGGCTGTGTTTTTTCTTAAGTGAGAGGGGACTGTAAGGGTTCAGAAGTCACAGGATGAGGGTAAGGGAGAACACACTGAGAAGCCTTTTCGTCTGTTAGTATCATAGAGAGAGTGTAAAGCACAATAGGCAAGATGAGCAGGAGAGTGAAAGGAAAGAAAAGGGCTGCTAAGAATCAGAAAATTAACCTTGAGTTGAAGCTGGCCACTTCTGCAGTCAGCAGTTTCTGGAGGGCTTCTAAGAATGTCTTAATTTAAAGTGTCCCGATGGAATGGACATCCAGGAGTCAGGATAAACTGACTTTTTAAGTTGGGAAATGGGAACTTAAGTGTCCCGTTGGAGTTTTATTGCTGTGCAAGTTGCTAACAGTCCCTGATAAGGTCTTTTCCACGGAGACTCAAGTAGTTTTTCTCTGATGTCTTTTCAGAAAACCAAACCTTCAGGTTTGAGATCCTGCAGAGGCTGCTGAGGTGGGGGTTTTGAAAACGCAATTTACTAGGCGGGCGTGGTGGCATACGCCTGTAATCCCAGCTACTCAGGAAGCTGAGGCAGGAGAATCACTTGAACCTGGGAGGCATAGGTTGCAGTGAGCGGAGATTGGGCCACTGCACTCTAGCCTGGGCAATAGACAGAGCCAAACTCCGTCTCAAAACAAACAAAAAAGAAAATGCAGTTTATACCTGTTGGTGAGAAAGCTGGAGGTATTGTAGGAGTCCCCTGCAGTAATGAGTCATATCAGCCTGTAATAGAGTGGAGTCTAGCATTGGGAATACTTTCCAAATGCATAGGGAAACCTGTTATTATCTCAGAAGCAGATAACTTGTGAATCCTTTGGGGGGGGATGCAGATCTTATTGCCATGAAAAATAATGGCAATACTTGAGGCTATGGAAGTTCAAGGGGTTTCTAAGAGCTTTGATTATTGTGGTTTTCGAATTCCAAGAGTTCTCTGTTTTTTTTTGTTTTGTTTTGTTTTGTTTTTTGAGACAGAGTCTCGCTCTGTCACCCAGGCTGGAGTGCAGTGGTGCAATCTCGGCTCACTGCAACCTCCACCTCCCAGGTTCAAGCAATTCTCCTGCCTCAGCCTCCCAAGTAGCTGAGACTACAGGCGTGCACCACCACGCCCGGCAATTTTTTTTTTTATTTTTTTATTTTTAGTAGAGACGGAGTTTCACCATGTTGGCCAGGCTGGTCTCGAACTCCTGACCTCAGGTGATCAGCCTGTCTTGGCTTCTCAAAGTGCTGAGATTACAGGCGTAAGCCACCATGCCTGGCCAGTTCTTTGCAATTTTTCTGAATTGACAGTTGATAAGGACCGTGCCACTTTAGGAAATGAGAATAAAAAATCACCTTCAGTGACTAGTGTTTTCTATCTATTCCTTACTCAGAAACTGTCAGTTTCTTATGTGTCCAAAGATTATTTATTAATGAACTTAATCTTTTGTCTTAAGTCTTAAAGTTGGGATCTAGAGATTTCAATTTTAGCCAATACATTAAATCCTTATGATTTGTAGAAATTTAAGAATTTTTCAGGCTGGGTGCAGTGGCTCACACCTGTAATCCCAGCACTTTGGGAGGCTGAGGCAGGAGGATCACTTGAGCCCAGGAGTTTGAGACCAGCCTGGGCAACATAGGAAGACACTGTATCTACAAACAAAAACAAAAACAACAACAAAAATTATTTCATGAAGGTGCAGAATGACAAAATATAATAAAACAGAAAAAAAATTAGCCAGGCCTGGTGGCTCATGCCTGTAGTCCCAGCTACTCAGGAGGCTGAGGTGGGAGGATCGCTTGAGCCCAGGAGGTCGAGGCTGCAGTGAGTTATGATTGCACCACTGCACTCCAGCCTGTGTGACAGAGTGAGACCCTGTCTCAAAAAAATTTTTTTTTTCATAAAATTAAACTATTTAAAAAGACACCTGTTAGTATTATTCCTTTCAGTCGTTCATATATATATGAAGTTATAGAAACAATGGTAATTTACTTAACCCATAAAATCAGTGTAGGAAATTTAGAAAGCTTAAGTAATTTAATCCTGATTTTTGTACAAGCAAAAATATTGTTCTGACATTACTTTAAAATGGTAAACTATTTTTAAAGATCTTCAATCATAATTGAAAGCTCTTCTTTATCTTGAAATTAAATTCTTTTCTTATTTTTTCATAAGTATAATAACAAAGACTATTGTGTTAAATATACTTTCTAGTGTCCCCGAAAAGAAACACATTCAATAACTTTTTCTTTCCTTTAGACACTTTTGACAGTTTATCCAGACTAGATATTTCTAGAGTGTACGCAGAACAACTAAATTTTTTTTTTTGAGACAAAGTCTCGCTCTGTTGCCCAAGATGGAGTGCAGTGGTGTGATCTTGGTTCACTGCAACCTCCGCCTCCTGGGTTCAAGGGATTCTTTTGCCTCAGCCTCCCAGGTAGCTGGGTGCCCACCACCACACTTGGCTAATTTTTGTATTTTTAGTAGAGACGGGGTTTCACCATGTTGGCCAGGCTGGTCTTGAACTCCTGACCTCAAATGATCCACCTGCCCTGGCCTCCCAAAATGCTGGGATTACAGGCGTGAGCCACTGTGCCTGGCCCTGAATTTTTTTTTTTTTTTTGATCAGTTAATCTTTAAAGTTTCCCAAGGGAGTAAAAGAGAGGGAGAGGAACAACAACAACAAAAAGCCAGCTTCAGACAAATATGAAATTATCATTTATTAGGTTGGTGCAAAAGGAACTGCCATTACTTTTAATGGCAAAAGCTACAGTTACTTTTGCATCAACATAATAAAAGGTTAATTTTGTTCTTTCTTGAAGGACAGGGAAGAATATATAAACATAGAAAGACCATTTTGACAAGCACACTGGGGGGTGGGGAGGGAGACAGAGTACAGAGTACAGTATTGTCTAAACCAAGTTATTGGTTTAGACAATAACTTGGGCCTTTGACAGTTTTATCCATGTAAAGAATTTTAAAGCTACCACTCATTAATCCTTGAAATGTGGAAACAAAGGAGGGGGGGTCACCTACCCCCCAAAATAATTTTTCTTTTAGGCAAAACCAAATAATCTCCTAATAAGGTTTTCTTCACTCTTTGTTCTAAGATGCCTCTTAAATGAACAATCTTGTTCATCTCAAAAGTTCCCCAATGTGGCCGCAGTAATTTCAAACTGACCCTAGAGAAATTTTGCCATATGGTGAATATTATAGTAGGAAAACATGAAGGAAGCAGGTATTTAGTATCAAAGACTTGCAGTTTTAGACTTGGAAGACCCCATGTGAATGTTCATGGGCTGTAATGATGACGCTTGGGCAACTTTGTGTCTATGGAACCTGGCTGAAGGCCAATCATTACCCGTCAAGAGGCCATGTAAAACTTCCTGATTCCAGGCTGATTAGTTTGTTTTTAACTTTGAGACTGGGTTTCACTCTGTTGCCTAGGCTAGAGTGCAGTGGTGTGATCATGGCTCACTGCAGCTTTGACCTCCTGGGCTTAGGTGATCCTCCTGACTCAGTTTCCCTAGTAGCTGAGACCACGGATGCATGCTGCCACACCCAGCTAATTTTTAAAATTTTTGTAGAGACAGAGTCTTGCTATGTTGCCCAGACTGGTCTTGAACTCCTGGGCTCAAGCGATCCTCCTGCCTCGGCCTCCTGAAGTGCTGAGATCACAGGGATGAGTCACCCACGCCTGGCCAGAGTATAATTTGATTAGTTTTGACATATGTATACATGTCTAGAACTATCTCCACCACCAAGATAATGAACATTCTGGTCACCCCCAAAAGTTTCCTCCTGCCCTTTTATTATCCCTTCCTCCCACCTTTCCCTGCTCCTAACCCCCAGGCAACCACTAGTCTGCTCTCTGTCACTCCAGATTTGCTCCTATTTTGTAGTTTTTTTGGTACCTGGGATTATATTTATACAGTATGTATTCTGTTTTGTCTGGCTGAGCATAATTACTTTGAAATTCTTCTCTCCCAGTCTGTGATTTCTCTTTTCAGTCTATTAATAGCATCTTGCAAAAAGTAGTGGTTTCGGCTGGGCATGGTGGCTCACGCCTATGATCCCAGCACTTTGGGAGGCCAAGGTGGGAGGATTGCTTGAGTCTAGGAGTTCAAAACCAGCCTGGGCAACATGATGAGACTCTGTCTCTATTAAAAAAAAAAACAACCTATCTCTCACCATATACAAAAATCAAATCAAAATGGACTTCAAACTATGAAACTACTACAAGAAAACATTGGGGAAAATCTCCAGGACATTAGTCTGGGCAAAGATTTCTTGAGTAATAACCCACAAGCACAGGCAACCAAAGAAAAATGGACAAATGGGATCACATCAAGTTAAAAAGCTTCTGCACAGCAAAGGGAACAATCAACAAAGGGAAGAGACAACCCACAGAATAGGAGAAAATATTCACAAACTACCCATCTGACAAGGGATTAATAACCAGAATATATAAGGAGTTCATACTATAGGAAAAAAATCTAATGATCTGATAAAAAAAATGGGTATGCCCCCACACCCTAATTTTTAATTTTTAATTTTTTTGTACAGATGGGGTCTCACTGTGTTACTCAGGCTGGTCTGGAACTCCTGGGCTCAAGTGATCCTCCCACCTCGGCCTCCCAAAGTGCTGGGATTACAGGTGTGAGCTAATGTGCCTGGCCAACTGTAGGGTTTTTTGTAGGTGTTCTTTATAAGGTTCTGGGTAGATATCCTTTATTCAGCTTCTATTCACAGTTTGCTGAACACTATTATCAGCAGTAGATACTGTCAAATGTTTTTATTTATTTATTTTATTTTTTTGAGACAGAGTCTCGCTCTGTCACCCAGGCTGGAGTGCAGTGGCACAATCTTGGCTCACTGCAACCTCTGCCTTCAGGGTTCAAGCGATTCTCATGCATCAGCCTACCAAGTAGCTGGGATTACAGGCACCTGCCACCACGCCCGGCTAATTTTTGTATTTTTAGTAGAGACGGGGTTTTGCCGTGTTGGCCAGACTGGTCTCAAACTCCTGGCTTCAAGCGATCCACCCGCCTCAGCCTCCCAAAAAGTGCTGGGATAACAGGTGTGAGCTACAGCACCTGGCCTCAAATGCTTTTTATGTATCTATTGAGATATGGTAAATTACACTGATTGATTTTCAAATGTTAAGTCAACCTGCATGTCTGGGATAAATCTTACTTTTGATATATTCTTCGATTAAATTAGCTAACGTTTTGTTAAGAACTTTTGCATTGTTTTTATTTTTATTTTTGAGAGGGAGTCTCACTCTGTCACCCAGGCTGGAGTGCTGTGGCATGATCTCAGCTCACTGCAACCTCTGCCTCCTGGGTTCAAGTGATTCTCCTGCCTCAGTCTCCCAAGCAGCTGGGGTTACAGGCACCCACTACCACGCCCAGCTAATTTTTGTATTTTTAGTAGAGACAGGGACTTCACCATCTTGGCGAGGTTGGGTCTTGAACTCCCAGCCTCAAGTGATCCTCCTGCCTTGCCCTCCCAAAGTGCTGTGATTACAAGCATGAGCCACCACGCCCAGCCACTTTTTGCATTAATTTTTATGAAGGATATTGGTCTCTAGTTTTCTTATGTATTTGTCTGGTTTTGGTATCGGGGTAATGCTGGCTTCATGGAATGAGTTGAGAAGTATTCTCTCCTGTCCAATTTTTTGGAAGAGTTTATGTATAATTAGTATTATCTGTTTCTTAAGAGCTTGTTAGAATTTACCAGTGAAGTCATCTGGGCAGAGTTTCTTCAAAGGAAAGTTTGACTGCAAATTCAATTCATTTAATAATAAGGAGCTATTCAGGTTATCTCCTTTTTTTTTTGAGATGGAGTCTCACTCTGTCACCCAGGCTGGAGTGCAGCGGCACAATCTCGGCTTACTGCAACCTCTGCCTCCTGGGTTCAAGTGATTCTCGTGCCTCAGCCTCCTGAGTAGCTGGACTACAGGTGCGCACCACCATGCCCGTACTTTTAGTAGCAATCTGTACTTTTAGTAGAGATGGGGTTTCACCATGTTGGCCAGGCTGGTCTCGAACTTCTGACCTCAGGTGATCCACCCACATTGGCCTCTCAAAGTGCTGGGATTACAGGCATGAGCCACCGCGCCCAGCCTGTATGTTTGTTTGTATTTATTTATTTATTTATTGAGACGGAGTTTCCCTCTTGTTGCCCAGGCTGAAGTACAATGGCACAATCTCGGCTCACTGCAACCTCCACCTCCTGGGTTCAAGCGATTCTCCTGCCTCAGTCTCCAGAGTAGCTGGGATTACAGGCTGGTCTCGAACTGCCAACCTCAGGTGATCTGCCCGCCTTGGCCTCCCCGACTGCTGGGATTACAGGCGTGAGCCACTGTGCCCGGCCAATATTTAAAGTGGGCTTCTTGTAGGCAGCATAGAGTTGCATTCTTTAACCTCCAAGCTTGGCTCAGGTATCTGGGGTGTTTTAAGAACTCAACTCTCAGGCCATTCACTTCCTTTTAGGAAGCTCTGATAACGAAAGCATTTATCATAATGAGCTACATGTGCCTTCTATAACTTCCCCCGTGGAGTAACACTCAAGGAATTATTTCTACTTCCCCAGGACAGTTTTTCAGACAACAGGACCATACAAACCTATGGGCAACTCCTCAGGCAGTGCCAGATTCAGCCACGGTGGATCCAGCAGGCCCATGGAGGATTATCCAAGGCTACCTAAGAAGTACCAAAGGCTACCTTGGAAAAAGTGTTGGGGGGATGGGACGAGAAAGAGAAAACTAATTTCTCTAGGGGAGGATTCTATTGATCAAAAAAAAACACTGGTTTTCCATTTAATGGAAAGAGTTTCAACTAATGAAAGTACAGGACCAACCTAGAGTATCACAGCAGAGATGGACATACTGGGAAAGGAACATTCCCCCAAAAGGGTAGGGAGCACTTGCAGTATGCCTAGTGTATTAGTTTTCTATTTCTGCTGTAAAAATTACCACAAATTTAGTGGCTTAAAACAACACAAATATATTCTCTTAAGAGTTCAGGAGGTCAAACGTCTAAAATCACAGCATAGGCAGGGCTGAGTTGTTTCTGAAAACCTTCTGAGGTGGGGTCTGTTTCTTGTCTTTTTCCATTTCTAGAGACTGTCTGCATTCCTTGGCTCATGGCTCTTCTTTGCATCATTCCAACCTCCCGCTTCCATTGTCACATCTCTTATTACTGACTTGGATACTCCTGCCTCCCTCTTATAAGCACCCTTGTGACTATATTGGTTGGGCCCACCTAGATAATCCAGGATAACTTCCCCATCTTAAGGCCCTTAAATTTTTATTTTAGAGTCGGGGGTATATGTGCTTGTGTGCTACATGTGTAATGGTTGGGGTCGAAAGCCCTTAACTTTAATTACATCTGCTAAACCCCTCTTACCATGCAAGGTAGCATATTCGCAGGCTCCAGGGATTAGGACATGGACATCTTTGGGGGGGCATTATCTATCTTTACTATGCCCAGTTGCAAGTTAGATTAGCTACGGAGAAGGCAAATCCACCAGGTCCTAGATCTGTGAGGTCTGTACTGTTCAGATTTGTGTGACGTATCTTGTGTTTTGGATGTGAACCTCTAAACTGACTTTGTGTTAGATGACTAATTGTGGTCCAATCAACTCTGTCCAGGCATCACGGATAAAGTGGTACAGAATCCTTACAACCAAACCCCAACTCAGGTTGGTTTCCTCAGGAAGAAACTGAGTAAGAGTGTTTAGAGAGGGGGCTTTGGGCACAGGAGTCAAGCAAAGTGACTAAAAGTATGAGTTGTAGAGGCAAGCTCACAGGTTCTAGCTTTGAACAACTGTCTTAAACATTTGGCCTCAGTTTTCACGTATCAAATGCAGCTGATAGTATTATCTTCATATGGTTGTTGTGAGAACTAAATATAAGGTAGCCCCATGTAAAAGGCTTAGCAAAAGGCCTGCCATAGGTTAAGGGCTTGATGAATATTGTAACTTTTATTATTTGAAGGCTTGACTGGTCCCAAACAAGTTTCCTGGCTTGTCCGACCAAGGTTTTTTTTTATTTATTTTTATTTTTTTTTAATAAGATGGAGTTTCATCATGTTGCCCAGGCTGGTCTCGAACTCCTGGGCTCCAGCGATCCTCCCCACCTCAGCCTGCCAAAGTGGTGGGATTACAGGCATGAGCCACCATGCCCGGCCCCAAGTAGCTGTCTTGAAACTGACCTTTAGCTTGAAACTGCTCATGCAGCTCTCAGTCCATCTTTAAGGACTGGAGGACAAGACACGGGCACAAATTCTGCCCCAAAGATGCAGGCAGCACTGTCTGATCTTGTTCATTGTTGTCCTTGAAGGCAAATATGACTGAAAAGACTGAGTGGCCACAGTACTGCACACAGCTAACCACCACTTTGTGAACACTGTTGTTGCTTAACCCCTAGAGCCACCTTTGTTTGAAGAGCTAGGGGGAGGGGAAAGAACCAGAGATCCAGTTTTGTAAAGTAGAAAAGTTAAGGTGAAGAGAGGAAAAATCTGTTACCAGAACACTGGCACCTATGCCAGGCTTATCTGAAGCAGGAATACGTATTTAATGTTTTTTTCCCTAAGCAGCAGCTGAAAGATCTAAAATGGTACTGGTCCAACCCGAAGTGTCTTTCTGTTGTGAGGCTGAAGTGATTATAATTTTCAAAATTTCAGCAATTTTTCGAATGAAGTTTTCTCATGTGAGAAATGACTATAAAATAACGAGATCCATTTCCACGTGTGGTGTATGAAAGCAGTGTCATTACATTATGGCAATACTTTAGAAAGCAATGTTGAGCAAAAAGTGGTTCCGCAAATGGCCTCCCAATTCAGATAACTCGCTGTAATCAGTACAGCTTGAACAGACCAATTCCATCTTTCCACCTTGTTTATAACCTGATATTCAGTTATAATAAATGAAATTGAGAAGAAGAGTGCAAGTAGTGAGAGGAGGGGAAAGAAATTTAAAGCTTGGGGCATTCAAGCCTTGAGGCTGGACTGCTCATATCCAAATCCATCTTAACAAAATGAGAAATGATGGATGCTCTAAGACCCTAAAAAAAAAAAAATCATCAGTGGCAGGCATCATGGCTCATATGCCTGTAATGCCAGCACTTTGGAAGGCCGAGGCGTGAGGATTGCTTGAGCCCAGGAGTTTGAGACCAGCCTGGGCAATATAGTGAGACTCCATCTCTACAAATAGAAAAATGTAGCCAGGCATGGTGGCATGCTCCTGTAGTCCCCAGTTACTCTGGACCTGAGGCGGGAGGATTGTTTGAGTCCACGAGTTGGAGGTTACAGTGAGCTCTGATCATGCTGCTGCACTCCAGCCTGTGTGACAGAACGAGACCCCAACTCAAGAAAAAAAAAGATGATCAGTGACTACATAGAGTAGGGGACACTAGTCTGGGGCTTGATCCTCCTTAACCTTGATTTATTTGAAGAACAACTATCCTCACATCTTCAGGTCATGCAATTTGTTCCAATCTGTATAGTATAATTAACCGTATTCAAAGGAACTTCTTTTACAGTGCTAGATTGTTATAAAGCTCCCACATAGAAGTGATAGCCTCAGGGTGGGTCTTTATTAACTAAAAATTACTTAAAAAAATCCAAGCTTGCATGGTTGTTAGTTAAAAGAATAAAAAAACCCCACACAATTGCTGCTTTCTATTAATATTAAACTTGAAAATAGCTGAATTAAGGTTGTGAAAATCTAATAAAATTTATAAATAAGTTAGATTTTTTGGAAAATATCACATGAAAGCTATTCAGTGGTAAATAAGTTTTCATTTCTATCATGTACTTTTCCTCAATTCTGAAAGGTCAGCAAGCATACTGAGGATTTTAAAGTCCTAGAAGGAAAATAACCCAGGATTGTGCATTCTTTGGCTTATCCTCTGAATTTAAAGTTGCTTCAACACAAGGACAAAGATTCATCTCCCATTGGAAATGTACACATTAGTATAAACTCAATAGCTTTTGTTGGCTATAACAGGGTATACCTGTAGTTTCAGTTCTCTAGCAGAGAGAGAGAGAAAGAGAGAGAGAGAGAGAGAGAACCAACTTCACCTTTTACCTATCTTCACTACTGATTTACCCAATGACCTTTGGCAAGTACATTTTTCAATCATGAAAATGTTTATAATGCCTAAAAGCCCCCCTTGACACCACATAACCCCATGACATCAACATACTCACAAGACTCCAAATAGAGATGCCTGACTGAAGCCTTTTCAATCTTGTCACTTTAGATAGGATCTATCTCTCTGGTGATGTTTTATGATGATCCTAAGGCCTTTATCTTAACAGTCTGATAAAATCATGATTTCTGGGTAAAGTTCAAGTATCCAGAGTTCTCCTGGGTCCCCGGTATTGACTCGAATGTTGAATGTGTGCTTCTAAACATTCAATTCCTCCTCTTCCTCCTCCCTCTCCCCACACTATCTGTTTTGTTCAGTGAATATAATTTTTTAAATATAAAAGGAACATGTGTAACCAATATGCCAAAATAAAAAACACACTGACAGTAGGTAGCAGTTTTCATAATTTAATGAAAAAGTATTGGTAAAAAGGGGACATTTGAAAAAGGACTGAGCTTATCTTGGAAAACTGGACTATATAAGACAAAATGAAAAAAATTAACAAAGAAGGTTAAGAGGTAATACTTCAAACAACAAAATGTAGCAAATACATTTTGGGGTAATTGAAATTTACAACTGAAGGCTCCTTCATTTACCTAGGAATATCCTGTAAAAATATTACAACTATATTTCCCTGACGAATGATATTTTAGTCAATACTCTCCCAATGGCATTACATATGGAATTTGGCTGAAGCACTGTTTTGATGTTTGCTTTTCCTCCCACTCAGAATTGAAAGGCATGAAGGGACAAAGGCTACCGCACTGGCCTCTGACATAAGGAATTTATAACACAGCTCCATCATAATTTCATTACCATGAAGGTATCAAATTAATATCTACTCCAGAGAACTCAAAGAAAAAGCACAGAAACCTAGTGCATAAATAGGGGAAATTCTCTTCCTCATTTTGATAGTTTTTTTCCCAAACAAAATACAGGACACCTACCACACATGCTATGGCATGTTTACACATGTACATAGGCACAAAAGAAATATTTTGAAGATGTAGCCAAAAGAGAGGCAAAACACATACATTTTCAGAAAAGGAGAAAGCAAAAAGCAAAGGAACCCATTAACAACGTTACAAGAACACAACTGGGGGAGAGGAAAACTGCTGAGTTTTCCATATTGACGGAGAGAGGGCCCCTGCCTTGACTGACTGGCACCTACTACAACTGGGCTGTTTCACCAGTAAGAAGCTTTAAAAATGGAAAATGGCCTCTTTTGTCTGAATATTCCCACTACACTTTCCAAAACTAGAAGAAAGAGAATATTAATTTAAGGCTAAGAAGAAAAGAGAGCTGAGAATTATAGTCTGCTTCACATTTAAAAAACGGCATCATTTCTCTCTTATTTAAATGAGAAGCAGACATGTTTTTATCCACCCCCCCCCCCGCAAATGTAATTATTCTCTTCCTACTAGAAATTAATCAAGGCTGATAGTTTGGGAACAGGGTATAAGCAACTTCTGAAAAATGGCTCCAGCCTTTTTGTTTGGGAAACTGCCTCAGATTCAAAGGTGACACAAAGCTAAATTATATCCATGTGTTAAACACATGCTTTCAAATTCTGTTTGACAATAAAAATCTGTTTCAAAATTAAAGCAGGTAAGAATACTTAACCTCTGTGCATTTTACTATATTTTAATTATACCTCAATAAAAATTTTATAAACATTAAAGCAGGTATACAAAAACTGTCAGCCAAACTTATTTTAGTCAAACTTATTTGAAAACAACACAAAAACCCTGACCTGGTACAAATACCCCAGAAATGGTCTCACTTTGGGAAAGGCTCTGGAATCCTTCACAAATGCCTAAACAGAGAATCAGAGCATTTTCCTTGGAAGTAGTACTTTTGTACTTTTGTAAACACTATCCACAAGTTAGCCTTTTATGCTTGTCAGTCAGGTGAAATAGTTATGAGTGTGTCCCCAACAAGCAAGTTTAGGAACAGGCACTGGACACTGATAAGCATGAGGAGTATTGACTCAGTAAGTTAAGATACTGTGAAAGAAACTCAACCTTGTGCAGAACAAAGGAAGACAGTAGTGAGTTTGACAGTATCTAAGATGGTGGTCTCCTGGTCTCTCCCCTGAAAAGGGTTTATAGATACCAGTGGAATTAGAAACTTCCTACAGACAGGAGCTCTGGGGAGTCACATGCTGTAGCTTCAAAAGATAAGTAGTTTTAGTGTCTGATAATCATGGTCTCTTGCAAATCAGTTAACAATGCAAGGACTCTTAATACATATACTTGTCAATGTGTTATATAACCGGAAAGCTGCCCCAAAATATTTACTGAGCAAATACCCTGGGCCCAGCTGTTCCCAATAGCCTCTGACAAACCAACCTCTGGACAACCTGCAATTACTGTAATGTGCTTGTAAAAACTAGACTTGAAACATTTTCAAAAACTGCAAGACAATTTACTATGGAAAAATGTTATCCTTTTCACTGCAATTCCTCTTAACATATGCTAAAATCCTTTTGGTGTATGGGTTTTCCCCAATATATGGGGCAAAGGCAAAGGTTGGGTCATCCTTGGAAGTTTCTAATCACCTTTGCATTGAACTGTGGGAAAGGGGATGTGTCTTGCTTTTACCATGGCAATCCCGTCTAGAGTCATGGGGAGGATTTTCCCTGTCTGAGCTATCTTTCCTTACCCTGACTTTTTCTTTATTCCCATCACTTTCTGCCTCTGAATCACTCAGCTCCAAATCTGGGCAATAGCCATCATTTTCCTGATATGGAGCTCTCCCTGCAGACCGCCTGAGAACCTGTCTACCCCAGAACTGCTCCTTGGGGCTCATATTCTTGGTTGGCTTCACATAGCACTGGAGGTCCTCTGTGTTCTTCACCCACCTATTGGTGGTCTCTTTAAAGGACCTACTAAAGTGTTCTACAGTGGATTTTCTAAAGCTGCCCTGACTGACCAAGTGGGGGCTGAACACAGGCTCCTGGTCACAGAACATCTCACTCGAGCTGTCTTTTTGGGTGACATTCCCAGACCAGCTGCCCTCCAGGCCATTGGATTTGGCAAACTTGGAGTTAGGCTGACTTTTCCCATTCCCAATGGAAGACTGTCCATGGAGGGCAGCCTGAAGGACCAGAGGCTTTCCCAGTGACTGCCCATGATAGCACTCCGAGGACGGGGTTCTCCAAGCAGGACTGGACTCCTTTGCTTCACTCCTAGAATGGCTGAGACTGGCCAGCAAACGGTTATTCTTGCTCTCTAGTGGGTATCTCGGATACGATTTTGTTCTCATTTCTAGTGACTCCTGAGGCACCTGCATGTTCCTTATACTGTGAACAGATGAGCTGCTGTCAGGAGAGTGGGGCTGCTGATCGGTTTCTGTGGAGCTGTTTCTGTGGTCTTCTGGGGTTGATTTGGGCATTTTTAACTTCAAGGTAATTCTTGGTGGTGGGTAAAACAGTGAGTTTTCAAGTGCATTTGTCAAAGGAAGCCCTGAGATAAAAAAGAAAGATTCGTTTTAACAACCGATTTAAATAATGGCTTTTGTGCTTATGGCAGAGTGAGTTCACATACCTACTCTTCCAAATGTTTAACAAGCACCTGGCTCTGCTATGTATGTATATCATGGTGTAGCAGCTGGAGTGAGCTGAACTAGAGGTTGGGGCCAAGAATGAACTCAGCAATGCCACTGTTTGCTATATGGCTCCACACCTCTTCACCTCTGCTCTTTCAGTCTGTAAAATGATCACAAACTAGTGTGTTGCCTCCTGCGTCCCATCTCTGCCCTTCCATTTCTGAGAAGAATGTCTCTAGCAATGGTTTAGAATAGGGTCTTCCTATTTGTGTGTCTGTGCATGCATGTGTTGGTATGGCACAGCACTTAGTATGTGTCTTAAACACACACATTTCAGGCCCCATCCTCTAATCTCTTCTGGCCTTCCTGAAGCAAGGCAAACACAAACCTTCAGAAACGTTGCAAGGGTTTTGGTGGGTGAAGAGTATGTATGTGTTTGAACTTGGCATTAGAGGTGATAGTTGGGTGGTTCCCATAAATTTTATATCCTTAACCTAGAATAATTTCCTGACTACAAATGAACATTATGGTGGTGGGAGGTTTTGTAGTGGTAAGGCCAGCAGAAAAGAATCATAACATTCCTGCCAACCAGCCTGCTATAGGATTGGTTGGGGAGTATCGGCAATCAGTTTCTCAGTTAAGTCATCCTACAATCACAGTCAGAGCAGGTCTTCTTCTATTATTTCAAGTACTTTGAAATTTAAAAAGCACTATCAAACAATTCCTCCTTGTATATGGACTTGACCTTTGCCCATTACCATCTTACTGTACCCTCACAAAAATGAGATATCAAGAGGACAGCTCTTAGGTATCCCAGTGGGCAGCATTTGTTCCCCAAAGGTCCACCTTGAACACCCACAACCCCCATCTCTGTCAGGAGCTGTCACCTGCTGATGCTGCAAGTCATAATGAGGTTGACTCCTACACATCAGAAGGCATGTGGGTAGGAGCCAATTTCCTTGGCATGCAGGGACTCTCCCTGTTGTCCTCTGCTTCTCCTTGTTTTGCTTGTCATGTTGCCCTTTGTGGCTGAGCAGTCTTGCTGCCTCCTGCTACACTACTCTGTTGAGACCCATGACACTCAGATACCCCAAGGCCTCTGACACCCACCTGTCACCTCATTTCTGAGTCTCTCTCATGCTCCATGGCTGACCCTCCCTTGGCAGGAGCTGATTCTGCACACCCTGTCCAGTGACCCCTAGTTGCCCAGGCTCTGCCATTGACCTCTGTGTTAAATGAGGCACAGGGAGTTTACAGGTGTCACTGAATATGACTGTCATCATTCCAGCCCAGCTCCCTATGCTTAGGGCACTATAATTATGCTCACCTGTCTTGCTCACCAAGTGGGCAGTGTACCCTACAGGCAGGGATTTTGTCTTGCTTTCTACTGTATCTTGTAGCTCAGCTCTTAGTCCACTGTAGGTGCTCAACAAATATTAGTGAATAAATGAAAAGATAACAACTCAGATCTCCAAACTTACTTCTGGCTAAGGATTTGTTTTAATAGACTATTGTTAAGATGAGTAACCCTAGAATTAAGTGTTTTCTGGAAACGTGTTAGATCCTATCCCGTCAATTTCTAAATGAATTTGATAATTACAGAATAATTTCATGGCTTCCACTAATGGCCTCGAATATCTGTTTGGGACCTAGATTACCTGCCCTAGACCTGCAACTCCTCCTACCCCACCCTGGGATTTCTTGCCTTATGAACTGACAGTGAAATGGGCCAGGTTATATTAAGATTAGACTGAAGCAAATGAGATATCTGACAAGAATTTTAAAAGATTTTTAAGTGGAATGACTGGCATGAAATTTAAATTGTTAAGATAGGATATAACCAGAGTCTACATATTTGTTAGGACATTTTAAATATACAGGTTACCTGCATCAATTTCTTGGTTAAGAAGCTGGACTTGCAAACCGAAGATCTGTTCCTGTATTTTGTTGTGTGACAGCTTCAGCTTCTCTCGTCTGCTTATCATATAGCACAGATTTCGGACCTGAAAGCCCAATCCCCAACAAATAGAGATGTTTGTCATGTTAAGCAAACCTGACAACTGAAATTGTTTGGCTAAAATAAAGACCTAAAGTCAGGTGGGGGTGAGGAGAGAAGACAGAATCCAAGAGCTGCAGAATGAGACCCACTCCACAGGAATTCACACAGCATGGTCAATTCTGGGATCTATCAACCAATAGTAAAAGCAAAATGCTCCAAATCTGCCTTCTGAAACCTACTCTCTTTGCAGTGTCATGGGCTTGATATTTATTTGCACAGCCAGGTTGGGAAGCTGAATAATGGTTTAACAATTCAGCCTTCCCTTTAGATCCCTGAGTACGAATGATGGCAATGCTGGCTGTATCCAGTACAATTTTCTAATCAGTGCCGGACGAGCAGGATACAGTTCCACTGGGAAGACTAGAAGTGTTTTTTTTGCTCACACTTTCAGCTCAACCAAGTTTCCACAGCCACAAAGGTGAAATACTCTCTCTCTCATACTCCCTACCTAGGCAAGTTACACAAACTTTCTTTGCCCCAGTTTGTTCATCTGTAAATAGTGATGATGATAATAATAGTTTTTCATGGGCATGTTAGAATTAAATGAATTAATATTTATAAAATGCTTAGGACAGTGTTGGCAATAATAGTAATAGTAGGTGCTATATGTGAGTGTCTTAAATTTTTAAAAGTGAGCCAAATCTATTAGTTCTCTTTCAAATTCTGGTAGCAGAGAAAAAAAAACACAAGCCATTTATAGATTTACATTTAATTAGAAAATTCTCTAGGATAAACACAGGGCTTAACTTACCTTTGAAGCCCTGCAGTATCTCATTTAGTAGATACCTGATAAATATACCATGAGTTATATTGAATTATCATGTGGAGTGGCTCTCAACTGGAGAGCAAATTTGGTAATTTGCAGACATTTTTGGTTGTCACGCTGGGGGTGTGTGTGCGGGTGCTACTGGCATCTAGTGGGTAGAGGCCAGGGATGCTGGTAAACATCTTAAATTGCCCCTACAACAAAGGACAGCCCCCTAACAACAAACAACTATCCAGTCCAAAATGTCAACAGTGCCAAGTTTGTGAAACTCTAATTTGGTGTTTTCCTGAACAAAATTCACTCTTTCTTCAGCCTAAAGTCTCATAAATATGTCAGTAAAATATGGATGGGCCAATTTAGGCTCAACAGTGAATAAAAAGTAAACCAAATGAGAGTTTATTTCAAATGTAAAGTTCATAGAGCATATACCCGAGGCCTCCCAAATCCCCTGGATGTGCCTGTCAGAATTTACACAGAGCCCAATGTCTGGGGCCATAAAGAGATCAGAAGATAAGCAAGGACACAGAAGCCCACACTATTATGAGCTGACTGACCATTATTAAACCAGAAGTGGGACCTCCATTTCTACACAGACCGAGGCCTATATACTAGTCACAGCTGGTCACCTTACCCTCTCCAGGTCCTGGCGTAGATGCATAAACATTCTCATTCGAGTGTGAATGCTTTCCTCTTTTGGCTGCACCAGCCCATTTTCTTCATCCTCCTTTGGAGGAAATAATGGCTTATTGAAGTTACTTTTCCGCTTCAGTTTCCAGTAGTTATAGATAAAGTCCACAGCTAGCGTGGGCATACCCAGCTCTGCGGCCACATCTTCCACTCGTACCAAGGAATAGAACTCCTCCTCCAGCTCCCGAAGCTTCTGTGCCCGCAGGCTGGTTTTCTCACTTTTGGCCTGGCTCTGCTCTTTAGCCCTGTGGTGGGGGTACTCAGCTTCTCCAAGTTTCTGCCTGTTTTGGCTATGCTTGAGGCAATATGACTTGAACTTCACTTCGTCTCCCTCATCTAGGATGGTCTTCATCTCTAGGCCGTGCTCAAAGGCACAGGTGACGTGGAAGGCAGTGATGCAGCTTTTTATAGAGCACTGTAGGAAGAAAATAGGTGTCAAGGTAGCAGAGTTGGAGGAAAAGGGAGAGACCTATGTTTCTGGACCTAAATTGATAGCTTGTAGGAAGCAAAAGAAAGACCGGGAGAAAGTTAGTCCTAAACTGACCATAACAGATGCTTTACAAGTAACCCAAGAAACCTGTTCTTACAGAAAACAGCAAACACAGAGGCCAAAAATAATTCAAACACTCCTTTTGAGGTTTCAGCTCAAGCATTCAAGCATCAAGTTTTCTGAGATGCTTTCCTGGGCTCCTGTAAACAGTCATGTAGTCTCTTCTCTGTGTCTCCCACATCACCCTATGAATGCTTTTAAAATGGTACTTTTCACACTGTACCTATAACAATTGTCAAGTCCTTAGGGATAGATCTTAAAAACAGAAGCTGTGTCTTTCATTTTGCATCGTCATTAACTATTGAAGAAGCAGTTGCTCAGAAAATGTTTCTAAACAAACAAAAGAAAACACACAAAGTGAGTATTATTGCTAGAGCATCCACTGGTTCTAAAAAAGTCATAGGAATTCCAATATCTAAGTAACCTAACTTCTTGAATTTTTTTTTTAAACATAAAAATTTTAGGCCAGAGCACAGTGGCTTACGCCTGTGATCCCAGCACTTTGGGAGGCCAAGGCAGGTGGATCACTTGAGGCCAGGAGTTCGAGACCAGCTTGGGCAACATGGCGAAACCCTGTCTCTACTAAAAATACAAAAGCTTTCTGGGCATGGTGGTGCATGTCTGTAGTCCCAGCTACTTGGGAGGCTGAGGCATGAGAATTGCCTGAACCCGGGAGGTCCAAGCTGCAGTGAGCCGAGATCACACCAATGTACTCCAGCCTGGGCAACAGAGTGAGAACCTATCTCAAAAAGAATTTTTTAAAATATTTAAAAATAGAGAATCTATGTTGCTCAGGCTGGTCTTGAACTCCTGGGCTCAAGTGATCCACCAGCCTCAGCCTCCTAAAGCGTTGGGATTACAGGTGTGAGCCACCATGCCCCGTGAAATTGTTGTTATAGAACTGAGCTGTCCAACTTGGTGGCCAAGTAGCCATGAGTGGCTATTTCATTTTTTAAAAAAATTTTTTTAGACGGTGTCTCACTTTGTCACCCAGGCTGGAGTGCAGTGGTGCAATCTCGGCTCACTGCAACCTCTGCCTCCCAGGTTCAAGCAATTCTCCTGCCTCAGCCTCCCGAGTAGCTGGGATTACAGGCATGTGCCACCATGCCCGGCTAATTTTTGTATTTTTAGTAGAGATGGGGTTTCACTATGTTGGTCAGGCTGGTCTCAAACTCCTGACCTCAAGTGATTTGACTGCCTTAGCCTCCCAAAGTGCTGGGATTACAGGTGTGAGCCACTGCGCTTAGCCTTAAATTTAATTAAAATTATGTATAATTAAAAAATTTAGTTTCTCAGTCACAGTAGCCACATTTTAACTACACTAGACAGCACAGACATAAAACATTTCCATCACTGTGGAAAGTTTTTTTTTTTTTTTTTTTTTTTTTTGAGACAGAGTCTCACTCTGTTGCTGAGGCTGGAGGGCAGTGGCACAATCTCGGCTCATTGCAACCTCCACCTCCAGGGTTCAAGTGATTCTCCTGCCTCAGCCTCCCAAGTAGCTGGGACTACACGTGCCTGCCACCACACCTGGCTAATTTTTTTGTATTTTTGGTAGAGACAGGGTTTCACTATGTTGGCCAGCCTGGTCTCGAATGCTTGGCCTCAGGTGATCCGCCCGCCTCAGCATGCCAAAGTGCTGGGATTACAGGTGTGAGCCACTGTGCCTGGCCCACTGTGGAAAGTTCTATTGAACAATATGGTTACAGACAATCTGAAATTAAGTTTATAATATTCTGCCATTCAGTCATAGATTTAACACATTTATTAAGCATTACTATGCAGTATGTACTGACTATTCATAGGGGGGGGCAAAGGGGGAAGGACCTGGCCCATGACTACTATACTCCTGTGCTTCAGTTAGCCTTAATTACTATTTGTTATGGTTACAATGTTACAGCTTTCCTTCCAAAGACTGACTGATTGATTGAGACTGGGTCTCACTCTGTTGCCCAGGCTGGAGTGCAGTGGCGCGATTTTGGCTCGCTGCAACCTCTGCCTCCCAGGCTCAAGTGATCCTCCCACCTTAGCCTTGTGAGTAGCTGGGATTATAGGCGTGCGCCACCAAGTCCTGCTAATTTTTGTATTTTAGTAGAGACGGGGTTTCACCAATTAGCCAGGCTGGTCTCAAACTCCTGACCTCAAATGATCTGCCCACCTCGGCCTCCCAAAGTGCTGGGATTACAGGCATAAGCCACTGTGCCAGGCCTAATTTTTTTTTTTTGGGAGACAGAGTCTCACTCTGTTGCCCAGGCTGGAGTGCAGTGGCGTGATCTCGGCTCACTGTAACCTCTGCCTCCTGGGTTCAATCGATTCTCTTGCCTCAGCCTCCCGAGTAGCTGGGACTACAGGTGTGCACCACCATGCCTGGCTAATTTTTGTATTTATAGTAGAGACGGGGTTTCACCATGTTGGCCAGGCTGGTCTGGTCTTGAACTCCTGGCCTCAAGTTATCCGCCCACCTTGGCCTCCCAAAGTGCTGGGATTACAGGCATGAGCCACTGCACCCTGCTGCCCAAAGATTTAAAATGCATGAGTGCATCTATGTGTTTATGTAGAGGAAGTGGGGAAAGTAAGGGAAGATTCGTTTCTAAGGAAATATTGGGAATTCTTATGGTTAAAGCCAAGTGTTAATTCTTACATATGAATAAAGACAAAAAGAATGCAAAGGCCCAATAGATCATCTTAGATTGAGAAATTCAACACCTAAGAGGATACTGGCAACTGTCAAAGTTTTAAAGGGGCATATTCCATATTTCATTTAAACTAATTTCATATGATAAAGAATTCCAGGGATGAAATATAATTCTAAGATCATCTAATCCAGCCTTACATTTATTATTGCTTGAATTTCCTCGAGAGTACCTGATTTTCTGCCTCCATCCCCCACTCTATACACCTCCCCCTCCACTTTCCAATTAAGTGGTAATCTAGCCACTTACTGAATTCTTCCAGATAAGAAGCTCCTAAGATGGTCCACCCCGGCTTTTAACACCACTATCAGAAAAGTTTGTTATATTACACTGAAGCCTCTCGAAAATGAGGATGATGAAAGTTCAAGATGTACTTTTACCTGGGTACCTTTTGTTATCACTTGGCTAAGAAACTAGTCAGACGTTTGAAAAACAAAGTAAAAGGTATTCTTTAGTAAAAGATTTAAAGTGTTGGGCACAGTACTCTTTTGCTGTTTAATAACTGTTAAAGATATGGGAAGAAAAAGCAAATGATTTTCTATTCAAGGGAATGAGTAAGTGACATCAAACTACTATTATTGGGAAGCTAAAAACAGATCTTCTCAGGTCAAATTTATAGAATGTTTATAGAATGTAGAGACAAATATAAACATAAATTACTCAAAATAAAAGATAATGCATAGGTAAGAATTGGGTACTTATATGAAAAATATAATACCTTTTAGGAAACTGCCATAAAATCCAACTCTTTTCAAAAAAAGGTAATTCTGTGGTATTTATAGCTGGAGATCTATATATTTTGGTGGTGAAAAATGCTGGTCAATGGGTACGAAGTTATAATTGGGAGGAATAAGTTCTGGTGTTCCATTGCACAGGGTGACGACAGTTAACAGAAGGGTATTATATTTTACAAAATAGCTAGAAGAGAGGCTTTTGAATGTTCTCACCATAAACAAATGATAAACGCATGAGATGACAGATATGCTAAATATCCTGATTTGACTATACAACATATATAAAGACATCAAATTATACCCCACAAATATGTACAACTACAATGTGTTAATAAAAATTGCAATTTAAAAGATAAAACTTGGGCTGAGCATGGTGGCTCATGCCTATAATCCCAGCACCTTGGGAGGCTGAGGCAAGAGGATCGCTTGAGCTCAAAGGTTTGAGACCAGCCTGGGTAACATAGTGAGACCTCGTCTCTAATAAAAATAAAAAAACTAGCAGAGTGTGGTGGTGCACGCCTGTGGTACTCGGAAGGCTGAGGTGGGAGGATTACTTGAGCTCAGGAGGTCGAGGCTAAAAGGAGCCACGATTGTGCCACTGCACTCCAGCTAGACTGTAAAACAACAAAAAACGTACAATAATATTACCATTAAAAAAAAGAAGAAGAGTGCCGGGTGCAGTGACACACGCCTGTAATCCCAGCTACTTGGGAGGCTGAGGCAGGAGAATTGCTTGAACCCAGGAGGCAGAGGTTGCAGTGAGCCAAGATCGCGCCATTGCACTCCAGCCTGGACGACAGGGCGAGACTCCCTCTCAAAAAAAAAAAAAAAAAAAAAAAAGAAGAAGAAGAGCCAGGCGCAGTGGCTCACGCCTATAATCCCAGCACTTTGGGAGGCCAAGACGCAAGGACTGTTACAGTCCAGGAGTTCAAGACCAGCCTGGGAAACATGACGAAACCCTGTCTCTACAAAAAATACAAAAATTAGCTGGGTGTGGTGGTGCACACCTGTGGTCTCAGCTACTAGGGAGGCTGAGGTGGGAGCCTGGGAAGTTGAGGCTGCAGTGAGCCGTGATTGTGCCACTGCACTCCGGCCTGGGCGATAGGAGTGAGACCCTGAAAAAAAAAAAGGGTTGGGCGCGGTGGCTCACGCCTATAATCCCAGCATTTTGGGAGGCTGAGGCAGTTGGATCATGGGTCAGGAGTTCAAGACCAGCCTGGCCAAGATGGTGAAACCCCATCCCTACTAAAAATTACAGGCGGGCACCTGTAATCCCAGCTACTCAGGAGGCTGAGGCAGAGAATTGCTTGAACCTGGGAGGTGGAGGTTGCAGTGAGCCGAGATCGCGCCACTGCACTCCAGCCTGGGCGACAGAGCAAGACTCAGTCTCAGGGAAAAAAAAAAAAAAAAAAAAGAAGAAGAAAGGTGCCAGTCAGATACCAGATACCTATTTGTTTTCTTCTAAAACATATGTCTGGCGCATTCTATTAAACAAAATGCCTTTGCATACATCTCACTTATTTCCACTGTAACCACGGAAGGTGATAGAGAGGTTTTATTATGCCCATTTAAAAAATATTTTTATCTTTACAAATTTAAAATAAAAAATTGAGATAGCACTGTTCTCATTGTGGCAAGCAAATAGCACTTGTACAAAGCATCTTTTATACATGTGTCTTTAAACACTTTACTACGTGCATTACAGCATGGTCATTATATTCATTCACTGAAATGACAGAAATAGCTTTATTAAGATATATTTTATATACCATAAAGTTCACCAGTTTAATGTGTACATTTCAATGGTTTTCAATATATTTACAGTCATGCAACCATTGCCACTACCTAATCCCAGGATATTTTCATCACCACCAACCCCAAATCTTGTGTCCATTTGTAGTTACTCCCTGTTACCAACTCCAGCCCCAAGCAACTACTAATCTACTTTCTGTCTCTATTGATGTGCCTATTCTGGACATTTCATATAAGTGGAATTACAACAATATGTGGCTGTGTGAGTCTGGCTTCTTTCACTTAGCATGTTCTTCAGGTTCCTCTATGTTGTAGCATGTATTAGAACTTCATTCCTTTTTATGGGCAAAAAATAATTGTATGGATATACCCCATTTCATCGAGTTGATGGACATTTGGGTTGTTTTAACTTTTTGTCTGTTATGAAATAATGGTGCTATGAAAATTCATGCAGCAGTTTTTGTGTGGATATATGTTTTTGTTTCTCTTGGGTATTGTGCGGTAAAGGATAACCTTGTCTAAAAAAAAAGTTTGGCTGTTTGTCTTTAGCTCCTTAGAAGTAACCTTTAAGCCCCTGGAATGTCCTGCCTGATAAGAGTGTCTTTGTTTACCTTGGGTCCTTGGGCCAAGTGAGATAGTCTATGCTAACGATGTGATTTATGGTAGAGACTTTGGGGCACCTTCTATCAGCCTGACCTCTGGAGGGACTGGAGAGTAACATCAGCCACGTGGATGGTGAGCAATGCCTACGTGGCCAACTCTCAATAAAATCGCTGAACACCAAGGGTGAGCTTTCCTGGCTAGCAATACTCTATGTGTATTATACATTGCTGCTGGGAGAAATAAGCACTATCTGCACCACTCCACTGGCAGGGGTAACTGGAAGCTGCATTCCAGGTCTCTCCTGGACCATGCCTTATGTGCCTCTATCCTTGGCTAATTTTAAATCTGTATCTTTTCACTATAATAAACTATAACTGTGAGTATAACTGTTCTTCTGAGTTCTGTGAGTCCTTCTAGTGAATTACTGAACCTGAGAATGGTCTTGGTGATCTCTTAAACTGCAGTATATACTTAGGAGTAGAATTACTGGTTTATAAGGTAACTCTATGTTTAACATTTTGAGGAGCTGCCAAACTTTTTTCACAGCAGCTGCATCGTTTTTACTTCCACCAACAATGCATGAGGGTTCCAATTTTCCCACATCCTTGATTGTTTGCCTTTCTTATTACTGCCACCCTAGTAGGTATGAAATGGTATCTCACTGTGGTTTATTTACTTTTTTTTTTTTTTTGTAATGGAGTTTCGCTCTTGTTGCCCAGGCTGGAGTGCAATGGTGCGATCTCGGCTCACCGCAACCTCTGCCTCTCCTGGGTTCAAGCGATTCTCCTGTCTCAGCCTCCCAAGTAGCTGGGATTACAGGCACATGCCACCATGCCCAACTACTTTTTGTATTTTTAGTAGAGACGGAGTTTCATCAAGTTGGTCAGGCTGGTCTTGAACTCCTGGCCTCAGGTGATCTGCTCACCTTGGCCTCCCGAAGTGCTGGGATTACAGGCATGAGCAACCGTGCCCAGCTGGAAAAACAATTTTCTACATATTCTTCAGGAATTGTAGAAGAAAAATACTTTTTCAAATGCTTTCACTAGAGGAAAAATGCTACCTTTTACAAATCCACATTTATAAGAAGAGTTTCCGTGCCCAGGCTTATCTTGAACTTCTGGCTTTAAACAATCCTCTTGCCTCGGGCTCCCAAAGCACTGGGATTTTAGGTATGAGCCACTGCATCCAACCCAAAGTTTCTTCAAAGAGGAATGATATGCCTTAATTCCTAAATCAGTCTCTGGTGTTCTTTTTCAAGATTTTTATTCTAGCCACTCTATGTTATTCAATTTCTATCCCACACCTCAAGCATTTATCCTTTATGTTACAAACAATCCAATTATACCCTTTTAGTTATTTTAAAACAATCATTCATCATGACCAAGTGGGATTTATCCTAGGGATGCAAGGATGGCTCAACATATGCAAATCAAGCAGTGTGAAAAATCGTATCTTCAGCATGAGGGACAAAAACCGTATGATCGTTTCAACTGATGCTGAAAAAGCATTTGATAAAATTCAACATCCTTCATGATAAAAACCCTCAATAAACTGGTCATGGTGAATGATCTTTTCAAAGTATTGTTAAATTTGGTGTTCCAGTACTTTGTTGAGGATTTCTGCATCAATGTTCATCCAGAATACTGGCCTGTAGTTTTCTTTTTTTGATGTGTCTTTGTCTGATTTTGGTATCAGGGTAATACTGGCTTTGTAGAATGAGTTTAAAAGTATTCCCTTCTCTTCTATTTTTTGGAATAGTTTGAGTAACACTGGTACTAGTTCTTCTTTAAATGTTTTGTAAAATTCAGTAGAGAAGCCACTGGGTCCCAGGATTTTCTTTGAAGGGAAACTTTTTATAACGACTTCAATCTCACCATCTGTTACTGGTCCGTTCAGATTTTAAATTTCATCATGGTTCAATCTTGGTAGGTTGTATGTGTCTAGGAATCTGTTCACTTCTTCTAGGTTTTCCAGTTTGTTGGCATATATAGTTGCTCATAGCAGCCTCTAATGATCCTTTGAATTTCTGCAGTATCAGTAGCAATGTCTCCTTTTTCATCTCTGATTTTATTTATTTGGGGTTTCTCTCTTTTTTTTTCTCAGTGAGTTGGGCTAAAGGTTTGGTGATTTTATCTTTTCAAAAAACCAACTTTTTGTTTTGTTGATCTTTTTTTTCCATTTCAACTTCACTTATTTCTGCTCTGATCTTTATATTTCCTTTCTTCTACTAATTTAGGGTTTTGTTTGCTCGTTTTTCTAGTTCTTTAAGATGCATCATAAGGTTGAAGTTTTTCTACTTTTTTGATATACATGCTTATTGTTATAAACTTTCCTCTTAGTACTGCTTTTGCTATATCCCATAGGTTTTGGTATGTTGTGTTCCCATTTTTTTTTTTTTGTTTCAAGACAGTTTTAAATTTTCTTCTTAATTCCTTCATTGACCTACTGGTCGTTCAGGAGCATGTTGTTTAATTTCTAAGTGTTTGTATAGTTTCCAAAATTCTTCGTTATTGATTTCTAGTTTTATTCCACTGTGGCCAGAGAAGATAATTGATGATTTCAATTTTTAAAAATTATTTTAAGACTTGTTTTGGCACCTGACACATGGTCTATCCTTGAGAATACTCCATGTGCTGAGGAGAAGAATGTATATTCTGCAGCTGTTGGATGAAATGTTCTGTAAATATCTACTTGGTTGATTTGGTCTACAGTACAGATTAAGTCTGATACTTCATTTTTTATCTGGATGATTTGTCCAATGCTGAAAGCAAGGTATTAAAGTCTCTAGCTATTATTTTATTGAGGTCTATCTCTTTAACTCTAATAATATTTGCTTTATATTTCTGGTTGCTCCAGAATTGGGTGTATATATATTTACAACTGTTCTATCTTCTTGCTGAACTGAATCCTTTATCATTATATAATGATCTTTTTGTCTCCTTTTATAGTTTTTTTCTATTAAGTATAGCTACTCCTGCTTTTTGATTTCCATTTGCATGGAATATATTTTTCCATCCCTTTATTTTCAGCCTATATGTGTATGTATAGTGAAGCATGTTTCCTGTAAGCAACAGATCATTGGGCCTTGTTTTTTGTATTGATTCAGCCACTCTGTGTCTTTTGGAGAGTTTTGTCCATTTACATTCAATGTTATTGATAAGTAAGGACTTATTCCTGCCATTTTATTTGTTTTCTGGTTGTCTTGTGGTCTTTTCTTCCTTCCTTCTTTTGTTCTTGTCTTCCTTTTAGTGAAGGTGATATTCTCAGGTGGTATGTCTTAACTTCTTGCTTTTTATTTTTGTGTGTATCTGTTGTATGTTTTTGATTTGAGGTTTACCATGGGCCTTGCGGATAATATCTTATAACCCATTATTTTAAACTGATGACAACTTAACACTGATTGCATAAACAAATTAACAAAGAAGCAAGGAGAAAACAAAAACTCTACACTTCAACTTCATCCCCTTAACTTTTTGCTGTTTCTACTTACATCTTATTATACTGTCCATGTCTTCAAAAGTTGTTGTAATTATTATTTTTGACTGGCTAATCTTTTAGTCTTTCTATTCAAGATAGGAGTTTTCATACCACAATTACAATATTATAATATTCCATGTTTTTCTGTGTACTATTACCAGTGAGTTTTGCACCTTCAGATGATTTCTTATTGCCATTAACATCCTTTTCTTTCAAGACTGAAGAACTCCCTTTAACATTTTTTGTAGGACAGGCCTGGTGTTGATGAAATCCCTCAGCTTTTGTTTATTTGGGAAAGTCCTTATTTCTCCTTCACGTTTGAATGATATTTTCACTGGATATACTATTCTAGGATAAAAGTTTTTCTCCTTCAAAACTTTTAATATGTCATGCCACTCTCTCCTGGCCTGTAAGGTTTCCAATGAAAAGTCTGCTGCTAGATGTATTGGAGCTCCATTGTATGTTATTTGTTTCTTTTCTCTTGCTGTTTTTAGGGTCCTTTCTTTATCCTTGACCTTTGGGAGTTTGATTATTACATGTCTTGAGGTAGTCTTATTTCAGTTAAATATGCTTGATGTTTTATAATCTTCTTGTACTTGAATATTGATATACATTTCTCTACATTTGGGAAGTTCTCTGTTATTATCCCTTTGAATAAACTTTCTACTCTGATCTCTCTCTCTACCTCCTCTTTAAGGCCAGTCATTCTTAGATTTGCCCTTCTGAGGCTATTTTCTACATCTTGTAGGCATGCTTCATTCTTTTTCCTTTTGTCACCTCTCATTGTGCATTTTCAAATAGCTTGTCTTCAGGCTCACTAATTCTTCTGCTTAAGTCTGCTGTTAAGAGACTCTGATGTATTCTTCAGTCTGTCAATTGCATTTTTCAGCTCCAGAATTTCTGCTTGATTCTTTTCCATTATTTCTTTCTTTTTTTTTTTTTTTTGAAACAGAGTCTCACTCTGTCGCCCAGGCTGGAGTGCAGTGGCATGATCTTGGCTCACTGCAAGCTCCGCCTCCCAGGTTCACACTATTCTCCTGCCTCAGCCTCCCGGGTAGCTGGGACTACAGGCGCCCACCACCACACCTGGCTAATTTTTTGTATTTTTAGTAGAGACGGGGTTTCACCATGTTAGCCAGGATGGTCTCAATCTCCTGACCTTGCGATCCACCCGCCTTGGCCTCCCAAAGTGCTGGGATTACAGGCGTGAGCCACTGCACCCAGCCTCTTTTCCATTACTTCAATGTCTTTGTTAAATTTACCTGATGGGATTCTGAATTCCTTCTCTGTGTTATCTTGGATTTTGCTGAGCTTCCTCAAAATAGCTACATTGAATTTTCCATCTGAAAGGTTATATATCTGTCTCTCCAGGATTAATCACTGTTGCCTTATTTAGTTCATTTTGTGAGGTCATGTTTTCCTGGATGGTCTTGATGCTTGTGGATGTTCATCAGTGTCTGGGCATTGAAGAGTCAGCATTTATTGTAGTCTTTGCAGTCTGGGCTTGTTTGTATCCATCCTTCTTCGGAAGACTTTCCAGGTATTCAGAGGGACTTGGGTGTTGTGATCTAAGTCTTTGGTCACTACGGCCATATCTGCTTTAGGAGGCACTGCAAGCCTAGTAATGCCATGGCTCTTGCAGACTTGTAGATATACTACGTTGGTGTTACTGGGTAATATCTGGAAGAACTCCCTGGATTAACAGGCAGAGATTCTTGTTCTTCTCCCTTACTTCCCTCTAAACAAATGAAGTCTCTCTCTGTGCTGAGTTGCCTGGAGATGGAGGAGGGCTAATACAAGCACCCCTATGGCCACCACCACTGGGACTGCACCCAGTCAGATCTAAAGCCAGCACAGCATTGGGTCTCGCCCAAGGCCTGCAGTGATCACTGCCTGGCTACTACCTATGTTCGTTCACATCCCAAGGGCTCTACAATCAGTAGGTGGCAAATCCAGCAAGGCTTGTGTCCTTCCTTTCAGGGTGGCGAATTCCTCCTGGCCTTGGGTGGGTCCAGAGATACTATCTGGGACCCAAGGCCTGGAGTCAAGAACCTTAGGAATCTTATCTGATGCTTTCTTCTACTGTGGCTGAGCTGGCACCCAAGCTGTATGACAAAGTCCTTTCTACGTTTCCTCCCCTTTCCTCATGCAGAGGAGTCTCTGTAATGAAATTCCTTATAATCAAAATTGTAAGAGTCTCAATTTGGTAAGACCTTTATAAAATAAAGAAGCTGAACTCAAGTAATGAAAGTAAGAATCATTGCTCTGCAAATGAGAAACTTACACCAGAATGTTTCATCTCTCAAACTGTTCATCCATCATCCATCCATCAATCTATTAATTGTCTGTCTACTAGATTCGGGTATAGGGGATCTAAGGATGAAAGTCTAAGTTTACAGTCTACTAGGGCAGATAAAACTCATAGATAAATAACCATAATAGTGGCAGAATGTGGTACATCAGGGCTGTAATACAAATCCAGGTCTGTTAAGGTCAAGGCCAATATTTTCTCTCACCAAAGTCTTATTGCCAATTACTAATTATTGTAGAAAAAAATAAGCCTGGGCAACACAGCAAGACCCTATCTCTACAAAACAAAAAAATTAGCCAGCCATGGTGGCATGTGCCTACAGACCTAGCTACTTGGGAGACTGAGGTGGAAGGATTGCTTGAGCTCAGAAGTTCAAGGTTATAGTGAGCTATGATCTCACCACTGCACTCCAGCCTAAGTGACAAAGCAAGGCTCTGTCTCTCTTTAAAAAAAAAAGAAAAAAAGAAAGAAAAGAAAAAAAAAGGCCAGGTGTGGTGGCTCATGCCTGTAATCCCAGCACTTTGGGAGGCCAAGGCGAGTGGATCACCTGAGGTTCGAGACCAGCCTGGCCAACATGGTGAAATCTCATCTCTACTAAAGATACAAAAAATTAGCTGGGTGTGGTGGTGTGTGCCTGTAATCCCAGCTACTTGGGAGGCTGAGGCAGGGGAATCACTTGAACCCAGGAGGCAGAGGTTGCAGTGAGCTGAGATTGCGCCATTGCACTCAAGCCTGGGCAACAAGGAGAGACTCGGACCAAAAAAAAAAAAGAGCACAGTGCTCATGCCTGTAATCCCAGCACTTTGGATTGGAAGGCCAAGGCAGGAGGCTCACTTGAGGCCAGGAGTTCGAGACCAGCCTGGACAACACAGCGAAATCCTGTCTCTACAAAAAAAAAATTTTTTAAATGAGCCAGGTGTAGTGGCGTGTACCTGTGGTATCAGCTACTCGGGAGGATCATTTGAGCCCGGGAGTTCAAGGCTGCAGTGAGCTATGATTGTGTCACTGCACTCCAGCCTAGGTGACAGAGTGAGACCCTGTCCCACAACAAAAGCAAAAATGGGGGAAACTACAGTGACCACAATAAAGAAAATAAGTTACTGGATATAAATCCAATGTGCTACTATAAAATGACCAATAACTGAAAAATGAAAAATATATTATTTTTAGAGGGGGAAATGCATATCACAAATGAATCCATGGTACAATAAAACATGAATGTATTTATTTGATAAACCATAATTAAGTACTAACAATGGGCAGGCTCTCTACTTTGTGCCAGGGAAATTCACAGAAAAATGATGCACAATCTTGGCCCTCAAGGGACTCACACATGGGCAGCAACCAGGAGAGAGCTTAGATAAACACACAGGCAATGTCCTAGGGTAGTAGTCTCCATGGAAAGAGTTTTCCTTTAAATATTTTTCCTTTATGATTTTTAAAGTGCCATAGTTAAAATAAATAAAATCATCCAAGAAAGGTTAAAAAAAAGAAGAAGTAGCCAATTCTGTCAAATATAAGAATGAATTCAAAAAATTAAAAGGGCCTTTGGGGGTCCAGATTGTGTTCTTCAATTACAACTTCCCAGTAAAAGACCCTGGGTTCCTTGGAAGAATAGCTAATCCCAGGTCTAGAGCAAGAAATCTACACGATAAGCCTGGAAAATATTATCATGCCAGACAGCAAGAAATGTCACAAAGCACCTAGAGTCATTATCCCTAAAGCCAGTGGTCCCCAGCCTTTTTGGCACCAGGGACCAGTTTTGTGAAAGATAATTTTTCCATGGACTGGAGGGAGATGGTTTTGGGATGATTCAAGCACATTACATTTATTGTACACTTTATTTCTATTATTATTACATTGTAATATATAATGAAATAACTATACAACTCACCATAATGTAGAATCAGTGGGAGCCCTGAGCTTGTTTTCCTGCAACTAGACGATCCCATCTGGGGGTGATGGGAGACGGTGACAGATCATCAGGCATTACATTCTCATAAGGAGTGCTCAACCTAGATCCCTCGCATGCGCAGTTCACAACACGGTTCACACTCCTATGAGAATCTAATGCCACTGCTGATCTGACAGGAGGCGGAGTTCAAGTGGTAATGCTCACTTGCTCACCACTTATCTCCTGCTGTGCGGCCCGGTTCCTAACAGGCCATGGACCAGTACCTGTCTGTGGCAGGTTGCGGACCCCTGCACTGTGCAATGTCCCCTCTTCACCAAAGAAGGTCGGCAGGCAAATATAACTCCAACCAGCTTGCAGTTCACATGTAGGAGGTCTGAGAGGTGAAAGGTCAGCCCTTCCATCCCTCTAGCCAGAAGAGCCATCTTATTACATTTGGGATAGAAGGAGAAATAACATGGAAAGAGAAAGCAACCTTTGTGCCTTTGCTGGAGGTAACTGGCCCTTCCCAATCCCATCCACGTCTCCCCTAATTGCAGAAAACCATATACTGCATGTTCTCACTTATAAGTGGAGCTAAACATTGAGTAGGCATGGACACAAAGAAGGGAACAACAGACATTGGGGCCTACTTGAGGGTTAGGATTGAAAAACTACCTGTTGGGTATTATGCTGATTACCTGGGTGAGAAAATTATCTGTACACCAAACCTCTGCAACACACAATTTACCCATGTAACAAACCTGGACATGTACCCTTGAACAGAAAATAAAAGTTGGAAAGACAGAAAAAACAAAAAAAGAAATCATGTCCTTTGCAGCAACATGGGTGCAGCTGGAGGCCATTATTCTAAGCAAATTAATTCAGAAACAGAAAACCAAATACCACATGTTCTCACTTACAAACGGGAGCTAAACAGTGGGTATACACAGACATAAAGACAGGAAAAATAGACAGTGGGGATTACTAGAGGGAGGAGGGAGAGTACAAGGGTTAAAAAACTACCTATTGGGTACTTACTATGCTCACTATATGGGTGATACAACCAAATGTATTTCAAACCTCAGCATTACACAATATACCCATGTAACAAATGTGCACATGTAACCCCAAAATTGAAAATAAAAGTTGAAATTAAAAAAAAAAAAAAGAACATGGGCCTGGTTGTTTCAGAATTATAGCCGATTTCCACCCAGGATGGTATCAACTAGCTTTAGAACTCACTTAATTCATCAGCTCTGACAGCAAAGGATGAAGATAAACTATCACTACGAATATTGAAAAGAATAAGCTGAATGGTCCAGAGGCAATATCCAAAAAAGGGATTTCCAGAAATGGTCCGTACAATGGCAGAGCCCTAAGAGTGGGTGGGCGATCTCCTGAGTGACCTTTCAGTCGACAGGACACTCTCACTGGGAGGGTGAGTCCAGCTAATTTGGTGTTAGCCCACTCTACCACTTCTCATGGGGACTTACCTGAATACAAGCCCCCGTCTTCAACTTGCACAAGTTGCAGACTAAGGCCCACCGACTGGGTGGGATGTGGGAGATCTTCGTGATCGGTTCCATCCTCTCAGGACAAGCAATGCTGACCTACAAATAAAATACCACCATAAGGCAGAAGTACCAAGGCATCCCAGAAGTACCTTTCACAAACCATAAACGATGTTACATAAAGCTAAGAACATCAAAACAATGAGGTAAGTCACATCTCTTAAGGTTAATATGGAATCAAGAATAAACAAAACTTATTTCCACTGCTCAGTCCTTCACTCATTTCCAGTAATGTAAATAATTCACATATGGGATGAGAGAGCAGGAGTATAGACTAGGCATGATTACCTTTTACTTTTCTTTCTTTCTTTCTTCTTTTTTTTTTTTTTTTTTAGAGACAAGGTCTCCCTCTGTCACTCAGGCTAGAGTTCAGTGGTGCAATCATGGCTTACTACAGCCTTGAACTGCTGGGTTCAAGTGATCCTCCCACCACAGCCTCTACCACACCTGGCTAATTAAAAAAAAATATTTTTGGCTTTTATCTAAATGACAGGCAATAACAAATGCTGGTGAGGAGTGGAGAAAAGGGAACCCTCAAACACTGTGGAGAAAAGGAAATGTTTATACACTGTTGGTGGGAATGTAAATTAGTACAACCACTATGGAGAATAGTTTGGAGGATTCTAAAAAAAACACAAAAAATAGAGCTACCATATTATCCAGCAATCCCACTGTTGGGTATATACCCAAAAGAAAGGAAAACGGTATATCAAAGAGGTATCTGCACTCCCATATTTTTTGCAGCAATGTTCACGATAGTCAAGATTTGGAAATAAGCTAAGTGTCCATCAACAGACGAATGGATAAAGAAAATGTGGTACATATATACAATGGAGTACTATTCAACCATATAAAAGAACGAAATCCTGTCATTTCCAACAACGTGGACAGAACTGGAGGTCATTACGTCAAGTGAAATAAGCCAGGCACAGAAAGACACACATTGCATGTTCTCATTTATTTGTGGGATCTAAAAATAAAAACAACTGAACTCAAGGAGATAGACTGTAGGAGGATGGTTACCAGAGGGTGGGAAGGGTAGTGGGGGGAACAGGGCAGGAGGAGGGTGACGATAATTAATGGGTACAAAAAGGATAGTCAGAAAGAATGAATAAGACCTACTATTTGATGGCACAACAGGGTGACTATAGTCAAAATAACTTAACTGTACATATAAAAATAACTACAAGAACATAACTGGATTGTTTGTAACACAAAAAGGATAAATGCTTGAAGGGGATGAATACCCCATGTTTCATGATGTCATTATTAGGCATTACATGCCTGTATCAAAATCTCATGCATCCCGTAAATATATACACCTAATATGTACCCACAAAATTAAAAATTATTATTATTTTTTTTGTAGAGACCAGGTCTTGCTATGTTACCTCAGGCTGGTCTTGAACTCCTGGCCTCAAGTGATCCTCCTGCCTTGGCCTCCCAAAGTACTGGGATTACAGGCATGAGCCACTGCGCCCAGCCAAGGTTACCGTAATGGACACTTTTACTTAGGAACCAAAGAAAGCTACTGAAAGTAACTAAATCGAGTATCTATTATGTTAAGAGATGGTGCTACATGCCTTGTTGTTTCATTTAATCAACTAAGGATAAAAAACAGAGGGAGTGACAAGTCTTTCCATTTGATTTACAAAGGAACCATGATATTGTTGAAAAACAGCACATCCGTGTAATGAAGAGACTGCAGAATGTAAGTAGAAAGGAGGAGGATGACATTTTAAAACAAAAGTCTTTAAAACCACATAACTATCATGAGCTTACCCTACTCCCTCAGCCAAAGTAGCTTCAAAGTGAAATTAAGTCTTTGGGAGAGTGCTGAAAAGAAAGGGATGCTTTTTTTTTTTCCTTTTTTTTTTTATTATACTTTAAGTTTTAGGGTACATGTGCACATTGTGCAGGTTAGTTACAGATGTATACATGTGCCATGCTGGTGCGCTGCACCCACCAACTCGTCATCTAGCATTAGGTATATCTCCCAATGCTATCCCTCCCCCCTCCCCCTACCCCACCACAGTCCCCAGAGTGTGATATTCCCCTTCCTGTGTCCATGTGATCTCATTGTTCAATTCCCACCTATGAGTGAGAATATGCGGTGTTTGGTTTTTTGTTCTTGCGATAGTTTACTGAGAATGATGATTTCCAATTTCATCCATGTCCCTACAAAGGACATGAACTCATCATTTTTTATGGCTGCATAGTATTCCATGGTGTATATGTGCCACATTTTCTTAATCCAGTCTATCATTGTTGGACATTTGGGTTGGTTCCAAGTCTTTGCTATTGTGAATAATGCCGCAATAAACATACGTGTGCATGTGTCTTTATAGCAGCAAGATTTATAGTCCTTTGGGTATATACCCAGTAATGGGATGGCTGGGTCAAATGGTATTTCTACTTCTAGATCCCTGAGGAATCGCCACACTGACTTCCACAATGGTTGAACTAGTTTACAGTCCCACCAACAGTGTAAAAGTGTTCCTATTTCTCCACATCCTCTCCAGCACCTGTTGTTTCCTGACTTTTTTAATGATTGCCATTCTAACTGGTGTGAGATGGTATCTCATCGTGGTTTTGATTTGCATTTCTCTGATGGCCAGTGATGATGAGCATTTTTTCATGTGTTTTTTGGCTGCATAAATGTCTTCTTTTGAGAAGTGTCTGTTCATGAGTGAACAGGCAACCTACAAAATGGGAGAAAATTTTCACAACCTACTCATCTGACAAAGGGCTAATATCCAGAATCTACAATGAACTCAACCAAATTTACAAGAAAAAAACAAACAACCCCATCAAAAAAGGGATGCTTTTTCTGTTTTCCTTTTTGAATCAGGGTCTCACTCTGTCACCCAGGCTAGAGTGCAGTGGCAGGATCAGGGCTCACTGCAGCCTCGACCTCCCAGGCTCAAGTGATCCTGCCGCCTCAGCCCCCTGAATATCTGGGACTACAGGCATGCACCACCACACCTGGCTAATTTTTTGTATTTGTAGTAGAGATGGGGTTTTGCCATGTTGCCCAGGCTGGTCTCAAACTCCTGGACTCAAGTGATCTGCCTGCCTCGACCTCCCAAAGTGCTGGGATTATAGGCGTGAGTCACCACACCCAGCAGAAAGGGATGTTTTTTAAAAAGATGGAAATATTCTTTTCCATGTGAAAATAAGGGGTCAAGCAACTGCTGGTAAAAAGTATTTTCATTCCCCCCACCCCGCCAAATATATACATGAGTTTCTAAGAGAGATACAGCTTTAAAAGGTGAAGAACTGTCAAATAAGGATGCCAAACTAGTACTGGTTCTGCCCACATCAGGAAACTAACAGATCTTGAGTAGTCCAGAAGGCACTGGAAACCAAGAACTAGAAATCATAAGAGAATGTCAATAACTGAGAAAGTCTATTTTGTTTTTAAAGAGCTCTTCCTGAGTCATGTTCTGGACTTTTATAAGCTGAGAGAGCCTACTCTATTAGCTGAGGGATTTGCTGTTGGAAAACAGTCATTCTCAAGCCAGAAACCTGAGTTTATTTTATGTCTAGATGTTCTTAGTGAGAAAAAGAAACTACTATTCAAATATTTTTTTAAAATACTGATGTCTATAGCCATAGGAATACAAAAGTATATATATGGGACTTTTAGTGTAACTCTGAGCTTCTTTATTAGACAATAACTCCCCTGGAACCAATATTAACAAGATTAAAAACAAGAAAATCTTAAAGGAGAATGAGTTACTGATATAATGTCAGCTCCCCATTAACTAGATTCTGCAGTCTCTCTTGTCATGCAGTTAAACTGCCTAACAAATTTGCTGGTTTGGATAGTGGCTGGGGAGAGAGGGCATGAGTGGGATATCCACACAGCTAAAGAAAAAAAAAGGCAGCCATAAGAAGAAATGTCTTCAAGCCCCATTTTAATTAAGTTAGTGTACATGTAGCCACTCAGGAAATACCAGCAACTGAAGGACCAGGCTAGATAATGATAAAAAATTGAATTTTGAGTAAAGAAGGTCTTTGGCAGGTGTTGAGTGTAAGCCCTAAAAAGAGCTTCAAAAAGTAAAGGGCATCGGCCGGGCGCAGTGGCTCACGCCTGTAATCCCAGCACTTTGGGAGGCCTAGACAGGTGGATCACGTGAGGTCAGGAGATCGAGACCATGCTGGCTAACACGGTGAAACCCCGTCTCTACTAAAAATACCAAAAAAAAAAAAAAAAAATTAGCCAGGCATGGTGGCGGGCACCTGTAGTCCCAGCTACTCGGGAGGCTGAGGCAGAAGAATGGCGTGAACCTGAGAGGTGAAGTTTGCAGTGAGCCGAGATAGCGCCACTGCACTCCAGCCTGGGTGACAGAGCGAGACTCTGTCTCAAAAATAAAATAAAATAAATAAAAATAAAAAAGTAAAGGGCATCATCACAGTAGACAAAGAGTTACTGCTCACTTTATTTGTAATAGCCTAAACCTGTAAACAACCCAAATGCCCATCAAAGGAAAATGAATAAATCAGAGTATATCCATACAATGGAATATTAGCAATAGAAAGGAATAAACTATTGATATACACCACAACATGGAGTGTTAGCCAGACCGAAAAAAATACATACTGTATGAAGTTTAAAACCAGATAAAATTAATCTATCATGATCAAGACAAAAATGGTGGTTATTCTTGGGGGATAGAGACTGGAAAGTGGGTATAGAGGATCTTTCTGGGGTGCTTTATGTCTATTTTTAGGGTATTTCATGTCTTGGTCTGAGTTGTGGTTACAGATACAAACGTGTAAAATATCACAAAACTCTACACTTAAAATTTGGCATCTAAATATAAGTTTTACCTTAAAAAATTCTGCTGCTCACACCCTGGTCTTTTGTGTCTCTCCTCTCATACAAATTTATCAATTTATACATGATATACCCAAATATCATGTATATATTTGGGTATTATCCCAAATATCGTGTATATATTCGGGTATTATCCCAAATACCACTGGGAATACCACCTATATATTAATCACCATGGGCTTACATGCAAGTGTGCATCCAATAAGGATCTGAGGTAGCTCAAGTGGAAGTACTATTACTTCAGAAACATGGGCAAGCATGAAGCATTTCCATACTGAGCCTGAGTCAGTCTGAATGCTGTGGGGAACAGGGACACCCTGGAGCAAATGGTCTCACGGGCCTGGATGAATTCTTACCTCTGGGATCCACAGGGCACAGCTGACATGAGCCCATTTAGTCCCTGTCTTGGTGGTCTTCAGGGCTCCACCTTTCTTTGGACATAACACACATTGCGGATAAATGCCCAGGACACAGGAGCGACACAGCCAGCTGCCTTCTGGGACCTTGAGGATGCCATAGCAGGCCTGGAGGTATGAGGAGGAGAGGGGAGAATGGTCAGCACCTTCTCACCAGGGTTGGTATCTGTTCTGATACACAGTCACAGAGTATCCTCTGCTTTTGGGAGAAAGGCAAATAAAGCCGAACAAGCTTATATCCAGTATCGAGTGATTTAAAAATACTCAAAAAAGCAACTTCCAGCATCTCTCCTAAGATCAGCATGTCTGTCCATGAGAACTGACTTTAAGGATGATAGAACAAGACGAGGAGATACAGCCAACCGTTAACCCAACTGTTATCTGAGTGTTGTGATTACAGCATTTTTTGGTCTGTTTTCTAAAGCTTCTTCAATGACTATGTATTATAATTAGTCAAACACTTATTGAACATTTCCTAAAAGTCATACACTGTTGTGATCAAGAAAAAAGTTTTAGAAAATAAAGAGAATGAAACTTCTGAGGAGCAAATGAACTGACGTTTATAAAAAGCCTATTAACGCCTGGTGCATAAAAAGTACTCAGTAAATCGTAGCAATTGCTTGCTTGGGTTGAAGAAACAGGGACTTGTGAATGAATCTTGAATAGAATATTACACTAATCACAATAATTCATAATGAGTTCTGGAAGGTGCTTCAAATCCTTTATGGAATGAAGTTGGACAAATAATTACTGTGAGAAACTGGAGATTAGTTTGGGAAACATTCTAGACTCCCTTTTTGCTATCCCCAATTTTGCCCATCATTTCCTCCTTACTGCTCTACTCTATTAGAGACTAACTGATTCAATATGGCAGCTTCAAAATTTCTGTCTGCCTCAGGAGATTCACCCTCAACTCAGATTCAAGTTATAACAGTTACCATAATATCGGTCCCCCCACAACCTGGTCCTTTTCCAAGCTCCTTCTTTCCGTGTCACCACCATACTTCCTATCTTCCAGATCCAAATTCCTAGACTTGTATTACTCACTTTCTTTCATCTGCTGACCTGGTACTTGCTATTCTCCCTACAGTGGCCCCAAGACTCTGACGTTCCTCTCCGTCCTCACCACTTGCTCTATCCAAGTTCTCATTATGCCATGCCTGGATTGATTAATTTCTACATTTTCTTTTTCCCCCTGCACGCCTTCAACCCTTCTTCTACTTGACTGCCAGATTCTCCTCACTAAAAGAATTCATACCATTGTACAGTGGCAAGCCCTTTAGATATTCCTTCTGCTCTTACCTGCTCCCCACTATCCAAACTAGGGGTTGGCTATTTTCCAAGGTCTGTTTTATAAAGCCAACAAGCTAAGAATGGTTTTCACATTTTTAAAGGGTTGTAAAGAGAAGAAGAAGAACATGTAACAGAGACTGTATGTGGCTATAAAGACTGAAATATTTACAGCGGATCCTTAAAGAAAAAGTTTGCCGGTTCCTTATCTAAAGCCTGTTGTTCCTTGTACTTCACTATCTGATCTCATGCCCCACTATACCCAAACACAGGGCTTCTGACTTGGACAGGCAGGCCTCCTGGTTTTCTCCATAACTGGTCATTCTTATTTTCACATCCATGTGTCTAAGCAGCTTCCCTGCTCTACATGGTCAACTGTTGTTTGCATAGTTGGACCTTTCTCACCCTTCCAGACCCGGTTCAAACTCCAGGCCCCTCCAAAAATCCTGCTCAGGTCACTGTAGCCCCTTGCGTTTGTCCCACTGCCTGACTCCCATCCTCCACTCCATGCAATTTCCCTCACCAAGTACATAGTCAGCATCATGTGTTCTTTAATTTTATTATTATTTTTTTTGAGACAGGGTCTTGCTCTGTCACCCAGGCTGGAATGCTGTGGCATGATCTTGGCTCACTGTAGCCTCAACCTCCTGGGCTCAAGCAATCGTCCTACCTTAGCCTCCCGAGTACCTAGGAGCACAGGCATGTGCCACTCTGCCCAGCTAATTTTTGTAGAGACGAGGTTTTGCAATACTGCCCAGGCTACTCTCAAAATCCTGGGCTCAAGTGATCCACACTTTGGTCTCCCAAAGTGCTGGAATTACAGGTGTGAGTCACAGCACCCGGCCAGCATCATGTATTCTTTTTCTCTACATTTGCTGTTGTGTTTCTTCTCCTCAGTGACATTTTTAGTATTTTTTTTTCTTTTAATTAACCCTGGCCTACAGAACTCAATGAGATTTTAAAGTCACTAGAGGTAGAGCTGTTATCATCAATTTACCTGGAATGCCCCCTATGCTGAGCTTGAGTAGGTGGTTGGATAAAACAAATGTATTTAGCTCAAGAACTGAAGCTGGACTCTAGGTAGGCTCCTCTCACAAGAGCAAGGCATCATTTTATAAGGTTTCTAACCTTTAAAGCTCTTTGTCTGAGGCCCAGAATGTTTGCTAGGAAATGAAAGCAAGCTTCCTCCCTAAAATAGAGTCTCTTTCAGACTGGCAGAAGAGAGGTCAGGTCAGTGACTGGCTCTTGGAATATCCTTTAGCTCCTGGCCAGTCTATAGGGCAGAACATCATTTACTGAGCCCTTTTGTGGACTTACTCACAGTCATAAGATCATAGATACATGTAAAAGGATTTAGAATGGCCCTAACTTTCACATTTTTTTTTTTTTGAGATGGAGTCTCACTCTGTCGCCCAGGCTGGAGTGCAGTGGCGCAATCTTGGCTCACTGCAATGTCCACCTCCTGGGTTCAAGCAATTCTTCTGCCTCAGCCTCCCGAGCAGCTGGGACTACAGGTGCATGCCACCACACCCAGCTCATTTTTGTATTTTTAATAGAGACGGGGTTTCACCATATTGGCCAGGCTGGTATTGAACTCCTGACCTCGTGATCCACCCGCCTCGGCCTCCCAAAGTGCTGGGATTACAGGCGTGAGCCACCATGCCCGGCCCAACTTTCACATTTTTTAAAGAAAAAATGTTAAATTCATTGTTAAAATCTAAAGGCTACTTATGTACACATCTCTTCTAAAGTACACATAAGTGTATTTTTTGTCACTGAGGAACAAACACTGAAATGTAATATGGTGTCACTAAAGAAGAAAAATCATGTTTAATAAATTCAGATGTCAACATGTCCCCATTCTGTTAGGGAGTAAACCAAATCTTCCAAGGTATTTTAAGTCACTTTTCAGCCAACAGAGGGAGCTCTAAGCCAAGTATCTCTTTAGAATCCAAGTAAATATACTCACTTTGGAAGAATCTCTTATGTGAAACTTTATAGGGTACCAATGTCCCAGCTTTAATACATACCAGTTTACATACTGCAAGGTCTGGTCAGTTATTGCCATCTCATCTCTTTCTATGTGAGAAAGGGGTATCATTTATATTCATTACCGGAATCGTTTTTAAGACTAATAAATAGCATTGGAGATAATTATGCTACATTTGAGTTTGTTAAAGAACCTGAGAATACTTACTATTTTGTCCCAACTGTAAAGGACAAACATAGGAAATATATACAGATGACCTTTATGCTATTCCTTTTAAGCCTACTACAGATCCACAATCATTTATCTGAAACCTCTAGGGTAAGAAAAATTAGGAAATTCAGAATTGCTCAGATCTTAGGAAAGTATATATATATATATAGTATATGACCTAAGCCCCCAGTGGGACCAGGGGCAATACCATATAACCAAACACATTAATAGTTCTCTAACAAAATATATGAGTATTTAAACAAAATGGATAAGGACTACAAATGGCCTCATACTGGGTGGGTTGTGGTATTGTCCTCAAATCAGTTCTGGTGTGAAACTTCAGCAAAAACATGCGTTTTTCAGAACTTTATAATTTTGGAATTGCAGAGAAAGGACTCTGGGCTTGTATTGTGAGATATAATACTTAAGTTCATAGTTAAATGGTAAAGATTTTCTGCTCTCACTTAAAGTCTGATATAAATGCCAATAATTGGTAAAGTGAAGACAAATTTTCAAAATTCACTTTGTTAAAGGTAAATGAAGAAAAAGACCCAATTGGTCACAGAATAATTCTGAGTACCTTTTACATACAGGGTGGTTAGGTTAAGAGGCCCAGGGAATTAAAATAATCTTAAGCCCTGGTTTCTATCTGCTATGTTATCTATTCTAATTACTTTAGTCATTTTGTAGCCAGAATGATCTTTCTAAAATACATATCATATCCTCCAGGGTTGACAGGACAGAACTGAAGTTCCTTAGTTTGTCAGACGGTCCTTTACACACGTCTCTTGTATCCCTCTCTACCCTCACTTTCCATGCCTTCCCTACTCTACTCTGCCACTTTACAGTTTCTGAAGGCTTCAGTTGCCTCTGACATATTTTGCCTGCTTTCACTACCCTGTCTGAACATTTCTCCTCTCTGCCTGAACACACATTGCTGGTTTACTTGACATCTCCTTTTGGACATTAAGATTTAGCTTGGGTGCTACCTCCTGGAAGTTGTCCCTGACCCTCGTTTCTCACAGATGCATTTCCACAGCAGCTTGGACTTATATCTATAAAAACACTTGGCATATGATGCTAAATTGGCAGTTTCCTTATATTTCTTTCACCAGACTATGATCTCCCTGGGGGCACAGACCATGTCTGCCTCTTCATCACTGACTGTGTCCTCAGCATGCATCACAATCCTGGCCCACGGAGTACTGTACCTATTTGCTAGACAAATTAACAAAATGAATGAAATATACAACAGGTTCAGAAGAATGAAAAATCACTTAGGGTAAGGGAGTTCAAGAAAGGATTTGAACTAGACCTTGAAAAATATATAGATTTTTGATAGCTGGGACATAGGAGGAGGCATTTACAAATTGGAGTGTGGCTGAAACATGGGAGATAGGACAGTGTCAGGAATATTCATCACTGCACCTTGAGTAACCTTATTTTGTTGGAACACAGTGCTTGTGGGGGAAAAAATGGAAAGAGCTGAAAGGAGGGTTGATATCATAATCATCATTATTAATTAAAAAGGCAGTATAGTAGAAAGAATGACAAATAACCAGCTTGGGTAAAGTCACTTCACCTCTCCCGGTATTTGTGTAAAATTGAGGAGTTAGACAGTCTTTTGCAGTCCTAAAATTCTGTGATCTTTAAAAGTGGGGTGGACATTCTTAGGAGTGGCATGTTTAGGGGATGGGGGAGGGTTACAAGTGCCAGGATAAGGAGTCTGGACTTCTATTTGTAGGAAGTGTAAACTCACCAAGGTTACTGACCATGGGTGTAACCTCATGAGGCCATGGAGATTTGAAGGAAGAGGAGAGACCTCAGACAGGCAGCAATGAGATCCCCCTGGGGCAGGGGCCTAGGGGCAAGCTGAACAAGGCAATCCCAATGGTCTGGGCATAAAGTGACACAATAAAGACCTGGGTTTAGCCCCATGGGGTAAAGTTAGTCAGCAAGTCATCTTGGGGGTCATAAGAAGCATTGTTTCTAGAGGAAATACTGAAGAACAACCAGGCCAAATCTTTATTTTCACCCTTAAATGCAAGCTGCTACCCAGATATGCGTGCTGGAGATCATCACTGAGCTTCAGAAAGGCTGACCGTAGGGAGATGACGGTCTCCACTCTCACTAACCTGATGCACACAGACGTTACACTTATCACAGAACACCATATCATTCCCTTCTTCACTGTCTGGAGACCGGCACACATCACAGATCACATCTTCATCATACTCTATGCCTAGCCCTTCCTCTGTCTCAATAGCATGGTTCATATTTTCATGGCAATGGCGTTCCAGGACTTCTACTGTCTTTTCCATAAGATTCTCATCAACTGGCCCACAACCTGCACAGAAATACAAACAATCAATCAACCCATCAGTCAGCTGTCATTCCCAAAACACCTACTGTGAGCCCAGTGCAGGAGTGGGTAGGATTCTAAAGGATAAAAACATCTCTTTCCTGCTCTAAAACAACCAGATTTCAAAAAATCTTTTGCTAGTGCTACTCTAACATTTACCTATAATCATATATTAGTGTTTGACACATGAAAGGAGATGTATATTTCACCATGTTCCTTAGAAGATATATTACTGACCCTTTCGATTTCTTGTCCAAATCCTTGCCAGTCTCCTCTTAAATCTCTATATTTTCTCTTATTCTCACTGTAGGAGGACTTTCACCAAGCTTTATAATTCTGGACACGATAATTTGTAGCATAGTAATTAAAATCACATAACTATTTGGATATAATAATTCATTCTTAGCAAGTTAGCTTCAATGAGCATATCTAATGATTATACAAGGAAATTTTCATATAAAAATGTATGAAGCCCATAAAAGAAAATTCTAGGTCCCATGTGTAGGTGATTACACATATAAAATATTTTGTTTTTCAAATATGACTTTTAAAAAATCTAATAATATTTTTCAATGGCAAACTATAACAACATATAAACCTGTTAATATTCACAAAGGTCTAACTTCAATTCTGGAATTACCTTCTTTGCTTCCTGATTCCTTTTCTCAGCTATAACTTTATCTTAGCCTTCCACACTTATTAATCAAATTTTGTGACAGCACTTATGTATTTATTCTAACAACTTGTAAACTCCGGAATAATCCTCAAGATGATCCAAAACAAATGTACCCAAGTATTCCACTTCATTTGTAATATAAGATGTCCTAAGAAACTTTAGAATTCCACATAAACTACCATTTTAAGGTGTGGCTACTTATGAAACCAAAAACTGCCCAGGCCTTATGTTTCATTTTTCCAGCCAAGACAAGTTACACATTTTTTTTTTGGAGTAAAGGAATATAGTGTCTGGTTACAAGAAAACTTGGATTAAAATTCCAACCTTACCTCATATTAGCTATGTAAACTTTGACACGTTATTTATCCTCTTTAGGGCTTAGTGTTCTTATCTATGAAATTAGTATAATAATAAGAAACCCACTGATTTGTTGTGAAGCTGAGATGAAGTAATATTGGTACATTGCTTAGTATGGTGCTTAATATGTAGTCAGCACTCAACTTAAAAAGTTCTTAATTCATAATACGCTTAATATTGTTTTTAAAAAGTTTACTTTAAGCTCTTAGACACCTCACTGCAATATCATTCACCCTAAAGAAAAGCTTGAGATACTGCAATCCTCTTTTAAAATTCTTACAAGCCTAAATGCAATGTGGTATACTTGATGGGATCCTGGAACAGAAAAAGGTTGTAAGTGGAAAAAAAAACCTTGAAATCCCAATAAAGTCTGAAGTTAACAGTAATGTACCAGTATTGGTTTTGTAGTTTTGACATATGTACCATGGTAAAGTAAGATGTTAACATTAGGGGAACTGAAACTGTGAGGTGTATATGAGAACTCCCTGTACTAACTGCAACTTTTCTGTAAATCAAACTATTCCAAAATAAAAAGTTTATTTAAAAAACTCACCCAAGGAGAATTAATTACAAAATACCAAAGGAACCTCATAATAAGGTAGTTTCATGCCAAAGGCAGCCTTGCAATGATTGTGATAGCTATGGATATTATATGCATTATGAACACAAGCGCACATTGAGCCATGAATCCATTTGATTATGTCCTCATATTCTGATTTTACTTCTCTGTCAGTCTTTCATTCCCTTCTCTTTGTGGTTGCCACCCTAAATTTACCACTCCCCTCTCCTCTTAGGGGGCAGAGCAAGAAAAGACATAAAACAAAAAGCTTTAAAAATCAAGGAATAAGGATTGGTTACTGGCAGAGTAACTATCATTCCCATGCCAAACTGCTTTAATATAATTTCAGTTTTTTATTCATGTGCATTCAGATACTAGCCTCAAAAGAAAGAAAGGAAAAAGGGAGGGCGGGAAGAAAAGAAAAACCACTGATCCTTATACTAACAATGAACAAATGTGATTCAAACAAAAATGAAATAAAATGTGATTCAAACAAAAATGAGATCAAATGTATCCTTCACCATATCTTATACGGAGTCTTAAAAACTACCCACAGATCTACAGGAAAACTTGGACGTGAACACTGCTTAGACTGAAAACAGATGAACAAGAACTGTGTGTAAGTATAAAATGAGTTATCTTTCAGCCTAGCATTTCTCAGTATTGTTGGTATGGTATTGTATGGCACACATTTACTTTAAAATTATTAATTATGTTTACTTCCATATGTAAACATAAATTTATTTGCTTGTTTTTGTTTCATTTTATCTTTTGAATATTGTATGACAACTCTAGAACTCCGTGGAAGTAGCTAAGAACTGCTTTGTGAATGTTTTGCTCTAGGCCTGCAACTTTTCTTCCAGGTAGCAAGTCCTGCATTAAGGGGTACTGTCACAGCAATCTGTCAGTTGCAGTGGTGCTGCTCAATACTGAAGTTGGAGATTCTCTCCAAGCCCCTGCCAGAGGGGCCTCTACCTCTGGCCCTGCTCACTGATCACACTGCTTTTCAGGCCAGGAACCTGCCTCAGAATTCTCAACCAGAAGTCCAATCAGCTATGGCCAATCAGCTATGGCCATTCTCAAACTTCCTGAATTGGGAAACAACTTCATGAGACCTATATGCTATCCTTGATCTGTGCCATTAACTATGAATGAGGAAAGAAAAGGTCATATTTAAATATTATTGCTTTATTTCTATGTATGCATTTGAAGAAATATCTCACTGAAATAAGATAAAATCAATGAGAAAAATAAATGAAAAGGCCAGAAAAGAAAGGAGGCAACAAAAATAAAAACAAGCTAAAGGGTTCTGATAACTTAAAAAAAAAACATGAATTAAGTCACAACTTACTTGTGAGAAAAGAACTTACCCATTTCTGCAAGGTCTTCATTGAGTTCCTGAAGCCAGAAGATGTCCATGTCATCTAGGTCATAGCGGCAAACAGATGCTGCCAACTCCATGATGTTGATGTAGCCAGGCTCTGTGGTGTCTGGGCTGGAGCAGTGAATATACTTCCGGGGTCGGATAAACAGAACGTCCTTTACCTTCTCAGCTATAATCCTAGAAAAGCAACAGAAAGACAATGATAACAATCAACAAATGACAGATTTCAGGCACTGAATGGATGGCTAAATGCCCTCTGGGAGGTATGGCAGATTCCTTTCTAGAAAGCAAATGGTTTTACAAATTTAGTTTTGTCATGTGCTGTTAACTCACTGACTGCTTACAATATTCTTTATTCACCCTCATGGATCCTGGTTCCCAACATTCTAATTTTTAAAAAAATTTTTAGAGACAAGCTCTTGCTCAACCACCCAGGCTGGAATGCAGTGGCAAGGTCATAGCTTACCATAGCCTTGAACTCCTGGGCTCCAGTGATCCTCCTGCCTCAGCTTCTCAAGTAGCTGAGACTACAGGCACATGCCACCATGCCTGGCTAACGTTTGAAAAATTTTTTTTTGGGTAAGAGATGGGGTCTCACTATGTTGTCCAGGCTGGTCTTGAATTCCTGGCCTTAAGCAATCCTTCTAACTTGGCCTCCTAAAGTGTTGGGATTACTGGCGTGAGCCACCACGACTGGCCCATTCATTCTAATAAAATGTCGTCACATTAGTGTGTTCTTGGTACAATGGCCACCAAGTTTATTTAGAAGAGGAAACCAACCTGGGAGGGGGCGATATCTGCACAAAGGCACAGCCAGATCCCATACCAAAGATATATTTCAGCCAAATTAATAATTTTCTGTCACGGAGACAATACTGGATGGTGGTAAAGAAAACAAGCTTTAGTCTCACAGAGGCTTGTTTTTTTCTGTCACTCACTTACATGGTGATCTCAGGCTATTACTTTATTTGTTTGTTTGTTTATTCATTTATTTTGAGATGGAGTCTTGCTCTGTTGCCCAGGGTAGAGTGCAGTGGCATGGTCTCGGCTCACTGCAACCTCCGCCTCCCGGGTTCAAGTGATTCTCCTGCCTCAGCCTCCCAGTAGCTGGGATTACAGGCAAGTGCCACCACGCCCAGCTAATTTTTTGTATTTTTAGTAGAGAAGGGGTTTCACCATGTTGGCCAGGCTGGTCTCGAACTCCTGACCTCATGATCCGCCCACCTTGGCCTCCCAAAGCGCTGGGATTACAGGCGTGAGCCACTGTGCCTGGCCACTTACTTTATATAAGGTTCAGTTTTCTTAGCTAAAATGTAAGGATAACAATCATTAAATATGATAAAAATAATATCTAGCAAAGACATGGAATTAACCTAAATGCCCATCAATGATAGACTGGATAAAGAAAATGTGGTACATATTCACCATGGAATACTAGGCAGCCAAAAAAAAATGAGATCATGTCCTTTGCAGGGACATGGATGGAGTTGGAAGCCATTATCCTCAGCAAACTAACGCAGGAACAGAAAACCAAAACCTGCATGTTCTCACTTATAAGTGGGAGCTGAATGATGAAAACACATGAACACATGGTAGGGGGAACAACACACACTGCTGCCTGTCAGTGAGGGGAGGGAGAGCATCAGGAAGAATAGCTAATGCATGCTAGGCTTAACAGCTTGGTGATGGGATGATTTGTGCAGCAAACGACCATGGCACACGTTTATTTATGTAACAAACCTATACATCCTGCACATGTACCCCTGAACTTAAAAGTTGAAGGGAAAAAATGCCAAATTTGTAGGACTATTATAACAATTATATAGAAAAAAACAGAAAGTGTTTGGCTTAGTGTACAGTAAAAATAGATGCTCAATAACGTCATTGTTATTGTTTTTATATTCCTTATTATTTTCACTATTTATGCAAATGAGTTAAAGCCAAGAGGCCATGGAGCTATGCACACTCAATCCATTTCCCAACCATAAACAATAGCAACCATAAATCTAAGCCCAAGCAGACTGATATTTCCCCTCACCCTTCCTGACATCCAAGGGCTCAAGGCAAGGAAACCAGAGAAAAAAATAAATTTTTTTCATGCCAACAAGTTATTATTGGTGGTTTAAATACTGTATGAGGCCTCAGAAAATTTAACCAAGAGAAAAATCTGGATTATTATTCTGTGGCAATTTTAAAGAACAAGGTGGTCCATCTAAAAAAAGAAATAAACACACGTATGTCATCATAAAATAATGAAAATCATTTCTCCGGAAGGCTTCTAGAGCCAGTTTCTTTACTCTAGAGTCATCACATATATGGAAGGATTTACAAACACAAACATATTCCAATGAATAAACATAAAATATATACAGGCATAGTCCACCCTATAAATGTAGAGAATACTGCCTCCTAATAAGCATTCTTCCAAAAGCCTGATTCCAAATAATGAACCTGAATAAAGCTAATAACAACGACACACATTTGCACATTTTAATTTTTCTACTATATGGAGTTTTTAAAGCCAAAGGGAACAAATATTTGAGGAAAAATGCAGAAACCTCAAATACTAATTGAAACTAAAATTTTGGGAATTGCTGTTAGAGGCCTGCTTCCAACTGAAACATACCCAACTAAAAAGGGTAGGACAGACATATGAATTCTTTAGAGACTATGAGATTAAATATGTCATGTTTCTTTAGTGCATGGCCTAGAAGGGAGAATACCCAATTTTTTGTCAAGAGTTATCTTCTTCTAAAAGGAAGACCGTTTTGCTAACTATTCATCTCAATCGCCTCAAATTCTACATGGAACAAGGTAGGCTATAAATGTTTTTCTATACCAATATGCTCATTAAGCTTCTGGAAGAAAACAGAGGAGAATATATTTATGACCTTGGGGCAGGCAAAGATATTTTAAATAAGACACAAAAGCCATTAACCATAAAGGAAGAGACTGAAAAATGAAACTAGAACTTCTGGTTATCAAAAGAGACAATTAAGAGAATAAAAAGGCAATCCATGGGACAGGAGAAGATATTTGCAATTGCACATAGACAACAAAGGACTTACATCTACAATATATAATAAACTCTTACAAATTAATTAGAAAAAGACAACCCAATTAAAAGCTGGGCAAAAAAACTTAAAGAGATACTTCACAAGTAAGGCTATCCAGATGGCAAATAAACTTTTAAAAGGTTCTCAACCTCATTAGTTATCACGGAAATGCAAACTGAAATTACAATCACTATTATCTACCAGAATAATTAAACTTAAAAAGACTGTCCAAAAATTGAAAATACTAAATGTTGGTAAGGAAATGGAGCAAATAGATTATCTCTTATGCTGCTGGTGGGAGTGTGAATTTGAACAACCACTTTGGCAGCAGATATTATAGCTGAACGTACACATACCCATGACCTAGCAAACCCACACTAGGTATATACTTAGCAAAAGTGTACACAGATGCATGCCAAATGATAAATAAAAAGGCTCATATCAGCATTTTTATGGTAGGTAAAAACTGGAAACAACCCAAATATATATCAAGAGCAGAATAAAAAATGTGGCATATTCACACAATGCATGACACAGAAGTGAAAATTAATGAATTACTACATGCAACAGGATGGATGGATGGCAAAATCCTACTGATGAGCAAAACAATTCAGTCTCAAATGACTACACTGTAGGAGTCTATTCATAGGAAGCTCAAAAACTGGCAAAACTGATACCTTGGGTGAGGGAGGTCAGTTACTGGCAGGGAGAAGAAGGAGGGGTTCTTGGGTGTTGGTAATATTTTCTTTTTTTTTTTTAGGTAGTTCTCAGTGGCATGACCAAAGCTCCTGCAGCCTCAACCTCCTGGGCTCAAGTGATCCTGCCACCTCAGCCTCCTAAGTAGCTGAAACTACAGGTACACACCACCACGATGGCTAGTTTTAAAATCTTTTGTAGAGATGGGGTCTCACTGTGTTGCCCAGGCTAGTCTTGAACTCCTGGGCTCAAGTGATACTCCCATCTTGGCCTTGCAAAGTGCTGGTATTACAGGCATGAGCCACCGTGCCCAGCCATGTTTTATTTCCCCATCTGGGTGGCAGATAAATGAGTGCATTTAATTTGTGAAAATTCATTCAGCTGTACAGCTTTGTGTACTTTTCTGTGTGGATATTATACTTCGATGCAAAATTTACAATAATGATAATGACAGCAATGTCATCTCACTCATCTTTCCTCGTGTATCTTGAACTAAAGGTCTGCATCTAAGGACCAAGACCATGACAATAAATTATATACTAAAACAGTAACACCAACTACAAGAAAATACATGGGTAAAAGATGAAGTTAATATAAACTCACAAGGAGAAATTATTGTACTTATAATGATAGAGGGGGAAGGGCTGTGAGAATTAGTGAAAAAAAATATGTTTGGGATTTTTTAAATGCAGCTTCAATATCTTCGAGTATATATAACATGGCTAAAGCTGGAGGAAATCCCAGGATTATCCTCCCTGGATGGGTGATTTTCTTTCTTGGCTATGTACTATGGATAGACACACTTTTTTTTTTTTTTTGAGACCAAGTCTCACTCTGTTGCCCAGGCTAGAGTGCAGTGGCATGATCACAGCTTACTGTAACCTCTGCCTACCAGGTTGAAATGATTCTCCTGCCTCAGCCTCCCAAGTAGCTGGGATTACAGGTGCATGCCACCATGCCAGGCTAATTTTTGTATTTTTAGCAGAGATGGGGTTTCACCATGTTGGCCAGGCTGGTCTCAAACTCCTGACCTCAGGTGATCCACCTGCCTCAGCCTCCCAAAGTGGTGGGATTACAGGCGTGAGCCACCGCGCCCGGCCTGATACTCTTTAAATGGTCACTAGACCATTGACCAAATCAGCAAAAGCTCGCAAGCCCAGAAGCATGAGCAATTTTGTTAGGATGAGGTAACCTCAACTTTCAATTTGGATGCTTGCATGTAAATGAATGTTGTAATAACTTTCCAGATGACTAGCCTTTGGTGAAAGGACCCACAATCACATCTGCTCTCCAGGGGAGACCAGTGGCTGGAACACTACTACCTCTGGCCTTTGTGGATACTGCTGTGCCAACTAAGGAGGCAATAAAAAGGTAACTGCAGTCACTCTAACCTGATCTATGGCCTCCTCCAGTGTCTTATGTACAGAGACCCCTCAGTGTCTCTTCAGTTGATCTAAATATTTGGCAGGTACAGACTATGCTACATTTCCTAATAAGTGGATTAGAATCATTTGTGAACACTGCAGAAACTGCATAAAACCAAAACCTCATAGGTTTTGTAAAGGTTTGAAATAAATGCCTTAAAAATGAACTAGATAGAGTTGGGTGTGGTGGTATGTTCCTATAGTCCCAGCTACTCAGGAGGCTGAGGCAGGAAGATCACTTGAGCCCAGGAATTTGAGGCTGTAGAGAGCTATGATTACACCACTGCACTCCAGCCTGGGTGACAGAGTGCGACCCTATCTCTAAACACACAAATAAAACTAACTAGATAGTAGTTACTGTAATAACAACTCTAGGAATCATTTCCCAAGATGACCCTTGTTCATCCTACCACTCTGGGATAATCACTTCTCTCCAAGTCTCCATGACTCAAAACAAAGGACAATGATAACCCCTGCGACAGATGGTATTTTCCAAATCCCACATTCTTCTGCAATGTGACTTTGTCATCTTCATCAAGTAGTGAAGTCTATCTCCCTTCCCCTTAAATAGGGGAGGGCTTGTGATGGTTTTTGATCAATAGAAGTGATGCCATGAGAACTGCAAGGCTGGGTCATAAAATGGAATGTAGCTCCCTCCTGGTTTGCAGGAACGCATGCACTTGGAGCCCTGTGCCTGACTCCTGTAAGAAATCTGACTATGCTGAGGTTGTTAGGCTATGAGGAAGCCAAACTAATGGAAAGGCCATGTGTAGTCTATGTTATCCAAGCCCAGGGATGGGCTGTTACACAGACACGCAGTGAATAAGCCTTCAGTTGATTCCAGTGCCCAGCTGTTGGGTCACTCTCAAACTTTGTCTTCCTTGATGAGGCCCTAGACACATCATGGAGCAGAGGGAAGCCATCTCCACTGTGCCCTATCTGATTTCCTGACCCACAGAATCAATGGGTATAACACAGCTGCTCTAAGCTGCTAAGTTTGGGGGCAAATTATCATCAGCAATAGTAACTGGAAAACTGCAAAAGGACTGTTTTAAATTTTAAATAAGATAAATGTGTAGGAAAGTGCTCTGGGCCGGGCGCGGCGGCTCACACCTGTAATCCCAGCACTTTGGGAGGCCGAGGCGGGTGGATCACGAGGTCAGGAGATCGAGACCATCCTGGCTAACACAGTGAAACCCCGTCTCTACTAAAAAATACAAAAAATTAGCTGGGCGTGGTGGCAGGTGCCTGTAGTCCCAGCTACTCGGGAGGCTGAGGCAGGAGAATGGCATGAACCCGGGAGGCGGAGCTTGCAGTGAGCCCAGATCGCGCCACTGCACTCCAGCCTGGGTGACAGAGCGAGACTCCATCTCAAAAAAAAAAAAGAAAGTGCTCTGTACATTGTGCTCCTTACTGAATTCTCATAATTGAAAGTAAAAGTGATAGAATGCTGCTGCCTAAAATGGGATGAAAAAGGAGGTGTGGGAAGAAGGAGGTGTGGGAAGAAGGAGATGGGGTGAGGAGAGTAAGGGGAGATGGGAGGGGCCTAGATGACCAAATACAGCAGTGGAGTGGGAGGCAGGCATGTGTTTCCATTTATCATTAGGGGTTGTTCTTTTACTATATGAAATATGGATATATTTTGAAAGTAGAGTTAATGGGATATCCTGTTATATTGAATATGGGATATAAGACAATGAAGAATCAAAGATGACTAAGAATTTTGGCTTAAACTGAAAAGACAGAGTTACAGCTAGAAGGATAGATTTTTCTATCAGCTAAAGCTAGAGAACTACAAATAGAACTGGTTTGGGAAGATCAGTAGTTCAGTTTGGGACATTTTTAGTCTGAGATGTCTACTGGACATCCAAGTGGAACTGTTGAATTGACAGTTGTATATTTGAGTCTAGAGTTTAGTAAAGAAAGCACTGATCTCCATAGCCCAGTAAGTCCAGAGTTTACATTGCAAGGGGAAATAGGGACCTATCTATATCCAATCATTTCCTCTTTCAGTTTTATTAACGATGCAGAAGTATATATTAAGTGAAAAAAGCAAGTTATAGAACAATCCCATTTATATATACATATATGCATGTGTATAAGCATACACTACACAGTTAATTTTTTTGTATTCTGATTGTTTTTATTTGTATGATAGTTCATCCGTAATTTTAAAAACATACACACATGCACACACACACAGTAAAACTTCATTAATCATTGTGTATTATACAACTTATAATGTATGTTTGCTTTCAACAAAAAATGAAGCATTGTTTTCCTTCTATTGGAATCTTACTGCAATAGAAACTGATTAAAATATATAAATGAATACCCAAAAAGAAATATCTGAAGCTCACTGTTAATGACTCAAAATCCTTCAGTCTACCTAGAGACATGTAAATAGGGTTAACACCATCTTTATTTGTTGAACTCACTGTCGAAAAATTTCTTTTGGTCATCAGTACTTACCTAAGCAGCTATAACTTACAGTGCAAGATGGCTCTGTAATCTCTGTACCCCTCCCCTCAATCACCACATATATACACTATACTGAACTAACAGGGAAACTGCAGAAAGGACAGTGAAACAGATGGGAAAACCTCATCTGAAAGCCAGAACAAAGATTCTGAAAGGATGTGCTCTATCTATTCTTATTTCTCCCTCATCCATTTTCAGTTACTATAGCTCGAGTAGAGTAATTCTAGCACCCAAGGATCATGTCAATTAATTTATACATATATCCAAAATTACTGCTCTAAGTCCATTAGGAAATAAGATGCTAAAGCATTTTGATAACCTTATAAATTAGTTAATAAATAAAAAGCAAGAGTGTACTTTAGTCTTATTAGTAAAGTTTCTCTAGCTGACTAATCTGTCTATAGGCAACAAAACAAGTAACTCAAGACAGGCATGGTAGCTTGTGCCTGTAGTTCCAGCTCATCACGAGGCTGAGGCGGGAGGATAGCTTGAGCCCAGGAGTTTGAATCTAGCCTGAGCAACATAGCAAGATCTGTCTCTTAAAAAAAAAAAAAAAGACAAACATTAAAAATATTATGACGTGGTAGATCAAAGACGGCCACAAATCCTTTGATATGCCTTTTATTGAGAAATGGGGCCTATTTTCCTTTCCTTCAATTTGGAAGCCCTCTGCAACTGCTCTAATAAAATATAGTGCAAGTAATACTGTGTCAGTTTCTGAGCCTAGGCTTTGAAATGAGCACCTTCCACTTCTTACCTCTTAAAACATTCACTCTTGGAGTCCTGAACTGTCTGTAAGAAGTCAGACTATCCTGCTGAGACACTAGGTGGAAAGATCCTAAGACTATATGGAAATCTGTGCAGTGTAGACCATAGCATCAACTACAGGGTTACAGTGGTGAATAAAACCAATAAGGTTCCTGTGATCTCATAGCTTTGACTTTGTAATGCCACTATCAAAGAGCAGCAGAGAAGTGCGAGGTGTTCACCAAACCCTATTTCCATTTCCACCTGCACACATAGCAAGACTGCGTTCTCCAGCCCCCTTTGCTGTTAGGTGGGCCACAGGAGTGAGTTCTGGCTAATGATATGTAGGTAGGTAAGTCACTTCAAAGCCTACCCCCGCTGCCCCCACCAGAAAAAAACCCCAACTGTATAACCCTCCACTCTTTTCATGCTGACTGGATTGAGAAGTTAGAGAGTAGAAAAGAGAATGGGTAGTAAATAAAAGCGCCATTCATAAAAAGAGCTTGTGTCCCTAAATAACTGTGTGGGGCAGAGGGGATCCACATTCAAACCCACATTGGATGGAGACATGTGCGAAAAATAAAGACTTCATTGTATTAAGATGCTGAGACTGGTTGGGTGCAGTGGCTCACGTCTGTAGTCCCAGCTACTCAGGAGGCTGAGATAGGAGGATCTCTTGAGCCTGGGAGATCGAGGCTGCAGTGAGCTATGATCATGCCACTGCACTCCAGCCCAAGTGACAGAGATCCTGTCTCAAAAAAAAAAAAAAAAAAAAAGATGCTGAGACTTTTGAGGATGTTTGCTATAACAAATGGCGTATCCCAATACATAATAATTATTTCCAAATATTTTCAAGTACATTTTAACTTAATTTACTATTGTATTACATTAGATCAATTCCTTTTTTTTTTTTTTGAGACAGTCTTGCTCTGTCACTCAGGGTGGAGTGCAGTGGCACAATCTTGGCTCACTGCAACCTCTGTTTCCCAGGTTCAAGCGATTCTCATGCCTCAGCCTCCCGAGTAGCTGGGATTACAGGCATAAGCCACCACACCCAGCTAATTTTTTTGTATTTTTGGTAGAGATGGGGTTTTACCATGTTGGCCAGGCTGGTCTCGAACTCCTGATCTCAAGCGATCCACTCACCTTGGCCTCCCAAAGTGCTGGGATTACAGGCGTGAGCCACCACACCCGGCCAGATTCATTCTTAAATTTCTCTAACAGATTTACATTTTGTAATATTTTCTCCATAGAAGTGAGATTTCCATCAGCAGAAACTAACCAATTGGGTTTTAATTTTACCAAAACTAATATGAAGTAGCAAGCCCAAAATAATATATTCATAATTTTTTGTTTTTACATTCTGATACTTTCCACATGTTATTGTGAATTGCTATAACATTCTTTATTAAAAACCTTCAGTGCAGAATTAAGGAATGTCATCATGCTTTCAATGCACTCTGACTTACAATTTTTAAAATTTGGAAGGTGGAGATAATTTTTACAATTCAACAATTATTAACATAGTAATACATAATCACTGAAGATAAGAGTTTTAAATCTAAAAATAATTATTGCAAGGGTTTGTTATAGAACACTTACATTTATTTAAACTTGGCAATTACATTGGAAGAGAACATTTTTATTTATGGTTTTTGAGAATAAAGCTATTTTTAATTTCAAAAACTGTTTAAAATACACAAAAGGAAAACTAACACAAAAGTTATAAAATTAACCAATAAAAATTAACATAATGCTGTTTTGTCATGTAGGGTGGGAAAACAGTAACATATAAGAGGTCTTCAAAAAGTTCATGGAAAATAAAAAACTATATGTAGATTTCAAAAATTTACACAAAAATAAATTCATACTAACTTTTACAGGCACTAAGAAGGATAAGACATCAGTTTGAAAAGGGCCCCTATTAGAGCAATAGGAATTTGGCTAAAACTGAAGCAAGAACAAACATCAAATTTATGGTGAAATCTGGGTAGAAGAAAGGAGAAATCGCTGTTTTACAAAAAGTTCATGGGGACAATGCCCCAAAGAAATCAGCAGTTTACAAATGGATAGCTTGTTTTAAGAAGGGAAGAGACAAAGTTGAAGATAAAGCCCACATTCACATCATTTTTACATCTCATCAATTTGCAAGGAAAAAATTCATCTTGTTCATGCCCTAATTAAAGAGGACTGATGATTAACAGCACAAACAACAGCCAACACCACAGACATCTCAACTGGTTCAGCATACAGTCACAGTTCTTCAGTCACAATTCTGACTGAAAAATTAAAGTTAAGCAAACCTTTCACTCAATGGGTGCTGAAACTGGTTACAGCCAGATCAGCTACAGACAAGTGCAGAGCTTTCAATGGAAATTTTAAACAAGTGGGATCAAGATCCTGAAGCATTTCTTTGAAGAATTATAATAGGAGATGAAACATGGCTTTATGAGTACAATCCTGAAGACAAAGCACATTCAAAACAATGGCTACCAAGAGGCGGCAGTGGCCCAGTCAAAGCAAAAGTGGGTCAGTCAAGAGTAAAGGTCATGGCAACAGTTTTTGGGGATGTTCAAGGCATTTTGCTTGTTGACTTTTTGGAGGGCCAAAGAATGATAACATCTGCTTATTATGAGTGTTTTGAGAGAGTTAGCCAAAGCTTTACAGAAAACTGCTCAAGAAAGCTTTACCAGAACGTCTTTTGCTATCACAACAATGCTCCAGTTCATTCTTCTCATCAAACAAGAGTAATTTTGTGAGAGTTTCAATGGGAAATCATTAAGCATCCACCTTACGGTCCTGTTTTGCCTCCTTCTGACTTCTTTTTGTGTCCTAATATTAAAAAATCTTTAAGGGTACCCATTTTCCTTCAGTTAATAATGCAAAAAAGACTGCACTGACATGGTTAAATTCCCAGGACGCTCAGTTCTCTAGGGAAGAACTAAATGGCTGGTATCATTGCTTACAAAAGTGTCTTGACCTTGATGGAGCTTACGTTGAGAAATGAAGTTTATATTTTTAATTTTCATCACTTAATTCCATTATTCCATTAACTTTTAAAAAGTTCCCTTATATTTGGACAGAGTGAAGCATAAAGTACAGAAATTAGCATCTCAAACTAGATAAAAAAATTTTAAGTCACTTTGGTAGATCTGTGAAACAGGAGATTAAAAAAATAAAACTGGCTGGGTGCAGTGGCTCATGTTTGTAATCTTAGCACTTTGGGAAGCCAAGATGGGATAACTGCTTGAGGCCAGGAGTTTGAGACCAGCCTGGGCAACATAGCGAGATCCCATCTCTAAAAAAATAATAAAAAATAACTGGGTACAGTGGCATGTGCCTGTAGTCCCAACTAATTGGGGAGGCTAAGGCAGGAGGATTGCTTGAGCCCAGGAGTTCAAGATTACAGTGAGCTATGATTGTGCCACTGCATTCCAGGCTGGGCAACAGAGAACGAGACGCTGTCTCTGAAAAAAGAACTAAGATTTCAAAATATAAAACTAGGATTTCTTGCTAATTCAATAACTATGCTTTCTTTCATAGCAGCCTGACTTATAAGGAATACATGGAACCAAGGTAGGTGGGTTTGGGGTACAGTGTTCATCATTTTCAAAAAGGAAGCTACCCAACAAATGGTGTTGTGACAACTAGATATCCACACATAAAAAAAAATGAACTTGGACCCCTAATACCTCAAGCCAGATACAAAAATGAATTCAAATGGATCAAAGACCTAAATGTAATAGCCAAACTATAAAATTCTTAGAAGAAAATATAGGTATAAAACTTCTTGACCTTGGCTTAGGCAATATTTGCTATTTCTTGGATATAACATCAAAAGGACAAGCAACAACAACAACAACAAAAAAAAAAACAGATAAACTGGACTTCATCACAATTAAAAACTTTTTTTTTTGAGGCAGGGTCTCACTCTGTCACCCAGGCTGGAGTGCAGTGGTGTGATCATAGGTCACTGCAGCCTTAAACTCCTGGGCTCAAGCAATCCTTCCACGTAAGTCTCTTGAACAGCTGGGACTATAGGTATGCGCCACCATGGCTAGCTAATTTTTTATTTTTTGTAGAGATGAGGACTTGCTATGTTGCCTAGTATGGCCTTGAGATCCTGGTTTCAAGCCATCCTCCCACCTCAGCCTCCCAAAGTGTTGGGATTACAGGTGTGAGTCACTGCACCTGGCCCAAAATTAAAAACTGTCGTTCCTCAAAGGACACCATGAGGAAAGTAAAAAGAGAATCAATAGAATGGGAGAAAATATTTGCAAATCATATTTCTGATAAGAGACTTGTATCCAGAATATGTAAAGAACTCTTATGACTCAATAAAAAGACTGCCCGTTTAAAAAAATTGAGTTAAGGATCTGAATAATTTCTCCAAAGACAACATAGGAGGTGTGCATGGATGCAGTATTAAAAAATGGGACATTCTAGAACACTGATGGTCAGGGAACTTTGCTGCCCTATTCATTAAAGGGTCAGATTTTCAGCAGCCAAGGACATACATACTCAAATGAATGTGATGGGACTTAAGACGACTCATTCTGGCTGTGTGAACAGCAGCATTTCATAGAAGACAAAGATAAAATCTTGTGTTTTCTGACCTCATAAAGGCTTTTTTGTGTGATAAAGTAGAAAAGGTCTCTTCAAAAGATATATAAATGGCTAAGAAGGACATCGAGAAAAGCTGTTCAACATCATTAGCCATTAGACAAATGCAAATCATAATCACAGTGAAATACACTTCATACCCACTAGAAAGGCTATAACAAAAAGACAGACAATAACAAGTATTGGTGAGGATGTGGAGAAAATGTAACCTTCACACATTACTGACAGGAATGTAAAATGTTGCAGATGCTATAAAAAATAGTTTGACAATTCCTCAAAATGTTAAAGATAGAGTTACCATATGACTCAATAATTCTATTCCTAGGTATGTACCCAAGAGAAATGAAAACATATGTGCACTCAAAAACCTGTATGAATTTTCTTCTAGAGGACCTGATTAAAATTTAAAAAAAAACTGTATGAGGATGTTTATAGCACCATTATTCGTAACAGCCCATATGTGGAAACAACCCAAATATCCATCAACTGCTGAAAGGATTAACAAAATGTGGTGTATCCATATAACAGAATATTATTTGGTCATAAAAGTAATGAATACTGATACATATAACACGGATGAACTTCCAAAACATTATGCTACATGAAAAAAGTCAGACTCAAAATGCCATACATTGTATGATTCCATTTATATGAAATGTCCAGAGTGGGCAGTTCCATAAGAACAGAAAGCAGACTAGTGGTTGTTATGAACTCAATAGGCCCTTCTCAAATTCATGTTGAAGACCTAACCCATGATGTGACTTTATTTGGAGACAGGGCCTATAAGTAGGTAATAAAGGTTATGAGAGGTCATAAGGATGGGGCCTTAGTCTGATAGGGCTGGTGTCCTTAGAAGGAGACACCCCAGAGCTCCACCCCCACAAACTGTGCACGTACAGAAGAAAGGCCATGTGAGGACACAGTGAGAAGGTGGCTGTTTACACACTAGGAAGAGAGGCCTCACCAGACGTCAACCCTGATGACACCTTGATCTTGGATTTCTAGACTCTAGAACTATGAAAAAATAATTTTTTTTTGAGAGAGAAAGAGAGGGAGAGAGAGAGAAAGAGAAACGTCTGAAAAAGTCCAAATTTTTGTTCTTTAAGCCACCCAGTCTGTGGTATTTTGTTATGGCAGCCCTAGCAGACTAATACAGTGGTTGCCAGGGGCTGGGGGAAGCGGAGAATGACTAGTAACTGCTAACAGATGTGGGATTTCTTTCTAGGGTGATAAAAACGTTTTGGAATTACACAGGGATGATGATTGTATAACTCTGTGAATATACTAAAAACCACCATATAATTTAAAAGGGTGAATTTTATGGTATGTGAATTCTATCTTGATTTAAAAATTTACATGGCCGGGCGCGGTGGCTCACGCCTGTAATCCCAGCCAAGCCAGGCGGATCACCTGAGGTCGGGAGTTCGAGACCAGCCTGACCAACATGGAGAAACCCTGTCTCTACTAAAACTACAAAATTAGCCAGTTGTGGTGGCACATGCCTGTAATCTCAGCTACTCGGGAGGCTGAGGCAGGAGAATCGGTTGAACTGGGGAGACGGAGGTTGTGGTGAGCCTAGATCGCACCATTGCACTCCAGCCTGGGCAACAAGAGCGAAACTCCGTCTCAAAATAAATAAATAAAAATAAAAATTTATAATAGGTGAATTATCTCACTTAAAAAAATCTAAGAAAAGCAAGCTGCACATTTATGAAAACCACAGAGGTCATGTGACAAACTTAAAACTTGATCTGACTGAGGAACTTAGTAAAATTTCCCTACCTCCCATTCCCCTATTTTGATTTAAAACATCACTTATTAGTTGTAATGTTATGTCTACTTACATTAAACTCTTTCAATCAAGCACTTGAGAAAGTGAAAAAATCTTTTTTTTTTTTGAGATGCCCGGCCAAAAAAATCTTTTTATTTTAGTATAAGAAAGGCAAGTGGGCCAGGCATAGTGGTTCACACCTGTAATCCCGGTATTTTGGGAGGCCGAGGTGGGAGAATTGCTTGAGCCTGGGAGTTCGAGACCAGCCTGGGCAACACAAGGAGATCCCATCTCTACAAAAGATACAAAAATTAGCCAGGTACGGTGGTGTGCGCCTGTAGTCCTAGCTACTTGGAAGGCTGAGGTGAGAGGATCCCTTGAACCTGGGAGGTCGAGGCTGCAGTGAGCTGTGATTGTGCCACCATGCTCCAGCCTGGGCAAGAGAGTAAGATCCTGTCTCAAAAATGAAAAGAAAAAAAAAAAAAAGAAAGGAATGCAAATGGTGAAAATGGAAGGCTTAGTTTCCTCCTGTTCTCATCTTTGTTTTTCTGACTTATATTTTGGCCCTTCTCAAATTTTCTTAATTAACATCCACCATTTTCCTCTTTGTTTTCTTTTCCTATTCTCCTTACAACACATATTTACTGAAAACCTTTTTATCTGAACAGTAGGGGTTCTGCCCTTAGGTAGTTTACAGTCACATCTTGTCTTTCTCCTTTTCTAACCACCCATGATTGTGTCTTCATGTAGCCACTATCACATTTCTTTTTGAGACAGGGTCTTGCTCTGTTATCTAGGCTGGAGTGTAGTGGTACTCTCTGCAGCCTGCAGTGGCTCACTGCAGCCTCAACCTCCTAGGCTCAAGCGATCCTTCCAACTCGGCCTCCCGAGCAGCTCCACTACAGGCGCATGCCACCATGCCCAGCTAATTTTTTTACTTTTTGTAGAGACGAGGTCTCACTATGTTGCCCAAGCTGGTCTTGAACTCCTGGGCTCAAGTAATCCTCCCGCCTTGGCTTCCCAAAGTGCTGGGATTACAGGTGTGAGCCACTACACTCGACCCCACTATCACATTTTCTTACCCATCTATACATATACTCATCTCTACTTGTGATGATTGTTCATATACTTATAATGTATCTATGTGTATATATGAATATAAAAGTATTATATTCATCATATACATGATTTGGGTATACAATAAACTGTATATATCTTAAATGTATAAAGTTTTGACACACACATCTACATACATTTGTACAACTAGCATCACAACCAAGATAATGTGTCCATCACCCCCAAAAGTTTCCTTGTATCCTCCTGCTTCCCTGTCTCCTCCCAGAAAACCAATGATCTGCTTTCTGTCACTAAAGATTACAGATAGTCCTTGCTTTGCATGGTGGTATGATACTGTAAAAATGACTGTGCAAGCTAAAACTGTGAAAAGCAATCTTAATAAACAATGGGGAAAACTGTCATTAATGACCTTTAAAAATTTTGTCAAAACATTAAAAAGCTATCTTCCCATTGACTATAAACATATAGTGAAATAAAAAATAATAAAACCAATATGTATTTAATATAATATAATTTGAAACACTAGAAACATTGAGAATTACACTTTTATTTATTTGTAAAAACTTATCAAGATTACAATGCTTAACTCCTTTTCATTGCATAACTTACAACATGGAGCAAGCACCTTTTCTACCCCTTGGCAAATTGTCATATTCCCTTCTAAGTGTGGATTAGTTTTCAACATTTTGTTCTTTGTACCTTCAATGTTGTAAAATACTTCCAAGAATTCCTTTAATGTGCACTTTTTCACTAGTATCACTTCCTCTGGGACATCTTCATTCTTTTCACCATAACCATTTTCTTCATTTATGTTGATAAGTTTGCCTTCACTAAGTTCTTTTTGGCTGTAAACCTAGAGCTTCTAAAACAGCAGCATATCCCCATATTCCCATGGTTAGCTATTTCTTTTATAACTCTATTCATCTTTGATTCAAATTTCTCTTCTACTGTTATCACTTGTTATTTCTTTCAATGTTTGGTAGAATTCTCAGTGAAACCATCTGGGCCTGGAGGTATTTTTAGGGGAAGTTTTTAATTACAAATTCAATGTTACTAATAGCTTTGGGGCTATTCAAATGATCTATTTCACATGGATCGAGTTTGGTAGTTTGTTCAGGGAACCTCCAAGGAAGGTAGGAAAAATAAAACAGAGAAATGAAAAACAGAGAACACACACACACACACACACACACACACACACACACACACACACACACAAAATAAAAGGACACGCTGAAGTCCTAACATATTAATAATTGCATCAAATATAAGTGGTCTAAACCAATTAAAAGACAGATTGATACAGCAGATTTAAAAATATGATCCAAATATATGCTGTCTAAATAAAACATACTTAAAATATAAGGATATAAGTAGGTTGAAAGTAAAATAATGGAGAAAGACATATGATGCAAACATCACTCAAAAGAAAGCAAAAGTGACTATACTAACATCAGATAAAGTAGACTGCATAGTAAAGAAAATTACCAGAGATGAAGAGGAATATTATATAATGATAAAAGTGTCATCAAGAAGACATAGCAATCATAAATGTGTGTGCACCAAACAACAGTGCTCCAAAACGTGAAGCAAAAATGAACTGAACTCAAAGTGGAAATGGACAAATCCATGATTATAGCTATAGACCTCAACCTCTCTCAATAATTGATAGAACCAACAAACAGAAAATCAACAAGGGTACAGAAGAACTCAACACTACCACCAACTAACAGAGTTGAACGAATTGACATTTATGGAATACTCTACCCAACAAGAGCAGCATACACTTATTTTTAAGCACCCATGGAACATGTACCATGACAGACCATATCCTGGGCCATAAAATAAACCTCAACAAATTTAAATAACTGGAATTATATAGAGTGTGTTTTCTGATCACAGTGGAATCAAAACTAGAAACTGGCCACGCGCAGTGGCTCACACCCATAATCCCAGCACTTTGGGAGGTCAAGGTGGGAGGATTGCTTGAGCCCAGGAGTTCGAGACCAGCCTGGACAATATAGTGAGATCTCATCTCTTAAAAGAAAAGAAAAAAAAAAAGAAAACTAGAAATCAGCAACAGAAAGATAACAAGAAAACCTCCAAACACCTGGAAACCAAAAATCACACTTTGAAATAATCCATGGGTGAAAGAAGAAATTTCAAGAGAAGTTAAAAAAATATATACTTAAGAGAACGAAAATGAAATTCAACATATCAAAATTTATGAGACACAGTTAAAGCAGGTGCTGAGAGGAAAATTTATAGTACTACATGCTTACATTAGATAAGAGAAACAGCTTCAAATCAATAAATTAAGTTCTCAACACTAGAAACGAGAAAAAAGCAAAATAAACCCAAAGTAAGCAGAAGGATAAAAATAATAAAGACCAGGAATCAATGAGATTAAAAACAGAAAAGTAATGGGCTGGGCGCATTGGCTCACACTTGTAATCCCAGCACTTTGGGAGGCCGAGGTGGTCGGATTGCTTGAGCCCGGGAGTTCAAGACCAGCCTGGGCAACATGGCGAAACCCCTGTCTCTAAAAAAAAAAAAAAAAAAAAAACTACAAAAATTAGCCTGGCGTGGTGGCATGCGCCTGTAGTCCCAGCTACTTAGGAGGCTGAGGCAGGAGGATCACTTGAGCCCAAAAGGTCCAGGCTGTAGTGAGCTGTGATCATGCCACTGTACTCCAGCGTGAGTGACAGAGTAAGACCCTGTCTCTAAAAACAAACAAAAATAAGAAGAGTGTTCTGTGAAATGATCAAGATAACTGACCAACCTATAGCAAGAAAAAAAGATAATACAAAAATTGCCAATAATAGGAATGAAAGAGGGATACTATTTTTTTTTAACTTATTTCAAGTATGTTCACAATTGTTCACTGAAGCATTTTTATGTTGGCTGTTTTAAAATCTTCGTTAAACTATTCTAATATCTGGCATCTTGATGTCGGCATCTGTCTTTGGTCAAGTTGAGACCTTCCTGATTCTTGATGAGTAATTTTTTACTAAAACCTAGACATTTGGGGCATTATGAGACTCTGGATCTTATGCAAACCTTCGATTTTGGCTGGCTTCCTATGACACTATCTGGCTGGAGATCAGGGTTGGGGGCATTGCCTTGTTACCACCAGGTGGTTGTATAAGACCTAGTTCACCATTTGGCCTGTGTCAACATCCCTGTTACTGTTGGGTGGGGCTGAGAGTTTCAGCCCCCCACTAGGCTTCCATGGATACCTCCATCACTGGGATTGGTGAGAATGCCTTGCTATTGTTTCCTGCATGGCCTCCACTGACACTGCTGAACAGAGGTGAAAATCCTGACTGTCCACTCAGTCTCCTCTAACACAACCCCAAATGGGGTACATCATTGCTGTCTAGGCTCCCTACTCCATCTTTGCTGGAGAAGGTTGGGGTGGCCCAAAGTATTTTTCTGTGGTGTTTGACTGGAGAAGAGTTTTCTGTCTAAAAGTTTTCCATGTTGGCCAGGCACAGTGATTGACACCTGTAATCCCAGCCCTTTGGGAGGCCGAAGTGGGTGGATCACTTGAGGTCAAGAGTTTGAGACCAGCCCGGCCAACGTGGTGAAACCCCACCTCTACTAAAAATACAAAAATTAGCTGGGTGTGATGGTGTGCACCTGCAATCCCAGCTACTTGGGAGGCTGAGGCAGGAGAATCATTTTAACCAGGGAGGCGAAGGTTGCAGTAAGCAGAGATGGCACCATTGCACTCCAGCCTGGGCGACAGAGATTCAGTCTCAAAAAAATAATAAAATAATAAAAAAAAGGTTTCCTGTCTGATAGGCGGTCCCTTTCCTGGTCATTTGGCTAGAGAGGACAGGCTTTTCTTAGTTTTTGTTTTTTGTTTTTGCTGGTTTGTGCTTCTGGGTTGCTAGCTTCTCCAGCACCAACTCTGGGAACAAAAAGAAATCCCAGGGAACATAAAACTGGGTTGTTCCTCAGGTCTCAAGGACTCTAGCTGTTCTGCTTTCTTCTCCTGATCTTTCAAAGTCTTATGTTTGCATTATATAAAATGCTCAGGGTTTTTAATTGTACTTAGTGGGAGGCATAGGGAAAAGCATACCTACTCCATCTTTTTGGAAGTAGAAGTCTAGCCAAGATTGAATTTTAAAATGAAAGCAACACAGGGAATACTATGAGCCATTCTATACATGTAAATTCAACAACTTAGATGAAACAAACCAGTACCTTAAACTACAAACTAACCAAAGTCACTCAACATGAAATAGTTACAGGGCTATTCAAATTATCTATTAAAGGACTCAAATTTGCCATGTGCAGTGGCTCACGCCCGTAATCCCAACATTTTGGTAGGCTGAGGCGGGAGGATCACTTGAGCCCAGGAGTTTCAGACCAGACTGGCCAACATAGGAAGACTTCATCTCTACAAAAAATTCTTAAAAAATTAGCCGCATATGGCGGCACAGGCCTGTGGTCCCAGCTCTTGGGAGGCTGAGGTGGGAAGATTGCTTGGGCTTAGGAGGTTGAGGCTGCAGTGAGCCGTGATTGTGCCATTTCACTGCAGCCTGGGTGACAGAGCAAGGCCTCAAACAAACAAACAAAAAAAAGAACTCAAATTTATACTTAAGCAAATCCCCAAAGAGAAGCCTCCAGGTCTGGAGTGTTTCATTGGAGAATTCCATCAAACATTTTAATAAGAATTAACCCCAGTTCTATACCATTTCTTCCAAAAACTAGAAGAGGAAGGAATATTTCCCAACTAATTTTATAAGACCAGTACTACCCTGATACAATACAGATATAAATATCATGAGAGGTTGGGTGCACTGGCTCCTGCCTGTAATCCCAGCACTTTGGGAGGCCAATGCTGGAGGGCTGCTTGAGGTCAGGAGCTTGAGACCAGCCTGGGCAACATGGTGAAACCCTGTCTCTACAAAAAATACAAAAATCAGCTGGGCGTGGCGATGAACACTTGTAATCCCAGCTACTCAGGAGGCTGAGGCAGGAGGATCACTTGAGCCTAGGAGGTGGAAGTTGTACTGAGCTTGAGGTGGTGCCACTGCACTCCAGCCTGGGCAACAGAGCGAGACCCTGTCTCTCACATTATTTATATATATAAATAATTTATAAATTTATATATATAATAAATTTATATATAAAAATATAAATATATAAAAATAAATTTATATATATAAATTTATAAATATATATAAATTTATAATTTTGGTGTATGTCACCAAAATTATATATAAAACATATATAAATTATATATAATTATTTTATATATAAATTATATATAAATTACAAATTTAATTATAATTTGTAATTTTTATATATACATTAATTATATATAACATATACATTAATTATAATATATAATTAATATATATATAAATTTATATCTATATAAATATATAAATTTATATATATACATTAATTATATATAATTATTTTTATATATATAAGACTACAGGTCAATATTCCTCGGGAACATAAAAATAAGACATAAAAATACATAGACATAAAAATTTCCAACAAGATATTTGCAAGTCAAATCAAGCAGTATAAAAATATAATATAATCCCTGATCAACTTGGTGTTATGGACTGAATTGTGTCACCCCCAAAATTTAACCCCCAATGTGACTGTATTTGGAGACAAGGCCTACAGGAGGTAATTAAGCTTAAATAAGGTCATAAGGGAAAGGCCATGTGAGCACACAGTGAGAAGGTAGCAAGCAAGGAAGAGAGCCCTCACCAAAACTGAACTCTGCAAGACCTTGATCTAGGACTTTCAGACTCCAGAACTTTGAGAAATAAATTTCTGTTGTTTAAGCTATCCAGCCTGTGATATTTTGTTATGGCAGCCCAAGCTGACTAATACTCAGGTTTGCTCAAGCAATGCAAGGCTTGTTCAATATTAAAAAAAATCAATCAATGTAATCTATAACATTAACAGGCTGAAGAAGAAAAAAAATCACCTGATCATATCATTTGATAGGGATCATTTCAGTTGACAAAATTCAATACCCATTTATGAAAAAAACTACCACACATTAGGAGTAGAGGTGAACTTCCTCAACTTGACAAAGAATATCTATGAAAAACCCTATAGTTAATATCATACTTAATATATTGAAAGACTGAAAGCCTTCCGCCTAAGATTGGGAACAAGACAATGATGTCTGCTCTCTCCACTGCTATTTGACATACTACAAGACATTTTAGCTACTAGAATAAGGCAAGAAAAGAAATAAAAAGTAAACAGATTGGAAAGGAAGAAATAAAACCATCTTTATTTGCAGGTAACATGATGGTCTACACAGAAAATCCTAAGGAACCTCTTTTTTTTTTTTTTTTTTAAATAAAACTGCCAGAACTAAGTAATTCAGCAGGGTTATAGAAAACACAACATCAACACACAAAAATTGGTTGTATTTGTATGTACTAGCAATGACCATGTGGAAACCTAAATTATAAATATAATACCATTAACAACTGCTCAAAAAATTTTAACACTTAAGCATAAATTTAGCAAAATGTGTACAGGACTTGTACAGATGTCAATTCTTCCCAAGTGATAAAGGTTTAATATAATCCTTATGAAAATCCAGCAAGATTTTTTGTACATATGGAAAGCTTATTATAAAATTTGAATGGAAAGACAAAGAAAGTGGAATAGCCACAGCAATTTTGAAAAATGAATAAAGTGGGAAGAATCAACTTACCTGATTTTGAACTTTGATCTATGCCTCATATCTTACACAAAATTAATTCAAAATGGTTCACGCATTTAAATGTAAAACTATAAAACTCTTAAAAGAAAACATAGAAGAATATTTTTGAGACATAGAGCTAAGTGAAAAGTTCACAGCATGACATTAAAAGCATGATCCAGAAGAAAAAAAAAATCAATAAATTGAACTTCATCAAAATCACAAACTTATACTTTGTGAACGACCCTCTTAACTGGACGAAAAGTCAATCTATAAATAGACTGGGAGAAAATATTTGCAAACCACATATTTGACAATGGATTCATATCTCAAATTTATAAGTAATTCTCAACACTCAATAGTAAAAAAACAAAGAATCTGATTAGAAAACAGGCAAAAGACAAAGATATATTTCACTGAAAAGGGTATATGGATGGCAAATAGAAAGCTCTGCCAAAAAACCTTAAGACTAGTTCCTAGTTAAAAGGCAAGTCTGAGAGTAACTTCATACCATGGGGTATCTAAATAGGCCTGAATTTATATAGTACTTAAAAATGTTAATTGAAGTCATTTGATTTTGAAAATCTGTTGAAGGACATGAAAACAAATTATTTATTAATGTTCCAATATAATTTCATATCACAAAGATTTAATTTTTAAGGTGACTTACAAAATTCAGAAAGTAAAAATCACAAGACATAGTTTGACCCATGCAAAATGATGATAGTTAAGGGTTGCTGTGATAAGCAGCTGTGGTTGAGGAAATTAGGTACTCCAAACAAAGTTTAGGTACTCCAACCAAATCCTAAATAGGTTGAGCCTCCAATATGGCTGGCTTATATTGAAAGCCAAAAGAGAAATCCAAGGAAGATGATAAAAGTATGGAGATTTCCATTAAATTCAGGAAATGAGATAAACATATTTCATAACAAAATTGTTCTCAAAGTGTCATCCCCAGACTAGTGGCATCAGTATCATGTCAGGAGTTGTTAGAAATGCAAATTCTCAGACCTCACACCTCAGATCTACTGAATCAAAAACTAGGGGTGAGGTTAAGAAATCTGTTCTAACAAGCCCTCCAAATGATTCTGATGCACCCTAAAATTTGAGAATTACTGTTCCATAGGAAAGGCTACATACTACAGTACAAGTCTTATTGATATTTTCTAAAAAACAGAAACTGATATACCTACCAAGAGCAACCAGTTAAGGATTTCATTAAGGAATTCAATATGATCAATAATTTAATAGTCTGCCTTGTTGTTCCATTAAAATTAAGAGTTTCGTATGATAGGCAAAGAACTATGGGAAACAGAAGAGATTTACCAACAATTCACAGCACTTATAATGGTAAATATGTGAAGCCCTCGGAACAAATAATAGAGCACTGAAGCCACACATGAATTAGGAACGCACATCCCTATATTTGAAAACAAGTTAAACTCTTTTAGTTTCTAAAATTACTGTTGTTCTTAGGCTGAGGGCGGGGGCTCACACATTTAATTCTAGCACTTGGGAGGCCAAGGCGGACAAATTACTCGAGGCTAGGAGTTTGAGACCAGCCTGGCCAACATGGTGAAACCCCGTCTCTATTAAAAATACAAAAATATCCAGGCATGGTGGCACATGCCTGTAACCCCAGCTATTCAAGTGGCTGAGGCATGAGAATCACTTGAACTCAGGAGGCGGAGGTTGCAGTGAGCTGACAACATGCCACTGCACTCCAGCCTGAGTGACAGAGCGAGACCCTATCTCAAAAAATTAAAAAAATGAAAATAAATTACTGTTCTTAAACTGTTGCTCCATTCTTGCTACCCTACTTACCCATGGCTCACTTATCAGATAACATTTTTAAAGTGGTACAGGGGACATTTTCCACTCAACCTAAAAGATTAAAATCACCTCCAATAAGTAGATAATTGATACTGACTTACCAACGAGACTAAAGTCAAGATGCTAGTCACACTCAATAATCCTCGGAGTATCAATGGAATGGTGATGGTCAACTCAGCACCAGGGCTGCTATATTTGTATAAAAATACTGACAACAAGGACATGAAAACACTCAACTCATATGTTCATTCATGATGCTACTCTGATTTTTAGGGGGCAGGAGATGGTGTTGATGATGAACCAGTGAGTTTTGGGACATGTGCTGAGCAAGGCTGTGGAGCTTTCCTTAACAGAGCATAGGCAGCCTCTCTGTGGGTAGGACAGCCTCTGTGGGTAGGACAGCCTGGGTTTCTAGAAATGATTCCAACAAGCATTTCTGGAGCATGACTAGGTCTTAAAAACCTAGTACTAGGAGCAGAGAATTCAAGGATGTTATCTCTGCCCTTAAAAAAATCTAATATGTAACAGAAATTGATGGGTGTACAATAAGATCTGCAATTTCTCACAGTAACCAGTAGGTCCCACTAGCCCCTTTATTTGGCACTCTACATTCTACCCATTCATTCATTCACTCAAACTTTTACTCAGCATTTTGTTTAATGCCAACCTTTGTGTAAAGTATTGGAAACACAAAGACCAGAAAGAAAAAATGGCTTCCAAAACCAGTCGCTACTCTTTAACTGAACTTATTACTTATTACTTCCTCTGGCAGAAAAGTCCTTCTCTCCTCTTTCTAAAACCAAAGCCCTCTCCTATTTCAATTTTCTTCTCAGGTCTAATGCAAATGAAGGCCATGTGCTTAGAGTCAACTCAATCATTCAGTAATCCCCTTTTATTTGGGTTTATGCATTTACAAACTCTATGTTTTTGGCCCTCTATTTACAGGTACCATTACTCTATGTTTTTGACCCTCTATTTATAGATACCATTACTTTAAGACCCTATTTTATATATATATATGTTATATATGTATATATATGTTATATATATATATATATGTTATATATGTATATATATGTTATATATATATATATAAAACTTCCCACAGGTGTTTCTATAGTTTGAATGTGTCACCAAAAGTTTGTGTATTGGAACCTTAATTCCCAATGTGATGGTGTTGGGAGGTGGGGTCTTTAAGAGATAATTGGGTATTGAGGGTGGAGTGCTCATGAATTGACTAATGCTGTTATAGCAGCAGTTAGTTCTTGTGGGAATGAGTTCCTGCAGGAGTGAATTAATTCTCACAAGAGTGGGTCATCATAAAAGTGAGCTTGGCTCACTCTTGTGATCTCTTAAACACATGTTCACTTGTCCTTCTTCTTTTCTCACATGTTATAACACAGTATAAAAGCCCTTCAGAAGCTGCTGCCATGCCCTTGGACTTCCCAGTCTTTAGAACTGTGAGCCAAATATTTCTTTATAAATTATACAGACTCGGCCAGGCGCGGTGGCTCAGGCCTGTAATCCCAGCACTTTGGGAGGCCAAGGTGGGCAGATCATGAAGTCAGGAGTTCAAGAACGGCCTGGCCAGCATGATGAAACCCTGTCTCTATTAAAACAAATACCAAAAAAATTAGCTGGGCAAGGTGGTGCACGCCTGTAATTCCAACTACTTGGGAGGGTAAGGCAGGAGAATCTCTTGAACCCGGGAGGCAGAGGTTGCAGTGAGCCAAGATGGTGCCACTGCACTCCAGCCTGGGTGACAGAGTAAGACTCCATCTCAAAATAAATAAACAAACAAACAAACAAATAAATAAATAAAACAGACTCAGGTATTGTTATAACAACAGTAAACAGACTAAGACAGGCATTATGTAATTAATTCTGTTTCTCTCAGAAGACTAATAAATGCTACTGACTGTTGAGTCAAGACTTGGAAATTCTTGTCTCCAAAATTTTATCATAATTTCAGATTGGACTTCAAATGGTTTTATCCTATGAATAATGGGCACATACTATGTCCCTAAATACATGAGCCTGACTTTATTGCTTATTATAGCCTGGTAAAATCTGCCACTGGTCTGAGTGAATTGGTGAAAATGGTATGTGACTTTGTACTATAAATGCATAATTAGCCACTCTAAGTTTCTCCCCAAGCAGCAGACAAACATGAGAGCATTCATTCCCTAAGTCAAAGGTGCAAGCATGCAAATACCTGAGAGAAGGCTGTGGAACGGTGTCTGGACTGGCTGGTACCTGGACTCCCTTTTCCCATTCTTCCTTCCATGTATCAGCAAAGAGGTAATAGCTATCAGGATTAATGTGGTGAGAATCTGGAAGTTTCATGGCACTGATGAGGTCCTTCCGGAATACCTGGAAAGATATTGCACATATCTTGAGAAGACCATCACTATGCAACTGATACCATTCAATGTTCTCCTTTTAAAAAGACCATCCCCATCCACTCTGCTTCCAACAAGAGAAACATCTCTAACTTCCTAAATGGCCAGATCAACTTCTGTTTGGAAAGGTTTGAAGTACTGACAAGGAAGCCAGCTTATTTGGGATTTAATAAAGGGTAATGCAGTCCTTCCTGAATTATTTTCTTGGGTTCTCTAAATTTAAACCAACAATACAGGTTACTCAAAACAGTTTGTATAAAACAATCCTTAACTTTCTTAAATTAAGTAACAAGTATCCACTGATAGTTAATAATTATTTGGGCATCATTTCATTTTAAAATTTATTTAGAAATAATTTTAGACTTAAAGAAAAGTTATCAAATAGTAAAGTTTCCATATATCCTTCACTTAGTTTCCTCTAATTGTTTACAGTTTATATAACCAGAGTTCAATTACCTAAACCAGGAAAGTAGCAATGCTATAATACTATTAACTAATGTATAGAATTCATTCAAATTTTCACTATTTTTCTCCCTAATGTCTTTCTGTTCCAGAATTTAATTTTATTTTTTTGAGACAGGGTCTCACTATGTTACCTAGGCTGGAGTGCGATAGCGTGACTTTGGCTCACTGCAACCTCTGCCTCCCAGGCTCAAGCGATCCTCCCACCTCAGCCTCCTGAGTAGCTGGGACTACAGGCACATACCACCATGCCCAGCTAATTTTTGTAATTTTTTTTTTTGTAATTTTTGTAGAGGCAGGGTTTCGACAGGTTGCCCAGGCTGGTCTCAAACTGCTAAACTCAAGTGATCTGCCCGCCTTGGCCTCTCAAAGTGCTGGGATTATAGGCGTGAGGCACGGTGCCTGGCCTCAGAGTATCTTTAATGAGGCAGTGGTTAAGTAGTGGTGGCAATTTCCAATTTGCTAAACTACTATCTTTGGGAAAGATGGTGCTGTGGGAAATCCTTCCTTAGTTCTGGAAAGTATGTGTCAACATCCTAAAATATTTCATTATTTTCCAAGTGATAGTCTTTATAAAATATATCAATTGATTACAAGATCATGCTTTGGGCTTGACTAATAATGAATAATGCCAAATGATCTAATTACAAAGCATAAGCCGTACCTTCATACTTGCCATAACTGCTTATGAAATCTGCTCTACATAGTTTCCTAACCTGAAAACATATTGCAGTGGATTGAATGGTGGCCTCCAAAAAGATATGTCCACATCCTAGTTCCCAGAAACTATGGATATTACCTTATTTGGAAAAAGGGTCTTTGCAGATGTAATTAAGTTAAGAATCTTCAGGTGAAGATATCATTCTGGAATATCCAAGTGGGCTCTAAGTCCATTGACAAGTGTCCTTACAAGAGAAAGGTGGAGGGAGATTTGAGATGGAAGAGGAGAAGGTAGTGTGATCATGGAGGCAGAGATTAGAGTGATTCATTGATCCACAAATCAATCAATGCTGACATCCACCAAAAGCTGGAAGAGGCAAAGAATGAATCGCCCTTAAAACCTACGGAGGGAGCACAGACTGGCTGATTTTTTACTTTTGGCCTTCATACTGTGAAAGAATAAATTCCTACTGTTTTAAGCTACCTCGTTTATGTTAATTTATTATAGCCCTAGGAAACTAATATACATGTTTACCAAACAGAAGAGTAACTTGAAGACTACAGACAAAGGTATACAAAAGCAGAGGCCAATGAAATGTGGTCCTTGTCTATGGCTTCAGAAATACTCAAACCTGGCCGGGTGCAGTGGCTCACGCCTGTAATCCCAGCACTTTGGGAGTCCGAGGTGGGTGGATCACGAGGTCAGGAGATCAAGACCATCCTGGCCAACATGGTGAAACCTCGTCTCTACTAAAAATACAAAAATTAGCCAGGTGTGGCGGTGCATGCCTGTAGTCCCAGCTACTTGGGAGGCTGAGGCAGGAGAATTGCTTGAACCCAGGAGGCGGAGGCTGCAGTGAGCCGAGATCGCGTCACTGCACTCCAGCCTGGGCGACAGAGCGAGACTCTGCCTCAAAAAAAAGAGAGAAATACTCAAACCTCCACGAAGGTGAAGTCTGGGAAACCACCAACCAATTCATACCTGTTTTTCTTAAGCAAATGAAAACTGAATCCAATGACTATTATAATTTTTCCTTCCCCTTTAGAGAAAAACAGGCATATGATAAGCCTGATTTCAATTTTACAAGCTAGCCAGATTAAAGAGCATCAGATCTAAGTTTTCTAGAGAAGCATTTTTACTTAAGGCAGAGTGTGAGAGGCTGCCTTATTTTGCTATGGAAGTCAATCTCAAGCATGAGACAGAACATAAAATGCTGAGTGGATGGGAATGTCAGTTCAGTACTCAGGCAGAAGATATCTGCAAAGTGATATAAAACATATTTACCAGACTGGTCTCATTAACCCGCTTTTGATAAGAAAAGGCATTTTTAAAGTTTTTGAACTGAAAACAAAATAACTATAGCAAATCCCGATTAGTGAGGAGAATTTTATATACAGAAGTGGCACACACATACATACATATTTGTATATATTTTCATAAAGAAACAATAAAAGAATAAACCAAAAACTTAACAAAAAAGGTTAACTCTGCAGAGTGAGGAGAAAACAGGGAGGGGAGAGAGACTTATAGAAAAGTTACCAAAATAGTTGAGCTGAATCTAGCTGGATCTCTCAATATATTTTGTTTTACAGTTTAAAGTCTGAAGCAGGCAAATACTTTATATAATTAAAAAATCTTAGGCCAGGCGTGGTGGCTCACACCTGTAATCCCAGCACTTTGGGAGGCCAAGGCGGGTGGATTACGAGGTCAGGAGATCGAGACCATCCTGGTTAACACGGTGAAACCACGTCTCTACTAAAAATACAAAAAATTAGCTGGGTGTGGTGGCGGGTGCCTGTAGACCCAGCTACTAGGGAGACTGAGGCAGGAGAATGGCATGAACCCAGGAGGCGGAGCTTGCAGTGAGCTGAGATCACACCACTGCACTCCAGCCTGGGCGACAGAGCAAGACTCCATCTCAAAAAAAAAAAAAAAAAATCTTAAAGGAATATGGGTCTGGGACAGACCACCTGGATTGGTATACTGATTTCACTACTGTAGCTTTCAGCAAGTTATCCAAATTCTGCGTCTCAACTTATCTATAAAATGGGGATAATAACACTCACCTCATAGGGGTTGTTGTAAAGATTAAATGGGTGAACTTGTATAAAGGACTTAGCACAGTATGGAGCTCACAGTAATTTCCAAATAAATGCTAGATGGTGTTATTTTATTATCATCACCATAGCATTCCTTCTAAAATCAGAAACAAGTATATAACTGAGTTCTTCTCTATAGTCCACAAAGTAATTGTTGATGGGGTAAGAGAGATATGAGTTCACAGCTCAGTTAAAATGTGCATGGTTTGGCTCCCAAAGACACAGTTCCCAAGCAAGAGCCCCATCAAGAACTTTAACTAACGTTCCAAAGGCCACAAGGTAATGTAGAAACTTCACAAAATAAAACACAGCCATTTGTTGCTAAATTAAAGATAATGAAGGAGGGATCTAGATGCTGACCCTGACCTTTCTAGGTAATGAAGTTGAGAAGTTTTACAAGTTCTTAATAGTGTGTCTATTTTATATGCACTGGTAGTTTTCCCAAAAGTTCCTGAAACAAAAAGGCTTTGTACTTACCAGATAACTGTTCATTTATGGTCAAAGAGGGGATTCACTGGCTAACATACAGTCCAGAAGCTATGCCAAGCCCAACACTGTGTGCACATCTGGCCTGTCAGATGCTTGCAGAAACAAAGGAGGCCTCACTATGAATTCAATTAGAACATCAATGCTTAACCTGCCAGAGCCACAAAATGAAAATGCCCTTTGCAGACAACTCTGGCTTTTATTGCTCTCATTAACATCTCTCAGTTGGCAGTTTTTTAAAGCACAGCTCCTCTGAACATTTGTGTGACATTTTTCATAGGAAAAGTCAAAACATTAACTTCCTGTATGACACAAAGAGTAACACTGTCTGGTCCGTGTGAATAAAGCAGAGAGATTGAACAATTTTGATTCAGTCACTGAAATCTGAAGCTACACATAACTGACCACAAACTAACATGTCACCCCAAAAGCATAAAACAGCTACAAACTGGTAATTATATTTAAGCAAAAGGAATTAATTATAATTATACAATCTTTAGGCAAAAAAAGTTGTCAGGTTATCCAGAAAATCAATAGCAGAGAAAACTTAGCAAAGAACACTGTGCCTAAAACCCTTAAAAACTCTGTTCTTGTTTTGTCAAGACATTGCATCCCACATTGATTTTTTTCAATGAATCAAAAAGCTTATGTAATTTCTAAATTTGAAACTTTAAAACCCATGGAAATATTTTTCAAATAGTTTAAAATAACTCTCAGGTTTCTTATAAAGAATAAACAGAACGTTTTGATGGCTATGGGCTAACACCAACTGCAACATCAATTACCATAAAGCAATGTACCTTTGGGTTGCTTAAGTTGGATTATTCCCTTTCCCCCATATCAAACAGAGGTATAACGGAGAAGGGGGAGCAACAAAGTCTGATTTAGAGATCTGAGCAATTTCAGCACAAGAAATAACATTTGAAGGCTGCTTTGCAAATTATTCTCCCTTCCCTCAATGTCCCTTTTTGTGTAATAAGTATGCACTTGTAGCTCAGTGCTTTTTATCTGCTGTAGGTCAGAAAACCAAGTAATTAAGCTTGTTAGAAATATAGGTACAATGATGTAAACAGGCTTTACTAGAGAGTATGTAGTGCTCTCCACTGAATTAAAATATATGAGCTTTCATTCTGTTGCTATGAAAGTCTTGGATAATAATGAGACTCCAGGCCTACAGATGATATGCAGTCAATGTTTTAAGATAGGTTGATATGTTTTACACACCAGACTAGTAGTCAAAAATATCCTAGCTTTTGATAAAGAATGGAAGACTTTTTAATAGTCTCCCAAAGTGCTGGGATTATAGGCATGAGCCACAGCACCCAGCCAGTTACTATGTACTTTTTCTAGGGATTAAAAACAACAACAACAACTTTACGAGTATGGGCCCTTTTAAGAATCAGATAAGGCTACTATCTCAGAAAAAAAAATTAACAAAGAACATACCCTTAAAAATCTGTATACAATTTCCAGAAGGTACACAAAGCCCCTGAACCATACAGGGGATTCACATATCCCTAGGAAACTCTTCTCTACAGGATAAATTAGAGGGAGATTTGCACAAGAATCTCACTGATACACTAAATATCAAAGAAAAATATGTATCTTTTAATGCAGCCAATTAATCCTCTGCAAAAGGGGTAATTTATATTGCATGTCAGTGACTAATTCCCAGTAAAATCATAAGGCTCAAGAATTCTGGTTTTGTCTCAGACCTGTAGTCAGAAAACAAAAAACAAAACAAAACAACCTCCCGTTTTTATAAGAAGCAAATGGCAGGACAGGCAGCAAATTAACAAATTTTCATGAACCCATCAGAGAAGTGAATCACAGCACAAATACCCAATTCAGAGAGACAGGTGCCTGCAGGGAGACACAGGGCAGAGCATTTGGTTACCTGTGGCAGAAGCCACAGCAGGAACATTAAACTAGAAATTTTGAATCGCTGGATGCTGCGTGGGGACTGATATGAGAATATGAAGTTCTTGGGGGCTGTAGTTATGGGGGGGGGGGTCCCACCCGCTTGCAAGCTTTTTCTTCAGGAACCCAATTAGGCTCACACAGGGAAGCTGGGGTGGGGGCAGGGCCGGGGCAGGGGGCGGTACCTGGAGAAAGCACCAGAGTGGTGCTGTCTGGGTACTTGGTGCTTAGTGCCCTGGTTCCCTTACCAAACAAAAGGCTTCATCTGCAGGGGAAGGGTATCAAGTCAGGACAATGGTGTAGTTTCATTACTGCTGGGAGAAGGGAAAAGCATCCAGCCTCAGCCTCCCTGTGTTACCTAACGGGCAAAAAGGTAATCTACAGGAGAGAGAACCTCAAGGACAAAGGCTGAGAACATCAGAAGATACCTGCTACAGGCCAATGAGGGAACAGGGGGCAGTGGCAAAAAGGCTCTACCTGAAGACTACCTTCCCTACCACCACTTCCACCCCCAGAAACAGGACCACTATGCACCCTAAAGACTAAGAAAGAGTTAATGAGAAGATTAGCGAATACTGCCCCTCCCCCATACCCTCTACTACGCTAAAGACTCCAGGGATAATAACACTGGCTAACAGCTTGGGAGAGCTGCAAGAAACAAAATTCCTATGAGGACAAGCACAAAGAGACCTTGAGCCAAGAGGAGAGACAAAAACAGTGTCACTAGAAGAATTTGAAGTCTCTGTTACAGCAATAACAAATTTCTAACACTCTCATATATTGCTGGTGTGACTGAAAAATGATGAGCCCCTTTGGAAAACAGACTCGTAGTTCTTTAAGTAGTTAAATGGTTAAGTAGAGTTACTATATGACCCAACAATTCCACTCCTATGTGTATAGTCAAGACAACTGAAAACGTACGTCAACATAAAAACTTGTACCTGAATGTTCATAGCAGAATTACTCATAATACTCCAAAAGTGGAAACAACCCAAATGTCCACCAACTGATGAACGGATAAACAAAATGTGGTGTACTGATAAAATGTAATATCATTCAGTCATAAAAAGAAATGAAGTGGCCAGGTGCAGTGACTCACACCTGTAATCCCAGCACTTTGGGAGGCTGAGGTGGGTGGATCACCTGAGGTCGGGAGTTCAAGACCAGCCTGACCAACATGGAGAAACTCCGTCTCTATTAAAAATACAAAATTAGCCAGGCATGGTGGTGCATGCCTGTAATCCCAGCTACTCAGGAGGCTGAGACAGGAGAATCGCTTGAACGTAGGAGGCGGAGGTTGCAGTGAGCCGAGATTGCGCCATTGCACTCCAGCCTGGGCAACAAGAGTGAAACTCTGCCAAAAGAAAGAAAGAAAGTGGGGGGGGGGGGGGAGGGAGGGAGTGAGGGAGGGAGGGAGGGAAGGAAGGAAAGAAGGAAGGAAGGAACTAATACATGTTACAACATGAGAGGTGAAAACACTATGTTCAGTGAAAGAAGCCAGACACAAAGGGCACGTATTGTATGATTCCATTTATATGAAATGTCTAGAATAGGCAAATCCATAGAGAAGGAAGGTAAATTAGTGGTTGCCAGGGGTTGCAGGTAGGGAGATTGGGGAGTAACTGCTAATGGGTAAGGGGTTTCTTTCTGAGATGATGAAAATGTTCTAAATTATGATTGTAATGGTTACACAACTCTGAACATACTAAAACCCACTGAATTATACACTTAAAATGGGTGAATTGTATGCTACAAGAATTATATTTCAAGAAAAGATGTTAAAAATGGTTTTTAAAAGAGGGTGATTATTGGGGTGTCAATGTACACCACATGAGAGGTCTTGATGTTCACTCTCTCCCAGCAATAATGAGGCACCTCTCCTCCTCAATGTGATGTTGGCAGACTGGGTAGGGAGCCTGGGCTGTCACCATCACTGATCAATAAGGTGGTACCTTCACTACCACCATACCCTCCATCATCAGTGGGGGCAACAAAGTGGTGGGAATTTCCACCTCTATGAAGCAGTAGAGACTCCCCAGTGCTGCTTCCCAGAGAGTGAAAGAGCTAGGATGGGGAGCTCAGGAATTCTACAACAGGTAGTAGAGAGTCAGGACCCCTCTTCCCCACTTGCCTGGTTATAGCAGAGGACTACTAAAACAGAAGATTTAAATAAGACTCAGTGTCTAATGACATAATACTAAAAAAGTCCAGGATACAACTGAAAATCACTCATCATACTAAGAACTGGGAACGAGAAGAGACAATCAACAGGCATCAACACTGAGATCCACAGATGTTAGAATTATCTGACAAGGATTTTAAAACATCCATGATAAAAATGTTTCAACAAGAAATTACAAACACTTTTGAAACAAAAAACAGAAAGTCTCAGTGAAGAAATGGAATATATATATAAAGAATAACCAAATGGAAATTTTAGGATGGAATAATGCAATTACTGAAATAACAAACTCATAAGATAGGCTCAACTAATGAATGGAATTAACAAACAGAAGATGGAACCAATGAACAAGAGAAATTATTCAATCTGTTCAACAGAATATACACTGAAAAAAAAAAGAAAAGTGCCTGAGGGACCTGTGGGAAAATAACAAAAGATCTACCATTCATGCAACTGAAGCCCCAAAAGGAGGGGAAAAAGAAGGTGGAGTTGAAAAATATTTGAAGAAATAATGGCTGAAAATTTCCCAAACTTAGTGGAAGATATAAATCTACAGATTCAAGAAGCTGACTAAAGCCCAAAGAGGATAAGCCAAAAGAAATCCATGCCCAGGTACATCATAATCTAACTTTTAAAAACTAAAGACAAAGAAAAATCTCAAAAACAACTGGGAAAGAAATGACTACCTAGAGGAGAACAACCTATTTGAATGGGGGCAGATTTCTCATCAGAGACCATGGAGGCCAGAAGGAAGTAGCACAACATTTTCCAAGTGCTGAAAGAAAAGTACTGTGAAACCAGAATTCTATATCAAGTGAAAATATCCTTCAGGAATGAAGGAGAAATCAAGACATCCTCAAATGAAGGAAAACTAAGCGAATTTATCACCAGCAGACCTATCCTAAAATAACAGCTAAAGGAAATTCTTCAAACAGAAACAAATGAACAAAAAAGAAAAATGGGAACATCAGAAATAAAGAAGCATACAAATATGTCATATTTCTTAAGTGAACCTTAAAACAACTGTTTGAAGCAAACAGGTGCAGCAAGTAAGGCCAGGAAAATCAGAAATTGAGAGAAAAGTGATAGTCTGCTATCAGAAATAGGGCATAAACTGACGCTTTGAAAAAAGCAGCCAATGGCGGCAGGGCGCAGTGGCTCACGTCTGTAATCCCAGCACTTTGGGAGGCCAAGGTGGGTGGATCACGAGGTCAGGAGTTCAAGAACAGCCTGACCAAGATGGTAAAACCCTGTCTCTACTAAAAACACAAAAATTACCCAGGCACGGTGGCAGGCACCTGTACTCCCAGCTACTTGGGAGGCTGAGGCAGGAAAATCGCTTGAACCTGGGAGGCGGAGGTTGCAGTGAGCTGAGATCGCACCACTGCACTCTAGCCTGAGCGACAGAGCGAGACTCCGTCTCAAAATAAGTAAATAAATAAAAAGCAGCCAATGGCAATATTGCTTCAGTTTCAGGGGCCAAATAGGAAGAAAGAATTCACAGTGGTTCCATCTGATTCCTCAAAGGCTGCCTTCAGACTCACCTGTGAGTAGTGTGTGCTTGTCACCTTTGCCAATTCCCACTTAACTTTTACTTTTCTTCTTTTACCAAGGGTTCCTACCATATTCTCCTTGCTGCCTGGGTTCCCAGCCCCTGTTCAATTCCAGGTTTGTTCTCTCTAATCTTGAGTTTTGCTCTCACTCCATTATGGAAACTTTGATTATAACTACTCATGAGAAAACACTGGTGCTGTCCCATATTTCTTAACTGCCAAAGTTTCAACAAATGTTTACTATATACTTATTGTACCCTACATAATATGTCCAATGCATACTGGTTAATAAAACAAGATTCAGGATGAATAAAAACTTGAATGTCAGTTCTGCTTTTTTTTAATGACCCTGGGCAAGTAACTTCTCTGAGCCTCATCACCTGCAAAACAAACAAACAAAAAACCGGAAAGTACCTACTTTATAGTGTTACTGGAGGAATAGAACAAGAGTATATTACTTCCCCGACGTGCTTGATTATAAAAATCACCTGAGTCACTTTTTAAAATCCAGATCCCAGGCACTTTTCTTGGAAATACTAATTCAGTAGTGTCACAGGGTGGGGTAAGTCTGGAATCATTATTTTAAACAGGCATCCAAGGAGAGTCTCATAATTGTTTAAATTTGGGAAACAAACTATTTAATGTAAAGCTTTTGGCACATAAAACTTCAATAAATGATAGGTATGAGAGATAGGTATGATAATGTCCATGTTATGCTGACAAATTATCTCAGAGAGATGAAATAAGCCAGCAAAGCAGAACATGGGATCAAGCTCTTCTAATGCAAAGGCTAGTTTTGTCCTACAATATCACCAGGTTTTCCTTTTTATAACAGAATATTAAATATAAACGAAAACAATTTGCTTTCAGCAGCCCAGGTCCCCTATCCCTTGCAACAAAAAAGACTACTATTACCACTGCCTGGGAGGCAGTAGGCCTCAAAACCCAAAGCCCTTGAATTGCCTTATGTCCTAGAACCAGCTGTCGTCCTAAAAGGGTAGGTAGCGAGGTTTCTTTCTCACCATTCTGTAGTCAAAGTCTCCTCTAGACAGGTGGGAAATTTCTTCCACTCCTGTTTATGTGTGTTATATTCCCTAAGTCTTTCTGTATGACATGGACATATATAAATAAACTCTTACATTCTATTGTGCCCAGAAAAATCCCTGGCAAAAGAAACAAATGAAAAGTGACCTCCAAGGAAGAGAGAAATGCTCTCTGGTGGACACACCCAAAAGTAACCCACAAAGAGTCACTCCCTTTCTACTAAGGCAGTGGGACCTGTGACTTGCTTCTAAACAACAGAATATGGCAAACATGATGGGATGTCATTCCTTTGATTAGGTCACATTATATAGCAAATGTGGTGGGGATGCCACTCCCATGATTATATTATGTTATGTAACACTACATCTTAGCTGACTGGAGGGAAAGACTCTCCTTGCTGGCGCTGAATAAGTACGCTACCATGTTGTGAGAGGATCTATGGAAAAGGCCATGTGGCAAGAAACTACAAGTGGCTTTTAGAAACTGAGAGTGCTCTCTGCCAAAAGCAAGAAGGAAAACAGAAACCTCAGTCCTTCAGCTCCAAGGAGACAAATTCTGCCTACAACATGAGCTTGGTGGCAAATTCTTCCCTAGGCAAGCCTCCAGGTGAGAACACATCCCATTTTCCACAGTGATTTCAGCCCTGAAAGATCCTGAACAAAGAATCTAGTCACATCATGCCCAGATTACTGACCCACAGAAACTGAGATATAAGTGTGTGCTGCTTTAAGACACGAATTTTGTGATAATTTGTAATGTAGCAATACATAACTAATATATTCTCTGTTCCTTTACAGCTAAGGAAGTCTACTCATAGTAGAAGTGAAGATATACAAAGTCATTTTATCATTTAATTATCACAGAGGAAAGTCTGTAGGATCCACTAAACCATTATCAAGTCCAAGAGGAACGCTGGCACTTTGCTGCCCTTTGTGGAAAAGATGACCAGCCTGATAAGGATTGACCTACTCTTTCTGGGCCAGCAGTGATCCAAAGGCTGTAAGGACCCATCACAGCTTCACAGACCATGACCCATATGATCTTTAATGTAGTCCATCTACAACCTACTCACCTATACCTTTCTGTACTATCTCTCCTCACCTGCTAACTTAGCTTTTCCCAATCATAGGCCAGGAGATCTCTAGGTCCTTCCCAGTTCCCCTAGTCTGGCTCTCTTTGACTTCCTGGTTAGGGGAGGAATATTCTAAAGCCAGGCACTATGTGTCATCACAGTGTGAAGATGATTGAAATCACAAAATGAAATCACAGTGTGAAGATTATTGTTCTCCTAAAGGAGATAGAAAATGAAATCTTTCTTGGAAAACAAATAAGTTCATCAGAAAACAAGCCTACCCACTGACACATTCTTTATTCTTCACATCTTCAGATTCTGGGTATTGTTGGTATATAGTTAGGAGGCAGACATTTATATTTTTAAAAGTTGTCTTAGTTTATTTAGTATTGCTATAAAGGAATACCTGAGGCTAAGTATTTATAAAGAAAAGAGGTTTATTTAGCTTATGGTTCTGCTGGCTGGAAGGTTCAAGACTGGGCAGCTGGTAAGGGCCTCAGGCTGCTTCTACTCATGGTGGAAGGCAAAGGAGAGCTAGCATATGTGATCACATGGCCAGAGACGAAGCAAGAGAGAATGGGAGGAGGTGCCAGACTCTTTGTAACAACCAGCTCTGAAGGGAACTAACGGAGTGAAAAACTCACTTACCCCCCTGCTCTGGGAGGGCATTAATCTATTTATGAGGGATATATTCCCATGATCCAAACATCTCCCATTAGGCCTGCACCTCCAACATTGGGATATAATTTCAACATGAGGTTTTGGAAGACAAGCATCCAAACTATAGCTTAAGTCTAAAAATTGAGAATACGATCTCACCTCAGCAGGTTTCTTGTGTTCATTTGGAATTTTTGACTTGATCCTATACATTGAGCCAGAAGTAAAGGAAGTGGAAGGACCTGTGAAAGATAATTAGAAAAAAATACTGAGACACATTACCTATTAATATAACTAAATGTCATAAAACTAAATGTCACCCAAGAGAATATGAAAAATATGATGGAGAAACCAGAGAGCTCATACCACTGAAGAAAACAGTCAAACTGCACTGAAGAGTGCCTCATAATGGAGTTTAGTGACATTTATAGATGATCTCCTACAGTGCAAAAGCTTCAACAATGCTAAGGATGAGATTATCTGATTTGGTATAATCACACCTCATAATGTTCTGCAATAACACAATTCATATTCCACTTGAAGAAAAAGTATCTCCAAAAACAACTGGAAAAACTACAAATGTGGAGCAAGTAATCTGTGTATCCTTCAGCACTTCCCCAAAGGCTATTGCTAATAAGGTTACTGCCTTTTACAAATGATGATTGACTCACAGTCAAACACTTAGTACCTAAGCTACAATTAGAATCAGGGCCTACAATTTATGCTCTTGTACTTTTCTTCTTTCTAGAGAAGCTCTGTTAAAGCATTACTAGATCTGGCTTTTGTTATTTAGGTAAATGAAAAGTGAAAAGTTATATGCCACACACAATCAATTCTTCTAATTTATCTATCTCTAATGAAATTTAAATAAGATAATGGTGCCCTGAATTTTCCTTCTCAGAAACATTTTTCAACCATTGAAAAAAGCATGAAATGGTTTATCCTCAAATGAAAGGAAAAATCCTCAAGGGATATAGATAGAAAGGTTACCAGCTGCCAGCCGGTTCTACTCACTTTCGTCTGAACTGTCACTGCTGCTGACAGGCCTATGGCGTTTCATCCTGGAGCATCCTGGGAAAAAGAAAAACACTGAATAAAACAGTTCACACACACCCATCCCAGAGGGCAGTCAACACTGTCCCATGGATCCCAGAAATAGCAGCAAGCAAATCATACAAACTGAATGATTTTTGTCAAGAATATTCTCAAATGACTTAGAATAATGACAGAAGAGTACTACCAGATCTTTCAATACAAAGCATGTCAAAGACTAAGAAAGGCCACATTAGCCTTAGGAGGAAGCCCAAGCCACAAATGAGTGGTACAGCACTAACTGGAGCCTCAGATGTGGCCACATGGCCACTGTCCACCAAAACAAAGGGTGGGGCAGCCATGGGGCCATAACCAGCCAGTGATCCCCAATAAGAGACGAACAGGTCAGTCATGAGGGCAGGGCCATCAAGAGCCAAGGTTGAAAAGCATGAGACATAGTTGGCTGAAGAAAGAACAAGTGAGGCACATCCACCTTTAAGAACACGACCACACTGATTTTCTGCCTGCCCTTTATCCCTCTCTCACTCTCTTCCTGTCCCCATATCCCAAATAAGTAGCCTAAAGTCAAAATTATATATACACTACAAGGAATGTTAAACAAAGCTCCTATATTGTGAAGGGTAAATAAAAATGCTTTGGACTAAAACTTCCAACGGTTCAAGTGTACTTCCCTGAGTATGGCCAATGACAGATAAAAAAGAAGCATCACCCTTCTGGGAACACACTAGCACTGGAGTGTAAGAAAAAAGGAAGACACAGTTAAGCACTTTAAGTCACAAACGAAGTGCTGAAAATGTAAACTTGAAAAGACAGCAATATAGCCAGTGACTGACATTCTTTTATGTGCCACAACATACAACATGCTACCAGGGGCTATCATGATTCCATAATGAATAAAGGTCAGGGCTACTGCCTTCAAGCTATTTACAATCTACTGAGGAGGTAGAAATCCAAATACAAGGCCACTCTGAGCAATTAAGAATAGCAGCAACAAAATTTTACATTAAAAAGCTCACAGAGTTCCACTTCTGGCATAACAGTGTGAGCAGCTCCATGGACGACCCTCTTCCCAGCAAAATTGGTGAAAGTTATTTCAATTAAAAAAAAACCAACCATTTAAAGTCTCTGGAAATGGTTTTAAGGGCATACAGCAAATGAAGTACTTATTCGAGAAAATCTACTAAAATTCATAAAGTAAAGTCAAAGTCTGCAGTATTTGGATCTAGAACCACTTCCTCCATCTTCCCTCCCAGCAAAGATCTCATGCCAGAGTACAGTAGCCAAGAACACAGGGTTCCTTCTACCCCAGCTCCAAGCTCCTTTCTTCCTGGGAAGAACAGGATGTCGGCATCTCTTATCCCGTTCCCAGCTACTTTTGCTGAGGCTACGTTCCAGGAGAATGTGGCTGAGAGGTGGGGGCTCCCTTCTTCCACCTAGCCCCCAACTCATGGGATGGAGGCTATGCCTTGGGTGTTGTGCCACCAAGAATACCAGAGCCTTGATTGCTCTGGCGTTACCTTGTGGGGTGGGGGTTCTATACCAGAAGAGGCAAACCTGGGAGACCTGGGGCTGACACTCAGAGGGAAGCTCACCATTTATCTCCATCCACTGCGCCAGAGCTGTGGCTCAAAGATTTTTCCCAGGGAGAGAGGCAGGGCATAGAATAGGGGGCTTCAATTCTCCTGCAATGAAACTGACTTCATTTGCAACTGAGTGTACAGAAGTTCAAGCCTAGGCTGCCTAATATGCCAGAGAGAACCAGAGAAAGAGACAGCAGGGAAAGAGCCTCTTGCGGTCAGAAGAAATCTCAAACACAGATCTCAGGAACTATCTTCAAAGGAGCCCTAATTTGATTGGATCAGTTTGTGGAGCAATTTATATTCCAGGACATGATTAAAACAACAGAGCAGCTGGGAATGGTGGCAGGCGCCTGTAATCTCAGCTACTCGGGAGGCTGAGTCAGGAGAACTGCTTGAACCCGGGAGGTGGAGGTTGCAGTGAGCTGAGATCGCGCCACTGCACTCCAGCCTGGGCGACAAGAGTGAAACTCCATCTCAAAAAAACAAAAACAAAACAAGAGCAACCAGTCAACAATTAGTAGACCATAACAGCATGGTGTGGTCAAGTAAAGAGACAGCCAAGGAGAGCCTCACCAAACCCACTGTCATCCCAGGGTGACTGTGGGCATACACAAGCTTGTACCCCCGAAGAGCAACATTAGAGGCTTCATACTGCAGGGTGAGAATGGGGGTTGAGGAAATAGACTTCAATAAAATAATCCAGGCAGTTACTAAAGCAGTAAACAAGCAAATAATAATAAAGAACCCTGGTGGAGGGGTAGTACCCACAATTGTTACAATATATTATCCAAAATGCCCAGTTTCCAACAAAAACTTAAGAGATATGCAAAGAAACAGGAAAGTATGACCCATACAACCACATGTCAGATTTAACAGGCAAAACCTTCAAATTAGCCATATAAATATGTTCGAAGAACTAAAGAAAACCATGATTAAAGAAGTAAAGGAAGGTATGATGACAATATTTTACAAAACAGAGACTATCAATAAAGAAATAGGAAGTATAAAAAATAACCAAATAGAAATTCTGGTGATGAAAGCACAATTGAAATGAAAAATTCACTGAAGGGCCTCAACAGTAGATTGAACAAGCAGAAAAAAGAATTAATGAACTTGAAGTAGGTCAACAGTGATTAGGCAAGTTGAAGAACAGATGGAAAAAAGAAGAAGAAACAGCCTCAGAGAAATGTAGAACATCATTAAGTTCATCAACATATACATAATGGGAGTACCAAAAGGAAAAGTGAATGAGAAAGGAGCAGAAAAAATATTAGAAAAACTCCCCAAATTTACTGAAAAACATTAATTTACATATTCAGGAAACTCAAAGAACTCCAAGTAGGATAAATGCAAAGAGATCCAGAAAGAGATTCCTCATAGTAAAATTACTGAAAGCCAAAGACAAGGAGAAAATCTTGAAAGCAGCCCGGGAAAAAAAACAACTCATCACTTACAAGAGAACTCCAATAAAATTAACAGCTAATTTCTCAGAAACAAAATTAGAAGACAGTGTGAAAACATATTGTGTCCTTTGGTGATTGGTTGCACATATCTGTGAATATATTAAAATAACTGAATTGTATACTTTAAGTGGGTAAGCTGCATGGTATACAAATTATATCTCAAAGCTGTCATTTAAAAAACTAATAAAATTAGTACAAGAATCAGAACCATTAACTAAGGTTCTGTTTGTCCTACAGTCAAAGTCAATTGAATATTTTTAAAAAAGAGCCTCCCATCACATAAATTTTTGGGGCTACATTTGGCTCTCTGGTGCAAAATTTCATTCAAATCTCTTCTGAAACGCAAACAAAACCAACAGTAACAACAAGACACTTCCTATTAAAAAGTAGTAGTGGGGAATTTAAAGTCACAATGAATGTAGAAATTTAAGCAGAAATAAAAGTAATACATTTTCTAACTATTCCCCACTGAATGCACAGATCTACTTAGAGTAGCACTTCATTTATCTGATATCATGGGGATGTTGCATATATAAAAATTGTTCAGATACACAGTATACCCAAATGTATAAAATCCTATTTTAATAGAAGCTTTTCTAAAACACCTATTAGTTTTCTAACGTTACAGTAACAAATTATCACAAACTCAGTGGCTTAAAACTACATAAATTTACTATCTTATAGTTTAGTGGGTCAGGATTTTGACACAGGTCTCACAGAGCTAAAATCAAGATGTCATCAGGACTGCGTTCCTTTCTAGAGGCTACAGGGGAGAACTCATTTCCTTGCCTATTACAGCTTTTAGAGGACACTCTTACTCCCTTGATCTTGGCTGTCTTCTTCCATCTTCAAGGCAAACAACACTGAATCTCTCTGATCCTGTTTCTGTCATCGCATCTCATTCTCTGACCCTTCTGTTCTGCTTCCCTCTTCCACTTTTAAGAACCCATGTAATTACATTGGACCCACCCAGATAATCCAGGATAATGTCCCTATTTTATAGTCAGCTAAATAGCAATCTTAACATATTCATAGGTTGCAGAGATTAGGACACGGACATCTCTGCCTACCACAACCTAATATACAAAATGTAACTCAAAATGGATCACAGACTTAAATGAAAAATGTAAAATTATAAAATATTTACAAAAAGCATAAGAGAAAGTCTTCAGGATCTAGGGCTAAGCAAAGAGTTCTCAGACTTGATACCTAAAGCATGATTGGCAAAGAAAAATGTGTTTTCATCAAAATTAAAGACTTTTGCTCTCAGAAGCATATCCAGGGCAACTTGAATCTATGCTGCTGGGTTGTGGTCTTCAAACTTGGCCCAAATAAACTATCTACTTATATTTTTAAAAAAACTTCTGCTCTGAGAAAGCCCCTGTTAAGAAGACGCAAAAGCAAGCAGAATGGGACAGAATATTTACACATATTACACACACGTGTAATATCAAATGCTGGAGAAGATGTGAAGAAACTATCACTCATACATTGCTGGTGGGAATGTAAAAAGGAATCGCTATTCTAGAAAATATTTTGGTCATTTCTTAGAAATATTATACATGTAATATTTATTATAAAACACATATCTGACAATGAACTTATATTACAGAATGCATAAGGAACTCTAAAAATTCAACAGTAAGGAAACAAATGACCTAATTAAAAATCAAGAGATGGGCCGGGCATGGTGGCTCGCACCTGTAATCCCAGCACTTTGGGAGGCTAAGGCGGACGGATCATTTGAGGTCAGGAGTTCGAGACCAGCCTGGCCAACATGGTGAAACCCCGTCTGTACTAAAAATACAAAAATTAGCTGGGTGTGGTGGCATGCACCTGTAATCCCAGCTACTCGGGAGGCTGAGGCATGAGAATTGCTTGAACCTGGGAGGCGGAGGTTGCAGTGAGCCTAGATTGCATCACTGTACTCCAGCCTGGGTGACAGCGAGACTCTGTCTCAAAAAAAAAAAAAAAAAAAAAAAAAATCAGCAGACATTTTACCAAAGAGGAACGCAAATGGCATTTAAGCCCGTGAAAAGACATTCAGTATCACCAGCCATTAGGGAAATGCCAGTTAAAACCACAAGATATTATTACATACTTATTATTACAATAGCTGAAATAAAGAAATAGTGAAAATATCAAATCATGGAGAAAGTGTAGAGAAACTATATCACTCGTACATGGCTTGTGGGAATGTAAAATAGTATAGCTATTCTAGAAAATATTTCGGTCATTTCTTTAAAAATTAAATATGCAACTATGACTCAGCAATTGCACTCCTGGGCATTTATCCCAGAGAAATGAAAGTTTATGTTCCCACTGAATATAACCTCCATATGGATGACTCATGATGGGATCAAGGGCAACAAATGTCATAGAAAAAACAGTTTTATTCTCTAAAAATCTCAGTGAAGAAAGCCAACTGACCATGGACCCTCTCTCCTCACCTCCCTGAGAGTTTCAGAAGACCTAAGACTTCTTGTGAGATGGATACTCCTCTCATCTGAAGTTCTGGGTATGTGTACTTTGGATAAAACAGTTTCTCCATTTTCTATAATATTCTGTTCTTTAAGTAAAAGAGTTATCAAACTGTTCTTGACAGAGGGAGATTTTAAAGAATAGGCAAAATTTGGCATTTTTAAAACAATTACAGTAACAACTATTTTTTATTATAGATGGAAACAAAAAATCTTGTATTATCAGTAAAAAGCCTAGGAAACAGATTATCTAATACGAGTTACACCAGTCCTGGGAAATAAGAAAATGAGTCATCAATGACTTTTAGAAAAGAAAACAAAGCAAGTTAATTTTTGGGTATGGGCTGTTTAAAGTCCAGTGATTTGTCTGTCCATTTCTGTGACATACTGCTGTTTTAATTATTGTAGGAAAATGACAGAAAACAATAAATATCAGCAGAATAATTCAATGATGGTAAATCTTTATATCTCTATTTATTATTTCTAAGCACAACAACAGTCCTACACATAGCAGCAGCAGCCATTTTACAGATGAGGAAATTGGGGCTCAGAAGCATTAAAGCGACATGCTTAGAGCAACATGGCCACCAGGGGGCAGTCAGGTACATTGACAATGAGCACTCCAAGTTGATCCAGAAGCCAGAGGACAGGCTGGAGGGATGACAGCAAGAATGGTGCCCCTTCTAAGCCCAATCTCCTCAGCATGGCTTGCGAGGCCCAGTTCTGGCTCCCAGTCTCTCAGGCCTCATCAACTGCTGTTCCCCCCAATCCACTCCAATTGTTTGGCATATACTATGCCCCATGTGATTCCGGGAACACGTTCGTCTTGTTTCATACTTGCTTGCCAGCCTTTGCACAGGGCTCTTCCTTCTACCTACAATTCCTCCCCATGTTTTCCTTGACCAGCCCATTTTCCCCAACCCTGGTTCTATTCATTCATTGGATGTCCTCGATGAAGCTTCCCAGACGTCCCTCCCCCACAATTATTCACTCCTTTGCTTTCCATCCAAGTACATGCAAAGAAGCACCTCACTTGCACCATCAATATTCTTTACATCAAGCTTGTCCAACCCGCAGCCTGCATGTGGCACAGGACGGCTGTGAATGCCACCAAACACACATTCATAAACTTTCTTTAAACACTGAGATTTTTTTTGTGATTCTTTAAAGCTCATCAGCTATCGTTAGGTGTTAGTGCATTTTATGTGTGACCCAAGAGAATTCTTCCAATGTGGCCTAGGGCAGCCAAAAGATTGGACACTGCTGCTTTACATGGTCAGCCCTGTTGTCACTAGACCACAAGCATCTTGAAAGCAGGGACTGTGTCACATTCATTTTTTACCCCTAGCTCTTAGCACAGTATCCTGCACAAAATAAACAGGCAAAGGAATAACACACTGTGCTGCCCCCACCCAATCCTGTTTACCTAGCTAGCATACTGTACCCATTTTCCAGCTACTTCTTGTTGGCTGCTAATGGCTCACAATGGCCCCTCTCTTCCCAAGAACTGGGGATTACACTCTTCCAGTCTCCCTCCCAGAGGCAGCCTGCAGTCAATAATTGTTCTGCCATCACCTCAAACAGGCTATGGCTAGATTTTCTTAAGACCCTAACTGGCTGCTCCTTCCTTACCCGGTTACCCTCTTCCCCTTACAGGTTTCTCCTGAGAACACTCCTCAATAAATCATGTGCATTTGAATACTGTCTCAGGTTCTGCTTCTAGGCACCCCTACTTAACATGTGAATCCTTATTAAGTGGTAATTTTAAGAATGTACTACTTAATTTAAGGTAAGTCCTAGAGATCTTTTGTACAGCAGAGTGCTATAGTTAACAATACTATATTGTATACCTAAAAGTTTGCTAACAGGATAGGCCTTTATATTGTGTTCTTACCACGACAGAAGAATAGAGCAAAGGGAAACTTTTGGGGGTGATAGATAGGTTTATGGCATAGATTGTGATGATAGTTTATAGGTATATACTTATCTCCAAACTCATTTAGTAGCTGTTGTTGTTTTTGAGACAGAGTCTCACTCCGTCACCCAGGCTAGAGTGCAGTGGTGCAATCTCAGCTCACTGCAACCTCTGCCTCCCGGATTCAGGCGATTCTCATGCCTCAGCCCCTGAGTAGCTGGAATTACAGGCATGCTCTGCCACACCTGGCTAGTTTTTGTATTTTTAGTAGAGATGGGGTTTCACCATGCTGGCCAGGCTGGTCTCCAACTCCTGACCTCAAGTGATTCACCCACCTTGGCCTCCCAAAGTGCTGGGATTGCAGGCGTGAGCCACCACACCCAGCCAAACTCATCTAGTTGTATATATTAACTATGTACAGCTTTTTGTATGTCAAAAAAATTTTTTTAAGAAAGAAAAGCCCCATAGAAGGACTAGCCCTCTTTAGTTGACCAGGCAGATCTCAAAGTCACAGCAGCCCAGGGGCTGAGCATGATGCTTGATGACACCTGAAAGCATACGGCAAACAATTGTTTTCTGTGATGTCCCTGTCATGAATATTCATTTAAGAACTAGAAGGGAAAGAGGCCCAATAAGGTCTGTGATTGTCAAAGTAACTTCTTGGGAAGAAAAGAGGAATAAGGAACATAAAACAAGCAAATAAATTTATTTGTACCATGAAAAAAATTACCTTAGAATAAAATGTTTTGTTAAACAAAACCATAAATCAGTATAGTGTAATCCTGGAGTAACTGTGATATATCTCGATGTCTTACACTTGGTTATATTATTCAGCTGTTTATTTTCTAGTCCTCAGATCAGAGCACAGACTTTATAAAGGCATTCTTTTCTTCCTTACCTTCATTTTGGCAGAAACAAAATGTACACTAGACCTCACCTTGCACCACTGGGAACAGTAATTTGATGGCAGTTTTCAGATCTTATTCCTACTATCATCTCAAGTACAATAATTAACAGCACAGTGGTTTAACAGTGACTGCAAACCAGGCAAAATACAAATGTCTGGAGTAAATGTCTTCCTTGAGTAAAATACCCTTTTAAAGGAGGACTGTCTGGAAGTCAACCCAACTGGGATTATTTGGGACTGGAACCTAAGCCTGCGGTTTGGTGGCTACTTGACTCCCCATTAATATTCCCACGGAAGAACATGCAGGCCAAGGAAAGGAAAAGTGATTAGCTCAAACATAGCCCTTTCCTTTCCTACTATATACCCATGAGACATACTTTTGAAATGCATGGTCAGTGCAAGGGGCCCCTATTCACTGCCCTCTGCAGGGCCATGTAGCAGTTTAAAAAATAATGCTCTACTTTAAACATATTCACACCGTTTGACCTAGGAATTCTATTTCTAACATTCGTCCTTGAAAATTAATACAGGCTGGGCACGGTGGTTCACGCCTATAATCCCAGAACTTTGGAAGGTCGAGGTGGGCAGATCACTTGAGGCCAGGATCAGATAACTTCGAGACCAGCCTGGCCAACATGGTGAAACCGCGTCTCTACTAAAAATACAAAAATTAGCTGGGTGTGGTGGCAGGTGCCTGTAATCCCAGCCACTCAGGAGGCTGAGGCATGAGAATCGCTTGAACCTGGGAGGCGGAGGTTGCAGTGAGCTGAGATCATGCCACTGCACACCAGCCTGGGTGACAGAGCGAGACTCTGTCCCAAAAAAAAAAAAAAAAAAAAAAAGAAAAAGAAAAAAGAAAGAAAAATAATTTGAAACACGGAAAATGATTTATGAACCAAAATGTCCATTAAAACTTTATAATAAAAATAAAACCGACCTATCACACAAAAGAGGAATAATTAAGGTACATTAATATTATGGTATTTCATCCAGTCATTTAAACATGGTATACAGGGAAACATTTATGCTAAGATGTTTTAAAATGTATAAAAATTGGTTTTACAGTGAAATTACTATACATGTATGAAATAAAATATATAGAAAGCAAAAACCATAAACCAATTTACTAACATTAGTTGCACTGAAGTGACAGATTTCTGGTTGATAAAAACATTCTTTCTGAATTTTTCCATTCCCCACAGTTTTAGAGTAAACATATAGGACGTTTACAACCGGAAAAAATACTTTTCTAAGATTTCAAGATATCTGTTCCCATGTCACTCCCAAATGATTCAGCTGACTTGAAACATTGAAACTATAAAAGTGGCCATCACTGTCATTCAAGATGGACATTAACCAGAGCTGAAAGAAATCCAGAAAAGTGCAATATAATCAATTAAACAGAGACATCTCTGTGTCATAAAGACAGTCGCACAGACTTTGCATTTTGGAAAAGCCAAAGATCTAAGCAGTGATTCTTAACTGAAGACAATTTTGCCCCCCCCAGGGGACATTTGGCAATATCTGGAGACATTTATCGGTTATCACAATAATTGATGTTACTGGCATCTAGGGATAGAGGTCAGGAGGGATGCCGTTAAACATCCTACAAGGCACAGAAATAGTCCCCTACAATGTGCAGACTTATCTGGCTCAAAATGTCAACAGTGCCAAGGCTGAGAAATCTTGCTCTAAAGGGATGAAACAGAAATCAATGAGCTATTAAGAAGAGTGTAGAAATGATCAGCTTGATTTTATTCATCCAATTATAGAATTAAATAACAAAGGGGTATTCCCTGAAACCTAAAGGCAATTTTATCAAAAGGAAAACAGGACTTTCAGCCATGCTTAGGGAACTAACTTAGAGAACTCATCAGTTCAAGAAGTGAAACAAAATGAAAATGTAAACAAGTTCAAGAAGGACTGAGATAAAAATCAGAATAAATCTGTGATGGTATTTGGAAGTAATCCTTAAGGAAAGAAACATCTGAAAGTCTAGCTCCCTTAGGCTTTCAGGAAAATATTCAGAGCCATTATCAGAGACAGACATTTCAGTTAAGCCACTGGTCAGACCAGAGCAGCATGTTTCTTATATCCCGAAGGGTGAATTCCTGCCCATGTGGTCAAAGAACCTCCCAAACTTTTTTTTTTTGAGACAGAGTCTCACTCTGTCGCCCAAGCTGGAGTACAGTGGCGCGATCTTGGCTCACTGCAACCTCCGCCTCCCAGGTTCAAGCAATTCTCCTGTCTCAGCCTCCCGAGGACTGGGACTACAGGCATGCGCCACCACACCCAGCTAATTTTTTTGTATTTTTAGTAGAGACGGGGTTTCACCATGTTGGTCAGGCTGGTCTCGAACTCCTGACCTCAAATGATCCGCCCGCCTGGGCCTCCCAAAGTGCTGGGATTACAGGCGTGAGCTACTGCACCCGGCCCAAACTATTTCTTTGTTTTGTTTTGTTTTGTTTTGTTTTCTGAGATGGAGTTTCGCTCTTGTTGCCCAGGCTGGAGTGCAATAGCGCAATCTTGGCTCACTGCAACCTCCGCCTCCCTGGTTCAAGCGATTGTCCTGCCTCAGCCTCCCTAGTAGCTGGGATTGCAGGCATGCACCACCATACCTGGTTAATTTTGTATTTTTAGTAGAGATGGGGTTTTGTCATGTTGGTCAGGCTGGTCTCGAACTCCTGACCTCAGGTGATCCACCCACTTCGGCCTCCCAAAGTGCTGGGATTACAGGCATAAGCCACCACGTCCGGCCAACTATTTCTTAAATAGAAGTCATGAATGCTATAAATGTGTTTCTTGAGCTGATTATCCTCTGCTTTGGGGCAAACAATCCTAACCTCTATAGTAAGACAGTTTAAGTGCCTGTGCTTTAATTCAGAATTCACCCCTCTCTACAAAACAATTCTATCCCTGCTTCAATGTCATGGAAACAAAACTCTATCCTTCAAATCTGTTCATCTTGTGTATCTTTCATTTCTACCACTTCTCAGTAGTCCAGTAATTAAAGCCATAAACATCTATCTAGAGATTGAATAAACAAAAAATAAGAAGAGAACATATTCTACATATGTCACTGCTTCTCCTCACCCCTAACAAATCTTTGAAAGAGATAGCAGAAGTTGGGATAATGAACTTTTCTAAATGAAGACTTTATCTCAGCATTTCAAAGCTTATTTTTTAAAATTAAGATATACCATATGACTCATGAATCTTGTGACCAGATGAGGAGTCTGGAGGTCAACTCTTTTCCAAAGCCCTCAAAAAACATCCAAGGAAAAATAAAGGAAGAACATACAAATTTACCTAGGCAGATTCCTGCCACAGACAAGTATTTCTTTGTCAACCACAATTATCTCTGTCACCAGGAACCAGGCTTACCCTCTTTAATATAAAGACTTGTTAGCAAATTATTTGGGAATTTCAAACTCTGTGAGTAGAAATCACCTTGCATGAGAAGGCCAGGTTGGGAAGTGTGTCTAAACCAGGGGTCACCCAACTTTTTCTGTAAAGGACCAGATAGGAAATATCTTTGGCTTTGAGGGCCACATGGTCTCTGTCACAACTACTCAAATCTGCCATTGTAGCATGAAGGCAGCCATAGACAGTACATAAACAAATGAACACAACTCTCTTCGGAATAAAACTTTATTCCAGCCGGGCGCGGTGGCTCACGCCTATAATCCTAGCACTTTGGGACACTGAGGCAGTGGATCACCTGAGATCAGGGGTTTGAGACCAGCCTGGCCAACATGGTGAAATCCCCTCTCTACTAAAAATACAAAAATTAGCCAGGCATGGGGGCACATGCCTGTAATCCCAGCTGCTCGGGAGGCTGAGGCACAAGAAATGCTTTAACCTGGGAGGCGGAGATTGCAGTGAGCCGAGATCGTGCCACTGCACTCCAGCCTGGGCGACAGAGTGAGACTGTCTCAAAAAAGAAAAAAACAGAAAGACTACAAGTTCTCCAAACACTTGGAAACTAAACATCACACTTCTCTCAATACAGTGACTTGAATGCCTGAATGTAGATGAAAATACAGCATATCAAAACTTGTGGCCGGGTGCAGTGGCTCACGCCTGTAATCCCAGCATTTTGGGAGGCCGAGGCAGACAGATAACCTGAGGTCAGGAGTTCGAGATCAGCCTGGACAACACGGCAAAACCACATCTCTACTTAAAATACAAAAATTAGCCAGGCGTGGTGGTGAATGCCTATAATCCCAGCTATTCAGGAAGCTGAGGCATGAGAATTGCTTGAACCCAGGAGGTGGAGGTCGCAGTGAGCCAAGATCATGCACTGCACTCCAGCCTGGGCAACAGAGTGAGACTCTGTCTCAAAAAAGAAAAAAAAACTTTATTATACTATTTGAATTTCATATAATTTTCATGTGTTATGAAATATTATTCTTCCTTTCATTATTTTTCAATGATTTAAAAATGTAAAAACCATTCTGTATGCTTGTAGGCCATATCAAAATAAGTGACAAGCTAGATTTAGCTCACACGCTGATTTGTCAACCTCCGGTCTAAACTAAAAAAAATGTTTACTGAAAGAAAGAACATTGAAAATTTGAAGAATACAATTGAATTATCACTCTCCTAACACTCCCCACCCCAATCCCTAATTTCTCAGCTCACTGTTTGGCTGCTATAGACCTCACTCGGTGGTCAACTCTATAATGTTATCTTGACAGATTTTAATGGTGCTAGCCCTTTCTAAATTAAAATCTGCTTTATGTCTTTTTTTTTTTTTTTTAGACGGAGTCTCGCTCTGTCGCCCAGGCTGGAGTGCAGTAGCGCAATCTCAGCTCACTGCAAGCTCCGCCTCCCAGGTTCACGCCATTCTCCTGCCTCAGCCTCCCAAGTAGCTGGGACTACAGGCGCCCGCCACCACGCCCGGCTAATTTTTTGTATTTTTTAGTAGAGACAGGGTTTCACCGTGTTAGCCAGGATGGTCTCGATCTCCTGACCTCGTGATCTGCCCGCCTCAGCCTTCCAAAGTGCTGGGATTACAGGCGTGAGCCACTGTGCCCGGCCTGCTTTATGTCTTTTGAAGAAAAGGCCCCCAGTTCCAATAACTTTTAAAAATTTTGCAGTACATTTTCTTAATTTATGTACATATATTCAAAAATTTCAGCTGGGCACGGGGGCTTACGCCTGTAATCCCAGCACGTTGGGAGGCCGAGGCAGGCGGATCACTTGAGGTCAGGAGTTTCAGACCAGCCTGGCCAACATGGTGAAACCCCGTCTCTACTAAAAATACAAAAATTAGCTGGGCATGGTGGCAGTCGCCTGTAATCCCACTTACTCGGGAGGCTGAGGCTGGAGAATTGCTTGAACCCAGGAGGCAGAGGTTGCAGTGAGCCGAGATCGCGCCATTGCACTCCAGCCTGGGCAACAATAGTGAAACTCCGTTTCAAAAAAAAAAAAAAAAAAAAAAAATTTCAACTACCCAGATAAGTCAACTTGGTATCTTAAGAATAAAAAGATATATACATGTACAAAACAAGTCCCTTTAAGATAAAATACCATTTGCAGATAAGACCTCTTAAGAGTAAAGTAAATCAATAAGAGATGCTTTTACTATGAAATACACAATTCTTTCTCCAGATAGAAACTCAAACGATTTAAAAAAACGATTTCCCATTGTTTTATCTGCTGCTGTGAGTTGTTTCCACACTGAAATTTTTACCCACATGTACCCATTATACATTTACAATAACGTTCATGTGATTTAAAGTAATCATCCCAATTTATTAGAAGGAAAAACAACCTTTATCCCAGGTTTTCGTAACAACGTAACATGCCTTATATGTGAGGCATGTAAACCTCACATATAAGGTTAAACACACAGAAATGACCCCAAACTTACTGAGCAAGTTCAAATCCACTGCACACCAACTTTTAATACTGTGCTAACAGAGGGCAGGCACTGTACTGGCCACCAGAAAGAGGACAGACAAGGAAAAAACTGAGAAACCAAGTCCTTTGGCTCCCACAGAGCCAGGGTCACAGGACCAGGTGCACCAAACACTGTGGCTTGGGTGATCACAGCCTAAAACTGTTAACCAATGATGTGTGACAAACCAATTAGAGGGGGGTTTGAGTTAATCCCAAGATCAATCAAATAGGATATGGGTGTGACATGAAGGAGGGTTACTGTTAAACCCTCACCTCTGGTCAGATCAATGCCCATGGCAAAGGAGCAGTCAGACATGGAAGTTAACATACAAGTCAGTACTGACTTTGAAGGCAACAAAAAATGAGGGAAAATGAAATGGCAACAAATTTCCCTGGGGAGAAATCAAAGGGTCTGGTAGATAAATGCCAATACATGTTAAATCCCAAAAAAATGTATTTGGCCTCCCCAGCAGAGGTTCTCAACCCCCATTACACATGGGAATCATATGGAGAACTTACAAAAATCCCAATGTCCAAATTGCACCCATTACCAATTAAGTCAGAATCTCTCTTTTGGAAGAACCAGTTTTTAGATGGATTGCTTTTTCTGTTTTTCTGTTTTTGATTACATTGACTTTTGTTCTTTTATTATTTCCTTCCTTCACTTACTTTGGGTTTATCTTGCTCTTCTTTTTCTAGTTAAAGTGGGAGCTTAGATTATTCATTTGAGGCCTTTCATCTTTTCCTCATATAAGCATTCAGTGCTCTAAATTTCCTTCTTAGCACTCATTTAAGTTACGCCCCACAAGTTTTTCTTTTTGAGATGGAGTTTCGCTCTTGTCACCCAGGCTGGAGTGCAGTGGAGCGATCTTGGCTCACTGCAACCTCTGCCTCCCGGGTTCGAGCAATTCTTGTGCCTCAGCCTCCTGAGTAGCTGGGTGCCTGCCACCACACTCACCTAATTTTTGTATTTTAAGTAGAGACAGGGTTTCGCCATGTTGGCCAGGCTGGTCTTGAACTCCTGACCTCAGGTGATCTGTCCGCCTTGGCCTCCCAAAGTGCTGGGATTACAGGCGTGAGCCACTGCGCCCTGCCACGAGTTTTGATATGGTATATTTTCATCTACATTCAGGCATTCAAGCCACTGTACTGATGAGAAGTGTGACGCTTAGTTTCCAAGTGTTTGGAGAACTTCTTGTAGTCTTTCTGTTTTGTTTTGTTTTTTTCCTTTTTTGAGACAGAGTCTCACTCTGTTGCCCAGGCTGGAGTGCAGTGGCACGATCTCAGCTCACTGCAACCTCCGCCTCCTGGGTTAAAGCAATTCTCGTGCCTCAGCCTCCTGAGCAGCTGGGATTACAGGCATGTGCCACCACGCCCGGCTGATTTTTGTATTTTTAGTAGAGAGGGGATTTCACCATGTTGGCCAGGCTGGTCTCGAACTCCTGACCTTAAGTGATCTGTCCGCCTTGGCCTCCCAAAGTGCTAGGATTAGAGGCGTGAGCCACCACACCCAGCCGTCTTTCTGTTTTTGATTTCTACTTTGATTCTATTATGGTCTGAGAATATACTCTATATGATTTCACTTCTTTTCCATTTGTTGAGGTTTGTTTTATGACCTGGGATGTAGTCAACCTTGGTGAATGTTGCTTGTGCACTTGAAAAGTAAGTATATTATGCTGTTGTTGGGTGAAGCATTCTATAAATGTCAATTAAATCTGGTTGACTGGTGGTGTTATTTCTTCTATATCTTTGCTGATTTTCTGTCTACTGGTTCTATCAATTACTGAAAGAGGGGTATTAACATTCTCAAGCATAATTGTGGGTTTGGGTTTGTCTATTTCTCAATTCAGGTCTGTTGGGTTTTGCTTTGTGTTCTTTGAAGCTCTGTTATGTGGTGCATACACATTTAAAATTGCTATGCCTTCTTGGTGGATCGACCCTTTGTATCATTCTTTTAGTCCCTGGTAATTTTCTTTGCTGTGATATCTAATTATCTGATATTAGTATAGCCACTCCAGTTTTCTTTTGATTGGTGTTTGCATGATATTTTTTTTCCATCCATTTACTTTTTATTTTGAGATACGGTCTTGCTCTGTCACACAGGCTGGAGTGCAGTGGCACAATCGTAGCTCACCATAACCTCCAATTCCTGGGCTCAAGCAATCCTCCTGCCTCAGCCTCCCAGGTAGCTAGGACTACAGGTGTGCACTACTGTGCCTGGTTAATTTTCCATTTACCTTTAAACTCACTGTATCATTACTTTGAATTGGAATAGACTGAAATGTGTCTACTCCATCCTGTCTGGAATGGGAAGTTTGCTCTCTGCACTATTTTTGCAACTCCTGTCTAAATTTATTATCTCAAAATCTCTTAACTCAAAATAAAAAATTAACTCAAAATTTAAAAATTAACTATTAAAAAAGCAAGTATATGATAAAAAGAGCAGTTTATTAATGTTCCTACATATCTGGAAAGTATTAATTTGAGAAAGAGAAAGAATCAACCTATCATTTTGTGAGATTTTCACTTACTGTACTCTTCCAGAGTGAGGAAACAAACAGGCTAAGAAACGGGTAAAACTTACAAGCCTGGGGATAATTGGGAGGCTGACCCCCTATCTGTGGGCCCAGAAGAAAGCAAGTCACTTTGTAACAAGGAAGTATATCTATTTTTCCTCAAAAGATAAATATTCACCACACCTGGTATTCCTGGTTTTGCCTTGGGAGCGGGGAGCTGTTTTCTCAGTCCTTGCATTTTCTAGTCTCCCTGCCTGGATTTTAGTCATTTCACTACTTATTAGCATTCTGAAAGGTTAACAGAATTTAAAATGTGTAACTCGAGAAGAAATAAAAGGCTAATCAGTTAGTTACAACACTTGTTAGTTCTGTAAAAGCAATGATGAGTGAGAAAGCTGGAAAGTACTGACTAAAATATGGCTTTCTGAGAATTAGTTGAGTTCAGTCATTTTTGCTGTTCATGCTCCAGTAGCCGCCCCAGGAAGCCAGATTTGGAAACAGTACCTGAGTCATTTGAGACAAAACAACAAGTTACCCCTGAATTGTTTTAAATGTTAACGAAAGAGATCACTAAAAGATCTAAGTCATGGATGGAACCTAATTACCTCCCCTTGGCCCTAGAAAACCAAAAACATCCAGATAGGAATATGAAACACAGAAGAAAGCAGGTTTTTCCTTTCTATTCATTTCTCCTATTATCTTAGCCCTATTTTAATTATTCTGAGTTAACGCCATTTTACAAAAATGGACAGATAAAAAATTAAACTCAAAATTTTGAAACAAAGACTCTTTGTTGCTGTGTGTGGAAAGTGACCATCTTGTCAAAAAAATACCTGTGAGCCTACAGCATGATTGATTGTTCAATGTGATGAAACTTTCCTGGACCCTAAGCCTCAATATTTTGTTATCTGAAAATCTGCAGTTTAATTTCATCCTTCAAGATCAAAGGCAAATAAATTAACTTGGTCTAGTGATTCCACAAATCTCTAGAGAGCTGCCAGGCAAGGCAGATCCACAGAATAACTCATTAACTTATAATGCTTAAAGCAACTTTGGGAAAACTGTTAGGAATTGAACACAGGCTAAAACTCCTGAAGGCACTCACCAATGTATCTTTCTACACAGTTGACCAGAAAACAGCTAAGCTCTGCTTGACTACTCCAGTGACCAGGAGCTCACTATCTAACAAGCAATTTATTCTAATGTCTAGACAGCTCTAAACATATGGATGATTTTCTATGAACAGAAAAAATCTGCCTTTTAACTTCCAAATTCTGCCTTTATGCTGGATTTCTTTCTGTTAACAGGTTCCAACCTCTCTACCTTTATTCCCAAACCATCTCTTGACCCTACTTCATTTTTCTCTAGCTAATATCCACTTTCTTTCTTTCTTTGCCTTCTCTTGCAAACTCCTCAAAAAGTAGTTTACAGTCTGTAACTCCTTCCTTACTCTCAATCTCTCCTTAATTGCTTCTATCTCACCAGAATTCTTGGAAAAATGTGCATACTTCCCAACCCTCATCTTTAAGTATCTGTATGCTGCATTTGACACGCTGATCACTCTGGCCTTCTTGAAACTACTCCTTTGGCTTCCAGAAGCTTTTTTCAAGTTCCCTGTGTTGCTAACACTTTTTTTCTTCCTCTAACCATCTTGTAGGTGATGGTGGTTCCCTGAAGTGCCCTACCCACATGCTTATGGCTCCCAAAACAAGGTCCTCTGGTCCAGAGCTGGAGATAGAAAGGAAAGGCGAAAGAGACAGGAAGGTAGGAGGGAAAAGCAAAGCAAAGAAGGAAGGAAGAAAGAATAGGAAAGATACATCAACAAAAAGAAAAAAGTCCTGACAACCAGATACATCAAGCTGGAAGACGATCAACACTGAGGAAACTATGTTCTGTTTTCCACTAGTTCTTCCTACCTTCTAACTGGTCTCAGTTGGCACCTTCCTCTATGCCATCACAAAATCTAGAAAAATCTCTGAACTCTTTCCTATATCTTACCCTGGAACATCCAATCAATTATTAAGCCCTGTCAGTTAACCTCTAAAATAATCTTCCAAATCAATGTTCCTTTCCCATCTCAGCTGTCATTTTCTTAGTTTAGGACCTATCTATTTCCTCAAACCTAGAATGCAAGAGCAGTTTCCTAACTGGCTTTAAAAGTCCTAATCTTGTTGTCCCCAAATTTACCCTCCACCCAACTGCCAGAGACCTATCTAAAACACAAATTGGATCATGTGCCTCCACGGTCAAGAGATTTCAATGGCTGTCCTTTGCTCCTAGGATCTTTATTAAGGTCCTCATCAAGGCCAACACAGCCCTCCACAATCAAGCCATGTCTACTTCTGCAGCTTTATCCCTCACCACATTCTGCCCCAGTTTTATGCTCAAACAATGCTGAACCTCTGCAGTTCCTACCTCTAGGCTTTATACCATCCCTTCTCCCAGGAGGACCCTCTTCTTGCTTCCTCACTTTTAAAACATATAAACTAATTCTTATAAGGCTCAGCAAACAGGAGCCTTATCCTTATAAGGCACAGCAAATCTCTTCTAGGATGCCTCCCCTACTATGACTCACCCACACTTTGACAATCAACAGCAGTATGCTCTCAGAGTGGCCTGTGTATAGTACCATCACTAACTTAAAGTATTTTTAACCACTAATATTATCAAATCTCCGAGAATGAGTTCCTACCAGGTATGGACTGGACTTTAAAAATTTTGTAATGGATGTTATTCTTCCTTTATCTCTTTGAAAATCTTCCAGATTTAGACAGTGAGCCAATAATACATTTGTCCCTGGTCCTAAGTCTCTCTCTGCTCTCCTGCCTGCCACTCTGAACAGAAGCAACATCTTTTTACTGTCTCTGTTCATGGGCAATCTCTGACTTCACAGTCAGGGATCATTTCCTCCATTCACTGAATGTTTTAATCCCATTATCTACAGAAATACAATTCCCAGCCATCTCTACCTTTTTCTGGACCTAAGAGTCCAGAATGTCCATAACTATAGGCCTGTAACTAATAATCCTCACTTATTGTCTGATCTGTTTCTGGTCCAGAGATTTATACTTTCTTGACCACAGATATGTCTAATTTTTTACTTTATTATCACTTTTAAAGAAAGGAGATATGAATTTAAAGTATGAAATCAGAGCCATCTTGACGAGAAGCCCTCAAGTTTAAATTTTATGACTATTACACAACCTTTTAGATCGGGGTCAGCAAACTACAGCCCATGGGCCAAATCTAGCATACTGCTTATTTTTAGTATGGCCTGGAGGCTAAGAATGGTTTTTACATTTTTAAATGGTTGAAAACAATTTAAAAAATATTTTGTGACATATAAAAATTATGTGAAATTCATATTTCAGTGTCCATAAACTTTTATTGGAACACACCCATGACCATTCACTTATGCTGTTCCAGTTACTGACTGTTGTGCAACAAACAACTGCAAAATTTAGTGGCATAAAACCACCACCACTTTATCACTTCATGAATTTTGTGGGTCAGGAATTCAGATAGGCACAGCAGTGATGACTTTTTTCTACTCCACAATGTATGGGACCTCAGTTGGGAAGATTCAAACAGCTGGATCATCTGGAGACGTCTTCACTCATCTGGCATCTTTGACTGGGATGGCTGGGCTTAGCAGAGACTACCTCCAGAGTGCCTATCTAAGGCCTCTCTGGCATAGGTGGCTTCTCAATAGTCAAACTTCTTACATGGCAGCTCAGGAGTCCTAGTATGAGTGTTCCAATGAACAAGGCAGATTGCCTTTTATGATTTAGCCTCAGAAGTCTCATACTCTATTGTATTGAAGTAGTCACAAGCTCACCCAGATTTAAGTGGAAGGAGGCACAGATCCTACCTCCCGAGGAGAAGAGAATAAAAAAATTTGCAGCTGTGTTTTAAACCTTCATTTATGGGTTTCACATCATTTTATTGCAAGGATCCAGGATTAATGACTGATTTAAAATGTGATACACATCCAGGTCTCAGAGCATCCAAGCTTCAAAACAATTTAGCTTCACAAGAGGACCATCATCAGGGTCATGACATGTGAACAATTTTAATACTTTCCTATTTGCTTCTGGTCAGTCTTTAATTCCAAACACATAGAACACATGTGTTTTTAAGTGTTATAGGAGTAGACTGGTGCCTTAAAAAAGAGTAATTTGTATCTGTGTGATAGATAGCAAAAATGGCCCCAATTCTTTATCCATGCCCTTTCCTTATGGATGCTCCTTGAATCTGGACTGGCTTTGTGGCTTGCTTAGGGCAATCGAGTACAGTATGAGGTGATGGTGTGCCAGTTCAGAGCCTAGGCCTCAAGAGGCCTTGCTGCTTCTATTCACTCTTAGAAACCTGACCAACTACCATGAGAACAAGTCTGGGCTAGCCTGCTGCAGGATGAGAGATGCATAGCTCTGTGCTCCTACCTCCTACCACTGCCCCAGTTGACAGCCGTTGGACTTCAAAAGCAGAGCTCCCTGCTGACCTGTAGTTGACCATAGGCATAAGGGGAGACCAGCTGAGAACAGCAGAACTGCTCAGCTGAACCCAGCCCAAATGACTGACCCATAGAATGAACTAAGTAATTACTATTTTAAGCCACTAACTTTTGAAGTGGTCGTTATACAGCAATAGTTAACTGACAGAATTTGAAACACAGCTTTTAATGATTAACTGTAGAGTGGAAATTTCATCACAAACCTCAGTCGTACTACACTAAATCACTTTGGGTACTAATTTTCCAAAGTAGGCATTACTGCTGGGATCCACAGAGGAAGGCACTGTAGCTAATGCCAAGATCACAGATGGGTCAAGCACTTGACCCAAAAGAAGTACATAACAGCAGCCATACGAGTAGCAAATGTCACTCTATCTGGAAGTTTCTAATCCTGTCTGATGCCAAGGCAGCCATAAGGTACCTCCCCTGTCCAGAGATAAGCGTGGCACCTGCAACCAGTGGTTAACTATTTAACTGGAATGTCAGAGTAACACATCAGAGCACCCCTATAATCCCAGCACTTTGGGAGGCCGAGGCGGGTGGACCACAAGGTCAGGAGTTCGAGACCAGCCTGGCCAACATGGTGAAACCCCGTCTCTACTAACAATACAAAAATTAGCTGGGCGTGGCGGCAGGCACGCATAATCCCAGCTACTTGGGAGGCTTAGGCAGGAGAATCGTTTGAACCTGGGAGGCAGAGGTTGCAGTGAGCGGAGACTGAGCCAGTGCACTTCAGCCTGGGAGACAGGGCAAGACTCTTTCTCCAAAAAAAAAAAAAAAAATTAGTTTATATTAGGTTGAACCATATGAAACTGCCATTGTTGCAAGTCAAAATGTTTGCATATCAGCAATTTCATAGGGTTCAATCTAATACTGCAGGATTTGGCTCATGAACAAAAATAAGCAAAAAATAAAAGCTTCCTTCCTTTGCTTCTCTTAGTCTCCAAAGCCCTCACATATTCTAGAGAAGTTTAATTCCTATGAACTTTTAAGGACATATATTAAGAAATACATAAAGCCTCGCTTATAAATACATTTTTTTTTCTCAATTCAAAACACCTAGTTTCCTTTAGGAGTTGTATTCCACTTACCAGACTTAAGGTAATTAGCCTGTGGGTCCCCAGTGGAGTATTAGGTCTCTCTACCTACATCTCAAATTTCTAGATCAGATCTGAGCACCCTCTTTTCATGTGCCATTTGTACACGGCGAACCAGGATTCCAGAATGTTGTTTAACACAAGAGGAGGTTGTTGACAAAAAAGTATTCTGATTATTACTATCAGTGTGTGCTTGGTGTCAGTGGGGGGAGGATATATTTGATTTTATTCTAGTTTCTGCTTTTTCTGCCCCAGAGTTGCAACCAGATGGCTAGACTATCATCTCTGGGTCTCTTGTCAGTCAGAGCAGGAGAAGCCTAAGAGGCAGGATTCCTACCCCTGCATATGTGACTAGAGTGGTGAGGCAGTTTTCCTCCATCTTCCTGGGCAGCCACAACAAGACCCTGTGAGGAGGCGCAGGTGCTTCGAATAACTGGCACTCTCCCAGGCCACAGCCGAAGCCACATGCTCAGAACAGAGGCTCAATTTTAATCCTTCTGAGACACCATTTCAGGGATTGGCCAATATACAAACATGTAATCAATGTAATGCTTTTGTGTGCTCGTGTGGGTCTTGAGCTTGTGAATTTTTTGCATTAACGGTTTTAGAATTTTCTGCCTAGAAATTTTTAGAATTACCCAAGTATAAACGCAGTCTTTTTTATGGTAAATGTTATTTCATGAGAAACACTGCATACATAATTTCAGCTTCAATGGTCAGAAGATCCTGTGCTTTCAAGCTTACTGTTAGAAATGCAAAACAGGGACACCAAAACTCCATCATCCCACCTCAGTTCCCTCAGTACAGGATGTTTCCCTCCTTCAAAGGTTTTTTATAAGATCTTTCGTCCAGTGTATTTTACATAACCAGCTTTCTCTATTTCCCAAAGAAAATTATTGCACAGTCTAATTAAGTTTTCCCTTAGGAAACACCACTCCTGACACACAAAGGAAGACAAAACAATGGTGGCAGACTGTGGAAACAGAAATATTTCATTTTTACCAGCTGAAAAACTATAAAAATTAAAACTACCCCTAAGCTATTAATATGCAACGATTTGAAATATCAGCAATTCACAGGAGACTGGTAAAAAGTCCTTTGTTCATTTACTGTTTTTATCAAGTTCTGAATTCAGAACCCCACATAACTACTTTGACAACTGATAGCATCACAACCACCTAAAAACAAGTTCAGAGCGTTCCGTTGTAGACAGTATAAATGATGCTTGTTTTTGCATGATCTGTCTCAGAAGTACAGCCAAGGAGGAACTAAGTCTCACATGTTCACTCTCACAGGGCCCATCAAAGAACTCAATAAAGATCTGATGAAGGAACTTAGGCTGGAATTTGGAAAATGTGGATAACACCAATTTCTAGTCCATTATCATATTATTTTTATTATAATGGCTTTGTAGTAAGTTTTAATTTGATAAAGCAAACTCCCCTCACAAATTTTCCTGCTTCTGGGGCATTTATTCTTTCCAAAATGCAAACCTGATTATGATACTTGATGTAAAACCCTTCTGTTGCTTCCCAGTGCTCACAGACTCCCTTTTAGGCCCCTGCAGAACTGCGGTTTAGTAGAGTGGAGAGTGCGAGTTTAGGGTGAAATCTGACTGCTCAACAGGAGAGTCACTGCCACCATCAGAGAACCTCTCTCTCTGACCTGGTTCCTTACCAGGCTCACTCTCTCCTTTAAATATGCATTGAACAAATAATGGTTTTTGCAAGGGTGCTGTGTAAGGGGTTCCCAAGATCACCCCTAGGTTCAGTGATTCACAAGGAAGACTCACAGGATTCGGCATATAATCATACTCATGGCTATGATTTATTACACTGTAAGGATACAAAGCAAAATTAGCAAAGGGAAAAGGCTCATGGGATGCAGTGCAGGGGAGACAAGGCACAAGCTTCTAAGAGTCCTCTCCTAGTGCATACACAGAACACAATTTCCCTAGCAACAAGTTGTGATGATACATGTGAAATGTTGTCTACTAGGGAAGCCCACTAGAGACTCTGCCCCAGGGTTTTTATTGGTGACTGGTCACATAGGCACCCTCTGACTGGTACAGACCAAAATTTTAGACTTCAAGAAATAAAGCAGGTATTCAGCATAAACCATATTACTTGTATAAACAATTCCGGCACAATGAGCCACCCTTATCCGTTCTGGGAAGGTCAAGAACCATCCCCAAAATAAAGTTCTTATTCGCCAGCCCAGAGTCAACCTTGTAAGCAGGCCTTTTCAAAGTCAGGTCTGCTATGATAACATTTTTTTTTTTTTTGTTGCACAGATGCCAATCATTAGCTTGGCTGGGCACCTACACATTCTGCCCAGACCTGGATGGGGTAAACAAAACTGTGACAGTACTCTGAGCAGGGGACTAAGGGAACAGGAATAGAGGAACACCCATCCTTTTCCAGTGGCTTGAAAGAAGGGGCAATGAGGACTGCTTCTTGGGAGAGGCAATGCCTGAGCCCAGTTTGAACATGATAGATATTGTGGTGTCCATAGATTTAAATGCTAACCAGGTAAGTGAGCTTGGTAAATTAATGAGACTAAGCTGTATCTCAGAAAGTGAGTTACCCATATGGACCAGGGCTATTAATCACTTTGATTCCCTGCTTTAAACTTTGTATGGCTTCTAAATCTCCTGCAAAGCATGCAGCTCTGTCAGAGGTGGTGCCAACCTAATTTTCCAGTCCTACCTGTGATACTCTGCCCCTTCAGTCTCTGTGGTCCCAACATCCGGTATTCTTTTCAGTGCCTGGAGTATGTTCCTTTCTACCTCCAATACTATCCTACCCCCTACTCTGGACTGCTCATCATCACCCTATCCTACTTCACATGGCTATCTCCTAGTCATGTCAGATTTCAATCCAAACAACATTTCCTCAGGATAGCCTTCTGTCCCCTACCCCAGAGTAGGTAGGGACCCATGTCATTTGCTTCCCAGCACCAAGTAACTTCTCCTTTATCACTGTGGGCACATTAAAGTCCATTTCCTTACACATTGACACTTCAAGAGGGCAGAGACTATGCCTGTGTTGTTCACTGTGATAACCACAGAGCCTAACACGGTGCCTGGTACATACTGGGCACTCATCAAACATATGAATGAAGAATGAATCAGGGCTCACTCCCCTTCCCCAACACTACACACCTCCTGTGTCTAAGGCACATGGCCTAAGCTAGGTCGACAAGTCAGCCAAGTGTTTTGACAGAGGTATTGGGAAAGAGGCACTGCATTGCTACAGATACAGTCTGCCTGAGAGTGAAACTAAATCACAGGAACACACAGGTGAGAAAAGGAGATTTGGGGCTGCAATAACAGCCTGGATGTTGCCATTCCTAAAGTCAGCAGCCTGTGGACTTCATTTACCAGTAAACCCTCTTTCTGTTACTTAGGCTAATTTAAGTCAGGACTCTGAGATGTATAACTAAGAATCCTTATAGAAAAATAGTAACTGGAATTAGGCACGTGGTTGGTCCTAAAGAACAAGAGAAAGACTACCAGGAAGCCTAACTTGTGATGTCCCAAGCTACTGGCCTAGGGAGTCCTTACAGTTCCTTAAATTATAAAAAGGGTTGGTTATTGTTCAGGGAGAAAAGATGCCCTGGCTGGGAAGTAGAGCACAAGCATCCTGGCTGGTCATTATCCTAAAAACTACTTTATTTGTGGAAACTCAAACCAGATCTCCCAATAGGCTACAGAGAGACAAAAATCTCCCTTATTTTCAATGGGGGTAGATATAATTATTGCAAATAAAAAGCTTGAATATCACTTCAAACTAGATTCTAAACCACATTAATAAAGCATTGGCTGGATAAGCACTTGAAAAAGAAAACAGTCACTAGCAGCCAGCATAGGCTCTCTAAGAACATGACACACCCAACTTACTTTAGGCTCTTTTCTGTTCCAGTCACTCATTTATTGAGAAAATTGTTTATAGGTACAGTAATACGTGGAGGCAGCTGACAGGATTTTCCTGCTGATAGATTAAAAAAAATGCAGGCTGCAGGCAGGTAATCCTGAAGGTAGGAGTCTTCTGGTGGGACACAGAGCTATGCCCTTGGCCCTATCTTGATCAAAACTTTGATGAGTAACATAGATGAATTTAGGGTTATTGACCCTAAGAGGGATAACATTCATCAAAGAAAAGAGGAGAATTCAAAAGCAAATATTATAAGCAAAAACAGGATGAAATTTAACTAGAACATATGTAAAGTCACTGCAATTAAATTGTTTCCCAAATACAGGATGATAGCAGTTTCAGCTTTTGATGTCAGTAAACACCACAGTTTAGTGATGCAGCTACTAAACTCGGGCTGAATTCAGAAACATAATGTCTACCTCAGTTGGACAACAACTGGACAACCATGTTCCAATCTGAGTACCATTAATGGTGACCAATGAAAGTGCATCCAGAGAGGGGAACCAAGACTAGAAAAAGTTTGGGGATCATATCACATAAATGACCATTGAAAGGGTGAGAGATGGTGTAGCCGCCTGGGAAAGCAAAGACAGAATCCTATAAAACTGAAAATATCCAAACCCTATGACCCAGCAATCCTATTTCTAAACATATATCTGGAGAAACTCTCACAAATTTGCACAATGATCAACATAGAACTGTTTATAAAAGCAAAATTCAGAAAGTAGTTAGGTTTCCATCAATAGAACGGCTAGACAGAATAAGGTTCATTCATACTCTGGAATACTTTGCAGCAGTTAAAAACAATGAAGTGGGTCTATAATCAATCAGGATAGACTAAGTTTGCCAAGGTAACAAAAGGAACCTAAAATCTGAGTGGCTTAACACAACCAAAGTCTGTTTATTCCGTATGCTACATATTTAAAGTGAGTTGGTAGGAGAGCTTATTGTAGTTATTCTTGACCTAAGCTGTCAGAAGCTCCATCTCTACCGGCCAGGGGAATGGAATGTGGCAAATCTCATATTAGCTCTTAAAATTTCCATTTGGAAGTGCATTCATTACTTTTACTGACATTTCAATGACCAAAGCAAGTCACAGGGCCACGCCTAACCTCAAAAGGGACAGGAACTACAATCCTACCACATGCCCAAATGGCAGACAGCCAAAAACATCATGTGACATATAATAATACATACTATGCAAAGATTAATAGAAAACATATGAAAAGATCTAAGATATTTTGCTGTGTAGAAAAAACAGACACATTCATAATACCACCATTTATGTAAATTAAAACATAGATCCAAAACAAATCTATATATCGTTTATATCTATCTATCTATCTATCTATCTATCTATCTATCTATCTATCTAATCTATCTGAAACTGAGGAGGGAGGAGGATGACATTAGAAGAGGTGACCAAAGGAGAAATAAGCATTTCTGTAATGTTTTAGTCCCTTTATTTAAAAATGGTGGCTCATGCCTATAATCCCGGCACTTTGGGAGGCTGAGGCAGGTGGACTGCTTGAGCTCAGGAGTTTGAGATCAGCCTTGGCAACATGGAGAAACCTCATTTCTACCAAAAATTAAAAAAAAATTAGCTGGAAGTGGTGGTGCACATCTGTGGTCCCAGCTACTCAGGAGGCTGAGGTGGGAGGCTCACTGGAGCCCGGGAGGCAGAGGTTTCAGTGAGCCGAGATCATGCCACTGCACTCCAGCCTGGGCAACAGAGACCCTGAGAAAGAAAAGAAAAGAAAAAAGAAAGGAAAGGGGAGGGGAGGGGAAGGGGAAGGGGAGAAAACAAAGGGGAAAAGGAAAAGGAAAGAAAAGAAAGAAAAAAAAGAAAAAAGGAAGGAAGGAAAGAAAGAAAGGAAAGGAAGGGAAGGAAGAAAGTAGCTGGGCATAGTGATGCACACCTGCAGTACCAGCTACTTGGGAGTCTGAGGTGGGAGGATCGCTTGAGCCCAGGAGTTCGAGGCTGCACTGAGCCATGATTGCGCGACCGCACTCCAGCCTGGCTGACAGAGTGAAACCCTGTCTCTAAAATAAACAAGCAAGAAAAAAAGAAAAAAAGATATTACAAAATCTTAATTGTTGATAATTCTGGCTGGTAGAGAATATGAGTATTTATCATATTATTCTTTGAATTTTTCCATTATATTAAAATCCTTGAAATAAGTTGTTACATGAATCAGAAATGTTTTAGCTTAAAAGGCCACGGGGGCCAAGCGCGGTGGCTCAGCCTGTAATCCCAGCACTTTGGGAGGCCGAGGCAGGTGGATCACTTGAGGTCACGAGTTCAAGGCCAGCCTGGCCAACATGGTGAAACCCCTTGTCTACTAAAAATACAAAAATTAGCCAGGTGTGGTGGTGTGTGCCTCTAATCCCAGCTACTTGGGAGGCTGAGGCAGGAGAATCACTTGAACCCGGGAGGCAGAGGTTTCAGTGAGCCAAGATGGCACCACTACACTCCAGCCTGGGCAACAGAGCGAGACTCTGTCTCAAACAAAACAAAACAAAACACACAAAAAAAGGCCACGGGTGGGAGAAAGGGGAATGGGAAGTAGGAAAATAGATAGCTTTAAATATTTTGGACAAAAGAGATTTGCTGTGTGTGACTATGGAGAGGAGAGCCAGGAATGATACTGACAGTTCCTGAAAGGCAGATTTTGGCTTGGGAATAAAGAACCACCAATCTGTTAAGGTTTTTGGTCTTATTTTTTTTAGTAGCCTCAAAACTGTATGGAGGAAAAATATGTATTCTTTGGGGTAAAAAATAATGTTGTCAAGAGTCAGACAACCACCTGTCTGACAAATACTGTGGCAAGGATTCCTGCACTGGGAAGGAATTTGGATTTGGTAATCTCCAAGTTCCCTACAATTCTCACGTTCCATCAACCTTGGACTGGAACCTCTCAGTTTCTAAATTCTAGTTCACAGGCTCTGGGAAATGCACCACAGTTATCCCAAGGAAAACTTCAAAAGATAATGCAACAGTCTGAACACAATACAAATCTGAATTGTGTTACCTGGGAATATTTCACAATCAATAAGGAATAAATCACTTAATTGGGACTAATAGTTATTATAGGCAAGAGAGTCACAAGAATTATACTGGCCTTGAATAAAGCTAGCTTTAATTCTCACACCCCGATCAACCTTATGCACATAATTAAATCAGTATTATTTGGAGAACTATTGCCTGTTTAATTACTGTTTCTGTGACTTGTTATTTGTTCTCCCAGTACCAAAGGCAAATTGCTCCCACAGCTAAAGAGATCTCCACAGAAACATCCCACTGAAATAAACATTCCTTTATAAAATGGAAGAGTAAGAATAATGAATGTGTTTTCTTTTAAACTAGTTGCTTTGGCTGCTGTCAAAAGAAAAAATAAAAGTCTTAGCAATGGAAAACAAGTATCACTTCTATGAGGAGGGCCAGTCTGGCATAAAGATAGTGAGGTAAAAACTCAAGCAGCTCTCTGCTGCTACCCTGCTCCCAGCCAAGAAGATAAGGGATTTCAATAGGAGTAAATGAGACAACATGTTATAGCTGAGGATTTTCTTTCAAAAAGGTACCATACCTTTTAAACCAGTAAGGTTCTTTGCTGTACACAGTTAATATATGCCTAGAAGGTTATAAGTTGAGCAGCCTTTGCATGCCTGGAACCTGACAGATCTCAACAGACACCTGGGAAGCCCACTGTGGCTTTTAAAGAATGCATATTTCTGGCTGGGTGCGGTGGCTCACACCTATAATCCTAGCACTTTGGGAGGCCAAGGTGGGCAGATCACTTGAGGTCAGGAGTTTGAGACCAGCCTGGCCAACATGGCGAAACTTTGTCTCTATTAAAAATATAAAAATTAGCTGGGTGTGGTGGTGCATGCCTGTAATCCCAGCTACTCAGGAGGCTGAGGTAGGAGAATAGCTTGAACCCGGGAGGCAGAGGCTGCAGCGAGCCGAGATCGCACCACTGCACTCCAGCCTGGGCAACAAAGTGAGACTCCATCTCAAAAAATAAAAATAAAAATAAAAAATAAAGAATGCATATTTCTACCACAAAAATACTGAAAGCATGCTGCAACATAAAAACATGTGCTCTGCCCATGTGTTTTTGCTCGTTTAGGATTTCCTTCCTTCAGTGATTCTGTACCACATAACTAACAATAGGAAATACTTTCATAAAAGTGACTGTTATTTAGTAGTTTCTTCTATTAACTTTCAAAACTAAAACCAAACCAAACAAAACCAAAAAACAGCCCACAAAGCTCTTAAATATTCCCAAGTTAATGAGGTTAGTATGGCTTAAATATACCTTCTTTCTAGACCCACATTCCTGACTGTGCTGGAGTTTCATGTGTCCTGGTCTCTGTTACCCACCAGAAATACCATGTGAGGCAGAAAGCCCCAATATGCTGGAAAAGCAGCTGCCTAGACCACCACAATGCCTTGCAGAGACACAGTTGGGGCCCTAATCTATGAGCAAAACCTGATTCCCACCCCCCTCCAGGTTTCTCCATCCTTCAAATGCAAGCACTTAACATCCTAAAATGTCACAAAGCAGTGCATTTATCCTTGGGAGATAGAATTTGGTGATAAAATGCAAGACTGTAATGTTAGGAAGGACAGAGTGTGGGGAAAGCCAGAGACAAACAGGAGAGGGAGGAGGAGAAAGGGGTTGAGGAATGAAGTTCTGCAGGGCAAAGGTTACTGGAAAACAGCAGGACAGAAGCAAGAGACTACGACAGAGAGGCAGGGCCAAGGAAAACAACGAGGTCAATGATATGCTACACAAAGACAAAGAACTGTGCTTCCAGATGAGATTACCACATATGCCTTTAGAGAAGTGGTTCTGTTTTTCAGGGGGTCATTATGTATTCAGCCAATAGTGCAGCTAATCTGCTTACTCTTAGCAACTTTTGTCCACCTAACTGCACCAAACACTACATATCTGAAACTATTATTTCAGAGATATAAATACTTTAAGGGGGAGGGAAAGCAACCCAAAACATCCATTAAAATATCAGTGAAGACTTCCGGTTCCAAGTAAGATGGTATAAACACACACGTAACCTTTCTGTTGACCAAATGCAACTATAAAATCTGTAAAGAAAATATGGGCAACTATTAGAGAACTCTTAAAAGTATATAACAGCAGGCGATCAAGAAAGAATGCCAGAATGCGGAGTACAACTGAACTGGCAGTGACTTAACCACTTTTTTTCTTCCAGTATTCACTGGCCTGAATTCAACACAATGAAATCTGAAAGTGAGCACTGTGGTTAGAGCACATGTTCTGGTTCAAGGTGCTTTTTTGGAAAAGGGAACTACTAATGCTCAGAGAAACTGGAGTGGTGAGGTGGCGGTGGGGGGCGGTGGGGGGGGAATCCCCTGGGTTTTTCTCTCCTTTTTCTCCCCTTTCTAATGTCTAGAAAATCCCATGGTAGAGGCTGTGGCAGCAGCAACAAAAAGTAACTGGCATAGGGAGACTGTACGAGCTAAAACTCTGAAAGAGAGAGAAGAAACTTCTGTCCATTTGGTGGAACTATGGCTCCAAAAGGGCAAAGCCAAATCCCATTGCTTTTTTTTTTTTTGAGACAGTCTCGCTCTGTCACCCAGGCTGGACTGCAGCGATATTGGCTCACTGCCACCTCTGCCTCCTGGGCTCAAGAGATTCTCCTGCCTCAGCCTCCTGAGTAGCTGGGATTACAGGCACACACCACCATGCCCGGCTAAATTTTATATTTTCAGTAGAGATGGGGTTTCACCATGTTGGCCAGGCTGGTCTCAAACTCCTGACCTCACGTGATCCATACGCCTCGGCCTCCCAAAGTGCTGGGATTACAGGCGTGAGCCACCGCACCTGGCCTCCCATTGATTTTTCTTACTTTTTTTCTCTCTGTTTGCCTGCCCCTTGTGCCCTAGAGGCAGTGTATTGTGAAAGTGTGTAGTTTCTCACTGGAGGACTAAAAAGGAAAGCCCTGGAAAAGTAGAAAGTACCAGAGAAATAACAACGAAGGAAGAGCTCAGGAAAACAAACTCACAAAAAGTTGCTTACAAACTCCTGGGAAGGCCTCCACTTCCTCACAGGTGGATCTGATTCTAATTAGCATATCAAAGACTTGGAGAAATGAGTTAACACACACTTAGGTCCCTGACTGACAGGTGGGTGGCACACACACGACAGAGGTGAACAGCACTGCAAAGCCATTGAATACTGAACTGATATTTGAACTACACCCCACAGAAAGTGAGATGGAACTTGCAGTCTGAACCTAACCAGACCAACTGCTGCTGAAACAAATACATTGACATTCTCCATGGGGTTGAAACAAGATCCAGAGTCTCATAACATAATATCCAAAACATCCAGGATAAAATCCAAAATTATGCGATATACAAAGAACCATGAAAATGCCAGCTCACATGAGAAAAGACAACAGATGCCAACAATGAGATGACACAAATGTTGAAATTATCTAACAAGGACTTTAAAGCAGCAACTCTAAAAATGCTCAGATTGCCATGCATGGTGGTCTGCACCTATAGTTTCAGCTACCCAGGAGGCTGAGGTGGGCAGATCACTTGAGCCCAGGAGTTTGAGTCCAGCCTGGGCAATAGAACAAGATCTTGCTTCTAAAACAACCACCACCACACACTCAAACAGGCAATCACCAAACCTGAACACTCTTGAAAGAATGTTAAAATAGAAAATATCAGTAAAAAGAAGATATAATGATAACCAAATGGAAACTCTAGAACTGAAAAAACAACCGAAATAAAAATTAACTGGAAGAACACAACAGCAGAATGGAGGAGGCAGGCAACCTGAAGACAGATAAACTGGCCAATCTAAACGAAAAAAAGATTGGAAAAAAAAAATAACAAAGCCTCAGGGACCTGTGGGATAACAATAAAGGATCTAACATCTAACATTTGTATAACTAGAATCTAACACAGAGACGAAAAAGAGTGTGATGATAATTTTTTTTTTTTTTTGAGACGGAGTCTCACTCTGTTGCCAGGCTGGAGTGCAGTGGTGCAATCTCCGCTCACCGCAACCTCCACCTCCCGGGTTCAAGCAATTCTCCTGCCTCAGCCTCCCAAGTAGCTGGGACTACAGGCGCATGCCACCATGCCTGGCTAATTTTTGTATTTTTAGTAGAGACGGGGTTTCACCATGTTGGCCAGGCTGGTCTCGAACTCCTGACCTCAAGTGATCTGCCTGCCTCGGCCTCCCAAAGTGCTGGGATTACAGGCTGGGTGCGGTGGCTCATGCCTGTAATCCCAGCACTTTGGGAGGCCGAGGCAGGCGGATCACTTGAGGTCAGGAGTTCGAGACCAGCCTGGCCAACATGGTGAAACTCCGTCTCTATTAAAAACACAAAAGTTAGCCAGAAATCGCTTGAACCCGGGAGGCGGAGGTTGCAGTGAGCCGAGACTGTGCCACTGCACTACAGCCTGGGCAACAGAGCGAGACTCTGTCTCAAAAAAATAAATAAAAATAAAAAATAAAAATAAAAAAAAGTTTAAAACTGCCAAGACACTAAGAACACCAAACAGAATAAATACAAAGGAATCTACACCTAGGCACATCATGATCAAACTGCTGAAAACTAAAGACAAAGAACTGAAGAAACAGACAATTGGACACTAACAGAGTTTAACATTCCACTCTTGGTAATAAATAGAACTAGAAAAAAATAAAGAATATACAAAACCTAAACAAGAACTATTTTAAAAATTGACCTAACTGGTATCTACAAAACACTCCAAGAAAAGCAAAATATACATGCTTTTCAAGTACACAAGCTATATTTCCCAGGAATTATTGGTAGGACTATAAAAGGGTTCAGCCACCTTGGAAAACTGGCAGTTTCTTTAAAAAATTAAATATAAATTTAACATACAGCCCAGCAATTCTACTCCTAAAATTCTACCCAAGAGAAATGAAAACTTATGTCTACACAAGGATATGTACATGAATGCTCACTGCAGCACTGTTCATGAGAACCAAAAGCTGGAACTATCCCAAATACCCATCTGCTAGCAAAGGAATAACCACGATGTGGTACATCCACATGATGGAATATTATTCAGCAACAAAAAGGAATGAATTATTGATATGTTGTACCACCACAGATAAACCCCCAAAACATTATACTACGTGAAAGAATCTGGACACACAAGACCATATGTTATACGCTTCTATTTATATGAAATGTCCACATCTACAATGGCAGAAAGTAGATTAGTAGTTGCTTAGGGCTGAGGGGAGAAGAGTGGAGTGACTGCAAATGAGTACAAGGGATTTTATTAGCGTGATGGAAATATTCTAAAACTGAGTTATGGAGATGGTTGCACAACTTAGTAAATTCATTAAAAGGCATTGAATTATATACTTATGCAGGTGAATTTTGTGGTATATAAATTATACTTCAATAAAGTTGTCATTTTAATAATTTTACATAAGTGAAACTATACAGTATGTAAACTTTTGAGATAGGCTATTTTTCATTCAGCATAATGCTTTTGAGAGCCACCCAAGTTGATCCACTTATGAATAGTTTGTTTCTTTTATTACATTTTATGAATGCACCACAGTTTAACCATTTACTTACTGGAGGGCATTTGGGTTGTTTCCAGTCTTTGGTTATTAGAAATATAGCTGATATGAATATTCCTCTACATCATGGATGAATCTCAGAAACATTATATTGAGGAAAATAAACCAAAAATAAGCCAGATACAAGAATATATATACTATATTATTTCATTTACATGAAGTTCAGTCATAGGAAAAACTATATGGTGACAGAAATCAGAATAGGAGTAGCTACCTCCGCTTAGAGGGGACTGACTGAAAAGAGACACAATGATACTTTCAGGGACATAGAAATGTTTTATATCTTGATTAGGGTGTGGGCTATGTGGGTACATACATTTGTCAAAACTCAAACTGTACTCTTAAAATCTCTGCATTTTACTATACGTAAATTATGCCTCAATAAAAGAGAAATAAGGAAGTCACCACTACTACTCATCAAAATGGCTAAAATTCGAAACATCAACAATACAAGTGTTGTTGGCAAAGTGCCTCTTTATGCTGCTGGTGAGAATGTAAATTAGGATAAAATCTTCGGAAAGCTGTTTTACAATAGCTACTGAAGCTTACTTAACATGTGCACACCCTATGACCCAGCTACTTTACTCCTAATTATATATACAACAGAAATGTACACAAATGTTCCTGAAGACATGTATGAGAATGCTCAGATAAGCACTATATGTAACAGCCCCAAGCTAGAAACAACCCAGAAATGTTCATCACTAGTAGAGTAGATTTGGCTGGGCATGGTGGCTCATGCCTATAATCCCAGCTCTTTGGGAGGCCAAGGCAGGCAGATCACTTAAGCCCAGGAGTTTGAGACCAGCCTGGGCAACATGGCGAAACCCCATCTCTACCAAAAAAAAAATACAAAAATTAGCCGGGCATGGTGGCATGTACCTGTAGTCCCAACTACTCTGGAAGTTGAGGTGGGAGGATCACTTAAGTCCAGTGAGTCAAGGCTGCAGTGGGCCATGATTGTGCCACTGCATTCCAGTCTGGGTGACAAAGACCCTGTCTCAAAAAAAAAAGTAGAGTTTTTTTAAAAAATTGTGATATGTTTGTGTATGTGTATTGTCCATCTACACAAAGTGTGAAAATGACATTAGTCTATAGTGACAGAATTCAAGATAGCAGTAACCTGGTAACCCCTGCGGTAGAAGAAAGGGGTACTCAGGAAGAAGGCCTCTGAGGTGCTTATAATGTTCTTCTTGACTGGGGCACTGGTTGAATGTGTAAGTTCACTTTGAGATTATTAATAGCGTTGTACCCTTATGACTTGTTCACTTTTTCTTCAGGTATATTATACTTCTACTTATATGCTATATACTTTCCTTTATGCTCTATGTACATATATTTAAGGCTTTCCCTCTTTGACACTATCTTTATCCTTCTTTGCATTCTCTCTCTACATTCTTGTCTGCTGAACTATCAATAATATATTGTATTTAACCTGTATCTTCATTGCCAATGATTAGGAACACTTAAGTCAAAACTGATGCAAATAAAGCGAGCCCACAAAATGAATGCAGGGAGAATACAGGCATCCTTTACACAGGCAGAATTTCATGAGTTAGCATCAAACAATCTGGCCTGTCTATCCATAGAAGGGAAACCATCCTTTAAATAGAAGGATTAGTTTATTTATCCACATAATTCCAGGACAAAGGTGTAGGTCAGGAGTGACATTCCTTTGCGTGCTCCTTCCTATATAGGGAATCTGTCCAAAGGCACTTTCACATACTTTAGCAATTATCAAAGCTGAGAAATATTATAAAGGAGGCAAAAAGCTGCCCAGGAATTGATTCTTAACTGACAGTACACAACTTGAATTTAGACAGTGATCTTAATCTTAAAAACTCCCACAGGCTAACAACTTTCACCGACCCTTTAATTTCACATAATTTTATTAATCTATCCACATGCCAAATTCATCTAGAGGCCTGATACAGTTGTGGTATCAGATACCAGGGACAGATAATTGCAGGTCTGTAATCTCCAGGAACGTGGGCTCTGGTGGAGGGATAAGGAAGAAAGGAAAACAAATTACCAGAACCCAGAGTAACAGGTTGTATAACAGAGGAAGAAAGGAAGGCTCCAAATTTCCTGGGGGCATGATAGAATATTGACTAAATCTGTCCAGAGACGGCATGGAGGCTCCATGTTGGAAGTGACACATTATCAGGACATGGACCAAACGGCACGGTACCTCTCATGCTGGGGATGAGCAAAATGCAGATTTTTATTATGAAAGATAAACTGGTAAAATCTGCATTCAGATGTAATTGGACAGCTAAGGGGACAAACCCTGATATTGCCTATATAGGAGCCAAAAAAGCTCATCAATATCCAAAACTCCAAATTAATTTGGGAATGGCATGGATACAAAAAACAGTTACGTCTGACTTCATTTCAGGGAGGCAGGATTAGAATATGACTACAGTTTAGTAAAAACAAGCAACTGTAGTTTATATTCTACTTAGGATGGAAAAAGACTAAAAATAAAAGGGGGATCAGTCTGAAGGAGTACAAAAACGAAAGTTACACAGCTTGAAATTCCTATGTAAGCATGGTCCAGAGGAGATACAGTCCATGTCCAAGTATCTACCCCTCCGGGCTCAAGGACAAGAACACCGCAGTTTCAGAAAAAGACCAAAAGGCCAGGCGCGGTGGCTCATGCCTGTAATCCCAGCACCTTAGGAGGCTGAGGTAGGTGATCACTTGAGGCCAGGAGTTCAAGACTAGCCTGGCCAACATGGTGAAACCCTGTCTCTACAAAAAACACAAAAATTAGCCGGGCATGGTGGCGCGCACCTATAATCCCAGCTACTCAGGAGGCTGAGACATGAGAATCACTTGAGCCTGGGAGGGGGAGGTTGCAGTGAGCTGAGATTGTGCCACTGCACTCCAGCCTGGGTGACAGAGTGAGACTCCGTCTCAAAGAGAAAAGAAAAGAAAAGAAGAGAAAAGAAAAGGACCAAAAGCAACTCTCATGCTGATGGCATCAAACATGAGAATCATGGAACTAAAGTCCCTGGTCCAAGTCCACACTTGGGATGTAATCTTGTGAAGATGGCTTGGCCTACCACACAACTCACCCAAAGACAGAGAGATAGTATCAGTGATATGCTGATAAATGTTTATCATCAGGCTCTTCAAGAGGGAGAAAAAGCCCTGATTTGTAGTTTACTGATTCCTGTGATATAGATACTCCCAAGATGGTCAATTTCAAGCTACTAAGATGATGTCACTCATCATGGAATTTGAAAGCCATGCACGCAAATCGGCTCTTGCAATCCGGTGTGAGGTGGCTCCATCATATGAAAATGCAATCACAGTTGAATCTTCACTATATATCAATAAACTGCCATCTTAGCTCATACAGATCAGATCTCAAGAGCTAGGTGACCTCAAGTCCCTCCCCAAGTACAGGAGGATATACTCATGGAGGCACTATTTTAATTCATTTAATCATACATGCCACATGATAGTATCTATTTACACAGAACAGCTTCAGGGAGCTGAGATCTGAACCCATGGACTGATTCCCAAAGACACATCTTTCCACTACATTATGCTACCTCCATGGGAGGGCTGGGTGATGACGTAAGAACACACCCCCACCCCCATCCTGCCAACTGCCTCTTAAGTCCTCTACATTTACCTTAACTTCCAAAAGGGAGAATATGGACATTTTTTTCTCAGGCCTAGCCAGGAAATTCTACTATATTCCTTTGGGACCCATTTCAACAGTTGTCAGAAATACTTCCTTATTTTCTTAAACCTATCATAGCAAGAAAGTCTTTATATTATTCTCAGTACCCATAATTATAACTGGCTACTACCTATTTTCATTTAAAATGTTCCAAGTACTGAAAGGGCACCCTCTTGATCTTCTCTTTTGCAAGGTTAGTAATCGTAATTCTTTACCTGCTACTCTGAAGTCTTGCTTTCCAACAGGAATGTATGCACTATAAGGAATATACTATCAATACATACACAAATCCTCACATATGCCCTACTTAAGCATAAGGAGATGAACACACCAGGAGGATTCTCACCTGTTAGGGAGTGCCTAGGAGCGGCCTATCCTACCAGAAATTTGTATTATTGAGGGAACAGGAATCTCCTGTTAAAGAAGGGGCCCCAAGAGAAAATGGTAGCTCACCAACTGAATCTGGTGGCAATATTCCAAGGCGTGAGGGAGCAGTAATTCATAAAACTGTGTGAAGTGTGTTACTCAGGTTCATTCTTTAGCTCAGCTAGCTTGCAAGGACTCAGTTCAGAATCCTAGTGAGAGGCTCTTCACAGAAACCTAAACAAGCTGACATGCAGCTCCCACAGCTCCAGGAGTCCCAGCTACAGCAGAAAGATGAGAGAGCCAAGAACCTTAGCACAGACACTAGTACCCTTAGTTGAGTACTGCATGAGTGGGTCAGCCAAATGGGAAGTCAAGCAAGTCAGTGGTAGCAGCAGCACTGGGGGCTGTGCAAACATATTAATAGAAGAGAAGCTTCCAGAGGTTGAAATCAATAGTAGTCCAGGAAAGACCCTGCCCAAGAGGTCACCAAAAGTGCTAAGAGGAAAGAAGAGAGAAGGGACATTAGGTGCTATAAAGTACCTAGTCAGGAAAACATAGCAGATACCTCCAGGGCAAAATGGGTATAGCTGAAGACTGCTCTGGAAGCTGGAGAACTATAACAGCTAAAGTCTATGAGTGACTATCATCCAGACTCTGGTTTTACCCTCCTGGATGATGTGGCCCAGGGCATTTAGGACAGCTGTATTTCATGGTAGTAACAGATCCAAGAGTGAATAGCTATAAAATACACATATGGACTGGGCACCTCCCAGCACTTTGGGAGGTCAAGGTGGGAGGAACTGTTTGAGCCTAGGAGTTTGAGACTAGCCTGGGCAACATGGTGAAATCTCATCTTTACAAAAATTATCAAAAAAAAAAAAAAATTCAGCCAGGTGTGGTGGTGTGCGCCTGTAGTCTCAGCTACTTGGGAGGCTGAAGTGGGAGGATTGCTTGAGCCCAGGAGGTCGAGGCTGTACTGAGCCATAATTATGCCACTGCACTCCAACCTGGCTGACAGAGTGAGACCCGGTCTTAAACAAAAAGAACACACATATGTATTGAAAATACATATGCATGAATAGTACAAAATTTGTTTTTCTGTCACCTAAAAGATAAGTTTCCAAATCAAGAGAGTAACATTTTTATTAGCCTAAAAATTAATGTGTACAGAACATTTAAAATTGGTGGTTTCCAGAGACACGGTATACCAAAATCTCTGGGATGTAAAAAAGGCAGTGTTAAGAGGAAAGTTTACAGTACTAAATGCCTATATCAAGAAGTGAGAAAAGGCCAGGCGTGGTGGCTCACTCCTGTAATCCCAGAACTTTGGGAGGCCAAGGCGGGTGGATCATCTGAGGTCAGGAGTTCGAGATCAGCCTGGACAATATGGTGAAACCCCATCTCTACTAAAAATACAAAAACATTAGTTGGGCATGGTGGTGGGCACCTGTAATCCTAGCTACTTGGGAGGCTGAGGTAGGAGAATCGCTTGAACCCAGGAGGCGGAGGTTGCAGTGAGCCAAGATCACACCATTGCACTCCAGCCTGGGCGACAACAGCAATACTCAGTCTCAAAAAAAAAAAAAAAGAAGTGAGAAAGATCTCAATTCAATGATCTAACAGCCCACCTAGAAGAACTAGAAAAACAAGAACCCCAAAAACTAGCAGAAGAAAATAACTAAAATCAGAGCAGAACCAAATGAAACTGAGACCCGGAAATCCACACACAGAATTAACAAAAAGTTGGTTATTTGAAAGGCTAAATAAGACTGATAGACTGCTTACTAGACTAACAAAAAGGAGAGAAGATCCAAATAAGCACAATCAGAAATGACAAGGGTAACATTACACTGACCCCACAGAAATACAAGAGATCCTCAGAGACTATTATAAACACCTCTATGCACACAAACTAAAAAATCTAGAGGAAACGGATGAATTCCTGGAAAAATACAACCTCCCAGGATTGAATCATGAAGAAATTTAAACCCTAAACAGATCAAGTTCTAAAACTAAATCAATAATAAAAAAAATCTACCAACCAAAAAACGCTCTGGAACAGATGTATTCACAGCCAAATTCCACCAGATATACAAAGAAGAACTAGTACCAATCCTACTGAAATTATTCCAAAAAAATTGAGGAGGAGGGGCTCCTCCCTAATGCATTCTATGAAGCCAACATCATCCTGATAACCAAATCAGGCAAAGGCAAAACAAAAGAAAACTATAGGCCAAAATCCCTGATGAAGGTAGACAAAAATCCTCAACAAAATACTAGCAAACCAAATCCAGCAACACATTAAAAAGTTAATTCACCATGATCAAGTAGGCTTTATTCCTGGGATACTAGGTTAGTTCAACATATGCAATTCAATAAATGTGATTCACCACATAAACAATTAAAAACAAAAACCATATGATCATCTAAATAGATGCATTTATGCCAAATAGATGCAGCAAAAGCTTTTGATAAAATCCAACATCTCTTCATGATAAAAACCTTCAATAAACTAGGCATCAAAAAAAATACCTCAAAATAATAAGAGCCACCTATGACAAACCCAAAGCCAACACCATAATCAATGGGCAAAAGCTGGAAGCATTCCCCTTAAGAACAGGAACAAGACAAGGATGCCCATTCTCACCACTATTATTCAACATAGTACCAGGAGTCTTAGCCAGAGCCATTAGGCAAGAGAAAAAAATAAAAGGCATCCAAATTGGAAAAGAGGAAGCCAAATTATCTGTTTTCTGATTATATGATCTTATGTCTAGAAAACCCTAAAGAATTCTCCAAAAGACTCTTAGATTCTGTAAATGAATTCAGTAAAGTTTTAGGATAATCAATATATGAAAATCAGTAGCATTTCTATACACCAATAACATTCAAACTGAGAAATAAATCAAGAATGCAATCCCATTTACAATAGCCAGACACACAAAAATAAAATACCTAGAATACATCTAACCAAGGAGGTTAAAGATCTTTACAAGGAGAACTACAAAACACTGCTGAAAGAAATCACAATGACATAAACAAATGAAAAAACATGCCATGCTCATGGATTGGAAGAATCAATATCATTAAAATGGCCATAATGCCCAAAGCAATTTACGGATTCAACACTGTTCCTATCAAATTAGCAACATCATTTTTCACAGAATTAGAAAAATATTCTAAAATTCATATGGAACAACAACAACAAAAAAGAGCCTAAATAGCCAAAGCAATCCTAGTCAAAAAGAACAAAGCTGGAGACATCACATCACCCAACTTCAAAACATAAGGCTACAATAACCAAAACAGGATGGTACTGGTACGAAAAGACAAATAGACCAATGGAACAAAACAGAAAACCCAGAAATAAAGCCACACACCTACAACTATCTGATCTTTGACAAAGTTAAAAATAAGCAACGGGGAAAGGACTCCCTACTCAATAAATGGTGCTGGGATAATTAGCTAGCCATATGCCGAAGAAACTGAACCCTTACCTTTCACCATATACAAAAATTAACTCAAGCTGGATTAAAGATTTAAATGTAAGACCTCAAACTATAAATATACAAGAAGAAAATCTAGGAAATACCTTCTGGACATCAGCCTTGCCAAAGAATTTATGGTTAAGTCTTCAAAAGCAACTGCAACAAAACCAAAAATTGACCAGTGGGACCTAATAAGAGCTTCTGCACAGCAAAAGAAACCATCAACAGAGTAAACAGACACCCTAACAAATGGGAGAAAAATATTCACAAACTGTGCATCCAACAAAGGTCTAATATCTAGAATCTATAAGGAACTTAAAAAATTCAACAAGTGAAAAAACAACCCCATTAAAAGGTGGACAAAAGGCCAGGCACAATGGCTCACGCCTGTAATCCCAGCACTTTTGGGAGGTTAAAGTGGGCAGATTGCTTGAGACCAGGAGTTCAAGACTAGCCTGGGCAACATGGTGAAACCCTGCCTCTACAAAAAAAAAAAAAAAAAATTAGCCAGGCATGGTGGCACCTGCCTATAGTCCCAGCTACTCGAGGGGCTGAGGCAGGGGGATCACCTGAGCCTGGGAGCTTGAGTCTGCAGTGAGCTGAGACTGACTGTACAACTGCACTCCAGCCTGGGCAACAGAGTGAGTCCCTGTATCCAAAAAAAAAAAAAATGTGGGCAAAGGACATGGACACTTCTTAAAAGAAGTCATATACAAGTGGCCAACAGACATATGAAAAAAATGCTCAACAAAACTAATTGTCAGAGAAATGCAAATCAAAACCACAATGAGATACCATCTCACTCCAGTCAGAATGGCTATTATTAAAAAGTCAAAAAGTAACAGATGCTGGTGAGGCTGCAGAGAAAAAGGAACTTAGACACTGTTGATGGGAATGTAAATTAGTCCAGCCACTGTGGAAAGTGGTTTGGGGAGTTCTCAAAGAATGTGAAATCAAACCACTATTCAACCCAGCAATTCCACTACTAGGTATATCACCCAAAGGAAAATAAATTATTCTACCATAAAGACACATGCACTCATATGTTCATCACAGCACTATTCACAATAGCAAAGACACGGTATCAACCTAGGAGGACTGGATAAAGAAAATATGGTACTTATATACCATAGAATACTATGTAGCCATAAAAAAGAATGAAATCATGTTCTCTGCAGCAACATGGATGCAGCTGGAGGCCATTATCCTAAGTGAATTAATACAGAAAACCAAATACCGCATGTTGTCGTCTATAAGCAGGAGCTAAACACTGGGTACACACAGACATAAAGATGGGGACTACTAGATGGGGAGAGAGGGAAGAGGAAGGGCTGAAACACTACCTATCAGGTACTATGCTCACTGCCTGGGTGACAGGACCATCTGTGCCCTAAACCTCGATGTCATGCAACAAACCCACGTGACAGACCTGCACATGTATCTTCTCAATCTAAAATAAAAGCTGAAATTATATTTTTAAATGAAAAAATAAAATTGGCAGTTTCTAGGTTGTTTCTTAGGTGACCCAACTAAGCTTAAATTTCAGTGGGTAACAAGATGATTTGTGCCTTAAAAAAAATCCTTAAATGTATACGTAGTGTAGATGTAGCTCATTTGGTCTTTGAAAAGAAGGGGAGAAAACGGGAAGAGGTTGGGAACAACAGGCTATGGACATCTCAATAGGCTTCTGATGTCAGCTGGCAAGGTGGGTCTATAGGCTCAGAAGAAAGGCCTCTATAGGGGTAAGGGACAATGTCAGGCTGAGGTCCTGGTAAGAGTTGGGCTTTCCTCTTCATTTAAAAATGACCAGCCATTTCCTCCCACTAGCCATAGAGAAACACCCTCACAAAAGAAGCCTGCAGAAAGGCAACTAGGTAACTAACTAGACCTATAAAAAGCCCAACTCTAGGAAAACAGAAATATAACCAGGAAAACACAGAATTTTAAATAAGAGCCTTTATCTCCTCCAGCCAGTAAAGGCTTCCTAAGTCCCTTATGCATGAGTCTCAATGCCTCCAACAATTTTCAAATACCTAGGTAGAAACAACTCCAACTTTTCCTCCTATCAACCTCTCCTGATCTGATGGGCTAATTTAAAAAGTACAGATAATGTGGAATATTGCTGTAGGACTGATAATGTTTAATATATGTTAATAGACTAGGATTATAATCAGTTAACTCTCATCTTCTAATTTTCTCACATCTAAGATACTTATTCAAAGAGTAAAGTTTGAATCCTAGCTACCCTTTTCACACAGTTCAGATTACTGACACTCTAACCTAATTCACTCAACATTATTGTAAACCAGGAGTTAGCGAACTTTTTCTGTAAAGGGCTAATCAGTAAATATTTTTTGCTTTGCAGGCTATTTGGTCTGTGTCCTAATCAATTCTGCCATTGTAGTGTAAAATAAACCATGGGCAATATGTAAACAAACTGATGTGGTTGGGTTCCAATAAAATTTGACTTATGGACACTGAAATTTGAATTTCATATAATTTTTACATGTCATGAACTATTCTGAGTTTTTTCCCAACCATTTAAAAATGAAAAGCCCATTCTTAGCTTATGGACTGTACAAAAACAGGTAGCAGACTAGATTTGGCTGGCAGGCCACAGGGTGCCAATCGTGCTCTTAACTAAGACTTGATGCCTCACTGAAGAAACTGAAAATTTAGACTTTTCCTGATAAAAAGTAGATATTTCAAACCAGTATCTCACCATAAACCTATGTTAAAGTTTCAGCTTGAGGGAGGCGAAAATTCTGTAAGTACACAGCAATACATTACAGTGGAAACAGTACCTGAAAATAAGACCTGCAACTTACTAGGTATGTAAAGCTACAAAACTCACTTATTTTTTCTGGGGCTTAATTCCTTCCATTCTAGTCCGTTTTTAACAATCTTCCACATCATTGAAAGAGAGCAGGAGTTACAACTAGAATTTACTAACGTTAAATTCTGTCTGAGATGTATAGTAAATACTTATATATTTCACTGTGCAATTCCCTATGATGCCAAGCCACTTTCAAAAGAAGTCTTTTATCAATATTATTCCAGTCTATTATAAAATCTAGAGCTGACTTATACTTTCAATAGCCTGAGCAGTGAAAAATCCCAACAGAAAAAAAAAAAATTAACCCACGTCCAGGCATACCTAAATCAAACTGCTGAAAGTAATACAAAGAAAAAAATCTTGAAAGCAGCAGCTATTACATTACCTTATGGGGGTACAACATTTAGAATGACAGTGGATTTTTAATCAGAAACCATGGAGGCCAGGCTGGGTGTGGTGGCTCACGCCTGTAACCCCAGTACTTTGGGAGGCCAAGGTGAGTGGATCACTTGAGGTCAGGAGTTTGAGACCAGCCTGGCAAACATGGTGAAACCTCATCTCTACTAAAGATACAAAAAATTAGCTGCATGGTGGCACGTGCCTGTAGTCCCACTTACTCAGGAGGCAGAGACAGGAGAATCACTTGAACCAGGGAGGCGGAGGTTGCAGTGAGCTGAGATCATGCTACTGCACACCGGCCTGGGCAACAGAGCGAGACTCCGTCTCAAAAAAGAAACCATGGAGGTCAGAAGGAAGTGGCACAACACGTTTGAAGTGCTGGGGGTAAAAAAAATGTCAACACAGAATTCTATACTCAGCAAAAATGTCCTTCAGAAATGAGAATTTATAGCCAGCAGACCTACTCTAAACGAACTGCTAGAGGATGTTCTTCAGACAATTGGTAAATGATACCAGAAGGAAACTTAGAATATTAGGAATGAAAAGAGCAACATAAATGGTGAATATTTGGATAAATACAATATACTATCCTTTTCTTGAGTTCTTTAAAATATGTTTGGTGGCTGACAGCAAAAATGGTAACAATGTGTGAAGGAATTTTCAACAGGTATAGGTGTAATATATAAGACAACTATGACATAAAGAAAGGAGGATAAAGGGACCTATAGGGTGGTAAGGTTTCTGCATTCCTCTTGAAGTGGTAAAGCACTTACTCTAAGTAGACTGTATAAAACTATGTATATTATAATCCCTAGAACAACCACAAAAAACAAAGAGATAACTAAAAAATCACAGTAGGTAAATAAAAATGTAGTAGCACTAAAAATGTTCACATAACCAAAAGAAGACAGGAAAATGGGAAAAAAGAGGAAATAAAAACAGGTATCAAAAATAAAAAACGACAGATGTAAAACAATCATATCAATAATTACATTAAATGTAGTGGTCTAAACATTACAATTTAAAGACAGATTTTTAGAATGGATTTTTAAAACATGACCCAACTACACACTATCTGTAAGAAAATCACTTCAAATACAATGATATAAGTAAGTGAAAAGCAAAAGGATGGAAAAAGATATGTGATGCAAACACTGATTAAAAGAAACAATTTATTTATTTGTTTATTTATTTGAGATGCAGTTTTGCTCATCGCCCAGGATGGAGTGCAGTGGCGTGATCTCAGCTCACTGCAACCTCCACCTCCCAGGTTCAAATGATTCTCCTGCCTCAGCTCCCAAGCAGCTGGAATTATAGGCGCCCACCACCATGCCCGGCTACTTTTTGTATTTTTAATAGAGATGGGGTTTCACCATGTTGGTCAGGCTGGTTTCAAACTCCTGACCTCAGGTGATCTGCCCGCCTCGGCCTCCCAAAGTGCTGGGATTACAGGCGTGAGCCACCACGCCTGGCCAAAAGGAGTAATTTAGAGCAAAGAAAATTACCAAGATAGAAGAGGGATGCAGAGGGACATGACATAATGTTAAAAGGGTTAACATACCCAAAAGACTTAACAATCCTAAATGTGTAAACATTTACAATAGTGTTTCAAAATACGTGAAGCAAAACTCTAAGATCTAAAATAATAGAAAAATCCAATTACACTTGGAGGTTTCAACACTCTAATTAATATACAGAACTAGTAGACAGAAAATCAGCAAAAATATACAAGAACTGAACACCATCATCAACCGTCATTACCTGACATGTACAGAACACTTCACCCCAAAATAGCAGAATACGTGTTCTTTCAATAAGATAGACCATATCCTAGATCATAAAACAAACCTTCCAAAATATAAAATATGGAAATCATAAAGAGCATGTTCCCTGACCATAAAGGAATTAAGAATCAACAACAGAGACATAAGAGGAAGATCTCCAAACACTTGGATATTAGACAGCATATATTTAAATAATCCACGAATCAAAGAGAAACTTTCAAGATAAATTATAAAATATTTTGAACTCAAGAAAACCAAAAATATAACCCATTTTGTGGACTACAGTGGAAACAGTGCTTAGAGAGAAATTTATAGGATTAAATTCTCTTTTAGGAGGAAAAAAGGTCTCAAAAAAACAACCTACACTTTTACCTTAGGGAACTATGAAAAGAAGAGCAAAATAAATCCAAAGCAAGATGATTAGGAAACAGTCAAGATAAAGGACTAAACAGAAAAACAACAGAGAAAAATCGATGAAGCCAAAAGTTGGTTCTTTGAAAAGATCAACAAAATTGATAAACCTCTAGCACAATTGAAAAGCAAAAAAGAACACTCAAATTACTAATATCAAGAATGAAAGAGGGGATATTACTACAGGTCCTGCAGATATTAAAAGGATAATAAATGGACACTATGAACAACTGCACACATAGACAACTTAAATGAAATGGAGCAATCCCCTGTAAATAACAAACTACTAAAACTCATTGAAAATAAAATAAATAACCTGAATACTCCCATAACTACTAAGGAAACTGAATTCAAAGTTTAAAACCTTTTAAAAAAGAAATGCCCAGACCCAGATAGTTTTACTGGCAAATTCCAACAAACATAAAAAAAAAATCTACAAGATCTCTTCCAGAATATGGGCAAGGAGGGAAGCTTTCCCAACTCATTTTATGAAGCCTTGATACCAAACACAGACAATACATACAAAAAGAGAAAACTACAGACCAATATCCCTCATGAACATAGAAACAAACACCTCCAACAAAATATTAGCAAATCTAACAGCAATATGTAAAAATAATAATACCCCTCAACCAAGTGGGGTTTACCCTAGGAATGTAAGGCAGGTTGGGTTCAGTGTTCAAAAATCAATGTATTCTTGGGAGGCTGAGATGGGCGGATCACCTGAGATCAGGAATTCAAGACCAGCTTGGCCAACATGGCGAAACCCCGTTTCTACTAAAAATACAAAAATTAGCTGGGTATGGTAGCAGGCGCCTGTAATCCCAGCTACTCAGGAGGCTGAGGCAGGAGAATTGCTTGAACCCAGGAAGCGGAGGTTTCAGTGAGCCAAGATCGTGCCACTGCACTCCAGCCTGGGTGACAGAGTGAGACTCTATCTCAAAAAAAAAAAAAAAAAAATCAATGTATTCAACCACGTTAAATCTAAAAAAAGAAAAATCAGCCAGGCGTGGTGGCTCATACCTGTAATCTCAGGAGGTCGAGGCTTTAGCCCAGGAGATCAAGGCTGCAGTGAGCCGTGTTCACGCCACTGCACTCCAGCCTGGGTGACAGAGAGAAACCTTGCCTCAAAAAAAAAAAAAAAAAAAAAAGTGAAAGACTTAAAGTTGAAACAAGAAAAAGATGCCCTTTCTCATGACTCCTATTCAATGTCATACTGGAAGTATCAGCCTGTACAATAAGGCAGCAGTCCCCAACCTTTTTGGCACCAGGGACAGGTTTCAATTTTCCACGGACGGGGGAAGGGAGGATGATTTTCCAGATGAAACTGTTCCATCTCAGATCATCAGGTATTAGATTCTCATAAGGAGTGTGCAACCTAGATCCCTCACATTAGCGGTTCACAACAGGGTTTGTGCTCCTATGAGAATCTAATGCAACCACTGATCTGATAGGAGGTGGAGCTCAGGCAGGAATGTTTGCTTGCCCACTGTTCACCTCCTCCTGTGTGGCCTGGTTCCTAACAGGCCACAGACTGGTAAGAGTCCACAGCCTATTTTTTGTAGAGAGAGACAAGCAGCTTCTAAAATTTATAAAGAACAGCAAAAGAACTAGAAGAGCCAAAAACGCTTTTTAAAAAGAAGAATAAAATTGGAGGAATAATAACAATTGAATTTAAAACTTACTATAAAGCTATAGTAATCAAGATAGTGGTATTGGCAAAGTGATTAAAAACAGACCAGCAAGCTGGGCACAGTGGCTCATGTCTGTAATCCCAGCACTTTGGGAGGTTGAAGCAGGTGAATCACTTGAGGTCAGGAGTTTGAGACCAGCCTGGCCAACATGGCAAAACCCCGTCTCTACTAAAAATACAAAAATTAGCTGGGCATGGTGGTGGGCACCTATAATACCAGCTACTCGGGAGGCTGAGGCACGAGAATGGCTTGAACCTGGGAGGTGGAGGTTGCAGTGTGCTGAGATCGCACCACTGTACACGCCAGCCTGGGAGCCAGAGTGAGACTGAGAATAAACCAACAGAACAAAAGAGAGACCAGAAACTGACCCTCATAAATATAGGCAACTGATTTTCAACAAAGATGCAAAAGTAAATTAAAGACATCCATATACACAAAAATAGACCTTCACCTAAACCTCACTCCATTTACAAAGATTAACTCAAAATAGACATAAATGTAAAATTATAAAACTTTTATAAGCAAGTTTTTCTTATAAACATAGAAGAAGGCCGGGCACGGTGGCTCAGGCTTGTAATCCCAGCACTTTGGGAGGCCGAGGTAGTTGGATCGCTTGAGATCAGGAGTTGGAGACCAGCCTGGCCAACATGGTAAAACCTCACATCTACTAAAAATACAAAAAAAAAGGCCGGGCGCGGTGACTCACGCCTGTAATCCCAGCACTTTGGGAGGCCGAGGCGGGCAGATCACGAGGTCAGGAGATCGAGACCATCCTGGCTAACACAGTGAAACCCCGTCTCTACTAAAAATATAAAAAATTAGCCAGGCGTGGTGGCAGGCACCTGTAGTCCCAGCTACTCGGGAGGCTGAGGCAGGAGAATCGCTTGAACCCGGGAGGCGGAGCTTGCAGTGAGCCGAGATCGCGCCACTGTACTCCAGCCTGGGTGACAGAGGGAGACTCCGTCTCAAAAAAAAAAAAAATTTGCCAGGCGTGGTGGTGTGCGCCTGTAGTCCCACCTACTCGGGAGGCTGAGGCATGAGAATTGCTTGAATCTGGGAGGCAGAGGTTGCAGTGAGCCAAGATTGTACCACTGCACTCCAGCTTGGGTGACAGAGCCGAGACTCCGTCTTAAAAAAAACAAAATGAAAATCTTGCTTAGTGAATGACACCATTAAGACAATGAAAAGCCAAGTTACATACAAAAAATATTTGCTGATAAATCAAATAACCAAAGGATTTTTACCCAGACTATTAGGGAAAAAACCTCAAAAACAACAGTAAGAAACAACCCAACTTAAATAAGAAACACTTGAACAAATACTTCTCTGAACTAATACTTGGGCAAAATACTTCTCTCTGATGGGTTTGACAAAAGTCATGAATTTGAAATTAGCCCAGCATTTTTTTTTTTTTAATTTTAAGGATGTGAACAACACTGCTTCCAGCTTTCTACATCCTGGGGCAGAAGCTGGCCGAGCTAATTACTTTTTCTAAAACACTTTATTGTGAAACATTAAATAGTAGATTTTTTGTTTTTAAATAATCACCAGGAAAAGTGGGTTGAAATTTTTTCTTCCACTCCTGTTCTCAATCCACTCCACCTCATCCTCCCTGGTATTTTAAAAGTTTGGTTCACACTTCCTCTGCAGAGGATTCCCTATACTGCATACGAAGTTGGCACTTTGATCCTTTTGTATGAATGGGAATCACACCTGGATTACTTCTGAGTTTGAATTTTTATTGTAAGATGTTTCATGCTTCTTTCAATAAAGTTGTCAAGCTGACTCAGAATACTTATAAATACCAGAATTAGTGAACCATGTTTTAACCTGTTCTTCCTGGTTCTCTGCATATTTCAAATTTGTGTGTTTAATATTCAGTGGTCTTATACTGTATATAACTAAGCTTTTGTTAATGTGAAGGAGTTCCACTCTTTTGCATTACTCCATTTTTAGTTCTTTGGGTAATGACAAGGCCGACTGCCACCCTCCGTTTGGGCTCTGCTCTCCATTTTTATTCTGGACAACCGCAAATCAGTGATTGACATTAACAACCAGTGGAGCTAGTTTTTGACAAAGGGGAGAGGGAACATGGGGATGTGCAGGGCCAAGCACAGTGCCCACAACACAATGGCCATTAGCTGAATTTGTTGATTTGATTATGCTGTTCAGTAGTATGAAAAGGAAAAGTATTAAAATCTGTTAGAGAAAAAGAGGATATACATGAGCTATAGTATATTTTGCCAAAGCTATTAGATTTTTGAGGCAGCTGATAGTTTATCAATTTTTATTGCTATGATATAGTTATTTTATGGCCATTACTAGGAAAGCCAGATTATAGAAATATTGTTTAACAAGAAAGACCCTGTGAGTCTGTTTGCCATGGATCTCCTAAAACAAAGGCTCTTAATGTCATCCTCTCAGCTTATAGACAGAACAATAACATGATAGGAAGGAACATTAGTTTCTCATTTTGTGAGAGAAGTCCCAGAAAGTCTTTCTGCAGTGTTCTTGAGTACCTGCAGAGGTATCCAAAATTATTCCTGTGAAGACCTCTTCAAGTACTAGCATGATCACAAAGGTATTTGAAGGTGCTAGCACAGCATCAAAACCAACAGTCAGTAATGGATTTCAGGGACTCTGTACAGGATGGGTCATGACCCACAGGCAATGTTGTAGAATGTTTGGGTATCGAAATATAATTTTCAAAATTAAAAACATGACTCATACAAATGTAGACTGAACACATGTCAAAGACATTTAACTTATTAGGGAACTAACAGGATTTAAAGCTTATTCAAAGAATATTTGAGAGACTTGCTATATATAGGCCTTGAAAGAATGCTCGAATAAAATTGCTAAATTAGAAAAGTGGTTATGCCCTATAGGAAAATTAATCTGTAGTCTTTAGGATAATTTCTTCTACCAAACAGAAAATTTTACATCTCTACCAGGCAAAAATCTATAAGTTAACATGTTGCTTGAAAAGGTCTCGACTCTAATCATTAGTGAACAGTGAGCCAAACAAAGATGCAATCCCCTAGAGAACTAAGTAATTCTTGGGTGGGCCCGTCAGCCAATGCTCCAGTACGACACTGAAAGGATATTCAGACATCCTTTTGCTTTAAGTAACTTCTATTAACAGGGGACTAGTTATTTTGTAACTAAGTCTTTGAAAGTAAAATTAAGGTCCTAGGGGGCCACCTTTTAGAACAGTGTTGTAGTGCTTACGTATTTTTACTTTACACAGGCATTTCAAAACAGTCATTTATTTACCTTTTAAACAAATCATAGAATCTTAGAAGTCAGATCAGATCCAGCTATCTTCTAGTACAAGAATGCTTTCTTTAGTAGCCTTGACAGGTGATCATGAAGCATTGGTATACAAGGAAGAAGGAAACTAACATTGAGTGCCTATTATATGCAAGTTTATTTTCAAAGGGCCAAACTTCTTTTCACATAGTAACATGTTACCTATATATTTAGCCACATTTATCAAATAAATGGATTTCTTCAGCATAATTGCTTTGATTACGCTTTAATTTAAAAAAATTTATATAGGCTGGGCGTAGTGGCTCATGCCTGTAATCGCAGCACTTTGGGAGGCCGAGGCAGGTGGATCGCCTGAGGTTAGGAGTTCAAGACCAGCCTGGCCAACATAGTGAAACCCCCGTCTCTACTAAAAATACAAAAAATTAGCTGGGCATGGTGGCGGGCACCTGTAATCCCAGCTACTCAGGAGGCTGAGGCAGGAGAATCGCTTGAACCCGGGAGGCAGAGGTTGCAGTGAGCTGAGATCGTGCCATTGCATTCCAGCCTGGGCAACAAGAGCAAGACTCTGTCTCAAATAAAAAAAAAAAAATTTACATATACTCTAATTTACCCTTTTTAACGTACAGTTAAAGTTTTGACAAATGTATACTATTGTAATCACTACCACAAACAATATATTAAAAAGTTCCAGGCATAATTGTTTTTAAAATGTCAATTAATCAACAGGTATTTATTGACTACTGATGTGTCTAGTAGTCGCTGGTTAGTCTTTAAGTGGAGATATGCTGGCAATGAGAAAAGGCATAAGTAAAAGGTATTATGCCTGCCTCCAAAGAATTCCCATAGTTTAATCATTAAAGGCATTGTCCTACACATAAACCAAGCACCAGATGCAGGAAAACACAGGCAATCCACTAGGTAATCATCTGTGTGAGATGTGGGCTCTACTTTTGACATTGCCTCCATGTGACTTTGAATAAGCCATTTATTATTATTTCTTATCTGGGCCTTCCTTTCCTCATTCATAACTAGAAGGGGCTGTCTCAATTTCTAAGGTTCCTCCTAATTATAAGCACATGTGATTCAGGTAGTGCGCGTTCAGGGTATGGATGGGGGGCTGGGAAGTTGAGAAGAGCTTTATGGCACTGAGGTGGTCAATGGGTTGACCCCACAGGGTTAGAGAATAAGGGTAAGTAGGAGGGACGCAACATGGAGCTGAGGTGGGGTGTAATGAACTGTCTGTCATAGGGCTGTGATGGGGGCAAATGGATGGATGCTGGTGCAGTGGGGCAAAGAAGAACTTCAAGGTGTTATTCTGGAAGAATGTGTTGAAGTCAAGCTTTGAACTTTTGTGAGAGCCAAGAGGACTGGGAAGTTTGGTTGTCTATTAAGCAAAGAGAGGAGTGACACCACAATGACAGTAATCCACAACAGTCTTTTACTGAAAACCTGCCATGGTCATGCCCTCTAGGCCCTGGGGATATAGCAGTACAAACCCTGCCCTTTCAGTTATTTATTGCTATGTAATTCACCCCAAAACTTAGTAGCTTAAAATAATAACCATTTTATTAGCTCACAATTCTGTGGATTAGCAATTTCGGCTAGAATCAGCTAGGTGGTTGTTCTGCTGGTCTTTTCTGTGGTCCTTCATATGGTTACAGTCATCTGCCAATGTGACTGGGGCTGAATGTTCTAAGATGGCTTCACTCACATATCTGATGGCTGGTTGATGACTGGATCTCTCTCTCCCTCTCCATACCATCTCTCTTCCTCCAGCAGGTTAGCTGGGGCTTCCTCACATGGTTGCCTCAGAATGGAGAGTAAGAAAGAAGCTACAACACTTCTTGAGACCTAGGCTCATAAGTCATCTGGAGTTACCTGTGCCATGTTTTACTGACCAAAGTGAGTCACAAGGACAGCCCAGATTCAAGGAGTAGAGAAACAGACTCCACCTCTTGTTGCAAGGATCTGCAAAATCACACTCTAAGTGTACATACAGAGATGAAAGGACATTGTAGCCAGTAAGTACTCTACCACACTATCCCATCTGGGTAAATGAGTGTTGAGCACATTTAGTCCTGTGGGGCTTCAGAGGTGGAAGAAACCACTGTAGTGAAAAGATGAGCTTTTCACTGGGTCCTGAAGAACACACAGGATGGAACAAACTCAGAGCAATATGGAGAACACTCCAGGCAGAGGCAGACGGTCAGAATGACTCATGGTATGTTTAGACTCTAGTGAATACATGCTTGGACAGAGTGGCTAGAGAAAAGTATTTGAGAGGAGTCAAGGGTAGTGGGAAAGATTATGATTGGGTATGGGGGACCTTGAATGTCAGGTTCTAGAGGGTACACACACTACTTACTGTGCAGTGCACAGCCAGAGGTCAGTGGTAGCCTAGTGGTGAGGGTGGGAAACAAGGGTATAGTGAAAAAGCCTTTTGAGTCTGCATCTTTATGGACAGCAGTCCAGAAGGAAGTTGAGTCGGACTTGGAATATGGTGACACAGAGATTATGGGAAGAAAGTAGCCTAGAGACAATTACCCTAAAGGCAAGTGTCTACACGGATTATCCTTAAGAGGCTAAGGGGCATAATTGGAGCTCTTTCAAGTAAGTTTATTTAGAAGTCTAAAAAAGCTCCTTCTTGCATGTTAATTTTCTAATCCATACTATCAACTAAAGAAAGAAAAAAGTTTCTTCTGGATTTATGTTAGTTATTCCAAAGAGAGCTAAATTTAGGCTTATCACACACACATACACAAACACCGCTCCTGTATAAGTTTCATGTGAGACAAGTAGGATACAGCTGTTTATAGTCAAAGTTTTGTCTATATTTGAAAAGACAAAATTCCTGGTGTTAACATTGTTTAAGTGGGCAAGGAATCATGAGGAAGGCTAGAAACCAAACTGGAGCCAGGGAAGAGCTGTCTGCAATCTACACTCTGAAGCCATACTTTACCCAGGCAGACTGTACAGCCACACTTTTCACAACGGTAGCATGGCAAAGCAGCAGTTTTGACAATCTGCAAAATGTGTATTTCTTTTCCTAACTATTGTTTTCCACAGGAAGTATATAGCCATTAGATCACGCTACATGCAGCTGGGGAGGGTGGCTCACATTTGTAATCTCAGCACTTTGGGAGGCTGAGGCAGGAGAATCACTTGAGGCCAGGAATTTAAGACCAGCCTGCACAATATAGTGAGACCCTGTCTCTACAAAAAACAAAACAAAACAAAACAAAACAAAACCCACCATTTAATTAGCTAGGCATGGTGGTGTGCACCTGTAGTCCTAGCTACTCAGGAAGCTGAGGTAGAACAATTGCTTGAGCCCAGAAGTTCAAGGTTACAGTGAGCTATGATAGCACCACTGTACTCCAGCCTCGGTGACAGAGTGAAATCCTGTCTTTAAGAAAAACCAAAAAACACAAATAAGAACATGTTACATGTAATTTTTTTTTACACAAAATGATAATCGATATTTGGTTTGTTAATTGAATAAGAGGCAGCAAGTCCCCTTCAGGTATTTGTGGGAGATAAGATGCAGAGAACCTGAAGGTTTTCTATCACTCTGTCTAGCTGTATACCTGCAAGTCACATGTACACAAATAGGTCACAGAGTAAGGAAGTATGGCATTAGGGCCAAAGTGAATAGAAAAGACAGGACTTAATGAGGAAATATGTAGTAGGGGATGGCATCCAAAAGAATAGAGTTGGGGATAGTGGAAAATCTCTCGCTGAGATAGAATTTACAGGAATTTGGAAGAATTGGCCCAGGCAGGATTGGCAGGGCAAAGAGGGAAGGATTTCCCAGCTGTGAGGAAAGGTGCAGGTAAACATGAGTGTTGGATTGTTGATGGTACGGGAGAGGGAAGGCAGTGCAGAAACAGTCCAGAGGTGACATCTCTTAAGATTGTGTGCTCAAGACTTTTTGTTCCACCCAGTTCTGCTGAAATCCCAGATAAAGAACTGTCACAGTTGATGGACTGTACCATGTGAAAACATTACAAAATGATGAACAGACAATAAAAGAACATTTAGGTTCCTTATTGCAAATGCTGAATTTCATCCACTGCCTGGTGAGTGAATGGGTAGTCTTCTGTGCGCACCTCATAGGATACGGGAAAATTCTCCAGGGGAAAACATATCCTCTCTGCCCTTGGTGCCTGCTCAGACTGAGCCAGACCATACTATGTGGCAGTTATGCAAGAAAGGGTCTCCACTGCATTTTCTAATGGTATAGTGCTCTAGGGCAAGACTTGCTGAGTATTTCTGTAATTCCGACCTCAATGTGTTTCTCAAAACTGGGGAGATTAAGCCAGGTGGTGGCTCCCACCTGTAATCCCAGCACTTTCTGAGGCCAAAGCAGGTGGATCTCCTGAGCTCAATAAGTGTTCACTGATTCTGAGCTACTTTTTGCAGCTTCTTACATGAAATATAGCAATGTACTCAATTTTTGGTGAATCTGATTCTTCAGTGTTGACAGGGCAAGTCAAACCACCAAACTTGGGCATCTGGTCCAACCTTTGGATGTTATACAAGACTCTCATACATCTATGTTCCTAAACCTTTTCACCACTGAGGACTTCTGAAATTTTCCCCAGGGACAACATATTTTGAAGGCTTGCCTACCAAACACGCCACACTTATAGATTACTTAATTTCTCCATTTTAATTCATCAAAGATGAATGTTTCTCACAAAAAGGGTTCTATTAAACATGAGATAATAATATATTCAGTATGTCATACATTGCTCAGCATTTTATCCTTAATATGTCATTTATTTCACACAATACCAGTGGTTAACTTCATTTTACAAACGAGGAAACTGAGGCACAAAGAGGTTAAACTGACTCAAGGTTGCAGAGCTAGTAAAAAGAAAAAGCAGGATTCAAACTTGGGTCTCTGCTACTCTATCCATCCTAGCATTCAAACTCTAGCTAACTAGTTTTACCATGAATGGTAGTACAATTCTAGCCATCATACTCCCAGGTATTTATCCTAGAGAAATGCAAACTTATATGCACACAAACACATGTACATGAATTTTTATAGCGGCTCTACTCAATCAACAAAAACTGGAAACAACTCAAATGCCTTTCAATGGTGAATGATTAAACAAGCTGTGGTATATTTGGACAATGGAATACTACTCAGCAATAAAAAGGAACAAACCATTGATATATACAACTTGGATGAATCTCAAAAGCATTACCCTGAGAGAGGAAAATGAGACTCAAAAGATTACAGTTTGACTCCATTTATGTGATACTCTCAAAATAACAAAACTGTAGTGATAGAACACAGATCAGTGGCTGCCAGAGTTTAGGATGGAAAGAGAGTATGACTAAAGAGTCAGCACAAAGGAATTTTTTGGGTAATAGAACTGTTCTGCACCTTGATTGTGGTGGATTGTGGTGGTGGTTGCACTGATCTATTTATGTGTTAAAAATCCACAGAACGGGGTCAGGTGTGGTGGCTCACGCCTGTAATCCCAGCACTTTGGGAGGCCAAGGTGGGAGGATCACTTGAGCCCAGGAGTTCAAGACTAGCCTGGGCAACATAGTGAGACCTCGTCTCTACAAAAAAACTAAAACATTAGCTAGGTGTGGTAATGCGTGCCTGTAGGCCTAGCTACTCAGGAGGCTAAGGTAGGAGGATTGCTTGAGCCCAGGAGTTCGAAGCTACAGTGAGTGACAACTGTGACACTCCAGCTTGGGCAACAAAGTGACACCCTGTCTTAAAAAAAAAATCCACAGAACCATAAATAACCCCAAAAAAGTCCAACCTACTGTATAATTTTTTTAAGTCAATAGGCCAGGTGTAGTGCCTCAGGCCTACAATCCCAGCACTTTGGGAAGCTGAGGCAGAAGGATTGCTTGAGCCCAGGAGTTCAAGACCAGCCTGGGCAACACAGTAAGGTCCCATCTCTTAAAATAAAATAAAATAAAATAAAATAAAATAAAATAAAATAAAATAAAATAAAATTAGCTGGGCATGGTGGTGTACACCTGTAGTCCTAGCTACTCAGGAAGCTGAGGTGGGAAGATTACTTGAGCCCAGGAGTTTGAGGCTGCAGTCAGCTATGATAGGGCCAGTGCACTCCAGCCTGGGTGATGGAGTAAGACCCTGACTCTCAAAAAAGAAAAAAAAAAGTCAATAGGTCATCTTTTTTTTTTTTTTTTTTAGACGGAGTCTTGCTCTGTTGCCCAGGCTGGAGTGCAGTACTGTGATCTCGGCTCACTGCAAGCTCTGCCTCCCGGGTTCACGCCATTCTCCTGCCTCAGCCTCCCAGGTAGCTGGGACTACAGGCGCCTGCCACCACGCCCAGCTAATTTCTTTTTGTATTTTTAGTAGAGACCGGGTTTCACTGTGTTAGCCAGGATGGTCTCGATCTCCTGACCTCATGATCCCCCTGCCTCAGCCTCCCAGAGTGCTGGGATGACAGGCGTGAGCCACTGCGCCCAGCCAATAGGTCATCTTTTTGGTCACTACTAATTTCTGTGTTTCCCATTTACTACAACATTTCCACTGACCACTAACGTAGGATTTAACAATTAAAATAGCTATACTATAAAGTGAAACAAAGAACTATCATCAGGTCACACATCCCCACTGAATGATAATAGTCATCTCTTTAAATAAGCATTCCTTAAAAGTTAAATAAATTTGAGAGCTTATTCCCTTAAAAATAAAAGTATTTACTAAGTTATTAGATGGCATGATATTTCACACAGCAATTTCTACAGTCAAACAGAAATAGTAATCAAAATTAACCCTGGGAAGGAGAATGTGATAGGAGGAGGATGTCAAGAACAACCATGGCTCTTTCTACAATTTTTCAATTTTTTGCTAGGATGCATTCATGTATCATTAGTATAAAAATAGAATTCTTAAAAGAATTAAACCTTTCTAGATTGAAATGGAGATACTGTGCAAGTTGCAATATCCTTCCCTCCATGGAGTTTCCACTGCCCTTGGGGACCCCTTGGTTATTCCACTTACCTAGTCAGGTTTGTATTCTACTCAATACCTAGTGCCTCACTCATAGTACAGTGGGCACTCAACAAATGTCTGCTGAAGCGAATGGCACCTGGCGATGTGGATAACAAAAATGACAAAAACATGGTCACTAACAAAATCTACAATCTAAATAGATAAAATCATGCTCTAATTTTCAGTGACGCAAATTACTGAGTGCTAATGACATATTCAAAAACTACAAAGGCATACATTGAATTTTGGAAGAAAGCAAGACAAACGTATAATGTTTAAGTGGTATAGAGGATTTTTAAGCCTAAAACAGGGAGAAACCAAACTAGAATCAATTATTCCTGGCTCCCTAGTCATAAAACCATAAAATTCAAGAGAGTAAGAAAAAGAAACATAAAGGAAAACTAACCTGTACTGAGTTTCTATGTACCATGCATTGCATTAGACATTTATATAGATTAAAACTTCCAGGTTTCAGCTTGGATATAAAGCACTGGGATGCTACCATCTCCACTCTCACTAAAAGAAAAATGCTAGACAAACTGAAAAGCAACTACTTTTCTTCAATATGACAGAACTGAGGTCCTAGGACAAACCACTGTCCCACAATCCCAATATATGGAAATACTCATACCCGCAGGGAGACACAGGATCCGAGCATATAAACTTGTAGGAGGACCAAACTAGAAGTTCTGACAAATTACTGGAGACCAGAGTATGAGCTGGCATGAGAGTGTGAAGCTTGTAAGAGGTTGCTACACTCTTACAAGCTTTTCCTACAGGAATTCCACCAGGCTCTCACAGGGAAGATCAGGGAAAAATCTCAGAGAAAGCGCCCACCATGGTGCTGGCTAGCTGGCTGAGGAAAACAGCACCCACTGTGAAACCTACCCAGATCCCTTTATCCCCAATACAGAAAAAAAGGCTTAGTCTTTGGGGGAAGGACTTGAAACCCATGGTTGGAGAACACTGGTGGATACCCACTGCAGCTAGGGTAAAGGAACATGGGAAAAAGAAAAAGAAGCTCCAGTCCAGGAGGAGGAAAAGTAAATCTTGCCAAGGACACACTCAAGACCCAGGCTCTAGTACCTGTCTAAGTAAGGTTTAATCAGATCATCAGAGAACTCCCTCCTCCCCTACTAACCACAACCTGGCAAACCAGCTCCATGGTTAAGAACAATAGAATACAACTGGGAGAGCTGTTAGAGCTAGCTCTTGGGAAGCAGCACAAAGTAAAAACCCAAAGCTAAGCAAGAGTCAAAATGAATGTATCACTAGAGAAATCAGAAATCTCTGGTGCCTGGTGGAGCACAGTGGCTCATGCCTGTAATCTCAGCACTTTGGGAAGCCAAGGCAGGAGGATCGCTTGAACCTAGAAATTCAAGACCAGACTGGGCAACACAGGGAAACCCCATCCCTACAAAAAAAAATTTAAAAATTAGCTGGGCATGGTAGCATGCACTTGTGGTCCCAGATACTCAGGAGGCTGAGGTTGGAGGACTGCTTGAGCCCAGAAGGTTGAGAGGCTGAGGCTGCAGTGAGCCATGATCGTGTCACTGTACTCCAGTTTGGGTGACAGAGGAAGACCCTGCCTCAAAAAAAAAAAAAAAAAAAAAAAAAAAAGAGAGAGAGAGAGAGAGAAAAGAAATCTCTGGTACCCACAGCAAAACAAAACAAACCCAATATCAAACAGGTCAACTCTTGCTGGGCGCAGTGGCTCACACTTGTAATCCCAGCACTTTGAGAGGTCAAGGCGGGCAGATCACCTGAACCCAGGAGTTCCAGACCTACTCTGGGCAACATGGTGAAACCCCATCTCTACAAAAGATCTTAAAAACTAGCTGGACATGGTGGAGCACACCTATAGTCCCAGCTACTTGGGAGCCTGAGATGGGAGGATAGCTTGAGCCCAGGAGGTCGAGGCTGCAGTGAGCCATGATCATGCCACTGCACTCCAGCCTGGGTAACGGAGAGAGACCTTATCTCAAAAGCAAAAACACAAAAACAAAAAAACACAGGCCAACTCCTGACCAAATTAACACAAATTTCCATAAATATGTTCTTCTCCAAACATATCAAATATTTACCTAAGCATCTCCTGCCCATGTTCAGCTTTCAGCATATTTAGGAGGCGTAACAAAAGGCAAGAAAACATTCCAAGTGACAAAGGAATTACTAAATCCAGACTCAGTAAATGCAGATGTTGAGACTATCAGAAAAAAATGTAAAAGAACTATGATTAATATCTTAAAGACTCTAATGTAAAAAATAGACAATATGCAAGACCAGACAGATAATTTCAGCAAAGAGATAGAAACTGTAAGAATGAATCAAAGGGAAATGCTAGAAATTAAAAAAAAAACAGTAAGAAAAACAATGGGCTGAACAGTAGACTTGACATAGCCAAGGAAAGACTCAGTGAGCTTGAAGATCAAGGTTATTGATCAGTCAATAAAAATTAAAAAGAGACGAATGAAAATACTGAAGAGCACTCAAGAACTGTGGGGCAATAACAAACAGTATAACACACTTGTAATTAGAATCCCAGAAAGAGAAAAAAAAAAGAACAAGATAGAATTATTTGAAGAAATAATGGCTGAGAAACTTTCCAAAATTAGTGACAGGCAACAAACCACAGATATAATAAAGTTTAGAGAACACAAAGCAGGACAAAAATGAAAAAATTTTAAAAGCCACAATTAGGCATATCATATTCAAGCTGCTGAAAACCAAAGACAAAAAGAAAATCTTCAAAGTAGTCAGAGGAAAAAAGACACATTAACTATGGAGGAACAAGGATAAGAATTAAAGCAGCCTCAAACTAACGCGGGAACAGACAGCCAAACACCACATGTTCTCATTCATGGGTGGGAGAGTCGAACAATGGGAACATATCGACGCAGGGAGGGGAGCATCACACACTGGAGTCTGTTGGGGGATGGGGGACTGGGGGAGGGATAGCATTGGGAGAGGTGCCTGAAGTGGGTGACGGGTTGATGGGTGCAGCGGGCCACCATGACACATATATACCTATGTGGCAGACCTGCACATTCTGTACATGTATCCCAGAACTTAAGGTATTAAAAAAAAAAAAAAGGATTACAGCAGCCTTCTCATCAGAAATCACGTAAGCCAGGCAATGGTGGAGTACTATGTTGAAAGAGGAAAAACAACTGTCAACCCACAAAAGTGTCCTTTCAAAAGTGAAGGAAAATGAAAACTTTCTCAGACAACCAAAAACAGAGAATTTACTGCCAGCAGATCTGCCCTCAAAAGATAGGTTAAAGGGGATTCTTTAAGCAGAAAGACTGTGATCAAGGTAGGAAACCTGGATTACCATAAAGAAATGAAAAGCATTGGAAAAGGAATAAATGAAGGTAGAATATAATCTTTTCTTTTTAAACATTTGAAAAGCCAATTTCCCAAACACCAGCTAAGGGCCAATCGTGCACGTTGGCCTTCTAAAGACAGCAGCCTCAGGTCTGCTATGTTAACTCTTTTCTGCACAACACAGTATATTAAAAAAAAATCCTACAACATCATACTTGATGGTGAGAGATGGAATGCTTTCCAAGATTGGAACAAGTTAAGGATGTCCTCTCTCACCACTACAACTCTGAAAAAGAAGAAAAAAGCCAGGCCAGGTGCAGTGGCTGACGCCTGTAATTCCAACACTTTGGGAAGCCAAAGCAGGAGGATCACTTGAGGCAGGAGTTCAAGACCAGCCCGGGGAACATAGCAAGACCTTATCTCTGCACAAAAAATATTTAAAAATAGGTGGGCATAGTGGCATGTGCCCATAGCCCCATCTACTCAAGACGCTGAGGCAGGAGGATCACTTGAGCCCAGGAGTTCAAGGCTGCAGTGAGCTATGATGGGGCCACTGCACTCTAGCCTAGGTGACAGAGCAAGACCCTGTCTCTTAAAAAGCAAAAAAAGCCAGACGTGGTGGCTCATGCCTGTAATCTCAGCACTTTGGGAAGCCAAAGTGGGAAGACTGCTTAAGACCAAGAGTTTGAGACTAGCCTGGCCAATACAGTGAGACCCTGTTTCTATAAAAAAATTTTTTTAAAAAGTAACTTAAGCATACCCTGAGAGAAAGATTTTAAAAAGCCAGAGTACTCTATTACCTGATTTCTAGGCTTATTATAAAGCTATAATAATCAAGACTGTGTGTTAATGGAGAAATGATAGATATATAGATCAATGCAACAGAGAGCCCAGAAATAGATCCACAGAAGGATAGTCAACTGATTTTTGACACATATGCAAAGGCAATTCAATGGAGAAAGGGTAGTCTTTTCAACAAGTGGTGCTGGGACAACTAGACATCCATACGTGGAATCACATTCATGGCAGGAGAATATAAAATGGTAGAACCACTTTGGAACATAGTTTGGTAATTTCTGTCAAAGAAAAATCCACTAATCCCATTCCTACGTATTTACCCCAATAAACTGCAAACTTATGTCCACACAGAGATCTGTACACTAATGTTTACCACAGCTCTATTGAAAACCACCAAAAAACTGGTAACAACTAAGTCGTCCTTCGACAGGTGAATGAACAAACTGTGGTACATCCATACAATGGAATAGTATTCAGTAATGAAAAGGAACAGGCTATTCATTCACATAATATGGATGAATCCACTAAAAGCAAGACCAAAAAAAGGCTACATATTGCATGATTCCACTCATGTGATATTCTGGAAAAGGCAGAATTATAGTTAAAAATTCAGAAGTACACTATCGTGAGGCATTTCTAGGGGGAAAAACTGGCTAGATTTTTTTTGAACAGGAATAGCTCTGATCAGGTCAACTCGGATAGGAGTCTATGGAATTTTGCATCACTATATATCATCTCTTTAAAAAATGTATTTAACTTTTAAAATAAGAAAATATATTCACATTGCTTAAAATTCAAAACACATACGTAAAAGTTTATGTAGTGAAAAGTCTCCCTCTCACCCTCTACCTGCTTGGTCATGCGTGTTCCAAAACTATCAGTGTCTTCAATATTCTTGATTGACCCTTAGGATATTACCAATCTTTTGCTACTACAAGCAATACTCCAATTAATATGCAAATATTTGTTGAATAAATTCCTGGAAGTGTTTGTGGGGTCTAATGATGTGTGTGTTTATAAATTTTGATTGCTCTTTCAAGTCACTGACTTTTAAAATGTCAGAGATTTTTAATTTTTATCCTAGGAGGAAAGAAGAAAAGCTAACATTCTACCACCAGGCAATTTTCTGGGGGAATGTACATCTCTAAGACATACAAAATGAGCCTTGTATAGTTTCCCACACATACTTCCTGGGGTCCAGTTGCATTTTCATGTAATATATTTCAGGCCACAAGCTGTTGTGAAGCCTATTTCAGTTATGTGGAAAGTGTTACTTCTGAGATCTTCACAAGCAAAGGTCAAAGGCTGATGCCCCAAATTGGTAATTCCTGGCCACTCACTTCACAGTACAATGCTGGATTTTTCACTGCAACCACAGGAAGATTTTTAAATCTTAACCAATTAAAACACATTTACAGAGAATCCCTTGTCCTTATTACCAATGCTCAAATACGGATTTCCTCTCTTAGGTACAAATTATAAATCATATAAAGGTTCCAAGGAAAGACTGCAAATGTTTCTTTCATCTCTTAAGTGGTGGTGGTTCCCAAATAACGGTCTTTTGGCTTGACCACAAAATCTAGTAGAGTCTAATACACTAGGGTTTTCGTGATAATGCTTGAATGGAAGGTTGAGGAAATCTAGAGACTCCTTTGATAATAGCCACACAAGATCAGAAAGCAGTTAAGCCACTCACAAGAATATCTATGTCCAAAACCACACTGTCTGCCTTTGGCTTCTTCCCAGAAAAACCATCACTCCATTCCACACTTGGTGGAAGAGGTGTTACCAATGGCACAATCACATTATTTAGTCTCTAGAATACACTACATTCAGAAATGGGTGTTTAACAAGATTTATCAAAGCTTAACAGCTTACATTCATTGCTAATTATTATGAATTATTGCAGTAATGGCCCCCAATTTTTTCACATCTCCCTGTATCCACACCTTTGAATGGTCACCACCCACAATGACTCTGGGCTTGGCCACAGAAGCACTTCCATGCTTTAGCTTATGGGACAATAGCAAATGTGACACAGCAAACATTTGAAAAGTGCTTGTGCACTGGTGCTTGCTCTCACTTGCTACTCTGTGACTTCAAGACCACCATGTTAGTAAGTCCAGACTAGCCAGCTGGAGGGCAGACCACATAGAATGGAGATGAACCATCCCGGCTTAGGGCCTCCTAGACCAACCAGCCTGCCAACCACCAGATGTGTGAGTAAGGCTATCCCAGATCATCTAGCCACCAGCTAACCACCCTCCCCCAAAAAGCTAATTGACACAGGCTACTTAAAAGTAAATATGTTTGTGGCCTAGTACTTATGGGAAGGGGAACAGAACACTGGTTTTCCTCCTGTGAAGTTTACTCTGTAGATAAGAAATAGTTTCAAACAGAAAAACTTCTAGTACCTGGATGAGAATAAATATAAATATATAAGTATTGAAAAAATACTTAAGTCTTCCCAGATTCTAACAAATGTGCTGTCTGCCATCACAGATGGCACACACATGCAAAAAACAAAAAACATAAAAAAATTTCCATTTAGTCACTGAAGTATCTTTATCATGATATATTTAAACCAAAGTCTTATACTCGATAGTTCCATTTCTAACACTGAACAACAACTCAGGTTTCCAGGAATTATGTTTTCTCTCAATTCTACTTTTTCCCCATGTGACAGGGATCAGTGAGAGCTGAAAGAGCTCCCTTAATGCAGCCTAAAAAGCATCAGCTATATGAGCCTAATTAAACCTCCTTCTAGAAGCATTCTGAAGGACCAGCTTCTTCCAGCATCATAGAAACTCTTTTTAGCCATGTTAATGGCAGTCGATAAAAACTGTTTAAGACCTACACATTTGGTCCAGAGACATTGCCTCTATTGGATTGCAAGGTGGGACACTGAAGGGGAAATGACTTTCTTAAACCATTTTTGTTTAGGCCTCACTATATGCTTCCCTGGATGAGAGAGGATGAGAGAGGATGAGAGAGAGAGAGGATGAGAGAGAGAGAGAGAGAGAGAGAGAGGATGAGAGAGAGAGAGAGAGAGAGGATGAGAGAGAGTGAGAGAGAGAGAGAGAGAGAGACAGACCTCCCATTAGAGAGAGAGAGAGAGAGAGAAAGAAACACCTCTCATTGTACTTGGAATAAAACACAAGCTCTTTAATGAGGTCCCGTAAGGCCCTGTCAATCTTTCCCTGCCCACCTCATCTCTCTTACCCCAAGTCCTAGCCAAACCTCTGTGGATCCTTTCCACATCTCTCTTCCACCTCAGTGCCCTCACAACACCTGCTGCTACCCCTGCCTGGCAATCCCTTCTCTCTAACCCTTACCTTGCTTATTCCTGCTCATTCTCAAGGCTCAGGGCACCATGCTGGTCTCCCTCACAGGGACATTCTACCTTATACTTGCTGCGTGACCTTGGGCAAGTTACCTTTGCTTCACCTTTCTGAGTCTCACACCTCAGAGAGAGAGATCCTCTGTTAGTTAAGCACTTAGCACAGTACTCGGGACACAGGAAATGTTTAAGAAATCATTGCTGCTGTTATTGTTATTATCCTATATGGTAATGTCCATCATAGCTCTTAGTGCAATTAGATATTTATTTGTTGAAAAAATAGAAACACACCGAGCCACCCCCACCCGCCCCCACCAGCTTGGATCCCACCTTAATACCTATTACTTTTCAGGCAATTTCCCCATACATTGCATTTTTGTAGAGTAAGATGAAATGAATGTTTACAGAGCATTGATCAATTCTCACTACCACCCTCAGAGATATGGTTTGACAAAGAAATTGAGGCACAGAGAAGTTAAATAACTGGCCAAGAGCAAGTGGTAGAGTTAGGATTTGAATCCAAGTTGGCCTGACCTCACAGCCTGTGCTGGGTATATGACACCAAAGGCTTCTCTAACTCATGAACCTTGTCATCTAAGAGCAGGCCTCAGAGAAGACAGATCTTCATAGTTACACCCATCCCAAATGACTCCCAGAGATCTACTTCTCAGATCCTTAACCAGGATGGTGCTCCCATCACTCCCTGTGAACCCCTTCAGCAGAGCACTCTTCCTCCTGACTGTGAGAAGATGACTTAATTCCTTTCCACTGGAAGTTGAGCTGTTAAGGGGGTATCTTTCACCTCTTATACCCCTAGCAAACAGAAGGTATTTAATACATGTTTGCTGAATGAATTAAATGAAAATCTTGGAGAATATATTATTGTTGCAAAGTTGGGGAGTGGAGTGAATTTTCATTAACAGTATTAAAGTTTGGCATAGTTAAGAACAAACTTGACAAGAATGGTGAGAAAAGTGGAGTTTATCTTAACCACTTTTACAATCGATAATGATTTCTATATCTAGCCCTAGAGATTCTACACGGTTTACAAACTGTGTGCTTCACAGCTGTAGGTAGACTTTGCTCTACCTCTGGACCCTGCCTCACCACCACTGTTCTGCTATACCCAGTGGCTGCAACTGAGCCACTGTTCAGGACAGGATGCCCTTGATAAGTACCAATCTCTCAGTGATTACTAACAAATGGCTTGAAAGAAACAACAAATAATAAATTTCAGTGATTACTAACAAATGGTTTGGAAAGAGAACTAAAAGAGCAAGTGATAAAGCAAATGAGAGCAAACCGTTACTAATTGGGAATATAGTGAGTTCTTTGTACTATTCTTATAACAGTTTGTAATTATCAAAATAAGTTTTTAAAATTTAAAAAAGAATGTGTCCCAGAAGATTCCAACACACAAAGTCTAGTGTATTGGCCATGCTGGTATCATATATTCTTGTCATGTGTCTCAAAACAAAACAAAACAAAACAAAACAAAAAAACACATTCTAGGCTTGGGTTTCCTTGCCCATCAGCCAATACCAAGGGAAAAGGAGCTCCTTGGGTAGCAGGGCACAGCCATAGTTCCTGGGTTTTGGCAAAGATTAAATTATTTGCTGCTTGAAAAGCATTGATGAACTCATAGGTGTTTCCTATTGGTCAAAGCCCCAGTACTATTTCCTCACACCAGGTCCTTTATTCAGTCGGCTGTCTTCTGACTTATCACCTTCCTTTTCACAAGCCTAGCTATGAAATCGGGCAAGTTTTTCCCAGGACCCTTTTTTTTTTTTTACTTTCTCCCAAGAAAAGCACAGAGGCAGTTCTAATGGTAAGAATTTTGTTGTTATTATCTATGGAAAGACCTACAGGAACAAGGCAAAAATAACCATGAGGGAGTCATAAAGATTCCAGAAATCAGAAAACTCAAAGTGGTAGTTATTTGGTTTGTAATGACCACTTACTTGCTAGTACCCGTTTATTTGTTCATCACTTTTACCCATTCACCCTAGATCCTCCCCACCATACAAACCAGAATGTTTCAGCTTTCCCAGCCACTGTAACTGGAACAACAGAAACTTGTGAGCCATTAAAGTGTCCCCATGTTAGGAGAGTGCCAGACAGGTGTCACCTAACACTCACTTCTCACCTATATTGTGGGACAAGTCAAGATCATAGTAAATCATACCTCAATGAGAGATTTTCTTAATGTAAGACAGCATATTACCTCTGTCTTCTCAGCTCCTATTTTGTGTAAGCTCCACAAGGAGGTAGGTGCATTATGTCCCCTGATAATGCTCAGCTTCATTTTTGGACTGGCTCTCTGTAACTCTGATCAAGGCTTGTAAGAGCCCTCCCTAATGCCATGTCTTTACCAGCACCTGATGCCTCCTACCTCCCCCACCTCTTCCAAAATACTTGCCTAGTTCCAGCCAGACCTCAAAGCAGTGGGCAGAAAGAAGATATGGCTTTGTGTAGGTTAGGGGAAAAAATGGGTTGTTATGGTTGGTGGAACACAAGAGAGGGAAAAGACAAGCATTATTAAAGGAGAGGACAATACTAAACCTACAAGTCTTCAACACCCTTTCTTCTTTAACTTTCACCAATCCATACTTCTTAGCTATGATGCCAGCCCTGCACCATCACCTGTCCTGCTCCTGGGAATCTCCCCTACGGGCCTGAAGGTGGGTCACAACACTTCAGGGAGGAGTGGGAAGCCTTTCTCTACTTTTTTCTACCTATGACCAGATTCACATCGCATTGCCGAGGGCAAGCAACATGACTCAGAGAAGAGGGGAGAGAGAAAGTGTGAATTCTAGAGCCAGACTTGCACCCCTGAGTATTCCAGAATTGACTGGACAGAAAGCAAGGCAACAATATTGGGTTAAAAGCTATTCTCTAGCAAACAAAAGCATAAAGAAGAGCACAACTGGAGAAAAGGTGGCAAAGATGGTGGCTAACATCGATTGAAAGTTGAATACACGCTGGGCACTGAAACACTTCTCAACGGTCTCAGGTAATCCTTGAAGAGAGGGTATTATCCTTTTACAGTTCAAGTATTTAAGCTCAGAGCTCACTTTAAACGAAAGAGAAAATGATATGTTATGGAGGTAGAATACTCTTAGGTTAAACAAAAAAGAAAAAAAATCTATTTTTACGTATCCGAAGAGTAATCACATGATGCTACAAAAGCATGAGAACCACACTACTCAAAGGGTACGAAGGCCGGGACCCATACTCCCATTGTCTACAGATGTTTTGGAAGTATTAAACTAAATAAAAACACAATGCTTTGTTCAGACCGACTCCTCTCTCAGCCCTACTCTTTCCCCCTCCCAGCCTAGGCTGACAAGAAGTGGCTAAAGGGAAAGTATTTAACAGGAGAACTGGTCTGGGAAAGTGGATTGTGGGTTGCTTAAACTAAGCAAAGACGTTGTGCAACCAGTTTTTACCTAAATTATTTTTCATTACTTCCCAAGTTTAGAGAGCAGCAGTTCACTTTATCAGACTGAACACAGGGAATGAGGTCGCCTTTCCCTCCAGGCCACCACTGGAATCACCTTCAACACGGTTTTGACTTCTTACACAATCAGACGGCGGGAGGGGGGAATCTCATCCTCAGCTTCATAGATAAACGCACCTCACGGCACACACACACAAACAACTCGCGCACATCTGAGGCCACGGATTTCCTTGCAACTCAAAGTCGGAGAAGCGGCCAAACAAGTTTCTTGCCAAATCCCTAGTAGCCACATATGTCCCAGGGCCGCACAGCGATAAAAACTTTGAAACATGCCTCCACATACCACCATTGTGGTCACTCACTCCAGATCCCGCCACCCCCTCCTCACAAATAACAAACTCAGGCTGCCCTGTGCAATTTAAAGCTAGACTCCACCGAAGCACTGGCTCTGCTGTGAAAAGCGGGAGAAAAAGATTGAAGGCTATTAAAAAAAACAACAAACAAACAAAAAACAAAACAAAACAAAACAAAAAAACAAACTACGGCCCCCGGGGCGGAGGGAATAAAACGAACTCGAAAGCTGGAGAAAAGTTAACTTTGCCGTGCCCAGCGGTGGGAAAATTTCCCCGGAAGACTAGCAAAGCCCTCACGATTTTCCCACCCCCGGACCGCCCGACGCTCGGCGGCCACGGACCCGCAGTTCGAACAATGCCGCCAGTGGGAGGGAAAGTTCGCCAGCCCGCCGGGCGCCCGCGCTCCCGCTCCCGCCGGGTGGGCACCCGGGCTTCCCGGGGTGCCTCGCCGCACCCAGCACCACCCGTTCTCCCCTCTCCAGGCACTCGGTTCTTTCCGCCCCCCAACAGCTAAACAGCCAGGGCGCGCCCTCGCTCCCTGGAGCATCCGACCCCTGGCGGCCGACAGAGCAGGTCCTCCCGCCACGGGTCTGGCCCCGTCAGCCCCGAAGCCAGGCAAAGGGCAGGAACGGAGGAGGGGGCGCCAGGAGGGGGCACCGGAGGAAAGAGCCGCAACAGTTATGGCGCTCAATTCCTGCCCGGTGTAGCCGGGAGCTGCAGCCGAGCTCGCGCGTCCGCCCCCGCCCCCCGCCCGGGCCACCAGGCACTACCCGGGCGGGCAGAGGGGCCACCAGGCACTTTACCTCAGCCCACACACGCTCTCGGCCCCAAGGCGCCGGGGACGCCGGAGGCGACCACGATGTGGAACCGGAGCGACCCGGAGCGCGGCGAGGCCGGGCCGGGACTGTGCGCTCCGCGCCGCCCGCTTCCACTCCCGGAGGCCGCCGCTCCCGCCGCCCAGCCGGTGCGACGCCCCCAACCTCGCCCGCGCCGGGTCCGGCCTCCGCGGCGCCTACCTTCGCGCAGCTGGCTCGCGGCTCCTGCCCGGCTCCACGCCGCGGCCCGGCAATGTGCCGGGTGAGTCCGGTCGGAGTGGTAACCGCCCCCCTAACCGCTCGCTTTCTTCTCTTCCCTCCCTCGCACCTGCCCCTTAATCCCCTCCTCGCCCCCGCCCCCCGCCGGGGCCGCCCCCCGCGCCTCAGCTCCCGCCCTCGGCCCTCGTCCGCCCGGCCCGTCAGGCCTCAGCGCTGGGCAGGCGGTTGGGCGGCGGCGGCGGCTGAGGCGGCGCGGAGCACTATTGTATTCCTGACACTGTGCGCTCCCACGCTCCGCCTCTTCCCTTTCCTTCCTCCCCCAACCTCTCCTCCCACCCACCGCCGGCCGCGCTCGCCCTACCGGAGCGGCTCCCAGCCGTCTGCCCGCCGCGCGTTCTTCTGGCGGGCTGGGCGCCGTCGCCACCCGCCGCCTCGACGCCCCGCCCACTCGCCGCTCCCGCACCCGCGGCGCCGCGTTCCAGGTGGGCTCCCCTCCCGTCCAGCTGGGTGCGCCACTGCCCGAGACGCCCCAGCCCCGCCGAGCGCTAGAGAGGACGAGGTGCAGATGCCTCGGCTGTGTTGAAATACAAACTAAGCTTTTCATGGCCCCTTCCAACTCTGAAGTTCCAAAGTGGGACTCTCATACATCAACTCGGTGGCCGCTATTGATTTATGTCGCTTGTGCTTGAATTACCTGTAATAATAAAGCCAAGGTGGCTATTAACATAATTCATTTATTCAGTTGCCAGCACAGGTGGTTTGTGATGTTGTGTGGCTTTTTCGATGTGTCCACTGGTTAGGCTATCGCCCACAGTTATTTGATCGAATGCCAATCCAGGTGTTGCTCTGGAGGTATTTTGCTGATGTAATTAAAGCTCCTAATCAGTTGACTTAAAGTTAGGGAGATAATCCTGGATAATCTAGGTGGGCCTGACGGAATCAGTTGGAAAGCCTTTCAATCAGGGCTGAGGGTGCTGAGTACGTCAGAGAAAGAGAATTTCCCCTATGGATGACACCTTTGGCCTATGTCCATTGGTTCCAGCCTGCTCCTGATCTTCCCTTCCTGACTGTATGCCCTACAGATTTTGGATTTACTTGGCCACCATAATCGTCTAAGACAATAGCTTCGAAGAAATGAATGAACAGGGAGTATATATACGTATATTCCCACCACGCATTCTTCTGGCAGGCTGGGCACCGTGGGTGTATGTGTGTGTGTGTGTATATATATATGTATGTGTGTGTGTATGTATATATATATGTGTGTGTGTATATATATATGTGTGTGTGTGTATATATATATATATATATATAATTTCCTACTGGTTCTGATCCTTTGGTTGAATCCTAATATAGATGTTTAAGCAACAAACCTTTTTGGCTTACCTCTCTGGGTTTGGAAATGTGCTATATGCAACTATGATGAACTCATTCTCTTTCTTTTTTCTTTTCCTTTTTTTTTTGAGTCAGGGTCTCACTCTGTCGCCAGGCTGGAATGCAGTGGCTCGATCTCGGCTCACTGCAACCTCTGGGCTCCCTGTCACCCAGGCTAGAATGCAGTGGTGAGATCTCTTGGCTCACTGCAACCTCTTGGCTCCCTTCAACCTCCACCTCCGGGGCTGAAGTGATTCTCCCACCTCAGCCTCCCAAGTAGCTGGGACTACAGGCACATGCCACCATGGCCCAACTTATTTATTTATTTATTTATTTGGTAGAGACAGTTTCACCATGTTGCTCAGGCTGGTCTTGAATTCCTAAGCTCAAGCTATCTGCCTGCCTGGGCCTCCCAAAGTGCTAGGATTACAGGCATGAGCTACTGTCCTGGGCTATTTTCGTTTACATTTCTAGGATGAACAATAATGTAGGCTCTTTTGTATTTTGTCTGTTTTCCATGTTAAAGATCTAGTTATATTCCATAATATGGAAATGCGTGAGTTCTAAAATATTCGTAGTCCTTCAGACTTATCTCACTTTATTATACTTATTTAAAAATAATTATAGATTCATCAGAAGTTGTAAAAAAAAATGTACAGAGTGGTCCCATGTACCCTTTGCCCAGTTTCCCCCAATGGTAATAGATAACTATAATACAATATAGATATTAACATTAATACAGTCCACAGACCTTATCCAGATTTCATCAATTTTCATGCACTGATTTCTGAGTCTGTGTATATAGTTCTGTGCAATTTTAACACATTTAAATTTGTGTAATCACCACAATCAACTTTTTCTCCACCACAAAGATTCCTCCTGCTACACTTTGTAGTCACAGTCACCGCTTTCTCCTCCTCTAATTTCTGGCAACCCCTAACACGTTCTCCATCTCTATAAATTTGTCATTTCAAGAGTATTACATAAATGGAATCATACCTTTTGAAATCAGCTTTTCTTCACTCAGCATGATTTTCTTGAGATGTACCCAAGTTTGTTGCATGTCTCAATGATTTGTTGCTTTTTATTACTGAGTAGTATTCTGTAGTATGGATGTCCTACAGTTTGTTTATTCATGCATTGAAGGTCATTTGAGTTGTTTCCAATGTCTGCCTATTAAGAATAGAACTGCTATGAGCATTAATGTAGAAGTTTTTGTGTAAACATAAGTTTTCATTTCTCTGTGACAGATGCTCAGGAGTGCAATTGCTGGGTCAGATGGTAAGTGTATATTTAGTGTTACAAGAAAATGCCAAACTTTTCCAGACTATACCACTTTATATTACCACCAGCAATGTATAAGAGATCTAGTTTCTCCACATCTTTGTCAGCATTTGGTATTGTCACTATCTTTTTCTTTTAGCCATTCTAATAGGTGTGTAGTGATACCTCATTGTTGTTTTAAATTGCATTTCCTTAATGGCTAATGCTGTTGAGCATCTTTTCATGTGCTTATTTGCCATCTGTATAACCTCTTTGGTGAAATGTCCGTTCAAGTCTTTTGCCCATTTTCTAATCAGATTGTTTCCTACTGTTAAATTTTGAGAATTCTGTATACTACATTCTAGATACAAGTCCTCTGTCAGATATGTGATCTGCAAATATTTTTCCCAGTTTGTAGCTGGTCTTTTCATCCTCTTAAGAGATTTTGCAGACCAAATTTTAAATTTTGATGATGTCCAATTTATCAATTTTTGCATTTATGTATCATGTTTTTGTGTCATGGCTAAGACATCTTCATCTAGCTCCAGGTCCTGAAGATTTTCTCTTATCTTTCCTTCTATAAGTGTTATAGTTTTATATTTTACATTTAAGTGCATGATTCATTTACTTTTTATATAGGATCTAAACCTAAGGTTGAGGTTCATATTTTTGTCTATGGTTGTCTGATGGCTCAAATAAAATGACTACTTTTCCTCCACTGAATTGCTTCTGCACGTTTGAAAAAATCGATTGGGCATATTTGTGTGGGGCTATTTGTGTGGGGCTGTTTCTGGGTTCGCTATTCTGTTCTATCGATCTATGTGCCTATACCTCTGTGAATACCAGTCTTGATTACTCTAGCTATATAATAAGCCTTAACATTGGGTAGAGCACTTCCTCCCACTTTATTGTTCTTTCTCAGAATTGTTTTAGCCATTCAAGGTCATTTGCCTTTCCATATAAATTTTGGAATGAGTGTATTCTGTATCTACGAAAACCTTGCTGGGATTTTGAAAGAAATTGTGTTAAGCCTATAGATCAGTTTAAGGTGAATTGACATCTTTACTATTGTATATTGAATTTTCCAATCCATGAACACGATATGTCTATCTCTCCATTTATTTAGATCTTCCTTGACTTCTTTCGTCAGCATTTTTGAATTTCCAGCATACAGAACCTATGCATGTTTTGTTAAATATATACCTAAGTATTTCATTTTCTTTGTCATGATTGTAAGTGGTATTGTGTTTTTAATTTGTCTTCACATTCATTGGTCATTGTTAATATATAGAAATGCAATTAATTTTTATGTGTTGATCTTGTTTCCTCTGACCTTACTAAACTCACTTACTAGTTCTAGGAATTTTTCAGCAGATTCTTTGGGATTTTCTATGTAGACAATCATATTATCTGTGAATAGGGACAGTTTTATTTCTTCCTTTCCAATCTGTGCGCATTTTATTTCCTTTTCTTGCCGTCTTGTTCTAGCTAGAACATTCAGTACAATGTTGAATAAGAGTGGAGAGAGTGGACATACTTGCCTTGTTCCTTATCTTAAGGGGAAACATTGTCTTTCGCCATTAAATATGATAGTTGCAGGTTTTTTGTAGATGCTCTTTATTGAGTTGAGAAAGTACCTCTCTATTCACAGTTTGCTGAGAGTTTTTATTATGAGTGAATGCTGAATTTTGTCAAATGCCTTTTCTGCATCAAGTTATATGATCGTGTGATTTTTCTTCTTTAGCCTGTGGATATGGTAGATTACATTGATAGAATATTGATTTTTGAACCAACCTTTCATAGCTGGAATAAACCCCATTTGGCCATAAAATAATTATTTTTATACCTTGCTGGATTCTATATTGCTAATGTTTTGTTGCAGATTTTTGTGTTAAAGCCCATAAGAGATAAAAGTCTGTAGTTTGGGGGAGATTTTTGCTACAGTCCTTGTCTGGTTTTGGTATTAGGGTAATACTGGCCTTATAAAATGAGTTGAGGAAGTTGTGCAGAAAAGAGTTAACATAACAGGCTCTTGGCAGGCATCTGTGAACTTGGATTTCAGGAGAGCTCTCATTGTTCCCAGAACTGATAAGAATGGCTAACTATATCTAAGCTGTTTGTACAAATGTTATTTATGCTGGGACTAGAACTCAAGTCTCCTGATTCTCAAGCTGTGCAGAAAAGAGTTAACGTGAAAGGCCTCAGTGCTATCCTTTGAAAGCCCTGCATGCAAGGTCGGTCCTTGGATGGCATTTGGAACTTAGATTTGAAGAGGGCTCTCACCATTCCCAGGGCTGATGAGACTGTTCACTGGGCCTAAACTGTTCGTACAAACAATATGGTTTATGCTGAACACTTGTTTTCCTTCTAGGAGTCTGGAGTTTTGGTAAGCGCTAGGCAGAGGGTGCCTATATGACCAACCCCCAGTAAATGTCCTGGGAGCTGAGTTTTTAATGAACTTCCCTGATAGACAACATTTCACACGTGTTGTCACAACTTGTTGCTGGAGGAATTAGTACATCCTGCGTGACTCCACTGGGAGAGGACTCTTGGAAGCTTGTACCTCGTTTCTTCTATACTTCCATGTGCCTTTTGCCTTTGAAGATTTTGTTCTGTGTGCTCTCACCATGAATGTGACTGTCTGCTGCATTCTGAGTCCTCATAGTGAATCATCAAGCCTGGGAATGGTTTGGGGGACCCCTAGCACAGAAGTGTTCCCTCCTCTTTGGTATTATAGAATCTATTGTGTAAAATCGGTGTTAGTTCTTTAAATGTTGGGTAAAATATTCCAGTGAAACCATGTGGACCTGGAGCCTTCTTTTTTCAATAATTTTTACATTATAAATCCTATTTTAAAATAGTTATTAGACTATTCAGATGATAAATTTCATATTGGTCGAGTTTTGGTAGTTTGTAGTTTCAAGGAATTGGTCCATTCCATCTAAGTCGTTGAATTTATATATGTAGGGTTCTTGATAGAATTTCTCTATTTTCCTTTCAATGCCTGCAGGATCTGTAGTAAGATCCCCTGTCTCATTTGTGATTATAGTGACTTATGCCTTCTCTCTTTTTATCTTAGTCAATCTTGCTATAGGTTTATCAACTGTACTGATCTTTTCAGAGGAACAGCGTTTTGCTTAATTGATTTTATCTATTGTTTTCCTATTTTCAATTTCATTGATTTCTGCTGTTGTCTCTTTCCTTCTGCTTGCTTTGAAGTTTTAATTTTGCTCTTCTTTTTATAGTCTCTTGAGGTGGGAGCTTACCTGATTGATTTAAGACCTTACCTCTTCTTTTTTAAAAATTTTAAAAAAATATATTACAAATTTTTCTTTTAGTGGCAAGTGACCGGCAGCCTCTTTTCTAATGTAAGGATTTAGTGCCATAAACTCTCTTGTCAGCACTGCTTTAGCTCCATTCCACAAATTTTAATATGTTATATTTTCATTTTCATTCAGTTCATTGTATTTTTAAAAAATTTCCCTTGAGACTCCTTTTTTGACCTATGTATTAATGAGAAGTGTGTTGTCTAGTTTTCAAATATTTGGAGATTTTCCTGCTGACTTTGTTATTGATTTCTGGTTTGACTCCCTTATAGTCAGAGAACATGACACAGTGGTTCATGCCTGTAATCCCAGCACTTTGGGAGGCTGAGGCAGGAGGATTGCTTGAAGCCAGGAGTTCAAGAGAACATACTCTGCATGGTTTCAATTCTTTTACATTTGTTGAAATTTTGTATGATGCAAAATATGGGTTATGTTGGTGAATGTTTCATGGGTATTTGAAAAGAATGTGAGTTATGCTATTGGGTAGAATGTCCTATAAATTAGGTCCTGTTGCTTTATGGTATTGTTGAGTTCTATAATCCTGCTGATTTTCTGTCTAGTATTTCTATTGCTGAGAGGAGGGTATTGAAGTCTCCAACTATAATCATGGATTTACCTGTTTTTCTTTCAGTTCTATCAGATTTTACTTCATGTATTTTGAAGCCTTATTTATTGGTGCATACATGTTTAGGATTTCTTTGTCTTCTTGGTGGATTGACTCATTTATCATTGTGTAATATCTCTCTTTGTCCTTGGTAATTTTATTTGCTCCAAAGTCTACTTTTCTGATATTAACATATAGCCATATCTGTTTTTATAAATGAATGTCTGTGTAGTATATCTTTTTCTTTTCACTTTCTACCTATGTTATCGTATTTGAAGTAGTTTCATATAGACAGCACATAGAGGGTTATTTTTTTAAAAATCCATTTTGTGATTCTCTGCCTTTTAATTCATGTATTTAGACCATTTAATTAGAAGATAATTATTGGTATCTTAGGGCTTAAGTCTAATGTTTTATTATTTGCTTTTTGTCTGTTCCCTCTATTTCTCATTCCTCTGTTTGCTGTTTCTGGCCTTACTGTGGGTTACTTGAATATGTTTTAGAACTCCGTTTTACTTTATTATAATGTTTTTGAGTATATCAGTGTGTATAGTTTTCTGTTTTTTAGGTGTTAAAATATACACATATAACTTATAGTGTATTGTTATCAACATTTTACCACTTTTAGTAAGGGGTAGAAACTTTATTTTCCTTTAGGTTCCTTTATCCCTTACCCTCCCACTTTTTTTTCTTTTTTAGACATAGTCTTGCTCTGTCGCCCAGGCTGGAGTGCATGGCGCAACCTGAGCTTACTGCAACCTCTGCCTCCTGGGTTCAAACGATTCTCGTGCCTCAGCCTCCCGAGTAGCTGGGACTGCAGACATGCACCACCACGCCTGGCTAATTTTTGTATTTTTAATAGAGCTGAGGTTTCTCCATGTTGGTCAGGCTTCTCTCGAACTCCTGGCCTCAAGTGATCTGCCTGCCTCGGCCTCCCAAAGGGCTGGGATTACAGGCGTGAGCCACCGCACCCGGCCTGTCCTCCCACTTTAAAAATATAATTTCTATTTCTTGTACATACATTGAACCCACATCAGATGGTGTTACAATTTTTGCTTCAACAATTCAACATAATTGAAAGAAATTCATTAGGAAAAGGATAGTCTATTTATATTTATCCTTATTTTTTATACATTTCATTGTTTTCCTTCCTTTCTGAAGTTTCAGGCCTCCTCCTGCTATCATTTCCTTTTCGTTTGGAGAACTTCCTTTAGCTATTCATTAATAGTAAGTCTGCTAGTGAAATTTTTATAAATTTTCTGTCATCTGAGAATGTCTTTATTTCCCCTTTATTCCTGAAGGATATTTTCACTGAACATGGAATTCCAAGTTGACAGTTCTTTTCTTTCATCACTTGAAAAATGTACCACTTCCTTCCGGCCTTTATGGTTTCAGATGAGAAATCCACTATGATTTAAATCAGTGTTCCTCTATAGGTAATGTGTGTTTTTCTCTCTAGCTGCTTTCAAGATTTTTTTTCTCTATCTTTAGTTTTCAAAAGTTAGTTATGATGTGTCTTGGTGTGGATATTTTTGGGTTTTCCTGGCCTACTTTTGTGGACTGTGTAGTTCCAATGACAGTTTAGTTTTTAGAACCCTTGTGGCACTATTCTGGTCTGCTTTGTGTGCTACTCCCAAGCCACGTTGAAAACCTGAGTGGTATGCCACACAGTAGTTCAGTTGTCAGACCTGCAGACCTGGTGATTTACTTAGTTTCACGCTTGGGTCAGACAGGTGTCTTTCCAGGACTTCCTATGCAGATGTAAAGAATGCCTTTCTGCAGCTCCTTCCTCTCTAAGATCCCTTCTGCACTCTAATTGGAAGGGTGAGGGGCACCAGCTGCCACTGGCAGATAAGGGTGAAAGTCCAGACTCCTCACTCAGTCTCCACTGACATGGCAACAGTGGGGAGGGGAGCACCTGTCTGCATCCTCTGCTGATGCCTGCTGGGAGCCGGGCAGCAGATGTCCAGATTCCCCACTAGTTCTCTGCTGACACCACTGGTGGGAAAGTAAAGTACCTTCCCAGCTGCCTGCCACTTGATGGGGCTCGGGAGACTCCCCACTTGGTCCCCGTCATGGTGCCTGTGATGGAAAGTGCCTCCCTGGGCCGTCTGGTGCCACTGGGTGAGGGGTTGGGAGATGCTAGGCCGGTAGGGGTTGAAAGTACTAATCCTGCCTACCTGCTGCTGCTGGGTCGGGGACAAGCGTCTGGACTCCGTGCTGGGTATACGCTGATGCTGCCAGCAGGGCTGAGCACGCCTCCTCCGGCTGCCTGGTGTGACTGGGGCTCCCCCTAGCTCTTGGCTGTTGCCCAGCGTGGTAGGAAAGTGCTTCCCTGGTACCGCTGGGACTCCCACTCAATCCTGTCTGGTGTTCCCATGGGGGAAGAAGGCGGCTTTTTGCCCAGCCACCTGAGGCTACTGAATGGGGGACAGAGCTCTTCCAGTCCCTACTCAGTCTCACTCTGCTGACACCACAGGGTTCAGCTTGGGTAGGGCTGGTGCTGTCCACAGGGTTTTACTTATGCTGGGCTGGGTTTTTCTCCTTTCCCAGTCCTTTGGCCACAAAGAACAGGTTTTTGTTTTGTTTTGTTTGTCTGCTCTGATTGGAGATTCTAGGTTGCAGGCTTCTCCAGCACCCAGTCTGGAACATACAGAAGATAAAAAGAAAAGCCAGGAGCCCATCACAGTGTCGTTCCTCAAGTCCTGAAGTCTCTAGCCAGTCCACTTTCTTCTTTCCACCTACCAGTCCCCTTATGATGGACTTTTGTATTACTTTTAGGAATTTTAATTGTACTTAGCATGGAAAAGCAAAGAGAAATGGGTCTATGTCATCTTGTTTGAAGCTTGGTTACCTTACATTTTAAAATAAATTAATGAGGGCGGGCACGGTGGCTCACGCCTGTAATCCCAGCAATTTGGGAGGCCAAGGCAGGCGGATCACTTGAGGTCAGGAGTTCGAGACCAGCCTAGCCAACATGGCAAAACCTCGTCTCTACTAAAAATACAAAAATTAGCCAGGCATGGTGGCAAGCGCGGGTAATCCCAGCTACTTGGGAGGCTGAGGCAGGAGAATTGCTTGAACCTGGGAGGTGGAGGTTGCAGTGAGCAGAGATCATGCCACTGTACTCCAGCCTGGGTGACAGAGTGAAACTCTGTCTCGAAAAAAAGAGAGAAAAATTAATGAAATAATTAACAGATAAAGTTTTCAGTTTCAGTTGGAAAACACAAAGAATTTACACCTCCCGGGCTCAAGTGATTCTCGTGCCTCAGCCTCCTGAGTAGGGATTACAGGTGTGCGTCATCACACCTGGCTAATTTTTGTATTTTTAGTAGAGATGGAGTTTCACCATGTTGGCCAGGCTGCTCTCAAACTTCTGAGCTGAAGTGATCCACCTGCCTCAGCCTCCCAAATTGCTGAGATTACGGGCATGAGCCACCGCACCTGGCCTCTTTTTTTTTTCCCTTTTTTTTTCTTTTTTTCATTCATAAAATGAAACTGATAATGCTTGGACTTTGGTGGAAAGATACTTTCAGAAAGTATAGGGGATTATTTATCTGTCTTTGTTGAGCCACTGGTTGATGAAACTGGATGCAAGAGCTTTAAACTGCTGAAACACTCTGATAGTGTAACTCACCTAAAATGGGCTCAAGGAACCAAAAAAGAAAAGGCCAAAGAACTATAAAGAAGTAAAAGATCAATCTTGGCAAGACCTCCCTTCCTTTTTCTCCTTTCTCTCCAATCTCTTTCTTGCCCATCACGCCAAATTTCATATGATAAAAATCAATAACTGGCCCAATTTTCCTTAGACAAGTAAAATACCTACTTTCCATGAGTTACTTTGTCTGTGCACAGTAATACCTATGTAAATCCATACACAAATGCTCTGGAAGGATACAGACCAAACTGATAATTGTAGTTCCCAATGGGAGTGGGGATTGAAGAAGATTTTAGATTTATCTCCAATTTTTTCATGTAAAAAAAAAACAAAACCCTGTATTATTTGTGTAATTAACAATTAATAGCTGGGCACAGTGGCTCATGCCTGTAATCCCAGCACTTTGGGAGGCCGAGGTGGGCGGATCACAAGGTCAGGAGATCGAGACCATCCTGGTGGTTTCACCAACATGGTGAAACCCCGTCTCTACTAAAAATACAAAAATTAGCCGGGCGTGGTGGCGCGTGCCTGTAGTCCTAGCTACTTGGGAGGCTGAGGCAGGAGAGTCACTTGAACCAGGGAGGCGGAGGCTGCAGTGAGCAGAGATCATGCCACTGCACTCCAGCCTGGCAACAGAGCGAGACTCCATCTCAAAAAAAAAAATTAATAATGAAACAAAAACAATGTGTGCATTTGCCAAGACATGTGAGTCTGATATTGAACAGAATTTAAGATATGCTTTTTTCTCAATCAAAAATTATTTCACACTCTTGAAAACTAGTGACACCTAATATTTGCTCAGAATTTCACCACCATGACTCCGAAGAACATTTTCAGATAAAATTAGGAAAATTGCTGATTTTTCAAATAAAAAGCAATTGTAAACTCCAGCAACTTTATCTGTATTTATTGTTGAAGTGATAACATGTAAAAATGGTCTCCCTATGCACATAAGTAAATACAAAGCCACCTACAGTGAATCTTTATAGTCAATTTGATAAATTAATGAGCACTGGAAACCTCACTTGATTCTTCGCTACACAGTGATATCCAAAATAGTGCTGCTAGATAGAATCTGCAAAAAAATTGGAGAGGACTTTTAACTCATAGGACTTCACTTATGAAGTCTGTATTCATAGAAGGAGGCAAAAAAAATCAATATTTGTGGAACATCTACTGTGTTTCAAGTGTCTAACTTATGTTTTCTCATCTAATCCTTCCCAAGCCCTCAAGACAATAATCATTATTTCCCATTTTACAGGTAAGCAAACTAAGGCTCAGAGAGAAAATAACTTGTCCAACATTATTACTGGACAGTAGGCACACTTCAAAATAAAATGCTTTCTGCTCTTGTGTAGGTTCAAGTATTTCAAAGCACCTACCATTTCTAACTCAAGGGAGAGTGGATTCATTAAACATTTGTGACATGAGAAAATGATTTCTACAAATGAAATACACATCTGTTCTTTGAAATCCTTCTCAGGTGTTAACTTCAATTGAATTGAATAACTAACTTTTTAAATCAATGAACGGAAAACAGTTTAGTGGAATTAGGTAATAGCATACACCCAATGAGTGAGTTATAATCAGTATAGCTTCCTTTTACCAGATGGCTAATGACCTTCATAGACCAAATACATGTTACAACTGATGCCATGGATCCGTAATATTGACACTCTCTCCATAGAAGCCTATCTTAGCTTGTGATTTATTTTCACAAAGAACAAAATGTTCACTGATGGAAGTTAAAATCAAAATGAAACACCAAACATCACTGTAGTGGTCAGTTTTGTTTTTTGTTTTGTTTTGTTTTGAGACGGAGTCTTACTCTGTTGCCTAGGCTGGAGTATGGTGGTGTGATCTCGGCTCACTGCAACCTCCACTTGCTGGATTCAAGTGATTCTCCTGCCTCAGCCTCTCAAGTAGCTGGGATTACAGGCACTCACCACCACGTCTGGCTAATTTTTGTATTATTAGTAGAGACGAGGTTTCACCAGCCTTGAGGCCAGGCTGGTCTCGAACTCCTGGTCTCAAGTGACCCGCCCGCTTCAGCCTCCCAAAGTGCTGGGGTTATAGGCATGAGCCACTGTGCACCTGGCCTGTAATGGTCAGTTTTATGTGTTAACATAGCTAGGCTATAGTCCCTAGTTTATAACTGGCTAACATAAGCCAGTTATTCCATTAAAATCTAATCTAGGTGGTGCTGAGAGGTATTTTGTAGATGTGAATCAAGTCTATAATCAGTTGACTTTATGTAAACAAGATTATCCTAGATAATCTGGTGGGCCTGAATCAATCAGTTAAAGGCCTTAATAGCAGAATGGAGGCTTTCCTGAAGAAGAAATTCTGCCCATAGACAGCAGCATTGGCTTGTGCTCGAGAACTCCTGCCTGTCCTTTCTGATGGCCTGCTCTAAGGATTTCAGATTTCAGGCTTGCCTAGCTAGCCACCACAATCACATAAGCCAGTTCATCTATATCTATACCTATATCTATATCTATATCTACATGTGTCTCCTAATGGTTCTGTTTCTCTGTTAGAATCCTGACTGATACAATCACTATCTTTATTTTATATATAAATCCATAACTTATATGCACTTAAGAAAAAAAAACTAATTTTCCCTGGATTTCATATTCTTTCTTTGGATTGGATTTTTCTCCATCAGAAATTTCAAAAGGGATTAAGAAAGTGTCTGACTCCAGAGAATGCTCAGCTTCAGAGACTATCCATAATTTTCTTTCTTTCTTTTCTTTCTTTTTTTTAGATGAAGTCTTGCTCTGTCGCCCAGACTAGAGTGCGGTGGTGCGATCTCAGCTCACTGCAACCTCTGCCTCCTGGATTCAAGCAATTCTCCTGCCTCAGCCTCCCAGGTGCACGCCACCATGCCTGGCTAATTTTTGTAGAGACAGGGTTTTGCCATGTTGGCCAGGCTGGTCTTGAACTCCTGACCTCAAGTGATCTGCCCGCCTTGGCCTCCCAAAGTACTGGGATTACAAGCATGAGCCACCATGCCCGACCCATAATTTTCCATATTAGAAGTAAACTGCCCCATGTGTGGCTTAGGAGAGAGTTGTTCCTCTTGGGAACCATCATCTAAGTGAATTCTCAGAAGCCTCTGTATTTAGCTTCCTGAAGATAGACGCACCAGGGCCATAGGAGACAAAAGCCCATGAAAACTGCTCCAGGCCTTCCTCTATGCTCTATCCAAGTCCATTCATAAATCCTATGTGTCTGTTGAGGTGCAAGAACCAGTTTTCAAAAAATTTGTGTACATTTAAGGGGTAAAAGTGCAGTTTTGTTACGTGGATATAATGCATAGTTGTAACGTCCAGGCTTTTAGCATAACCATCACCTGAATAATATACATTGTACCCATTAAGTAATTTCTTATTCCTCACCACCCTCCCATCCTTCTGAGTTGCCAATGTCTATTATTCTATAGTAGAACCAGTTTGTTTGTTTGTTTTTTAATCATAACATCAATAATTTTCCTTAATTCCTTCAGAAATTTCTTGGGAATACTTTACTTGTCTGGGAGACATTACCCAAATGATTTCATTCCACTGTTTCATTTTTGTTTTTGAGACAGGGTCGCCTAGGCTGGAGTGCAGTGGTGTGATCATAGCTTACTGTAACCTTGAACTCCTGGGCTCAAGTGATCTTCCTGCCTCAGCCTCCCAAGTAGCTAGGACTATAGGTACATGCCATTATGCCCAGCTAATTAAATTTTTTTTTTTTTTTTTTTTTTTTTGTAGAGACAGGATCTTGCCGTCTTGTCCAAGCTGGTCTCAAACTCCTGGTCTCAGCTAATCCTCTCACCTCGACCTCCCAAATCATCCCACTTTTTATCCCCCTGAAGAAATTTTGGGGTTACTTTTAGAAATGTTCTTAAATCTTTTCTCTCCCTTTTTTTAACTGCTATTTTTTTATTCATCTATTTATTTAAAACTGATCTTCCAGAAATGATTTAATGTGGCCTGTGATGATACAATTAAATACAGCACAAAGATAAAAACTAAAATTGGCAGGAAAAAAGAGAAAGTAAAGAAGGAAAATAAAAAAGAGTAGGAGAGAAAAGGAGAAAGTGAAAAAGAAAAAAGGAAACAGATTAAAAATGAATAGTAGTCTATAAAATGTATGTGGCTCAAAAATTGGAAAAAAATAAGAAAAAATATATACTTCAAAATGTCCATGAGATAAAACCAAACCAACTAAGAGAATAACAACTATTTTTGGTGTGAAGACAGGAATTCCCCCAGAGATTTACTACAATATTCCCATTCTGTTGCTTTTTAAAAAGAGTAAACAAAGCATTGCTTCTAACCCCAGGTACCATGGTGAGGTTTAAAAAAAGACATCTTTAGGTAGCAACTGATTCCAGTTACATATTTTATTCTTACTTCTCCTAACTTTGGAAAGAATTTATCTGAAACTGCACACAAATTATGAAATCTTCATATTCCTTACTTAGTGCTTGACTCAAGAACCTATTTTGTCCAGTGGAGATAGTCAGGTATGGGGTATCAGAGACCAAGGAGTACTTAGAGAGAATCCTCCTAAAGTGACCTTGTGCGGGCATCAAACATCAAAGCTCAAACAGGATAAGGGGGTATCCACACGTGGTGGTGGTGGTGGAGGGGGATGCTCCCCAGCTTAGGGCATTGGAGTTTGAGCCAGTTGAAGAGTTCCTCCCACCTATCTATAGTGTTTCTTTTTTTGTTTGTTTTTGTTTTGTTTTGTTTTGTTTAGGAGCAGAGGTTTAATAGGCAGAAGAGAAGAGAAAGAGAAACAGCTCTCTCTATATATAGAGAGAGGGGTCTCCGAACAGAAAGGACCAGCAGGCGGCCCATGTGCCAGATTTTATAGTCAGGTTTGAGGAGGGGTGTCTGATTTACATGGGGCTCACAGATTGGTTTGATCAGGTATGACGTTTACATGGACTATGACATTCCCTGGTCTTGCCAAACAAGATTACTTCCCTGAACTGTAAAGCTTCCCACACATTGCATACAGAGAGGATAAGAGATATGGCGGTCGCAGACAGGAAAGGAGGAAATTACAAAAGGAAAGTTGGAGATCCTGTTGCCGACACCCCATCGAGGCAATTGGAGGCTGGGGCCAGTCCAGAAGCCTTTGGATAACACTGGGAGCTAGCCCTGGTCAGAAATCCTCAGCTGCCTCAGGACTTCTTCCAGCCCCACCTGATGGCTAAGTCTTCCGTGAAAGGAAGCTGGTTCAAACATGGCCAATATGCCCAGCAACCCATGGGTGCCGGGAGATTCTCCATGTTCTCCCTAGTAAGCCTGTCCCCCAAGTCTTTTAAGGCTGGCAGCCACACTAATCGTTTTTAAATGGCTGAAGGGGGCCCAGTATTTGGTTTGATTTGGTTCTAAAATGGAAGCCAAGAGCCTCGAAATGAAAGGACAGAGTTGGAGTCCCCTCATCTATTCATCGTTTCGGTGAATGTTGCACCTTGGTATCTCGGATGAGGTCCCCATTATGAAGTGACTACGTTGTCTGGGGTATATACCCTGGGGTTCATTGTCACGCGACAGGAAAATTTAGGACACGGACACACACAAGGAGTTTAGGAGTGGAGGTTTAATAGGCAGAAGACAAGAGAAAGAGAAACAGCTCTCTGTCTATAGAAAGAGAGGTCTCCGAGCGGAAAGGACCCTATGGTGTATTTTAAACTAAACAGATAATGCATGCTTCGTGTGGCAAATACTGATAGTTGCTTACCCAATAGCCACTCTTTTCACCTTTACTTTCAGAACTTCAATTTTTCAGCAAAACAATGTGCCTAGTAAAAATAATTCCTCAGACTCCCTTGAAGCCAGAATGGACATGTGATCCAGCTCTGGCAAATGAGATCTAAGCAGAAGTCTACTGCATGAGGCTTCTGGGAAAGTTATTGTTTTCCTGATGAAAGGGGACAGACTTAGCTGGCCTTTTGCCACTCTCTTTATTCTTTCTGCCTAGAATGCAGTCACAATACTTAAGAGGTATGAGAGCTATCTTACCAGCAAATAGAAAAAACTACATGATTAGGATGGCCAGGAAGGAAGACAGAAAGAGCCCAGGACCTTTCTATCGCACTAACCCACTTTCTAACCCACTGTGGGTTGCCTCCCTCAAGCCTTTGTGTTACATGAGAACCAGGTATGAGAGCTATCTTACCAGCAAATAGAAAAAACTACATGATTAGGATGGCCAGGAAGGAAGACAGAGCCCAGGACCTTTCTATCCCACTAACCCACTTTCTAACCCACTGTGGGTTGCCTCCCTCAAGCCTTTGTGTTACATGAGAACCAGCATGTTATTCCTTTTTTGGTAACCTGCTAACGGTTCTCTTCACCCTCCTACCCCCATCCTACAGTGTTCAGCTCATTTCAATAAGTTACTGATTTAGTGGTATTAATGTACTAGAACCTCCTCGAACATATTCATATTTGCATTCATCCTACCAGCTTCTGCCTCAGGCAGTATTTGGCTGCCTAAGGCCAAGATGGGGCAGATATAGAAGTCTTGGTGTTGTCCACAGTGGGTTTTGTGTCATTTTGGAAAAAATAAGACATAAGAGAAGTAATACTTCAATGTTTTATATGATTAAGGGGAAGGAGAACTAACACTAGGGCTGGTGCTTTTACTTATAGAATGCTCAAAATAACTGCAAAGCATGCATCACTCTCTTTTTGCAGAGGAGGAAACTAAAGACATTACATAGCTGATGAAGATCTAGGCAGGTAGTATGTAGCAGAATATAAGTCAAACTCAGGTCTGATGGTTCTCAAATCCACACTTGTTCTTTGCAACTCTGACACAACTAGCCAAAATGATCATGGGTCAGTGGCTTCCTGGAGGAGATAGAACTTGGACTAGTCCTGAAGGATGGGCAAAATTTGAAGCTTCGAGGTAGGGAGTAGAAAAAGGGATTGCAGGTATGGAAAGGAACATAAGCAAAGACCAGCTTTCATTGATCATGCCCCATTCAATAGTCAGGAGATGAAATCACTAAAGCAGAGGACTCAGTTCTTTAAACACATAATATCTATTGACTTATCTCCTGTGATATCCTGTGATAGTCACTGTGAGATATGCCAAGGTTAATTTTTTGAAAGTACCTGGCATGTAGTTGCTGCCTGTTTTTTGTTTGTTTGTTTTAGTTTTGTTTTGTTTTTTGAGACAGAGCCTCACTCTGTCACCCAGGCTGGAGTGCAGTAGCATGATGTAGAGACAGGGTCTTGCCATGTTGCCCAGGCTGGTCTCAAACTCCTGGGCTCAAGCGATCCTCCCACCTTGGCCTCCCAAAGTGCTGGGATTACAAGTACAGGTGTAAGCCACTGTACCTGGCCATTTTTTTTGTCCTTTAAGAAAGTGCTGGCTGGGCGCAGTGGCTCATGCCTGTAATCCCAGCACTTTGGGAGGCCGAGGTGGGTGGATTATATGAGGTCTGGAGTTCAAGACCAGCCTGGCCAACATGGTGAAACCCCATCTCTACTAAAAATACAAAAAAATTAGCCAGGCGTGGTGGCAGGCACCTGTAATCCCAGCTACTCGGGAGGCTGAGGCAAGAGAATCACTTGAATCCGGGAGGCAGAGGTTGCAGTGAGCCGAGATCACGCCATTGCACTCCAGCCTGGGCAACAAGAGTGAAACTCCATCTCAAAAAAAAAAAAAAAAAAAAAAAAGAAAGAAAGAAAGAAAGTGCTCTCCTTTCTCAAAGTGAAGGTACTCATCATTTGGATTACTCAGAAAGCTGACAATCTAGCTAGGGAGATTTTTAAATTATTTAAGAGTTCCAAAATAGAAAGTGTCACAAGATGATATAAGACTGGTGATAACAGCCCCAGGGGCTATGCTCTTAACTACTATGCTCTTTTACCCTGCAGTGTATAGGATGTACAGGATGAAAAGATCCCAAGTGAGGACCCCAATCAGGAGGCTGATGTAAGTAACCATGGGGTCATTAGGTTGATGATGAGGGACATGAAAAGGAGAGGATGGAGAAGAAAAACATTTCAACAACAAGGCTAGTTAACAGCTGCTTAGCAGAGTGGAAAAAAGAACAAGCTAAAATGACCCCAAAATGTCAATGGTATAACTAAGATAACTGCATGTCATCGATGGAAATGGAAATGCCAGGACAGGGAGACCATCTGGGAAAGAGAAATATAATGAGTTGAATTTAGTACATGGTGAGACGAGGAGAACAATTATTTAACTATTCAAGTGAGCATATTTGGTAGAGAGTTGGCAGATTGAGGAATGGCAGTCAGATGAATGGCTGTGCTCTGTAGTGACAGTTGAATCTGTGGTGAGAAGGGTTCATGTACTTGAAGGAAAGAATATATAGGGCTGCAGCCACCCATTGAAACCTCTTTGTCCTCCTTGCCCTTGTTGTCGACATCACGTTCCAGTTCCTGCTTGCACTTGCTTTTGGCAATGTGGTTGGAATGTATGTGGCTCAGAACTATGACATACCAAATCTAGCTAAAACATGTGAAGAAATTAAAAAGGAATTGGGTGCCAAGAAGACACCCCCTAGTTCATGAGGTTGACTCCAGCACTGCCTTCTGGATACACCGATTCCACTGCTCTTCAGGCCCTCCTTTACCATCTGAACCAAAAACTTTTGCTTTGTCTTCAGCCTCAGTGATTTTTCTTCTTTGCTAGACCCTGCATTGCCTTAGAACAAAAATGGAGCTAAAAACTATCCTTACTTTCCAACATCTTTGCCTCTTCCCATCCTCCTTTCAGCTGCTTGGGAGGTTCTAAGACTGGAAATATGGTGCTAAATTAGTAAACTAGTAGACTCTCCCGTACTCTTCAGGATTTCTACTATAGGTTGAACATCCCTGGTCCAAAAATCTGAAATCTAAAATGTTCCAAGATCTGAAACTTGAGTGGTCATGCTCAAAGGAAATGCTCATTGGAGCATTTTGGATTTCAGATTTTTGGATTAGGGATGCCCAACTGGGAAGTATAATACAAATATTCTAGTCCGAAAAAATTAAAAAATCCAAAACACTTCTGGTCCCAAGCATTTCAGATAAAGGATACGCAACCCGTATTTTTTATCAAAAGAAAAATTGATGAGTATTATATAATTGGTCAGATACAAATAATGCTGATTTTCCAGTTTAGCAATTGTAATGGTTAAACATTTGATACTAAGTTAGGTTGCTTCAAAGTAATTAAAATTAATATTTAGAAGCAAAAAAAATAACATAAGGATAAAAGCAGAGGACTCAAGACTGAGTCTTGTACTGTGATGACAGCTGAGGTGGAGGAGGGTAGAGGAAAAAAGAAATGAGGAGCTAGCCAAAAAGACTAAGTCTCAGAGAAGTAGAAAACACTGAGTCTGGCACAGTTCCTGGCCCAAGAAGCAGTGCTCAGTGAATTCATAGATGGGGGACAACTGCATTCAATATCCCAGGAACCAAAATTGGAAGAAATTTTGAAGAAAAATGGAGTGATTTTCACTGATGTAAAAAATGCTACAGGGGCCGGGAGCAGTAGCTCACACCTGTAATCCCAGCACTTTGGGAGGCTGAGGCAGGTGGATCACCTGAGGTCAGGAGTTCGAGACCAGCCTGGCCAACATGGTGAAACCCCATCTCTACTAAAAATACAAAAATTAGCTGGGTGTAGTGGCGGGCGCCTGTAGTCCCAGCTACTTAGGAGGCTGAGGCAGGAGAATCGCTTGAACCCAGGAGGCAGAGGTTGCAGTGAGCCGAGACCTCGCCACTGCACTCCAGCCTGGGCGACAGAGCAAGACTCCATCTCAAAGAAAAAAAGAAGCTATAGGGAACAAAGTGTGATTTTTAAAACACACCTATAGATCCTGACAAGATTTAGAAGCACGCTTCTGGAGTATAAGTGGTATTAACACTGGTAACTTTTTGTTGTTGTTGTTGTTGTTGTTGAGACAAGGTCTTGTTCTATCACCCAGGCTGGAGTGCAGTGGCATGATCATGGCTCACTACAGCCTTGACCTCCTGGGCTCACGCAATCCTCCCACTTCAGCATCCCAAGTAACTGGGACTACAGACACACACCACCACGCCCAGCTTAATTTTTAAATTTTTTGTAGAGATAGGCTCTTGTCATGTTGCCTAGGCTGGTCTTGAACTCCTGGGCTCAAGCAAACTTCTTGCGTCAGCCTCCCAGTAGCTGGGATTATAGGCACATTATAGGTGTAGTGACACCTGGCTAATTTTTTCATAGTTTTTGTGGAGACAAGGCCCTACTATGTTGCACAGGCTGATCTAGAACTTCTGGGCTCAAGTGATCTTCCTTCCTCGGCCCCCCAAAGTGCTGGGTTTATAGGCGTGAGCCACCACATCTGGCCTGATAGCATTCTTAGGAGGTAAAAAGGAGTAATGCACATGAACAACAATAAAAGTTGTGCCAACTGACTTGGTGACTCTTAATTAATCTCAATCTCTTAATTGAGTTGGAGTTCTTCATCAGCTACTTTAGTTGCTGAGGAAACATCTTTTATTCTGGGCTCCAGGTCCAGTCTATGATATCCAGCCAAAAGCCATCTCTTTCCAGCCATCTCTGAGCACTAATTTTTTTGCTTTCCCTGCATTCCACCCCAAGTAAAAAAAGACCACCCAACTAATTTTTGGAAAAGTATTCCCGTGATTTTTTCTACTTATTCTTTTCTCCTTCACTCTCTACCACATTCTTTGTTTTTTACCCCCAACTTTTATTTTAAAACAGATAGTATATTTATGAAGTTCAAAAATCAAAACTGTAAAAGGTATACATTTTAAAAGTCTCATTTCCTTGGCTGGGCACATTGGCTCACACCTGTAATCTCAGCACTTTGGGAGGCCGAGGCAGGAGGATTGCTTGAGCCCATGGGCAACATAGTGAGACCCTCTCTGTACAACAAAAAGAGTCTAATTCTCACTTTTGACCCCACTCCCCTTGTTTCCCCTTGTCTTCTATAAGTAACTTGTATTAGTTTCTTATTTGCCCTTTCAGTGGTTCTTTTTTGGGTTTTTTTGTTTGGTTGTTTTGTTGTTGTTGTTGTTTGTTTTTTTTTGAGACAGTCTCATTCTGTCACCTAGGCTGGAGTGCAGTGGCATAATCTCAGCTCACTGCAACCTCCGCCTCCCGGGTTCAAGCAATTCTCCTGCCTCAGCTTCTTAAGTAGCTGGGATTACAGGTGCCTGCCACCACACCTGGCTAATTTTTGTATTTTTAGTAGAGATGGGATTTCACCATGTTGCCCAGGCTGGCCTTGAACTCCTCACCTCAGGAGTTTGCCTTGGCCTCCAAAAGTGCTGGGATTACAGGCATGAGCCACTGTGCCCAGCCCTTTCAGTGGTTCTTGATGTAAAATTAAGCATACACACACACACACACACACACACACACACACACACAATCTCCCCTTTCTTAACACATAAGGTAGCATAGTGAGTACACTGTTCCAGATCTTGGTTTTGTCATCTAACAGTAAGATTTCTCCTGATCAGTACTTAGAGAGATAGATCTTTGGGTTTTTGTTTTTGAGATAGAGTCTTGCTCTGCCACCCAGGCTGGAGGGCAGTGGCACAATCTCAGCTCACTGCAACCTCCACCTCCCAGGTTCAAGCGATTCTCCTGCCTTAGCCTCCCGAGTAGCTGGGATTACAGGTGTGCACCACCATGCTTGGCTAATTTTTCTATTTTTAGTAGAGATGGGGTTTCACCACGTTGGCCAGGTCTCGAACTCCTGGCGTCAAGTGGTCCGCCTGCCTCAGCCTCCCAAAGTGCTGGGATTACAGGCGTGAGCCACCACACCTGGCCTGTTTTTGTTTTTGACTTCGTGTTTATTTGAATGTTGTTTCTTTACCCATCTTCAGTCTTTTCTCCCATCTTTAATGCTTTGCACAATACCATGTTTAGGCTTTATAACTGCCTGGAGGGTTATATGTAATTTTGATATGCCCCTCCCACTGGAATAGTGGTTAAGAGCACAGATACTGGTTTAGATCCCAGTTCAGACACTTACTTGCTGTGGTAATGCTGGTCTTAAGGGTAAAGGAAGCTCAGATTTTCTCTTCTCTTTTTCTCCTCCAACCCCCCCACCCAGAAGGAATGTTAATCTGGATTGGGAAGATTCCATGGCACTAGGCTGTACCACAGTCATAGAAAGAGGAACTTTAAGAAGACTAAAGAGGTAAGTGGTTGTCTCCATCTTCTGCCTGGAAGTGCCCTGTTGCTCATTCTCCCTTTCTCTCCCTTTGCAGCAGCCAGGCCTAGAGGTACAGGCTCCCAAGCATCAATACAACCATCTTTCTTTCAATTTTCTCCTCCTCTAGCACTCATAGGCAGGCCCTCGTCCCATCAGTGGAGGAAGAGCAGATCCTAGAATGTGTGCTTTGGGGGCCGCAGGCCAATCTAGCACAGGAAAACTGCTATGGGCCAGCGCGAGTCCTTACAGTTCTACACTGGTGGTTAGGGCCAAAGCTCCAGCTAATAATGAAGAATCTTTGCTTTGTTTTCTACTCTGGGCATAGATTTCCCTGAGATCGCCTGGAAACAGGTAGTTGGGGCAAGATTCAGGTTCTATTCTGGTTCTACTCCATTTTGGCCAAATACATCCTTAACCATATTGATCTCATCCTTTAATAGGTCCCCTCTTCCCAGTTTTCAAACATGTGACCCTGAACAAATGAGGTACTTGACCTAAGTGTCAATTTCTTCATCTGGCAAAATGGGACCAGTAATGCAGTCTTCATACACTTGATGTGAAGGTTAAATGACTTAATATATGCAAAATAGTGAGCACAGTGCCTGGCTATTATAGCAGGTGCTCAGTAAATGGTTGCTATTATTTTTATTGCTAAGCAGTATAGTGTAGTGGCTAAGAGCATGGCTTTCGGAGTTAAACGGCTCTCTCTGGCCTTGGATCCAGACTCTGAGCTTAGCACCTGTTTGACCAAGGGAAATTAGCTCTCTAAGCTTCAATTTCCTCAATAATAATAATAATAAAGGAATAGTAATAGTACCTCTCTTAGGGTTGCTGAGAAGATTAAATGAGATTCTATATGTAAAGTACTTAACACAGAAACACAGAGTTTGATATATAAGTAGCTGCTATATCTTAACAGCATTTAAAAACTCAAACCCAACTATACTTAAATGATTTATGTCCCTTCAGATACAGTGAGAGGAACCTCTTTACATATACTTGAGCTGGGGAAGAAAGTAACATTTACCCATAAAAATGCACTCATAGTCTATATTTGTATACTTAAATTTTTGTTATGACATAGACTTCATCTCTACAAAAAAATTAATAAATTAGCAAGGCATGGTGGCATGCACCTATAGTCCCAGCTACTTAAGGAGCTGAGGTGGGAGGATCCCTTGAGCCTGGGAGGTCACAGCTGCAGTGAGCCATGATTGCACCACTGCACTCCAGCCTGGGTGACAGAGCAAGACCCTGTCTCAAAATTTTTTTTTGTTAAGGGAGTAGATTTTGTGTCACCTATTTTTCACAATTTTTTTTAAAAAAGCACTCATACAAACAAGTTTTAAGACCAGGCATAGTGGCTCACGCCTATAATCCCAGCACTTTGGGAGGCTGAGGCAGGAGGATTACTTGAGCCTAGGAGTTCAAGAACAGCCTGGGCAACATAGCAAGACCCCATCTCTACAAACAATTTAAAAATTAATTGGGCATTGTGACATGTGCGTGTAGTCCCAGCTACTTGGGGGACTCAGGTAGGAGGCTCACTTGAGCCCAGGAGTTCGAGGTTACAGTGAGCTGTGATGACACCATTGCACTCCAGCCTGGGTGACAGAGCAAGATCCTGTTCCTAAAAAACAAAGAAAAAAAATTAAGCAAGTTTATAAGGGTGAAGGGAGGACACTGTGAGATTCTGAGCATTTACTGTGTCCTATGGTTTACATCTTTCCTTATACTTATGCTAATATAAAAATATAAAATACAGATAACATATATAACATATATAAAATAATATAAAAATAATCGGAACATTATTTTTGGAGTGTTATTTTGTAGTGGGGTTAGATTCAGTATGAACAGCACCATATAGGTATCAAATGCTGCCCTACCTATTGCTCTAACCTTTGATTATTTGCTTTACACAATAGTAACACAAAAGGATTTGTAGTATTATACACCTGATCAAAGTTGTATAAAGAATGTCTGCATTTGTTTTTATTTCAAGCTGCTGAGCCCTGGCTCAAGTCAGAAACGTCTGACTCTTCAAATCTAAGCACCACATTTATACACTTGTTTTCTGTTTTTTTTGTGTTATGCTACCTTTAAAACAGTAATTAGAAGGGGATAATCATCTGCCACCTGAATCCTGGTCTACTGCTACCATTGAATAAATGCAAAAAAAAAAAAACCTTTCTTTTCAAAAAAATTTGGTAGAGATGGTATCTCGTTATGTCACCCAGGCTGGTCTCAAATTCCTGGCCTCAAGCTATCTTCCCGCTTCGGCCTCCCAAAGTGCTGGGATTACAGGCATGAGCCCTGTGTCTGGCCACACACAAAATAAATAAGTAAATAAATAAATAAAAATTTAAAAAAAGCTTCCTAAATAAGAAATTACAATTAAGACTCATATGAAGACATCAATGTATTTATACTAAAGAAACAGAAAAAAAATTCAAAGTAAATAAAGGTAGAGTGTGCATTTAGAATTTTACTTTTCTTCCAAATTTTAGATTTACAACTAAGCCTTTATTCCAGGAAAGAAAGAAAAGCCACTGTTAACTATCATATTCTCCCCCAAATATTAGAGCAACACTGAACACTTTCCTGGACAGTCCTGTACATGTTTTATTGGTGATGCCCAAGCTTATCCCTGAACACTGGGAAAAGTGGGAAGATGTCAAGAGATAAAAGACAGAGGATGACAGATCTGAGAGGGACCGAGTGACTAACTTTCCTCTGCAAGCTCAAAGCAAGAAGTTGACTGCTTTTTCATTTGAACTCTGCCCCAGCATCAACAAATCACCACTCTGGGTTTATGCAACTTGTTTCCTAATTGAATAAAATAAGCCTGAATATGAAAACATATCAGAAGAAAATTTAAGTCAGAAAAAATTTAAGTTAGAAACTGCTGTGCTCTTATCTGTTTCCAATGAATACCAATGATGTTCTTAAAGCTTCCTAGGAGCCTCAATGGGCAGAAACCATAGTTACTATTTCAGTACAAAACAGAAAAAATAGAGATTGTAGAAGGATTGTTACTCGAAAGCCAATCAAGGAGAGTACCTGAAAGGAGGAATTACAGAAGAGACTAAAGTCTGATAGAGTAGAATGAAACACTGGATTGTGAATATTCAATTAAAAAATATTAAACATAGATCACTTTACTGGACTCTAAGCTACTCTCTAGGAATAGAACAATTTCTAAGCCTTGATTCTAGAGCCAATAGTCTAGGCCAAGGCTTCTTAAACTTTAATGTGCATATGAATCCCCTGAAAATCTTGGCTCATGCCTGTAATCCCAGAACTTTGGGAGGCTGAGGTGGGCAGATCACTGGAGGGCAAGAGTTCGAGACCAGCCTGACCAACATAGCGAAACTCCATCTCTACTAAAAATACAAAAAAAAAAAAATTAGCTGTGCATGGTGGCACACAACTGTAATCCCAGCTACTCCGGAGGCTGAGGCACAAGAATTGCTTGAACCCAGGAGGTGGAGGTTGCAGTGAGCTGAGATCGTACCACTGCACTCCAGCCTGGGTAACAGAGCATCTCAAAAAAAAAAAAAAAAAAAAAAGTCGAGGCTTATTCAAGAGATCTGGAGTAGAGCCTTAAATTCTAACAAATTCCTAGGTGATACTGATGCTGCTGGCCCATGGACTACACTTTGAGTAGCAAGAAACGCATGGATAAAGAAATAGAGTGAAGTGTTGCAGGTACTTGGAAATCTATAAAGAGTACTATGTGAGCACCATGGAGGGCCTTTCTACCTCAGAGTATTAGAAAAGGCTTCATACAGGAAGGGATGGATGGGCTGAGTCTTCTCCTGGTAATCATGGGGATAAAGTCAAGAGGTCAACATTAAAGTTCAGTGACTATGGTGTGAGTTGGACAGGCCGTCTAAACTTTCTGGCCCTCAATTTTCTTTCTTTTTTTCTTTTTTGAAATGGAGTCTCATTCTATCACCCAGGCTGGAGTGCAGTGGTGCTATCATCTCAGCTCAGTGCAACCTCCGCCAATCAAGCCATTCTCCTAGCTCAGCCTCCCAAGTAGCTGGGATTATAGGGGCGTGTGACCACACCCAGCTAAGTTTTGTATTTTTAGTAGAGATGGGGTTTTACCACGTTGGCCAGGCTGGTCTTGAACTCCTCACCTCAGGTGATCCACCCACCTTGGCCTCCCAAAGTGCTGGGATTACAGGCGTGAGCCACTGTGCCCAGCCTCAATTTTCTTCCTCATCAGTAAAATGAGGGATTAAAAATGTCCAGACCCTACATGATCCTAAAACCAGATTACTGTGAGACAAGTTTTAAAATATTTAATATAAGATCAGTTTAGAAGTTAGGGTGAAATAGTATAAAAGATTCTAAGCCAGGTACGGTGGCTCGTGCCTGTAATCCTAGCACTTTGGGAGGCCAAGGCGGGTGGATCACCTGAGGTCAAGAGTTCGAGGCCAGGCTGGCCAACATGGTGAAACCTCATCTCTATTAAAAATACAAAAATTAGCTGGGTTTGGTGTTGAGTGCCTGTAATCCCAGCTACTTGGGAGGCTGAAGCAGGAGAATTGCTTGAACCGAGGCGGAGGTTGCAGTGAGCCAAGATCGCACCATTTGCACTCCACCTGGGCAACAGAGCAAAAACTCCATCTCAAAAAAAAAAAAAAGTATAAAAGGTTCTATCAATTCACCTAACAAACAAACCAACATACATTTGACAAATGAAAGTACATCAATCAATAGGAAAACCGCAGTAAGTCTTGTATTTTTAGTAGAGACGAGGTTTCACCTTGTTGTCCAGGCCGGTCTCGAATTCCTGACCTCAAGTGATCCTCCAACCTTGGCCTCCCAAAGTACTGGGATTACAGGCGTGAGCCTCCATGCCTGGCCCAAACCGCAGGAAGTCTTAACAGCATCTTGCACTTGTTTTTTCCTGTTCAGTTGCCTATTTGTAGCCGAGTGTATGGCTTCACAGCAGAACTGCTTTAAAAGAATACCATATAGAAGTCTTTCTTTATTTGCAGCGATACATTCCAAGACCCCTAGCGGATGCCAGAAACCATGGATAGTACCAGACCCTATATAAACTATGATTTTTCCTATATATACATACGTATATACATATAACATTTAATTTATAAATTAAGCACAGTAAGAGATTAATAAAACAGAACAATTATAACAATATACTGTAATAAAAGTTATGTGAAGGTGATGTCTCTCAAAATATCTTATTGTTCTGTACTCAGGTATTTTGGGACTGTTGGTTGACCACGGGTAACTGAAACCACAGAAAGTGAAACGCAGATAAGTGGGGAGTCCTACTGTACTCATTTTGCTCAGCACAATAATGCTTAATATTTATAAAGTACCTTTCATTTTCAAGGCACTTTACAAACATCAGTTAATTACTTGTCACACAATTTGCAAGTTAATTTTCATTAGTCCAATTAGGAGTGGACCAGATAAAACTGAAAGAGTAAAGGCAGGCCCCAGAGGGAGGATCCAAGCCAAGGTGAGAATGGTGGGGCTGTGTATGACTTATGCTCACAGTTTTTATAGGTGAGAAACAGCCCTCACCAGGAGAGCACTAAAACACTAGAAAAGGAAGAAATTGCCATTTCTGAACATCTTGCTGGAGTTTGCCACTAAGAACCAAAACATATAAGGAAAGAGGTGAAGTATTTTAAAGGCTTATTACCCCACCCCATCTACAAAAAAAGAAGTCAACAGTGAATGACTCCATTTTCACAAAAAAGATGTCTATTATGAAAATTCAAATGAAGTTTAGCTTTCTTCGTGTTGTAGTTTTAAAGGATAAAATATTTTCTAGAATGAGTTTCGAAGAAGTGATCATATCCTAATTACAATACTTTCTCTTTGTATAGAGAATGGTTAAGTATGGCTAGGTGCGGTGGCTCATGCCTGTAATCCCAGCACTTTGGGAGGCCAAGGCAGTCAGATCACTTGAGGTGAGGAGTTTGAGACCAGCTTGGCCAATATGGTAAAACCCCATCTCTACTAAAAATACAAAAAATAGCTGGATTAGCCAGGCATGGTGGTGCGCACCTGTAATCCTGGCTACTCGGGAGGCTGAGCCAGGACAATCACTTGAACTGAGGAGGCAGAGGTTGCAGTGAGCCGAGACTGCATCACTGCACTCCATAGCAAAACTCCGTCTCCAAAACAACAACAAACAGCTAAGTATGTTCCTTTTAAATGAGAAAAACAAATTTTAAACATCAAGAATTATCCAATAATCTGGCTGGGCGCAGTGGCTCATGCCTGTAATCCCAGCACTTTCGGAGGCCTAGGTGGGCAGATCACCTCAGGTCAGGAGTTTGACACCAGCCTAGCCAACATGGTGAAACCCTGTCTCTACTAAAAATACAAAAGTTAGCTGGGCATGGTGTCACGCGTCTGTAATCCCAGCTACTCGGGAGGCTGAGGCAGGAGAATCACTTGAACCCAAGAGGCGGAGGTTGCAGTGAGCCAAGATTGTGCCATTGCACTCCAGCCTGGGCAACAAGAGTGAAACTCCATCTCAGAAAAAAAAAAAATTATCCAATAATCCAGGCTGTCACTACTAAAAAAAAATTATCCAATAAAAAATAATTTTTGTTATTGTCTTGTGCATGTTTTTTCTCAGTGCTCCAAATGCTGCAAATGTACATGCAGAACCTTTATAAAAATAATAAATGTTATTTTAAAAACTAATCAATCTGCAGTTGTTTCAGTCCTTCTGATTTATGGGCTAGGAGAGGGAGAAGTTGGGTACAAAAGACTGGAAAATTTGTAATTTTAAAATAAGGTCCATTTGTATAAACCTGAAAGTGTATCACTATTTTTGTTAAATATGGAAGAGAAAGATACCTAATCTTACTATCCATTCATAATAACATTCAAAATAAAATTCCTTTTAGCAAAGGAAGCATTATATTGGAAATTCCTTAGATTAAAATAGGTTTTCTACTTCCTTTGCATTGCTCCAGCGTCTTACACACACACACAGACACACACACACACAGCTCACAGCTCATATCTCATTAACTTAAGATGTAGATTAGAGCATTTTACATTTAATATTTAAAAAATTACGTCAAGTTTTGGCACATGTATGAGTAAATGCATGTTATAGAGTGCTCTTAGTGGTAAGTCATTTTATCAGTCCATTTCAGGTTACTATAAAAGAATGTCTGAGACTGGGTAATTTATAAAGAAAAGAGTTTCTGGGCCGGGCGAGGTGGCTCACGCCTGTAATCCCAGCACTTTGGGAGGCCAAGGCGGGTGGATCACTGGAGGTCAGGAGTTCGAGACCAGTCTAGCCAACATGGCGAAACCCCATCATCTCTATTAAAAATTCAAAAATTAGCTGGGCGTGGTGGCATGTGCCTGTAATCTCAGCTACTCAGGAGGCTGAGGAAGAATTGTTTGAACCTGGGAGGTGGAGGTTGCAGTGAGCTGAGATCACGCCACTGCACTCCAGCCTGGACGACAGAAGGAGACTCCGTCTCAAAAAAATAAAGAAAAAAGAAAAAGAGGTTCTGTAGGCTCTCTTAAAGAGGTTCTTTATAAAGAAAAGAGGTACTTTATAAAGAAAAGGGGTTCTGTAGGCTGAGAGGTTCAAGGGCATGGCTCTGGCTTCTGGTGAAGGCTTTTGTGCTACATCACAACATTGTGGAGAAGGTTAATGGGGAAGTGGACATTAGCAAAGAGAAGGAAACCCTTACCCTGCTTTATAGCAACTCACTCTCACGGAGCTAATCCAGTCTCTCTAGAGACAGGACCAAGCCATTCAGGAGGGATTGGGCTGCATAATTCAAACACCTCCCACTAGGCCCCATCTCCCAACACTGCCACACTGGGGATCAAATTTCAACATGAGCTTTGGTGGGGACAAACAGACCATATACAAACCATTGCAGCCATTTTCATTTTAACAACATTTATTACAAATCACATTTTATAAACACTAGATAAATTACATATAAAAGCTAGACATAAATATAAAGAAGCAAAACAAAAACAGCAGTACTATTAATGCAAGAGAAATAAGCTAATATAATATTTAAACACATATAACTTAATAAAATTACCAATTTTTCATTGTTAATAATTTTTCATAAATTCAAAAGCTATTCAGAAATGAAATGTAATACATTCTGATTACTATCAAAGGTTAGAATTATAGAAACAACCATAGCACTACTTATTTTTTAAAATCGTTTCAAACATTCAGAAGCCAAATGACTGTCCTTAAAGACAAATTAAATGGGTAAAAGGTCTTATCTAACAGAAGAATACAAAATTTTAAGCTTTGGTTAATAGATAATAAGTGTAGTGGAAATTTTTAAATTAACATCTCCCTTATATGTTATATTCCTGAGTTGTTGCTCAAATATCATAAAGAACTTAGTTTATAGCTTTATATAACATTGCATTTTATTTTTGAAAAACAAAAAGTATTGTTATTATTTGAAATGTGAATAATGGTGTTTAATAATATCATCATGGCCAGGCGCGGTAGCTCACACCTGTAATCCCAGCTCTTTGGGAGGCTGAGGTGGACGGATCACCTGAGGTCAGGAGTTCGAGACCAGCCTGACCAACGTGGAAAAACCCCATCTCAACTAAAAATACAAAAATTAGCCAGGTGTAGTGGCGCATGCCTGTATTCCCAGCTACTCAGGAGGCTGAGGCAGGAGAATCGCTTGAACCCAGGAGGCGGATGTTGTGGTGAGCCGAGATCGCGCCATTGCACTCCAGCTTGGGCAACAAGAGTGAAACTCCACCTCAAAAATAATAATAATAATAATAATAATATAATCATAACAGGATGGAGTCCCTTTAATTTAGCTTAACTAAGGGAAAAACTAATGCCGTCTGACCACTATTTGCAAAGATCATTTGTAAATTGTGATCAAAATTATATTAAATCTGTCACCAACTTTTATTTGCACCTTATGAAATCATGTTGATTTTGTAGTATTGAATGCCCTTATAAAAGAATTGAAATGATGCAGTGCTAATGGTTAGCACAAGGCCACGCACAGGGTGAGCGCTCAATATTACTAATTAATTTAAAGTGAAAATCTTTTAATGTATTATTTCTGCACCTTAACATGCAATTCAATGTAGTAGTTATTAACCCAAAAATATCCAAAAACATTTTAAACATGAAAATACATTTTAGTAACAATCATAGGAATGTTTACAAGTGGTTATTTTCAGTCTTAGTTTTATCAAAATAGAATTAAATTTCAGATTCCTTTTAAAAATAGGCCTATGAAAGCTGATTTCATAATAGCTGCTATATGTGATGTGGATGGCAGATTCAGTGCCTTCTCACAAGTTCAACCTATTGACACCTCCTGAACCAATTACTTTAGATTACAACATACCCCTTAAAACAGAGTTTCCCCTGAAGACTGAATCCGTGCATCTGAGGATTGGGTCCAAGAATGTGGATTTTTAAACAAGTAGCTCTCCTCTGCTTCCTGGTAAATTATTATGATCAGGTAGATTTGGGAAACAGTGCTTTAAAGCAACCAAAATAATTTTATCATACTTGAACATTACTTGATATGAATGGCATATCTAATGAAAAATCAAATGTATCAAGCTTTTTAATAATCTGCATAGCTTATCATCATGCCTATTTCTTACCTAAAAGTCACAAGGTTTTGTTCCAATTCTCTTGATAGCCCACAAGAGCTAATAAAAGTTATCACCTTTTTAAAAACTGCTGGTGATTGGGCTTCTACAGTTTTAGCATTGCATATACCTTTTCTTATCAGGAAGCAGAAGAGTCATATAGCAGTTGTATTAAAAAACTAAACAATGTGTAATTTATTCAAATAATCATACTACTTACGAAGTAGTCTTTAAATAGCTATACCAACATCTGTTAGTAGAGTTACTTGCCAAGCTGGTTATCAAATGCCTATTTCTTTAAAAAATTCAATTTACAAAGTATTATGTCAACTCCATGTACAAAATCTCATTTGCCATATAATGCAACTAGGAAGCAATTATATAACTGGATATGTGTACATAAAAATGTGCATAGGTTCATTCTAATTGATCGACTAGTAACAAATCCCTCTAAATTGAAAAAGGTAAAATAAGCAATGATATGGAGTCTCAAAAAAAGTATCATGGAGCACTGAGGAAAGTTTAAATTATTAGAGATTTGAAAGAACATTTAAATAGGATTAAAATAATAAACTTTTAGCTACTTCTGTTTTCTAATAAGAATATCATATGCAGAGAAACAAAACTGCAAGCTTATTAAAATGGGTTAAATAGCTTTTAAGCTGATTAAAACTACTTAATTTAAAATGAATTATTTTTGAACCTCAAGTAAATGATGTAATACTCAACAATTTATTAAAAAATAAACTTTAAAAGTTTTAGCATTAGTAAAAACCATTGCTAATACACAAAAGTGTATTATCAAATTCTATATTCACAAGTTGGGAAAGGCTTAATACCAAGTCCTGGTTCCACATTGCACTTCATATTCCCATCTGTATATCAGCAAAGTTGTAGAAGCTGTCTACATCTCCAGATGCCGTCTCCTTGCTTTCAGATACAAACATCTATTTTAAATAGAAAATTAAAAAAAAAAATCAGTACCAAGTACTTCAGAATGCCAAAGCCCATGTTCTCCACAGAACAAAGTTCCAAGCTAATTATTCAAAAGAAGTTCAAGTACATCATTTATAATGACAATATTTAATCTGTAGATTTTCTTTAGAATTCATGTAATACACTTTGAATAGCTATAATGTAAATTAAGCTCTTTTGGAAGCACTTATATAATTAAGGTCTCTGCTTTCATAATACTTGAGTTGTATTTTATTACATCTGGACTTTTACAACACTCAATATTACGGAAGCTACTGAATAAGAGTCACTTAAAAAACTCTTTGTTTCTTCTATTTTCTAATAATAATCTCAGTAGTCTGAGCAGCAAAACTTGAGATTATCCCTTTCAAAGCTGCTAAAGATATATTATTATTTTTTATTTTATTTTATTTATTTTTGAGACAGAGTCTTGCTCTGTTGCCCAGGCTGGAGTGCAGTGGTGCAATCATGGCTCACTGCAGCCTAGACTTCTGGACTCAAGTGATTCTCCTGCCTCAGCCCCCCAAGTAGCTGGTACTAATGGTGTGTACCACCATGCCTAGCTAGTTTTTTTTTTTTTTTTTTTTTTTTTTTTACTTTTTGTAGAGTCTCACTATGTTGCCCAGACTGGTCTTGAACTCCTGGGCTCAAGCAGTCTTCCCGCTTCAGCCTCCCAAAGTGCTGGGATTACAGGTGTGAGCCACCACACCCAGCCTGTTATTTTTAAATAAACTATCTGCTAAACATCAATGAAGCAATACTCAATAGAACCCTTCTAAAGTAGCTTTTACAAATGTCAGCAAGGAATTAGAGCAGATGTGGGTTCTATTCTAGCTTTATCGTAAACTAGCATATGATGCTGACAATTTAATAAACCTCTGTGGGCTCAGTAACTACACCTGTAAAATGAGAAAGCTGGATTAGATAATCTCTAAATCATTCAGCTCTAAAAGTCCAAATTCTAACCATTTTATCTCTCAGTTTCCTTTTCTATTCAACCTGGTATTTTCCCTCTCCCTTAGTACTACTGTGATGATAAAATGAGATCAAAGACAAAGTACTTTAATTTTTGTAAATTCAAGGAATCATAAGCCAAATCAGATGATAAAACCAAAATGTCCTCCCAGGTATTTATCAAAAAGTAGTCAATTATAGATTTGCTAATGTAATCCTCTATGTTTGGTTTTAAATTTATTTATGTCTGCAATTCTTAGATACAGCAACTTCATCAATATATTTAGAAAATGCCTACATGTGATGATTTCTTTTTTTTTTTTTTTTGAGACAGAGTCTCGCTCTGTCGCCCAGGCTGGAGTGCAGTGGCGGGATCTCGGCTCACTGCAAGCTCCGCCTCCCGGGTTCACGCCATTCTCCTGCCTCAGCCTCCCAAGCAGCTGGGACTACAGGCGCCCGCCACTACGCCCGGCTAATTTTTTTTTGTATTTTTAGTAGAGACGGGGTTTCACCGTTTTAGCCGGGATGGTCTCGATCTCCTGACCTCGTGATCCGCCCACCTCGGCCTCCCAAAGTGCTGGGATTACAGGCGTGAGCCACCGCGCCCGGCCTACATGTGATGATTTCTATGTATATCTGAAGTTCAATTTTTGGTGAAGCATTACTGAAGCAAGTAAAAATGAACCCTGGGCGTAAAAATGAACCCTGGGCAACAGAATCGTCCATCTAAAGACTATAATCTTAGAAATAAAATATTTTCAACAAATCAGTATTTTTAAAAATGCAAAGACTTGAAAAGACATTTGATGAGACTTTTTACTTTAGAAACATATACTATAGAAGGTTTTTAATAAATAGATTCTTATTTTGTAATTATTTTAAACAATTAAAGTTTAGTTTGGCAAGAAAAAAATCACAGCTTAGTTCCCAATTATTTATCAAAGGTTCTAAAAATCATGATCTGCTTTAAACACACACACACACACACACACACACACACCCCAAAAATTCCAAGCAACATTAGGGACAAAAGTATTAAAGTATTATTTGACTGTAAGGAAAAGGAGATGAAATGAAAAGTTAGATTGAAATACAGTCAATAAAATCTTGTACCTTGGTCCCATTGAATATCTCGTTTACAATAAGTTGACATACTTCTACAGCACCATCCCCATTAAACTCCAAGGCAATAACAGGACCTATAAGCAAACCCAAGAAACATTTTCTTAACACAAATACAAATATATTCTAAATTTAATCTTTTTATTCTTCCCTGAAGAATCTCCAGCATCTTCTTTGAGGGTGAAAGAGAAGGAAGAGGAAAGCAGACAGATGGGACATATCACCTCAGCTGCTTCTTCCTACGCTAATCATAAAACAAATTAACACAGTCTCATAACAAGTAGCTTCAGTACTATTATAGGACTAGTGTCACATTTTTAAAGTGTTGTAAATAGTCTGGCTTTTCTGGTTCTCATTCTTCTATAAAAACCACAGAAATTCTACTCATTTAGGAGTATAAAAATAGTTGATAAAATAGCAAATAAGATCAAAAGCAATCCAAGTCAACATAAGTAGGTTTTGCCAGGCAGCCAGCCTTGCTTCCAACTCTCCTACTTACCAGCCAAGTTCTAGGCCACCAATAATGAAGCTAAGCCAAATAAGAATTGAGGCCAGGCACCAAAAGTGATGACCATCTGAAAGTATTTTCCTTGAGTGTGTCTTAAAGCTACATTCTAGAAACATAGACAAAGTTTTTATTTTTTAATCCTTTTAATAGAATATCTGTGCCTCCTTTCTCATACATTAATTTGAAAACATTAAAAACCTCCTACAGTGATGGAAAAGTCTTGATCTCCAGGAAATTACAAATGTATTGAAAGAAGACATAAACCCATTAAACAAATACAAACCAACACAGAATAATGAAGTACGAAGTAATGAAATACTAGAGTGAATGAATATGAAACACTAAATTGAATGTAACCGTGTGCTGCAGTACAAGGTACAAGAATGAGAAAGAAAAGGTTACACTACATTGGGCATCAAGATAACTGAAGGCTTGTGATTTTTTTTTTCTTGGAGGCTTGTGATATAATACAGGCAACAAATACAGAAAAGGCAGGATATAGTGGTCCCTAGGTATCTGCAAGGATTGGTTCCATTTGTTGCTCAAATCCCTTATATATTAATAAAATGGTATAGTATTTGCATATAACTTATGCACATCCTCCTGTATACTTTATTAAAAATGTATTAAAATTTCTTTTAGAGATAGAATCTCACGGCTGGGCACAGTGGTTCATGCTTGTAATCGTAGAATTTTGGGAGGCCTAGGCAGGAGGATCACAAGCCCTGGAGTTGAAGACCAGCCTAGGCAACAAAGCAAGACCCCGTCTCTACAAAAAATTAAAAAATTAGCTGGGTGCAGGGTCACAGGCCTGTAGTCCCAGCTACTCGAGGGACTGAGATGGAAAGATCACTTGACCCCAGGAGTTTGAGGTTATAGCAAGCCATGATCAAGCCACTGCACTCTAGCCTGGACAACAGAGCGAGACCATGTCTCAAAAAAAAAATAGATATGGGGTCTCACTATGTTGCTCAGTCTGGTCTCAAACTCTTGGCCTCAAGCAATCCTCTTGCCTTCAGCCCTGGCCAGGAGTTCAAGAACATATTGTAATAAAACATCTAACCTTACAAAAGAAAAGCTTAAAATCTTAAATTTTTATTTAGAAATATCAATGTAAACTCATGATCTTTTCCTTTTTAAAAATACATAGTTTCTAGCTATGTCCACTGAAAAAGCTTAAAAGAAATGACAACCCAGTAATACATAGCACCTAACATGTATTTCTAAATATCATTCCCCACTAAAAATAACTAAGTAATCTTAGAAAAATAGATGATTCCATGTCTGGGGCAAGAAATGGATTAAGGTCAATGTGGAATATTTTCTTCAGCCAAAAAGTAATGAAGCTATCAAAGGCCAGTGGGGTTCTATCAAAAGGAGACAGAAGCCAGCCTGAAGGGGCTCCCAATGGCCAAAGATGAGACATAGTGAAACAGAAGGAATAATGACTCTGATTTATTAAAATTAATATATAAAAAGTCATGAGTTCATAATGATACTTAGAGAGATCCTCCTTACTACCAGATATTTTTAAGGAAAATAAAAAAAGAAGAGAGAAACAAAATTCACTGTATACCAATGGAGGTTGCTAGGGCACCAATTCACTACTCTGAAAATTGATGCTTATTTTTCTCTTTATTTATTCTGCTTTTCTGACATGAAGCATATTTCAAGTTAACCAAACAGCTCTGGCATACGAGGAGTTCTGTTAACATCTGTTAATAAATGCAGAGGTAGTGACAAGATTAAAAAGTAAGTTTGCTAAAAAAAAAAAAAAAGAAAGAAAATACAGAAAACAGTCATTTTGCAACGCCTATTAAAACAATTGGTTCAGGCAACAATCATCAATGGTTTTAGCATCCCACAGAGAAGACTGCAGGAAACTCTACAATAAAAAGAGAAGGTCGTCACCGTGTAAACCCAACCATTAAATCTTAGTATCCCTAAAAGTACAACAATCAAACATTATGTGCCTTCTCAATTAATGCAACAGGAAACAGTACCATCTATGTATTCCTGCCAAAAAAAATTAAAAAATAAAAGTAAAAAAATAACTAAACCTGAACGTAAACAAGGCTTTGATCTAACTTCTAGTCTGCAAGAAATATGGAGGAACGAATTAAACAACCTCATAAATACTATAACATAATTGACCAAGCTTCTTTCCCAAGACAAAGGCAAGAAAAAAGTAGTAGAGGGGGAACACCTGTTTTTGATTTAAGAGCGATAGAAGATTAAAAAAAAAAAACCAAATACAGTAAGTGGGTCTATTTTAGATCTGGATCAAATTAACTGTAAAAACACAAAGAATTATTTTAGTAAGTAGGTAAATCTGCATATAGACTGAATATTAGAGGATACTAAGGAATTATTGTTAATTCTGTTAAATGTGATAATGCACTGTAGTTAAGAAAACATTTTTAATTTTGTTTTAAGATAATGAAATATTTAGGGATGAAATGACAGGATGAATCAATTTGATTAAAATGTTTTAGCAAACAATGAGTTTTTTTTTTAAGTATGGCAAGAAGTTGATGAAACTGGGTGATGGGTACACATGGGGGTCATTGTACTCTCTACATTTAGTACATTTGGAAATTTGCAAAATGAGTTTAAAAAGTACTTTAAACCTAATAAATACTGAACTAAAAAGAAAAGGTTGATAATAAATGTAGGGTTTCCAGTTTTGCAAGGTAGAAAGTTTGAATTAAGGTAGAATATAGTTTCATCACTACAAGGAAATATAGTGTGTGTGTGTATTTAAGTTAGACATTTATTATTAAAAGTTCCAGTCTTTCTATAAAGAACATGTAATCTAGAATTCAGAAATACAATCTTGGTAGAATTACTCAGGTATATAACTTGATTGATATTGACTAGAATATGATAAACTTCCAATAAATGACCTAATAATTTTCCAACAAAAAAGTGGACAAATGCATTTGTTTTAACATGTGTGGATAATCTTAAATTTAAAAAGACTACAATGTTTGTCTTATATGCTTGACATAGATTTGCAACTCAGTAGTTTATGGTGTTCCTAGAACGCAGCTGAAGACCTGGTATGTAGAGGAAATATGAGGGGTGGTGCTAGAAGACAGACATCTGTGGAATGATTCACATCCTCTCAAATTAGGAGGATGGAGGCCTGCTTCATTAAGAAGCTCAGGGTCAGGTGGGGGTGGGGAAAACACTTAGCAACATGGGGAACCGTCAGGGGAGTCTCCTTATTTCTGTTCTGCATATGAAGACTCCTATAGCAGCCAGGTGAGGCTCTCTAGTTTAATAAAAATCATGGGAAGAGTCTGAAGACTCTTCATAAGTGTTAATAGGGATTTTTATCAGCTTATTTTGGTTGCAGTTTCCAATTTTTGAAAATGTTTAGGTAATCTTTTCCACCTTCCCAAATCCTAATTCTTTAGATTCATTAGTGTTGAACCAATGCTTTCTCATGTCTCAATTCTTTGTTTATGCATTCTTTTCATATGTATTAAACAAACAAAAACCCTTAAAAAAACTACAGTGTTGACAATGCACTTGCTAAGCACTACTAAATTTTTTAAAAACTACAATGTTGACAACACACTTGTTAAACACTACTATTTGTCCCTCTATCTAATGATGATGCCAATTACTGTGATTATTTCTAACTGAACTATGAGGTCAACAAGGATTACTGGTCATGTTTTTAGTGTTTTAATATGAACATCTTATTCAGAGAGTTCATGGTAGCTTTAGATCTAAATATTTCAGCTGTCATGAAAAATTGTGAGACTCTGAAGCAGACAAAAAAGATTTCTGGATGTCTTATCTAGTGAACCCTTCTGAGATCTAACATGACCTTGGAACAAGCCACTATGTCTCAATTAGATTACTGCAACAGCCTCCTAGCTGGTCTTTCTGCTTCCCCATTAAAGCGACCAGTGACAGGATTTACACTTTAAAAGGACCATGACATTCCTCTGCTCTAAAACTGCCTATAAAGTATGATCTATATTTTTATTTTTAATTGCTCTAAAAATAAGTGACGGTTCAGGCCAGGCACAGTGGCTCACTCCTGTATTCCTAGCAGTTTGGGAGGCTGAGGCAGGCAGATCGCTTTAGCCCAGGAGTTCAAGACCAGCCTAGGCAACATGGCAAAGCCCCATCTCTACAAAAAAATACAAAAATTAGCCAGGCGTAGTAGCCCATGTCTGTAGTCCAAGCTATTCGGGAGACTGAGGTAGAAGAATCACCTGAGCTCTGGAGGTCGAAGCTGCAGTGAGCCGAGATCAAGCCACTGCGCTCCAGCCTGGGCATCAAAGTGAGATCCTGTCTCAAAAACAAACACACAAACAAACAAACAAACAAAAAAACACCAGACAGTTCAAAGCAATAACATTAACAACGTATTAGGTGTTTATAGCATATACAACAGTAATATATGACAATAATGACACAGAGATGAGAAGGAAGAATTAAGAATATAATGTTATCAGGTCCTTAGATGACAGGTGAAGTTGTGTAATATTAGAAGGTAGACTCAAATTATTTAAAAATATTTGCTGTAAAACCCAACATAACCATTAAATAAGTTTTTGAAGAAGAGGTATAAATATGTCAATAGACAAGATTAAGTGGAATTACAAAACTGCTAAAAAGAAAAAGAGGTAATAAGAAAAAAAGAACAACTGGAACAAATCAGCTAGCAAAATGAAAGATTTTGATCCAACTGTATCAATAATCCCTTTCAATGTGAATGGTCTAAATACAGCAGTTAAAAGAGACTGGATTGAAAAGCAAAAACCAACTACATGCTGTCTACAGAACACTCACTTTAAATATACAGCCTTGATAAGCTACAAGAAAAAAAGATAAATCTTTACAATAAAACACTAACCAAATGAAAGCTAGAGTAGCTATATTAATTTGAGATGAAGTAGATTTCAGAACAAGGAAAATTATCAGAGATAAAGAAAGACATCAGAGTCGGACATGGTGGCTTGTGCCTGTAATCCCAGCTACTGAGGAGGCTGAGGTGGGAGGATTACTTGAGCCCCAGGAGTTCGAGGCTGCAGTTGAGCTATGACTGCACCACTGTACCCCAGACTGGGTGACAGAGCAAGAACCCCTCTCTTAAAAAAATGAGGGACATCACATAACCATGAAGGATTCTCCAAGAAGATATAACAATCCTAAATGTGTATGCACATAATAACAGAGCTTCAAAATACATGAGACAAAACCTGACAGGATCTGAAAAGAGAAACAGACAAATCCAAAATTACAGTTGGAGGCTTCAACACTCCTCTCTCATTGATTTATGGAACAAGTAGGCAGAAAATCAGCAAGGATACAGATAACCTGAATAGCACTATCAACCAACTTGACCTAGTGGACATTTATAGAAAATTCAACCAAGCAACAGCAGATTACACATTCTTCTCAGATGCACATAGAATATTCACCAAGATAAGCCATATTCTGTGCCATAAAATACATTTTAATATAAAAAACAGAAATCATACAAATGTGTATTCTTGGACCATAACAGGATTTAGAAATCAATAATAGAAATACACTTGGGCAATCCCCAAATGTTTGGAAATTAAACAATTATACTTCTAAATAATCCGTGGATCAAGTGAGGTCTCAAGGGAAACTAAAAAATAGTTTTAACTAAATCAGTGGTCAACATACTTTTTCTGTAAAGGGCCAGACAGGAAATATTTCAGGCTTTGTGCACCATAATGTAATAGATAAAAGAATGAGTGGCCGGGTGTGGTGGCTCGCACCTGTAATCCCAGCACTTTGGGAGGCTGAGGCGGGCAGATCACCTGATGTCAGGAGTTTGAGACTAGCCTGGCCAACATGGTGAAACCCCATCTCTACTGAAAATACAAATATTAGCCGGGCGTGGTGGCGGGCACCTGTAATCCCAGCTACTCGGGAGGCTGAGGCAGGACAATTGCTTGAACCCGGGAGGCGGAGGTTGCAGTGTGCCACTGCACTCCAGCCTGGGTGACGAGAGCAAAACTCCATCTCACAAAAAAAAAAAAAAAAAAAAAAAAAAGGAATGAGCGTGGCTGTGCTCCAATAAGACTTCACTTATTAAAGCAGGCAGTGGGCCATAATTTGCCAAACTCTGAATTAAATAAAAATGAAAATACAACATATCAAAATTTGTGAGATGTGCTAAAGCAGTGCTTAAAGGAAAAATTGTAACATTAAATAACAGATATAGTCAATCCTCATTATATGCAGATCCCTTCATTTCAAATTTACCTACTTGCTAAAATTCATTTCTAACTCCCCAAATCAATGCTTGCAGTGCTTTCATGGTTATTTGTGGACATGCACAGTGGCAAAAAATTAGAATTGCCTGATGTGCATGCTCCCAGCTGAGGCTGAACAAGGTGATACTCTGCCTGTTTCAGCTATTGTAGTATAAGAAAGTGTCCTTTGTGAGGTCTAGGTAGTGCCGTATTTTTCACATTTTTGTGCTTTTTGTTGGTGATTTTACCTGTTTAAAATATCCCCTAGGCCAGGCACAGTGGCTCATGCCTGTAATCCCAGCACTTTGGGAGGCTGAGGAGGGAGGATTGCTTGAGGCCAGAAGTTCAAGATCAGCCTGGGTAACATGGCAAGACCCCAACTCTACAACATTGTTTAAAAAAATAGCTGGGGGCTGGGCGTGGTGGCTCATACCTGTAATCCCAGCACTTTGGGAGGCCAAGTTGGGTGGATCACCTGAGCCCAGCAGTTCAAGACCAGCCTGGGCAACAAAGCAAGACCCTGTCTCTTTTATGTTAAAAAAAAAATAGCTGGGCATGGTGGAGTGAACCTGTAGTCCTAGCTCCTTGCGAGTCTGAGGTGGGAGGATCACCTGAGCCCATGAGTTTGAGGTTACAGTGAGCTATGGTCATACCACTGCACTCTACCCTGGCTGACAGAGCAAGACCCTGTCTCCAAAAAAATAAAATAGCCCCCAAACACAGTGCTGAAGTGCTGTCTAATGGCTCCTAAACTGAGGAAAGTTGTGATGTGCCTCATGAGAAAATGTGTTAGATAAGCTTTGCTCCAGCATCAGTTCTAGTGCTGTTGGCTGTGAGTTCAATGTTAACGAATCAACAGTATATGCTAAATAAGGTATCTTTAAACACACATTAAACAAAGTTATGTATTGCACCAGGCGCGGTGGCTCACGCCTGTAATCCCAGCACTTTGGGAGGCCGAGGCAGGCGGATCACCTGAGGTCAGGAGTTTGAGACCAGCCTGACCAACATGGAGAAACCCCATCTCTACTAAAAATACAAAATTAGCCGGGCGTGGTGGCACATGCCTGTAATCTCAGCTACTCAGGAGGCTGAGGCAGGAGAATCACCTGAACCCGGGAGGCGGGGGTTGCGGTGAGCCGAGATCACACCATTGCACTCCAGCCTGGGCAACAAGAGCAAAACTCTGCCTCAAAAAAAAAAAAAAAAAAAAGTATGTATGAAAACCTACAACTGACGGCCGGGCACGGTAGCTCACGCCTGTAATCCCAGCGCTTTGGGAGGCCGAGGTGGGCGGATCACCGAGACCAGCCTGACCAACATGGAGAAACCCCGTCTTCATTAAAAATACAAAATTAGCCGGGCGTGGTGGCGTGCCTGTAATCCCAGCTACTCAAGAGGCTGAGGCAGGAGAATCACTTGAACCTGGGAGGCAGAGGTTGCGGTGAGCCAAGATCGCGCCATCGCAGTCCAGCCTGGGCAACAAAGAGCAAAACTCCGTCTTAAAAAAAAAAAAAAAGAAAAACTACAACTGACATAATTCCTTTTAAAATTTTTAATTTAATTTTTTTAAGAGATGGGGGTCTCACTTTGTTGTTCAGGCTGGTCTTGAACTCTTTGCTTCAAGCAATCTTCCTGCCTTGGCCTCCCAAATTGCTGGGATTACAGGCATAAGCAACTGTGCCTAAACCTGACATCGATGTTTTTGTTGTTTTGAGACAGGATCTCCTTGGGTCACTCCCCCCAAGGCTGGAGTGCAGTGATGTGATCTCAGCTAACTGCAACCTCTGCCTCCCAGGCTCAAGTGATCCTCCCACCTCAGTCTCCCAAGTAGCTGGGACTACAGGCACGCACCATCACACACCCAACTAATTTTTGTATTTTTTTGTAGAGATGAGGCTTTGCCTTGTTGCCCACGCTGGTCTCAAACTCCTGGGCTCAAGTGATCCACCTGCCTCAGCCTCCCTAAGTGCTGGGACTACAGGCATGAGCCACTGCGCCTGGCCACTGACATTCTTTTTTTTTTTTTTTTTTGAGATGGAGTATCGCCCTGTCTCCTAGGCTGGAGTGCAGTGGCGCGATCTTGGCTCACTGCAACCTCCACCTGCCGGGCTCAAGCGATTCTCCTGCCTCAGCCTCCCAAATAGCTGGGATTACAGACAAGTGCCACCACGCCCGGCTAATTTTTTGTATTTTTAGTAGAGACCCGGGTTTCATCATGTTGGCAGGCTGGTCTCGAACTTCTGGCCTCAAGTGATCCACCCACCTTGGCCTCCTAAAGTGCTGGGATTACAGGTGTGAGCCACTGCGCCCGGCCTACATCATTCCTAAGGGTGAGACTGAACACTTGCAGAATAGTGATGGAAGGCATCTTTGCCTTGCTCCTGAGATCAGCCTCCAGAGTAGCTGGGGCTACAGGCGCATGACACCATGCTCGGCTCATTTTTTTTTTCTTTTTGTAGAGACAAAGTCTCATTATGTTGCCTAGGCTGGTTTCGAACTCCTGGGCTCAAGCAATCCTCCTGCCTCGGCCTCCCAAAGTGTTGGGATTACAGGCATGAGCCACCACGCCTGGCCTATCTTGACAAATTCCCTGTGAATCTAAAATTGTTTCAAAATTAAAAGTTGATTTAAAAAACACAATGAGATATCATGACACACCTATTGGAAAACTGACAATAGCAAATGCTAGCAAATTACCCAAGTGACTTGAAAAGTTATGTACACTCAAAAACCTATATACAATGCAGGTCCCTCAAAAAACTAAAAATAGAACTACAACATGATCCAGCAATTCCACAACTGGGTATAGATCCAAAAGCAAGGAAATCAGTATGTCAAAGAGATAGTTGCACTCATGATCACTGCAGCACTATTCATAATTGTCAAAATATGAAATCGGCCTAATTGCCCATCAACAGATAAATGGATAAAGAAAATGTGTTACCCTTATACAATGGAATATTAGTCAGCCATAAAAGGAATGAAATCCTGTCATTTGCAGCAACATGGATGGAACTAGGGACCACTAGTTAAGTGAAATAAGCCAAGCACAGAAAGACAAATATCACATGCTCTCACTCATATGTGGGGGCTAAAAAAAGTGGATCTCATGAAGATAGAGAGTAGACTGGTGGTTATCAGAGGCTGGAAAAGGGGACAGTGGGGTGGGGGGGAATGTGGAGAAAAAAAGAGAATGTAAATGTATTACCACTGAACTGTATACTTAAAAATGGTAAAGGTGGTAAATTATGTATGTATATTTTACCTTAATAAAAAAACTTACACACAAATGTTTATACTGGCTTTATTCATAATTGGCAAAACTGGAAACAAGCAGGATGTCCAACAATTGAATGGAAAAACAAACTGGTACATCAATACAAGGAATACTATTCAGCAATAAAAAGGAACAAGTTGGCTAGGAGCGGTGGCTCACGCCTGTAATCCCAGCACTTTGGGAGGCCGAGGCGGGCGGATCGCCTGAGGTCGGGAGTTCGAGACCAGCCTGGCCAGCATGGTGAAACGCCATCTCTACTAAAAATACAAAAATTAGTCGGGCGTGGTGGCAGGCATCTGTAATCCCCGCTACTCGGGAAGCTGAGGCAGGAGAATCGCTTGAACCCAGGAGGTGGAGGTTGCAGTGAGCCAAGATCACGCCATTGCACTCCAGCCTGGGCAACAGAGCGAGACTCCTTGTCAAAAAAAAAGACAAAAGAAAAAAAAAGGAACAAGTTATTGAGTCACCTAGCAAGAAGACTGAATCACAAATGCATTTTAATAAATGAAGCCAGACCCAAAAGGCTACATGTTGTATGATTCCATTTATGGTACACTCTGGAAAAGACAAAATCATAGGGACAGGAGACAAATCAGTTGCCAGGAGTTGTGGTTGACTGACTAAAGGGGCCACACAAGGGAAATTTTTAGGGAGAACTGTTTTCCATGGTACTGGGGTGATAAGTGGGGTGGTGGACTTTATGCACTCATCAAAACTCATGCCAACTGAATGTTACTGTATGCAAATTTTAAAAAATTAACCAAGATGTCACAGTATCCAAGGATGGAATGAAGCTTGTAACAAATGAATCTAACAGTATTAGAAATGTGTGCCAATACTTCAATGAAGGGGATAAGGGAAAAAGGAGCTAACCTCAGGACTTTGGAAAACTGTTTTGAGTGGCTACTGTAAGGCTAAAGACAAGACTGTACAATACCAACTGCACTCTAGTTGGCAAATAAGTTTCTCACAGGGGTATGGGTTAGTAATTCTAAAAATATATTATATTTATACTAGGGTTAAACAAATAAGTGAATAAAATGGACATAATGGAAGCCAGGTTTCTCACTTTCAGAGTAAGAAGTCACAAAAAAGCAAGGGAAGGGATGCTAGAATGAACCCTGTGGTGCTGGATTAGGGTCAGAGGTATTTTAATAGATAGATAGATAGATACAGGATTATAGATGTGTGTGTATATACAGGTTAATAGTCATACATGTATTTTTTACCTTTGTCTGTTGAAAGGGCCTAGAACCAGTGGTACCCCATTAGTAAAGGGCACACCTAGCACCCAGATCATGGTTTCTAACTATCATTCTAGAATAAAAGAAACCAGCGTTCCTTGGAGAAATGGTTGATACTAGTTCTGGAGCAAGGAAAAATACAGGATGAGCCTGGAGCATCTTGTAGGGCCAGGAAGTAAGGAAGTGTTCAAAATTCAAAAGGATGGGGCATGTCAAAGGGACAAAAAAGCCAACCTAAAAGAGCTCCAGATGGTTAAAACCAGAACAATTTGATAGTATTGGATTATAACTTAAAAGAACAAAATACACACCCATGAGAAATAAATGATTGAATAAATGGGGAGAAGGGACAAATCTTTTTTTTTTTTTTGAGACAGAGTCTCACTCTGTCGCCCAGGCTGGACTGCGGTGGCAATCTTGGCTCACTGCAATCTCCGCCTCCCAGGTTCAAGTGATTCTCCTGCCTCAGCCTCCCGAGTAGCTGGGACTACAGGCATGCGCCACCACATCCAGCTAATTTATGTATTTTTAGTAGAGATGGGGTTTCACCATGTTGGCCAGGATGGTCTCGATCTCTTGACCTCGTGATCCGCCTGCCTCAGCCTCCCAAAGTGCTGGGATTATAGGCGTGAGCCACCACACCCAGCCAGGACAAATGTTTCTTACAGAATTCCAAATAATGTATGTGGATATTCCTGTCTCCCGATGGTAGAGCTTAATTCTCCTCTCCTTGATTGTGTGTTGATCTTAGTGACTCATTTTCAAAGAATGGAGTATGGAAAGGGAAACATGGAAACTTTACGGCAGAGAAATCTGGCAGATATCACCTCATATTGACATCATGTGCCCTGTGATGTCGTGATGAGAAGGGCACTTCCTCTTCCTAAAAACCCATAACCCTAGTCTAACCAGAGGAAAATGTCAGATAAACATAAATTGAGGAACATTCTACAAAATAATTGACCACTACTATTCAAAAGTTTCAAGATTATGAGAAACAAGGAAGACTGAAGAAATGTCACATCTGTCACAGGAAATTAAGGAGACATGGCAACAAAAAGCAATGTGGGATCTTGGATTGAATTCTGGAACTGAAAAAGGACATAAGTTGAAAAACTGGTAAAATTTGAATAAAGTCTGTAGTTTAAGTTAGCATTTTACCAATGTAAATTTCTTAGCTTTGACAAATGTACTATGGTTATGTTAACATTTAGGGAAGCTGGGTAAGGGATATACAGAAACTTTCTGTACTATCTTTGCAATTTTTCTGTAAACCTAAAATCATTCCAATATAAAAAGTTTATTTTAAAAAAGCCCACAAATGTCCAGTAGCATCTCATCTCACTCAGACTACTATAGAAGCCAAAGTCTCTACAGTGGCCTACAAGGCCCTTCATTATCTCTCTCTCTACTTCTCAGACCTCATCTACTATGTTTGTTGAATAATTGAATGAATTACTCCCTAAAACAAAAGAACCCAAGTCTGACTAATCTGGAGAACTATCAAAAAAGGAACATTCCAAGGGTACATCTCAAAGATTTCTGAATCAGGCTTTCTGGGGTGGGAGTAGAAAATTTGTTTATTGGCTGGGCTTGGTGGCTTATGCCTATAATCTCAGCACTTTAGGAGGCTGAGGCGGACGCATCACATGAGCCCAGGAGCTTGAGACTAGCCTGGGCAACATGGCAAAATGCCATCTCTACAAAAAATACAAAAATTAGCTGGGTATGGTGGTGCACGCCTGTAGTCCCAGCTACCCAGGAGGCTGAGGTGAATGGATCGCTTGAGCCCAGGAGTCAGAGGTGGGAGGATTGCTCGAGCTCCGGAGTCAGAGGTGGGAGGATTGCTTGAGCCCCGAAGACAGGGTTTGCAGTGAGCCGAGATTGCAGCACTGCACTCTAGCCTGGACAACACAGTGAGACCCTGTCTCAAAAAAAAAAAAAAAAAGAAAGGAAGGAAGGAAGGAAAATTTGTTTATGTATTTATGTATTTGAGACAAGGTCTCGCTCTGCTGCCCAAGCTCGAGTGCAGTGGCACGATCATGGGTCACTGCAGCCTCAACCTCCCTGGGCTCAGGTGATCCTCCCACCTCAGCCTCCAAGTAGCTGGGACTACAGGTGCACACCATCACACCCAGCTAATTTTTGTAGAGACAGGGTTTTGCCATGTTGCCCAGGCTGGTCTTGAACTCCTAGGCTCAAGTGATCCGCCTGCCTCAGCCTCCCAAAGTGCTGGAATTACAGGTGTGAGCCACCGTGCCTGGCTGAAAATTTACATTTTTAAAAGCACCCTGGATGGTTCTGAGGATTAGTCAGATTTGGAGATCCTCATGATGGAAAACAATGAATTCTCTTATTAAGCAGTCAAATAGCTTTATTAAATATTAAAAATAAATGTGACTATTGCAACTGAAGAGGAAAATTGAGAGACTCTGAGGTGCAAACTATTTAAGATACATGTGAATTCTCAAAAGAAATAAATAAATAAGACCACCCTTAGTTCAGTACAGTGATTCTCAACTGGGAGCAATTTTGCCTCCCTCCCACACCCCTGGGGACATCTGGAAACATTTTTCGTTGCCACAACTGGGGTGGTGTTTTATTGGCATCTAATAGGTAGAGGCCAGAGATGCTGCCAAACATCTTGTAAGGTATAGGACAGCCTCTCATAACAAAGAATTACCTGGCCTAAAATGTCTGTAGTGCCACAGTTGAGAAACCCTGCCTTAGAATGACTGATGGCCACTTTTAGATAAGGGCCCAGTCCATCCAACTCCTGCTAGAATATCTCCACTGCCAGCCTACTCAGTATTCCACAGGAATCAGCGCACTGCTGAGCAGCTTAAAAGTTTTCCCCAACTTTTTATTTTGAAAATTTCTATACATTATAGAAGAATTGAAAGAATAGCATAAATATGCATTTGCCCTTCACCTACACCCACCAAAAGTTAACATTTGTCCCCATTTGCTTTATTACAAAATAAACACCATCTATCTGCACATATATGCTTTGTTTTGCTGAGTCATTTGAAAGTAGCAGACATAAGAACACTTCAGCATGTATCTCCTGCATAACCACACCACCATTATTATACCAAAGGATCAACGATAATTCTATCTCATCTTCAAACTTCCCCACTTGTCCCAAAAATGCTTTTTACAGCTCACTCCAACCCAACCTAAGATCCAATCAAGGTTCACTCATTGCATTTAGTTGTTATATCTCTTTAGTCTCTTAATCCAGAATAATTCCCCCATATTTTTTGTTTTCCATTATACTGTCTGAAGAGACCTAGCCAGTTGTCTTGTAGAATGTCTTCTATTTTGGATTTGTCTTATTTCCTTATGGTGTCATTTAACATATTTCTTTTCTTCCTACACTACAAACTACAAGTTAAGTCTTGGCTCAATTAGATTCAGGTTACTTTGGCAAGAACACTCTACATATGATGTTGTGTATTTTTCAATGCATCACATCACAAATAACACGTTAGGCTGTCCATCAATGATGCTGTTTGATCACTGGGTTAACATGGTGATCACCAAATCTCTGCTGTAAAGGTACACTTCCCCTTTGAATTAGGATGTATAAATATCCTGTTGGGTTTTTTTGTTTGTTTGTTTGTTTGTTTTTTTGAGACAGAGTCTTGCTCTGTCGCCCAGGCTGGAGTGCAGTGGCGCGATCTTGGCTCACTGCAAGCTCCACCTCCCGGGTTCACGCCATTCTCCTGCCTCAGCCTCCTGAGTAGCTGGGACTACAGGCGCCCGCCACCACGCCCGGCTAATTTTTTGTATTTTTAGTAGAGACGGGGTTTCACCGTGTTAGCCAGGATGGTCTTGATCTCCTGACCTTGTGATCTGCCCGCCTTGGCCTCCCAAAGTGTTGGGATTACAGGCGTGAGCCACCACACCCGGCCATTTTTTTTTGAGACAGAGTCTTGCTCTTTTGCCCAGGCTGGAGTGCAGCAGCGATCTTGGCTCACTGCAACCTCCGCCTCCCAGGTTCAAGCAATTATCTGCCTCAGCCTCCCTAGTAGCTGTGATTACAGGCAACCGCCATCACACCCGGCTAATTTTTGTATTTTTAGTAGAGACAGGGTTTCACCATGTTGGCCAGGCTGGTCTTGAACTCCTGACCTCGTGATCTACCCGCCTCAGCCTCCCAAAGTGTTGGGATTACAGGTATGAGCCACTACGCCCAGCCAAATATCCTACTTCTTAGCAACTTTTACCCCAATAGTTTTAGCACCCACTGATAATCTTTGTCTGAAATAATTATTACATTGGGGTTGGAAATGGTGATTTCCAAAGTCCAGCATTCCTTCTGCATTTTTTAGCTCACAATATTCCATAAACAGCAGATGAACATTCTTTTCTTCTCTCCCCTTTTTGTTTAACAATATGGATGCATAGATTTCTGTTGTTAAATCATTACCTTCATTCTTCTCTTTTTTTGAGACAAGGTCTTGCTCTGTTGCCCAGGCTGCAGTGCAGTGGCATGAGCATAACTCACTGCAGCCTCAAGCTCCTGGGCTCAAGCAACCCTCCCACCTCAGCTCCTGAGTAGCTGGGACTACAGGTATGCATCACCCCTAGCTAATTTTTGTATTTTTTGTAGTGACAAGGTCTTGCAACGTTGCCCAGATGGGTTTCAAACTCCTGGCCTTAAGCAATCCTTCCACTTCACCCTCCCAAAATGCTGGGATTACAGGGGTTCGGCACTACATCCAGTCCCAGTATTCCTTTTAATTGTTAAATTGTCCCAAATTTGGCCCATGGAAACTCCTTCAAGCTGGCTCCTAAGATCTTTTGATATGAACTCATCAGTCTTTGAATACTTCCTATAGGCATCTCTTGTTTTTAAGACTTGTTTATATAATATTTATTTGCTGAAATTCCTGCAACATCTGCTTATTGGTTTTAGTTCTACTTTTTGCAGCAATAGAACATTTTACTTCTTCCATGTGGAATGTTCTGTTACTTAAATGCAGATATTATATTTGGGTTGGAGCAATTCTACAATACGACTTCACTAACATCACACAGGTACATAAATCATTAATTTAGCTCTACCGATATGCTCACTTTATTCCTAACTCTCACACTTTAGGATGTCCAATACACTTATTACCTGATTCAATTTCCAAAAGCTGCTAAGAAGTTAAACATTCATTTTCAAGCTTCCAAATGTTCCCATGTCAAAATGGTTGCATCAAAGGGGCCAGGTCAGAATTTCCTACATATATTCTGGGGTAGATTCATGCAGTGGGTCACAGCAAGTCCTTGCTACCACTACAGTAACCACAGAAGTATTATCAAATACTGCATTAATACTTACCAGCTGAGTTACACCCAGCATTACTTATTATCCTAACATTCCTCTAACATTTGCATACAGATTTTTGCAGTTTATTATAATATTTTTATACATAAAGAGCACATAAAATGCAGATGTGCCCTCTCTCTAGGGAATACCCAATCAACACTGCGTATTACTATACATATTTGCTCAGGCCAGTCAAGGAAAGCCTGATGAGCCTTGAGCAAACAATGGCCCCACTCTGAACAGATAAAGAGTACTCTGTCCTCTAGAATCAATACACCTTCAAATACAGGTAGGCAGACAGTAACCCTTCAAGTGGGCACACATACTCAAGTTCCTCTCTTTGAAGACCTATATCCAGTATCTGAAATTTATTGGTGGCATTTACCCACTAGGGAAAACAATTCTAATTATACATGGAAGTTAATCAATCATATTAAATACATAAAATAGTATACCACTTTATATTTCTTATTTCTTTTCCAGTATGATTAAAGCACACTGAAGGTAGAAAGAATCTTCATCAAGTGCTTTGCAACTCTGAGCAGGGAGCATGAAATATTTATCACTACACTATAAAGGTACAACAATAATACAACAATTAAAATGATAATAAGATACATAATAAAATGTGACTTTCAGTACTAAGAACAGAGGATAGGGAAAAAAAAAGAATGCCTAATTTCTAGTTAGTTGTCTAGGGCTCCTTGAGTGATGTGAAATTTTGACATTTCAGAACAATAATAGAAAAAAAACAAAGAACAAATGAGAAAGAGAAGGCAATGTAAAACAAATGTTAAAGGCAAAAGTAAATCAAATCAGCATGTAAAGAAAATATCCACAAAAGTATACCAATCATCCAGAAGGTACCTTTGTTCAGAAGAGGAAGGAAGTCAGGTGCTTTTTCCCGAAAAACCCTTTGAGCATCCTCAGCTTTCATGGACACTTCCTTTGTCTGAACTAGGAAAAAGCCTTTACCAACCATCTGTGAAAATAAAATTTCATTGAGATTTTAAAATGAACTTCTGAGACTAAAACAATGATTTCCTATTCTAGTATTTCTCTGTATAAAATGCAACAACAGCACACTGATTTTTGTTTTAATTATAAGTCTAATTCAGGGTGTTTGCTATAATAAGTTCTCACTATATGAGATTCTTTCTTACAGATGGGTGGTTCTGGTTTAGTACTGCAGTTAAGGTTAAGGGTCAAATAAATGTGAATTATCTCTCAAGTTTAAAACATGATTAAAATTTTTCTACAACCAGATGGAAGTTTTAGTTTGGTGATACTGCAAATGTCCAATAAGAAGAGAATGGTTAAGTAAATTATGGTACAGTCACATGATGAAATGCCACAGTTCATTACATTTATCACAGTTCATTAAATACAACAAAGATGTTATAATAAAATGAGGAAAAGCTTATGTAATAATGTTAATTTTACTTTTATTTGTTTATTTTTCTTTCTTTTTTTTTTTTTTTGAGATAGGGTGTCACTCTGTTGCCCTGGCTGGAATGTAGTGGTGCAATCATAGCTCACTGCAGCCTCAAACGCCTGGGTTCAAACGATTCTCCCACCTCAGCCTCCCAGGCAGCTAGCTGGGACTACAAGCTCGTGCCACCATGCCTGGCTAATTTTTAAAATTTTTTTTGTAGAAACAGGTTCTTGCCATGTTGCCAGGCTGATCTTGAACTCCTGGGCTCAAGCCATCCTCCTGCCTCAGCCACCCAAGATGCTGGAATTATAAGCATGAGCCACTGTACCTGGCCAATAATGTTAATTTTAAAAGGCATGATACAAATTTATATAGTATAGCACAATAATGGTAGATCACACTTATGGAGCACTTACCATGTGGCAGGCAGTTTTATGTACTTTACATATATATATTTAACCCTCTCACGAAGTAGGTATCATTACCCTCATTGTACAGATATGAAAACTAAGGCGCACAGTGATTAAGGAACTTGCCCAAGGACATTCAACAATTAAGTGACAGAGCTGTGATTCAAACCTAGTTAATCTAATTACAGACTAAATAAATTTAAAAATGATTCCTAAAAAGATTATTCAAGGTATGGTACAATTATGTATTGATTTTAAACTTATTTTACTCTTTCTTATTTCTATAATTCTCCACAATGAGGGCATATTAATTTTTAAAGTAATTATGAAAGTAGTTTTTAAAAATGCAGTCAGCCCAGCATCATGGCTCACACATGCATCCCAAGCACTCTGAGAGGCCAAGGTGGGAGGACTGCTTGAGACCAGGAGTTTGAGACCAGCCTGGGCAACACAGCAAGACCCCATCTTTATAAAAAAAAATTTAAAATTAGCCAGGTGTGGTGGTGTGTGCCTGTAGTCCTAGCTACTCAGGAGGCTGAGGTGGGAGGATCCCTTAAGCCCAGGAGTTAGAGGCTACACTGAGCTATGATCTCACCACTGCACTCCAGCCTGGACAATAGAGCAAAACCTTGTCTTTAAAAAAAAAAAAATGTAGTCATATTCCAACCACTTAATTTTTAGCAAAGCTTGTTAGGTTTTTAATAATTAAAAGTAACATATATTCTCAACACAGAACATTTGAAAAATAAAAAATAGAAATGAAGAAATATCAACCAGGGTGCTGCAACTAAAAGATGCTACTGCCATACAGGTATACCCTCCCAGTTTTCTTTTTCTCCCATTACAGAAATAATATATGCTCACTGTTAAATCCATAGAACTACAAAAAAAGAAAACCCTGCTGTTAATCAACTGCCTAAGAATAAGCATGCCTGTTAACATTTAAGTATCTATAACTTTCCAGACTTACCTACTTAAAAAAATCAGTTACTTACCTAATATTCTACAAATTTTCACTTACTTAATTGTGACATTTTCTACATAAAGTCAGTTTTAATGGCTGATAGTATTTCATCCTATGGCTACATTATTCCATACCATTCCATCGAATTTTATTAAACTCAAATCCTATTTCAGAACCCTCATTCAATGCTGCCTCCAAAAAAAGAAACATACATTTAAAAATTGTAGAGAATTACATGGACATCACTGCCAGATGACTGTAAAATAAAAATATCAGAAACAATTCTACCTCTCTTATTTTCTAGAGTGCTTATCATCTCTGATTTTATAAACACAAACTGATGAGATTATGATGATTACTTCAAAATAATGTTACCTAAATAATAAACTATATTTTAATATTTCACTGCAGATATTTGAAGAGACTCCTTTTCATGAAAATTCTACTTTTAAAGACTTGAAAATAGTGGTAACTACCCAACTTCAATTTCAGATGATGAAGTACTCTCAAACTATTTTACTCTATTTTATCCTGTACATATCTGTGATGTAGGTAAGAGAAGTCGAGGAAAGAAAAACAATTTTTATTGTTTGTTTGTTTTTGAGACGGAGTCTTGCCCTCTCGCCCAGGCTGGAGTGCAGTGGTGGGATCTCAGCTCACTGCAACCTCCGCCTCGTGGGTTCAGGCAATTCCCTGCCACAGCCTCCCGAGTAGCTGGGATTACAAGCACCCACCACCACGCCTGGCTAATTTTTGTATTTTTAGTACAGACGGGGTTTCACCATCTTGGCCAGGCTGGTCTTGAACTCCTGACCTCGTGATCCACCCGCCTCGGCCTCCCAAAGTGCTGGGATTACAGGCGTGAGCCACTGCGCCCGGCTGGAATCTGATTTTTAGGTGAGAAAACCAAAGTCTAGTAACTTCTCTTGGCTCCCTATGGAATGTCTTTTTGCTTTACCCAGCCTTTTTGGACTTCCTAACCTCTCTCAAATTGTATACTTCCTATTGCGAAAAAAAAAAAATCATTATTTAATGCATTAAAACAATGTGAAACAAAATTCTGTAATCCTCCTGGGGTTTAACAAATATAGAGTTAGCAATCATAGTTTCAGTCTAAGCTGTCCTAAGACATTTGTGTTATGACATGAGAAAGACTCAAGTTTTATTTTTTTCATCTCAAGATTCACTAGCTTCTATACATATTTCCCTGCGAACTCATCTCATTTTTTAAAAAATGTAATCTCTCAATATAATATATAAGTCTTTTGTCTTTCAGCATGTTTTGATACCCTCTTCACATGTACTTGGTATTTTATTTTTTATTTTTGTTTGTTCTCTTCATTCCTTAATTCTGTACTTTCAGAATAAGATAGGATAACTATAGCCAAATAGTCCCTAGACTGGAAGGCCCTAGAGTCCACATGCTTTCAGTCACATTCCTGCTCCACCAGGCATTCAGCAACTTTCCTTTACCACTGAGGGAGCATAACAGCATCATGTTTAAGGGTTAAGGTGTGGCCTACACAGCCAGACTGCCTGGATTGGAATCATGGCTCTGCTTTTTCCAGCTGAATGACCTTTTGCAAGGTACTTACCCTCTTTATGGTCTATTTTTCATATCTGTAAAATGGGGAATAATAGCACCTATTTCATAGAGTTGTTTTGAGTATTGAGTTAATTCATTTAAATTCCTTACAATAGTGCCTGGCATATAGTAAACACTATGTAAGTGTTAGTTATTATTATCGCTGTGGGATTGTTTATATTGTATTCCAGAGGATATCTAAAGAATATCATTCTTCCTGGTCATATTCTTTTCAAGGGCACACAACACTGCCATTTCACATACCAGATACCAAAGGTTAAAAGGTTAAGAACATTTGGTGATTCATGAAGAAACACTGTTTTGATGGCTTTTTCTTTAAACATGCTAAATATTCTTTATGTCCACTCCTCATTACCTATGAAAAAGGAGTTTAACCTAAATAATTACATATTTTGAAAACTGTTTGTAGTTTTTTTTTAAATCACCATACTGCATAATGAAAGCATTTACCTCTCAGATGTTGGATTAACATGTGATCAGATAGCTCAAAAGCCAGAAGCACATTTTTCTGTATCTTACCAGATTCATGGAATGTTTTTATCACATAGGCATAAGCAAAAGAGAAAATATAAAAGTCTTAAAATTAAACTTTGGCTTCTGTTGGTTTAAAAACTATACCTCAGATATACTTTGTGGATTTCAGACATTTCTACATGGGTTTTCTACATTGTGGAATATATAGCTATTGAGAGGTATTCATTTTTAGTATTTTCCTAAAATCATTCCTTTTGATATGTTCCAACTTAAAAAAAAAAAATCCATTCAAAAAGAGACTTGATGAGTTTTCCGGCCGAGCGTGGTGGCTCTCGCCTATAATCCCAGCACTTTGGGAGGCCGAGGCGGGTGGACTGCTTGAGGTCAGGAGTTCGAGACCAGCCTAACCAACATGGCAAAACCCTGTCTCTACTAAAAATACAAAAATTAGCGGGCATGGTGGCAGGCATCTGTAATCCCAGCTACTCGGGAGGCTGAGGCAGGAGAATCGCTTAAACCCGGGAGGCAGAGGTTGCAGTGAGCTGAGATCGCGCCACTGCACTCCAGCCTGGGAGACAAAGTGAGACTCCGTCTCAAAAAAATAAAAAGAGACTTGATGAGTTTTCCATTCACTTCTCTATGTCTTTAAGTTTGGTTTTTAAATTCAAACAGATTCCTCCTGAAGGAACCTGATTAATGGATAATCAATACATCCTACTGCTGCCTTCCCACTGGAGCACCCACCAACTAAGGAACTGCTGCTTCTGGAGCCCCTAACCTCTGTATCTCCAATTATTTTTCAAGCAGAAGCTGCTACCCCAAAAAGCCTTCTCTATTCATGAGCTCACCAAGACCCACTGTTCATGAGCCTATGAGCTTTGCCAACCTAGCTTCCATCTCACTCTTCTGCATCAAGCTCCCTTCTATGGCAATAAAGGAAAATAAGGAACGTAATGTGGAGGTTGCTCTCACAGTCACAACAGGGTCCAAAAGTTGTATTCCTAAATGTACTTTTGGCTGGGTGCAGTGGCTCATGCCTGTAATCCCAGCACTTTGGGAGGCTTAGGCAGGTGGATCATGAGGTCAAAAGATCGAGACCATCCTGGCCAACGTGGTGAAACCCCGTCTCTACTAACAATACAAAAAAAATTAGCTGGGTGTGGTGGCGCCCACCTATAGTTCCAGCTACTTGGGAGGCTGAGGCAGGAGAATTGCTTGAACCCAGGAGGCAGAAGTTGCGGTGAGCCGAGATCGCACCACTGCACTCCGGCTGGGTGACAGAGCAAGACCCCGTCACAAAAAAAAAAAATTGCATTTTCTTACCCCCTAACCAATTAGAACTCTAAAGAAATTTCCCCACTAAATAATTATAAAATGTCATGCTTTACTAAGCAGTACTACTTTTGTGAGCTTCTCTGGAAATCATCTAGTATAATGGAAACTCTTTAAGGGCAGAGAATTTTGTCTATGTATCTTCATCTCCAGCATACACTATAGTTCATCATTTCTGAGTTGCTATCAATTATAAGATGCATTCCAGATAAGCAAAATCATGGAAAACAAATAGGCATCCTATCATCAGTGAAATATGATAACAGTAACTAGCACATAATAGGTGCTTAATGCTTACTGATTTGAATTATATTTTTTTAAAGTTTCTTTGGGAAAGTATTTTGAGGCCCAAGCAATCTACTTACAAACAAATGCTTAATGCTTACTGAATTGAATTATATTTTTTAAAAGTTTCTTTGAGAAAGTATTTTGAGGCCCAAGCAATCTACTTACAGATGAGTCTGTTGGGAGAGGGGGTGGTGGCAAAGGACTATAACTTGAGGGTTGCCTGTATTTCCAATAGCCAATTTGAAAAGAATGGAAGTACTCCAGAGTGGTACATTTTTAAATCTAGGTGTATGACTATTTCTCTTCTCTTTCTCCTTACCTCATCAATTAGTTTTCTGGCATTTGCAATAGTGTAATCACCAGCAAATAATACCACTAAGCATGATTCATCGCTGCTCTTCTGTCTCTGACCCCGGGATATTGGAACAATGCTTCTATTGGCTTCTGTGGAAACACGAACAGCTTTGAGCTCTTCGGTAGTAGGTATAGGAACATAGTCCTGAACCACAGCATCTTCTGGAAGAAGGCTCCAGTTGAGTTCTCCTGACACAGGTGTAAAGTCATGAATGTTACTCCATGTATTGTTGAAGATACTTAGCCCTGCATCTTTGAACTGGAAAGCTAATTCAGGATAGTACCATTGAAAACATCCAAATTTGATATTTGAGGAAGACTCAATGATGGGTTGAGTGGCACAACACAAAAAGACTTCCAGCTTTCTACAATCTCGCACACGAAATTGTTGGCAGGCTAATGTGCACTTGCAATCTCTGCAATTCCGGAAAAACACGCTGCCTTTCACGGGTCCCAGAAAAATTATGCAGTTAGTACAGTCATCAATGGTAACTGTAGCAGAGTGATCAAAAATATAGATGTTACAGTTCTCACAGTCTTGAATGAGAAACTGTTGTCCTGCTACCGTCCCAGGTAAGCGACCTACTGTTTCATCCTTCAGTCCACTGAACATGTAGTCTTTTGGATCAACCTGCAGGAACAAAACACAGACCTTGAGTATTATTAACATTATTCAACAAGTATCAACTAAAGGACTATTGGCTGCCAGGCACAGTTCTTAGTGCTGAAATATAAATTCTTAATCTCAATGACTTTGAAACACAGTAACAAAATGAACAGGACAAATTGTTTCTCTCAATAATAATATAAAACCTATGATCTTAGTCAACATACACACCTCCCAGAAGACAGATCCCCTCTCTTTGCTATTAAATTGTGTTCTGGGCATGCAAAGCTAAAGGGTAGCCTCTGTGACACTATGGTTTGAGTTTTCCCATGACTTAACCCAAGTGACACCTACATCATCATTGCTACTGTCAATATTGTCAGTAGGCTTTTAGCCTATTTGGAATTTATAAAAGTAAAAAATGTACTAAGCTTTGTAGAGTACCAGGGTCAAAAATATATTTTTAAATGATTGTTTTAATAAAAGCGCTATGAAAAATTCAACTCATATCCTATGTATCTAATGATCTTAACCATGACCTTGCTATTTCAGCTTTCTGATACTTTTTCTTTTTTGATGCTTCATTTTTAAAACTTCTAATTTCTAAAAAAATCTGAGGCTGGGTGCAGTGGCTCTTGCTTTTAATCCCAGCACTTTGGGAGGCCGAGGTGGGAGGATCAGATGAGACCAGGAGTTCGAGACCAGCCTGGCCAACATGGCGAAACCCCGTCTCTATTAAAAATACAAAAATTACCCAGGCGTGGTGGCGCATGTCTGTAATCCCAGCTACTCGGGAGGCTGAGGCACAAGAATAGCTTGAGCCTCGGAGGTGGAGGTTGCAGTGAGCCGAGATCGCACCACTGCACTCCAGCCTGGGGGACACAGTGAGACTCTGTCCCAAAAATAATAATAATAATAAAATAAAATTCTGAAATTGGGAATGTACCCAGACTGAAATATATTTCTCTATCCTTTTTCAAATCAATGTATGGTCTCAGTTTCTAAACCCCAACTGATTTCTGCAATATGCTACAGAAAACAGAAGAACCTGAAGGCACAAGAATCACAATATGTAAATGCAAGCAAATTTGATTCAAGCATTTATTAAGCTACAACGCAATTTTTCAAATTTGGCCATTTCTATTCTTAGATCTTCCAAACTATAGCTCGCTCCTTCCTTCACTCCTTCTTTCGCTCCTTTCTTCCTTCGCTACTTCCTTCCTTCCTTCCTCCCTCCCTCCCTTCCTCTCTTCCTTCCCTTCCTTCCCTCCCTCCTTTCTCTCTCTCTCTTTCGAGACGGAGTCTCGCTCTGTCGCCCAGGCTGGAATGCAATGGCGCAATCTCAGCTCACTGCAAGCTCCACCTCCTGGGTTCAGGCCATTCTCCGCCTCAGCCTCCCAAGTAGCTGGGACCACAGGTGCCTGCCACCACACCCGGCTAATTTTGTTTTTGTATTTTTTTTTCTGAGATGGAGTCTCGCCCTGTTGCCCAGGCTGGAGTGCAGTGGCATGAACTCGGCTCTCTCCTGTCTCAGCCTCCCGAGTTGCTGGGACTACAGGCACCCGCCACCATGCCTGGCTAATTTTTTGTATTTTTTAGTAGAGATGGGGTTTCACTGTGTTACCCAGGATGGTCTTGATCTCCTGACCTCGTGATCTGCCCGCCTCAGCCTCCCAAAATGCTGGGATTACAGGCGTGAGCCACCACGCCTGGCCCCTGTTTTTGTATTTTTAGTACAGATGGGGTTTCACCATGTTAGCCAGGATGGTCTCGATCTCCTGGCTTTGTGATCCACCTGCCTCGGCCTCCCAAAGTGCTGGGATTACAGGCGTGAGCCACCGTGCCCGGCCTTTTTCTTTTTTTGAGATGGAGTTTCACTCTTGTCACCCAGGCTGGAGTGCAATGGCGCAATCTTGGCTCACTGCAACCTCCACCTCCCGGGTTCAAGTGATTCTCCTGCCTCAGCCTCCTGAGTAGCTGGGATTACAGGCGTGTGCAACCATGCCCAGCTAATGTTGTATTTTTAGTAGAGATGGGGTTTCACCATGTTAGCCGGGCTGGTCTTAAACTCCTGACCTTGGATGATCTGCCTGCCTTGGCCTCCCAAAGTGCTGGGATTACAGGTGTGAGCCACCGAGCCCGGCCCACATAATCTTTTAAACAGTATGCCTGGAAAATGTCACATTAATTTTTTTTATTTTACCTGACCTATCAAAATATGGTCACTAAAAGCCTATTTTTGTTTCTTCCATGTGACTTTCTTATCTACTTCAACTGTTTTAACTGTTTGTGACTATATAAACTTCATGCAAAACCATTCATGCACCATAGGCTCCCATATATACAATATGTAAAAATTTGATTTACAAAGCAAAATTTAATCATCTTAATGATTAGCAAATGAGCTTAAATTGACTTAGTAATTGCACAATAGATATTGTACTTAGCCAGTTTTACATGCTGTACTAGGAGGAACACTGGTCTGCAGTATGAGGCAATAAAAGAAGTACTCATTTTCCAGTCCCAATTTTGTCCCCTATAAGCAACCGGATCTTGAAAAAATCCCCTTAACTTTCTGGATGTTCAGTCACTCTACCAATATTTGAATACCCAGTATGAGCCAGACATTGTTTTAGGCACTAAAATGAATAGGACCAGCTCTTTCCATAAAAGTAAACATTCATCTAAACTAAAAACAACTTGACCATGTAATGAGAGATGCTGAGAATATTTTGGAGGGGACAGAGAAGGGACATCTGGGGCGGGGAAGAGAAGTGGGGCGGAAGTTCTGCAAAACATGAGAATGGATAAGCTAGAGCTCATTAGGTAAAAGGGGTAGGAATAAAGGACCCTCCCTTCCCATGCCAGGCAAAAGTAACAGACGGAACAAAGTAAAATTCTTCAGGGAGTAGGAGGAAAACTGAAAGTAGTTTGGTGTTACACATGCTATCAGAATGCTAGTAGATGAAGCTACAGAGGTAGGCAGAAACCGTATTATATAAAGCTTAGAAGTTATCCACAGACAAGAGGGAACCACAGAAAGATTTAAATAAGCAAAATTTACATGTCAGGATAATTACTCTGATGAGATAAGGACACATGCAACATGGATTGATCGGAGAGACTATTGTAGTCATACAGAAAGGGCTGGAACCAGAGCTGTAATTAGTAGGGAAGAAGAAGATGGGATGAATTTGAGAAATACTGAGGAAACAGAATCAGCAGACTGGTAATTCAATGGCTGTAGGAGGTAAGGCAGAAGGATGAATCACAGAGGAAAGGCCATGTGAGGACACAGCAAGAAGGCAGCTGTCTGTAAGCCAGGAAGAGAGCCCTCACCAGACACTGAATCTGCTAGCACCTTGATCTTGGACTTCCCAGGCTCTAGAGCTGTGAGAAATAAACTTCTGTTATTTAAGCCACCAGTCTGTGGTATTTTGTTATGGCAGCCTGTTTTAGTCTGCTCAGACTGCAAAAGCCAACCTCTTGCTATGTCATCACCAGACCTGTCCTCTGTGTGAAGGAGAGGGAGGGAGCAAGTGCAAGCTAACTGAATCTTCTTATAAGGACACTAATCCTATCAGATCAGCACTCTACCTTTATGACCTCACTTAACCTTAATTACTTCCTTAGAGGTCCCATCTCCAAATACAGCCATGTGTAGGGGGGTAGGGCTTCAACATATGAATTTGACAAACATTCAGTCCATAACAGCTGCCAATGCTGAGGAGTTAAATGTAATTTACTACCCTAAGTATTTTCTCTGGACGCTCCACTTTTCCTAGCTCATAGGGAGAAATTAATCTGATAGCTAAAGATTTTATAGCTAAATAGTTCTGTAGTATAAAATTAGTTGGATTGTCAGCACGGCCTTCCAAGGAGAAATTTAAGATTTATGTTGCTGTACTTTCTCAACAATTCCTGAAAGTTTTTCAAAACAAAAAGCATTAGGAGCTAGACACAGTGGCTCACATCTGTAATCCCAGCTACTTGAGAGTGGGCCAGTGGCCTAGTGAGACTAGGAGTTTGAGACTGGCCTGGGTGACACAGTGACACTCCCCTAGCTCTAAAAAAGTTTTTTAAAACTTAGCAGATTATTTGAAGTGAGTTGGTGGAAGGGGGGTAAAAAAACACAAAAACCCTTAGCTGGGCATGGTGGTGTGCGCCTGTAGTCCTAGCTACTCAGAAGGCTGAGGCAGGAGGACTGCTTGTGCCTGGGAGTTCAAGGCTGCAGTGAGCCATGATCATGCCACTGCACTCCAGCCTGGGTGACAAAGCAAGACCCTGACACTTTAAAAAAAAAAAAGTAATAATAAACAACTGAAACTGAAATCCTTCGTAATTTTGCAGGTTACTAGTTCTGAAATAAAGTGTCTAGAATCACAAACATGGAAAGGTCATGTTTTAAATTATTTTTTCCTAAGAGCCACTTATGAAGTGAGTTTAGTTTAGACTGTATTTTTTTTTTCTGACACAGGGTCTCACTCTGTTGCCCAGGTTGGAGTGCAGTGGCACACTCACAGCTCACTGCAGCCTCGACCTCCACCGTTCAAGCAATCCTCCCCGCCTCAGTCTCCTGAGTAGCTGGGACTACAAGTGCACACCACCATGCACAACTAATTTTTGTATTTTCTGTAGAGATGGGGTTTCGCCATGTTGTCCAGGCTGGTCTCGAACTCCTGGACTCAAGCGATCCACCCACCTCAGCCTCCCAAAGTGCTGGAATTACAGGCATGCGCCACCGTGTCTGGCCTAGACTATTTCTTACTACAATCCTTAAAAGGTAATGGATATACTTTAAAAAATCAAGGAAAGTGGCCAGGCGTGGTGGCTCACGCCTGTAATCCCAGCACATTGGGAGGCCGAGGCGGGTGGATCACCTGAGGTCAGGAGTTCCAGACCAGCCTGGCCAACATGGTGAAACCCCGTCTCTACTAAAAATACAAAACTTAGCTGGGCATGGTGGTGGGCGCCTGTAATTCCAGCTACTTGGGAGGCTGAGGCAGGAGAATCGCTTGAACCCAGGAGGCAGAGTTGCAGTGAGCCGAGATCGCACCACTGCACTGCAGCGTGGAAGACAAGAGCCAAATTCTGTCTCAAAAAAAAAAAAAAAAATCAAAGAAAAATTTCAAGAGTTGTAATTCGTCTGATATCAATTTAATGTCCTACAGCTATTAAACCAAGTTAAGCATTATTTTCCTAACAGAAAACAAAAATGAACATCTTATTATCTTACTAAGCGGCAATACAAATTTTTCATTAAAATTCATCTCCACAGTTAAATTTCCATAATGATAATGTGAGATAAAATAATGGGATTTGTTAATTCCAATGAAAATCCAGTCTGAATAGAAGTAAAAAGATTCAGGAGTATAAGAAGCACTATATATGTACCAGGCACCATACTAAGTGCTCTATAATCATTCACTCAATCCATAAAAACCCCATAAGGGTTGTGTACTATAATTATCTCTGTTTTATACTTGAGAAAATTGAGGCACACAGAGACTATATAACTTGTCCAAGGACACACTGTGAGTCCATATATATATATATATATATATATATATGTATATACACATATATGAGTCCATATATATGTATATACGCATATATATGCGTGTATATATATACACACACATATATACACATATATACACACATATATACACATATACACATATATGTGTGTATATATATACACACACACATGTGTGTATGTACACACACACATGTGTGTATATACACACACACATATGTGTGTATATACACACACACATATATGTGTGTATATATACACACACACATATATATAGTGTGATCGATATAGATATATATATGTAAAGAGAGATATGCCTGTTTATGAACTCTCTATTCCATTGATTTGTGCATCTAGTAAGCAATTGTTTTGTATATGTATGTATATATATACACACATATATATGGTGTATGTGTATATACATACATACATACATACATATACATATAGTGCAGTGAACCGAGATCGCGCCACTGTACTCCAACCTGGCGACACAGCAAGACTCCGTCTCAGAAAAAGAAAAAAAATTCCTAGATGTGAAACCAAAAACACAATCCACAAAAGAAAAAGTGAGTGGAAATTGGACTTTTACTCAAATTGAAAATGTTTGCTCTTCAAAAGACACTCTTAAGAGAAGGCAAGTTATTAACTGGGAAAAAAGTATTTGCAAAACATATATATAACAGGGGACTTGTATCCAGGACATATAAAGAGCTCTGAAAAACTCAATAATAAGAAAACAAATAACCCAATAAAAAAATGGGCAAATGATTTGAATAAACATTTTACCAAAGATATATGGATGGCAAATAAGTACATGAAAAATGCTCAACATTTAGGTAAATACAAGTCATTTGGGAAATGCAAGTTAAACTACAATGAAACATCACTACACACCTATTAGAATGGCTAAACATTTTTTTTTAAAGCTAGGCGAGGTGCAGTAGCTCACAGCTGTAATGCCAGCACTTTGGGAGGCCAAGGTGGGACGATCGCTTGAAGCCAGGAGTTTCAGACCAGCCTGAGCAACACAGCCAGACCTTGTCTCTACAAAAAATAAAAATATTAGCCGAGTGTGGTGGCAGACACATGTAGTGTAGTCCTAGCTACTTGGGAGGCTGAAGTGGGAAGATTGCTGGAGCCCAGGCAGTCCAGGCTGCAGTGAGCCATGATCATGCCACTGTACTCCAACCTGGGAGACTGAGCAGACCCTGTCTCTTAAAAACAAATTAACCTGACAATACCAAGCAAGTGATGTGAGGATGCAGAGCAACTGTATCTCTCATATACTGCTGGTAGGCAAAATGGCATAGCCACTTTGAAAAATAGTTTGGCAGTTTCTTTTTTAAATTTTTAATTAATTTTTTTTTTATAGAGACAGGGTCTTGCTCTGTTGCCCACACTGGAGTGCAGTGGTGCAATCAGAGCTCACTGCAGCTTCAAACTCCTGGGCTCAAGCAATCCTCCTGTCTCAGCCTCCCAAGTAGCTGGGACTACAGGCATATGCCACTCTGCCTGGCTATGTTTATCCATTTTGTAGAGGTGGGGTCTCACTATGTTGCCCAAGCGGGTCTTGAACTCCTGGCCTCAAGCGATCCTTCTGCCTTCACCTCCCAAAGTGCTGTGATTACAGGTGTGAGCCACTGACCTGGCAGTTTTTTGTAAAGTTTAATAAACAATTTCCATATGATCAGCAATCCCACTCATGAGTATTTACCCAAGTGAAATGAAAACTTATGTTCACTCAAAAACCTGTACACAAATATTTATGGTAGCTTTATTCATAATTACCAAAATTGGAAACAACCCAAATGTCCTTTAACTGATGAATGGATAAACAAACTGTGATATATCCATACAACGGAATACCACTCAGCAATTAAAAAGGAACTCCCGGCTGGGTGTGGTGGTTCATGCCTGTAATTCCAGCACTTTGGGAGGCCAAGGTGGGCGGATCACCTGAGCTCAGGAGTGCAAGACCAGCCTGGGCAACGTGTTGAAACCCCATCTCTACCAAAAAGATACAAAAAATTAGCTGAGTATGGTGGCACTCGCCTGTTGTCTCCACTACTTGGGAGGCTGAGATGGGAGATCACTTGAGCCCCGGAGGCTGAGGCTGCAGTGCGCCAAGATTGTGCCACTGCATTCCAGCCTGGGTGACACAGTGAGACCCCATCTCAAAAAAAAAAACTCTTGATACATGCAACAACATGGATAAATCTTAAATGCATTATGGTTAAGTGAAAGAAGCCAGACTCAAAAGGTTACGTATTGTATGATTCCATGTATATGACATTCTCAAAAAGACAAAACTATAGGGATAGAAAACTTATCAGGAGCTGGGAGTGGGGCTGACTACAAAGGAGCAAACTGACTATACAAAGGAAGAACTTTTGGGGGCGATGGAACCATTTTATATCTTGATTGGTGATAGCTCCACAACTGTATTTATTTGTCAAAACTCATAGAACCGTACACTTAACAAGGGTAAATTTTACTGTATATAAATTACACTTCAATTAAAACAAATACTTAAAGTTTAAACATTGTTAAGTCAGCTTCAGGGCTAGATAGCTATGTAGCTGAGAGGTTATTTCACAAATGAAAACATTAGTGCCACATAATTATAGAACTAATAGTGCTGAAATATAAATTCTTAATCTCAATGACTTTGAAACATAATAAGAAAATGAACAGGACAAATAGTTTCTCTCAATAATAATATAAAACTTATGATCTTAGTCAATATACACACCTCCCAGAAGACAGATCCACTATCTTTGCTATTAAATTGTGTTCTGGGCATGCAAAGCTAAAGGGTAGCCTCTGTGACACTATGGTTTGAGTTTTCCTGTGACTTAACCCAAGTGACACCTACATCATCATTGCTACTGTCAATACTGTCAGTAGGCTTTTAGCCTATTTGGAATTTATACAAGTAAAAAATGTACTAAGCTTTTATGAACAGACACTTCTCAAAAGAAGACATTTATGCAAGCCAACAGACACATGAAAAAATATTCATCATCCCTGGCCATCAGAGAAATGCAAATCAAAACCACAGTGAGATAACCATCTCACACCAGTTAGAATGGCGATCATTAAAAAGTCAGGAAACAACAGGTGCTGGAGAGGAGGTGGAGAAATAGGAACACTTTTACACTGTTGGTGAGACTGTAAACTAGTTCAACCATTGTGGAAGACGGTGTGGCGATTCCTCAAGGATCTAGAACTAGAAATACCATTTGACCCAGCCATCCCATTACTGGGTATATACCCAAAGGATTATAAATCATGCTGCTATAAAGACACATGCACATGTATGTTTATTGCGGCACTATTCACAATAGGAAAGACTTGGAACCAACCCAAATGTCCATCAATGATAGACTGGATTAAGAAAATGTGGCACATAAACACCATGGAATACTATGCAGCCATAAAAAAGAATGAGTTCATGTCCTTTGTAGGGACATGGATGAAGCTGGAAACCATAATTCTCAGCAAACTATAGCAAGGACAAAAAACCAAACACTGCATGTTCTCACTCATAGGTGGGAATTGAACAATGAGAACACTTGGACACAGGAAGGGGAACATCACACACCGGGGCCTGTCGTGGGGTTGGGGGAGGGGGGAGGGATAGCATTAGGAGATATACCTAATGTAAATGACAAGTTAATGGGTACAGCACACCAACATGGCACATGCATACATATGTAACAAACCTGCACGTTGTGCATATGTACCCTACAACTTAAAGTATAATAAAAAAATTTTTTTAAATAAAAAAAATGTACTAAGCTTTGTAGAGTACCAGGGTCAAAAATATATTTTTTAAATGATTGTTTTAATAAAAGGGGCTATGAAAAATTCAACTCATATCCTATGTATCTAATGATCTTAACCACGACCTTGCTATTTCAGCTTTCTGATACCTTTTCTTTTTTGATGCTTCATTCTTAAAACTTCTATAAAAATTTCTGAGGCTGGGTGCAGTGGCTCTTGCTTTTAATCCCAGCACTTTGGGAGGCCGAGGTGGGAGGATCAGATGAGACCAGGAGTTCGAGACCAGCCTGGCCAATATGGCAAAACCCTGTCTCTATTAAAAATACAAAAATTACCCTGTATCTTGAGCTTATATAGTATAAGCTCAAGACCAGTATCTTGAGCTTATATACTATTGATGATTCGAGAAACTGAAGTACTACATTTATATTAGCTTACCATTTTGTGAAATATATAACAACAAAATAGAATTATGAAATTTTAGGATTGAAAAGATTCCCCATATCATCTAATCTAATCTGAATCTATTTTTACATCCTATCACATTCCCTTTGTTCATCCAGATTTGCCTGAATGTTTCTAGCAATGCTTACCTCCCCTCATGGGCTGCTCAAAGAATTCAAGAACTGGAAGGGATCTTAGGAAACTGAGGGCTAAAAGCTAAATTAGTTTACCAGTGAGGTGTAGTTAGGTGCAGAATACAAATTAAAATTCCAGCCCCATATACTTTTCACTCTCTATGCTTTTTACCTTTATCAAAATTTTATATGGGTGAAGAAACAACACTCACACATTGCTGGTGGAAATATAAATGGTGCAGGCACTCTAAAAAACTGTTTAGCAGTTCCTCAAAAAGTTAAACATAGGCCAGTCGCGGTGGCTCACGCCTGTAATCCCAGCACTTTGGGAGGCCAAGGTGGGCAGATCACGCAGTCAGGAGATCGAGACCATCCTGGCTAACATGGTGAAACCCCGTCTCTACTAAAAATACAAAAAATTAGCCGGGCGTGGCGGCGGGCGCCTGTAATCTCAGCTGCTGGGGAGGCCGAGACAGGAGAATGGCGTGAACCCGGGAGGCGGAGCTTGCAGTGAGCTGAGATCACACCACTGCACTCCAGCCTGGGCGACAGAGTGAGACTACGTCTCAAAAAAAAAAAAAAAAAAAAGTTAAACATAGAGTTACCATATGACCCAGCAATTCCAAACCTAGATGTGTACACAACAGAAATGAAAACATGTCCAGACAAAAACTTGTATACAAATGTTCATAGCACCATTATCCATAATAGACAAAAAGTAGAAACAACCCAAATGTCCATCAGCTGATGAATAGATAAATAAAATGTGGTATATCCATACAATAGAATAAAGTCTTGATACATGTTACGATATGGACAAACTTCAAAAACATGCTAAGTGAAAGATGCCAGTCACAAAAGGCTAAATATTGTGGCTCCAATGAAGTGAAATGTCCAAAATAGGAACACTTATAGAGACAGAAAATAAGTTTGTGGTTTCCAGGGGCTCGGAGAGACGAGAATGGGGAATGACTACTAATGGGTACAGGGTTTCTTTTTCCAGGGATGAAAATGTTCTAAAATTAGACCATGGTGATAAGCCTGTGAACTTACTAAAAAATACTGAATTATATACTTTATTTTTAAACTAAATTTATTTTAAATTTTTATGGATATATAATAATAGTAGTATGCATTTATGGGGTACATGTGATATTTTCATACAAGCATACAACAATGTAATGATCAAATATGGGTAACTGGGATATCCATTACCTCAAACACTTATCATGTCTTTGTGTTGGGAACATTCCACATTTTCTCTTCTAGCTATTTTGAAATATACAATAAATTATTATCAACAATAGTTGGCTGTGGTGGGTAGTGGGGAGGAGAGGATGAAGAGTGGTTGGTTAATGAGTACAAAAACACAGTTAGACGGCTAGGCACTGTGGCTCATGCCTGTAATCCCAGCACTTTGAGAGGTCGAGGCAGGCAGATTGCCTGCGGCCAGGAGTTTCGAGACCAGCCTGGCCAACATGGTGAAACCTCATCTCTACTAAAAAATACAAAAACTAGCTGGGTGTGGTGGCACGCGCCTATAATCCCAGCTACTTGGGAGGCTGAGGTGAGAGAATCGCTTGAATCCAGGAGGCGGAGCAGTGAGCGGAGATCATACCACTGCATTCCAGCCTGGGCAACAGAGTGAGACTCCATCTCAAAAATATATATACAGTTAGATAGAATGAATTATATACTTTAAATGGGTGAATTGTATGGCATATGAATTATATCTCTAAAAAGCTATTTTTAAAATTAATAAACAAAGAACTAGTTATATCCTTTAAACAACTTTATATAGAGGATTTAAAACCTACTGGCAAATTCTTTGACACTCCTCCCATTGAGAGGTCACCTCCTCTTGGAACTGGGTGGGCATTTGTGACTGCCTCAGCATTACTCCTGCCACATCCAAATTAAGTCTAATTAAGTGACTTAAGAATTCACTTAATAAGCTAGTTAGAAAAAAACCATGCAGCTTCTGCCAGTCTCTCTTAGGATGCTTGCCCTTGGAACCCTGCCATCACACTGTAAGGAAGCCAGGAATACATGGAGAGGCCCCAGCTGAGCTCCCAGCCCAAAGCCAGCATCAACTTGCCAGCCAGCTATGTGGTCAAGCCATCTTGAAAGCTGTCACGGTTGATGCCACATTGAGCAGAGTCAACCCTGCTTAACCTTATGCAAATTAAAGAGTTATGAACAAAATATCTGCCATTATTTTAAACCATTAAGTTTTAGGGTGGTTTGGTACACAGCAATGGGTAACTAGAATACTTTTCATACTTAAAAGAAGGCTAAAAACAGTATCTAGCCTCCTCCTACTTAGTGCAGACACTTCTTTCTAGCAGATTACCACCCTAACTGTCTGACAATTTTGACTAACATGGAGATCAGGTCCTCAACGAAGCCACCCCTTCCACTGATGACCAATCCTGGGAATTATGATCTGCCTTATGTTAAAACCAGTTCTGTCATGCCCAACCTCTGGTTTAAGTTCTTTCCTCAGAGGTGACCATTACTGTCTAAACCTCTTCTTCAGGACAGGCCTTTACCTTACTAAACAGTAGAGAAATCTTTAGCATTGTCCTACTATATAGCTGAGGAACCTGAAGTGCACAAATTGGCTGCTTTACCCAAAGTTACACAATAGATACTCGAATTTCTGGTATAAGATTTTTGTTTAGTATTATTTCTATTGAATATGAGACAAATATAACAGACACATGTGTTGTCCTTACTCAAATCACAATTTTCACACTTAAGCCATAATTGTTTAGAGTTAATCCTCATTTCTATTATCTAGGAGGAAAAGTATGGGCATGAATACTGGAAGATGAAAACTACTTTTCCGTATCACTCTTCCTCACCTCATATGTACTTAAATGTTTCCTGTTTTAACTCCAGAAAGCCAGTAAACTCTTTTAGGGCAGGGATAAGTCTTATAATTTTGAGACTTACTTGGTGTTTGAGTACATACATACTGAATAATTTGCCTACCTATGGGTGGCAGCATACAGATAAGGATAAAAACATTTCTTTTGAAATAATTTAAACACAAGTCTTACAATCCAAAAATATTTCTCATCACATCAGTGTAAGAATTGTAATCTTTTTTCTTTTTCAAAGTCAGTAGCAATAGAAAATGAGCTTCTTACACTGTTGACTACAGTATGTCAGTTGCTATGACAATGCTTAGTCCCCAGACATTCCTTCTAAATGAGACAATTTCTCCCAGCTTCAGTCCCCTAAGACTGACCCAATTACACAACTCAAACCCCAAAACCCAAGGGGTGCCCTTCAATAAAGATACTCTGGGCTGGGAGCGGTGGCTCACGCCTGTAATCCCAGCACTTTGGGAGGCTGAGGCAGGTGGATCACCTGAGGTCAGGAGTTCAGGACTAGCCTGGCCAACAAGGTGAAACCCTGTCTCTACTAAAAATATACAAAAATTAGCCAGGCGTGGTGGTGCACGCCTGTAATTCCAGCTACTCAGGAGGCTGAGGCTGGAGAATCGCTTGAACCCAGGAGGCAGAGGTTGCAGTGAGCCGAGATCGCGCCACTGCATTCCAGCCTGGGCGATGACAGAGCCAGACTCCATCTCAAAAAGAAAACATCAAAAAAAGATACTCTGATTACACAACCTAAGGAAAAATGTAAACACCCTTTTCTAAGCTGCAAGGAAATTTTTCAGGCAACCCATTTTGTTTTTACATGTAAAAGTCTTACAAGTTGAATGGTAATTGTCTGATATAACTTTAAAACTGTATATGCTATAATCCATAACCACATTCCAGAAGCCTAAACTTTTAATATAAATCATTTCTATTAATATGCATGCATCATATCTCATTTATGTTCTCTGGGCTGTATTTGCAATCTGTTCCTTTTAAGGTACAACTGAAATCTTCTAGGAGCAAGCAAGGCCATGCTCAGTAAACGTATCATTGGACTAATACAGAACATTTGCACACTAGCCCAAATTAACCTCACGGGAGGCAAGGAACTAGGAAAAAATATTTTATTTATTTATTTTTTTTTTTTGGAAACAGGGTCTCACTCTGTTGCCCAAGCTGGAGGGCAGTGGCCCGATCATGACTCATTGCAGCCTCTAAGTCCCAGGCTCAGGTGATCCTCCCACCTCAGCCTACTGAGTAGCTGGGACTACAGGTGTGCACCACCATGCCCCACTAATTTTTGTATTTTTAGTAGGAATGAGGTTTCGCCATATTGCCCAGGCTGGTCTGGAACTCCTGGGCTCAAGAGAGCCACCAGCCTTGGCCTCCCAAAGTCCTGGGATTACAGGCATGAGTCACCATGCCTGGCCCTAGAAAAAAATATTTTAAATTGTATAAAATTTAACAAGCTATCAAAATGAGGCAACTTAGAAAGAATTCCTAGTAATTCCAAAAGAAAAAAAAACTAAAAAGAAAAAGCTATGTTGGGAAATGTGGTATCTGCATTGTCTCAAAATGTAAGCTGGTAATTCTCTTCAACAGTCCAAAATATTTTAAAACTGGGGTTTTTTTCAGAATGCTCATTTGGTTAGAAATTCTCATTTTGATTGGCTGAGTTGATCAAGATTTTAACTTTTATTATACACACACTCAGAAGCATGAGCTTATTTTATATATCCAATAACATCTCTTACAACTCTACAACTACAGAACTTAGTAGTGTTCTCAAAAAAAAAGGTTCTCTGTAAGCTCAAAACAGTTTCTACAATTGAAAGTTTATTACACACTCATTTGTGGGGAAAAAGCTTAGATGTTGGTGTCCAATGTTATATTTCTCAATGCATTTACTTAGCCAATGGGCAAAAGAAGAAAAAAAATCACAGGACACACACACTTATCTAAAAGAAGGATTAACATGAGAAGTCCTAACTAACCTGAATATTATGTTAATAAACATTAACTGTAAAACAATTTATTGTGAAACGATGAGTCATAGGCAGCCAAGACTACTATAAATAAAAAAGGCATTTTATTTAGTTTAGATTTAGCCTGAGTTCAAAAGAAAAAACTAAAATAAAAATGAAATATGCAACTTTCTCTAAGGCAGACAATTCAAGCTAAAAGAACATTGTTAGAAAGCCAAAGGCTGAGGAAAACAATATCTTTTAAAAACCGCCCATCAGATAACTTTAAATGGCAGGTGCAATCTTCTTGTGAAATAGAAAGCATAGTACTTTCTTCCCCTACATTATAAAATGCTACTATCGAGTATGACTAACAGAGAATAAAGGTACCATGTGACCCAAGAAGGGTGTGTATGAGAAGTAGGGGCAGAAAGACGGGGCTGAGAAAAGCTGCAAAAAGCTTTCAATTTCCTAACTCTGACTCTTAGAGACCAGAGCTTACCTGAATACATTCTGCTGGGGATTGGAAATCATGCAGAAAGGTCTGTGATTCCAAAACGTTAATACATTTATTATAAAGTAATCTTGGGTAAAGATATGTTGCCTTAAGCAAAGAGTTAACTGTTCATAATACCCATTTGAAAAATCTCTCATTTTGTTTGGGAGAAATAATTGATAAGTCCATCAAAGTAGTTTAGTAAGCACAAATGGAGAACTATGTAGAAAGAGGAACTATTATGAAATGTATGACCGAGTGTGTTTTGTGTAAGACTAATGGAGGTTTTCAAAGGTTTTTCGTTTCTGGCTATATACAAAAATAAAAATAAGGGCGTTTTCATTCATTTAAACCAGCAGTAAAATACTGCCTGGTTTATGCCGCTTATTTTCACCTTACAGTCTTAATACACATTCCAAGACTGATGCGATATTCATTATTTCTTTCGGATAACTGGAAGAGGAGGGGGAGTAAAGCTGTACATTAAACAGTCCACTTGGTAATTGAGAAAATTCAGCAGTGAAATATATCATGAGGCACCAAAGAGATTTGCCGGGGAGGGCAGACAAAAGAGAAAACAGCCACAGAACATTAAGCCCCGGAAGAGATGAGAATCGGTCCCATATACGTAACTCGACGACTGGACAAAACCCCGCTTGACGCTGCCGGTGGGTGAAACGAGGTGATTTGAGATTCAGGGCGTTCTCGGCTCTTTCCCTCTCTCGAATCGATCATCTCCAACAGGAAGTCAGAGCAAGGCAGGGTTCGGAGTCAGAGAAAGCTCCCGGGGGAGTCTGTCTACCACGACAACAAACTCCTAAGGCTCCTTCCGGAGCTCCACAGCCCTCTGGGCGGCCTCTCTAGCGCTGTACTTCACGTCCCCGCTCCCCAAAAAAGTCGTGCACCCCGACTTCAGCTATCCGCGTTCAAGAGAGTGCGGCAGCAGTTGGGTCGGCCCCCTCAGCGGTCCCGGGCCGTAAGGGACCTGGCGGAGCGGCTCAGGGAGGCTGAGACGGCGGCTACACGACTTTCATTACCTTCTCGCGCTGATCCCAGCTGTACTGCTTTGGCCGCTCCTCCTCGTTCTCGGGCCGCGACTCCTTGTCAGCCTTCCGTCTCTTGGAGAAGAAGCAGCCCATGGTCCCAGCCCGCGGAGCTCGTTGGCCAGCTCACTAGCTCAGGCACTTCCTAGAGTGTGGCGTGAACCCTGGGAACCCCGGCCTCGCAGCTCTCCGGACAACGCCCCGCGGAACCGCCCAACGGTCCGCAGCCTTAGTTTGCCCGCCAGGCCCAGCACCCCTTCCCCTTTTTCGTCGCCCTGACGACCCAGCGCAGCCAATGAACGCTCAGCGCCTGTTGAGCCAATCAAAGCCTCTCGAGCAATCCTGCGCGGCCTATGAAGAGAGGCCGACATACCCACATACCAATCCACGCCTGGCTCCTGCGACAGCCCCTGGCGGCGGGGCGGGCCGGCTCTGGCGCAAGCACGGACAACCCCGCCCACAGCTGTGGCACGGACCGCCCTCGGCCCCGCCCCTCCTGGAACTTGGTGGGTTCTCTAGCTGGTGGGAGGCCAGGCTCGGTATCCGGGTTTTTTTTGCCCCTGATTCATAAATTTGCAAGTTCAAGGCGCGGGAGAGATCTCTAGTTGAACATTAGATTTATCTTATGATGAAAGTTGTGAGGGACAGAAATTCCCGCTGACACAAGAAGACCCTGAAATTTGTATTTCTAAATCCTCTTCTCCCCTCATCACCCTTCCTACCGCCCTCTCATCGCCTGGCCAGGGTCACCCCCTCAAGAATTGTACCCCATAACCTCCCAATCCTCTTCTGTGCTCTTTCTTTCTTTCTTTCTTTCTTTCTTTCTTTCTTTCTTTCTTTCTTTCTTTCTTTCTTTCTTTTTCTTTCACAGGGTCTCGCTATGTCACTCAGGCTGCAGTGGCACAATCATAACTCACTGCAACCTTGCAACTTTGCAACCTTGACTTCCTGGGCTCAAGCGATCCTCCTGCCTCAGCCTCCTTCCTGAGTAGCTGGAACTACAAGCAAGCACCACCATGCCCACCTATTTTTTTTTTTTTTTACTTTTGTAGAAATGGGGTCTTGCTATGTCGCCCAGGCTGGTCTTGAACTCCTGGGCCCAAGCGATCATCCTGCCTCAGCCTCTCAAGGTGCTGGGATTACAGGCAGGACCCACCGCACCCCAGGCTGCTTCTGTGTTTTCTTAAGACTTTCACATATGGCTCTAAAATTGCACAAGTACTTAGTAAAATAGTTAATTGTGTATTGTTTCCCTATTTGAACTGTGACTTTCTTGAGATCAAAAAGGTATATCTTTTTTTTTTTTTTTTTTTTTTGATGGAGTTTTTGCTCTTGTCGCCCAGGCTGGAGTGCAGCAGTGCCATCTCGGCTCACTGCAACCTCCGCCTCCCGGGTTCAAGTGATTATCCTGCCTCAGCCTCCAGAGTAGCTGGGACTGCAGGCGCCTGCCACTACGCCCGGCTAATTTTTGTATTTTTAGTAGAGACGGGGTTTCACCATGTTGGGCAGGCTGGTCTCGATCTCCTGACCTCAGGTGATCTGCCCGCCTCGGCCTCCCAAAGTGCTGGGATGACAGGCATGAGCCACCGCGCCTGGCCTAAAAGGTATGTCATAAAGGGCATGCAGGGCCGGGCGCGGTGGCTCACGGCTGTCATCCCAGCACTTTGGGAGGCCGAGGCGGTAGGATCATGAGGTCAGGAGATCGAGACCATCCTGCTCAACACAGTGAAACCCCGTCTGGTGAAACCCCGTCTCTACTAAAAATACAAAAATTAGCCGGGCGTAGTGGCGTGTGCCTGTAGTCCCAGCTACTCGGGAGGCTGAGGCAGGAGAATTGCTTGAACCCAGGAGGTGGAGGTTGCAGTGAGCCAAGATGGCGCCGCTGCACTCCAGCCTGGGCGACAGAGGGAGACTCTGTCTAAAAAAAAAAAAAAAAAAAAAAACCAGAGCCGGGGGGGGCGGGCACGGTGGCTCACGCCTGTAATCCCAGCACTTTGGGAAGCCAAGGCGGGCGGATCACAAGGTCAGGAGTTCGAGACCAGCCTGGCCAATATGGTGAAACCTCATCTCTACTAAAAATACAAAAATTAACCGGGCATGGTGGCGGGCGCCTGTAGTCCCACCTACTCGGGAGGCTGAGGCAGGAGAATAGCTTGAACCCAGAAGGCGGAGGTTGCAGTGAGCCGAGATGGCGCCACTCCACTCCAGCCTGGGCGACAGAGCAAGACTCCGTCTCAAAAAAAAAAAAAAAAAAAGGCAGTGGGGAGGAAAGCTGAGGGGAGGGATGTACCTTTGAATCTCCTACACCTGGCCCAAGTCCATACTAGGTGCTCAATACAACGTTTGTCAAATGAATGAATGCATGCATGGGTGCTAGTGAAGGAAGCATTTATAAACTTCCCCCATCCCTTCCCAAAGAAAGTGACCAAACTGTGGGGGTGGGAGGCATGTGGATTTATGGTAAAGGGGTTCTCCTCATGGAGTTTATAGCCTCGTTGAGGACATAAGCATTGCATATGAACGATCAGATCTGTTCTAAGCAAATGGCATAGGGTTCGTCAGAATATATTTAAAGATATATACACTAAATATAAACATTTGTTATACTTGGGTCGAATTTTACTGCAATACACATGCATTGCCTATGTAATAGAAAAGAAAGGTAAGTCAGTTTCTCTGAGAAACAGTATTTTGACATCTCAGTAGGATATCAAATGCTGATCACTTCAGGTTCAAATTTGGTTATCTTTTAAATTTCCCATACTTATTCACATCTAGTTTGTATCCTAAATGAGCCTCTGACTTTTTTTTTTTTTTTTTTTTTTGAGACAGAGTCTCGCTTTATCACCCAGGCTGGAGTGCAATGACATGATCTCAGCTCACTGCAACCTCCACCTCCCAGGTTCAAGCAATTCTCCTGCCTCAGCCTCCCGAGTAGCTGGGGCTACAGGCGCACAAAACCACACCTGGCTAATTTTTGTATTTTTAGTAGAGACGGGGTTTCACCATGTTGGCCAGGCTGGTCTCGATCTCCTGACCTCAGGTGATCCACCCACCTCGGCCTCCCAAAATGTTGGGATTACAGGCGTGAGCTACAGTGCCCGGCCGACTTAATTTGAACATAAAGAATGTTCCCCTTTTTACTTCCCGTCCTTTATTGCACAATCGGGAAGAAAAGTACATGTGCTTAAGTATTAGAAATTACTGCAAATTTAAGTTCCAGATCTTAGGCAATAGAGTCTTTACCCAGTGCACACTTTTTCTCCTTCAGAGTGAGATGAAAGTTTTATGTGAAGATGTTTTTGGATAAGACCCTCATTCGATATTTTATAATCTATTATTATATTTATAATCTATGGTCTATGATTATAAAACATCTGTGACCAGATATAAATATATAACTATGACCACTACTTAGTGTAGCAGAGGAGGCAGAGATCCAGAGAGGTGAAGGGATGAATCTGTGGTCACGATGAGAGTGGCTGAGCAGGGACTGGAAAAATCCACATCCTGTGTTTCCCAGTGCCTCCTCCTGCCTTAAGTTTGTTCCTCTCTAATTCATCTGAAATAAGTATCTGCCTCGGCCTTCTGATGCCTATGGGAGCTCTGTCCCACAGTGATGCTATTCCTCTTAATGAACAAACAATATAACAAAACTAATTCTAGAGAAACAACCTCTGAAACTCTCACTGTTTTGAAGTATTCATTAATGAGAAAAGCTCAAATCTACAATAAAACCTATATCCAAGAGTGATCTTTTCAGGGACCCTTAAAAGTGAAGATAAAGTCCCTTTTCTGTTCATTCCCATCCTACCATCACTCTTGACCAAAAACAAAATTACAAAAAGAAAATTAAATCAAATGTTAAGAACTGGGGACTAGAAAGCTAATGAACAGAGCTAATACTAGTGCTGTCTCATCCTTTTTCTTTCTCTCTTATTCTTTCTTTCTTTTCTGCCCCATCTCTTTTTCACCTGTCCCCATGAATTCTCATCACTACTTATTTTTGCAAACCAGCTCTCTACTTACTCATCAGCATTTACATGGTTGACAACAGCTATCCCACCCTGATTCCTCATGGCCTTTCTGTCCAAGGGCATGCTACAGTCTCAGACTCTCAAGGGAGATAATCATATACATTGCTGGCCAGTCAATAACAGATTGGCTCTAGGTTGGTATGCACCCCTGGTCCCATTGCTGCAGCTGCAGGGGCGAATTCCAAACATGGGTGTTACAGATATGGGTGGGAAGCAGGTCCTGAAAAGGGAACGCTAACTCTGAAGAGTTCAGGCAGAAGTTGGTTGCTTGTTCTGCTTGTGCTCCTCCTGCTATTTATATTCTAGTGATTTCTTTTCTATAGAAGGCTGCCCTTCCTGTTCAGCTTGATGTATCTATTCATCTATATTAAAATGTTGAGTTGTGGGTTTACACCTGGCCACAAGCTCCAGAGATGGCTCTGGGTCCCCTGAGTCTTGACCACAGAAGTGATATAGTTACTTCTCAGAAGACAGTCCTGGCCGGGCACGGTGGCTCACACCTGTAATCCCAGCACTTTGGGAGGCCGAGGCAGGTGGATCACTTGAGGTCAGGAGTTTGAGACCAGCTTGGTCAACATGGTGAAAATACTAAACATACTAAAAATGCAAAAATTAGCCAGGCGTGGTGGTGCGCCCCTGTAATCCCGGCTACTCAGAAGGCTGAGGTGGGAGAATTGCTTGAACCCGGGAGGCAGAGGCTGTAGTGAGCCAAGATCGCACCACTGCACTCCAGCCTGGGCAACAGAGTGAGATCCCATCTCAAAAACAACAACAACAAAAAGACAGTCCTGAAGCAGTGTATCTCTACAGCATGAATAAGTCAATTACCCCAGCAACGATGGCTGGAAAATTCCCTATGTTTGAGTTGACCTGACACATCCTTGCTCACTCTGCACTCACCTAAGGAAATACTTCACATCAAGTGAAAGAGGAGTGTTTCAGTCATCTATTGCTGAGTAACAAACCACCTGAAACGTAATCGCTTAAAGCAATAATAACTTAATATTTCTTTTACTCATGAACCTTGGTGGGGACAACTCAATTCTGTTCCACAGTACATCTGGAGCCTCAGCTGGGATGACTCAAATGGCTGGGGTGCTGGCCAAGAATCATTCTACATGAAATCTCAGAGCCTCTCCACCCAGTCTCTCCTGCAAGGTGGCTTTAGGGTATTTGAACTCCATACATCATGCTCAGGGCTCCAAGAGTGAGTGTTCCATGAGACCAACGTGGAAGCTGCAAGGCTTCTTATGGTGTGGCCTCGGAAGACATGCAACATCACTTCACTGGATTCTATTGGTCACCCAGGGCTGGCCCTGACTCACTAAGGGAGGAGATGAAACAAGAGACATGAATACTCGAAGGTGCAGATCTTTGAGGTGTCATCTCTGTGGCTAGTCTCCATGGCAGGAGTCAAATCTGTTCAATTCATATACTGATGAAGAGGATTGGAAGGTTTAAAAAAATATATAGGCAGATAACTTTTTTCCCCTTTTCATAAGTGTTTTTTTTTTTTAACAGGGTCTCATTCTGTCACCCAGGCTAAAGTGCAGTGTGCATTCATGGCTTACTGCAGCCTCGACCTTCTGGGCTTAAGCAATCCTCCCATCTCAGCCTCCTGAGTAGCTAGGACCATAAGTGCCCACCACTACACCTGGCTAATTTTTTTTTTTCTTTTTTGAGACAGGGCCTCACTTTGTCGCCCAGACTGGAGTGCACAATCTTGGCTCACTGCAACCTCTGTCTCCTGGGCTCAAATGATCCTCCAACCTCAGCCTCCCAAGTAGCTGGGACTACAGGCATGTGCCACCACGCCAGGCTAATTTTTGTACTTTTTGTAGAGACCGGGTTTCACCATGTTGCCCAGGCTGGTCTCAAACTCCTGGACTCAAGCAATCCACCCACCTTGGCCTCACAAAGTGCTGGGATTACAGGCATGAGCCACAGTGCCTGGCCACACATGGCTAATTTTTCAAATTTTTTGTGGAGACAGGGGGCTCACTATGTTGCCCAGGGTGGTCTCAAACTCCTGGGCTCAGCAATCCTGTCTCAACCTCCCAAAGTGCTGGGATTACAGGCATGACCCACCACGCTCGGCTCCTTTTCATAAGTTTTTGAGTCAACATTTCTTCTCCCTCTTTATTTTTTTCTTTCTTTTTTTTTTTTGGAGACGGAGTCTTGAGGTCACTGCAACTTCTAACTCCTGGACTCAAGCGATCTTCCTACCTCAACCTCCCAAGTAACTGAAACTACATGTGTGCAACACTGTGCCCAGCTAATTATTTGTTAAATTTTTTAGAGACGGGGGCTAATTATTTTTAATTTTTTTTTCTAGAGACAGTGTCTCACTGTGTTGCCCAGGCTGGTCTCAAACTCCTGGTCTCAAGCGATCCTCTCACACTTAACTTTTAAATAATTCTTATCAATTTTCTTTCAATATCTTATTGACCAGTTCCAATTATTTTTAAAAGCATTGAAAATTGTGTATAATCAATTTATAAAGACTATATATTTTTTTCTTACCATGAGGTATCTTATTCACTGTTGTTGGTAAAAGTCTTAATTTAGGCAAAGTAAAAAATATTTGTCTGTCAATGATCTGACTTCCTAGTCAGCTTTCTGAGTACGTGACTATAACATTTATTGAATTCTGTGTGTTTCTTCCTTCTTCTTTCTATTACTAACCAGTGACTCTATCCTCCCATGTACATGTGAACTCATAGACTGTGATATCATACTGGGCTGTCTGACAACACTATCATTCATTCTTATTTAAAAAGTTCATGAATATCCCAGTGTGCTAGGCACTGTGCTAGGTAATGAAATGAAAAAGCATCAAACTGTCAGTTTAGTGGAAAAGATGGTCCAGAAAATAAATGATCACAGTACAATGTTATAGTAAAGATATAACAGAGAGTTGGAAGTTAGTACAAAAGAGGAAAAACAGAGGAAACAGACTTCTAACTCAGACAGGGGTGGGGAGGATAGAAGAGTCAAGAAAGGCTTCTCAGAAGTAAATGGTCTCAGCAGCAGAAAATTATAAATTCTAGTAACTAGTAACTTTTTACAACAAAGCAGTTCCAATGGGGACTTTTTTTCTTTCTTTTTTTTTTTTTTTTTTTGAGACGGAGTCTCACTCTGTTGCCAGGCTGGAGTGCAATGGCACGATCTTGCCTCACTGCAACCTCTGCCTCCCGGGTTCAAGTGATTCTCCTGTCTCAGCCTCCCTAGTAGCTGAGACTACAGGCAACCACCATCACGCCCAGCTAATTTTTGTATTTTTAGTAGAGATGGGGTTTCACCATGTTGGCCAGGATGGTCTTGATCTCTTGACCTTATGATCCGCCCGCTTCGGCCTCCCAAAGTGCTGGGATTACAGGCGTGAGCCACCGCACCTGGCTTTTTTTTTTTTTTAGACAGAGTCTCACTGTGTCACCCAGGCTGGAGTGCAGTGGAATGATCTCAGTTCACTGCAGCCTCTGACTCCCGGGTTCAAGCAATTCTCATGCCTCAGTCTCCCGAGTAGCTGGTATTACAGGCGTGCGTCACCACGCCTGGCTAATTTTTGTTTTTTTAGTAGAGACAGTTTTTCACCGTGTTGCCGGGGTTGGTCTCGAACTCCTGAGCACAAGCAAGATCTACCCGCCTCGGCCTCCCAAAGTGCTGGGATAACAGGCATGAGCCACCGCGCCCAGCCTACCCAATGGAGACTATTTTTAAAAGATAGTTTCGGCTGGGTGCGGTGCTCACGCCTGCAATCCCAGCACTTTGGGAGGCCGAGGCAGGTGGTTCACGCGGTCAGGAGATCGAGACCATCCTGGCCAACATGGTGAAACCTCTTCTCTCCTAAAAATAGAAAAATTAGCTGGGCGTGGTGGTACGCACCTGTAGTCACAGCTACTCGGGAGGCTGAAGCAGGAGAATCACTTGAACCCGGGAGGTGGAGGTTGCAGTGGGTGAAGATCGCATCACAGCACTTCAGCCTGGGCGACAGAATGAGACTCCATCTCAGAAAAAAAAAAAAAGATAGTTTCTGGACTTACAAAAATCTTTTTTTTTGTCCTAGCAGAATTCCCATTTTCCTTCCTTCCTTCCTTCCTTCCTTCCTTCTTTCATTTCTTTCTTTCTTTCCCTCCCTCCCTCCCTCTCTCTTTCTCTTTTCTTTTTTTCCTGAGACAGGGTCTCACTCTTTCGCCCAGGCTGGAGTACAGTGGTGCAATCTCGGCTCACTGCAACCTCCGCCTCCTGGGTTCAGGTGATTCTCCCGCCTCAGCCTCCCGAATGTCTAGGATTACAGGCACCCACCACGACGCCCGGCTAATTTTCTTTTGTATTTTTAGTAGAGACGGGGTTTCACCATGTTGGCCAGGCTGGTCTCGAACTCCTGATCTCAAGTGATCCGCCTGCCTTGGCCTCCCAAAGTGCTGGGATTACAGGTGTGAGCCACTGTGCCCAGGCCAGTTTTCCCATGTTCTAAACATTCATTTTAATACTTTTCAGGAAAGGGATAAACTCTGAGCAAACTAAAACTACAGAGTTAATTAGAGTATGTTAGAAAATCTGTTTTCATCCTTGGGATTTTATTAGGACTACTTCCCATTTCATCCAAGCTAAATAAGAGATATAGTTTCTTCCTCTTCCTCTTCCTCTTCCTTTTCTTCTTGTTCTTCTTCTCCTCCTCCTTCTTCTTTTAGACAGAGCCTGGCTCTGTCACCCAGACTGGAGTGCAGTGGTGCGATCTCAGCTTACTGCAACCTCCGCTTCCCGAGTTCAAGCCATTCTCTTGCCTCAGCCTCCCGAGTAACTGGGATTATGGGCACCCACCACCATGCCTGGCTAATTTTTGTATTTTTAGTAGAGACGGGGTTTTGCCATGTTGGCCAGGCTAGTCTCGAACTTCTGACCTCAGGTGATCCATCCGCCTCGGCCTCCCAAAGTGCTGGGATTACAGGCGTGAGCCACCGTGCCCAGCCTAGTTTCCTCTTCTTAATGTTTACCAGACTCTCAGTCTGACATTTAGAAGATCCCAACTCACATAATTGCTACTCATCAACATTTATATAGTTTAAAAATAATTTCAAGGTAGTGAAAAAAAGATTTGGGCAAGATAACTGATGCCACAAGAAAAAAGTATCAGTAAAAGAATAACATTTCCTAAATCTTACAGAAGAAAATGGTTAATATCATATAGATGGCCAATACCTAAGCAGTCCCAACAGTCCCTGGATTTATATGAGTAGGATCTCTTTCCTACTTTCCACTCTTCCTCTCCCCTGGTTTTGAACAAAGTGAACAAAAGTTAGGGGTAATTCTAGATAAAATCTTCCTTCAGAGATGCTCTGCTAGGCTTGGTATAATTCCCACTTCCTCACCTCCCCCACCACATACATCCAGCTGCACAGTACGTTCTTAGATTTCCTACATTCAGGATAAGAAAGTGAATTGGGGAGGAAGACATCTCTTTATCTCTTTCTTTCTTTCTTTCTTTCTTTCTTTCTTTCTTTCTTTCTTTCTTTCTTTCTTTCTTTCCTTCTTTCTTTCTTTCCTTCCTTCCTTCCTTCCTTCCTTCCTTCCTTCCTTCCTTCCTTCCTTCCTTCCTTCCTTCTTTCTTTCTTTCTTTCTTTCTTTTTTTTTTTTGATAGAGTTTCACTCTTGTTGCCCAGGCTGGAGCACAGTGGCAATGGCGTGATCTCAGCTCACCGCAACCTCCATCTCCCAGGTTCAAGCAATTCTCCTGCCTCAGCCTCCCGAGTAGCTGGGTTACAGGCATGGGCCACCATGCCCGGCTAATTTTGTATTTTTAGTAGAGACAGGGTTTCTCCATGTTGGTCAGGCTGGTCTCGAACTCCTGACCTCAGGTGATCTGCCCACCTCAGCCTCCAAAAGTGCTGGGATTACAGGCATGAGCCACTGTGCCCGGCCTTTATCACTTCTTTCATATATTCCCTAATTATCACAATGCTCAGAATGGCACCTAATAAATAATAATTCACTCTGAGACAGGGAAAATTTCAGGATTTGTAGGCTCTAACGTCTATACAATGTGGATTGGGTCCTCTGAAGAAAAATAACACTGATTATTAATGTAAAATTTCCAGGGCCTTTCCTGGGGTGTGTACAGGACCCATACAAGCAAAGGGCTCTCAAGTTTATATTTCATTAACCATATTATAAAATTACCTGTCCAGAGGTATTCAGAATATTATCTCTTGAAGAGTCAGGATCTAAATTCACAAAGGCTACCTGTTTTCATATACCGATTGGCTTCAAAATGTCTACATGACAGCACATTATACAGACAAAGAACTAAGAAGACCATATTCTCCTAGCAGTGCTGCCAATCTGCCACAACTTATTAAAAACCTCAATGGGAACAGAGAAATCAATAGGTGCAAGCTCATAAAAGCCAATAAAAAATTAGCTATTAATACTACTCTGGGCACACTGCCTATGGGGTAGCCCTGCTCCATAAGGAGTAGCATAAAAAATTAGCTAATGGAGCCAGATGTACATGAAACAAAATTCCTAATGTAACGTGTACTGACTTGTTAGTAATAAGCAGAGACAACTACACAATCAAGCATTCAGATGACCAAAGGCACAAATTTAGTCAAACTCTTAAAAAGTTTGGCAAGAGAAAGAAATAAGGGGAATTCAAATTGGAAAAAGGAAAGTCAGATTGTCCCTCTTTGCAGATGACATGATCTTATATACAGAAAAACCTAAAGACTCCACCAAAAAAAAAGCTTGGAACTGATTCTTAAACAAATTCAAGGTCAGGTGCAGTGGCTCATGCCTGTAATCCCAGCACTTTGGGAGGCTGAGGTGCCTGGATCACTTGAGTCCAGGAGTTCAAGACCAGCCTGGGCAACATGGCAAAACCCTGTCTCTACAAAAAAATGCAAAAGTTAGCCAGACATGGTGGCACATGCCTGTAGTCCCAGCCACTTGGGAGGCTGAAGAAGGAGGATCATTTGAGCCCAGGATGCAGAGGTTGCAGTGAGCCAAGAAGATGGCACCATTGCATTCCAGCCTGGGTGACAGAGCAAGACCCTGTCTTAAAAAAAAAAAAAAAGGAACAAATTCAGTAAAATTACAGGATATGAAATCAACATACAAAAATCAGTAGCATTTTTATACACCAATAATGAACTATTTGAAAAAGAACTAAGAAAGCAATCCCATTTACCATAGCTACAAAAAATAATACCTAGGAATAAATTTAACCAAGGCAGAGAAAGAGCTATACAATGAAAACTACAAAACACTGATGAAAGAAATTGAAGAGAACACCAAAACATGGAAAAACATCCCATATTCATGGATTGAAAGAATTAATATTGTGAAAATAATTGTACTACCCAAAACAATCTACAGATTCAGTGCAATCCCTATGAAAATACCAATGACATTTTTCACAAAAATAGGAAAAAAATCCCAAAATTCGTATGAAGCCACAAAAGATCCAAAATACCCAAAGTGATATTAAGCAAAAAGAACAAAGCTGGAGATATCACAGTACCTGACATCCAAATTTCCTACAAAGCTATAGAAACCAAAACAGCATGACCTTGGCATAAAAACAGACACATAGACCAATAGAACAGAATAGAGAACCCAGAGATAAACCTATGCATTTACAGCCAAGTCATCTTTGACAGAGGTGTCAAAAACATACACTGGGGAAAGTACAGCCTCTTCAATAAACGGTGCTGGGAAAACTGGATATACATATGTAGAAGAATGAAACTAGACCCTTGTCTCTCACCGTATTAAAAAAAAATCAGGCCAGGCACAGTGATTCATGCCTGTAATCCCAGCACTTTGGGAGGCCAAGGCAGGCGGATCACCTGAGCTCAGGATTTCTAGACTAGCCTGGCCAACATGGTGAAACCCTGTCTCTACTAAAAAGTAAAGTACAGGCGGGGCATGGTAGCTCACACCTGTAATCCTAGCACTTTGGGAAGCCGAGGCGGGTGGATCACTTGAGGTTAGGAGTTTGAAATTGGCTGGCCAACATGGTGAAAACTCGTCTCTACTAAAAGTACAAAAATTAGCTGGGCATGGTGGTGGGTGCCTGTAATCCCAGCTACTCAGGAAGCTGAGGCAGGAGAATTGCTTGAGCCTGGGAGGCAGAGGTTGCGGTGAGCCGAGATCAAGCCTTTGCATTCCAGCCTGGGTGACAGAGCGAGACTCCATCTCAAAACAAACAAACAAACAAACAAAACAGATTAGCCTGGTGTGGTGGCGCACACCTGTAATCCCAGCTATTCTGGAGGCTGAGGCAGGAGAATGGCTTGAACCGGGAGGCAGAGGCTGCAGTGAGCCAAGATCGTGCCACTGCACTCCAGCCTGGGCGACAGACAGAGACCCTGTCTCACAAAAAAAAAAAAAAAGAAAAAAAAAGAAAAAAAAGAAAAGAAAAGAAAAAATGAAAGAAAGAAATGAAGTTTTCTCAAAACTCCCTAAATTGAAAAAAGGTCCAAAAAGAATTCCAGGCTGGGCACAGTGGTTCACGCCTGTAATCCCAGCACTTTGGGAGGCTGAGGCCGGAGGATCACCTGAACCCAGGAGTTTAAGACCAGCCTGGGCAACATAGGGAGCCCCTGTCTCGACAAATAATAAAAAGATGGATTAGCCAGGCATGGTGGCATGCACCTGTGGTCCCAGCTACTCAGGAGGCTGAGGTGGGAGGATCGCTTGAGCACCGGAGGTCGAGGCTGCAGTGAGCAGTGATCACATCACTGCACTCCAGCCTGGGTGACAGAGTGATACCCTGTCTCAAAATAAAACACACAGAATTCCAAGACTCTTTACCTGCATCGTATGCAGCAGTGGCTCCACCATGGTGTTCTGGTAACCTTGCATATATCCACACAGGACACAGCTGAATCAAAGTCTTGGCAGAACACCTTGTGATCTTTCTGGAACACTAGGGGACGGGAGGTTTGTGAGGAGCTACAACAAAGCTGTTTCCCACTCACCTCCCTATCTTCCCTGGAAGATATCAGCCTGGAAAGCTGTCATCAGGTAGTTTCTTTTTTTATTTGAGTTTTTTCGTTTGTTTGCTTGTTTGTTTGTTTGTTGAGACAGAGTCTCACTCTGTCGCCCAGGTTGGAGTGCAGTGGTGAGATCTTGGCTCACTGCAGCCTCTGCCTCCTGGGTTCAAGCGATTCTCGTGCCTCAGCCTCCTGAGTAGCTGGGATCACAGGCACCCACCACTATGCCCAGCTAATTTTCTTATTTTTAGTAGAGATAGCGTTTTGCCATGTTAGCCAGGCTGGTCTTGAACTCCTGTCCTCAAGTGATCCACCTGCCTTGGCCTCCCAAAGTGCTGTGATAACAGGCATGAGCCACTGTGCCTGGCCAACATAGTTTCCTATAGCCATCTGGATTTTGATGAAGCAGCTTTCTGTCTCACCCGCTTAGGGCACAGCTGCAGGCCATAAAAATCACTTTGCTGCAGTCTGGAATGGGCCCCTCAGTGACAGGGTGTCACATCATTTTTGTTGTAGTCATTTGGCTCTTTGTTTTAGTGTTGCCCTGCTCAAAGGCCATGGGGAGCTGGCACCCTTGGCTACCCTTCCTTTCACTGTCTTTGTAAGTAATAAACTGTCTGAATCTAAAATGTGCTCGTTGTAGAGTCTGTCAGGCCTAGACTTGCCTTGTGCTTGACATACATTTCCCCTGCTCTCCAGGTGGGTAGAAAGGCCAAGAACTTGCGGGAAGAGAGAGTGTGGAAAAGTTTTCCTGGGGCAAATCAGAGTGTGTCCTCCAATTTTCAGAACCAGAGCACCCTTATTTTCTTCCCCAAAACCTACCTCCACTCACAGTCCTTTAATGTTTTTATATTGGTGGTATTTGATTAAAAAGAGCAGCAAATAAATAGGCAAATGACATGAACAAACAATTGACAATCATGGAAATGCAAAGAACTATTAAATACTTAAAATACTTAATATATTTAATTGCACTAGTAATGAAAATGTGAAGACTAAAATTAACAAAGTGCTGGCAAGAGTCAGGGAGCAAGTAGGTACCACCTTTCAGGAAAGCAAATTGGCAATATGTAGAAAGAGCTTTAAAAATGTTTATTCCTGGCTGGGCACAGTGGCTCACGCCTGTAATCCCAGCACTTTGGGAGGCCGAGGCGGGTGGATCACCTGAAGTCAGGAGTTCGAGACCAGCCTGACCAATATGGTGAAACCCTGTCTGTACTAAAAATGCAAAAGTTAGCTGGGTGTGGTGGCGGGTGCCTGTAATCCCAGCTACTTGGGAGGCTGACGCAGGAGAATCGCTTCAACCTGGGAGGTGGAGGTTGCAGTGAGCTGAGATCACGCCATTGCACTCCAGCCTGAGCAACAAGAGCGAGACTCCATCTCAAAAAAAAAAAAAAAAAGATTTTTGACTATAGTCATCCTGTTATGGTAGCAAATACTAAGTCTTATTCTAACTATTTTTTGTTGGATGCATATATATTTAAAATTGTTATATCCTCTTGCTGAATTGACCCCTTTATCATTATATAGTGACCTTTTCTCTTCTTATAAGTTTTGTCTTGATATCTATTTTGTCTGCTAGAAGTACAGCAACCCCTGCTCTTTTTCTGTTTCCATTGGCATGGAATATATTTTCCCGTCCCTTTATTTTCAGTCTATGTGTGTCTTTATAGGTGAAGCATGTTTCTTGTAGGCAACAGATCATTGAGTCTTGTTTTTTAATCCATTCATACACTCTATGTCCTTTGATTGGATAGTTTTGTCCTTTACATTCAATGTTATTATTGATAAGTAAGGATTTACTCCTGCCATTTTGTTATTTGTTTTCCAGCTGTTTTGTGTCCTTCTCTTTCCTTCCTTCCTTCCTGTCTTCTTTTTTAGTGAAGGTGAGTTTCTTTGGTGGTATGATTCAGTTTCTTGCTTTTTATTTTTTACGTATTCATTGCATGTTTTTGATTTGAGGTTACCATGAGGCTTGTAAATACTATCTTCTAACCCATGATTTTAACCTGATAACAACAACACTGCATAAACAAACAAACAAAAAGAAAACTAACAAAAACTCTACAGTTCAACTTCATCCCCTCATTTTTTAACTTTTTGTTGCTTCTATTTATATCTTATGTACTGTCTATGTCTTGAAAAGTTACTGTAGTTATTATTTCTGATTGGTTCATAATTTAGTCTTTCTACTTAGGATAAGAGTAGTTTACATACCACAGTTACAGTGTTATAGTGTTTTTCTGTGTACTTACTATTAAATATTACCAGTGATTTCTTTACCTGCAGATGAGTTCTTATTGCTCACTAATGTCCTTTTGTTCTTGATCAAAATACTCTCTTTAGCTTTTCTTGTAGGACAGGCCTGGCATTGAAAAAAATCCCTCAGCTTTTCTTTGCCTGGGGAAGTTTTTATTTCTCCTTCATGTTTGAAGAATATTTTCACAAGATAAACTATTCTAGGGTAAAAGTTTTTTTTTTTCCCCTCAGCACTTTAAATATATCATGCCACTCTCTCCTGGCCTGTAAGGTTTCCACTGAAAAGTCTGCTTCCAGATATATTGGAGCTCCATTGAATGTTATTTGTTTCTTTTATCCTGTTGCCTTTAGGGTCCTTTATCCTTGATCTTTGGGAGTTTGATTATTAAATGCCTTGGGGTAGTCTTCTTTGGGTTAAATCTGCTTGGTATTCTATAACCTTCTTGTACTTGGATATTGGTATATTTCTCTAGGCTTGGGATGTTCTCCGTTATTATCCCTTTGGGTAAATTCTCTATCCCTATCTCTTTCTCTACCTCCTCTTTAAGGCCAATAGCTCTTAGATTTGCCCTTTTGAGGCTATTTTCTAGATCTTGTAGGTGTGCATCATTGTTTTTTATTCTTTTTTCTTCTGTCTCCTCATATAGCCTGTCTTCAAGCTCACTAATTCTTTCTTCTGCTTGATCAATTCTGCTATTAAAAGACTCTGATGCATTCTTCAATATGCCAATTGCATTTTTCAGCTCCAGAATTTCTACTTGATTCTTTTAAATTATTTCAATATCTTTGTTAAACTTATCTGGTAGAATTCTGAATTCCTACTCTGTGTTATCTTGATTCTCTGAGTTTCCTTAGAATTGTTCCCTGGTTCCTTATTTCATTCATTTGGTGAGGTCATGTTTTCCTGGATGGTCTTGATGTTTGTGGATGTTTGTCTGTGTCCGGGCATTGAAGCATTAGGTGTTTATTACAGTCTTTGCAGTCTGGGCTTGTTTCTACCTGTCCTTCTTAGGAAGGCTGTTCAGGTATTTGAAAGGACTTGGGTGTTATGATCTAAGCCATATCTGCGTTAGGAGATATGCCCCCAGCCCAAAAATGCTGTGGTTCTTGCAGACTCATAGAGGTACTGCCTTGATGTTCTTAGATAAGATCTGGAAGATTTCTCTGGATTACCAGGCAGAGACTTTTATCTTCTCACAAACAGAGTCTCTCTCTCCTCTCTCTCTCTCTCTGTTCTGAGCTGCTTGGAGCTGGGGGTGGGGCGACACAAGCACCCCTGTGGCCACCATCACTGGGATTATTCTGGGTCAGACCTGAAGCCGGCACAACACAACACTGGGTCTTGCCCAAGGCCCTCTGTAACCACCACCTGGTTACCATCTATGTTCACTCAAGGCCCTGAGGCTCTACAATCAGCAGGTGGCAAAGCCAGCCAGGCATGTGTCCTTTCTTTCTGGGCAGTAAGTTCCCCCAGGCCCTGGGTAGGTCCATAGGTGCTATCTGGGAGCCAGAGACTGGAGTCAAAAACCTTAGAAATCTACCTGGTGTTTTAGTGTACTGTGGCTGAGCTGGCACTCAACCTGCAAGACAAAGTCCTTCCCACTCTTCCCTCCCCTTTCCACAGGCAGAGGAGGCTCACCCCATGGCCACCACCATCACAGGCCCACAGGGAGTACTGCCAAGCTACTGCTGATGCTTCCTTAAGGCCCAAGGGCTCTTCAGTCAACTCTTGGTGAATGCTGTCTGGACTGGGACTCACTCTTCAGGGTAGTGGGCTCCCCTCTGGCCCAGGCCAGGTCCAGAAATGCCATCTAAGAGCCAAGGCCTGAAATTGGGGACCCTAAGGAGCCCACTTCGTGCTCTATCCCCTGTAGCCAAGATGGTACATAAGGTGCAAGACAAAGTCCTCTTTCCTTTTCCCTCCACTTTTCTCAAGTAGGAGTCTCTCCCTAAGCTACTATAGCTGGGAATGTACTGAGTCTCATCTAAAACTGGCAAGTCTCAGAGTGTCACCCAAGGCCCATGGTGTACAACCTGGGTATTACTGCTTGTTATTCAGGGCCCAGGGGCTCTTTAGTCAACAGGTGACAGGTCCTGCCAGGACTGGGTCCTTCCTTCAAGGCAGCAGGTTCCCCTCTGGCCCAGGATGTATCTAGAAATGTTGTCTGGGAGGTAGGGCCTGGAAAGGGGTCCTTGTGACCCTGACCAGTGCCCTATCCTACTGTGGCTGAGCTAGTATCCAAGATGTAAGACAAAGTACAAAGTCCTCTTTTCTCTCTCCTCTCCTCAAGCAGATGGAAGGGATCTCTTTTTAAGCTGTGAGCTGTGCAGCCTGGGGTAGGAATAGGGGTGGCACAAGCACTCCCTTGGCCACCCTGGCTATTGTCTCAGTAGGCTGTGGGCTCCCCCGGTCCACTGGCTCTGAGCCCAGTTCAGCACTAGGACTTGCCTAGGAGTTGCAGTCCTTGTGGCCTAGACTGCCTTTCGAGTTTATTTAGGGCCCCAGAGTACTCTAGCCCACAGTGGTGAGGCTTGAAAGAATTCAAGTTCCAACTGCTGGGATAGGCATTTCCCCTCTGGCTAGAGCTGGTTTAAATATTCTCTCTGTTAGTGCGCATCAGCTGATTTCAGCCTGTTTTGGCTTTCTGCTGTGACAGGGCACCACTGAGTTCAATGCAATGTCTCGCAATTGCTGTGCTCTCTCTCTCCCGAGCACACAGCATGGCTACTGCCAGGGGATGGGGAAGGGGTGGCATTGGCAGTGCAAAACTGTCTCCTACCTTCTTCAGTGCCTCTTTCAATAATATTAAGTTAATACCAAGTAGCGTGAGTGGTCACCTGATTTTTGTTTTTTATGAATGTGCTTTTTCTGTGTGTTGATAGTTGTTAAATTAGTTTCCTTGTGGCAGGAGGAGAGGGAGAAAATTGGTGAAGCCATCTGTTCTGCAATCTTGCTCTGTCCCACTCCCTAATAACAATTTTGAAACCAGGTACAAGAATAATAAGAAAAACTACTATTAATTGACCTCTTGATGTGGCAAACACAATTCCAAGTTATCAAATCATTTAGTTCTCCTAAACGCTCTATGAGGAGGGGCTCTTATTACTCTAGTTTTGCAGATGAGGAAATTGAAACCCAGAGAATAACTTGCCCAAGGTTGCATAGTAAGTGGGTAAGCTGGGCTCTGATCCCTGGCAGATGGCTCTGAGCTTGTTCTAAACCACTACATAGGCTGCCTCCAGCAAGAACTAGAAACTGGAGTAAGGTCCCTACTGCTCTTGTTTCCAGTGGTCCTCAGAGTGGCTTTTGAAGCCTGGTCCTGGCCAGTCATATGGACATTTGTCCTCTCAGCAAGGATGCTCATTTTCAGATGGGTCCCCCTACACACCTAGATGATGTCACTCCCATAGCCTCAAAGGTTATGGCTCTGTGGTTCACATTCGCATGCTGAGCAACTCCCCTCTACCGGAACACCACACCAGGATGGCTTTGTCTTGGGAGGCCTCTAGCGTCAGCCTTATCAACCCTTACCCCCTAGTGCTGGGCTGGGGTTTCTCATCCCAATTTCTTCTTTCCTCCCAGTAAATTCCTTTTTGGGATCATTGACATCCTTTCCTTCCGGTAAATCTTAATTGGAGCCACCCAGATCCAGAGTGACAAGGTTCTCTAACCATCCATCTCAGGGAGCTGCACACCAAGGAGTATTAAGAGAGTTCTCACTTTGACAAGCCACAAAAAGGTTTCTCACATCCTTGTCTCAGAAAAATGGAAAGCTGTTATGACTTCCCCAACATTGCCATAATGTTGGGCGGCTACTAGTATGAACTCAAGAAGGTGTGACAGGAAGCTTCTGACATCCTCTTGCATAAAATCAACACATTGGCTGGGTGCAGTGGCTCATGCTTATAGTCCCAGCACTTTGGGAGGCTGAGGTGGGGGAATCACTTAAGCCCAGGATTTTGAGACCAGCCTGGGCAACATAGCAAGACCTTGTCTCTACCAAAAGTAAAAAATTAGCTGGGCATGGTAGCACATGCCTGTAGACCCAGCTACTTGGGAGACTGAGGTAGAACGATTGCTTGAGCCCAGGAATTTGAGGTGGCAGTGAACTGTGATGATGCTACTGCACTCCAACCTGGGTGACAAAGTACAATCCTGTCTGTAAAAAATAATTACAATGAAGTAAAATAAATAAAATAAACACTCTTGCAAGTTGGTATATATAGGCTGAATTGTGCCCCCCACCACCCAATTCATATTTGAAAGTCCTAACTCCAACTGCCTTGGAATATGACTGTTATTTGGAGATAGGGCATTTAAAATGAGGTAAAATGAGGTCACATGGGTGGGCCTCGATCCAGTCTGACCGATGTCCTTATAAGAAGAGGAAGGTAACACGCAGACCTGCATGCACACAAAGGAAAGACCATGAGGACAAAGTGAGAAGGTGGTGATCTTCAAGCCAAGGAGAGAGGGCTTAGAAGCACCCAAACTTGCTGGCACCTTGATCTTGGACTTTCCAGCCTCTGGAACCATAAGAAAATAAATTTCTGTTGTTTAAGTCACTCAAGTCTATGGTATTCTGTTATGGCAGCCCTAGCAAACTAATGAACAAGGGAAAAGGATAGATGATGATACTGCAGGTACAAGCCAATGACATGCATTCCTGAGAGCCAGTGTATATAGAAGTAGAGAGACGGCATTGGAGCTGGGCAGCCCATGCCTCCGAAGCCTCCTTTTCCCCACCTTCCTGCCTTCCTGTCCACAGTCTCAGAAGGGGAGGAGGCAATGGGAGGCCTGTGATTACTGCCTCAACCGCCCAGATACTTTTCTCTCACAGTGGATTCATGGGGTTTGTGTGTGTGTCTACGCTCACTGACAGTACTATCTTATTCCACCTCTGCCTTTCGAAGTTCAGAAAATCCTAAACTTCTGGTATATGTTGGTCAATTAGCTATTTCTATTTCATCTTATTAAAGCACTCTCTAGTAGATGTAAAATGGAGAATTTTAGCCTGCTCAGTTATCTAAACTGAGGTCTGAAAAATGCTATTGAACTTTTTAATCTTCGTAGATTTTTTTTGAACAACAGCAAAAGGCAGACTATGTTGTTATTCGGACTGGCAAGACCCAGAAGATGTGGGTGGACCAGCCCCAGGACTCATCATTTATTTATTTTTATTCTTTTTTTTTTCGAGATGGAGTCTCACTCTGTCTCCCAGCAGGCTGGAGTGCAGTGGCACGATCTCAGCTCACTGCAACCTCTGCCTCCCAGGTTCAAGTGATTCTCCTGCCTCAGCCTCCCAAGTAGCTGGGATTATAAGCTCCCACCACCATGCCCTGCTAATTTCTGTATTTTTAACAGAGACAGGGTTTTGCCGTGTTGGCCAGGCTGGTCTTGAACTCCTGACCTCAAGTGATCCGCCCACTTTGGCCTCCCAAAGTGCTGGGATTACAGGTGTGAGCTACCGTGCCCGGCCCATCATTGATTGTTAATAGCCAAACCTGTCCCAACCTCTCTGAAGTGTTTGCAGGAGGAAGATTTTAGGGAAAAGGAGCCAAGTCAGCATACCCCAGTTTAGAGCCAGCTCTTCTGTGAATCAATATTCCATGTACCAAAGTGTTTCTATTTGGCTTCCATTCAGTTGGCATTGCAGTTATGATAGTAGCCAGATTCCTTTCCTGGGTGGCCAGAAAAACTCCCTTTATAGAATCTAGAAAAGAAGTATTTAATATATTTTCTCCCTTTGTAGCTTTGTTGGTGTATTGTCACCTTGAGTCAGAAAAAGAGAAGAATTGAGCAAACTTAATATGATTGTCTATAATCAAAATAATCTAAGTTTAATTTTCACCCCATATTTCTCTTTGTTTGTTTGAAGTGTAGGGGATCTAATTTGACTCATCTTCTAAATGTGTGGTACAATAGCACTGTTCATTTCCTATTCCCTGGAATTCTACCGAAAGGATAAGGTTTTTTTTCTCCTTTTATGGTTCTTATCAGCATTAGAAAATAAGCAGAAAATGTTATTGGATTAAATATTATAATCATAATAACAAAAAAGTCCCTTCATGCATTGTTTATAAGCATAGGGAAAGCTCCTTCCGAATACATTATTGAAGCATTTGCCTTGGGCTTCTGTTGGAGGTTAGAGTGGGAGGAATCTAAGATGACAGGAGAGACAGCAGGCGTTTGTGGCTCTTCATCCTAGTGCCCCACTGTTATTATGCTTAAGCTACTCTCCACATGTCTGTTTGTTTCTATCTGACTACCATTTACCTTCTCACTCTATATCTTTTCAGTACCTCATAGCTTTTTTTTTTTTTTGAGATGGAGTTTCACCCTTGTTGCCCAGTCTGGAGTGCAATGGTGCCATCTCGGCTCACTGCAACCTCTGACCTCCCAGATTCAAGTGATTCTCCTGCCTCAGCCTCCTGAGTTGCTGGGATTACAGGCACCCACCACCACTCCCGGCTAATTTTTTTGTATTTTTACTAAAGACCAGGTTTCACCATACTGACCAGGCCGGTCTCGAACTCCTGACCTCAGGTGATCCGCCCACCTCGGCCTCCCAAAGTGCCGGGATTACAGGCATGAGCCACTGCACCTGGCCTCATAGCTTCTTTTATTCCTACGTTCTGTTCTCTCATAATTTCTCCTTACACATGGCCCATCACAGACACTAGTCATCCAGTTTTTTTGGCATTTCCCAGTGAAATGCCTGAGGACGGATTGTGACTCAGCTAATCTCTTCTTTGCAGGCGAAATCATAGATTACACACGTGTCTATGGATTTGGTGCTTTTGGGCCAGACCTTCAGTTTAGAGTGACATGTGTGGCTAGTAAGACATCTTGGGGAAATGGTACAAGCCTAATGGCTGTCTCTTGAGTAGGAGCTGTGGGTGGGGCCTACAGTATACTTCACTTGTGGATACAAAGTCCTCTGCCTCCCTGTACTCAATTAACTGGCTGATTTCGTTACTGGTTATTACATATATCTTCTTTGCTTGCCTTCAATAAAGTGTCTCAGAAATTTGGGGGCTACTTGAAAGGTTAAGAATGAGTAGGGACTGTGACTGGTGACAAGAAAATTTCCCTTTGACTCTGGATATGACTTTTCTGAAGAGGAGGCTTATGTAATAACCACATAATATCCTTAAGCTTTGGTATAGACAGAAGCGTGCCTCTTTCCAGGTCCACAAACCCCTGAGGACTTCACCTCTATTCTTCTATGGTGCATGTTTTCACCACAGGTAAAATCTGTAAACTTCTGTTTGTATTGTAAGATGATGATGATGATTATTATTATTATTGTTATTTGAGGCAGTGTCACACTCTGTTGCCCAAGCTGGAGTGCAGTGGCACGATCATGGCTCACTGCCGCCTCCACTTCCTTGGCTCAAGAAATCCTCCCACCTCAGCCTCCTGAGTAGCTGGGACCACAGATGTACACCACCATGCCTGGCTAATTTTTTAAAAAACAATTTTTGTAGAGATGAGGTCTCCCTATGTTGCCCATACTGGTCTGGGCTCAAGCAGTCCCCCTGCCTTGGCCTCCCAAAGTGCTGCAATTACAGGTGTGAGCCACCACGCCCAACCCATAAAATTGTAATTAAAGATATATAGTAAAATATTGGACCAGATGTCAGCAGAGCTTAACAATTGTAGGAACAGTAATTCAGATGTTTTTTGGTGGTTTGTGTGTGTGTGTGTGTGTGTGTGTGTGTTTAGTAAGGAATCACCAAAGTTTACCTCTTGAATTTATTAACAAAATAGTTGATCACCTACTATGTGCCAAGTACTGTTCTGGGCACTGGGGGTATAATAGTGAACTTATAGATAACCTCTTGCTCTCACAGACCTAGTGATATAAACCAATATGAGGGCCAAGCACAGTGGCTCACCCCTGCAATCCCAGCACTTTGGGAGGCCAAGATTGGTAGATCGCTTGAGCTCAGGAGTTTGAGACCAGCCTGGGCAACAGAGCAAAACCCCATCTCTACAAAAAATAGAAAAATTAACCAGGCATGGTGGTGTGCACCTGTAGTCCCAGCTACTTGGGAGGCTGAGGTGCGAGGATCACTTGAGCCTGGGAGGCAGAGGTTGCAGTGAGCCGAGATCCTGCCATTGCACTCCAGCCTGGGCAACAGAGAGAGACTGTATCTCAAAAACAAACAAACAAACAAAACAAAACAAACAAAACCTAATATGAATAATGTCAGGTGGTAAATTCTGTGGTATTATAAATAATCTCCAAAGATAGCCATGGCTATCATCAGTTCTTTCCCTTCCTGCACATGCATGCTGTTCCTTCTACCAAGTGGTAGAATATATTTTCTCTCTTCTTCTATGAGCTGGCCTTGTTTCCTTCCTTGACCAAGAGCATGTTGCAGAAGTGTTGCTATATCAGTTCTGGGCCCACCTCTGTAAAAGCCTGGCAATTTCCACTTCATCTAAGAGAGAAGTCAGCCACCATGTAAGATATCCAACTACTCTGAGACCACCTCGCTGTGAGGAATGAGGAATTCCAAGCTAGTTACATGGAGAGTCCTTTATGCAGGAGATGTGAGGAGCTCAGATACAGCAAAAGTGAGACCCAATGCATGTGAGGCTCACTCTCAGCCATTAAATCCATCCCAACTGAGGCCCCAAGATGCTTGAACTTTTTTTTTTTTTTTTTGAGACGGAATCTTACTCTGTCGCCCAGGCTGGAGTGCAGTGGCCCGATCTCGGCTGACTGCAACCCCCGCCTCCCGGGTTCAAGTGATTCTCTTGCCTTAGCCTCCCTAGTGGCTGGGATTACAAGTGCCCACCACCACTCCTGGCTAATTTTTGTATTTTTAGTAGAGACAGGGTTTTGCCATGTTAGCCAGGCTGGTCTCAAACTCCTGACCTCAGGTGATCGGCTGCCTCGGCCTCCCAAAGTGCTAGGATTACAGGTGTGAGCCACCGCTCCCAGCCTCAGGATGCCTGAACACCTATCCCACAAAATTGTGAGTAAAATGGTTGTTATTTAAAACCACTAAGTTTTGGGATGGCTTGTTAGGCAACAGTAGCTAACTGGGACAAATGCTAAAGAGAAAAATAAATGAGGGCAAAGAAAGAAAGACAGGTAAGGGTACTATTTTAGAGGGAATGATCAGGGAGGGCCTCTCTGATAAGGAATGAGTCATTTGAGCAGAAACCTAAGGGCAATGAGTGACCAGGCTATTTGGCTATCCGGAACAAGTGCATTCCAGGTGGAAGAGACAGCAAATATTGACGCTGAAAGGCAGGAAATGTTTGGCATAGTCTAAGAACAGCACAAAAGCCAGTGTGGATACAGCACAGTGGCCAAAAAGAAGACTGGTAGGAGATCAAGGCAGAGGAGTAGCAGCACCAGATCAGGGAGGAGAATGATAAGGACTCTGAGTTTGACTCAGGAATTTTTTAGCAGAGGTGTGACATGATCTGATTTGCACGTAAAAGCCTTGCTTTGATGCGAAGACCAGCATATGGGGAAGGCAAGAAAGAAAGCAGGGCAACCAGTTAGCATGCTATTCCACTAATTCAAGTAAGAGTTGATATTAGGTTGGACCAGGAAGGTAGCTGTGGAAATGATGAGAAGTGATTGGCTTTTGGTTTTATTTTGAAGGTAGTACCAACAAGAAGTCCTGATGGATTAGATTGGGGTATGAGAAAAAGAGAGGAATCAAAGATAATCTAAGCACCTAGCAGAATAAGGTTTCTATTTACTGAGATGAGTAAGAATGAAGGAGCAAGTTCAAACAGAAAAGTTGAATTTGGTTCTGTAAGTGTTTAGTTTGAGGTGTCTACTAGACAACTAAGGTGGTTTAATATGTGAGTCTGGGGTTCGAGAGAATGGTCATAGTTGAAGATATTTATTTGAGAGCTACTTATAATGGCAATTAAAGTCACAGCATTTGATGAGACTAGATAGAGATGAACACAGCTACAGAAAAAAAGAGGTCTCAAGAGAGAGCCACGGGGAATATGAAGAAGGACCAAAACCAAAAACCTAGACTGGCTGTCTGGGTTTTCTTCAAATTGATGGGAGTGACAGGGTGGAATGTTCCACCCTGTCACTCCCATTAATTTAAAAAATGGGAGTGACTCTCACCTGTAATCCTAGGTCTTTGGGAGGCTGAGGCAGGTAGATCACTTGAGCTCAGGAGTTTGAGACAAGCCTGGGCAACATGGCAAAACCCCACCTCTACAAAAAATACAAAAAATAGCCAGGTGTGGTGGCACGTGCCTGTAGTCCCAGCTACTCGGGAGGCTGATGCAGGAGAATCTCTTAAGCCCAGGAGGTGGAGTTTGCAGTGAGCCAAGATCGTGCCACTGCACTCCAGCCTGGGCGACAGAGTGAGATCCTATCTCAAAAAACAAAAATGAAAACAAAACAAACATACAAAAAGCCTATACAAATTTGATAAAGCACCCATCAGAAGACTCTGAAATGTGAAGAAAAAAAGGCAGAATGATTGGGAACCTTGAGAATTAAGAAACAATCCAGAGGTGACTTCCCTGTTTATTTGTTTTGTTTTGTCTCCTATATACAATAGCCTGCTCCCTGGAGAAGCCCACATTCCAGAAATGTCAGTAAGCACAGACCAAAAAAATGCCCCAAGAAAAGTCCACTTTCCTTTGCCAAAAAATCAGGAAAAGCGTGGCTCAGCAGGACAGAAACATTTTGATTATACCTGCCTTATTCCAGGTGAACACCACAAGCAAAGCCTCACTCCTCTCTCTCCCAACTAGAAAGTGGAAAGGATTACTGAGAAAAGGGAGCTAAAGAAAGTGATCTTTAAAATCTGTGTACGAAATCCTTGGCAGACCTCTGAACAACTCATGTGTGAGACTGACTAGAAATAACACAACAAAAAGCTTCAGGACTGAACAATGGTCTGGAACATCACCCAGGTTTCAGATTGACCTGTGGGTAGCACACACATGAGCAGACCAAAATAGTATTGCAAAGCCTTTGAAAACTAAATGTGTATTTGGACCACAGCCCACAAAAGTAGGCTGATAGGCTTTGGCTGTGTCCCCACCCAAATCTCATCTTGAATTGTAGCTCCCATAATTCCCAGGTGTTGTAGGAGGGGCCTGGTGGGAGATAATTGAATCATGGGGGGCAGTTTCCCCCAACTGTTCTTGTGCTAGTGAATAAGTCTCACAAGATCTGATGGTTTTATAAGGAGTTTCCTCTTTTGCTTGGCTCTCATTCTCTCTTCCCCCTGCCGTGTAAGACGTGCCTTTTGCCTTCTGCCATGATTATGAGGCCTCCCATGCCTCCCATGTGGAACTGTGAGTCCATTAAACCTCCTTTTCTTTATAAATTACCCAGTCTTGGGTATGTCTTTATCAGCAGTGTGAAAATGGACTAGTACATAGGCCAAGATATGTGTTCTTAACTTAAACAGGTTAACTGCCTGCTATAATAGATTTGAATAAGGACCAAAGTCTCATAAAATAATACTCAAACTGTCTAGGATATAATAAAAATGACCCATCATACCAAGAATTATGAGAATCTCAGCCTGAATGAGAAAAGACAACCAACGCTAGCCAACATTGAGATGACACAGGCGTTGAAATTATTTGACAATAATTTTGAAGCAACTATGATAAAAGTGCTCCAACAAGCAGTCATGAACATTCTTGAAACTAATGAAAAAATAGAAAGCCTCAGCAAAGAAATAAAAGATATAAAAATGAACCAAATGGGAAGTGTAGAGCTATACAATAACTGAAATAACTCACTTGATGGGCTCAATAACAGAATGGAGATGACAGAGGAAAGAACCAGTGAACTTAAAGATAGATCAATAGGAATTACCCAATATGAATAAGAGAGAAAATAGACTGGAAAATAATGAACAGAGCCTCAGGGACCTATGGGACAATAACAAAATTTAGTAAAAGACATAAACCTAAAAACTTAAGAAGCTGAGCAAATCCTAACAGGATAGACCTAAAGGAATCGGCAGTCAGACACATCATAATCAAATTTCTGAAAAGTAATGACAAAGGAAAAATTCTTGAAAGCAGCCAGAGAAAAACGATGCATTCCCCATAAGTAATGTTCACAGTAGCTTTATTTGTAATAGCCAGAAACTCGGAACAAGCCAAATGCCCTTTAATGGGCAAATAGGTAAAGTGGTACATCCATACAGTGAACTACTACTCAGGCAGAACAAGGAATATATTACTGATACATGTAACAACTTGAATTATGTTTTTTCTCATGTTTTCTCATGTTATTATGCTGAGTGAAAAAAGACAATTTGCTGTGTTGTTTCTCAAAATGTTCAATTTATATGACACTCTTGAAATGACAAAATTTTAATGATGAGAACAGATTAATGGTTGGCGGGGGCTAGGGATAGGGTATAATTATAAAGAGGTAGCAAAAGGAAGTTTCTTTGTGGCAGTGGACTAGTTCTGTGTCCTGATTGTGGTGGTGGTTACATGAATCTATACTATACAATCACCCCTCAAAGTAAACATATATAAAAACTGGTGAAATCCACCAGTTCTATAGTTCTGTAGTTTCATTAAGTTCATTCAGTTCCATAGTTTCTGTTCTTTCTTCCTTCCTGCCTTCCTCCCTTTCTCCCTTCCTCTCCTTCTCTCCTTCTCTCCTTCTCTCTTTCTCTCTTTCTTTCTTCACAGTTTCGCTCTTGTGGCCCAGGCTGGAGTGCAGTGGCATGATCTCGGCACACTGCAACCTCCACCTCCCAGGTTCAAGGATTCTCCTGCCTCAGCCTCCTGAGTAGCTGGGATTACAGGTGCCTGCCACCATGCCTGGCTAATTTTTGTATTTTTAGTAGAGACGGGTTTTCACCATGTTGGCCAGGCTAGTCTTGAACTCCTGACCGCAAGTGATCTGCCTGCCTTGGCCTCCCAAAGTGCTGGGATTACAGGCGTGAGCCACCCGCACCCGGCCAGTTCTGTAGTTTCATTAAGAGTATTGTGACAATGTCAGTTTACTGCTTTTGATTATATACTATGGTTATGTCAAAAGCTATCGTTACAGGAAAGCTGGGAACAGGTATATGGGATCTCTCTATAGTATTTTTGCAACTTCTTGTGAGTCTTAAATTATTCCAAAATAAAAAGTTAAATAAAAACTAATAAGAAATAATCAATGAGGTGGAAGAAGAGTCCAGAGGCCACAAGAAGAAAGTCTTTCACGTAGACTGAAATGACCACAGGATTTGGTTACGTGGAGGTTGTTAGGGACTTAGGACAAGAGCAGTTTTTGTGGAGATACAGGAACGAAAGCCTGACTGGAGGGTGTTCAAGAGAGACTGAAAGGAGAGGAGATGGGAACAATGAATATAGTGTGGAAAAGTTAAGGTTCATTTTGAAAAACAACAACAACAACAACAACAACAACAACAACAACAACAAAACAGGCTGGAGGTGGTGGCTCACGTCTGTAATCCCAGCACTTTGGGAGGCAGAGGTGGGTGGATCACTTGAAGTCAGGAGTTTGGGACCAGCCTGGCCAACATGGTGAAACTTTGCCTCTACTAAAACTACAAAAAGTAGCTGGGCATGGCGGTGCATGCCTGTAATCCCAGCTACTAGGGAGGCTGAGACAGGAGAATCACTTGAACCCGGGAGGTGGAAGTTGCAGTGAGCCGAGATTGTGCCACTGCACTCCAGACCGGCTGACAGAGCGAGATTCTGTCTCACAAAACAAACAAACAAACACCCTCAAAACCAAATAGAAGGTCAGTCATGGTGGCTCACGCCTGTAGTCCCAGAACTTCGGGAAGCTGAGGTAGGAGGATCTTTTGAGACCAGGACGTTGAGACCAGCCTGGGCATTATGGCGAAGCCCATCTCTTCCAAAAAAATACACAAATTAGCCAGGCGTGGTGACACATGCCTGTTGTCCCAGCTACTTGGGAGGCTGAGATGGGAGGAACACCTGAGCCAAGGACATCAAGGCTACAGTGAGCCATGTTTGCACCACTGCACTCCAGCCTGGGTGACAGAATGAGACCCTGTCTCAAAACAAACAAACAAACAACCTGAAAAAACAACAAAACACATTAATTTCTATCTCATAGATTTTTTTTCATGTTACATAAGCTACATGTTAAGTTGTAAATCACCATTAAATTATTTAACTTTGTAAGTAGGCTCTGGTGTTATAAAATACGTGATACTTTCCTGCCTTGTTTTGTACATCTGTTTTTAAAAATACAATTATGTCACTCTGAGGGCCTCTGAGGGATAAATTATACTACTTGTTAATAACCAGGGTAGCAAGAGACAGTGTTTGAAGATAAGATGGAAAAATAATGCAGCAGATTAATTAATAATGTGACACATCTGGATGTTTTCAACTCTCAGACTGCAGTAATGATCCTATCTCCTTGACTACCAGCAGTTCATGCTTGTTGTCAAAAACAAAAACAGTCTTGCAGAAGCTTAAAGTAGAAATAGTAAATAGAAAACTGCTTTCTCTCTGCAAAAAACAAACAGAAAACTCCACCAAAATGCTTTTCCTGTAATCCCAATAATACGATTTGTTATAAACAGATAAACAATGTAAGTTAAAGGCGAGGCCTTATGCTTGACAAAATTAAGAGATCTACGTAGCACTTTCAGAAGAAGACTTAACTGAGATTCCAACTATAGCATCTGTGTTGGAAGAAAAAAGTCAAGACCAAAAAAACATAATCAAAGAGTCAGAGGCCAGGTGCGTTGGCTCACGTCTGTAATCCCAGCACTTTGGGAGGCTGAGGTGGGCAGATCACTTGAAGTCAGGAGTTCAAGACCAGCCTGGCCACTGTTGTGGAACCCCATCTCTACTAAAAATACAAAAATTAGCCAGGTGTGGTGGCACACACCTGTAGTCCCAGCTACTCGGGAGGCTGAGGCAGGAGAATCGCTTGAACCTGGGAGGCGGAGATTGCAGTGAGCTGAGATCACACCACTGCACTCCAGCCTGAGTGACAGAGTGAGATTGTCTCAAAGAAATAATTTAAAAAATTAAAAAATTTTTAAAAGGCCGGGCACAGTGGCTCACGCCTGTAATCCCAGCACTTTGAGTGGCCGAGGTGGGTGGATTACCTGAGGTCGGGAGTTCGAGACCAGCCTGGCTAACATGGTGAAAACCCATCTCTACTAAAAATACAAAAATTAGCCAGGTGTGGTGGTGGGTGCCTGTAATCCCAGATACTGGGGAGGCTGAGGCAGGAGAATCACTTGAACCTGGGAGGCGGACGTTGCAGTGAGCCGAGATCGCACCACTGCACTCCAGCCTGGGAGACAGAGCGAGACTCCATCTCAAATAAAATAAAATATAAGAAAGAATCTGGTTCAACATGCCCTGTGATCCTATCTAATCAGGACTCTGAGACAACTTCACCACATTGTTGTAATGAGAGAACCTAATGAATACCTGAAGCTCTGTTCTTAAAGAATAAGAGATAATACCAGTGTACATACGTGTAGCAGTTCAGTTCATCAATATCGCATCACTAATAAGTTTGTTTGTTTACTCTCTTGCTGATTCATTCGTTCATTCATGTATTTAACAGTTATTTATTGAGTACACCTACTATGCTAGACCCTGAGAATATAAGAATGGACAAGGTATGGTCCCTGCTGTCCACACAGTGCTTGCAATCTAGAGGGGAAAACCAAACAAAACAAAAACAGACAATTACAAGATAATGTAGTAATTATTATTATTGCTAACCTTTATTGTGTTCCACCCATGTGCTAGGTGCTATCCTAAATATTTGTCATGCATTATCTTAGTGAATTCACGCAACACCCTTATGAGTTAAGTGCTATTATCATTCCTATGTCAAAGATGAGAATAATAAAACCAAGAGTGCTTTGGTAACTTAATCAAGGCCACGCAATTTGGACAACGCCAGGGATGTCTTATTCCAAAGTCAGAAGTCAACTATAACAGCATCTGAAGCCTAGGGACTCAGGTAAGTTTTCCTAGACTGGGTAGCTTTAGCAGGAGGTGAGTTTAGAGAGATGACCAGGGGTCACATCATCACAGGTCTTTCAAACCCTCTAAGGATGTATCCTGAAAGCAATGCAATAGCATTTGTTTTAGTTATTATAACCTTGTAACTGTCAGTTCCAAAATGTAGGGGCTTAAAACAAGTACCATTTAATTGCTCACAATTCTGTCAGTTGGGAATCTGAGGATGGCTTAGTAGGGGCAGCTTGATCCCTCTCCATGTGTTGTCAACTGGGGTGGCTCCACAAGCAGTGAAGGATCCTAGATTACCTCATTCACATGTCTAGGACCTTGGTGGAGGATTTTGGCTGGGTGGCTTGCTTCTCTTTCACATAGCTTCCAAAAGAGCAGAAACGGAAGCTGCAAGGTCTCTTAAGGCTTAGGCCTTGAGCTGAACTGGCATAGCACCCATTTCCATCACATTCTATTGGTCAAAGCAGGCTACAAGATCAGACATGATTCAAGGGGAAGAAAGAGGCTCCACCTCTTGATAGTAAGAGTGGCAAAGTCATGGTGAAAAAGGCATTCAGGATGGGAAGGAGTGTTGTGGCAATCTTTGGAAGCAATCTACTACATCACAATGTTTTAAGAAGGGGCACAGCACGCAGGAAGGAGTAAGAAGACTGCTGCAGTTACCTGGGGCAGCAAGGGGGTAGGCCTGAATCCCAACCTGATTGACAACCAGAATTATCTGAGGCACTTATTAAAAATACAGATTCCCAGGCCCTGCCACAGACCTACTGAATCTGAACCCCTAGAAGTGAAGCCTGAAAATATACATTTTTAATGCTCTTTCTTTCAACAGATATTTGTTGGACACCTACTCTGTGCTAGGCACTATTCTGTGCTCTGGGGATAAAAAGTAGTGAATGATATAGACAAGGTTCCTGTTTTCTCCTGGGGGCAGGGAGTGAGGTGGGGGAAACAGACAAAAAAAAATTGAACAACTAAATAAACAAATGAATATATTTTTGTACCAAGATTATCCTTTCTGAAAATAAACAAAATCGGTTACTGTAAAATCATGACAAATACTTGAGAAAACAGGTGGAGATGAAAAAAATGGACATGTATATAAAGGTTATTTATTATAGCATTGTGGTAATGGCATTAGATTTGCGAAAAGTAGTTTTATTGAAGTGTGATTTAGGTACAATAAACTGCACTCACCTAAAGTGTACAATTCAGTAATTATTTTTTGAGATGGAGTCTCGCTCTGTCACACAGGCTGGAGTGCAGTGGCGTGATCTCTGCTCACTGCAACCTCCACCTCCTGGATTCAAGCGATTCTCCTGCCTCAGTCTCCTGAGTAGCTGGGATTACAGGTGTGCACCACCACACCCAGCTAATTTTTTATATTTTTGGTAGAGATGGGGTTTCACCATGTTGACCAGGCTGGTCTCAAACTCCTGACTTCAAGAGATCCACCCTCCCAGCCCCCTGCGCTTGGCCTACCAAAGTGCTGGGATTACAGGCGTGAGCCACCACGCCTGGCCCAATTCAGCAAATTTTGACAGATGTCACATCCCCTTATTCCCATATCCAATCCCCAGAACAACCACTGATCTGCTTTCTGTCACTATAGATCATCTTGCAATATTTAGAATTTCATGCAAATGGAATCATACAGTACATAATAGCAAGAGATCTTTCCTCACCTAAATGAACAGCAATAGTGGTACTTTGTGGTACATCTATTCAATAAAGTATTATGCAGCTGGGGGAGGGGAAGCTTTTCATGTATTAACCTGAAATAATTTCCCAAAAATATTGTTCAGTGGAAAATGCATGGCACAGAACAGTGTGTAAAGTGTGGTGCCACTTATATACAAAGGGAAAAAAATATACCCATATATCTGCTTGTCTACACATAGACCATCTCTGATAAAAGCTGGCAACATAGGTTGCCTCATGGGAAGAAAACTGGGTGTCTGGGAGATGGGATGGGGAAATGACTTTTCACTATAAAATGTTTTGTTCTGGCCGGGTGCGGTGGTTCACACCTGTAATCCCAGCACTTTGGGAGGCTGAGGCGGTCGGATCACCTGAGCTCAGGAGTTCGAGACCAGCCTGGCCAACATGGCGAAACTCCGTCTCTACTAAAAATATAAAAATTAGCAGGGCATGGTGGCAGGCGCCTGTAATCCCAGCTACTCAAGAGGCTGAGGCACAAGAATCGCTTGAACCTAGGAGGCGGAGGTTGCAGTGAGCTCAGATCATGCCACTGCACTCCAGCCTGGGCAACGAGAGCAAAACTCTGTCTCAATAAATAAATAAATAAATAAAATGTTTTGTTCCTTTTGAATTTTGCACCGCACGAGTTTATCACTGTCTTAGTCTGTTTGTTCTGCTATAACAAAATAACCTAAGACTAGGTAATTTATAAAGAACAGAAATTTATTTCTTACACTTCTGGAGGCTGGGAAGTCCAAGATCAGGGTTCTGGCACTGATATCTGGTGAGGGCTGCTCTCTGCTTCCAAGACAACACCTGTTGCTGTGCCCTCACATGGTGGAACGTGGAAGGGCAAGAAAGAGCCCTTTCCCTTCAAACTTAAGCGCTTTTATCAGGGTGCTGATCCCATTCATAAGGGTGGAGCCCTCATGACACAATCACCTCTCAAAGGTCATACTTCTTAACACTATTGCATTGGGGATAAAGTTTTAACATGAATTTCCCAGGGGACACAAACATTCAAATCACAACAATCACCTATTCAAAGAACAACTAAAGGCTGGGCACGGTGGCTCATGCCTGTAATCCCAGCACTTTGGGAGACCCAGGTAGGTGAATCACGAGGTCAGGAGTTAGAGACCAGCCTGGCCAACATGGTGAAACCCCGTTTCTATTAAAAATACAAAAAATTAGCTGGGTGTGGTGGCAGGCACCTGTAATCCCAGCTACTCAGGAGGCTGAGGCAGGAGAATTGCTTGAAGCCAGGAGGGGGAGGTTGCAGTGAGCTGAGATCGAATACTGCACTCCAGCCTGGGCGACAGAGCAAGACTCCATCTCAAAAAAACAAAACAAGACAACAACAACAACAAAACAAAGAACGGCTAAAATTTTAAAAATTTAAATTATAATAAATAGAATGAGAAATTTCCCTAACCTTGGTAGATGACTTTATATATTATGTAATGTCAAATGGACTATAAACTTCAAATGTTCTAATTCAAATTCGATTAAAATTATAGTCAAAACCAGAAGCCACAACTAAACAAACTGATCTTGAAATGCATATGGAAAAGGTAGCCAGAGAAATCTGAAAAAACAGAAGAGCAATGATAGAGGAACCAGAATGATCAGATATTAAGACATATTATAAAGCCTTAAGAGTGTAACTAGGGCCAGGCACAGTGACTCATGCCTGTAATCCCAGAACTTTGGGAGGCTGAGACTGGAGGATTAAGTGAGCCATGATTGTGCTACTGCACTCCAGCTTAGGAGACAAGGTGAAACCCTGTCTCAAAAAAAAAAGAGAGTGAACTTCAATATAAAGAGATAGACCGAGGGAATAGAAGAGGAAACCCAGGAATGGAAATTGATACATAATAATTGAATCAGTAGGAAAAAAATGGACTCAGTGGAGTACCAAGCTAGGAAGAGGGACAGTGCGATGGCTCACCCTAAGTATAGAAGCATAGGGGTTCACCATTATGAAGAATTTGCAAACAATAATAAGGATGGATAAATCAGTCTTATTTTTATCATCATCAGGCATCAGTGATTCTGAAGAATGTCAATGATAAAATTCTCCTCCTACTCCAGCTGCTGAATGGACTGCTCCTACCCCCACCCCCACCTTCTTTGGAATGCTACTGAATGGAATATTTAATATAGTATGTTGGGACAAGTGGATAGCAACAAAGAAATAAATGAAAATGATTCAAATAGAGATTAAAGGCTTTATATAGCCAATGGGCATCTGGGAGCACCTCAAAAGTAGGTAACTTCCTGAGCCAAAGCAGAATTGGAGTTGTCATCAGTAGGGAGAAGAGAGGAGTAAATGACTTTGGTCTTGTCCCAGATGCAGTTTCTTTATCTGTAACCATTGCAAAACTTGCAGTTAGAATGAATGGAACAGGTTTGGTTTTTCAGCTCTTTCTTGGGATGGTTGGTGTAAGGTGCAATTTCACGTTGACAGCTGTGTGTATGCGTGTGTGTGTGTGTGTGTGTGTGTGTGTGAAAGAGAGAGAGAGACAAAGAGAGTGAGAAAGACAGAGATAGACATAGAGACAAAGAGGTGACGAGTTAAGAAAGGGGGGCAGGGAAAGAGAGAGTGGAAGTGAGGGAGTGAGTGAGGGAGGGAAAGGGGGAGAGAGAAAGAGAGAAAATTTACAATCAAACCAAGGAATAAATGTTCTCTACTTGACACCTCTTAGGCCAGTTTGGGTCATTGGTCATTACCTCTGGAGTCATAACAGTTCCCAGAGAGAAATGCTGGATTAATTGTTGTAAGCCTGGGATTTGGCTTCTCAGGTAGGGGCAATAGGATTACCATGACTAGCCTAGACTTCTCAGGACCTGCCCCTCAAGGTGAGCTGGTATCACCTTCACTAAATTATAAAGGCTGAACAAATGGAGGGAGAGATACTTAAATAAAATTGGGGTTTCTTCAACAAGCAGGATAAAGGATGGATGCTGGGTAGGTAACCAACAATGTCACCACATATACACTTATTCCAAAGTGAAGTGCACATGTAGAAATTTTATTTATTTATTTATTGAGATGGATTTTCTCTCTTGTTGCCCAGGCTGGAGTGCAATGGTGCAATCTCAGCTCACTGCAACCTCCGCCTCCTGGGTTCAAGCAATTATCCTGCCTCAGCCTCCCGAGTAGCTGGGATTACAGGCGTCTGCCACCACTCCTGGCTAATTTTTGTATTTTTAGTAGAGATGGGGTTTCTCCATGTCAGTCAGGCTGGTCTCGAGCTCCTGACCTCGGGTGATCCACCCGCCTTGGCCTCCAAAAGTGCTGAGATTACAGGCGTGAGCGACCGTGCCCAGCCAGAAATTTTATTATAGTGAACTTTTAAAGTACCTATAAAGGTATAGGTACTATACCTATACTATACTATACCTATAAAGGTATAGGTACTATAAAGTTTTGTAAGTAAACATGGGGGCCACAGAAGGCAAAACAGTACAGTGTTTGAGCATGAGCTGTGAGGTCAGATTACAGTGGCTTGAATCCCAGGAACTTGTGACCACAGCCAAGTTAAGATTCCTGAACTTCACTTTCCTCCTATGTAAAATGGGGATAATGGCTGGGAGCAGTGCAAAGGACATGAACAAGCAATTCCCAGTCATGGAAATGCAAAAGAGCTACTAAATATTTAAAATAATTTAGGCTGGGCATGATGGCTCATGCCTGGCACTTTGGGAGGCAGAGACAGAGGATGCTTGAGCTCAGGAATGCAAGACCAGTCTGGGCAACATAGCAAGACCCCATCTCTACAAAAGAATTTAAAAATTAGCTGGACATGGTGGCGTGTGCCTGTGGTCCCAGGTACTTGGGAGACTGAGATGCGAGGATCACTTGAGCCTGGGAAGTCGAGGCTGCAGTGAGCTCTGATTGCACTCCAGCCTGGGCAACAGAGTGAGACCCTGTCTCAAAAGTAAAATAAAATAAGGATGGTGCTGCTGATGATAGTATGGTGCTTTCATAGAATTGTTGTGAGGATTAAAAGAAACAATGTATGCTAAATCAGAGTAGTTAGTAAGTGCTCAAAATCACTATTAAATAATTGACCAAAGATTAAAATGTTTTGTAATACTGAATTTGATTAACAATTGCTCTTATTTTATTAGGATTTGACAGAATTTCTTGAGATGTTTTACACGACTCAGCCTATTAGCATCTGTTTTCCCCCTGGTAGGATTGACATGTGTTAACATACCCATCGCTAGATTCCTATGGCAAGAACAAGAAGTTCACCTGACGAAGCATGGGCTGATCTACCTGGCCCCTCCACCTGAAAGAACCAAATCTATGATGACATTTATTTTATTTTATTTTATTTTATTTTATTTTATTTTATTTTATTTATTTTGAGACGGAGTTTTGCTCTTGTTGCCCAGGTGGGAGTGCAATGGCATGATCTTGGCTCACCACAACCTCCAACTCTGGGGTTCAAGTGATTCTCCTGCCTCAGCTTCCCGAATAGGTGTGACTACAGGCATGTGCCACTACACCTGGCTAATTTTCTGTATTTTTAGTAGAGATGGGGTTTCTCCATGTTGGTCAGGCTGGTCTCGAACTCCCAACCTCCGGCGATCCACCTGCCTCAGCCTCCCAAATTGCTGGGATTACAGGCATGAGCCACTGTGCCTGGCCTTATTTATTTCTTTTTGAGACAGAGTCTCACTCTGTTACCCAGAATAGAGTGCAGTGGTGCGATCTTGGCTCACTGCAGCCTCTGCCTCCTGGGTTCAAGCAATTCTCGAGGCCCAGCCTCCTGAGTAGCTGGGATTACAGGTGTGCACCACCACACCAGCCAATTTTTTTGTTGTTGTATTTTTAATAAAGATGGAGTTTCACCATGTTGGCCAGGCTGGTCTCAAACTCCTGACCTCAAATAATCTGCATGCTTTGGCCTCCCAAAGTGCTGGGATTACAGGCATGAGACATCATGCTGGCTTATGATGACATTTTCAAGGTAGCATTTATTAAAGACCTTCTCCCTTTCCCACCTTTCAAGGCAATGTCTGTAAGTTGACTCCTCGCTCATAATTTTGATGTGATTCAGAGTCTCTGTAAAGCTCTAAGGCTTCAGGCAATAGAAGTTTTATGTAATTTTTTTTTCTTTTTTTTTTTTTTTGAGACAGAGTCTCACTCTGTCACCCAGGCTGGAGTGCAGTGGCATGAACACAGCTCACTGCTGCCTCAAACTCCTGGACTCAGGGTCTCCTCTCACCTTGGCCTCCCAAAGAGCTTGGACTACAGGCACACACCACCACACCCAGCTAACTTTGTTATTTTTGGTAGAGACGGGGGTCTCGCTATGTTGCCCAGGCTGGTCTCAAACTCTTGGCCTCAAGGGATCCTTCCTCCTTGGCCTCCCAAAGAGCTGGGATTACAGGCATGAGCCACTGCACCCAGCCTCTTTTCCCAACTCTTACACTGCCCTTAAAAATAATACACTGCCATGGCCCAGCACAGTGGCTCACACCTGTAATCCCAGCACTTTGGGAGGCTGAGGCCGGTGGATTGCCTGAGCTCAGGAGTTCGAGACCAGCCTGGATAACATGGTGAAACCCCATCTCTACTAAAATACAAAAAAATTAGCTGGGTGTGGCAGCGTGCGCCTGTAGTCCCAGCTACTCAGGAGGCTGAGACAGGATAATTGCTTGAACCCAGGAGGCAGAGGTTGCAATGAGCTGAGATCACCCCACTGCACTCCAGCCTGGGCAACAGAGCAAGACTCCGTGTCAAATAATGATAATAATGATAATAATAATAATAATAATAATACAGCGCCCTGTAAAAAATATTTTCAGGCCAGATGTGGTGGCTCACACCTGTAATCTCAGCACTTTGGAAGGCCAAGGCAAGAGAATCTCTTGAGGCCAGGAGTTCAAGACCAACCTGGGCAACAAAGCAAGACTCCCTATCTCTGTACTTTTTTTTTTTTTTTTTGAGACAGAGGCTCATTCTCTTATCCAGGCTGCAGTGCAGTGGTGCAATCTCGGCTCACTGCGGCCTCCGCCTCCCGAGTTCAAGTGATTCTCTTGCCTCAGCCTCCCAAGTAGCTGGGATTACAGGCACACACCACCACGCCTGGCTAATTTTTGTATTTTTAGTAGAGACAGGGTTTTGCCATGTTGGCCAGGCTGGTCTTGAACTCCTTACTTCAGGTGATCTGCCCACCTTGGCCACCCAAAGTGCCGGGATTACAGGTGTGAGCCACCGAGCTTGGCCAAAATTTTTTTTAAAAGATAAAATAAATTAAAAAATATATATTTCCAGTGCCACTGACCTCCCCTGTTATAACGAGAGGTCATGACAGGATGGATGTCTCTTATGTACATGTGCTGGAAACAAGTTCAATGTGAAGTGAGAAGACAAAGCAGGAACCTGGGGTGGAGGGAAGGTGAAAGAAACAATAATAAATAAAGATGTAGTCAGAAATTCTTAATTTTAATGCCTTACCCTCCAATGCCCAGGCTTGGACTCTTATGCGTTTTCAGTTTTGCCCATTCACAAATTAGTTTCATCTATAAACACAAAATTGACTCTTCATTCTTAGCTCTCCTTATTTCAAAAGGGCCAAAGAATCTGTAAAGTAATTCTTGTTGTATTTCCACAGATTTTGTTTTTATGTCTGTATTAAAGTTTAAAATAACAACAATAAACAATCTTGTCTGGGGCCGGGCACAGTGGCTCACGCTTGTAATCCCAACACTTTGGGAGGCCAAGGCAGGTGGATCACTTGAGGTCAGGAGTTCAAGACCAGCCTAGCCAACATGGTGAAACCCCCTCTCTACCAAAAAATACAAAAACTTAGCCGAGCATGGTAGCGTGTGCCTGTAGTCCCAGCTACTCAGGAGGCTGAGGTGGGAGAATCGCTTGAGCCCGGGAGGTGGAGGTTGCAGTGAACTGAGATCGCACCAGTGCACTCCAGCCTGGGTGACAGAGTGAGACCCTGTCTCACACACACACACAAAAATCTTGTCTGGTTTTGAAGTGTTTTCAAAAGATTTTCGAAATATTTTACCAGTTTCAAAGAAAACTTGGTATTTAGCATTTTATGTATTATCCACAATTCAACTTATTTGAATGTAATATAATTGCTGTCAGGGAGCTAATGAGAACTGATATACATTTGACTCTTTTGTCCTTTTGCAAATTGCAGTGCCCAAATACAGAGATGTTTCTTTAGGTTTGGGCAAGTCTGGTGAGACCATCTGTGACCTGCACACAGATTTGCTAAAGGACTTTTCTTTAAAAAATAGAACAAGGTGAAAATACTGTAAAGAAAAAAAATTTAGGTAGATGAAATTCTTATCCCATGATGGATGATAGGATGGGAAAGACTAACTCCCTTCATACAGGTCTCATGAATAGGAAACAATACCCATAGCGGCATCGATGGATACAGCCAGCAGGTGGCAGCAGGGGGCCGTGCCAGAAGAATTTACTAACTTGGAAAGGCCCTAGCTAAACTGCAACATGGGCCTTTGGGCTTAGGAGACAGCATCTGTGAGTGGTTGGAAGAGGGTATGATGTGTTTCCCAGCAGAAAAAGAAACGTGAAAGGGTCTTCCAGAAGCCCAGGATTAGCATCTGGTGTCTAAAATGAAGGACCCAGGCCGGGCGCGGCAGCTCATGCCTGTATCCCTGCACTTTGGGAAGCCGAGGCAGGTGGATAGCTTGAGCCCAGGAGTTCGAGACCAGCCTGAGCAAACTGGTGAAACCTCGTCTCTACTAAAAACACAAAAATTAGCCAGGCGTGGTGACGGGCGCCTGTAATCCCAGCTACTCGGGAGGCTGAGGCAGGAGAATCACTTGAACCCAGGAGGCAGAGGTTGCAGTGAGCCGAGATCGCACCACTGCACTCCAGCCTGGGTGACAGAGCGATACTCTGTCTTTAAAATAAAATAAAATAAAAGACCCAGAGTTGGGGTTGGTTGGCAGGGAACAGGGATGGATGCAAAAGAAAGGAGGGGTGGCATAGGAGTGAAACCATCCTCAAGGCAAGGAGGAAGGCATAGGAGAAAGAAGGGAGGAGGGTCAGCCTCTGACAAACAAATGGCAGTGCAGAGTAGGAAGCAGGGTAGAAAGGGTGGGGATCATTTATTTTTGTGTGAACTGGGAGTGGCACTAATTTTAAAAAGCTCTGAGGATAAGTGGAAGCAACTGAAATGTCCATGGATGAATAAATGGATAAGCAAAATGTGGTATATACATAGAATGGAATACTATTCAGCCTTAAAAAGGAAGGGGCCGGGCGCAGTAGCTCATGCCTGTAATCCCAGCACTTTGGGAGGCCAAGGCGGGCGGATCACCTGAGGTCAGGAGTTCAAGACCAGCTTGGCCAACATGGCAAAACCTCGTCTCTACTAAAAATACAAAAATTAGCCGAGCATGGTGCCGGGTGCCTGTAATCCCAACTACTAGGGAGACTGAGGTGGGAGAATCGCTTGAACCCAGGAGGTAGAGGTTACAGTGACCCGAGATTGCGCCATTGCACTCCGGCCTGGGTGACAAGAACAAAACTCTGTCTCAAAAAAAAAAAAAAAAAAAGAAAAGAAAAGAAAAGAAAGAAAGAAAGAAAGAGAAAAAGGAAGGCAATTCGACACATGTTGCAACATGGATGAACCTTCAGGACATTGTGACAAGTGAAATAAGCCAGTCACAAAAAAAGATAAATAGTGTATGATCCCACTTATATGATGTACCTAGAGTAGTCAAATTCATAGAGACAGAAAGTAGAAGGTGGTTACCAAGAGCTGAGGGGAAGGGAAAATGGAGAGTTGGTGTTTAATGGATAATGGATATACAGTTTTAGTTGTTTTTTGTTTTCGTTTTTTTTTTGAGATGGAGTCTTGCTCTTGTTGCCCAGGCTGGAGTACAGTGGCGTGATCTCGGCTCACTGCAACCTCCACCTCCTGGGTTCAAGTGATTCTCCTATCTCAGCCTCCCGAGTAGCTGGGATTGCAGGCGCCCGCCACCACACCCAGCTAATTTTTGTATTTTTAGTAGAGACAGGGTTTTGCCACATTGGCCAGGCTGGTCTTGAACTCCTGACCTCAAGTGATCCACCTGCCTCAGCCTCCCAAAGTGCTGGAATTACAGGCATGTGCCACCGCACCTGGCCTTACAATTTTCGTTTTGCAGGATGAAAATGTTCTGGAGATTGGATGCACAACAATGTGAATATATTTATCGATACTGAACTATATCCTTATAAAGAAATGATTAGGATAGTACATGTTGGTAGGGGTGGTGGCTCAGGCCTTTAATCACAACACTTTGGGAGGCTGAGGCAGAAGGGTCACTTGAGCCCAGGAAGTCAAGACCACCCTGGACAACATAGTGAGGCGAGGTGTCTCACACCTGTAATTGCAGCACTTTGGGAGGCCGAGGTAGGTGGATCACAAGGTCAGGAGTTCGAGACCAGACAGGCCAACATAGTGAAACCCTGTTTCTACTAAAAATACAAAAATTAGCTGGGCGTGGTGGCGGGCACCTGTAGTCCCAGCTACTTGGGAGGCTGAGGCAGGAGAATCGCTTGAATCCGGGAAGCAGAGGGTTGCAATGAGCCGAGATTGCACCACTGTACTCCAGCCTGGGTGACAGAGCAAGACTCAGTCTCAAATAGAGATAATAATCATATTTTTTTTTAATTAGCCAGGCATGGTAGTGCGTGCCTGTGGTCCCAGCTACTCAGGAGGCTGAGGCAGGAGGATACCTTGAGCCCAGGAGATCAAGACTACTGTGAGTCATGATCGTGTCACTGCACTGCTGCACCTGGGTGACAGGGTGAGACCTTGTCTCAAAAAAAAAAAAAAGTACATTTTATGTTAAGTGTGTTTTACCACAAAAAAAAAAACAAAAAACTCTCCAGCCCAGCCTGACCAACATGGTGAAACCCCGTCTCTACTAAAAGTACAAAAATTAGCCAGGCGTGGTGGCGCGTGCTTGTAATCCCAGCTACTCAGGAGGCTGAGGCAGGAGAATCACTTGAACCAGGGAGGCGGAGGCTGCAGTGAGCCGAGATTGCACCACTGCACTCCAGCCTGGGTGACAGATCGAGACTCTGTCTCAAAAAAAAAAAAAAAAAGAAGAAGAATTAGATTCCATTCCAGGCAATGTGGTAGAACAGGACGCAACATCAAATTAGTATAAATAATAATAATACCTCACATTTAAATGGCACTTTACAATTTACACAGTTCTATTGTGAAATACCTTACCTTGTTAAGTTCTCCTAGCAACTAGGATGGAGTGGGGTGGGTCTCTGTGTTCAAAGTGCATAGGCTATAGGAAGGGTGATTAGGAAAGTGGAGGATGAGTGGGCTAACAAGGCATAGAGAGACAAATGCTAGAATTGATGAGTGAATACAGAAGAAATGGAATAGAAAGATGCAAAACAACCAGCTCATGATCTACCTGATTCCTCTGTTTTTCCTTGGATGTGATAGGGGGTAACCATACTCTTGTGTATTCAAATGTTTCCTACTGTTTCTAGGCCCCGTTTTTCATAAGCTCTGTTCCAAGAAGCAGTACTGCTTCCTAGTCAAAGGTGCCCCAGTGTTCAAAGTTTGGCCCTACCCCTTCCTGATTACATGATCTTGCGCAGGTTACTATCTCTCGGCTTTAGTTCTCTATGTGATAATAATAGTTCCTGCCACCTCTAAGCCTTCAATACATATTTTCTCCATTTCATTTTCTCAGCCCTGTAACCTCAGGATCAAATGCTGCCTACTGACTGAAGTGACAAAGAATACCTTTTTGAGGTTTTTCTTCTTTCAACTTGTCCTACCATAGTATTATCGGGAAGATCCCCCAATATCATCCCCCAATATCATTAAGTAGGAAGAGAAATTGTTTGCAATATATAGGTTTCATGTTAAGTAAAAATTGTTGACGTCAAGGGTTTAGAAGAAAACAGTTTGACTGGAGTCAAAAGTCACTTTTCTTCTAAGTCACTTTTCAGAGGTGAGATGGAAACCTTGAGGTATGTTTCTGGCAAGTGATCTCCAACAATTTCTCTAAAGTATCTGATTAGAATAAGTAGGGAGACATTATAGGTAATAAGGTAGATATTTTCCTTAATCCAACCCCTAGAATTTAAACCATATTGAGCACCAGGAAAATTTCGCTCTGCAATTTCCCGAGGCATTTTACTTGTTACATTGGGTACATTATGACCTGTTGAAGATGGTGGTTTTCAGTTCCTTCCATTTAATGAGTCTTTACATTCTAATTAAAACCGAAAGTGGAATTCCTCACTTCTTCTGTTTGTTAATGATATAAATTATCTTAGCTGCTATGAAAATAAAAGGACTTCCTTCATTTGGATTGCTCAAACACTGATATTCACGCTCACTTGGAGGTATCTGGAAACATTATCTAAATGAGATTATTTTATCCAGAGAGAAAATTCTTAGCTTTAAAAGCTATTTAACTAAGATGGCTTGATATATTTTATGACTAACGCAACTGGGCCAACCTGTATCTTATGTTTAGTCAATGCAAAATGAAACAAAAATCCAGTGCCAACCAGATTAAATTGCAAAACATGCACACAGTATTTTGGATCAGGAACTAAACTTGTGTGGTTAATGACTAATTTCCTACATCCTCTGAGGCATCTACATGCTTGGATTTTTTTAGAATGGCTGGGCTTCATTTGTCACAAACTTGCCTCTTGAAGCAAAGCACACAGTAGACCTCCAAAAACTAGGCTTTAAATCTAGAAATTCTACTTTTTAATTCTTCCAAAGGAAGAATTTCTTTGAGTCATTTCCAGGTCCCTGCAGAGCCAAAAGACACACAGAACATATTCTATAAGCGTGCACAGGCTGTCCAGAGCATTTATCATTGCTCATAGTAAGCTTTGTATCCTGCGTGTTCTGGCTACCTAATTGCTTGGTAATAAATTACCCCAAAACTTCGAGGCTTACAATAACCACCTTATTATGCCCACTAATTTTGTGGGTCAGGAGTTCAGACAAAGCACACAGTGGGAGTCCATTGTCTCTGCTCCACGATGTTTAGGGCCTCAGCTGGGAAGACTTGATGACTGGGGTGACTCAGCGGCTGGGGGCTGGAACCACAAGGAAGTATCTCCATTTACGTGTCTGAATGTTGGCTGGGACCTCAGCTGAGAGTGCTGACTAGAACACCTCTATGTGACCTTTCCATATGGCCTGGACTGTCCCACAGCATGGTGGCCTCAGGATAATCCAACTTTTTACATGGTGAATTAGGGACTCAAAAGTCAAAGTCCCAGGGAAGAAGTCAGGAGCTGCCTCGCCTTTTCTGGCCTAGCTTTGGAAGTCATGCGGCATCATTTCTTCCTCTTTCTAGCGGCTACAAACCAGTCACAATCCTGTCCCAGTTCAAAGAAAAGGTGCATAAGCCACACTTCTCAATGGAAGAAGAATCAAAGAATTTGTGGACATATATTTATTTATTTATTTGAGACAGTCTTGCTCTGTCACCCAGGCTGGAGTGCAAGGGCATGATCTTGGCTCACTGCAACCTCCGCCTCCCAGCTTCAAGTGATTCTCCTGCCTCAGCCCCTCCCCCCACCCAGTAGCTGGGATTACAGGTGCCCACCACCACACCCAGCTAATTTTTGTATTTTTAGTAGAGACGGGGTTTCACCATGTTGGCCAGGCTGATCTCAAACTCCTGGCCTCAAGTGATCCGCCTGCCTGGGCTCCCAAAGTGCTGGGATTACAGGCGTGAGCCACCGCACCCGGCCTGTGGACATGTTTTTAAATTGCCACAACATGTTAAGCTCTATGTGTTTATAGCTGCAAAGTTATGTCATGATTCCCAAATAATAAATCAGACTGGACAAAAATGACGGAAAAAAAAGAACTCCAATCTCAGAGGTGACTGAAAGAAACACTGTAGAATTGCTGTCAGAGACTGAGCTTGGGGCCCTGCATTTAAGATTGATTCAGGAGGGCCGGGTGCAGTGGCCCATGCCTGTAATCCCAGTACTTTGGGAGACTGAGGTGGGTGGATCGTCTGAGCTCAGGAGTTTGACACCAGCCTGGGCAACATGGTGAAACCCCGTCTCTACTAAAAATACAAAAAATTAGCTGGATGTGGCAGTGTGCAGTTGTAGTCCCAGCTACTCAGGAGGCTGAGGCAGGAGAATCACTTGAACCCAGGATGCGGAGGCTGCAGTGAGCTGAGATTGCACCACTGCACTCCAGCCTGGGCGACAGAGTGAGACTCTGGCTCAAAAAAAAAAAATTGATTCAGGCAAACCTATAGGAGCAGGAACTTAAGCGTTTTAAAGGAACATAAGGTCTCCAAATTGCTGTCTGTGGTTAACACTGTCATCCACCTCTCAGGTCTCCCACCAAGGAGAAACTCGTCCCAGTTGCTAGGACAGCTATAGGTAGGCAGCCTTCAGCTCTTGGCCCTTTCAGAGATTGCCTCAGTTGCAGAGTCGCCCCGTTCAAGGTGATGACGCACCTCCTGGTGGCTCATATCCAGTGACTGATGGATGCGGGAATATAAGGCCTGGTCTTTTTGGCCCAGCCTTAGACAACTCTGAAGGGTCATTTTATTTCTATCGTTTCTCATGAGGCTGGTTGAGACCGTTGGGCCTATTTTGCAGCTTGACTTTTCTGTCTGACCTGTTCTCCATCCTTCCCTTTCCATTGCAGGTGTTGTCTGTAAGGACGCTCTTTAATAAATATCTTGCGAACTAAGCTTCGTCTCAGTGTCTGCTTCTTAGGGACCCAAATGTGTGACATTATCTGGACTCCTGAATTTTACCTCCATGTTATCTCCTACCAACTTTGCCCTTGACTGGGCCCAGTGTCTTGAATGCTCATACATTTTCTGCCTAGTCAGGTTGTCTCTCTGTGCTAGCTTAAGGTTTGATATGGCTTTACTCTCCATTCAGCTTTTATTGCATAGATTGAGCTTAGAGTCCAGTCTGATCATCCAACCCGTAATATGCTTTGGTATACACTTTGGGCGCTCAGTTTGGAGCACAATGCTCACCAACATTAAGTACTTACAGAAGACCAGGTCAGTAATTTAGGATAAGTTGACATGGAAGAAAAATGATCATAGTGTTTTAGACACTTTACTTATTTTACTTTATTTTTTTGAGACATGGTCTTACTCCTAACGCCCAGGCTGGAGTGCAGTGGCATGACCATGGCTCACTGCAGCCTTGACCTCCCTGGCTGAGGTGATCCTTCTACCCTCAGCATCTCGAGTGTCTGGGAGTATAGGCGCCCACCACCACACCCGGTTAATTTTTTGTATTTTTAGTAGAGATGGGGTTTCACAATGTTGCCCAGGCTGGTCTCAAACTCCTGACCTCAAGTGATCCACCTGCCTCGGCCTCCCAAAGTGTTGAGATTATAGGCGTGAACCACTGTGCCCAGCCTGTTTTAGACACTTTAGGAATCACATAGCCATAGGATTGAGGAAAGTCAAGAATTTGGTTCAGATGGAAAGAGAGAACATACAGATGATGACTGATCTAAAGCATATAAAAAGAAGTTAGCAGGCTGGGCAAGGTGGCTCACGCCTGTAATTCCAGCACTTTGGGAGGCTGAGGTGGGCAGATCACCTGAGGTCAGGAGTTCAAGACCAGCCTGCCCAACATGGCGAAACCCTGTCTCTACTAAAAATACAAAAAATTAGCTGGGCATGGTGGTGGGCACCTGTAATCCCAGCTACTCGGGAGACTGAGGCAGGAGAATTGCTTGAACCCTGGAGGTAGAGGTTGAAGTGAGTTGAGATCACACCACTGTACTCCAGCCTGGGTGACAAGAGCGAAACTCCATCAAAAAGAAAGAAGAAAAGAAAAAGAAAAAAGAAAAAAAGAAGAAGTTAGCATGGTCAGATACACAGCTAGAAATCAGTAAATATTTTCCAGTGACAGAGGAAGGTTTTTGACTCCAGATCCCCAAAACGACCTCACTAGTGGAAACACAGCTGTAAATAACAAGTCTGAGTGAGGTAAGGTCACATCCAGCTTTTGAAAGCTCAGCAATTTGGCGACAGAGAACAGTTCAGACCCTTAGGCATGAGCACAGCCCTTATTTCCCACCCACGGCTCAACTAAACCAGCCTAGCCTGGGCCAGATGCTTTTCAGAGCTTAGAGCTGTGAGATTGGAATGCAAATCAGTGGCCCATTCATCTATCTGTGTCTTAGACCAGCCCTAGAGCTAATCCTGAAAGGATGTGCTGGGAGAGTAATGATGATATCAAAGTGATGTGCAAGAATGAAGACTGAGGTCACAAAATGCATTGCGGCCAGGGAGGGTGCCAAAGATTAGAGCCTCGCACCATGATTTTAGTAGACTGGTTGCATTAATGTTCCCAATTATTCACTCCTCCTCCTGTATCTGTACCTTTGACACGTAACTTTGAAACTCCTTTGATCGAAGAGACAGAGTATATTTCTGTGCCCCTTGATTCTGAGGCTAGCCATGTAACTTTCTTTGGACAATGGGATGTTAGCAGATGTGATGCATGCAGAGGTGTTTTTTGTTTGTTTGTTTTTTGGTTTTTTTTGAGTCAGAGACTTGCTGTGTCACTCAGGCTGGAGTGCTGTGGTGCGATCTCGGTTCACTACAACCTTCGCCTCCTGGGTTCAAGCGGTTCTCCTGCCTCAGCCTCCCCAGTAGCTGGGATTACAGGTGCGTGCCACCATGCCCAGCTAATTTTTGTATTTTTAGTAGGGTTTTGCCATGTTGGCCAGGCTGGTCTCGAACTCCTGACCTCAGGTGATCAGCCCGCCTCAGCCTCCCAAAGTGCAGGGATTACAGGCGTGAGCCACCATGCCCCGCCATGCAGAGGTTTTAAAAAGCACTTACAGGTATACACTTCTGCTCTTCCTCTTCCGCCCTCACCATGAGAACATGCTCAGGCTAGCCTGCCAGAGGATGAAATATATGTGGTGAATATATGAAAAATATATGGAACAGTCAAGTGACCCCAGTAGCAGCCAACGCCATCTGAGATAAGTTGACAGCTAGCCAACCCCGAGACAATAGAGTGATCCTAGTGAAGACCAGAGATATTCCCCGATTTGAGTTCAGTCTAAATTGTTGAGCCACATATTTGTGAGCTAAATACATGCTTATGGTTATAAGCCACTGAATTTTGGTGTAATTTGATATGCAGCAATATTGCAGAAATAGATAACAGTCAAGACTGTGTACATTCTGAGGATGTGCACAGAGATGAAGAATAGGTAAGCAAAAGCAGTGTCAGAGTGTCAGAGTAGTATTCATGGGTTATGCAGGGTAAAGCGTGCTTCCCTAGAGTGAAGCAAATGGTTCTGCCCTCTGCCCACACTCCATCTCCATTGCTATCCTTTCCACCCCTGTTTTTCAATAGTTATCCAGCATACATATTCTATATGTGTTTTCTTAGATTTATACCTAAGTATTTCATTTTTGGAGATAATATAAATGATATCGTTTTAACTTCTATTTGTAATTATTTGTTACTAATGTATAAAAAATAGAATTGATCTCTGTATGTTGGCCTTGTATTCAGTGACCTTGTTAAACTCACTTATTAGTTTCATGTCATTTTGTGGATTCTTTGGGATTTTCTATGTAGATAAACATCATGTTGTCTTCATACAGGGAAAAGTCTCTTCTTTTCTTTCTAACCTGTGTCCTTTTTTTGTGCCTAGTATAGTGGCTAGGACTTCCAGTACTGTCCCTCTTTGTAGACAACATGCCGAATAGTATATAATGATCACATGGCATTTATTCTTGGAATGCAAGACTGGTTCAATACTCAAAATTAATCAGCAAGGCCGGGTGTGGTGGCTGATGCATGTAATCCCAGCACTTTGGGAGGCCGAGGCGGGTGGATCACCTGAGGTCAGGAGTTCAAGACCAGCTTGGCAAATATGATGAAACCCCATCTACAAAAATACAAAAACTAGCCAGGTATGATGGCGGGTGCCTGTAATCTCAGCTACTCAGGAGGCAGAGGCTGGAGAATCGCTTGAACCCAGGGGGCGGAGGTTGCAGTGAGCCAAGATCGCACCATTGCACTCCAGCCTGGGTGACGGAGTGAGACTCTGTCTCAAAAACAAAACAAAACAAACAAAAAATTCAATCAACGGATTCCACTATATTAAAAAAGAATAAAAACCACATGACCACATCAATTGATGGAGAAAAAGCATTTGACAAATTCAACATCAATTTATTAAAAAAAAAAAAAACTCTCGGTAGGCCAGGCACAGTGGCTCACGCCTGTAATCCCAGCAATTTGGGAGGCCGAGGAGGGCGAATCATGAGGTCAGGAATTCGAGACCAGCTTGGCCAACATGGTGAAACCCCGTCTCTACTAAAAATACAAAAATTTAGCCAGGCGTGGTGGCATGTACCTGTAATCCCAGCTACTCGGGAGGCTGGGGCAGGAGAATCGCTTGAACCTGGGAGGTGGAGGTTGCAGTGAACTGTGATCATGCCACTGCACTCCAACCTGGGTGACAGAGTGAAAGTCCATCTCGCAGGGCAGCGGGGGGTGGGGCAAGGGGAAACAAACAAACAAACTCTCAGCAAACTAGGAAGATAAGGGAATTTGCACAATCTGAAAAAGGCATGCACAAACAAACAAGCAAAAACCCTATAGATAACATCATACTTAATGGTGAAAGTCTGAATGCTTAGGTTCACAGCAAAAATTTTAAATATATATATATGATAGAGATGAGGTCTCACTATGTAGCCCAGGCTGGTCTCAAACTCTTGAGGTCAAGCGATCCTCCCACCTCGGCCTCCCAAAGTGCTGGGATCACAGGCATGAGCCACCAAGCCTGGCCTCACAGCAAAATTAAGTGGAAATACAGAGTTCCCAGATGCTCCCTGATCCCACCCCACTCTAACAGCTCCCACCCCACTCTAACAGCTCCCACTATCAGCCTTCCCCACCAGAGTGGTACATTTGTTCCAACTGATGAACCTCCATTGACACATCATTATCACCCAAAGTCCACAGTGTACATTAGAGTTCACCCTTGGTGTACATTGAATGGGTTTGGAAAAATGTATAACAACATGTATCCACCATTGTAGTATCTTACAGCGTAGTTTCACTGCCCTAAAAATCCTCTGTGCTCCATCTATTCATCCCTCCCTCTCTCCTAACCCATAGTTTTCCAGAATGTCATATAGTTGGAATCATATAGTACGTAGCCTTTTCCTTTTTATTTTTTAAGACGAAGTTTCGCTCTTGTTGCCCAGGCTAGAGTGCAATGGTGTGATCTCAGCTCACCGCAACCTCCACCTGCCCGGTGCAAGGGATTCTCCTGCCTCAGCCTCCCGAGTAGTTGAGATTACAGGCATGCGCCACCATGCCCAGCTAATTTTGTATTTTTAGTAGAGACAGGGTTTCTCCATGTTGGTCAGGCTGGTCTCGAGCTCCCGGCCTCAGGTGATTCACTCGCCTCGGCCTCCCAAAGTGCTGGGATTACAGGTGTGAGCCACCGCCCCGGGCCATATGTAGCCTTTTCAGATTGGCTTCTTTCACTTAGTAATATACATTTAAGATTTCTTGTTTTTTGGTGGCTTGATAGTTCCTTTCTCTTTATTGCTGAATAATATTCTGTTCCCTGGATATACCATAGTTTATTTATCCATTTACCTACTGAAGGACATCTTGGTTGTTTCCAAGTTTTGGCAATTATGAATAAAGCTGCTATAAACATCTATGAGCAGGTTTTTGTGTGGCTACAGATGTTTACTTTCTAACCATTTGGCAAAATGTGCCTATAATTTGTATTTGTGTGTACTTCACAAGGAAATGTCTTTGTATCATATTTTTGTTGTTTTATTAAAACATTTAAACAACTTTTTAAATTGATAGATAAAATGATATGTGTTTGTCATGTACACCATGATGTTTCAAAGTATATACGCATTGTGGAATGACCAAATCTAGCTAATTAAAACATGTATCACCTCACATAGTTATCATTTTTATGGTGAGAACACTTAACATCCACTCTCTTAGCAATTTTCAAGAATACAATATCTTCTTATTAACTATAGTCACCATGCTGCACAGTAGATCTCTTGAACTTATTTCTCCCATGTAACTGAATTGAAACGTTTCAAAATGAGCAAATACATGAAAAGCACATATTGAAGCTTAATAATGCTACCTGTTATGATTAAGTGATATATATTCATCTCCTTCAAAAAAAGAAATTGTGTACCATCTATTTTTTTCTTTTTTGAGACAGGGTCTCACTTTGTTGCCCAGCCTAGAGTGCAGTGGCATGATCACAGATCACTGCAGCCTGGACCTCCTGGGCTCAAAGCCTCCTGAGTAGCTGGGACCAAGCCCAGCTAATTTTTTTGTATAGAAGGGATTTTGCCATGTTGCCCAGGCTGGTCTCAAACTCCTGGGCTCAAATGATTCACTTGCCTTGGCCTCCCAAAGTGCTGGGATTACAGGGGTGAGCCACCATGCCTGGCCATCTATTTCTAATTAATTAATTAATTTTTTTTTTAGAGATGAGGTCTCACTCTGTTGCCCAGGCTGGAGTGCAGTGATGCAATCATAGCTCACTGCAGCCTTGAAATTCTGGCCTGTGGTTGGTGATTGCAGAAGTGATTCTCCCACCTCAGCCTCCCAAAGAGCTGGGATTGCAGGCATGTGCCACCATGCCCAGCCTTAAGGGAAGGATACCATTTAAATCAAGGGGCCTGACCAAGGCCAAACATGGCAAATATAGAATTTTTTTACAATACATTTCTGTTAACAAAATAGTTCTACTTTTTATAAAGATAGATTATGGCACAAAGGCCTTATTCTGCCTTATCAGGTATTTCCATAAATATACTTTCCTTTATATGTGCTTCCAGGCTTTGCTTAAGGTGTTAAAGGTGCTAACATTTTAAAGTAACCAGCAAGCTTTATAAGCATTATCTCAATCACTATTTTTAGATCACCAGTAAGACTATTCAGACACTTACTTGACTCTTGTGGGCCAGGCTTGGACTTACCTTTCTTCTCCAGGCCTGTGCCCTTCATGTGTTTGAGAATGTGAGAGTGTACGTGTATTGGGGCTGTGGGGAGACAGCTCAGAGGAATACCAGACACTGGAGACTCGGAGGGGTGGGATGTGAGAGGCGGGTGAGGGATGAGAAATTAATGGATGCATGTGCACTATTCGGGTGACGGCTACACTAGATGCCCAGACTTCACCACTACGCAACATATTCATGTAATGAAACTGCACTTATGCCCCCAAATCTATACATATTTTTAAAATTTTTTTAAATAATAAAAAAGAAATGAAGATCTACTTGTCTTGGGTTTGGCTGCAGCTGTTGCACGCAGACATCTCCAACCCTGCCCAGCACTACTCCACGGTGCTCTAGCCTTTCCTCGAGTCCCCTGTATGCTGCAGTCCCCATCAGCCCCACCCCCATGCTGATGTCCACTCTCAAGGCCAAGGATGAATGACATCTTGTGAGGGTTGTTCCTTCACTATGTTCCTCCTATGTGCTCCAGCAATGTGTCTTTTTTTTTTTTTTTTTTTGAGATGGAGTTTCGTTCTTGTTGCCCAGGCTAGAGTGCAATGGTGCAATCTTGCCTCACTGCAACCTCTGCCTCCCGGATTCAAGCGATTCTCCTGCTTCAGCCTCCCGAGTAGCTGGGATTACAGGCATGCGCCATCACACCTGGCTAAGTTTGTATTTTTAGTAGAGATGAGATTTCTCCATGTTGGTCAGGCTGGTCTCGAACTCCCAACCTCAGGTGATCCACCCGCCTCGGCCTCCCGAAGTGCTGGGATTACAGGCATGAGCCACTGCGCCTGGACTTAGTAATGTCTTATTTACCCAAGTAAATGAGCTTTCTGGGGTAGGAATTGCTGTACATAAGGGAATTGTCCGTGGAACTCAAGTTACTCCTTTTAATGACAATTTTTTTCTTTAAAATTTAACCCTTTTAATAGAAAAAAATCTTGAAATAGATTGTAAAATTATTGCCTTCTTTTAAGATGGATAATAAATATAATTTAGCCTTTCTTTGGTATGCCATAGTTCCATGGGCACCAAGATATGTGGGACAATTTGCCCTATGGCCCACCCTGGAGTGCTTTATACTAGTTCTAACAGCTATGGTTTTAATATAACACTTGTTTTCCCCCTTATATAAAAGTATTATGGGTTAGGTGTGGTGACTCATGCTTGTAATCCCAGCACTTTTGGAGGCTGAGGCGGGCAGATGGCTTGAGGTCAGGAGTTTGAGACCAGCCTGGGCAACATGAGGAAACCCCCGTCCCTACAAACAACAACAACAACAAAAACACAAAAACAAATCCAAAAATTTAGCCAGGCATGGTGGCATGCGCCTGTAGTTCCAGCTACTTGGGGGGCTGAGGCGAGAAGACCGCTTGAGCTCAGGAGGCCAAGACTGCAATGAGCCACATTTGTGCACTCCAGCCTGGGTGACAAAGTAAGACCCTGTCTCAAAAAAAAAAAAAAAAAAAAAAGTATTATGTCCTTATAGGAAATTTGGAAAGTCATAAAAAGGGTGAAGGAAAATTGCTCTTTTAGGCCTAGAAACATTTTGGTGCATTTTCTTTCACTCTTTTAAAAGACTTATGTGAGCCTGTTTTTTCTCTATAGCTTATTTATTCAATTTAGTTGCAATCTCTTACATCTTACCTAAATGGTTCTGTCTCCTCTCTCTCTTTTAACCAGTTAGTCATCCCTTCTCACTGCCTCTAGGGTCACTTGGCCTGCTACCTCCTCGCTTCTATAATCTGTGACTTCTAAATTGTGAGCTGAGGGAACAAGTTTACCATGATCATTCAACTGTAAGTAAAGGTAACAATGGACAGGCTCTGCAGGAAAGCCTGAAGCTCACATGACCAGAGTCAGATTTGTGGGCTTCGAGATGGCTGCTCTAGCCAATCAGCAGACATTTTTGTTTTCCTGCCCCATCCCACATGTGTGAGATTCTCAGAACGTCTACTCTCACTTTTCTTTTGAGACAGGGTCTCACTCTGTCACCCAGGCTGGAGAGCAGTGGCATGATCATGACTCGCTGGGATCCTTGACCTCCCAAGCTCAAGTGATCCTCCCACATCAGTCTTTCAAGTAGCTGGGACCACAGGTACGAGCCACCATACTCAGCTAAATTTTTGTCTTTTATAAAGATAGGATCTCACTGTGTTGCAGTCTGGTCTTGAACTCCTGGCTCAAGCAATCCTCCAGCCTTGGCCTTCTAAAGTGCTGGGACTGCAGGCACATGACACCACGCCTGGCCTACTCTCACTTTAAACGTGTTGATGTTATTCTGCAAGTGCAGAATGAGTATATATTCAATCAGACTTTAAATATCTTGAGGGTAGAGACTCTCTATCTTCTAACAATACCTTGTATTATGCTCTACACACAGCAGGTATTCCAGAAATGATTTTTGAATAGCATTCAATGAGATATTCCCAGTCTCATTCCAGAATCCATTTTACCTATATCCTTTACCTTTACCGAAGTTTAGACTTTTAATCGGAATAAGGTTAAAACTGACTCAAGGAGTGATTGTGGGGGACATTTCTGAGCAAAAAGATTTTCACCCACTGCTGACCACACCTCCGAGCTTTCATTTGGCAAATTATTCCTCTCCCACCCTCACACTCTCAGTGTGAAGCATATGACCTACACCTGAAGAAAATCAGCATCACCTTCTCCCAGCCACAGTGATTGGTTCAGAGTTGGGCACTTGACCCATGCTAGCCCTGTTACTGTGAACTTCAAGAATTCTGGGGATGCTGGGATAAAGATGCTTGCTCCTTTTTGCTGGGTGTGAAATGGAAGGATATCATCCCAGGAGTTCCTGGCAGCCACCTTCCAGCCATGAGGTGGCCTCTTATGAATGGGTCAACAGACAGATGAGAGCAGAGTTGTACTGAGAGACGGAAGACAGGGCTTGATTGTATATTTTTGAGCTCTGTATTCCCATGTGCAACCATGGCCAAAGCCAAATTTACCAATGGCCAGCTAAGTTACCGTGATGGTTAATATTAGGTGTCAACTTGATTGGATAGAAGGGTAGCTACATAGCTGGTATTGTTTCTGGGTGTGTCTGTGAGGCTGTTGCCAGAGGAAATTGACATTTGAGTCAGTGGGCTGGGAAAGGAAGACCTATCCTCAATGTGGGTGGACACCATTCCATTGGCTGCTAGCACAGCTAGAACGAAGCAGGTGGAAGAAGGTGGGATAAGCTGGCTTGCTGAGTCTTCTGGCTTCCTTCTTTTTCCTGTGCTGGATGCTTCCTTCTGCTCCTCCTGCCCTTGGACATCAGACTCCAGGTTCTTTGGCCTTTGGACTCTGGGACTTGGACCAGTGGCTTACCGGGGACTCTCAGGCCCTTCAGCCTCCGACTGGGGGCTGCACTGTCGGCTTCCCTGGTTTTGAGGTTTTTGGACTCCGACTGAGCCACTACCGGCTTCTCTCTTTCCTCAGCTTGCAGACGGCCTGTCATGGGACTTTGCCTTGTGATCGCGTGAGCCAGTTCTCCTTAGTAAAGTCCCTTTCATATATACATATGTCCTATTGGCTCTGTCCCTCTGGAAAACCCTGACTAAACAGTTACTGTGGCAGGCTGGGTCCCTCAGAGGCTGACACTGAGATGGAGTTCGGGATGCAAAGTGTTTATAAGGAAGGGATAATACCTGTGAAAGAAGGATGACACAGGATTGGGCCGAGCGATGCTGAGCGATGCCGAACGATGCTGAAGCAGGTCTGATGAAGCCTTAGCCAGTCCAGCAGGGAGCTCTGGAAGTATTTTCAGTCAGAGTTGTCTCAAGGTGGGTGTTTACAGCTCTGCCTCACACAGTCATTGGATGTGGGTTGTATAGAGAGGGTATGACTTCAAGGGAGATGGCTCTCCCCACCAGAGGCAGCCCCAGAAGAAACTGACAAACTGGAGCTGGAGCTATCTGGCGACTGCAGTCCCTGCAGCTGTGCAGCAAGTCCTTCCCTTGAGGGGGATCCGGGTGGTGCATCTCTGTGTCTAGTGCTGTTACGAAGGATTATTATCATTATTATTATATGATGCTAAACAAGTTTGAGCTGAGTTTCCTGGCACTTGAAGCCACAAAAGTTCAAACTAATACAGTAATTGTTTTCATAGCCAAATTCCCACTGTGATTTGACAATGAGACTTGAGCTATCAAGTTCTCTCAAAACTGCCAAGAAGGTTTGTTTCTCGAAAGAAATGGACATTTGCAGTTATCCACTGAAAACGCTGGACCTACAGGAGTATTAAGAAAATTAGTGTAGGCTGGGCAAGGTGGCTCACACCTATAATCCCAGCACTTTGCGAGGTTGAGGCGGGTTAATCACCTGAGGTCAGGAGTTCGGGACCAGCATGATCAACATGGTGAAACCCTGTTTCTACTAAAAATACAAAAATTAGCCCGCTGTGTTGGTGCATGCCTGTAATCCCAGCTACTCAGGAGGCTGAGGCAGGAGAATCGCTTAAACCCGGGAGGCGGAGGCTACACTGAGCCGAGATCATGCCACTGTACTCCAGTCTGGGCGATAGAGTGAGACTCTGTCTCAAAGGAAGGAAGGAAGGAAAGGAAGGAAGAAAGGAAGGAAAGGAAGGAAGGAAGGAAGAAAGGAAGGAAGGAAGGAAGGAAGGAAAGCAAAGCAAAGCAGGGTATTCTGCTGATAGCCTGTAGTATATTTCAAGAACACTGCTTTAACATATAGGGAAGATTTTGATATTAAAGATGTGTTTAAACACTGAAGTGATCTACTAATGTAGTAAATATATACTGAATGTCTATTATGTCCTTTATGTATGTTAAGTCATTTAGCCTTCATTAGATAGTGAGATAGGTACTATTATCCCCATTTTACATATGAAGACAGTGAGGCACAAAGAAAGTAAATAATGTATCTAGGGTCATACAGACAGTTCATGGTAGAGCCCAGGCTTAAACCCAAGCAGTCTGGCTTTAAAGCTTGTGCTCTTAACCATTATGCCACAGCTTCTTTAAAATAATTTTACTAATTTCTTTAAAAGGTCTGCCGTCTAGATTACAGGCGTGAGCCCCCGTGCCTGGTCTCACTGTCACGATCTCCAGGCTGGATTGCAGTGGCACCATCTCAGCTCACTGCCACCTCGACTTCCTGGGCTCAAGCTATCCTCCTGTGTTGGCTACCCAAGAAGCTGGGACTACAGGCGCGCACCACCACGCCCAGCTAATTTTTGTATTTTTTGTAGAGACGTGGCTTTGCCACATTGGCCAGGCTGGTCTTGAACTCTTGGGCTCAAGCGATCCTCCTGTCTTGGCCTCCTAAAGTACTGGGCTTATAGGTGTGAGCCACCATGCCTGGCCACATTTCTAAATTCATATTAAAGCAGATTAAAAAGAAGAGTGCCTAAGGAAGAACATCATCTATATTTACTCTCTAGCCATGGAGATAACAATGTTTTCATTTAAAAAATATATATTGAGCATGTAAACCAAATAGTATCTGAGACAGGTCTCAATCCATTTAGAAGTTTATTTTACCAAGGTTAAGGACATGCCCGGAGGAGAGGAAACAGAGAATCACAGAAACAGTCTGTGGTCTGTGCCTTTCTCCAAAGATGATTTTGAGGGCTTCAGTTTTTAAAGGGGAAAAGCAGGCTGGAGGGGAAAGAGGGAGGAGGGTATGATATTCACATGTTGCAAGAGAAAAGGAGCAGGTAGGGGAAGAGTCAATTATGTATTCGTCTCTCACTCAGTAAATCACTGTACATAAGATAAGGTGAACACAGAGTAGCTACCTGCAGAGATATTTAACCTTTTATCTGTAGCTATCAGCTTAGGAACAAAGGGAAAGGCAGCTTCTGGCATGACTCAGCTTTCAGCTTCATTTTTTCCTTTTGGCAGTGAATTGGTGTCCTGCGTTTTTATTTTCCTTTCACAAGCCGCTAGAATCTGCCAAGCTCTTTGTGGGGTAAACAAGACAGATAATATTTCTGATCTCAAAGCTTAATGTTAATGTAATGGGAGAGACACAAACACACAAATAAGCCAAACCAAGATAGCAGCAGATTGTGAACACTGCTGAGAAAGAATTAAAGAGAGCGCTGTAGTAGTAACTGGCAGGGGAAGAGGCGCATTGAGATAGGGTCGACAGGAAAGGTCTCTTTGTGACAGTGATGTGTAAACTGAAACTTGGAGGCTAAGAAGGAGCCAGCAGAGAGGCAGGCAGAGAGATAGGGTGGTAAGATATTTTCAGCCAAGGGAACAGCACGTGCAAAGTCCCTGATACAAGTTCCCACACAAGAAAAACATTGCCCCTACTATTTTTCTCTGCCACTTAAAAACAGTACAAATTTTCGCTCCCTAGAGCAACAGTAAACTGCTACCCACAGGTATCCCTTCCACTTCTGTTGTTTTATTTCATTCATTAGCAGATAATGATGTTTTATGCTTATAACTATAAAGGCTGTGCAAGCAAGTAGAAGAGGTAAATCTCAACACAATGATATGATCTGGTCAGATTGACCATCAGCGCTGCCTCTCACACTCATCTTCTAAGCGATGCTGTTACTGGAAAGGGATCCTGATCCAGACCCCAAGAGAGGGTTCTTGGATCTTGCATAAGAAAGAATTCAGGGTGAGTCCCTAGAGTAAAGTGAAGCCAGCTCTATTAAGATGCTGAGGCAGATGGATCACTTGAGGTCAGGAGTTCGAGACCAGCCTGGCCAACATGGTGAAACCCTGTCTCTAATAAAAATACAAAAATTAGCCGGGTGCGGTGGTGAGTGCCTGTAATCCCAGCTACTGGAGAGGCTGAGGCAGGAGAATTACTTGAACCCAGGAGGCAGAGGTTGCAGTGAGCCGAGATTGTGCCATTGCACTCCAGCCTAGGCAACAAGAGTGAAACAATCTAAAAAAAGAAAAGAAAAAGAAAGAAAGAAAAGGAATAAAGAATGGTTACTTCATTGGCAGAGGAGTGGCTTGAGCTACTCGACTAAGGATACTTATTGTTACTTCTTGATTATATGCTAAACAAGGGGTAGATTACTCCAGAGTTTTATGAGAAAGGGGTGGGCAATTCCCAGAGCTGAGGGCAATTCCCCTTTTTAGACCATGTAGGGTAACTTCTGGATGTTGCCATGGCATCTGTAAACTGTCATGGCGTTGGTGAGAGTGTCTTTTAGCATGCTAATGTATTATAATTAGCATATAATGAGCAGTGAGAACAACCAGAAGTCACTTTTGTTGCCATCTTGGTTTTGGTGGGATTTTGCTAGCTTCTTTACCTCATGCTGTTTTATCAGCAAGGTCTTTATGACCCATATCTTGTGCCAACCTCCTGTCATCCTGTGACTAAGAATGCCTTAACCTCCTTAACAAACCCAAAAATGCTTTAGTTAAGGCATTCTTTTTTTTTTTTAAGATGGAGTTTCGCTCTTGTTGCCCAGGCTGGAATGCAATGGCACGATCTTGGCTCACTGCAACCTCTACCTCCTGGGTTCAGGCGATTCTCCTGCCTCAGCCTCCTGAGTAGCTGGGACTACAGGCATGCACCACCATGCCCGGCTAATTTTGTATTTTTAGTAGAGATGTGGTTTCCCATGTTGGCCAGGATGGTCTCGAACTCCTGACCTCAGGTGATCTGCCTGCCTCAGCCTCCCAAAGGGCTAGGATTACAGGCGTGAGCCACTGCGCCTGGCCTAGTTAAGGCATTCCTAATTAAGAATGCCTTAATGCAGCCCAGTATGGCTCAGCCTTATTTTACCCAGCCCCTATTCAAGATGGAGTTGCTCTGGTTCAAATACCTCTGACAATGCCATCAATCTCTTCATCACCCGAGTCAGAACCAGAGGACCCAGCCAATCCCCAAATGATCACTGACTTCTCCCAACTCAGTCTCTCATCCATCTCCATTGTCATTAATTCAGTTCTATTCCTCTTACTTATTTCCTTCTGAATTATAAAATGTTACTTCCTAGCTGGTGTAGTGGACTGTAGAGATGGCCACAAATAATTGCAGCTCCTTCCATCAAGAAATGGAATCGGCTGGGCGTGGTGGCTAATGCCTGTAATCCCAGCACTTTGGGAGGCCGAGGCAGGCGGATCACAATCAATCCTGATCAATCCTGATCACATGAGGTCAGGAGGTCGAGACCAGCCTGACCAACATGGTGAAACCCCATCTCCACTAAAAATAAAAAAATTAGCCGGGTTGGTGGTGTGCCTGTAGTCCCAGCTGCTAGGGACCCTAAGGCAGGAGAATCACTTGAACCTGGGAAGTGGAGGTTTCAGTGAGCCAAGATGGTGCCACTGCTGCACTCCAGCCTGGGCAACAGAGCAAGACTCCATCAGAAAGAAAGAAAGAGAGAAAGAAAGAAAGAAAGAAAGAAAGAAAGAAAGAAAGAAAGAAAGAAAGAAAGAAAGAAAGAAAGAAAGAAGGAAAGAAAGAAAGGAAGGAAGGAAGGAAGGAAGGAAGGAAGGAAGGAAGGAAGGGAGAGAGAGAAAGAAAGAGAAGAAAGGAGGGAGGGAGGGAGGGAGGAAGTTAGGAAGGAAGGAAGGAAGGAAGGAAAATAAAAGAAATGGAATCTCTGTTTCCAATCCTTGAATCTGGGCTGGCTTTGAGACTTGCTTTGCAGTGGAAGCAACATTATGTGAGTTCCAAGCATGAGGCTCAAGAGGCCTTGTGTTCTTTCTACCTTGTTCTAGGAAGTCCTACCACCACTGCCACATGGGCAAACCCAGAACAGCCTGCTGGATGATGAGAGACCATGTGGAACAGAGATGCTCCATCTCATCTGAGCCATCCTAGACCAGCCCACCCTCAGCTGACCTGGCCACAGACAGCAAATACATGAGCGAGCCCAGCCAAGTTCAGCCAAGCTTGGCCCAGATCAGCAGAATTGCGCAGCTGAGCCCGGTCCAAATTGCCAAACCACAAAATTGTGAGGTAAATAAATATGTGTGTGTGTTTGTGTTTTGTAAGCTACTAAATTTTGGGGGGTAGTTCCTCTCTCAGCAAAAGCTAACTGATAAAATTGGTTTCCCATCTTCTAGTTTTGGCCCCACTACAATGGAGCCTCACCATTGCCACTGTGATGGTCTTTCTAAAGCACCACTCAATCACAATACTCCCCCAACATTTTCCCATTGCCTCTATGTAAAACCCAAACTTCTCAGTTGTACTTCATCTTTCACCAAACAGCCACAGGCTATAACAAGTACCTGCGATTTCCTGGGCCTACAGTGTATTCTTTCACCTCCATACTTTTGTGAATGCTCGCTATGTGCTGAATTGTGTTTCTCCAGAATTAGTGTGCTTAAGCCCAACCCCTAGTACCTCAGAATGTGACTATATTTGAAGATAGAGTCTTTGAAGAGGTGACTAAGTTAAAAAGAGGCAATTATAGGGGACACACACACACACACACCCCCCCCCCCCACACACACACACACAGGGATGGCCATGTGAGGACACAGTAAGAAGGTGATCATCTGGCCGGGCGTGGTGGCTCATGCCTGTAATCCCAGCACTTTGAGAGGCTGAAGAGGGTGAATCACTTGAAGTCAGGAGTTCAAGACCAGCCTGGCCAACATGGTGAAACCCCGTCTCTACTAAAAATACAAAAATTAGCCAGGCGTGGTGGTGTGTGCCTGTAATCCCAGCTACTCAGGAGACTAAGGCAGGAGAATCACTTGAACCCGGAGGGCGGAGGTTGCAGTGAGCTGAAATCACGCCACTGCACTCTAGCCTGGGCAATAGAACGAGACTCAGTCTCAAAAAAAAAAAAGGTGATCATCTGCAAGCCAAGGAGAGAGGCCTCAGAAGAAACCAAACCCACCAACACCTTGGTCTTGGACTTCCAACCTGCAGAACTGAGAGAAAATACTGTTATTTAAGCCACCCAGTCTTTGGTATTTGGTTATGGCAGCCTGAGCTGCCATGTTTTCTTTCTACTGGGAAGTCCCTTCAAACTTTAGTACATCCACACTTGCTACTTCCTCACCTCGCTAATTATGACTTGTCCTTCACACTGAACTCACCACCTTGGGGAAGCCTTCTATTATTCTCTTTAGGCTGGTTAAGTGTCCCTGGTCTGTGATTCCTTCCCTGTATTAGAGCACTTATCTAGATGCTTCAGTTTTTTTTATTGTGGTAAGAACACTTAACATGAAATCTGTCCTCTTAACAAAATTTTAAGTGAACAATAAAGTATTGTTAACTATAGGCCCAATGTTGTACAGCAGATCTCTAGAACTTCTTCATCTCACGTAACTGAAACCTTCTCTCTGTTGAATAGCAATTCCCTATTTCTCCCTACCCCCATCTCATGGCAACAGTCATTCTACTGTCTGCTCCTGTGTTTGACTACTTTATATACCTCATACAAATGATGTCTTGCAGTATTTGTCTTGATATGATTGGCTTATTTCACTTAGCACAATGTCCTCAAGTTTCACCCCATGTTGTTGCATATGGCAGGATTTCCTTCTTTTTTAAGGCTGAATAGTATTTCGTTGTGTATATATACCATGTTTTCTTTATCCACTCATCTTTCAATGGATATTTAGGCTGTTTCCATATCTTGGTTATTGTGAATAATGCTGCAGTGAACATGGGAGTGCAGACATCTCTTTGAGATCTTGATTTCAATTCTTTTGAATAAATACCCAGGAGTAGGAATGCTGGATCATATGGTATTTCTATTTTTAATTTTTTGAAGACCCTCCATACTGTTTTCCACAGTGGCTTCACCATTTTATATTCCCCACCAACGGTGTACAAGTTTCCCTTTTCTCCATATTCTCACCACTACTTACCTTTATTTTTTTGGTACTAGCCACCCTAACCAGTGTGAGGTAATATCTCACTATGGTTTTGATTTACATTTCCTTGATGATTAATGATGTTGAGCATCTTTTCATATATGTGTTGGCCATTCGTATGTCTTCTTTGGAAAAAATGTCTATTCAGGTCCTTTGCCCATTTTTCAATAGGGTTATTTGGGCTTTTTTTGCTACTGAGTTGTATAAGTTAATTGTACATTTTGGATATTAACCCCTTATCAGATATATGGTTTTCAAATATTTTCTCCCATTCTATCGGTTGCCTTTTCATTTTGTTTATTGGTTTCTTTGCTGTGTAGATGCTTTCTAGTCTGATATAGTCCCACTTATTTATTTTTGCTTTTGTTGCCTATGCTCTTGGTGTCATATCCAAAAAATTATTGCCAAGACCAATGTCAAGTGGCATCAGTAACTTTAATGGAACAGGTAACAGCCCTGTAGGTAGACTCATTCTTACTTTGGAATGGAATATGTTACTCATGCCCTGAGTTGCATTATCTTTAATAAGTTTTAATAATATCTTTAATAAGAATTGTTTGAGGAAGTTATATTGCTGTATCAGTTACAAGTAAGATTGGCTGCATAGAACAATGCTTTTCTCCCAACAAATAACAAAATAGCATTTTTCTCTCCCATTTCTCTCAGGTAAAGGAAATCTGGAGGTAGGCTGTCCACAAATGGTATGGTATCTTCGGGTTGTCATTGAGCACTCAGTCTCATGTTTTCATCCTACCATACACAGCACACAGCTTTCATTTTCAAGGTCACATCATGATCCAGATTCGCTGGTGGTGCTTCAGCCATCAAGTCTGTTTTGCAGGCTGGAAAGAAGAAAAAAAGGGGAAGGACAAAAGGTCATGCACTGTTAAAGATCCTAGCTGGGAGACCTGCCCAGAGCTTCCACTCACATTTCACTGAATGGATCTTAGTCCATGGCCATACTTTGCTGTAAGGGAGTCTGGGAAATTTAGTGTTTTGTTTTTGTTTTTTAGCTGGACACATTGACTAGGTGTTTTTTTTTTTTTTTTTTTTTTTTTTTTTTTTTTTGAGACGGAGTCTTGCTCTGTCACCCAGGCTGGAGTGAATGGCATAATTTCGGCTCACTGCAACCTCTGCCTCCCAGGTTCAAGTGATTCTCCTGCCTCAGCATCCTGAGTAGCTGGGATTACAGGTGCCTGCCACCACACCCGGCTAATTTTTGTATTTTTAGTAGAGATGGGGTTTCGCCATGTTGGCCAGGCTAGTCTTGAACTCCTGACCTCAGGTGATCCGCCTGCCTTGGCCTCGCAAAGTGCTGGGATTACAGGCGTGACCTACTGCGCCTGGCCTAGGATTTAGTTACTAAAGAAGAAAGGGATAGAAGAAAAGGATATTGGAGGGTGACTAGTTGTCTCTGCCTCAGCCACAGATAAGTGGCTCATATTAAAACTACTACTGCCAAGATGAATTTGTAGGGACTGAAGTATAAATGCTGTACAAAGCTGATTGGCATAAAGCTCGTAATATTTTGTTCAGCAGAAGGGAAGAGAATATTCTTTTTTTTTATTGAGGTTAAATTACATGTAACCCCAAACCAACCACTTTAATGTATACAATTTGGTGGTGTTTAGTACATTCACAATGTTGTACAACAGTCACCTCTATCTAGATCTAAAACATTTTCATTATTCCAAAAGGAAACCTTAAACCTGTTAAATGCTTGCCCTCAATTACCCCTTCCCTCTCACCCCTAGTAACCACCAATCTGTGTTCTGTCTCTATGGATTTGCCTATTCTGGATATTTGATATAAATGGAATCATGTGTCTGGCTTCTTTCACTTGGCATAGTGTTTTTGAGGTTCATCCACATTATAGCGTTCCTTTCTATTGGTGAATATGGGAGGAGAATCCTCTTAGCAGACACAGTACCATCCTCCATGGCACATTCTAAACAAAGGCTCCAGCAAAAATCGGTTGCCTTATAATTGGGTGTAATGCTCCTGATTAGTCTCGTGGAGGTAGAGCTTAGCACTTGCCTACCCACTCCCTTCTTCATAGCTACTGGATCCTTAATTTTCTTTGAAGCATCAGTGTGCCCTGCCAGGCAATGTCTTGCAACTGCACCAAGCCAATTGTGACAAACTGTTCCCCATTTTTCCAGCCTCTCTTGCAGCCAGAGGTGGCCACTTAATCAAGTTCTGGGCAATGAGATCCAAACAGGAGTTGGCTGAGCCTCAGGGAGATAGGGTTGAGGAAGCTTTCACCTTCTTGATAAAAGGAGAGAGGCTGCAGGGCCCTTCCCACTTTTCCCTGCTCTAAACCTATACCTGATGTTTCCAGTTGCAGTATCTCTTTCTCAATCCTAACAGCTTGGCATGTTAGGATTGCATCCTTGAGTCGTGTTACATCCTTGAGTCACTGAGCTGGTGGTTTCCTACTGAGAGAATGCCTGTTATATGAGCAAGATAAAGTCTTACTCACTTCAGTCTTTGGGAGCAGGTTTTCTGCCACTTACAGCAAAAGCATTTCTAATAAACCTTAAGAGTTCCTTTTAAGTGATCAATTTTCCCATACATGGCAGAGGCAAAAGTTTGCAGCTGCCATGGGAAGAGGATGATCAGAAGGGACTCCTAAGGTTACTGTAGCTAACCCTGAATAGGGTCTGAGGTAGCATTTTTCTAACATGGCTACTGAATCCTAAACATACAGTCCATGTGGGTCTGTACAGACATGAAGGCAAGGGTGCCTGGGTCTTCTCCGTGTCTTTCTGCCTCTCTTGCTTTAAGATAAGGATTATCTATTTATGTTTATGGTATTCAACACATCTGCGAAGGTTCCCCAGGGGCTGTTCGACCTTGCCTGTCATCGACTCACAGAGTGGTGCACTGCAGTGGGAGCTTGGATGGAAGCCCAAATCTGGAAGATGCTAAAAGGAGCTAAAAACTGCAATTCCTACATTTTGCTATCTGTAGTGAGACAGGAACAGGCAGATAGAAGGGACAATCCTGAACTGTTAATAAAACCTTTAGGGAGTATCTTGAGTTCATAATAGGCTCTTCTTGATTTTAAAACATCTTGCTAATAAGGGCATTCTCTCCTGCATTTGCTGAAATATTTTCAGATGAATTTAAGATAATTAAAAAGGAATCTGGAGGTTTCCCAAGGTTTTGCTTAAATGACTCACATTTAGAGGAATCTCAATGTGCATAATGAGAAACATAAAACAAAACTATGAGTGCCTAGAAATGACTTTGCTTTTGTTCTAGAGAATCTGAACTAAGATTATATTTTGAAATTGACTTGGGAGGGATATTTGGTTTTTGGAAATAGAATAAAAAATGAACAGCTCTGGTTTGGAGGTAATAAAGCAGCTGACAAAAATAACCCCTTTATATTTAAAAGTAGCTTTTATTTAATTTGAAACATGCTACAGGGTTACTATAGCATTAAATATATTTAAATCTTTAAATATATTTAATTAAAGATATTTAATGAAATATCATTAAACATTAAAGATATTTAATTAAATATCATTAAACATTCAAGATATTTAATTAAATATCATTAAACATTCAAGATATTTAAATCTTTCCAGTTTCCCCGGACTGAATTGAATTTTAACTATACATATTTACCAACATAGATCAACTAAGTGAATGTTGCCAGCTGATATTCCATAGAAACAGAGCAACAAAAGTAAGAAAGAGGCAGAAAATACATTAGAAAAAAAGCAAATAATGACTAAGAGATATGAATTCTAAATAAAGTAGATGACCAAGAATCCACATGGGGTACCTTGACAAAATATAGAATGCACAAAATGACTTCCAATTAAATTGCATTATAAGTATATAGCTAAATTTTTAAAAACATATCCTCTGCTTTATTTATACTTTATAATAAATGTATTTATTTATTTTGTTGAAATAATTTATTCTTTCAACAAATATTTTTGAACATCTGCTATGTACCAGGCATTATGCTCAATGCATTTTTTAAGCTAGAGCTAAACAAATAAAACAACAGCAAAAAATACAACAGAAGACACTCCATCCCTGCCTCCAAAGAGCTTAATATAAAGTGGGTATATCAATAAATAATCTGATAATATGATACAATGTGGGAAATGTCATGTTAAAAGTAAACAGGAGGCCATGTTTACTTTATAGGTGTGGCGGTGGCTCACGCCTGTAATCCCAGCACTTTGGGTGGCCAAGATGGGTGGATCACTTGAGCCCAGGAGCTCGAGACCAGCCTGACCAACATGGCAAGACCCCGTCTCCACTAAAAATACAAAAAGAAAAAAAAATTGGCCAGGCGTGGTGACGCACGCCTGTAGTCCCAGTCACTAGGGAGGTTGAGGCAGGAGAATACCTTGAACCCAGGAGGGGAGGTTGCAGTGAGCCGAGATCGTGCCACTGTACTCCAGCCTGGGTGACAGAAGACTCTGTCTAAAAAAAAAAGAGTAAACATGAGCTATTAGGAGAAAATATAGGAAACATCCCAGATCCAGATGAAGGAGGCTTCTTGGAGTAGGTAGCATCTGAATTGGGCTTTGAACAACTAGCAGCAGCTGCCAGGTCAAAATGATTGGTAAGGCAAGAGGTGGAGCATAGGCACAGCCCAAAGGTGTAAGGTATCTTGATGCATTTAGGGAAGAGTGAGACGGAGGGGAGGTGGCAGGGGGTGAATCACAAATGTATTATTAGTCAGGATAGGCTACTTTACACTGTGGTGACAACCGTGAAGTAAAATAAAAATTATCTCCCAGACTACATGTCACACAGGCTTTTCCACCCTATAATTTACCATCTCAGCGTGAGGCTTTAGGACTCACTGCAGCAGGTGGAGAGAACACATGCATCTGCTCTTAAATACTTTTGCCCAGAAATGACATTCACCACTTCTACTCTCATTTCGTTGGCCAAAGCAAGTCATAAAGTCACCTCAAACGTCAAAGAGGTGAAAAATGCAATCAATGCAATCCATCTGTTTTGCAAGAAGGGAATCAGAAATATTAGGAACCACCAGCAAAGTCTACCATAGGCCCTGTGTACCGCGCTTTGAAATTGTGATTTTATCTTCAAGTGCAGGAACAAATGCAAGCAGAGGCCAAACAAACACAAGGAATTCAGGGTCAGCTTCACAACTGGTTGCCCTCTGACTCTATACTTCAAGTCTCCAAAGGCTGAGTATCAGTCAGCGTCCACAGGAAAACAGGCCACTACATGTTCCCACAGAGGAGGTTAAGATAAGGAATTGGTTACATAGGTAATGCAGAAATGAGATAGCAAAAAGGCAACTGTGAGAGAACCCAGAGATAATAACTACAAGAAGCAGCTACTATCCCTAAACTTGGAAAAACAACAGGGAAGAGGTAGGATTACCAGAACCTGGCGGTACAGAGCAAAGGCCATGCAGAATAGATATGAGGTCCTCTTAGGATGCCTGGTTGCTGCTGCTGAGGTGCTGCCAATGGGAGGCACTTGTGGGAGAGTGGAAGGCAGCCAGAGGGGAGAAGCTTCCTTCCTGGTTCTTTTTTTTTTTTTTTCCTTGAGACTGAGTCTCCCTCTGTCACCAAGGCTGGAGTACAGTGGCGCAACCTTGGCTCACTGCAACCTCTGCCTCCTGAGTTCAAGTGATTCTCCTCCCTCAGCCTCCTGAGTAGCTGAGAATACAGATGCCGCCAACACACCCGGCTAATTTTCCTATTTTTAGTAGAGATGAGGTTTCACCATGTAGGCCAGGCTGGTCTCAAACTCCTGACCTCAAGTGATCCGTTCGCCTCGGCCTCCCAAAGTGTTGGGATTACAGGCGTGAGCCACCACGCCCCGCCAATGCTAGTGTTTATGCCCATATATTTCATAGTATCCTGTGGGTGTGCCTGAATTTAAGGTTTCAGTTTTCCTCATCTGCCACATTTCAGGGTAACTGAACCCAGGACATAGCTCTTGGGGACTTCTTGAGGCCTTAACCACCGTCTTAAACTAATATAAAGTTGTAGCATGTCCAAGGGTAAGCAGAGGATTTGTTAACACATGACAGAGAGAAATTATTTAAGTTAACTTACAGCAATATTTATTTTTCTTGTACAATTATTTGAATTTAACACATGTACAGATTCATACGACCATCACTACAATCAGAATATAGAATGGTTCCATCATCCCCAAACCTCCCTTGTGTTATCCCTTTATAGTTATACGCTTCCCCTCCCACTTAGCCCCAGACACTACTGATCCATTCTCTGTAACTATACTTTTATCATTTCAAGAATGTCATAAAATGGAATAATATAGTGTGCAACCTTTTGAGACTCACTTCCACTCAGCATAATGCCTTTGATATTCATCCAAATTATTAGTATATCAATTGTTCATTCATTTTTATTGCTGAATGGTATTCCATTGTATGAACATACAACAGTTTTTTATTCATTCACCCACTGAAGGACATTTGGGTTGTTTTCAGTTTTTGGCTATTATAAATAAAGCTGCTAATAACATCCATGTAAAAAGCTGGGCGCAGTGACTCACACCTGTAATCCCAGCACTTTGGGAAGCCGAGGCGGGTGGATCACTTGAGGTCGGGAGTTCAAGATCAGCCTGGCCAACATGGTGAAACCCTGTCTCTACTAAAAATACAAAAATTAGCTGGGCATGGTAGCACATGCCTATAATTCCAGGTACTTGGGAGGCTGAGGCATAAGAATTGCTTGAACCTGGGAGGCGGAAGGTGCAGTGAGCCAAGATTGTGCCACTGCACTCCAGCCTGGGTGACAGAGCGAGACTCTGTCTCAAAACAACAACAAAAAAATCCATGTGCAGGTTTTTGGATGAACACATTTTCACTTCCCTTGGATATATACATATATACCTAGGAGTGAGATTGCTTGTTCTTATGGATAAATGCATGTTAACTTTATAAGAAACTGCCAAACTCTCTTCCAGTGTGGTTTACCATTTTGCATTCCCACCAGCAATGTAAGAGAGTTCCAGGGGCTCTTCGTTCTCATCTCCAATTGGTGTTGTCAGTATTTTTTATTTAGTCATTCTATTTCTAATATTCTAAGTCAATCTAATAGGTGGCAATCATGGTATTAATTTTTATTTCCCTAATGGCTAATGGTGTTAAACATCTCTTCATGTAATGATTTCTCATCCACATACCGTCTTTTGTAAAGTGTTAGTTTAAACCTTCTGCCCATTTTTCAACTGGGTTGTTTTCTTATTAAGTTTGGAGAATTTCTTATGTACTATGGATATAAGTCCTTTGTTGAATATGTTTTGTAAATATTTTCTCCCACTCTGTAGCTTGTCTTTTCATTACTTTAAAAGTGTCTTTTGCAGAGCAAAAACTTTTAATTTTGATGCAGTCCAATTATCAATTTTTTCATATAAGGATTGTGCTTTTGGTGTCATATCTAGGCACTCTTTGCTTAATCCAAGATCAGGAAGGTGTTCTTATGTTTTTTTGTAACTGTTTCACAGTTTTGTATGTTACATTTAAATCTATAATCTACATAAAATTCATTTTTGTACAAGGTATAAGATTTAGCTCAAGGTTCATTCTTTTTGTGTATGGATGCCCAATAATTCCAAACAATTCATTGAAAAGAACGTACCTTGTCCATTTAATTGCTTTTGCACTTTTGTGAAAAATCAATTTTGTATGTAGACCTATTTCTGGACTCTAATTTTGTCCCATTGATGTATATATCTATTCCTTCACCAATGCTACCCTGCCTTAATTATACTTTATTACTTTACATAGTAGCATTACAGTACATCTTAAATTGGATAGTGTGAGGCCTCCAATTTTATTCTTCTTTTTCAAAATTGTTTTGGCTAGTCTGTTACTTTGACTTTCCTATTAATTTTATATTTCACATGGCTATATTCACCAAACATTTTGCTGGGATTTTTATGGAAATTTTATTAAATCTGTATATCAATTTGGAGAGATTTGACATCTTTGCTTAGTCTTTCAATCCATGAACATGGCATGTCTCTTCATTTATTCAGGTCTTCTTTGATTTCTTTCATCAACATTTTATAGATTTTAGCATATAGATCCTGGACATGTTTTGTTAAAAATTTATACCTAAATATTTTTCTTTTATGCTATTGTGAATGATACATTTTAAAGATTTTTTGGCCAGGTGCAGTGGCTTACACCTATAAACCCAGCACTTTGGGAGGCCGAGGCAGGCGGATCAGGTGAGGTCAGGAGTTCGAGATCAGCTTGGCCAGCACAGCAAAACCTTGTCTCTACTAAAAATACAAAAATTAGCCAGGTGTGGTGGTGGGTGCCTGTAATCCCAGCTTGGGAGGCTGAGGCAGGAGAATCACTTGAACCCTGGAGGCGGAGGTTGCAGTGAACCGAGATCGCACCACTGCACTGCAGCCTAGGTGACAGAGCCAGACTCCACCAAAAAAAAAAAAAAATCTCCAGTTGCACATAGCCTGTATATAGAAATATGATTGGTTTTTGTGTGCTGACCTTGCACCTTGAGACCTTGCTAAACTCGCTTATTTGGTTCTAGGATTTTGTAGATTTCATGGGATTTTTCTAAGTAGATGATCATATTATCTATGAATAGGAGAATTTTTCTAATATCCTTTGAGAATTTCTCTTTTTTCCTCCCTTTTCTTTTTGTTCCCTCTGTTTTTAGTTCCTCTGTTTCCCCAGCATTCCATTAAAATTTACATATTGTGATTTTTGCTATATACGTATGCCTTTTATTTCGTTTTTCTGTCTTAGTGCACTGACTTGGAGTTCCAATACAATGTTGACTAAGAGTGGTGATAGTGGACTTCCTTGCCTTTTCCCGACCTTGGGGGGAAAGAATTCAGTCTTTTAAGAATAATGCTAGATATTCTGTGCGGTTTTTTTTTTTGGGGGGGGCGGGTATCTGCTCTTTATCAGGTCAAAGAAGTTCCCTTTTATTCCTATTTTGCTGAAAGCTATCATGAATGGATGTTGAATTTTGTCAGTGCTTTTTTCCGCATCAGTGAATATGATCAGGCAGCTTTTCTTCTTTAGACAGTAAATATGGTGGATTGCATTGAGTGATTTTCTCATGTTGAACAAGCCTTGTAATCCTAGGATAAATACCACTTGGTCATGGTGTACACTTCTTTTTATACATTGTTAGATTCAATTTACTAATATTTTGTTAAGAATTTTTATGTCTAAGTTCATGAGAGATATTGGTATGTAGCTTTCTTTTCTTCAACTGTCTGACTCTCTAGAAGAGACTGTACAGTATTGGTGTTATTTCTTCACACGGAAATCTATTTTTGTTGGATGTATTATTTTTGGTTAACAGTTCTTTCAGCACATTAAAAATGCTGTGCATGTCTTTATGACCTTCTTGGTTTCTGATGAGAAATCCGTAGTCATCTGAATTGTTGTTACCCTGTATGTAATATTTCATTTTTATCTTTCTGCTTTAAACATATTTTTTTGTTTTTCTTTTCAGCAGTTTGAATATAATGTGTCTGTGCTTTGATTCTTTGGGCTTATCCTGCTTGGGTTTTGCTGAGGTTCTTCAATCTGCAGGCTTGTGTCTTTTGCTTTATCTGGAATGTTTTCAGTTATTATATTTTCACATCTTTTTTTCTGTACCACACTGTTTCTCTTCTCCTTCTGTAACTCTAAAGACACAAATGTTAGATATTTTATTATCTCCTATAGGTCTTTGTGGCTCTATTTATTTTTCAGTTTTTCCTCTCTGCTATTCAGGTTGGATAATTTCTATTGATCTATTTTCATATTTACTGACTCTTTCATCTCTATTCTGCTATTGCATCCATCCAATTTTAAAATTCCAGCTATTGTATTCTTCACTTATAAAATTTTTTTTTTTTTTTTTGAGATGGAGTGTCACTCTGTCACCCAGGCTGGAGCGCAGTGGTGCGATCTCAGTTCACTGCAAACTCCACCTCCCAGGTTCAAGTTATTCTCCTGCCTCAGCCTCCCAGTAGCTGGGATTACAGGCACATGCCACCATGCCCAGTGAATTTCTGTATTTTTAGTAGAGATGGGGTTTCACCATGTTGGCCAGGCTGGTCTGGAACTCCTGACCTTGTGATCTACCCGCTTTGGCTTCCCAAAGTGCTGGGATTACAGGTGTGAGCCACTGTGCCCAGCCTAAAATTTCAATTTGGTTCTTCTTTTATCTTTTACTCCTGTGCTGAGCCTTTTATCCTTACATTCATTTCAAGATTATTTGTCCTTACTTGTTGGAGCATCATTATAATAGCTGCTTTAAAGTCTTTTTCAGATAATTCCAACATTGGTGTCACCTCAGCAGTGGTGTCTGTTGTTTGCCTTTTCCCACCCAAGTTAAGATTTTCATGGTTCTTCAGGTATTGAATAATTTTGGGTTGTATCCTGGACATTTTGAATATTATGTTATAGGACTTTGTATCTTGTTTTAATACTATGGGGAAATATTCATATTTTTGTTTTAGTTTGTAATAGACATGCTTGGGTTTAGATCACAAGTTCTGACATGCCTTTTGTGGATAGTGGCTCCAAAGTCAATTCAGTTTTCAAAAGTTTGTAATGCTATTCAGATCTGTCCTACATGTGTTTTATCCAGTGGCTAGTCTAGGGCTTGGGTGGTGGTCTGCCTCTTAGTTCAGTTATCACAGTCTTTGGTATGCTGTTTAGGATCAGATCCATGTGCAGGTTGGGGTGAACCTAGGAGTTCATAAAAACTTTATGAGGACCTTTCCCAAGGTCCTCTCCTCTCTACTGTCTCCTTGGTACTTTGTAATGCCTTGGAGTTCCCCTTTTAATCAATTGGCAAGAAATCTAGACTATTTAATTTATTTAAAGACAGGGTCTCGCTCTGTCGCCCAGGCTGGAGTACAGTGGTGTGATCATAGCTCACTGTAGCCTCGAACTCCTGAGCTCAAGTGAGCCTCCCACCTTAGCCTCTTGAGTAGCCAAGACTACAGGCAAGCACTACAGTGCCCAGCTAATTTTATTTTTAAATGTTTCATAGAGACAGGGTCTTGCTACATTGCCCAGGCTGTTCTCCAACTCCTGGCCTCAACAAATCCACTCACCTCAGCCTCCCAAAATGTTGGGATTACAGGGGTGAGCCACTGTGCCTGTCCAGAAATCTGGGTCTTTATTTAATCCTCTCTGTTATGTATTTCCTGAAACTTTGCCCATGTCTTGGGCCAAGCATCAGGACAGAGAGAGTGAAAAAATATATATCATTGAGGTTTTGGCCCCACTGTCTTGGGACCAGAGCTACTTCAAACAGAGAGGAAGGTTCTCCCCTCCCTTAGCATTTTTTGGGTGCTTGAAGGTATTGCTGTCTCCATTGTCACTGTTGACTGAGGTGCCACAGTGGGATTGCTTATTGGCTAAAATGTAAGAGAATGGAGAAAAGAAAAAAAATGGCACATTTCTCCTACTTTCTCTGAATATTAGGAGACCAATTTTCTGCTTTTCCTGGAGCTCTCTCTGTCCATGTTGATGCTCCCTTCCGGGTGTTAAGCTGCCTTGAGTCCAGTCTAGTGGAGACTGGAGGAAAAAAATGGTAAACTCACCGCCAGTTCAGTTTTACTTCAAATTCTGTTGTTTTTCCTCAGTTTATGTGGTACAATTTACTTTCCAGAGTCCTCAAATAGTTGCTGCATGCATTCTGTTCACATTTTATAGCTGTATTCAGTAGCAGGTAATGGGTTTAGTGTGATTATTCTGTGTTAACTGAAATCAGAACTCCTGTATTATATAGGTTAGTTTTCACACATAAATATGTAGAGATAATGGAGTGTTTTCTTTGGTGTGTATTTGTGAATGGTTGGGACTAGTCTTTTCATACTCTACCCAAGGGAACTACTTTACATAATAAATACTCTTCTGGTTATCTATTGCTGTGGAAGAAACCACCCTCAAACTTAGTAGCTTAAAATAACACCAATCATTTTATTATGCTACAGTTGCAGATGTTGGTTAGGTTCAGCGACATGGTTCTTGCTTGGGGCCTCTCATATGTCTACAGTAAGATGGTGGCTGGGAATGAATTGATTTGAAGACTCATTCATTCACATGTGTGGCATTTGGGCTGGGAACACTCAAAAAGTTGGGTCTCCTGTGGCATCTACCTCTATTGCTACATGGTCTCTCTACATGGTTTCTTCAGTATGTCAGCTTCCAGGTAGCTAGATTTCTTTGTCTGTTTGTTTGTTTTTTTGTTTTTGGAGGCAGGGTCTCACTCTGTCACTCAGGCTGGAGTGCAGTGGTGCAATCTTGGCTCACTGCAACCTCTGCCTCCCAGGTTCAAGTGATTCTCGTGCCACCACCTCCCAAGTAGCTGGGATTACAGGCACACACCACCACACCCGGCTAATTTTTGTATTTTTAGTGGAGACAGGGTTTTGCCATGTTGGTCAGGCTGGTCTTGAACTCCTGACCTCAGGTGATCCGCCCGCCTTGGCCTCCCAAAGTGCTGGGATTACAGGCGTGAGCCACCGTGCCCAGCCTAGCTAGAGTGGAAAGTGACAGAATGAAACAGGCAGGAGCTAGATTACCTTTTATGACCTAGCCTCACAAATCACATAATCTCCATTACCACATTATATTCTTTGAGGGAGTCACAAAGGTCCACTGAGGTTCAAGGGGAGGGAACATAGATGCCCCTTCTTGATGGGGGATGGTAAGGTTCTGGGATTGGAAATATGATTGTGGCCATCTTTTTAAAAAATACAATCCGCCACAAATACTAAGAAGTCTGTACTTTTAAGGTAGCTCCTGAGTTGCCCTTTTCTAAAGAGAGAAATTCTGTCCTTGAGTACTGGGCACCCAAAGGGGCATAATATTATGACCAACACAGTGCCCATCCAGGTTTTAAGTATTTGCAATTTTATTGGAAACCTGTGTGGAACTTCAAGGTATACGGATGTTTGCAGGGGCTGAGTGACTGCCTAGAGGAGTTGGGAAAGGGGCTAGCTAAAATGTAGATGAAGAGATTTCCCTGCTTTAAAGAAACCACTAAACAGCTTTGGCAGAGTGCTCACCTACAGGGGAACCAGGAAGGCTGCAGTACTCCAAAGAGTTTTCTTACCTAATGCTACCTCTACCCTATTATTTCATTTGGTTAAGCATCACCTTCTTCAATGAATCCTCTTAAAAATGCAAACTCCCCTGGGAGCGAAAACATGGGCAGTTTTGGTAGAGATTTCAGAGTGGTTCAATAAACACATGAGTACAGTGCTAAGCACTGGGAACTCAGTGATTAATCTGATCTTGTTTCTTCCTTGACCAGAGGAGCAAGGTGGATTGAAGATTCTAGTTTTCCTGAGAATTTGTTCCAAGAGGCTTCATCCTTCAGAGTCCACGCCATAATTTTGTTCAGAGCTGGGTTTGGTCTTAAGAGTCATTAAAAGACTCTCTGAGCTACCAGGTGAGCAACATAAAAGAAAGGGTCATCAGGGTAACCCCCACCCCCCACCACCACCTTAGGACCAGCTACTGCTCATCTACCAGGAATGGCAAGCGTTCAGTTCCTTCTGGTTCAACCCTATTCCCCAAGGGGATTAGTAGCACAGCGCAGACGAAGTCTATTCCCTCAAGTGAGGAAGGAGATACTTCAATGCCCTCCCCCGATTCCAACTCCTTATCAGTCCTCACATTTGAGTCTGATGAGAACAGAGGTTTGAATGAAACCTAGCAGATTCTGGGGCTGGAAGGGCAACCTGAGAGATGAGGAAAGAGAGGTGTAGGGGCTAACGTGGCTTCGGGGCTGCTCGGTTCACTGACAGCCCCCACTTTACTGGGCCCAGGGCGGCTGCACACTGGCCTGAGATTAAACACTTCGCCGTGGCGCCAGAGACGGGACTCGAGACCGCAAGGCTAGTCACTCCAAGCCGATGCTCCCGCTAGGCGCCGGCGACCTCTGGCGTCCCCTTTCGGAAGTGCGGCGGCGGCTGCCCATGAACTGGCCCCACGACCCCAGACTGCCTGGGCAGGTGCGCCAGGACGGGGTGAGAAGCGCAGAGAGGCAAGCAGCCGGCGGCCGGCCCGCAGACCCGAGGGCAACACCCGGCCCCGCCTGGGTGGCTCGGTTGGCCCGCGGGGCGGTGCGGCGTGGCGCGGCCGGGGGACGAACAGGTGCGCGGGCGGGGGGCGGTGCTTGGGGATCCTGCGCACTGCGCGCGCCCCTCCCCCGCGCGGCCCCGGGCGCAGCCCCGGCCCGGCGCGAGTAGGAGGAGGAGCTGCAGCGGCCACGGCCACTCCGGCAGGTCCGCGGTGCTGCCAGAACCCGCCGACGGCGCGGGCTGCTGGTCCCCGCTCGGAGGAGGCGCGGGGGGCCCCGGGACCATGGAGCCTGGTGACGCGGCGCGCCCTGGCTCGGGTCGGGCTACCGGGGCGCCGCCGCCGCGGCTGCTGCTGCTGCCGCTGCTGCTGGGTTGGGGGCTGCGAGTCGCGGCCGCGGCCTCGGCCTCCTCCTCTGGGGCGGCGGCGGAGGACAGCAGCGCCATGGAGGAGCTCGCTACTGAGAAGGAGGCGGAGGAGAGCCACCGGCAAGACAGCGTGAGCCTGCTCACCTTCATCCTGCTGCTCACGCTCACCATCCTCACCATCTGGCTCTTCAAGCACCGCCGGGTGCGCTTTCTGCACGAGACCGGGCTGGCCATGATCTATGGTGAGCACCCCTGTTACACCCCCCGCCCTCCACACCCCTCGGCCGCCGCGCTCCTCCTGGCGCCGCGCGGTGCTCCCCCTTCACTTGCCAACGTGTTCCGTTTCTTTTACGTTTCCCGCTGCGACGGTGTTGGTTCCCAAGGTCAACTGTCTGCATTTTCTGGCTCTCTGCTACCGTTAAAAACAATTCCACCCCTATTCCACGTTTCTGCATTGGGAACCCAGGAAAATGAAAGGGACAGAGGTGGTCCGGTTCCGTCTGCCCCGTTCGGTCTCTGTTGCAAACCTCTTACCCACCACCTCCCGCTCCAGTTGAGCTCGATAGGGTGTGTGTGCCTGCGTGGTGGCTGGAGGTGGGTGGCTTCCCAGGTGACTGCATCACCTCAGGGGACAGGCCACAGTAGGGAGTGGGGACGAAGTCTGAAAGTGTCTTTGCTTGGGTATGGGTTAGTGGGGCCTCTTGGACGCCACATCCATGGTCAGCCTGGGTGGGTACCCACTCCTGAGGTCCACATTCCCAGGTCTCTTAATGATAAAGTCAGAGCATGAAGTGTGGTGAAAGGTGAGCAGTGGTCCAGGACCCAGAGTGGGTGGCACCACCATGTCAGGCCTGGACGAGGAGACAGGCACGCCTCCTGCTCTTATGTCCCGAGTGGAAAGTTATACCCAGTTACTTGCTTTCTCAAACGAAGAGGAGCTTTTGTATTCCTAAGACGGTAACAGGGAGTGAGTTTGAGATACATTTCCGAATGTATGAAGGGGAAAAGTCGTGGTTTTAATTCCGGAGTCAGCCATCTTTTGTTGTTAGGGGTGGGCTGATGCTACCATCCTTTTCTAGATTTAATGGTACACAGTGTGTTACATGCACAGTGGTCAGTACAAATCTCCCTTTATTACATGGATGTCAGCCATAATCTGAGTCATCCCTCTTCCTCTTCTGTGCCCCCTGCCTCCCCCCTCGCCCTGCCCATGACTCCAAAGTGGAGTCAGGTATTCTCTTTTTGAATGTAATTCAGTGGTGTTAAAGCCCCTGAATTGGCATCCTCACACGAAATAGACGAGCCACTTCATGATTGTTCCCAACGGGGAAAATTTTATTTTATCACATATACTGAGGGATTTCTTTATTCAGTTTCCATCCAGGTGCCCTGATAGAGAATGGAAAGCAGAAACCTTAACCTTTAATGTGAAAATTACCCTTGGTTCTGGGCCTTGCTTCTCATGTTTCTTGATTAGTTGTTGACAGCCGGGGCTCATGGCCACCAGGCCCTCGCAGCCAAACCGTGTAAGGGGCAAGCGCTGTTAAGAGCCCTCCAGTTTTGATGAAGTAGTGACCTACACAGATCTTGAAACAGGACCAGGTCTAAAACCGAGTTTGGTGATTGCGAATTATAGGTCTCAACACAGACTTTGGCCTCCATCCCTGACCGTTGTTGAGCTCTGTGGTTTGTGTCAGTTGGTGATAAATGACTGATGCCAGGCCTGCAGGTAAGCTGGGAGGTTTCCTGAGAAGACAGACAGGGGGGAATTGAAGCACGTGGTCATTGCAGGTGATTGACTCCAAGCCATGATGCAAATGAAAATTGCCTTTATATAGATAACCGTGAAAATATTTTTATTTAATAGGCCCTAGACCCAGTTTCTTAAAGGACAATGTGAAATAGGAGGTAGATTTGTCAGATTCGTAAACACATGCTCAAGGGATGGAAAATAAATGGGGATTTGAAAATATATTTTCTGGAGAGTACTCCGTGTTCTGAGGAGTTCAATCACCTTTATCTTAAGGCTTAAAGACAACAGTGGAATTTTCCTTTGCTGATACGTACTTTTAAAACTCACCTCCATCTTTCAGCCATTTGGTTGTGCTACAGTGTACTGTTTTATTTTGTGAACAATCAAGTTACAAATCTAGTGTAACTGATGGCTGTTCAGAAAAGGCAATATCATCTCAGCATTCCTGTGTAATTTTGTTCTATATCTTTGAGTATTAGTGTTTCTTTAAATGTATAAAGAAATTTAGTTTGTCAATATGTGATGTCTCAGGTTATGCCAAATATTAATATTTTAAGGACTGTCTGTAATTGTGAGAAAACATTTCTTCTTTCTCTCAGGTATGTTTGGTCTTCTACTGCAAGGTCCCCCTAATCTGAATTCTAATGTCATGTGATTAGCTAATTATTCATAGTATACTGAAGACTATTGGGATGGGGATTTTAAACTGATCTTAAAATTCAGTTTGCAAATCTTTTAAAAAATTGTCTGCATTTAAGATGTACAACATGATGTTTTGATAAACACAATGAAATGATTACTACTGTCAAGCAAATCTTTGAACACAAGTAAATCCAGTAAAGATTTTTCAAGACTTCTCTTTTTTAATAGTAAAAAATAAAATTTGATTTCTCTATATCAATAGAGGAAGTGAGTAATTGTCCTCTTGGCTCTGAATAAGGAACGACAAAAAGACCTAAGGAAACATTTTTAAAGTATCCACTGTGTGCTGGGAACCCAACTTAATTTCTGGAGGCAAACAATTTAACTTTTAAATGTTTATGAATGAAAGAGTTCAACTGTGAATTTCAAAACTCTTTATTTTGAGAAAAAGTTTTAAAATGTAATTTCTGCCACCTTTTTGTGTTTAAGTGACACTTTAATCTGAGAAGAACAGCGTTTACATTTAAGATAAATTTATATATATATAAATTTATATATTTGTTGGTATAGTCGTAAAATATCTCTGGAAGGACATGCAATAGATGAGTAACATTGGTTTCCTTGGGGGAGAGGAACTAGATGGCTGTGAAATAGGAGTGGGAGGGAGAGGTCACCATATAACCTTGTATGCTTCTTGGTCTTGTAATAGCTTTTTTTTTTTTTTTTTTCCAAGACGGAGTCTCACTCTGTCGCCCAGGCTTGAATGCAGTAGCGCAATCTCGGCTCACTGCAAACTCCACCTCCCGGATTCAAGCAATTCTTCATCTCAGCCTCCTGAGTAGCTGGGATTACAGGCGCCCGCCACCATGCCCGGCTAAATTTTGTATTTTTAGTAGAGATTGGGTTTCACCATCTTGGCCAGGCTGGTCTTGAACTCCTGACCTCCACCCACCTCAGCCTCCCAAAGTGCTGGGATTACAGGTGTGAGCCACCGCACCCGGCTGTAATAGCATTTTAACGTGCTCCTCAAATCACTCAATTTGACGCCTACTTCTCCCTATTTAAATCACATTATGTTATCAATTTTCTTCATGACTTTTCAATTCTTAATTGTGCCCTTGGAGCTTTTCTGAGCCCTGTGTCTGGGATGGAGATAAAATGGGGAAAGGGGAAGAGATTTCTCTCTCTCTCTCCCTCCCTCCCTCCCTCTCTCACCCTCTCTTTCCCACTCGCTCTCTCCCTCTTTTTCCTTCCCTTTATTCCATTATCCTCAGAGAGTAGTCAATGTTACATTAGCAGTGATGTGCACAAATAGACCCCATAATAAGTGCTTGCTTGGATGCAGAGGACCTAAGGAAAATAAAAGACACACTGTGAATGCTTAACGTTTAAACAGAAAGGAACTCCCCCACCCACCAAAGGACACTTATAAGCATTCCTCCCTGACAGGCCAGGGCAGCTACAAGGGAAGGTAGCTACAGACCTAACTCCCCAGGAAGGTTGAAAGCAGCCCCCAGACCCCACCACTGGAGCTGCAAGGCAGCGGGGCCAGGCACTTGCCTGCCACCAGTCTAACCTGTTTTGTCAGGCCAGGGAGCTCCCAGCTGTCTGTCTCTGTTATGTGATTAAGTGCCATCCTAAAGTTACTGGGCCCTACATGTCTTTGCAGCAGAAATAGAAAGTGTTTAGGGCAGGGAAAGTTGGTATAAACAGACTGTGCCAGTTCATTGTGGTTCTCTCTCAGATGTACGGTAGTTCCACTTCCCCCATAATGTTTTTGTGACAACTGATATGGATCCAAAATAATCTGACTCTGCCATGCTAACCCACCACCTGCTTCTCGCTTCCTCCTCCTCCACCACCCCATCACCTTTCCAAAAATATGTTGATCAGCCCCTCTAGGTTCTATGGGTTGTGGGCTCACTGTTGCTGTGGTGGAGCTGGATTGCTAAGCACAGCCTGAGAGTGGGCTCATAGGCAGAGTCTGAAGGGGAAAAAGATGACTCTTTGCGGTAACATGAAATTAACATTTGAACCTGTAAGCAAACATTTTGGAACCATCTCCTTCCTGGTTAATCAGGAGTCCCCCCTTTTAAGAGCCCCTCACTTTGGCCCCAGTTGGGAGCAGCTTCTGTATGGTCTCACTTTGGTACCAGATAACCCTGGGTTCAAATGCTGGCCCTGTTGCTTATAAAACTGTATAGCATTGGATAAACTCTCTGAGCCTTAGCTTCCTCTTTTGGAAAATGGAGATTATGTTACCTCACAGAATTGCTGTGTTATTGAGATATTCTAAAGGGTCAAGTGCAGTGTCTGACACTTAAGCACTTGGTAAATATTAGTTCCCATTCTCATTTTAGGCTTTGTGATTCTTTGGCAGGCTTTACTACTTGAGGTTTGTTCAGTAGTGGACTGTTGTAATTTTAAAATGCATTAGGACACAGTTAGTGGAAGTGAGGAAAATTGTATATTTTGGGGTGAGCTTTTGGTTAATACCTAGAAAAAAATTTACAACACACCTACCCTTTTAAAATTTTATTTATTATTATTATTATTATTATTATTTGAGACAGAGTCTCACTCTGTCGCCCAGGCTGGAGTGCAGTGGTGCGATCTCTGCTCACTGCAAGCTCCGCCTCCTGGGTTCATGCCATTCTCCTGCCTCAGCCTCCAGAGTAGCTGGGACTACAGGCACCCGCCACCATGCCCGGCTAATTCCTTTTTGTATTTTTAGTAGAGACGGGGTTTCACCATGTTAGCCAGGATGGTCTCAGTCTCCTGACCTTGTGATCCGCCCGCCTCAGCCTCCCAAAATGCTGGGATTACAGGCATGAGCCACCGTGCCCGGCCCACACCTACTCTTTTATTCAGCATTTTCAATTCTTGGACTTTCAGAAATCTATCAGAAATACTTGTGCTAGCATGTTGCAATATATAGACAGCAATATTTGTTGCAGTGGACATAAGTTGCAGAACTCATCAGATGAGACTGGTTAAATTGTAGCACATTCCCATTAAGGAATACTATGCAGCGATAAAAAGAGGTGTTTTGAGATGTCCTTTTAAGGCTACTGTCCACACATAATGTTGTGGAAAAAAAGCAAGGCACAGAACATCATGTATAGTATTATTCTATTTGATCTTTCAATAACTATATACTGTATATACACAAACATGATGTATGTAATTTATATATGATATATGTGCTTTTATGGAAGGATATGCAAGCTTTATCCTTTGGGAGCAGGATGAGTTGTTGGGAGAGAGAGAGGGGAGGTGGTACTTTTCCTTTATATTATTCTAAATGGCCTGAACTTTCTTTAATACTGACACATTACTTTTGCAATTTAAACATTATTTAAAAATGAAGCAAATAACTTATGTAGCAAAAAAATGCTTTATAAACAGAAGATTGTACTATGTGGTTACATAGCATTTTCCTTGGATTGTCGAAATGTTCTTTGTAAAGCGGTCTCTGGATATAAAGAATACTTTTACTTATTATTTGAAAGTTATAAATGGAAGTAAAATGTTTGTATCTTAAAAAATAGAAAAATGACATTTACTAAAAGCATTTCTTAGAATATTAAAAAGTTAACCTTTGTGGAACGCTGTAATTAGAAAAATCACAATTTTTCAACCTCTAGTGATAGTTTATTTAGACAAGGGTTTTCAATGAATTCCAGAATCCTAGGTGAAAGGTTATTGGGGAACATGGTACTTGCAAAGTACTATCACCCCACAGGTTACTTGCCTGTTGCAAAGAAAAGAAGGTACCTTTACAGTGAAGAGGTCTGGCAGTCACCATCTTATAAGCAAGTCATCAAATGTATCCTTGCTCATTGTGGGACTATCTAGTATCATGGTATACAGGAAGTGTACAGCTTTACCTATGTAGTATCCTTCCTGTATGTGTTTAATCTGAATCAAATCAAGGACTTAGACACATCTTCCAGTTTCCAGGAAATGCAGAGGATAGAGAAACAAGTTATAAAACACCATGAGAAAACAATCAGATAAATCCAATATATGGGATGATCTGTAAGACAGTTGCCCCAGACTCTTCAAAAAGTCAACGTCAAAGGAAACAAAAAGGCAGGGTGAGTGTTCTAGATTAAGGGAGGTCAAAGAGACTAAATGTAGTACGAGAAACTTGATTGGCTCCTAGTTCATGAAAATGAATTATAAAAGATGTTTTGGGGATAGGTAGGGATATTTGAATGTAGACTGGGTATTAGATGATATTAAAGAATTACTATTATTTTTTGTAGGTGTGATAATTGAGGTTATGCAGGAGAATGTACTCATTCTTTGGAGATGCAAGCTGAAGTATTCAGGGGTAAAGTATATGAATCCTAACATATGCAACTTTCAAAAAGTTCAGTAAAAAAATATACATACCACCTATATAGAGAAAACAAATATTGCAGCCTACTAGCTAACTGTTAAATGTAGGTGCCTAGTGAAAGGGTATGCTTTATATACTCTTCTTTCAACTTTTCTGTATGTTTTGACATTGTCATTAAGATGAAAGATTGGAAAAGAAGTTAATCCCCCTCTTAGCTTGCAACCTATTAACTTCCCTGCCTGGAAGATTGTACAGGTGAGGCTGTACACATCCTGTCTGTTACTCTCATTAAACTCTTTCTAGCACTGATTAACACTGTTTGACATTAGTTTACCTGAGGTGAAGTTAGGCTTACGTGACTTGAGAATCAGTAACTTCTTTCTTCTTTTTTTTTGAGACAGGGTCTCACTGTGTCATGCAGGCTGGAGTACAGTGGTGTAATCCTAGCTCACTGTAGCCTGGACTTCCTGGGCTCAAGTGATCCTCCCACCTCAGCCTCCTGAGTAGCTGGGACTACAGGTGCTCACCACTACGCCTGGCTAATTTTTTGGTATTTTTTGTAGAGACAGGGTTTCGCCATGTTGCCCAGGCTGATTTCGAACTCCTGCGCTCAAGCCATCCACCTGCCTCGGCTTCCTAAAATGCTGAGATTACAGGCATGAGCTGCTGCACCTGGCCAGTAACTTCTTTTTCATTTTACTTTTTGTTTGATTCTTAAGTTCATGTATTTTTTAAATTGCCTCTGTTTAACATACAAGAGAATATGTGTTAGGAGAATTTTCTCTTTTAGTTAAAGCATGCTACCTGGCTTTTAATCAATATGGGTATTTATATTAGAGTAATACTAGATGTTAAAACAAACCAACCCCAAATTTCAGTGACTTAACATAGGAGAAATTTGTTTTTCACGCATGTAATGGACCAGTGCAAGGGACTGGCAGGTGGCTGTCTCTACGTTGTGATTCAGGGACCAGATGCCTTCCATCTTGTGGCTTCCCCATCCCATATGGCCTTGGAATCCTCCTCCTCCAGTTGATGAATGAAGCAAGGAAATGAAGATCATATGGGGAAGACTTATGTGCTAAGCCTGGAAATGTTCTGCATCACTTTGCCCACTTCTGTTGGACAGAACTTGGTTACAAGGCCACATCTAACTGGAAGGGAGCCAGGGAAACATAGTCTAGTTGGAAGAAGAGGAACAGGTTTGGAAAGCAGCTAGCCAATCTCTATTGCAGTATTTGATGAGTACTTTGTTATACATAATCCAGAAAAGAGAAGTAATAGGATTTGCATGTGATTTGTGTGTACCACAGTTTACATACAAATGTAAAGGACACTGAAGGACATCTTGGTTGCTTCCAAGTTTGGGCAATTATGAATAAGAATATTTAAGTTTTCACCCTTCAAAAACATTCACTATGTTGTTTCTAATAAAATAATAGTAGAAAAAAATAGTAACTGTTTATTGAGCACCTGTTAGAATAGTCTGTCACCGTGTTAAGTACTTTGCATACGTTAAGCCATTTAACCTTCACATCAAATGTATGAAGATCAGGCTGGGTGTGGTGGCTCATGCCTGTAATTCTAGCACTTTGGGAGGCCGAAGCGGGAGGATTGCTTGAGCCCAGGAGTTGAAGACCAGCCTGGGCAACGTGGCAAAACCCTGTCTCTATTAAAAATATAAAAATTAGCTGGGCATGGTGGCATGTCCCTGTAGTCTCAGCTACTTGGGAGGCTGAGGCTGATGGAGGATTGCTTGAGCCTGGGAGGTCAAGGCTGCAGTGAGCTGTCATTGCAGCAATGCACTCCAGTTTGGGCAACAGAGTGAGACCCTGTCTCCAAAAAATAAAAATGTTTGAAGATCCTAATATTGGTCCCATTTTCCCAGGTAAAGAAATTGAAACCTAGGTCAAGTACCTCCTTTGTTTAAGGTCACATGTTTGAAATTGGGAAATTGGGATCTATTAAAGGATGAACTCAATATAGCTGAGGATGTATTTGGCCAGGATAGAGCAGAACCTGAATCCCGCCCATTACCACTTCCTAGGAGGTCTCTGAGGGAAATCTATGCCCAGAGTAGAAAACAAAGCAAAGTTGACCCTTTTTTTTTCTTTTTTCTTTTTGAGACAGAGTCTTGCTCTGTCCCCCAGGCTGGAGTGTAGTGGCACGGTCTCTGCTCATTGCAACCTCCGCCTCCTGGGTTCAAGCGATTCTCCTACCTCAGCCTCCCGACTAGCTGGGATTACAGGCATGCTCCACCACGCCTGGCTAATTTTTGTACTTTTAGTAGAGACGGGGTTTCACGATGTTGGCCAGGCTGGTCTCAAACTCCTGACCTCAAGTGATCTGCCCACCTCGGCCTCCCAAAGTGCTGGGATTACAGGTGTGACTACTGTGCCTGACCCAAAGTTGACTCTTTTATGTTAGCTAGGACTTTTGCTCTCAAGCTCCAGTGTAGAACAGTGAGGAATGAGGCAGGATGACAAGGAAAACTTAGTTTTCCTGTGCTAGATCAGCCTGGGGGCCTTGGATCCAAGTAGGAGCAAAATGCCTGCTCCTTTCAGCCCAAAGGTCACACTCCAGGTGTTATTCCATTGATATGACAGAAGGCTACCAGTGTTTTAGGGGAAAAAATGTTAAGAGCTGTTCAGAGTGGCAGCACCAGGCCTTCGTACATGAGAGTAGTTGCTTGAAAGCATTCTCATCTCTAGACCTCACTATCAGAGAGGTGGGGAGGCGGATAGGGTTGGGTCTGTGCAGCTCTCATGTCTCTCCACTCTATGCTAGTTGTGATGGGCATATCAGAATCTTCTGGAGAGCTTTTCCAAAATGCATTAGAATGTAAGCCCTGGGCAGACAGAGATATCTATCTTTTGTTTGTGCTGTCTCCCCAGACCCTAGAACAGTGCCTGACACCTAGTAGATGCTCCAGAAGTGTTTGTTTAGTGCATTCTATTTTGTCTATCAAAAAATAAGATGCTATAACGCTACCTAGCATTAAAGGTCCTTCCTTCAAGTTCTTCCCTCCCCTCCTCCTTCAAGTTCTTATGCCTCAGCTTCACACTGACAGTGAAGTTTCTGAGAAGGAAACCTTTGTGTGTGAAAACATTTGCCTGAATTGCAGCAGACTGTTTAAGGAAGGAGGATGAAGGAATAAATGAGTACACAAATAATGTGTGTTTGCAGAAAAGTATGTGTTTGGCTGATAAGTCACGTGGTAGTTGTTTATTTTTTTTTTGGTAAAATATACATAACATAAAACTTGCCGTTTTATCCATTTTTAACTGTATAATTTAATAACATTTATAATATTCACAAAGTTTTATGGCCATCTCCACTATTTCCAAAGATTTTTTATTGCCCCAAACAGAAACTCTTCCAGTTAAGTAGTAACTCCCCATCCACCCTTCCTTCTAGCCCCTAATAGTCTCTAATCTACCTTCTGACTTTATGAATTTGCCTATTCTAGATCATTCATATAAGTGAATTCATATAATATTTGTCTTTTGTGTCTGGCTTATTTCATTTGGCATAATGTTTTCAAGGTTCATCCATGTTGTATAGCCCATATATGAACTTCATTCCTTTCTGTGGCTGAATAATACTGCAGTGTGTGTGTGTGTGTGTGTGTGTGTGTACACGCACACACACACACACACTCCACATTTATCTGTTCATCAGTTGGTGGACACTCGGGTTATTTCCACCTTTTGAATAATGCTACTATGAACACTCACATAGAGGTATGTGTTAGAGTCCCTGTTTTGTTTTCCTTCCTTCTGTCTGTCCTTCCTTCCTTCCTTCCTTCCTTCCTTCCTTCCTTCCTTCCTTCCTTCCTTTCTTTCTTTTTTTTTTTTTTGACAGAGTTTCACTCTTGTTGCCCAGGCCGGAGTGCAATGGCGCAATCTCGGCTCACTGCAACTTCTGCCTCCCAGGTTCAAGCAGTTCTCCTGCCTCATCCTCCCAAGTAGCTGGGATTACAGGCATGTGCCACCACGCCCAGCTAATTTTGTATTTTTAGTAGAGATGGGGTTTCATCATGTTAGTCAGGCTGGTCTCGAACTCCTGACTTCAGGTGATTCACCCACCTCGGCCTCCCAAAGTGCTGGGATTACAGGCATGAGCCACTGTACCTGGCCATTTGTTTTCATTCCTTTTGGCTGTATACCTAGGAGTGGAATTGCTAGGTCATATGGTAATTCTATGTTTGACTTTTTGAGGAACCACCAAACTGTTTTCCACAGTAGCTGTACCATTTTGTATTCCCACCACAATGCACAAAGATTCTAATTTGTCCACATCCTCTTCAACACTTGTTGTTTTCCATTTAAAAAAAAATGATAGCCACCCTAGTAGGTGTGAAGTGGTATCTTGTTGTGGCTTTGACTTGTATTCCCCTAATGACTTATTTGTATTTCCCTTCATGTACTTTTTGGCTATCTGTATATTTTATTTGGAGAAATGTCTATTCAAATTCTTTGCCATTTTTAATCAGGGTTTTTTTGTCATTGAGTTATAGGAATTCTTTATATATTCTGAATATTAATCTCTGCCTCCTTCCATTATATTGTCATTGTCAAAGAGCAGATATTTATATATTGTGTGCTCATTAACATAGGTTTATAATTTTTTTTGCATTTGCTTTTTTAATCATGTAGGAAAAATGAGGAGTTTGAAACCCAAATTGTTATGTTTACCTGTTTTTTTAAAAACAATATTATTTTGTTTATAAACGAATTATTTCATGTTGCTTTATTTTAAAACAATTTAAAAATTGATGCATAATAGATGTACATAGTTTTGAGGTATGTTATAATTTAATAAATTTGTATAATTTGTGAAGATTAAATCAGTATATTTGAGATGCCCATCACCTTAAATATTTGTCTTTTCTATATGCTAGAAACATTTGCATTATTCCCTTCTAGCTATTTCAAAATGCACAGAGATTATTGTAAACTGTGGTCACCCTACTGATCTACCAAACACTAGGCTTTGTTTCTTCCACCAAACTGTATATGTGTACTCATTAATCACTTTCTCTTCGTCCCTCCTCCCTACCCTTCCTGGCCTCTGGTAACAACTAGTCTACTCTTTATCTTCATAAAATCCACTTTTCTGGCCCCCACATATGAGTGAGAGCATGTGATATTTATCTTTCTGTGCCTGGCTTATTTCACTTAACATAATGACCTCCAGTTCCATCCATCCTACTGTGAGCAAGAGGATTTCATTCTTTTTTATGGCTGAATAATATTCCATTGTGTATATATACCACATTTTCTTTATTCATTCGTCCATTAATGGGCACTTAGGTTGATTCCATATTTTGGTTATTGTGAACAATGCTGCAACAAACACAGGAGTGCACATGTTTCTTTATTATATTGATTTCCTTTGTTTTGGGTATATACCCAGTAAGTGGAATTGCTAGATCATGTGGTTGTTCTAGTTTTAGTTCTTGAGGAACCTCCAAACTGTTCTCCATAGTGATTGTATTAATATACATTCCCACCAACTGTGTATGAGGGTTCCCCTTTCTCCACATCCATGTTGTCATCTGTTGTTGCCTGTCTTCTTGATAAAAGCCGTTTTAACTGGGGTGAGATGATATAAAATTGTAGTTCTTATTTGCATTCCTCTGATGATTAGTGATGTTGAGCATTTTTTCATATGCTGGTTGGCCATTTATATGTCTTCTTTTGAGAAATGTTTATTTAAATCTTTTGCTCATTTTTAATAGGATTTTTTTTTTGCTGTTAAGTTGTTTGAGCTCCTTATATATTCTGGTTATTAATCTCTTGTTGGATGGATAGTTTGCAATTATTTTTTCCCATTCTGTGCACTGTTTTTTGTTTGTTTGTTTGTTTGTTTTGAGATGGTGTCTCGCTCTGTCGCCCAGCCTGGAGTGCAGTGGCACCATCTCTGCTTACTGCAACCTCTGCCTCCCGGGTTCAAGCGATTCTCCTGCCTCAGCCTCCCGAGTAGCTGGGATTACAGGTGCCCACCACCACGCCCAACTAATTTTTTTTTTGTATTTTCAGTAGAAATAGGGTTTTGCATGTTGACCAGGCTGGTCTCAAACTCCTGACCTCAAGAGATCTGCCCACCTTGGCCTCCCAAAGTGCTGGGATTACAGGCGTGAGCCACTGCGCCCGACCTGTTTTTTTTTTCTTGATTGTTTCCTTTGCTGTAGTACATTTTTCATTTAAGTTACTGTACTTTTTGGCTTCAGAATTCTAATGCTTCTTTTTTATAATTTCTGTCTCTTTACTGATATTCTTATTTTGTTCATACATTGTTTTCCTGGCTTCCTTTATTTATTTGTCTGTGGTTTCCTTTAGTTTTTTTTTTTTTTTAATAGAGACAGGGTCTCTGTCACCCAGGCTGGAGTGCAGTGGTGTAATTGCAGCTCACTATAACCTTGAACTCCTGGGCTCAAGTGATCCTTCTGCCTCAGTTTCCCAAGTAGATAGGACTACAGGCACATACCACCATGTTTGGCTAATTAAAAATTTTTTTTTTATAGAGACAAGTGCTTACTATGTTGCCTAGGCTGGTCTTGGACTCCTGGCCTTAAGCAATCCTCCTGCCTCAGCCTACCAAAGTGTTGGGATTACAGGCGTGAGCCACTGCCTTTCATTCATTAAGCATATTTAAGACAGCTGATTTAAAGTTTTCATCTCATATATCCAGTGTCTCAGCCTCCTCAGGGATAGTTTCTATCAATTTTTTTCCTTTGAATGGCCCATACTTTTCCTCCCAGGTAGCTGCAGGGTGTTTTTGTTAGTTTGTTTGTTTGGCCTACCTTACAACATTTTTCAAGCAATGCTTGCTGCTTGTCCGCTATGAGTGGGCTCCAAGTTAGGCAAAATGGAGATGAGAACCTCAAGTCATTCCTTTGGGTAGTCTTCAGACAGGTTAGAACAAACACAAAAAATTGCAAACAAGCCCTGCTCTGCTCCATCTGGAACCAGGGACCAGGGGATATTGGCTGCTGTGTTCAAGACCACTGCTGAGCTGGTGAGGGGGTGGGACAAGGGCAAGCAAAATGCCACACAGCCTTCCTGCCATTTTAAAGTTGCCTTGTTCTTGAGTCATTGTTCACTTGGTTGCTGTAAACCTTTGACTCTCTTCTAGAATTCTGACAAAATTGGCTCTGACAGCTTCTGCTTGTTTTTCAATGTTTCTGTGGAGGAATGGGAGTTTGGAGCTGTCTACTCTGCTATTTTGCTACACAGCCTTCCTACCATTTTAAAGTTGTCTTGTTCTTGAGTCATTGTTCACTTGGTTGCTGTAAACCTTTGACTCTTTTCTAGAATTCTGACAAAATTGGCTCTGACAGCTTCTGGTTGTTCTTCAATGTTTCTGTGGAGGGATGGGACTTTGGAGCTGTCTACTCTGCTATTTTGCTAATGCTCTTTACCAAACACGGTATTTTTAAAAAATTAAGATTCTGTATATCTTCAGAGACACTGCAACCTTTGGGGAAGAACAGTGTTAAGCGCTATGTTTTGTTAAACTTAACATGTTACTGAGATAGTAAATGTCCCAGAGGTAGTCTTTCAAATTGTATCATAGGCTCTTATCACATATTTTCACTGAGAAGCTAGAGATCGAGAAACATCTAACTAGTGTGTAACTTCAGGTTCATAGTCAACAAATTTTCTCCTTTTACTTCTTCATATCTACCCCTAAAACTAATTTTAGGTAAAGACACATTTACTTCAAATTGTCTTGGGTTATTAAAAGGATTGATTCTCAGATTACTTTTGTTGAGTGTAGAATGAACGAGGTGTAGCAGACTCCAGTTACCTCCCAATATCCATTGTTCCTTTCATTGTTCCAGTAGAACCCTGTTCTAATTAGCTCAGCATATTGCTGTGCAATAAGAAAACTACATTTCCTGGCCTGTCTTGCAGCTGGGTGTAGTTATGTGATCAAGTTCTGGCCAAAGGTAGGAGGAGAAGTATGTGGGATTTATGCAAAGTATTCTTAAAGGAAAGGGGCGTGCCCCTCTTCTACCATGCCTTCTGTCTGCTTCCTGGAATGTGGATGTAATGGCTAGAGCTCCAGCAGCTGTATTTGGTCAAGAGGTAACCGTGGGAATGGAGAACACTTCTGGCAATACAATAAAATAGATGACGCTGTAGTCTCTGATAGCATAGAGCTGCCATGCCAGATTTGGACTGAATACTTATGTATTTCTTATAAGTAAGAGAGAAATGGGTTTTTGTTATTTGCTGCTGAACCTGAATGTAACTTTTACATCAGGCACTGAGTTGCACTTGGAACTTGGGTGTGACATACAGGGCTGTTTTGAGGACTTGGTGCAGATGTTCGTACCTATGATGAATGTGGCACTGCTTGGGATTCTAGGGGAGGCCAAAGAGTAGACAGTACAGGGCCAGAGAAAGGATTTGAGGAAAAGATTCAGATTTAAAGTGTTGCTTATATTTGGGAACTTTGGGGCATCTAACAACTACCCATGCATTTGATGATGTGCCAGAAAGACTCACAGGATCCAGAGACAGTTGTATTAAAGCCATGACTTATTACAGTGAAAACATACACAGCAAGATCAGCAGGAGAAAAAGACATAATGGGTGGAGCCTGAAAGAGTAAATGTGAGCTTCCTAAGTTCTCCCTTAGGAGGTTGGGGGTGGGGCTGCATAGAACAAACTTTTTCCACCTGCAATTAAATGTAGCGGCACATATGCAGTGTTTCTGTTTAGGGAAGCTTGCTTAAGACACAGGCTTTTCTGTATTGAGGGCTGATCAGGCGTTCTTATTGAAATTTCTGAGTTTCAGAAGGAAAGCAGGTGTTCACCATAAATCACATTTGCAAAAGCAATTTAGCCTGGCTGGTACAGCAGAATTCAGTGTTCCAGGCACACAAAACAACCTTATCAATTAGTAGCATAGGTAATATCTCACAGGCCAAGTTCCCAGGACCTATTGGAATATGAGGTCATGCAGGCATGCCCTCCTAGAGATAGCAACATCAGGCCTGTTATATTAACTTTTTCCTGCAGAGTAATATGTGGTGTCAACTGGCTGTTAGCTTTTTGTGTTCTTGAGGCTTCCTCAGTTTCATCCACACTCTTATTTTTTTCATCATTACCTTTTTAGGCTCATTAATTTTTTTTTTTTGAGATGGGGTCTCACTGTGTCACCCAGGCTGGAGTGCAGTAGCATGATCACAGCTCACTGCAGCCTCACACTCCTGGATTCAAGTGATCTCCTGCCTCAGCCTCCTGAGTAGTTGGGATTACAGGTGCATGCCACCACGCCCGGCTAATTTTTAAGAACTTTTTGTAGAGATAGGATCTCACTGTGTTGCTCAGGCTGGTCTTGAATGCCTGGGCTCAAGTGATCCTCCCACCTTGGCCTCCCAATGTGTTGGGATTATAGGCATGAGCCACAACACCTGGTCAGATTTATTAATTTAATTTTTAACATTATCACAAGTAAAATTGACTTTTTACTTTTGATATACAGTTTTATGAATTTTAACATATAGATAGATAGATATGTGTAACCACCACCACAACCAAGATGAAGACTTGTTCCAGTGTAAAAAACTCTCTTGTACTACCACATCACTTGGACAACCACTGATCTAGTCTCCATCACTGTAATTTTGTCTTTTCAAATATGTCATATAAATGGAATTGTACAGTATGTAACATTTTGGGACTAGCCTTTTCACTCTTCATAATGCCTTGGAGATTCACCCTTGTTGTTGCATGTATCTATAATTAGGTCTTTTTTTTTTTCTCTGTGGGATTCCATTTTATGAATGTATCACAGTTTATTTGCCAGTTGAAGAACACTAGGCTTGTTTCGAGTTTTTGATAATTATGAATAGGGCTGCTATAAACATTACTGTACAGGTTTTTGTATGAATGTAAGTTTTTATTTTTCTATGGTAAATACCCAGGAATGGGATTGCTGGGTCAGAGGGTAGGCATATGTTTAACTTTATAAGAAACCTGCCGAACTGTTTTCTAGGGCAACTGTACATTCCATCTAGCAACATGTAAGAGTTTAGTGCTCCACATTCTCTTTAGAACTCGGTATTGTTAGCATTTTTAATTTTAGCTATTCTAATAGATGAATAGCAGTATCTCATTGTGGTTTTAATTTATATTTCCCTAATGTTGAATATATTTTCATGTGCTTATTTGTCATTTATATATCCTTTTTGGTGAAATGACTGAGTCTTTTGCCCATTTTTAAATTGTACTGTTGTTTTTCTTTGGAGTTTCGAGTGTTCTTTATATACTTTGATGGAAGTACTTCATTAGATGTGTAATTTGCAAATATTCTCTCCTAGCTTTGGGGTTTTTTTTTTCTTTTCAGTATCTTAACCATATCTTTTGGAGAGCAAAACTTTTAAATTTCGATGCAGTCCAATTTATCAACTTTTATTTATCATGCTTTTGGTGTCATGTCCAAAACTATATAATCCCAGGTTGAGAAGATTTTCTCCTATGTTTTCTCCTAAATGTTTTATGGTTTTGCATTTTATATTTAGATCTATGATTTATTTTGAGTTAATGTTTGTAGAAGGTATGAGGTTTAGGTTGAGTTTTTTTATGTATAGATGTTCAATTGTTCCAATATTTTTGATGTTCTTTTGTTCCAAAAGATTGTTGTTGACAATCTTTTCTTCACTGAATTACTGTCACAACATTGTCAAAAATCAATTGTCCATATTTGTGTGGATCTATTTCCGGACTTTCTATTTTATTCCACTGATCTGTGTATCTAGCTCTTTGCCAATACCACACCATCTTTCTTACTGCAGTTTTATAGAAGGTCTTAAAATTGGGTAGTGTGAATCCTCCAACCTTACTCTTTCTCAAAATTGTTTTAGCTGTTCTAGTTCCTTTGCCTTTCCATATACATTTTAGAGTCAGGTTGTCTCTACCTGCGGAATGTCTTGCTGGTACTTTGATTGGAATTGTATTGAATCTGTTAGTCAATTTGAGGAGAATGGACATTATTACTGTATTGGATTTTCTGATCCATGATCATTATATTTCTCTGCTTAGGACTTCTTTATCTCAAAAATGTTTTATAGTTTCAATGTACAGGTCTTACATATATTTAATGGACTTATCCTTAAGTATTTCACATTTGTGATGGTATTACATTTGATATTATTTTCATAATTTCAATTTCCAGTTGTTCATTGCTAATATATAGAAATACAATTAATTTTTATGTATGAGTCTTGTATCCTGTAACCTCACTAAACTCACTTGTTCGTTTTAGTAGCTTTTTTTTTTTTTGCTTATTTCATACATAGACAATCATGTCATCTGTGAATAAGGACAGTTTTATTTCCTTCTTTGCAATCTGGATGACTTTGATTCCCTTTTTCTTGCCTAATTGCATTGGTTAGAACCTCTAGTACAGTGTTGAATTAGAAGTGGTAGGGCCATAGTGGACATCCCTATCCTGTTACTGATTTTTGGGGAAAGCAAAGTTTTTCACCATTAAAGCTAGCTGTAGGTTTTATTTGTTTGTGGCTATTGTAAGTGGGGTTGCCTTCTTGATTTCTTTTTCTGCTAGTTCATTATAATGTATACATATACATATACAATGTATATATTACAATATATGGTCGATATATAGAAATGCTACTGCTTTTTAATGCTGATTTTGTATCCTGCAAATAAATTGAATTTGTTTATATCTAAGAGTTTTTTGGTGGAATCTTTAGGTTTTTCTAAATATAAGATTATGTCATTTGCCAAGAGGGATAATTTGACTTTTTTTCCAATTTGGATGCCTTTTATTTATTTCTCTTTTCTGATTGCTCTGGTCAGGAATTTCAGTACAATGTTGAATAGGAATGGCGAAAGTGGGCATCCTTGTCTTGTTCCAGTTCTTAGAGGAAAGGCTTTCAGCTTTTCCCCATTCAGTATGATGTTAGTTGTGGGTTTGTCATATATGGCCTTTAGGGAAGCTTTAATTTTATAAACGTGTTTTGATCTTTCTTGTTATTGTAATCCCCATATACATACACTCTGTCCTTTGGTATTTATTTTTCTTGAACTGTGGACTTCGTGTGTGTGTCTGTATGTTTATACAGTTAAGTATATGTAAATGTGTTTAAATACACATTTAAAACAAGTCTACCATGGACTATCTTTTTCTAGTCTAGGACTCTGTTGACTGCTGTACATTTTTGCTGCTGAGAGAACTAGGGGGAAAGAAAAGATTGCATTCATTAATAGAGTGGGCTATGAATGAGCCAGAATGATTCTCCCCAGTGGTATGAATAAGACAATTGTCTATTTTCAATGGCAGTGTTATGCTGAGTGTTTATGATGGCTCTGAAGAGAGACAGACAAGATGGTGATACTGTAGTGATTTTTATCCATTGTGGGAAAATCTGGTAAAGAGTCAAGGTCTGTTATAGCAGATGAAGTCCTCCCAGCAAAGTTGGGGAAAAAGAGACAGGTAGTTCAGTAGGAGACAACTGTTTACCAAGGCATTGGAAGAGCTGAGAAGCCAAACAGAGTGTGTTGAAGCAAGCTAAAGATGAGCAACAGCAGAAAGCTACTTTCATCCCTGGGGCTGACACAGGGAGAAGGTAGTATTACCAGAGCCCAGGAATGAGGTTGCCTGGCAAGAACAACTATTGTGAGGGCTGTTGGGACCTGGTCGGAGGGCTGTCTGATGGGAGCTTCAGCCATGGAGAACACATAGCCACCACCAGAGAGAGAGAGAGAGAGAGATGATAGGAGTCACTCCTTACCCTGTGACATGTGCAGAGCAAGAAAGGGCATAAAATGGATCCAAGGGCCAAGACTAGCATGAAGATTCTTCTTCAGATTGAATACCTATTCTGGTGTGTAGTATATCCAATACCTACATACAATATGGAAGGGAGGAAAAAAACTGTGTGGTCAGGGTCAAGAAGAACTAATATGTCTGTCACCAAACTCAGGGGGAAAGGAAATCAGGTATCGAGGCACAAGCTGGAACTGCTGTGGTAATATATGCCTGAAGGATGGGATGAGGTAATTATGACAAATTTCTCATTTAAAATATTAAGCATATGTGTTAAAAAACCTCACATCAGCTATTTTGTAAGCTTATCTGTCGTTGTTTTATTGAATTATTATATATTATTTAGGGAGAGGAAGTGGCGGTAGATATGGAGATAGAAGGAAGAACACTTTTTATAGTGTAAGTAATGTTGTAATTTAATATACACATTAATCTTTGTAGGCACAATGGTAGGTATTTCTGTAACAATGCCTTTTTTCAGAGAGCCACATTAACAGTGATACCCTGGTATCTCCAGGACCGTTTTTGATGAGTTTAGCCAGAGAAACTGTGCCCGGGGTGGGTACTAATCTCTCTGAATCAATGCTATTTGGTGTTTGTTTGTTTGTTTTGTTTTTTTTTTTTGAGATGGAGTCTTGCTCTGTCGCCCAGGCTGGAGTGGAGTGGCATGATCTCAGCTCATTGCAACCTTTGCCTCCTGGGCTCAAGCGATTCTTCTTTCTCAACCTCCCGAGTAGCTGGGACTACAGGCACGTGCCACCACACCTGGCTAATTTTTGTATTTTTAGTAGAGATGAGGTTTTGCCACGTTGGCCAGGCTGGTCTCGAACTCCTGACTTCAGGTGATCCACCCACCTTGGCCTCCCAAAGTACTGGGATTACAGGCATGAGCCACCATGCCAGGCAATGCTATTTGGTTTTATAGTAATGTTTCTTCAATTTCTATAATTCAGGCAGTTCTTGAAAAATTCCTAAATAGAGTTGGGTTTCCGTAAAAGAGGACATTTCCACAGGAGTCCTGTAATTAAGCCCTTGCTGGTGTGGAGGGCTTGGTCTGGCCAGTGACACAAGGTCAAGGGATGATGTAAATTTGAGAAGTTTTTTCTGCCTCAAAAGGCCAAATGGACATCAAGCATTTATGTGTTACAAGAACATATAAGTTAACGAAAACAAGTTCTGTCTTTGAATTATAGCAACTCAGGTGAGACTATTAGTTATTTCAAATTGATCACAATTCTTGATTGAATGTTAATACTATAGATGTCCAAACTTTTCTTTTCTTTTCTCTTTCTTTCTTTCTTTCTTTCTTTCTTTCTTTCTTTCTTTCTTTCTTTCTTTCTTTCTTTCTTTCTTTCTTTCTTTTTTTTGAGACAGGGTCTCACTCTGTTTCCTAGGCTAGAGTGCAGTGGTGTGATCTCTGCTCACTGCAGCCTCCACCTCCTGGGCTCAAGTGATCCTCCCACCTCAGCCTCCCAAGTAGCTGGGACTATAGGTGCATGCCACCACACTTGCTAGTTTTTTTTTAATTTTGTAGAGATGAGGTCTCACTATATTGCCCAGGCTGGTCTCGAATTTCTGGGCTCAAGTGATTCTCCCACCTCAGTCTCCCAAAGTGCTGGAATTACGGGCATGAGCCACTGCACCCAGCCCCAAACTTTCTGTGTATGACTGATTAGCAAAATATTCAGTGAGTTATTACCTAATGCATTGTAATTTGCTTGATGCAATCTTTCAGTATTTCAAATATCCAGTCCTTGTGGGAAAAGGCTGATAAAACTGGAAATACTAATAAACAGACTTCTGGTTTCAGCCTAGATATGTGGCATGCAGAGCTGTCATCATTACAAAAAGAAAAAGCTGGACAAATGGAAAATTAATAACTTTTCCTGAACCTAGGAAAGAAATGGAGATTTCAGGGCAAATGATTAACCCAAAATCAGGAGAGAGACAGGTACCACTGAAGAAAGAAACAGGACCTGAACATTTGCTTACTTGGGACAGATACTGTTGAATGGCATATAAACCAGTAAGAAGATTAAACCAGAAATTTGTAATGAATTGCTCAAAGTTGGGGGCCACAGATATAGGGATTTCTTGCCCTCTTACAGGCTTTTCCTCCAGGATTCCTGCCAAATACTCACAGGGAAGATCAGGGAGAATCCTGAGAAAGTTTTTCCTGTGTCTTGGCTGGGGTAGAAGAACAAAAGCCACTGCCAAAATCTGCCTAGATATCTCTCCATCTCCCTAAGGAACAAAAGTCTTAATCTGCAGGAAGAAAGTAACAGAAAGTGAGACTACTGGTGGAAACCCACTGTAATTGGGGAAGGAGAAGAGGAAAAAGAAAGAAGATCTACTTTCTTGGGAAAGGAAATGAATGCCTGGTAGGCCTGGCATTGTGTTTGGAGGAGGATCAGGAATGCTTATGAAGGCCACAACCCCAAGACCCAGGTTCACAGTATCTGCATAATATTGCAAATTAATCAGAATATCAGAATACCCCCATTTCTCACCTCCTTACTATAAAGCTAACAAGCATCAAATAAAAATAACAATGGAATAAGGCCTGGGGAGCTGCAAGAGAGAGATTGTCTCTGGGGAGCAGTACAAAAACTTAAAAGTCAAGTATGGAGACCCAAAGCCAAGCGAGGGGAAGACATTGAGAAAAATCTTGTGGCAAATTACCCAATGCCATAAAAACAAGCTATCAGTACAGGAATATGAAGGCTCCTGAGGCCCTGAGCATAACCATGGAAACAATAATCTTCAAACCTAGCCCACCTCCTGATTACATTAATACAAACCTCAATGCTAAAGGCCTATCAGAAAAAAAGGTGTACTCATCTTCAAGTATAAAAAATATTTACCTCAGTACCATTTTGATACAAAATATCTGACCATCAGAAATACATTACAAGACCAAAAAGGCAAGAAAAGGCAAGAGACAAAGCAGTCACCAGAACCAGGCTCATGTATGACACAGATGTTGGAACTATCAGAGAATTTTTTTTTAAACTATGATTAATATTTTTGAAGCTCTAATGGAAAAAGTAGATAACATGCAAGATCAGATAAGTAATTTTAGGACAGAGATGGAAAATAAAAGAAAAAATCAAATTCAAATGCTAGAAACAAAAAATACAGTAACAAATGAAGTGGACTGTGGACTGTAAGAGTCAATGAACTTAAAGATATTGGAAGGCAAAGGGTGAAATGATCAGAACAGAATATCCAAGAGAAGAGTAACAATGTCAAATGGTCTAACATTCACATAATTGGAATCTTGGGAGGAAGAGAGAGAATGAGAATGGGACAGAAATATTAGAAGAAGTAATAGCTGAGAGTTTTCCAAAATTAGTGACAGATGCCAAACCACAGATCCAAGAACTTTAGAGAACACCAAGCAAGATAAATACCAAAACAATAAACAGATACCCAGGCATATCACATTTGAACTGCTTAAAACTAAAGACAAGGTGTCTGGGTGCGGGGAGAGGGCAGGGGGAGGAGTAGAGGAGGAAGTGCTATATACAGAGGAAAAGGATAAGAAATACAGCAGACTTTTCAGTAAAAGACCATACAAGCAAGAAGACAGTGGGGTGGCTTGTTTCAAGTGTTGACAGAAGAAATTGTCAACCCAGAATTCTATATCCAGTGAAAATGTCCTTCACAAATGAAGAAGAAAAAAGACTTTTTGAGACAAACAAAAACTGAGGGAATTTATTGCCAGCAGACCCACTCTACAAGAAACGTTAAAGGAAATTCTTCAGGCAGAAAAAAGTGATATAATTTGGAAAACTGGATCTACAAAAAGAATCAAAGAATGTCAGAAATGAAGTAAGTGAAGATGAAATCTTTTAAACATTTAGTTGTTCTAAAAATAAGTGATTTTTAAAAAATAAAATTTATAACAATGTGTTGTGTGTTTATAGCATATGTAAAAGTGAAATGTATGACAACAATGGCACAAAGATGGAAGGGAGGAATTGGTAAAATACTGTTATAAGGTCCTATGCTCCTTGTGAAGTGGCTATATTATTTGAACTCAGATTATTTAAAAACATTGTAAACCCTAGGATAACTATTTAAAAAGTTTAAAAAGAGGTATAAATAATAAGTCAATAGAGGTGATAAATTGAATAATAAAAAATGCTCAATAAAACCCAGAGAAAGCAGAAAAAAGAGGAAAAAAGGAACAAATTGATCAAATAGAAAACAACTAACAAGATAGTAAATTTTGACCCTCCATATAAATAGTTGCTTTAAATGTGAAAATGTGAATCATCTAAAAGACAGAGATCATCAGATTGGATTAAAAAAAGCAGACACAATTTATAAGCTGTCTACAAGAAAAAGCCCACTTTAAATATAAAGACATAGATACATTATGCTAAATGAAAGAAGTCATGCACAGAAGATCAGCCACTGTGCGGTTTCATTTATATGAAATGTTTAGAAAGGGCAAATATATAGAAACAAAGTAGGTTAATGGTTGCCGAGGGCTGGAGGTGGAAAACTGGTATTTACTGTTCATGGATACCAGGGATCTTATTGGAGTGATTGTGTTGATGGTTGCATAACTTGTTAAATTTACTAAAAATCATTGAATCGTATGCTTAAATTGAGTGAATTTTGTGGGATGTGAATTATAACTCAATAAAATTGATTTAAAAAAACAATAAGTGTGGTGATGCAAAAAAAAAAATGACTGTGGCCAGTTTGGCCATTTCTTGTAGAAGAGTCTCAGCCACCTGAAGGCTTCCAGATCCTTAATAACTCATCAGGTCCCTGCCAGCACAGGGAACATCATAGACCTGTCAGCACTTAAAGGAACAAAAGTAATGAACATTTACATTAAAAAATGAGTGTGAAATAATGACATTCCCAGAAAAACAAAGATTGAAATGTTAATGTCTGTTCATTTTTGCTTCAGTGATTTGGTATTCTGTTTTTAGATGTGTCCACTTTAATAATTTTTATATCTTCCTGATGACATTATGATGAAGGGTCTTTCCGTCTATAATATTTATTGTCTAGAGTTTATTTCATCTGATATAAATGTAGTTACTGTAGTGCTTTTATGATTGGTGTTACCTGGCATATGTTTTCCAGTCCTTTTACTTTAAACGTATGTGTGTGAGTGTGTGTGTGTGTGTGTGTTTTAATCTACAACAATGGTTCTCAACTGGGCAATTTAGCCCCCTTGTGACATGTGACAGTAGCTGGAAATATTTTTGGTTGTCATACCTGCATGGCAGCTACTGACATCTAATGAATAAAGGCCAGGGCTACTACTAAATATCCTATGATGCACAGAAGAGCTCTTACAACAAAGAATTATCCAGCCTGAAATTTCAGTGGTGCTAAGGTTGAGAAGCCCTGATCTAAAATGTGCCTCTTTTAGATAGCATAAAGTGGAATCTTGGTTTTTTCCCCAGTGTGACAATTGCTGCCTTTTGATTGCAGTGTTTAGTCCAGTCCCCTTTAATGTAAGTATTCGTATGGTTGGATTTATATCTGCAATTTTGCTATTATTTTCTATATATTTCATGAAAGTTTTGATTCTTTGTTTTTTTTTCACTGCCCTCCATGTGTGTGGGAGAGATAGTACTAGTTTACCATTTTAATTCCTTTGTGTTTTTTCCACTATATTTTTGAGTTAGTTTCATAGTGGTTGCTCTAGGGATTACAATAGTCATCTTAACTTAATCTACTTTAGTGTGATGCTAATTTAATTCCAGTAAAATATTGAAACTTTCTTTGATTCTAACTCCATTACCACATCCCTCCATCATGCTAGTATCATAAAATATGTATCATCTATATAAGCTACAACCCTAACAATACAGCATTGTAATTATTGTTTAATTCAGTTTTATGTCTTTTTAAGAGTTTAGAGAAGAGAAAAAGGTATACATGTATATAGTGTTTTATAGTTACTCATATTTTTACATTTTCCAGTGCTCTTAATTTCTTTGTGTGGCTTTGAGTCATTGTCTAGTATCATTTCCTTTTACCTAAAAGACTTCCTTTAGTATTTCTTGTAAGGCAGATCTGCTAGCAACAAATTCTTTGCTATGGATAGCAGCAAATAGTCTTTTTTAGGTTTGTAACGTGTATATAGCCCTTAATAATGTATTGTTTAGTCTTGCCTATTTTTGTGCTTCCTGAGTCTTTTTTGCCAATATTTTAAAAATGTTGAGTAGTTAATACATTTACATGGTCTACATATAAAAGCAAATTTAAAAGGGACAGATTGAAAAGGTATACCTCACCCCCAACTCTCCATTTCTCCTTAACATTGTAGTAACCACTTTTCTTAGTTGTTTGTCATTTCAGTGTTTCTTTACATAAATAAAAGCAAATACAAATATACGTGCTAATTTCCACCTTTTCTCTGACCAAAGGTAGTATACCATGTGTCCTGTACTGCACCTTGTGTTTTTCATTTAATTTGTCCTAGAGATTTTGCCATATTGGTACGAAGAGGTATTCCTCATTCTTTTCTTTCATAGCTGCGTGGTATTCTATTGTTTGGATGTACCATAATTTAGTCCTTTGTTGGTGGGCCCTAGGGTTGTTTCTTATAGTAATCGAACAATACTGTAGCAGGAAACCTTGAGCATCTTATGTATGTGCGGGTGTATTTGTAGAATAGATTCCTGGGAGTGGGACTGTTAGATTAAAAGGTATATGCATTTGCAATTTTAGATGACATTGCCAGATTCTTCTCATTAGAAGTTGTAGCATTTTTTACTTCCTCCACAATATATGAAAGTGCTTATTTCCCCATCTTCTCACCAACAGGGTGTGTTATCAAACTTTTGGATTTTTTTTTTTTTTCTTGAGACAGTCTCAATCTGTCGCCCAGACTGGAGTGCAGTGGTACGATCTTGGCTCACTGCAACCTCCGCCTCCCGGGTTCAAGCGATTCTCTTGCCTCAGGCTCCTGAGTAGCTGGGATTATAGGTGCCCACCACCATGCCCAGCTCATTTTTGTATTTTTAGTAGAGATAGGGGTTTTACCATGTTGGCCAGGCTGTTCTCGAACTCCTGACCTCAGGTGATCCTCCCGCCTCAGCCTACCAAAGTGCTGGGATTACAGGCATGAGCCACCATGCCCAGCCAAACTTTTGGATTTTTGTAAGTATGAGTGAATGATGTCTCAACGTCATTTTATTTTATTTTTTTGAGACAGGCTGGAGTGCAATGGCACAATCTCAGTTTACTGCAACCTCTGCCTTCTGGGTTCAAGTGATTCTTATGCTTCAGCCTCCCTCTTGAGTAGCTCGGATTACAGGCGCCTGCCACCATGCCTGGCTAATTTTTTTTTTCTTTCAGTAGAAACGGTTTCTCCATGTTGGCCAGGCTGGTCTCAAACTCCTGACCTCAAGTGATCCACCCGCCTCAGCCTCCCAAAGTGCTGGGATTACAGGCATGCGCCACCACACCCAGCCCTCAGTGTCATTTTAATTTGCATTTCTCTTATAAGTAATGATGAATATCTTCTTAAAAGTTTTAAGGGCCATTCGTATTTTTTTTTCTGTGAATTGCCTACTTATATTCTTTGTCTATTTTTTTTCCCATGGGCTTGTCTTTTCTCTTGAGTCCTAGGAGTTTTTTGTATATTACAGAGATTAGCCCTTTATCTGTGATAAATTGCAAATATTTTTTCTGTTTTTCCTTTTTAGCTTTGCTTATGTATTTCCTCCTTCTTAGAAGTTTGTTGTTATAACTATCAAGTGTTTAGAATCTTCAATTTTTTTATTTTTAAATTTTTATTAAATTTTTATTTTTTAGAGACATGGTCTCTGTCATCCAGGCTGGACTGCAGTGGCATAATCATAGCTCACTGTAATCTCAAACTCCTGGGCCCAAGCAGTCCTCCTGCCCCAGCCTCACAAATAGCTAGAACTACAGGTGCACACCACCACACCTGGCTAATTTTAATTTTAATTTTTTTTAATTTTTTATATGGAGTATGGCTATGTTGCCTAGGCTGCCCTCGAATTCCTGGCCTCAAGTGATCCTCCCACCTTGGCCTCCCAAAGTGCTGGGATTACAGGCATAAGCCACTATACCTGGCCCATTTTTTTTTTTAAGATGCCTGGACCTTATCATTAGAAAGATATTCCCCACCAAATGGCTACCAAATTGTCCCAACACCAGTGACTAAAATGTCCATATTGACCCCACTGATTTGAGATGCCTTCTCTTTCATCCACTACCTGTATATATTTCTGGACTTTCTGTTCTGGTCCATTGGTATTTCTCTATTCATGAATTAATACCACAGTACCAATTGTTATGGACCTTAGAACATATTTTAAAATCTGGTAGGGCTAGTGGCTTCTCATTGCTTTTTTTCCCCCTGAGTCTTCCTGGTTCTTCTTGTTTGTTTAGTTTTGTGTATGACTCTAAAATTAGCTTTCCTGTTTTCTGTCCAAATGCCTATTGGTATTTTTATTGGATAGCATTGGATTTATGAGTCGAAGTGGGAGAATCATTTTTATGATGTTGATTCTTCCTATTCAAAGATATCCTGTGACTTTCCATTGGTTAAAGCCTTTTGTGTTCTTCTGGAGTGTTTTTGAGTCTTCCACTTAAGTTTTGTACATTTCCTAAGTTTATTCCTGGATATTTTATATTTTTGGTACTATTATAAACAAGGTCTTCTCATCCATTTTATATATATATATATATATATATATATATATATATATATAATTTTTTTTTTTTGAGACAGTCTCGCTCTGTTGCCCAGGCTGGAGTGCAGTGGTGTGATCTAGGCTCACTGCAGCCTTGACCTCCTGGGCTCAAGCAGTCCTCCCACCTCAGCCTCCTGAGTAGCTGGGACTACAGGCATGCACCACTCTGTCCAGCTAATTTTGTTCATTTTTTGAGAAGACCAGGTCTCACTTTGATTCCCAGGGTGGTCTTGAACTTTTGAGCTCTGGTGATCCTCCTGCCTTGGCCTCCCAAAGTGCTGGGATTACAGGCATGAGCCACCACACCCAGCCTCATCCATTATGTCTTTAACCTCTATTGTTGTTCTAGATTTCCTTTATTTTCTTTTTTTAAAAAGATTTTGCTTAGCTCCATTTTTTTTTCATTTTTAACTCTCATTTTCAGGATATTTTCTGAAAATTTTCAAGTGATTCTTACTATATTTCTGTCTTACAGTGAATTATCTTGAAAATTAATGTAAGAAATCAACATTGTGAAGATTGATTAGGATTTCTAGTGTAAATGTTGGATGTAATGGTGAGTTTATCATAAGTCCTTAAAGGGTATGAAGGCTGAACCCCAGAGTGTATTTTGACATTGGTTTAGTGAAGGCAGGCTGAGCATGAACCAGAACTTGAAACCGTGAAAGTTAACAGATTAGCTACTGAATAACTATTTTAGCTAAATGTTGAGTGGCAAGGGTTAAAAAATAAATATTTATCCAAACCAAAATATCACCAACTTAGAATGAACCTCTGAGTTAAATAAATCTGAAATTTTATTCAGAAATATATTATTATTGCAATTTTATTAAAAATTTCAGGAATCATCTTTTTAAAGTTTGACATTGAAGGCAAGAGATCATTTCTTTTCTTTCTTTCTTTTCTTTTTCTTTTTTTGATGGAGTCTCGCTCTGTCTCCCAGGCTGGAGTGCAGTAGCGTGATCTTGGCTCACTGCAACCTCTGCCTCCCTGGTTCAAGCGATTCTCTTGCCTCAACCTCCCGAGTAGCTGGGATTGCAGGCACCCACCACCATGCCCAGCTAATTTTGTATTTTTAGTAGAGATGGAGTTTCGCTGTGTTGGTCAGGCTGGTCTTGAACTCTTGACCTCAGGTGATCCACCCATCTCGGCCTCCCAAAGTGCTGCGATTACAGGCATGAGCCACCACGCCCAGCCAGCAAGAGATAATTTCTCAGCACCATCAGTTGCTAGATTGCATGTGAGTTCATTAGATTGTATGTATGTCATACGAAAGACATAACTAGAAATTAAATGCAACTCTAAAAGTTTGTTTTGCAATGTTATGTTAATGCACCAAACAATTCTACAAAGACTAGAATTATGTTATAATCTAATATCTATTATTGTATCTTGTATTGTTACTTAAATTTTTAGGTATTTATTGGCTTAACCAAATATATTGTTTTTCCTTAAGTTATTTAATTATTGCACTCTTCATTCATTAATTCACTCAAATATTCACTGGCTGTTTACCTATTTTTTAAAGTATTCCCTTTTTAAAAGCCAGGTTTATTGAGGTATAATTTACATACAACAAAATTCATTTCTTTTAAATATACAGTTCAATGAGTTTTGACACTGCGTACACTTGTGTAACCACCACCAAAATCAAGATAATAGAACATTTCTATCCCCCTGGAAATCTGCTTTTGCAGAACATGCCCTTCTTCTACCCTAGCTCTTGGCAACTACTGATCTGTTTTCTGTCTCTATAGTTTTGCCGTTTTTAGAACATCATGTATTAGATAACCTTTTGTTTTCTAGCTTCTTTCACTTAGCATAATGCTTTTGAGATTCATCTGTGATGTAATGTGTATCAATAGTTTGTTCCTTTCTTATTGCTGAGTAATATTCAATTGTCTGGATATATCACAGTTTACTTATATATTCACCATTCATTGAACATTTGGGTTGTTTTCAGTTATGAGGTATTATAAATAAAGCTGCTATGAACATTTGCTTACATGTCTTTGTGTGAGCATGGGTTTTCATTTCTGTTGGAATAAATACCCAAGGTGAGATTCCTTGGCTGCATGGTGAGTGTATGTTTAACTTTAAAAACCTGGCAATCATTTTTAGAAGATCTGAACATTTTTCATTTCCATCAGCAATGTAGAAGCTTTTCAGTTGTTCCACACCTTTACCAACTTTTGTTATTTAGGAATTTTAAATTTTATCAATTCTAGTATGAAGTGGTATCTTACTGTTTTAATTTGCATTTCCCTACTGACTAATAATGTTGAACATCTTTTCTTATGCCTATTTGCCATCCATATATCCTCTTTGAAGTCTCTGTTTGTACTTGTTTGCCCATTTTAAATTTATCTTTTTTTGTCTAATTGAGTTGTGTATTTTATATTTTCTGGATACCAATCCTTCGTCAGATAAGTAGTATGCAATATTTTCTACCTGTCTGTGGCCTGTCTTTTCATTTCCTGAACTGTGTCTTTTGAAGAACAGAAATTTTAAGTTTTTGACAAAGTCCTGTTTATCAATTAATTTTTCCTTTATGGCTTGTGCTTTTTGTGTTTATCTTAATACATTCTTAATAGGTTAACTATTTTGTATATCAAATTAACCGCTCTCACAGTCATTAATTGGTACTTTATTCTTACAATAATAAAGATCAATATATCTCTCAAGAGATTAATACAATTTTTATTCCATCTTACATATAGACTTAATAAATACAAATGGTACACTTTTTTTATATTACTCAGATTGTTATGCTGGTCACTGTGCTATCGTGCAATAATTGGTCACTAACAGTTAAGGGATACCAAAAATGATATTGCAGGAGACGTTCAGTTACTTCTGAAGATCAGAGATGATTTTTGCCTAAGTCAAACTTTGGGATATCCCTAATTTACATTGGCTAGTTCTTTGTGTTTATTTTGGCATTAAGTACAGATTTAAATCTTTCCACGAAGAGACTCAAGCGCAATCATAATTTTTCACAAGACTAAGTCATATGCTGGTTACCCAAGCATTTGCTGACTATTTGTTGTACAGGGACACAGGCTCTACTCACAAGGATGGCTATGGGAACATTGTGCAAAGGGAGTTATTAAGCAATTAGCTTTGCGATCCCTCTGGCGTATCTTCCTCCTGCTGTGGAATCAAGAGAGTGGTTTGGATGAGGCTTGTGGCCTTTAATATTTCATGTGTATAAGGATCACTGTCATCCAGACATCGGAACTTTTAAAATTCCATGACTTTCCTTCACTGTACCAGAGTAATTGTGACCCAGCTTCATTTGCTTAAATGCAGTTAAGGTTTTGCTGAATTTTTAGTGTTTAAGAGATTGCATTGGGGTACCAGGTGATAGGAAGAGAAAATAAAAGGTTTCTGCCCCCGAGTTGACACTCTTGAGTGTAACACAACTGTGCACAGTGAGCCAAAGGGTGAAGCAGGCTGTGTGGCTGAGTTTAGGGTATGCGGGGATCAGTTGTAGGAGATGAGACAGGAAACATATTCAGGCAATAGATTGTGGGGGACCTTGATTGCCCTTTTGGGGCCCAAGGCTGCATTCCATTAAAAAGTGAATTGGCATTCATGAGTGAAGGCTTGGGCTGATATAGGCCTACCTGAGAGTGACCCTGGCCTCCTATGCTCTATGTTGTTGAAAACAGTAAGAGTTAAGATAATTGGGGGATGTTGCGCCTGCCTTGGTTGTCACATGGAGCTGCCCCTCCACTGGGAAGCTGTAAATTGGCATGGGGACATTTGGCATGCCTGAGGGTGGTATAAAAGATTGACAGGAAAAGGGGCTGTTTTTTTCATCAGCAAAATCCGCAAACATCTTGCCTATCATCCGTGGCAGTCATACGTGACCTGTGTGGATGAGGGACACAAGTAGCTGTAGACTTGGGTAGCTGCTGGTCCTCCCATTGAGATGAAGCTGCGGTCCCTGATGGGTTTCCTCTCCTGTGTCCTAATATAAAGATAAGTAAATATTGTATTAAATGGAAACCAGTGTGTGTCTTGGGGCTCTGGTTGCCGCTTGGTCTCATCACCATAGCTGTGCCACTGCACTGACACCTTGAAATGGAAGGTTAGCATTACAAACTGGGCTAACTGGACTCGTGTTGGGGATGCAGGGGATCTGAATGGGGGTTAGAGCAATGACAAGGTGAGAATAGGGAGGATCATCTGCCTTCAGGACAGACACTGAGACTCCTGTCAGCAGTTCTGGCACATGGTCTGGGGAAGAAGGAAGAACAGAACTTCCAACTTTAGCTCTGGTGAGAGGTCTGAATGGGGCCAAGGGCTCTTCTTAGCTGTTTAAACATTTTAAAAGTTTTTATTTTAAATAACAAAATTTAACAGTGCTTATATATGCCAGGCACCATTCCAGGCATTTTATTTTATTTATTTTTATTATTTTGTTTTTGAGACAGGGTCTTGCTCTGTTACCCAGGCTGCAGTGCACTGGTGTGATCATGGCTCACAGCAGCCCCAATGTCCTGGGCTCAAACGATCCTCCCAACTTCGGCCTCCCAAAGTGTTAGGATTGCAGGAGTGAGCCATGGCTCCTGGTCCATTCCAGACATTTTATAAATATTAACTCATTTAATTCTTCTAACAACTCAATACCATTTATAGTTTCCTGATGAGAAAATTGAGGCACAAAGAAGTTGAGTGACTTGCCCAGGTCATGTAGCTTAGTAAATGATGAAGCTGAGCTTTGAATCCGGGCAGTCTGCCTCTAGACTCCCTGCTCTGAACCCTTCTGATTCCTATAGCTCCTCTTCCCCATTTTTCCTCATAAGAAATAAGTGGTTTATGGTTTTGCTCCAGTGTTTGGGTTTCTTTGCGGCCGCTCAAGATCAACCAATTCTTCGGGAAAGTGAAACCCAAGGCTCCACTGCCCAGCCTGACTGACTGCATTGACATGGTGGACAGCAGGGCAGAATCCATTGACAAGAAGATTTCTCGATTGGATGCTGAGCTAGTGAAGTATAAGGATCAGATCAAGAAGATGAGAGAGGGTCCTGCAAAGAGTATGGTTAAGCAGAAAGCCTCGTGAGTTTTAAAGCAAAAGTGGATGTATGAGCAGCAGCAGGGCAATCTTGCCCAATAGTCATTCAACATAGAACAAGCCAATTATACCATCCAGTCATTGAAGGACACCAAGACCACGGTTGATGCTATGAAACTGGGAGTAAAGGAAATGAAGAAGGCACACAAGCAAGTGAAAATCGACCAGATTGAGGATTTACGAGACCAGCTAGAGGATATGATGGAAGATGCAAATGAAATCCAAGAAGCACTGAGTCGCAGTTATGGCACACCAGAACTGGATGAAGATGACCTAGAAGCAAAGTTGGATGCACTGGGTGATGAGCTTCTGGCTGATGAAGACAGTTCTTATTTGTATGAGACAGCATCTGCACCTGCAATTCCGGAAGGTGTTCCCACTGATACGAAAAACAAGGATGGAGTTCTGGTGGATGAATTTGGATTGCCACAGATCCCTACTTCATAGATTGGCATCATTCAAGTATATCTTGTAAAACAAACACATATTATGGGACTAGGGGACTAGGAAATATTTATCTTTCCAAATTAACGTAACAGATTTACGTTTCTTTCCTTTCTTTGAAGGAAAGTTTAATTACATTGCTCTTGTATTTTTTCCATTAGGAGACTCATTGTTTGGGAAACGCTTTTTTTGTACTAAAATTTGATTCCTTTTTTCTTATGAAAATTGAACTTAGTTTAAAGGTATCTTTGGCTTGTATGACTTGTTTTCATTCATTAGTAATAATTTGAAATAAAACTAAGGAAATGGAATGTTAAAAATCTATGACACTATAACTCTGCAGTCTCAAAATGACCTGATAAACTGATAAGACAAAGATGAGATTATTGGGGCTGTTCATATTATGTTTCAGAACCATTTTCTATTGTGGTATTATAGGTTGGTTAAAGTGATGGCCTTTTTGATGGGTTTTGTTGTGTCTTGTGAACAAATCATTACTGTGTCCAATATTGGAATGGAGTTATCACTACTGTATCATGAGTGGGTATTTTTATTCTATGGTTCCCTCAGTATTACATCTTGACTTGTAATCAATAATGAATATTTCTTGATATTTAATGTATAGGACATTTATTTATACTCAATAAATATTTTTCAAAAGGATATAATTTTAATGATATCACTTCAGCTTAAAACCTCTACTGCGGAAACCACATTTAATAGAATTTTAATGTCATTTTAGCCTATAACTCCACTCCAGAAACCAAGTTAACCATTGTGAGGAAAGAGCAAGGAACAATCTGGGCTTGGGCCCTGGGTCTACCATTTACTAACTACTGAGTAGTCTATTCAACTTCTCTAAGCTTCTGTTTCCTTATTAGTAAAATCATGCTTATATCTCATAGAGCTTTTGTGAGGAATAATTGAGGTAATGGTCATAAGTACCTTATTAACCGCAATGGGCTATTCTCATATGAGGGATTGTTAACAATAAAAAAGCAACTGCTTCAAAAAAAAAAAGTGGAATTAATTGTTTTTAAAATGTCATCGTTGCTGCTGTTGTTGTTTTGAGAGGGAATCTCACTCTGTTGCCCAGGCTGGAGTGCAGTGGTGTGATCTCTTCTCACTACAACCTCTGCCTCCTAGGTTCAAGCAATTCTCCTGCCTCAGCCTCTCAAGTAACTGGGGCTACAGGCGTGCGCCATCACGCCCAGCTATTTTTTTTTTTGTACTTTTAGTAGAGATGAGGTTTCACCATGTTGGCCAGGCTGGCCTTGAACTCCTGACCTGAAGTGATCCACCTGCCTCAGCCTCCCAAATTGCTGGGATTACAGGCGTCAGCCACTGTGCCCAGCCAAAATGTCATTGTTATGACTGAGTCAGAACACTCACACAGGTTACAGCTGCACAGGGTGACATCAATGGGCAGTTTCCAGGAAGCATGGATTCCTTATGGTGTGTGTGGGTGAATATAGCACCTGCCCTTTGGCTTGTACCCCTGTCCTACATACCGAGGAAGTCCTATGCTATGGTTTTAGGGCCTCATATCACATTTCTTGACCCGCTTTGCTACTGAGACAGCCCCCTCTCCAAAATTCTTGAGGTCGGAAGGTGTATTTCCCCCTCCTCTTGGCATCCTTGACAGGGTCCATGGCTTTGATGCTCCTGTAGTCTCCTACTTTGCCTTTCCATAGGAGAGTGAGTAAATTTTCTTTGGGAGGAAACCCGGGCAAGTCTGAACAATGAGTGTGCATTTGGGGCTGACTCAGGGATTCAGACATTGCTTTGTGGTGGTGTTTTTGCTTTCTTTTCTTTTCTTTCTGTTTTTTTTCTTTCTTTCTTTCTTTTTTTTTTTTTTTTTTTGTAGAAATCTTATTGCCGATACACCACGGGCTGCCCCACCCAGACACATTAGTCATGGCAAAGGGAGCAAATCATTCCTTTTTGAAGATGAGCCTTATATTACATGAATCATTATATTAATCCTTACATGAAGTCCACCTGTTATATATGTGGTGGTGATTGTATTTTGTCCATATTTCCTTTGCTGGGTGGGGAGATCAACTGTAGCTTTTTCATCCTGATTTTCATTCCTTGCTACAAAGCAGTGATTTGGTTTCTAGGTCGGCATTGTAAGGAGCCTAATGCTTTGTCACAGTACTCCAGCTCCTCACACTGATGGCTGAACAGAGGCTGCTAAAATAGGTTGATCAAGTTGTGTTTTTCATTGTCATATTTTGCACCAAATGAAGTGTGACACATCCCACTCTGTGACAGAAACTGTGAGTGACAATTGGTTCCGTGTGGTGGCCTAAAATTACAGAACGTTACCTGCTGCTTACTAAGGAAGAATCTTCTGGAGGTTTTCCCTGTACCTCTGATTGGAGCCCACAATAGAACTTGTGTATGGCATCTAATAAATTGCAATCCCAGTGTGACAAAGACCTGTAGGCACAGAGAAGAAATAACTTGGTCACATAAAGTTTTGGAGTTCCCAAATCACTCATTTAATGTTATTTTTAAACATCCATCTCTCATTTGGTTACTTTCTTTAATAGTCCAATTCTTTATGTGTAATACAGAAATCAAATATAAATGGGATTGATAAAAGTCCTTCTTTGCCTCGTGGAATTTTAGTTTTTACAAATAACCTTAGAATAATTCAGGTAACTAAGGTATTTGGAGTAACAGTGCTTACTTGTACATGAAGAACTCAACTATCACTCTCTGTTCCCCATTTTTCTGCAAGTAACTCAATTAGCTAGATTAACAAACATTGTCACAGAAACAAAGTGTTTTTTTTAAAGCTATGGATCCTTGTGTTTATATTTTTAAAAAGCCATAAACAGGCATTTCTACCTTATTAAGAGGACTTAAACAGGTGTTTAAACACTAAGACAGTGATGATTTTAAAACATAATAAAACTCTAAGTTAAGGCTTTTGTTTTGAAACCCACATTCATAGCTACTTATATGTGGAACACCTTTGTATTTGGGGGCAACGTGCTATTAAGGCTGTTGTTGACCCTAGTACTCACTACTCGCCCTTACACACACACACACCCCCACACCCACACACACACCCACCAGAGAGAAACAGTGTTTTTTTAGAACCCAGGACCATCAAAATAGTTTTTTGACTTATCAAGCCTTGAACTGGAATAGGAAACCCACATTTGTTCTAGTGTTTATGTGTTTAATAGTTCATACCATGAAGTTATATGTTGATTGCAGATGTGGGAAGCAAAATGGAAAAAAATGCATCTTGCTGACAAACATCGCCGACTGCCTTCACTAACTGCACTTAGCACAATACGTAATCATCTTTTCTCTTTGTTTACTCATTTATGGGCTACCCCTCCCTACCTGCTCTAGACTGAAGTTGAGAAAGGCAAGGCCTTTGCTTGTCTTCCTCGAGATTGCTCAGATATTGTTTGCAAGAGAGTCCCCATAGCCTTTGGTGGGTTGGTGGCTGTGATAGGGAGGGTCTTTTGTCAACCCTGGGCCTTCACTTTGGAAGCTGTGCTGTGTTGCAATTAATTCTAATAAACCCATGCAGCATCTGAAGATAACCCCACAGGGAATTGAATTTTGAAGCAAACGTGTTTATTTCTTGGAAGCTTAATGGATGGATTGGAAAAAAAAAAAGAATCATTTGCTTCTAGCTTTGGAAGCCAGAGAAACCACAGGCTGAGGAGCATGCCCTTGTCCCTCAGTCTCCTATTAGCTTGCAGCTCTAATTTCTATCCAGGGTAATATGACCGAGGGGAACTATTTGCATCTTTGAAAATTCCACTCTTCTGCTGGCTTATAACAATAGAACAGTGCAAATGTATCTTGTGTGTTCTCTACCATTATGGATAATTACTAATGAAGTCTCTTTCTGGCAATTCTCATTAAGTGATTTAATTTTAGAAGTGGAAAGAACCATACCTATTGGAACACTTGAATCTCAACAGACTATTAAACTTTATTAAGAATAAGAATTATTCCCTGGAATTTTGTAAGATCACCTTAAATCAAATTATATTTTCAAAAAGGACCATAAAGATAATTGCAGTAAGAAAAAATGTTTTAAATCATTATTAATGTAGTTATATGTATAAGGACCAGAGGCGATCCTTTTGTGGGCATGCCGATTTGAAGTCCTTTGTTCAGCCTGTTTGTTCTTAAGTTTAGATTTTGTTGTACTGTGAGGCCTTACGTTTAACATCCACTCATGTGATGCTTTATCACTTTTTTGAGAGGTTTTATTCTGGAAATTCAGGATATAGTCTTGGCAGTCTAAAAACGTAGGTGGTTTTGCTTTGTTATATCATCTCAGTGATCTTCAGGAGTTATTTGGATGATCAGTTCCATCAGCTAGGGTCCCCTTCTTTTCTCTTCTCTGCCACGGCTGTGAGGGAGGTCTTGGAGGACAATAATGCCAGGTAGAGGAGGATGCAAGGTGTATGTGGGGAATTCTGAGGAGTTGAATATGAGTGTTTATGTGTAGGGGCAGATGGCAGTGGGAAGTGAAATTGGCAGGTGCCAGTGCTTTGTGGGCCTTGAATGCCATGTTAAGGAGCTTGGATTTTTTTTTTTCCCATGGATGATGAAGCTGCTGAATAATTTTAAGCAGGGTCATGGCGTGACTAGCCTCATTTGTGATTCAGAGAAATTAGTCTGGTGGCTGATGGAGAAGGAATGATTGGGGAATCAGGGGAGAAGCAGGGGGGATAGTTAAGAAACGACTGCAGAAAATCCAGTCAGGGAGCTTGAACCAGAGTAATGATAATAAGGAGAAGAGGGGGTGATCAGGAAAATACTTGAGAAGTAGAGTTGGCAGGAGTGGGAAAGGACAGGATATGGGTGTGATGAGGTGCTACTCAGTGGCACTAAGTTTTTATGCTTGAATCAAATAATTGCTCAAGTCCTAGAACCAAAGTTAGTTTCTGAGGAAAGTCTTGTTTGTGATTATAGAACTTCTCTTCAGCAGACAAGAATATGCAGGTCAAGATCTTTGATTTCTTTTTCATAACAAGTATCATTACAACCAACATACCTGGAAGATGTAGCCTATAGATCTTTTATGTTACCAGCTATTGAGGTCCTCAGTAATGACCTTAATCATGTTTGTTGTTCATCTTGTTCTTGTCAGAAGGCTGGCTGAAAATTTTGGTATTTGAGAGAGGAATGTTCTTAAGGAATATATTACTTACTAGTTTCTCAAAAAACAATTTAAGTCAAAACATCAGGAAATGACAGATTAGACCATGTTATTGTGCCCTTCAGCCTTTCACTCCTGGAATTGCCCTTATAGAACCAAACTAACTTTATGTCTTTAGTTTTCTCTTAGAGCTACTCATATATGGAATGCCTTCACATTTAGGAGAAAAATGTTATTAAGGCTATTGACCTTCGTGGCCCCCTCCCCCTAATTTCCACAAAACCCTGAGATAGTTTCTTCTTAGAGCACAAGACCAACAAAATATTTTTTTGAGTTATCAAACCTTAAGCTAGAGTAGGAAACCTATGTTTGTTCTAGTGTTTTCTATTTTGTTCTTGTCAGCAAGAAGCACAAAGTTTTAAGCTTATTTTCTATGGTTTTCCTCAAACAACTTTTAAAATTATTATTTTTGTTGTGCTCTTTTATTTATTTTATTTATTATGCTCATATATTAACTGGTTTTGTGTTTTTAGTTTAACCCATTTTAGTCAGTTGGATAAATTTTTTTTATTATACTTTAAGTTCTAGGGTACATGTGTACAATGTGCAGGTTTGTTACATATGTATACATGTGCCATGTTGGTGTGCCGCACCCATTAACTCGTCATTTACGTTAGGTGTATCTCCTAATGCTATCCCTTCCCCCTCCCCCCACCCCACGACAGGCCCCGGTGTGTGATGTTCCCCACCCTGTGTCCAAGTGTTCTCATTGTTCAATTCCCACCTATCAGTGAGAATATGCAGTGTTTGGTTTTCTGTCCTTGTGATAGTTTGCTCAGAATGATGGTTTCTAGCTTCATCCATGTCCCTACAAAGGATAGGAACTCATCCTTTTTATGGCTGCATAGTGTTCCATGGTGTATATGTGCCACATTTTCTTAATCCAGTCTATCATTGATGGACATTTGGGTTGGCTCCAAGTCTGCTATTGTGAATAGTGCCACAATAAACATATGTGTGCATGTGTCTTTATAGCAGCATGATTTATAATCCTTTGGGTATATACCCAGTAATGGGATGGCTGGGTCAAATGGTATATCTAGTTCTAGATCCTTGAGGAATCACCACACTGTCTTCCACAATGGTTGAACTAGTTTACAGTCCCACCAACAGTGTAAAAGTGTTCCTGTTTCTCCACATCCTCTCCAGCACCTGATGTTTCCTGACTTTTTAATGATCGCCATTCTAACTGGTGTGACATGGTATCTCATTGTGGTTTTGATTTGCATTTCTCTGATGGCCAGTGATGATGAGCATTTTTTCATGTGTCTGTTGGCTGCATAAATGTCTTCTTTTGAGAAGTGTCTGTTCATATCCTTCACCCACTTATTGATGGGGTTGTTTGATTTTTTCTTGTAAATTTGTTAAGTTCTTTGTAGATTCTGGATATTAGCCCTTTGTCAGATAGGTAGATTGTAAAAATCTTCTCCCATTCTGTAGGTTGCCTGTTCACTCTGATGGTGGTTTCTTTTGCTGTGCAGAAGCTCTTTAGTTTAATTAGATCCCATTTGTCAATTTTGGCTTTTGTTGCCATTGCTTTTGGTGTTTTAGACATGAAGTCCTTGCCCAGGCCTGTGTCCTGAATGGTATTGCCTAGGTTTTCTTCTAGGGTTTTAATGGTTTTAGGTCTAACATTTAAGTCTTTAATCCATCTTGAATTAATTTTTGTATAAGGTGTAAGGAAGGGATCCAGTTTCAGCTTTCTACATATGGCTAGCCAGTTTTCCCAGCACCATTTATTAAATAGGGAATCCTTTCCCCATTTCTTGTTTTCGTCAGGTTTGTCAAAGATCAGATGGTTGTGTATGTGTGGTATTATTTCTGAGGGCTCTGTTCTGTTCCATTGGTCTTTATCTCTGTTTTGGTACCAGTACCCTGCTGTTTTGGTTACTGTAGCTTTGTAGTATAGTTTGAAGTCAGGTAGCGTGATGCCTCCAGCTTTGTTCTTTTGGCTTAGGATTGTCTTGGCAATGTGGGCTCGTTTTTGGTTTCATATGAACTTTAAAGTAGTTTTTTCCAATTCTGTGAAGAAAGTCATTGGTAGCTTGATTGGGGGTGGCATTGAATCTATGAATTACCTTGGGCAGTATGGCCATTTTCATGATATTGATTCTTCCTATCCATGAGCATGGAATGTTCTTCCATTTGTTTGTGTCCTCTTTTATTTCATTGAGCAGTGGTTTGTAGTTCTCCTTTAAGAGGTCTTTCACAGCCCTTGAAAGTTGCAGTTGGATAAATATTTAAAGTATGTTTCTGAAATGAATAAAGATTGGGGCCAGGCATGGTGGCTCACACCTGTAATCCTAGCACTTTGGGAGGCTGAGATGGGTGGATCACTTGAGGTTAGGAGTTCGAGACCAGCCTTGCCAACATGATGAAGCCCCATCTCTACTAAAAATACAAAAATTAGCCAGGTACAGTGGCGCACATGTGTAATTCCAGCTTCTCAGGAGGCTGAGGCAGGAGAATCGCTTGAACCCCAGAGGTGGAGGTTGCAGTGAGCTGAGATTGTGCCACTGCACTCCAGCCTGGGCCACAGAGCAGACTGTGTCTCAAAAAAAAGATTTTGGATGACCCTACATCAGTATTTTTTGGGACATTTAAGAAGATGACTGCTCCTTGTGCAGTAATTTTCTCTTAAAAACTTCAAAACACTTTATTACACAAATACAAGAAAAATTAACACAAGTATCAGGGTGATTTTTGTGGTACAATGTGGCATTTCTAATCACCTGACCTTTGGTATAATTAGTATGTATAATGTATCTGTCCATCTTATAGAACTCAGAGCACCTTTTGAGTATTTTCCAGGAATATGTAACACAATTTCAACTTTGGTTTTTATGACATAGTTCTTGTCTGCAATGCTGATTACTTACTCAAGAATGGGACACCCCCTTCCCAATTATTTCACAATTTCTTTAGGAAAATGCGGTTATTCTGGTGGATGCGTGTTGCCATAACTCATGAGACCAGGTGTCCACAATGGAGAAGTAGGGCTAGGATTTTTTGTTTCATTTCTGTCCTGGGCAGCCTTTATCGTTTTGGTCAGAGTTCTGGCTTTATCCAGAAGCCAAGTGACTTCAGTACAAGGTGGTTTCCCCTTCCCCAAACAGCAGGGAACTAGAATCAGAAACAGGAAAAAATAAATAAATAAAAAGAAACACATTATGATCAAAATAGCTTCAAATAAGGTTTTAAAGCCACTTGGGTACTATTTGCCTATTGATATCAGAATCGTCCCTTCTTGTTTGGGTATAAATCAGTTAGATCTCCAATTTGCTAATGGTTACAATGGATATTTTAAACCAGAAGAGTCAGTACATTTATGATAGCCATAGAGTCTGCATGATTCTATATTTAAAGTGTTTTAGGGGGTGAGTGAGTGGGAATTTGAGAACAGACTTGGGCAAGGAAATTCCTTCCCCTCTGTGCTTTTGTAGCACCTGTGTCTGTTGCAGCATTTGTGCTGTGTGCTAGAGCTTCTGGTCTTACTGAAGAGGATCCTGCCTAAGTCGTCTCAGGGTTCATAGCATCCAGTGGCTGAATGTTTATTGAATTAAGGCAGGCAATAGGGATTCCTTTCTTGGTTTATCAATGTTTGTTTCTTCTCTTTTTAATAAAGAAACTGGCTGGTTTCTATTTGCGTGCTCAAAATAAGCATATCTTTACCAAGTCAGAGCCCTCTAAGGCCCTGCAAATTCTCACCTTACCACTTATCCCCTTAATGATATATCATGCATCTAGGTTTATGCATCTGAGCATTGGACTGGGATCTAGAAGTCTCAGGTCTGAGTCACTCCTTCAGTCTTCAGTACCCATCTTCACTTGAGCAGACCACTTAATATCTCTAGACTTCAACATCTTGATTTATAAAATAAGATTACTATTATAAGTCAGGGGCTGTCTATATGTGCACTGCCTGCCTTAAGGACTTTTGCCAGAAATAAAATTAAGTAATGTACAGATGTTCCTTGACTTATGATGGAGTTATGTCCTGATAAAGCCATCATAAGTTTAAAATATTGCAATTTGAAAATGCATTTAATGCACCTTACCTACCAAACATCATAGCTTAGCCCAGCTGACCGAAAATGTGCTCAGAACACTTACATTAGCCTGCAATTGGGCAATATCATCTAACACAATGCCTGTTTCATAATAAAGTGTTGAATAGCTCATAATTTATTGAATACCATACTGAAAGTGAAAACAGAATGGTTGTATGGATACTCAAAGTTCAGTTTCTACTGAATGTGTATCGCTTTTGCACCATCTTAAAGGGGAAAAATTGTAAGTCAATTCTAAGTCAGAGGGCATGTATAAGGCTTCTCAAGACTGAAAAATACACTCTGTGCGACATTTGTCATTTTCAACTAACCGAGAATGAGGGCACATTCGCAAAAATTTGATTAGATTCAGAATTTAACCTTATACCACTGGACTCATATTTTTGGGATCAGTGAATCATAATGTAGTTATTAACAATTTTGTGACCATTTCCAGGAACTAACTGTAACTGAGCCATTACAAAGAAAAAGCTGTTCAGTTATAGGGACCCAAAAATATACCAAATCAGTCAAGTGTTTATTGAATGCCTACTGTATGCCTGTTACTGTGCTATTCCACATGTGAAATAGAAAAGAAATCTTACCTATAGGTCTGATCCTCAAGGAATTTACAGTCTAGTTAGGGAGGGAATAATTTAAGAACTGGACTAATCTGTGATATAAATAAATACTTTAAAAATTCTTTAAAAATTATTTTTAGGATACTTATTGAGAGAAATGAGATATCAATGTGAGTAAGGAGCTTGGGTAGGGTCTTAAAGAGTTGAAATTAAACCTGGGAACATAATCCAAGTGGAAAGGAATTTTGTCAAGATGGAATAATTTAATCTAGCGCAATGTCTGATATATAGTACATGCTCAATAAGTATTAATTTGCTTGATGAATGAATCTCTTTCAACAAATTTATCTTCTAGTTTGCCAGTTCTCTCTTTACTGTGTCTAGTCTGCTGTTGAACTTGAAAATGAAATAAAAATGCTAAGGTCATGTTTTTCTTTTCCAGGATTTCTATTGGTTCTTTCTAAACTCACAATCCTCTACTCCACACTACACTCCTTAACCCTTTCCCTGCCTTATTTTTAGCCATAGCACCTACCGTATTCTAACATACCATGTAATCTACTTATTTTGTTTCTTATGTTTCTTCCCTTATTAGAAATATAACGAAGTCCAGAAAAGCAGGAATTTGTATTTGTTTCGTTCACTGACATATATCTCCAAACACTAGAACAGTGCCTGGGACATAGTAGGATCTCAAAAAATATTTGTCGGGGATCTCAAAAAATATTTGTCGGGGATCTCAAAAAATATATGTGTTGTCCATAAGTATGGAGGCAATAGTGAAACCTGCCAAATTAGATTGGGGTGGAGATGAGGTCCTTGTAGAGTCCAGTAGGAAATAAAATTTGGGGAGGGGCTTCATTATGGCCAGATTATATAGAGCATCCTGTGTTGAGGGGAGGTTTGGGGCTTCAACGTAGTAGGCATGTATATTATTTACAAAGCTGAGCCAAATATCCATAATTTACTTGTCATCTGGGAGACATCAGGAAATAGCAGAAAGAACTCTGGCTTTGGAATTGGAAGTATGCAAGTTGGAATCCTACTTCTACAGTTTACCAGCTATGTGGTCTTAGGGCAGTTACTTACTCTTGAAGATCCAGTTTTTTTTTTTAACTGTAAAGTGGTGTTAATAATCCCTACCTCATAAAGTTGTGGTGAAAATTAAGAGATAATATTGTAAGTAAAACCCCTAATACAAAGTGGGTGCCCAGTAAGTAGTTCTTAGACTACACTGACTGATTTGAAACTATTAGCATACTAAAATGTACTTTTTCTGTTTGGGGCACATTACTTAGAGTAGTAGGAAGAAGCAGAAAACATTGAGTATAGTATATTGAGGTAGAGTATTGTAACTGTGGTTTAGGAAAAATAACTACCAACTGTGAGTAAAAATGAAAAGGAAGATACTATATTTGGGTGTTTTACAGTCACGAAAAAAAAAAACCCACAGAAATAACTAGTATCTTTTCACTTCTCCAAAACGTTTTGAAACCTTGAGTTAATTAAGAAGGGAGAGGAAAATCCCCTAATAATACTAGAGTCACTAATAGTGTGGTCTCTGAAAGTACCGAACCACAGGGAAGTCACCGGGTTCTGGAGGAGATCAGCTTTCCTGGAGTGGTCCAGTCCTCATGGATATTCTCTTCTGGGTAGGACCTGCATGTTGACATGAACCTAGGGCACTAACTTGACCCTCCGCAGAAAAAACTTTCAATGTTAAGTCCTCTGCTTGCTAAAGGTCACCCAAGAATATTTCTCCTGGAGAAGCCTTGTGCATTTTCTTTTCTTTTCTTTTGTCTTTTTTTTTTAATTTTTTTTGAGATGGAGTTGTACTCTTGTTGCCCAGGCTGGAGTGCAATGGTGTGATCTCAGCCCACTGCAACCTCCACCTCCCGGGTTCAAGCGATTCTTCTGGCTCAGCCTCCCAAGTAGCTGGGATTACAGGCGCCCGCCACCATGCCCAGCTAGTTTTTTGTATTTTTAGTAGAGACAGGGTTTCACCATGTTGGCCAGGCTGGTCTTGAACTCCTGAGCTCAGATGATCCACCCGCCTCAGGCTCCCAAAGTGCTGGGATTACAGGCATGAGCCACCATGCCCAGCCTGCCTTGTGCATTTTCTATATAACTGGTTGTTAAAGATGTTATCCTTTTTTGCTAATTGACCCATGGATAAGGGGCCATCTGACAGCTTTGAGAATTTAGGATTAAGCAAACATTTATTTCTCTTAACTGGTTATTCCCTCTTATCAGATTATGAGAATTAAATAGCACACAATGCTTCCTTTTTGTTTCAGTTATCAAGAAACTCAGAGCACCATGTAATGCTTGATTACAATAACAAAAAGTCTAGGAGGACCATAAATTTACTTCCTCCTTGTATGCTATAGTTCAGTACTGTCGTTTTCTATTTTAAGTGGCTTGCTGTGTAGAGCATCTTAAAGGCTTTACAAAATAGCCTGAGTATACCTAATTTGGCATTTGACTAATTTAACATTTCCCCAGATGTGACTCAAACATTTTGTAAATGTAGTGAATTTAAAAGACCCAGGTGTCTAGCAGTAGGGACATGGTTTAATAAACTGTGGCATATTAATACACTGCATTTAGAATTTTTATCTTAAATTCTAAAGCAAATCTGTCACTGAGCCCTTATACAAGACTCAGTGCACAATGTATAACTGAACAGCAGTGAACATGAATGAATTTATGTTTCAACGTGAGTAACTGATATGGTTTGGATATTATTTGTCCCCTCCAAATCTCATGTTGAAATGTGACCTCTCATGTTGGAGGTGGGCCTGGTTGGAGGTGTTTTGATTAATGGGGGTGGATCCCTCATAAATGGCTTGGTGCCATCCCTGCCACTAATGAGTGAGTTCTTGATCTGTTAGTTCAGGTGGGATCTGGTTGTTTAAAGAACCTGGCATCTCCCCACTCTCTCACTTGCTCCCTCTCTTCATGTGACATGCTGGCTCCCCTTCGCCTTCCACCATGGTTATAAGCAGCCTGAGGCCCGCCTCAGAGACAGATGTGGACACTGTGCTTCCTGTACAGCCTGCAGAACCATGAGCCAAATAAACCTCTTTTCTTTATAAATTACCCAGTCTCAGGTATTTGTTTATAGAAATGCAAATAGACTAACACAGTAACCTGCAAAAAACATAATATGGAGTTAAAAAAGGGAGATGCAGCAAAATTCATTCAGTTAATACAACAGAAAATGCTGCTTGTCCCCCAGTATCTGCTTTCCATTTTTTTCCTCATAATAGACTTTTAGAAGGTTCAATGACCTCCCAGAAAGAAGACTTTATTTTCTTGCCTCTCTTGCAGCCAAATATGATCATATGACCAAGTACTTGGCCAATAGGATATCAGTGGAAGTGTGTGTGTGTGTGTGTGTGTGTGTGTGTGTGTGTGTGTAATTTAGAGGCTGTGCCGTTAAAGGGAGTGCCTTCCCTGGTTGTTTTCTCGTTTCCCTTTGCCTGACACGTGGGCCTGATGGTGAGGGCAACACCCTCTTGGTGGTAGAGCAGGAAGATTAGGGAGGGGTAGTGAGGGAGGAGTAGGGAGCCACCACTTCATCCCAGGAATACTTATGCACTGACTCTTCTGTGAAGGAAAGAGAAACTTGTCTAAGCCACCATTATTTTGGTCTTTGTTCCAGCAGCTACACCTGCTTCCTAATTCTATATGATACTATTTATGTAAGTTAAAATGAGCAAAAGAATATTTATTATGTATCTGCGGACATGTATATTTAGTAAACCTGGACTGGATACAGACTAAAATGAATGACAGTTGCCTCCGAGGTAGAAGGGAAGGAATGGGACCAGGGAAGGAGGAAATACAGCCTACTTCCTCTCTTTACACTAAGCCACAAGGGATTCTCTCTTTTCTGTGTGTCGTGCTCAGTCAACTATGTCAGAGTAGGACAGTCAATTCAATGATGAAGAATCTGTATGTTTGTGATCTTTGTGATTGCTTTATGCCACGCGGTTTTCTGTTGGCTTTTAACAGTGACTTTTACCCCATATGAAGTGATTGGATTAAGAGAAAATAGTGGCTCACCCTTAAAACAAATGTGGAGGACAGAGCCATGGCTGTCATAACAGGAGTGAGCTATGAAATAGACCTGGGAAAACAGATGCTATTGCAGTTTGATGGTAAGGCCTGTGGCACAGGTGTTGCTGGCAGGCTGCAAGAGGCCCCAACAGGGGGCCTTCTCCATTTGCCCAGACTCTAGACAATGCCATTGCTGGCTCAAAAGCTGAAATCGTCAGCAGCCTGGGTGACTGTCTCTTGGGGTCAGGCTCACGTTAATCAGGCTCAGAGAGCCTGAGGCTAAACCAGAGTGCCAATCGATTAATTTATGATAAGAGATTTGGCTGTTGCAGAGCAGAATGTATGTTCAGGCTGAGCAGAGCATTTTTTTTCTGAGTAGGCAAGTAGCAGGGGACCCCAGGTTGTCATCAGAAAGTTGCTTAGAAAGGACAGAGGAAGAACAGAGGCAATTGGTTATGGTATGCTCATAAATAGACTGGAAAAGCCTGATGGGTCCATCTCCTTGCTGGAATAGCCTTGACTCCACCTCTCCCCACTAACAGCCACTGTATCCTTTCCTTTATCAGTGGTTACATGCATGATCTCATCATCTGACTTTTGGAGTCAGCCTTTCTTCTCTCTCTCTCTCTCTTTTTTTTCCCACAGTATTTTTTTCAAACTAGATTCCACAGAATGGACTGGGTTTTCCCTAAACGAATCTCAGGTGCATTCCAGGTGAGTCACATTGCAGTTTGGGGATTCCCAGGCTCTTAAGGGCATACAAACAGCTCATCTGGTTTACTCCCTCAATTTGCCAGTTACATCCAACATATGACAATTTTGCTGGCTAACACTGAGGGAACCTTCATTCTCTTACCTCTAAATCTATGGGGGCCCTCACTGTCCACTTCCCTATTCCAGGTACATTCCATGATGCATTTAGTTGTATTTCTGAATGCGGTTCTTCTTGTCACATGGCAGTCCTTCTGTCTTCCCACTTGTCCCTGCTTTCACTCTGTTTACCTAAATGTGGAAGTGCCTAAGGGGCAGTCCTTGCTCACATAACTTTGGCTCTCTGATGTGTGGCTTTAGAGATCATTTGTGCACAGCTAGCTTCCAGGTCTTTATATTCAGTCCTGAATGTATTCTTACAATACAGTCCTAAAAGTCACTCCTTTTATAAGTAGTTGTTGGACAAGATAATACATATGATAGTACAAAATTCAAAAGTTAGAAGGCAAACTGAAAAACCGGCCTCCCTTTCTCCCTGGAGATAAATGTATTCCATTGTCTTCTCTGGAGACAAATACACTCATCAGTTGAGCCATTTCTGCCTGAATGTGCCATGCTGTATTTAAAATCAGCGTATGTAATAACGCAGTTGGCACTGTTGCTCTAGAGTGCCATCAACACCCACCTAGATGTTGAGGTGCCCTCCCTTCTCACATTGCCTAATGGTTCCCCGGAGAACCTTGAGAACCCCACTGCTATAGTATAAACTAAAAGAATGGCTGCTGGAATTTCCTTACGATGCTTTTTTGCTTTTGTAGAATTCACCTTCAGTTAGCTATGAACTCTCAGAGGATAGCAATTGTTGTATGCTGTTTCTGGCATATCCCCTTTAGTGCTTTACACAGTCTTATACATACAGTAGGGTTTTTTTTTGTTGTTGTTGTTATTTTAGGTAACATTTTTTGAACTTTTTTTGTTAGTTTAGGTAATGGGTGTAGGCATTTGTTTTTAAAAACATCAAAAAAAGTAACTGCTGGCAGAAAATGTAATGAAAAGAAGATGAGCAGCTGCCTGTTGTATTATGTATTATGATAGCTTAGTACCTTTAAATTTTTTTTTCTGAACTTATTTTTATTTTTGAGAACAGAGTCTCACTCTGTCACCCATGCTGGAGTGCAGTGGTGTGATCTCAGCTCACTGCAGCCTTGACCTCCTGGGTTCAAGCAATCCTCCCACTTCAGCCTCCTGAGTAGCTGGGACCACAGGTGCGCACCACCGCAGCAGGCTAATTTTTGTATTTTTTTTTACAGAGACAGAGTTCCACTTTGTTGCCCACGCCGGTCTCGAACTCCTGGGCTCAAGTGATCCTCCTGCCTTAGCCTCCTAAGTAGCTGGGATGACAGGCATGTGTCACCACGAGTTTAGTGCCTTTTTCAGTGGAACTTCTTTCCTTGTTCTCTGATAGTGTACCACTGTCCTACCTCAGCACATCCCACGACACTGCCTGAGCTCCTTTCCTCCTTACCACTTACAACATACTATTTAACGCATTTATCTTATTTTTAAACATCTTTCCCCCTGCTAGAATGTAAGCCCTATGAAGGGAGGGCAGGATTTTTGTCCCTGTTGTTGACTCTTATGTTCCCAGAGCCTAGCATATGGTAAGCTGCTCAACAAATATTTGTTGAATGTATAACCTGGTGAGATACCAATTGTTTATGTTGTCATTGAATTGATTACCATCACCAATCCTAGATTTCTCTTTGTTCTGTCCCCCACTGATACTAGGTATCAGTGCTTTGAGACCAGGAAGACATTTTTCGTTTCTCTGCAAACAAAACCTGTAGTTTGGGGCTGAGTGACTTAGAGGCATGTGGAAGGAAGAAAGAACATAATCAGTGGTGCTAGAACACAACGCCTTGCTTGGGCTCTGCTGTCAGTGCCTGACATATTCTCCAAACAACACTCCCCACTTGTATTTTACTAGCCTAGTTTGAGTACCTCTTTTTTTTTTTTTGAGACGGAGTCTCACTCTGTCGCCCAGGCTGGAGTGCAGTGGTGCGATCTCGTCTCACTACAACCTCTGCCTCCTGGGTTCAAGCAATTCTCCTGCATCAGCCTCCTGAGTAGCTGGGATTACAGGCACCCGCCACCATGCCTGGCCAATGTTTTTGTATTTTTAGTACAGCTAGGGTTTCGCCATGTTGGCCAGGCTGGTCTCCAACTCCCGACCTCAGGTGATCTGCCCACCTCGGCCTTCCAGAGTGCTGGGATTACAGGTGTGAGTCACCATGCCTGGCCTTGAGTACCTTTAATAAAGGTGATTCATGTCCCTATTTGTTATTTCCACCACAGAGTATATCATTTTTCGTGGCTTAATTTTTCTTTTTTAAAAAAATTTTTGAGACAGGGTCTTGTTATGTTACCCAGGCTGGTCTCGAGCTCTTGTGCTCAAGCAGTCCTCTCACCTCAGCCTCCCAAGTAGCTGGCACTAAAGGTACATGTCGGCCGGGCGCAGTGGCTCACGCCTGTAATCCCAGCACTTTGGGAGGCTGAGGGCGGGTGGATCGCTTGAGGTCAGGAGTTTGAGACCAGCCTGGCCAACATGGTGAAACCCCTTCTCTACTAAAAATACAAGGATTAGCTGGGCATGGTGGCGTGCACCTGTAGTCCCAGCTACTTGGGAGGCTGAGACAGGAGAATTACTTGAACTCGAGAGGTGGAGGTCGCGGTGAGCTGAGATCGTGCCACTGCACTCCAGCCTGGACGACAGAAAGAGACTCTTGTCTCAAACAAACAAATAAATAAAGGCACATGTCACCACACCTGGCTCAATCTCTCCTCTTTTTATGGTTAATATCTCTTTTGATTCTTTTGCTTAGATGCTGTCACTCTGATATTAAGGAGAAGGCCAGTTTATTGCATTTGAGTTTGAGCTTTAACTAGGTTATTTAGTCTCACACAGAAAAATTCTGTTTTGTGGCCACATTTTGCCCATGTAGTCAGGCAGCTGCCATGAATATGTGAACCTTGGGCTCCCTTTCCTGAGAGGGCAGCCAAGTAGACCTTGGCATAAATACAGAATTGAGAGGATGCTGGCTAGTGACGCGGGCTTTTTGGTAGGGGCTGCCTGGCCACCTTGCCTCAAGTGATCTCCTACTGTCACTGTGGATGTCACATGCCTCCTGGCTGTGCCACTTACTAGTCAGATCCTTAATTAGTTCTAAAATGGATTTCATGTCCTTTGTGAGAACGGAATTCACCAAGATGATATCAGGGAAATCTCATTACCTTATAAACACAAAGAGATCAGATCAACAGATCTTACTTTGCTGAAGAGTTGGGCTTTTGTCCTCTAGCTGGCGAGGAGCCATTGGAAGCCTTTAAGCCAGCAGAGGTGTTTCTTTTAGAATGACTATCCTTGCAGTGGTTTTCAGGTAAAGTACTGAGGAGTGTGAGATGGATGCAGGGAAGGCAAGAAGCTGTCAAAGAAAAAGTTTACCTGAGGCTGGGTGCGGTGGTTCACGGCTGTAATCCCAGCACTTTGGTAGGCTGAGGCAGGCAGAACACCTGAGGCCAGGAGTTCGAGACCAGCCTGGACAACATGGCGAAACCCCACCTCTATTAAAAATATAAAAATTAGCCAGGTGTGGTCGTGTGTGCCTGTAATCCCAGCTACTCGGGAGGCTGAGGCAGGAGAATTGCTTGAACCTGGGAGGCGGAGGTGGTGGTGAGCTGAGATCATGGAGAATAAAAGAAAGAAAGAACAAATAAAAAGTTCACCTGAGAAGAATGGCTGCCCCTGGGCAGAACCTAGATGCCTCCAGTGCAGGTGAATGACATAAGGATAACTCCCAGGTATCTGGTTCTCACAGGGACAGGGAATGCAGAGAAGAAACAACACTGATGGGGAGGAGAGAGACTTACTCTTGGATCTGTTGAGTTAGAGGTGTCAGAGAGATGGCAAGCAGAGGTTTAGATGTAGGTTGTGGAACACCATGGGAGAACTCTGTGCTCAACCTACAGTTGCTAGAACTGCTCCTTTAAAGTTCCTGCTGGGTGAGTGACTTTTAAAATATAACCTCTTATTATGGAAGGTTTCAAACACAGTAGAGACAATAGTATAATAAACCAAATCCCATGTACCCATTACCATGCTTTGTTAATTACCAGCTCATGATCCGTCTTATTACATCTATACCTTCCAGCTACCTCTTCCCATGTCAAGGTGATTTTGACACAAATTCTAGATGTCGTGTCATTTTATTAGGTTGGTGCAAAAGTAATTGCGGCTTTTGCCATTACTTTCAATGGCAAAAGCCGCAACTACTTTTGCACCAACCTGATATTTGTAAATATTTCAATATTTATCTCTGAAAGACAGTCTTGTAAAAATATAGCTACAATACCTTATCCATCCTTAAAAACCATAGTAATTTTGTGATATTTGTCAAATATCCAGTGAGTTCGCATTTCCCCAGTTGATTTTTTTTAAGCTTCATTTATGATGTAACTAAGGGCCCTCCAACAGCATTTGGTTGATATGTCTCTGTGTCTCATAAATCTCTCTTAATCTGTAGATTTGGGTGTAAAACTTTTCAGAGCATTTTGGGATCTATTTGTGTGAACCTGAACTATAACCAGCACTTCAACAAAAGAAAGAGGTAGAGGAATATGGGATAATGTAGGGATCTTCTCTTTTTTTCCTTTTGAGACAGGGTCTCACTCTGTCATCCAGGCTGTAGTGCAGTGACCCAATCATGATTCACTGCAGCCTCAAACTCCTGGGCTCAAGTGATCCTCCTACCTCGGTCTCCCGAGTAGATGGAACTATAGGTGCATGCCACTGCACTCAGTTGATTTTTTAATTTTTTTGTAGAGACAACATCTCACTGTGTTGCCCAGGCTAGGCTCAAACTCCTGAGCTCAAGCAATCCTCCTGCCTAATTTTTTAAATTTTTTGTATAGATGTAGGGTCTCCCTATGTTGCCCAGCTGGTCTCAAACTCCTGGACTCAAGTGATCCTCCCACCTCAGCCTTCCAAAGTGCTGGAATTACAGGCGTGAGCCACCACACCCAGCCAAGATCTTCTTAATTGGAGGTGTGATTTTAAGTTTTTTCCCCTGGGAGGTATGATGCTTCCAGGAAAGCTTGATAAAGCTCTTGTACTTGTAGCCTCTCTCTCCTGCAGTCAATTCTCTGTACTGCTATGGTATCTTCTAAAAGTCAGTCCTGATTGTACCCCTTTTTAGTCCAGAAGTCTATGTGGCCTCTGTTTCCTGTGTGATAAAGTCTTATCTCATGAGCTTGGCTTAAAGGGATGGCTGGCCATCTTCCTTGTGCCAACCTCCCTGCTTGACATTTGGTCTCCACCCTTCCCCTTTCTCCCCTGTGTGGGCTAGCTCCAGCCATGCCACTGTATCTAATGTGCACTTTCCTACCTCATGCTAAGGGCTTTCTCTGAAATATACTTCACGCCTCCTCTTTCCTCTGTACAAGTCTGACTCATCTTGAAAGGCCCAACTGTGAAGTCACCTTTTCTGTGAAGTTTTCCTCAACAACTTTTTCATCTGAAAGACTTATTCATTCTGTTGTCTGCTATGTCGCCTTTTTATGCCTCTGTTTTGTGGTGGTTGTTACAGCCTGGTTGGCTTTATTGTCAGTAGTGTGTTGGCAGGTAGGACAGGTGTGTGTTTGTGTGTTTGTGTGTGTCTCAAGAGGGAAGATACTGTGTCCCGGCCAGGCCTGTGTCTCCTTAGCACTCAGCACAGAGACCTTCCCTCCTGAAATACAGGGTCCACCAGTTGGGTACAACTCTTAGGAGGATGAATAACAGATTTCCTATTCTAGATACTCCACTCCGTGTTCTGTTTTAAAATAAATTTATTAAGCAGCCTATTAAAAATGACATAGTTTAGAGCTAGGCTGAATTAAAACCAGTATATAATTAGATTTTATTCTGTCTTTGTAAATGCATAAAGGATATCACTGGGTATGTGATATGAAGCATTCCTTGTGTCCCAGACACCAATTTCATGACTCAGGAAATTTCAGCAAAAACACAAAACTCTAATCTTTCCAGATACTGTTTTGTTGCCTGCCAAAACTTAGACATAAATTGCAGGGGGAAGAAAAGCATTATGTCCACAATTAAGAGAATTGACACTTTATGTGTATATAATCTGTTACTATTATTTGTGCTCAGATTACAGTTTTTGATGTTCATTATTTCATTCTTTCAGCAAACATCTGTTGAGTGACGACCACATTCCAGACATTGTGCTGGGTTCAGTGGAGCTTGTAGTCTCATGAGGAGGACGTGCAGTAACAGTTGTATAGGCAACGACAGCACAGGGAAAAGAGTGGTTGACTTTGTGACACAGGTGGTCCTGCAGGGTGAATAGGAACTGATCAAGTAGACAGGGTAGGGAGGGTGGAGCTCAGGAGACATACCTGACAGAGTGGACAGTGTGCGCCAAGAATGGAGAAGTAGGAAATGGCATGGCTTACTTTAGTATTTAGCTGTCATTTTCATTTTTAATAGGAAATATATATTGTACATGTTGTAAAATGCAAATAGATCAACAGTGACAGTTAAGTCCTATCTTTCCTCTGACCCTCAGCCACACAAGTCCTCTCCTTAGAGAGAGCCACTGTTACATTTTCTTGTAAATGCCCTTCCACGGAATTATGATACATTTATAAACCTGAGATAGATTTTTATCTCCCCTCAAAAGGTAACATGTTATGCAACTTGTTTTTCATCTTGCTTTTTTCCACCTAATGCATAGGATGTGTGTAGAGTGGCTGCATTCTTTTTAATGTAATGGCTATAGACTCCATTATGTGAGTGGACAACAGTTTATTTAGTTGGTACCCTTTGGAGGAGACATTTAGGCCTTTTATAATAATGTGGTGTCGCCTATCCCATGATGTAGATTGGAATAAGTGAGCAACAGCCAGACTACAGAGCTGAGGGTTGTAAATATATTCAACTCTTAGTTCAGATTCTGCTAACAAACAGAAAGTCAAGCATGTTGGAGAAAGAACCAAATCGAATTCCAAGAAATGCAATATATTCATTGAAATTACAAACTCAAGATAAAGAACTGAAAAGACAGCACTGAATCCTAACCACTAGACTACCAGATTTAAATGTAAACTATATTAATCCTAGTAGAAAACCTAGAAAGTACCCTTCCTGACATCAGACTTGGCATAGAATTTTTTGGCTAAGTCCTCAGAAGTAATTGCAACAAAACCAAAAGTAGGCAAGTGGGACCTGATTAAAGAGCTTCTGCACAGCAAAAGAAACTATTAACAGAGTAAACAATCTACAGAATGGGAGAAAATATTTGCAAACTATGCATCTGACAAAGGTCTAATTTCCAGAATCTGTAAGGAACTTAACAAGCAAAAAACAAATAATCACATTAAAAAATGGACAATGGAACAGACACTTCTCAAAAGAAGACATACAAGTGGCCAAGAAGCATATAAAAAAAGTTGATTATCACTGATCATTTGAGCAATGCAAATCAAAACCACAGTGCAATACCCTTCCATACCAGTCAGAATGGCTGTTATTAAATAGTCAAATAAAACAGATGCTGGCAAGGCTGCACAGAAAAGGGGAACACATATACACTGTTGATAGGAATGTAAATTAATTCAGCCACTGTGGAAAGCAGTTTGGAGATTTCTCAAGGAACTTAGAACTACCATTTGACCTGGTAATCCCACTACTGGGTATATATCCAAAGGAATATAAATTGTTCTATTATAAAGACACATGCATTCATATGTTCATTGCAGCACTATTCACAATAACAAAGACATGGAACCAACCTAGGTGCCCATCAACAGTGGATTGGATAAAGAAAATGTGGCACATATACCCCAGGGAATACTACACGGCCATAAAAAAGAACAAGATTACGTTCTTTGCACCAACATGGAAGTAGCTGGAGGCCATAATCCTAAGCAAATTAACACAGGAACAGAAAACCAACTACTGCATGTTCTCACCTGTAACAGGGAGCTAAACATTAGTACACATGGACATAAAGATGGAAACCATAGACACTGGGTACTATGAGAGGGGGAGATGGGGGTGTGGATTGAAAAATTACCTGTTGGGTACTATGTTCACTACCTGGGTGACAGGATCCATACTCCAAACCTCAGCATCATGCAAGTATACCTGTGTAACAAACCTGTACATGTTCCCCCTGTATTTAAAATAAAAGTTGAAATTATATTTTTAAAAACAGAACTGAAAAGAGAACTGGTGAACTGAACAGTGGATCTGAAGAAATTATCCAGAAAGTGCCACAGAGAGGCAGAAAGAAAATGTATCCATATGCTGAAATACTACACAGCAGTGAGACCACATGAACCAGAACCATGTGTCAATCTGGTTGACTCTCACAAGTGTATTATGGGGAGAAAAAAGGCAGGTTACCTAATAATCCATACCATATATAGTTTAAAACATGCAAAGTTAAACAACATATATCTGTAATACTACTCTAAGGGCACAGTAAACACCAAATTCAGTCTAGCAGTGTCCAGAGAATGGGGTATGGGAATCGAAGGACTTGGGTGGGAAGGGATACCAAGGATGCTTAGCTCTCTTGGTAATGTGCTATTGATTAAGCTGAGTGGTGGACACCCAGATGTCCAGTAGACCATTTTTATCCTGATAAATTCTTGTAAAATATATTAAATATACAAAATAGTATATGTAGCTTATATGCAGAAAAAAATGAAATAAGCATGTCCATACTCACTGCCCGGCTTGAGGAACAGAAAATTACCAGTGCCTTTGAACCACTCCCCCCATGTATTCCTTCCCAATTATGGTATACTTTGCCCCTGAGGTGTACTATATCTAGTCCTTCATGTAGCTGATATATTTCATAATAAGGGTTTCTTTTTGTTTTTGTTTGTTTGTTTTTGAGACAGAGTCTCGCTCTGTCGCCCAGGCTGGAATGCAGTGGCGTGATCTCGGCTCACTGCAACCTCCGCCTGCTGGGTTCAAGCAATTCTCCTGCTTCAGCCTCCTGAGTAGCTGGGACTACAGGCATGTGCCACTGTGCCCAGCTAATTTTTTGTATTTTTAGTAAAGATGGGGTTTCACCATGCTGGCCAGGCTGGTCTCAAACTCCTGACCTCGTGATCCACCCGCCTCGGCCTCCCAAAGTGCTGGGATTACAGGTGTGAGCCACCGCGCCCGGCCCATAATAAGAGCTTTTAAGGGGATAAAGCATCTTACTAGTATATTTGATAATTAATTTGAACTCAAATTTTCATCCCCCTTTTTAAGAATTGTTGTGTTGGTCATCTAAGTAAAAATTATATCTTGTGTGCCTATGATAAAACTTCTAAACATAACATATTTTCAGCATCTCCCCAAAATATGTGATGTTTCAAGAGCATAGTGAAAATTAATCTTCCATCTGGCCCCATCAGTTTTAATCAGGGAGAACCAAAGTTAAGTAGTTTCTTGGTTAGTGCCTTAGGATAATACCATCTACAAAAGTGGAGTTCATGTCAGGAGGTTATATGTCAGAAGTCTCCTTTGGAAGATCAAAAAAGCTCATTTTGATGGTGGTGTGGGAAGAGGGAAAAAGAAACTTAAAAACATATCTGGAATAAGGGTTAGGGACCCTGTGTTAGAGCAATGGTACCTTAACTTCTCATCTGTAAAAGAAATGTTTACTAATTGGGAGGTGAGATCTGAGTTAGCAATAGGGATGTTGTTGATGGTCTAGAGAAGCTATGTGCAGTTTCCCAAAAAGATGGTGTATTAGTCAACTTGGGCTGCCATAACAAAATACTATAGACTAGGCGGCTTAAAGAAGAGAAATTTATTTCCTCACAGTTCTGGCGGCCAGAAGTCCAAGATCAGTGTACCTGCATGATTGAGTTCTTACAAGTGATGTGTACATTGTGACTTAAAGAATGGTTAAGAGTTAACCTGGTGAAGATAGTTACGGAGGAGAGAATGGAAAGAGAGTCCCCGGCAGAAGCTCAGAGGAAAAACTGATTAATCTATTTCAAAGCGTAGCTGATGTTTAGCTGAAAATCTTGACCTGGGTCTCTAAAGAGTGACAAACAGGTCAGGAAAGTTTGTGTTCATCTGTAGTAACCTTTTTAATCCAGTCCTTAGGTAACTGACTTGGATTTGATTAATAAGTTTAATTAAAGGGAGAAATAGACAAAACAGCAATAAAAATGTGTTAAATGATCCCTCAGCCACAGGCACACTGTCCTTGATTTTGGGAAATGTCAGAGTGTGGGACAGAAACAAATATTCATACAACTGATTTAAAACAGAAAGCTGATATTATAATTCCAAAGGGCCTTGGACCTAACCCAGGCATCTGCTGTCCTCCCATTATTTTCTGTTCAAATATATCTGTGATTTTTTTTTTTTTTTGAGACAAGGTTTCGCTGTCACTCAGGCTGGAGTGCGGTGGTGCAATCACGGCTCACTGAAGCTTCAAACTCCTGGGTTCAAGTGATCCTCCCATCTCAGCCTCCCGAGTAGCCACACACCACTATGCCTGGGTAATTTTTTAATTTTTTTGTAGATACGAGGTCTCACTATGTTGCCCAGGCTGTTCTAAAACTTCTGGGCTCAAGCAATCCTCCCACCTCAGCCTCCCAAAGTGTTGAGATTGTAGGCATGAGCCACTGTGCATGGCCTGTGAATTTTATTTTAGAAGCATTTTAAAGAAAATGTGTTTAAGAGTACGTATGGGTGCCCCTCCATATTGTTGGGACTTGAGGGGTCTAACTAGTGATACTCTAAATTCTCTACCAAACTGAAGCAGTTGGGAGATAAAGGAGCCAGATGGGTAGCAATCCCAATGTCTCATTTATTAGTGGCAGAGCTAGTAGAGTATGGCTTAGGTATGTGGCAACAATTGACTTCTTGAGACCGTAGTCCTGGAATAGGCAGCAATAATCCCTCCAGGTCCTGGGACTATTGAGCTAGCACAGGCCCCAACTAGAATGAGGCAAGTATAATCAACCTACACTTGGATACCATATTGAACTCAGTAAAAAGTTCAGTTGTGAAGCCCAAGTCTTCCTCCTTGGTTCTAGTTTTCAATGAGCACCTCTTCCATTCAACATTAGAATGGGCATGTTCTTTTGCAAAGACTATCAGAAGAAGGTATGTGGTCTCCCATAGAGAAATGCTGTGCAGCACAGCAACGATGGCAAGTTCTTCCTGGTGTCTCACCCAAGAGCTTCATGGCGCAATATAACTACATTTTCCATGTCTAGTTTTCTTAAGTAGTATATAAGACCTAAAATCATTTCCCCCTCTTATTACTAACTGTAACATTTTGTATATGAGGAAACTACTTAAAATTGATGGTGTATTTTGAATCACATGAACTTGTTCCATCTTGGTTTGAGTTAAATCTTTGGAATTTCAGCTGTTGAAGAAGAGGGGCATTGGATTGGAGGTCAAACTCTTGGCTGATGGGCTTGAATTTCACTCTTTTAGTGTATTGTTCTAAGGGGATGAGATAGAACTTTTGTCTTGAAGAGCGATTGACTCAGGTTATTTCTTTAATTAAACTCAGCCACTGTCAGAGCAGCACTATTCCCAGGTTGGTGAGTCACAGATTTTCTATTGTATTGTCAAGAGTTATCAGTAGCTACCTCTCCCCCACACTCCAGATTCTGAGCCCTTTTAAGGATGAATTTCTGCCTACTGTCCAACAAAGTGGAGTGAAAAAAATGTACGCAAATCCCTTTCCCCAAGAAATTATTGAAAAGGTAATATGTTAATTCTTAATACTTAAAAGATCACGTCTCAGCACTACAAAGGTGTTTAGGCACTGGAATATAAATCCATGGTAATAGCTAAACTATTCCAAAGTGTAAGTCATTTCACAGGCTGGGTGTCCATATGCAGTAGGGGTTCCCGGGCTTGGGAGAGAGAACAACCAGTCCATAAATGACAAACTTTTATTATGATATATTTATGTCCCATGTACTTTAAAATTTTTAATTGACAAAAATTGTATGTATTGTGTACAACATGTTTTGAAATATCTATACACTGTGGAATGGCTAACTCTGTCAGGGAAGTTGCCCCAATATTCACGTAGGTTCTTTTCTATTTTCCTTAAGCGTCGGCCAGCTTGAGAAATAAAGGGACAGAGTACAAAAGAGAGAAATTTTAAAGCTGGGCATCCGGGGGAGACATCACGTGTCGGTAGGTTCCGTGATGCCCCACAAGCCGCAAAAACAAGCAAGTTTTTATTAGGGAGTTTCAAAAGGGGAGGGAGTGTGTGAATAGGTGTGGGTCACAAACATCAAGTACTTTACAAGGTAATAGAATATCACAAGGCAAGTGGAGGCAGGGCGAGATCACAGGACCACAGGACCGGGACGAAATTAAAATTGCTAATGAAGTTTTGGGCACCTTAGTCATTGATAACATCTTATCAGGAGACAGGGTTTTGAGATCAACCAGTCTGACCAAAATTTGTTAGGCGGGAATTTCCTCTTCCTAATAAGCCTGGGAGTGCTATGGGAGATTGGGGTCTATTTCACCCCTGCAGTCTCGACCATAAGAGATGGCCATGCCCAGGGGGGCCAGTTCAGGGACCCACCCCCAGGTGCACATTCTCTTTCTCAGGGATGTTCCTTGCTGAGAAAAAGAATTCAGCGATATTTCTCCCATTTGCTTTTGAAAGAAGAGAAATATGGCTCTGTTCCTCCGGGCTCACGGGAGGTCAGAGTTTAAGGTTTTCTCTCTTGTTTCCTAAACATTGCTGTTATCCTGTTCTTTTTTCAAGGTGCCCAGATTTCATATTGCTCAAACACACATGCTGTACAATTTGTGCAGTTAATGCAATTATTACAGGGTACTGAGGCGATATACATCCTCCTCAGCTGACAGGATTAAGAGGTTAAAGTAAAGACAGGCATAGGAAATCACAAGGGTATTGATTGGGGAAGTGATAAGTGTCCATGAAATCTTTACAATTTATGTTTAGAGATTGCAGTAAAGACAGGCATAAGAAATTATAAAAGTATTAATTTGGGGAACTAATAAATGTCCATGAAATCTTCACAATCCACATTCTTCTGCCGTGGCTTCAGCTGGTCCCTCTGTTTGGGGTCCCTGACTTCCCGCAACATAACTCGAGCTAATTAGCCTATGCATTACCTCACATACTTTTCACTTGTTTGTGGTGAGAACACTTAAAAGCTACTTTGTTAGCAATTTTTGATAATACAACACATTTTATTAACTATAGTTATGTTGTCCAATAGATCTCTTGAACTTATTCCTCCTAACTGAAACTTTGTATCCTTTGACCACTTTCAAAATTGTATTCAGTTTTTGTAATGTAGCATTTTATGTGTCTTAATAAAAGTCACCTTCTTATCCCAAATTGCTTCAGCTAGGAACCTGGTAGTCATCATTAATTCCTCCCTGTTTATGATCTCCCACAGTCACTCCATCGACACGACCAGTTAGGAGGTTACTGAAGAAGTCCAGGCGAAAGACGGTTGGGGTGGATTGGCACATTGGCCATGACCAGTCCTGGGACTCTGGAGCCAGACAACCTGGGATTGAATCTCAGGTCCTTCGTTTGCATGTGACCTATGTGTAACCTTGGGCAAAGTCCTGTTTCTCTTTCTGCCTTGGTTTCTTCAGCAATGTAATAGGAATAGTCATAGTACCTTACTCAAGGGATTGTTGTCAGTATTAACTCAGTTAATATGCCTAAGATGCTTAGAACAGTGTCTGGCACATGGTGCTAGCAGTCACTATTGTTTTTGTTTATCTGCTCTTTCAGATTGTAAACTCCATGACAGCAGAATATATGTTTCACTACCATATGTCCAGTTTCTACCATAGGGCCTGACACATAGTGGGTACCCAAATATTTTTTGAATGCATGCACGAATGAAGAAATATTAATTCATCAATATATAAATAAATAAGGAAGGAAGGAAGAAAACAGTGATTGTGAGCTATGTTTAGTAAGCAAAACCAGGATTATGATATCTAATCACTTTCACAGGATAGAATTATTGATTTATTTTTTGGTTGCTCCTAAGCACCTGGTTGGTAGAAGCTTTCATGTATTGTAACGCTAAACCTGTAATTTTTCAGGGCTGGGGAGTGGGAAGGGGGTTTTCATTTAAGGACGTCTGTGCTTTAAGAATATTTTAGGTTTGTGGTCCAGCTGACGTTTTCTTTATTTTAAAGTTGGAGAGGCTGGGCGCAGTCGCTCACGTCTGTAATCCCAGCACTTTGGGAGGCTGAGGCAGGCAGATCACCTGAGGCCAGGAGTTCAAGACCACCCTGGCCAACTTGGAGAAACCCTGTCTCTACTAAAAATACAAAAATTAGCCGGCCGTGGTGGCGGGCGCCTGTAATCCCAACTACTCAGGAGGCTGAGGCAGGAGGATCGCTTGAACCCAGGAGGTGGAGGTTTCAGTGAGCCGAGATTGCGCCACTGTACTCCAGCTTGGGCAAGAGAGTGAGACTCTGTCTATAAATAAATAAATAAATAAATAAATAAGTAAAAATATAAAGTTGGAGAAATGAGATTCAAAGAAATTTTTCTAAAGTCAGAAATGTTTTCTCATGTCCAAAGTGGGATACCAACTCTTGTTATATATTTCATTGTGGGTACTCTTAATATATAGGTTTGAGTGTAGTTCAGCCTCTATCTGATTGCCAGCGAGCAAATATGTTTTGAGTACCTAGTATGCCAGGCACTTCCATGTGCTAAGGATACAGAGGGGAATTCAACAGATCCCCCACACCCCACCTTCCATGGAGCTGACAGTTGGACCAGCTAGGCAGACCAACTGTCCAGATGTTTATAACAAAGTGTGGCATGTTTACAAAAGAGGAAGCACATAGTGCAGTGGGACTACAAAGCCTTGGAACCTAGCCTAGCTTAGGGAGTCAGGGAGGGCCTCTTGGAGGAGGTGGCATTTAGGCTGTGTTTCCCATTGGAAAAAATAATAGTAAAGTTGCATTTAGATATACCACCTATATAGTTAACCTGCTATCACTTCCTGAGAGTCATTGTATATTCCCCTCTGTTTCTTCCAGGGTCCTGAAGGATTTACGTTTGTGTTACATATTTGATCTGCATATAGGTATTCATGCGTGTAGCCCTTGCACTACAGAATATATTGTCTGCTGGTCTTACATCAGTTCAGTTCTCACTTTGAGAGATACTTATTGGAAAAGTATGGAACACTAGTACTGGAAAAGGATCGCACATGCGATCTCTAGATTCATTTTCTCATTTGCTCTTTTTTTAAAAAAAAACTTTATTGACATATAATTTACATATCATAAAATGCACTCATGTATACAATTTCAGTGATTTTTGGTAAAATCACAAAGTTGTGTGACCATGATAATTCAGTTTCAGAATATCTTAATCATCCCAATAGGATCCTTCATGCCTTAGCCCCTGGCCACCATGAATCTACTTTCCATCTCTGTAGATATACCTGTCCTAGACACTTCATAGAAATGGAATTATACAATATGTGGCATTTTTGTGACTGGCTTTCACTGAGCATGTATGCTTAGTGTAATATCTTTTAGGTTCATCCATGTTGTAGCATGTATCAAGTTCGTTCCTTTTTCTACTGTATGGATAGACCACATTTTGTTTATCCATTCATCAGTTGATGGACATTTGAGTTGTTTTCATTTTTTTGCTGTTATGAATAATGCTAGTATGAACATTTGTCTGCAAATCTTTGTGTGGACATCTGTTTTCAATTCTAGTCTAGGGTAGAGTGTAAATTGCTGAGTTGTATGGTAAGTTTGTTTTTAACTTTTTAAGAAACTGCAAACTGTTTTCCAAAGTGGCTGCACAATTATACATTCCCACCAGCAGCGTATGAGGGTTAGGTTTGCCACATGCTCTCCAACATATGTTAGTATCTGTATTTCTGATAATTGCCATTCTAGTGGGCATGAAATGGTATTTCATTATGGTTTTAATCTGCATTTCCTGAATGATCTATAATGTTGACCATCTTTTCGTGTGCTTATTAGTCATTCATAATTTCTTTTGGTGAAATGTCTATTCTAATCTTTTGCCCATTTTAAAATTGAATTATCTTATTATGGAGTTATATATTTATATATCCTAGATACAAGTTCTTTATCAAATATGTGTCTGCAGTTTTTTCCTCGTCATTTTCTTAATAATGTCTTTTTTTCTCTCTTTTTTTAAGAGACAGGTTCTTGCTCTGTCACACAGGCTGGAGTGCAGTGGTGTGATCATAGCTCATTGTAACCTCAAACTTCTGGGCTCAAGTGGTCCTCCCACCTCAGTCTTCTTTTTTTTTAATTTTGACTTTTATTTTAGATACAGAAGATACATGTGTAGGTTTGTTACATGAGTATATTGCACCCAGGTAGTGAGCATAGTACACAATAGGTAGTTTTTCAACCCACTCCCCATCTTTCCACCCAAGTAGTCCATCATATCTATTATTCTCATGTTTATGTCTGTATGTGTTCAGCATTTATTTCCCACTTATAAGTGGGAAAATGTGGTATTTGTTTTTCTGTTCCTGCCTTAATTCGCTTAGGATAATGGCCTCCAGCTCCATCCACGTTGCAATTTTTTTGTAGAGATGAGGTCTCACTGTGTTGCCCAGGCTGGTCTTGAACTCCTGGCCTCAAGTGATCCTCCCACCTTGGCTTCCCAAATAATGTCTTTTGAAGCACAAAAGTTTTGAATTTTGATAAAATTTAAATTATCAATTTTTTATTTTATTGTTTGTGCTTTTCATATCATATCAGTGAAAAATTTACCTAACCTAGGAACTCACAGATTTTTTCCCCTAGGCTTTTTTTTTCCTAAAGGTTGTATAATTTTAACCTCATAGATTTAGGTCTTTGACCCATTTTGAACTAATTTTTATATATATAGTATTAATTTTTATATATAGTAGGAGGTCAGAGTCTAAGTTCATCTTTATGCATGTAGATATCCAATTGTCCCAGCACCATTTGTTGAAAAGATTGTCCTTTCCTCAATTGAATTGCATTGTCATCTTTATCGAAAATCAATTAACCATAAACACACCATTTTATTTTTGGACTCTCAGTTTTGCTCCATTGAGCTATGTGTCTATCCTTATACCACTACCACACTATCTTTGTAGTGAGTTTTGAAATGTGGAAGTGAAATTCACCCAGCTTTGTTATTTTTCAAGGTAATTTGCGATCTTCTGGTGGTTTTGCATTTCCATGTATGTTTTAGGCTCAGCTTGTCAATTTCTGCCAAAAAATTTGCTGGAATTTTGATAGGAATTGCATTAAGTCTGTAGAGCAATATGGGGAGCATTGTCATGTTAGCTATATTGAGTCTTCTAATTTATGAATATGGGATGTTTCTCCATTTATTTGGGTCATTTCATTTTTCTCAGCAGTGTTTTGTAATTTTCAGTGTATAAATCTTACATTTTGGTCATTCATTTTTCACAGAACGAGTATTTGTACAATTTGGATTTTTTCATACAACTGGCACTTAGAAAATTCTGGTGAGGTGGGAATCCAGAGCTTGGAGAAGTATGGCTTCTCAGTGGTCATAATAAAAGGGGCCTGAGACCAGTGGGCAGAAGCTACAGGGAGACAAACTTTGACTCTGTTTAGAGAGCCAGTGTTGTCCTGCTGCAAAAAGGATAGACCTGGAAGATGGTGAGCCCCCTCACTGTCTGTATTTAAACAAGAGCTGTATAATATCATGGTAAGAAGCTTAGAGACCATTCGTTCTCATTTCTGAGCATGCATTGAAATCAGATATGGAACTTCTTTAAATCAAAATACCTCAAACACCCCCTAAACCTACAGGATGAGAAGTTACAGGAGAGACTCTAGACACCTGTACTTTAATTGGTTCCCCAAGATGACTCTGAATACCACAGTATAAGACCTGTCTGCTGTTGAACAGAGTGTTTTATAAATGTGATGGATAATTGGACTTGTATTGTCCCTTCCAACATTGGCATTTTGTAGTGGCATGAGATCTGGATAAAATGAGTGTGGGGCAACTGTAGACATGCCTTAGGTATGTAGGAAACACAAGCAGAGGGATTTTCCTTGGACAAGCAGGCAGGACCTGTGGTTCTGTTTGTGGTGGGCTTCATATCTCATTCGGATGGTTCAGTGCCAATGCTGAATCTCAAGCAATTCTGAAAAAAATCTTCCTAATGGTGCCATGCAGGTCATCTGATTTTAAGTGACCTGAATGCATTAGAGAAATTGAGCAATAAAATCAGTGGCTTGTGTCTCACACTTCAGGTTTAGCCCATTATATGGCAGATACTTATTTCCCATTTTAATGGGAATTTTTAATAGTAAGGTTGCTAGCTCCATGAAACCTGTCTTCCTTGCAGTCTTTTAATTCTTATTAAAAGAAAACTGATAGAGTAAGGTTGCTTACTTTTTGGCCTGTTTACCAATCTACAGTGCCACAAAGATTGATGATGATACATTATATGATGATACTGTTTTATTACTATCATTATGTGTTTTGCTAAATCCCTGGGAGAGTCTTCTAAATAAATCAGCATTTATACAAGGACAATTATGCCTACCCTTGAAATTTTCCTCTGGTGAAAACCCTATATAACTGTAAAATTGCTGTAGAAGTGCTCATTTTACAGGCACCTGGGAAGCTGCTAGAGGGACAAATAAGGAAGTTATGGTGTCCTGTGCCTTTGCTGGACAGGACAACTTCAAAAACAGTGAGTTCTGTAGCTACTTTTCTAGAGATATTTTTTCTATTTTGCTCCAGCCCACATATCACTTGTCTTCCTAACCTCCATCCCCAATATGCACTATTTTTATAGCAAGAGATGATGCAAAGGAAAATAACTAATTCTAAAGGGCTCATAAAAAGCAGCATTTGTACAGCTTTTGACAGTTTATAAAGGGTTTTGACATATGCATGTTCTCACTACATTCTTACAACAGCCCAATTTTAGAAATGAGCAGCAGAGAGGTACTTTGTGCTGGATTGTAGCTAGGTGGAAAGTGAAGTTACCTACCCAGGTCTTCTGTCACTGAATCTACCAAATTCTTCTCCATTATGCTTCCTCATTACTACCAGACAAAATAAATATATCAGGAAAAGTTGGTAAATAGCAACAAATAATGCCTTAGAATTAATTTGCTACAATATACAAAAGCAAACATTTTCAGTAAATTTTTGCTTCTTATACATTTATAAAACATGGCAAGATAACAAGCATGTAGGAATTCTGTTATTCATGCTCATGGGAGGACTTCTGGAATGACTGTGTGAGAGCTCAATAAATCTTCTTCCCAAAACACAGCAATAAAATTGGACAAAGTTGTCAAAAATAACTATTTAGTCTCTGTAAATTGATGAAAGGTCAATTAAATTGAGGAACATTTATTAAAGAAAATCTACTGAATCTTGGTAAGAATAGTAGGTGTCTATGGCATTTAAGATTGCTCCCATCCCTGCCAGATCCATGTTCTGGATGATTTATCACAGGCAGGTGGAATAGACTGCAGTGACCACCAGCTCCCATTTCTCCCACCAGCTCCAGAAATAAACCATTGTGTTTATGGTCAGTTGATTTTCAGCAAAGGTACCAAGAGAATTCACTGGAGAAAAGACCGTATTTTTAACAAATGGTGCTGGAGCAATTAGATACCCGTATGCAAAAGGATGAATTTGGACCTTAACCTGACACCATACACACTAAGTTAACTCAGATTGTATCAGAGATCTAAATGTAAGCATCAAGGCTATAAAACACTTAAAAACATAAGAAATATTCATAACTTTGGGTTAGACAAGTGTTTTTTAGATATGATACCAGAGCCACAAGCAATAAAATAAAATGGATAAATTAGATTTAATCTATCAGAGTAAAAAAATTTTGCTCTGCCAAAGACAATGTCAAGAGGCTGGAAAGACAAGCTACAGTCTGGTAGAAAATATTTGCAAATCATATATCTGACAAAGGACTTGTATCTAGAATATATAAGGAACCCAAAATGTATAAGGGAACCCAGAATATATAAGGAACCCATAAGAAAACAACCCAGTTTTTAAAATGGGCAAATAACTTGAAGAAACATTTCTCTGAAGAGGGTATTAGGATTGCCAATAAGTACACAAAAAGATATTCAACATCATTAGCCATTAGGGAAATGCAAATTTAAAGTATGGTGAAATACCACTACACACCTATTACAATAGAATGGCTAAAATGAGAGATATTGGCAATACCAAATGTGGATGAGGATGTGGAGCAACTAGAACCCTCATATGATGCTGTAGGGGACAGTGGTTAAAAAATGGTATAGTTGGGCATTTGGGTTGGTTCCAAGTCTTTGCTATTGTAAATAGTGCTGCAGTAAACATACGTGTGCATGTGTCCTTATGGTAGAATGATTTATAATCCTTTGGGTATATACCCAGTAATGGGATTGCTGGGTCAAATGGTATTTCTTTGATAGAATGGATAAAGAAAATGTGGCACATATATACAATGGAATACTATGCAGCTATAAAAAAGAATGAGTTCATGTCCTTTGCAAGGACATGGATGAAGCTGGAAGCCATCATTCTCAGCAGACTAACACAGGAACAGAAAACCAAATACCGCATGTTCTCATTCGTAAGTGGGAGTTGAACAATGAGAACACATGGACAGAAGGAGGGGAACATCACACACCAGGGCCTGTCAGGGGGTAGGGGGAAAGGGGAGGGAGAGCATTAAGACAAATATCTAATGCATGCGGGGCTTAACACCTAGATGATGTGTTGATAGGTGCAGCAAGCCACCATGGCACATGTATACCTATGTAACAAACCTGCACGTTCTGCACATGTATCCCAGAACTTAAACAAAAAAAAAAAGAACTGAAAAAAAAAAAAGGCATAATTACTTTGAGAAATGGCTTGCAGTTTCTCATAAAGTTAAAGATATGCTGCACATATGACCGAGCAGTCCCACTCTGGGTATTTACCTTAGAGAAATGAAAACATGTTCATATAAAAACTTGTTCATGGGTGTTCATGGCAGCTTTATTTGTGCCAGCCAAAAGCTGGAAAGAAGCCAGATATCCCTCAGTAGGTGAGTGTTTATACAATGGAATACAACTTAGCAGTAAAATGAGATGAAGTGTTAATTCACACAATACTTGGATGAACCTCAAAGGTGTTACGCTGAGTGAGAGAAGCCAGTCTCAAAAGGTTACATACTGCATGGTTCCATGTATTTAACCTTGCAAAGACAAAACTGTATTAATGGAAAAAACAAAACAAAACAAAACAAAACAAAAAGCAGTGGTTGCTGGGGTTAATATGTAGGATGAAGGTATCAGTGTGAAGAGATAGTACAAGAGAGTTTTGGGGGAGTGGTAGAACTATTTGGTATCCTTGTTGCAGTGGTGCTTACATGAATCTATATGTGTGTTAAAATTCATAGAACTGTACACCAAAAGAAAAAATAATTCATTGTATAACAATAAAGCAAAAAAAAAATTTTAAGACAACATCAGAGAAATTTTAAAAAAGAAAGGAAAAATATAGGTCATAGATTTGGGGAAAATATTTTCAAATTGTATTTTCAATAAGGGACTTCTATCCAGAAAACAAAAAGTTTGGGTTTTTTTTTTACCATTCAATAAGAGAACCTGAGTTAAAATATGGCAAGAGATTTGAATGACGAGACATTTCACCAAAGAAGATATACAATGGCCTATAAGCACATAAAAAGATGCTCAGCATCTTTAGGCATTAGGGAAATGCACATTAAAACTACAATGAGATACCTCTGAACATTCTCTAAAACAGGTATGATCATAAGACAATAACAAGTGCTGCTGTGCCTGTAAACAAACTATAACTCTTTTTTTTTTTTTTTTTTTGAGGCGGAGTTTCGCTCTTGTTGCCCAGGCTAGAGTGCAATGGCACGATCTTGGCTCACCGTAACCTCCACCTCCCAGGTTCAAGCGATTCTCCTGCCTCAGCCTCCTGAGTAGCTAGGATTACAGGCATGTGCCACAACGTCCAGCTAATTTTGTATTTTTAGTAGAGATGGGGTTTCTCCATGTTGGTCAGGCTGGTCTCGAGCTCCTGATCTCAGGTGATCTGCCCGCCTCGGCCTCCCAAAGTGCTGGGATTACAGGTGTGAGCCACTGCGCCCGGCCAACAAACTGTAACTCTCATGTGTTGCTGGCGAGAATGTAAAACAATACATTTTTCCCAATGTAGTTTGGCAGTTTCTAAAATATTAAACATAGATTTATCATATGACACAGCAGTTCCACTCCTAGGTATCTACTCTAGGGAAATGAAAACATGTCCACAGACTTGTATGCAAATGTTCATAGCAGCGTTATTCACATTAACAAAAAAGGGAAACAACTCAAATATTTATTGATTAGTTAATGGACAAATAAAATATGATACACTGGTACAGTGGAATACTATTTGGCAATAAAAAGGAATGAAGTACTGATACATGCCTCCAACATAGATAAACCTTGAAAACATACTAAGTGAAAGAAGCCAGACACAAGAGGCTACATATTGTATGACACCATTTATATTAAAAGTCCAGAAACGGCAAATCTATAGTACAGAAGGTAGATTAGTAGTTGCCTGGGAATTGGAGTAGGAAGCAGGAAGTGACTGCAGATGGAAATGTTTCAAAATCAGATTGCAGTGATGATTGTGCAACTCTGTGAATATACTAAAAATCATTGAATAGTATACTCTAAAATGGGTGAATCTTATGGTATGTAAATTGTACCTTAATAAAATTGCTTTTTAGTTTCACCACATATTCAAAACAAGGAACAAAAATATTTTGAATGAATTCTCCTTGAAACTAATATATCAACGAATAACACAGCTGCATAAGTAGCAGAACAAGTAGAACAAGGTATTGAAAGGGCTGTAATATTCACTCTCAAAATCCAAGTCATGTAAATTACCCCCAAACCTGAAAAGTCATTGTCAACTGCTGGAATCCATTGGATTCTCTTTATTCATTGAATTAGAAATAGTTATCACCATCTTCAAACACTGTGTAACTGGATGCAAAATGAGATACTTTCTTTTCTTGGAATTTCAGATGAAGCTTTAAAACTCATAACAACCCCTACTGTGCTGTAAAAAACTCCACAGTGGTGGCCACACTGATCAGGTGATCACCTACCCTCAGTACCTTACATAAGAAAAAATGAGGTCTCACTAAAGAACAGTGCACCCACGTACCTGTTCTCCTCCGTAACAAAGGCTTATTAACATAGACATTTAAATATTGTAGCTGATGGATGGCTGTCTAGAATTAAACCTCACCATGTCCACTTGTTCAGCTCTCCTCCCAACAGCCTCAGCCACAAAAGGAAAACTGGCACCAGACCAATGGGAGCTGGTTTCTTTAATGAACCCGTGGGATTTTTAAACCACACGTTGCTCTCATGATTATATTCCTTCATCATACTACCAAGTTTTGGATAAGCACATACATAAACTATATATATGCAAGTACAGTTGTGAAGTGAGTTTTTTTCCTATCCACAAGTTGAAACAGTCTCGAATTTTTGCCCCTTTGGAGTTTACCATCTTGTTTTAAGCCACATCAAATGTCAAAGGAATTTCATCCATATTTGCTTTCTGTAAAAGTTCAAAACAATTCTTTCATTAGTAATGTACCTACGAAATCAGTGATTGTCTCTTTATCAGCTGACATTTTATGTGCTATTTTCCCTGGCCCAAACACACAGTAGGTTATTTCTCTTTGTGATCTAGAACACTAGGCTGTTAATCTGGTCAAATCATTAGTGCTTCTGTTGCTCTCCATCATTTTTTATGAATACTGAACTTTCTGAAGCTTTCAAAAAAAAATCTAGTGCATGTTTTAATTCCTTGTAGCTATGACCACTTCACAGTTCCCTGTCAGGATGTCTCCGAGATCCAGCAGATGAAAATATGCTGTTCATGTTTTCTCCAAGTCTTTATCATTTTCTCACCTAATTACCTTCCTGCAGTTCTAATATCCTATTCTTTCTTCAACTGGAAAACGCCAAATATGAACTTAATATCATGCCATGGAATATAGTGGTAATAAATATGAATCTAAAATGTCTGGGGAGGTACCCAAACTCTACCTTGAGTTAGTGGTGTACCCTGTGGCTTGGTATATTTTTGGTCAAAACTGTCAGGATGGTGTTAACCTTACATCTCTGCTGTGGTGTTTTGTGTTGCCATATTTTAACCACAAGGGGGCAGCATCACCACCTTCGCTGTCTCCCTTCCATCTTTAATATGAGCGCATTGGGCCCAGGGTAGAGAAGAAAAGGTTTTACAACTTTAAAAAGCAATATTCGTCATCTGGTGATGATTGTAAATATGATAGTGATGATTACTGGAAGAGAGTTGAAGAATGTTTCCTCTAATTGAGGAATTTGTCTACAAATATAAACCCTCTCTTGTTAGAGTAGTATTCATGAGGACCTTTGCTAGTATGCTTCAGTCTTTCCATTAGCTCTGCTAATAATGAGGTTAGAAAAGTCAAGAAACAATGAGTTACATGAAGCAGGTTCTGATTTTTAGGAGAAAGATAGTCTGTAAATGACTTGTTTTGGCTTCCTGATGACAATTTAAGTTAAATCATGTTCCAAATAGCTGCCTCCAGATGCTGCAGATCATCCTGTATTATGATGAGTGTTGAAGGGCTAGAGTCGTCTTTGCCATGTAAAACTTCGTCAGAAAATAACTGTCTAACCAGGGAGTGAAATAAGACTAAAAAGCATCACAGAGTTCCATCTAGAGTGGAGAGAGAGCCCCCCAGAGCCCTGAACAGCTCCACTGCCACCAATCTCATTACCATCACACCTGCAAAGGGGCCACTGCTGCCACAGCTGGCCCCAGTCACCATTACTGTGACCGCAAACATGAGCAGTGAGGCTGAGACACTTGGCATGACACCATGGGCAGAGGCAGAGGGAGTGGCAGCCTGCAAACAGGACAAGAAGGTTATCCCAGTGAAAGTTTGGGAACAGTAAGATGGTTCAGTGTAAGAAATATATATGGTTTCGTCCACAGGAATGACACTGGGTGAGATGTATTTGTATGCCAGATTGTCATAAAGAAGAATAACCCCCAGGAAACACCCTGGCAGTACAGGGGATGGAGAAGCTGTGGAGTTCGATGTTGAAGGAGAAAACGGTACACAGGCAGCAAAGATTGCAGGCCCTGGTGGAGTTCCAGTGCCAGGCAGTACAGATGCAGTAGACTGAAGCCATTATAGATGTTATCTGCATCATGGGGGTCTTCCACACGGTCACCAGCACAATTACCAGAACAATGAGAGTGGGGAAAAGAAGGATTGGAGAGTTCCCTTAAACGTCAGGCCTTACAGCACACAGAAGATGCCTCCTCCCTTGCAGAGACCCTATGATTCTTGACCAGAGTGTTCTAACCCTCCTGTGCAGAGACAAGTGATGGAGGGTGGTGACAACCAGGGTGAAGGAGAAGAGGTAGGTCAGTGAGACAGATTACGTATTGGGGTTACAGACCACGAATCTCCAGGGCCCCTCCTCACCTAGAACAGTAATGAACACCCAAGGCCAGCAGCCATGTCATTGTAGGCACCCCCCAACTTCAGTTACCAGCACAGACACCCAGAAAACCCTGAACCACAAGATGGCAAAGAGACTGACAGCTAGGAAGTCCGTTGCCAAGGCTGAGCAGAGCAGGACAGAGTAAATGCCAGCCAACCATTTCTAGTGTCATCTGGTTTGTCATCCTACAGGAATAAATGAATATAAATTCCAGCAATAAGACCTGAACAAAAGATTGGTTCTGAAGACCTTAAGTGACTGCTTTTGGCCCATTTACCAGACAGCTAGCACTATCTGAGTTATGGAGCTTTCATTACTTTTCCCTACAGACATCTCTTTTTGGTAATGATAAATATGTTTTTTTAAATATGTTTTTTAAAAGGTCTGGGGCCAGGCATGGTGGCTCACGCCTGTAATCCCAGCACTTTGGGAGGCCGAGGTGGGTGGATCACCAGAGGTCAATAGTTCGAGACCAGCCTAGCCAACATGGTGAAACCCCGTCTCTACTAAAAATACAAAAATTAGCTGGGTGTGATAGCGCATGCCTGTAGTCCCAGCTACTCGGGAGGCTGAGGCAGGAGAATTGCTTGAACCTGGGAGGCGGAGGTTGCAGCAAGCCGAGATTGCACCACTGCACTCCAGCCTGGGTGACAAAGTGAGACTCTGTCTCAAAAAACAAATAAAATAAAATAAAAGGTCTGGTTTTTCTTATATGCCTTTAAAGGTTTTCAAATTGTTTCGTATCTGGTCAGATTGAGATTATTAAGAAACTCATTTTTAAGTTGTAAAAAAAATCAAGTTGTTTTATTACAAGTCAACAAACTGCAAGTATCTGTTAATATGGGTCTATAATAATTATAATAACACAACACAGATGCAGATTTTGGCTCAAAGAACTATATTTTTCTAGATTTTATATTTTATTTGCTATTCAACAATGTCTTGTGAGTTCTTATATATCTTGGTGATAAGAGACATTATAGAACATTACACATGGAAGACAGTAAACATCGTTCTTTTTCTCAGCAACTTTCTCCATTAATGGCAAAATGAGATGAGGAAGCAAATATATCATTCTGTCTTTTAATATTGCCAGCAAAGAACTGAATTTAGAGAGAAGTCTGAAATTTTCCTTCTAGAGAATTATAGAAAGTGTCTGATAGTGATTTATGGCTGGTTTTTTGTTTTTGTTTTTTAATCTTTCACTCACTTTTACTTGGGCATGTCTGACTCGTGTTCAGGTCCAGGGAGCCACACTCCTTCCTTATTCACAGAATTGAATGCTTATACATGATCTTGCTGTTTTTATTTTTCCTAATGGGAGAGCCCTACTAAGAAGGGTATGAGACTTACATACTTGTAGCTGATGATCTTAGCCATCTCATAGCTACAGCCCCAAGAAGCCAGCTCTCCAGCCCCTGAATCCTGACTCCTCAAATGTACACTGCAGTGTTTCACTTCCCAAGGGGTGTAATTACCTTCTCCATGATACCAGTGTTTCAAATGACCTAAGCAAAAGAATTTCTTTTTTCTCCCCTTTCCTCTGATGTGTGGCAAAGCAAGTTACATTTATAGCAACTGGAAATTCCAGTGGGCTGGTCCTTGCTGGCACATGGCAACAGGACTGGCTTGAGGGATGCTGCTGAGTGAAATGAAAGAGCTCAGCAGTTCTGCTTTGTGCTGTCCTGGCCAGAAAAATCTTTGCTGCTTGTCATCCCATCTTCCTCCACTAGAAGCCTGAGAAATGAGACATGCTCAGGTGTTAAAAGTGGTCACAGGGCTGGCTGGATGTGGTGGCTCACACCTGTAATCCCAGCACTTTGGGAAGCTGAAGCCAGCAGATCACTTGAGGTCAGGAGTTCGAGACCAGCCTGGCCAACATAGTGAAACCTTGTCTCTACTAAAAATACAAAAAAAAAAAAAAAAAAAAAATTAGCCGGGTGTAGTGGTGGGTGCCTGTAGTCCCAGCTACTTGGGAGGCTGAGGCAGGAGAATTGCTTGAACCTGGGAAGCGGAGGTTGCAGTGAGCCCAGATCACGCCACTGCACTCCAGCCTGGGTGAGAGAGCGAGACTCCACTCAAAAAACAAAAAAGTGCTCACAGTGTCATAATACCACTGAAGGTACTGTCCCACCTTGTCCTCCTGGTGGCCGAGCAACTTAAATCGGACCAGAATAGATGGATGCTTAACCCTTTCAATCCTGAAGGCCCATGCAGTTTCTCCTAAAATACATACCCCATGCCCAGTTTCTAAGATTACTGCTGCATTTCTTAGTTGTTGAAAGTCAACTATGCCATTATTTCCACACTTTCTCTATCCTTCCTCAGGCCTGATGAGTTTTTTTCCACTCTTTCAGGGCTCATCGTTGGGGTGATCCTGAGGTATGGTACCCCTGCTACCAGTGGCCGTGACAAATCACTCAGCTGCACTCAGGAAGACAGGGCCTTCAGTACCTTATTAGTGAATGTCAGCGGAAAGTTCTTCGAATACACTCTGAAAGGAGAAATCAGTCCTGGCAAGATCAACAGCGTAGAGCAGAATGATATGCTACGGAAGGTGAGCTGGGGACACTCAGCCATCCTTGTCCTGACATGGTTGTTGATTCCCTGACTTGTCTTGACCTTGTGGAGAGAAATCCTTCCAAACTCCTGGATTATCCGTAACATTCCTGGCTCTCTGTTTTGTTACAAAGCTTTTTGGTCCATGATGAGGAGAAGGAAGAACCAGATCTTCAACTTGAGCCTTTCAGCTGGTGACCTTTGTGGGTCTGTTAGCATCTGTAGCTGAAATGGGCCACTGATTGTGCAATGGATTTGTACGTCCCCACTCAGCTCATTTATCCAGCCACCATCTCCTCTTTGCTATGTCTCTTATCCTTCCTGTGGTTTAGGGATGATATTGCTACTTTCTTAAAATAAGATTGATTTCACTTTTAGCTTAATTTATTCAGTATTCAGAAGGGTAATTCTTAGTTCTTCGTGGTTCTTTTGCTATATCCTACAAATATTTGAGTGCTTACTCTTATCAGTGATTGATGCCAGAGGCTTAATGAATCTTCAGGGGAAGAAGAAGATCTTGTTGTCTTAGAATTTGAGTCCAAGCATTTTCATTTAATGTTGGGGTAGCAACATAGTCCACATGAAAAAGCATTATACATCTTGCATGGGTAATTTCCAGGATAAGCAAGAGATCTGTATTAATTGATGTATACTCCATTACCTTATAGACCAGGGTTTATCAGAAGGAAGCCTTCTGTATAGCGGTCTTGGGAGATCCAGGTTGTGGGGAGCCCATTTTAATACAGCACAAGGCTAAGGTATGTGAAGGCTGACAGTGAAAGGCAGAGTGTAGCCTGTGCTCCAGAAATTAAATTATTGTTGTTTTTGGAATCTACCCTAATCCTTAAGGAAAATTATTCTCTACCTGGAGCATTAAACATGACCATCTTTTCTGTGTCCCTAATGGCAGCACTCTTTGCTCTCAACTCTTCATAAGAAAGCATGGGGTTTTCATAAACATTCTGAAATTCAGCGCAACTGAGAATGAAATCCAATGTAAATACCACACTTAATGGCTGTTTGGAAATGGCAGCTTGAGCCCTTCATATTGGATAAGATGGGGGAAAAGGGAAATGATACCAACACATTTCCATCTTTCAGGTCATAATAGAAGATGAAGCTGACTTTTGCTCTCTTATCTTTAGAAACCTGTTTATTTAAATCCCCTCTGTTTAAAATTTTGCTGCACAAAGCAAAGGTGGGAGAACAAACAAGGCCAGGATGATTGTTGCTAGTTGAGGGAAAAGAGACATGTTGACATAGCTTGGTTGATAAGAAGAGCATTGGACTGAGTGTCAGAAAACCCTTGTGCTAGTTTGTACATTATTGGGTTTGGTGGCATCCAGCAATTTTCACTGCCTTTGGGCCCAGTGTCCTCATATTGGGTAGGTACTGTCCAAGGCTCCTTCTCATTCTGACATTCCCTGCTTTGCAGAACACTCTTATCTTTAACAAGAAGAGAGAATAAAGCATCATTTGAAAGAACCTACTTTTATTAGGCTGATTAACACCTCCAGTTTCTAAACAAATAAGTTAACATTTAATAACTAGAATGAAGGTTTAAAAATAATTGAAACACAAGCCAAATAATCTACCAGCGTGAACAAATTCTTTAAAAAGATTAGCATGTTTATAGCATGCTTAATTTTTTTCTGGATATGATAAAACTTTGTTCTCTAAAAGTTTCAGAGTAATTTGATTAATTTCCCTGTATCAAACCTACAAGAAATTTCAGTTCCTTTAAAGTTGCCCAATTTATGCTGATGTTCAGGAGCCACTAACATCACTGGTGACTTTGATTTAGGCTACATCAAGTGTCACAGAAGGCTGGTCACTCAAAAGAGACTTAAATTCAGCACAATTTTGTCTATAAAGGATTCTGTGAGGGGATCCAGGAAGTTAATAAAGAATCACGACGGCATCTTTTACTGCAGTTGAGTCTTTATAAACGTGTGATGAAAATCAAGATTTTTTTTTTTTTTTTTGAGATGGAGTCTCGCTCTGTTGCTCAGGCTGGAGTGCAGTGGTGCGATCTCAGCTCACTGCAACCTCCGCCTCCTGGGTTCAAGCGATTCTCCTGCCTCAGCCTCCCAAGTAGCTGGGATTACAGGCATCTGTCACCACACCTGGCTAATTTTTGTATTTTTAGTAGAGATGGGGTTTCACCATATTGGCCAGGCTGGTCTCGAACTCCTGACCTTGTGATCCACCCGCCTCGGCCTCCCAAAGTGCTAGGATTACAGGCATGAGCCACCGTGCCTGGCCAAGATGTTTTTATGAAAAACACTGGCCAGAAGCTTTCTGTGAGTTCTCAAAATTGCATGAAACTGTTGTGTCTTATTATGTTTTAAAACAGCACAAGCAAGATCATAAGAGCAAAAGTGTTATGGGGAGAAGAGCATGCCAGTCCATGGGGAGTCATAGCTTCTCCTCTGGGATAAGTCCATGATTTTTCACATTTATGTTGTTTGCTCTAAATATTCAAACTTTAGTCAATGGCTTCAAATATTAAGCAGATATTATAGCATGAATTGGAGTTAAATAAAAAATTGGCTTTTTTTTCTTTTTAAACTTTCAGGTAACATTCGATCCAGAAGTATTTTTCAACATTCTTCTGCCTCCAATTATTTTTCATGCTGGATACAGCTTAAAGAAGGTAAGATGTTTTTGCCAGTATTTCTGAAATCATGTGAATCTCTGTGTTAATTTACCTGCATAATTTTCTAGTTATTTTTCTTCTCCCAGATTGCTTATTACTTTGTTCTGCACCCACTCAGAGACTATAGTTGACTTCTCATCAATGATTCATTTCTGTTTTAAAATCTGGAACTCCCATACATTGCCAGTGGGAAGGTAAAATGGTACAGCCACTCTGGAAAACAAGTTGGCAGTTTCTAATAAAACTAAAGTTGAAATTGCCATATGACCCACAGTTTCACTCCTAAGGATTTATCCCAGAGGAGTGAAAACTTATGTTCACGTAAAAACCTACACATGATCGTTCATACCAAGTTGTAATAGACAAACACTGGAAACAACCAAAATGTTCTGTAATAGGTGAATGGTTAAACAAACTATGGTATATCCATGTTGTAGAGTATTACTCAACAATAAAACAGAACAACCTATTGATACACCCAACAACCTTTATGAATCTCAAAGGCATTATGCCGAGTGAAAAAAATCCAATCTCAAAAGGTTGTATACTCTGTGATTTCATTTATATAACATTGTAGAAATGACAAAATTATAAAATGGGAAACAAATTAGTGGTTGCCAGTGAATAGGGATGGTGGGGGCATTGGGGTGGGGGTGCTTATAAAGGGGTAGCATGAGGGACATCTTCAGGGTGATGGAACAGTTGTGTATTTTGATTGTGGTGGTAGTTATGCAAATCTACACATTTGATTAAATGATAGGGAACTATGCACACACATAATACATATAATGCTAGTTTCTTGGTTTTGATATTGTACCATAGTTATGTAAGATGTAACCATTGGGGGAAACTGGGTGAAGGCTACATGAGACCTCTCTGTACTTAATCTTTGCAACTTATGTGAATCTATAATTATTCCAAAATAAAAAGTTTTAAAGAACCTAAGTATCCTTATTACTGAGGGTCATCGTGCTAGACAGCAAGGTTGGGCCAGAGCTTCTAGTTATTTAAAATACTAAATACCAGCCTGGGCAACATAGCAAGACCCTGCCTCTACAAAAAGCAAAAAAATTAGCTGGGCATGGTGGTACATGCCTGTGGTCCTAGTTACTCTTGGAGGAGTCTGAGGTGGGGAGCTTGAGCCTAGGAGTTTGAGGCCGCAGTGAGCCTTGATTGTGTCTCTGTACTCCAGTCTGGGCCACAGAGCAAGACCCGGTCTCTAAAAATAAATAAATAAATAAATAAATAAATAAATAAATAAAAACAAATGCCAGATATCTTTACAAATATTTATGGATGGCTCCCTCCCTCTCCCATTGTGGTAATATTGTCTGAAAATTAAGCCTCCTCAAAGGCAGGTAACAGCTGTGGAACTTGTTTCAGCTCTCTTTCTGAATGAGGACTAAAGGAAACCCTTTCAGTGAGTCTAGAGAAGAGAGATTTTGCCTGACAATAAAACTCAACAACATCCTTAGGATCTAGAGAATGCCTCTGAAACTGATAAACTCTAGCTAGGTCAGTTGAGAAAAAGGGAGGAAAGAAACAAATTACCTGTATTAGGAATAAAAGAAGGGACTTTACTACAGACCCTTCAGATATTAAAAGGATAATAAGGGAATACTATGAACAATTTTTGTGCCAATAAGTTTGACAACATCATGATGAGATCTTGCCGTGAAAAACAACTCAAAAAAAGAAAAATAAATCTGGCAACCCAGGTGAAATGGACAAATTCCTTGAAAGACATAAATTATCAAAACTGACCTGAGATGGAAAGCTTGAACAGACCTATATTAAAGAAATTGAGTTTATAATGAAAAACCTTTCCACACACCCATATGGCTTTACTGGTGAATTATATCAAGCATTTATGGAAGAAATAATACCAATCTTATACAAATTCTTTCAGAAAATAGAAGAGGGAACACATCCCAATTCATTTTATGAGAGGATGCCGGCCCATCAGGCTGGGTTTTCTATCAAAGCCACTCTGCACTTTTCAGATGATTTTTAAACAATTTCCAGCCAACATAAATATAGTTTACAGAGCATTTGCTGTGTATTAGGAACGGATATTCTTTATTTCTGTTTTTACATCCATTCTTTCTAATCTTCACAGAAACTCTGTAAGAAGGTGATGGTGATTGAAGATTAGTTCACACTGCTTCTCCTCCAGGTTTCCAACTCATCGATAAACAGATACAAGGAGTTAACTTGTGATTAAATGATTGATTTATGATCCTAAGTCCCTGGTAAATGCATGTTGGAGTATGTCACTTAGCCTTTAGTAATGGGGCTGCTTACAACCTACCTCATGAATTGAGGACAGGTACCCTTTAGCCACCAGGTCAGTCACAGTTACACCTAAGGAGGCTGAAATGGAGAGATCCTAGAAATTGTTGGGCCTGCGCAAAGCTGCCTCTTTCGCTCATAGCATGGAGGCTAGAGGAGCAAGAACAATTCCCCACCTTGCACAACAGGGTCAAGACTACAAGTCAGGGTCAAACTCACTTCCTCTTTCAGAGATCAAGTGACCCCTCCTTACTGCATAACCTTCAGGGCAGGAGGGGAAGGGGGAGAGGAATGGAACATAAGTTCTGTCTGCATAATAGGTGCTTGAGGAACGGAGGCTGTGTGTTTCTGCACGCCAGCCCAGTGCATTTGTGTACTCACATGTAGAGTGTCCTGTGTTTTACTGATGATGAATCTCAGCTCAGAATGATTAATGATGCATATGAGGTTACGTAGATAACGCGGGACTGAGTCAAGGTGATACCCTCTCTGTCTGACTCCAGGGCCCAGAGTTGTTCTTTTGTGCCTTATTGCCTCTGGATTTAGGTTTTCTGTACAAAAAAGACTATATTGTTTTCCTGACTACTCTGGGGTTGCCAGGGTCATCCGAATTTGTATGTCATCTATTGACATGTAGTAGATAGGAGATGGTTATTATGGGTATAAATAACGTTATTTTTTACGTAAGTGGAGAATTTGGGAACTCTTCTTCAGATCAAATGGGTGATGAGTAATTTGATATTTTACATAACTAATCTTAATGTATAATCAGTTATAGTTGTTTTAAAATGAAACCAAATCATGGGTTGTGAAAGCCACTATGATGGTTGAAAGACATTTTAGTTTTTGCAGAACCTTCCCTTTATCAGCACCATTTTCTCAAAAGAAAAACACCTCACAGGCTTTGCCAGTTCCCAATCAATTTGTTTTTGAGATGCTAGCCTGAGTGGGAAAAAACTCACAAATTGGTTTTTCTCTGCTCTCACACTACAGTAACAACACAGAAGACTTCTGTGATTAAATGTGGGAGGGATTTCTCCCCACCAGCAAACAAGCAATGAATTCTGCAGCGGACACCAGCTGAGTGTCCTCCAGATCAGTTCTGACACTATCTACCTGGAGATAATGCCAGATCCCACGGAAGGCTCAGTCCCGCAATACTGCCCCCCCGCCCCACCTCAGACACCTGTCACAAGTCTGGGACTTCTGACTGCCTGGCTTCAAGTTGGGGTTCCCACGACCCCCTCTTTGAGTTTCATTACATTGCTATAGTGGCTCACAGAACTCAGGGAAACACTCATATTTACCAGTTTATTATAAAAGATATTACAAAGGATACAGATGAAGAGATGCATAAGGCAAGGTGTGGAGAAAGGGGCACGGAACTTCCATGCCCTCCCGGGACACCACCGTCCAGGAACCTCCATGTATTCAGCTGTTTGGAAGCTCTCGGAACCCCATCCTTTTGAACCTTTTACAGAGGTTTCATTGCATAGGCGTGATTGACAACCATGTAGAAAAGTGATTGGACAAAAGGGATGTGATGTAATGCTGATAGACTGAGTGGGGAAACCCAGCAAGGCCTGTGTGTTCAGATTCTTCTTGGCCTCTCTGTGTGGCATTCCTTCCTCCCCAGTGTGGGGCAGGATCCCTTCTGAAATGAGGGTCTTATGACCTACTTCAAAAAGGCAGGAGAAAATTAGAGTATATTTTTAGTTTCTATGCCCTGCCTTGGGACAAAAAAGGAGCAGATGAAAGGAGGGCAAGAGAAGGTCAGAGGGATTCTATTTTTTTGCTACCTGCTTCTGAGGCCTAAAGTGCCCAGCATTACAACAAAAGACTGTAACAAGAGCTATGGGAGTTTATGAGCCAGGAATTGTAGATGAAAATCAGTACATACACATCATAATATCACAGCTAGTCTTTCAGGTTATGAACTATTAGTTTAGTCTCTTTCCTTTTTAAATTGTCCCTATAAAAGCACCTAAATAGTTGGTCCTTAATATGGTTGCCATCTCTGATGAAACCTGTTGTCAGTGAAATGTGTAATAAATACTTCACCATTTAACGGATGGTATAACATTCAGACCCTCTGGCCTATTCACATCATATAGCTATCATGCAGACCTGGGCTTTCTGACTTGAAAAAGTTCTCATTGGATTTAGCTTTGATTTTGTGCTACCACTCATGGTTTGCTTAGAGGGCCTTGGCAGGGAAATAATTCACCCATAGAAGCCGTTATTGGTGGACTCCCCCACCAAACACACACACACACACACACACACACACACACACACACACACACACACACACACACACATTCACTCTCTCTCTCTTTCTCTCTCTCTCTCCCTCACTCACACACACATATACAATAACATGTTAAAACTTGCCAGTGAGGAATGGGAGGGGATAGGATTTCCCAAGGAGTAGCAGTGTGAGGCTTAGAATGGTACAGCTAGGAATTGGGATATCAGGTAGATTTTCACCAAAGCAAAACTTCTCATCCTGGCCTGTCTTGGGCTTATATTTTTGAAGACTTTGCCAGGGCATGCCATCATCTCCTTTTGTCTCTTCTTGTCATTTTATAATTGAGGAGGAAAAGTAAGGGAGATTCTGAACTAGTCATGGCTGTATTGTAACCAAATAAGGGTGGGATGAAAGATCTAGGATTTTACCGGACACCTCCTGTCCTTTCTTTCCCAAAGAGAAGTGGGAATCGAAGAGCTGGGTAGCAGGGCAGCTTGCGCAGTGAGAGCATGATGCTTTGGGGTCAGGAGACCAGCTTTCCAGTCTGTGGCTTGGTTTGGCGGACGTGTGACTTGAAACAGCTTACATCATGCCTTTGAGCCTTGGGTTCTCTCGTATATGATGGTCCAAATAACACCTTCCAGATAGATCATTGTGAGAATTGGATGGGCTAATATATGTGAAAACACTTTGTGAACTATGAAGTATACGTTTAAGTACTAGACATAATACACAAATAGGTAGTATAGCTTTTCAAAATACAGTTAAGTTTCAGCTCACATCAGCAGATATGAACGGGAGATGGGTAATAGTGTGTGTGTGATTTTAGAATATATTATGAAAGTATTTTTGGCTGCAGATTTACATTCCTAATTTTTTTGCTTTGGCTAATGTCATGAATATGTATTTATCTAATTTATATTCAGAGTTACCATGGGAATATCTACCCAAAGGAAAGCTGAGTGGCAAGGAAAAGCACATCTGGGATTGAAATTTGTTCTTGGATACCTCACAAGTTCATTCATCTCATGCCTTGTTCTTGGTACACTCCTAGCCCTCCCTGATTGAAGCCCTTTATGGAGATTTTAAAGGGAAGCAGACTCACAGCTGTTGATTTTTTGGAAATATATATTTTCTCAAAACATTGGTGTATAAATGCATTCGATTAAAAACAAAAAGGCGGTTATTTAAGAGGCAAACATAATGTGTCCATCTTATGTACAGGCAGCACCCTCATTCGGTGCCTGTCAGCATGGCAAGCCCTTGAAGGATTCTCTCCTGAGCAGGTGGCTTAGGGGCAGCAGGCATTCCTTAACACCTTCTTCACTGACTCAGATAGGGGCAAGCACTGGGAAGGCCCTGTGTCTGGGATGCAGACCAGAGGACGCCTGCAGCCCTTTGTCTGGTCATGCTTCATGGTAGCTGCCTGATCTAGGCTGGGTTCTTCTTCCTGCACCCTGTTTTTTTCTGATGTTGCTCAGCTGACATGCTGGGGCTCTCCTGCCTTTTAAAAAAATTTTAGGTAAAGTATTCCTGGCCCTTGTTTGATCAGAGTGTTGGGAGATTTTTGTCTGTTTTTGTTAAATAGTTCTGATTGTCAAATGAGAATGGCTTATGCCTTGAGGAGGCAGAACTGTGTCTTAGGATCCCAAGAACAGGCAGAATTTCCTCCGTCAAAATATCCCACAGGCCTAATGACTTGTAAGAAGTAAATCCTTCCAAGACAACATGGTAAAACAAGTAAATCCGTGTGTGTGTGTGTGTGTGTGTGTGTGTTTATATTTTTAAGGTAACCAATGAATGTGCAGAAGCATTGAAAGGATTGCAGTTTTGCCACTTTCTGAATAATTTCTAGCTGTGATATTGATATGTGTTTCTTCTTGTATAAACTTGGCCATCTTAAATGGAACTATCTGTTTCTCATTTCTCCACATCCATCTCTATTGTCCCTCTTTCCCAGGCTTCAGACATTAATCTAGATGAATATAAGGAGACGCTTCAGGTTCCATGAGCAGATATTTAGGACTCTGTTTTCTGATATCAAATTAAGCAGAAAGCTCATGACATAGCACCTTCACACTTTATTTGTTTTAAACTTCTATCTGTGATGATCTTCTGAGGTACCACCAGAACTGGAAGTGACGTGCTGTATCACTGAGTAAAATGGTTTGGGTTAAATCTGTAAAAATGATTGGTCTACTCACACACACACGCACAACATATACACACACTTAATGTGATTTAATGTAATCATCCAGAGCAGTTTTGTCTGAAAATTTACTAAGTCCTTGCTTACTTGCTCAGTACCTGGCTGTATAGAAGATAACTTAAAACCATGATGTCTAAGGTTAAATAACACCATATAGGAGTAACTTCAGTTGTTACTTGATGTAATGGAAACAGTAAGTAGAGTTCCACTTTTTAGAGACTTTTAATGTGTTTCTTAAGCTCATTGTTGAAAATCACAATGTGATTCCTGGGTTTTGTTTGTTTGTTTTATTCAGAGACACTTTTTCAGAAATCTTGGATCTATACTGGCCTATGCCTTCTTGGGGACTGCTGTTTCATGCTTCATTATTGGGTAAGTGAACCTTTGTCATATAACCAAATTAACACACGTTCCATAGGGATGAGATCCATTTGGGTCCACAGAGTCCAGTATTTTGATATTTTTGATGATGGCAGTCAGGATCAAGAGTTACACCGTTCAGTATGGTAGCTATTAGCCACGTGTGGCTATTTAAATTAAGATCAATTTACATGAAATAAAATTATACCCAGCACCCAGATCTTGGTTTCTGTTATCATTCTTTGATAAAAACAACCAGAGCCCCTTGCAGAAATGGCTAATTCTAGGGCTGGGGCAGGAAATATACAAGATGAAAAGGGAGTATCTTGTAATGCCAGAAAGTAAGGAAGTACTCAGAAAACAGACAGACAAAAGAATGTGGGGGATGTCAAAGGGACACAAGAGCCAACCTGAAAGCCCCTGTAATGGTCAAAGCCGCCCCACAATGGCTGAAGAACGACAAAACAAATAACATTGCATTAGATTATCCCCAAGAGCATAAAGTAAGTATCACTGAGTCCATATGGATATAAGTAAGTGATTGGATGAATAAATAAATGGGGGAAAGAGACAAATCTCCTGTGCAGAAGAATTCCAAATACTTTATGTAGATACATCCCCCCTCAAGGAGGTGGAGCTCAGTCCCCTCCCACTCCCTCTTTGACTGTGGGCTGTGCGTAGTGACTTCTTTCTGAAGAGTACAGTACAGAAAGCAGGAAAAAAGAGTAGCTTTACAGTGGAGAAACCTGACAAATACTACCTCACCCAGGTGATCAAGGTCAACATCAGCAGTGGTAAGTCACGTTGATAGTATGTACCTTGATATTTGTGATGAGAAGGATACTCTACCTCTCTGGTTGTTCACTTAAAACCACATTACCTCAGTCTAACCATGAGAAAAAAAATCAGACAAATCCTAGTCGAAGGATATTCTACAAAATATCTGAGCAGTACTCCTTAAATCTGCCAAGGTCATCAAAAATGAGCAAAGTCTGGCAGGGCGAAGTGGCTCACGCCTGTAATCCCAGCACTTTGGGAGGCCGAGGCGGGCAGATCACAAGGTCTGGAGATCGAGACCATCCTGGCTAACATGGTGAAACCCCGTCTCTACTAAAAATCCAAAAAAAAAAAAAAATTAGCCGGGAGTGGTGGCGGGCGCCTGTAGTCCCAGCTACTCAGGAGGCTGAGGCAGGAGAATAGCATGAACCCGGGAGGCGGAGCTTGCAGTGAGCCGAGATTGCGCCATTGCACTCCAGCCTGGGCGACAGAGTGAGACTCTGTCTCAAAAAAACAAAATGAGCAAAGTCTAAGAAACTGTCACAGTCATGAGGAGACTAAAGGGATTGGATGACTAAACGCCATGTGGTATCCCGGATAAGATCCTGGAACAGAAAAAGGACATTAGGTTAAAAACTAAGAAAATCTGAATAAAGTTAGGATTTTTATTAATTTTTTAACAATTAGCTAGAAACCTGGAGATAATAGCAGGGGCCTTTTGTGCCATCAAAAAAGGAGGGGCTTTGACTTATCCTTTAAGAGATACATATTATTGAAGAATGACACTTTACATAACTGGCATTAGTGATGATAGGAAGCAAAATGGGGAAAAGGCTGCCGGAGAAGTCTATTGTTTAGGTCACAGACTGGTGGAAGGAAATGGAGAGGAAGGTCTTGTTCCAGGAATGTTTAAAGGGTACATGAAAGAAGCCTTTGATAAGCAACAAAGGGCAAATCAAATCTGTAACATACAATTCCTGTGAAAAGAAATTGAGCTGGTTAAGTGTCTAGAACAGTGTCTGGCACACAATAGGCAAGCATTAAGTTATAGCTGTTTCTTCTCAAAATGATTCCATTCTGTGAATAGTTCTTTTGCTTCTAGCTTAGCTAGTCCACCCTTCTAAGCATTTGAGACACAAAGGTGGGCAATGGCATCAAGAATCTCATTATTAGAGCATTGGCTGTAGGGTATAATGAGTCAAGTCCATGGTTATTTTTACTCCTCTAACCCCTGCAGCTGCTGCTATCACTGCTGCTGCCACCACACGCACACACACAGACACACACACACACATGCACGCACAGATACCCTTGTAACATGTACTAGACCTTTTCACACTCCTCACTCCTCCCAATTTGTAAGCTGTCCTGTAGGAAATGTGCTTCCACCAAGCTGAAAAATTTAACTTGGTAGTCCCTCTTAGCCCACGTCATAGTCTACATAGCATAAGGAGGGCTATTGCTGGCCTGCCTGACCCATGCAAAGAGTGAAAGCCCAGATATCTTGATGGGTATATGGATGTTCTAATAGGACATTTAAAGATATTCGCCTCTTTTTCCTTTTTTTGAAATAATTCTTGGCAGAGAAGGCAAGATCCTTTGGATCTTTGTGACCAACCCATTTTTTTCTCTCTAGTTGCATCCAGTCTACTGATTTCTCTGACTTTAAATGCATTATCTTAGAGTCTTATGAGTTTTGTAGCAACTTATTGCTACAAAAACATTATGCCAGGTTCTGTCTCTTCCTTTCCTCTGTATTACCCAGTTGCGTCAAATGCCTTAGCTTTGTTGCTAATTGAAGACTGTGCTTCATGGTTGCTTTAGTTGTTAGCCAGTACAACTTTTAAAAATGAAATGTTCAGATATTTCAGCAAGATGACATTAACTGCAAACTATTACTTGATGCCAAAGTCCTGCTGGCAATGTCTCTGGTAAGTGTGAAACCATGGCAGCTGCCTGTTGTTTTCATAAATCTCTAAGAGCAGCATTCTAGTGCTATTCTGCTTGCGTGTTTGCTAAGTTACTTATTTTTTTCTCCTGACATAGTTTACCTTACCTTCTTACAGAAATCTCATGTATGGTGTGGTGAAGCTCATGAAGATTATGGGACAGCTCTCAGATAAATTTTACTACACAGATTGTCTCTTTTTTGGAGCAATCATCTCTGCCACTGACCCAGGTATTTGGCTTTGTGTATTTGTCTTTATTATTATGATATTCCATTATTTAAATCTTTAAAAGTTCAGAGCAATCATTAACTTTTGTTGCAGTAGGGAGAATGTAGTATTTATTTGCATGGCATGGTGGTGGAAGAAGTGACCAATAGGTGGGTCTAACAGACTTAGATGGCTTTTCTTTTCCTTTTTCCTTTTTTGAGACAGGATCTCACTCTGTTGCCCAAGCTAGAGTGCAGTGGTGCAGTCACAGCTCACTGCAGCCTTGACCTCCTGGGCTCAAGCAATCCTCCTGCCTCAGCCTCCCAAGCAGCGGGACTACAGTTAGATGGCTTTTCTAAGAAGGGCATGCAATTTCCTTTTTTATTATTAATTTTTTTTTATTGTTGTAAAAATGCCTGACATAAAATTTACTATCTTAACAATTCCTTTTTTTTTTTTTTTGAGACAGAGTCTTGCTCTGTTGTCCAGGCTGGAGTGCAGTGACACGATCTCGGCTCACTGCAGACTCTACCTCCCATGTTCACGCCATTCTCCTGCCTCAGCGTCCTGAGTAGCTGGGACTACAGGCGCCTGCCACCACGCCTGGCTAATTTTTTTGTATTTTTAGTAGAGACAGGGTTTCACCGTGTTAGCCAGGATGGTCTCGATCTCCTGACTTCGTGATCCACCCGCCTTGGCCTCCCAAAGTGCTGGGATTACAGGTGTGAGCCACCGTGCCCAGCCTATCTTAACAATTTCTAAGTGTATAGTTCAGTAGAGTTAAGTATACCCACATCATTGTGAAACCAATCCCCAGAACCTTTTCATCTTGCAAAATTGAAATGCTATACCCATTAAACAACAACTTCCCAGTCCCCCTTCCCTGCAGCCCCTGGCAGCTACCTTTGACTTTCTGTCTCTATGAACTTGACTACTGTAGATACTTCATACAAATGAAATCATACAGTATTTGTCCTTTTGTGACTGGCTTATTTCACTTAGCATAATGTCCTCAAAGTTCATCCATTTTATAGCATTTCTCATAATTTCCTAACCTTTAAGGCTGAATAATATTCCATTGTATCTGTATAGCATGTTTTTTTTTTGTTTTGTTTTGTTTTTGAGATGGAGTTTCACTCTTGTTGCCCAGGCTGGAGTGCAATGGCACAATCTTGGCTCACCGTAACCTCTGCCTCCGCCTCTGCCTCCTCTGCCTCAGCCTCCGGAGTACCTGGGATTATAGGCATGCACCACCATGCCCGGCTAATTTTTTTGTATTTTTAGTAGAGACAGGGTTTCTCCATGTTGGTCAGTCTGGTCTCAAACTCCCAACCTCAGGTGATCCGCCCACCTCGGCCTCCCAAAGTGCTGGAATTACAGGCGTGAGCCACCGTGCCCGGCTGTATAACATGTTTTGCCTTTCGTCTTAGAATGACTAATTTGGTCATAAGTTTTACACTTAGATTTTCTTCTTTCCCAGTGTTGCCCTTTTGCCTTCTTTTATGTAACATAGCATTTGGGTTAAATAATACCTTTTCTTAGTAGAAACACACATGATTATCTGTAGTGAATGTAATTTAATTTGTAAACTCCTTTTGTGCGGCATTCCTGCAGGACTGTGCACTGTGACATGGTTTTCTATTCATCAATCCCTTGCCTTGTATTTTTCAAGTGTTGGTTGAACCAATTCTTACAAGTGAATTATTACACCCTCCCTTGCAGCTCAAAACAAACAAAAAAGTTCTCCTTTCCAAGTTGAAACCTATAATTTGATCAGTTTGCATAAAGTAGTTACAGCTATTCTCTTCCTTAGTGTCATCTATTGAGAGTACACCTTAGGGAAAGAAGTTCTGGAGAATGAGCTGCTCCTGTCCTCACGGTAGAGATAGAAAGGTCTGCTCAATGTCTCCAATGCCCTCTAATATTCTGAACAGTAATAACCTTAAAGATATTAAGATACCCCACTTGACCATGCCCCTTGGGGGTCCTCTCCATCAGTGCTATCTTTCTGTGAAGATAGAGATGTTCTATAATCTGCAAGTCCATTGTGGTAACCAGTAGCCACATGTGGCTTTTGAGCACTTGAAATGTAGGGTAATGCAATAGGGGGACTGATTTTAACTTTTATTTAATGTTAAGTAATTTAAATGTATATAGCCACATGTGGCTAATGGTTACCACATCAAACAGCATAGCTCTAGACAGTTGTGTGGTTCTGAAGAATCTCAATGTTCAAAAAAAAAAACATTGACCTCTCTTACCCTCATATTTTATTACAAACACCCTGAGTAAATTAGTATTGAAGACTTGGCTGTCGAGGCACTCTGGTTTGTGAAAAGGTGGGATTTGGAGTCACAGGCCTTGGGTTTAGTTCTAGCCCTACCAATCACTGATCGGGTGGCCTGGGCACACATTGTCCCCTCACATCAGTTTCCTCATATATAAAGTAGAAATGATGGCACCTATCTCCTAAGGCTATTGTGAAGATGAAATGAAACAACACGTGTAAGGCACTGAGTGTACCCTGTCTAAATTATGCTGGTCTGTGTCCACATCTGACTCAGGCAGAGATTTCTCAGTTTTCCTTATGTTTAAAAAATAAACAAATAACAGATCATCTCTGAAGCCAAGCATGTTTCCAAAGAGAACTCTGAAAATCAGCTTTATTATTTTAATCCTGTGCTGTCTGTGACTGTCTCCAGATGTGTGTCTGTGGAGAAATAGATCTTCATAAGTCTGAGAAAGGTATTTAGTCTGTCCGAAAATGTGTTTCTAAGTATACTCATCTATAATTTTATTACTGACATCTTACTAGTACCACTAACAAGTAAAGGGAAGTTAGTTTAACATAAAGATTATTGATATTGTTTCCTGAGCTATCAGTGTTACTTCATTTAATTGGATAGAGAGGCTTACTTTTCTAGATTATCTTTGTAATTGTTTACTTCCCTTTAATGTGTCTATGCTATGGTAGAGAATAATGGAAGGCATTACCATGCTACTCCATTTTCATTTGGCCTATGAAGACTGGCACAGTAAGGGCTTTATAGAAATGGAAGTTGTAGAAAATTGAAAGTTTAAACTTATTAAGCATCAGGACATTAACTTTAACTGCTTTTTAAATAGAAATATTCCTGAAATGTAGAATGTTTTTGTAAATTAGAAGTGTTTTACCAGCCTCCTAAAAAATCTGTTGTTTGAAAACTTGGGTCATAAAAGAGATAAAATCTTAAGTGCAGAGTTAAGCATCACAAGACCAGATTGACTTCTAGTACCTGGTGCATCAAACAAAAATTCTGATATTGGCAGCCTGGGCAACATAGTAGAACTTCATCCCCACAAAAAAATTGTAAAAATTAGCTGACCATAGTGGTGATTGCCTATAGTTCCAGCTACTCGGGGGGCTGAGGCAAGACGATTGCTTGAGCCCAGGAGTTTGAGGCTGCAGTGAGCTGTGATAGCACCACTGCACTCCAGCCTGGATGACAGAGCAAGACCCTGTCTTTAAAAAATGAAACAAAAAACTTTATAGTGTTAGGATACAGAGTGGTATTGACTGATATGAAGGAATAAGAATCCTTGTCCCTGATTACTGTACTTGGCTTGAGACATGAGTCTTTGGTCTTCTGGTCAAAGGTGACATAATATATGTGGGATAGTGTAGGCTGCACTGTGACAGGGAGCCTTCTCCACTCTGTGGTCATGTGTCATGGCTGCCATGTGCCATCTTTGTGGGCTTTTGTTTTAGACGGATCCACAATTAAAGAAAAAAAAATGCATTTGCACCCCATGGTGCCTTCCTAGGCAGCCACCAGAGAACACATGCCACTGCACTCCAGCCTAGGCGACAGAGACCCTGTCTAAAAAGAAAAGAAAAATAGAAACCTGTGAGTCAGGCTGATTGACTCAAGGAGTACAAAGGTGATGAATTAAAATTGGGGAAATGACATCATGATGGTTCACAGGAAGGGCATGCAATTTCCTTTTTTATTATTAATTTTTTATTGTGGTAAAAATGCCTGACATAAAATTTACTATCTTAACAATTTCTTTTTTTTTTTTTTTTTTTTTTGAGATGGAGTCTTACTCTGTCGCCCAGGCTGGAGTGCATCCTTTGGGACTTGGTTCAAATGTGCCACCTGCCTAGTCACTCTTTCTAGACTCCATTATCTGCTCCCTCAGCTCTTTGAGTTAGGTCTGTTTTGTACATGTCAGTGCTTGCCACTTTGTACTGAGTGCTCACAAGTGCTAAGTGCCCTTGACTACATGGATGATGTGTCCAAGAAAAGTTAGTTGAATGAACACATTTAGGTCCTTGAGTTTTTCCTTCTTCATATATCTGCCATTCTTTTGTTTTTCCCACTGCCTGTACCCAGTGATCTTTAGTTAGTTAATTGTGATTTCTCAGTCTGTGTTCAGTTGGAAATAGCTGTGACCCTGCTCACCCTGATTTCAAGGGTCCTGCTGTAGGGAGGAGGGCAGTTTGTTTCATCTCTCCCATTAAAGACCACTTAGCCAGTCTGTCATCCCCATCCCATCGTCTTCCAGTTGTCAGCACCCACATCCCACCCCCGTGGTCAGGCACAGACTTGCTCAGGAGGGGCACAGAACGGTTCCTGACCTGTTTTGTGAGATAATGAGCAGGGAGAATGAGAAGTTGAAACAGATCAGTGCTATGTACGTGTTTATTGTTATTATTATTAATTATGCTTTTAGGCCAGGTGTGGTATGCTTCTGTGGTCCCATCTACTTGGGAGGCTGAGATGGGGGGAATTGCTTAAGCCCAGGAGTTCCAGGCTATAGTGAACTATAATCACACCACTGTACCCCAGCCTGGGCAACAGAGCAAGACCCTGTCTCAAAAAATATATAGAAATAAAAATAAAAATAAAATTTTTAAAAAATGGGCAAAACCAAATGATAGTGTCAGGGAATGTGCATTTGTGTGATTAAATTATAGGGAAAGGCAAGAAAATGATGACTATAAAATTTAGTTTAGCGGTTCCCTTTAGTGAAGGAAGAGGCTTCAGACTGGGATGGGACATATAGGGGACTGACAAAGTTCTATTTCTTGAACAGGGGTGTGGTTACAAGACTGGTTGGCTTATAATAACTCACTAAACTGAACATTTGTTTGGCTTGGTTTTCTAATTGTATCAATTAGTAATGCTTTTGGCTGCAAAGAACAGAAAAACCTGGCTAATCCCTGCTTAAACAAATAGATATTTATCTTGGGTACCAGTACTGGGCTGATGTCCCGGCTTCCACTACAATCATAAAAAATACTACACTCAGTCTTTCTGCTCCACTGTTCTGGGGTTTCAGTCACACATCAGTTGCCCCATGGAGGCAAGATGACTGCGTTGGTGTCTGGCCTCTCTGCCCTCTTCCTGACAGGAAGAGGTAATGCTTTCTGCAAGGGAAGCTGGGAAAGTGGGTTTTTAGTTTTTGCAGTTGTATGGTAGAAACCATCAAGAGAGAGGGTAGTTGGGTATGAGTGTTGAGAGAGAACACAGCTCTCGTGCATGTATCTAGATCGGTGGTTCTCAGTCAGGGGCGATATTGCCCCTGCCCCCACCCCCGTCATTATTATTTTAAGCAACACACACACCATGTTTCAAAGGCTTGGCACAAAGATGGAATTTATAAAATCTAATTAATCTTTTTTTTGAGACAGAGTTTCACTCTTGTTGCCCAGGCTGGAGTGCAATGGCGCAATCTCGGCTCACCGCAACCTTTGCCTCCCAGGCTCAAGCAATTCTCCCACCTCAGCCTCTGGAGTAGCTGGGATTACAGGCGCCTGCCACCACACCCGGCTAATTTTGTATTTTTAGTAGAGATGGAGTTTCTCCATGTTGGTCTGGCTGGTCTCGAACTCCCAACCTCAGGGATCTACCCGCCTCAGCCTCCCAAAGTGCTGGGATTACAGGCGTGAGCCACCGCACCTGGCCCTTTTTTTTTCTTTCTTTCCTTTTTTTTTTTTTTTTTTTTGAGATGGAGTTTCACTCTTGTTGCCCAGGCTGGAGTGCAATGGCACGATCTTGGCTCACTGCAACCTCTGCCTCCTGGGTTCAAGTGATTCTCCTGCCTCAGCCTCCCAAGTAGCTGGGATTACAGGCATATGCTACCATGACCAGCTAATTTTGTATTTTTAGTAGAGACGGGGCTTCACTGTGTTGGTCAGGCTTGTGTCGAACTCCTGACCTCAGGTGATCCACCCGCCTCGGCCTCCCAAAGTGCTGGGATTACAGGCGTAAGCCACCACGCCTGGCCCTTTTTTTTTTCTTTCTGTTTTTGAGACAGAGTTTCACTCTTGTTGCCCAGGCTGGAGTGCAATGGCGTGATCTTGGCTCACTGCAACCTCCGCCTCCTGGGTTCAAGTGATTCTCCTGCCTCAGCCTCTCAAGTAGCTGGGATTACAGGCGTGTGCCACCATGCCTGGCTAATTTTGCATTTTTAGTAGAGACGGGGTTTCACCATGTTGGTCAGGCTGGTCTCAAACTCCTCACCTCAGGTGATCCACCTGCCTCAGCCTCCCAAAGTGCTGGAATTACAAGCATGAGCCACCATGCCCGACCAAAATCTCATTAATCATTTTTATAATAACTTTGTTATTTTAACCTTGGCTCTATTGAGCCAGAGAAATCAAAGAGATTTCAACCCACTGGTGAAGCCAAATCACATTGATTGTCATTATTTTTTGAAGTTCTGTAACAGATACTTTCAAAGTGTGATGGGATCACAGTGGAAAGCATAGTGTTTTGGTGCAATATCATTAGACTCAAGCATCATATCAAAGCTCCTTCAGATAAGGAAGATTGCGGTTTTCATTTCTGCCACAGATAGATAAGTCTATCTTTGACTCCCTTGCTATCTCTTGAATCACCCAGTCCCACCCAAGATAGGAATTGCCTCTATAAATCTGTAATCAGTGATTTAAGGTCAGAAACCAAAACTAATTTCTGTGCTTTCGGCTCACTTTTCAGTGACTGTGCTGGCGATATTTAATGAATTGCATGCAGACGTGGATCTTTACGCACTTCTTTTTGGAGAGAGCGTCCTAAATGATGCTGTTGCCATTGTACTGTCCTCGTAAGTAGCAGTGTTTCTGCTGGAGAAGAGACACCCCAGTTTCCTCTATGCTTTGGGCTAAATTCAGAGGCTTATCTTAAATGTATTACATATTGAATTGGGTGTTTTTCTAAATGAGATTTATCAGCTTTGTGGATAAAATTACGTTGCTTTGTGTGCCCAGCAGCAATCAGAATGCTGACACCAGCGTAACATGGTGGCTGCAGATTAAATTAAATGAATTTACCCTGGGCAATGCTGGCTGCAGATTAAATTAAATGAATTTACCCTGGCCAATGCTTGACAAAATGTAGATAGACCTATGTTTGTCGATATTTTCAAGTACCATAGTGTAAAACCTGTGCAGTCTTTTAAAACTGTCTCTTGTTTTTAAACTTTAGGTCTATTGTTGCCTACCAGCCAGCGGGACTGAACACTCACGCCTTTGATGCTGCTGCCTTTTTTAAGTCAGTTGGCATTTTTCTAGGTATATTTAGTGGCTCTTTTACCATGGGAGCTGTGACTGGTGTTGTGACTGCTCTAATATCCTTTTTGTAGTTTCAGCTCGGGCCTGGGTATGCGTGTGTGGCATTACACTTTCAAAAAGAAAGTTCTCAGCTGTTCTTTCAAATTGGAATTTTACATTGAGTGTTCCACTGGGGCATGATGGCTCCTGAAATATGTCACTTTGGTGAAGCATGACGGTTGGGTCCCTAGCTGAGAGTCTGAGAAAATGTTTAGGAATGCAACCCTAGACTTCGCTCTGTCTTCACCTTTGCTGTTTCTCTCCCTTTCTTGTGATCCAGTTGGAGCATCAGTTTTAGAGGGGTGAAAAGAGCTGAGGAGGCAGGAGGAGACTGAGAATTAGGGACTACTGGCTGGGAAGTACTTTAGCCCCAGCTAGCTGCTGCCAACTGCTGTTCCCGGCCACATGGTGTTATGTGGCGATAGCTAGTTAGTGGCCTTCCGTAAGCAAAGGATGGCCCAGTATTCAGTTTAAACAAACTAAAAAAACAGTGTGGAAAGAGCAGGCATCCCTTCCACAGATGTGGTGAGTCCTGCATCATATCCTCTTTGGTGGGCATTACTATGTAATTTAAACCACATCATTCCAACATGTAATCAATATGGAAAAAAATAACAAAATTATGATAAAAATAATTTTTTTTTCTTTTTTTTTATTATTATTATACTTTAAGTTTTAGGGTACATGTGCACAATGTGCAGGTTAGTTACATATGTATACATGTGCCATGCTGGTGCGCTGCACCCACTAACTCGTCATCTAGCATTAGGTATATCTCCCAGTGCTATCCCTCCCCCCTTCCCCCACCCCACAACAGTCCCCAGAGTGTGATGTTCCCCTTCCTGTGTCCATGTGTTCTCATTGTTCAATTCCCACCTATGAGTGAGAATATGCAGCGTTTGGTTTTTTGTTCTTGCGATAGTTTACTGAGAATGATGATTTCCAGTTTCATCCATGTCCCTACAAAGGACATGAACTCATCATTTTTTTATGGCTGCATAGTATTCCATGGTGTATATGTGCCACATTTTCTTAATCCAGTCTATCATTGTTGGACATTTGGGTTGGTTCCAAGTCTTTGCTATTGTGAATAATGCCGCAATAAACATACGTGTGCATGTGTCTTTATAGCAGCATGATTTATAGTCCTTTGGGTATATACCCAATAATGGGATGGCTGGGTCAAATGGTATTTCTAGTTCTAGATCCCTGAGGAATCGCCACACTGACTTCCACAATGGTTGAACTAGTTTACAGTCCCACCAACAGTGTAAAAGTGTTCCTATTTCTCCGCATCCTCTCCAGCACCTGTTGTTTCCTGACTTTTTAATGATGGCCATTCTAACTGGTGTGAGATGGTATCTCATTGTGGTTTTGATTTGCATTTCTCTGATGGCCAGTGATGATGAGCATTTTTTCATGTGTTTTTTGGCTGCATAAAAGTCTTCTTTTGAGAAGTGTCTGTTCATGTCCTTCACCCACTTTTTGATGGGGTTGTTTGTTTTTTTCTTGTAAATTTGTTTGAGTTCATTGTAGATTCTGGCTATTAGCCCTTTGTCAGATGAGTAGGTTGTGAAAATTTTCTCCCATTTTGTAGGTTGCCTGTTCACTCTGATGGTAGTTTCTTTTGCTGTGCAGAAGCTCTTTAGTTTAATTAGATCCCATTTGTCAATTTTGGCTTTCGTTGCCATTGCTTTTGGTGTTTTAGACATGAAGTACTTACCCATGCCTATGTCCTGAATGGTAATGCCTAGGTTTTCTTCTAGGGTTTTTATGGTTTTAGGTCTAACATTTAAGTCTTTAATCCATCTTGAATTAATTTTTGTATAAGGTGTAAGGAAGGGATCCAGTTTCAGCTTTCTACATATGGCTAGGCAGTTTTCCCAGCACCATTTATTAAATAGGGAATCCTTTCCCCATTGCTTGTTTTTCTCAGGTTTGTCAAAGATCAGATAGTTGTAGATATGCGGCATTATTTCTGAGGGCTCTGTTCTGTTCCATTGATCTATATCTCTGTTTTGGTACCAGTATCATGCTGTTTTGGTTACTGTAGCCTTGTAGTATAGTTTGAAGTCAGGTAGCGTGATGCCTCCAGCTTTGTTTGGCTTAGGATTGACTTGGCGATGCAGGCTCTTTTTTGGTTCCGTATGAACTTTAAAGTAGTTTTTTCCAATTCTGTGAAGAAAGTCATTGGTAGCTTGATGGGGATGGCATTGAATCTGTAAATTACCTTGGGCAGTATGGCCATTTTCACGATATTGATTCTTCCTACCCATGAGCATGGAATGTTCTTCCATTTGTTTGTATCCTCTTTTATTTCCTTGAGCAGTGGTTTGTAGTTCTCCTTGAAGAGGTCCTTCACGTCCCTTGTAAGTTGGATTCCTAGGTATTTTATTCTCTTTGAAGCAATTGTGAATGGGAGTTCACTCATGATTTGGCTCTCTGTTTGTCTGTTGTTGGTGTATAAGAATGCTTGTGATTTTTGTACATTGATTTTGTATCCTGAGACTTTGCTGAAGTTGCTTATCAGCTTAAGGAGATTTTGGGCTGAGACAATGGGGTTTTCTAGATATACAATCATGTCATCTGCAAACAGGGACAATTTGACTTCCTCTTTTCCTAATTGAATACCCTTTATTTCCTTCTCCTGCCTAATTGCCCTGGCCAGAACTTCCAACACTATGTTGAATAGGAGTGGTGAGAGAGGGCATCCCTGTCTTGTGCCAGTTTTCAAAGGGAATGCTTCCAGTTTTTGCCCATTCAGTATGATATTGCCTGTGGGTTTGTCATAGATAGCTGTTATTATTTTGAGATACGTCCCATCAATACCTAATTTATTGAGAGTTTTTAGCATGAAGGTTGTTGAGTTTTGTCAAAGGCCTTTTCTGCATCTATTGAGATAATCATGTGGTTTTTGTCTTTGGTTCTGTTTATATGCTAGATTACATTTATTGATTTGCGTATATTGAACCAGCCTTGCATCCCAGGGATGAAGCCCACTTGATCATGGTGGATAAGCTTTTTGATGTGCTGCTGGATTCGGTTTGCCAGTATTTTGCTGAGGATTTTTGCATCAATGTTCATCAAGGATATTGGTCTAAAATTCTCTTTTTTGGTTGTGTCTCTGCCCAGCTTTGGTATCAGGATGATGCTGGCCTCATAAAATGAGTTAGGGAGGATTCCCTCTTTTTCTATTGATTGGAATAGTTTCAGAAGGAATGGTACCAGTTCCTCCTTGTACCTCTGGTAGAATTTGGCTGTGAATCCATCTGGTCCTGGACTCTTTTTGATTGGTAAGCTATTGATTATTGCCACAATTTCAGATCCTGTTATTGGTCTATTCAGAGATTCAACTTCTTCCTGGTTTAGTCCTGGGAGAGTGTATGTGTCGAGGAATTTATCCATTTCTTCTAGATTTTCTAGTTTATTTGCGTAGAGGTGTTTGTAGTATTCTCTGATGGTAGTTTGTGTTTCTGTGGGATCGGTGGTGATATCCCCTTTATCATTTTTTATTGCGTCTATTTGATTCTTCTCTCTTTTTTTCTTTATTAGTCTTGCTAGTGGTTTATCAATTTTGTTGATCCTTTCAAAAAACTAGCTCCTGGATTCATTAATTTTTTGAAGGGTTTTTTGTGTCTCTATTTCCTTCAGTTCTGCTCTGATTTTAGTTATTTCTTGCCTTCTGCTAGCTTTTGAATGTGTTTGCTCTTGCTTTTCTAGTTCTTTTAATTGTGATGTTAGGGTGTCAATTTTGGATCTTTCCTGCTTTCTCTTGTGGGCATTTAATGCTATAAATTTCCCTCTACACACTGCTTTGAATGCGTCCCAGAGATTCTGGTATGTTGTGTCTTTGTTCTCATTGGTTTCAAAGAACATCTTTATTTCTGCCTTCATTTCGTTATGTACCCAGTAGTCATTCAGGAGCAGGTTGTTCAGTTTCCATGTAGTTGAGCGGTTTTGAGTGAGATTCTTAATCCTGAGTTCTAGTTTGATTGCACTGTGGTCTGAGAGATAGTTTGTTATAATTTCTGTTATTTTACATTTGCTGAGGAGAGCTTTACTTCCAAGTATGTGGTCAATTTTGGAATAGGTGTGGTGTGGTGCTGAAAAAAATGTATATTCTGTTGATTTGGGGTGGAGAGTTCTGTAGATGTCTATTAGGTCCGCTTGGTGCAGAGCTGAGTTCAATTCCTGGGTATCCTTGTTGACTTTCTGTCTCATTGATCTGTCTAATGTTGACAATGGGGTGTTAAGTCTCCCATTATTAATGTGTGGGAGTCTAAGTCTCTTTGTAGGTCACTCAGGACTTGCTTTATGAATCTGGGTGCTTCTGTATTGGGTGCATATATATTTAGGATAGTTAGCTGTTCTTGTTGAATTGATCCCTTTACCATTATGTAATGGCCTTCTTTGTCTCTTTTGATCTTTGTTGGTTTAAAGTCTGTTTTATCAGAGACTAGGATTGCAACCCCTGCCTTTTTTTGTTTTCCATTTGCTTGGTAGATCTTCCTCCATCCTTTTATTTTGAGCCTATGTGTGTCTCTGCACGTGAGTTGGGTTTCCTGAATACAGCACACTGATGGGTCTTGACTCTTTATCCAATTTGCCAGTCTGTGTCTTCTAATTGGAGCATTTAGTCCATTTACATTTAAAGTTAATATTGTTATGTGTGAATTTGATCCTGTCATTATGATGTTAGCTGGTTATTTTGCTCATTAGTTGATGCAGTTTCTTCCTAGTCTCGATGGTCTTTACATTTTGGCATGATTTTGCAGTGGCTGGTACCGGTTGTTCCTTTCTATGTTTAGTGTTTCCTTCAGGAGCTCTTTTAGGGCAGGCCTGATGGTGACAAAATCTCTCAGCATTTGCTTGTCTATAAAGTATTTTATTTCCCCTTCACTTATGAAGCTTAGTTTGGCTGGATATGAAATTCTGGGTTGAAAATTCTTTTCTTTAAGAATGTTGAATATTGGCCCCCACTCTCTTCTGGCTTGTAGAGTTTCTGCCGAGAGATCCGCTGTTAGTCTGATGGGCTTCCCTTTGAGGGTAACCCGACCTTTCTCTCTGGCTGCCCTTAACATTTTTTCCTTCATTTCAACTTTGGTGAATCTGACAATTATGTGTCTTGGAGTTGCTCTTCTCGAGGAGTATCTTTGTGGCGTTCTCTGTATTTCCTGAATCTGAATGTTGGCCTGCCTTGCTAGATTGGGGAAGTTCTCCTGGATAATATCCTGCAGAGTGTTTTCCAACTTGGTTCCATTCTCCCTGTCACTTTCAGGTACACCAATCAGATGTAGATTTGGTCTTTTCACATAATCCCATATTTCTTGGAGGCTTTGCTCATTTCTTTTTATTCTTTTTTCTCTAAACTTCCTTTCTCGCTTCATTTCATTCATTTCATCTTCCATCACTGATACCCTTTCTTCCAGTTGATCGCATCAGCTCCTGAGGCTTCTGCATTCTTCACGTAGTTCTCAAGCCTTGGTTTTCAGCTCCATCAGTTCCTTTAAGCACTTCTCTGTATTGGTTATTCTAGTTATACATTCTTCTAAATTTTTTTCAAAGTTTTCAACTTCTTTGCCTTTGGTTTGAATGTCCTCCCGTAGCTCAGAGTAATTTGATCGTCTGAAGCCTTCTTCTCTCAGCTCATCAAAGTCATTCTCTGTCCAGCTTTGTTCCATTGCTGGTGAGGAGCTGCGTTCCTTTGGAGGAGGAGAGGCGCTCTGCTTTTTAGAGTTTCCAGTTTTTCTGCTCTGTTTTTTCCCCATCTTTGTGGTTTTATCTACTTTTGGTCTTTGATGATGGTGATGTACAGATGGGTTTTTGGTGTGGATGTCCTTTCTGTTTGTTAGTTTTCCTTCTAACAGACAGGACCCTCAGCTGCAGGTCTGTTGGAGTAACCGGCCGTGTGAGGTGTCAGTCTGCCCCTGCTGGGGGGTGCCTCCCAGTTAGGCTGCTCGGGGGTCAGGGGTCAGGGACCCACTTGAGGAGGCAGTCTGCCCGTTCTCAGATCTCCAGCTGCGTGCTGGGAGAACCACTGCTCTCTTCAAAGCTGTCAGACAGGGACATTTAAGTCTGCGGAGGTTACTGCTGTCTTTTTGTTTGTCTGTGCCCTGCCCGCAGAGGTGGAGCCTACAGAGGCAGGCAGGCCTCCTTGAGCTGTGGTGGGCTCCACCCAGTTCGAGCTTCCCGGCTGCTTTGTTTACCTAAACAAGCCTGGGCAATGGCGGGCGCCCCTCCCCCAGCCTCGCTGCCGCCTTGCAGTTTGATCTCAGACTGCTGTGCTAGCAATCAGCGAGACTCCATGGGTGTACGTCCCTCCAAGCCATGTGCGGGATATAATCTCCTGGTGCGCTGTTTTTTAAGCCCATCGGAAAAGCGCAGTATTCGGGTGGGAGTGACCCGATTTTCCAGGTGCCGTCTGTCACCCCTTTCTTTGACTAGGAAAGGGAACTCCCTGACCCCTTGCGCTTCCCAAGTGAGGCAGTGCCTCGCCCTGCTTCGGCTCGCACATGGTGCGCGCACCCACTGACCTGCACCCAATGTCTGGCACTCCCTAGTGAGATGAACCCGGTACCTCAGATGGAAATGCAGAAATCACCCGTCTTCTGCGTTGCTCACGCTGGGAGCTGTAGACCGGAGCTGTTCCTATACGGCCATCTTGGCTCTTCCCCCAATCATGATAAAAATAATTAATGAGATTTTATACATTCAATCTTTGTTCCAAGCCTTTGAAATATGGTATGTGTGCTGGGCGTGGTGGCTCACACCTGTAATCCCAGCACTTTGGAAGGCCAGGGTGGGCAGATCACCTGAGGTCAGGAGTTTGAGACCAGCTTGGCCAACATCGTGAAACCCTGTCTCTACTAAAAATACAAAAATTAGCCAGGTGTGGTGGTGTGCACCTGTAATCCCTGCTAATCGGGAGGCTGAGGCAGGAGAATCACTTGAACCTGGGAGGTGGAGATTGCAGTGAGCCGAGGCCGTGCCATTGCACTCCAGCTTGGGTGACAGAGCGAAATGCCGTCTCAAAAAAAAAAAAAAAAAAAAGAAAGAAAGAAAGAAAGAAAAAAAGAAATACAGTGTGTGTGTTGCTCTTACAACACATCTCAATTTGGACTAGCCACATTGTAAGTGTTCAGCTACCACATTGGATAGCGCAGATTTAAATTGCTTTCTTCACAAGGGCCCTTTTGATGCCTTGGAGACGTATATTGCTCAGTGAGATCTGTCATGAGATGCTTCTATGCTGGCCGTGTGTTGAATGGCACTGTTACAAGAAGGATCTCTGGTCCCGAAAGGTGACACCAGCACCTGGTAGCTGTCTCAAGAATTATGCATTTCTTTCTTTCCTGTGCCTTCCTTAGGCACCTGTTGTGGACTCAGGTGGCCTCGGTGGTGCACAGGGGTCAGGGTCTCACAGGCCTTGTCTTCACAGCCCTGCTGGAACCAACCCAACAAGCCAGCCTGACGTCATGACCATGCCTCTCAGAACCATGGCCATTCAAGGAGCACAGAAAACTAGTTGCCAGTTTCTCTAGAATTCTGAATTTTTAAAAGAACAGCCTTATTGAGATATAATTTATATACCATACAAGTCACCCATTTAAATTTAATGGCTTTTGGTATATTACATGATAATTTTTTTTTTTGACGGAGTCTCACTCTGTCACCCAGGCTGGAGTGCAGTGGTGCAATCTTGGCTCACTGCAACCTCTGCCTGCCGGGTTCAATTGATTCTCAACCTCCTGAATAGCTGGGATTACAGATGCGTGTGACCACACCCGGCTAATTTTTGTATTTTTAGTAGAGACAGGGTTTCAGTATGTTGGCCAAACTAGTTTTGAACTCCTGACCTCAGGTGATCCACCTGCCTCGGGTCCCAAAGTGCTAGGATTACAGGCATGAGTCACCACACCTGGCCTACATGATTAATTTTTTAAAATTGTGGTAAAATATAGCCAACGAGATTTGTCATTTAACCATCTTTACGTGCACAATTCCGCATTCACAATGTCATGTAGCCATCTCCCTGTCTACTTTCAGAATTTTTTCATCATCCGAAACAGAAGCTCTGTACCCATTAAACAATGTCTCCCTGTTTCTTCCTCTCTCCAGCCCCTACAAAACTTGTGTTCCACTGGAAAGCTTAATTTGTATTACTTAAGAAATCTCCAGCAGCTTTAGAGCCTCCAAAAAAAAAAAAAGGTTGAAGGGAAAGGCTAGCCCTTTGGGGAGGGGTCCTGGGCTAGTGGAGTATGGTTCTTGGTGGCCCTGATACATGTACCTGGAGACAGGGTCCTTGACAGAATGCCAACGTGACTAAGTTTACCAAACTGCACTGCTTCCCCCTGCTGGAGACGGCGCTGTTCTTCCTCATGTCCTGGAGCACGTTTCTCTTGGCAGAAGCCTGCGGATTTACAGGTAGGTTTTTTCTACTCTTGGACCACCCTTCCCCTCACTGTAGTGGGGTCTGTGGGAACTTGAAGGAAGGGAAGAATTCTTAGATAACAGCTGCACAGAGTTTAACTGTTCAGCAAGTGTCCGTATGGAGGATTGCTGAGCAAGGCTATTGTTCTGTCTTAAATGGATTATTTACTTTCCAAAAAGCTAGACTTTTTTTAATTTTATTTTTTTAGAGACAGGGTCTTGCTGTGTCACCCAGGCTGGAGTGCAGCAGCACAATCATAGCTCACTGTAACCTCGAACTCCTAGGCTCAAGGGATCTTCCCCCTTCACCCTCCCAAGTAGCTAAGACTACAGGCACGTACCACACCCAGCTAACTTCTTTATTCTTTGTAGAGATGGACAACATTTGCTATGTTGTCCAGGCTGGTCTCAAACTCCTGACCTTAAGTGAACCTCCTACCTCAGCCTCTCAAAGCACTGGGATTACAGGCATGAGCCACCATGCCCAGCCTGAAAAAGTAGATTTTAATGATAAAGTTTATCATTCCAAAGTCAATTACATTTTTGAGTACTCATTCTAACTGTAAGTAGATGTTAAGGTGCAAAGAATCTATTAAAATTTTATTTGTATATTTCCCTTGATTGCTATGTTATTTTGCAAACAGTAGCAATAACAAGCAAAATATGTGTCCTTTAAAGGGTGATTTTGCCTCTGCTCAGATGAGTGTGAACACGGTTTTTCATTGTTTTGTTTCTGGGCTATTTAATCATTGCTTTTCAATATCACATTTTTATGGTGTCAGTTTCATATAGTATTAGTGAGGTGAAACATGTGGTTTTACTTCCTCACATTCTTTCATTTTAAAAAAACATTGAATTTTTCCATTAGAAAATTCAAGTACAGTTCTGTACATAATCCAGGTACTTAGGATGTACTTTTGTCACCCTTTCAAAATACTGTAGCAAATCTTTATATGCAGCATTACAAAATGCCCCACTTCCTTAAAATTTAACAGTTATCTGTAAATGTGTAGGCAAAGTCCCAGGTGTGTCATTTGTCTCGCACAACAAAATGGTTACCATTAACCAGAAATATAGAAGATCGGGGCTTGGATAAATGGAATAGTACTCTTGATCTATTTTGTCTAAAGCCCTAGACTGTGAAAAAATCTAGGCCAGGCACAGTGCGCATGCCTATATAATCCCAGCACTTTGGGGCCAAGGCAGGTGGATCCCTTGAGCTCAGGAGTTCAAGACCAGCCTGGGCAAGATGGAGAAACCCCATCTCTACAAAAAAATACAAAAATTAGCTGGGTGTGGTGGTGTGCATCTGTAGTCCCAGCTATTCAGGAGGCTGAGGTGGGAGGATCACTTGAGCCTTGGAGATAGAGGCTGCAGTGAGCCGAGATCATGCCACTGCCGTCCACTGAGGGATATATAATATATAATCCACTTTGTCTCAAAAAATATATATGTATATAAAGCATTAGTTTGAAATTCAGTTCATTCATTCTAAAAACAGTGAGGAATATGGCAAAAATTTGGATGGGCCCTCACAGTCTCTTTGAAGGAATGAATGCTATATGCCAACTACAGATGGTAGTTGGAGGAGTTTAGAGGAGGCAGGAGATACCCTTAAAACTGGAACAAGGAGGGGATGTTGAGGTACTTGGCTTTGAAGGAAGGCAGGGTTGGGAGACACAAAGGTTGAGAGGTGAGGGGTTGTAGGAGTGTTCAGTAGTAATAGGAAACTTTTTTTTCTTTTTTTTCTTTTTCTTTTTTTTTTTTTTTCTTTTGAGAAAAGGTTGCCTTCTGTCGCCCAGACTGGAGTGCAGAGGCGTGATCATGGCTCACTGCAGCCTCGACCTCCCAGGCTCAAGCGATCCTCTCACCTCAGCCTCCCTAGTAGCTGGGCCACAGGCCCACGCCACCACATCCGGCTAATTTTTTGTATTTTTGGTAGAGATGGGGTTTTACCATGTTTCCCAGGCTGGTCTCAAACTCCTGGGTTCAAGCGATCTGCTTGCCTTGGCCTCCTGCAGTGCTGGGATTACAGGTGTGAGCCACTGCGCCCGACCCAGCAATAGGAAAGTTTCAAAAATATTCAGGAAGTTGGATATGCTAGGCTTGCCTACCTTAACTTTTTGTTCTAGCAGGGTTTTTTTTTTCCCCTGCCTCTTTTTTTTCCATTGATTTTTTTTGGGGGGATGTTTTAACAGGTGTTGTAGCTGTCCTTTTCTGTGGAATCACACAAGCTCATTACACCTACAACAATCTGTCGGTGGAATCAAGAAGTCGAACCAAGCAGGTGAGAGAGAGGCTTGGTACTCACGAGTTGCTTGTTAACACAGGGAAGGGGGAACTGCAGGGTTACAGCTTCCTTTTCCCTTCTCTGTGCAGCTCTTTGAGGTGTTACATTTCCTGGCAGAGAACTTCATCTTCTCCTACATGGGCCTGGCACTGTTTACCTTCCAGAAGCACGTTTTCAGCCCCATTTTCATCATCGGAGCTTTTGTATCCTTTTCTTGTTCCACCATTTTCTACATGCAGAGACGACCACTGTTGGAGAAGCTATAGTAATAATAGTCATAATAATAATATAAAATAACAATAATATAATAATATAAACCATCATAAAATAATAATTACTATTTCTGTTTTGGGTAGGTGACTAACTCCATGCTAGTTCACAGGGTTTTTATGATGAAAAAAAGAAGGCTTAAGTGGCATTTCATAACACTAAATGTATTTGATTTAAAGGACTGCATGTATTCCAAGATCATCCTTTCTGCCTTTTCTATGTAAGATGGCCTTTCTGTTAAACTGGTGCTCGGCAGGTGATTGTTTTGTAAAGTGCTCTTCTTGGTGAATCTAAAAGTCAGCAACCATGTCAGTCTCCAGTGTTATTTTTGACAATTCATTGCTGTATGAATTCCAATCCAGGAGGTTCCCTGATTTGGATGACCCAAAGGTTCTGTTCCTCTTGCTCATGACTACGTCTGCAGTATGGGCAGCCCTTCCTCACACTGCCCAGGGTTGCCTGCAGGCAGTGACCCTACTTTTTCTCAAGCTTCCCTGCTGCTGCAGATCATGGTGGGAAAGACTCTTTCTCCCCGCCCCCACCAAAAAAAAAAGGAGAAGGAAAAAGAAAAATGAAGGGAAGAAAAGATAAAATAGAAAAATATTTGGTTCCTTGGTCTGGGCCCATTGTAAATGCAGTTTCTGGAATATAGACATAGTTTGGGGGATTGGCTTCTCATGTGCCTACCAGTGGATGGACAGCTGAGGGTTTTGCTCACTTGGCCTCAGATACTATGTTTTTATTAAAGTGAACTTTTCTGGGGCTTGATTTCAAGATACTGAGCGCAGTCCCCTATTGCTGGACATTCACATTTGCCTTTTCTGAGGCCTCATGATTATCCTTAGATTTTGGAATGCTGGCAAAAAAGCAGTGTTTTTCTCTTCTGGGCTTAATTTATTGTGCAGGAATGACTGACACTCACCAAGCTGCTGGACAGTGACAGTGGCCTAATGCAATGCTGGAATCCTTCTAGCGTGAGAGCCTCCTACGCTTAAACCAGTGGCTCATTTCTTGGATTTCCATGCTTACCAGACTAATAGCTAAAAATCTGCAAGATCAGTGTTTTTATTCTTTTTTGAGAAAGACCTTGCATGTTGTTTTGATTTGTATTCCTAGCATGACACCCTGTGAGAGATAGTGAGAGCACAGCCCTGTTTACAGATGAGGGCCTGGCAGAGGCCAAGCCGGGTCCTCTGCAGATCCTAACTGCTGCTTACCACTTAAGGACTTTTGTTTCTCTTCTGGGATGGAATGTACTTTATAAGCATTACCTGGTTCTTTCTGCTTAAAACAAAACAAAGAAAACGGAAGAAAAACAGGCAGTGCTTTACCCTGCAGGAGACAGAGAAGATAGTTCCGCCCTGGCTTCTGTCTGAAACAGCTGCAGCTCCTGCAGCTGGTGTTTTGCCAAAACGGAAGCTCCCTGTTCCTCTGGCTCCCACAGGGGTTCCCTTCTCTGACCAGGGGAGTGTGTAGCTCTCTCAGTTGGGCACTATTCTAAGCTCAGCAAGTAACAAAGGACCAGTTTCCCTGCATTCTTTGGTTTCCACAGCAGAGTTCCTTTTTCCATACTCCTTTTCCATTTCTTACATCTCCAAAAAACATTTTAGCTACTTAGGTAGAGAAATATCTCCCTGGGTTCATTCCTATGAGTGATCTGAATGTCTTTTAGTGTGGTGAATATTTTAAGTTTCCCCACCTCTTATTTGCAGGCTCTTCCTGACCATTAAAGTCTCTGATGTTTACTTGCAAATGAAGCCTGCAAGCGCTTATCCAGCAAACTTTTTCTTTATAGTTTGACTGCAGGATTAGCAATTGTTTTCTTCTAGTGCCTTTTCTTTTAGTAGAGCCCAACACACACTGTTTGCTTCTCTCAACTGCTCTCTCCTGCTGTGGTACTTTAGCTTATTTCTGGACTCCTTTTTAGATAGATTTAGATAGATGGATAGATAGATAGATAGATAGATAGATATCAGTTGAATTAAATCAAGAAGTTACAATATTGTGTTTAACAAGCTAGAAATGATCTCTATGAATCAGGAGGTGGGAAAGCTTGGCCAAATTAGTCCCATTTTGTTGCTGAGAAACTTGTCTAGGGGGGAACTAGACAGTCAAGCTTCTTTGGGCAGCTCTCTGGACTATAACGAGGTGTCACAGCATTCCTAAAATTCTCTGCTCAGCCGGAGGTTGTGTGGAATGCCATTCTGGAAACTGTTGGTCCCTTAACCTTCTACCTTGTGGTCAGGTTGCCATCTTCCTGGGCAGAGCCGCGCACATCTACCCGCTCTCCTTCTTCCTCAACTTGGGCAGAAGGCATAAGATTGGCTGGAATTTTCAACACATGATGATGTTTTCAGGTAAAAAGGCGTAAGTGTAAAGAAAATGAGTTTTATTCAGCAGGTAACAAGAATATGATTAAAATGTAATTGATAAGGTTCATAAAAAGACAAGCATTCAAGTTTCTGGTCCGTTTGTATCCCCTGCAGTGAGAAATAGACAGATGTACATGTTCAGTTGAGTTAGTGTTGATTTTGCAAACCGTACTACCAAATGTGAACATTCTCCCCTAAAATATTTGCATTTCTATTTCATCACTACCACTCAACGGACCTGGAGATATGGTGTTTAAAGTGCTTGATTGTTTTCTAGAAGATCTTCATAACCCTTAAGCTTCCTGAAGGGCACCAGCTCTAGAATTAGAAGGAAAAGAGCTCCTGATGAGAAAGACCACTGGCCAAGTCACTCAACACCTCCCAGCCGCAGTATCCTCCCTTGTAAAATAATGAAATTGAACTAATTAGCTGAGGTCCCCCAGCTCTAACTTTCTGTGGAGCAAAAGAAATAAAATACACTCATGTAAGCAAGAGGGACCCAACACTAGAATTTAATAACTGTGATCATCCTGCTTAATTGACACTGTCTCCCACATGCCCCCCTTTTCCCTGTAAAGCTGAGAAGTCTGGAGAAGCCACTGAGGGGACAAAGGACAATAAAGAAAGCTGTGGAAGTAGAGTAAGGAGAGAGCAACTGGCATGAGTGGATGATGCAGTGAGGGTGGTAAGCGTCAGCTTTATAGAAATGGACCCAAGTTAGAGCATTTCTGCAGAACAGAGGGAGGAGAAGTTAGTTGCAAAAGGCTACTGTGACCCTTAAAGGCACCTCTGTCCTTTAAGACAGAGAATGAGTTGCAGCCACCTTTACTGCCATGCAGTGGTCGTACTGAAATCAAACCAACAGGCACTGCTCAGTAAAGCAGTCATTTTATCTCATGCTAGCTTGCCTCTGAACTTAGATACAGGTACAGTCTTCTAAGATGATTTCCTTTTACTCTGACAAACATTTATTGAGCATCCTCTTTTCATAAGCCACAGCTCTAGGTTGTGGAGCATGCAAAGACCAGCCTCCTTCATGGAGCTCACAGTCCGCTGCGGGGAGGCAGGTACACAAAGAGTTAATTTTCTTCCAAGAGAGGTTGGTGAATTGCACAAAAGAGGTCTGAAAGAAATGTGAACAAGAAGAGAATGGCTCAGGGCCATCTTCACAAAGGGAGTGGCCTTTTAGCTAGGCTTGGAAGAATGGAATTTCAGGAGGCAGCAGTTTGGGAAGGCAGAAAAGCATTAGCATGCCTGGCTCGTTTAGGGAAGGGCAGCAGTCTGGTTTAAATGTCAGATACATGGAGTAATGCAGAAAGAGGGTGAGGTTGACCACCACTGCCGCCTACCAGCTGTTGCTGATCTGGCACGGTGAAAGTGCCTGGAACCTGGAGAACTGCTTCAGTGGCTGGAAGGACACCGCCCTGAGCCCGGGAGCCACAAGGAGGCGAAGTGTGGTGGACAGGCACTGCAAGATACTGGCTATAAGTTCAACATCTACTTCACATCAGTGCAGAAGAGAGCGATCTGGACCCTCTGGACAGTGCCAGATGCCACTGACCTGATGTGGCTGCCCGTAGTGAGGACTTGGCATCTTAATGAGTGGCACTCTGGTGGTCTGACCGACCTCCGTAAAGCAGAAACTGCTGCCAAGCATGGTAAAGATCTGGAGGCGCTCCTGTGATGTCCCACCACCTCTCATAGAGCCCGATCATCCCTTCTACAGCAGCATCAGTAAAGATCGCAGGTATGTACCCCTCACTGAAGATCAGCTACCCTCTTGTGAGGGTCTGAAGGACACTTCTGCCAGAGCTCTGCCCTTTGGAATGAAGAAATAGTTCCCCAGATTAAGGAGGGGAAATGGGTACTGATTACAGCCCATGGCAACAGCTTCCCCGGCATTGTCAAGCATCTGGAGGGTCTCTCTGCAGAGCAGAACCTGCTGACTGCTATTCTCGTTGTCTATGAATTGGACAAGAACTTGAAGCACATCAGGCGCATGCAGTTCCTGGGGGATGAAGAGACCGTGCATAAAGCCATGGAAGCTGTGGCTGCCCAGGATAAAGAAAAGAGGTAAAGGCCAGCGGACAGACTACTTTCGCCGGGAACACCTTCCCTGCCCGTCCCTTCCTCTGCCCCTCCCCACTACACATGTCACACTGACCACATCTGTAGGCATCTGAAGTTGTAGCTACAGATGAGTACCAGTGGCTCCCATTTTTCATTTCAGCCATTTTTCTCCTGCACCCACTGTCTTCACACAATCTAGACAAGATAGCATCTCCGGGGAGGGCACAGATTTTCAGTCCAAGCCCAGGGAAAACTCCCCTTATCCAAAAGAGTTGAGAGGTAGGGACTTGGGTTTTTACCAGGGCTTTGTGTACTGAGGACCTGCTTGAGTAGGAGATAGGGAGGAACCATGCTAAGGCATGGCCAATGAGGAGAAGCAAGAGAGCCTGTTTGCCCCCAGGAGCCAGTCCTGTGTTCTTCTGTAGTCAGGCTACTACCTGGAGGGCTCTAGTCATTCCAGTGGAAGATGAATGTAACCTGCATGGTGATGTAAAAAAACAAAAACAAAAACAAAAACAAAAAAAAACAGTTTCCTCCCTGACCCCAAAGGGGCTGGCTCTACTTGATGAGTGGGATCAATCCTGAATTAAGTTTCTGTTGCATTTATTTTACAAAAAAAAGTATATAAATAATACAAAACAAAAGTCCTTGTGGAGTTTCTAGTGGCAGTTGAAATAATCCCACGTGATCATCAGAAAATAAACCATTCCTTATACCAATATGGCATAAGCTCCTTGACTTGTAAGGGGTAGGAGTGCCTCCTGCTGTGTATTTTAGAATCCCTGCCCCGCCTTGTTTCATGGCAGTGAAGTGCCTCTTGATCACGTCCAAGTGTGTCTTTCACTGCCTGTTTTCTGAATCACGTTTTAGTTACTTGGCCATGCCACATGGGCCCAGTACTCATTTTGAGCATAACTGTACTAAATCTTTTTTCCAAATCAGTATAAGAAAGGAATGATATGCAAAAAAAAAAAAAAAAAAAGGGAGTGGGGAAAGAAGGTGAGGTTGGAAAGGAGAATTGTATCTAAACTCATAATTTTCACCGTTTAGGTTACATCAGAATTGCCCATTGGGCTTGTTAAAGTGCAGATTGCTGGGCCTCACTGTCTGATTCTGGGGATATGGAGTGGGCTCTTCTAACATTTCTGAGCTGCCACTGCTGCTGGTTTGAAAACCACACTTTGAGAACCACCACTGTAGGTAGAGTGGAGACCTCAGAGAAGCTCCAGTGCTGTGCCAAAGAGTTTGAGCTTCACTCAAGAGCAGCAGGGAGACATTCAGAGCTTGGTGAAGAGGACGGTGATAAGCTTCTATGTACATATTAGGAATATGCCAGTGGACAAGAGGAAGATTAGTTGGAGCTAACCCTGTCATCTAGGTCAACTTAAATATGCTCATTGGCTTCTGTACTAAAAAGCTGAGAAGTGCACAGTGCTGTTTAATGATATCTCCAATAAAAAATATTTTATGCTGGGAGAAATCTGCCTATCAAAAGGAACTCATTTGTCAAGGCTATGAAATACCTGAGGTTTCACTTTCATATTGCTTACCATGCTTACCTAATGAAATAAAGAAAAATGTATTATACTTGGTCTCTCTCTGATGCCCAAGTTTTCTTTGAGTCAGCATCCCTTGAGAGGCTTAAATGTTGACCAGTGACATAGCTGGCTGGCTGTAGGGTGACCTAGATGTGTATAAATATCTAGGACAGATTAATAGAAAACATCAACTTTGTTTTCAATGTAACTTTTATTGATGTCACTCTTCTTTAGTGAATTGTAGTGAAGTGCTCAGATTACATATATTAATAATTGTGAAATTGCAAAATAGAAAGATGTACAAACAGATATAGTAGGTCTAAGTTTTCATTCTCTCGCATGTTATACAGTCTTGCCCATGGTGAATAAAAATTAATGCTAGATATGTACTAAAGACTGTAGATTCAGTCTTTTTTTTTTTTTTTTGAGACACAGCCTTGCTCTGTCCTCCAGGCTGGAGTACAGTGGCACCATCTTGGCTCACTGCAACCTCCGCCTCCAGGATTCAAGTGATTCTCCCACCTCAGCCTCCCAAGTAGCAGAGGACTACAGGCACATGCCATCATGCCTGGCCAATTTTTGTATTTTTGGTAGAGATAGTGTTTCACCATGTTGGCCAGGCTGGTCTCAAACTCCTGAGCTCAGGTGATCCACCCACCTTGGCCTCCCAAAATGCTGGGATTATAGGTGTGAGCCACCACACCCGGCCAGATTCAGTCTTTACTATAAAATAAATTATGAGCGTGATATGGGAAAGGAACAAAAGAGCTTAGAAGGATGAACTCCAAAACATTAAACTGATGGTATTAATCTTAAATCCATTAATGCAGATCAGGTACCAGCAAACTACAACCCCTGGGCCAAATCTGGCCACTGCCTGTCTTCACATAGCCCGTGAGCTAAGAATGTCTTATACAGATGAATATTTGTACTCTATTTGATGTAGACAACACTGACTTTGAAACAACAGTTAAGCAAAATATCCCCTCCAGAAAGAATTTCCCTCTTTTCATTATTAGACCTGTATTACAACAAAGTGGCCTCAATTATTATTATTGATTTTTGATAGTAAACATTTGTGGAAATGTTCGTCCCTTTGATCTAAGTACCCACATAATATTCTTGATTTTGCCTCTTGGCCCACAAAACCTAAAATCTATAATATCTGGCCGGTTACAGAAAGAGTTGACCACCCCTGATGTAGATTGGGTTATGTTTTCACTTCTCTGTGTGGTTTCCCCTTTTGCTAAGGAAATGCTGAACTGTTTTCCACAAATTTGACATACTCGTACCTAGCCTGTTTTTTAAATTTATATTGACTGTGTAGTGCTTGGGTTGTGTTGGGATCACAGTTTTAGCTTATATTATTTTTTACTTATTTATATTTTACTTCATGTTACTAGCAGAATCATGTAAGTAATAGGAGTGTTATTATTCTGAAAAAGTGCTGTACAAAGCAGTACAATGCTTTTTCATTGTGTTGGGGAGTTTTGCAAAAGACAGCATCAAATAAAAGAAAATCATGCCTTTAAGGTTCTTCTTTCTGAGTAAAACAACTTGGCCCCTGAAGCATGAATGAATAGAGTTTATTAGCCCCAAATGGCAGCAGTGCATTTTGAGACAACATTGTCATTTAATCCTTATAAGTAGATCTTCTTCTTTGGTCCCCGCAGGCCTCAGGGGAGCAATGGCATTTGCGTTGGCCATCCGTGACACGGCATCCTATGCTCGCCAGATGATGTTCACGACCACCCTTCTCATTGTGTTCTTCACTGTCTGGATCATTGGAGGAGGCACGACACCCATGTTGTCATGGCTTAACATCAGGTTGGTTTGGAACCAAGGCTAATTGAGTATGTCAGTTGTCACCGTTCCTGAGAATGTTCAACAACCTGTGCAGGATGTGCTACTTTAGTTCATGGAAACCTTTTACAGTCTTTGGTTTTGTTTGTGAGGGGGGATTAACAATTTTTTTTAAAACAATAAGTAAAAGTTTGGAGTATGGGGTTTTCCAGGAGAAAAAATGTAGTCATTAAAAATTTTTGTCAGTGCAAACATACAAAGAATGAGAAGTGCCTGGATCTTGCTAGAACAGTGACATTAGAGCAAAAATTTAAAAAGTCTTAAAGCTGCGGGAGAGAAAATAGACCAAGAGCCCCTGGCAGAGTCCAGTATTTCATGTTCCTTTGAAATGAAATCCAGACTCTGAAGAATAAGCTCACCAGCCAGAAATAGAGGCAATTAGAGTTTTATTTTAGCATGAAGCTGTATGCTGTCTCTTCTTGCTTGAGTGTACAAAAGAGGTGACATTTCCTGGGTAACCCTCACCTGTTGCAGTTTCATGGATGTCCTCTGCCTGTGGCTTTGTAGCTGTGTCAGGACAGAAGGAGCACTGATACGAGTTTGACTTTTTCAAGAGCGCTTGAATTCCAAATTGTGTTTGTGAGCTCCAGCATCTTATGGTAAAGAGGTCACTGGAAATAAGGTTCAAGAGACCCACAGCCCAACTCTGGCTTGGGTTAAAGACAAGCCCCTCATGTCTTTGGGCCTCAGGTTTCCTCAGTGTTAAGTGAAGACACTCTGCCAGGTGATTTCAAGGGCACTTCAGCTGTAGGTGTCGTGCTGCACATCACTGGATGTGCTCTGGCCACTTGCCACAGTTTCAGGTCTGCAGAGGGTGACCGTGTTCTGGAACAAGAAGACACTTGGGTAGTGCAAAGGTGTGAATAAAAATTCTCTGAAAAGCCACAAGGTGGCAATGGTTTTTCTTTCTCTGCTGGCTTTTTTAGTTTGTATTCTCTAGACTGTAGAATGCCCGACACAGCTGCAGAGCGTACATAGCTTGGAGGAGAGAAAATGAACAGAGATCTCCCAGTCATCCTTGGGGTTGGGGGGAAGAAACTAAAATTTGAGAGAATCATCTCCTGTGTCTGGGGTTTTTGTATAGATGTTAGGCAGAGATTCCTGGGCTGCCACTTCTGCTGCCAGCCACTGCCACTTCCACTTCCACTGCCAGCTTCACCATTTCTGGGCTAGTGTATCTCTGCCTGAGATCCAGGTGGGTCTGCAGAACCAATATGGGGTTTATCAGTGTTAGTCATAATAATAAGTAACACTTACGTTGCAGGCATTGTTCCAGATACCATACATATATTAAGATAATTCTCATAACATTCTTATAAGGGAGATAGGACTATTATCTCAATTTTAGAGTTGGGGAAACTGAGGCACAAAGCAGTAATTTGCCCAAGGTCACAGAGCTTTAAGTGGACAAGCTAGGATTTGAACCTAGGCACTCATACCACAGAGTCCACACTCTTAACCACTGTGCTATACTGCCTGTAAGAAGAGTTATAAAATTTGGGAAGGTTAGAATTTCAGTTTCCTGGCATGAATCTCAAGGGTTGGATTAAGGAAAAGAATCCATCTTTGAGAATATAAACCTGAAGAAAATTTACAGTCTCTTACTTTTAAACTTAAGACATAAGATGGTACCATCTTTGTTCTATGTAGCAGAATTAGGGCAAGAAAAAAGGTTTACCCTCTACACAGTTGAGAATCTTTGCATTTGGTGACCTCTGAGATTACTTCCTGCTCCTGTTTGTCTGGTCACCTAGTAGATGCTCTGGATGCTCAGAGCCTCATTAAATCATGTTTGTTTTTCATGCTAGTTTATAAATCCTTTTCTCCCCCACCCCTCAAACATATACGGGACCAAATAATTTTCCATTGAGAGTAGAGAGTTGACTTTTGACATTTTGCTGTTGTAACTGCCTTGGAGATCCATGTAGGTTGTTCATGTATCAAGTTTGTTCTGTTTTATTGCAGAGTAGCATTCCAAGGTGGGCCTGCCACATTCCTCCTCTGGTCCCTGCTGCCTAATTAGTGGCTCCAGCCACTAATTTAACCATTTACCCCTCGAAGGACATTTGGATAGTTTCAAGTTTTAGGCTATTATAAATAAAGCCACTGTGAATATTCTTGTGTAGGTTTTTGCATGGGCATAAATTTTTACCTCTGCAAGATAGATGCCCAGGAGTGTGCCTTCTGTGTTGGATAGTAAACGTGTTTAGTTTTATAAGAAACTGCCAACTGTTTTCCAGAGTGGCTGTACCATTGTACATTCCCACCAGCAGTGTATGAGGGATCCAGTTTCTCAGCATCCCCCCCAGCATTTGGTATTGTCAGGGTATTTCATTTCAGCTGTTCCAATAGGTATGTGGGAATATCTCATTGTGGTCTTAATTTGCATTTCTCTCATAGATAATGATATTAAGCATGACTTCATGTGTTTATTTACCATTTATATGTCTTCTTTGGTGAAATATCTGTTCAAGTCTTTTGTCCATTTTTAAATTGGATTGTTTGTTTCTTTGTTGAGTTTTTAGAGTTCTTTATTCTAGACTGTAGTCTTTTGTCAGATACATGGTTTGCAAATATTTTTTCCCAGTGTGTAGCTTGTCTTTTAATCCTTTTAATAGGGTCTTTCATAGAGCAGAAGTTTTAATTTATAATTTATCATTTTTTTTCTTTTATGGGTCATGCATTTGGTATCATGTCTAAGGACTCCACCAAGCCTTAGGCCTGAAGATTTCTTCTGCGTTATCTTCTAAAAGCTTTTTAGTTTTACACTGTACATTTAAGTCTGTGATCCATTTTGAGTTAATTTTTATATAAGATGTGAGGTTTAGGTTGAGGTTTTATTTGCCAATGGCTATCCAGTTGTTCTAGCATAATATGTTAAAAAGACTATCCTACTCCATTGAATTAATTTTGCTCCTTTGTCAAAAATCAGTTGTCTCTATGCATGGGGGTGTCTTTCTGCACTGCTCTATTGGTTTATGTGTCTATCCTTCCAAGACCATACTGTCTTGATGACTATACTTACGCAGCAAACCTTAGCATCAGAGTGATTCCTCCCACTTTATTGTTATGGCTATTCTAGTTCCTTTCCATATAAATTTTGGAATAAATTTGTCTACATGTAAAAAAAATCTTGCTGGGTCTTTCATAGGAATTATGTTAAACCTTTACATTAATTTTTGGGGAGATTGACATCTTTATTATGTTGAATCTTCCAATCCATGAACATGATATATTTCTCCATTTATTTAGAACTTCTTTGATTTCTTTCATTCGATTTTTGCAGTTTTCAGCAACCAAGTCCTGTACATGTTTTGTTAGTACTTGTATCCTGTCACCTTACTGCTGAACTCACTTACTAGTTCTTTAGTTCTGAAAGTGTTTTGGTCCTTTTTTTTTTTTTTGGTAGATTCTTTTGAATTTTCTACATAGACCATATAGACCATCATGGTATTTGTAAATAGCCACAGTTTTTTTTTTTTCCTTCCTTTTCAACCAGTGTACCTTTTGTGTCCTTTTCTTGCCTTATTGCTCTGGTTAGGATTTTCACTACTATGTAGAATAAGAGTGGTATAAATGGACATCCTCATCTTGTTTCTGATCTTAAGAGGAAAGCATTTTCCAGGGACGGTGGCTCACATCTGTAATCCCAGCACTTTGGGAGGCTGAGGTGGGCGGATCACAAGGTCAGGAGTTCGAGACCAGCCTGACCAACATGGTGAAACCCTGTCTCTACTAAAAATACAAAAAATTAGCTTGGAGTGGTGGCAGGTGCCTGTAGTCCCAGCTACTTGGGAGGCTGAGGCGGGAGAATGGCGTGAACCCAGGAGGCAGAACTTGCAGTGAGCTGAGATCACGCCACTGCACTCCAGCCTGGGCGACAGAGCGAGACTCCATCTCAAAAAAAAAAAAAAAAAGAGGAAAGCATTCGGTCTTGCCTTATTAACTATAATATTAGCTATAGGGTTTTTGTAGATGTTCATCTTCAAGTTGAGGAAGTTCCTACCTATTGCTAGTTTTCTGAGAGTTTTTTTCATGAACAGGTATTGAATTTTATCAAATATTTTTTCTGTATCAATTGATATGATCATATGATTTTTCTTGTTTAGCCTATTAATATAGTGAATTACATTGATTACTTTTCAAATATTGAACCAGCCTTGTTTCTCTGAAATAAACCCCACTTGATGTGGTATATTATTCTTTTACATATTGCTGAATTATATGAGCAAACATTTTGTTAAGGATTTTTATGTCTGTATTCATGAGGGATATTGGTAGTAGTTTTTTTTTGTACTGCTTTTGTCTGTTTTTGGTATCAGAGTAATCTGGCCTCACAAAATGAGTTGGACATGTTCCTGACTCTTTTTTTTTCTGGAAGAGATTGTGTAGAATTGGTGTTAATTATTTTTCTTAAACTTTTGGTAGAATTCTCCAGTGAAACCATCTGGGCCTGGAGACTTCTTTTTTGGGAGTTTTTCAATTATGAAGCCAATTTCTTTATTAGTTATAGGGCTTTTCAGATGACCTATTTCATATTGGGTAAGTTGTGGTAATTTGTGAAATTGGTCAGTTTCATTTAAGTTGTCAAGTTTATGTTGTTTGTAGCATTCCCTTGTTATCCTTTTGATGTCTGTGGGGTCTATAGTGATATTCCATTTTTGATATATCTTCTCTGTTTTTGGTCGGTCTTGCTAGACATTTGCCAATTTTATTGATCTTTTCTAAAGAACCAGCTATTTATTTCATTGATTTTCTGTATTGTTTTTCTAATTTCATTTTAATTGATTTCTATCTTTATCAATTTCCTTCCTTCTGTCTGACTCTATCCAGACAGCATAATGCCATTACTGAAAAATATATATGTGTCAGCTCGTTGCATTTTTCCAGATGTGTATAAATAATGATTACATAAGTGTAGAAACTGACATTTACAGAGATTACATCAAAAGAAATTCCCTCTGAAATAAGGTAATAAAACAGATTAATTTTTCTGGCTTGTGGCTTGTGGTGTGATGGCCATGAATCATTTCTGTAACCCAGGTTCTTATTCTAAATTGATTCAGAAACCCCCTGAAATTCAGTTTGGCATTTTGACCCCTGTGACCTCGATATGATCAGCACTGACTCATTCTTTACTTCTCCAGGCTACTGATAGAGGCCCTGATGAGCTGTTAAGTAGCTGCCCAGAAGTCAGAAGCCCAGGGTGGTTCTTGGAGTTCACCATAAATAGGAGTTAGCTGTGTTTCTTACTATGGCTAATTTCAAGTCTGTGTATAAAATAAAAATGAATATAACTATAAATCCAAAGCCAGGTCACTGCTTTCCATAAATCCAATTTATCTTTTTACATTGGTGTTTTGTGATTGATATTTTAAAACATAATGGCAAAATGTGCAAATTGCTTTCTGTTGAAACATAATATTTTTCTCAGTCTCTTGAGTAAGAGTTGTTATTGACAAAGGACATAATTTTGGCAACTTAAAAAATGATGGTGGGATTATTTTGCCTGATGAGCCTGTGTGTGTCCTGACCACATTGTGACAGCATGGTGGCCGTCTTCTAGGAGCCGTCAGCTTCAAGTAACACACACGAAATGGTGGAGATAGTGGGTTGGGGGGGCGGTGGAACGACATACACCCAGGTGGCCAAATGAACTGTAACTTTCACATTCCAGGGTGTAGTAATATAATCCTTCAAGGACAAGTAAGAATGCTCTACTTGGCATAATCCTGTTAGACTGAGAATTTATAATAAAGCTCTTTGCAAGATAACATAAGGAATAAAGGCAGGGAGAAGCCCTGAGCTCTTTATGTAATAACATTTGCAACTGGATATTTTAAAAGAACTTAAATATGCCTCCTTGGAATCAAAGGCAGTATCCTATAAGAGGAAGAGCTGAGGCTCTGGAGACGAGCAGCTTGAGTTGGAATCTTGGCTCTACCATTTCTACCTTTGTGACCTTGGGCAACTTATTTCACCTGTATCCCTCAGTTTCCTCACTGATTAAATGGGGACAGTCATAGTGTGAGGATAAAATGTGGTAATAAATAATGCAATGAAAAATTCTCTCATCAATGTATCATCTGACACATAAGCACTTAGTATATTTTAGCTGTTATATTAATAGTATTAATCATAGCATTACAGCTGCTACTATTATTAATACTATTTCTCAAGAGACAATGAATCTTACATTAAGGAATCTGGCTTGTTTTTCTGGTGTTTGCTATAATTTTTCGATGTTGTAGTAATAGAGTCTGATTTAAGTCACATTCTGAACATGTAACTAATTAAAAGTACCACCTTAAGAAGCATCGTGTCCTCACTTGCATATGTCAGGGAATATTAATAACATGAGAATTTGGGCATTGTCTAGTGAAGTAGTTCTCAATCTTTTTTTCGTTATTGCCGCTGCTGAGGAGCCTTTAAAAACTTTTTCCTCAGTTACCTCCCCCAGTGAAATTTGAATATCACAGATCTGCTATGCATCTCTGTCTGTGCTGTGGCACTTTGGAGGGTTACAAACCATCATAATATCTGAGTGGTTTTTTTTTTTTAACCTACAAGAACCAATTTTTATACCCATGAGGGTGATACTGCCTCCATTGAGAAAACGTGGTTCAGTGCAGTGATTTTTCAACTGAGGGCAATTTTGCCGCCCAGGGGACATTTATTTGGCAGTATCTGGAGATGTTTTTAGTTGGCCACAACCAGAGGAAGGGGTCAAAACCTCAGCTTCTTGGTGGGTGGGGTTGCTACTAGTATCTTGTGGGTGAAAGCCGGAGACTCTGTTAAACATCTTACAGTGAGTGCACCATGCGGGTCACCACAACAGAGAATTATCTGACCCAAAATGTCAATGCTGCCGAGTTTACGAAACCCTGCTCCAACATGATGGTAAGATTCAAATGCACTCTAAGTAACCCAGAAATTATTAAGGAAGGTGAAGGTGGACCATGTCAATTCAAAAGGCTACAAGCTAAAGAGAATAGCAGAAGTTGGGTTGCCGACTTTCAGGTTGATCCTATGTACAACATGGTGTGCTTGTCTGGAAAAAAAGGCCATCTTTGTCTTCTTAAGTATTGTTGCTGTTTTTCAATAATATCATGCTTTTTGTTCTTTCTGTCAAATATGTGTAAAAATATGTGTAAACACTTTAAATATGTGTAACATATTTAAGCAACAATTTCTTTTTTCTATTTTTGGTATCTTTATAAACAAATGAATTTCTGAAAAAATTATGTAAATTTGTTTTCTATGAGGTGTATTTCATCCTCTGATTTTATTACATTATATTTTGAGGGGCTCATCCTCATTCCTGATCAATCCTCATTTGACCTGGCTCTTGACATTGTTGCCTTAAATTTAAATTTAGTGGCCTCTCAGCCTCTCTGGGTTTTAGAGGATGGGGACAGTTTAAGAGAAGATATGGATTCATATTGAAAGTGAAAAATATTCTCTGGTGGACATGGTCCAGATCATTTGCCCAGAGCTCCTGGCTCTCCTGTTGTCCCTGTCACACTCACGTTCCCTTCTTCTGCTGCCCAGAGTTGGCGTCGAGGAGCCCTCCGAAGAGGACCAGAATGAACACCACTGGCAGTACTTCAGGTGACACAAGGGCATCCTCAGAAAAAATTAACTGGGCCTGGCTTTTCTCCTCTTTCTAACCTCAGATATTTCTCTTTACACTATTTTTCTCTTCCTTCCTGCGTGTGCCAACCCCCACTTTTAGTAAAGGTGCAAAAGGTTGAGTCAATTCTAATCATTTTTTCCACCCCTCCTCTGGGTTGATTGATGTGTCAGTGTTCTTGGGATTCTGTCTGCTTTCCCCACATTTAGGCAATGTATTGCCAACATAAAGCCTGAGTTGTCAAGTGTCTCCTTTTCGTACAACTGAGCTTAGTGTTAAGAGCAGCTCACTTTCAGAGCCACACTTTTCCCACAAAATCCTGCTTGTGATCTAGTAAATAAGGCTCTTAATTCATAAAGAGAACTAGAATTTTCATATTTCAACCATGACTGGGGTAAGGCTTACACCATCTTAGTTAAATACCACTGCTATTATAGTTTTTCAAAATACATATTTGTGTACTTGTGCCTTGTCATGGTGAACCAGAAGATATGAAGAATGTTTAACCAAAAAGATAAAGATTCCTCTAATGCAGTTTGTTTCTTGTATCCTTCCAAGTTTATGATATAACTATGCTTAAGGGTGGTGATGTCTGGGCAAGCAAAGTACAAACTTTAATGTTTCTTCTTTCCTTTCTGTTTCTCTAATTGGCATGTTTTCTTCCTGATCTGATTCTCGGTGCTGATAGATAAATCAAATGCAAAATAGGCTTCAACTCTGTTCTCGGCACTGTGAGAATATCTCACTTCCTTGAGGGCAGTGGTGAAAGCAGTGGGACATGGGTCTTGGGATATCACTAGGCCCCGTATGTGTACTGTAATGACTCACATGAAATTACTTTAAGTATTTAAGCTCACTGAAATCACACTTTTTTCTACACACACATGTTCATTTTTGGAGACTGACTTTGATACCAGCTAAATTGCAGAGGAAACCCTTTCCTTTGAAGCATGCCTTCAAGAAGGAAAGTCCTTCAGGCAAAGTGTAAGTTATTAGACTTGGGACATGAGCAAATTCAGATTATGATATGGTGTTCAAGGTGTTATATGAAGATGTGTGTCTCATATTCCTCAAATTATTCAAAACCTTGACCATTCAGGGTTTTTTTTTTAGAAAAAATTATTAATTAACATGGAATACTTCTAAACTTTCCGAGATTTTATGGCATTTTATCTGTTAATCAGAATGGACAAATTATACCAGCAGAGAAATTATCAATGATATTATCAATATCATTCTGGTATTTATTCATTCCAGAATGAGCACATCAGTTTGCTTGCTTTATTTATTCATTTAGTGTGGGATGTCCACATTTATCTAATTCCTAATGAAAATAAAGATAATTCTGCCCATTCTGGAAGAAAAGGCTGTCATTTGTGTTCTTATGAGCTTAGCCCTGATGTATCAGGGGAATGCTAAAATAAGATATAATAAAACAGCATAAAAAAGTTCCAGTGTCCTGGATCAAAAGCGTTATACCAGGTCAGGAGAGAGATACATAAAGTGGACAGTGACCTGGCACTAGGAATTTCAGAAAGTTGGGGGACCCTAAAGTCTTCTGAGGCTTTAAACCTGCAATTAAAATCCTGTACCTGGGCCGGGCATGGTGGCTCACGCCTGTAATCCCAGCACTTTGGGAGGCCGAGGTGGGCAGATCACCTGAAGTCAGGAGTTCGAGACCAGCCTGGCCAACATGGTGAAACACCGTCTCTACTAAAAATACAAAAATTAGCCAGGCATGGTGGTACCTGCCTGTAGTCCCAGCTGCTCGGGAGGCTGAGTCAGGGGAATCACTTGAACCCGGGAGATGGAGGTTGCAGTGAGCTAAGATCACACCAGTGCACTCCATCCTGGGTGACAGAGTGAGACTCCGTCTCAAAAAAATTCACCAAAAAAAAAAAAAAAAAAATCCTGTGCCTGTTCTTTCTTGCTGCCCAGTTCCACACCAAAACACCCTGGCCCATTGCTTTACCTCCTCTTCCCAGAGATCAGTTTGGTTCTGGGCTCTGCCCCAAGGGTGGGGCTCTTTGTAGGAAGCCACAAGGTCCCGTGTCATCCTTGGGGATTGGTCCAAGAGGCCCTCAACCCTGCCAGAAAAGTAATTACTAAATCGCCCTAAAGTAAACAACCTTGAATAGGGGAAAAAAAGTGCAAAACATTATTTGTGTCTCACGGCCCCGATCTGTTTTTTTTTTTTTTTTTTTTTTTTTTTTTTTTTTTTTTTTTTTTTAGCAGCAGCAAGCTGAGAAGCAGCTCTTTGTTTCCTTTCTTAGAAATCTCCTGTTCTGCACTTATATCAGTAGCAAGGCCCTCCAAGAGACCCCAAGGGCCTTCCCACACTCCTCTGTCTGTGGCAGGGCCCAGGAGGTTCTTTTAGACTCTCTGCTGTCAGGAGTTTGGGCTGCATTTCATACTTGGTTGATATCAAGTGGCTGCCGTGAAGGTCGGAACTTCCATGGCAGATATAGGATTTTCCTGGCATCTTTTTTCTTTCCCCCATTGCCCAGTGTTATCCATGTCATCCATGGCACAGTATCCTGCCTCAGAATGAGGAAGGTGCAAGGATAAAAAAAAAAATTGCCAGATGCATAGAGTGCCAGTTAGTATGTTTCTAAGCCAAGACAACTGCCCTGGTGCTTTTATAGTATTTGTTATAAATGAGTCCTGCCATTTTGCTTTTTCTTTCTGTCTTTAGTTGTTGCTCTCAAATGTGTGAGTTCTCAAGGCTATCTTGATGCAAGAGGGTATAGGGGCACCAGGATTGAAAGCAGGTCAGGACTCTAATTAATGATATTGTTAAAGAAAACATTATTCTGATGTATATTTAAACAGTAAGGCAGACGTTGTTCAGGACCATCACGATTGGAATAGGGACCACTGTGATGGGGTTTTGCAGCAGGGGAGAGAAACGGGTCAGTGGATAGGGAAGTACTGAGAGGAAATATCAGGGGCAAGGGGGATTCTGGCTAAACTGACCCAATAGGATTCTTGCTGAAGACAGGCGAAGGGGATTAGACACCACCTGAGGGATTGTGGGGGGATGAAGAATCCAATCAGATGTTGGGGATAGGCCATTCAGATGTTGGGCTGTGGCCAAACCAACTTAGACAATCAGACATCACCTGAGGGATTGTGGGGGGATGAAGAACCCAATCAGATGTTCGGTTCTGGCCAAACCAACTTAGCAAACCTCTTGCTAAAATTGGGCTATGCTGAGATGGACATGGAAGCCCAAAAGTCAGTGCCTAGTTGGGAAGTGAATTCCTAGGAGCCTGACTAAAGTTTGGTCAAGGAGAGACTCTTTGTCAATATGCACGTGAAGTATTTAGGGGAAGTATTCTGATGTCTGCAACTTTATCTGAATGTATCCAAAGAAAAAGTAAGATGGGTGATAGAGAAATGGATAGATAGGTAATAAGGAATATACAGTAAAATGTTAATGGTAGAGTCTAGTGATGGTGGGTATATAGGGGTTCACTCTAAAGTCTTTCAACATCTCCCTGTATATTTGAAAAAGTTTATAACAGAATGTTAGAGAAATTAAAGCAGGCCAGGGCAGAAGTGAGGAAGCAGCACAAAGGAAGGGCCCAGTGCAGTGAGACCCCCATTTTGATAACTGGGACCACCTGGTGCAGAAAAGCAAGTGGACAGTTGCCAGCATGTGTTGTGTTCCGGCGGCCTTGCTTAGAGTGTGAGCACATGGGATTCATCGCCCCTCTGACCCTCTGGGATCTGAAGTGGTATGCGACCTCTTTCTTATGACTTCTGCATGACAGCTTTCCTCACCTTTTAGCTAACCACTCCTTATGCTTCGGGAAGATGATTAGCCTCCAGGCTACTTGCAGCCTGCATGGCTACCATGGGCCAAGCTAATACGCTCTGTTTTTCTCTTTGTCTTTCTCCCTGGTGACTTTCAGAGTTGGTGTTGACCCCGATCAAGACCCACCACCCAACAACGACAGCTTTCAAGTCTTACAAGGGGTAAGTCACAAGAGATGCTTCTTCCTGGGGAAGACATTTGAGCATTCGCCACATGCCAGGCACTTTACCTAGATTCCCTCAATGTGATCCTGACAACAGCCTTATGAAGCGTGTACTGCTCTCCCCATTTTACAGATTAAAAGTTGAAGTTTGGGAGTTTGAGTCATCTCAGAATAAGTGATGGAGCCAGGATTTGTCCCCAGGGTATGTGTTCTTAATCAACATTATGAAGGGTGTGGGCTCGCCAGAAAGAGTCCCTGACTCTCCACTTTTCAATAGTGGATATTGGTTCTACAACTGGTTCCGAGTCTATCAGTGGTGCCCAGGAGAAAGAGAGCAATACGATTTGACTCTCCAGCCCAGGGATCTGAGGAAGAAAGGAGAGACATCAGGTGCCTGAAGGCATTCCTGTTTCTCCAGGGCCTGGGATCCTCTAGGTGAGCAATTTGGAAAGGGCATAGCAGGGACGGCTTGCCTTTTCTCCATGAAGTCCACGGCCCCAGGTGGGAAAACCAGGAGCCTGGGGCTGGAATCATGCAAAGGTTCATTTACTCATATGTCTGGCACCTGGGCTGGAAGGACCCAACCACAAGGACTTCTGACAGGAATGTCTGTGCAGGGCTTTTCCATGTGGCCTGAGCTGCCTGCCAGCATGGTGGCTGCTGGGTAGTTGGATTTCTTATGTGATGGCTTAAGGTTCCAAAAGCAAGTGTCCCAGCAAGCAAGGTAGAGGCTATATCACCTTTTCTGACCTAATCTTGCAAGTTCTACAGCATCACTTCCGTGGCTTTCTATTGCTTAGAAATGCATTCCTAAGACCAGCCCAGACCCAATGGGAGGGGATAGAGACCATAACCTCTGGATGGGAAGAGTATCAACAAATTTACAGACAAGAATTGAGGTTGCCATATCATCCCTGTTGTGCAGCTGTCGGGATGATTTTGTCTCTAGGTCTGGCTCTTTATCCAGGTCAGCATGACCTGGGCAGGCAAGGTGGGGAAAGGAGAGTTATGATAGGGGCAGAAATGTGTTACCAATATATTATTTGACCTTGGGAGTCAATAACTATGTCGTTCAGCATTGAATGCCCAGTGCTGAGCACAGTGGCTGGCACATGCAGGAACCTGATAGGTGTTTGTTGGGTGGATGAGGGAATGAGAGAGATGCAGCATGCAACAGGCAGCTTTACTGACCACCTGTGTATGTTGTCCATGAAACCCTATTCTTTTTTTTCCAGTCAGCTTTGAATCTGACTCATCATTGCACTTAATCCTGCAGCAGTCTGCAGCAGACTTCACATTCCATAGGATCTTCTAAATGATTCCATCTACCAAATCAGATTTAATAAGGCTGGCAAAATGTGGTGCTGTGTGGGGTCAATGGGGTGCCACTGTGGCCTTTTGTGGTTTCTTTCTCTTTAAGGGTGGCCACAGCCTGATAAGGCATTTATAGCATTGATGTCCATTCTAGGTCCCTGCTCAAGGGACACAAAGCCATGACCTGGAAAGTTCTGGACATTTTGGGAAGAGTTTTCAATAAGCTTCATTGGAGATTTGGCACCCACTTTAATGAGCTCCAGAAGACCTTTGAGATGATCTTAGAATTGGCCATTATGTCAGTTGGGAGCATGTGGTCTCAGTGAGTTCTCTTTGAAAATTTGCTATTTGACTCTAGCTTTGATTAAGGACTTTAGAAAACAGGAGTTCAGGAACTGAGCACCTCGAGGCTAATTTAGAGTATAACAGTTTGGGAGATCTTGAAACTCAGCCTGAGAAAACCCCAGGGGAAAACATGATGGCCGTCCTTATTTCACCAAAGGAAAGATAATGGCTCTGGTAGGACATGGCTGCCCTATTCTAAAGCATCCTCCACAGAACTGTGGCCAGTCTAGATTAATTTTGTAAGAAAAAAAGGCCAATAGCAGCTGGATCATAAGATTTGGAGAGATTTCATCTTGCTCTGGACCATTCAAAACATCCCCACCCCCTTTGCTGTTTCCCATTGCTCCTACCTCTGCATTCAAGCATCTGTAACAGGAAATAAGTGAAAGGATTTGGCTGGTCATGTAGTAGAACTTACTATGTATCACATGAGCCCTGCGCACTGGGAACACTGGGCTTGTAATTAGATTCAGTAACAAGCTTACTGTCACTTTTCTGTGGAAATGTTTGAGTGAGAAAGCAGCAGGTCCAAAGTGCTGAGGGTTCTTGTATTTAGTCCATGCAGTAACAGCTAAAATAGCCCCCACCCCCAGGTGGAGTGAGTCTCAGGAACCTCCCTGGATGGGCCTGGATGGATGAACTCAGTGTTCCTGTCAGCTCCCAGAGGGCCCCTTGGGCTGAGAGCACCGCACATGTGGTGTTGTGAACGGGCTGGCAGCCACTCGCGCTGCACTCCTAATGGCACCCTGTTTGCCACAGCCCTAGCCAGAAGCTGTGTCACAGCTTCCCCCTGACCTCCTTCCTTCCAGACCTCATACACAGTCATGCAGAGGGCCCCTCAAAGTCAGTTCCACTGACCTTTTGAAAGGTTTTCAAGATTGCTGTCATATGGGGAAAAACATGCAAACTTCAAGCTTGGTTCTCCAGGACACCCTCTTAGAAATGACTCACGCCCTTGTGCAGAGAGGACCTTATTTCTCCAGTTCCTCCTGGTCTGACCTCCTCATTCTAGTGAGCCACTAACAGCAGGGCTCAGTGCACTCTGTGGCCATGAGAAACAGGAAAACAGAAATAAATGGGCTTCTCATTTTTGGGTGAAACCCTGGGTTCTTGCAGTTTCCCCTGAAATAGATCCAGGTCACATGCTCAGTGTTGTCATGAAACTGAAATCAGAGGTAGGGAAAGTCCAGATGTTTGTTCTCCACCAGAGAAAAAAAAGGGCGGTTCTCTTTACCTCATTTTCTAAATAATCTTCCTAAAAACAACAAACAAAAAAGTGACATTTGATGGGAAGGCATGTCTTATAATGAGCACAATTCTCCTCACTGGTCTTGAAGCCCAAGGCTATAAACAGAGTCATGGCTAGGGAGCTACAGAATATTAGCTCATGTGGGAAAAGGAAGGGAGCTGTTGGCTAGAACTTTGCTTCATGTGGGGAAAGCATAAAAATATTGTGGGCAGACTTCAGCTTTGTGTCCCCTGGTAAGTTTGACTCATTAGAACAAAACAAGACAAAAAAAACAAAAAACAAAAAACAAAACTCAGTGCTTTGTTTCTCTGGAGGTCTTGGTGACTTTGCAACCAAAACAAAAACAACCCTAGCTGGAGGCAAGCTGCCCAGCCCTGGGGGTGGCCTCCCACCCCGATAAAGCAGGGGACTTTTCATGCCAGACCAGACAGCTGAGATTTCTGTTGGCCGTACATGCAGACACATCATTCACTTCCTTCCCTGAGTTTACAGAAGAGCACTCATTGATGAGGCCACTTTGGAGCAGCTAAGAGTGTGAATCTGAATTTATCCCAGTTTCACCATATCAACAGGACAAGGTCACAAGCCGGATATTAATGGAGTGTGGAGGAAAGGAAACCACCAATGCCTGTGTATATGCACACGTGTGTGCGTGTCTGTCTGTGTGTATGTAGTGAAAACTGTAGAAAATCAGCAGTTTATTGTTGCGTTCACATATGACTTTCTGAGCAAGTTAGAATCATTTGTTTCTGGGTCCTCCGTGTTTTTTTTTGTTTGTTTTTGTTTCTCCAGGCTGAAATCTGATACCCGTAAATCTGTCACCTAAATCTTTAACTTCAAACAGTTGCAGAGGTGCCTTTCCTCCAGTTGCTACTCTGTGACCACCGCCCCCCCCCCAACCCGCCCATTTTTTTGTGCTTCCAAGTGCCTCCCTTGGCCCCTGATTTCCCTTTCTGCTCTTCCTTTTCTGTTTTCTAAAAACTCAGAGTCAAGATCAATTTATTCATTTATTTGACAAATAGTTATTGAGCACCTGTTCTATTTCAGGCATTCTTTCAGGTTCTGGGAAAATATCTGCAACAAGGTAGATGAATCTGCATCCTGAAGGGCTTGGTGACAAGGTGATAAAGGGTGAGGGTGGAGAGTGGCAGAAGCAAGAGAGTGGAGACACTCAGGCCTCACCAGCCCCACTGAAGCAGAATCTGCATTTTAACAGTGTCTCCAGGGAATGTGTGTACATTTTACCATTAGAAAAGCCCTGATCTAGGCAATGTATAGCTCTGGAGAGTTTTAAGCAGGGAAGAAAACTATCTGTGTATCACGGTCAGAGATTTGACTCTGGTTTTTTTTTTGTTTTGTTTTGAGACAGGGTTTCCCTCTGACGCCAAGGCTGGAGTGCAGTGGTGCAATCACAGCTCATTGCAGCCTTGACCTCTTGGGCCCGAGGGATCCTCCTCCCTCGGCCTCCTGAGTAGCTAGGACCACAGGTGTGTGCCACTTCACCAAGCTAATTTATAAAATATTTTTCTAGAGACAGGGTCTTGCTTTGTTGCACAGGCTGGTCTCAAACTCCTGGGCTCAAGTGATCTTAACCCTCCCAAAGTGCAGGGATTACAGGCATGAGCCCACTGCCTGGCTGATTCCCTGTTTCTAAACCCTATTATTACCCTCTGCTGAGAAATCTTGGATCCATTATCCCAATGATATGACAAAGGCCCTGTATTAGTCCATTCCCACACTTCTATAAAGAACCACCTGAGGCTGGGTAATTTATGAAGAAAAGGTTTAATTGACTCATAGTTCTGCAAGCTGTACAGGAAGCATAGCTGGGAGGCCTCAGGAAACGCACAATCATAGTGAAGGCAAAGGGGAAGCAAACACATCTTACCATAGCGGAGCAGGAGAGAGAGAGAGCAAGGGGGAAGTGCCGCACACTTTTAACCAGATCTCGTGAGAACTCACTCACTATCACAAGAACAGCAAGGGGGAAGTCTGCCCCCATGATCCAGCCACCTCTTACCAGGCCCCACCTCCAACGCTTAGGATCACAACTTGAGATGAGACTTGTGGGGGTACACAGAGCCCAAACATACCAGGCCCAGGCCGGGCGTGGTGGCTCACACCTGTAATCCCAGCACTTCGGGAGGCCAAGGCAGGTGGATCACCTGAGGTCAGGAGTTCAAGACCAGCCTGGCCAACATGGCAAAACCCCATCTCTACTAAAAATACAAAAATTAGCTGGGCATGGTGGCAGGCACCTGTAATCCCAGCTACTTGGAAGGCTGAGGCAGGAGAATCGCTTGATCCCGGGAGGCGGAGGTTGCAGTGAGCCGAGATCACACCACTGCACTGTAGCCTGGGTGACACAGCGAGACTCCATGTCCGAAAAAGAAAAAAAGCATATCAGGCCCAAATCAAGTGACATCATTTATTTACTCTTCTGCTCCATATTAGTTGTCTGTGACTGCTGTAACAAATTACCACAAATTTAGTGGCTTAAAACAATAAAGTTTTGTTTTTGTTTTTGTTTTTTTTTAAGGGACAGAGTTTCACCATGTTGGGGCTGGTCTTGAACTCCTTGGCTCAAGTGATCTGCCTGTCTTGGCCTCCCAAAGTGCTGGGATTATAGGCATGGGCCACCATGCCCAGCCAAAACAATACAGTTTTGTCATCCTTACAGTTCAGTAGATCAGATACCTGGTGGGCTCAGCTGGTTTCTCTGCTTCAAGTTTTTCAAGGTGTTGGCAAGGCTAAGCTCTGGGGAGAAGCCACTTCCAGGCTCATTCAGGTTGTCAGTAGAATTCAGTTCCATGTGGTTGTAGGACTGAGGTCCTGTGTTCTTGCTGCAAAGCCAGCAACAGTGGGGCAAGTCAAGCTCTGAATCTCTCCCGCCCTTTCTTCTACTGCATTCCTTCCTCTGACTCTTTTGCCCTCCATGTCCTTTTTTTTTTTTTTTTTTTTTGAGAGAGAGACAGTCTTGCTCTATTGCCCAGGCTGGAGTGCAGTGATGTGATCTCAGCTCACTGCAACCTCCACCTCCCAGGTTCAAGCAATTCTTGTGCCTCAGCCTCCTGAGTAGCTGGGATTACAGGTGTGTGCCACCACACCCAGCTAATTTTTGTATTTTCAGTAGAGACCGGGTTTCGCCATGATGGCCAGGCTGGTCTTGAACTCCTGACCTCAAGTGATCTGCCCACCTCAGCCTCCCAAAGTTCTGGGATTACAGGCGTGAGCCACTATGCCTGGCCCTCCTTGTCCACTTTTAAGGGCCCACGTGATTGTCCTGGGCCTACCTGGATAACCTTAAGTCCATCCACAAAGCCTTTTGCCAGGTAGTGTAACAGGATCCAGGGATTAGGCTGTAGAAAGCTTTGGTGGGGTGGCCATTATTCTGCCTACCACATGCTCCATCCCTGAAAAAAAAAAAAAAAGTAAGCTGTTCTTATTAGTGTAATGACCTTATCTTTTAAAAACATCTTTTAATATTATATAAGAATGGAATGAAATGTAACTCTACACAGATATCATTATGCATTCATTCTAGAAAAATTATTTCAAAAATAGGACTGTTTGCTATTCCCCAGTTCTTTAATCAGCTTTCTTTTTCTTCATTATATTTGTCAGTCAATATGTATTTGTCTGTCTCCCCTCCCCCTACCCCCCAACCCTCGCCACCTTCACCTTCTGGAAAGAGTGCTCCTTGAGGCCCAGGTGCTAAGTTACATTCCTCTTTGTGTTTCCAGCACCCAGCATGGTGCCTGGCACATAGTAGGTGCTTAATGAATGCAGAAGAAATAGACACTCATTGTTACATGCTCAAAAAATGATAATAAGCAGGGTTGGTGGTATTTTCTTGAAGGGGCTTCTCTATTAATAATGGCAGTAAAAAGATGAAAATTCCTTGTGTAAAAAGCCACACAAGATAGCCAAATGATGTTAATGGCTAGGCGTTTTTTTCCCCCAAACAAATATGTGCTTGAAATTACATATCCAGTCTTTGGAAATGAACTTAATTAGTAATATGAGCTCTAACTACATGCCAGATTCTGGGTTAAATATTTCACAAATATTTAATCAGCACAAAAAGTCACATGGCAAACAATAATGAGTCAATATTTGTTGAGTGCTTGCCACATATCAGACACCATCCTAAGTTCTTTAAATGAAAAATCTTTTACAGTTCTAAAATTAAAACCTATTTTCTCTACATTCACACCACTTTTAATGCCAAATATGTAGGGTCTTTTTGTATACCAGCCAGTTCTCCAATTCCCAATGAGTACCAACTGGACCTCCTACAGTTTAACTCACTACGTACCTGGAGTTAGCGTCAGATCCCACAGGTTAAGGACTCAGTCCCACAAGACTGTCCCCACTTCAGACACCAGTTGCAAGTCCCAGGTCGTGACCTGTACTTCAGACTGACTGGCTATAGGGGGGGGTTCCCAACCCCTCCTCAGGTTCGATAATTTGCTAGAATGACTCACAGAACACAACTTTTACCATTACCAGTTTGTTATAAAGGATACAACTCGGAAATAGCCTAATGGAAGAGATGCATAGGGCAAAGGATGGGGATGGGAGTATGTGGCGCCAACTTGGAAGCCCTCCAAATTGTGTCATTTAGGGTTTTATGGAGGTTTCATTACATAGGCATGGTTGATTAAATTAGTAGCCATTGGTAATTAACTCAATCCCCAGTCCTCCCCTCCTAGGAGGTTGGGATGGGGCTAAAAGTTCCAATCCTCTAATTACATGGTTGGTTTCTCTGGCAATCAGTGTCCATTCAAGAGTCACCTTATTAGCATAAATTCAGGTGTGCTTGAAAGGAGCTTATTATTAATAAAAAAAGATGTTCCTCCCACCCCATCTACTCAGGAAATTCCAAGGGTTTTAGGAGTTTTATGTCAGACAAAAACCAGATATATATTTCTTGTTCTATCACAACATTACAGCCTCATAATGCCCCTAGAGGTAGGTAATTATTAATATTTCCAGTTTACAGATGAGGATACTGAAGCACAGAAAGGTTAGGTAACTTGCCCAGCATCACACAGCAAGACAATGGCAGCGGCACAGTCAGGAGCCAGATAGTCTCTTGAGAGAGCCTGTGATATCCACACCTACACTTCTTGGAGTGCTATGTCGCTTTTGAAACATTTCTTAGAGAAGCCACGCTTCTGCACAGGCTTGAAAGGTGAATAGAGGTTGGCCGGGTAGGTGTTCTGGGTGGGAGAAGGTGAGAGGAAAAAAGAATGCTCCAGGCCCTAGAAGTTGCCTGAGCTGAAGACATGAGGTGCGAACCCAGGTTTTGAGGAGGGGCGAGTTGAGAGAGCAAGTCTGTGCTTTTTCTGTGGACGGCACAGGAGTGGAAAATCCAAGAGTCGCCAAGTACAGCCAGGAAGGAGGCTCCGCCTGTTCCCACAGTGACCCTTCCTCAGTCCGGTGCTGTTCGGAGCCCACAGGAAGGGCTCTCAATGGCTTCTCTGTGACAGCAGCCCCAATCATGTCATGAAGCAGTTATTGCTTGTCTTCCGGGTCAGCTTTAAAAAATTAGTTCTGTCCCACAGAACTGCCCTGATTTCCCCAAAGCCACCATATGTGGATTTATCTAAGTTCTTCCTATACCTAATCATGCTTCTGGCACCATCTCTTGGAATAAGAAGTTGTTTAACACCCTTTTCACAAAGTTACACCTTTGATTTGTCCTGAATTTACCCCTTGTAGCCTCTAAGCGTTGTTTCTTAGTTCTTACATTTCGGGATTTGCTGTGGAGTCTGAGGTCACTTTATCTTATTCATGGATTGCAGGCATATCTTTCCGTAGCCTGAGAAGACCTTTTGTTAGTTTGCTGTCAAACCATTCCCTTGCTTTACTCATTTTAATTGTCTTTTTTGGGGCTTATATAAGTCTCTTGTAGCTTTCTTTTTTTAAATTTAACTTTTAACTTCCGGGGTTCTTGTAGCTTTCTTGAGATTAAATGGCAAGAAATTAAGTAGTCCAGTGATAATAAATGCTTTGTGGTTTTGCAGAGGTTAAGATGACAGAGTAGGGTTCATTGTTTTCATCATTGATTTAAGGGAAGAAGCGGAAGAAACTGACTTTGGGGTACTCGTTTTGTGCCTGATGGTTTAATAGTATCCTTCCTGATGATGTTTATCGTTGTGCTGGCTTTTTCCTTAGTAAAATTCTACAGGCACTTAGAACTGAGAACTTAGAGCCTATTACTTTATAAAGAACCATTTGATTTTTTCCATTATATATTTGCCTATCAAAAAAGTCATCTGCTACTTTTCTACTCAGTCATGTGGCATTTTGGAATCTTCCCAGAGTTGTCATTGGGTTAGCAATCAGTCACCCTGCAAATGGAGGCATTTCTGTGCTCTCTCTCTTGCTCATGATTTATAAAAATGTAAAATCAAATTGGTCTCTGGGGTCTCTCCTTGTTTATATTTCCTCATCCACAGAAGGGCCCATTTAACTGAGCCATTTCCATATCCATCACTAAACATTCCTGAAATACCGAGGGGATTCAATTTTTAAAAATAATCTTTGCTGTTGGAAACTTTAGGAGTGTATTAATAAATAGTGCTTGCTAATTTCTCTCCTTCTCTTGTCTATGTGCTTCTCAAAGATCTTTGATTAATTATTTGATGTTGCCATTGCGGGTAGAATTTACATTCACCATGATTTAAAACTACTTGTAATTTTGGTTCAAGTTGTATTTGGTGATTGTCAATTGTCCCTCACTTGCAGAGTTGCCTCTCCCTGTAATATTAAAGAGAATGATGATAATAATAGCTTCACAAGCAGTCTGTGCTTGCACAGCCCTAGTAGTACCCTCAAATTGCTGCAGTCAGTCTGAGTTTTATATTAACTGTGCTGCTTCTGATACTTGCACAGAACAGATTTCCTAAACCTCAAATGAATGTTTGATTTTGCAGGTTATTTTGAAAGTTACACGATGGGGATGTTTAAACTGGAAGGGCATGAGAGTAGCAAGGAACTTGCTACTTGATGGTAGATAAAATAACAGAATTGTTAGTTCGAGCTCGTTTCTCCTGCCCACTGATCCCACCTTCCTAAAGCTGGTGGGGAAACAAGTACCTTACCACCTGGAGCACAGTGTAGGTCCCTGGGTAAGGACCACAGAGAAGCCTTAACTAGTTTGTCAGGATACTCAACAATATGTGGTTTCCACAGGCCTACTTTGGGGATGAGGATTGGAAAGTTGCTTTTACAAAAAGCTTTTAAAAATATTCGCTATAAATCAATTTTGGCCTGTTAGTATCTAGAGTATTTTAGGGTAATTAATCTGCTGAAAGACACTTTGAGGAAAATTGCAATAAGAATGCCAAAAGAAATGTTGTTCCATATTAAGTTTGAGCTATCCACAGGCATAACCCAGCCTTTTTACTTTGGAGACTGATTTTTCTGCCTTTTGAGTTTAATTTCTGCTCAAATGCTACCTCCCAATATATCTTTGAAACTTTGCTGACATGGGATGTTTGACTATGAGCTCCAGAGCTATACAAGTTATTAAAAAAGGTTTTTTTTCCCCTTTCTTTGAGATCCCTTTTGTACAACTAAGCATGTGCCCTCTTGTTTGTTCCTAGGACGGCCCAGATTCTGCCAGAGGAAACCGGACAAAACAGGAGAGCGCATGGATATTCAGGCTGTGGTACAGCTTTGATCACAAGTATCCTTTTAAGTAGCATCCCCTGTGTCGGTGAAACATTGGGGATGAAATCTTGTTGAATTGTCGGTGAATGACACCTGATAAGTAAGGAAAGATGCATGCTTGGGACAGGGATAGCCCATCCTCTTATGGAACGTGTGCATTGAGCATTCAACCATAGGTAGTCCTGGTGAGTATCTCTCTGGCCAAGAGGAATGTTTGCATATCCTTAGAGTAACCAGCCCACAGCCTGGTAGACTCATGTGGCTCTTAAGAGCTTTGTGTCCAGGGAACTATGCCTTTTTAGGTGATTAGATTAAAATTACGCAATGAATCGTGCTGTGGTCAGAAAAGGAAGTAGAACTTCAGCTGTTAATCCATATGGGGAGGATAATTCCTATTGGATGAACTCGGCCAAGTCTGATCTTGTATGATCTGATACTGGCATAACTGGGCCACATGCAGGGCAAACCCTGTTCCAGTAGATTCACTTGGTCTCAAGTGAAAATTAAAAACCAAAATGTTAAACCCTCATGGTTTTTTTTGTTTGTTTTGTTTGTTTGTTTGTTTTTTGTTTTTGAGATGAGGTCTCACTCCATTGCCCAGGCTGGAGTGTGGTGGCGCACTCAGCTCACTGCAACCTTCCCCTCCCAGGCTCAAGCAATCTCCCACCTCAGCCTCCCAAGTAGCTGGGACCACAGGTGCATGCCACCGCACCCAGCTAATTTTTTGTATTTTTGGTAGAGATAGGGTTTCGCCATATTGCCCAGGCTGGTCTCGAACTCCTGGGCTCAAGCAATCTGCCCACCTCAGCCTCCCAAGGTGCTGGGATTACAGGCATGAGCCACTTCACCCAACCCCTCATGGTTTCTTAAGTTGACATAGTCATCAAATGGGCAGGTGGCTTATTATATATGGTCTTTGGAGACGCCAAAACTGTTAAAAATTTATTGAAGTATAGTAGATATACAGAAAAGTACACAAATAATAAGTGCTCAGTAAATTATCAGAAAATAAACACACTCATTTAACACCAAACGAATCAAGAAACAAAATTCCAAGGCTGGGCATAGTAGCTCATGCCTTTAGTCCCAGTACTTTGGGAGGCCAAGGCAGGTGGATCACTTGAGCCCAGGAATTATAGACCAGCCTGGGCAACATGATGAAACCCTGTCTCTACAAAAAATACAAAAATTAGTCAGGTATGGTGGCACACACCTGTAGTCCAGCTACTTGGGCCCTGTCTCCAAAAAAAAAAAAAGAAAGAAAGAAAATTGCCAAACCCCTCATGCCATGACTCAATTACTACCCCTTCCCCCTCCCCAAATGTAATTGCTCTGTTGACTTCTAGCAACACTTAATAGTTTTACCTGTTTTTCAACTTTCTGTAAATAGGATTATACAGTATATATATTTTAGTGTCTGGCTTATTTGGCTTGACATTATGTGTATAATACAGCCATGTTGTTATGTGTAGTTCTAGTTCATTTGTTCTCCTTGTTCCATAGTATTTCTTATATAAATATATCACAATTTATTCTATTATTGATGTACATGTCTTTTGATGTACATATACATATTTTTTTTGGTAATCTACCCAGGAGTAACATTGCTGGGTAATAGGACATGGGTAGGTTCAACTTTAGAAGATAGTGCCAGTTTTCCAAAATAGTGGTACTACTTTACACAGTCACTTCTAGCATATGAGAGTTCCAGTTACTCCACATCCTACCAACATTTGGTGTTGTCAGTCTTTTTAATTTTAGCCATTCTATTGGGTTTGTAGTGGTATTTAATCATGGCTTTAATTTGCATTTCTCAGATGACTGATAGGGTTGAGCACCTTTGCATATATTTACTGGCCATTTGGTATGTTTCTTTGTGAAGTGCCTGTTCAAGTCTTTTGCCCATTTTTCTATTGAGTTGTCTGCCTTTTTCTTACTGATTTGTAAGAGTTCTTTGTGCATTCTGGATATGAGTCTTTTGCTGATCATACATGATAAAAATATCTGCTACCACTTTGTAACTTGCCTTTTCACTTTTTTTTTTTTTTTGAGACAGAGTCTCACTCTGTCACCCAGGCTGGAGTGCAGTGGTGTGATCTCAACTCACTGCAGCCTCTTCCTCCCGGGTTCAAGTGATTCTCATGCCTTAGCCTCCCGAGTAGCTGGGATTACAGGCACACACCACTACACCTGGCTAATTTTTGTATTTTTAGTAGATAGGAGGTTTTACCATGTTGCCCAGGCTGGTCTGGAACTCCTGGCCTCAAGTTATCCACCTGCCTTGGCCTCCCAAAGTGCTGGGATTACAGGCGTGAGCCACCATACCCAGCCTCACTTTTTAAATAGAATATTTTGATGAACAAAAGGTCTTAATCCAATGTATTGATCTCCTAGTTAGTATTTTTTATGTCCTGTTTCAGAAATCTTTGCCTACCCCAAAGTCATGAAGCCAATTTCCTATGTTATCTTCTAGAAGCTTTATTGTTGGTCTTCTGTGCATCTCTTTTTTTTTACTGAGTGACAAGCATGGGCAATTTTTTCTCTAGAAAAAAAATCTAGAGATAATTTGAGATGCTCTGCCTAACATCATCATCCTTCAGAGATGATTTAAGCTTATATCTGATCAGTGGCTAGGCTAGGGGTATTAGCAATTGCAGATCACTTTAATCCAAACAGGAATAAGGATGATTTGATGCTGGGCCCTAGTTCCTGTGAGAGTTAGTCTTGACTGTTTTCTCTTTACCCTTTATTCTAGGATCCCCACCTAAAGCCTGGTTTCCATCTTCTTCCTCAGTAGGCCCTGGACTTTCTTTTTTGTCAGGTTCACTCTATCTTTGTGACTCTGCCAAATGCTCTGCTCTGTTTCTTAGGTGCCTTTAGGGAAACTGTGGCTCACCAACCACAGGGCTCACCTCTTTGGTTTCCTCCTCTCAAATTCCACCCCTCTTCACTGCCTTGGTAGCTTTCTGAAGCCTTCAAGCAGATGGTTTTGTCTTATTTTATTTTGTCTAGCTTTTCTAGTTGTTCTCAGTGGAAAGGTTGGTTCAAATTACCTTGTTTGCTACTAACTGAAGTAGAACCCCCAGGGATTTTTCAAGCCATGTGGACTATTAGAATCCAGAATGCATATTGCCTGCTGGTCTCAGAAAGGATGTAAAGAAAATGGAAGAGTATCCACCAGGAGAGTGACACAGTGCTAAAGTGAGAAACTGATCCTCTGAAGAGGAACAGGAGTTATCTCTAAAGTTTCATCTGAATCTAAATTTTAGTGACTTTGGGATTTCCACTTTTTAGTTTGGAAAAAAACTAAAAAGGAGAGAAAACTGTAATGTAAGACAAAGGTAAGTCTTGAGCCAATTTGTCCAGATGATTTTATTAAAGAATGTTAAGAACAGCTGCAACAGGTACTTCCTGTGTCAACAGATCAATTGGTAGCTGCTAATTTTTTCTTCAAGCCACAGATACCTAAAGAAAGTTAGAGACACTACCTGGAGAGGGCTTGGTAGAGAAACAGATCTTGAGGGCATCAAAGATTTTTCTCTTGAGAGTCACTCCCCACCCAACTTTGGCCATGGTAGGAGTCTGTACCTGCCTGATGAAGAGAAAAACTAAATAGAGACATGAGGGACTAATTAAACAATTATGTACTTTTTGATTAATCCTTAGAGAGTTGAAAGGCTTTTTCAGTCATGATACTAGAGAAGATTATTAGAAAAAGGAGTAAATCAAACAAAAAATTCTTGAAAATTAAAAACAAGGTTTCTGAAATTAACCAAAAAAATGTAATGGATAGCTAATAACTTGAATATGATGAAGACCAAATTGTTGATCTGGAAGATAGAGTTGAGAAAAAAAAAGTCCAATAATTATAGCAAAAAGAAACATGTAAGAGGAGAGTTTCAAGATATGGAGGTCAGAATCAGTTGGTCCAAATCATTTGACAGGATCTGAAAGGAGAGGACAGAGACTTTGGAGGAAAAGTACCAAAGAAATAATGGAAGAAAAATTCCCTTAGCTAAGAAAGACAGTTGTTTCCAGAGTGCAAGGGCCCACCAAGTGTGAGTAGGTTGAATGGACACGTTCGGGGGCATTCCATAACTACAAGAGAAAAAGAGGGAATCTTTGAGGTTTCCAAAGATAAAAACAAGCAACCTCCAAAAAGCAAGAATCAGACTTCTCATCGACAAAATTGGTTGTTAGAATACAGTTGAGCAATGTCTTCAAAGTTCTAGGATGAAAAAAAGAAGTCTGAACCTAGAATTCTACACCCAAACTGTCAATCAAAAATAAGAGAATGAAGGAGGGTAGCTTTCAGACATGTAAAAATTCAGAAAGTTTAGCACCATGCAGACCCTGTAAGAAGGAAGAAAAATAACATAAAGATCAAACAAAACAAAATCCAGCAAAGGGGACAGTGATTGTTATAACTCAGAAGAAGTGAACAAAGTCAAAAAGAAAAGATCTTTTATTTGGCAAGATACTCAAGGGTTCTCTTCTGACTGACAAAATTTAAATGACAGTGTGTTACATTTCCTTTTATATTGCTCCAACCACTTTGCTTGGTTCTCCAGAGAACAGCATTCATGCAATGATGTTATATTACAAATGCTGCTTACTGGTTTTTGTTTTTTTGTTTTTGTTTTGTTTTTTTTTGGGGGGGTGGGTTTTTTTTTTTTTTGAGACAGGGTCTCACTCTGCACTGATCATGCAGTGGCACGATCATAACTCACTGCAGCCTTGACCTCCCTAGGCTCAAGTGATCCTCCCACCTTAGCCTCCCAAGTAGCTAGCATGTGTCACCACACCCTGCTAATTTTTGCTTTTTTTTTTTTTTTTAAGAGATGAGGTTTCACCATGTTGCCCAGGCTGGTCTTGAATTTCTGGGCTCAAGCCATCTGCCTGCCTTAGCCTCGCAAAGTGCTGGGATTACATGCCTGAGCCACTGCATCCAGTCTGCTTACTGGTTTTTAACACTTAGACTCAATCTATACACAAAGCATAAAAAATCTACTTATTAGTTATAAAGTAGAAAGCAAATGTTATATATCTCCAGTATAAAGTTAATTATAATAAAAATTGGGAAGAAAAAATTGGAAAAAAGAGACAGGAGTGTAAATGAGTTAAACGTACCATCCTTACTAGGAAGGAAAAGCCTCAGACTAAAGTTTATAAATCAAGAAATGGGGGAGAAGTGTATTATCTAAAGTTGTAATGTAATTACCAGAACAACTAGAGTGGGATAGAAAGACTTGATGTTTTATTTTGTCCCATCCAACAATTTGAATATTTAAAAACATATATATAGCTTACTGGTTATATATATATATATATATGTATATGTATATACACATATTTCTTTTCTTTTTTTGAAGAAGTTGTCATGGGGCCTTCTGGAGAGGAGGAAGGGGGAGCTTGTCTTTGGAGTACCTGAGGTGGAGAACTGAAAAGCAGTCTCTGAGTTCCCCTGGCCTCCTGCGTATTTGTCATTCTACAGATCTGAGCCTCTGTCATCTTCTGAGCCAAAGACACAAGAAAACTGACAGGCCTGTAGGGTCTCTTCCCAAATTGGAGGAGCGCCTGGTCTGCATCTCTCCCTGGGAATGTGGTTCAAGGACAGCAAAGGGGAGCTGGTTCCGCGTATAAAGAGCTCCAGGCCGGGCGCGTTGGCTCACGCCTGTAATCCCAGCATTTTGGGAGGCCGAGGCGAGTGGATCACGAAGTCAAGAGATCGAGACCATCCTGACCAACATGGTGAAACCCTGTCTCTACTAAAAATACAAAAATTAGCTGGGTATGGTGGCACGCGTCTGTAGTCCCAGCTACTTGGGAGGCTGAGGCAGGAGAATTGCTTGAATCTGGGAGGCGGAGGTTGCAGTGAGCCAACATCTCACCACTGCACTCCAGCCTGGCAACAGAGCGAGACTCCGTCTCAAAAAAACAAAACAAAAAACAGAGCTCCAGCCAGGCCTGCACATCCTCTTTGGTTGAGTAATTTCAAACTAGAAGCATGCTCCAGTGTCTCCCTTCCATCTCCTCCTCTAGAGAGAGCTGCTTTTCTCTTGTGCTGCTCTAAATGAAAACAGAAAGTGAGGGGTGATGCTCCCAGCAGTCATCCTGTTAGGTACAGATGGCGGTGGCATCTCCTCAACTTTCTTTGAAGTCTCTTGGCCATCCCTGTAGTGGAAGTGGCCATCTGAGACCCCACCTTTTCCACACTGCTTAGGCTGTAGGTTTCAGAAGTGGTCCCGGCTGTATCAAAATGTGGCTGGTGCTTCATGGAGCTTCCCACATAGGGCTGTGCGTTTGGTAGCGCTGATATTCACCAAGTGACAGACAAGCAAGATAAGCTCTCTGCTTATCCGTTGACCTTCATGTTAGAGCAGTGGACAAGTTTGCTTCCCAGGGGACATTTGGCAATTTTTTGAAGACATTTTTTATTGTCACAACTTGGAGAGGGGAGTAACGGTGCTACTGGCATCTACAGACAGTCCCCAACTTAAGATGCTTCAACTTAGGATCTTTCAACTTTACGATATAGTGTGAAATTGATCTGCATTCAGTAGAAACCATACTTTGAGTACCCATACAACCATCCTGTTTTTCATTTTCAGTACAGTATGTAATAAATTACATGAGATATTCAATACTTTATTATAAAACAGGCTTTGTGTTAGATGATGTTGCCCAACTGTAGGCTAATGTTAGTGTTCTGAGCACATTTGATGTAACCTGGGCTAAGCTGTGATGTTTGGTAGGTTAGGTGTGTTAAATGCATTTTTGGCTTATGATATTTTCAACCTAATGGGCTTATTGGGATGTAACTGCATCATAAGTCGAGGGGCATCTGCAGTGTGTAGAGATCAGGGATGCTGCTCAATATCCTACCATACACAGAATAGCCCCCCATAACAAAGAATGATCTGGCCCTAAATGTCAATAGTGTTGAGGTTGAAAAGCCTTGTGTTAGCGTCTAGGAGAGAAGCTGTGGGTAGAGTGAAGAATGGTCCTGTATGGGAAGTTGAGAGACTTACAGTCCGAGTAACCTTACTGAAATCATTTCATGTTGCCAAGTCTCAATTTCTGCCTTTATAGTAGCCCCAGGCTACCTCTAAGGTCCTGTCCAACTTCAGCATTTCCACCACCTGCCCTCTGGGTAGAGTGGTTTAACAGGAATCCATGCAGAGAACAAGAGCAGAGGGGACACAGGGGCTGCAACTCCCCACTCCAGGGACACTATCTCCTGTTTCCAAGGCCTGGAGCCAGTTGTGTGTCAGAGGCTGAAATGCTGATTGAAACCAAAACTTCCATTCAACATGACAAAGGGAGAAGGGGGATCTAATTTCTAATTAATCAAATACACGTTTGAACTGAAAATTGGGAATTACCAACCTGAGAGTTAACAGTTACTATTTAAGGCTGATAGGGCGTATCTTACTCTTTGATTCAAACTGTTGCATGTTACAAGTATTTCGTGTGTTGTACGAGTAAAATGGGGAAAAGAAGGTTTTTGTGGGTGGAATGTCGGGCAATTTTTTAAGCACATTTTGTTGTGTATATGTTTTCTTTGCAGCCATTTTTCCTTAATTCACATTTTAAAGTTACCTGAAGCCCATCCTCACACACAGTGGTCCCCCACTAACCACCACGCTCCCCGCCTGGTGTGGCTTACTAGCTCGATGTCTGACCAGTCCCCAGGTGTACGATGTAAGTACTGCACATCAGGGTTGGAGTCCTGGTCACCATGCCAGGGTAGTGTCTTACGTAGGAAGAAGAAACCATCATACTCATGCCTCCAAATCCACAGATTTTTGCTTCTCTAATAAGCTGATTAGAAATGGCCATCTTCCATATGTTTATAGATTTCGCATAGTAACAGAGAAAGCTTTTACCAGGGTAATGGGATTCCCCCACATCGGCCGCTGTGGTGTAGTAGAAGAACACTGGATTTGGAATCAGAGCCACTGGATTGGAATGCAACCCCTGACAGGCCATAGATGTGCTCTGCATCTCAGTTCTTTCTCTCTCTCTTTTTTTTTTTTTTTTTTTTTTTTTTTTTTTTTTTTTTTTTGAGACGGAGTCTCACTCTGTCGCCCAGGCTGGAGTGCAGTGGTACAATCTCGGCTCACTGCAACCTATGCCTCCCGGGTTCAAGCAGTTCTCTGCCTCAGCCTCCCAAGTAGCTGGGATTACAGGCGCCTGCCACCACACCGGGCTAATTTTTGTATTTTTAGTAGAGACAGGGTTTCACCATGTTGGCCAGGCTGGTCTTGAACTCCTGACCTCGTGATCCACCCACCTCGGCCTCCCAAAGTACTGGGATTACAGGCGTGAGCCACCATGCCCGGCCTGCATCTCAGTTTTCTAATCTATAAAATGGGCCTAGTAGTACAGGCTGGCTGGGAGCATTAAATGATGAAATACATGAAGATACACTGAACCACAAAGCATGCAAGGATTCCTTTTCTAAATAGTTTATTTATGTTGATATGGTTAGGTCCTTTCTTTCCATTTTCAGATTATAGAAATAGACTCAGCACAGTATGAAAAGAACATGTACACTGGTGGACGTCTTAGATTTAGGGCTGACTCCTGCACTCCTGGTGTGGGTTGCAGGGTACAGGGCAGAGAGGTAGAGAGAGCAAGGTAGCTACCCACGTGGAAGGAGTAGAGGAGAGGTCAGAGGCCTTCCTTCATCCCTCTTCGGCCATCCTAATCATCTTGTCACTAACACAGTCATTATGCCCTAGAAGAAAAGAATTTCTAAAATTTGCGTACAGCTCTAGAGTTCACAAAGGCTAAGTTCATTCGTTGGGTCATACCATGAATCAGTGAGTACTGCAGCATTACAGAGAAGGAAAGTGCATCTCAGAGAGGATGTGAGTTGGCCCCGGGCCCACAGTTAGTAATTAGCTGGGACCCTCATGCAGGTCTTCACATTCTTAGCAAATAACCTGCAGTTTACTTGATTGGTGATGAGAAGGCAGAACACAAAGCCTAGATCTGAAAGAGAACGGCCCTAAACAGGTAAGTTCTAACGAGGGGTAGCAGGGTTAGGAAAGGCAGTGCACATTCATGTGGTATAGAGGGGAAAGGGATGTGGACACCATAGCTAGGTGGGGGCGCTGGGGCGGAAGAGAAGGGCAGCCACATCAGAGCAGCCGAGATTGGAGGATGCAGCTCCTTAAATGGCACGCTCTTCCTTCAAGAACAGGGATGACAACTGCCAAGTCACCATGTGTCCTAAACCCGCTGCTGCAGAGAGCTCTGTGTGTCTGTCATCCCTAGGCCCTCGGACCTCTCCTTGGCCCCCTCAGAGGAAGGTGACCATTGAAAAGTCCTGGTAGGCAGCGACAGAACTTTACACTGGGAAACTCAGCTGGGCTACTGGGTTTCACCCCCTTCACAGCAGGTTCTGCCTGGTAAAAATGTAGTTCTGCCACAGCCGTTGCTTGGAAATTTCACCAAATGTGGCAGTAGCGTTCATGTGTCTTTCTCTTAAAGATAGTTGAACTTCCAACACCCACGGCTCCTCCCCATATAAAAATGAAATTCCTGTGCCACCTGTGATAAACTGGTTTTAAATGACAAAAAAATATGTAGGATGGTGAGAACACCATTTCTGTAGAACTGCTCCCAGTTTGTAAAGTGATGTCTAATGCTTGCGGTAAGTTTTAAATGTAATATCTATCAGCCTAAATAATAATGCTAGTTACCTGTTAGGTTAGAAGGACACAAACCAATAGATTAAAAACTTAGTTTTGTAATTTCTCATCCTGCTACTAGCTTACTTAAGAAAAGCTGTCTTGTGCTGAATGCTGAATGGTTTGCTCAGTTTGGCCCGCTGTCTAAAGTGGTAGTAGGGGCCCTTTACATACATCATCGGAGACAAAGGGTGCTGACGGCATTTCCACTTCTCCCACTAATGAAGCCCCAACTGTGATTACACTTTCTGATCTTAAGTTTCACTGGGTTTATATATATAAATTTGTCTTCTAACTCTAGTCTCTTCTAAACACTTTGTAAAACTTTCCATCTTAATTGGGTTTTAATAAGGATCACTTTTCATGTCTATGTAATAGTAAAACAACAAATCCACTATTAAAACTTTATAAAAACCTTATCTAATCTGAAGCTTACTAACCAGTCCCTTGCTCATAGATTAGGAATATCTGGACTAGTTTGAACTCAGCATAAACTCAGTAAGCTTACAATTGCATCAATTTCAAGTGCTTCTCCCAGCAGTTCAAGGGACCACTCCAAGTTTGCTTCTGGGGGTCATGTTTCAGCTGTGACTCCCCACAGCCAACCTAAGACTGAGTGACTTGGGCTTCTAGTGAGAATCACCCTCGGTCCTGCTGCTGCTGCTGCTTTGAGCCGGGGTCCTGCCTAGGGTCTCAGCCAGCTCCAGACATGGTGGGGCCTGCTGCTGAGACAGTGGGAGCAAAGGGTCTCTTCAAAATTATCAGTGGAGGAACCCAAAACTGACAGAGGTGAAGGGGCTCACTGCAAAGTTTAGTGCCTGGTGAGGGTCTCAGACTGGGCAGTTCTCGTAGATTTTGACACCTGTTGCATGGTTCTTACCCACCATCTAAAAGGTGTTTTCTACTTTGCCAAGTTTATTTGGAGATTTCTAAGATGTTCATCAGTCATTATTTCCACTAACGTTAAACCACTTAGGTGTGGTATCCAGCTTCCTAACAATGTTCTTTCACTTTTGAAAATGACTTCTGGTTATTTAAAATGCACACATCCCCACACACTGTTGTTTGCAGGTGTTTTCACTGCATTTTCATAGCAGACTTAATTGCACAGCTAGTTACATGATTATATAGACCTTCAGCGTAACAAAACAAACTTGTGTTGATCCTATCATCTAGAATTCAAGGGAGCAGGTTAGTTTTATCATCTGCATGTAACATTATTAGACTTTGATGTCAGAATCACTCTCCATGGGTTGTTTGTTTTTTGAGACAGTCTCGCTCTCTTGCCCAGGCTGCAGTGCAATGGTATCATCTTGACCCACTGCAACCTCTGCCTCCCGGGTTCAAGCGATTCTCGTGCCTCAGCCTCCCGAGTAGCTGGGATTACAGCTGCGTGCCACTATGCCTGGCTAATTTTTGTATTTTTTGTAGAGACATGGTTTCACCATGTTGAGCAGGCTGGTCTCGAATTCCTGACCTCAAGTGATCCGCTCGCCTCGGCTTCCCAAAGTACTGGGATTACAGATGTGAGCCACCATGCCTGGCCTCTCCATGGGTTTTTTTTTGTTTTCTTTTGTTTTGTTTTGTTTTTTGAGACAGAGTCTTGCTCTGTCACCCAGGTGGGAGTGCAGTGGTGCAATCTTGGCTTGCTGCAACCTCTGCCTCCCCAATTCAAGCAATTCTCCTGCCTCAGCCTCCTGAGTAGCTGGGATTACAGGTGCCCACCACCACCACCCGGCTAATTTTTGTATTTTTAATAGAGATGGGGTTTCACCACGTTGGCCAGGCTGGTCTCGAACCCCTGACCTCGTGATCCACCCTCCTTGGCCTCCCAAAGTGCTGGGATTACAGGCGTGAGCCACCGCACCCAGCCTCCGTGGGTTTTACTATGGCCTTGTTTCTGAATGACCTTTCCTTGAGTACTATGTCTGGGCTTGGGAGTTTCAGAAATGCAATGGGTTGACATCCAGTCTTGTTTTCTCCTGTCAGTGAATTTAGGCCCTGCTTCCCTCTGCAAAGAGTGAAAGCGGACCACATCACAGTTCATGCCCAGGGTTTCCTCTGTGGTGCTGTGGTGGGCTTTCCTTCATTTGCGGAATTACCCTCACCTGCAGTTATCCTGTGTTTGCCTCTGTCCTTCCATGGCTCCAAACCTTGAAGCAGTAAAATATGTGCCAGGACCATTTCCCTGAAAACTGGGAGCCAAGAGCCCTGGCAGAGAGATTTTGACAGAGATGAACAAAATCATTATGTAGCACGTGTATGAATGGGAGAATTGGGATGTGCCGAGACAGGGAAGGTGAACTCCCCAGGAGTTGGAAATTCGGATGGGAGACATAAGCTACCGGCTGGGTGTGGTGACTCACGCCTGTAATGCCAGCACTTTGGGAGGCTGAGGTGGGAGGATCACCTGAGGTCAGGAGTTTGAGACTAGCCTGACCAACGTGGTGAAATTCCATCTCTACTAAAAATACAAAAATTAGCTGGGCATGATGGTGGGCACCTGTAATCACAGCTACTCAGGAGGCTGAGGCAGGAGAATTGCTTGAACCTGGGAGGTGGAGGTTGCAGAGAGCCAAGATTGCACCATTGCACTCCAGCCTGGGTGGCAAGAGTGAAACTCCATCTCAAAAAATAAAAAGAAAAAGAAAGAAGGCTACTGTAAAGCAGATTGAGTTTCGGGACTTTCTAAACACTGGTAAAGAGGAGGAAATTTGGGAGTTTAAATCAAGTTTTAGAACTGTGCTCTGAGCATCTGCCTGAATATAGGACTTTTATCTCATTGGGCATTTGCACCCTGCTTCATTCCAGTGAGGATTTGAAGCAGCAAGTGAGAGGAGTTGCGTGCTTGCCTGTCAAAAATGCTGAAGCATTAGTTAAGTGGAGTCACAGTGTAGACTGTGTGTAGGGAAGTTGACAACACTGAGAATGCAGAAAACAAGTATGTGATTGTTGCCAGTGAGTGCACAGAAATAAGTCTGGGAGAGGAAACGCAACCCATGAGTCTTCCCTAGCTGGTGCATTTACCTGGCATTCACTTAGCACCTACTGTGAGGTAAGCACCATTGAGGAAGGTGCCAAGGTGTGGAGAAGGAGGTCACTGCCCTTTGGCGTTTGTCATCTAGATGGGGCTGATCTCGGGGAATCTGCCCATGGCCTTGGGCAGTGTGACTGCGCGGGGGCCCTGAGGGGGTCAGAGAGGCCAGTTCGGCGCCCTGGAGGCTCTGTCTCATAAGAGGATGCAGGACTTCAGATGAGCTTTGAAGGGTCGGTGGGAAACAGGAGAGAAAAAATCAGTTTACCCAGCGTATTTGACACTGTGTTTGCCCTTCTAGAAGGCAGTGCACAGTACTCAATAGGCCTCAGTGCAGCGCGGGAGCTGGGTTGTGGCCCTCCCCTTGTTTTGTTGGTTAAATCTATTGGAGGAAGAAGGTCCTGTCTGACCTCGTGCCGTCTCCGACACTCTCGCTACCATCTGATAGTTCAAGTGGTTGCAACTTTGCTCTCCCTCGATCATTTGATTCATCCACCTGAGGATGTGGCGGGTGGGCTTCCTATCAGGGTTTTCCTGTGGGGAGATGACAGGGGAAACAGGGAGGAAATCCTGATTATGGCTTGTCCTCTTCCCTGAATTGCTGTCTATGACAAAGAGTAGTTCCAATGTAAACAAGACGGGTTGGAGACGGTTTGTATAGGGCAGGAGACCCACCCGGAATGCCTACCCAGAGAAGACAGTACCTGAAACCTATTTGCAACGTTTGCCCAATTACCCTACTCTGGCCTTGCTTTGTGTGTTGATTGGGAAGCTGGAAATCCAGGCTGGTCTCCCTTTCTTCCCTTTTTCACTAACCCCAAGCTGTCAGACATTGAAATTAGAAACTGTTTTCTAGTATTCTAAGTCCTAGTCCTGGCAACCGTGCCCGGCCCTCTACAGTTTACATCCAGTTACCACGCTAGAGGCTCAAGGCAGGCAAGTTTCATAGTCCCCAGTTTTCAGATGAGGAGTTGGGATTGGGATTGGGGTTGGTGCCAAACCTGGAAGATATCAGTCTCTCATTTTTGTTGTTGTTGTTGGTTGCACTTTTCAGAACCAAGAGCCACTGAGAGAGGAAGACTCTGATTTCATCCTGACCGAAGGCGACCTGACATTGACCTACGGGGACAGCACAGTGACTGCAAATGGCTCCTCAAGTTCGCACACCGCCTCCACGAGTCTGGAGGGCAGCCGGAGAACGAAGAGCAGCTCGGAGGAAGTGCTGGAGCGAGACCTGGGAATGGGAGACCAGAAGGTTTCGAGCCGGGGCACCCGCCTAGTGTTTCCCCTGGAAGATAATGCTTGACTTTCCCCCCAAGCCCTGGCGCGATGGGGTAGGCTCCCGATGGGGTGAGGACAGCTGCAAGCCCTAGTGTTGTTGGAGGTGGGGCAGTGACTAGATTGAACTAACTCTTCTATTTTATTGGGGTCTGAAGCTATTGTAACACTTAAAATTTAACTCACAATGCAGATGGTGAGGCAAAAGTGTCTCTAAATTCAGACAAACGTAGACCTATTCCCACTTTTTTCACATAGTAGTGCGCTGTTTCAGAGTTAAACAAACAAAAAAAAATAGCATGCTTTAATGGTCTCCTAATTCATTCACCTGCAGTATCTGAACAAGGCGAGGCAGGTGCTGGGTGGGGGGATTCCTCCCATGAGAGGCTGCATCTCAGTACACAGCAGTGCAAGTCAAGCTGACCATAGAATTATCAAGTTAAAGAGAAGGAAGGCAATTGAGATCGGAACTCCAAGGATTATGGGAAACTTGGTGTTAAATGGGACAGAAAACATGAAAAAGCAATTTGGAGGCTCTGGCAACGAAGTCTGCTTGACTGCAACCTCATATCAGGATTCCTGACTTTATGCTGCCTGTGTTTTTTCTAGACTGAAGATTTGAAAATACATCCACGAACATTTCAACATGGAACGAAGAATTATAGTTCCTTCTCTGGCTATATCCATAAAGAAGTAGTTATGAAATGTTTAAAACCAAAGGCAAATAGTGTTATACTCTTATTTTTTGATTAATCTGAGGAAAGGAGGTATTTAGAAACTGATGATGGTATCACTGCAAAAAGCATTCAACTTTTTTTTTTTGTTGAGATGGTGTTTCACTCTGTCACCCAGGCTGGAGTGCAGTGGCGTGGTCTTGGCTCACTGCAACCTCTGCCTCACGGGTTCAAGTGATTCTCCTGCCTCAGCCTCCTGATTAGCTGGGATTACAGGTGCCCACCACCATGCCCAGCTAATTTTTTGTATTTTTGGTAGAGATGGGGTTTCACCATGTTGCCCAGGCTGGTGTCAAACTCCTGACCTCGTGATCCACCTCCCTTGGCCTCCCAAAGTGCTGGGATTACAGGTGTGAGCCACTGCACCTGGCCAGCATTCAACTTTTGAGGGCTACCATATGAGCTGACAGCCTAGGGAAATAATCACTAGGACTGAAGTATCTACTCTGGGTTTAGAAATAACACCAAATTTTGTAGGATGCTATTATCTGGGAAAGGGAAGGCAGCAAGAAACCTACAAGGCACCAGGCTAGAATTCAGAGGGAAAGAAATCTCAATGCAAAAAAATTACTGCAAAGAAATACAAGATAGTAGTCTCAAGACTAGGTAGAATTCCAAACTTTGAGCCGACGAATGCATGAGATTTCAGTGGCCACCTGAGGAATCAGAGGGCAAACAATGGAACATTAAGTATTTTCAGCCCACTAGAAAGCTCTGTCTTCTATAAGCTTAAGAGTCCGAGTGTCTTTACACCACTGAGTGCCATGCAGAGAAGGGTCATTTTCCTTGTATCTGGGGAGGCTGCTGCACCAGCTTAACATGTGGGTGTGATTTGAAAGTTAGGTTTTCAGTTTGGATTCTTTCTGGATGAGCTGTTCTGTCTGCCCACACCTGTAGTGCTGAAATACAGAAAGACCTCTCGGGAAAAGTTTGAGTTTCTCTTAATGTCTCTGTGCTTCAGTGCTAGCTTATTTTTGGCAACCCAATTTCTAAAAAATGCTTTCAATAACGTGGGCTTTTCTTTTTTTCTTTCTTTCCTTTTTTTTTTTTTTTTTGAGATGGAGTCTCGCTGTGTCACCCAGGCTGGAGTGCAGTGGCGCGATCTCGGCTTACTGCAACCTCCGCCTCCCGGGTTCAAGCGATTCTCTTGCCTCCGCCTCCTGAGTAGCTGGGATTACAGGCACGCGCCACCACGCCTGGCTAATTTTTTGTATTTTTTAGTAGAGACGGGGTTTCACCATACTGGCCAGTTTTTCTTATGATGGAAGACAAAATATTGTGTCCCAGTCTAGTCCACCCGTAGTGAAATCAGTCATTTAATCTTCTCAATTCGCATGTTTAATGCTTAATTTTTAAATAAGACATTGCTTCACAACTTTGTGTTTGAATTGATAATTTGTGCAAATCAGGAAAATACGTATTTAATTAGGTTGAGCCATATGAGTTTGCTGATATTCGACCATTTTGTAAAAACAGGAGTGGCAATTTCATATGGTTCAATAAAATAAAATTGAGACCGGGCACAGTGGCTTATGCCTGTAATCCCAACACTTTGGGAGGCTGAGGCAGGAGGATCACTTGAGCTCAGGAGTTCAAGACCAGACTGGGCAACATGGCAAAACCCTGTCTCTACAGAAATACAAAAATGAGCCAGGCATGATGGCACATGCCTGTAGTTCTAGCTACTTGGGAGGCTGAGGTGGGAGGATTGCTTGAGCCCAAGAGGCAGAGGTTGCGATGAGCTGAGATCATGCCACTGCAATCCAGTCTGGGCAACAGAATGAGACCCTGCCTCAAAAAAAAAAAAAAAATACAGTTGAATGATTTTTATTCTCCTCTTTCCTTTTTATCTACAATAAAGTCCATTTTGATTTTATGGTCATCCATGGGCTTTGGAAGTTTGAAAAATGCTAAACAACCTATCCAAACCCATGAGCCCTCAGGGTCAACTAGGCTAGTGAAGGACTTAAGAATAAGACCTACACCCCACAGCCAGAGAAAGAGCTTTCATAGCCCCTGGAAGGGAAGTTCTTATATCCTGGGGTGAGGTTGCAGACAGCAGCTACCAGGCCTGGCAGAGGCCTGTATTATATGTGTGCTGGAGTCCAGAACCAGCACAGGATTTTTTATTTAGCAGAGTTATCTTAGTAATGACCAGTCATGCCATATAAATCTAAAAGGCAAGACTTGTTTTGTTTTCATTTTTGTTTTTGTTTTGCAGAGATGGAGAGATAGGCTGCTTGGGTCTTTGGTTGGGTCTTTATAAAGCTTTGCTTATCTTATATTGCTTACTTAATTTTGGAGGGAAAAAACTAACAGACACACCCTGGTGATGGTTCTTTGTTCACCTCAAGGCTTTGTTGTTGTGTTGTTGTTGTTTGTTTTTTGTTTTGTTTTGTTTTGTTTTTAGATGGAGTCTCGCTCTATCCCCCAGGCTGGAGTGCAGTGGCATGACCTCGGCTCACTGCAATCTCCACCTCCTGGGTTCAAGCGATTCTCCTACCTCAGCCTCCCGAGTAGCTGGGATTACAGGCACATGCCACCACACCCAGCTAATTTTTTTATATTTTTAGTAGAGACAGAGTTTCACCATGTTGGGCAGGATGGTCTCGATCTGCTGACCTCGTGATCCACCCGCCTCTGCCTCCCAAAGTGCTGGGATTACAGGCGTGAGCCACCGCCCCTGGCCATTATTTTGAGTTTTTTTTAGAAAGCTTTTACAAGATTACAAGAAATGACTCTCTTAGGGAAGAAAAATAACCACCCAGTTTCCCTTCCTAGTCTTAGTTCAATTCATAGAGTGTTGTGTTTATCCCCAAAGGGTCTTGTAGTCTTCACTGCAAACATTTGATTCTGATCTACTCACATACAAGGAAATGTAGATTGCCAAGACCAAAACTAGAGGGGTGGGCTTCCCATCAGGGTTTTCCTGTGTGGAGATGACAGGGGAAACAGGGAGGAAATCCTAATTATGGCTTGTCCTCTTCCCTGAATTGCTGTCTACGACAGTGTAGTTCCAATGTAAACAAGGTGGGTTGGGGATGGTTTGTATAGGGCAGGAGGCCCACCCAGAAGTCCTACCCAGGGAAGAGAGGGCCCAGAATCTAGTTGCAGCATTTGCCCAGTAACCCTACCCCGGCCTTTCTTTGTGTGTTAGGAAGCTGGAAATGCAGGCTGGTCTCCCTTTCTTGCCTTTGTCACTAACCCCGAGCTGTCAGCCATTTGGAATCAGAACTGCTTTCCAGTGTTCTAAGTCCTTATTTGATTACAAATATTTGGTGAATCAAAGTAAGGCACTTTGGTCCTAATTTTTGACCTTTGGTCCTAATTTTTGTTTGTAAGATGTGGAGAATAACCCTGACCTTACCAGGGGTCCTGGGAATGTGAATCCATTCGTCAAGTGGTTCCACATCTAGAAGAATTTTGCCTATGCCATGTCAGGCATCATTCAACACAAGGCCAACTATCTGCTGCCAGTCTGGCATAAGATCAGATTGAAACTGCTAAGTAATGGTACATCCAAATAAACAAAGTTCTTCCAAGAGAGTAAACCCAAGTCCATCTTATACACGTATTTGTTCTGGGTTGGTGGGGACGACAGTTCAGCCGAGTCCGATGTTCTAGAGCAGAGGTTCTCAACCCTGGCTGTGAATTAGGATCATCTGGCCAGTTTTTGTTTTTAAATCAGTGCAAGGGCCCTCCCCTCAGAGATTCAGATTCAGTAGCTTCAGGTGGGACCTGGAATCCATGCTTTGTTTGGAACCTCAGGAGTGTTCTTGATGTGCAGCCAGGATTGACAAGAGCCTTTAGTCTAGAGCTCGCAGCAGACCTCTAGACTATTTGGAATCTGATTTTAAAGAATGGCCCAGCAGATGAAGGTGTTTTTTTAAATTGTTAGTCATGTGAAACGAACTGAGTATTGATCAGTAATACAGACAGGGCAGCTGTGAGAGAGTTTGATGCTAATCTTTGCAGAACTCAAGAACATACTCCATAAAGTACAGCTGAAAAGATCACGAAAACCTTGGAGCCTTCGAGGAAAGAGAAGGGTGACTTGGGGTATGTATGGGGAGAACTAAAAACCTGTCATCTTGGTTCCCACTTGTGGGGAATAAAGGGAAGGTATTGTCTTAACTGAGCTGCTAACTAATCAAGCATGAAGGTTTCTGGGAAGCTGTTTTGTTTTTTTTTTTTAATTTCACCTGGAATTAAATTAATAGTCCCCTCTGGAGTCAGATTTTCTTTTCCTTCACCTATCCTCATGCCTGAGTCCACACTGGATTCCTCAGAATAAGGGTGGGCCCATTTACTGCTGGAGCAAAGTAGAAGGTTGTGGTCCTTTGCTATCACATGGTGATGGTGGTGGTTTCCGTAGCAGGTAATTAAGGAGATGCACACTTTTGTATAGCCCTGACAGAGAGAAGATGAAAGCTGCTATTCCTTTTAGTACACTTTTTGAGAACTACCAGAAACCTGAACTTTCTCTCCTAGGGAAGAAAATTTGGAATTTAAATAAGGCCACATTTCTTCCTAGGACACAATCACAGGAAGGGCATATGGATCCGAGCATCCAGGGTGGTTACTGGGGTGATCAGACAAATAAGCATTGATGCCTGGAAGGCAGAAATCACACTGCGACATCAAATGTTTCATCAAGCAAACAGCAAGGATCTCTTCAGGCTGTGTTCTCTAGACCCGAAAATGTCCTCTGTGGTTTGGCTGACAAATGGAATCTCTTTAGAAAACATGCAAAAGGGTATCTCAGCTATCCATGAACGATTCGGTCTAGGACAAAGAACTAACAGTTCCTTCCAAAATAGAGGTCTGTTGGTCTGTTTGACGTCATCCCATCATCCTATCTCTCCCTGTCCTTGTCTGCAGTAGAAGTTAATGTAATCATACCAGATGTTTAATGTGAACAAGTAATTTCCAAATGTAGAAACACCACTGATGCACTTAGGGGGAAAAACAGTGGCAGGGTGTTAGAGCATCTCATCAGAGGTGAAAATCACCCACTTGGAAACCTACTGTGCACCCGTTGTGAGTTCTAAGAGTGTATCAGAAAGCTGATTTTACCATCTGTTGTGAAAGATTATCTGCAATGAGGGCTGCTAGAAAGTCAGCCTGCTGATCTCACAAGTATATGACTTCTTATTCCACTTCAAAAGTGGGGAACTTGACAAGTTTCTTGTCTGCCTTTTGATGTTGATTCTATAGATTAATTAGTTCAGGAACAAGTCTTTCATATACATTAGACTGGTATCATTGAGTTCTGAGCTATTCTGTTGTTCTTTAACTGACACTCTGGATTGCCAGTGTCGGCTGCTACATTCTGATACAGTAAGTCAAAGGAATCTAGTGGCCAAGAGTTGTAGTTTAGAAACAACCCATCTGAATACTGCTTTTACCACTTTGATACCTGAAAAGATCATCCCCCTTTCTAAAACCTGAAAACAACATATAGAGAAATACTGTAGAAACCATTGCTAGTGTCTTAACTAGGAAAAGCAAGTAGACTCATCAACAATCCTTTCAAAACAAGACCTAGAGATAAACAGTTTTTTCCAGTGTCAATTTTCATAGACATTTTTAAAAAATTAAACACATCTTGTCACCCAGTGCTAGCAAAAATTGTAAAGAGCAAAACCAAAGTTTTTGATGTTAGTCTTATTTTTGTAAGCAGGGTATACTATAGTCGTGGCCCATATGGAACACACAGGCAGCCGGTTTTCTGCTACCTGAGCCTTGGAGAAGATGAGAAGGAAGGGCTGCCTGCTGTGCTGCCCTTTGAAAAGGTCCAAAGCAGACAGGAGCGCACACAGCAGAAGTCACCTTCTCCTTCTGATGACCACCTTTCAAAAGGCTTAACAGAATCACCAAGTGTCACAGTCAGCTCTTGGCCAGTGGAAAATTGTCTGGGCCTGTATATGTTGGAGGAACTCAGATAGAAAAGGACTTGTAAACAGCATGGAAACCTCAACATCTGCTGTCTCAAGCACTTAAAAAAGGCTACAATTCAGGTGTTACTGGATGACTTAACTGCATGGACATTTAGGGGCTGACTTGTGTTGTGATTATTCCAATTGTGGGCTTTGGAGAAGCAGAGGGATGATTTTCAGTTGTGTGGGTGTTAAGTCTATGGATTGGGAATTTACCACTGAAATTGATCGTTCAAAGTGTGACTTCATAGTAGGGCCAGCTCCTCCTAAGTTGTCCTTTTGTTTTTCACATAAAATACATCTGGTACTTTTTACTTGGAAAGTTGTACTATGTCCATGAAAATGGTTAAATGAGAAGGCCATAAAGATTCATTTAATAGCTGAAAAGCAACTTTTAAAATAGAATAGGACGAATTTAACATGGAATGATGTGACCTTCTAGGGAACTTTTTATAGAGAGCTTACATAGTGTAATTGGGGAGAATTTTGTCTTCTATTTCCATTCAACAGTAGCAAACTGGTGGTTTTATAAAATTAACATTATAGTATGTTATATAAATAAACGTTATATAAAATGACATTAAAGTATAACTGTGAAAAATTAAAGACTTGGCGTTATCCACAACCTTTATGTGCAATAAGGAAAACTGCAGTAGGCCCCCAAAGTGCCGTCTTTCCCTAGCATTTTACTCAATGTTTGCCTTTGTGTATGTTTAGATTGCTATTGTAAAGCTAGCCATGTGTGTTCCTGCCCTTTACTGATATTTAACACATTTTCTCAAAGCTTTTCTTTTTTTAAAAAAACAAAACTCAAAATAAAACAACTAACTGGCTGAGCTAATTTTGTTTTGTATTTTAAAGTAAAGTATCATCTGTTGGTAGAAGGCTGTAGTGTGATACTATTCTTAGTCTGTTTCCCTCACTGAGAGGTTCTTTTCTGGGTGTAAGCTATTCCTCTCCAGCTTTCTTTAGGCCTGGGGTTGGCAAACTACAGCTGGCTCCTGAACCAAGTCCAGCCCACTGCCTTTTTTTGTAAATAAAGTTTTATTGGCATGACTAGGCTCATTCATTTGCTTACTGTCTGTGGCTGCTTTCCTGCTACAATGACAAAGCTGAGGCGTTGCAACAGAGATCATATGGCCCATAAAAAGTAAACAGCTATTTACTATCTGGGCCTTAACAGAAAAAGTTTCTGCCAGCCTCTGATTTAGATGCTTGAAGAAATTCAGTTTTAAAATAGGGCTGGGCACAGTGGCTCACACCTGTAATCCCAGCATTTTGGGAGGCCAAGGCCAAGGTGGGTGGATCACCTGAGGTCAAGAGTTCAGGACCAGCCAGGCCAACATGGTGAAACCCCGTCTCTACTAAAAATACAAAAATTAGCCAGGCATGGTGGCATGCACCTGTAGTCGCAGCTACTCAGGAGGCTGAGGCAGGAGAATCACTTGAACCCAGGAAGTGGAAGTTGTTGCAGTGAGCCAAGATCGTGCCACTGCACTCCAGCCTGGGTGACAGAGCGAGACTCTGTCTCAAAAAACACAAGATGTAAAAATCACAGCAACAGATTTTTGAGACTTTCTAAAATGTGCATTAGGGTTAAAAGATGATAGATATACTTTAGCCTCTGCCTGTGACTCCTCCTTGCCTGTAACCATCTTTAACAGGCTTTGAATGTAGAACCCTGAAAAAGGCATCACCAACTGTTGGCAACATCAGCTAGTAAGACTGAAGCAAGTGGATTTGACATTGCAGCTTAATGCTTAAGTTCTTCTTTTACCGGATAATTGCTGAAATTCTTAAACCCAATATACAGTTTCTTCCACAGTCTTCATATTCCTTTGTATGTAGGCTAGCTTTTACCCAAACCATGCAATTGAACTGCATCCAAACAAAACAAATCCTGTCATTAACATGACTCCAGAGTCATTTAATAGTATGATTACAAAAACGCCAGACAGAAAAATTTTAAAGTAAAAGTGTGTTTCAGTTCATTAGGGTTTTCCCAGCCCAGGGAGAAAAATTACTTCTTTTTAAAAATCAGTTCTGGGTAGAGGGAGACGGAGCTATTTGAAGGACAGCTGGATGAGTCAGGTTAAAAACAATACTGCCCAGACCTATTATTATTTAATAATATTATTAAGTAATTTAATCAAGACAGGACTGCACTTGGCCCTTATTCACATTGATGTTTTCGTCCAGACACCTGCTGGTGTGAAATGGTACCAAATCACATCTCTTCTTTGTTGTGAGGATGCCTTGTTGAAATGGCTCCAGCAGTGGCAGGTTCAGCCTGGGAACTAAAGCTCTTCCTATTTTACAGCCATAAATATCCACATTGCACTGTCACTTCCTTACTGGAAACTTCATCTCAACCAATGCGTCCGTCATTATTGAACAGCTCATGATATTCCTGCTCAGCAGAATTGCACAGCAGTTGTTGGTAGCAAGTCAAGTCCCAGACTCTGAGAGTGTGACAGATTGCCCCCACAGCGCTGCTTCTCCAGTGCTGGGGCAGCATGCCGAGTGCCCCTGTTCGTGGTGACTGACCTAGAAGGGAAGGAACAAAGGACGTCTGAACTTCAGAACACAGAAATCCCCAGAAAGAAAGTCTGTTGGACCCTGATGACATAAGGCCTTTTAAATCAGAAACCTATAATCTTCCAAACCCATACCGAATCAGTATCAACCATTTCTGGCTTGTGAAGACAGACCAGGAGAAAATGACCCAAGAGGTGTTGGGTGAGGGTGAAGATGGGAAAACTCCGGGGGCGCCTCTGTTAGCATGGCTGCGCTTTCTGCAGCTGCTGTTGTGGAGCGCCTGCTGAGGAGAACAGGGCTTTCTGGGACCTTCTGGGTAGTGTGTAGGAGGAACTGGGATTGAAACCGTACCTTTAGGCACCAACCACGTACCCATCCATTCTTCACTTATGTACCAGTTCATATGTGCAAAACGCCAACAGCAACTGACGATTCTATAAAACTGAGGCTGTAGATAGGCAGTGAGTCCAGCTTTCTATCTTTGTGGCACCTGAACTTTTTTCTTCTTTCATTTAAACACATTGCTTGTGTCACTCTATGTGAGCAGTGGAAAGTGGGCTGACTCTAGTGTGTCTGAACTAGTCCTGTCACCAGTTTCTTGCTCTCCTGTGATCCTTCCTCTGATCCTGGATGTGTACCAAATTTGACATTTTCTAATGGAGTGAAACTGTCCATCAGCTTAATAGAACCACTGATGCAAAGTTTGGGAAAGGCAGTTTCAAGATGATTTAAAATGTGCAATAAAGATTCACACTAAGCATTAAGGAAAAGCTAATTTCAGAAATGCTTTGAGGCCTTTCTATAATTTTTTTTTTTTTTTTTGAGACAGAGTCTCACTCTGTTGCCCAGGCTGGAGTACAGTGGCATGATCTAAGCTCACTGCAGCCTCCACCTCCTGAGTTCCAGCAATTCTCCTGCCTCAGCCTCCTGAGTAGCTGTGACTACAGGTGTGCAGCACCACACCTGGCTAATTTTTTGTATTTTTAGTAGAGACGGGGTTTCACCGTGTTGGCCAGGCTGGTCTCGAACTCCTGACCTCAAGTGATCCACCCATCTTGGCCTCCCAAAGTGCTAGGATTACTGGCATGAGCCACTGTGCCCAACCCCTTTCTATAAATCTTTAGTATTTTGCTAGTACACATGTTTCATGAAAGGGCTATATAAGCAAAGTGACCCCCAAATGCAGAAGGGGCTGAGAAACCAAAGAAGGAGGCAGATAAGTCCAGCTTGTCATCACAGGGTGATTTTATCGGGGAACTTATGGACAGAAGTATGGTCTTGAGCAGCTGCAAGGCAGATAGATCTCCACACCATTACCCCCCACCCCCAGACCCAGGGATTATAAACCACAGGAAAAGGTACACGTGTTTCAGAGGGAATGAGTAGGAGTTTGATCTAAGGGCAGGATTTATGGTAAGGATGTGCTCTTAACACAAGGAACAATAGATGAACTGGAAATCTCAGAGGCATTCCTGGAACCAGGGTTAATCACAAGTCAACATAGTGGATTAGCATCCAAGATGGAGTTACTTTAGCCTCCACAACAGGTTACTTACATAAAGAGCCACCATGTCAAATTTCAGTCTTTAATAAAAACCAATTTCCAGGTGGGCCGACTTTTTTTTTTTTTTTTGACAGAGTCTAGCTCTGTCACCCAGGCTGGAGTGCAGTGCAATGATCTCGGCTCACTGCAATCTCTGCCTCCTGGGTTCAAGCGATTCTCGTGCCTCAGCCTCCCGAGTAGCTGGGATTACAGGCGTGCACCACCACGCCCAGCTAATTTGTGTATTTTTAGTAGAGACAGGGTTTCACCATGTTGGCCAGGCTGGTATCGAACTCCTCACCCCAGGTGATCAGCCCGCCTCAGCCTCCCAAAGTGCTAGGATTACAGATGTGAGCCACCGCGCCCAGCCAGATGGGCTGACTTCTAGTTGACAAGATGGAATAGATGCACTTCTTATTCCTCCCACAAAGTATAACTAAAAACTCCGAATATTATGTATAAAACAAAGATAAGAGTCTGAAGGGTGGAGAGAAGAAGGCCAACTGACTAGGAACCTTGGCAACTGAGGAATACTATGACCCTGAGTTTTCTTTTTGCTGCCTCTATATCCTGAATGTTGTGTGCTAAAGAAGCCAGCAAGCCAGAAATGCCAACTGTGACAGACACACACAAAAAAGCCCTGAAAAAAGCCTGTTACCTCTAGCCAAAGGACAGGAAAGGTTCACTCTAAAAAAGACAGAAACCAAGCACCACAATTAAAAAAAAAAATCCCCTCTCCTGTGAGCAAAGCCCTAGTGGGAAGCCAGGATCTCTGGACTGCCACCTTGACCTGGCAGTAACCAGGTGATGTGCCCCTTTCTCCACCAGTGTGGTGTCAGTGGAGGCCTGCTAAAAAAGAAGATTTAAATAAGATTTGGAGATTCATAAGATAATTCTTCCAGTGTCCAGGACAATAAAAAGAGCACTTGTCAAACCAAGAACCAGGGAAATTTCAGCTTGAATGAGAAAAGACAACTGATACATACCAACACTGAGATGACACAGATGTTGAAATTATCTGAAACAGATTTTAAGTGGCAATCATAAACATCCTCAATTAGCCATTACAAACACACTTGAAGCAAATAAAAAAATTGAAATTCTCAGCGAATAATTTTTTAAAAAGCAACCAAATAGAAATTTTAGAACTGTAAAATACAATAACAAAAATTTGAAAAACTCACTGGATGGGCTCAATAGCAGAATAGAGATGATAGAGTAAGGACTTAGTGAATCTAAAAATAGAACAATAGAAATTATCAAATCTGAACAACAGAAAATAGAGTTAAAAAAAGATAAACAGAGCCTCAGGGGCCTGTGGAACCATAATAAATGATCTATCATGCATGTCATCAAAGTTCCAGAAAAAGAGACTGAAAAAGTACTTGAAATATGGCTGAAAGTTTCCCAAATTTGGCAGAAGACATAAATTTACAGATTCAAGAACTTGAGCAAACCCCAAAGAAGAAAAGCTCAAAGAAATCTACACCAAGCCATGGCATAGTCAAACTTCAGCAAAGTAAAGACAAAAAAATCCTGAAGGCAACTAGAGAGAAATGACACATTAATTATGGGAACAACAATATGAATGCCAACGGATTTTGTATCTGAAAGCATGGGGGTCAGAAGGAGGTGACACGACAGTTTTCAAGTGCTGAAAGAAAATATCTGCCAATCCAGATTTTTCTTTTTTTTTTTTTTTGGACAGAGTCTCACTGTCACCCAGGCTGGAGTGCAGTGGCGTGATCTTGGCTCACTGCAACCTCCGCCTCCTGGGTTCAGATGATTCTCATTCCTTGGTCTTCCAAGTAGCTGGATTACAGGTGCCCGTCACCACACCCAGCTAATTTTTGTATTTTTAGTAGAGATGGGGTTTCGCCACGTTGGCCAGGCTGGTCTTGAACTCCTGACCTCAAGTGATCCACCTGCCTTGGCCTCCCAAAGTGCTGGGATCACAGGAGTGAGCCACAGTGCCCAGCCTCGATCCAGATTTCTATATCCCATGATAATATCCTTCAGGAATGAAGGTGAAATAAAGACATTTTCACATGAAAGAAAACTAAGATAATTTTTGCCAACAGAACTTTTATAAAAGAACTGCTAAAGTTCTTCCCCAGAGAAAGGAAATGACAAAAGGAGGCTTGAAATATCACAAATGAAGAAAGAACAACGGAAAGGTAAAATATGAGTAAATTTAATAAACTATTCTCTTGAGTTTTTAAAATTATTTTTGATGGTTGAGGCAAAGTAACATTGTATGATGTGGTTCTCAATATATGTAGAGAAAATTTTTAAGAGACTATTTAAGGGGCAGGATAAAGGAACCTAAATGGAGATTAGTTTTCTACATTTCATTGGAGGTAGTAAGATGTTGACACCAGTAGGCTGTGATAAGTTACACATGTATAATTCAAGGAAACCACTAAAATAAACATACAAAGAGATACCCTCAAAAACACTACAGATAAAATGAAATTCTAAAAAATGTTGAAGTAACTCAAAGGAAGACAGGAAAAGGAAAACAAAGGAATAAAAACAGAGGGAACAAACAAATCAAATTGAAGTCCTAAAATATCAATAATTAGATTAAGTATAAATGGTTTAAATACATAAACTAAAAGAGATTGGCAAAATGGATTTAAAAACATTACCATTAATTTCTAATATAATGAGATGGGCTGAAAGTAAAAGGCTGAAAAGGATACACCATACAAACATTAATCAAAAGAAAGGAAGAGTAGCTATATTAATATTAGATAAAATAGACTTCAGAGCAAAGAAAATTACCAGGGACAAAGAAGAATGTTACATAAGGTTTAAAAGGTCAATCCAAAAACAAGTTATAGCAATCCTAAATATGTACAGAGCAAATAGCAGAGCTTCAAATTTCCTGAGGCAAAAACTGAAAGAACAGAAAGAAGAAATGGACGAGTCTATAGTTGAAAACTTCAACACCATTCTTTCAACAAATGATGGACTCACTAGACAGAGAGTCAGTAAGGATACAGAAGGACTGAACAGTACCATCAACCAACAGAATTGAACTGACATTTATAGAACATTCCACCTATTAACAGAATACACATTATTTTTAGGTATACATGGAACATTCACAACATGAACCTATCCTGGTCCACAAAACAAATCTGAACAAATGTTTAAAAATTGAAATAATAATAATAAATTAAATAACCATAGTGTAATCAAACTAGAAGTCAATAACAGAAAGATAGCAGGAAATTATCCAGAAATTTTAAAATTAAAGAACATACTTAAATATAATTCATTGAAAATAAAACTATATTGAATGAAAATGCAACATCAAAATTTGTGAAGCTAAGAGGAAAATGTGTAACACTAGATACATACATGAGAAAAAAAGATCTCAAATCAATAATCTATGTACTTACCTCAAGAAACTAGATGATTAAAAAAACCCAAAACAAGCAGAAGTAAGGAAATAATTAAGATAAAAGGAGAAATCAGTAAAACTGAAAACAAAAACAATCAAAATACAATGAAACAAAAAGCTGGTACTTTGAAAAGATCAAAAAACCTCTATCAGCCAGGTACAGTGGCTCATGCCTGTAATCCCAGCACTTTGGAAGGCCAAGGCGGGTGGATCACTTGAGGCCAGGAGTTCGAGACCAGCCTGGCCAACATGGCAAAACCCTGTCTCTACAAAAAATACAAAAATTAGCCGGGTGTGGTGACGAGCACTTGTAGTCCCAGCTACTCAGGAGGCTGAGGCAGGAGAATTGCTCGAACCCAGAAGGCGGGTGAGCTGAGATTGCATCACTGTACTCCAGCCTGGGCAATGGGAGTGAGACCCTGTCTCAAAACAAAACAAAACAAAAAACAAAAACAAACAAAAACAGAAAACAAACAAAAAACTTCTATCAAGACTGACAACAGAAAAAGAGAAGACAAACATTACCAGTATCAGCAATGAAACAGGGGTTTTCATTACAGACACCACAGACATTAAAAGGCAAAAGAAAAAAAAATTACTAAAAACAACTCTACATCCATTAATTTGACAATTTAGATGAAATGGACCAATTCCTCAAAAAGCACAAACTACTATAACTCACCCAATATGAAATAGATAATTTGAAAAGTCCTGTAACTACTAAAAAATTGAATTAATAGTTAAAAGGCTCTTGAAAAAGAAATCTCATTCACGTCCTTTGCTGGGACATGGATGAAGCTGGAAACCATCATCCTCAGCAAACTAACACAGGAACAGAAAACCAAACAGCAAATGTTCTCACTCATAAGTGGGAGCTGAACAATGAGAACAGATGGACATAGGGAGGGGAACGTCACATACTGGGGCCTGTCAGGGGGTGTGGGGCAATGGGAGGGAGAGCATTAGGACAAATATCTAATGCACGCGGGGCTTAAAACCTAGATGATGGCTTGATAGGTGCAGCAAACCACCATGGCACATGTATACCTATGTAACAAACCTGCATGTTCAGCACATATATCCCAGAACTTAAAGTAAAATAAAATAAAAAAGAGATTTTTTTTAAAAAAAGAAATCTCGGCCAGGCGCGGTGGCTCACGCCTGTAATCTCAGCACTTTGGGAGGCTGAGGCGGGCAGATCACTTGAGGTTAGGAGTTCCAGACCAGCCTGGCCAACATGGTGAAACCCTGTTTCTACTAAAAATACAAAAACTAGCTGGGTGTGATGGCGCACCCCTGTAATCCCAGCTACTGGGGAGGCTGAGGCAGGAGAATCGCTTGAACCCAGGAGGCAGCGGTTGCAGCGAGCCGAGATCGCACCACTGCACTCCAACCTGCGCGACAGAGTGAGACTCCATCTGAAAAAAATAAAATAAAAATAAAATGAAATATAGTGACAATACCAAATACTGTGAAGATGTAGAAAAATTTGATCTTTCAGACATTGTTGGTGGGAATGTAGAAGGGTACAGCTGCTCTCAGCAACAGTTTGGTAGTTTCTTATAAAACTAAACAGACACTTCCACACGATCCAGCAATTGCATTTCTGGACATTCATCCTAAAGAAATGAAAACTTATGTCCACACAAAAACCCATACACAAATATTCATAGTAGCTTTATTTGTAATAGCCAAAAACTGAAAACAATCCAAATGTCCTTCAGTGAGTGAATGGTTAAACAAACTGGTACAACCATACCATGAAATATTACTCAGCAATGAAAAAGAACAAACTATTATTAAACAAGACAACCTGGATGAATCTCCAGAGGATTACAACTGAGTGAAAAATGCCAATCTCAAAAGGTTACATATTATGTAATTCCATTATATAACATTATTGAAATAACACAATTATAGAGATGGAGAACAGATTAGTGTTTGCCAGTGAAAGGGGTGGGATAGGGTAGGGTATGTAATGATAATGAGGGTAGCACAAGAGAGTTTTTTTGTGTTGATGGACTAGCTTTGTGTCTTGATTGTAGTGGTGTTTACACAAATCTATATGTAATAAAATTACACAGATCTATACACACACACAAAATGAGTACACGTAAAAACTGCTGAAAATGGAATAAGGTCTGTTGTTAGATCTCACCAGTGTCAATTTCCTGGTGTTGATATTGATCTACATATAAGGTGTTCCTTTGGGGGAAGCTATTTGAAGGGTACACTGGACCTCTTGTACTGTTTTTGCAACTTCCTGTGAGTATATTATTTCTGCAGTGGCGTGATCATAGCTCACTGCAACCTCAAATTCCTGGGCTCAAGTAATCCTCCCACCTCAGCCTCCTGAGTAGCTAAGACTACAGGCACACCCAGCTAATTTTTTATTTTTTTGTAGAGACGGGATGCCCTTATGTTGCCTAGGCTGGTCTTGAATTCCTGGGCTCAAGTAATCCTCCCGCCTTGACTTCCCTAAGTGCTGGGATTAAAGGCATCAGCCACCACACTCGGCCTATATAATTATTTCAAAATAAAAAGTAAAAAAAAAAAAAATCTGTCATTGTTTCTTTGTGCAACATGTTGAGCTCTTCACTTGGGTGGCTTTAAAGACCGGAAACAAACTTGGCATTAACTCAGGATGGTTTTGTCAATGACTAACCAAGTGCTAAATGTTGCCAGGTCAGATCCCATTTCTCAACAAACTTTTATGGAGAGTACTACCAGCCCAACATCTGTACCCATAAGCACTCTTTTATATCCTTTTATTAAAAAATCTTTGTATCTACCCAAAAGGCTGCTTTTCATGCAGGTTCATATTTTTTATTGAATCGCTGGCAGTACAAGGTGAGGGAAGGAGAGATGTGTGCTCTGAAAGAACTATTGCTGGCTGCTGCTGGGGTATTTGAAGAACTTAAATGAAGTACCGCTAATTCAGGCAGGGCAACCTCACAAGGCCCTTTCTTTCTGCAATGGGTTCCTATTCCCCCGTGTTGGCCTCTAGTTCCTGAATGTCCCTGAACTATGTCAAGGATGCTTATATATCTTCCGGTTCTGACTTACACCTTCATGAGACCTGTAGCTCCCAAGTACACCCTAAGTAAACTATCAGCTAATTTCCTACCATTTCTCAATATTTTTGGTTGTGTTTAAAACATAAATGTGTCTATGAATTCTTACTGTGATGTTTCCTCAAACTCTTAAGTCCCCAGAATCTTAAATAGAGGATTAAGAATTTAATTCACTCTTTTTTTTTTTTTTGAGACAGAGTCTCTCTCTGTCGCCCAGGCTGGAGTGCAGGGGTGCGATCTTGGCTCACTGCAGCCTCTACCTCCTGGGTTCAAGCAATTCTCTGGCCTCAGCCTCCCGAGTAGTTGGGATTACAGGTGCCTGCCACCACACCTGGCTAATTTTTGTATTTTTAGCAGAGACGGGGTTTCACTATGTTGGCCAGGCTGGTCTCAAACTCTTGACCTCAGGTGATCTGCCCACCCTGGCCTCCCAAAGTGCTGGGAATTACAGGTGTGAGCACAAGGATTAAGAATTCAATTCACTCTTAATCCGGATCCCAACTCTTCTTAATATTATGGGGCCCTGTTCATAGGGAGCAATGAAATATTCATCTTTGGGTGCATATTTAGAACTCAAACCCTCAGTTTACCAGCCAGCTGCAGTTACCAAGTAGCTAGTTTTGTCCTTTTTTTCAGCTGCTAGATGTCTGACAAGGAAAAATTAAAATTTTAAGCTGCTAAACTTCTTGGTTACAACTGTTTCCACTTGCCCAGAATCTGGGGAGAATGAAAATGTTTGCTACTCTCTGTCTCACCTGAAACAATCATAGACCCTTCTGTTTATTCCTAAGTCAGAACTATTTAAAGACCTATCCTGTAATAATAGAAAATTCATAATAAAAAACTGTCTTCATGCAATTAATCTCAAGAATTATAAAGGTTTTTATATACCGTTGTTTTGAAAAGCACGCATAAAAGGTTTTTTGTAAAAAAAAAAAGTGACATTGAAATGTGAGGTCATTCCTCAATATTCAAATAATTCAAGAATTGGCTTTCACTTTAAAAAAAAAGCATGGTTATTTATTTAAAGATTGAAAGTCATATTTCAATGAGCTGGGTGTAATTTTATCTCCTTTGCTACAGTTCCCTTGAGTGTTTAAATGACCAGCCAGGCCCTAAATGCAGCTGGTTGACCTACTAATAGCCTCATTGCCATCAAAGGGAAACTTCATTCTGGGTTCATTCTGGGTCTATGGAGCCTGAATTGCAAGCACTTGGCTCGGCTGAGGCTCCTGGGGCTACAGCAGAATAACTCAGGAAGACGCGCTTTTAGCATTTTAATCATACTTTCTTCAATCTTTGAAGCCGGGATGGGGGAGGGGGATGAATCAACTTCCTGCTGGCTTTAAAGTTAGAGAACAGAAGATTCAAGCCAATGAACTTGCAACAGGCTCTGCCTCTCTCAGTGGCCTTCCTGTGCCCCCCATTTCAAGTCAGGTAATGAGCCTAGGGCCTCCCAAATGAATCTGGGAACTTGCACGGGGACCTCATTTCTACTCCTTGAATTATGTTTGTCAATTTGGGCCTGCTCCTCTTCAAGTTTTTCTTGGTCTTGCCTCCAAAACATACATGCCTGTGACTGGACTCAGTTATCCTGTCCCTGCCCACACACTTGCACCAGGTGAGGCACCCTGGATTGACCACCAAAACTACTTCACAGATGCTAAAAGTTGGTGCTGGCGCTTAGCACTTGAGAGAGCTGAGATTTCCGAGTATTCAGCAAGTCCTGTTACCACCAGCTGGATGACTTTCCAGCCTATTGTAACAGCCTTCCTCCTGGACCACCTCCAGAACAAATGGGCTGAGGAAGGGCTTGAGCGTCCTTTGCAACGGCTGTGTCCTTATGGGGTCTTCTCCCAGCATCCTAAACTGAAACCACACTTTGTGGATGATGTTAATATCTAAGCTTATCTGTTAACCCAGGTTAAGCTTTCTTAACCTTCCTGTTTTCACTTCAAATTAGCAACTACAGTGCCAAGGAAAACGGAAATGAGTGACAATGTTTACAACAATAGCACCATTAAGTTGTTTTTTAAGGGAGCTGCTTAGGGATAATGTTAAAATAATATTTGAAATAGCAGAAATCTCAAAGTACATTCCCTCATTGTGACTCCAAAGCAAAATGTAATAGGAAACATTTAGTTTGCTAATATAACTGCACCCCCAGATAGCCTGGAAACGTACTTTAAACAGCATTAAATGTTATTCATAATTTCCAGACATTTAATCTGAAAAATTATGTGGCAGTGGCACGGGGTGCTAGTTATTTATACTTGCACTAGTCAATAACAGTTTCAGTCATATTCAACTTGAAACAACTCTCCACTCAGGTTTAAAAAGAAATAGAGGCTGAGTCAAAACAAAACAAAAACAAAAAGACAAAACTCTGGACTGGGGAGTGAGGGGAGAAACTTGCCTGGACTTGGATGGCCCCAGTGGAGAGCTAAAGAGACACACACTCCCGCCGTCACCTCCCACCGTGGGAGGAATTCAATGTAAAATCTCAATCCACGTGAGTCATTCAAGCCCAGAGTCAGCCAGTACAAAAATTAAATGGGCATTATTTTTCCTCTTATTCTAGAATAGAATAAGATAATAACATCTCTCCAGTTTTATGATACCCACCCCAGCTAAAAATTTCCCAAACTTTTGAGCTCACTTGAGAACAAATGGATGCACACCAAACCAGTATTAATAAAACCTGGAGCCAGGCGTGGTGGCTCACGCCTGTAATCCCAGCATTTTGGGAGGCCGAGGCGGGTGGATCAGCTGAGGTCGGGAGTTTGAGACCAGCCTGACCAACATGGAGAAACCCCATCTCTATTAAAAACACAAAATTAGCTGGGTGTGGTGGTGCATGCCTATAATCCCAGCTACTCAGGAGGCTGAGGCAGGAGAATTGCTTGAACCTGGGAGGCGGAGGTTGTGGTGAACCGAGATCGTGCTATTGCACTCCAGCCTGGGCAACAAGAGTGAAACTCCATCTCAAAAAAAAACAAAAAAAAAAACTTGGAAACAGCTGAGTTTGCCTAGTTGACTTTTGTTTTTTCCTTTCATTGAGCTGCTCCAAGATATAAATTTAGTTTGCATACCTAATTGCTTTTGTGAGTAAAGTTGCTCCCAACTCCAATAAAGGAACTGACTCAGTATTTTATAATATATATTTGGACAAGCCACCTGCAGATGTTTGTGATCCACTAAGTGAGAGTGGAAGGGATTTGGGAGAGCACAGAGCTGGGAAGTGACCTGGAGCTTAGATCTGCAATTCAGGCTGCCATTGGTCCCCATAGGGGTTATCAGTCAAATGAGCAACTGAAGTTTCCCTACCCCCACACTGGGACTGCCCAGGAAGTCTCATTCTCTGCCCTTGATCAGCTTTAAGATTCCCAGGTTAGAATGGCTAGTCAGTGTACAGAATCTATGGACCAGCCAAACTCTAGCCAATCACTGCAGGTATCTCTCCCTGCAGAGTGAGGCAGTATGTTTGTTCCACCCTTTCCTAGCCTTTCTTGTCCATGGTCTTGTGGGAGTAAAGTGGCTCCGTGGCCTAGAGCAGGTTCGTGTTGGCATAGGACATTGGATCGTGGAGGCCAGTCTACAGGATTGCTGGAGGTGGCCGCACTAAGGATCAAGACATGGGTTTTTCCTGAGCTCAGATGATTTCTCTTCCCCTTTGACTGTTGAAAAATAAAAATGGCTGGGTGTGGTGACTCACCCCTCTAATCCCAGCACTTTGGGAGGCCGAGGCAGGCGGATCACTTGTCAGGAGGTTGAGACCAGCCTGGCCAACATGGGGAAACCCTGTCTCTACTGAAAATACAAAAAAATTAGCCAGGCGTGGTGGCAGGTGCCTGTAGTCCCAGATACTCTGGAGGCCGAAGCACGAGAATCGCTCGAACTCAGGAGGCACAGGTTGCATTGAGCCGATATCGCGTCACTGCACTCCAGCCTGGGCAACAGAGCAAGACTCCGTCTCAAAAATAGATAAATACATACATAAATAAATATGAAGTAAAATTATTTTAAAAGGCATTCAATAATGTTAGGAATTTTGTTATTCTTTGCGAGGGATGTGTACGTTTTTGGCCAATCATCTCCTTTTTGCAAAATTGCCCTCTGTAATTCCTAGCAGCTAGAAAATGGGAGGGTGGGCCAGGTGTGGTGGGTCACCCCTGTAATCCCAGCACTTTGGGAAGCCAAGGTGGGTGGATCACCTGAGGTCAGTAATTCGAGACCAGCCTGGCCAATGTGGTGAAACCACATCTCTATTAAAAATATAAATATTAGCCGGGCGTGGTGGCGCATGCCTGTAGTCCCAGCTACTCTGGAGGCTGAGGGACAAGAATTGCTTAAACCCGGGAGGCGGAGGTTGCAGTGAGCCCAGATCATGCCACTGCACTCCAGCCTGGGCAACAGAATAAGACTGTCTCAAAAAAAAAAAAAAGAAAAGAAAAGAAAAAAAGAAAGAAAGGAAAAGAAAAAAAAGAGAAAGTGGGAGGGTGCAGAAAAACAACAAAGAGGAACTTTTTTGTTATGTGCAGACCCTGAAAAATGTGTTTTTTTCCTTTATTATATCCATGTTAGTGATATTCTTTATTATAGCAAGAGACAGATCTACTTCTCTTACTTCTAAAATCTGTGTATTTAACATATGCCAGTTCTTGGCTGGTCGCCAGTTGGTCCTATTTTTAAAATATTATGTTGATTTTAGCATTTTTGGCTTACTGTTCCTATAATTTCTCTGAGGCAGTAAAGAGTCCTTTTTGAGAAAATATGGTCTCAATCATGGGAAAAGTGACCTCAAAGCTCTGGTACAATTTTTCCTAATGTCTACCTTATCTGTCTGGATGTAATGACTTCTTCAATTAGCCTCTGAGTTCCCTCCTAAAGCTGCTCATAGCTTTCCTCACTTCATCATCTTTACTGAAGAACTCACAGTCTTGATCACGGCTGCACTCCCCATGCCTTACAAAGCTTTCTGTGATGTTCTATTTCAGGGCAGAATTACACACTTCAGCCCTTCAGTTAGGTTGGCTTCCTGGTTTCCAACCTGCTGGATACCATGAACCAGTGATATTAAAATCAAACAAGCACTCGCTCTAGGCATTTGGATTTCAGGCCAGACTTCAGGCTTCTTACTGGCCTACTGGCCCAGAGAGTACCCTGCATCTATCTTCAGGGCACCTTTTTTTTTTTTTTTTTTTGAGACAGTTTCACTGTTGTTGCCCAGACTGGAGTGCAATGGTGCGATCTCGGCTCACCACAATCTCCGCCTCCCGGGTTTAAGTGATTCTCCTGCCTCAGCCTCCCGAGTAGCTGGGATTATAGGCATGTGCCACCACGCCTGGCTAATTTTATATTTTTAGTAGAGGCGGGGTTTCTCCATGTTGGTCAGGCTGGTCTTGAACTCCCAACCTCGGGTGATCTGCCTGCCTTGGCTTCCCAAAGTGCTGGGATTACAGGTGTGAGCCACCGCACCCGGCCAAGGCACCTTTTAACATTCTAGAAAGGGCTTCGATTCTGTAAGCAAAACGTGTCTACCTCAGTGGCTATTTTCAGAATGTGACTCTACAGCAAAGTTCTTCCTGCTCCCATCCATTTCATGGGAGGGGAATCTGCTGGCACAGAATATAGTCATCATTGAAATCAAATGTGGTGGCCCTCTTTCACAGCCTCTTAATCTCCGAATTTAAAAATATTCACCATCAGAAGAACTGGAAGTCATTACGTTAAGTGAAATAAGCCAGGCACAGAAAGACAAATATTGCATGTTCTCACTCAGATGTGAGCTAAAAAAGTTGATCCCATGGAGGTAGAGAATAGAATGGTGGTCACCAGAAGCTGCAAAGGGTGTGGGGGTTGTCGTGGAGACAGATTGGTTAAATGGGTATGAACACACAGTTAGATAGAAGAAGTAAGTTCTAAGTTCAATAGCAGAGTACGGTGACTACAGTTAACAACAATGTATGGTGTATTTCAAAATAGCCAGGAGAGAGGACTTGAAATCTTCCCAACACATCAAAATTATAAACACTCGAGGTGATGGGCACCCCAATACCGACTTGATCATTACACACTGTGCATGTAACGAAAAAATCACATGCACTCCATAAACATGTACAAATATGTATTCATAACAAATTTTTAAAAATATTCATCATCAGCTGATGCTCTAATTTATTCTCAGCATCCAGCAGGGTGGTCTTAATTATGAACAGGGTCAGCTGCAGAAAATGTCAGACCTGGCCACTGGCTTGGTGCCAGGGTGCCAAGCGGGCCGGGGAGCAAAGCTGAAGGACTCCAATTATAGACACATCACTGAGCTCCGCAATTTTCTATTTTCTCCAATTAAAACTGCTTCCTATTCAATTCCCAAACAGTTCCCACTTGCCTGTGGACTTGAATTTGAGCCAGAGCTGTTTCTTAATCCCTACTATTCTTATTTTATACTGCACCTCAGCAGAAATGTCCTTTTCAATAGAGCAAGTTCCTTTTATTTCCACTATGAAGCAAGAGGCTGAGGAGCCAGGAGACCTCACAAAGAGAGGGGTTCATTTATTAGTCACCTTGTTCAACTGGAACGTCAGACACAAAAAAGTGAGGCCAGTTTAGTTTTTTTTGTTTCATTCTTTTCTGGCCTGCTCATGCTGAGGGCAGGCTGAGACAAAGCATACTGAAGAATGTTAAACCAGCTGTTTGTAAATGTTTTTCAAAAGCTTCACTCCCAACTATTTATATTACATTCATATTCATGGGAAGAAAATCTCTGCCAAGACAAAAAAAAAAAAAAACCTCTTAGAAAACCGTCTGAATCCTGCCTCAAAAACTGCAAATGGGCACTTCTGCCCTTCCCCTGCTGAGACCACAAAGAGGGCTCTCAGGAACATAGAGAAAATGTATGAATGGTTAAACCTTATTTAAAATCAGCCTAATTTCCCCAGTGATAGGGTCCCCAAATTGTTTATGCTCGAGTCAGTAAGTACAATCCCCTGCAACAGTACCAGAAGAAGGCCGCCTGAACAAGAACCTTGCTAAAACCTGATGTCCTGTCGAAGTGTGATTTTCTAAAGGGATAATTTTTATACCAAAATGTATCCATTTCTTCAAAATAATCACAAAAATAACACTCTCTAAATACATGTGGACTGTAGAAGGGCTAAGAAGTTGATTTCATTTTGGCATTCCAGTGACTACAACCCAAAGTATGAGGCCATCATTCATCATCAGAGATGAACTGTAGGGTCAGAGAGAGCCAGGATGCCAGCAGCAAGAATTTTCCATTCATCAAACTGGCCAAGATGAAAAAATGAAATCAAATCTATGTTGTTGAAAGTCTGGGAAACAGACGTTCCAAGAAATTGCTGGTGGTAGTGAATGTTGGACGACTTTGAAGAACATTACCTCTCAAAATGTACAAAGCATATACCTTTTGCTATATAAGGTCACTCTGCTATAGGAATTTTTCTGACAGACATACTCACATGTATGCAAATACAAGGACCCTACTAGAAATGCAATGAAATAGAGCACAAAACTATAACAACTAAATGCCCTACAGTATGGAACTAGGAGCTAGTTAAATATGTTATAATACATTCCTACCATGAAATACAATATAGCTATTAAAAAGAAGATGAAACGGGAAGATTTTCAAAGCAATAAGTGAAAAAAGTGCAGAACAATAAATAGAGTTCAATCCCATTTGTGTATAAAAAGGCTATATTTTTCTGCCGGAATTTGCGTAAAACATTTCTAGACATATACTACAAGAAATATTGTGGCTGCTTCTAGGAAGTGAGACTGGCAGGTATTTTATAAACTTCTATCCTGTTAAATTCTATTTTTGACCGGGCGCAGTGACTCACGCCTGTAATCCTAGCACTTTGGGAGGCTGAGGCGGGCAGATCACCTGAGGTCAGGAGTTCGAGACCAGCCTGACCAACATGGAGAAACCCTGTCTCTACTAAAAATACAAAATTAGCTGGGTGTGGTGGCGCATGCCTGTAATCCCAGCTACTCAGGAGGCTGAGGCAGGAGAATTGCTTGAACCCAGATGGTGTAGGTTGAGGTGAGCCGAGATCGTGCCATTGCACTCCAGCCTGGGCAACAAGAGCGAAACTCCGCCTCAAAAAAAAATTTCTATTTTTACCACATGCTTATGTTATTTCTACAATTTTTTTTTCTGAGACAGAGTCTCGCTCTGTCGCCCAGGCTAGAGTGCAGTGGCGCGATCTCAGCTCACTGCAACCTCTGCCTCCCTGGTTCAAGCAATTCTCGTGCCTCAGCCTCCTGAGTAGCTGAGATTACAGGCACGCGCCACCATGCCCGGCTAATTTTTGTATTTTTAGTAGAGACAGGGTTTCACCATGTTGGTCAGGCTGGTCTCGAACTCCTGACCTTGTGGTCCACCTGCCTCGGCCTACCAAAGTGCTGGGATTACAGGCATGAGCCACTGCACCTGGCCCTTATTTAATTATTATTATTATTATTTTTTTTTTTTTTTTGGAGACAGAGTCTGGCTCTATCACCCAGGCTGGAGTGCAATGGTGCAATCTCAGCTCACTTCAACCTTTGCCTCCAGGGTTCAAGTGATTCTTCTGCCTCAGCCTCCCGCGTAGCTGGGACTACAGGTGCCCGCCACCATGCCCAGCTAATTTTTGTATTTTTAGTAGAGATGGGGTTTCACTATGTTGGTCAGGCTGATCTCGAACTCCTGACCTCAAGTGATCCGCCCGCCTCAGCTTCCCAAAGTGCTGAGATTACAGGCATGGGCCACTACGCCTGGCCCAGAAATCCTTTTAATTTGACTTCCTCTTCTTATTGGTAAGAACACTAAAGCTGAAAAGGTTTAGGGACTTGCCAAAGGTCAATTAAGTAGTAACCAGGAGAGGCAGGCCCTGATGCCTGGGTTCCCATGCCGTAATTCAAAAACTGACTTCATATAGAAAGCAAGGAATGACTGTTACTACTTTATGTCCACCCCTTGCTTTGTAGGACCAGCCTCCTTCCCTGTTCACTCATCAGACTTGACAAGTCTTGACTTTTCCTTAACACCGTATCCATCAGCTGAGGGGTCCTGCCAGGGAAGGCAGGCCCAAATGGGAGCTCCGAGTGCCTTGATCAAAGGTAGCATTAACCTCACAAGGAGCAATAATGATTTGGACATGGATGTATTTTTAAAAATTGTTCACACCTCATTGCAGCCCTGCTACTCAGGTACCTATCCATGTGCACACACACATGCGCACACACACACCATCCTAACTTCCAGCTCTCTGGCTCAAACCTAGCACCCAGGTTGATATGCTATTAGGAGTCTGAAGATAATTTTGTTGAATGAGAAATTCTATATAGGAGCAATGTTTCAAAAATGTCCATTCTGGGCTGGGCACGGTAGCTCACGCCTGTAATCCCAGCGCTTTGGGAGGCCGAGGCGGGTGGATCACGAGGTCAAGAGATCAAGACCATCCTGGCCAACATGGTGAAACCCCGTCTTTACTAAAAATACAAAAAAATTAGCTGGGCATGGTGGCACACACCTGTAGTCCCAGCTACTGGGGAGGCTGAGGCAGGAGAATTGCTTGAACCTGGGAGGCAGAGGTTGCAGTGAGCCGAGATCGCACCACTGCACTCCAGCTTGGCAACAGAGCAAGACTCCATCTCAAAAAAAAAAAAAAAAAATGCCCATTCTTTAGCAGTCTGTGTGTAAGCAACAGCTTCACTTTTCAGTGATATTTATTTATCTTTTGAGACAGGGTCTCTCTCTATCATCCAGACTAGAGCGCAGTGGCGTGATCACAGCTCATTGCAGCCTCGACTTCTTGGGCTCAAGCGATCCTCCTACCTCACCCTCTCAAGTAGCTGGGACTACAGATGCGCGCCACTACCCTCAGCTAGTTTAAAAAAAAATTGTAAAGATGGTGGGGGTTGTCTCACTATGTTGCCTAAGCTGGTCTTGAACTCCTGACCTCAAGCGATCTTCCTGCCTCAGCCTCCCAAAGTGCTGGGATTATAGGTGTGAGCTACTGCACCCGGCCTCAGTGATATTTATACATAAGCCTATATAAAATGTTTGTGGCCCAGTTTCCTGATTAAAATAGATTTTCAAAATGATTTGGTGGTGGTTGATCATTTCTTTTCCTGTTTACATGATTTCTTTAGAAAGAAAGCTTCCTGATTGTTAGGGTTCAAATTACAGGGTGTTTGCCTTCTTTCCTAATTTCTTTCAAAGGATGCATATGTCATGTCAAGAGCAAAGATCAAGGTGCCTTAAATGCCTAGCGGGATGAAACTTTGGGACCTACCAAGGGCAGACATTAAAGGGAGACATGCTGAAAAGGACAGGATAGCACATCAGTCTGTCCAGAACAGTGGTGGATAGTGTACAATGATGGATTATTAGATAATTAGATAATGAGCTACAGACAACAAAGCATGTGAAGGCATGTGAGAGGGTGATAAATGGACCCATGTATAATTGAGGACATTTTCCCCTTTCCATAATAACACTCTACATCTGCTTGGCACTTCATAGCTCCAAGTTCTTTCACATAAATTACTGTGGCAAGCAGTTCAGTGCTCATCAACAGCCCTTTATTCCCCATCCTGATCTTGTTCCGGTGGCAGCCTTCTGGTCCCATCTGGCCCAGGGGATGAACCATGACTGGTCTGAGCCAGAGGTTCTCAGCTTTGGCTATACAGTAGGATCATCTGGGGAGCTTTTCAAACATCCCAGTGCCTGAGTCTGGGGACTCCACTCCAGACTACTTAAATCAGAATCTCTGGGGGTGGAGCTCAGGCATTGGCATTAAAAAAATAAATAAAAAAGCTCCTCATGTAAATGTAATGTTCAGCCAGGGCTGAGAACCGCTGGTCTAAGCCAATCACAATGCTCCCATTCCCTTTCACCAATGATTGGGCTAGGGCAGGCTGTATAACCCAGTTTTAGCTAATGAGACATAAAGGGACGTCGGCTGGTAAAGGGGGTTCTGGGAAAGGTGTTATAATTTATTAAGGCTGGGTGCAGTGATTCACATCCATAATCCCAGCACTTTGAGAGGCCGAGGCAGGCAGATAGCTTGAGCTCAGGAGTACGAGACTAACCTGGGCAACACAGTGAGAGCCCCCACTCCCCGCCCATCCCCAATCTTTGCAAAAAAAAAATTTCTTTTAATGAGATTGAGTGGTGGTGTGCACCTGTAGTCCCAGCTACTTGGGAGGCTGAGGTGGGAGGATTGCTTAACCCTGGGAAGTTGAGGCTGCAGTGAGCCATGACATTGCACTCCAGCCTGGGTGAAAGATTGGATGTGGTGGTACGCACCTGTGGGCCCAGATGCTTGGGAGGCTGAGGTGGGAGGATCACTTGAGCCTGGGAGGAGGAAATTGCAGTGAGCCAAGATTACACCACTGTACTCCAGCCTGGGTGACAGAGTAAGAGCTGCCACTCAAAAAAAAAAAAAAAAAAAAAAAAGAGCATGGCAGGAGGAAAAACCCCTCCACCCCTTACTGGCTAGATAGCTTCCTTCCTTTCTGTATTTTAATAACCCTGTGTCGTTGTGTGAAGATGTTTTGCTTGGAGCTGTGGCTACCATCTTGTTACAGTGGGAAGATAAGCCAGTGAATGAAAGCCAAGATGTAAAAGATAGAAAGGGCCTAGGTCCTTGGTGACTTGGTTCAGGGTGCTACGGCCCCTACCCAGACCAGAAAAAACTTCACTGACTCCCTCACTGCCAAATCCTGGCCATTGGGTATGGACCATCCAGAAGTTACTCAGGTTAATTCACATGTGGCCTCTCTCCTCAGTTGAGCTGAGGGCACCCTGAGATGCCCTGTGGGGAGGATGGCTGTAAAGTTGTCGGCTTTCCTGTGTAGGCACTGTCGGCAGCTCAGGGATATTTTATTTGTTCAGTGGTTGGGACATATTAGTAATAAAGCTGAGTGTGTTTTCCACCTCATACTAGCCTAGCTGGAGTATCAGGGTGCTGCCAGGGAATGCCAAGGCAGGGGCCAGGTGAGGTATAAAAGAGAGGATTATGAGCTCTGGAGTCTAACACCAAACACTGTTCCACCCTCACCAGCCCAGGTATGACTTTGGGCAAATTACTTCTCTGAGTCTCGGATTCCTCATCTGGAAAACTGGTATAAATAATGATATATGTACAATGCCTAACTCAGTGCATGACACATAGCCCTTCAGTAAGGATCCCTCCCCCTCTCTTCTCCTCCCTTCTCTAGAATAGAGTGTGACAAACTTTTGGAAAACCCATCAGTGAGTCGGCAGTAACGTTATCTTCCTAGGAACCAAGAATACAAGCACTGTAATCAACCCACTGATTGGTGGTAAGTGCCCAATGCGGGAGGAAGGACTCAGTCACTAAAGTCTGGAAGAGCCTAAAGCTTGCTCCCAGATGTCCCTGCAGCCCTGCAAAGGAAGCCCCATCGGCCTTCCAAACAGCAACACCAGTGTCTTCCCTCACAGTCACTGTCACCCACACAGACTCTAACCTCCTAGAGGGCAAAGACTGTCCTCTACCCTCCTCTCTATTCTCTTTAATGCTTCACCCCAGCCAGTACTCAAATAGATGTTAGTAAAAATGAAAAAAAAAAAAAAAAAAAAGCAAAAGTTTCTGGGAGATTGTCATGTCTTAAAGCCATAAAATGCACAGCATTCCGCCCAGGGGAGGAGTTCCCTCAGGCCTGTGAAGAAGGGTTAGGGACAATTACTGTTATATCTGTAAATACAGGATCAGCAGATGAAAGGATGTTTTTGTTAAGATGTGACAAGTCACCCTGTGCCTTACCTTCCATCACTCTGGAAATCAGGAAAGAACACAGACTTCCTAGCAATTTCAGAAACTGACTAAGAAAACCATTTGATTACTGGGAGAAAAATTAGTTAGCCAGCTTCTGAAATCACTCTGAAACCCTGGTTCTGTAACAACAACAAAATCCCTCTTCATTAATATCTTCAACGTTTGTCCTCAGAGCTTCATCTCAGGGGAATGCTGAATTACACTATAAAATAATGAATGGAAACTTAACTCACTTCCGCCCACCCAGCACTACTTTTCCTCCTCCTCTGGACTGACTGCACAGTGCAGAAGGCGGCACCCTTCCAACTCACATAAAGTTTGGGGAAACACACTCCCATGTCACTAAGTAGACTCCTATGGTCAGCACTGTGCAGAACAAACCCTTCCCTCAGGCCATACACTGACCCACACAGAACACATTTTGAGACTGTTTAAGCCCCACTTTAGCATCTTCAGATATACAGAAAAAAACAAAAAACAAAAATGGAAAAACAAAAAAGAGGGGGCAGTGTCTTTTCACAAAGCTCCTCCTGCAGTCACAAACTGCTACTGCCAATTGAAGGCTCCATCTGTCAAACGGATGGGGTGGAGTGGGGGACACCCAACCCTGAGGTCTTGTCGACACTAGAGGAAGCTGACCAGGCAGCTTTTGTGACCTGATGTGAATGGGATATGGTCAAATATCCTGCAAACGCCAGCTACAGGGAGAAGGGGGAAGGGAGAGGAGGAGGGGAAGGGGGAGGAAGAGGAAGAGAGGGAGAGGGGAAATGAGAGAGGGAAGGAGGGGGAGGGGAGACAGAGAGGCGCACATGAGCCAGGGGAAAGCAAGTCTATTCACTACACAAGCGCCTGAGACACACAATGTGCAAGAAGTGTTGCAAGAGCCGCTGGACTGTGCCTGCATGTTTGGAAATTCAGGAGAAAAGCCCTGGAGCCTGCGCATAAAACAGACAGAGAAGAAACATGAAACAGAAAGATTAGGGATAGGTAGGGTTAGAATCAATGCCTTTCCACCAAACTCTCTGCTTTTGGCTTTCTCTGTGCCTGTAAACACCATTGCAAAGTCTCCTCACAGGACAAACTGGCATCAAGATAACTCCATAATCATCAACCTCAAATGGTTTCCGAAATCCTATACTCCACATGTCAATTCCCAGTCTCACGGCTCATTATGACTGTTTCAAACCTTCTCTACTCTCCTCAGCCCTCTGAAACCTCCTACTTCATACAGGGGAATGGGAATGCAGAGACCTGGCTTCCACCTCAGTCACGCCTAAATATCCTCTCTCATCTCAGGATCTCCCTCTAAGGAGGCGCGAGGCTAAGCTGGAGATTCCGATGAATCTACCAAATTCTACGAGCAGGACTTTCCCATCCTCTTGGACCTGATCTGATAGAATGGGATCCAGCATGGTACCCTCCCCCCTACACTTCCCCCTCCCCAGGCCATTCCAGGCTCCCGGAAGACCAGTCCCGGTCCCTGCCTTGCCCCGGGCCACCTTACCCGGATCCGTGCCGGGGACAGGGATGGGAGGCTACGTGGCGCCGTCGGCATCCATCTCCAGCGGCGTCTCCCCTTCCCTGGGCTGCTCCGCGTCGCCCTCCTCTCCGCTGCGAGGGTAGGCGAGCAGACGCATGGCTGGAGCGCAGGCGGCCTCCACCTGGCGCACCTGCTCTCGGCTCAGGCGCTCGCGCCAGGCGTGCACCGCCTCCCGGGCGTCGCGCGCTGACAGGTGGAAGGGCCGGTCGGCGCCGTAGGCCGCGCCGCGAGTCATGTTGAGCGCGAAGGCATCGAGCGCTGCGAGCGCGCGTAGCCCGGAGAAGCGCAGCAGGCGGCGCAGCTGGGCGCGTGGCTGCCGCACCAGGTCCTCATAGCGCAGCCTCAGGTAGCGGCGCCGCAGCCAGGCGGGCGCGCCGCGCGCGAAAAGCAGATCGCGCAGCCAGGCTTCGCAGATCACCTCGAGCGCACCGGTCAGGAAGAAATCGGCGCGCGGCGCGGCGGGCAGCGCGCGAGACTGGCCCCCGGGGCGAGCACCCACGCCGTGCGCCAGCAGCACACGGTGGAAGCGGTCGCCCCTCTGGCGGGTGCGCAGCACCTGGATGCTCTCGCGCAGCAGTCCCTGCCTAGACTTGAGGCGCGAGTTGTGCACCGCCCTCGGGTCGCGGAAAAGCTGCACCACCTTCAGGTTGAGGCCTGGATCACGCAACAGGGGCACCAGCACGCCCAGATCGAGCAGGCGCACGTCCTTGATGACCACCACCGGGTACTTTCGGCACTCGGCCTCCAGGGCGCGTATCGCCACGGGTGGGCAGCTGCGCTCGCAGGCGGTGTCCTCGACGAGGCCCACCTCGGCCCGGGCACGGGGTGCGCCAGGACACAGTGGCGGCGAGCAGATGACCTTGTTAGTCCGCCAGCGGAAGAGGGCGGCCGTGGTAAGATTGGCCGTGTCCGGGGCGCGCGCAGCGGGGTCCCCCGGCGGCGCGTACAGCCGCAGCACGGAGAAGTCGCAGCGGAAGAGCGAACGCAGCATGTCGCGCAGCGCGCCCTGCAAGCTCTCGGCGTCGCCCGGATACAGCGCCTGCCATAGATGCCACATGGGCTCATACAAGTAGAAAACGTCCGGGTGCTGGTTAAAGAGTTCGCCCAGGAAGGACGAGCCGGTGCGCCAGGTGGCATGCACGTAGATGTGCTGCTTCTCGCGAGACACTGCCTCCCCGACAGCGCCGCTGAGGTTGCTTGGGAACCGAGGAGACTGGTTCGCGCCCCCTTCCTCGGCGGCCCGCGCCTCCGCTCCCTGCTCGCGTTCGCCGGCCGCCGCCGCCTCCAGGCTCCACACTCCCAGGCTGCGCTGCAGGCCGGGGCAGTGCTCGGCGCCCTTGTCCCCGTCGCGGCCGCCGTCCAATACGGAGGGGACGAGCAACAGCACCAGCGTGTACAGCACCAACAGCAGCGCGAACTTGCAGTACTCTCGGCGTCGCCGCCGCCGGCCCTTCATCGTTCACCGACCCTCCAGAGCGGGTCGGGCGCCAGTCTTCTCCCGTTCCTCAGAAATCCCGTGCCAGGTCCGCTCCTGTGGCCTCTCCCGGCCCCTCTGCGCCGGGAGGAGCAGAGCCGCGGGGCCGCGCATCCACAAGGGGAAACTTGGAAGGCGGTGGTGCTACTGACGGCGCCCCTGCCCTCTCGGCTTAGCAGCCGGAGAGCCGCCTATTGGCCGGCTTGGCAGCCGCCCGCCCCGCCTTTCTGCCCGCCTGGGTTCGCCCACGGCTCTGCCAGATCTGGGCGGGGCTGTAGCGGGGCTGGGACGCCGGCTTACCCAGCCAGACCCCCACCTTTCCCCAAACCCTCCGTAATGAAGTCTTCATCAATGACTTCAGGCAAAGGAGGGGCCTGTGTGTACAGAATGTACCCAGTAAAGGGCCATAGACCCCACCCGGAGAAGGTCACTGCCTCTTCTGTTTTATGTCCCCTGCCTAGCCATCGCTATCCTAGGCAGATAAACACTCGCCACTATACATCCAGCGCCCCCATCAGCCCTGGAGTGGGTGTTACTGAGTTCCGGACTGAAAGATAGAAGATTGTACGTGGCAGAGCGGTCCAGGGGGGTTGGAGATACTACTGCATCCACGCAGCACATTTCATAAAGTCTAGCCTTTGTGAAATTCTAAGTGTTGTGTTCCTTAGGGTTTCACCAGCTGATGGGCTCTGCACATTTTACCAATACTCTGGGGCCCAGTTTGGTCATTTGTAAAATGTGAATAATTCTTAGTACCCATGTACCTCCTGGGATTGCGAGATTTGGGGGTTGTTACCACAGTATAACCCAGCCTATTCTGACACCTATGAGCAAAAGACATTTACAGAATCAAAGTGGTAGAATGGTGACCTTTCTCAGGAGCTCGGTGTTTAAAAGGACCCGTAAGAAGAAATGTGTACCCAAAGATAGATGAAAAAGAGACAGGAAGTCCAACAGGCAGATGAAGACTAGAGTTACTAAAATTCAAAACAGAACCAAAAAAGATACATTTTGCTCTGTTTCATCAGGCTAATGAATAAGGAAGTGAGAGCTTCCTTTCACCAGCTTGGGGAAGGTGTTGTAAAGTTAATAAAACATAGAAAGCATATCTACTTATCTCCACCAGGGGAAGGTGTTCAAATTGGAAGAGTGAGAACATATGCAATGCTCTCCACTGGTCTTTTTCATCACGGAAGCTACTCCACCTGTGAAACCACTGACTCAAGCATTTCGTTTTCTTTCCACAATTCCCCTCTTCTTCCAGCCAGTTGTTCAAATCTTCCCTATTCTCCAACCTCCACTTTTTGACCACCACCCCCACTTTCTTCTCAATTTTTCATATTCAGCTGAAAGATGCCATACCATTATTTTAATAACACTCCCTCCAATAAGCTAAACTCACGTGCCCTCTGCCTTTTCATTACTCATCTAGCAAAATCCCCCAAACCCTGCTTTTGGCTTTCTCTGTGCCTGCAAACACCACTGCGAAACATTTCTCCACAGGTGTGAGCCAGGCACAGTGGCTCACGCCTGTAATCTCAGCACTTTGGGAGCCCACAGAACAGATCAGCATCAAGATAACCTCATAATCATCAACCTGAAATGGTTGCTGAAATCTTAGGTTCTTCATGTCACTTCCCAGTCTCCAGTTCCATTATGATGATTTCAAACCTTCTCTAGTCTCCTCAGACTTCTGATACCCCTCTTCCCCCACCCACCTCTTCTCAGCACATGACCTTACTGCCTACTTCATAAAGAAACCATGTTAGACGATCTCTCACTTTTCCACTACCAAACTCATATATGCATTGACCTCTGTACACATCTCGTTTATAGCAAGGATATGATTTTGCAATATTAATCTACAACTTTCCCTTCTGTTTTCACTTTTCCCTCCTCTCTGGCTTTTTTAAAAAGCTTTGAGACAGGGTCTGGCTCTGTCACCCAGGCTGGAGTGCGGTGGCACTATCACCACTCACTGCAGCCTCAACCTCTCAAGCCCAAGCGATCTTCCTACCTCAGCCTCCCAAGCAGCTGAGACCACAGGCATGTGGACCACACCCAGCTAATTTTGTTTGTTTGTTTGTTTTTTGTAGAGACCGGGGTCTGTATGTTGCCCAGGCTGGTCTTGAACTCGTGGGCTCAAGTGATCCTCCCACTTCGGCCTTGTGCTGGGATTACAGGCCTGAGCTACTGTGCCTGGCCTCCTCTCATCTTTTAAGCAAGTAGGTGGCTCTGTGCTGGTGTGAGGGGAGAGGTGTGGCTGGGCAGAATGCAAATAGTTGCTGGTGTTTCCCGCTTCCCCCCACCCCCCGCCCTCCGCTCCAAAAGCCTCAACTCTGATAGTGGAAAGTGTGATAGGTTTTTTAAATAACCACAAAGTATTCCCCTCCTCTGTTTTGCCTTTGGGCAATGCCTTCCCATACTGACTCTGGGATGACCATGTGGCTTGCATTGGCCTGTGGGACAGTAGCAAACATGACACAGCAAAGGTTTGAAAAATACTCCTGCTGTGGGAATTGCCCTCATCCTGCTCTTTGGAACCCTGAGATCGGCTCGTGAAGAAGCCTGGGTTAGCAACATGGCTCAGAAAATAAGCCCTCCCAGCTGAGGCCCCCCACCCCCCAGACAAACAAGCCTGCTGACCGCCAGACAGGTGAGAAAGGAGATAGATCCTCGACCAGTGCTTCTCAAACTTTAATGCTTGAAGGCTCCTGTCAAAATGCAGAAAGTGGGCCTGGCCCAGTGGCTCACACCTGTAATCCCAACGCTTTGGGAGGCCGACGCGGGTGGGTATCCTGAGCCTAGGAGTTCAAGACCAGCCTGGGCAACATGGTGAAACCCCGTCTCTACCAAAAACACAAAAAAAGTTAACCAAGCATGGTGGCGTGCACCTGTAGTCCCAACTACTTGGAAGGCTGAGGCGGGAGGATCACTTGAGCCCAGGAGGTGGAGATTGTAGTGAGCCGAGGTCATGCCACTGCACTCCAACCTGGGTGACAGAGTGAGACCTCATCTCAAAAAAAAAAAAAAAGCAGAAAATGATTCATTACACCTAGGGTGGGGCCAGAGAGACTACATTTCTTTTCTTTCTTCTTCTCCTTCTTCTTTCTTCTTTCTTCTTCTTTTTTTAAATAGACAGGGTCTTCTCTCCCTCTGTCACCCAGGCTGGTGGAAGGCTGGAGTGCAGTGGCGTGATCATAGCTCACTGCAGCTTCAACTTCCTGGGTTCAAGCAATCCTTCTCATGCCTGGCTAATTAAAAAAAATTTTTTTTTAGGCTGGGCGCGGTGGCTCACGCCTGTAATCCCAGCACTTTGGGAGGCCAAGGCAGGCGGATCACGAGGTCAGGAGTTGGAGACCAGCCTGGCCAATATGGTGAAACCCCATCTATACTAAAAATACAAAAATTAGCCAGGTGTGGTGGCACATGCCTGTAGTCCCAGCTACTCGGGAGGCTGAGGCAGAAGAATCACTTGAACCCGGGAGGCAGAGGTTGCAGTGAGCCAAGATCGTGCCACTGCACTCCAGCCTGGGCGACAGAGTGAGACTCCATCTCAAAAAAAAAAAAAAAAATTGTAGGGTCTTGCTATGTTGCCCAGGCTGGTCTTGGACTCCTGGCCTCAAGCAATCCTCTTGCCTCGTCCTCCCAAATTGCTGGGATTACAGGCACGAGCCACTGCACTGGGTCCTGAGACTACATTTCTAATAAGCTCCTGGGTGCTTCTGATGCTCCTGGTCTGAGGACCACACTTAGAGTAGAAAGGTGCTACACCTTCCTGCCCTAACTGAGCTGACCCACCAAATTGTGAGAAATAATAGATGTAAGTTTTAGGGGTTTGTTTTGTAGCAAAAGCTAGCTGATATAAAGAAGGTGTGAGGGCTTAGACGAAATGTTTTGGAGAAGCAAAAGAAAGAGCAGCAGCACTCTAGTGCCCCCAACCCCACTGAGACATTTTCCTTAGGCTAGGAGGAGTGGGCAAAGGGAGAAGTCTATGGATCCTGCAGCCCAGGGCACCTGAACTCTTTTTCCTGGCAATGTGTCAGGGCAGAGCAGGAGTCAAAGAGAAGTGGCCACATGGTTCAGCTTGACAGAGATGATCAGGGGCACTGTGCCAAACCTTCCTGGGCCCCAGGCATAGCTTGGAAGCAGCAGAAGGGTCAAGTGACAGTGATGGAGACATCTCAGGGCAACTAGGTGAGCCAAAAACCCAATGATTCTAAGACCCCAGATCAAGAGTACATACAACCTTGGGAGTAGAGGAACCCTAGGAATTAATAAGGTCAATCAATGGTCTGTCATCCTAGCAGAAGGAAAACTCAATCAGAATTAAAGTTGTTTTCTATTAAGTGATTTCTATCACATCTAAGTTACTAGATCTGCTATCCATTTTTCACAATAGAGTGGTACAATAGAGTAGGCCCCGGTCCCTCCTATCAATCACCATTTCTCCTCCCTATTCAACTACACCCTCTCAACCAGATTATTTCCACTGATGTGAAAATTAAACAGTTTGATCTCTTTCTCTGTTTCTTCCTCTATCTCTCTCTCTTTAAAGTCCCATTTATTTGCATCCTCCTTTAGCATAGCTGCTGCTAACACATACAGTACCCTTGTGAGAATCAGAAAGTGCCCCCTCCAGACAGATGAATTGCAAGGGGGCTGACCCCATTCAAATAAGTACCCCTTCCTTCAGGCCACAGCCCCAGTCCAAGGTTAACAGCTTGAAGGCAGAACCTGGCCAGATTCTAGCCCGCTGTTGCATCTTTCTGCCAGGTACCCTCACTCTGCCCTTCTCCTACCCTTGTCCTGTTGCCACTGGTTTCTCTACCCACTCCTCACAGCCCAGCTTCTTAGTAGAGCTGTCTATACTAGTTCTCTCTGTGCTCTCATCTCCTACTCATTCTGTGGCAGGCCAGGTCTCCCTAACGGCTGAACAGGCAGGCCTCCCTAACAACTGTTTCAGCACTGAGTGGTTAAGCTAACTATTAAAAGCTAAGAGAGCCAGTGCCCTTATACAAAGGCTGGAAGGTAACAAAAGCACACCAAGAGTTTTGCCTAGGTCTTTCCTGGGCCTTGAAGCGTGACAAGAGAAGGAAGGAGTTCTTAACAGGACCCATTTAAGATTAAACAAGTTTCTCTGGGTGCAGTGGTTCATGCCTGTAATCCCAGCACTTTGGGAGGCCGAGGCAGGCAGATCACTTGAGGTCAGGAGTTCGAGACCAGCTTGGCCAACATGGTGAAAACTCGTCTCTACTAAAAATACAAAAATTAGCCGGGCGTGGCATGCACCTGTAATCCCAGCTACTTGGGAGGCTGAGGCAGGAGAATCACTTGAACCTGGAAGGCGGAGGTTGCAGTGAGCCGAGATTGAGCCACTGCACTCCAGCCTGGGCAATGAGTGAGACTGTGTCTCAAAAAAATAAAATAAAATTTAAAAAGATTAAGCACATGTTATTAGTGGTCTGAAGGAACTCCCCAAACCTCCATGATTTAGCAGGAGATAAGATAAGGGCAATCACCCCAGCACCTGGATCCATTTAGATTAAGTAAATTTACTGAGGCTCCAGAGGAAGGTCTTCAGGACTCAGACCTTAGTTATAGATTAGAAGAAGTTAATCACTTATGTCTTTAGATGAATGCACACTTACACGTAGACATGTAGCTTAGAAGGTATGTAAGCTCTGGAAAACTTTGTAATTTTGAGTTGGTCTGGTGATAATTTCCAGGCCTTCTCCCTGCACCTGGTTACAGAAATAAAAACTCTCTTCTTTCCCAGTTCACCTGCATCTTGTAATTGGGCTGAGAGAATAAGCAGTCCGACCCTCGGCTTGGTCCAGGAACAATTCCTCAGCACACTCCAATCTGAGTTCTGCCCCCATATTGCCACATCATCAGTTCTTTCTAAGCTTATCAATGGCTTCCATGGTTTTTTTTTTTTTTTTGAGTTTAGCTAGGATCACAGATTCACACCACCACTCCCAGCTAACTTTTTTATTTTTAATTTGTGTAGATACGGAGTCTTCCTATGTATTCCAGACTGGTCTCCAATTCCTGGGCTCAAGCAGTCCTCCTATGTTGGCCTCTCAAAGTGCTGGGATAACAAATGTGAGCCACCATGCCTGGTGCCATGTTACTGAATCCAGGACACTTTCATGGCTCACCTTACTTGACCTTTCAATAACATTTTTAACTGACACATTGTAAGTGTACATATGTATCAATAACATTTAACACTGTTGACAGTTCCCACCTTCAAATCATCTCTTCTGCCAACTTCTATGACATCACATGTGAACTGTTCTCCTAGTTCATAGCTACACCTTCAGAGCATAGCATTTGAGAGATTGACCTTTGGAGTCAGGCCACCCAAGTTGATATCCTTTATCCTTTGGAGTGAGGCCACCCAAGTTCATAGGCCAGCTCCACCACTTCAGCTCTATGGCCTTGGGCAAGTAAGTGAACCTCTCTGTGCCTCATTTATCAAACATTAGTTCTAATAGTACCTATCCTCCCCTATCCTGCAGGGTTGTTGTAAGAATTAAATTATATATATATATATATATATATATATATATATATATATATATATGCAGTCATGTGCCACCTGATGTTTTGTCAATGATGAGCTGCATATACAAGGGAGGTCCCATAAGATTCTAATACCTTATTTTTATTGTACCTTTTCTATGATTAGATGATATGTTTAGATGCGCAAATATGATCTCATGTTACAACTGTCTACAGTATTCAGTACAGTAACATGCTGTACATATAGCCTAGGTGTGTAATAGGCTATCCCATCTAGGTTTATGTAAGTACACTTTATGATGTTTGCACAATGATGAAATCGCCTAACAACGCATTCCTTGGAATGCATCCCCATCATTAAACAATGCACAACTGGGTGTGGTGTGTGTGTGTGTGTGTGTGTGTGTGTGTGTGTGTGTATAATCCCAGAACAGTGTATCCCATAGAGTAAGCTTTAAGTCTTATGAGTCGGTACATTGTTGCTGCTGTGGGAAGCTGATTCCCCAGGCCCTCTTCCTTTTCACTTTATGATCTCTTCAATGACTCCAAATTGACATTTCCAGCCCCAGCCTCTCCTTGGGGCTCCACACCTAGAAATCCAGTTGCCCACTTGACATTCCCTCTTGGTTGCCTCAATGGCATATCAATTTTAATATGTGAATGATAAAACTATCTATTCTATTATGCAGTCAGAAACTTAGGAGCCATTCTGGGTATCTCCCTCTTCCTCAGTCCCTCTTCTTCAATCCAATCTATCATCAAGTCAGGTGGGTTTTACCTCCTAAATGTCCTTTCAAATCATTCACTTATCTTCATTGCCATTGCTACTACCCTAGCTCAGAGGACCAACTGTCCCCTAGAGCACTGTAGAAACTGCCTAGCCAGTCTCTGTTTCTATTTTGCCCTCTTTTAATTTTTTTTTTTTTTTTTGAGACTGTGACTCACTCTGTCGCCAAGCATGGAGCGCAGTGGTGTGATCTCAGCTCACTGAAACCTCTGCCTCTCAGGCTCAAGTGATCCTCTCTCCTCAGCCTCCCGAGTAGCTGGGATTACAGGCGCACACCACCACGCCTGGCTACTTTTTTTGTAGAGACAAGATTTCACCATGTGGCCCAGGCTGGTCTTGAACTCCTGGGCTCAAGCGGTCTGCCTGTTTCGACCTTCCAAAGTGCTGAGATTAAAGGCATGAGCCACTGCACCCGGCCTAATTTTTAATCAGTGATAGATTTCGGTCAATGCCATTTCTCTGCTCAGAATCTGTCTTGGCTTCCAATTGGTCTTTGGATAATGATGCAAATCATTAAGGTTTGAAAATTATGTTGTTAGAGGTCTTGAATGCCAGACCTTATCATGGTGTCAAGCACATAGTAGGTGCTCAACAAGCATTTGTTGTCTGATTGACTGCTGGGAAGAAGCACTTTACATTTGAGCTTTGATAGCAAACTACTGATGATTTGTATTGAGGGAGTAAGTAACGTTAGCAGAAATGACTTTCCAAAAATAGTCTTGCTGGGATCCCATAGATTGGGATTGAGAGAGGAAGACCTATTGGGACAGAATGAAAGAGCAGAGAATTTGAAATAGATGGCAGTTGGAAAGAAAAAGATGAATAGAGATTGGGAAGGCAGAATCTGCCTGCTTGGCTGAGAAAAAAATAAGACTAGCATTTTAGACTGAGAAAAAGAAAAAAAGATTTCTTTTGATTCGTTTTTTCTGCTATCCTCTCTCTCTCTCTCTCTCTCTCCTTCTCTCTCTCTCTCTCTGACAGGATCTTGCTCTGTCACCCAGGCTGGAGTGCAGGGGTATGATCATGGCTCACTAAAGCCTCAACCTCCCAGGCTCAAAGGATCTTCTCACCTCAGCCTCCTGAGTAGCTGGGACCACAGCTGTGTGTCACCGGGCCTGGATAATTTTTTAATATTTTGTGGAGATGGGGTCTCACTATGTTGCCCAGGCTGGTCTCAAACTCCTAAGCTTAAGCGATTCTCCTGCCCTGGCCTCTCAAAGCGTGGGGATTACAGGTGTGAGCCACTGCTCCTGGCCAACATGCCTTCTAAGGATTTTCACAGTCTGGCTCTAATCTACCTCTACAATCTCCTTTTCTGTTTTTCATGAGGTTTCCAACATTATAAATAGGGGTGCTAAAATCACATCTTTACTACTTTCAAAACAATGGACCTAGAGACCAGACTTTTTCTTATGTATTCAAATATTTATTCAAAAATATGTATCAAGTGCAATCATGTATCTGGGGTTGTGCTGGGCAGAGGAGGTACACAATGAGCAAAACAGTCCCTGACCCTGTTGTCCCTTCCAGCCTAAGAGAGGAGACCAACTTTAACCAAATCAGTCTCCTAATGTGTGAATAACCCCAAACTGAACCAAGTGCTTGAAGGAGAGGAACGCAGTTCTGTGAGAGTGTATAACATAAAGGTCTGCCCCAGGGCTGGGCGCAGTGGCTCACGCCTGTAATCCCAGCACTTTGGGAGGCCAAGGTGGGTAGATCACTTGAGGTCAGGAGTTCGAGACAAGCCTGGCCAACATGGTGAAACCCTGTCTCTACTAAAAAATACAAATTTTCCAGGTGTGGTGGCGGGCGCCTGTAGTCCCAGATACTCGGGAGGCTGAGGCAGGAGAATTGCTTCAACCTGGGAGGCGGAGGTTGCAGTGAGCCGAGATTGTGCCACCGCACTCCAGACTGGGCAACAGAGCGAGACTCAAAAAAACATCTGCCCACACACACTCTCTCTCTGTCTCTCTCTCTCTGTCTCTCTCTCTCTCACTCTCTCTCTCTCTCTGTCTTCTCTGTGTGTGTGTGTGTGTGTAGTAAAGACTTCCCACAGGGGATGCTTGAGCAGAGATCTGAAGGTGGAGAAGGACCTGACTGAATGAGGTGGAAATGGAACATGATGGGTTCAAGAAACTTAGACCATGTAGCTATTCTTGCATATTTATTTTTTCATATGAACTTTAGTATCAACTTGTTTAGGTCCAGAATAAAAGCTTATTGGTATTCTTACTGAAAGTTGGTAAGTTTATAACATAACATAGGAAGGAGAATTGACATCTTCATGATATTGACTTGACCTATCTGTGAGAGCCACCATTTATGTAAGAGAACATAAACAGAGGTTCCAAGGATCAGGACATGGATATCTTTAGGGGCCATCATTCTTCTCCGCACAAGTACTATTTACAATAATACCAAAGAAGGCCAGGTGCAGCGGCTCACGCCTGTAATCCCAGCACTTTGGGAGGCCAAGGCAGCCGGATCACTTGCGGTCAGGAATTCAAGACCAGCCTGGGCAACATGGTGAAACTCTGTCTCTACTAAAAATACAAAAATTAGCCAGGCATAGTGGCAGGCGCCTGTAATCCCAGCTACTCAGGAGGCTGAGGCACGAGAATTGCTTAAACCCAGGAGGCAGAGGTTTCAGTGAGCTGAGGTCGTGCCACCGCACTCCAGCCTGGGCAACAGAGCAAGATTCAATCTAAAAATAAAATAAAATAAAATAAAACCAGAAAAATGAAATATTTAGGTGTACATTTCACAAATATGTCCTAGATCTATGTGCTGAAAACTACAAAACAATGATGAAGGAAATAAAAGAGAGCTAAATATATGGAGATTTAGAAATGTATGGAGAACTGTGTTCATGGATTGGAAGACTCAATATTGTGAAGATGTCAATACTCTAAAAATTTATCTATAGATTCAACACAATTCCAGTCCAAATCCCAGCAGGATTCTTTATAGATATCAGCATGGTGACTCTAAAATTTACATGGAGAGGCAAAGAAATTAGAATATTCAAAACATTTTTTAAAAATAAGAACAAAATTGGAAGATTCATGCTACTTAATTTTGAGACTTACTATAAAGCCACAGTACTCAAGACAGTGTGGTATTGATGCAAGGATGGATACGTAGGTCAATGTAATAGAATAGAGAGTGCAGAAATTTACCCATACTTTTTACAAAAATTCACTTAAAATTAATCATAGACCTGGCTGGGCCTGGTGGCTCATACCTGTAATCCCAGCACTTTGGGAGGCCAAGGCGAGTGGATTGCTTGAATCCAGGTGTTTGAGACCAGTCTGGGCAACATGGTGAAACTCTGTCTCTACAAAAAATAAAATTAAAAACAAAATTAGCCAGGCATGGTGGCACATGCCTGGGAGCTACTTGGGAGGCTGAGGTGGGAGGATGGCTTGAACCTGGGAGGCAGAGGTTGCAGTCAGCAGCGATCACACCACTGCACTCCAGCCTGGGTGACAGAGCGACACCCTGTTTAAAAAAAAAAAAATCAATCATAGACCTAAATATAAGATGTATAACTTTTAGAAGAAAACACAGAAGAAAGTCTTTGTTTTCTGGTGTTAGGCCAATAATTCTTAGATATGACACCAAAAGCACTATCCATAACAGAAAAATTTGATAAGTTGGACTTCATGAAAATTATGAGCTGTTGCTCTGCAAAAGATGCTAAGAGGATGAAAAAACAATATACTGGGAGAAACTATTTATAAATAACATATCTAACAAAGGACTTGTATCCAGAATATACAAAGAGCTCTCCAAACAATGAGGAAACAAACAATCCAATATAAAAATGGGCAATAAACCGTGGAAGCAAAGGACCAGTAGGTGAAGATAAAGGCATCAGAGCATTTAAGGAATCTGCAAAGCAGACACTGGCTCCAGCAGCAAGTGTAAGTGGCAGCAGGAGATGGCCAAGAGCACCCAGGGAAAAGGCGCAAGCCCTAGAAGACCTGGCTGGCTTCAAAGACCCAGCACCAGGTCATACTGAAGAATCAATGACTCATGACAAAACCACCAAAATACCCTGCAAATCACCACCAGAACTAGTAGACACTGCAACAAGCTCAAAGAAATGGCCCAGGGCTTGTGGCCAGAAAGTAGAAGTGAAAGAAGAGCTATTAGCAGTCGGCAAGCTCACACAAACATCAGGGGAGACCACGCACACCAATAAAGAACCAGAAGGTGAGGGCAAAGGCATGAAAGCATTTAAGCAACCTGCAAAGCAGAAGCTGGACCCAGAAAATGTAACTGGCAGCAGGAGATTGCCAAGAGTGCCCAAGGAAAAGGCCCAACCCCTAGAAGATCTGGCCAGCTTCCAAGAGCTCTCTCAAACACCAGGCCACACTGAGGAACTGGCAAATGGTGCTGATAGCTTTACAAGTGCTCCAAAGCAAGCACCTGACAGTGGAAAACCTCTAAAAATATCCAGAAGAGTTCTTCAGGCCCCTAAAGTAGAACCCGTGGGAGACCTGGTAGGCACCAGAGACTGTAAAATCACAAAGCAAAAGCAACACCTCCCTGCCCCCACTGCCCTTCAAGAGGGGATGTGGAAAAGATGGAAGTGTCACAGGAACCAAGAGGCCGCACTGCATGCCTGCACCAGAGGAAATCATAGAGGAGCTGCCAGCCAGCAAGAAGCAGAGAGGGTTGCTCCCAGGGTGAGAGGCAAATCACCCGAACCCTTGGTCATCATGAAGAGAAGTCTGAGGACTTCTGCAAAAAGAATTGAACCTGCAGAAGATCTGAACAGCAATAACATGAAAACCAACAAAGAGGAATACGAATTACAAGACTCAGTCCCTGAAAATAAGGGAATGTCCCTGCTCTCCAGACGCCAAAGTAAGACTGATGTAGAACAGCAAATAACTAAGGTCATTGTATTAGCAGAAAGAATTCAAATAAACTGAAATGAAAACAAGCCCATGAAGACCTCCCAAGACATGGACATTCAAAATCCAGATGATGGAGCCCAGAAACCCATACCTAGGGGCAAAGTCAGTGAAAACAAAAGGTGCTTGAGGTCTGTTAGACAGAATAAGAGCTCCCAGCCTAAAGTGGCAGAGGAGAGCAGAGGGCAGAAGAGTGCGGGGGTTCTCGTGCAGAATCAGGAAGGGAAAGGAGAAGCAGGAAATTCAGACTCCATGTGTTTGAGAGCAAGAAAGATGAAAAGCCAGTCTGCAGCAAGCACTTTGGAGAGTGAATATGCACAGAGTAACGTGGAATGTCAAGAGGCGTGCAGAAAATCCAAAGAAGGCTGAGGGCTGGGTGCGGTGGCTCACGCCTGTAATCCCAGCACTTTGGGAGGCTGAGGCGGGCGGATCACGAGGTCAGGAGATCGAGACCATCCTGGCTAACATGGTGAAACCGCGTCTGTACTAAAAATACAAAAAATTAGCCCGGCGTGGTGGCGGGCGCCTGTAATCCCAGCTACTTGGAAGGCTGAGGCAGGAGAATGGCGTGAACCCGGGAGGCGGAGCTTGCAGTGAGCCGAGATCGCGCCACTGCACTCCAGCCTGGGCAACAGAGCGAGACTCCATCTCAAAAAAAAAAAAAAAAAAAAAAAGAAGGCTGAGGACATTGTGTGCGTCAAGAAAATAAGAACCAGAAGTCACTGGGACAGTGAAGACATTTAACAAAGAAATCTAACTGGGAAAAATATAATAAAGCTAGTTTTGTGATAAACAAACAAACAAAAAGGGCAAAATATTTGAACAGCCATTTCACCAAAGAAGATATGCAGATGTCTATAAGGAAATGAACAAGCTGCTGAACATCAACAGTAAAATGCAAATTAAAGCCATAATGAAATACCACTGATGCACCTATTACAATGGCTTAAAAAAACTGACAATACCAATTGCTGGCCAGGCTGTAGAACAACTGGAACATTCATACATTGCTAGTGGGAATGCAAAAATGGTTCAGCCACTTTGGAAAAACAGTTTGGCAGGTTTTTAAAATAAAGTTAAAAATATATTTACCACATGTTCCACCAATTCCATGCCTACATATTTCCTTAAAAGAAATGAAAACTTATGTTCACACAAAATCCTATATGCAAATGTTGATAGCAGCTTCAGTCGTAATTGCTAAAAACTGGAAGCAACTGGTGAATGGAGAAACAAATTGTGATCAACCATACAATGGAACGCTACTCAGCAATAAAAAGGAACAGACTATTGATACACACAATGACACGTGTGGCTGAATCTCAAATACATTATTCTGTGAGAAAGAAGCCGGCTCAAAAGTCTACATTCTGTATTATTCCATTTATATGACATTCTGGAATATGCATAAGTATATTGACAGAGAACAGATTAGTCTTTCCAGGGATTAAGCACAGAGTAGAGGAATCAACCATAACAGGACAGCATTAGGTAGTTCTTTGGGGGGAATTAGAATTCTTCTGCATCGTGACTGTGGTAGTAGTTACATGGCTTGGTGAGTTTGTCAAAATTCGTAGAACTATACACCAAAAAGAATGAAATTTACTGAAAGATACATTTTAAAATAAAATAAAATAAACCCCAGGTATTCATGGCTCTACTTCCAATGCCCAAGCTGCCTTGAGCTTCTGAGCTCTAATGGATGAAAAGGTGGATGGATATAGGGTTTGCCTGCAAGCCTTGTCCAAGCCCTGTGATTTCACTCACATTATAGGTTGAGTTCTCTGGGAAGCAGACTCTGAGTTGGAGATTAGCACCCAGGATATCTTTTTGTTTTGTTTTTTTTTTGAGATGGAGTCTCGCTCTGTCACCCAGGCTAGAGTGCAATGGCACGATCTCTGTTCACTGAAACCTCCGCCTCCCAGGCTTGAGTGATTCTCCTGCCTCAGCCTCCCAAGTAGCTGGGATTATAGGCACCCACCACCACACCTGGCTAATTTTTGTATTTTTAGTAGAGATGAGGTTTCACCATGTTGGCTAGGCTGGTTTCAAACTCTGCACCCAGGAGATTTATTAGAGAGGGCCCTTGAGATCAACATCTATTGAAGGGAAGGGAAGGATGTAGGATTGGGCAGAGGGGCAAGTCAGGTGGCAGCACAAGCCCAACATTGTCTCTCTTGGTCTACCACATGGTGATCTTTGAAGATGAGGTGGTTATTCGGAGTTGTCGCTTGTTGAGGGGAGAGGGCTGGGCCCCCTGTTTTTCAGCTATTAGATGCAGGCTGACCCCTAGAAGGATGCAACTTTGGGTGAGGCAGCTCTTTTTAGCCAAGGCAATCACTGAAGTTGCTGACAGCTGAGGGTTTTCTGTGGGCACCGCTCCCAGCAGCTGGAGAATACTTCCTTTATTCCAGAAGGAGAATCTGGACAGCATCTACCACACTTCCTGACCTCTTCAAAAGAGGAGGTATTCCAATCTTTTTTACTACCTCCCAGAGGGCAGAAATGGTGATTTCCTGTTGAAATCCAGTGGCAGAACACTTACCAGGTCCTTTTGAGTTTTCTAATAAAAACATAAATCAATAAACAAACATATTTTCTGGGCAAAGAGTGGCTTCTCACAGGAATTTTTTCTAATTTTACACATTTTTCTTCCTTGTGATAATATGTATAATTTATTTTATGAGAAGTAAAACATAAATTGTAATAGAACTTAGTTTTAGTATTTTTTTTTTAAGAGATGGGTACTCATTCTGAAGCCCAGACTGGAGTGCAGTGGCGGCAATCATAGCTCACTGCAGCCCCCAATCTCTGGGGCTCAAGCGATCCTCCCACCTCAGCCTCCCAAGTAGCTGGGACCACAGGCATGTGCCAACACACCCGGCTAATTTTGTTTATTTTTGTAGAGATGCGGGTCTCACTATGTTGCCCAGGCTGGTCTTGAACTCCTGGGCTTAAGCAATCCTCCTGCCTTAGCTTCCCAAAGTGCTGGGATTACAGGTGTGCGCCACCGCCCCCAGCCACGTTTGCTAATTTCAACATTTTCTTAACAAAAAGGAAAATTAATTACATGGTGTAGGTCAGGCATCTTTTATAACACTCTTACTTCTTCACATTCTTAAAATGTTGACTTTCTAATGTGAAGACTGGACAGGCTTCCAAGCTCTGGTCAAAGTGGGGCAAGGATTACTCTAGAGAGATTGTTAGGATATCACTGTATACCACTCCATCTCCCATGAGTATACAAGTTGTGCTGTGAGAGGAGTTTCTCACCATCTTTTGTACTTAAACATCGCTTCATTTCTTGCTCCTCCTTAATCCTCTTCATAGCCTCTACCTAACCTAAAATATTGGGAATCCAAGGTTCCATGTTGGGCCCCCTCTTCTTGTACTCAACCACCTGAGATTTTCAATTCCCATGGCTTCTCCCAACAAGTTTACATTATTCACTCTTAAATATCATCTCCAGGCTGGGCATGGTGGCTCATGCCTGTAATCTCAGCACTTTGAGAGGCCGAGGCAGGTGGATCACCTGAGGTCACGAGTTCGAGACCAGCCTGGCCAACATGGTGAAACCCCGTTTCCACTAAAAATACAAAAATTAGCTGGGCGTGGTGGTGCCTGCCTGTAATCCCAGCTACTCGAGAGGCTGAAGCAGGAGAATCGCCTGAACCCAGGAGGCGGAGGTTGCAGTGAGCCAAGATCACGCCATTGCACTCTGGCCTGGGTGACAAGAGTGAAACTCTGTCCCTCCCCCACCCAAAGAAAAATCATCTCCAGATTTATCTCCTGAACTCCAGTTAGTCTCATGTTTTCAATTCTGTCTCAGCACCTCTACCTGATGTCCCCCCAACCCAGGTGCCCCACATTCATCTTGTCCCCAAGCAAATCCTCTACAAATCTGCTATTCCTCATGAATTTCTGTTTTGAATGTTATTATTACACAGCAAGATGCCAGAATTAGAAACCCCACAGTCATCTTTGGGCATGCCTCTCCCTTTCTCGGGCACCACATCCAATCAGACATCCTAGCCCCATAAGTCTACCATGCAAATATCTCTTAAATATGCCTCCATCATTAACTCTCCCCCCAACAAGACGCCACCATTCATCAATCCACATTGTGCTTTTCCTCTCTAGCTTTGTGTGATCCATCATCTCTTAATTGGTCTTTCTGCTTCCATCCTCTACCATCTCCACACCTTCTTAAGAAGGCTATCTGGGGCCAGCAGAATCAAGTCCACACTCCTTAGGACACCTCATAAGGGTTTTTACAGTGCTGTCCTTATTCCTTGGCCTGCCTTCTAAGGATTTTCCCAGTCTGGCTCTCATCTACCTCTGCAGTCTCTTTCCACTGCTTCCTCTCTCTTCCTCCTCCGTCCTGTATCCCAATTCTGTTGGCACACTGACTGTTTAATACTGTGAGTTCTAGTCAGAATTTTCTGGGTTTCACAAAAATGCTGAACAGTTTGATGCTTCTATATCTGAGCTCAAGTTGTTCCATCTGCCTAAAATACCTTTTGTTCACATTTCAGTCTGTCATATCTCACTTAAATTTGAAGCTCACATATAAAGTTCATTCAACAGAATTAATGATTCATTTTCTAGGTTTCCACCTTGTACACAGCTGCATTAAAACATCTCCTATGGCCAGGCACAGTGGCTCATGCCTGTAATGCCAGCACTTTGGGAGGCTGAGGTGGGTGGATTACTTGAGGTAAGGAGTTCAAGACCAGCCTGGCCAACATGGTGAAACCCCATCTCTATTAGAAATATAAAAAAATTAGCCAGGCTTGGTGGTGGGTGCCTATAATCCCAGCTACTCGGGAGGCTGAGGCAGGAGAATCGCTTGAACCCAGGAGGCAGAGGTTGCGGCAGGCTGAGATTGCACCACTGCACTCCAGCCTGGGGGACAGAGTGAGACTCCGTCTCAAAAAGAAAGAAAACCTCTTACATTAGTGTTATGAATTTGTTTCTCTTTCTGGATGGACTGTGAGCTCAGCAAGAATATCTGAAAGATGAGAGATCTCCAATTGATGTTCCGTTTGAACTAGTGAATGAAATATCCCTGGTATAATTGGCACATTAAGCTGAGAATACTAATTACATATACCTAAGAATGAATTTTAATTATATGCTATACTCTCGGTTAGAAAGTAGGGAAGCAAACTTTACTGTGTGAAGCTTAAAGGAAGGAAGAAATAATACTAAAGAAGGAATTTGAGAAACAGAAGAGTGAAGGCCCTGCATGGAAAAAAGGAGTGAAGAGAAATCAAAGGTGGACATTTTCTTAGAGACAGGGTCTCACTATGCTGTCCAGGCTGGTCTTGAACTCCTGGGCTCAAGCTACCCTCCCACCTCAGCCTCCCAAAGTGCCGGGATGACATGTGTAAGCCACCATGCCTGGCCTGAGATGGACATTAATTAAAGACAGATTTGCCCTCTTTAGCATTTTGTCCTTACTATTTTATTTTTGTAAATAGGTAGGCTGATGTGACCTGATGAGAAAATATCTAGTAAAAACACTGTGCAAACTAAGAATTGAAGACATTGAAAAATTCTTTTTTTTTTTTTTTTGAGACATAGTCTTGCTCTGTCGCCCAGACTGGAGTGCAGTGGTGCGATCTCGGCTCACTGCAACCTCCACCTCCCAGGTTCAAGCGGTTCTCCTGCCTCAGTCTCCCAAGTAGCTGGGATTACAGGCACCTGCCACCATGCCCGGCTAATTTTTGTATTTTTTTAGTAGAGATAGGGTTTCACCATGTTGGCCAGGCTGGCCTCGAACTCCTGACCTCAAGTAATCTGCCCACCTCAGCCTCCAAAGTGCTGGGATTACAGGTGTACAGTGCTGGCATGACATGCCTGGCCTGAAAAATTCTACTTTCTATATGTTATTTTTTAATTGTTCTTAGTCTTCTTTTCATAAATGTTACTTTTTAAAAAACATGCTCTACATGTTCAGAGAAACTTTCCTAGGAAGGAACTATAGAAACGATCCCTTGCTGGGCATGGGGGCCCACACCTGTAATCCCAGAATTTTGGGAGGCTGAGGAAGGATTGCTTGAGCCCAGGAGTTTGAGACCAGCCTGGGCAAGACAGTGAGACCCTGTCTCTACAGAAAAATTTTAAAAATAGCCCAGTGTGATGCTGTGTGCCTGTAGTCCCAGCTACTCAGGAGGCTGAGGTGGGAAGATTGCTTGAACCTGGGATGTCAAGGCTGCAGTGAGCCATGATGGCACTATTACACTCCAGCCTGGCTGACAGAGTGAGGCCCTGTCAAAAAAAAAAAAAAAAAGAAAGAAAGAAAAGAAAAGAAAAACAAATGACCCCTGAAAGCATAGTCTTTAAATGTTACTTCCTGATGAATGCCTTTTTGTAAATGAATTCAAGATGTAGATAAATGAGAAATGAAATAGAGACGATTATATTTCAGTTATATAGCTCACTCATCCATTTGGATAATTTTTCCATATTCTATAAAATGTCACCATCTGCTGGGGGAAGAAAAGATGTACAATTCAACTTTGTTGCGTAAGTGGTATTTCAAATCAACATGATTACTTAGAACTGTAGAACTTTTCTTTAGCAAGATGATTACACTAGCTCAGCTGGTGAAAAATTACCAGAACACATAGGCAAATACTATTCACCACTGTGCTTTGTTTGAGGATATTCTTTCTCCAATGGGCAATTCAGATCAATTATCCTTTAAAATGTTTTAACAAGTAGCACTTTTTGTTTGTTTGTTTTTTGAGTCTCGCTCTGTCGCCCAGGCTGGAGTGCAATGGTGCGATCTCGGCTCACTGCAACCTCCGCCTCAGCCTCCTGAGTAGCTGGGATTACAGGCACACACCATCATGCCCAGCTAATTTTTGTATTTTTGTAGAGATGGGGTTTCATCATGTTGGCCAGGCTGATCTTGAACTCCTGACCTCAAGTGATCCTCCTGCCTTGGCCTCCCAAAGTGCTGGGATTACAGGCATGAGCCACCTCGCCCAGACTCCTTTTCCATTTTCTATTCATATGTTCACTTTTACATACGTACACTTTTACATAAACACTTTTACATATTTTACAAATAGCAGTTTGTGGGGATATTTTTTTATTAGAGACATTGTAATCATCCAGTGGGTCCTTCTGTTAGAATAGGTAGCTAGGCAGACATGAACAGGGCAGGAGAAGGCCCCCAAATCCCCAGGCAACCATCAGGTGATGGTCAGGTGGTTGTTAAACTGTCTTGCTAAAATAATAATTGGTCGCAGCTGGCACCAGAGAAAGGCAATCTCTCAATGGATAGAAACACCTGAAGCTGGTAATGAGCAACTTCCAAATAAGATATCAGGAGTTAGGCAAACGGGCTCAAGTATGTGCACTAAGAGGCAAAATGGCGGAGTTTAACTGGTGTATGACATTCCTCTAGGAACGCTTGACTGGTAAGGGAAAAATGCCTCAAATGAGCATGTGCCTAACTTCAGTAAACACACTGTGCGTGCAGCCTCATCCAAGTGCTGGCAGGCCATGGTGCATGCAGACAGCCCACTCCAAGGAAAAACAGAGGAGAAATGGAAATCTCAGAACCATGCCAGCGTATAAAACAAGTCAAGGGCTGAACAGCACACTTGGATCTCTCAAGTTGCCCACTTGACCCTCTTCCAAGTGTACTTTACTTCCTTTAGTTCCTGCTCTAAAACTTTTAAATAAACTCTCACTCCTGTTCTAAAACTTGCCTTGGTCTCTCACTCTGCCTTCTGCCCCTTGGCCAAGTTCTTTCCTCCAAGGGGGCAAGAATCGAGTTTGCTGTATAGACCCGTTGGATTTGCTGCTGGTAACACTTCCTGCCCACTGCACAGACAAAATCAGTTTACTGAGACCATGGCATTGCAATAAAGAGTTTGGCTGGGTGTGGTGGCTCACATCTGTAATCCCAACACTTTGGGAGGCTGAGACAGGTGGATCACTTGAGGCCAGGAGTTCAAGACCAGCCTGGCCAACATGGTGAAACTCCGTCTCTACTAAAAATACAAAAAATTAAGGCCGGACATGGTGGCTCATGCCTGTAATCCCAGCAATGTCAGAGGCCAAGGCAAGTGGATCACCTGAGGTCAGGAGTTCAAGACCAGCCTGGCCAATATGGTGAAATCCTGTCTCTACAAAAATACAAAAATTAGCTGGGCATGATGGCATGTGCCTGTAATCCCAGCTACTTGGGAGGCTGAGGTGGGAGAATCGCTTGAACCCAGGAGGCAGAGGTTGCAGTAATCCAAGATCATGCCATTACACTCTAGCCTGGGTGACAGAGCGAGACTCAGTCTCAAAAAAAATAGCCAGGCATGGTGGCGCATGCCTGTAGTCCTAGCTACTCAGGAGGCTGAGGTAGGAGAACCATTTGAACCTGGGAGGTGGAGGTTGCAGTGAGCCAAGATCATGCCACTGCACTCCAGCCTGGGTGATGGAGTGAGACTCCATCTCGAAAAGAAAGAAAGAGTTTAATTGACATGAGGCTGGCCACGCCACGTGGGAGATGAATTATTACTCAAATCAATCTCCCTGAAAACTCAGAAGTTAGGGTTTTTCAAGGATAGTTTGTCAGACAGGGGGCTGATTGGTTGGAAGTGCAATTATAGGGGTGTGGAAAATGGTCCTTGTGTGCCAAGTCTGCTTCTGGGTGGGGGCCACAAGACCAGTTGAGTCATGAGTCCATCTTGCCAGTCCGGAGTGGAGCCATCCGGTCACCATAAATGCAAAAACCTGAAAAGACATCTCAAAAGGCCAATCTTAGGTTCTACAATAGTGATGTTATTTACAGGATTAACAGGGGAAGTTGCAAATCTTGTGGTCTCTGGAACAATGGCCATTAATCATTTAACTCCACCTACATCTTAGCAAAATTCAGGCCCCTTTCATCTTTCTTTTTTTTTTTTTTGAGATTGAGTCTTGCTCTGTTGCCCAGGCTGGAGTGCAGTGGCACTATCTCGGCTCACTGCAACCTCTGCCTCCCTGGTTCAAGCGATTCTCCTGCCTCAGCCTCCTGAGTAGCTGGGACTACAGGCACCGGCCACCACGCCCGGCTAATTTTTGTAATTTTAGTAGAGACGGGGTTTCACCATATTGGTCAGGCTGGTCTTGAATGCCTGACTTCAGGTGATCCACCCACCTTGGCCTCCCAAAGTGCTGGGATTACAGGGGTGAGCCACTGTGCCCGGCCTCATTAGTTTTACAAAGGTGCTTTAGTTTTGGGGAAGGGCTATTATCATCTAAACTGCAAACTGCATTTCCCCCAGTTAGCTTGGCCCATGCCCAGGGATGACCAAGGGCAGTTTAGAGTTTAAAGGCAAGATGGGGGTTGGTTGGATCAGATCTCTTTCACTGTTATAATTTTCTCACTGTTAAAATTTTTGCAAAGGCAGTTTCAATATCACCTCTCTTCTTAAGTGTTGCAAATATTCTTCCCAGTCTATAACTTGTCTTTTGATTTCCTATGGCATGAGGACTAAACTCTGATCTTGAAATTCCTATCTAAGGGGTCTGGGGAGTCATGCCCTACAAACTATAAAAATCTAATTCGATTTTTAAAATTAACCTGACACAATGTGGCTTACTTTCCAACCTGACTCTGGTATAGCATCACATGATAGATAGCAGACACTGAAGGAAACCAAATTATTTTATCCCAAAATATATTTCTTTGACATATTTTAAAATGGCTGCCACAGGGCCAACACATTGAAGTGACTCTGCAAAGCTGCCTTTTGCAGTGGAAATTTGCATTGGTAGAGAATCTCCATTAATGCACCCAGGCCTTCCCTTTCTAGGCCTTTTCCAGATCTAGGAGAGATTAACTGCCAGTCTGATGTCTTTAAGGTCTGAAAGAGACATTTACCATCTATTCTCTCTGAGGGCTGCTACTTAGGAACCTTCATCTACATAACAAGGTCCTCAGCCCCCATAACCCCCTTATCTTAACTCAAGCATTCCTTTCTACTGACTTCATGTCTTCAGACAACAGCTTAACTCTCTCAACCAACTGTCATCTAAAGAATACCTAAAACCGGCCGGTCGCGGTGACTCACGCCTGTAATCCCAGCACTTTGGGAGGCCAAAGCAGGCGGATCACCTGAGGTCGGGAGTTCCAGACCAGCCTGACCAACATGGAGAATCCCCACCTCTACTAAAAATACAAAATTATCTGGGTGTGGTGGCACATGCCTGTAATCCCAGCTACTCAGAAGGCTGAGGCAGGAGAATCCCTTGAACCTGGGAGGCAGAGGTTGCAGTGAGCTGAGATCATGCCACTGCAATCCAGCCTGGGTGACAGAGTGACACTGTCTCCAATATATATACATTTTTAAATGAAGTCTAGGATTTACTTTATGGCTTCAGGGTTGTCCTTCTGGTTTATGCTCCATCATGATGTTATATAATATTCATATATATATAATTTATTTATTTTTGAGACAGAGTCTCACTCTGTCACCAGGCTGGAGTGTAGTGGCATCATCTCGGCTCACTGCAACCTCCACCTCCCGGGTTCAAGCGATTCTTCTGCCTCAGCCTCCCGAGTAGCTGGGACTACAGGCAGGTGCCACCACGCCCAGCTAATTTTTGTATTTTTAGTAGAGACAGGGGTTCACCATGTTGGCCAGGTTGGTCTCAATCTCCTGACCTCGTGATCCACCTGCCTCGGCCTCTCAAAGTGCTGGGATTATAGGCGTGAGCCACCACACCCAGCCCGTATATATTTTATTATTTTTCATATTTAATTTTAATCCACTTGGAATTTGTCATTATATATAATATGTAGGGGTCCAGGATTTTTTCCTTACAGATTTATATCACATCAATCCTGTCAATTTTCACAAACTGAAAACACCTTTAATTTTCAATACATACATGGATATACATTGGAACTCTGCCTTCTACTGACGTTTTTGTCAACCATTATAACTTAGCATAAGTAGGTTTATAATAATTTTTTTTTGCAGCAGGGTCTCACCCTGTTGCCCAGGCTGGAGTGCAGTGGCATGATCAAGCCTCACTGCAGCCTCAAAGCTCTGGCGCTCAAGTGACTCTCCCACCTTAGCTTCCTAAGTAGCTGGGACTACAGGCACACACCACCATGCCCAGATTTTTTTTTTTTTTTTTGGTAGTGATGAGGTCTTACTATGTTGCCCAGGCTGGTCTCAAACTCCTAGGTTCAAGCCATCCTCCCACCTCAGCCTCCCAAAGTGTTGGGATTATAGGCGTGAGCCACCATGCTTGGCCCCTCTCAACTTATTTTTTCATACTTTTTAAGGTAAACGTCAGACATTTAGTCTTCCCTGTCTTGGGTACAACTGAGTGGGGATGGTGTTGTGGACAGTAAAGGAATTTTGCCAAAACAGTCATAGGTAAAGAAAGGCAGATTTATCAGAGAAAGTTTGAAGATACGTTGTAAGGGTTCAATGGGCAGCACAGCAGAGAAGAGGCTGTCTGAGAGGCAGGGGCTGGAGGTTTTAAGTTTTATAAGGTTGTGCTGGAAAGGCCACATGCAAAACAAGGTATCTGGGAACAGGATGTGTGCCAGCAGGTTGTCTGCAATTAGCCATCTATAGAACAATTGTTCTCTCTCACCTGGGACCCCTTCCTTCTTGTTGCTTACTTATCAGGACTCCACATTCCATATATTCTGATTCTGGATTTTTTTGTTTCAGTGATCTAATTCTGCTCTATGCCACATTATTTACTTTAGTTTATAATGCCCTCTAATATCTTGTAAGATGAGTCTTCCCATGTTACCTCTATCCACCAAATACTCTTAGTTGTTCATATATTTTTTCTGCCAATTAAAATGAAGTATAATTGTACTATAGGCCCCTGATCCCATTTAGCATATTGGTTAAATTGCCTTAAATCTATCAATTAGGCTTAGGGACAATTTCGGTTTTTTTTTTTTTGAGACGGAGTCTCGCTCTTGCCCAGGCTAGAGTGCAGTGGCGTGATCTCGGCTCACTGCAAGCTCTGCCTCCTGGGTTCATGCCATTCTCCTGCCTCAGCCTCCCGAGTAGCTGGGACTACAGGCACCCGCTACCATGCCCGGCTAATTTTTTTATATTTTTAGTAGAGACGGGGTTTCACCATGTCAGCCAGGTTGGTCTCGATCTCCTGACATGATCTGCCCGCCTCGGCCTCCCAAAGTGCTGGGATTACAGGCGTGAGCCACCGTGCCCGGCCAGGTTTTACAGTATTAAGTCTTCACTAAGGAGTACAGTTTATTTTCCTTTATATAGATGATGTCCAACCTTCTTAGGCTTATTTATACTTGTGTTCTTGCTTTTTGAATTGCATCATTTTTCCTACTATATATATTTTACTAGTCATCATTCACATGTACATTACAGCTAATCCAGATACTACAAAGCCCATAGTTGGTATCTAGCTAGGTAATAGCCACAATACCATTTTCATTTCAGAAAAGAAAGTGACAATGCAAAGGTGGACTTGAGACACAGAGGGAAAAAGGAACCTGGAAGATAGTATGCTAAATGAAATAAACTAGACACAGAATGACAAATACTGCATTATCTCACTTAAAGGTGAAATCTTAAAAAGTTGAACTCATAGAAACAGAGAGTAGAACAGTGGTTACCAAGGACTGGGGATGCAGGAGTGGGAGACAGGAAATGGAGAGATGTTGGTCAAAAAATAAAAACACTCTTTTTTTTTTTTGGAGACAGAGTCTTGCTCTGTCGCCCAGGCTGGAGTGCAGCGGCACGATCTCAGCTCACTGCAACCTCTGCCTCCCAGGTTCAAATGATTCTCGTGCCTCTGCCTCCCAAGTAACTGGGACTACAGGTGCGCACCACCACACGTGGGTAATTTTTTGTATTTTTAGTAGAGACAGGGTTTCACTATGTTTCCCAGGATGGTCTTGAACTCCCGAGCTCTGGCAATCCACCCACCTTGGCCTCCCAAAGTGCAAGGATTACAGACGTGAGCCACCACGTCTGACCTAAAAGGTAAAAACATTCTACGATGAACAAGTTCTGCAGATCTAAGGTACAGTATGGATGGTGATGGATGTATTAGTTGATTGTGGTAACCATTATACAACGCATACACATATCACATTTTAAAAACCCACTGTTTTAGGTATAAAAAAGAAAGACATGTATTTTTAAAAAATGAAAGAAAAACACCGAGAAAAGATGAGGCAAGCATAACAAACCTAGTGGTTTTCATTTGAAGGCAGTGGTTTTTAAACAAAAGTATTTTCACAAAAGGAATGAGAACATCTCAGTATTATATATTTGATACAATTCCCAAATAAATTGTCACAATAAAACAAGGTTGCTTATGCAGAACCCTTGAAATACAATGTATGTAAAAATATTTTTACTACTGTGCTCAAGAATAGAGATTTTGAGGACAATTCTTACATATTTAAGAAGCAAAAACTTTAGTTAATACTCAGACTTTATTCAACATCAGAAAATATGCAATGAAGAGAAAATCTACAATTTAAATCAGCTTGCAGATACATTTACTTCTGGATCACAACTTACTCAGCATTAGAAAATTCACACTGGCTGGGCGTGGTGACTCACCCTGTAATCCTAACACTTTGGAAGTCTGAGGGCAGGAAGAGGCCTTGAGTCCAGGAATTCCAGACCAGCGTGGGCAACATAGCGAGACACTATCTCTACAAAAAATTTAAAAAATTAGCCAGGTGTGGTGGCGCACACTTGTCCCAGCTACTCAGGAGGCTAAGGTGGCAGGGTCCTTTGAGACCAGGGTCCTTTGAGCCGAGGCTATAGTATGCCATGATCACGCCTCTAAATAGACACTGCATTCCAAACTAGGCAACATAATGGCATCCTGTCTCTAAAATAAATAAATAAATAAGAAAATATTTGGCTGGGTGCAGTGGCTCACACCTGTAACCCCAGCACTTTGGAAGGCTGAGGCAGGCGGATCACCTGAGGTCAGGAGTTCGAGACCAGCCTGGCCAACATATAGTGAAACCCCGACTCTACTAAAAATACAAAAAAATTAGCTGGGCATGGTGGCGTGTGCCTGTAATCCCAGCCACTCGGGAGGCTGAGGCAGGAGAATTACCTGAACCCACGAGATGGAGGTTGCAGTGAGCCAAGATCACGCCGCTGCACTCTAGCCTGGGCAACAAGAGCCAATAACTCCATCTCAAAAAAAAAAAAAATTGGCTACATGCAGTGTTTTTATCACATTAACCGGTATTATGGTGAAGTTACCTTTTGAAAAGTCATCTGGCGAAAACAACTGTTAACATCAGATGACAGTGACTTTGACAAAGCATTATACTACTAGGGTAAAAATGACTGAAGAGATTGGCGCAAAATGAGGAAAGGGGCTTCGTTTCTGAGAATACCAGCTCCACTCAACACTGGATACTCTCCTGCCTATGGAAATCCACAGGGGCAGTTGCAGAGAGTGCTGCATGTTTCATAGTGTTGGGATAGGACAATGAAAACTAACATTTACCAGGTGCCTGCCACGGGCTATTCCTGGGCTTGAGGCTCTAAAGATGTCCCTTTGAACAATAACAACAGCCATCTAGGTTAGGTGGTCCTTAGCTATGGCAGAAAAGAGGGGACTGAGGCCCAAGAAGCTAGTAAGTGGTGGATTCCAGTCTTTTCTTCCAATGGATTAGTAGACACCAATGGCCCAGGAAGGGTGTTTCTTGATTTTTGAATACTAACATCATGAATAGCAAATGCTGGCATGGCAATAAGGGCATGCCCTGCATCTGGTCACATTCAAATCATCAGTCCCTTCTCTTTCTGCATAAACACTTGATCTTACAGAATCAGGATATGGAGAGATGCTGGCCAGGGCCACAGATCAGGTGCTTCTGCAGTTTGCAATTTCTTTACTCTCCTCAGGACATATTAACCCTATCATACTATTAACCCTTTTCTGCCTACTGATAGTGATATCTGAAAAGGTTATCAAATCACCTCTCCTCTAGAAATAAATAGGTTGGTATCTCTAAACCTGGCCATCAGTAACACATACACATGAAATTCTGAATGAGCAGTAATTCACTGCTCACATGTCCAAGGGAAAACAGGCTCTTTTCCTGGGACTTGTACAGGAGGCTTGGAGAGAGTCACTTCCCAGGGTCTGGCTGTATTGAGTTTGCAGATTTAGGTTGTAACTCATCCAAACTATCTGGGGAATGCAAGTTAACCTGAGAGGAGAAAGAGAAAGAGGAAAAACACTCATGTTCAAATGGAAATTAAATACGTGTCTGATAGATTACACAAATGTCTTGGACACATCTATGAACAGTGTCTGGCACCAGCTGGCTCTAGCACAGAAGGGTTTGCTGTGTACCTGAGGGAGACTCTGTCATACTTGACCCAAAGAGGCCCGCTTGGTGACCAGGCAGGCATAGTAAGCATGGAGAACAACACTTGTTCTCTTTCTCCCAGACCCAGACAGGAAACAGAAAACTTTCCTCAAGTTTACTACAGGCCTTTTTAGCGGGCCATGTTGCCACTGGCTGGCATTCTCAGAGAAAACACCTCTCCGCTAAAAAGTAAAATCCAGATTCTCCCAGGGTGTCTAAGATCCTAGGAACCGGAGCCCCACCACTGGGTAGAGAACAATCAGAATGAGGCTTTCTTCCCTCACTTCGGGAGGTTGCTGGCTCTGAAGCCCGGCTCCAAAGCCCCTCTTCCAGGCCACTTCCCCGACTGAGCCAGACCTGTTGCTCTTAGGACGCTCTGAGCCAGGCCTAGGGCCCCGCTCCATGTGGCCTGCCTGGACCCTAGAGGGCCGCGCTCTGGAGCTGCCACAGATGCCAGAGGCGCGACTCTTTTTCCTATTCCTAGGAGCGGAAGACAGAAACAGTGGCCTTGGGGACAGAGGGGTGGGAACACCCCACGTCCACTGCAAGAGAACGAAGTGGAAGAAGGGATTTCGGCTTCGGAGCCGGCAGGGGCCTGGGCACTGGAAAGCCCGCGCGGAGTTCTCTCGCCTCTCGCCGCCCAGGTACGCCTCCCCGGACCTTTTGTACGACTTACCGTTGGAAATGGTCACACATTCCTTCTCCCCTTAGAGCGAACACTGTCATAACCACTGAAGCGCGGGCCGAGGAGCGCCACATCGGCCACAGGCTTTGTTGCCCCGCCTTCAAAGCCACTGCGCGTGCGCATTGCTTTGACTTCACGTTCCCAGGGGGCTGTGGGAAGCGGAAATGCTCGGCTGACCCGGAGGGTGGCGCTTCGTTCACACTGGCTGTTGTCATCCGCCCCTGAGGTTTCAGGCTGTCGGCAGTGAAGTAAGCGGGAGGGTGAGGTGGTGATGGTTTTGATCGGGGGAAGGGGGGACGGGAGGAATGACGGGAGTTTACGGGGCCGTGGGGTCATGGGGCCACGGGTGAGCGTCCTTGTGGGGATTGAGTGACACAGGCGGTGGGCGTGAGTGTTGGGGGCGAGGTTCGGGGCCAGCGAGTGACTAATTGATTGAGTCACTCAGCGCTTGTATCCTCACCCGGTGGTAACTGCCAGACACTCTTGCAAATGTTTCACATTAGCAGGAGCCCTGTGAGGTGTTACGATGATTATTTTCATGTTATAGAGAGAAAACGGTACAGTGTGGCTTGGCAACCTGTCCAAAGTCCCGTAGGTAGCAAACCCGAGGAATCCTTTTTCTTTTTCTTTTCCTGTACTTTGTTTATCATGTTTATTGTTTCCAGTGTGTCTCTTCCTCCAGACTAGAAATCTGGAGCTGGGAATTTGAGATTTTGTTCACTGATGGATTTGCAACACGGAGAACCGGCTCATGGAAGGCAATCATTTCTTCAGTGAATAAAAGTGGCACAGCAGCCAGTCAGTTGATTCCAAAGCCCGGACTCAGGAAGGCAGGGTTTCGCTCACTGAGGATAATTGAGCTGTGCATGAATGTTAACTCTTAAAACTAGAATGAGGGGTTGTCCCTCTTCTGTTGGGTAAAAACCTTTGGGTTTCACTCAACTTCACTGCATGGAAGGGAGCATAGGTGTTGCTAATTGAATCTCCTGTGGTCATTGTGTTTCCAGGGTCAGAGTGCAGACCTGAGACCACTGCTCACCGATTTCAGACTCCAGTTTATCTGTGCCTCGGCTTCCCCACTTAGTCGCAGAAGACTTAGGCTGAGGCCCCAGGAAGAGGTGAGTTCCCTGGGTCACAGGCAGAGATCTAGTGCTATAGTGATGGCCCCAACTGGGGTGTGTTTGTCTCTGAATCCCTTGGTCCTGCCGCCTTGGACACAAGAGAGGTACGCTGAGCTGAGGCGAGTTGGAGGAGAAGCCTCAGCAAGAGCCCAGACCCAGATCCTCAGAGCAAAGGAGGCTCACGGGACAGCAGGTCCTAGAAGAGCTGGACCCGTAGTGGCCTTTGTCCCTCACTTCAGCTGAGACAGAGCAAAGCTGGCTCTACTTCCAGGTGCCATGGAGGACCATGTGACAGTGCAGTTTGATTCCTGCTGGAGGAGGGACAGGTGAAAGTCACAGGTGGATGGAGGCATGGATGTCCCCCATGGGGGCAGGTGCCCTGCTGTAGTACCTGCAAAGGCGGGATGAGGCTGGGAAGGATCACAGCCAGCCACAGAGGATTGGCCTCTCCTAGCACACCTATTTGTGCACCCCCATGCTTCCTTCTCTTGCCATTGGCTATTTCTGAATTTGAGTCAGCCCCACACCATCAACCAGGCACCTGCTTCCAGGGGAAATGCTGAGTGTCCGTTCATCCTGACCAAAGTGCAGAAAATATATTTTTAGTTTATAGAATTTCAGAGTAGTCTCTAGGTATGCTGTCATCCAGCTCTGCTGCCTTATTTCAATGCTTAATGAAAGTGGGCCAGGGGACATGACCTGCTAAGCTACACGGAGCTGAACCCTGTTGTCCTGATGGTATCACAGTGATTGCTGCAGTATGAAATGGTTACTCTGCACAGAATCTCCTTGCTGGAACTTTCTTTTGAAAATCTGCCAAAGAAGGAGGAGCATGGCAATCAAAATGCAAATCATGGGAAAGGAGGAAGTGGTGGGGTGGGAGCAGGGTAGGTGGCCAGTTAGAGAGGTGGATGCAGGGAAGCAGGCACAGTGGTTTTCAGCCCCTCACAGAACTGACAGTGCTTGGCTGTTACCCACCCAGCCCCACACCTCTCCTTCCCTGCGGCCCTTTGAGCCCTGGTTGGGCTCCTTCCTCCAAACCACATGAAGAGATCTTACTCATACACACTTGGAGAGTGTCTTTTCACCTCTAGGGCTCTGTTTGATAAGAAGTGATTTTTTAATAAATTTTAATTTTTGTTTCATTAGTAATTAATATTCCTTGTCAAAAATGCAAATAAACAAGAAAATTAAAATCACCGAACAATGTAACCAATGTCAGCATTTGAATAAATGCTGTTTGAGGTCAGGCGCGGTGGCTCATGCCTGTAATCCCAGCACTTTGGGAGGCTGAGGCGGATGGATCACCTGAGGTCAGGAGTTTGAGGCCAGCCTGACCAACATGATGAAACCCCGTCTCTACTAAAAATACAAAAATAATTAGCTGGGCATGTTGGTGCATGCCTATAATTCCAGCTACTTGGGATGCTGAGGCAGGAGAATCGCTTGAACCCGGGAGGTGGAGGTTGCAGTGAGCTGAGATCATGCCACTGCACTCCAGCCTGGGCAACAAGAGCAAAACTGCATCTCAAAAAAAAACAAAAAAAAGAATAAATGCTGTTTGAGACTTCATATTTGTACATATTGCTTAACAAAAATGAGATTACACTGCAGTTGCTTTGTTGGAACCTCCCTTTAAACACCCAGGAACTGAAAACAAAGTTCAGAAACCATCTTTAAAGCCTGTGTAGTATGCTTGTTTTGCACGTGTCATATTTTTTTACTAAGTCCCCTTTGCTGCACATTTAGTTGCTTCGAAGATTTTTTTATTTTTTTGTTTATTTTTGAGCCAGGCTCTGACGTTGTCACACAGGCTGGAGTGCAGGGACGTGATCATGGCTCACTAACCTCGCACTCCTGGGCTCAAGAGACCCTCCCATCTCAGCCTTTTGAGTAGCTGGGACTACAGGCATGCACCACCACGCCAGCTAATTTTTTTAATTTTCGGTTTTGTAGAGACAAGGCCTTGCTATATTGTCTAGGCTGGTCTTGAACTCCTGGCCTCAATCAATCCTCCTTCAGCGCCCCCCGCATGCAGGGATTATAGGCAGATTTTTCATAGTGGAAATGACAATGGTGAACATTTTGCATCTTTGTGCTAGGAATAGAACTCTTGAGATAAAGGAGATGTTAAGTTGTTACTGGTTTCTGACATGTAGATGGCTTTGGACACAAGTCATACATCTGTCCAGTAAGGGAGACAAAGTTTCATGTGCAAAACCCACATGATCTTAGTAGCGTCCCATGGAATAGGCTGAAGCTACCAGGCCTTATTTTTAGATGATTCTTCCCAGGGTGCAAAGGTAATTATTATTAGGGTGGTGATGATGATCTTATGTCTATACCCACTGAACTCAACCCTTCTAATTCTGTATTTGTAGATCTCCATCCTTTGCAGGAGCACAACAAGATGGCCATGTCCCAGGTGAGTTCTAATGTACCCCTACTTTTTTTCCAGTGAAATTGAGGCAAAGTTTGGAATCTATATAATAAACTTGAAAATACCAATTATCCCCTCTTCTCTGGCTGTTTTCTGTTCAACTTGTCCTCAGCCTCTGGTTTCTCTAATCCTTCCCCTCACCAGGAGAGAGGAAAAACAAAAAGATACCTCTCTCTACTTGTTCTTCCAGAAACTGTACCTCATCTTTTCTTCTTCTTCTCAGAGAAGAATTGTTTAAATACATAGATTCACCTTGCTTTTTCCTCTTTCTTCACTTCTAGATCGCTTGGTCTTTTTTACTGTGTTTAAGAGAATAAGTTTGTGTATAATGTTTTAATGTACATAGAAGAAACTAGTAGCCAATAAAGTTTCTATTTCTTCTCCCCCCAGTACCACGTTCCTCCTTAGAGATGTCCACTGTTAACAGTTGGGTGAAACTGTGGGGTAGATGCATTTATGTCAGTTTAATGAACTAAAAACGTACACGTATATATTTTTTTTATGCTTTTACACAAATGGCATCATATTCCCATACCCATCTTGCTTTCTGAACCTGATTATATCCTGGGTGGTGTTCCTTGTCAATATATAAAGATTGTTTTAATTCCTATTTCATAGTATGGATGTATCATGTAACTATTTTTCTATTCACAGATATTTAGGTTTTTAATTTCTTTTTCTTTTTTTTTTTTTTTTGTGACGGAGTTTCACTCTTGTTGCCCAGGCTAGAGTGCAATGGTGCGATATCGGCTCACTGCAACCTCCGCCTTCCAGGTTCAAGCGATTTTCCTGCCTCAGCCAACCGAGTACCTGGGATTACAGGCATGTGCCACCATGCCCAGCCAATTTTGTATTTTTACTAGAGATGAGGTTTCTCCATGTTGGTCAGGCTGGTCTCGAACTCCCGACCTCAGGTGATCTGTCCACCTCAGCCTCCCAAAGTGCTGGGATTACAGGTGTGAGCCACCGTGCCTGGCCTTTTTTTTTTTTTTTTAAATGGAGTTTTGCTCTTGTCGCCCAGGCTGCGGTGCAGTGGCGTGATCTCGGCTCACTGCAACCTCTGCCTCCCAGGTTCAAGCGATTCTCCTATCTCAGCCTTCCAAGTAGCTGGGATTACGTGCACGTGCCACCACACCCGGCTAATATTTGTATTTTTAGTAGAGACGGGGCTTTACCATGTTGGCCAGGCTGGTCTCGAACTCCTGACCTCAGGTGATCTACCCACCTCGTCCTCCCAAAGTGCTGGGATTACAGGCATGAGCCACTGCACCTGGCCTAATTTTTTTTTACTATTGTATACAGTACCTCATGAACAATTTTCTCTGTATCTACTTGCTCTGTAGTACCAGTGTTTATGGAGGTTATACCTGGAAGTCGGGTTTTGACTAAAAGGTAGTGAGACTTAAATTTGCCCTCCGAAATCCTTCATAATTACTCCTTTCACTAAATGTAAAGACTAGATAATTTCTGCGTTCCATTTTTCCAGGCTATTAAAGATGAAAAGGTACCCAGTTCATTTTGTGAAGCCACTTAACCTGAAATTTGAAGAGGATACTACAAAAAAGAAAATTATAGACCAGTTTCCCTTAAGAACATGGATGTCAAAATGTAAAAGTATTCTGAATAGAGCATTAAAAAATTGAACATTTAAAAGTAATGCATACACATAGTAAAAATTCAAATGAAAGTTTTGTTCAAGAAAAGGCAAAAAATAATTCTCCCATCCTCAAGATTCCTTCATTTTTTGGTACAGTCTTTCAGAGAATATGTATGCTTATCTGTCTGGATGTATGAATCTTTCTTTTTTTTTTTTTGAGACAGAGTCTCGCTCTGTCGCCCAGGCTGGAGTGCAGTGGCAAAATCTCGGCTCACTGCGAGCTCCGCCTCCTGGGTTCCCGCCATTCTCCTGCCTCAGCCTCCCGAGTAGCTGGGACTACAGGCGCCTGCAACCACGCCCGGCTAATTTTTTGTATTTTTAGTAGAGACGGGGTTTCACCATGTTATCCAGGATGGTCTCGATCTCCTGACCTCGTGATCCGCCCTCCTCGGCCTCCCAGAGTGCTGGGATTACAGGCGTGAGCCCCCGCACCCGGCCAGGATGTATGAATCTCTTTGTCTGCTCACTCCTGTGTGTGCTAGTTCTCACTCTGACACGCTTTTTCTCTAACAAATTAGAGCTCATTCTGGTCCTTCTGGTCTTGTCTTCATGATCATTCCACTTTACTTGTATTTAGTTGTCCCTAGGGTTTCTTACTGCGGCACTATTGTCATTATGGTTCTGATCATTATTTGTTGTGGCTGCTTTCTTGTGCATTGTATGTGTAGCAGGGTCCCTGGCCTCTATCTCTACTAGGTGCCAGTAGAATCCCTCCCCAAGTTTTGGCAACCAAAGTATCTGTAGTCATTGCCAAATATCCCCTAGGGGAGAGAATTATCCAATGTTTAAAACCAGTGGTCTACCTTGTTTGCAAAAGCAACTGCTTGGTATTTCATTGCATGGGAACACCAATATTCATTTACCTTTCTCCTAGTGATGAACATTTAGGACATTTCTAGTCTTTTGCTGCTATAAACAGCATAGCAATGTACAGTACATTCCGTTGCCTGCATGTGAGTATGTCAGATGTGAGATTTCTAGGTCAGATTCATGTGCATCATGAATTTTGATTCAGAACTGTCAATTTGCCCTCCAAATAGAATATACTGATGTGTACTCCTAGCGGCAGTATATGCCTTTTCACGTAAGTGGGCAATCACAGTGCATTATCCAATGCTTTGATTTTTGCCATGATGCAGCATATAAGAATGGTGCATTTTAATTCACATTTCCTGAAATTAGTGTCTTTTCATATTTTTTGTTTGTTTGTTTTTTGGAGACAGGGTCTCAGTCTGTCACCCAGGCTACAGTATGGTGGCACGATCACAGCTCACTGCAGCTTCGACCTCCTAGGCTCAGGTGATCCTCCTGCCTCAGCCTCCTGAATAGCTGGGACCACAGGCGTGTGCCACCACACCTGGCTAATTTTTGTATTTTTTGTAGAGATAGGATTTTGCCATGTTGCCCAGGCTGGTCTCTAACTCCTGAGCTCAAGTGATCTACCTGTCTTGGTCTCCCAAAGTGCTGGGATTACAGGTGGGAGCCATTGCACTGGGCTATTTGTTTTTTGAGACAGAGTCTTGCTGTGTTGCCCAGGCTGGAGTGCAGTGGTGTGATCATGGCTCACTGCAGCCTCAACCTCCCAGGCTCAAGCAGTCCTTCCACCTCAGCCTCCCAAGTAGCCAGGAATACAGGTACATGCCACCACACCTGGCTAATTTTTCAATTTTTTGTAGAGCTGGAGTCTTACTGTGTTGGCCAGGTTGTTCTCCAATGCCTGAATTCAAGCAATTCTCCTACCCTCGCCTTCCAGTATGGTGAGATTACAGGTGTGAGCCACTGTGCCCAGTCTTCTTTTCATTTTTTTTAACCATCATTTGTACTTCCTTATTTCAATTATTTATTCTAGTCATTTGCCTCCTTTTCTCTTGGGTGTGGAATTAATTTGATTGCTGGATGGTAGCCCTTTATGTTAACTCAAGTAAATAAGATCTCTATCATATATGTTGCAAATATTTTTTCATACTTCATTTGCTTTGACTTGTCTTATTAATTTTGGGGAGTGGACACTTACATTTTGTTAATGTGGTCTAATTTCACAATCTTTTGTGACTTCTAGATTTCTTTTATTGCTTATATAGGATTCTGTGAGTCAAGATTATAAAAATGGTATTTCAGTTATGTGGAAAAAGTGGTTACTGAATGATGGTGGCACAGTTGAGTATCTGTATGGAAACAAAGACTCTTCTATATCATATAAAAGTGAATTCTAGATTGGTTGTAGACCTAAATATATATTTGAAAAATTGGGTAAAAATTTAGGAGGATATATGGATAACTTTATGCAGTGCAAGAAACTTTTTTTTTTTTTTGAGATGGAGTCTCCCTCTGTGGCCCAGGCTGGAGTGCAGTGGCACGATCTCGGCTCACTGCAACCTCCGCCTCCCGGGTTCAAGCAGTTCTCCCACCTCAGCCACCCAGGTAGCTCAGACTACAGGTATGTGCCACCATACCTGGCTAATTTTTGTATTTTTAGTAGAGACGGGGTTTCACCCTGCTGGCCAGGCCGATCTTGAATTCCTGACCTCAACTGAACTGCCTGCCTCAATCTCCCAAAGTGCTGGGATTACAGGCGTGAGCCACCACGCCTGGCCCTGCAAGAAACATTTTTAATGAAGATGGAAAACCCAGAAATCATAAAGGGAAATATTGTCAGATTAGACTGTATTAAAATGTTAAAACCTGTAGAGTCAGAAGACATATTTGAAGCTGAGAGAAAATACCTGCAATGCATATAATACACAGAGGATTTATGTATGTAATATGAACAATGATTAAAAAACAAAAAAATGTGGTAGAAAGGAGTCAAAAAGATAAGGCAGGCAATTTATAAGAAAAAAATATGATGCCATTTGAAAGGATATTTACTTTTTCCAGTTTTCAAGCCAGGAAAACAGGGCCAATTTTCATTCCTCCCTTTCTGTTGCATTCCAACAAATGAACCCAGTCTCAGCCCTTCTACTGTTTGCCTTTCAGAATTTTTTTGTTTTATATATATACAAAACCACAACATTTTGCATGGGTTGTTTTTAATGAAAATATGCTCCTACTGTGCTTTTCTGAAATTTGCTTTTTTTTTTTTCATTTAGACAAAAGTATCCCAGGCATCCTTATGTGTGAGTCAATTTTTTTTTTGAGACAGAATCTTGCTCTACAGGCTGGAGTACAGTGGTGCGATCTCGGATCACTGCAACCTCCACCTCCCGAGTTCAAGAGATTCTCCTTTCTCAGCCTCCTGAGTAGCTGGGATTACAGGCTCACGCCACCAGGCCCAGCTAATTTTTGTATTTTTAGTAGAGATGGGGTTTTGCCATGTTGGCCAGGCTGGTCTCAAACTCCTGACCTCAGTTGATCCACCTGCCTCGGCCTCCCAAAGTCCTAGGATTACAGGCGTGAGCCACCACACCCGTCCTGTGTGAGTCAATTTTTATCATGACAGTTCCAGAGTATAGATGGAGCAATTTATTTAACTACGCTCTAGTCCTAGTCCACATGCAGATTATTTACCAATCAGGGGTCATTTTTCTCATAAGCAATGTCACCTGGTAATACAGCTGTTGTTCTACCATTTTGGGGTTCCCAGGAACACAGGACATTTGGGTTTTCTTTCTTTTTCTTTTATTTTTTTCTTTTTCCTTTTTTTTGAGACAGAGTCTCACTCTGTTGCCCAGGCTGAAGTGCAGTGGCATGATTTTGGTTCACTGCAACCTCAGCCTCCTGGGCTCATGCAGTTCTTCCACTTTAGCTTCCTGAGTAGCTGGGACTACAGGCACAAACCACCATGCCCGTCTAACTTTTTTTTTTTTTTTTTTTTGAGACGGAGTCTTGCTGTTGCCAGGCTGGAGTGCAATGGCACGATCTCAGCTCACTGCAACCTCTGCCTCCTAGGTTCAAGCGATTCTCCTGCCTCATCCTCCTGAGTAGCTGGGACTACAGGTGCGTGCCACCATGCCCAGCTAATTTTTGTATTCTTAGTAGAGACAGGGTTTCACCATGTTGGCCAGGATGGTCTCGATCTCTTGACCTCGTGATCCGCCTGCCTCAGCCTCCCAAAGTGCTGGGATTATAGGAGTGAGCCACTGCGCCTAGCCCTTTTTTATTTTTGTAGAGATGGGGTTTCACCATGTTGCCCAGGCTGGTTTCAAACTCCTGAGCTCAAGCGATCCACCTGCCTTGGCCTCCCAAAGTGCTGAGATTACAGGTGTGAGCCACTGTGCCAGACCTTTTAGAGCTTTCTTCTACTTTTTGTTAATACGAATAGGACTGCCTTGGACATCCTTATGTACACATAAATATTTCACTAGAATAGAGTCCTGTAAATGCAACTGCTGGTTAAAGTAAGAAACAAATACCTTTAATAGGTATAACCAAATTATGTATCAATCAGCCTTTATATGAGAGTATTTAATTTCTAATACTCTTCATCAGCAGTGACTCTTATGGATAAAAGACAATATCTTATTATTTAATGAGCATATATGTGACTTTTAGTGAGGCTTATAATCTTTTTGTGTTTCTAGGCCTCTAACATTTCTGTTGCTATGAGCATTTTATTCATACTGTTGGGCTGTCTCTTCTTACTGATGTGTTAAAGGTATAGGGTAAAATCCTAGAAAGGTCATTGCTTTGTTAAACGGTATTTGCAATGTAAAATTTGATATATATTAACCAATTATTCCTCCCAAAAATGCTGTAAATAGTTTATAACTTCTTTGGTGTTTTTTCTACATACTTGACTGTACTAAGTATTATTAACCTTTTTAGTTTTTAAGACTATGAAAGGGATACATGGTAAGTTATATATTTATTTTATATTCATTCAGTTATATGTTAGGTTGTGGTCTTTTTCATAATGATTTGTTAGAATTTTAGTGTATAAAGGAAATTAGCCCATTGTTTTGTATATTTCTAATACTTTTCTCACTTTGATATTGATGTTTCATAATATAATTTTTGGCCAAGTGCTGTGGCTCATGCCTGTAACCCCAGCACTTGGAAGGCTGAGGCAGGAGAATTGCTTAAGCTCGGGAATTTGAGACTAGCCTGGGCAACATGGCAAAACCTTGTCTCTACAAAAAATACAAAAATTAGCTGGACGTGGTGGTGCGTGCCTATAGTTCCAGCTACGAGGGAAGCTGAGGTGGGAGGATCGCTTGAGCCCAGGAGGTCGAGGCTGCAGTGATCTGTGAGCATGCCACTGCATTCCAGCCTGGGCAACAACAGCAAAACCCTGTCTCCAAAAAAAAAGAAAAAAAATTCATTCTGCTATTTAGAAATTTCTAATGTCTAGGCAGTCATGTTGATCAGTCTGTGACTGTATGTCTTCTGAATTTGGGGATTGCTTAGAAAGGCTTTTAGCCGGCTGGAAGCGGTGGCTCACACCTGTAATCCCAGCACTTTGGGAGGTTGAGGTTGGTGGATCACTTGAGGTTAGGAGTTCGAGACCAGCCTGGCCAACATGGTGAAACACCGTCTCTACTAAAAATACAAAAATTAGTTGGGTATGGTGGCGGGTGCCTGTAGTCCCAGCTACTTGGGAGGCTGAGGCAGGAAAATCACTCGAACCCAGGAGGCAGAGGTTGCAGTGAGCTGAGATCACAACACTGCACTCCAGCCTGGGCAACAGAGTGAGACTATGTCTTGAAAAAAAAAACACAGAAAAGAAAGGCTTTTAGCCACTGTAAAATTATAAAAACTTTGATCTATTTTATGGTTATCTTGTACACATTTAAATCTCTAAGGCTGGGTGCGGTGGCTCACACCAGTAATTCCAGCAATTTGGGAAGCTGACACGGGTGGATCATTTGAGCTCAGAAGTTCGAGACCAGCCTGGCAATATGGTGAAACCTCGTTTCTACAAAAAATACAAAAATTAGCTGGGTGAGGTGGCGTGTGCCTGGAGTCCCAGATACTTTGCGGGGCTGAGGCAGGAGGATCACTTGAGTTCAGGAGGATCGCTTGAGCCCGGGAGGTTGAGGCTGCAGTGAGCCATAATCTCACCACTGCACTCCGGCCTGGATGACAGAGGGAGACCTGTCTCATCCCTGTGTAATTTATTTGAGGGTTCAGAGTGAGATGGGTAATTCAGTTTTATTGAGTTATTTTCCTCCATAAATACCTAGCCAGAAGATATGGTTTGGCTGTGTCCCCACCCAAAATCTCATCTTGAATTGTAATCCCCACGTGTCAAGGGCGGGACCAGGTGAAGGTAATGGGTCATGGGGGCGGTTTCCCCCATGCTGTTCTCATGATAATAAGTGAGTCTCATGAGAGCTGATGGTTTTATAAGCTTCTGGCATTTCCCCTGCTTGCACATCTCCTTCCTGCCACCTTGTAAAGAAGGTGTCTTGCTTCCCCTTCACCTTCCGCCATGAGTGTAAATTTTCTGAGGCCTCCCCAGCCATGCTGAACTGAGTCAATTAAACCTCTTTCCTTTATAAATCAGCCAGTCTCAGGTATGTCTTTATCAACAGCATGAGAACGGACTAATCCACCAGATTTTCCTAATGTCATCTTTTCTGCATAGATTTTATGTGTGTGTGTGTGTATATATATATATATATATATATATTTTTTTTTTTTTTTTTTTGAGACAGGGTCTCACTCTATCACCCAGGCTGGAGGACTGGAGTGCAGTGGCATGATCTCGGCTCACTGCAACCTCCACCTCCCGGGTACAAGCGATTCTCCTGCCTCAGCCTCCTGAGTAGCTGGGATTATAGGTGATTCTCCTGCCTCAGCCTCCCGAGTAGCTGGGATTATAGGCGTGCACCACCACACCTGGCTAATTTTTGTATTTTTAGTAGAGACAGGGTTTCTCCATGTTGGCCAGGCTGGTCTCGAACTCCTGACCTCAAGTGATCCACTCGCCTCGGACTCCCAAAGTGCTGGGATTTCAGGTGTGAGCCACCGTGTCTGGCTGATTTATTTTTGCTGTAACCAGCCAGTGGGTTATTCCCACCCACTGCACAGTCAAAACCAATTCACTGAGACCACGGCATTGCAATAAAGAGTTTAATTGATGTAAGTCTGGCCATGCCACATGGGAGATGGAGTTATTACTCAAATCAATCTCCGAAAATTTGGAGGGTAGGGTTTTTCAAGGATAGTTTGGTAGGCCATGGATTCAGCTTCTGGGTGGGGCCATAGGACCGGTTGGTGGAGGTTGGCCAGTCCTGGTGGAGCCACTGGTCGTCAGAAATGCAAAAACTTGAAAAAATGCCTCAAAAGGCCAATCTTAGGTTCTATAATGGTGATATTATCTGCGGGAGTAATTGGGGAGTTCCAAATCTTGTGACCTCCGGAATAATAGCTGGAAATCTTTTATGTCTACATGTTAGCAGATTTTAGCCTCCTCATATCCTCCTAACCTTGTGGCCTCTCAGCTTTACAAAGGTGGTTGAGTTTTGCAGAAGGCTATTATAAGCTTGTCCAACCCACAGCCCATGAGCCACATGCGGCCCAGGATGGCTTTGAATGCGGCCCAATACAAATTTGTAAACTTTCTTAAAACATTATGAGACTTATTGTGACTTTTTTTGTGATTTTTATTTTTTAGCTCATCGGCTATCTTTAGTGTTGGTGTATTTTATATGTGGCCCAAGACAATTCTTCCAATATGGCCCAGGAAAGCCAAAAGATTGGACACCTGTGGTCTATTATCTTTTAAACTATAAAACAAATGTCTCTCAAAGTTTTCTTGGGCCAGGCCGAGGAATGATTAAGGGTAATTTGGAGGTTAAAGGCAAGATAGGGGTTGGTTAGATCAGATCTCTTTCAATGTCATAATTTTCTCACTCTTACAATTTTTGTGAAGGCAGTATCATTCTTTTTTGAACTTGACACTGCGTGGTTTATTTAGTCCAATAATTTTTTTTGCGACTTAACGAGACAAAGGGTTTAAACTCCATTGATGTTTTTTCTCTCTCTCTAATGATGAATTTACCAAAACACAAAGATATGTGACACAATGAATTGCTCATGTTTTAAACTAAGAACTATGTTTTTTCTCTTTGCTATATGATTAGTAGAATGAGTCAGTTCCCAAGACATGACCAGTTTCAAAGTGGAGTGAAAATGCAGAGGTTTTCTGCATGATACTTCTCAAAGTCACCAGGAGACTATTAAAAGATTTGAGATGAAGTAACACAGTAGTAAGATTCCTAATAGAGGAGGTTTAGTTGTTAAGAGAGTCACATACATACTTTGTTTTGTTTTGTTTTTTGTTTTTTTGAGACGGAGTTTTGCTCTTGTTGCCCAGGCTGGAGTGCAGTGGCGTGATCTCGGCTCATCACTGCAACCTCCACCTTCTGGTTTCAAGCGATTCCCCTGCCTCAGCCGCCTGAGTAGCTGGGATTACAGGCGCCCGCCACCACGCCTGGCTAATTTTTGTATTTTTAGTAAAGACGGAGTTTCATCATGTTGGCCAGGCTGGTCTCGAACTCCTGACCTCGTGATTCGCCTGCCTCGGCTTCCCAAAGTGCTGGGATCACAGGCGTGAGCCACCGCGCCTGGCCACATACATATGTTTTATTTTTTTTAATTTATTTTATTTTATTTTATTATTTTTTATTATACTTTAAGTTCTAGGGTACATGTGCACAGGCAGTATCATTTTTATGAAGTAACCTCTGACACTCTACTCAGAGGATCTGTTAGTGGTTATTAACTTTCATCATCATTGTCATATTTAGCTGTGTGTGACTAGAAACGTGACAGTGGAATGATGGCTGTTTTACTGGGTCTGAGAGATAAGGAAGGAAACCCAAGTTTTTCCTACTGTCTACTCTCACTTGACACAACACTCCTGACACGAGATGTAATCCCAGGCCCCAGGCTGTTTACCCAAATACCAAGTCATTCTCCAGTGGACACCAGCTGGGTCTCCTCTAAGTCAATTCCATTCTGACACCATCTACCTGGAGTTAGCGTCAGCTCCCACAGGTTGAGGCTTAGTCCCACAAGACTACCCCCACCTGAGATGCCAGTCTCGAGTAGGGTATCATCTATACATCTGATTGATGGGACACAAATCAGGGGTTCCCTTGACTCCCTCCTGGTGTTTGATTAATTTGCTAGAGTGAGTCACAGAACTAACGGAAACTGAATTTCCCCTATTTGTTATAAAGGATATTACAGAAGATACAGATGAACCGCCAGATGGAAGAGATGCATAGGGCAAGGGATGTGGGAAGGTCCACAGACCTTTCATGCCCTCTCTGGACTCACTACCATCCGGGAACCACCAAGTGTTCAGCTGTGTGGAAGCTGTCTGAACCCACCCAGCCCTTTGGTTGTTGTCCTTGTTGTTGTTTTTGAGAAACAAGGTCTTGCTCTGTCCCCCAGGCTGGAGAACAGTGGTGCAGTCTTGGCTCACTGCAGGCCCAACCTCCTGGCCTCAAGTGATCCTCCCTTCTCAGCCACCCTTAGTGCTGGGATCACAGGAGCCAGCCACCACACCCAGCCACAGTGGGGTTTTTCGGAGGCTTCATCACAGAGGCATGATCATCATTGGCCCTTGGTGATCAACTCAACCTTCATCTCCTCTCCCCTCCCAGGAGTTTTGAGGATGGAGATGAAATTCCCAACCTTCTAATCCTGTCTGGTTTTCTGGTGACCAGCTTCCATCCAGAAGCTACCTAGGGGCAGCCAGCTAACAGTCATCTCATTAGCATATAAAAGACACTTTGATCACTTCAGAGGCTATTCCAAGGGTTGCAGGAGCTTCTTGCCAGGAGACAGGACAAAAACCAAATATATATTTCACAATATCAAACCAGGTGACATTACTCCAGATAAAATTGACTCTGGATTGGTTAAACAAACTGCATCTGGACTGGAGGACTGAGTAAACTATGACTGGCTGGTAGGAAGCCATGGATTGGGGTTTTCTGAGCACATTGTCACTCAGTGATATGTAACTGGGCCCATCTTTTGCTGGGATCCTCGAAGCCATGCCACTGGGACCATTACAAGAGATACTGGTCTATGGAACAGGTTAGGGCTTCCAAGCAACATCATCCTAGCACTCCGCAGTGTGGTTTTGTTCCCCAGCACCGGAGCTATCACGAGGGAGGGGCAGATTGGGCTAACAGCTCCTGGATTGCTCTGAGAAGCCCTCCTGCTGGAGAAACCTGCCTGTCCCCGCCCTCTGGCACACTGGCTTTCCTGCCCCTCTCCTGCACAGCTGGGTAAACTGGTGCCACTGTGGCTGATTTGGGCCTTATGGGTGCAGCGAGTGGCTTGAATTGAAGGCCACCAAGTGTGGGCGTTACAGGATAGGATCTGGAGCAGAAACAGGCGGGTTATTAGTCTTTGCAAGGAATTGGGGGCACTTGTAGAAGTGAGTTCTTGTTTGGTGGTGACAAGGCCAAGCACAGACCTTTCCCCTTTTGCTTCAGTCAGCTGCCCAGGCCACAAACCTCTGGCTTCCTGTTCTTTGTTTCATGATTGATGAGTGAAGGTTAGAACGGTTTGTCATGATTGATTAGCTATGTTTAGAACTGTTTGTTGTAGCTCTGTGTCCCCTGCAAGGCCTGCTCTGTCAGCGCTAAGCAGAATTGACTTCTTCCTTTGTGGACAACCCGGACCCCGTCCTACATCTGTCACTGTCCCTGTGAGGCAGGCTTCCTCGCTGCCTCTGTTTCTTCTATGAGTGTCTAAGTGTCGCTTTTCTCCCTCCACTAAACTGAAGCTCCTTGAGTTTAAGAGGTGTCTTTTTTTTTTTTTTTTTGAGATGGAGTCTCGCCCTGTTGCCCAGGCTGGAGTGCAATGGCGTGATCTTGGCTCACTGCATCCTCCGCCTCCTGGGTTCAAACGATTCTCCTACGCCAGCCTCCCGAGTAGCTGGGATTACAGGTGCCCGCCACCATGCCCAGCTATTTTTTGTATTTTTAGTAGAGATGCGGTTTTACCATATTGGCCAGGCTGGTCTTGAACTCCTGACCTTGTGATCCGCCCGCCTAGGCCTCCCAAAGTGCTGGGATTACAGGCGTGAGCCATCACGCCCGGCCAAGGTGTCATTTTGTATCAATCTTTATGTCACAGGACTTACCAGCCTGGCCTCTATTCAGTAAACATGTGTTGAATGAATGAATTTCCAGGGTAAGATATTTCTCATACTCTATCTCTTTCTCCTATAAAGTTCAAAATGATTTTAGTCATATACTCTATGTAATATGCTATGCCAAACTGACTAGTGACTGGCATAAGAACAGTTATATAAAGAAAGGCCAGCGTGGATGCGGGAGCCAGACTGCGTGGATTCGAATCCCTCATTCCTGGCTGTGTGACCTGGACTGGTTATTTAGGCTCTGTGTGCCTCACACTCTTCATCTGTCAAGTTCCTTCTAGGGTGGCGGCGAAGACTGAAATCTTTAGTACATGTAAAGGACCTCAAAGGGCACAGAGTAAGCCCTCCGTGTGTGTGAGGTGCCATGTCCCAGTGCCCCAGGCTGGTCCTGGGGTGCTAAAGAGGAATGTGCCGTTACAGGAATCATTGACCTTCAAGGACGTGTTTGTGGACTTCACCCTGGAGGAGTGGCAGCAACTGGACTCTGCCCAGAAGAACCTCTACAGGGATGTCATGCTTGAGAACTACAGCCACCTGGTGTCCGTGGGTGAGGGACCGCGCCACAGGGTGATGCAGAATGCCTCCAGTACTGTGTTTCTTTCTCAGCTGCTCCAAGCTCTGGGGCCTAGGAACAATGAGTGTGGGTTACCACCCTCAGTGAGTTTGGGTTACTGCCCACTGTGTAGTATTTGTAGTCTCCTTTGGACACTGGAGAGCATATTGGTGCCCTTGCTTGCTATGTGAATGTTCTGTACTGAGGGGCAGATAGCTGTGTGCATGGGGCCATCACCGAGGCCGTGCCACCTTCAGCCTGCAGGGGTGGGCCTAGGTTCTGGAATTCCTCAGCATTAATAACAAAGTCCTATGTCATGTCCCCTAAACAGGGCATCTAGTTGGGAAGCCAGATGTGATCTTCAGGTTGGGACCAGGTGACGAGTCCTGGATGGCAGATGGAGGGACCCCGGTACGGACCTGTGCAGGTGAGGACAGGCCAGGTGAGTCAGGCCAGGGAAAAGGGACCAGGTTGGTTGGTGAGAGCTTGGCCTCTGGGATGTGCTCAGGAGCTCTTCTCAGAGCCTCGGACTTGTGGACATGCCTAGGCTCTGATGAGCAGAACTGTTGTCATGTCCAAATGAGGCTTCTGCCTGGCCGCCGGTTACAGGCTCTGTGTTCTTTGCTTGGCATTCACATAGATTGTGGCCACTCTTGTTCTGAGATCCCATTTCTACCTTCCAGCCTCCTGGCTTGTTAGTGAGAAGTGCCAAGCCCCTTCTCATTCCTCTCACCCTGTCCTTTCTGGAAGCTTTTAGAACTTTTTCTCCCTTCTTGTGCTTATGTATTTTTACCAGACTAGATGCAAATGTCAGCATTTCCTCTTTATTGGGCATACTGTGGGCCCTTTCAGGCTGAAAGTTGGAGTCTTTTTTTTTTTTTTAGACTCAAGGAAATTATCATACATTATTTTTTGGAGTTGGTATAGGCAACAAAGCTTTGCTGGTGACCTTTACTCTACCCAGCCTGGTACCCACCATGTTCTTGCCTGCTCTTATTTTGTGGTAAACACTGTAAACCTCACACTGTTTTCTATTTTCTCTTTGTATTCCTTCCCAGACTCTTACAAATCTGACTTGATGCCACCTGTTTTCAGATTCCTCCTGTTTTCAGTACCTTCCTCCCACTCAACTCTTGTTTTTTATATTATCTCTTTATTTATTCAAAAATAAACTTGAGAGAACATTATTCCCAGGTTGGAATACTTTATAAAACACTGCTAAACTGTTTTCCAACATGGCTATACCACTTTTTTTTTCCGCTAGCAATGTATGTGAGTTCCACGTGTTTCACATCCTTGCCAGCACTTGGTATTGTTAGTGTTAGTCCTTTTTTCTAGTAGGTGTGTAGGGGGATCTCATTGTGATTTAATTTTGCATTTTTCTAATGATGAATATTGTTGAGCCCTTATTTGCTATCTTTATATCTTCTTTGTGGAAGTATTTGTTGTAATCTTTTGCCATTTTTCTTTGCTATTAAATTGTAAGGTTCTTTATATATCTTTTTTTTTTTTTTGAGATGGAGTCTTGCTCTGTTGCCCAGGCTGGAGTGCAGTGGTGCAATCTCAGCTCACTGCAACCTCGCCTCCTGGGTTCAAGCAAGTCTCCTGCCTCAGCCTCCCGAGTAGCTGGGATTACAGGCACCCGCCACCATGCCCAGCTAATTTTTGTATTTTTAGTAGAGACGAGGTTTTGCCATGTTGGCCAGGCTGGTCTCGAACTGACCTCAGGTGATTCACCTGCCTTGGCCTCCTGGAGGGCTGGGATTACAGGTGTGAGCCACTGTGCCCAGCAGGTTCTTTATATATTCTTGATGCAAGTCCTTTAAGTATGTACTCCCAGATTATGGCTTCTTTTTTTCTTAACTGTGCTTTGTAGAGTAGACGTTTTTAATTTTGATAAGGCTGAGTTTATCAAGTTCTTTTATGGTTCATGCCTTTTGTATCCTATCTAACAAATCTCTGACTCAGAGCAATGGAGATTTTTCTCCTATGCCTTCTTTCAGAAGATTTATAATTTTAGCTCTTAAATTTAGACCTATGACAAAGAATGAGTTAAGTTTGTAAATCTGACATGAGGTGAGGGTCAGGGGGCTTTTTGCATATGTATATCCAATTTTTCCAGCAGCAGTTTTGAAAATACTCTTCGTTGTTGTTGTTGTTGTTGACTTACTTTGCCATCGTTGCTGATAACCTTTGAATGGCCGGGCACAGTGACTCAGACTTGTAATCCAAGCACTTTGGGAGGCTGAGGTGGGAGGATCAGTTGAGCCTAGGAGCTTGAGACTAGCCTAGGCAACATAGTGAGCCCCCGTGTATAAAATATTTAAAAAATTTGCCAACCATGATGGCATGCACTTGTACTCCCCACTACTTGGGAGGTTGAGGTGGGAGGATTGCTTGAGCACGAGAGGACGAGGCTGCAGTGAGCCGTGATCACGCCACTGCCACTCCAGCCTGGGGTATAGCAAGACCCTGTCTCAAAAAAAACCAAACAGTTGAACAGAGATGTGTCTGTCTATACATCATTAATACACTGTTTAATTACTGTAGCCTAACATTAAGTGTTCAAATCAGGAAGTATGAGTTTTCCAACTTTGTTCTTCCTTTCCTAATGTTTTGCCTATTCTAGGTCCTTGGTATTTTTATATAAATCTTAGAATCAGCTTGTGAATTTGTACACAAAAGCCCGCAGGGATTTTTGTATGGGATTACACTGAATCTGTGGATCATTGATATACTGACAATATTGAGTCTTCCAATTAATGAATAGCATGTATCTCTATTTAGATCTTCTTAAATTTTATCTCAATGTTTTGTAGTTTTGAATGCATAAGTCTTTCACATTTTGTTTAATTAATACCAGCTTTTTTTGTTCTTATAAGATACTATAAGTGGTATTTTGTTTAATTTCAATTTCCCATTGGCCAGTACTATCTTATAGAAATGCCATTGATTTTTGTATATTGATCTTGTACCCTGGGACCTTTCTAAGTGTACATATTAAAACTTGTAACTTTTTTGTAGATAGCTTGTAACTTTTTTGTAGATAGCTTGACATTTCCTATGTAAACAATCATGTAGTTGTAAATAAAGACAGTTTTATTTCTTCCCTTCCAATCTGGATGTCCTTTACTTCTTTTTTTGCCCTCTTTTTTTTTTTTGAGAAGGAGTTTCGCTTTTGTTGCCCAGGCTGGAGTGCAATGGTATGATCTTGGCTTACCACAACCTCCGCCTCCTGGGTTCAAGCGATTCTTCTGCCTCAGCCTCCCAAGTAGCTGGGATTACAGGCATGCACCACCATGCCCAGCTAATTTTTTTTTTTTTTTTTGTATTTTTAGTAGAGATGGGGTTTCTCCATGTTCATCAGGCTGGTCTCGAACTCCCAGCCTCAGGTGATCTGCCTGCCTCGGCCTCCCAAAGTGCTGGGATTACAGGTATGAGCCACCATGCCCGGCCTCTTTTTGCCATTTTTTACTGGCTAGGATCTTTAGTATTGTGTTGAATAGGCATAGTGAGAATGACTTCTTTGCTTTATTCCTGATTTTAGGGCAAAAGTACTCACTTTCTCATCATTAAGTATAATTTTTTATTTGTAGAGTTTTCCATTGGTGGGCTGACAATGCTTGAGGATTATTCCTTTTAATCTTAGTTTTTTGAATTTTTATCATGAATTGATGCTGAATGTTGCAAATGCTTTTTCTGCATCAATGAATATGATCATACTTCTTCTCCTTTATTTTTAAATTAATTAATTATTATTATATTTAGAGATGGAGTCTCGTTCTGTTCCCAAGGCTGGAGTGCAGTGGTATGGTCATAGCTCATTGCAGCCTCGAACGCCTGTGCTGAAGTGATCTTCCTGCCTTAGCCTCCAGAGTAGCTGGGACTACAGGCATGTACCACCATGCCCAGCTATTTTTTAAATTTTTTGTAAAGATGAGGTCTTGTTGTGTTGCCCAGACTGGTCTTGAACTCCTGGCCTCAAGTGATCCTCCATCTCAGCCTCCCAAAGTGCTGGGATTACAGGTGTGAGCTACCATGCCTAGTCAATTTGCAGATTTTTCTTTTTTTTTTTTTTCTTTTTTTCTTTTCGAGACGGAATCTCTGTTGCCCAGGCTGGAGTGCAGTGGCACGATCTCAGCTCACTGCAACCTCCACCTCCCAAGTTCAAGCGTTTCTCCCACCTCAGCATCCCTGGGATTACAGGCACCTGCCACCATGCCTGGCTAATTTTTTTTGTGTGTATATATATAGAGACGGGGTTTCTTCGTGTTGGTCAGGCTGGTCTCGAACTCCCCTGACCTCAGGTGATCCACCCGCTTTGGCCTCACAAAGTGCTGGGGTTACAGGTGTGAGCCACCATGCCTAGCCAATTTGCAGATACTGAACCAGCCTTTCATTACCTGTGTAAACCCCTCTTGATAATGACCTATCATTCCTTTGATATGCTCCTATTTATTTTTGCTCATATTTTGTTATTTTGCATCTATGCTATGTGTCATAATCATTTGTAGTTTTCTTCACTTACACTGTTTGTGTCTGGTTTTGACGTCAGGGTTATGCTGGCCTCATAAAATGAGTTGGGAAGTGTTTCCTCCTCTTCTGTTTTCTGAAATTTATATAGGACTAGCATTATTTCTTAAATGTTCTGTAGACTTCATCAGTGAAAACATCTGGGCCTAGAGTTTTCTTGGAGGGTAAGTTTTGAACTACAAATTCTTTTTTTTTTTTTTTGAGATGGAGTTTTGCTCTTGTCGCCCAGGCTGGAGTGCAATGGCACGATCTCGGCTCACCACAACCTCTACCTCTTGGTTCGAGCAATTCTCTTGCTTCAGCCTCCTGAGTAACTGGGAATACAGGCAAACGCCACCATGCCCAGCTAATTTTTGTGTTTTTAGTAGACACAGGGTTTCACCATGTTGGCCAGGGTGGTCTCAGACTCCTGATGTCAGGTGATCTACCAGCCTCGGCTTCTCAAAGTGCTAGGATTACAGGTGTGAGCCACTGCACCCGGCTACAAATTTGTTTTTTTATAATTATAGGTATATTCAGATAACTCTTTTCTTCTTGAGCAAGCTTTGGTGGTTTGTGGCCTGGAAGGAATTTGTCTCATCTAAACTACCAAGTTTTTGATATAAAGTTTTTTTTGGCCAGGTGGGGTGGCTCACGCCTGTAATCCCAGCACTTTGGGAGGCCTAGGCAGACGGATCTCGAGGTCAGGAGTTCAAGACCAGCCTGGCCAACATAGTGAAACCCTGTCTCTACTAAAAATACAAAAATTAGCCGGGCATGGTGACACGTGCCTGTAGTACCGGCTACTCGGGAGGCTGAGGCAGGAGAATCGCTTGAAACCGGGAGGCGGAGGTTGCAGTGAGCCAAGATCGTGCCACTGCACTCTAGCTTGGGCAACAGAGTGAGACTTCATCTCAAAAAAATAAAGAAATAAAATAAAATAAAGTTTTTTTCATAAGATTTCCTTATTATTTTTTAATATTTGTAGGATCTGTAATGTTGTTCTCCTGATATTGATAATGTATGTTTTTTCTTGATCAGTCTGACTTAAGATTTATCCATTGTATTGATCTTTTCACAGAACCAGCTTTTGATTGTGTTTATTTTTGTGTTTTTCATTTTCTATTTCTTTGAGATAGAAAGAAATCCTTATTGATTACTATATCTTGCATACAGAAGAGCATTTAGAACACGTGCGTACTTTTCAGAAGAAATATATAGCTAACACCTGGATAATCACCACTCAGGTTGAGAACTACGACTCTACCCCTTCCAGATGGCATCCTCCTACCTCTCTCCTGGATGTAACCTGTATCCCAAATTCGGGGGTAATTATTTTTAAGATTTTTGTTAGAGCTTCTGCTATCTATATTTGTATACACAGGCAATATATTGTTTAGTTTGAACTTTTCTTTTTTGAGCTTTGTAAAAACAGAATCATCCATATGAATTATTTTGTGACTTATTTCTTTTATTCACTACTATAGTTGTGAGATTCAGCCATGATGTTTATTTTCATTGCAGGATAGTGTTCTAGTTTGGGTATCACACAATTAAAAGTACCTACTCTTCTCTCTTTTAAGTTATTTATTTATTTTTTAGAGACAGGGTCTCACTCTGCTACCTAGGCTGGAGTGCAGTGGTGTGATCATAGCTCATTGCAGGCTTGAACTCCTGGGCTTAAGCAATCCTCCTGCCTCAGCCTCCTGAGTAGACAGTACTATAGGCATGTGCCACTGTGCTCAGCTATTCTTGTTTTTCATATAGAGATGGGGTCTCGTTATGTCACCTAGGCTGGTTTTGAACTCTTGGCCTCAAGCAGTCCTCCTGTCTTGGCCTCCTAAAGTGTGGGATTACAGGTATTAGCCACTGCACTCAGCCAGTATTTACTCTCTTGATGGTGTTTGGGTTGTTTCCGGTTTAAGGCTAGTATAGTTAATGATAATACTGCCATTATTTTACATGTTTGCTAGGAACATTTGCTGTGAGAGCTTTCCTATGTATATACCTAGGTTGTGGTGTCTGGGTTCTGGAGGTGTGAATAATTTATAGATAAGGCCAAATGTTGTTGGTTTGTAAAACATTTGTAGATGCTCCCTCCGTGCCACTTCTGCTTGTCAGACTTTTATTTGTTCCCATTCTGGTAGGTGTGTATTAGTATCTTATTGTGATTGAAACTTTCATTTCCTTGATTAGTAATGTAATTGATCCTCATTTCATATTTTATAGAGAACTTGAGTGACTTGTGTAAATCTTACACGGTGCCTGCGTAAGTCTTCAACTCATTTATTTCTTATGGTATGTGCCTTCCTCCTACTTATTCATAGCACTCTTTTCTTTTCTTTTCTATTCTATTCTATTCTTTTCTTTTTTTTTGAGACAGAGTCTTGCTCTGTCGCCCAGGGTAGAGTGCAGTGGGGAGATCTCAGCTCACTGCAGCCTCTGCCTCCTGGGTTGAAGCAATTCTCCTGCCTCAGCCTCCCGAGTAGCTGGGATTGCAGGCATGTGCCACCATACCCGGCTAATTTTTGTATTTTTAGTAGAGATGGGGTTTTGCCATGTCAGCCAGGCTGGTCTTGAACTCCTGGCCTCAGGTGATCCACCTCCCCCCCCTCCCCCGCCTTGGCCTCCCAAAGTACTGGGATGACAGGTGTGAACCACTGCGCCCGGCCCATAGTACTATTTTCTTTCTTTTTTTCGAGACAGTGTCTCACTTTGTTGCCCAGGAAATCATGGCTCACTGCAGCCTCAACCTCCTTGGGCTCAGGTGATCCTACTTCCTCATCAGCATCCTGAGTAGCTGGTACTACAGGCATGCACCACCACACCTAGCTAATATTTGTATTTTTTTGTAGAGATGGGGTTTTGCCGTGTTGCCTAGACTGGTCTCAAACTCCTGGGCTCAAGCGATCCACCTGCCTCAGTCTCCCAAAGTGTTAGGATTACAGGCATGAGACACCATGCCTAGTGGCACTATTTTCGGTAGAGTACATATTAATCAATGCTTTATTGCAAGCATACTGTCCCTTTGTTAGATTGTCTTTTTTTTTTTTTTTTTTTGAGATAGAGTCTTGCTTTGTCACCCAGGCTGGAGTGCAGTGGTGTGATCTTGGCTCACTGCAACCTCCACCTCCTGAGCAACCTCCACCTCCCGGGCTCAAGCGATTCTTCCGCCTCAGTCTCCCAAGTAGCTGGGATTAGAGGCATGCACCACCATGCCCAGCTAATTTTTTGTATTTTAGTAGAGATGGGATTTCACCATGTTTCCCAGGCTGGTCTCAAACTCCTGAGCTCAGGCAATACACCCACCTCGGCCTCCCAAAGTGCTGGGATTAGAGTCGTGAGCCACTGCGCCCAGTCTAGATTGTCTTTTCACTGTCTTTCTTGTGTCTCTTGTTGAACACAGATTCTTTATATTTAAATTGCGTTTCTTGTAGACATGATATAGTTGAATCTTGTGTGTTTAATCTCAACTGACAATCTGCCTTTTAATTGGTGTGTTTTTGTAATTATTGATATTGTTGGATGTAGGTCTACCATTTTATTATTTCTTTCTTCTTTGTCCCCCTTTTGCTGATTGTTGTTATTCTATTTTCCCATTCCTCTCTTCTTTGGAACATTTGAATATTTTCTTAAACTTTTTGTTTTGAGATCATTATACATTCTCATGCACTTGTAAGAAGTAATACAAAGAGATCGTAATGTACCCTTTATCCAATTCCCCCCATTGGTAGGTAACATCTTGCAGAACTGTAGTACAGTATCCCAACCAGGATATTGACATCTATACAGATCAAATATGGAACATTTCTGTCACTGCAAGGATCCCTCATGTCACTCTTTTTATTATTTATTTATTTATTTTTGAGATGGATTCTCGCTCTGTGGCCCAGGCTGGAGTGCAATGGTGCGATCTGGTCTCACTGCAACCTCTGCCTCCTGGGTTCAAGCAATTCTCCTGTCTCAGCCTCCCGAGTAGCTGGGATTACAGGCACCCGCCACCACCTGGCTAAGTTTTGTATTTTAGTAGAGATGGGGTTTCACCATGTTGGCCAGGCTGGTCTCGAACTCCTGACCTCAAGTGATCTGCCCAACTTGGCCTCCCAAAGTGCTGGGATTACAGGCGCGAGCCACCACACCTGACCGTCACTCTTTTATAGTCATACCGATTTTCTCCCAGCCCATCTCCTCTTATAGCCTGGTAACTACTAATATGTTCTCTGTTTCTATAATTTTGTCATTTGAAAAATGTTATATAATGGAATCATACTGTATGTAACCTTAAGGGATTAGTTCTTTTTCACTCAGCATAATCCTCCAGAGATTCGTTCAGGTTGTTGTATGTATCAAGCTTGATTCTTTTTATTGCTGAGTAGCATTCCATGGTATGCATGTTTGTTTAACCGTTCACCTGTTGAAGGACATCTAGGTTGTATCCAGTGTTGGGCTATTACGAATAAATTTGCTACAAACATTTCTCTGTAGGTTTTTGTAATAAGTTTTTATTTCCCTGGGATGAATTTCCAGTAGTGCAATTATAATTTAAATATTATATTTTAAACATACCTCTTTACTGTTTGTCACTGTCTCCTTGTTTTTAAATTAAATTTTTATGTATGTATGTATTTATTTTTATTTATTTATTTTTTTTTTTTTTGAGAGCGAGTCTCGCTCTGTCGCCCAGGCTGGAGTGCAGTGGCACAATCTTGGCTCACTGCAAGCTCCACCATCCTGGTTCAAGCGATTCTCCTGCCCCAGCCTCCCAAGTAGCTGGGACTACACATGCACACTGCCATACCCAGCTAATTTTTGTATTTTTAGTAGAGACGGGGTTTCACCATGTTGGCCAGGCTGGTCTCGAACTCCTGACCTCAAGTGATCCACCCGCCTCAGCCTCCCAAAGTGCTGGGATTCCAGGCATGAGCCACCACACCTGGCCTATCTATCTATCTATCTATCTATCTATCTATCTATCTATCTATCTATCTATCATCTATCTTTATCTATCTATCTATCTATCTATCTATCTATCTATCTATCTATCTATCTATCTAATCTATCTGAGATGGTGTCTCGCTCTGTTGCCCAGGCTGGAGTGCAGTGGTGCAATCTTGGCTCACTGCAACCTCTGCCTCCTAGGTTCAAGCGTTTCTCCTTTCTCAGCCTCCCGAGTAGCTGGGACTACAGGCACACACCACCACGCCCAGCTAAGTTTTGTATTTTTAGTATACACGAGGTTTCACCATATTGGTCAGGCTGATCTTGAATTCTGACCTCAGGTGATCCACCCACCTCAGCCTCCCAAAGTGCTGGGATTACAGGCGTGAACCACTGTGTCCTGCCCTATTTATTTATTTATTTATTTATTTATTTAGAGACGGAGTCTCGCTCTGTCACCCAGGCTGGAGTGCAGTGGCGTGATGCGATCTCAGCTCACTGCAAACTCCGCCTTCCGGGTTCACACCATTCTCCAGCCTCAGCCTCCCGAGTAGCTGGGACTACAGCCACCCACCACAATGCCCAGCTAATTTTTTTTTTTTTTTTTGTATTTTTAGTAGAGACGGGGTTTCACCATGTTAGCCAGGATGGTCTCCATCTCCTGACCTCGTGATCCGCCCGCCTCAGCCTCTCAAAGTGCTGGGATTACAAGCATGAGCCACCGTGCCTGGCCTATTTATTTATTTTTTAAGATGGGGTCTCACTATGTTGCCCAGGCTGATCTTGAGCTCCTGGGCACAAGCAATCCTCTTGCCTCACTCTCCCAAGTAGCTTGGACTACAGAAGTGTGATGTCATGCCTGGTTGTTATTTTTTAAAATCAGTGGCTGCTGTAGATACTAAGATAGTCACACACAACCTTTCACATTCTACTTATAGTTTAATACTTCAAGTAATATGTAGAAGCTTTACAACAGTATAGATATCTTTAATTTCTTTCATGTTACAGTTTTCGAACATATTACATCTAATAACATTTTAAATCCCTCAGACAGTGTTATATTTTTTTGCTTTCAACTATCATATATATCTTAAAGAATTCAAAAGGAGAAAAATTATACATTACATTTACCCATATATTTTGCCATTTCTGTTGCTCCTCATTTATTCCCAAAGTTCCATGTTTCCCTCTGATATCATCTCCCTTCACCTGAAGAAGAACCTACAGCATTTCTCTTAGAAGAAGTCTGCTGTTGACAAAAATCTCTTAATTTTCCTTTACCTGATAATTTTTACATTTCGTCTTCTTTTTTTTTTAATTTTTATTTTTATGGGTAAATAGTAGGTATATATGTTTATGGGGTACATCAGATATTTTGATACAGGCATATGATGTGTAATAATCATATCAGAGTGAATGGGGTATCCATCCCCTCAAGCATTTATCCTTTGTGTTATAAAAAAAATGAAACCCTTGACAAATTTGCACGTCATCCTTACACAGGAGCCATGCTAATCTTCTCTGTATTGTTCCAATTTTAGTATATGTTCCAATTTTAGACAGTGAGCACTTGTCTTCATTCTTGAAGGGTGTTTTTGCTGGATGTAGAATTATGGATTGATATTTCTTTTCCTTTAGTATTTTTAAGATGTTCCATTGTTTTCTGACCTCCACTGTTTCTGATGAGAATTTTGCAGTCCTTGAATCCTTGTTTCCTTGTAGGCAGTGTACCTTTTTTTCCTCTGGCTGCATTAGAAATGTTTTAAGTTGGCTTTCCAGGCTTTCGATTATAATGTTTCTGGTGTTTCTTTTGAGTTTATATTGATTCTGGTGTGCTGTGCTTCTTGAGTCTGTAAATATATGTCTTTTTCCAAATATGGGAAGTTTTTGGTTATTATTTTTTGCAATTTTTTTTCTACAGTAGTCTCTTCTTCTCCTTCTTTGAGGACTCTAATAACATGAACATTGGACCTTTTGGTATTGTCCTGCAGGTCCCCAGAGACCCTGTTTTTTTTTCCAATCATTTTTATAATTTTTTTATTTTTACAGTTTCTGTTTCTCTGTTGAGAACTTCTATTTATCCATTCATTTCAGGTGTTTGCCATTACCTCATGGAGCTTAGATGTCATAACTACTTAAATGTCTTTGATATTTCCAGCACCTAGGTTATTTCAGGATTGGCATCTGTTATTGTCTTTTTCCCTGGAGAATTGGTCACATCTTTGTGATTGGTTTTTATGTTGAATAATTTTGGATTCCATCCTGGATAGTGGTGGACTGTGTCGTTATTGCTTTTCTTTTTTCTTTTTCTTTTTTTTTTTTTGAGACAGAGTTTCACTCTGTTGCCCAGGCTGGAGTGCAGTGGCACAATCTCAGCTCACTGCAATCTGTAACCTCTGCCTCCCAGGTTCAAGCAATTCTCCTGCCTCAGTCTCCCGAGTAGCTAAGATTACAGGTGCCTGCCACCATGCCCGGCTAATTTTTTGTGTTTTTAGTAGAGACGGGTTTCGCCATGTTGGCCAGGTTGGTCCTGAACTCCTGACCTCAAGTGATCCACCCGCCTTGGCCTCCCAAAGTGCTGGGATTACAGGCAAGAGCCACCGCGCCCAGTCCATTATTGCTTTTCATCTTTATCAGGTAATAAACCACTAGGTCTGTCTCACCTTCTATGGGTGTCAGTTCCAACCAGTTCAGTTTTCAAAGCCTTTTGATCTGTCGTGTGCATGTGCCATTTAGGGATTAGAGACTCGAGTGGTGGGTTCAGTCTTTGTGCAGTGTTCAAAGCCTTCACTGCCCTGCTTACATTTGTCACTCAGGTGTTAGTCTCAGACTTGAGCTGTGGCTTAAATCTTAGTTCAGTTCTCAAGGCTTGGTATGTAGCTTTGCTTTCTCTTGAGTGAAGAGTTCCTGGATGAACTCAGGACTTCTGTATGTTCATAAGTCACTGGGACCTGTATTTGGGTCAGAGTCTTGAGAGAGAATATGAGGGATAAAAGGGGAACCCACTGATGTATGAGTTGCTTCTCTACTTTTTGGCTCACCTCCGTAGTCTTCCTGGTTTTGTTGACTTGTCAGAGTCCTCGGGTAGTTACTTTATGTATTTTGTTCAGAGATTTTTGTTGCAATAATCAGTAGGAGAGGCTGTAGTAGACTTACTCTATTGTGGCTAGAAATGGAAACCTCGATTTCATTCATTCTTGCTTTTATCTTTTTTATTTCTGTCTTTCTGCTAGTTTGAATTTAATTTGCTCTTTTTCTAGTTTCATAAGGTGGATGCTTAGGTCATCATTTGAGACCCTTCTTTTCTAATATAAGCATTGTGAATGCCATAACTATCTCTAAGTACTGATTTAGCTATTTTAAACCCTTTACTGTGGTTTAATTTGGCATACAAGAAATTATACGTACTTAAACAGGGATGGGCACAGTGGCTAACACCTGTAATTCTAGCACTTGGGGAGGCTGAGGTGGGGGGGATTGCTTGAGACCAGAAGTTCAAGACCAGCCTAAGCAACATAGCAAGACCCCATCTCTACCAAAAATAAAAAACATTAGCTGGGCATGGTGGCACATGCCTGTAGTCGTAGCTACTCAGGAAGCTAAGGTGGGAGGATCACTTGAGCCTAGGAGTTTGAGGTTACAGTGAGCTATGATTGTTCTACTCTAGCCTGGGTGATAGAGCAAGACCCTGTCTCCAAAAAATAAAAAATAAAGCAAACAGTTTGGTAAGTGTTGACATGTATATACCCAGGATCACATCACCACAATCAAGATAATAAGATCACAGAACAAGCTGGGAAGTATTCCCTCCTCTTTCCAATTCTTTGGAAGAGTTTATGTAGAATTGTATTCTTTCTTCCTTAAAAGTTTGATAGATACTGGGTTATTCAGATGATCTATTTCTTGTTGAATGAGCTTTCATAATTTGTGTCTTTCTTTTCTCCTTTTTTTTTTTTTTTTGAGAGAGTCTCGCTCTGTCACCCAGGCTAGGATGCAATGGCACCAACTCAGCTCACTGCAATCTCTGCCTCCCAGGTTCAAGTGATTCTCGTGTCTCAGCCTCCCGAGTAGCTGGGATTACAGGCGTACACCACCATGCCTGGCTAATTTTTGTATTTTTAGTAGAGATGGGGTTTTGCCATGTTGGCCAGGCTAGTCTTGAACTCGTGACCTCATGTGATCCGCCCACTTAGGCCTCCCAGAGTGTTGGGATTATACGCATGCACCATCACGCCTAGCCAATAATTTGTGTCTTTCAAGGAGTTTATCAGTTTCGTCTGTCAAATTTATTAGTATAAAGTTGTTCTTAATATTCCCTTATCCTTTCAATTTCTGAGGGTCAGTGGTAGTCTTATTTTAGTTTTAAAGTAAGTCTAATCACATATAGTATTGAAAACAATAAAGTTCATTTAAAGGAAAAGCTCTCTCCCAGCAAATACCTGCTTCAGGCTGAAAGATTTTAGTGGCAAAAAGAACATGCTCAGTGTTTTCTTTCTTTACTCTTCCAGCTAGCTCTTCTCCCTTCCCTTTCTCCCCCACTCAACACCTAGGCCATCTCTGGCCCTTGAGTGTAGTGGGTGAGGAAGGAAGGAAGGAGATACAATGGGCAAAAAAAGTTTGACCTAACTAACAAAGTTGTAATCTAATACTGATGCCCTCTCTATGTTGCAGATTCCAAAGACTGATTCTTCCTGTTCTTGACACTTTATGGTTTCCTTGGAGATGTCCTAGCTGGAGTCCCCTGACTGCAATTTCCTTGATGCAGGAAGGGCCACTTTCCCAACCAGTTATTTAATATATCCCCGGGCCCCATGGTGTACCTTCAGTCTCCTTTTGCTGAGGTCACCTTGATGCTAGCAAAAAGCCCTCTTTCTAAAGTAACCCAGCCTGTTCATGTCCAGAGGGTCCACATCTGGCTTGTGGAGTGTGTGTGATTGTGGGAGTAAGACCCACAGTTCACCCCCACGCAACCTCTTCTCTACTACCACAGACTGCCTCAGCCTGTCATTTATAGTTTTTCTACATGAAAGACAGGTGCCAAGTTCTCTGTGTCCCCTAAAGTCTAGTGGATGTACATCGAACAGGTCATCTCTTTGAAATCCTTCTCATCAGATTGGGGTGGGGTGAACACACTCCTCACTCACCTATTGGAGAGAGAAAATGCCGCAGCTTTCCAATGGCTATCTCTAAAGAAATTATTTTCCTTAGCGTCTTTAACCTTAACACTCTTATACTTTGTTTTTCTTCTTTTTAAAATTTTTTGAGAGAGGGTCTCTCTCTGTTGCCTAGGCTGGAGAGCAATGGCGCCATCTTGGCTCATTGCAGCCTCAACCTCCTGGGCCCAATTGATCCTTCTGCCTCAGCCTTCAGAATAGCTGAGACTACAGGCACATGCCACGACACCTGGCTAAGTTTGTTTGTTTGGTAGAGACAGGGTTTTGCCATATTGCCCAGGCTGCTCTTGAACTCCTGGACTCAAGTGATCTGCCTGCCTCCACTTCCCAAAGTGCTGGGATGACAGATGTGAGCCACCACACCCGGCCAACACTCTTATGCTTTTAAAGGGTATGTTAGAGATAAAGGACATTAAGTGGTTTTGACCTATTCCTTTTGAGTCCCGTAAAGGCCTGCGGACTGGGAAAATACTTGATAGTATTTTATTACCAGTCTTTGAAATAAAAAGAGCTGGTTTTAACATCATGTCAAATTAATCCCCTAAAAGCATGGATTGCAGCCAGGTGGGCAGATACAGCTTCGTGAAATGTATGGAATTCAGCTTTTGAATAGGAATCATCAATGTTAAAATGCAAAGCTCTATGACCTTATGTGGCAAAATTAATGTTACAGATAGTGTGTGATTTAGACTCGTGTACACACACACACAGAATTATAGATTTTGAATTTTGGTAATATGGCAAGGGTAAATTGGTATATTATTGTAATTTTCACTTCCCTGATTACTATTGAAAGTATTTATCATTTCATATGTTATTGACTAGTTAGATTTCCTCTTCTGTGGCTTACCTGTTCATATTCTTTTTTTGTTTTTGTTTTTGTTTTTTTTTTGAGACGTAGTCTCACTCGTTGCCAGGCTGGAGTGCAGTGGCGCGATGTCAGATCACTGCAACCTCTGCCTCCCGGGTTCAAGTGATTCTCCTGCCTCAGCCTCCTGAGTAGCTGAGACTACAGGTGTGTGCCACCACGCCCAGCTAATTTTTGTATTTTTAGTAGAGACAGAGTTTCGCCATGTTGGCCAGGATGGTCTCGATCTCTTGACCTCGTGATCTGCCTGCCTCGGCCTCCCAAAGTGCTGGGATTACAGACATGAGCCACTGTGCCCAGCCACCTGTTCATATTCTTTATTCATGTTTTTGTTGAGTTTGTCTCTTCTTATTGCTTTATATGAATTCTTTGTATATTCTAGATTTCAATTTTGTGTATAGTCAATATCTTTCCTTAGTCTAGGTTGTTTATGGTGTCTTTTTGAGTAGAAGTTTTAATTGTAAAATAATCAAATGTATCAATTTTTAGTTTGCTTTTTGTGTAATTTTTTTTTTTTTTGTGAGATGGAGTCTCACTCTGTCACCCAGGCTGGAGTGCAGTGGTGCCATCTCGGCTCACTGCAACCTCTGCCTCCCGGGTTCAAGTGATTCTCTTGCCTCAGCCTCCTGAGTAGCTGGGACTACAGGCATGTGCCACCATGCCCAACTAATTTTTTTTATATTTTTGTTAGAGATGGGGTTTCACCATGTTGGCCAGGCTGAACTCGAACTCCTGACCTCAGGTTATCCTCCTGCCTCGGCCTCCCAAAGTGCTGGGATTACAGGCATGAGCCACCATGCCCGACCCTTTTTGTGTAATTTTAAGTATTTTTTTTGGGGGGCTGAGCACATAAAAATATTTTTATATAATTTTTTAAAAATTTAAATATTTGCTGTTTATTTTCTTAAAACCTGCCTGGAATTTATGTACTTATTTATTTAGAGACCCAGGCTGGAGTGCAATGGCGTGATCTCGGCTCACCGCAACTGCCACCTCCCAGGTTCAGATGATTCTCCTGCCTCAGCCTCCTGCGTAGCTGGGATTACAGGCATGTGCCACCACGGCCGGCTAATTTTGTGTATTTTTAGTAGAGATGGGGTTTCACCTTGTTGGCCAGGCTGGTCTCAAACACCTAACCTCAGGTGATCCTCCCGCCTCGGCCTCCCAAAGTGCTGGGATTACAGGCGTGAGCCACTGTGGCGCCCGGCCAAAACCCAGTTGCTCTGCTGTGCCCAGGCAAGCACCCTTTTTTTTTTTTTTTGAGATGGAGTTTCACTCTTGTTGCCCAGGCTGGAGTGCAATGGTGTTATCTTGGCTTATTGCAGCCTCCACCTCTTGGGTTCAACCAATTCTCCTGTCTCAGCCTCCTGAGTAGCTGGGATTACAGGCACATACCACCCTGCCCAGCAAATTTTTGTATTTTTAGTAGAGACAGGGTTTCGCCATCTTGGCTAGGCCGGTCTTGAACTCCGACCTCAGGTGATCCACCTGCCTCGGCCTCCCAAAGTGCTGGGATTATAGGCATGAGCCATTGCGCCCGGCCTGTTGTACCATTCTTATCAATTAATGCTGTTAAGAGCTAATAGGCTTTAGTCCCCTTATCTCTTTTGATCCTTTGGTCTCCCATAGGAATTTTAGGATTCGTTTGTTGAGTTCCAAGGAAAACTCTGGGATTCCAATTGCAATTGCATGTGTTTAGAAATGAGTTGGGAGTGGGTTGGGAATTGGCATCTTTATACTATTGAATTTTCCTTTCAGTGAACTCTTACTCAGTTATCCTTTTATGTCATTTAATAATGTTTCAAATTTTTTCTCAGGAAGATCTTGTGCATTTTTTGTTGAATTTCTTCCTAGATACCTCTGAGTTATTGTTGCATTTGTGATTGGGATCTTCTTTCCTATCACATCTTCTAATTGGTTAATATTAGTATATGAGAATGCTAGTGATATTCATAAAATCATGTGTACAGAAATCTTTCTGAAGGCTTTTATTAATACTAATCTTTTTTAATTCTCTTCGGTCTTCTATGTGAATAATTATCTTTATAAAGGCAATTGTCTTTTCCAATTATACATTTTATTTCTTTTTCTTCTCTCAATGAATTAGGACCTGTAGTACAATGTTTAATAGATACAATGATATTGCATTCTTTGTTTCTGATTTTAGTGGAAATAATCATGAAGACAATGATTGTAATAAAATAATAAGCAGCATTTGAATGCTTGCCATGTGCCACAAATGCATTGTTCTGTATGCTTTGCACATATTAAATAGTTGAATCCTCCCAATGACCCTGTAAAGTAGGCTGGTTGTTATCCCTGTTTTATATATGAAAAAAACTGAGGCACAGAAATGATGTAACTTCTATAGCTTTCACTATTAAATATGATATCTGCTGTGGTATTTTGAAAGATATCTTTCATCAAGAGCCCCTTTTATTAGTCCTATTTTGTTAATAAGACTTTTGTTTTGTTTTGTTTTTGTTTTTGTTTTGAGACAGAGTCTCGCTCTGTTACCCGGGCTGGAGTGCAATGGCACGATCTCGGCTCACTGCAACCTCCGCCTCCTGGGTTCAAGCAATTCTCCTGCCTCAGCCTCCCAAGTATCTGGGATTATAGGCATCCACCACCATGCCTGGCTAATTTTTTATATTTTTTAGTAGAGATGGGGTTTCACCGTGTTGGCCAGGCTGGTCTTGAACTCCTGGCCTCAGGTGATCCACCCACTTCGGCCTCCCAAAATGCTGGGATTACAGGCGTGAGCCACCACACCCGGCCTAATAAGACTTTTTAAAAAATCACTAATGAGTGTTGTATTTTCTTGAATGCTTATTTTCTGCATATGTTGAGAAGACAGTTTTTCCTCCTTTAATCTATTAATGTGGTAGATTACGTGAATAAATTTCTGATATTGAAGTGTTCTTGTGTTCCTGTGCTAAACTCTACTTAATTGTGAAGCATTTTAAAAAATTAATAAATTTATTATTTTTTAATTATTATACTTTAAGTTTTAGGGTACATGTGCACAATGTGCAGGTTAGTTACATATGTATACATGTGCCATGCTGGTGTGCTGCACCCATCAACTCGTCATTTAGCATTAGGTATATCTCCCAATGCTATCCCTCCCCCCTCCCCCCACCCCACAACAGTCCCCAGAGTGTGATGTTCCCCTTCCTGTGTCCATGTGTTCTCATTGTTCAATTCCCACCTATGAGTGAGAACATGCGGTGTTTGGTTTTTTGTTCTTGTGATAGTTTACTGACAATGATGATTTCCAGTTTCATCCATGTCCCTACAAAGGACATGAACTCATCGTTTTTTATGGCTGCATAGTATTCCATGGTGTATATGTGCCACATTTTCTTAATCCAGTCTATCGTTGTTGGACATTTGCGTTGGTTCCAAGTCTTTGCTATTGTGAATAATGACGCAATAAACATACGTGTGCATGTGTCTTTATAGCAGCATGATTTATAGTCCTTTGGGTATATACCCAGTAATGGGATGGCTGGGTCAAATGGTATTTCTAGTTCTAGATCCCTGAGGAATCGCCACACTGACTTCCACAATGGTTGAACTAGTTTACAGTCCCACCAACAGTGTAAAAGTGTTCCTATTTCTCCACATCCTCTCCAGCATCTGTTGTTTCCTGACTTTTTAATGATTGCCATTCTAACTGGTGTGAGATGGTATCTCATTGTGGTTTTGATTTGCATTTCTCTGATGGCCAGTGATGGTGAGCATTTTTTCATGTGTTTTTTGGCTGCATAAATGTCTTCTTTTGAGAAGTGTCTGTTCATGTCCTTCGCCCACTTTTTGATGGGGTTGTTTGTTTTTTTCTTGTAAATTTGTTTGAATTCATTGTAGATTCTGGATATTAGCCCTTTGTCAGATGGGTAGGTTGCGAAAATGTTCTCCCATTTTGTAGGTTTCCTGTTCACTCTGATGGTAGTTTCTTTTGCTGTGCAGAAGCTCTTTAGTTTAATTAGATCCCATTTGTCAATTTTGGCTTTTGTTGCCATTGCTTTTGGTGTTTTAGACATGAAGTCCTTGCCCATGCCTATGTCCTGAATGGTAATGCCTAGGTTTTCTTCTAGGGTTTTTATGGTTTTAGGTCTAACATTTAAGTCTTTAATCCATCTTGAATTAATTTTTGTATAAGGTGTAAGGAAGGGATCCAGTTTCAGCTTTCTACATATGGCTAGGCAGTTTTCCCAGCACCATTTATTAAATAGGGAATCCTTTCCCCATTGCTTGTTTTTCTCAGGTTTGTCAAAGATCAGATAGTTGTCGATATGCGGCATTATTTCTGAGGGCTCTGTTCTGTTCCATTGATCTATATCTCTGTTTTGGTAAGTCAAATTGTCCCTGTTTGCAGATGACATGATTGTATATCTAGAAAACCCCATTGTCTCAGCCCAAAATCTCCTTAAGCTGATAAGCAACTTCAGCAAAGTCTCAGGATACAAAATCAATGTACAAAAATCACAAGCATTCTTATACACCAATAACAGACAAACAGAGAACCAAATCACGAGTGAACTCCCATTCACAATTGCTTCAAAGAGAATAAAATACCTAGGAATCCAACTTACAAGGGACGTGAAGGACCTCTTCAAGGAGAACTACAAACCACTGCTCAATGAGATAAAAGAGGATACAAACAAATGGAAGAACATTCCATGCTCATGGGTAGGAAGAATCAATATCGTGAAAATGGCCATACTGCCCAAGGTAATTTATAGATTCAATGCCATCCCCATCAAGCTACCAATGACTTTCTTCACAGAATTGGAAAAAAACTACTTTAAAAAATTAATTTAGAATTGATTTTACTAGTATTTAACCTATGAATTTTGCATTAATGTTTAGAAGTAAAATAGATCTTAGATTTTCTTTTTTTGTACTTTCTTCTCTTATTCTGGTATCCAAGGTTATACTAGCTGCATAAAATAAACTGAGTACTTTTCCTTCTTGTAATTTTTGAAACTGTGACTGAAATTTAGTTTCATGAGAGTTTGATACTAGTCATTTTCAAAACCATCTGGATATGGCAAGACTTGATTATGGAGTCAGTTTTTATCATTTAAAAAAACAATTATTGAATTATTCAAGCTTCTTGTATTTTCTGTCAATTCTGGTCATTTTTCTAGACCATTATGTTTCATCTGAGATGTCCGATTTACCAACCTAAGGCAGTATTCTCTTGATTTAAAAAAAAAAACTCTTAGTTTTATTAACGTAGGTCATGCCTGAGGTTTAAAGAATAAAATAAATGTGGTGAAACTGTAAAGAAAGTGAAGGGCATGATAAACATAAAATTTAGGATATTGATTATCTGAAAAGAAAGAAAATGAAACGGGCATATGAAGAACTTCAAAGATAACTATAATTAGTTTTAATGGGTGGTGGATACCCAGGTATTATTTTTGGTATTACTATTCTTTATAACTTACATATATTTTACAAAACTTATTTGAAATGTTTCACTGTGGAAGGTTAAGATTGAACTCACCACGCTGCTCCTGTCACCCACCCAAAGGCATGCGTATGTACATAGACTTCTTGTTTCCCAATAGTCCCAATGTGATTATACCATAAATTTGTTTTCCATCAGTACTATTTTTTACAATATGACTATACAGTTAGCTCTCTGTATCTGCAAGGGATTTGTTCCAGAACCTCCATGGATACCAGAATCCATTGATACTCAAATCCCTGATATAAAATGGCATGGTATAATTGGCCCTCCGTATTTGTGGGTTTTGATCCTTGGTTGGTTGAATCCACAGACGTAAAACCCATGGATACAGAGGGCTAACTGTATATATAAATACTATACACAGCCAAGCCACATAGTAATCTATGATTAATTTACCTTCCCTGCATAACTGTGTTCCTTTGGTTAATAATTATTTTTTTTGAGACAGAATCTTGCTGTGTTGCCCAGGCTGGAGTGCAGTGGTATGGTCTTGGCTTACTGCAGCCTGCAGCTACAAACTCCTGGGCTCAAGCGATCTTCCCACCTCAGGCTCCCGAGTAGCTGGGACTATAGCTGTGCACTACCACACTCAGCTAATTTTTTAAGTTTTTCATAGAGACGGGGTCTCACTGGACTGAGAGTCTAGGCTGGTCTCAAACTCCTGGACTCAAGTCATTCTCTTGCCTCAGCCTCCCAAAGTGCTGGGATTACAGGAGTGAACCACTTCTCCTGGCTTGTTTTGTTTCTTTCATTTGTTTCTTTCTCCATATACTTATCACCAGTTGTCTAGAGTGACTCTGAGCGCTTCTGGAGATATCAAGGGTTTCCTCAGTGTCATATCCCTGAGTTTTTCTAGAGCCTTCTGACCTGCTCTCATCTGGGTGGATTACCCTCATTCCTTCTTGTACAGCTACCATCCTGACATTGCTCTTCAGTGTCACTCTGGGGATTCCCTTCACCCTCTGCATTGCTGGGTTCCATATTTTCTTTATGCCATGCCCCCTTCCTCATTGGTTGGAGCACAGTCTTCAAGTACTTTCGTAAGAAAGGATGTAGGTCCATGGGAGATGAAGTTTTGAGATTTTTGGATGTCTACAAGTGTTTGACTCCTAATGGAGAGTTTGGCTTGAAGTAGAGTTCTAGGATGGAAATGTCTTTCCCTTAGACTTTTGAAGGCATTGCTCCATTGTCATCTAATTTTCAGTGTAAAGCTATTCTGATTATTGATACTTGATATAATTTTTTTCTCTGTTTCAGCTTATAAGATTTTACCCCCTTTATCTCAGGTGCTCTGACATATCCCCATATGGGATCACTGCCACCAGTAGTTCTGGGTGCCTGATAGGAAATAAATCCCCACAGGGATAGTTTTTTTTTTTTTTTTCCCATGCAAAGCCAAGATGCTACAGGGCCAGACAGCTGCACTGCACATCCAAGTGGCAAGCTAGGCCTTTTTTGTTAAGCTCCTTTCACTTTGTCTGTGGGCAAGTCCAGTTTGACCCACTAAAAATAGGCACATCATACCAGAAAATCATCAGCCTCTAGTGTTCGGGCATCCAGACTCCCAGAAGAAAAACAGGTGTTCAGTGCCCTAGGCAGGCAAAACCATCATATCAACATAGGGAATATTTCACAAGCCAAGTTCCCAGACTTTAGCCAGGAGCCAGCCCTGTGAGCAGGTCCTTCTAAAGATCAGTTCTGCTGTGTTAACACTTTCCTACAGGTTACCTTTACTGGTGCTCTTTATTTCTTTGTGTGGATTTGAGTTACCATAGAGTGTCCTTTATTTTCTTGGAGCTGAGCTTTAAGTTAGATCAAATAGCAACAGCTGTCTGGGGATAGGGCTTTTGGTAGAGCTCCAAAACAGTTCATCCCCTTGGGTAGCTGTGAGGCTACCAGTTTTCATGGAGCTGGGGAGCCAGTGGGAGAGCAGGAAGAGTAGTAGTAGTGCCAAGTGAACCATGACCTGGCTGTTCTTAGTGAGGTTTACTAGTTTTTTTTTTCGTGTGTGTGTGTGTGTGTGTGTGTGTGACAGAGTTTTGCTCTTTTAGCCCAGGCTAGAGTGCAATGGCACAATCTTGGCTCACTACAACCTCTGTGTCCCAGGTTCAAGCGGTTTTCCTGCCTCAGCCTCCTAAGTAGCTCGGATTATAGGCGCCTGTCATCATGCCTTGCTAATTTTTGTATTTTTAGTAGAGACAGGGTTTCACCATGTTGGCCAGGCTGGTCCTGAACTCCTGACCTCAGGTGATACATCCGCCTCGGCCCCCCAAAGCGCTGGGATTATAGGCATGAGTCACCACGTCTGGCATAGTTTTTCTTGAATAAATGATTTTTAATTGATTGTTTGCCTTTGGTTAATTTCTAAAGTCGTGAAATGATTGATTTTGATAATTTTTGATTTTGCCAGTATTTTCATTACTTTTTGGGGGAAGAGGATTTACTGAGGTCCTTCCTCTCACTCTGTCATTTCAGAAGTCCAGCCTAAAAGCCTTTCTTTTAAAACTGCAAAAAAGTACAGAAAATCATAATTTTAACAAACACTCTTGTACTTCCTTCCCAGTATTAGCAAATATTAACATTTTGTCATTTTTTTAAAAATAAAAGAAACAGGCCAGGCACGGTGGCTCACGCCTGTAATCCCAGCACTTTGGGAGGCCGAGGCGGTCATATCACAAGGTCAGGAGTTCAAGACAAGCCTGACCAAAACGGTGAAACCCCGTCTCTACTAAAAATACAAAAATTAGCCAGGTGTGGTGGTGTGCACCTGTAATCCCAGCTACTCAGGAGGCTGAGGTAGGAGAATCTCTTGAACTCGGGAGGCGGAGGTTGCAGTGAGCCGAGATCCCACCACTGCACTCCAGCCTGGGCGACAGAGGGAGACTCCATCTCAAAATAAATAAATAAATAAATAAAATTAAAAAAATAAAAAGAAAAGAAAAGAAACAGAGGTTTACAAATAAAGTTGAAGTCCCATTTTTCCCCTCCTGAGGCCTATTCCTCTTATCTCCTCCCCAGGTAAACAGTATCATGAATTTTGTGAGTATCCTTCTAAACTATGTTTTTATACTTTTGCTACATATATTTGTACCTGTAATCAATACAGAATTCTTTTTGTAAAATTACCAGATTGTTACACTCAAATTATAGGAATCTTGGCCAGGCACGGTAGCTCACGCCTGTAATCCCAGCACTTTGCGGGGCCGAGGCGGGTGGATCGCATGAGGTCAGGTGTTTGAGACCAGCCTGGCCAACATGGTGAAATCCCGTCTCTACTAAAAATACAAAAATTAGCCAGGCGTGGTAGCAGGTGCCTGTAATCCCAGCTACTCAGGGGGCTGAGGCAGGAGAATTGCTTGAACCCAGGAGGCAGAGGTTGCAGTGAGCCAAGATCACGCTACTGTACTCCAGCCTGGGTGACAACAGCGAGACTCCATCTCAAAAAAAAAAAAAATTATAGGGATCTTTCTGCAACTTGCTTTCTGTGTTCAGTATTACCTTTTGAGCTTTATGCTGATACTTTAGATTTAGATCATTTATTTTAACTGCTGTGCTAGCGGAAATATGAGTGTCATAGTTCACTTTCCATACCTTTATTGGTGGATATTTGGTGGTTTCTAAAATTTTGTTGTCATTCTTGTACATGTTAAAATTTGCCATAATTTCCCTATGGTATGAACTACAAGTGGAATAGGTAGTAAGGCATGTGTGTGTATGTGTGTATATGTGTGCATGTGTGCACATGTGTGTATTTTTTTTTTGAGACAGGGTCTTACTTTGTCACCCAGGCTAGAGTGTAGTGTTGTGTACATGGCTCACTGCAACCTTGACCTCCTGGGCTCAAGCAGTCCTCTTGCCTCAGCCTCCTAAGTAGCTGGGACTATAGGTGTGCGCCACCATGCCCAGCTAATTTTTTGTATTTTTTTGTGGAGACGGGTTTTGCCATGTTGCCCAGGCTGTATATTTTCAATAATACTAAATGTATTACCTCTTATCCGTCATAAGTGGAATCAATTTGCCATGTATATTTAAGAGTTTCACATCTTTGTAAGTGAAAATTGCTTTATAATATTCTCGTCTTTTATCCTTCTTTGCTTTTGGCATATAAGCATTATCTTGCCAATTTTATTTTGGTTACTAAGTGCCAGATGTAGCTTTTCCCGTAATTTTATTTTCAACACATCTCTGTCATTTTGCCCTAATTGTCTTCTGAAAACATGGAGCTGATTTTTTTAAAATGCAATTTGATATGGTTGGCATTTAACTAATAGGGTTAATATATAGTTATTGTGAAATTACTATATTTGTATTTCTTCTTTTAGTATATTTTCTACATAGCCTGCTTTTCATTACTTCTTTTTTCTTGCCTTTGCTGGATTTTCCTTACCCGCTTTTTCCTCTTTAGTCATTATCTTTCTGAATTACTGAAGTATCAAGCATTATTCTTAGCCAGGTTTTGTGTATGGCAAATTCTTTGTCTTTTCTTGTCCAAAAATGTCTTTGTCATCTTTCTTTATGATAATTTATCTGGGTATAGAGTTCTAAGATGAAAGCTTGTCTCGGGACAGAGAAGATATTATTCTTTAATCTTCTGCCTTCTTTTTTGAAGAAGTCTGATGTTGATATAATTATTTCTTTATAGGGGATATTTTTACTTATTCATGGTAGCTTACAATATTTTCTTTCTGACTTGAAAGCCTTGTGGCTACACTGAACTTTGTCTAAGTGCAGACTTGTTTATTTTCCACACTCAAGGACTTTGGACATTCAGTGGTAGGATACATGCCTTTCTTCCATTTTAGAAAAGAATCAGTCATTGTATCTTCAAATACTGCCTAGATCAGGGGTCCCCAAGACGACTCCCATACTCAGATATTCTCTAGAGAAATTCATGGAACTCAGCATATAGTTGTAATCATGGGTAAGATTTATTACAGTGATGTAGTAATGATAAACAACTGGATTATAAGGGAAAAAGGCACAGGCAGAATCTGGAGGCATCCATGTGCAGGCTTCCTTATGCTGTCTGCCTGTCATGAATACAGAGCACACTCTAACTTCCTTATGCTGTCTGCCTATCATGAACACAGAGCACACTCTAACTCCAGTATCAAAGATGCACCAACATGTGTGATGTTTATGCCAAGGGAAGCCTATTAGAGACTAAGTGATTTCCCAAGATCTGTCATCTAATTTATTAAATCTGTCTTATCTGTGGCTAGTCTACTGTTCAACCTATTTAGAGTTTTTTTTTTAAATAATGCCTACCTTAAAAATACTCATCTGTCTTTTTTCAAAATTTCCTGCTATTTCCTTCATAGTCTAGTTCTTACCTTATCTTTGTACATTTGAAATATACTTATTTTAAAGTACAGATTGTTCTATTATCTACAGTTCTAGGAATGTGAGTATATTTAAATGTATCGGTCAATTCTTTCTAATGATGGATCAGCTCCTTCTAAGGTTTTAAATTTTCTTTTCTTTTTTTTTTTTTGAGACGGAGTCTTGCTCTGTCACCTAGGCTGGGGTGCAGTGGTGGGATCTCAGCTCACTGCAACCTCCGCCTCCCAGCTTCAAGCAATTCTCCTGCCTCAGCCTCCTGAATAGCTGGGATTACAGGCACCTGCCACCACGCCCAGCTAATTTTTGTATTTTTAGTAGAGACAGGGTTTCACCATGTTGGCCAGTCTGGTCTTGAACTCCTGACCTCGTGATCCACCCACCTCGGCCTCCCAAAGTGCTGGGATTACAGGCGTGAGCCACCGCGCCCAGCCAGGTTTTAAATTTTCTACTGTGAACTCCTCAATGAGAGTTGGTTTTCCCTAGAAGTTCTGTGATGTCTTCAGCTATAAAGACATGAGTGTGTGTATGTGTATATATATATATATATAACTGCAAGGGCTCCCATGCTTGTTAAACAGGAACTAGAAGGATTCCCCACTAGCCAGAGAAATTGGCAAGAAGGATGTTATATATAAGACATCAAAAGCCTAATTCTGTAACTCAATCCAAATGATTACAAGCATAGTACAGAGCCTATAAACTGAAAAATTTTTAAAGTTGGTCTTGTTATTGGTAGGTTCATAGCAGTGGCAACCTTTCATATATGTATACACACACACACACACACACACACATATATATACAATTATATGTATATATATATATAAGCTTTAAGCCAAAATTACACTCTGACTTTGCTGAATTCCTGAACATTTGTGCCTTATGGTCCCCTTCAAATCCTCAAGCTGTTCTGTTTACTCTCTCACTTTAAATTCCCACTTCATTTTGATACCTAATACATTTCTTTTCTTGATTTTGAGCCTGGGACATGGGAAGGGTCCTCCATCCACATCAGCTCAAGTCATGTTGATAGGAGTTCACTGCTTGGGCATTTAGGGATTAGTTATTTCATAAATTATAGTGGGAAGACAAGTTTGATGATTCATTGCATTTTCTTCTAGAAGTCTGGGAAGTTGACGAGCAGATAGATCACTACAAGGAAAGCCAAGACAAATTTCTGTGGCAAGCTGCATTCATAGGCAAGGAAACACTGAAGGATGAAAGTGGTCAAGAATGTAAAATATGTAGAAAAATCATTTATCTCAACACAGACTTTGTTTCTGTAAAACAAAGACTCCCTAAATATTATTCATGGGAAAGGTGTTCAAAACATCATTTAAACTTTCTTGGTCAAAATAGAAGCTATGTAAGAAAGAAAGATGATGGATGTAAGGCATATTGGAAAGTATGCCTCCATTATAATCTTCATAAAGCTCAACCTGCAGAGAGATTTTTTGACCCTAATCAACGAGGGAAAGCCCTCCACCAAAAGCAAGCCCTTAGAAAAAGTCAGAGAAGTCAAACTGGGGAGAAACTCTACAAATGTACTGAATGTGGAAAAGTGTTTATCCAGAAAGCAAACTTAGTTGTACATCAAAGAACTCACACCGGAGAGAAACCTTATGAATGCTGCGAATGTGCAAAAGCCTTCAGCCAGAAGTCAACCCTCATAGCACACCAGAGAACTCACACAGGGGAGAAGCCCTATGAATGCAGTGAATGTGGAAAAACCTTTATCCAGAAGTCAACTCTGATTAAACATCAACGAACTCATACAGGAGAGAAACCATTTGTATGTGACAAATGTCCAAAAGCCTTTAAGAGTTCATATCATCTTATTAGACATGAAAAAACACACATTAGACAAGCATTTTATAAAGGTATTAAATGTACTACGTCCAGCCTTATATATCAAAGAATTCACACAAGTGAGAAACCTCAGTGCAGTGAACATGGGAAAGCCTCTGATGAGAAGCCCAGTCCCACTAAACATTGGAGAACTCATACAAAAGAGAACATTTATGAGTGTAGTAAATGTGGGAAAAGCTTCAGAGGAAAGTCACACCTCTCTGTTCATCAGAGAATTCATACAGGAGAGAAACCCTATGAATGTAGTATATGTGGGAAGACTTTCAGTGGAAAGTCACACCTCTCTGTCCATCATAGAACTCATACAGGAGAGAAACCTTATGAATGCAGAAGATGTGGGAAAGCCTTTGGGGAGAAGTCAACCCTTATTGTACATCAGAGAATGCATACAGGAGAGAAACCCTATAAATGCAACGAATGTGGGAAAGCCTTTAGTGAGAAGTCACCACTGATTAAACATCAGAGAATTCATACAGGAGAGAGACCCTATGAATGCACTGACTGTAAAAAAGCCTTCAGTAGGAAGTCAACTCTCATCAAACATCAGAGAATTCATACAGGAGAAAAACCTTACAAATGTAGTGAATGTGGGAAGGCCTTCAGTGTGAAATCAACTCTCATTGTGCATCACAGAACTCATACAGGAGAGAAACCTTATGAATGCAGAGACTGTGGGAAAGCATTCAGTGGGAAGTCAACTCTCATTAAACATCAGAGAAGTCACACAGGAGATAAAAACCTATGATTATACTTGAGAGTGGGATAATTATACTAGTAGTTATTTGTCATTTGACTATTACTAGTCTCATTATTTGTCAAATAATCATGGCGAGTAATCTTATAAATGTCCAGAATATTGGAAATTCTTCATATGTTAATGTTCATTTAACTTAATACAAAGTACAAAAGTATAATTCCAGAGGTGTCAATAAATGTGATCAGTTTTTTCACCCAGAATTCTTCACCCAGGAGTGAAGAACTGTATGTCAAATAATTCAAAAGGGGCAAAACTGAATGTAGTTATGTGGGAAAGCCTTCAGAAATAATTTAAATGGCACTGTTTATCAGAGTATGTATGCCGAGGAAAACTAAGAATTTAGTGAGCTTATAAAACCATGGTAGCCAGGCGTGGTACGTAGCTCACACCTGTAATCCTAGCACTTTTGGGAGGCTGAGGTGGGCAGATTGCTTGAGCTCACAAGTTTGAGACCAGCCTGGGCAACATGGCAAAACTCTGTCTCTACAAAAAATACAAAAGTTATCTGAGTGTAGTGGTGCATACCTTTAGTCCCAGCTACTCAGGAGGTTGAAGTAGGAGGGTGGCTTGAGCCCAGGAGGCAGAGGTTGCAGTGAACTGAGATCGTGCCACTGCACTCCAGCCTGGGCATTATAGCCAGACCTTGTCAAATAAATAAATAAACAAACCCATGGTATAAATGAGAGGAATCATGCTCTATATTCTTTTATTAATAGAGACAGGGTCTTGCTATGTTGCCCAGGCTGGTCTTGAACTCGTAGCGTTAATTGATCCTCCCACCTTTGCCTCCCAAAGCACTTGTATTATAGATATGAGCCACCACACTTACCATGTTCTTTACCAAACATTTTGTGGAAGAGGTGTAGAGGTGGCAAACAATTATAAATTTAAGATATGTTCACTGTGGAGTAGAGTATGATTATTTATTTATTTAGAGATGGAGTTTCGCTCTTCTCGCCCAGGCTGGAGTGCAGTGGCACGATCTTGGCTCACTGCAGCCTCTGCCTTCCAGGTTCAAGTGATTCTCCTGCCTCAGCCTCCCAAGTAGCTGGGATTACAGGCACCCACCACCACACCCGGCTAATTCTTTTTTTTTTTTTTTTTTTTTAGTAGAGACGCAGTTTTGCCATGTTGGGCAGGCTGGTCTCGAACTCCTGACCTCAGGTAATCCGCCCGCCTCAGCCTCCCAAAGTGCTGGGATTATAGGCGAGAGCCACCACGCTCAGTGAGTATGACATTTTTAAAAGAACAGTATAAAGCATAAAATATCCCATGTGGGGCAAACTCCCAGATTATTTTCCTAAACAAATAGAAAAAATGCTTCCTGAAATAGGGTAAGAGAGGATGAGTCATCAGGATCCCTGAAACAAAGATCTCAAACAGGAGACCTTACGTATATTATTCATCAATATCTTCAGTGCAAAAATGCAAAGCCATTACAGAAAGGGCACATAGTAAGCTTTTACATACTTTCCTTAGGAACAGTGCTTAGAACTTAAAATTCTCCATGTTTTAATAAAGAGTAATAATTTTATGGTGAAGCAATATAAGATTTAAAATTTTCAGAGTATCTTCCATAACAGCAGTATTATTTAAAGTAGTGAAAAAATAAGACAATTTAATATCCAATGATAGATGATTAAAAATTGGTATGTCAGGTGAAATAACATGCACCAATTAAGACTACTGGCAAATTTGGGAAAATGTTCGTGGTAAATCATTAGGTAAAAAATATTATAAAACAATAACCATATGATTAATATTGTACAAACAGGAAGTATATGAACCATTATATCAGTGATTCTGGGTGGTTGACATATAAAAATTTTGTGATGAGTAAAGTTATATGCACATATAAGTATAAATTTGTATTTATTTAAGTATAAATTTGTATTCACCTATTTCATAGGTGAGTGTGTGTGTATAGATAAACACATGGAACAAAAAGTTAGGTATATCTGTGTAGTGTGGAGGGAAAAAGCTAGGAAAGAAATACACCAAATTATTAAGTAAATTGGCATTTGAATGTGGGGATTATTGATGTGTAAAAATTTTTTTGATTGTAGTCTCCAGAAATCACCAATAAAGTATATCGTTTAAAGTGTATATTACGCATGCTTATTTTCTTTTCCCATCCATTTTGCCACTCAGCTTTGTCTTTAATATGTAACATCATTCTCTTCTTAAAATGACCCCATTTTCACATATGTATACATATTGCCTATTTGTTTTCCATATGATTGAGTTTACAGGTTTGAGTGTGTACATAGTTGACCCTTGAACAACATGGGTTTGAACTGTGTATGTCCACTTATATGTGGATTTTCTTCCATATGTGCCACCACTGAGACAGCAAGATCATGTAAGATGTGACTTGGTCCTCCTTGCCTTCCACTATGATTGTGAGGCCTCCCCAGCCACATGGAACTGTAAGTCCATTAAACCTCTTTGTTTTGTAAATTGCTCAGTCTCGGGTCTGTCTTTATCAGCAGCATGAAAATGGATTAATACAGCTTCCAAATCCTAATGGATTGTACTGTGACACACAGGGACTTGGGATAGATTTGGAAATTCACAGCAGCCAGGTGCAGAGCTTTTAGTAGAAAATTATGTGCCAAGGAAATCAGACTTGAAGTTCAGATTCCACCAGTGATGATGGGCCTTGTTAAATACCACAGGCTTTCAGCTGGAATCTCTGAAGGACTGTACCTAGGAATTAGGAAGGAGTAAACATAGACCAGATCTTAAGATTGATACCACACCTTGAATGAGCTCACTAACTGAATTCAGGTAATTTGCTCCTGCTATAATTACCTTCAGAAACTAAAGCTTGGCTGTGTGTGGTGGCTTATGCCTGTAATCCCAGCACTTTGGGAGGCCAAGGTGGGAGAATTACTTGAGGCCAGGAATTCGAAACCAGCCTCACAATATAGTGAAACGTTGTCTCTACAATAAATAAAAAAGTAGCCAGGTGTGGTGGCTCACACCTGTAGTCCCATTTACTCAGGAGGCTGAGGTGGGAGGATTGTTTGAGCCCAGGAGTTCAAGGCTGCAGTGAACTATGATTGTGCCACTGTACTCCAGCCTGGCCAACAGAGCAAGACACTGTCTCTAAACAAACAAAAGAAACAAAAGCTCATCTAGAGCTTCTACAATTTCTTATGCACAATGGCATTCAATCAAAAATTGCCAGGTATACCCAGAGTCAGAAGAAAAAAGTGGACAATAGAAGCAGGCCCACAGGCCTTTCAGATATAAAAGCTATGAATCATGGATTCTAAAATAATTGAATAATATGGTCAAGGAAATATATAACATTCATAAGAAAATGTGAATTATTTTCAATAATCATTTATGCTTATTTAAAAATTTTCCTGGAGTTTATTTTCTTGTTTGTCTAGGGTCTCAAATATACCATCTAATTTATGGAACTTCCCTTTTCTTTGGCATTACAATTCTGGATAGTTATTAACTTTGAGGGGTGGGACTGGATTAGAGAAAAGGTACTGGCTCCATAGCAAGCTAGAAACTTCTCTATAGAAAAGTTATCTGCAGAGGATGATATTGCTTTGCTTCTGATATGCTTTGGCTGTGTCCCCACCCAAATCTCACCTCAAATTGTATCTCCCACAATTCCCATGTGTTGTGGGAGGGACCCAGTGGGAGGTAATTATATCATGGGGCCAGTCTTTCTCGTGCTATTCTCGTGATAGTGAATAAGTCTCACAAGATCTGATGGTTTTAAAAATGGGAGTTTCCCTGCACAAGCTCTCTCTCTTTGCCTGCTGCCATCCATGTAAGATGTGACTTGGTCCTCCTTGCCTTCCACTATGATTGTGAGGCCTCCCCAGCCACATGGAACTGTAAGTCCATTAAACCTCTTTGTTTTGTAAATTGCTCAGTCTCGGGTCTGTCTTTATCAGCAGCATGAAAATGGATTAATACAGCTTCCAAATCCTAATGGATTGTACTGTGACACACAGGGACTTTCCAAGGGTGTCATACAACATTTCCATCTGGCACAGACATGTCAGCTCCATATGATATGCTAGGTCATATGGCCCAAGAGACAGTGTGCATGACAGATCAGGTCTGTTTAAAAGTTATTCTTGCTCTGGGCCACAGTGAAAATTGGCAATTTTGTGGGTTAGTCAGTAAATGGACTGGAGCAGCATGACAAAATGAGGTTTATGGCGCCTAACACAAGGAGTGGTTTCTCAAAAGTAGTATAATTCTCTGTTGCAGATTTAATGGCCTTGCTCCAAAATCCCAGGGATGCTCTCCCACTTCATTTTTTCCACCCCTGACACCTCCACCCCAAAGTCTGCCAGATCATATGATCTAAGCAACAAGGCTGTGTGTACCAAGACTGTGTACTGTAGAGCCTTTCCTGCTCTAGGCCCCACTCAAAGCTGGCAGCCTTCTGTATCACTTGGTATATGGGCCAGAGAAGCACTTCTAGACGTGTGATATGTTACCTTTAGATCCCAAGGAGGCTTAACATGGGCTGTACTTCTCTTTTGCAAAATTAAACTTGGTCTCGTTGAGCTTGCGATAGTCTACAGTCATTCTGTAGGATCTATCTGGTTTTTGAAAAGGCCAGAATGATTAATTAAACAGAAATATAATAGTAACCACCACTCCATCATTTAGGTCTTTAATGGTGACACTATCATCCCCTAGAGTGCAATATTGTTTTAAATTTACCATCTTGGCCAGGACACCATTATTGCCTGGACCCATTAAGTCCCCACATGATAGGAGGGCCATGATGATGGTTTCAGTGTCTGTGTATTGATGTCAACTTTGAAAGCTGTTTCTGATAGTCCTAAAAATTTCTTGGTATTTCCTTTCCCAAGTGTATAGTCACCCAAATAAATGGCCATAGGTTACTTTGGGGAGAGACTAGGGTAAGCATTATAATCTATGCCTGCCATAAAACTAAGGTTCTTCCTCTGAGGCACATGGACAACTCTGTAGACAAATGGTTCTAGATCTGAAGATTGGCTCAGGTCTGGGAACTGAGCAAGGAACACTCATATTTTACTGAGGTAGTTGTCCTCAGACACCTGCTCTTTGAATCTTTCCTTTTTCTGATTGTAATATTAAATAGCTGACCTTTTGGGTACCCATCAATTTAACTCTTAGGAATGCCAGGCTTATCAGCAGAATTGATACAACTGAGAAAAGAATTAATGAGCTTGAGGCTGGGCATGGTAGCTCATGCCTGTAAACCCAGCACTTTGGGAGGCCAAGGCAGGAGGATCACTTGAGGCAAGGAGTTTGAGACTCAGCCTGGGCAACAAAGTGAGAACCCATCTCTACACACAGACACACACAGACACACACACACACACAGACACACACAGACACACACACACACACACATTCCCAGCTTAGCCTGGGCAACAAAGTGAGAACCCGTCTCTACACACACACACACACACACACACACACACACACACACACCACAGAGAGAGACCCAGCTACTTGGGAGGCTGAGGTGGGAGGATCGCTTAGGCCCAGGAATTGGAGGCTACAGTGATCATGCCACTATACTCAAGCCTGGTCAACAAAGCAGGACCCCCTGTTTCTAAAAAAATTTTTTTTAAATAATAGAATTAATGAGCTTGAGAGTAAGCGTTCAGGGTTTCACTATTTAATATGATGTTGGCTGTGGCTTTTTGTAGCTGCTGTTTAACAGACTGAGGAATTTCCCTTCTATTCCTAGTTTACTGAGAGGTGTTTATTTTCTTTCATGAATATATATTAACTTTCCAAGTGATTTTCCTGCAACCATTGAGATGATCATGGTTTATTTCTTTTTCTTAAGACAGCATCTCACTTTGCTGCCCAGGCTGGAGTGCAGTGGTGCAACCATGGCTTACTGCAACCTTGACCTCCTGGGCTCAAGCAATCCTCCCACATCAGCCTCCCAAGTAGCTGGGACTACAAGCATGCACCACTACGCCTGGCTAATATTTTAATTTTTTGTAGAAACAGTCTCCCTATGTTGCCCAGGCTGGTTTTGAACTCCTGGGCTCAAGCAATCCTCCCACCTCAGCCTCCTGAATAGCTGGGACTACAGGGATGCACCACCACACCCAGCTACTTTTTAAATTTTTTGTAGATATGGGGTCTCACTGTGTTGCCCAGGCTAGTCTTGAATTCCTTCACTCAAGCAATCCTTCTTTAAATCCTCCCAAAGTGCTGTGATTACAGGTGTGAGCCACTGTGTCTGGCCTGCCTTCATTTTTGAATATTTTTTCTGGGTTTTGAATTCAATATCAACAATTTTGTTTTTTCTTTCTGCCTTTTAAAGCTTTCATTCCTCTGTGTTTTGGGTTGCATCATTTCTGACATGAAGTTATCTTCCATTCCTCACCTTTCCTTTCAATCTTCAAGAATAGTTCTAATATTTTAATAGATTTTTAAAAGTCCACCATATTTGTAATTTCTTGGTCTATTTTCATTATCTGATTTTTTTCTTAGCTAGGCATCACATTTCCTATATCTTCACATCTTAATATCTGATTGGATATTAAATAAATTTACATAATAAATTTACATTGTTGAATGCTAGATTTTGTTGTATTCCTTTAAAGAATGTTGGACTTCATTCTAGCAAGTGGTTAAGATGCTTCATTCTTTCAAGACTAATTTGTACCTTTGTTAGGGTAAGTTTAATGGTATCCTTCCCTCTGGGGATATTTTTATTAATTAATTAATTTATTTATTTATTACTTTAAGTTCCAGGATACATGTGCAGAACATGCAGGTTTGTTACATGGGTATGCGTGTGCCATGGTGGTTTGCTGCACCCGTCCTCTAAGTTCCCTCCCACCAGGCCCTGGTGTGTGTTGTTCCCCTCCCTGTGTCCCTGTGTTCTCATTGTTCAGCTCCCACTTATGAGTGAGAACATGCAGTGTTTGGTTTTCTGTTCCTGTGTTAGTTTGCTGAAGATGATGGCTTCCAGCTTCATCCATGTCCCTGCAAAGGACATGATCTCATTCCTTTTTATGGCTGCATAGTATTCCATGGTGTATATGTACCATGTTTTCTTTATCTGGTCTATCATTGATGGGCATTTGAGTTGGTTCCATGACTTTCCTATTGTAACTAGTGCTGCAGTAAACATATGTGTACATGTGTCTTTATAGTAGAATGCTTTATATTCTTGTGGGTATATACCCTGTAATGGGATCGCTGGGTCAAATGGTATTTCTGGTTCTAGATCCTTGAGGAATCGCCACACTGTCTTCCACAGTGGTTGAACTAATTCACGTTCCCACCAACAGTGTAAAAGCATTCCTATTTCTCCACAGCCTTACCAGCATCTATTGTTCTTGACTTTTTAATAATAACCATTCTGGCTGGCCTGAGATGGTATCTCATTGTGGTTTTGATTTGCATTTCTCTAATGGTCAGTGATGTTGGGCTTTTTTTCCTATGTTTGTTGGCCACGTAAATGTCTTCTTTTGAGAACTGTCTGTTCATATCCTTTGCCCACTTTTTGATGGTTTTTTTTTTCTTGTAAATTTGTTTAAGTTCCTAGTAAATTCTGGATATTAGACCTTTGTCAAATGGGTAGATTGCAAAAATTTTCTCCCATTCCCTTCGAGGGCTATTTTATCCCCACTACTAAGACATGACTCCCGTGGGGTCTCCACTGATTGCCTGGGGGTGATTGACAAGAACTCTCCACTCTGACTTGCTAGAACTCACACATTCCATCCCTGTGTGACCTCTGGAAACTCTTCAGCTTACAGCTCCCCAACTGCTCTTTCCCTTGCCTTGTGGAGTTCCACTATACACAGCTTAATATTCAGTTACAAACCCAAGGGGACCTCATGCAGATTTCTCTTATTCTCTCTTGTCAACAACTCCCTTTTCTGCTGAAACTTCCAGTAGCTTTGGACTTCCTGAGTACTGACCTCTTAACTCTGTGAACCATCATGTTCTTCTTCAAACCCCCGTCCCTGTATCACATTTTGCAAAGTACCTCCAGGCAGGAAGCCAGGGCAATCATAGAGCTCACCTCATTTGTTTTCCTTTTCTCAGCTTTATAATCCTGTGCTGCCTTTGTTCAATATACAAAAACTGTTACCTCATATAGTGTATATATATTATTTCTAGTTGTTTATAGCAGGTGGGTAAGTTTGGACCTGATTACTCCATCATGGCTGGAAATGAATTTTGGTATATTATTTGAATTGGGATTCTCAAAGCTTCTTGACCCCATAGTTTGATCTCTTTCACTGGATTTTTATCAATTTTAACCATTGTCTCAAATATTATTCCTGTTCCAATGTTTCTCTCTTCTCTGGGACCCCAGTTATATGTGCTTTACCTTTTGGCTGTGTCCCAAATGCCTAACACTGTCTGTGTTATTTGCATTTTTTCCCTCCCCATGAGACAAATCTATTGACTTGTCTTCACGTTCATGAATCCTGTCTTCTGTTGTGTCCAATCTGCTGTTAAAACCCATACAGTAAGTTCCTGGGTACTGTATTTTGTTTCAGTTTGTAGCATAAATATTTCATTCATTTTTAGATATTACAAATATTTTGAAATCCTTCATATTTTAATCCATTTCCTTTACATCTGTTATATTAATGGTAATTTAAAGTGCTTTTGGCTAATTCCAGTATTAAAATCATCTAAGTTTTCTGCATTAGTTTTCTATTGCTGCCAAAACAAACCTCCAAAAACTTAGTGGTTTAAAACAACACCTATTTATTTATTTAGAGACAAAGTCTCACTCTCTTGCCCAGGCTGGAGTGCAATGGCACAATCTTGGCTCACTGCAACCTCTGCCTCTCAGGTTCAAGCAATTCTCCTGCCTCAGCCTCCCAAGTAGCTGGGACTATAGGCACACGCCACCATGCCTAGCTAATTTTTTTGTATTTTTAGTAGAGATGGGGTTTCACCATGTTAGTCAGGCTGGTCTTGAACTGACCTCAAATGATCCGCCCGCCTCAACCTCCCAAAGTGCTGGGATTACAGGTGTGAGCCACTGCATCCAGCCAACAACACCCATTTATTAATTCATAGTTTTGTAGGTCAGAATTACAGATGGGCTTAGCCGAGTTCTGTCTCACAAGGTGGAAATCATGATGTAAGCCAGGCTAGGATCTTATCTGGAGGTTGAATCTGCTTATATGCTCATTAAGGTTCTTGGCTGAATTCTATTTCTTTTGATTGTAGAATTGAGGGCCTCATTCTAGCTGGCTGTCAGCCAAGGGCTACTTTCAGATCCTGGAGGTTGTTCAAAGTTCCTTACTATGAGCCTTCTCCATATCAGTAACAGAATCTCCCTTGTGTTCTAATCCCTCCTGTACTTCAAATCTGTGACTCCCTCTTTTGCCACCCAACAGGAGAAAGTTCTCTGCTTTTAAAGAGCTCATGTGAAAACATTAGGCCCACTCAGACAATCTGCCTTTGGCCATTTAAAGTAACATAATCACAGAAGTGATATTTTATTGTATTCACAGGTTCTCCAGACACTCAAACTGTGGAGGGAATGATACAATGAAGAGGGTCTATCACTGAATTCTTTTTCTCAGCAAGGAACATCCCTGAGAAAGAGAATGCATCCCTGAGGGGAGGCCTCTGAAATGGCCACTTTGGGGATGGCTGTCTTTTACGCTTGTAGCTGAGGGATGAAATAAGCCCCGGTTTCCCGTAGCGCTCCCAGGCTTATTAGGACGAGGAAATTCCCACCTAATAAATTTTGGTCAGACCGGTTGTCTGCTCTCAAACCCTGTCTCCTGATAAGATGTTATCAATGACAATGTGTGCCCAAAACTTCATTAGCAATTTTAATTTTGCCCCGGTCCTGTGGTCCCGTGATCTTGCCCTGCCTCCGTTTGCCTTGTGATATCTTATTACCTTGTGAAGCATGTGATCTCTGTGACCCACACCCTATTCGTACACTCCCTCCCCTTTTGAAAATCACTAATAAAAACTTGCTGGTTTCATGGCTTGGGGGCATCATGGAACCTGCCAACATGTGATGTCTCCCCCGGACACCCAGCTTTAAAATTTCTCTCTTTTGTACTCTGTCCCTTTATTTCTCAGACCGGCCGACACTTAGGGAAAATAGAAAAGAACCTACGTGAAATATCGGGGGTGAATTTCGCCCAATATCTGGCGCCCACATGGTCTTTCTTTTTCCCTAAGTGCATGTGGGAACCCGATTCCCTTTGGTAGGTGCGGAGAAATGTCATTGGTTTGGGTCCACAGATGCACGTGTTCGACTCCCTGACGACTGGTGAGTAGTCTGTGTATGGTCCCGGTTAACTATGGGTCACACGGAGTATAAAAATTATACTTATCTCTTCTATATTAAACTCCGGTTAAAACAGAAAAAGGTTCAAGTGCCCATGGGAAATATGGTCACTCTATTCAGGGCAGTGGTAAAATTCTGTCCTTGGTCTCCTGAAAAAGGAACCTTAGATGTAGACCTGTTGAAACAGGGAAGGGTCCGAGTAACCATGGAAAATATGGTCACTCTATTCAGGGCAGTGGAAAAATACTGTCCTTGGTTTCCTGAAAAAGGAACCGTATATGTAAAAGTATGGGATCATGTTGGTTCAACATTCTGGGAGCTGGTCCCGGCAAGGAATTATGTTATCGTCACTGTTTGGGGTGGTTGGGCCTTGGTGCGTGCCGTCTTGGTGGTGTGCCGATCCCGTGACCCCCTGCAGTTGTCACAGTTTTCTGCCTTTTCCTCAGTTTCTCTGCCTTTTCCTCAGCCTTCCTCTCCCATACAGCCTTTGTTATCTGCTCAGCCTCTCCCTTCGCCTACTCCTCCCCCACCTAACAATACTAAAAATTCAATGTCTAACTCTGGTAACTTTGGCTTAACGTTACCCCCAATGATCTTCTTTTCATGAAGAGCCGGTACTTGAAGCTCCCGCGGCCGCGACTCACACAGCCTGGGACCATACATATGCTAATTCTTCTCTCTTCAAACCTCCAGTGTCAGCTAATGGCTCCAAGACCAAACTACAACTTACCTATAATTCTCCAGGCCCTCCCCGATCCACTACAGCCCCTCACCCTCCTGTCGTTTCAGTTCCTCAACTGGTCTGTGTCAATATGCGCCACTTAATCTTACTTTTTTAAAACAATTAAAGATGCTTGTACTCAGTAGAGTCCTACTTCTCCTTACGTTAAAATGGTATTGTAAACTTTTTATACAGAGGTCACTTTGCTTCCTTTACACTCGGACCTTTTGGCAAAAGCTGTTCTAACCCCCTCTCAGCCTGGTGGGCAGAGGAGGCCCGTCTGCAGGCTCAGCTAAATCGGACTAATGGCATTCTAACTACTCAGGCTCAGCTCACAGGCTCCGATAGTTTCTCTGATACTTATGCCCAATTAGGCTTTGATGCTCTTACCACAAAACAAGTAACAAAGGTGTGTATGAGAGCTTGGGATAAATTACGCGCCCCAGGCCAAGCTCCTGTTTCTTTTACTACCTTTAAACAAGCTCAATTGCTTTTACTACCTAATATCGTTTTAAACAAAGGAGATAACACACGTGGCCCTGGGATGGGCTCTGGTGGTGAAAAGGCCACTTAGTAGATTAATGTAATTTCTAAACAATGGCCCACCTTTACCATACACATTCAAGGAAAAAAGTTTTGAGGGCCTAGTAGATACTGAGGCTGAAATTAATATTCCACATAACTCTTATAGTGCTCCCAGTCAGCATATGATGGAAAACATGGGGTTTGTTCCTGGGCTTGGTCTGGGTCTAAAGCATGAAGGGATTACTAAACCCCTCCCAATTACTATAAAATAAGACAGTAATGGTTTAGGTTATCCTTTTTAGTGGCGGCCGCTGCCACGCCTCCTGATCCTATCCCTTTACAGTGGAAATCTGACACACCCGTTTGGATTCAGCAGTGGCCGCTTTCTAAAGAAAACTGGAAGCTTTAACTCAATTGGTTTCTGAACAGTTACAACTTGGAAATGTGGAACCTTCTCTTTCCCCCTGGAATTCTCCTGTGTTTCTAGTAAAAAAGAAATCAGGCAAATGGCGGATGGTAACCAATGTAAGGGCCATTAATGCTGTAATTAAACCTATAGGAGCCATCCAACCTGGCATGCCTGCCTCTGCTTTAATACCTAAAAATTGGCCTCTCCTAGTTATTGATCTTAAAGATTGTTTTTTTCATATTGCTTTACATAAATCGGATTGTAAAAAATTTGATTTTACTGTACCATCTATCAATAATCAGGAGCCTGCAGCTCGTTATCAATGGAAAATACTTCCTTAGGGAATGCTAAATAGCCCTACAATCTGCCAGCTTTATGTTGGATAAGTGCTTTCACTAGTTTGAGCCCAATTTCCCCAGGCCTATATTCTTCATTATATTGATGATATTTTAATTGCTGCCCCCACTGATAAATAAATAATTGACTGTTATCAAAGTTTGAGCCACTGTGTTATAGAGGCTGGATTACACATTGCTCAGGATAAAATTCAACAGACCACTGCTGTTCAATATTTAGGAATGTGGTCGATAAACAACGTATTCAACCTCAAAAAGTTCAAATTAGGAGAGATTCCTTCAAAACTTTAAATGACTTCCAAAAACTTTTGGGTAACATTAATTATTTAAGACCTACAGACAAGCTTATTTCTACCTCTTATACCTCTGCTCAAAAGGCAGAGTTAATTGCTGTAATTACTGCCTTACAGGATTTCCCCAAACTTTTAAATATTGTCTCTTATTCTGCTTAATGTGGGAAAGAGGATATGCTTGTGTTTCACCAGGAGATCATCAAAAGAAAACCACAGAGAAAAGATGTCTGTGTCAGAGACCGTCCTCAGACGTGGTGAGATCTGTGCCAACTCCTCAGAAGCTGGCATGCCAAATCACAATGGGTCTGATTCAATCCTTCCTGATGGCAATGGAGACCCATCTAACTAATCCCACTTCTCCTGATTACCTTTCTTTTTCTCCTTACAAACCTAAAAATCTCACCATTTCTATTAGCCTTAAAATAACATCCCTCTGTTCTTCTCTTCCTCCTTCAGCACTGAATCTCGCTTACACTAGGTTTTATTTAATGATTCTCCTCCTTATACTTTCTGTCTCACCAGTTTCCTCTCACACTGATTTACCTGCTACACGTAATTATTCTTATTGGGCTTATCAGTTACAGATGACCATTGCCCTGCTGAACCAGGAGAAGAAGGCACTGCATTTAATGTTACCATGGGTTATAAATACCCTGCTCTGTGCCTCGAACATGCACCTGGTTGTATCCATCTAGAAACTCAAGTCTGGGCTGCTTATCTTCCAGGAGATGGCCAAATAGGAACAGCTCTGGTCTATAGCTCCCAGTGAGATTGATGCAGAAGATGGCTGATTTCTGCATTTCCAACTGAGGTACCTGGTTCATCTCATTGGGACAGTGGGTGCAGCCCATGGAGGGCGAGCTGAAGCAGGGCGGGGTGTCGCCTCACCCAGGAAGCGCAAGGGGTCAGGGGATTTCCCTTTCCTAGCCAAGGGAAGACAGGAGTGACTGTACCTGGAGGAGTGGTACACTCCTGCCCAAGTACTGTGCTTTTCCCAGTCTTCGCAACCAGCAGACCAGGAGATCCCCTTCCATGCCTGGCTCGGCAGGTCCCACACCCGTGGAGCCTTGCTCGCTGCTAGTGCAGCAATCTGAGATCGACCTGGGATGCGTGAGCTTGGTGAGGGGAGGGGGGTTGGCCATTGCTGAGGCTTGAATAGGCGGTTTTGTGCTCACAATGTAAACAAAGAGGCCAGGAAGCTCGAACTGGGTGGAGCCTACCACAGCTCAGCAAGGCCTACTGCCTTTCTAGATTCCACCTCTGGGGGCAGGGCATATCTGAACAAAAGGCAACAGACAGCTTCTCCATACTTAAATGTCCCTGCCTGACAGCTCTGAAGAGAGCAGTGGTTCTCCCAGCACAGCGTTCAAGCTCCGATAATGTACAGACTGCTTCTTCAAGTGGGTCCCTGACCCTCGTGTAGCCTGACTGGGAGACACCTCCCAGTAGGGGCCGACAGACACCTCATACAGGCAGGTGCCCCTCTGGGATGAAGCTTCCAGAGGAAGAATCAGGCAGTGATATTTGCTGTTCTGCAACCTCTGCTGGTGATACCCAGGCAAACAGGGTCTGGAGTAGACCTCCAGCAAACTCCAATAGACCTGCAGCTGAGGGGCCTGTCTGTTAAAAGGAAAACTAACAAAAGGAATAGCATCAACATCAACAAAAAGGACATCCACACCAAAACCCCATCTGTAGGTCACCAACATCAAAGACCAAAGGTAGATAAAACCACAAAGATGGGGAGAAACCAGAGCAGAAAGGCGGAAAATTCCAAAGACCAGAATGCCTCTAAACATCCAAAGGAACACAACTCCTCGCCAGCAAGGGAACAAAACTGGACAGAGAATGAGTTTGATGAATTGACAGAAGTAGGCTTCAGAAGGTCAGTAATAACAAACTTCTCTGAGCTAAAGGAGTATGTTGTAACCCATCACAAGGAAGCTAAAAACCTTGAAAAAAGGTTAGATGAAATGGTAACTAGAATAACCAGTGTAGAGAAGAGCTTAAATGACCTGATGGAGCTGAAAACCACAGTACGAGAACTTCGTGAAGCTTACACAAGCTTCAATAGCTGATTCAATCAAGCAGAAGAAAGGATATCAGTAATTGAAGATCAAATTAATGAAATAAAGCAAGAAGACAAGATTAGAGAAAAACGAGTGAAAAGAAACGAACAAAGCCTTCAAGAAATATGGGACTATGTGAAAAGACCAAATCTACGTTTGACTGGTGTACCTGAAAGTGACGGGGAGAACAGAACCAAGTAGGAAAACACTCTTCAGGATATTATCCAGGAGAACTTCCCCAACCTAGCAAGGCAGACCAACATTCAAATTCAGGAAATACAGAGAACACCACAAAGATACTCCATGAGAAGAGCAACCCCAAGACACATAATTGTCAGATTCACCAAGGTTAAAATGAAAGAAAAAATGTTAAGGGCAGCCAGAGAGAAAGGTGGGGTTACCCACAAACGGAAGCCCATCAGACTAACAGGGGAGCTCTCTGCAGAAACCCTATAAGCCAGAAGAGGGTGGGGGTAAATATTCAACATTCTTTTTTTTTTGAGATGGAGTCTTGCTCTGTTGCCCAGGCTGGAGTGCAGTGGTGCGATCTTGGCTCACTGCAAGCTCTACCTTCTGGGTTCATGCCATTCTCCTGCCTCAGCCTCCCGAGTAGCTGGGACTACAGGTGCGTGCCACCATGCCCAGCTAATTTTTTTGTATTTTTGGTAGAGATGGGGTTTCACCATGTTAGCCAGGATGGCCTTGATCTCCTGACCTCATGATCTACTGCCTCGACCTCCCAAAGTGCTGGGATTACAGGCGTGAGCCACTGCATCTGGCCTCAACATTCTTAAAGAAAAGAATTTTCAACCCAGAATTTCATATCCAGCCAAACTAAGCTTCATAAGTGAAGGAGAAATAAAATCCTTTACAGACAAGCAAATGCTGAGAGATTTTGTCACTACCAGGCCTGCCTTACAGAGCTCCTGAAGGAAGCACTAAACTTGGAAAGGAACAACTGGTACCGGCCACTGCAAAAACATGCCAAATTGTAAAGACCACCAACCCTATGAAGAAACTGCATCAATTAACAAGCAAAATAACCAGCTAGCATCATAATGACAGGATCAAATTCACACATAAAAATATTAACCTTAAATGTAAATGGGCTAAATGTCCCAATTAAAAGACACAGACTGGCAAATTGGATAAACAGTGAAGACCCATCAGTGTGCTGTATTCAGGAGACACATCTCACATGCAAAGACACAGATAGGCTCAAAATAAAGGGATGGAGGAAGATCTACCAAGCAAATGGACAGCCAAAAAAAAAAAAAAACAGGGGTTGCAATCCTAGTCTCTGATAAAACAGACTGTAAAATAACAAAGATCAAAAGAGACAAACAAGGCCATTACATAATGATAAAGGGATCAATTCAACAAGAAGAGCTAACTATCCTAAATATATATGCACCCAATACAGGAGGACCCAGATTCATGAAGCAAGTCCTTAGAGACCTACAAAGAGACTTAGACTCCCACAGAATAATAATGGGAGACTTTAACACCCCACTGTCAATATTAGACAGATCAACGAGACAGAAGCTTGACAAGGATATTCAGGACTTGAACTCAGCTCTGGACCAAGCCAACCTAATAGATATCTATAGAACTCTCCACCCCAATCAACAGAATATACATTCTTCTCAGCACCACATCCCACTTATTCTAAAATTGAACACATAATTGGAAGTAAAACACTCCTCAGCAAATGTGAAAGAACAGAAATCACAATGAACTGTCTCTCTGACCACAGTGCAATCAAATTAGAACTCAGGATTAAGAAACTCACTCAAAACTGCACAACTACATGGAAACTGAACAACCTGCTCCTGAATGACTACTGGGTAAATAACAAAATGAAGGCAGAAATAAAGATGTTCTTTGAAACCAATGAGAACAAAGACACAACATAACAGAATCTCTGGGACGCATGTAAAGCAGTGTGTAGAGGGAAATTTATAGGACTAAATGCCCACAAGAGAAAGCAGAAGAGATCTAAAATTGACACCCTAACATCACAATTAAAACAACTAGAGAAGCAAGAGCAAACACATTCAAAAGCTAGCAGAAGGCAAGAAATAACTAAGATCAGAGCAGAACTGAAGGAGATAGAGACACACACACAAAAAGCCCTTCAAAAAAATCAGTGAATTCAGGAGCTGGTTTTTTTAAAAGATCAGCAAAATTGATAGACCACTAGCAAGACTAATAAAGAAGAAAAGAGAGAAGAATCAAATAGACACAATAAAAAAATGATAAAGAGGATATCACCACCAATCCCACAGAAATACAAACTACCATCAGAGAATACTATAAACACCTCTACGCAAATAAACTAGAAAAGCTAGAAGAAATGGATAAATTCCTGGACACATACACCCTCCCAAGACTAAACAAGGAAAAAGTTGAATTTCTGAATAGACCAATAACAGGTTCTGAAATTGAGGCAATAATTAATAGCCTACCAACCAAAAAAAGTCCAGGACCAGATGGATTCACAGCCGAATTCTACGAGAGGTACAAAGAGGAGCTGGTACCATTCCTTCTGAAACTATTCCAATCAATAGAAAAAGAGGGAATCCTCCCTAACTCATTTTATGACGCCAGCATCATCCTGATACCAAAGCCTGGAAGAGACACAATAAAAAAAACAGAATTTTAGGCCAATATCCCTGATGAACATCGATGCAAAAATCCTCAATAAAATACTGGCAAGCCAGATCCAGCAGCACATCAAAAAGCTTATCCACCATGATCAAGTTGGCTTCATTCCTGGTATGCAAGGTTGGTTCAACATATGCAAATCAATAAACGTAATCCATCACATAAACAGAACCAATGACAAAAAACACATGATTATCTCAATAGATGCAGAAAAGGCCTCCGACAAAATTCAACAGCTCTTCATGCTAAAAACTCTCAATAAACTAGGTATCGATGGAACGTATCTCAAAATGATAAGAGCTATTTATGACAAACCCACAGCCAATATCATACTGAATGGGCAAAAACTGGAAGCATTCCCTTCGAAAATGGCACAAGACAAGGATGCCCTCTCTCACCACTCCTATTCAACATAGTGTTGGAAGTTCTGGCCAGGGCAATCAGTCAAGAGAAAGCAATAAAAGGTATTCTGTTGGGAGCAGGCCCCCCAAAATCTGGCCATAAACTGGCCCCAAAACTGGCCATAAAAAAATCTCTGCAGCACCATAACATGTTCATAATGGCCCTAACGCCCAAGCTGGAAGGTTGTGGGTTTACGGGAATGAGGGCAAGGGACACCTGGCCTGCCCAGGGCGGAAAACCGCTTAAAGGCATTCTTAAGCCACCAACAACAGCATGAGTGATCTGTGCCTTAGGACATGCTCCTGCTGCAGTTAACTAGCCCAACCTATTCCTTTAATTCGGCCCATCCCTTCGTTTCCCATAAGGGAAGCTTTTAGTTAATTGAATATCTGTAGAAACAATGCTAATGACTGGCTTGCTGTTAATAAATATGTGGGTAAATCTCTGTTTGGGGCTCTCGGCTCTGAAGGCTGTGAGACCCCTGATTTCCCACTTCACACCTCTATATTTCTGTGTGTGTGTCTTTAATTTCTTTAGCGCTGCTGGGTTAGGGTCTCCCCGACTGAGCTGGTCTCGGCAGTATTCAGTTAGGAAAAGACAAAGTCAAATTGTATCTGTTTGCAGATGACACGATTGTATATTTAGAAAACCCCATCATCTCAGCCCAAAATCTCCTTAAGCTGATAAGCAACTTCAGCAAAGTCTCAGGATACAAAATCAATGTGCAAAAATCACAACCATTCCTATACACCAATAACAGACAAACAGAGATCCAAATCATGAGTGAACTCCCATTCACAATTACTACAAAGAGAATAAAATACCTAGGATCCAACTTACAAGGGATGTGAAGGACCTCTTCAAGGAGAACTACAAATCACTGCTCAATGAAATAAGAGGACACAAACAAATGGAAGAACATTCCATGCTCATGGATAGGAAGAATCAATATCGTGAAAATGGCCATACTACCCAAGGCAATTTACAGATTCAATGCCATCCCCATCAAGCTACCAATGACTTTCTTCACAGAATTGGAAAAAACTAAAGTTCATATGGAACCAAAAAAGAGCTTGCATAGCCAAGACAATCCTAAGCAAAAAGAACAAAGCTGGAGGCATCACACTACCTGACTTTAAACTATATTACAAGGCTACAGTAACCAAAACAGCATGGTACTGGTACCAAAACAGATATATAGACCAATGGAACAGAACAGAGGCCTCAGAAATAAAACCACACATCTACAACCATCTGATCTTTGACAAACCTGACAAAAACAAGAAATGGGGAAAGGATTCCCTATTTAATAAATGGTGCTGGGAAAACTGACTAGTCATATGTAGAAAGCTGAAACTGGATCCCTTCCTTACAACTTATACAAAAATTAAGATGGATTAAAGACTTAAATGTTAGACCTAAAACCGTAAAAACCCTAGAAGAAAACCTAGGCAATACCATTCAGGACATAGACATGGGCAAAGACTTCATGACTAAAACACCAAAAGCAATGGCAACAAAAGCCAAAATAGACTAATGAGATCTACATAAACTAAAGAGCTTCTGCACAGCAAAAGAAACTATCATCAGAGTGAACAGGCAAAAAAGGCTAATATCCAGAATCTACAAAGAACTTAAACAAATTTACAAGAAGAAGACAAGCAACCCCATCAAAAAGTGGGCAAAGGATATGAACAGACACTTCTCAAAAGAAGACATTTATGCAGCCAACAGACATATGGAAAAATGTTCATCATCACTGCTTATCAGAGAAATGCAAATCCAAACCACAATGATATACCATCTCATGCCAGTTAGAATGGTGATCATTAAAAAGTCAGGAAACAACAGATGCTGGAGAGGATGTGGAGAAATAGGAATGCTTTTACACTGTTAGTGGAACTGTAAACTAGTTCAGCCATTGTGGAAGACAGTGTGGCAATTCCTCAAGGATCTAGAACTAGAAATACCATTTGACCCAGCCATCCCATTACTGGGTATATACCCAAAGGATTATAAATCATCCTATTATAAAGACACATGCACACATATGTTTACTGTGGCACTATTCACAATAGCAAAGACTTGGAACCAACCCAAATGTCCATCAATGATAGACTAGATTGAGAAAATGTGGCACATATACACCATGGAATACTATGCAGCCATAAAAAAGGATGAGTTCATGTCCTTTGCAGGGACGTGGATGAAGCTGGAGACCATCATTCTCAGCAAACTATCATAAGGAAAGGAAACCAAACACCGCATGTTCTCACTCATAGGTGGGAATGGAACAATGAGAATACTTGGACACGGGGCGGGGAACATCACACACTGGGGCTTGTCGGGGGGTGGGGGGCTGGGGGAGGGATAGCATTAGGAGAAATACCTAATGTAAATGACGAGTTGATGGGTGCAGCAAACTAACATGGCACATGTATACCTATGTAGCAAATCTGCACATTCTGCACATATAACCTAGAACTTAAAGTATGATTTTTTTTAAAAAAAAAAGGAGAGCAAAAAAAAAAAAAAAAAAAAAAAAACAAACAAAAAAGAAGTTTCCTCCACCAAATACCCTAAGTTATCTCTCTCAAGTTCAAAGTTACACAGATCTCTAGGGCAGGGGCAAAATGCTGCTAGTCTTTTTTTTTTTTTTTTTTTTTTTTGACAGGGTCTCATTCTGTCAGCTAGGCTCTGGACTACAGTGGTTTGAACTTGGTTCACTGCAACCTCCACCTCCCAGGTTCAAGCAATTCTCCTGCCTCAGCCTCCCAAGTACCTGGGATTACAGGCATTCGCCACCATGCCCAGCTGATTTTGTGTATTTTTTGGTAGAGACAGGGTTTTACTATGTTGCCCAGGCTGGTCTTGAACTCCTGGCCTCAAGTGATCTGCCCACCTCAGCCTCCCAAAGTGCTGGGATTACAGGCATGAGCCACCATGCCTGGCCTAGTCTCTTTGCTAAAGCATAGCAAGAGTCACCTTTGCTCCAGTTCCCAACAAGTTCTGCATCTCCATCTGAGACCACTTCAGCCTGGACTTCATTGTCCATATCACTATCAGCATTTTGGTCAAAGCCATTCAACAAGTCTCTAGGAAGTTCCAAACTTTCCCACATCTTCCTGTCTTCTGAGCCCTCCAAGTCTCTAGGAAGTTCCAAACTTTCCCACATTTTCCTGTCTTCTTCTGAACACTCCAAACTGTTCCAACCTCTGTTACCCAGTTCCAAAGCTGCTTCCACCTTTTCAGGTGTCCTTATAGCAGCACCTCACTCCTGGTACCAATTTACTGTGTTAGTCCATTTTCACGCTGTTATGAAGAAATACCCGAGACTGGGTAATTTATAAAGGTAATTTATAAAGGTAATTTATAAAGGAATTAACTTGCAGTTCCACATGGCTGGGAAAGCCTCAGGAAACTTACAATCATGGCAGAAGGAGAAGCAAACATGTCCTTCTTCACATGGTGGCAGCAAAGAAGTGCTGAGCAAAGGGTGAACAGCCCCTTATAAAACCATCAGATATTGTGAGAACTCAGTCACTATCATAACAGCATGAGGATAACCACCCCCATGATTCAATTACCCCCCACCAGGTCCCTCCCACGACATGTGGGGATTATGGGAGCTACAATTCAAGATGAGATTTGGGTAGGGATACAGCCAAACCTTATCAGTCAGGCTGGTCTGAAACTCCTGGGCTCAATTGGTCCTCCCACCTCAGCCTTCCAAAGTGCTGGGATTATAGGTGTGAGCCACTGTGCCTGGCCCATTTTGTCCTAACAGCTGAATTTCTCTGCCTTTTCTCGCATCTAGTAATCTTTAATTTTGTGGTCATTGTGCATTTTAAAAACTGTAGATGATTGGGTGTTGTGGCTCACAGCTGTAATCCCAGCACTTTGGGAGGCTGAGACAGGAGGATCACTTGAGGTCAGGAGTTAGAGACCAGCCTGGGCAACATAGCAAGACTCCATCTCCACAAAAAATACAAAATTAGCAAGGCATGGTAGTGTATGCCTGTAGTCCCAGCTACTCAAGAGGCTGAGGTGGGAGGATTTCTTGAGCCCAGGAGGTTGAGGCCTCTGAGCCAGGGTCACACCACTGCACTCCAGCCTGGGTGACAGTGAGACCCTAAGTCAAAAAAACAAAACAAACTGTAGAGACTGTAGTTTATTTTCTTTTCCTCTAAAGATAAGAGAGGTAAGGTAAGGCACTAATCACCTTAAACAATCAGGGCTTTGGTGTTACGAACACAACCCAGCTCTTGTTCATCACTGTGCCTCAGGTGTTTCCCTCCTGCACTTTTGCTGGAGAGCCTGTTTGGTCTATCTCCTCAGACTAGAAAAACTGCTTGAGATTTAGTTCTCCCCTTCATGGGTTTTGAGCTGAGCTCTTTAGCCTTCTTTCTCATGACTGTGGCAAGCCCATTCTCTTATTTGGACTGTTTCCAAAGCAGAGAGACTGCCTTTCTGGCCCAGTTCCCTAACTTCCCACACGATCACAAACTTAGCAAATGTCCGGTGGACAAAACTAATCATGTGCTTGAAGCTCTTCTAGTTTCTAAGTCAGCCCTATATAACTTCCAAAACCCCTTCTGGATCTGTTCCTCTTGTAAAGTCTATCAGCCTAGACCAAGCCCCATCCTCAGCTCACAATGAAAATCAGCAAGTGCCCCCAGATGAGATAATGGTCAGCAATTGTCAACTCCCCTAGAAAAAGCACTTCACTTTCTGGAATTTTAATTCATCTAGAACTCATTGTTTCCGCAGCTTGGCAATACCTTTAAACTTTTTTCAACTTATCTCCCCATCCCCCACCCCCTGCCCCCCGACAACTTGTTGCAGCATGATTGCTGGCCTGGCAATACCAACTACAATATACATGGAAATGAGGGTCTGTTCTTATTCAACATTTAAATCCAAGACAAAAATGAGAAGATACTAAATTACCACATAAGATGTTCCCTCCTCTCTTCCACTGGGTGAGGTGTAGAGGGATGAAAGACATCGTAGAGGAGCACAGATTGGCTGCATGGAGCCACACGGAATGTGTATCAGTGGCTAATGTTGCTATACTTCTTGTTTTCCATGAGTTTTAAGTAAACTCCTTATGATTTTGCTTTTTCATCTATAAAATATCAGAAGGTATGTCTGATCAGTGGAGGTGGGACTGTCATTGTCTTCCCTCTTAATAGTGTTACCAAGACAATCAGTGGAATTCATCAATGTAATGCTTTTATAAAATGAAAAGCCTTTACTTTCATAACAAATCAATATTAAGATATACTCACCACAGTGCATTTTGTGAGCTGGTGATAGGGAATACGGAAAAAAGAGGAAAAGAGAAAATAGTTATCCAATAGCAATCACCAGTATCAGAATTTATATTTGGTTTCTGGAGATTTGGGTTTTCGTCAGTTTGTTCTTATTACCCATGGGACCTTGAGTTACTCACTACAGTGTTTTCTCATATGTAAAATCTGGTATCTTCCAATTTAGGTCACAGGATTTGTGAGGATGAAGTGTAAAAGCAAGATAATGTTTTAGCTCTCATTAGAAAATCACTCTCCAAGTTAAAATCATAAGAGATACTTTCTCAAAGTTGTAGAATATATTCTTCTAACAATGAGATCAAACAGACAACCACATGGAAAATAGAGTATGTGTAGACATGTCAAAGTGGGATGATGTGTGCAGAACAGAAAGTAGCAGAGTAGTGTAATATATTGAAAATAAAACTGAATAGAAAAATAAGGAGGGATAAAGAAAACTATATAAAAGACATTGTAAATAATCCTTCTTGGTAGTTTCTTGAAATTTGAGAGTATAATCAGAGGCATTAAAAATCAATAATTTTTGTTCTAAATATAACTATTAATAGAGGGTGTAGTTTCTTCCTAGCTTTTTTTGTGTGTTTCTCTCCACATGTGAGAATAAACACATAGACAAGATAGAAAGGTAATATAAATATATACATATGTATCTAACTTTTTACTAATAAAAAATTTGCCTATATTCCTACAACCCAGAGACACTGAACTCATAATGGTGCATATCGCATATCCTTTTTCTTTTTTTTTTGAGATGGAATGTCACTCTGTTGTCCAGGCTAGAGTGCAGTGGTGCGATCTCAGCTCACTGCAACCTCCGCCTCCTGGGTTCAAGGGATTCTCCTGCCTCAGCCTCCCGAGTAGCTGGGATTACAGGCCCATGATGCCACGCCTGGCTAATTTTTGTATTTTTAGTAGAGATGGGGTTTCGCCATGTTGGCCAGGCTGGTCTCCAACTCCTGACCTCGGGTGATCCGCCTGCTTCGGCCTCCCAAAGTGCTAGGACTGCAGGAGTGAGCCACCACGCCCAGCCATATCCTTCTTATATATGCCATTTTACAACACAAATCATAAAGTAGTTTTATAGTCTTAGTTTACTATGAACATTTTCCACACTCCTTAAAATATGAATACATTAATGGAAGCATGATTCCAATTTATGAATATATCAACTCAATCACCTATTACTGGATATTCAAGTTGCTTATTTTTATTTCAATTAATACTGCTCTTACAGGATCTTTCCACCATAATTACTTTTTTAAGAGAGAATAATAAATTTTGACTTTTCAAAGAAAAGTATCCCAGAAGAGTATAACCTTTCTCCATAAGATGCTTCCACTTTTGTACTGATGATAGATAAAATACATGTGCAAGGTCTATTTGGCAATCCTGCTGGCTCATGTGCTCTCAAACTAATCTATTTAGGGATTATCTATTTACGGATAATCTTGGAGATTGGTCTAGTAAGGATTAATATTTTTTTCCTCTGCCCTCCTGATTAGAAAATATATTTATACTTTCAGAAGCTTTTAAACCTATTCTACAGAGAATATGTGTATTATTTATAATTGAGTGCTTGACTGTAACCACTGCGATCTTTTCTATAAAATGGATGATGACATATCTGAGACATGACTTTCCTTATATTATATAGGAAAGCTGGGTTATCAAATTGATTAAATTGATGTTTCCTGAATGTAAGTGCTCTGATATAAGATGACACCTCACTTCTTTCCGAAGGCATTCCAGTGTTTGCTAGCTTCATGGTTTCGACCCTTCATAAATTATTTGATGTACAATGTTACTAAAACTCATGGGTAAGGAATTTATCATTTATTGGCTCACACCTGTAATCCTAGCACTCTGGGAGGCTGAGGTGGGCAGAACACTTGAGCCCAGGAGTTCGAGACTAGCTTGGGCAACACGGCAAAATCCCATCTAAAAAAATACAAAAATTAGCTGGGTGTAGTGGTGGGTGCCTGTAGTCCCCACTACTCGGGAGGCTGAGGTGGGAGGATAACCTGAGCCTGGGAAGTCGAAGCTCTGATGAGCCGTGATCATGCCACTGCATCCCAGCCTAAGTGACAGAGCGATAACCTGTCTCAAAAATAAATAAATAAATAAATAAATAATTTTATCATTTATTGAATGATTTGAGTAGCTTTTGAATTTTCTTACATCAACCGAAGGCGAAATGATATCTGAGAGCTTTTTAAATGTGTGTTAGACTTACATGATTACACTCAATGAATTCTTTAATGCACAATATGACAAGGTACAGTACCCCTCCCTTATCCATGGGGGATATGTTCCAAGATCCCTAGCGGATGCCTGAAACTGTGAATAGTACCGAACCTGATTGCTGTCAGAACCCATTTCTATTCACGCCTTCCATCCGCAAATTTAATGTCTTTTTCGTCTTAGCACTTATGATGCACTGTGGCCACAACTTTTGCAGTTTCAGATGTGACAGCAAAACTAGCACAAGTTTCTTTTTCCTCCTTCACAATTTCTTGGATAGAAGATTCATTCTTACTGTAAATCTTAACAACCTCAGCATACATTTTTTTTCTTTATTAAGTCAAGAACTTTAACCATTTCACTTTAAGGAAGCACTTTATAACTTATTTTTGGTGTATGCAAATTGCCAACATCACTACTCTTGCACTTTGGGGTCATTATACAATAAGGGTAGCTTTAATGCAAGCACTGCAATCCCATGACAGTCAATCTGACAACTGAGACAGCTAAGGGACTAGTGGGCGGGTAGCATATACAGCATGGATATAATACTGGACAAAAGGATGATTCAAGCCGGGTGCAGTGGCTCATGCCTGTAATCCCAGCACTTTGGGAAGCTGAGGCAGGCGGATCACTTGAGGTCAGGAGTTCAAGACCAGGCTGGCCAACATGGTGAAACCCTGTCTCTACTAAAAATACAAATTAGCTGCGTATGGTGGCATGTGCCTGTAATCCCAACTATTTGGGAGGTTGAGGCAGGAGAATCGGTTGAACCCAAGAGGCGGAGGTTGCAGTGAGCCAAGATTGTGCCACTGCACTCCAGTTTGGATGACAGAGCAAGACTCTGTCTCAAAAAAAAAAAAAAAAAGATTCACTGATTTGCATCCTGAGCAGGAAAGAGCAGGACAGTGCAAAATTTCATCACACTATTCACAATAGCATGCAACTTATGCATTTATGTTCTGTGACATACAATGAGAGTTGATTTAACACTAAAAGATTTCCCACATTTATTACATTCATAAGGTTTCTCCCATATGAATTATCTGATGTTTAATGAGAGTTGACTTCCTACTGAAGGCTTTCTCACAGACACTGCATTTATAGGGTCTCTCTCCATATGAATTTTCTTATGTTTAATCAGAGTTGACTTCTGGATAAAGGTTTTTCCACATTCACTGCATTCATAGGGCTTCTCCCCTGTGTGAGTTCTCTGGTGTGCTATGAGGGTTGACTTCTGGCTGAAGGCTTTTGCACATTCGCAGCATTCATAAGGTTTCTCTCCGGTGTGAGTTCTTTGATGTACAACTAAGTTTGCTTTCTGGATAAACACTTTTCCACATTCAGTACATTTGTAGAGTTTCTCCCCAGTTTGACTTCTCTGACTTTTTCTAAGGGCTTGCTTTTGGTGGAGGGCTTTCCCTCGTTGATTAGGGTCAAAAAATCTCTCTGCAGGTTGAGCTTTATGAAGATTATAATGGAAGCATACTTTCCAATATGCTTTACATCCATCATCTTTCTTTCTTACATAGCTTCCATTTTGACCAAGAAAGTTTAAATGATGTTTTGAATGCCTTTTCCCACGAATAATATTTAGGGAGTCTTTGCCTTACAGAATCAAATTCTGTGCTCAGATAAATGCTTTTTCTACATGTTCTGGATTCTTGACCGCTTTCATCCTTCAGTGTTTCCTTGCCTATGAATGCAGCTTGCCAAGGAAGTTTGTCTTGGCTTTCCTTGTAGTGATCTATCTGCTCATCAACTTGCCAGACTTCTAGAAGAAAATGAATGAATCATCAAACTTGTTAAGTCTTTCCACTAGAATGTTATGGAATAACATTAATCCCTAAATGCCCAAGCAGTGAACTCCTATCAACATGACTTGAGCTGATGTGGATGGACCCTCCCCATGTCCCACCACCACCACCTCCCCTGAGTGCAAGTACAGAGAAATGCTGGCTCAAATTTAACAAAAATAATTTAATATGCAGCCAAGCTCAAACCAGAAAATAAATTTATTATGTGACAAAAATGAAGAAGAAATTTAAAGTGAGGGAGTGAACAGAAATTGAAGCTGTGTGGCTTTGCAGTTGGGGGACTAAGGCTCTAATCATGAGTGTGAGGTGAATTCTAGGCCACAGGGCACAAATGTGCAGAGAATTAGAATTGAGCTACCTGCTTAAAGCTGGGAGTCACAAAGGACATCTCTGTGTGTAAAATAGGAACTAGAAAGATGTCACCCACTGGCTAATGAAAATGTTAAGAAGAATCAGGGGTTACTTACAAGAAGTCAGAACCACAGTCCTGTACCACATGTAGGAGTGCATTCCAAATGGACATTTGAAGTATAATACAAAACCCCCGAAGTTGATAAATTCACCTATAAATTGTTCCTGCATTAGTGAAACCAGTGGGCCCCAGCAGTGGCAATCCAAATAGTTCTGCAGTGATGCTTTCATAGCTTAGGGTACACAGAATTTCCATGGAAAATAACTCTCACTGAAAAGGAGTTCACAGTAAAAAAAAAATTACAAACTTCAAAAGGAAATGAACCACAATGAGTTGAAAACTTATGTCTACAGAAAAGCCTGCACGTGATGTTTATAGCAGCTTCATTCATAATGGCCCCAAACTGGAAGCAACCAAGATGTCCTTCAATAGGTGAATGGATAAACAAAGTGATCCACAATGGAATATTATTCAGCAATAAAAAGAAATGGGCTATCAAGCCATGGACATGGAGGAAACTTAAACGCATATTGCTATTTGAAAGAAGCCAGTCTGAAAAGGCTACATACTATATGATTCCAACTATATGACATTCTAGAAAAGGCAAAACTATAGAGATAGTAAAAAGATCAGTACTTGCCAGGAGAGAGTGAAAAAGGGATGAAAAAGCAAAGCACAGGGGATTTTTAGGGCGGTAAGACTATTCTGTATGAAACAGTAATGGTGGATTTTTATGCATTTGACAAAACCCATAGAACTGAACAACACAAAGAGTGAACCTTAATGTAAGATGTGACTTTAGTTAATAATAATGTATTCATTCACCAGTTGTAACACACGTACCATACTAATGCAAGATGTTACTATTAGGGGAAATTGGCAGGGTGGGGGTGGGTAGAGAGAGGTATAAGGAAACTCTCTGTAGAGAGATGTGTAAAGGGATGGAGATATACCATGAAAACCTAACCAAAAGAAAGCTGGAGAAATTACATTAATTTCAGACAATGACTTCAGAACAAGAAGGATTTTCTGGCACAAAGAGGGACATTACAAAATGATAAAACAGTCAATTCTTTGAGAAGAAATAACAATCCTAAAAGTGTATGTACCTAATAACAGCACTTCAAAATACATGAGGCAAAAATGGATACATCTGAAAGAGAAACAGACAAATCCACAATTATTGTTGGAGACTTCAACACTTTCTCTCAATAATTGATAGAACAAGTAGACAGAAAACCAGCAAGGATATAGATAATCTGAACAGCACCATCAACCAACTTCACCTAATTGACATTCAGAGAACACTGCATCCAACAACAGCAGAATATACATTCTTTTCAAGTGCATATGAAACATTCACCAAGATAGAACATATTCTGGGTCTTAAAACAAACTTGTACAAATTTATACAAAATCATATTATGTGCAATAACAGTATTACAACAAAAATCAATAAAAAAGATACTTGGAAAACCCCAAATATTTGGAAATTTAAAGATATACTTACTTCTAAATAAGTCTTAAGGGGAATTTGAAACTATTTTGAATTAAATGAAAATGCAACATATCATAATTTGTGGGACACAGCAATTAGAGGGATATTTATAGCACTGAATGCATATATTAGAAATAAAGATCAAGCAGAAGAAAAGAAATAATAAGAGCAGAAATCAATGAAGTTGAAAACAGGAATGTTCTTCAAATGGTGAATGGCTAAACAAACTGTGGTACATCCATTTGGTGGAATATTAGTGACAAAAAGGAAGAAACTCTGGGTACTCACAACAGGATGAATCCAACTGAGAAGTATGCTGAGTGAAAAGAACTAATCCCATAAAGCATCATACTGTATGACCTCATTTATGTAATATTCTTGAAATGACAAAATTATAGAAATGGAGAACAAATTAGTAGTTGCCAGGGCTTAAGAATGGGTGGGGAGGGAAGGAATGGGTATAGCTATACAAAGCAGTATGAGGGACCTTTGTAGTAATGGAAATTTTCTGTATCTTGACTTTCTCAATGTCAATATCCTTGTTGTGATTTGTAGTATAGTTTTTCAAGATGTCACCATTAGTGGAAACTGGGTAGAATACACGAGATTTGTCTGTATTATTTCCTACAAGGGCATGGGAATCTATGATTATCTCAATACAGAATGTTTAATTTAAAAAATAGTCAAATATTCCAAAGAGAAGAATGGTGAAGTAAAATAACAACAAAAAACCAAAAAGAAGTTTGGTTGGGGGGATGAACAGAAAATAAATAAAAAAATGGTACATGCAAATCCAATAATATCAATAATTACATAGGAAGTAATGGTCTAAAGGAGAAAAAAACACCATCATAGGAACTGATCCATAAAAATAATTTATAACATCCATTCATAATAAAAAAAACTTTCAGAAAATCAGGATTAGAAGGAAATATCCTCAACCTATATCAGGCCATTATGAAAAAACCTGCAAGTAAAATTATGCCTAATGGTAAGAGAGTAAATGCTTTTGTCCTAAGATCAGGATCAAGGCAAGTATGTTGCCCTCCCTACCCTAGTCAACATTATACTGAAGATCCTAGCCAGTAAGTACAATAAGGTAAGAAAAAGAAGTAAAGGCATCTAGCCTGGGAAAAGAAATAAACTGTCCTTATTCATAACTACATGATTGTTTATGTAGAAAATACCAAACCATCTATAAAAGAGCTACTAGCACTAATATGTGAGCTTATTAGAAAGGTTCCAGGATACAAAGCCAATATGGAAAGATCAATTACACTTCTATAAACTAGCAATGAGCAATAGGAAAATGAAATACAAAACAACTAGGTACATACACACACCCCATTTATATTACCTTGTAAGAACATAAAACACAGGGGAAAATTAAACAAAATATGTGCAAGACCTATCCATTCAAAACTATCAAATATTACTGAAATAAAATTTAAAAGAACTGAAATAGACGGATATACCATATTCATGATTTAGAAGGCTCAATATTGCACATCAATTATCCACAAATTCCATGCAATGTCAAAATCCCCTGCAGGCTTTTTTGCAAAAATTGACAAGCTGATTCTAAAATTTCTAGGAAAATACCAAGGACCTAGACTAGTTAAAACATTACAAAAAGGAAGAACAAAGTAAGAGGACTCATACTACCTGATTTAAACACATAATATAAGGCTACAGCAATTAAGACATGTGGTACAGGTTGTGTATCATTTATCCAAAATGCTTGGAACCAGAAGTGTTTTGGATTTCAGATTTTGTTGGTTTCCAGAATGTTTACATTATATATTTACTGGTTCAGCAGCCTAACCTGAAAACATGAAATTGGAAAAGCTTCAATGAGCATTTCCTTTGGATGCCATGTTGGTGCTCAAGAAGTTTTGGATTTTGGAGCATTTAGGATTTTGGATTTCTGGATTAGGGATACTCAACCTGTATTGGTGTACAGAGTGACACATATGTTCAAATACTTTTCAAAAAGGATGCCAAAGTAAGTTAATTAAGAAAGAACAGTCTAGAATAGACTGAATATTTGATAGTAACTTATCTTTCTTACTTAACCTCTCTTCTGCTCTGGTTAATCTGCTATTAAGTCTATATATTAAATTCTTTTTTTGTTGTTGCTTTTTAAATTTTGTGTTTTTTATATATATTAAATTCTTAATTTTCAATTTTCATTAGATTATTTTATATATCCTAGTTCCCCAGTGAAATTCTTACTATTAACATTTTTTTTTTGAGACAGAGTCTTGCTCTGTTGCCCAGGCTGGAGTACTGGAGCGCTGGAGTACAGCAGTGCGGTCTTGGCTCACTGCAACCCCTGCCTCCTGGGTTCAAGCGATTCTTGTGCCTCAGCCTCCCAAGTAGCTAGGACTACAGGTGCGCACCACCATGCCCAGCTAATTTTTTAGTATAGACGGGGTCTCACTATGTTGCCCTGGCTGGTCTTGATCTCCTGGGCTCAAGGGATCCTCCTGCCTCAGCCTCCCAAAGTGCTGGGATTATAGGTGTGAGGCACCACACCTGGCATCATTTTAAAGTAGATGTCAAATAATAAACGGATCACTTGTTGATCTGAGAAAAAGAAAGAATATTCTTTTCAAAAATATTACTGGAACAATTGGAAATGCATATGTAAAAATAATATAAAAATATGTTGACCCTTACCTCACATCAGATACAAAAATTAAGTCATTAACAGTCACAGACTTATAAATATAAGAACTAAAATTATGAATCTCCTGGAAGAAAACATACAGAAAAAATCTCTGTTACCCGGGGTTGGTGAGAGATTTGCTAAAGAGGACACAAAAAGCATGAACCATAAAAGAAAAATTTAATAAATTGGACTTTATAAAAACAGAAACATTTGTTTTTCAAAAGATACTGTTATGAACAAAACAAGCCACAGCCTAGGAGTAAATACTTGTAAAACACATAGCTGGTCAGGATTTATATCCACAATATATAAAGAACTCTCACAGTTTAATAACAAACAATGGCAAAAGATTACAATAGACACTTCACCACAGAACATATACAGATGGCAAATAAGCACATGAAAACATGCTCAACATCACTGATCATACAGAAATGCAAATTTAAATCACAATGAGATCCCCCTATATACCTACTAGAAAGGTGTGTTGTTGGTGGGAAAACAAAATAGTACAGCCACACTAGAAAACAGTTTGGCAATATCTTATTATTATTATTATTATTTTTGAGAGACAGGGTCTTACTCTGTCACCCAGGCTGGAGTAGAGTGGCGTGATCTTGGCTCACTGCAATCTCCACCTCCTGGGTTCAAGCAATTTTCCTGTCTCAGCTTCCCAAGTAGCTGGGATTACAGGCGTGCACCACCACACCCAGCTAATTTTTGTATTTTTAGTAGAGACGGGGTTTCACTATATGCTGGCCAGGCTGGTCTCAAATTCCTGAGCTCAAGTAATCTGCTCGCCTTGGCCTCCCAAAGTGCTGGGATTACAGGCGTGAGGCACCACACCCGGCCCAATGTCTTATAAAGTTAAACATATGCTTACCATATGGCTAAGCAATCTCACTCCAGATATTTACCCAAGAGATATGAAAACACAGATCCACAGAAATGCCTGTACAAGAATGTTCACCAGCTTCACTCATAATAACCAAAAAAACCCCAGGGACAATTCAAATGTGCATTAACTGGTCCATCGACAGATAAACTGGAACACTACTCAGCTATCAAAAGGAACAAACTGATACATGCCACAACATAGATGAACCTAAAATGCATTAAGGTAAGTGAAAGAAGCCAGCCACATGATATTCTAGAAAGAACCAAACTAGAAGGAAAAGAGGTCAAGCCTGGGATGAGGAGAAAGACTGAATTATAAAAGGAAACACGGAGTTTTTTGCAGGGGATGAAAATGTCCAATGCTTTGATTGTAGTAGTAGTTACACAGCTATATATTTGTCAAAACTATACAACTATACACCTAAGAAAGATAAATTCCATGGTATGTACATTATACCTTAATCAATTTCATTTGAAAAAATAAAAGGAATGCAGTCACATCAACATAAATATATAATGACCACACATAAAAACACATATAGAAAATTATGTTCAAACATTAACATGTATGGCCAAAGATCATATGGTGCCATAAGGGCATTTTGTTTTATTAAAATACTTCATGAGCACTAATGATAAAGTACTAACAAATATGGAACTCTAATTAATGATATGCCTGTGGAGGTACTTAGGTGTTAAGGGTACTGATCTCTGTAACTTCCTTTGAAATGCACCACAAGAAAATAAATCGAATTGATGGAAGGACAGAGGAATTGGCAGATGGACAGGGGATAAATATAGCAAAGCCTGGGGTAGGCCTTTTATAGTTATTATAAATCTAGGTGGACGTATTATATGGGTGTTCAACCTACAATTCTTTTACTTGTTTTATACAAAAATTTTCATAATAAAATGTCGGGGGAGAAGCTAGATAAAGAACAGCAAAGTAAACTGAAAGTAAGTAGGAAAAAGCAAATAAAAGTAAAAGGAGAAATCAATAAAACAGAAAAATGGTAGAGAAAATTAACAAAGCTAAAACTTCTAAGAAAAGATCAACAAACTTGAAATAAATTTCAGTTTGTACTACTACATGAGACTGGACAGTTTTCATTACTATAATGAGGCTACTCTTGAAAGTAACAGTTCCTAGAAGATTTTTATTATCTCAGAATGACCAGTGAACTTATGGGACCAACCAGAGGTTTCATCCAGGAGACAGAGGGAAAAATATAGTTCCTGAAATAGATTTAAATATGGAGAAATAGGGCAGAAATTCAAGTTGCTTTCTGCTGTTTTCTGCTTCCAACCCTGGGAGTTTGGAGAGCTGTCTAGGAGTGAGTCAATGTGCTCCTGTCTTCCCATCCCATCCTGCTCGCATGCTCATTGCCGTCTCCTATTTCCTTGCAATTCCTCTCAGCAGATATTTCAAGTAGTGGATCTTAACCAAAGATGGGCATCAGAACCCTCTGGAGTGTCACTCAAAATGCACATAACCAGGCCTACCCCAGGCTTTCTGAAACAATTTCTAGAGTGGGGCCTACTCATGAGTATTCTGACAGATCCACAGGTAACTATGTAATACATCTCTGGTTAACAACCACATTAAATTAAAAAAAACTGTTTTTATGGATAATAACAACAATAAAAATAGTGATATCATTTGTTGTTTCCTTTATGCCAGGCACCCTTTTAGGTGCTTTACATGGATCAACTCATTAATTTCTGAAAATTCAGTTTTATCATTAGCCCCATTCTACAACAGGTAGAGAGGCCAACCAATGTGTACACAGTGATAGCTAGTGAGGGAAGCGGCCAGAATTCCAGCCCAGGCTATGTGGCTCCACAGTCCATGCTCTTAGCCACTTGTATGTGGATGAATAACAAAGCTCCTTCCTCTGCCCAGGTCCAAAACAATCAGTGCAATATTTATTGAATGTCTTCCACCAGTCCCACACTGGAACAAGTCAGAACAAGATGTAGGCTCTTATGTCTAGGGGTTGTGTTTGAGCTAAAGAAATGAGCCACTGGCACTTAGCTAGATTTTTTAAAAGTTACCATATGAAATGCATAGCTATATTATTTAAAGTTACAAATGTAACCAATAAAGGAACTAAAAATAAGCATATAACAAACTTGTGAAGAGCTGGGGAGTGGAGGGCCAAAGTGTGAGGGAAATCCTTACTTTTCATAGAGAGAAGATAAAACTGAAAACCCGCAAAATGCAGATATAAAGGCATTCCCTAAACCTATGGAGGTGCTCACCAGAACCAAAAGAGAAATCTTTAGAAGAAGCTGCCCTTGGGAGGTGTGATTGGGAATGCACCTAAGATTACCTTTTAGCCTATACTGTTCTGCACTCTTAGACTGAATATATAAATGTCTGTATTTTAATATAATATAGTTTTTCTTAGGGAATTGGGACTCAGGAGGGTAGACTGTGCCTGAATTTGCTTTTCCTCCCTTCTGGGATAGCACTGAAATGAGAACAAGACACACAGTCATTACAATTCCAGGCATCACTGGAAAAAAGCAAGCATACCATCAGCACATCAGAAATCCTGATGAATCTCTAAGCAGCAAATAGGGAATTACACTGAGCAACAAAGAGGTTATCATCACCCAAAACATTCCTGGGGGAAGCTAGAGTGGTGGGAGCCACAAATGCCAGCACAGGGAGGATCTCAGAGAGTGTGTGCTGAGGAGTGGGTTCTGGAGGAAGCCATCTGAGGAGTCACCTGTAGGTCCTTGGGGCCAGCACCTGACTACAGCTGATGCTCTGAAATTAATCTCTAACGAGCAGTGCTTTTCAAGCTTTACTGTGCCTATGGGGTCCCTGGGGAGCTTGTTGAAATGCACATTCTCTTTCAGAAAATCTAGAGTGGGGCCTGATTCTGATTTTCTACTTAGTGCCCCAACAATGCCCAGGCAGGGATCACCCTCTGAAGAGTAATAGCATTCTAAACAGGCTTCTTTGCCATGGGCCAGTGAAGGGGGTACTATGAAGGGGAGAGAAAGAGTAGACCAGTGTATCTGAAGAGTTTCTGGATCCTTGTAGGTAGCCCACAGGAAAAATAGACAAGGAAAAAGCAGTTCTATGCAGGACTAAAATACGGTTCACTGAAGTATTCCACCCTGGGAGTAATGTCCTCTCAAGTGTGTTTTTTTTTTTTGAAAAAGTAAAGAGATAATAACAAAAACAAGAGTTGAGTAGGAAGGACGTATTGAAAAATGGAGGAATCTGATAACAAGTAGTATGAAGTCAGATTTGTAAGAGTCTGAGAAGAAATAAGTAGAGAAAACAGAAAATGGTGTGAGGTTTACAGTGTTAACCACAAAGTGAAAGCAGGCAAGAACGTGGTGGGTACCTGGCTGGGTAAAGGTCACTGGCAAAGCTTTGGTGTCCATAGTGACTCAAAACAAACAAACAAACAAACAAAAAACAAACAAAAAAACAGGTACGATAATCTACCTTAGGCTAAAAAAAAAAGGCCAAATTTCAGCCTGAAAGGGCCCACAGTATGCCCAATAAAGAGAAAATGCTGACATCTATTAATACATCTACTATGGTGAAAATACAAAAGGCCAAGAAGGTGGGAGAATAAGTCTTAAAAGCTTCCAGAAAGGTGGTGGGAGAGGAATGAGAAGGGGCTTGGCACTTCTCACTAACAAGCCAGGAGGCTGGAAGGTAGAAATGGGATCTCAGAACAAGTGGCCACAATCTATGTGAATGCCAAACAAAGAACACAGAGACTGTAACCGGCGGCCAGGCAGAGGCCTCATTTGGACATGACAACAGTTCTGCTCATCAGAGCCTAGGCATGTCCACAAGTCCGAGGCTCTGAGAAGGGCTCCTGAGCACATCCCAGAGGCCAAGCTCTCACCAACCAACCTGGTCTCCTTTCCCCGGCCTGACTCACCTGGCCTGTCCTCACCTGCACAGGTCCGTACCGGGGTCCCCCCATCTGCCATCCAGGACTCTTCACCTGGTCCCAACCTGAAGATCACATCTGGCTTCGCAACTAGATACCCTGTTCGGGGGAAATGACATAGGACTTCGTTATTAATGCTGAGGAATTCCAGAACCTAGGCCCACCCCTGCAGGCTGAAGGTGATGGCCCCATGCACACAGCTATCTGCCCCTCAGTACAGAACATTCACATAGCAAGCAAGGGCACCAATATGCTCTCCAGTGTCCAAAGGAGACTACGAATACTACACAGTGGGCAGTAACCCAAACTCACTGAGGGTGGTAACCCACACTCATTGTTCCTAGGCCCCAGAGCTTGGAGCAGCTGAGAAAGAAACACAGTACTGGAGGCATTCTGCATCACCCTGTGGCACGGTCCCTCACCCACGGACACCAGGTGGCTGTAGTTCTCAAGCATGACATCCCTGTAGAGGTTCTTCTGGGCAGAGTCCAGTTGCTGCCACTCCTCCAGGGTGAAGTCCACAAACACGTCCTTGAAGGTCAATGATTCCTGTAATGGCACATTCCTCTTTAGCACCCCAGGACCAGCCTGGGGCACTGGGACATGGCATCTCACGCACACGGAGGGCTTACTCTGTGCCCTCTAGGAGAAACTTGACAGATGAAGAGCGTGAGGTGCACAGAGCCTAAGTAACTAACCCAGGTCACACAGCCAGGAATGAGGGGAGTCGAATCCACACGGTCTGGTTCCCACACCCACAATGGCCTTTCTTTCTTTTTTTTTTTTTGAGACCGAGTCTTGCTCTGTCGCCCAGGCTGGAGTGCAGTGGCATAATCTTGGCTCATTGCAACCTCTGCCTCCCGGGTTCAAGCGATTCTCCTGCCTCAGCCTCCCGAGTAGCTGGGACTACAGGAGCCCGCCACCACGCCCGGCTAATTTTTGTATTGTTAGTACAGACGGAGTTTCACCATATTGGCCAGGCTGGTCTCGAACTCCTGACCTTGTGATCTGCCCGCCTTAGCCTTCCAAAGTGCTGGGATTACAGGCGTGAGCCATCGCGCCCGGCCTGGCCTTTCTCATATAATTGTTCTTATGCCAGTCACTAGTCAGTTTGGCATAGTATATTACATAGAGTATCTATATGACTAAAATCATTTTGAACTTTATAGGAGAAACAGATAGGGTATGAGAAATATTTTACCCTGGAAATTCATTCATTCAACACATGTTTACTGAACAGAGGCCGGGCTGGTAAGTCCTGTGAAGTAAAGATTGATACAAAACCACACCTCTTGAACTCAAGGAGCTTCAGTTTAGTGGAGGGAGAAAAGTGACACTTAAGACACTCAAGACACTCATAGATGAAACAGAGGCAGGGAGGAAGCCTGCCTCACAGGGACAGTGACAGATGTAGGAAGGGGTCCGGGTGGTCCACAAAGGAGGAAGTCAATCCTGCCTGGGGCTGACAGAGCAGCCTTCACAGGGGACACAGAGCTACAACAAACAGTTCTAAACATAGCTAATCAATCATGAAACAAAGAACAGGAAGCCAGAGGTTTGTGGCCTGGGCAGCTGACTGAAGCAAAAGGGGAAAGGTCTGTGCTTGGCCTTGTCACCACCAAACAAGAACTCACTTCTACAAGCGCCCCAATTCCTTGCAAAGACTAATAACCCGCCTGTTTCTGCTCCAGATCCCATCCTGTCACGCCCACACTTGGTGGCCTTCAATTCAAGCCACTCGCTGCACCCATAAGGCCCAAATCAGCCACAGTGGCACCAGTTTACCCAGCTGTGCAGGAGAGGGGCAGGAAAGCCAGCGTGCCAGAGGGTGGGGACAGGCAGGCTTCTCCAGCAGGAGGGCTTCTCAGAGCAATCCAGGAGCTGTTAGCCCAATCTGCCCCTCCCTCGTGATAGCTCCGGTGCTGGGGAACAAAACCACACTGCTGAGTGCTAGGATGATGTTGCTTGGAAGCCCTAACCTGTTCCATAGACCAGTATCTCTTGTAATGGTCCCAGTGGCATGGCTTCGAGGATCCCAGCAAAAGATGGGCCCAGTTACTTATCACTGAGTGGCAATGTGCTCAGAAAACCCCAATCCATGGCTTCCTACCAGCCAGTCATAGTTTACTCAGTCCTCCAGTCCAGATGCAGTTTGTTTACCAATCCAGAGTCAATTTTATCTGGAGTAATGTCACCTGGTTTGATATTGTGAAATATATATTTGGTTTTTGTCCTGTCTCCTGGCAAGAAGCTCCTGCAACCCTTGGAATAGCCTCTGAAGTGATCAAAGTATCTTTTATATGCTAATGAGATGACTGTTAGCTGGCTGCCCCTAGGTAGCTTCTGGATGGAAGCTGGTCACCAGAAAACCAGACAGGATTAGAAGGTTGGGAATTTCATCTCCATCCTCAAAACTCCTGGGAGGGGAGAGGAGATGAAGGTTGAGTTGATCACCAAGGGCCAATGATGATCATGCCTCTGTGATGAAGCCTCCATAAAAACCCCACTGTGGCTGGGTGTGGTGGCTGGCTCCTGTGATCCCAGCACTAAGGGTGGCTGAGAAGGGAGGATCACTTGAGGCCAGGAGGTTGGGCCTGCAGTGAGCCAAGACTGCACCACTGTTCTCCAGCATGGGGGACAGAGCAAGACCTTGTTTCTCAAAAACAACAATAACGACAACAACCAAAGGGCTGGGTGGGTTCAGACAGCTTCCACACAGCTGAACACTTGGTGGTTCCCGGATGGTAGTGAGTCCAGAGAGGGCATGAAAGGTCCGTGGACCTTCCCACATCCCTTGCCCTATGCATCTCTTCCATCTGGCGGTTCATCTGTATCCTCTGTAATATCCACCCCCCTGCCCCCAGCTTTTTTTTTTTTTTGAGACTGAGTTTCGCTCTTGTTGCCCAGGCTGGAGTGCAATGATGTGGTCTTGGCTCATTGCAACCTCTACCTCCCAGGTTCAAGTGATTCTTCTGCCTCAGCCTCCTGAGTAGCTAGGATTATAGGCATGCACCACCACACCCGGCTAACTGTATTTTTAGTAGAGACGGGGTTTCTCCATGTTGGTCAGGCTGGTCTCAAACTTCCAACCTCAGGTGATCCGCCCGCCTTGGCCTCCCAAAGTGCTGGGATTAATGAGCCACCGCGCTTTGCCTGTAATATCCTTTATAACAAATAGGGGAAACTCAGGGAAACTGAAACTCACTCTAGCAAATTAATCAATCTTCAGGAGGGGTTCATGGGAACCCCCAATTTGTGGCCCATCAGTCAGATGTATAGGTGACACCCTACTTGTGACTGGCATCTCAAGTCAGGGCAGTCTTGTGGGACTAAGCCCTCAACCTGTGGGAGCTCACGCTAACTCCAGGTAGATGGTGTCAGAATGGAATTGACTTCACAGCACACCGAGCTGGTGTCCAGGGAAAACTGCTTGGTATGTGAGGGAACAGCCTGGGGCCTGGGATTACATATGGTGTCAGAAGTGTTGTGTCAAGTGAGAGGAGACAGTAGGAAAAACTTGGGTTTCCTTCCCTATCTCTCAGACCTAGTAAAACAGCCGTCATTCCATTATCAGGCTTCCAGTAACACATAGCTAAACATGACAATGATAATGAGAGTTAATAACCACTAACAGATCCTAGAAGTACAGTGTCAGAGGTTACTTCATAATAAAAGTATCTTAAATCTCTGCAGAAAAGATGTCATTAGGAAAATCTGGCTAGGCATTTATGGAGGGAAGAAACTCCATAAAAGTAAATTACTCATCTTACTCTGAGCCCCCAAGTAAATTACAGATGGATTAGAGATTTAAATGTGTACAAAATAACCATAAAAATGATAGATAAGTTAAAAGTTTTGATAGTTTTGTAGTGGCTGATGGCCTTTCTAAGCAATCCCCAAATTCAGAAAATACATAGCTACAGAGTGATAAACTTGACTACCTAGACATCAGAAATTTCTTTTTTTTTTTTCTTTTTTTTTTTTTGAGACAGTCTCGCTCTGTTGCCCAGGCTGGAGTGCCGTGGCACTATCTTGGCTCACTGCAACCTCTGCCCCCCAGGTTCAAGCAATTCTCCTGCTTCAGCCTCATGAGTAGGTGGGATTACAGGCATGCGCCACCATGCCTGGCTAATTTTTTGTATTTTTAGTAGAGACAGGGTTTCACCATGTTGGCCAGGCTGGTCTTGAACTCCTGATCTCAGGTGATCCACCCACCTCGGCCTCCCAAAGTGCTGGGATTACAGGTGTGAGTCACCATGCCCGGCTGCTCCTACTATGCTTTTCTGAACTTTGGTTTTTTTCACTTAGACAAAAGTATCCCAGACATTCTTACATATGAGTCAATTTTTATCATAACAGTTCCAGAGTATGGATGTGGCAATTTATTTAACTATTCTATAGTCCTCCTCATCCATGTGAAGTTTGTTTACCAATCAGGGGTCATTTTTATCATAAGCAATGCCACCTGGTAGTATAGCTATCATTCTACCATTATTGGATTCTCAGGAACATGGGACACTTAGGGCTTTCTCCTTCTACTTTTTGCTAGTATGAATAGAACTGCTTTGGAAATCTTTGTGGACATATAAATATTTCACTAGGATGGAGTCCTATCAATGCAACTGCTGATTAAAATAAGAAAAAGATATTTAATAAGTACAGCCAAATTACCTCTCAACCAGCCAGTACTCTCATCCACAGTGGCTCTTATCTATCTTTTCAAAGTTTACCACTCTTACAGATAAATGACAGCAGGTATGTGAGTTTTAGTGAGGATTATAATCTTTTTGTATGTTTCTAGGCCACTAATATTTCTGTTACTATGAGTCTTCATTCTGTTGGGTTGTCTTGTCTTATTGATATATTAAAGGTCTAGGGTAAAATTCTAGAAAGGGCATTACTGTGTTAAGGGTATTTGCATTGTAAATGTTGATATATGTAAACCAACTGTTCCACCACAAAATGCTGTATACAGTTTATAACTTCTTTGGTGTTTTTTCTACATACTTGACTGTACTATTATCAACCTTTTTAATGTTTAAGAATATGAAGTATGATACATGGTATACTATTCTACATACATTTCATATTCTTTCAGCTATATATTAGGTGTGATCTTCAATGATTTGTTAGAATTTTAGTGTATAAAAGAAGGCAGCCCATTGTTATGTATACTTCAAATATTTTTCTCACTTTGATATGGATGTTTGATAATTTTTAAGATTTTCATTGTGCTTAGAAATTTCTAACGTCGGGGCCAGGTGCGGTGGCTCATGCCTGTAATCCCAGCACTTTGAGAGGCCAAGGCGGGTGGACCACTTGAGGTCAGGAGTTTGACACCAGACTGGCCAACATGGTGAAACCTCATCTCTACTAAAAATACAAAAATTAGCTGGGCGTGGTGGCAGGCACCTGTAATCCCAGCTACTTGGGAGGCTGAGCGGGAGAATCGCTTGAACCCGAGAAGTGGAGGTTGCGGTGAGCCGACTGTGCCACTGCACTCCAGCCTGGGTGACACAGCGAAACTCCATCTCAAAAAACAAACAAACAAACAAACAAACAAAAAACAAAAACCCCAAAACAGAAAAGCATAGGAGGAGCATATTTTCATTAAAAACAACCCATGCAAAATGTTGTGGTTTTGTATATATAAAAAAAAAAAAAAAAAAAAAACTCTGAAAGGCAAACAGTAGAAGGGCTGAGACTGGGTTCATTTGTTGGAATGCAACAGAAAGGGAGGAATGAAAATCAGCCCTGTTTTCATGGCTTGAAAACTGGGGAAAGTAAACATCTTTTCAAATGGCATCACACTTTTTTCTCATAAATTGCTTGCCTTATCTTTTTGACTATATGTCCACCACATTTTTCATCTTCTTTCATCCTTTTTCATTTTCTATATATGAATCCTTTGCATATCATATGCATTGCATGTATTTTCTCTCAGCCTCAAATATGTCTTTTGATTCTACGGGTTTTAACATTTTAATACAGTTTAATCTGACAATCTTTCTCGTTATGGTTTCTAGGTTTCCCATCTTCATTAAAAATGTTTCTTCTGATTTCCCATCGTGCTGAAGTGGGTGGCATGGCAGAGAAGGATGACATTGGAGTTTGACAAGGAGGTAGCTTTTGGAATTCTCCGCTTTATCAGTACTTACAGGATCCGGGACACACAGACTTTGAAATATGTTCTTTGTCACCAAAAACAGAAAAATGCGCCACGGAGGGACAACAAAAGCCTCCTACAAGAGTCCTACCAAAATACCTGGGATACAGTAATCACTCGGTGAACATAAACTCCACTTACTGGCATGCTCAGGGAATGGGTTATTAAGCAACGCATTCTGTTAAAAGTGGCTAAAACCACCAGAAGTTGGGTTTTTTCTCAGCGCAGTAAGAAAGATGACTTACTTCACAAGTTGGATATTGGATTCCGACTCAACTCATTACATACCATCCTGCAACAGGAAGTCCTGTTTCAAGAGGATGTGGAGCTCACTGAGCTACTTGATTCCAGTATCCTGTAAGCAGGACAACCTCAACAACAGGAAAGTGGACACCTTCCAACACTTTGCTCCCTGGCAACCCCTAATATTTGGGATGTCTCAATGCTATTTGCCTTCATTAGTTTGCTCGTTATGCTTCCTGCTTGGTGGATGTTATCTTCCTGGCTGGTATGGGGAGTGATTCTATTTGTTTATTTGGTCATAAGAGCTTTGAGAGTATGGAGGACAGCTAAACTACAAGTGACCTGAAAAAAATACAATGTTCACTTGGAAGATATGGCAGCAAATAGCTGAGCTTTTACTAACCTTGTAAGAAAAGCTTTACATCTCATTCAAGAAACTGAAGTGATTTCCAGAGGATTTATACTTTTGCTTGACAGGGTCAGTGCTTTATCCCATTTAATAAATGAGATAATTTATTAAATGATTAATAATAAATTATTAAATTTATAATAATTAATAAATTATACTTTATATTTATAAAATATATAATAATTTAATAATACATTATTAAATTATTATTAAATGATAAATGATTATTTATCCCATTTAATAAAGCTGGATGGCATCCCACTCAGTACCTCATCAGTCTCTGGAAAGCTGTCTACAGAACTTCCAAGCAGCAAGGCTATCTATCCTATAGATGCTGAAAAACTACCCCCTGAACTCTGAAAGTGACAATGCAACCAGCTATATCTGTGTCGTGCCTTTTAAGGAGCTGGGCCTTGGACTTAGTGAAGAGTAGATTTCAGAAGAGGAAGCACCTAACTTTACAGATGACTTTAGCCTGCCTACATTGAAGGTTTTGTTCCAACTCTGGATGGCAGCGTTCAGAATTCTACAGATGGTTAGTCTTATTACTTCCTACAGCCAATTCACCTCCTGGGCCCTTACTTACTTCAGCACTTTTGCCTCATCATATGTTATCTGATTTGACTCAAGGTCTACCTCATGCTTACTATGCCTGTTTGGAAGAGCTTAAGAGCAACTCTGAATTCTATCAGTACTTTGAAACTCAGCACCAGTCAGTACCAGTGTTTATCCAAAACTCAACAGAAGTCAAAAGAACTGAATAACGTTCACACAGCAGTGTACAACTTGCAGCTCCATGTGAAAGCATTACTGAATAAGGTAATAATTCTCGAAGATAAATTTGAAAAGCTTTTTTGTATTAAAGAAACAAGAACAGTGTCAGAGGCTTATCAAATCCTAGAACAGAAATTAAAGTTGATTCAGCCCCATGTTTAAACTAGCAACAATTGCTGGGAAGAGGCCATTTCTCAGGTGGACAAACTGCTATGAAGAAATACAGATTTAAAAAAGGCAAGCCTGAGGTAGTGTGTGAAAACCCATACTGTACAGTGGTAACTTTGATGCAGCCTACTCTACACATTGCCGACAAAGATCCACTCCCTGAGGAGGATGAATAGGACTTAGAAGCTTATGTAGATGATATAGATATTGACAGTGATTGCAGAAAGGATGATTTTTATTACTTGTCTCAGGAAGACAAAGAAAGACAGAAGCACGAGCATGAAGAATCCAAGAGGGTGCTCTAAGAATTAAAATCTGTGCTGGGATTTAAAGCTTCAGAGGCAGAAAGGCAGAAGTGGTTATAACTTCTACTTAGTGATCATGCTGTGTTGAAATCCTTGTCTCCTGTAAACCTAGTGGAACCCACAAGTAATTCAGAACCATCAATGAATTCAGATACAGGAAAATTCAGTAAAAATGATACTGAAGAGGAAAATAGTAAACACTCCACAAGTGACAATGAAGTAAGTAAGACTGAGTATTTATGTGAAGACTCTCTAGAGCAGGGGTGTCCAATCTTTTGGCTTCCCTGGGCCATACTGGAAGAAGAACTGTCTTGGGCCACACATAAAATACACTAACACTAATGACAGCTGATAAGCTAAAAAAAATAAAAATAAAAAAAAACTACAATAAAATGTCATAATGTTTTTTATTGTTGTTTGTTTTTGTTTTTTTGAGACAGAATCTCGCTCTGTCACCCAGGCTGGAGTGCAGTGGCGCGATCTCAGCTCACTGCAACCTCTGCCTCCTGGGTTCAAGCAATTCTGCCTCAGCCTCCCGAGTAGCTGGGATTACAGGCACGCACCACCACGCCCAGCTAATTTTTGTATTTTTAGTAGAGACGGGGTTTCACCATGTTGGTCAGGCTGGTCTCAAACTCCTGACCTTGTGATCCGCCTGCCTCGGCCTCCCAAAGTGCTGGGATTACAGGCATGAGCCACCGCGCCCAGCCAAAAATCTCATAATGTTTAAAGAAAGTTTACGAATTGTGTTGGGCTGCATTCAAAGCTGTCCTCGGCTGCATGTGGCCCGGGGCCATGGGTTGGACAAGCTTGATCTAGAGGGTAAAAATAAAGACAATTCTGCAAATGAAGTCTTCCTCCAAGGAGAGAAGACAGAATGTGTTACCAATGTGAGGGCGAAGATGAATCTCAAGCAGATGGAGGCGTTCTGGCCACTACCCCTCCATCTCCCAGGGAGTCCTTACAGACTTCCATTCAGCAGAGGCTGGCACAGCTACAGCTGTCACTGAATTTTACCTTCACTGATGGCTTTGCTGTAGAAGTGGCTGCTAGATCTCTCTCCTTTACCACCATGCAGGAAGATAATTTTTGTGATGAGGAGGAAGAACAAATGAGGTAGAAGAAAAGTAAGAACCAAGATTCACATGAAGTGATTTTAGGTTGTTTCTTTTGTGAAAGTGTTTAGCTTCAAGACTAGAGAGGGAATATGAGTGTACACCTACTATATATAAAGTTAAGATGTACATTTACAGGAATAACCCTGGTTTGAGTAACTGATCTGAAATTAGTAGTTCCCTGTAAATGGCAGATCTTTCAGGAAAAAAAGAGAAAGGTAAGGGCTCTATTGAATAAACTGTGGTTTTATTTGTGGTATAACTGATCTTGGAAATAAGTATTTTTAATAAGAAATGAATGATCATTTCTTGCCAGAATTTGCTACCATAAGGTGATATGGATAATTCTGTTACAAGAACATTAACATTTAGTATGACTTTTTTACTGTATTCTTGCAGTTAATAACTGCAGCTATTATGTTAATAACAAGTTGTTTACATTTTATTTTTGTTTATACTAGTCTTAAAACAAAGATCCAGGTTCTGAATAAAAAAAATTAATTCATACAATTGATACATGCTGGGGCTTGGAACTAAGAAGTAGTTTCAAAAGTACTTGGGTTATGGCATTTCTTATGTTTCCTTATTTATGTGGTTACTTAGTAGTTAATTTTAAGATGTCCCAATGATCATTAAAAGAAAAACATTGTACCATTTAAAAAAAAAAGTTTCTTGCACTAAGCAAAGTTATACCAATATCCTCTTAAATTGTCACCTAATTTTTCAAATATATATTTAGGTATTTGATCAATCTGGAATTCACTTTTATATGATGTAGAAGAGTTTCACTTTCTTTCCATCCAGACGGAGACTCAACGGTGCCACCGTCATTCAGTAACCACTTTTTCCACATAACTGAAATGCCATTTTTATAATCTCAACTCACAGAATCCTATTTAAGCAATACAAGAACTCTAGAAGCCACAAAATATTGTAAAATTAGATATTAAAAACACATTAAGTGTCCACTCCCCAAGATGTATAAGACAAATCAAAGCAAATAATAAACTATGAAAAATATTGACAACATGTATGACAGAGATCTCATTTGCTTAAGTTAACCCAAGGAGCTAACATCCAGCAATCAAAGTAATTCCACACCCAAGAGAAAAGGGGGCAAATGACTAGAATAAATATTTGAAAGAAAAAAGTACAAATGGTGGTTAAAAATGAAAAAAGACACTCAAATCAAGAAAAACAAATTAAAATGCACGACTCTTTTCTCCCTCACAATGGCAAAAATCACAGCGGATAATACACTGTGATTTCCCATTTACAGGAAAAGGCATTATAATGTTGCCAGCCATGCAAATCAGTACATCCTATTTGGAAGGCAATTGACAGTTCTGAATCAAAATTCAAGATGTATAAACTTTGACCTAGAAACTTCATATTTAGAAAGTTATCCTATAAATGTTCTCACATGTACACAATGGGAATCTACTATACACTGCTATGTTGTTTATGGTAGCAAAAGACTAGGAATATCCTAAATATCTATTATTAGGAGAAAGGTAAATAAATAGTGGTATTGCCATCAAATGAAAGCAGCCATTTTTGTAAGCGGGGTAGGCCACTGGTTTTAAACACTGGATAATTTTATTCCTCAGGGAATATTTGACAATGACAAGAGATATTTTGGTTGCCAAAACTGGAGGAGGGAGCACTATTGGCATCTAGTAGAGAGAGTCCAGGGATGCTGTTACATATACAATGCACAGGAAAGCAACCCATGACAAATAATGACCTCAACCAAAATGTCAATAGTGCCACACTAAGAAACCCTGGTGTAGAGTTAATACAAGTGAAAAGTTCGTTAAAAAAAAAAAAAGGACCAGAAAGACCAGGATGTACTGTAACTTGTTAAAGAGAGAAAGAGAAAGAGAGAGAGAGAGCACATGCAGGAGAAAACGAGTGATTGTGCATAGGCAGAGAAAGAGATTCATGAGTTCAAGACCAGCCTGGGCAACATAGCAAAACTCCATCTCTACAAAAAATACAAAAATTGGCTGGGCATGGTGGCATGTGCCTGTAGTCCCAGCTACTTGGGAGGCTGAGGTGGGAGGATTGTTGAGTCTGGGAGGCGGAGGTTGCAGTGAGCTGAAATTGTGCCACGGCACTTCAGCCTGGGGGATAGAGCCAGACCCTGCATCAAAAAACAAAAACCACAAAAAACTTTTTTTTGCTGAACAAAGCTTTTGTTTGAATTTTTTTACAATGTGTATCCATTTGCTTTTGAAATGCCCAATGCAATTTGTTAATGTTCTATTCAGAGTATTTTTAATATTTTGACATTTATATTCTTAAGGGAAACTGGTCTATAATTTTCTTTTTTGTAGTATCTTCCTCAAATTTCAGGTTAAGTGGCTTCACAAAATGAACTGGGTGCCTTTTCATCTTTAATAGCCTGGAAAATTGGAACACAGAAATTATCTGGTCTTTACATTTAGTGAAAGGAGTAATTATGAAGGATTTCGGAGGGCAAAACTTAAGTTTCAGTACCTTTTAGTCAAAACCCGACTTCCAGGTATAACCTCCATAAACACTGGTACTACAGAGCAAGTAGATACAGAGAAAGTTGTTTATGAGGCACTGTTTACAACAGTAAAAAAAAATTAAAAACTTAAATATCCATAAATAAATAGTTACATGATATTAAGACATCCATACTATGAGATAGAAATTAAAACAATCTTTATATATCGACAAGGAACACCACCCAGAAAGTAATCAGGTGCAAAAGGCAAGATGGGTATGGGAGTATGATGCCATTTGTGTAAAAGCATGAAAACAATACATGTGTATATGTTTTTGGTTCATTAAATTGACATAAATGCATCTACCCCACCATTTAACCCAACTGTTAACAGTGGGCATCTCTGACGAGGAACATGGTACTTGGGGGAGAAGGAATAGAATCTTTTGGGCTACTAGCTTTTTCTACGCACATCAAAACATTATGCACAAACTTATTATCATAAATATGAATGATGAAAAAGACCAAGTGATCTAGAAGTGAAGAAAGAGGAAAGAGCAAGATGAATCTATGTATGTAAACAATCTTCTGTGAGAAGGAAATGAAGAGAAGATGAGGTACAGTTCTCAGAAGAACAAGTAGAGAGCATGGTGGCTCGCGCCTGTAATCCCAGCACTTTGGAGGCCGAGGTGGGGGGATCACTTGAGGTCAGGAGTTCAAAACCAGCCTGGCCAACATGGTGAAGCCCCGTCTCTACTAAAAATACAAAAATTAGCCAGGCGTGGTGGCAGGCACCTGTAATCCCAGCTACTCAGAAGGCTGAGGCAGGAGAATCGCTTGAACCCGGAAGGTGGAGGTTGCAGTGATCTGAGATTGCACCACTGCACTCCAGCCTGGGTGATAGAGTGAGACTGTCTCAAAAAAAAAAAAAAAAAGAGAAAGAAAAAAGAAAAAGAAAAAGAAAGAACAAGAAGTAGAGAGAGGATTCTTTGTTTTTCCTCTCTCCTGGTGACGGGGAGGATCAGAGAAACCAGAGGTTGAGAACAAGTTGAATAGAAAACAGCCAGAGAAGAGGGGATAATTGGTATTTTCAAGTCTGCTATATAGATTCCAAACCTTGCCTCAATTTCACTGGAAACAAAGTATGGGTAAATTAGAAACTCACCTGGGACATGGCCATCCTGTTCTGCTCTGGACAAAGGATGGAGATCTATAAAGGCAAAATTAGGAGAGTACATTCGGTAGGTACAGCCATTAGACCATCATTACCATCCCAATAATAATTACCCTTGTACCCTAGGGAGAGTGATCTAAAAACATGACCTGGTAGCTCCAGCCTGTTTCCATGAAACTCTACTAAGATCATGTAGGTTTTCCACATGAAATTTTGTTTCCCTTACTGGACAGATGTATGACTTACGTCTAAAGATATCTATTTTAGAAACCAGTAACAATTAACATCTCCTTTATCTTAAGAGTTCTATTCCTAGACATTTGTCATAATGAAACATTCCTAAATGTGGAAAAGCTGAAAGAATGTTAACTGTAGTCATTTCTACCATTAAAATATTAATATGTGGAAGCGGCCGGGTGCAGTGGCTCATGCTTATAATCCCAGCACTTTGGGAGGCTGATGTGGGCAGATCACTGGAGCCCAGGAGTTCGAGACCAGCCTGGGCAACATGGCGAAACCCCATCTCTACAAAAATTAGCCAGGCATGGTAGCACATACCTGTAGTCCCTGCTACTCTGAAGGCTGGGTGGGAGGATCACTTGAGCCCAGGAAGTGGAGGTTGCAGTGAGCCAAGATGGCACCACTGCACTCCAGCCTGGGCGACAGAGGGAATCCCTGTCTAAACAAAAAACAAATAAACAAAAAAATTGGAAGCAACTAAATATCCAGCAAAGAGGACACAGTTAAAAAATATGACACATGCAAAAGCAGGTATACTGAACAGCCTTTCAAAATGCTATGGAATTTGTTTTTAGTTCCTAATGTGTTTAAAAGCAGGTTCCAAGAAAGCAAGCGCAGTGTGATCTCATTTTTGATAATCAATATGCACATATATGATGTCTCAGAGGATTTATTAAAATGCTGATATTGGTTACTTTTGAGTGGTGATTTCAATTTTCTTCTTTTATTTGCATTTTCTCAATTTTTGACAAAGAATATCACTAGTAAAACAAAAATTAAAAATTATTAAAAATCACCACTTATCAAACCGAGCCCTAGAGGTGAAAAGACCCTCTGCAAGTGTGTATAAGTAGGATCTCTTGATGTGGTTTGGAGGAAGGAGCCCAACAGGGGCTCAGAGGGCCACAGTGGAGGAGAGGTGTGGGGCTGGGTGGGTAACAGCCCAGCACTGTCAGTTCTGTGAGGGGCTGAAAACCACCGTGCCTGCTCCCCTGCATCTGCCTCTTTAACTGGCCACCTACCCTGTTCCCACCCCATCATTTTCTCCTTTCTCACAATTTGCATTTTGATTACCAGGCTCCTCCTTCTTTGGTAGTTTTTCAAATAAAGTTCCAGCAAGGAGCTTCTGTGCAGAGTAACCATTGCATACTGCAACAATCATTGTGACAGTATCAGGACAACAGGGTTCAGCTTGGTGTGGCTTAGCAGGTCATGTCCCCTGGCCCACTTTCATTAAGCATTGAAATAAGGCAGCAGAGATGGATGACAGCGTACCTAGAGACTACTTGGAAATTCTATAAACTAAAAATATATTTTCTGCACTTTGGTCAGGATGAAGGGACACTCAGCATTTCCCCTGGAAGCAGGTGCCTGATTGATGGTGTGGGGCTGACTCAAATTCAGAAATAGCCAATGGCAAGAGACGGGAACACAGGGGTGCACAAATAGGTGTGCTAGGAGAGGCCAATCCTCTGTGGCTGGCTGTGATCCTTCCCAGCCTCATAGCGCCTTTACAGGCACTACAGCAGGGCACCTGCCCCATGGGGGGACATCCATGCCTCCATCCACCTGTGACTTTCACCTGTCCCTCCTCCAGCAGGAATCAAACTGCACTGTCACACGGTCCTCGATGGCATCTGGAAGTTGAGCCAGCTTTGCTTTGTCTCAGCTGAAGTGAGGGACAAAGGCCACTATGGGTCCAGCTCTTCTAGGACCTGCTATCCTGTGAGCCTCCTTTCTCTGCCCTGAGGATCTGGGTCTGGGCTCTGGGCTGAGGCTTCTCCTCCAACTCGCCTCAGCTCAGCGTACCTCTCTTGTGTCCAAGGCCGCAGGACCAAGGGATTCAGAGACAAACACGCCCCAGTTGAGGCCATCACTATAGCACCAGATCTCTGCCTGTGACCCAGGGAACTCACCTCCTTCTGAGGCCTCAGCCTAAGTCTTCTGAGACTAAGTGAGGAAGCTGGGGCACAGATAAACTGGAGTCTGAAGTCGGTGAGCAGTGGTCTCAGGTCTGCACTCTGACCCTGGAAACACAATGACCACAGGAGATTCAATTAGCAACACCTATGCTCCCTTCCATGCAGTGAAGTTGAGTAAAACCCAAAGGTTTTACCCAGCAGAAGAGGGACAATGCCTCATTCTAGCTTTAAGAGTTAACATTGATTCACAGCTCAATTATCCTCAGTGAGCGAAACCCTGCCTTCCTGAGTCCGGGCTTTGGAATCAACTGACTGACTGCTGTGCCACTTTTATTCACTGAAGAAATGGGTGCCTTCCTTCCATGAGCCCGTTCTCCGTGCTGGAAATACATCAGGGAACAAAATCTCAAAGTCCCAGCTCCCGCAGAGTTTCTAGTCCAGCGGGGGAGACACACAGGAAACAATAAACATGATAAACGAAGCACAGGAAAAGAAAAAAAAGATTCCTCGGGTTTGCTACCTACGTGACTTTGGACAGGTTGTCAAGCCACACTGAGCCATTTTCTCTCTATAACACGAAAATAATCATCGTAACACCTCACAGGGCTCCTGTGAAGATTAATGTGAAACATTTGCAAGGTTGCCTGGCATTTTTAGGCGCTCAGGAAACAGGCGCGGAGTGACTCAATCAGTCACTCGCTGGCCCTGAACCTCGTCCCCAGCACTCACGCCCACAGGCCTGCGGGTCTCAGGGAACCGGACCCTGGTCCTGGCTCAGAGGGTCCTGAGAGCAAGGGGCCTGTCTCAGGCGGGGAAGTGGCCTGGAGGATGGGCTTTTGAGCTGGGCTGTAGAGCCACCCTGTCACCCACAAAGGCGTTCACCCATGGCCCCATGACCCCACGACCCCGTCAACCCCCGCCCCCATCAAAACCATCACCACCTCCGCGTCCCTCTTACTTCACCGCCAAGAGCCTGAAACCTCAGAGGCCGCTGACAACAGCCAGTGTGAACTAGGGACCGCCCTCCCGGGTCAGCGGAGCACTTCCGCTTCCCACCGCCCCCTGGGAACGCGGGATGGGGTCGGAGTGTGTCGCAGCGCCGCGCACGCGCAGTAGCACGGGGGTGGGTGCGCCACCGCCAATGGCCAAGATGGCGGCTTCCAGGGACCCCGTGTTTCTGATAGTGTTCGGCTTGAGGACAAAAGCGTGTGACCATTTTCCGTGGCGAGTGGTACAAAAGGCCCAGGGCGTCATCCCTTGCCGGCGAGAGGCGAGCGGACTTTCCAGCGGCCTAGCTCCCGCCCGCAGGGAGGCCGAAGTCCCCCTTGTCCCCCTTCTCCCATTTCGTCCTCCTGCATCGCGACCCTCCCAGTCGCTGCGGCATTGGGTGTTTGTGTCCCTCCGTCCTGAAAGCCATTGTTCCCGCTTTTTTACCCTCCTGGGAATAGGAAAAAGAGTCGCGCCTCCGGCGCCAATAGCGCTCGGAGGCGTGGCCATCTAGGGTCCAGGCTGGTCTCAGGGAACCCGACCCTGGGCCTGGCTCTCAGAGAGTCATGGGAGCAAGGGGTCTGGCTCAGCCGGGGAAGTGGCCTGGAGGATGGGCTTTTGAGCTGGGCTGCAGAGCCAGCGATCTCTTGAAATGAGGAAAGAAACCCTCATTCTGATTTTTCTCTACGCAATAGAGGGGCTCCAATTCCTGAGATCCTAGACACCCTGGGAGAATCTGGATTTTACTTTTTTGAAAACGCACTGTAAATAGCAAAGAGGTGTTTTCTGTGAGATTGCCAGCCAGTGGCAACATGGTCCCCTAAAAAGGCCTGTAATGGCCTTGAGGAAAGTTTTCTGTTTCCTGTCTGGGCCTGGGGGAAACAGACGAAGTGTGTTCTCCATCCTTCTGTGCCTGCCTAGTCACCAAGCAGGCTTCCTTGGGTCAGGCATGGCAGGGTCTCCACCAGGTACAAAGCAATCCCTTCTGTGCTGGAGCCAACTGGTGCCAGACACTGTTTATAGATGAAAGTGTTAAAGCTGATCATGGAATCCATCAGATATGTATTTAATTTCCATTTGAACATGGGTCTTTCTCCTTTTTCTTTTTCGCTTTCTCCTCTGCAGGTTAACTTGCATTCCCCAGGTAGTTTGAATGAGTCTCAGCCCAAATTTGCAAACTCAGTACAGCCATCCCCTGGGAAGTTACCCTGTCTAAGCCTCCTGTACAAGTCCTAGGAAAAGAACCTGTTTTCCTTTGGGCATGTGAGCAGTGAATTATTGCTCATTCAGAATTTCATGTGTATGTGTTGCTGATGGCCAGGTTTAGAGAAACCAACCTATTTATTTTTAGAGGAGAGGTGAACTGATAACATTCTTTTCAGACATCACTATCACGAGGCAGGAAAGGGCTAATAGTATGACAGTGTCCTGAGGACAATAGAGAAACTGCAAACTGCAGAAGCACCTGGTCTGTGGCCCTGACCAGCATCTCTCCATTTCAGGATATGGAGATTCTGCAGGAACAGGTATTTCTTCAGAAAGAGAAGGGACTGATATTTTAGATGTGACCAGATGCAGGGCACGCTCTTATTGCCATGCCAGCATTTGCTATTCATGATGTTAGTATTCAAAAATTAAGAAACACCCTGCCTCGGCCATTGGTGTCTACTAATCCATTGGAAGAGAAGACTGGAATCCACCACTTGCTAGCTTCTTGGGTCTCATTCCCCCGCTTTCTCCCATAGCTGAGGACCACCTAACCTAGATGGCTGCTGTAATTGTTCAAAGGAACATCTTTAGAGCCTGAAGCCCAGGAATAGCCCGTGGCAGGCACCTGGTAAATGTTAGTTTTCACTGCCTCTCCCAACACTATGAAACATGCAGCACTCTCTGCAACTGACCCTGTGGATTTCCATAGGCAGGAGAATATCCAGTGTTAAGTGGAGCTGGTATTTTCAGAAATGAAGCCCCTTTCCTTATTTGTGCCAGCCCGTTTTGTCTTAGGCATATGTGCATTGCATTATTGCCCACTCTGTATTTTATTTGCATCTGTAACGATGGCCAGGTTCAGAGATACCACCCTATTTACTTCTAGAGGAAAGGTGAACTGATAACCTTCTTTTCTCATATCATTATCTCTAGGTAGGAAAGGGTTAATAGAGTTAGTGTGACAGTGTAGTGTGGACAGCATAGAAACCTCCCCAACCTCCACCCGCCCGCAAGCTGCAGAAGTACCTGGTTTGTGGCCTTTGCCAGCCTCTCTTCATATCCCGATTCTGCAGGAACAGGTGCTTGAACATTAAGAGAAGGGGCTGAATCTTTGGATGGGGTTTCATGAAGGGCACACCGTTATTGGGATGCTAGCATTTGCCATTCATGACATTGGCATTCGGGTATCATGAAACACAGGAAGGTTTTTCCAACCCCCCACTGTATTGACTGTTGGGATCTACTAATCCAATAGAAGAGAAGGCTCAAATCCATCATTTACTGACCCGTTGGGCTTAAGTTCCCTCCTCTTTGCCATAGCCAAGCACCACCTGTCCTAGATGGCTCCTGTTTTGTTCAGAGGAACATCTCTAGAGCTGCAGGCCCAGGAATAGCCCTTGGCAGGCATCTGGTAAATGGTGTTTTCATTTTCCTCTCTCCCACACTATGGAACATGCTGGTGCCCCTTTTGGACTTTTCCATACTGTGGGCTTCCCTTTTGCCATTTCCTTGCACAGTTGTGCCTGTGCCTGGCACCAGCTTTGCCCAGGATCACCACTTGTATCCACCTGCAGACATTTTTAAATGCATAAGTTAGGCCTCTTATTGAGTTGAAATTTATTTTATTCCTGATGCTACAATATTATTTGCATTGATACCCAGTCCACAATTTGTTTCAGTCATCCTGGTGGGGTGGGCCTTCTGAAATCCAGTTTGAGCCTCCCTGTAGCAAAAGACTTGCAAGGTTATTTGTCAGGAAGTTCCAGACCTTAGCAGCAGTTACTGCAAGGCACTGCTGGGCTTTTTCCACATCTGAAGGGCAGAGGTCCTGAGTAATTGCAGTGGGCAGGAGCTGAGTCATGCTTGGTTTCTTGCTGTGGTTTGGTATGTTGCTAATGATCCCTGGAACCTGCCTCTTTCTAGATCCTTTCCCTCCAGTGAGTGTGGTGACAGGCCCATCAGGCAATGCCTTGATGACATTCCACTCTTTGAACTGTGTGAGTTCCTGTAGGGAAAGGAAAGCCAGTTGCAAGTGCTCATCTCCTACCTGGATGGCACTGCTCTGTATATGGCTGCCCTGTGGATTTTCACAGGGAAGGGAGTATCTAGACTTGAGTGTAACTGGAATAGACAACAAAGAAATGGGGAATACATGCAAGGGAACTGGTTGATGGCCTAAGTTAACACCATGAAGCCAATCTCATGCCTGTCTGGTGGTTCAGAGGTTAGAGCTCCAGTCTTTGAGCAACTGTGCCCATTGTTGAGAAGTATGTATACTATGATAAACACCAAAGGTGGGAGTCTTCAGCTAGCCTCCAGGTGGCTCTATTTTAGAGGTCTCTCTCTGTTCCTGAAAGATGGTACAGGAAGTCAGAGTATAATAAGATGTACAGTGAATTTAGATGATGCCAGGCCTTGTGCTATGTGATTTACATTAATTACTTCATTTTAAAATCTTTTTTTTTTTTAGACAGAGTCTCGCTCTGTCACCCAGGCTGAAGTGCAGTGGTGTGATCTTGGCTCACTGCAACCTCCACCTCCTGGATTCAAGCGATTGTCCTGCCTCAGCCTCCCAAGTCGCTGGGATTACAGGCGCGTGCCACCATACGCAGCTAATTTTTGTATTTTTAGTAGAGACAGGGTTTCGCCATGTTGGCCAGCTGGTCTTGAACTCCTGACCTCAGGTGATCAGCCCGCCTCAGTCTCCCAAAGTGCTGGGATTACAGGCATGAACCACCGCACCTGGCCCATTTTAAAATTCTCAATGTCTGTCATTATTATGATACCCTATCTTACAGATAAAGAGACTGAAGCCCACAGATATCAAGCAACTCACCAAAAGCTTCATAGCTGATAAACGAACTCAAGATTTAAGGTTAGCCAGTTTGGCTCCAGAACATACACCATTGATCTTGACACCATTCTGTAGTTACTAGAGCACCCCATTTACAAAAAAAGGATCAGGGTGATTACATGACTTGCTCAATTTGGACAGCCAGTGAGTTCCAGAATTAAAGCTAACACCTAGGTCTCCTGACTTCAAATCCCATTCTTTTTTCAGGCTGACATTTGTCTTATCCCAGGTCCTCTGGAGCAGTGCATCTCAGACTTGAATGCACATTGGTATCCCCTTAAGGATCTTGTTAAATTGGGGATTCTGATTCAATACTTCTGTAAAGGGCCTGAAATTCTGCATTTCTAACAAGCTCCCAGGTGATGCTATTACTGCCGGTCCTCAGACTATGCTTTCAGTCAAAAGAAGATTTGAGCAACCCCCTGGTTTAGCAGCTGTGGCTTCCAAGCAGGAGAATTTCCTTAAACACATATCTACCTACACACACACATACACACACACACACACACACACACAAAGACACAGCAGGTGTGTTCTCTGAGTCTCACTTCTGAGACCCCTTAACAATTCCCTTCTGGGGTGAAGAGTCTGAGGCCCAAGGAGGGAAAAGACTCCTCAGGGAGTTATTAGCAGACTGGAACTAGGACCCATTCCACTTGACTTCTCAGCCAGTGTTCCTCCCTTCCACGTTCCTTCCTCTGTTGCATGAGGGTTTCTGGGGAGAACAGTAGTAAAGGAATGGGCATTGTTCAATATCACATTATTCATGACTTTGCAGGAAGAAAACAAGGTGATCCTCATTCCAGATCTTCTTGCCCACCATGCTGTACTGAACACATGATTTAGCTGCCCGGGAGGATCCAACTGTACTGTGCCTAGGAGAAAGGTCAAAATGGTTCCCTTCAGAAATCTGCTTGCCCATGCAGCTACCATCCTGGGGAAAATGTAACTACAGCAACCTCTCAGATGCTCAGATACCATTTGTAAGCCCGGTTGCTTGTCCACAAACTCCAGGAACTACCAGTAACTAGATGCTTACTACAACTTTTGTAGTACTATGGTTAGGCCAAACTACTGATTAGACCCAAAATTTAATGGCTCAGATACAGTCTCTTTCTTGCTCACACAAGAATCAACCATGGGTATTCCATATTGACAGGCAGTGCCCCTTCATGTAGACCCAGCCTGTTATCATCTCTGCCCTCTTCAAAATGGCTTCCAAGGCACTCTGGTCATCATCATTCCTGGAAGTAAGAAAGAACGTGGACGAGCATAGCTCAGGGTTTACAACTAGCTTTCAGGATAACCATGGTCAGGAAATTGTTTCTGCCACCCAGAGGTCAGAAAATTGCAGAAAGCCATTGCTGATAGCATGAGTATCCCATTGGCCCCAGGATGACTAGCTTAGAAAGGAGTTTAACAGGGTGCTGTGAAAACTCACATCTACTCTTCCTGCTAGAGGAAAAGTATGGCTTCTAGCTCCCTTCTGTCTTCCAAATTTTCTTCAGAGATTGCATTCGCAAGGGAGTCTGAGAAATATTGTCTCAAGGCCTCCAGTCTCTGAAATCCAGGGAAGGGAATAAGAGTGGGAATGTTGTGGAGTGTCAATAGACAATACCTGGTGCATCTTTGAAATTCACATTAAAGTTGAAAGATTTATCTCCCTTTTCTTCCTTCCAAACTGAAGTAGAAGACTGCAGAACCCTCTAGTGTCGCTGCAAACTGAGGCGTCAGCTGCTGAGGCAAGCAACAGTGGTTTGTGTCATGAAATTTTCTTTTCCAGGCCCTAAACTCCCTGGGTATAAAGTTAGTCCTAGTTTATATTCCCCAGTATTCTTGTTCCACTGGTTTAAATGTGTCCCCCAAAATTCATGTGTTGGAAAGTTAATCCCCAGTGGAACATTGTTTAGGTGGGGCCTTTAAGTTTAGGAGGCGAGTAGGATTAATGTGGGACGGGGTTCATTATTGTGGGAGTGGAGTTCTTATAAAGGATGAGTTTGTCCCCCTCTCTTGCTCTGTCTCTCCTCTGTGATGCCTCCTGCTATGTTATGACACAGCAAGAAGGCCTTCATCAGATGTGATGTGGCCCTTCAGTCTTGGACTTCCCAGACTCCAGAACCATGACCCAAATAAATTCTGTTAACTAAAAATTACCTAGTCTGTGGTATTCTGTTATAGCAGCATAGAATGAACTAAGACAGAAAATTGGAACTGAGAAGTGGGGCAATTGTTATAAAAAATACCTGAAAATGTGGAAGCACCTTTGAAATTGGGTAATGGTTAGAGGCTGGAAGAATTTAGAAGAGCAGACTAGAAAAAGCCTAGATTGCCATAAATGGAGCATAAAGGTCATTTCTGGTGAGGGCTCAGAAGAAGACAAGAGCTGTAGCAAAAGCCTAAATCTTCTTAGAGATTAGTTAAGTGGACATTTTATTACATCATTCTTGCATTGCTGTAAAGAAATACCTGGCTCTCTGCTCCTCTTGTTCGACAGACAACCACATCTTCTCTTGCATTGCCAGCCGCATCCATGAGACACCATGGGGAAGGTGAAGGTCGGAGTCAACGGATTTGGTCGTATTAGGCGCCTGGTCAGCAGGGTTGCGTTTAACTCTGTTAAAGTGGATATTGTTGCCATCAATGACCCCTTCATTGACCTCAACTACATGGTCTACATGTTCCAGTATGATTCCACCCATGGCAAATTCCATGGCACCATCAAGGCTGAGAACGGGAAATTTGTCATCAAATGGAAATCCCATCACCATCTTTCAGGAGCAAGATCCCTCTAAAATCAAGTGGGGCGATGCTGGTGCTGAGTACGTCGTGGAGTCCACTGGCGTCTTCACCACCATGTAGAAGGCTGGGGCTCATTTGCAGGGGGGAGCCAAAAGGGTCATCATCTCTGCCCCCTCTGCTGATGCCCCCATGTTTGTGATGGGCATGAACCATGAGAAGTATGACAACAACCTCAAGATCGTCAGCAATGCCTCCTGCACCACCAACTACTTAGCGCCCCTGGCCAAGGTCATCCATGACAACTTTGGTATCGTGGAAGGACTCATGACCACAGTCCACGCCATCACTGCCACCCAGAAGACTGCGGATGGCCCCTCTGGGAAACTGTGGCATGACGGCCACGGGGCTCTCCAGAACATCATTCCTGCCTCTACTGACGCTGCCAAGGCTGTGGGAAAGGTCATCCCTGAGCTGAACGGGAAGCTCACTGGCATGGCCTTCCATGCCCCCACTGCCAATGTGTCAGTGGTGGACCTGACCTGCTGTCTGGAAAACCCTGCCAAATATGACAACATCAAGAAGGTGGTGAAGCAGGCGTTGAAGGCCCCCCTCAAGGGCATCCTGGGCTAAACTGAGCACCAGGTGGTCTCCTCCGATTTCAACAGTGACACCCCCTCCTCCACCTTCAATGCTGGGGCTGGCATTGCCCTCAACGACCACTTTGTCAAGCTCATTTCCTGGTATGACAATGAATTTGGCTACAGCAACAGGGTGGTGGACCTCATGGCCCACATGGCCTCCAAGGAGTGGGACTCCTGGACCACCAACTCCAGCGAGAGCACAAGAGGAAGAGAGAGACCCTCACTGCTGGGGAGTTCCTGCCACACTCAGTCCCCCACCACACTCCCCTCCTCACAGTTTCCATGCAGACCACTTGAAGAGGGAGGGACCTAGGGAGCCCCACCTTGTCGTGTACCATCAGTAAAGTCCCCTGTGCTCAGCCAAAGAAAAAAAAAGAAGAAAAGAAAAGAAATACCTGAGGTTGGGTAATTTATAAAGAAAAGAGGTTTAATTGGCTCACAGTTCTGCAGGCCGCACAAACATGGTGCCAGCATCTGCTTGGCTTCTGGGGAGGTCTCAGGGAGCTTTTACTCATGGTGGAAAGCAAAATGGGAGCAGCCATGTCATATGGTAAGAACAGGAGCAAGAAACAGCGAAGGGGAAGATGCCACACACTTTTAAACAACCAGATCTTGTGAGAACTCACTATCACAAGGACAGCACCAAGAGGATGATGCTAAACCATTCATGAGAAATCCAGCCCCATGATTCAGTGACCTCCCACCAGGCCCCACCTCCAACATTAGGGATTACAATTGAACATGTGATTTATAGGGGACAACATCCAAACTATATCAGTTGTGATCAGAATGTTGGTAGAAATACAGACAGTAAAAGCCATTCTGATGAGGTCTGACAGAACTGAGGGACAAGGTATTGGAAACTGGAGTAAAGGCCATCCTTGCTATACATTTGCGAAGACTTTGGTGGAATTTGTGTTCATGTCCTAAGATTTTGTGGAAGGCAGAACCTAAGAGTGATGAACTAGGATATCTGGCAGAAGAAATATCTATGCAGTAAAGTGTTCAACATGCTGCATGGCTTCTTTCGGCTGTTCACAGTAAAATCAGAGAAAACAAATGATTTAAAGGCAGAATTTATAATTAAAAGGGAAGCAGAATGGAAAGATTTGTAAAACTTCCAGTCTGGCATGTAAAGAATAAAAAAGGATGCTTGAGAGAGAATACTAAGGGTGTGGCCAAGCCACTGTTTGCTAAAGAGATTAATATGGATAGAAAGTTCTGTTCATCAGTATATTGGGGAGAATGACCCCAAAGGGATTTCGGAAATCTTAAAGGCAAGCTAGGATTTTGAAAGCAGGGTTTCCAGAGAGTTCCCTGCAGGACCTCAGCATTCACTGCCCTGTGCCAACTTGGGACTCTGCCCCCTGAGTTCTGCACAGTGCTCCTCAGCCACCTGGCCATGGCTCAAGAAGGCCCAGGTAGGGCTCATCCTACCACTTCAGAAGGTAGAAGCTGTAAATCTTGCTGGCGTCCACAAGAAGCTAATTCTGCAGGCATTCAGAATGTAAAAACTATAGGGCCATGTCAGATTTCAAGGATGTAATGGACAGCTTGGCAGCCCCGGCAGACTTGTCACAGAAGTAGAGCCACCACAGAGTCCTCCTAGGGTATTACTTAGTGGAGTCATTGGAGTGGGGCATCTCCTGAGACTACAGAACTGTAAGGCTAGCAGCATGCAACTCCAGCCTGGGAAAGCTGCAGGCATGAGACTTCAACCAGTGAGAGCTCCTGGGTGGTCTGAGCCCAGCAAAGCCATAGGGGCAGCACTGCCCGAGGCCTTAGGGGTCAAACCCCCACCCTAGTGTGCCCAGGATGTAGGGCATGGAATCAAAGGAGATTCTTCTGTCTTCTTAAGTTTCAATATTACTTTCCTTCTTGGGTTTTGGACTTATTGGGGATCAGTTACCCCTTTATTTTTGCCTCTTTCTCGCTTTTGGAATGAGAATGTCTATCTTATGCCTGTCCTACTGTTGTATTCTGGAAGTAGATAACGTGTTTAATTTCACAAGCTCATGGCTGGGGGAAAATTTGCCTCAGGATGGATCATACCTTGAGTGTTACCCATATCTGATTTAGATGAGACTGGACTTTTGACTTTTGAGTTGATGCTGAAACAAGTTAAAATCTTTTGGGCTATTGAGATGGAATGAATGTATTTTGCCTGTGAGAAGGACATGAATTTTGGGGGCCAGGTGTGGAATGCTATGGTTTGAATGTGTCTCCCAAAGTTCATGTGTTGGAAACTTAATCCCTAATGCAGCAGTGTTGAGAGGTGGGATCTTTAAGAGATAATTAGGTCATGAGAGCTTTGCCCTCATGAATGGATTACTGCTATTATCTTGGGAATAGTTTCCTGATAAAAAGATGAGTTTGACTCCCTTTCCTCTCTTTCTCACCCATATGATGCCTTCTGTCATGTTATGCAGCAAGAAGGCCCTCACCAGATGTGGCCCCTTCATCTTGGACTTCCCAAACTCGAGAACTGTATGCAAAATAAATTTCCGTTTGTTATAAATTACCATTTTGTGATATTCTGTTATAGAAGCACAAAATGAACTAAGACACTTGTATACACTTGTACATGTATGTACTTGTGCATGTGCATATACATGCACTTGCAGACCCATATCTCAGACAGAAAATCTCCCAGTGTCACAGTGGAGAAGCTTAAAACATTCCTAAATCATGAGACAAAGTTTGCTTCAGATGAGTTGGGAGAACTTCGTAGATTCTGCCCAAATGCCACTGGCCTCAGAGGCCAAGTCTGCAGTCATGGAGGCCCTCAGGCATGGAGCATCCTCCTGTGCACTGAGCTTGGAGGAAAATTCCAGGATTTCTTTTGTGTGGCACTTTTGAGAGCAGTCCCATCAATAGAAACAACCTACTCACCCTCCTGAGAGCCAAGTCTGCAATCATGGAGGCCCTCAGGCATGGAGCATCCTCCTGTGCACTGGGCTTGGAGGAAAATTCCAGGACTTCTTTTGTGTGGCACCTTTGAGAGCAGTCCCATCAATAGAAACAACCTACTCACCCTCCTGAGAGCCCCATCTACTCAGTGAACACTCAATGAGCATGAGCAAACTATAATGAATGAAGAGTCATGTTTCCCAAGTGGGGTTCCTGATGAAGGAGTTCTTGAGTCAATGATTCTGACCTAGAGAAATCTTTTGCTGGAGAAAATGAAGCTAAATGAGCTGGATTAAGACTGATAAACCCATTGCCCTCGTGCTGCCGTTATATTCTTCTACATCCATGGCCGCTATTGTTTGTCAATAATTGTACTCTTTCCAGCTGAGGTCAGACAAGGTCTTAAAATCATTCTCAATGGTATGTTCTAGACTATCTCTACCAATCAGAGTTGGCAAATATTTTGAAATTTATTTACCATGCCTGCCTAAGTGTAGCATTTCACAAACGTGTTCCACAAAACATTGGTTCTCTGGCTTATTAGCAAGTATGATGTAAGAGTTCTGTAATTGTGAAAACTTGGGAAACATTGTGTACAAATGTTTTGTCATGTTAGGACTTCTAGAACCTGTAAAATGCTAATTTACTGTATAGGTCTCCCATAATACGTTTTCCAAGTGTGTCTCACTATAGAACTTATTGCGAAGATCATATAGAGAGACGAAAAAGATTATTTGCTGAATAATAATGTGTCCTATAGTTGCCTGAAAATGGGCTAAGTGGGATAAATGGCTGCTGATCCTCCAAATTAAATGAGGGACTGCTCATGATCTCAACTTCTCACAAGGTTGCTGGGCAGCTGTCATTTTTAGCACTCCCCTGAACAACCGGCATCCAAGCTCAGATTCTACTTACAATGGCACTTTCATGCTCTACCTATGAAAAGGAAGAGAAGTAGGGGATGGGGGTCCTTTCCTGGTTCATCCAGTTGCACCCAGCCCAAGCATGTGTCTCTGCAAGATAATAAGGGAATGGGAGACCTGTGCTTTTTGCTGACCCATGCATGTGTGACCCTGCCTGCCTCAGTGATACTTTCTGGTGATTGACTAGGCCCTTTGCTTGATAGTAGTGCCTAATGTGGAGTGATCATGGCAGAAAAGTTTCACTGTTTCATTCAAGGGTTGCGAAGCATACTCTCTGGGTTTGAGGACAAATCACCCATAATGCTCATGATTGAATGGCCTCATTTTCTGTGGCCCATAAATGCCCCTAAACTGACAGGCAATTTGAATTGATAGCCTTTTGATTGTATGGCCAGAATGTCTCTAGGTCACAGAAACACTCCTGAATGGGCAGTTCATTTGGCCCTAGGTAGCTAGTCACTGGGTAGTTACAATGTCTGGAGGCCACAGATGTAAACCTGAATGAGCAGATAATTTGGCTACATCACTATGGTAAAAAAAAAGAGGCTGAGATACAAGGCTGCCTATTGTTATATTTCTCAGCTTTTCTGTGTTTGAACTTTAAAGAAGAAGAGAAAGGGACAAAAGAGAGCCCACCCCACCCCCAAATCTGGTCATCACTGTGGCAGCTGATGCAGCCCAACTCCTCAGATTCAATCATTATACAATGTACCAGACAGAGGACTTTTGGATAAAATCAGGTATAGGTAAAACTGTTACAATTCATGGAAATAATAATAAGACTTCTCCCAAGACTGGTAGTACCATGCGGGGCTGAAGAAATCTCTGGGAGACTGGATTATTTGTCTACATGATAAAGGGGTGACATTCATGCAGTTGAATGAAGCAAGTGGTGAGTAAAATGGTGTTCAGTACAGAACTCTGCAGCAGAATGACTCTGATGAGCACTGACCCAACAGTCAACAGGAGGGATCAGATATGTCTACTGACATATCTGGAATATGTCATATATGTCTATTCCTGAAATGGGGGTTCAGGGGAATTAGGTTCACACACACATGGGGCAGGAGCATCCCTGAGCTCCTGAATGTAGAGGTAATATCCCTACAAGGTTGGAACTGCTTTGAAACAGCTTGCCATTTTAGTATGGTTTACGTGGGAATCTTGGGAGTCAAAGTTCCTGGGAGTCCAGTGATAAGCCTTGACTCAAAATGGTGAATGGGAATATGGTGCGACCTTTTAAGTGGAAGATGCCCCTAACTTTTCTCCTTCAACCAGAGAATATCATAATGGATGAGATAATCATCATGCTGGATCCACATACTCTGTCTTATGGGATAAGAGACATGGGGTCCTACAAAGTAGCCCAAGTCTGGCTGGACTGGACTCATTCATTTAGACTTGTGATAATGGCCTCCAAAACAATTAGTCTTGTGACTTACTGTAAGAAGGAATACTGATGAAAAGTCAACCAAAAAAACAATCATGACTTCTGGTCTCTCTACTCTGGGGAGGGCTCATGAGTTCCAGGAGTCAGAAGGTGGGGAGGGGGGAACAGAATCCCCCTCTCCGTGTGATGTCCTCCATAATGCCTATCCCCTACATCTTACATGGATTCCCAGGGTCATCTTCTCTGTACCTACTGGGATGGGATGAAGACAAAGCTAACCTTCCTCTGCCTACATGATACCACATGATGGGGCACATGTGCAGAGGCCAATGACAGAGGGTGGTGTGAAATCTGAGGGGCTCAGACTCCCAAGGAGGTATCCCTGTGTCCTCATGTTGGAGGAGTAGATGGAGGTATGGCTTCTCCTTTGGAGTACATCACTGTCAGCCTTGCTCCACTCTTCATCGAAGGCTGCCATCATGTGCACACACTGAACTTGGCAGCTGCCCAATGGGTGCTCATCTGGGTGTGGGGACGAATGGCTCATATTGCTCAGATTAAGGAATCTGGCTTTGCATCCATTGGTTCAGCAGACACAGTCTTCTTCTGAGGTCATTTGTGTTGATAAAATGGTAATTCCTGGGTCTCTGTGGAATGTACTCTGAGAAGAGGATAGACTGTCTGGCTCCTCCCAAGTGGAATGTCAAACAGTAGTTGGTTGGGCATGGATATGTCTAACCCCAGAAAACATTCTTCTTTTCTTCATCAAATAGCAAGAACATTACAATAAAAAACCTTACTTTAGAAGAGACTGTTTTGTAGTTAGAGACAGAAACAGACATGTGTCAATTCAATGTAATTTTGTTGTTGTACAGAGCGTCGTTTTTTCTTGTAGAGTGTATTATTGCTGCCCTCACAATATTGGCTCTGAAGTTACAAGCACTGGTGCCCCAAATGACTGTTACCAGGGGATGGAAGCTATTCAATGTGTTATATTATATGTTTTCAGCATGGCCTTTTCCTGTTCAAAAAGATACACTTAAATATTTAAACTGGCAACATTTTCCTGGTTAATTGGCCTTTTTAATTGGCCTATCAAAATAACATTGTTTAGGTTGGGCACGGTGGTTTACGCCTGTGATCCCAGCACTTTGGGAGGCTGAGGCAGGTGGATCATCTGAGGTCAAGAGTTTGAGACCAGCCTAGCCAACAAGGCGAAATCCCGTCTCTACCAAAAATACAAAAAAAAAATTAGCTGGGCATGGTGGCCCGTGCCTGTAGTCCCAGCTACTCAGGAGGCTGAGGCATGAGAATCGCTTGAACCTGGGAGGTGGCGGTTGCAGTGAGCCGAGATTGCACCACTGCACTCCAGCCTGGGTGACAGAGTGAGACTCTGTCTCAAAAACAAACCAACCAACAAACAAACCAACAAAAACTATATATATGTGTGTATATATATATATACAGAAACAAACAAAAACTATATATATATTATATGATTATCTCCAATCATCCAATCGTTCTTCTTGCCATAAAATCTACTTTGTCTAATATTAATTATATCAGTTGGAGTTTAGTAGGATACATACAAGAAATTGGCTTACATCAGCGGTCCCCAACCTTTTTGGCACCAGGGACAGTTTTCGTGGAAGAGAGTTTTCCCATTGATAGGGGCAGGGGGATGGTTTCAGGGTGAAACTGTTCCACCTCAGATTGCCAGGCATTAGATTCTCATAAGGAGGACTCAACCTAGATCCCTTGCATGCACAATAGGGTTCATTCCTGTGAGAATATAATGCCGCTGCTGATTGGACAAGGAGGCACAGCTCAGGCAATAATGCTCTTGGGTGCTCACCTCCTGCTGTGCAGCCCACTTCCTAGCAGGCCACGGATCAGTACTCGTCCATGACCTAAGGGTTGGGGGGCCCCTGGCTTACATGATTGTGGGGGCTGGCTATGCAAATCTGAAATCTGTAGGGCTGGGCAGCAGGCTGGAAACCCTCAGGAAAGACCTGATGCTGCAGTCCACAGGTGGAATTTTCTTCCTCAGGGAAAGCTCAGTTTTGCTCTTAAGATCTTTCAGCTGATTGGATGAGGCCCACCCAGATTACTGAGAATCATCTTCTTTACCTAAAGTCAACTGATTATAGATGTTAATCACATCTCCAAAATATCTTTGTAACAACACCTAGATTAGTATTTGATTGAATAACTGGACACTATAGCCTAGCTAAGTTAACACACAAAACTAATCATCACCGTCTACCCCTTGTAATCTTGGTACCATACACATCTCCTTAAACTATGCTTAATCTTCAAATAAAGATAATAACAAAGTCATATTTCCACCTAACATGATACAATTATCCAGCATACAACCAAAACTGCACCAACTCTTTCCCTAGAAGAGGATGCAAATACCTTTGAATAATGTTCACTCTTCTCCTTGACATCCTGTAACTGAAATAAATACTGTGACGTGAAGTTAACTATTATTAATACATCTTATGTTAGATTATAAAGGGATAAGAGAGGGAAGAAAACAAAAATACTACATATGCACACACACATAAATATCACATATTCATACAAAAACAAAGAAGAAATAACAATTATAGTCCTCATTTCTGCAACCAGTCATGTGCTCATAGCTAGGTACTTATAACTGCCATCTTTCATTACTATTTCATATTCCCTTTGCCCTCAGCAAACACCTCAGCTGGTTGTGGTATTTTGCCTGGTGGGGTTACACAACCTTCATTTCTGAGGGGTGTGGACAATTATGAGTCCTGCCTGGATTGAGTTGTAGTTCTTCATTGACTTTAATCACAGCACATGGTGGTACCAAGGGATGCCCTAAGGAAACTCCAGTACTCTAGATAAAATCCTTCTTACCTTCAATTGTATTAGCAGCCCAGTTTCTCCTTGCTCATCAGGCCCAATCACCCCAGCTAGTACAGTAACTTCCTTCTTTGCCTGTTGATTTAGAGGCAAGAGGAACCCAAAGCAGCTGGATGGCAGTCTTAACTTCCAGTTCAATGGAATCATTGTTGTGTCTCCTAGTGGAAAGCATTCCTTCCTTTGAAACTAAGATCTCTAGACCAGTAAAACATAAGGTCGCAGAGATTGGAAGCAAAAATTTTGCTAGTGGATCTCTAGGGGTGGGTAGTGCCATTCTCATTTCCATCCCTTGATTCTTGGCCTCTGCTGAGATGGTTGATTGGGTCCATGAGTAACACACCTAATCTCTTCAGCAAAAAGTTATTTAGCAAAACCCTTAACCCTCTCCCTGGAACATTTATTCCCAACAGTGAATTTTCTTTTTTTTTTCCCGACAGTAAATTTTCTTTTTTTTTTCTCAACAGTGAATTTTCTAATTTTAGCATCTTTTGCAAACTTGGTAGGCCAAGAACCTCCCAAATCATCAAATGCTCATTCCATTTTGTTTAACAATTTCTTTCTCAATTTATCTCTTTCCTCCTGCATTTTACTTTAAGCAGCGAGAAGAAACTAGGCCACACTTTTAGCACTGCTTGGAAATCTCTTCAGCTACATCCCTAAATTCATCACTTACAAGTTCTGCTTTCTACACAACTGTGGAATACAACTCAGCCAAGTTTTCTGCCACTATATAACAAGGATCACCTTTTCTCCATTCCCAATGCACGTCCCTCATTTCCTTCTGCATTCTTACTATACATGCCTTTATTGTTCATATTTTTATCAACATTCTGCATAACAATATATGTATTCTCTAAGGTTATAGAAGCCTTCTCTACCATACTCCTCATTTCCTCCTGAGCCGTGACGTGAATTGCCTTGATGTTCATATTTCTACTAACAATCATTTCAAGGCAATCTGGAATTTTTCCATCATGCTTCTTAAACTTTTTCTAGCCTCTGTCCGGTATTCAATTCCACAGCCATTTCCATATTTTTAGCTATTTGTTACTCCAGCACCCTGCTTCCTAGTACCAAAATCTTTATTAGTTTCCTAGGGCTTCTATAACAAATTACCACAAATTTAGTGGCTTAAAAACTGAAATTTACTTTCACACAGTTCTGGAGGGCAGAAGTCTAAAATCAAGGTTTGACAGGAATGCAATTCTTCCAAAGGTGCTGGGGAAGGATGCTTCCTATTCTTCCACCTTCTGGTGGCTCTGAGGAGTCCTTGGCTCATGGCTACATAACTCCAGTCTCTGCTTGTCTTTACTGGTATTCTCCTCTTCTCTCTCTTCTCCTCTTAAGTCTCTAATAAGGACATTTGTCGTTGGATTTAGAGCCCATCTGGATAATCCTGAATAATTTCACCTCAAGATCCTTAATTTAATTACTTTTGCAAAGATCCCTTTTCCAAATAAGGCTACATTCACAGGTTCTGGGGGTTAGGACATATCTTTTTGGGGACTACCATTCAACCCACAATATTAACATAGCTACACCAACCATCTTTTGATTAGTATTTGCATTGTATATTATATTACATCATTTTGCTTTTCATCTCTGTTTTCATATTAATGATATATTTCCTGTAAACCACATATAGTTACCCTTCTTTTTAAAATCCATTCTGACAATTTGAGCTTCATCATAATTACTGATATATGTATGTTTCAGTATACTATGTTACTACTTCTCACCTGTTTTGTCTCCTATTATTTGTTCCTTTTTTTTCTCCTTTCCTGACTTTTGGATTAATCAATTAACTTTTATTATTCTATTTCCCTTCCTTCACCTTCTTAGTTTTGCATTCTTTAATCATTATTTTAATGGTTCTAAGGATTATGATGTACACCCTTGATTTATTAGTCCACTACAGATTAGTATATTTACTACTTCCTCAACAATGCAATGATGTAAAATATTTCAACTCAATTAATTCCCTTTTATATTTTGTACTATTGTTGCTGTGAATGTCAGTTCTATGTATATTTTAAGCCTTTCAATACATTATGATAATTGTTTAATACAATCAGTATTCATATAGGTTGACCTACATATTTATCCTTTCCTGTACTCTTTATTCCTTTTTGCATTTTCATATTTTGGGGCTCATTATTTTCTAACCTGAATAAATACTCTGGTGACAATTAATTGTATCAGTTTTGGTTTTTCTGAGACTAGTTTTACTTTATGTTCATTTTAAAGGATATTTTCACTGGGAATATAATTCTGGGCTAGCAGCTAAAAATAAAACTCAATTTTCTAAACTACTTTATTATACATCAAGAGTTGGACTTGTGACAGTTCTGTCTAATAATGAGCAAGTGGAATTATCTGGAGAGGGTATTTGTTTTTTGAGACAGGGTCTCACTCTGTCACCCAGGCTGGAGTGCAGTGGCATGATCACAGCTCACTGCAGCCACCAACTTCTGGGTTTAATCAATCCTTCCAACTCAGCCTCCCGAGTAGCTGGAACTACGGGCCAACACACTGGGCTAATTTTTGTATTTTTTGTAGAGCTGGGGTCTTGCCATGTTGCCCAGGCTGGTCTGAAACTCCTCGGCTCAAGCAACCTTCTGCCTCATCCTCCCAGAGTGCTGGGATTACAGGCGTGAGCCAACACACCCGGCCAGAGAGGGCATCTTTCCCCAATAAAAAAGCAAAACCTGGAAAGGAGAATATATTTTTGTCATTAACTTCTTTATCCTTCCTTACACTTGCCTGGAATGTAGACAATACCTGGTGTAGGCCAGTCATCTTGTAGCAATGAGGCAAAAAACAAGAGGACAAACTAAGAGCTAAATAGTAACAGTATGGGTCCCCCCTGACAGAATCATTGAGCCATTGCATTAGTCCCAGACTGATTGTAACCAGACTCCTTATCAGGTGAGCTAACTAAACATCTTGTTTTTGTAGGCCATTGTGAGTGAGCTTCCTGTTACTTGCAGCTGAAAATATTTCTAATATACATTGAGATTTAGGAGAACTTAATTTTAATTCTAATGCAACCCCAGTGAATGTCTGTGCAGAAATACATTGCATTTCTGTATATCAACAAAAAGACGTTTAGATAATGAAATTAAACAAAATAGTTTACCCCTAGTGCCCATTATCTTGATCTCTAACCACCATTCTCACTAAAAGGGCACCAGAGATTTTTTGGGTAATGTCTAATTCCAGGTCTGGGGGTAGAAAAATACATGTTGCTCATGGGCTATCTTATTGTGCTAAAAAGCAAGGAAATGCTTAAAGACTCATGGGGCCCCATGACATAGGCAGCATCATGAAGGGCCTTCACTGGCCACATTTGAGATCATTTCAACATCAAAAAGAATAACGGCCGTAATTTATTCTAACACATTCGATAAATTAAATTCCCTAAATTCATAATGATACTTCAAAAACATTATAAGGAAAGGTTAAAAGGAAAAAAGGTGAAAGCTGTTTGTTTTGTCTTATAATGGATTTCAGGTTAACAGACTCTCAGATGGAAAGCTGGATACAGAAAGTTTATTGGGAAGAGATCTGTGGAGAAACATCTGTAAGAGGGTGAGGAAGACAAGACTGGACCGAGAGAGAAGTTGACCTACAATGCAGTTACAACTGAGGCCTGAGACAATTCTACAGAGAGCTCTGGAGCTGGGATGGCCCTTCAGAGTTGTCTCAAATTAAGGAGAGTGGGCTGAACCTTTGTAGAGTCATGCACTGCCTAAGAATGTTTTAGTCAATGTCAGACCGCATATACAACTGTGATCCCACAAGATTATAATGAAGCTGAAAAATTCCTATCATCTAGTGATATTGTAGCTGTCATAACATCTTAGCATGATGCACTACCTTCTCTACATTTAGATATGTTTATGTACACAAATACTTACCATTGTGTGACAATTGCCTATAGTATCCAGTACAGTCATACACTGTACTGGTTTGTAGCCTAGAAACAATAGGCTATGCCATGTAGCCTAGGTGTGCAGTAGATGATACCATCTAGGTTTGTGTAAATACACTCATGATGTTCGCACATGGATGAAATTGTCTAAAGGAGCGAGCATTTCTCAGAATGTATCCCCATCAGTAAGCCATGCATGACTTGTATTTCTACATCAGATACTCATTGACTACTGCCTGTTCCTTGAGGGGTGAAAGGGGTGGGTAGCCTTGAGTAAAGCAGTTCTCTGTAGCCAAGGTCAGTTTGAAATGAGGGACATAGCTGTGAAGTCAGTAGCTGATTTTCCCAGAAGTAGGAGGATAGTGTGTTGGCCCTGAAGAGGAGATCTGAGCAGAGCAACACATTATTTACTACAGCCATTATTTATAAAAGAATGCCACCTAATAAATATACAAATAATTGTGTAATTAGTAAATCACTATTTTGCAAGCCTCAGTGTAATAATTGATTCAGGCAAAGATCCTTGAGGGATGTTAAAAACATTCAATAAAAGTTGTTTTTGAACACGATGCTAACATCCCGCTCTCTAAAATGTCAGTCCACAGATTACTTGCTAGTTAGAAAACTTAGCATCATTAAAGTGGTTGCACAATATTACCCATGAAGTGTTCTTGGTCATTATTAAGTATTCTGGTTAAAAATGCTTAACCTGAAACTGATCAAACCTCTAGACCTAACTTCAAGTCTACAGAAAATACAGGAGATAAAGGAAGAGTTAGACGACATCATGAGGAAACAATCAGATGATATAGAATGTGGGACAGTCTACAAGTTAACTGGCCTGGTTTCTTTAACAAGTCAGTACTGGACTAACAGGCCAATGCAAGGTAATAATGGTAGTGCAGTTTTTGGGTTTTTGGTTTTTTTGAGACAAGGGCTTGCTCTGTCACCCAGACTGGAGTGCAGTGGCACAATCATGGCTTATTGCAGCCTGGACCTCCCTGGCTCAAGCTATCCTCCCACCTCAGCCTCCCGAGTAGCTGGGACTACAGGCATGCACCACCACATTCAGCTAATTTAAATTTTTTTTTTTTTTTTTAGAGACGGGGTCTCCCTGTGTTGCCCAGGCTGGTCTCAAACTCCTGGTCTCAAGCAATCATTCTGCCTTGGCCTCCTGAAGTGCTGGACTTATAGGCATGAGCCATAGGGCCTTGCTTATAGTGTAGTTTTTGATCTCCCTAAATGCTATCTTAAAACCATTATGATAGCAAAGAACCATTATGATGGCAAAAGAAAAAATTTCCCAGATTACATTATGAACAAAACGAGGTGACGAGCATCCCCAGGAACACCAGAATGCAAATGGTTGCAACCAAACCATTGACAACGGCAAGACCTTTGTAGGTCCTGTACAGGTTTAGCAGCAATACAGAGAAGTAGTGGAGAGAATATAAGGATGTTCTGGCGCGGGGTGTAATCCCAGCACTTTGGGAGGCTGAGGCAGGTGGATCATGAGGTCAGGAGTTCAAGACCAGCCTAGCCAACACGGTGAAACCCCATCTCTGCTAAAAATACAAAAATTAGCCGAGTGTGGTGGTGCATGTCCGCAGTCCCAGTTACTTCGGAGGCCGAAGCAGAATTGCTTGAACCTGGGAGGTGGAGCTTGAAGTAAGCCGAGATGGCCCCATTGTACTCCAGTCTGGGCAACAAGAGTGAAACTCTGCCTCAAAAAAAAAAAAAAAAAAAAAAAGAATATATAGGGATGTTCTGATGGCCCCCAAAAGCCCAAAAAGACCGAATTTGCAAATACTCCTGAACTCAATTACTTACTGTCTCAGTTTCTACCACAGGAGTTACTCCTACCACCAGTTTCCTCACCTGACAACCTGTCCACTTGGGTCACCACCCTTCAAGATTCTTCCAACTGGCTGCCTTCTTGGCCCCTGGGAAAAACCCACACATCTTCACCCCACCAAACTCTGGACATACACGCTGTCTAGACTCGCTTTCCTTACCCTGCCATGTCAGGCTGCTACACGAGCCTCCTCTCTACAGGTTTATCCAGGTAGAAGCAGTCATCAGTCTCTGTCCTTATCTACATTCTAAAACTCTGAGGACATGTCAAGCTTTACCAAAAACTCCCTCAAGCTGTATCCCAGAGACAGAATTGGGTAGGTCTATACGTTTCTACAGCTCAGCACCTGGGGCAGAAGCAGATGTCAGTCTCTCCATATGGAAGGCAACCTCTGTTATTCTGAGTTATCTCGTGGACCCTCTCTTAGCTTGAGGTGGTAGTGGTGATGTCCATATCAAAGTGACGAAGTGCTCTCTACTGCAAGATTTTCCTATTAACGTTTTTTTTCAAAGAAGGAATCTGCAACCTACTCTCACATAGGTTGGAGGGGGATAATCCAAAGATTTGTTGGCCACCTCATGGTTGCATTTTCCAAAATATGTAGAAACACCATGTCAAAATATGAATGTACCAGGAATTAATGGGATACAAATAGAATATTTGTATCCTTTCCATTTTAGCCTTGTATCTGCCTCTGGGTTAGTTATCCAGTATTTTGTAAACCCAAAGTAACCTTATTTCTCATAGACATAGGTGTTTTTCTAGAAAAAATAAAATCCTTCACACTGACAGGAAATGACACTAGATGGTAGCTCTGATTCACTCAGAGAAATACAAAGCTCCAGAAAAGGTAAATCTGTAGGTAAATATACAATATTATATAAATATATATTTTTTTCCTAATGTATCTAAATGACATAAGATTGCATGAAACAACTCATTTTTTTTTTTTTTTGAGACAGAGTCTTGCTTTGTCGCCAGGCTGGAGTTCTGTGGTGCAATATCGGTTCACTGCAATCTCTGCCTCCCGGGTTCAAGCGATTCTCCTGCCTCAGCCTCCTGAGTAGCAGGGATTACAGGTGTGCACCACCACGCTCAGCCAATTTGTGTATTTTTAGTAGAGATGGGGTTTCACCATGTTGGCCAGACTGGTCTCAGACTCCTGACCTCAAGTGATCCACCTGCCTCAGCCTCCCAAGGTGCTGGGATTATAGGCGTGAGCCACCGCACCCAGCCTTACATAAAACAATTCTTATAAAATGATTTTTATGCTTATAACATATAAAAATATAATGCATATATGAAAATAATAGCAGAGTGTGTGTAGGGGGGAGAAGTGGACATATATGATATTAGTACAAATTTTTTATATTTTGCCAAAGGTAATTAGTAATGACTATGAAATAGAGAGTGACAGGTTAAGATTCATATTGTAATCCCTAGAGCAACAACTAAGAAAATAACTTTTAAATATGTAGCAAAACAATTCAACAAAGGAATTTAAAGACAATGTAGGTGAAGTGGACAAATTGCTAGAAATAAACAAATTACCAAAAATGATTCAAGTAGAGACAGAGAATCAAAATAGAACTACACATAAGTGGGCCAAGCGAGGTGGCTCATGCCTGTAATCCCAGTACTTTGGGAGGCCGAGGGGGGCAGATCACCTGAGGTCAGGAGTTTGAGACCAGCCTGGCCAACATGGTGAAACCCTGTCTCTACTAAAAATACAAAAATTAGCCGAGGGTGGTGGTGGGCGCCTGTAATCCCAGCTACTCAGGAGGCTGAGGCATGAGAATTGTTTGAGCCAGGGAGACGGAGGTTGCAGTGAGCCGAGATCACACCACTGCACTCCAGCCTGGGCGACAGAGTGAGACTCTGTCTCAAAAAAAAATAATAATGATAAATAAATAGAACTATACATAAGTAAAGACATCTGAATTATTTCAGAAATTTATAAGCTGATCTTAATAGGACTCAGAATAACAAAGAGATTTTTGAAAAAAAACAGAAGTTGAAATACTTTCACTTTCTGATTTCAGAAATTACTATAAAGCCGCAGTAATCAAGACAGCGTTGGTCAAAGGATACAAAATTTTACAGCCAGGAGGAATAAGTGTAAGAGATCTATTGTACAATACAGTGACTACAGCTAATAACAATGTATTGTATACTTGAAAATTGCTAAGACAGTAGATTTCAAATATTATCATCACAAATAAATGATAAGTATGTGTGGTAATGTACATGTTAATGAGCTTGATTTAGCCATCCCACAGTGTATACATATTTCAAAATATCATGTTGTACAACATAAATACACACAATTTTTATTTGTCAATTTAAAAATTTTTAAAAACTATTCTAAAAATAAGTTTAAAAAGACAGTGTGATATTGTCATGAAGACAGATGATGGTACAGAATCGAGTCCAGAAATAAACCCTTCCATTTATGGTGAATGGATTTTTGACAAAGGTGCCAGGACAATTCAATGGAGAAAGGATAGTGTTTTCAATGATAGTTGCTGGGACAATTGGATGTCCACATGCAAAAGGATGAATTTGCACTCTTACCTCACACTATACACAAAAATTCACTTGAAATGGGTCAAAGACCTAAATTTTAGTGCTAAAACTTTTAGAGAAAAACATAAGAGAAAACTTTGGTGTGATGGTTAATTTTAGGTGTCAACTTGACTAGATGAAGGGATACCTGGAAAACTGGTAAAACATTATTTCTGAGTGTATCCGTGAGGGTGTTTCCAGAAGAGATTGGTGTGTAGTCAGTGGACTGAGTGGGGAAGATCACCCTCAATGTGGATGGGCACCATCCAGTTGGCTGGGGGCCCAGATAGAAGAAAAAGGCAGAGGAAAGGTGAATTCGTGTTCTCTCTCTTTCTCTCTCTCTCTCTCTCTCTCTCTGTCCTGGAGCTGGGACACCCTTCTTCTTCTGCCCTTGGACATCAGAACTTCAAGTTCTCCAGCCTTTGGATTTTGGGACTTGCACCAGCAACCTCCTAGGTTCTCAGGACTTTGACATTGGACCGAGAGTTACACCATTCGATTCTCTGGTTCTGTGGCCTTCAGACTTGGACTGAGCCATGTTACCAGCCTCTCTGGTTCTTTAGCTTGCAGATAGCCTATCATGGGATTTCTAAGCCTCTATAAGCACATGAGCAAATTCTCCTAATAAATCCCCTCTTATCTATCTATCTATTTATCTATCACTTATCTACCTATCATGTATCTATCCTATTGGCTCTGTCTCTCTCTGGAGAACCCCAACGAATACAGATTTTGGTACTCAGAAATAGGGCTGTTGCTATAACATATACCTGAAAATCTGGAAGCTACTTTGAAACTGGGTGGTGGTTATAGGCTGGAAGAACTTGGAGGAGTATCCTAGCAAAAGCCTATATTGCCATGAATAAAGTGTTTAGAGCGATTCTGGTGAGGGCTCAGAAGAAGAGAGCAGTCAGGAAAGTCCGAAATTTCTGAAAGATCACTAAGTAGTCATGATCAGAATGTTGGTAGAAATATGAATGGTAAAGGTAATTCTGGTGAGATTTCAGATGGAAATGAGAAACAAGGTATCATAAACTACAGTAAAGTCCTTCTTTGTCATAAAATGGCAAATAACTTGGCTGAATTGTACCCATGTCTGAAGGTTTTGTGGAAAGCAGAACTTAAAAGCAATGAACTAGGATATGACAGAAGAACATATAAGTAGCAAAGCATTCAGGGTGTTGTCTGACTTCTTCTAATTGCATATAGTTAAATGCAAGAAGAGAGAAATGATTTAAACATGGAATGTATAATTAAAAGGGAAGAGGAACATAAGGATTTGGAAAATCCTGGCTAAGTAAAGAATCAAAAGGCATGTTTAGGAGAGAAAACCAAAAGTGTGGCCAAAGGACCATTTGATAAGGAGATTAATACAGATAAAAGGAAGCCAGATGCTATTCATCAAGACAATGGAGAATTAACCTAAAGTCATTATGGTGATCTTTGAGGCTGCCCCTTCCATCACAGTCTCAGAGCACTGGGACCTTGAGGGCAAGGTTTCTAGAGAGAGGGCTATGGGATCTCAGCATTTGCTGCCCTTTGCTACCTCAAGTATCTGCTTCCTGCATTCCAGTGCAGCACTCCTTGGCTGTTCCAGCTATGGCTCAAGCAAGCCCAGGTGCAATTCAACCTGCTATTCTGAAAGATTCAAACATTAAGCCTTGGTTACATTCAGGTGGTGCTAATTCTGCAGCCCCACAGAATGCAAGAAATGTGAGGCCATGGCTTCCTTCACCTAGATTTCAAAGGATGTCGTGGACAGCTTGGGGGCCCAAGTAGAAACTTGTCATAGGGGCAGAGCTACCACAGAGAGCTTCCGCTAGTGTTACGGTCTTTCTGCCCCTTAGCTGAGCTAAGTCTGAGTTCTCGTCTCACAAGCAGGAAGAATTAGGCATGTGAATGCCGGAGAGTGAGTGGAGTAGAAGTTATTAAGTGAAAGGAAAACTCTCAGCAGAGAGGGGATGTCAAGGGGTGGAGGTTTCCCTATTTGAAGGCGGGAAAAGTCCCCCATGTGGCTGGATCCGGGACCTTTTATGGACTCAGAATGGGGAGGGCATGTTGATTGGTTTGTGAGTATGCAAAAAAGGTTAAAGCAAAGACACCACTCAAAGATGGGCATGACTGTAGAAAACCAATTAGGGAAGGGTAGGTATAGGTAAAATAGGTAAAGGGAGGGGATCAATCAGAGGAAAGTGCGCCACACAGGAAGACAAGTTCTCAATCCAGTCTGAGGATTTAACTTGTAGCTTGGCTTTCAGGCTTTAAACTGTCTTTGGCTTGGAGTTGGGGTTTCACTGGGTACCCATCCCAACTGCCTAGGCATTTGGCTGCCTCCTGTCGCTATCACTAGGACAATGCCCAGTGGAACTGTGGGCTTAGGGCTGCTGCAGAGACCCCAGAAATGTAGACTCACCAGTATGCAGTCCTAGTCTGGGAAAGCTGCAGGCCCAAGTCTTCAACCCATGAAAACTGCTGCATGGGCTGAGTCCAGCAAAGTCATGGGGGAGTGGCTGCCTGAGGTCTTGGAAGCACATAGCCCATTCTAGTGTGCCCAAAAGGTGGGACATGGATTCAAGGAAGATTGTTCTGGAGCCTTAAGATTTGATGTTGTTCACCCTGTTGGGTTCTGAACATATTGGGGATCAGTTACCCCTTTCTTCTTGTCTGTTACTTCCTTTTAGACTGGGAATGTCTATCCTATGCCTGTTCCACCACTGTATTTTGGAAGTAGATAACTTGATTTCACAGGCTTATGGCTGGAGGGAATTTGCCGCAGAATAAATCATGCCTTGAGTCTCACCCATATATGATTTAGGTGAGATTCTAGATTTTGGACTTATGTGTTGGTGCTAAAATGGTTAAGATTTTGGGGTCTATTGGGATGGAATGAAAGTGTTTTGCATATGAGAAGAATGTGAGTTTTGGGGGGCAATGGGTGGAATGCTATGGTTTGAATGTTTGTCCCCTCCAAAGCTCATGTTGAAATTTAATTGCCATTGTAATGGAATTGGGAAATGGGACCTTTAAGAGGTGATTAGGTTGTGAGGGCTCTGCCCTCATGGGTGGGTTTAATGTTTTTAAAATGAGGATTTCTGGAATGGGTTCTCTCTTTTTTTCTGCTCTTGTGCCACATGAAGAACAGTGTTCCTCCCCTCTGGAGGATACAGCATTCAAGGTGTTACCTTGGAAGCAGAGACTGGGCCCTAGCCAGATGCCAAACCTTCTGGTGCCTTGATCTTGGACTTTCCAGCCTCCAAAACTGTAAGAAATAAATTTCTGTTCTTTATGAATTACACAGGTTGGCTGTGCCAGGGACCACGGACATGGGCAAACTTCTGAGCTACCAGCCCAACAGGGGCATAAAACGTCCCCGAGATGGCAAAGAGGAGGAGCAGAAGATGCATCAGAAACAAACTAGTACTCAAGATTGGGAAGAGGAAATGATTGTGGTGGAAGAAGCAGAGGATGACAAACATTTGCTGCTTCAGATTATTGACACAGAGGGTGAGGAGGAAGAGAAAGAGGAGGAGCCATTGGATGAAAGCTCAGTGAAGAAAATGATCCTTGCATTTGAATAGTGAGCATATAAAAACCAAGAATTGCAGATTAAGTTTCCAGACAATCCAGAGAAGTTCATGGAATCCCAACTGGACCTACATGACATCATTCAGAAGATGCACTTGGTGGCCACCATGCCAGACCTGTACCTCTTGCTGGAGCTGAATGCTGTGCAGTCACTTCTTGGTTTGCTTGGACACAATAATACAGACGTGTCCATAGCTGGGGTTGATTTGAGTCAGGAATTAACAGATATAGACATCTTCTATGAGAGTGGAGAGGGAGCAGAAGTACTCATTGATGCTCTGGTGGATGGGCACGTGATAGCGCTGCTGGTGCAGAACGTGGAGCGCCTGGATGAGTCTGTGAAGGAGCAGGTCAATGGTGTCCATAACACTCTTGTTATTGTGGAAAACATGGCTGAGTTCTAGCTGGAGATGTGTACAAAAGGTGCGCAGCAGGGTCTTCCTCAGTGGCTGTTGAAGAGGCTGAAGGCAAAGAAGCCTTTTGATGCCAACAAACTGTATTGCAGTGAAATGCAGGCCATATTGCTCCAGGACAATGATGAAAACAGGAAATTGCTTGGGGAGCTGGATAGAATTGATGCACTTCTTCACAGTTATCTGTGTTTAAAAGACACAATCCCAGCACAGCAAAGGAGCAGGAGATGATGGAGAATCTGTTTGATTCACTCTGCTTCTAACTAATGCTCACTTCCAATCGTGAGCACTTCCTGAAGGGCGAGGGTCTTCAGGTAATGAATCTCATGCTCAGGGAAAAGAAGATCTCACGGAGCAGGGTCCTGAAAGTGCTGATTGCACCCGAGGGCATCTACAACTGCGGTAAATTTGTTGACATTCTTGGCTTATGAACCATCTTTCCCCTCTTTATGGAATTTCCCAGGAAGATCAAGAAAGTGGGTACCACTGACAAGGAACACAAACAGCATGTCTGTTCCGTTCTGGCTTCCCTTTTGTGGAACCTGAGAGGGCATCAGTGAACCCGGCTTCTGAATAAATTCACTGAAAATGACAGTGAGTAGGCTGACAGACTAATGGAGTTGCATTTTCAATATCTGGGTGCAATGCAGGTGGCAGACAAGAGGAATGAAGGGGAAAAACGTGACATGGTCTAGCGTGGAGAGATCATAGACAGTGACATGGGGGATGAGTTCTACCTCCAGTGCTTGGATGCAGAGCTGTTTGTTCTCCAGTGCATCTGCTGCATTATGTCCAAGATCTGCAATGCCAGTGTCCCCCAGATTTGCCAGAGGGTTCACCAGATCCTAAACATGTGAGGACGCTCCATCAAAATTGTCAGGCATATCATCAAGGGGTATGCGGAGTTCCGGGAGAAGGAGCAAAAGCACATCCTGGGCTTGCTTGAAAACTTCTAGAGGCCTCCTGACCCTGTGCATAATGGACTCCCTCTTGGCTTCCCTTCCAGAAACAGTTTCTAGACAGCTGTGTGTGGCTTTTGGACAAATTAAAGCTAGTTTTGTTTAAAAAAACAAATAAATAGAATAAAATAAAGTACCTAGGTATTCTGTTATAGCATCACAAAATGAACTAAGACGCTTGGTTACCTTGGGTTAGGCAAAAATCTCTTAGATATGCACAAAACATGAAAGAACAAATTGATAAACTGGATTTCATCAAAATTATAAAATTTTTGTGCTTTAAATGACACTATTAAGAAAATGAAAAGGGCCAGGCACAGTGGCTCACGCTTGTAATCCCACCACTTTGGGAGGCTGAGGCAGATGGATCACCTGAGGTTAGGAGTTCTAGAGCAGCCTGACCAACATGGTGAAACCCTGTCTCTAATAAAAATACAAAAATTAACTGGGCATGGTGGCACGCACCTGTAATCCCAGCTACTCAGGAGGCTAAGGCACAAGAATCGCTTGAACCTGGGAGGTGGAGGTTGCAGTGAGCCAAGATCGCACCATTGCACTCCAGCCTGTGTGACAAGAGCAAAACTCCGTCTCAAAAAAATAAAGGAAAAAGAAAAAAAGGAAATGAAAAGACAATCCATAGACCAGAAAAAATATTTCAAATCATATTTCTGGTAAAGGACTTACGTCCAGCCAGAATGTACAAAGAGCTCCTACAACTAAATAATAATAAGACAAGCAACTCAAAAAATGGGCAATGGGCCAAAGTTTTGAATGCATATTTGACCAAAGAAGATCTATAAATGACCAATAAGCACATGAAAAGGTGTTCTACGTTATTAATCTTCAGGGAAATGCAAATTAAAACCATAATGAACCACCATTTCATACTCATAGAATGATGGTAAGGATGTGGAAAAACTAAAGCGTTCATACATTGCTGGTGGGAATGTAAAACAGGACAGCCAATTTAAAAATCAGTTTGGCAGTTTCTTAAAGTTACCATAAAATCCAGCAATTCTCTAAATATCTAGAGAAATGAAAACATTTTATAACATGCAAAAATGTGTACACCAATGTCCATGGGAATGTAATTTGTAATAGCCAAAGAATGGAAATAATCCAAATGTCCATCAACTGATAAATGGATTAAAAAATGTGTGGGCCAGGCACAGTGGTTCACACCTGTAATCCCAGCACTTTGGGAGGCCGAAGAAGGTGGATAGCTTGAGCCCAGGAGTTCAAGGCTAGCCTCGGCAACATGGCAAAATACCATCTCTACAAAAAACACAAAATACAAAAATTAGCTGGGTGCGGTGGTGCGCATCTGTAGTCCTGGCTATGTGGGAGGTTGAGGTGGGAGGATCACTTGAGCCCAGGGTGTCCAGGCTGCACTGAGCCCTGATTGCACCACTGCACTCCAGCCTGGGCAATGGAGTAAGACCCAGTTTCAAAAAATAAATAAGTAATTAAAGGACAAAGTACTGATACATGTGGTAACATGGATGAACCTCAAAAACATTACACTAAGGGAAATAAGCCAGATGCAAAAGACCACATGTTATATGATTCCATGTATATGACATAATCAGAATAGAGAAATCTATAGAGACAGAAAGCAATTTAAAGGTTACCTAGTGTTGAGGGTAGAGGGTGGGGATTGCAGACAGCATGCATAATCTTTTTGGAGTGATGGAAATATTATTTTTTTTTGAGATGGAGTTTCGTTCTTGTTGCCTAGGCTGGAGTGCAATGGTGTGATCTCAGCTCACTGCAACCTCCACCTCCCGGGTTCAAGCGATTCTCCTGCCTCAATCTTCCAAGTAGCTGGGATTACAGGCATGCGCCAGCATGCCCAGCTAATTTTGTATTTTTAATGGAGACAGGGTTTCTCCATGTTGGTCAGGCTGGTCTCGAACTCCTGACCTCAGGTGATCCACCGGCCTCGGCCTTCCAAAGTGCTGGGATTACAGGCATGAGCCACCATGCCCGGCCAGAAATATTCTTAAACTGGATTGAGTTGGTAATTTCTCAACTCTATAAATTCACTAAAAATCATTAAATTGTATACTTGAAATAGGAGAATTTTGTGGCATATGAATTATTCATCAATAGATCTGTTTTTTAAAAAAGTCAAAGCAGGCATGATTCTTACTCACAAGGTGCGAGGTGCCTGGCATTTAACAGAGAAGACAGACACATCTGCAAATAAATGTAATGTTTTGAGTTAATTTTATTTAAAGACATATATTCAATATGCTATGGTTTTTTTTGCTCATTATGTTTCATTCCTAATCTCAAAATCCATAATTCTTGGAAAAGATGGTGTTCTGAACCCTCCTGTCATTATTAAGTGTATATATATATATATATATATATATATATATATATATATATATATGGTGGGGTGGAGCCAAGATGGCCGAATAGGAACAGCTCCAGTCTACAGCTCCCAGCATGAGCGACACAGAAGACGGGTGATTTCTGCATTTCCAACTGAGGTACCAGGTTCATCTCACTGGGGAGTGCCGGACAGTGGGTGCAGGACAGTGGGTGCAGCGCACCGTGCATGAGCCGAAGCAGGGCGAGGCATCGCCTCACCCAGGAAGCACAAGGGGTCAGGGAATTCCCTTTCCTAGTCAAAGAAAGGGGTGACAGACAGCACCTGGAAAATCGGGTCACTCCCACCCTAATACTGTGCTTTTCCAACGGGCTTATCAAATGGCACACCAGGAGATTATAACCCACACCTGGCTCGGAGGGTCCTACGCCCACGGAGCCTTGCTTATTGCTAGCACAGCAGTCTGAGATCAAACTGCAAGGTGGCAGCGAGGCTGGGGGAGGGGTGCCCGCCATTGCTCAGGCTTGAGTAGGTAAACAAAGCAGCCAGGAAGCTCGAAGTTGGTGGAGCCCACCACAGCTCAAGGAGGCCTGCCTGCCTCTGTAGGCTCCACCTCTGGGGACAGGGCACAGACAAACAAAAGACAGCAATAACCTCTGCAGACTTAAATGTCCCAGTCTGACAGCTTTGAAGAGAGTAGTGGTTCTCCCAGCATGCAGCTTAAGATCTGAGAACGGGCAGACTGCCTCCTCAAGTTGGTCCCTGACCCCCGAGTAGCCTAACTGGGAGGCAACCTCCAGTAGGGGCAGACTGACACCTCACACGGCCGGGTACTCCTCTGAGACAAAATTTCCAGAGGAGCGATCAGGCAGCGGCATTTGCGGTTCACCAATATCCGCTGTTCTGCAGCCACCACTGCTGATACCCAGGCAAACAGGGTCTGGAGTGGACCTCCAGTAAACTCCAACAGACCTGCAGCTGAGGGTCCTGACAGTTAGAAGGAAAACTAACAAACAGAAAGGACATCCACACCAAAAACCCATCTGTACATCACCATCATCAAAGACCAAAGGTAGATAAAACCACAAAGATCGGGGAAAAAACAGAGCAGAAAAACCGGAAACTCTAAAAATCAGAGTGCCTCTCCTCCTCCAAAGGAACACAGCTCCTTACCAGCAACAGAACAAAACTGGATGGAGAATGACTTTGATGAGTTGAGAGAGGAAGACTTCAGAAGATCAAACTACTCCGAGCTAAAGGAGGAAGTTCGAACCAATGGCAAAGAAGTTAAAAACTTTGAAAAAAAATTAGACGAATGGACAACTAGAATAACAAATGCAGAGAAGCCCTTAAAGACCTGATGGAGCTGAAAACCACGGCATGAGAACTACGTGACGAAAGCACAAGCCTCAGTAACTGATGTGATCAACTGGAAGAAAGGGTATCAGTGATGGAAGATGAAATGAATGAAATGAAGCATGAAGAGAAGTTTAGAGAAAAAAGAATAAAAAGAAACAAACAAAGCCTCCAAGAAATATGGGACTATGTGAAAAGACCAAATCTATGTCTAATTGGTGTACCTGAAAGTGACAGGAAGAATGGAACCAAGTTGGAAAACACTCTGCAGGATATTATCCAGGAGAACTTCCCCAATCTAGCAAGGCAGGCCAACATTCAAATTCAGGAAATACAGAGAATGCCACAAAGACACTCCTCAAGAAGAGCAACTCCAAGACACATAATTGTCAGATTCACCAAAGTTGAAATAAAGGAAAAAATGTTAAGGGCAGCCAGAGAGAAAGGTCGGGTTACCCACAAAGGGAAGCCCATCAGACTAACAGCTGATTTCTCAGCAGACACTCTACAAGCCAGAAGAGAGTGGGGGCCAATATTCAACATTCTTAAAGAAAAGAATTTTCAACCCAGAATTTCATATCCAGCCAAACTAAGCTTCATAAGTGAAGGAGAAACAAAATACTTTACAGACAAGCAAAAGCTGAGAGATTTTGTCACCACCAGGCCTGCCCTAAAAGAGCTCCAGAAGGAAGCACTAAACATGGAAAGGAACAACCGGTACCAGCCACTGCAAAAACATGCCAAATTGTAAAGACCATAAAGGCTAGGAAGAAACTGCATCAACTAATGAGCAAAATAACCAGCTAACATCATAATGACAGGATCAAATTCACACATAACAATACTAACCTTAAATGTAAATGGGTTAATGCTCCAATTAGAAGACACAGACTAGCAAATTGGATAAAGATTCAAGACCCATCAGTGTGCTGTATTCAGGAAACCCATCTCATGTGCAGAGACACACATAGGCTTAAAATAAAGGGATGGAGGAAGATCTACCAAGCAAATGGAAAACAAAAAAAGGCAGGGGTTGCAATCCTAGTCTCTGATAAAACAGACTTTAAACCAACAAAGAACAAAAGAGACAAAGAAGGCCATTACATAATGGTAAAGGGATCAATTCAACAAGAAGAGCTAACTATCCTAAATATATATGCACCCAATACAGAAGCACCCAGATTCATAAAGCAAGTCCTTAGAGACCTACAAAGTGACTTAGACTCCCACACAATAATAATGGGAGACTTTAACACCCCACTGTCAACATTAGACAGATCAATGAGACAGAAAGTTAACAAGGATATCCAGGAATTCAACTCACCTCTGCACCAAGTGGACCTAATAGACATCTACAGAACTCTCCATCCAAAATCAACAGAATATGCATTCTTTTCAGCACCACACCACACCTATTCCAAAATTGGCCACATAGTTGGAAGTAAAGCACTCCTCAGCAAATGTAAAAGAACAGAAATTATAACAAACTGTCTCTCAGACCACAGTGCAATCAAACTAGAACTCAGGATTAAGAAACGCACTCAAAACCACTCAACTACTTGGAAACTGAACCACCTGCTCCTGAATGACTACTGGGTACATAACGAAATGAAGGCAGAAATAAAGATGTTGTTTGAAACCAACGAGGACAAAGACACAACATACCAGAATCTCTGGGACACATTCAAAGCAGTGTGTAGAGGGAAATTTATAGCACTAAATGCCCACAAGAGAAAGCAGGAAAGATCTAAAATTGACACCCTAACATCACAATTAAAAGAACTAGAGAAGCAAGAGCAAACGCATTCAAAAGCTAGCAGAAGGCAAGAAATAACTAAGATTAGAGCAGAACTGAAGGAAATAGAGACACAAAAAACCCTTCAAAAAATCAATGAATCCAGGAGCTGGTTTTTTGAAAAGATCAACAAAATTGATAGACCGCTAGCAAGACTAATAAAGAAGAAAAGAGAGAAGAATCAAATAGACGCAATAAAAAATGACAAAGGGGATATCACCACTGATCCCACAGAAATCCAAACTACCATCAGAGAATACTATAAACACCTCTATGTAAATAAACTAGAAAATCTAGAAGAAATGGATAGATTCCTGGACACATACGCCCTCCCAAGACTAAACGAGGAAGAAGTTGAATCTTTGAATAGACCAATAACAGGCTCTGAAATTGAGGCAATAATTAATAGCTTACCAACCAAAAAAAGTCCAGGACCAGATGGATTCACAGCCGAATTCTACCAGAGGTACAAGGAGGAGCTGGTACCATTCCTTCTGAAAGTATTTCAATCAATAGAAAAAGAGGGAATCCTCCCTAACTCATTTTATGACGCCAGCATCATCCTGATACCAAAGCCGGGCAGAGACACAACAAAAAAAGAGAATTTTAGACCAATATCCTTGATGAACATTGATGCAAAAATCCTCAATAAAATACTGGCAAACCAAATCCAGCAACACATCAAAAAGCTTATCCACCATGATCAAGTGGGCTTCATCCCTGGGATGCAAGGCTGGTTCAACATACGAAAATCAATAAACGTAATCCAGCATATAAACAGAACCAAAGACAAAAACCACATGATTATCTCAATAGATGCAGAAAAGGCCTTTGACAAAATTCAACAACCCTTCATGCTAAAAACTCTCAATAAATTAGGTATTGATGGGACATATCTCAAAATAATAAGGGTTATCTATGACAAACCCACAGCCAATATCATACTGAATGGGCCAAAACTGGAAGCATTCCCTTTGAAAACTGGCACAAGACAGGGATACCCTCTCTCACCACTCCTATTCAACATAGTGTTGGAAGTTCTGGCCAGGGCAATCATGCAGGAGAAGGAAATAAAGGGCATTCAATTAGGAAAAGAGGAAGTCAAATTGTCCCTGTTTGCAGATGACATGATTGTATATCTAGAAAACCCCATTGTCTCAGCCCAAAATCTCCTTAAGCTGATAAGCAACTTCAGCAAAGTCTCAGGATACAAAATCAATGTGCAAAAATCACAAGCATTCTTATACACCAATAACAGACAAACAGAGAGCCAAATCATAAGTGAACTCCCATTCACAGTTGCGTCAAAGAGAATAAAATACCTAGGAATCCAACTTACAAGGGATGTGAAGGACCTCTTCAAGGAGAACTACAAACCACTGCTCAGTGAAATAAAAGAGGATACAAACAAATGGAAGAAATTCCATGCTCATGGGTAGGAAGAATCAATATCGTGAAAATGGCCATACTGCCCAAGGTAATTTATAGATTCATTGCCATCCCCATCAAGCTACCAATGACTTTCTTCACAGAATTGGAAAAAACTACTTTAAAGTTCATATGGAACCAAAAAAGAGCCCGCATCGCCAAGTCAATCCTAAGCCAAAAGAACAAAGCTGGAGGCATCATGCTACCTGACTTCAAACTACTATACTACAAGGCTACAGTAACCAAAACAGCATGGTACTGGTACCAAAACAGAGATAAAGAGCAATGGAACAGAACAGAGCCCTCAGAAATAATGCCGCATATCTACAACTATCTGATCTTTGACAAACCTGAGAAAAACAAGCAATGGGGAAAGGATTCCCTATTTAATAAATGGTGCTGGGAAAACTAGCTGGTTATATGTAGAAAGCTGAAACTGGATCCCTTCCTTACACCTTATACAAAAATTAATTCATGATGGATTAAAGACTTACATGTTAGACCTAAAACTATAAAAACCCTAGAAGAAAACCTAGGCTATACCATTCAGGACACAGGCATGGGCAAGGACTTCATGTCTAAAACACCAAAAGCAATGGCAACGAAAGCCAAAATTGACAAATGGGATCTAATTAAACTAAAGAGCTTCTGCACAGCAAAAGAAACCACCATCAGAGTGAACAGGCAACCTACAGAATGGGAGAAAATTTTTGCAAGCTACTCATCTGACAAAGGGCTAATATCCAGAATCTACAATGAACTCAAATTTACAAGAAAAAAACAAACAACCCCATCAAAAAGTGGGTGAAGGATATGAACAGGCACTTCTCAAAAGAAGACATTTATGCAGCCAAAAGACACATGAAAAAATGCTCATCATCACTGGCCATCAGAGAAATGCAAATCAAAACCACAATGAGATACCATCTCACACCAGTTAGAATGGCGATCATTAAAAAGTCAGGAAACAACAGGTGCTGGAAAGGATGTGGAGAAATAGGAACATTTTTACACTGTTGGTGGGACTGTAAACTAGTTCAACCATTGTGGAAGTCAGTGTGGCGATTCCTCAGGGATCTAGAACTAGATATACCATTTGACCCAGCCATCCCATTACTGGGTATATACCCAAAGGATTATAAATCATGCTGCTATAAAGACATATGCACACATACGTTTATTGCGGCACTATTCACAATAGCAAAGACTTGGAACCAACCCAAATGTCCAACAATGACAGACTGGATTAAGAAAATGTGGCACATATACACCATGGAATACTATGCAGCCATAAAAAATGATGAGTTCATGTCCTTTGTAGGGACATGGGTGAAGCTGGAAACCATCATTCTCAGCAAACTATCACAAGGACAAAAAACCAAACACCACATGTTCTCACTCATAGGTGGGAATTGAACAATGAGAACACATGGACACAGGAAGGGGAACATCACACACTGGGGCTTGTTGTGGGGTGGGGGGAGGGGGGAGGGAGATAGCATTGGGAGATATACCTAATGCTAAATGACGAGTTAATGGGTGCAGCACACCAACATGGCACATGTATACATATGTTACAAACCTGCACATTGTGCACATGTATCCTAAAACTTAAAGTATAATAATAATTTTAAAAATATATATATATTATATATATATATATAATGTAAGAGAAGGCAAAATTAGAAAGACTACATGCGATTCTTGCTTCTGAATAGTTTATGTGCAAATATGTAAATAATAAAGGCTTCCTGGTCATTCTCTCTCTTTCTCTCTTTCTATTTGTGTCCCTGTTTTTTTTTTTTTTCCTCCAAGTGGAAGATGCTGAAATCATTGGCTTGACAAAGTTTTCTGAGTGGAGTCTGGGAACTCCTTGCAGAAAACATTAATTTCTGGGTAGAAATTTCTTATAGTAGAAGGAATTTGTGGTGTGAAGAGAATAAAGTAAATGTTCCAGAAAAGGCAAATAAATATGGGGGAAGAATTTGATTGAGTAGTTGTTAGCCTATGTGTAGAGAAGAACAAATGTATTTGCTTGGCTAAGATTATTACATGACAGATTTTTAAGGAGTGTGTGTAGGGTGGAGAGGATAGTTGAAAAAGACCTGAAAATTACCAATTTGAAATTTGGTTGAAATTCTTCACAATTGTCACAGCGCATGGATAAGACTTTAGTTGAAATAGCTTCCAGAATTGGTTTACTGAATTCCTGGAAATGAACTGTTTTAAGAGTTTGTACATTTCAGAAATTCATGGAGTTCAGAATGCCAAGACAAAGGCCTTCAATTTAACAAGGAGAAACCAGAGTTTACCACTGGGATCTCCTAGGCCGTTCCGGAGAAATTTTTTAATTTTTCAGTTTTTATCATAGAATTTCCCTGGAGACATGGAAAAGGAGAAAACTCTTACACAAGACTGTAGTCTTTTCCACCAAAAGTCTTAATTTTACACTTCTACGTGGTTGGTGTATGAAATGCACTTTCATGTGACTGCTGAAAGCAAAAGATGACTGTGGCCACATGGGGGCAGCAGACACCTGCTTTTCCAAGCTTGAGCTCCAGAAATTTGTGCTAAAAGATTTTCCACGTTTATTCTTTAGTCTAAATGTCTCTTCCATATTGCCGAACTGGGGGAAATGAATATCTTTAAAATACTAACAAAGAAATCTCACGTGCTAATCAGAAGTTGGCAAGGGCTTGCTCTTTTTGTGTTTCTAATGGCTAGTTTCTCACAGGTCATTTCTTAGCTATCAGGATATCCTCTGACAATCATAGGGCCTGGCATCTAATGATAGCTTAGTAAACGTTGGTTATCCTTAGTGTTTTTTGGAAGATAACTGCTCCAACTTACCAAAACACATTCTCTAAGATCTCAGACCACGGTATCCAGGGAAGGCTGTATCTCTTTAGCTAAGAGTGTTCACATTGTCTAGCAGTCCTACACATTTTCTGCAGTTCTACAGTCATGAATTTAGAGACAAGCACCTTGTCAAATCAGTGATTCTGAGAAAAGCATATCCGACACAGTCACTTTCTCTTTACCTGTGTGGTGCTGCAGCAGAAACTGCAAATGGAATTTTGAGGATGGAAGGTGAGCACAGGTGTGGCAAGATTGCGATCCTGGGTATACCACTCCATCCCTCCTCCCTCTTCCCCTAACAGCCTAATCAGCCCTAATCAGGGCCTCATGGATGAGGTGAGGCACTTAGGCTGGCACCACCAGCTGCCTGGCTCTTTAGGCCTCTCACTGATGCCCCCTGCCTATTCATTTCAACATTTGTTGAATGCCCACTCTTTCTTAAGCAATCCTCATACATCATCTCATTTACCATTTCTCTATGTAGGAAAGCTATTTCATGCCTATGTTTGCAGATGCTCGTCCTTCTGCCTGGAATACCCTTTCCTTCTTCTCAGTCTAATTCCTATATGTCTTTCCAATCCAGCTCATGACATGCTCTTCTAGAAACCCCACAACAGTTTAGATATAGCCAAAATGGGCTCTTGTAAGCACATGGTCTTATCCTCAGCACATTGTTAGGATCACAGGCTTGGTCATCTTCCTCTCCCATGAAACCACAAGCTCCCTGTGCTCAGAGCCCTGCCTCATTCGGCCTTGAATCCGTAGAGGCCAGCAGAGTTTCTGGCACATTGGAGCTGCTCCAGAAAAGTTTGTGGAGTGAGCAAATGAATCAATTCATTTATCCCTGAATGAGATGTTTCCTTTCCCTTCCTTTCCCCAGTTAAAATGCTTTGATTTTTTTTTAATCTCTCTTAAGAAATTATTTTAAAAATAAGCAGTCAGCTTCTACCTCCTACACAAGGAACATCAGAGAATACCAATGAACCATCATTTACAAGTGGGACTTGCTGAAGAAGGAAGTGTGTAGTATGAACCTCTGTGGATATCCCAGGCACTGTGGGGTCCCATGGGGATATGCACCAAGCTCCATGCGTGCGGCTCTGAAAGATGCCTTCACATCAGCAGCAGCTGTTAGTGGCATTAAGATGTGAATGGCTTCCAGAAGCCTCTCAGTGTTCTAAGGATACTATTCGTCAATTCTCACAGAATCCTTCAATGATAAGCAAGAGAAATGGAGAAAGTTTTTCCTGCCTTCTTCTCTCCGCTGTCTCTCTTTCTCCTTACAGTTGGAGAGTTAGAATTCAGAGAAAGATTAAGCAAATCGCCTAGCATCACTTAAAAGAGAACAGTCAAGCCAGAACTCAGTCTGGTGCTCATTCCACAAAGCTGTGCTTCCTGTAACTTAAACAGGTCTGTGTTTTAATGAATTTGTGGCATATGGGCCATAATAATCAAAGCGCCTGGCATTTCCTGGAATTTATGATCTTGTGGGGAATAGGTCATTTTCTACTTTTGAATGAATTTTCACATGCTTAGCTTTGGAGTTGAGAAACCTGACAGAAGTGAACATGGTTTCTGGAATAAGTAATGCTTTTTTTTGTTTGTTTGTTTGTCCTGCTATCTGTACCCATATCTTCTTTTTGTCCTCTCAAACCTCATCCCTACCCATGAACTATTGTCCCAACTTCTCTAGCATTTTAAGAGTCAGTGGCAAGATAGTGTTCTTTTTTTTTTTTGACGGAGTCTCGCTCTGTCACCAGACTGGAGTACAATGGTGCGATCTTGGCTCACTGCAACCTCTGCCTCCCGGGTTCAAGCGATTCTCTTGCCTCAGCCTCCTGAGTAGCTGGGACTACAGGCGCACGCCACTATGCCCAGCTAATTTTTGTATTTTTTAAGTAGAGATGTGGTTTCACCATGTTGGCCGAGATGGTCTCGATCTCCTGACCTCGTGATCCACCCATCTCGGCCTCCCAAAGTGCTGAGATTACAGGCATGAGCCACCACCCAGCCAAGAGTCAGTAGCAAGATAGTGCTCTCAAAGTCTGTGTTGTGGGAGAAGAAAATTATTTTGATTGCTGTCTTCTCTGTGAAATTCCAGTGAAGTTCATAGCCCTTCATCGTCCACCATCCCTGGTGACCTGCAGTTGTTGGAAAAACAGTTGTCTTTATAGGCAAAGAACTCTCCTCCTGACCTGGATTTGTGTTTCTGATTTCTAAAAAACCTTGTTGATCCAGGTAGCAGTGAAAGTCTGTGAATTCAGATATGGCCTGACCAATGCACTCTTTTTTTTTTTTTTTTTTTTTTTTTTGAGACAGGCTGGAGTGCAGTGGCGCGATCTCCGCTAACTGCAACCTCCACCTCCCGGGTTCAAATGATTCTCCTGCCTCAGCCTCCCGAGTAGCTGGGATTACAGGTGCGCACACCAAGCCCAGCTAATTTTTGTATTTTTAGTAGAGATGGGGTTTCACCATGTTGGCCAGGATGGTCTCAAACTCCTGACCTCAAGTGATCCACCCGCCTTGGCCTCTCACAGTGCTGGGATTACTGGTGTGAGCCACAGGGCCTGGCCCAATGTGCTCTGTTTTTGACAGAGTCTTCCAGAATTGCCTTGAGTGTGACAGCAGTAGCTGGTTTCCCAAAGATCTACTTGGTCCCACTTGCTGAGAAAGCTGCCATTGAGTATTTGTTGTGGGCATTTAAATCTCAGTAAAGGTATACCAATTAATGCCAATGAGCTTAAGTAAATATCTATGCCACTGATATTGATGTTTGTGTTTTGTTTCTAAAATGAATTGAAGTTCCCCCAAAGCCTGACCTCTTCTCCAGCAAATCCTTGGTTGCAGTGGATGGCAGTAATTTTTTAAGGGCATTACATTAAGTTTCCAGGAGTGCCTTTTAAAGGAGCTTTTTCCATGCCTTTTTTTTTTCTAATATCTTATATGCTCAGTTCTTACTGGCTTACAAGAACTCTTTAAAAAATGGAGTCCCTGAATATTTCTGTGAAATGCATTCTTTTCTGAGACAGACTGTCATGGGAGCTATTTAGAGCCTACATCACTTAGTTTGAGAGCTGAATGATGCACTTTTCCAAGCATATTCTTAACTCAAACAACAAAAGACTTCAAGTTTGCCGAGTATTTCCAGACCCAGGCAATGTCAGGGAACCATAGATTGTCAGGGTCTTCTATTGCCCTGGCAGCTCTCTAGAAGCAACACTAGAATTTCTAGAAGGGGACCGTAGCATGCTAAAGCCATTGGCATGACCCTGGGTTCACTGGCATCCAGGAAGCTCCTTTTCTCTGTGTTGGAGTTACCCCTGTAATACACCCAGGTTAACATATTTGGAATTCCTAACCCTATATAATGAGGAAACCTCTAAGTTTCAAAGATCCCAGTTCAAATCTAAACACTTAGAAAGCTTGGAAATAAGTTTCTTGGGTTTGGAATTCATTAAAGAAGTGCAAGACTCAGGGTCCATAGGGGGCACACAAAAAGACTCAGTGTCTCTGTCACTGAGACAGAGGCTGGGGGAGAAAAGAGACACACTTTCCCAGAAATTCAATTGGGGCAGGTACAGAGTATCTATGCTGGATCTCATGAGTGCTTGGTGGGACAAGACTGTTCCCATGGTAATTCCCCGAGGTTAACCAGCTGTGACAGGGAAAGCGATAGCCGCACGATTCATGAATGTGTGTAACCGAACTGTCCCTGGCTAGGTTCATGGGTCAAATAGGAGACCAGTGTCTGAGGTCAGGTTTCAGGCTGCTGCATGTGCTGGCCCCTAAGCAGAAGGAAAGGGAATCAGTAAGTGTCACCTTGAATGATACCCCCCTATGCTTGATTCGACACCAGTTAGGAAGGGAATTGGTAGGGGCACATGATGAAAAACTGTTCGGTTTCTTTCCCTTTCTCTCTGCTGTCACATGAGACTAGACCAGGAGAAAACAGAAAGCTCATAATTTTATTTGGCCTTCATTGAGTGTAGGCTGGTATCATTTCATTTATTTGGAACTTATAGGGGTTCTCAGGTTCATAACCTATTTACTGGGTTTATAAATTGATTATTTTAAAATTTGAATGATGGATGGGAACATTCCACGGTTTATTGTGGGAGGGAGAATATAGCCAGAGAAACAATGACCTATGGTGTAAGGCCATAGGTATATCAAAATCAGAATCTGTACCAATTCAAATAACTTCCTCTTGAATCTCAGATTACCTTGGGAAAGTGTATGATTTTTTTGCACTAGCATTTCAAAACATTTAAGCTTCCGTAATGACGGCTTGATTTAATTCCAAATGCATTACCTCCTACAGATACAACATGAGAGCAGAAATTGACTTTGTAAATAGCGTGGATCAAATGAGGCCCACTGACTTGCACAATCCAATAAGTGGCAAAACCAAGACTAGAATATCAGAATGTACAGCTTTGTCTTTTGAGCAAGATTGCCTTTGTTTTTACCAAACAAATTTTGATGCCATACGTTTGTTGAATGAATTCTACTTTAGATTCATTCAGTACAATATTTTGCTCCTTTTCTTACAAAAAGTAGTACAACAAAGAAGTGTTGAAATTCCATTTGCCACTCTGTTATTAAGTGATACATGTTATGTCACATGAAGCACATACAAAATTAAATAAGTCACTTTTGTGTGCTTTTACAGTGTTAGGTTTAGAAATCTTATCTTAGTGGAATAGACTTGTTTAAAAATGTTCTTGAAATTTCATTGTGTAAACCTAGTTTTATTATAAGAAACTACCATTCAAGCCAGTAGTCAAAAAACTTGCTTTCCTATACCTATAAGCACAGGCTTAGAATAAACTGAAACCAGATTGAGGCGGGCTTATCAACTGGATTTCAAGAGGCATTGCTGGTGAAATTTTAATGTTTTTATTTTAACAAACAGTTAAGTTAGTGAATTCCTTACTCTTAAACAGATTCTGTTAAGAAGGACATATTACTTGAGATTGTTTAATCCAGCAAAAGTTTTACCCTATATTTTTAACTAGTCCCACAGTTGATGGGGAAAGGTCCTGGTTTATAATATGAGGTGAGGTGATTCCTCTTTTTCTTTTCATTTATTTTTGGATTTTATTTTTAAATAATAATATTTTTGCTTGTATGGGAATTGCAGACTGTCCTTTATCCTTTCTCAAAGAATGAAAGTCCTATTCATTTTCCATAACTGTGTTTCAATATCAGTTTCTTTGTGAGGTATTATTGATTTCTAACCCCTTCACAGGTTCTAGAATAAATTCCTTCCTCTTCAATATTCTCAAGAGTGTTTCATCAGGCATCTATTCTAACACTTAGTTAATTCTACCCTCTGAGTTCATTTATTTGTTGAGTACCTACTATGTACCAGGCACTGGTCTAAGCCTAGGGATAGATAGAACAGTGAACAAAACAGATAAAGTCTCCAGTCTCATGGAGGTTATTACTCTAGTGGGTGGACATGACAATAAATGAATAAGTATTGGGAGGAAGAAAAAGCAAGGGAAGGGAGTTAACGAGTGCCAGGGAGAAGTGGGTTACTATTTTGTATTGAGTGGTTGGAGGATGCCTCACTGGGAAAGTGACATTTGAGCAGAAACCTTAAGGAAGGGAGGGTGTGAGCTAGGCAGATATTTTGGGGAAGAGAATTCTAAGCAGAGGGAGTAACAATACAAAAGACCGTGCTTGGCTCACTTGAGGAGTAGCAAGGAGGACAGTGATGTGGAGTGAGTGAGGGGAAAAGCATAAGGGGATAGGATCAGGCTCTGAAAAGCACTTGGATTTTTACTCTGAGTGGGAAGTGAAGTCATTGGGAGGTGTTCAGCCGAGGAGTGATGGAGCTGCAGTGCTGAGAATAGACCGTTGACTGGTGAAGGGAGAAGAGAATGATGTTTTGCACTGGGAAGTGGTAAGAAGTGGTTATATTCTAGATATATTTTGAAGTAAGAACATAATTGCAGAATTGATGGATTGGACATGGGTGTCAGAAGTCAAGGATGCCTCCAATGTTTCTGCCTTGAGTAGGTGGAAAAATGGAGTTTCCAGATACCAACATGGGGTAGGTGGTGCAAGAAACAGGCAAGGGGGGCAAGATTAGGAGTTTTGCTTTGGGACTTGTTAATAACTTTTTTACTTTAAAAATAATTTTTAATTGAAATATCACATTCTAGCAGAAAAGTGCTTGTCGAATTTTCACAAAACAACTGCACCTGTAATTTGCATCGAGACTAAGAAATAAAACACTCCAACAGACCCAGAGGCAGAGATTACAAGTAGGCATCTTGGATAGACAATTCTATAGTTTAGGGGAGATATAAATGTGGGATTTGTCAGCATACAGATGGCAGTTAAAGCCATGAAACAAGATGAAATTACCTAGGAAGTAAATGTGGATAGAGAAGAAAAGAAGTCTGAAGACTGAGCTGTGGGACCTTCTAACGTTTAATGGCTGGGGAGATGAAAGGGAAACAGCAAAGGATACTGAGAGGAGCAGATGGTGATGTAGGAGACCCAGGAGAGAGTGAGAACAAAGAAAGAGTACTAAGTACAGGAACTCTGCCATAAGGATTGGGAATATGCATTGAAGAAGATCCAGGTCCCTTCCCTGCCCTCGTGTCAAGTGGGGTAAAACATGACACGTTAAAAAAAAAAAAGGCATGGAAAAAAATTCCATCTATCTATGTACTTATCTTCCCATATTTTGTTATGAAGTATAACACAGGCTAAAAAGAAATGTAACTTTTTTTTTTTGAGACAGAGTTTCACTCTCATTGACCAGGCTGGAGTGCAATGGCGCAATCTCGGCTCACCACAACCTCCGCCTCCTGGGTTCAAGCGATTCTCCTGCTTCAGCCTCCCGAGTAGCTGGGATTACAGGCACGCACCACCATTCCTGGCTAATTTTGTATTTTTAGTAGAGACAGAGTTTCTCCATGTTAGTCAGGCTGGTCTTGAACTCCAGACGTCAGGTGATCCGCCCACCTTGGCCTCCCAAAGTGCTGGGATTACAGGTGTGAGCCACCGCGCCCAGCCCAGAAATGTAACTTTTGATGGTGGGGGGGCGGATCTGATTTAGTTAGGAATGGCTTCTCTGAGGAAATGATGTTTAACTTGAAGCTTGATGGATGAAAAGGGATTTTCTAAGATCAAATTTGGAGGATGTATTAGTTTCCCAAGGCTGCTGTAACAAAATACCATAAACTGAGTGGCTTAAAACACAAGAAATTTATTCTTTCACAGTTCTGGCAGCTAGAAGTCAGAAATCACAGTGCAGCAAGGCCATGCATGCTCTCTGTGACTCTGCAGAAGAATTCTTTCTGGCCTCTTCCAGCTCCTGGTAGCTCCAGGCATTTCTTGATTTATGACAGCATAATTTTAATCTCTGTCTCCACATGGCCTACTTATCTGTGTGTGCGTCTCTGTGTCCTCTCCTCTTCTTAAAAGGACATCAATTATTAGGTTTAGGGCCCACCCTAAATCTAAGATGATTTCATCTCGATATCCTTAATTAGTTATGTCTGCAAAGATGCTATTTCCAAATGAGGTCACATTCTTTTTAAGAAATAAATTTTATTTTTTTCAGATACATGGCATGCAGTCACCAAATGAGGTCACATTCTGGGGTTCTGAGTGGACGTGATTTAGAGGAACACTATTCAACCTCGTACAGGGAACAAACAGAAGAAATAACATGTTTGAAGCAGTAGTGTGTTGGAGCTGACTCAAACCTGCTATCAAGAGCCAACTGTTAAATTTTCAGCAATTTTGTTATCTGGTAGACATTAGTAACTTGAAATTGATCACAGTGTGAGTATTTGCATTGTGGAAATTGACAAATGCCACAAATCATGTTTGTTTATTTTTCTTCTGGAGAACCCATTGTTAAACATTTACCAGCACACCACTGGTTTGAAGGCCTTGTATCTGAAAAGACATGTGTCTAGCATGGCTGGCCTATAAGGAAGTGTGGACTGGAGGGGAAGAACAGGCCAGGACATGTAAGGTCTTGAAGATCTCAGTAAGGATTTTAGGTTTTTTTTTTTTTTTGAGACAGTGTCTTGATCTGTCTCCCAGGCTGGAGTGCAGTGGTGCGATCTTGGTTTACTGCAATCTCCACCTCCCAGGCCTAGTGATCCTCCCACCTCAGCCTCCTGAGTAGCTGGGACTACAGGCACATGCCACCAAGGCCATCTAATTTTTTTTTTTTTTTTTGGTAGAGATGGAGTTTTGTCATGTTGCTTAGGCTGGCCTGGAACTCCTGGGCTCAAGGTATCTGCCTACCTCAGCTTTCTAAAGTGCTGGGATTACAGGTGTGAGCCACCACACCCAGCCAGGATTTTAGATTTTAACCCAAGTGCAACTGAGGGATATCTGAGAGTTTTAATCAGGGGAGCGGCAAGGTCAGATTTGTGTCATTGTTCTAATTGTTTATATGCCAGTCTTTCCTTGACAGGGATTTTATCTTCATTATTTTTTGTTTCTCCCATGAATTTTGCATAGAATAGGTACTTGATAAATGCTCATCCATCTAAATGGGGTTTTATAAATACTATGCATGCTAGTAAAAGCAATGGTTAATGAGCCAGCAAAAATGATTGATATGGTTTGGATTTGTGTCCCCACCCAAATCTCATGTGGAATTGTAATTCCCAATGTTGGAGGAGGGACCTGGTGGGAGGTGATTGGATCATGGGGGCTATTGCCCTCTTGTTGTTTTCCTGATAGTGAGTGAGTTCTCACAAGATCTGGTTGCTTAAAAGTGTGTAGCACCTCCCCCTTCTCTCTTTCTCCTGCTCCGGCCATGTGAAGATGTGCCTGCTTCCTCTTTGCCTTCTGCCATGATTGTAGGTTTCCTGAGGCCTCCCCAGAAGCAGAAGCCTGTACAGCCCATAGAACCATGAGCCAATTAAACCTCTTTTCTTTATAAATTACCCAGTCTCAGGTATTTATAGCAGTGCAAGAACGGACTAATACAATGATCAAACCCGAAGATGTCATCGAGGATTCACAAAACAGTTCTATCATTTTGGTACACCATCCGTTTAACAGACATGTATTTAGAACCTGCTGTCTACAGGCACCATGGGGATACAGCAATGAAGAAGACACAGTCCTACTCTCAAGTTGGAATCTTGTGGAGAACACACCAAAGCCTGTCAGAGTCCCCTGTGATAAACTGTATGACAAAGTAAACATGGGCAGGTCTCCTGAATTTTGGGGACCTGGGGAAGCTCCCATGGGAAGCACACTTTTTAGAGATAGTATTGCTGCCTGGAATGATACACTGAGTTCAATATCATCCTTTAAAAATGGCGGTACACAGGCTTGGGGAAATGAGGATCTGAAGGGTTTTGTCCCTTTGAAGTGACCCTCAAAGCTTGTTATACGTTCTATTTGCCCATATTCACTATTGCTATCACCTTTATCCCTTCAGGCTGTGGTAGGCAGAATTCTAAGATGATTCCAATAAACCTTGTCCTTGTATAATCCTCTTCCCTTTTAGTGTGAATATGATAGTGCTCCTGTGCTGACATTATGTTATACAGCAAAAGGGAGATTATCTTGGGTGGGCCTCACCTAATCAGGTGAGCTTATTTTAAAAGCATAGTGTCCTCTGGCTGCTCCCATAAGAGTAGGTCAGAGATTTCAAGCCCAAGAAGGATTCAGTGCACTGTAGCTGGCTTGAAGATGAAGGGGAGAATGTGAGAAAGAATGCGAGAACATTTCTAAGAGCAGAGCATGGCCCCCAGCTGAGAACCAGGGAGGAAATAGACTTCAGTCCAACAGCTGCGAGGACCTGAATTCTGCCAACAGTTAGGATTAACTTGGAAGTCAATTCCTTCCCCAGAGTCTCCAGACAAGAACCCAGCCAGGCCAACACCTTGATTTCAACCATGTGATACCCTGAGCCGAGAACCGGCCACGCCGTGGCTGACTTCTGACCTACACGCACTGTGAGCTAATAAATTAGTGTTGTTTTAAGCTGCTACATTTGTGGTAACTTCTTACTTAACAATAGAAAACGAATGCAAGGGCCTCGACTCTGAAGGGTCAGCTCAGGAAGAGTGAGGACAAAATTTCTTTCACTCCCTCTGCTGAGGTAGGGTGAGAAAAACTTAGTGCTAGTTAGCAGAGCAGGAGCTGAGCACAAAGAGATGTCTGTGAAGCACCAGAGGCTCCTAAGGGGGCAGGAGTGACATTATTACAAGGTGTTATTATATATGATTATGACTTCACAACTGTCCTCTGAATTACAATTACATTTATGGCCTTCTGTGCCAATTCTTACATGGTGTGCTATGATGAATAAGGAGCCTGCAATACCGTGGGCCTCACAGGCACAGATGCAAATCCTTGCCATGCAGAAGCAAACCACATGAGACACTGCATCATGTTGTTTCACAATCCAAGGTGCTCTCTTGGAATAGCTGTTCTCTTTTTGCAGGTTAGACAGATGCTTTGGAAGGTGTGAGGTCTTGGGCAGGATCCAAAGTTCTATTTGCTATACAGAAGCAGCAGCTTGAGCAACAGACTAGTGACAAAAAAGAATTGCAATGTTTCTAGAAGTTTCTAATCTGTGCAAGGGGAGTAGTGTGGCCTTTGTGTGAATGTATCTCAAAAGAGGATTTCTAATGTAGTGAGACATGGTAATGGCTTCCTTTACTTTTTAGATATTGATATAGCTGACTTTATGAAGCCTGCTCTGATGTACGGAGCAGACGAATGATAGGGGACTCATGGCGGCACTTGGAGTTTGTTTTTGGAGGTTCATTTCCTTCAGATTCCTCCTTAAGATGAGTTCTGATTCAGATTTTGTACTACCCAGCTACTCTCCTTTACCTAAAGTTGGGTATCTTCAGGAGTAATCAATCTTACTTGATTCTATGTAAAATCAATGCATTCTGGGGGATATAGATGATAGGGAATGGCTTATAGGGAATCTTTAGAGGAAATAGAAGCATCTGCTCCTTCTCCCACACAGATATCCTTGAAATAACATAATGATAATACCTTTTCTTTATATAGTGCTGTCACTCTTTCTTTTTTTTTTTTTTGAGATGGAGTCTCGCCCTGTCCCCCCCAGGCTGGAGTGCAATGGCGTGATCTCAGCTCACTGTGACCTCTGCCTCCTGGATTTTAGCGATTCTCCTGCCTCAGCCTCCTGAGTAGCTGGGATTACAGGCGGCCACCACCACGTCTGGCTAATTTTTGTATTTTTAGTAGAGACGGGGTTTCACCATGTTGTTCAGGCTGGTCTCAAACTCCTGACCTCAGGTGATGTACCTGCCTTGGCCTCCCAAAGTGCTGGGATTACAGGTGTGAGCCACTGCGCCTGGCATATATAGTGGTATCACTCTTTCAAACAATACATGCATGGATGAATCAAAAGCAATTATTATCCCCATTTCACACAAATGGTGAAGACCAATAACTTCCTGTTGAGAAAAAACAGATCAAATATCTGAAACTCGATATATAAATGAGAATAGAATTATAAGAGCAGACTACTGAGTAACAATGACAATGTCGACGACGATGATGATGATTTTGGAAGAGGGTTGGAATGAGAGGGACCTTGCTGGTTGTTTAATATGGGTCTTGATTTAGAAATTTTTGTTTGTCCTCTCCCTCTCCCTCTCCCTCTCCCCACGGTCTCCCTCTCCCTCTCTTTCCACGGTCTCCCTCTCATGCCGAGCCGAAGCTGGACTGTGCTGCTGCCATCTCGGCTCACTGCAACCTCCCTGCCTGATTCTCCTGCCTCAGCCTGCCGAGTGCCTGCGATTGCAGGCGTGCGCCGCCACGCCTGACTGGTTTTCGTATTTTTTTGGTAGAGACGGGGTTTCGCTGTGTTGGCCGGGCTGGTCTCCAGCTCCTAACCGCGAGTGATCTGCCAGCCTTGGCCTCCCGAGGTGCCGGGATTGCAGACGGAGTCTGGTTCACTCAGTGCTCAATGGTGCCCAGGCTGGAGTGCAGTGGCATAATCTCGGCTCGCTACAACCTCCACCTCCCAGCCGCCTGCCTTGGCCTCCCAAAGTGCCGAGATTGCAGCCTCTGCCCGGCCGCCACCCCGTCTGGGAAGTGAGGAGCGTCTCTGCCTGGCCGCCCATCGTCTGGGATGTGAAGAGCCCCTCTGCCTGGCTGCCCAGTCTGGGAAGTCAGGAGCGCCTCTTCCCGGCCGTCATCCCATCTAGGAAGTGAGGAGCGTCTCTGCCCGGCCGCCCATTGTCTGAGATGTGGGGAGCGCCTCTGCCCCGCCGCGACCCCATCTGGGAGGTGAGGAGCGTCTCTGCTCGGCCACCCCATCTGAGAAGTGAGGAGCCCCTCCGCCCGGCAGCCGCCCCGTCCGGGAAGTGAGGAGCGTCTCCGCCCGGCAGCCGCCCCGTCTGAGAAGTGAGGAGCCCCTCCGCCCGGCAGCCGCCCCGTCTGAGAAGTGAGGAGCCCCTCCGCCCGGCAGCCACCCCATCTGGGAAGTGAGGAGCGTCTCCGCCCGGCAGCCACCCCGTCCGGGAAGGAGGTGGGGGTCAGCCCCCCGCCCGGCCAGCCGCCCCGTCCGGGAAGTGAGGGGCGCCTCTGCCCAGCCGCCCCTACTGGGAAGTGAGGAGCCCCTCTGCCCGGCCAGCCGCCCCGTCCGGGAGGGAGGTGGGGGTCAGCCCCCGCCAGGCCAGCCGCCCCGTCCGGGAGGGAGGTGGGGGGGTCAGCCCCCCGGCCGGCCAGCCACCCCGTCTGGGAGGTGAGGGGTGCCTCTGCCCGGCCGCCCCTACTGGGAAGTGAGGAGCCCCTCTGCCCGGCCAGCCGCCCCGTCTGGGAGGGAGGTGGGGGGGTCAGCCCCCCACCCGGCCAGCCGCCCTGTCCAGGAGGGAGGTGGGGGGGTCAGTCCCCCGCGCGGCCAGCTGCCCCGTCTGGGAGGGAGGTGGGGGGGTCAGCCCCCTGCCCGGCCAGCCGCCCCGTCCGGGAGGGGAGAGGCGCCTCTGCCCGGCCGCCCCTACTGGGAAGTGAGGAGCCCCTCTGCCCGGCCAGCCGCCCCGTCCGGGAAGGAGGTGGGGGGGTCAGCCCCCCGCCCGGCCAGCCGCCCCGTCCGGGAGGGAGGTGTGGGGGTCAGCCCCCCGCCCGGCCAGCCGCCCCATCTGGGAGGGAGGTGGGGGGATCAGCCCCCCGCCCGGCCAGCCGCCCCGTCCGGGAGGGAGGTGTGGGGGTCAGCCCCCCGCCCGGCCAGCCGCCCCGTCCGGGAGGGGAGAGGCGCCTCTGCCCGGCCGCCCCTACTGGGAAGTGAGGAGCCCCTCTGCCCGGCCAGCCGCCCAGTCCGGGAGGGAGGTGTGGGGGTCAGCCCCCTGCCCGGCCAGCCGCCCCGTCCGGGAGGGAGGTGGTGGGGGTCAGCCCCCCGCCCGGCCAGCCGCCCCATCCGGGAGGGGAGGGGTGCCTCTGCCCAGCCGCCCCTACTGGGAAGTGAGGAGCCCCTCTGCCCGGCCACCACCCGGTCCGGGAGGTGTACCCAACAGCTCATTGAGAACGGGCCATGATGACAATGGCGGTTTTGTGGAATGGAAAGGGGGGAAAGGTGGGGAAAAGATTGAGAAATTGGATGGTTGCCGTGTCTGTGTAGAAAGAGGTAGACATGGGAGACTTTTCATTTTGTTCTGTACTAAGAAAAATTCTTATCCTGTTGATCTGTGACCTTACCCCCAACCCTGTGCTCTCTGAAACATGTGCTGTGTCCACTCAGGGTTAAATGGATTAAGGGCGGTGCAAGATGTGCTTTGTTAAACAGATGCTTGAAGGCAGCATGCTCCTTAAGAGTCATCACCACTCCCTAATCTCAAGTACCCAGGGACACAAACACTGCGGAAGGCCGCAGGGTCCTCTGCCTAGGAAAACCAGAGACCTTTGTTCACTTGTTTATCTGCTGACCTTCCCTCCACTATTGTCCTGTGACCCTGCCAAATCCCCCTCTGCGAGAAATACCCAAGAATGATCAATAAAAAAAACAAAACAAAACAAAACAAAACAAAACAAAAAAAAGAAATTTTTGTTTGTTTTTGTAACTTCTAGGGTAGGCTTGAAAAGGAAGCTATCTCCTACTTGATAAAGATACATTCAAAGGGGAAAAATGAGTTTTATTAACTCAAAATATTTCTTGCAAAAAATATTTCATGGTAGGTACATATCAATTTTTCTTTAGAAGTGACTTCTTCAATATCATTTGTTTTACAATTGTTTTCACATATTTTTGCGTTTTTAAGTTTAAAGGAAGAGCCCTTTTAATCAATTTACAGCAATTTTTTTTTTTTTTTTTTTGAGACAGAGTCTCACTCTGTCACCCAGGCTGGAGTGCAGTGGTGTGATCTCGGCTCACCGCAACCTCTGCCTCCCAGGTTCAAGCAATTCCCCTGCCTCAGCCTCCCGAGGTAGCTGGGATTACAGGCGCACGCCACCACGCCAAACTAATTTTTGTATTTTTAGTAGAGACCGGATTTCACCATGTTGGCCAGGATGGTCTCGATCTCTTCACCTTGTGTTCTGCCCGCCTCAGCCTCCCAAAGTGCTGGGATTACAGGTATGAGCCACCAGGCCCAGCCAGCAATATTCTTTTGTTCATTACTTGATGTGAGACATACCTGGGGGAACACTTGGGCAGGGACAAGTTGATGAACCTCATGAAAATGCTCCCTTATCAGGCTAGTATCCTGGTACACCTTGGAAAGGGAAGGGGTACAAGACCAGGTCCTTTCAAACTTATTTGTACTTTTCTAAAGTACTTGTTATAAATGCACCAAAACTTCAGTGGATATAGCTGTCATAAAATATTCTTAAGACTCAGAGTAATAAATCATGGATATGTAGAAACAGGAGAAGTACCTATATAGTGTCTTCAAATAATCATGGCCAAAATCACGTTTGCTTAAATACCACACACTTGATAGTTCATCAACAAATAATTATTGAGCCAGGTATCCAGATAAGGTCCCAGCCACCATGGTTACACTCTAGTTGGTTGGGGGGATGCAGAAATTTAAGAAGTGAAAATTAAATAAGATAATTTGGCCGGGTGCGGTAGCTCATGCCTGTAATCCCAGCACTTTGGGAGGCCTAGGCGGGTGGATCATCTGAGGTCAGGAGTTTGAGACCAGCCTGGCCAACATGGTGAAACCCTGTCTCTACTAAAAAAAAAATTAGCCAGGCGTGGTGGCACGTGCCTGTAATCTCAACTACTCGGGAGGCTGAGGCAGGAGAATCGCTTGAACCCTGGAGGTGGAGGTTGCAATGAGCCAGGATTGTGCCACTGCACTCCATCCTGGGCAAGACAGAGGGAGACTCTGTCTCAAAAATAAAAAAGATAATTCAAGGTAGTAAAGGAGATCAGAATATGTCACTCCCAAATATGCTACCTAGGCTTAAAGATGATTTTGAGCTGAAGTCAATTAAGAAACAGCAGACACAAAAGAAACTCTCTGCCCGTCCTCTTTCTATCTAGAAGCAGGACAAAAATTTCCATTTATAATGGTGTGTCCCTCTCTTGTACCAAGAAAAGAACTACTCTTATCACTAAAGACAGCACCAACTTGAGTCTGCACACCAAACCTTACTAAGCATGTTTTATCTACTATTAGTTTCCTCCATATATTTACCCTCCCATAATTTAACTACTCCTAGAAGCCCAAATCCCTTTTCCTTGGTCTAGTCACATCTCCATAATTTATCATACTTTTTATTTTTTATTATTTTTAACTAATTAATTTATTTATTTTGTGACAGAGTCTCACTCTGATGCCCAGGCTGGAGTGCAGTGGCACGACCTCGGCTCACTGCAACCTCTGCCTCCAGGGTTCAAGCTATTCTCCTGCTTCAGCCTCCCAAGTAGCTGGGATTACAGGTGTGCACCACCATGCCTGGCTAATTTTGTGTATTTTTAGTAGAGACAGGGTTTCACCACGTTGGCCAGGCTGGTCTTGAACTCCTGACCTCAGGTGATCTGCCTCAGCCTCCCAAAGTGCTGGGATTACAGGTATGAGCCACCACGCCCAGCCACACTTTTGTTACTGTTTTTCTAGAGACAGGGTCTCATTCTGTTGATCAGGCTAGAGTGCAGTGGTATGATCATAGCTCACTGCAGCCCCAACCCCGTGAGCTCAAGTGATCTTCCCACGTCAGCTGGTACTACAGGCATGCACCACCATACCTGCCTAGTTTTTTTTTTAGTTTTTGTAGAGATGGAGGGGTCTCTGCATTGTCCAGGCTGGTGTCAAACTCCTGGCCTCAAGCAATCCTTCCACCTCAAACTCCCCCAAATCACCCTTTTGTTAAAATCATATAGAAACCCCTGAGTCTAACCACCTCTGAGGTTTTCACTCCTTTTCTGTGTGGCCCCTGCCCTTATGCATGTACAATTAATTAAACACATCAATTAAATATGTATGCTGTTTTTTTCTTGTTACTCTGTCTTGTATTGGTTTAATTTACAGGCCCCCAGCTAATAAACATAAGAGGGTAGAGGAAAAGTTTTTTCTCCCCTACGGTGGTGATAACTGTTATGAAGAAAATAACAGGAAGTAATACAATAGTGGATGGAAGAAAGTGGCTTTGGATATAAGTAGTTAGGAAAGGCTCCTCCGAGGAAACGACATCTTTTTTCTTTCTTTCTTTTTTTTTTTTGTGACAGAGTTTCACTCTTGTTGCCCAGGCTGGAGTGCAGTGGTGCGATCACAGCTCACCGCAACCTCTGCCTCCTGGGTTCAAGTGATTCTCCTGCCTCAGCCTCCCAAGTAGCTGGGACTACAGGCACCTGCCACCACATCCAGCTAATTTTTGTATTTTTAGTAGAGACAGGGTTCCTCCGTGTTGGTCAGGCTGGTCTCGAACTCCTGACCTCAGGTGATCTGCCCACCTCGGCCTCCCAAAGTGCTGGGATTACAGGCATGAGCCACTGTGCCCAGCCTGGAAATGACATCTTAATAGAGACCTGTAATATGAAAAGGCCTGGGGCATACCAAGATCTTAGAAAATGTATTCCAGGCAGAGGGAATAGCAAGCGAAAAATTCCTGGGTTAGGCATCCACTTGGATATTTAATTGGAAGAAAGAAGGCCAGAGTAGCTGAAGTGGAGTGGACCATGGAGGAAGTTGAACTGGAGGAGGTCAGAAATGCCTGCAAGGGTCAGGCTGGATGGGGTAGTAGAGGCCAATGATTCCCAAACTCCAGCGAACATCAGAATCACCTGGAGGGATTAAGTCACCGGTTCTTGGGTCCCACCCCTAGAGTTTCTGATTCTGGAGGTCTGGGTGAGTCTGAGAATTTACGTTTTTAACAAGTTTACAGATGCTGCTGCTGCTGCTGGGTCCAGGGACCACGTTTTAAGAACCACTGTTAGGCCAAGGGAAGGTGCTTAGATTTTATTTTAATAACAATGGGAAGCTATTGAGGTTATTTTAAGCAGGATGTTAAGCAGGTTTGAAACTTTATTTTGAAGGGGTTCAGAACATGTCACCCCAAAATATGCCATTTTGGCATATTGATTATTTTGAGCTAAAAGAAATTGAGAACCAGCCAATGCAGGAAAAAAGCTCTTCACCTCCCCCTCAACTGCCTAAAATAAAATATAAAATTCCCCTTTTGTAAAGGAAATTTGCATTTATAAAGGAAATCTTATTAGTAGAGGTATCTGTACCAGGAAGAGAGCTAGTTCAAGACAACTTTTATCACCTGAGAGACTTTTATCTGTAAAACAAGGCAACCTTTATTCACCATACATTTTCTCTCTTCACCTTTCCATAATCTGTCTCCACCACCCCACAAAAGTCCCATGCCCCTATTCTTTTCTATAGCTCAGCAGGATAGATAAGCCTCAATCATCCGGCTGCTTCCTTGAGTCTCATATTTTTGTGGAACTTCTGTGTTTATTTACATAATTAAATTTTTTTTTATCCTGTTAATTTGTCTTACGCCAATGTAATTTGTAGACTAGCCAAAGAACCTAGAAATGCAGAAGGAAACAAGTTTTCCTCCCCTACAGTTTGTGTAATTACAAGGCCCCTTTGATTGCTGTTTGAACAGACTGATAACAAAAAAGGAAGAAAGCAGATGCCATCATATTGAGTCTTGGTTGAGCTTCTGGTAACTGAATTTGAGGCTCCTTTCTGCTATTGTTAAAGACAAACCAGAGCCTGACAGTGGTAAAAGTGGTAAAACAGATTTTATCTAGGACTATTGCCATAGGGGAAAAGAGACTTCAGTATAGGACTGGACTCCATTTTGAATACAACAAAAACTGTAGGAATTTATTGCCAGGGAGCAGGGTCCATGGGGATCAGTGGTTGGGAAATTACTAAGAGGAAACATCAGGGGTAAGGGGGATTTCTGGCTAAACTGGCCTAACAAGATTCTTACTGAAGACAGGCCAGGGGGATCACAAATCACCTGGGGGATGGTGAAGGACAAGGAACCCGATCAGATATTGAGGGTGATCAGATATTGAGTTGGGGGGGCAGTTTCTGGCCAAACTGATGTAGCAGGATTCTTGCTAAAGTTGAGTGATGCAAAGATGGACATGGAAGTCCAAAAGTTGAGGCCCATTTGGGAAAAGAATTCAGGGGAGCCTGACTAAAGTTTGGTCAAGGAGAGTCTGTCACTATCTACTTGATCAATATAATTTAAGCTAGAAACTCATCCCTCAACAGATGTACCCTGCAGAAACCTATCCAGTTGAGAATATGACACTTGCCATTCAAACCATCTTTCATGTACATAATAGGGCATTTTCAATTCAATTCAATTCAATAAGTATATATTGAACATTTATAATGCCCCAAAATAAAGGAAATATGAAATAATTGGGGGCAAATAGAGTGAATATAGGCAGTTGGGGTATAATGTATAATCACCCAACAGGATCTTCTTGCCCTCTGCACATATAGAGCCAATTCACTGAGACAGCAATATTGCAATAAAGAAAGAGTTTAATCTAGGGCTAGCCATGTGGAAGACAGGAGTTCATTACTCAAGTCAGTCTTCCTAGGAACTCAGAGGCTAGAATTTTTGTGAATCATTTGGTGGGCAGGGGGCTAGGGAATGGGTGCTGCTGATTGGTTGGGGATGAAATCACAGGGGTGTGGAAAATGGTCCTTGTTCACTGGGTCAGCCTCTGGGCAGGGTCCAGAGGACCAGGTGAGTCACAAGTCATAGGTCTGAGTAGAGTCATTCAGTTGCCAGAATGCAAAAGTCTAAAAGACATCTCAAGAGACCAATCTTAGGTTCTACAATAGTGATTTTACCTATAGGAGCAATTGGGGAAGTCATAAATCTTGTGACCTCTGGAACAATGGCTGGTTATCATTTGACTACCCCTACATCTTAGCAGAGTTCAGGCCCCTCCCATAATCCTAAACTTGTGGCCTTTTATTAGCTTCACAAAGGCAGTTTCAGTCTCCAAACAAGAAGGGGATAGTTTTAAGAAGGGCTATTATCATCTTTGCTTTAAGGTTAACCTATAAACTAAATCCCTCCCAAAGTTAGCTTGGCCTATTCTCAGGAATGAACAAAGACAGCTTGGAGGTTAGAAGCAAGATGGAGTCAACTATGTCATATTTCTCTTATTGCCATAATTTTGCAAAGGTGGTTTCATAAGCTACCTGTCCATCACTGTACTATTCCTAGTGTTTAGTACAGTACCTAGCATAAAGTCATTTCTTAATATCTGTTGAAAAAAATTCCATGAATAAGTACTGATTTTGGAATCAGATGAGCAGAGTGCCTATCTTATTTTGCCACTTCTTGAATGGAACCATTGACGTCACTGAGCCTCAATTTTTTACTTGAATGTTAAGCATCACAATAGAAACTTCATAGGGTGTTAAATTATGTCATGTATGTGCTAGAACTGGGATAATTTAAATTATTGTGATTGTTAATAAAGATAAAAATAAAGATTGTACAAACAAAGGAAATCACAAAATGTAGTTGTGGGATGTGGTAAATGAAAGACAACACAAATAAAGGAGAAGGAGGAGGCATGGAGAGTTGCAGGCAGGCATAGTCTTTTTTTTTTTAATCAAATATAAGTTTAAAAATATTTGTTAAATTGGCAGCCCAACTTGGGCCAGAGGTTAGATTTTTATACTGAACTTGAATGCCTTAATCTTGAAATCTTGAATTCACTTATTCATGGAGTTGTGTGACTTTGATCTTTTAAGAAATAAAATACTCTGTTAAAGGCTCAAAAGGCTTTTGTCAGAGGAGACCAGCAAGCAACTCTTAAAACCCTTTTGAAGTGGAAATGATCCAAACTCCCCAAGATTTCACCCATCAGGGGAGAGAGTTTGGTGAGGCTCACCTTAGGAGCTGTCTTTAACTGTACCCCTTATGCTGTTAACAGCTAGGAATTTAACCTTAAGGTATTTGAGCATAATACATGTGTGTGGGAAGAGTGGAGTTGATCTAATTTTAGATAACACAATTGAGAAAGACTGGAGGTGAAAAAGAAGGGAAGACGTGTCTGTGTGTGTGTGTGTGTGTATGTGTGTGTTTGTATGTATGTGTGTGTGTTGTCACATGTATGCAGGATATTCCTGCTTCCAGTCTGATACTAATCCAAGGAAATCTACATGATCTGTGGAGAAGTTGAGATACGGCTGAGTCAAAGTTCTCCTGTTCCCTTAAATCCCTTCACACATTTCTAGGGACAGAGAGGCTTATAGTTTTTTATTTAGGAAATTCTTCTGTGCCTCGGTTTAGTAAAAATTTGGTAGTAACCCCCAAGTTTGAATTGTTCGAAACTAGAACCTGGTGGCAGAAGGGCTTTCTCTGAAGATTTCCAAGGAAAGGGTAGATTTCCATCTTATAGCAATAGTGTCTATGTTATGCTTCGTGGGTGTGGGCAAAATCAGGGTTTAGAGGTGTATCTAAAGTGGCTTGCCAAATCCTCCTTCATGGGTTTGGGCGGCAGAGCCCGAGAAGACTTTGCCTGGGTATTCCTTATTGAAGTTCAAATATCCTGGCAGACTGTCACACTTTAATTTATGATCAGTTAACAAGGATTAATGAGATTGATATCTACAGTGGGTGGGGTGGGAACCTGGCAGGGTAAAAAGGGGCTGACATCAGAAGTGGTGAGCTGGAGCCAAAGGGCAGACTTTGACCACTTCCAAGTTTAGCCTATAGCCCTCTCTTGCACCCTAGGCACAGCAGGTGGGAGAGGGTTTGAGTAGGACTCAGGTTACACGAACTAGATTCTGGCTCCATTGTGGTATCCTCTTGATGAAACTTTTAAAAGTTTACCTTATACAGAGTAAATATTTACTTGATGTGTGGGTTTTTTTTTTGACATTTCCCTCATGCGTCCAACAGCTATAGCATGTTTTTCCGTTCTAGGAAGTTGCCTTAGAAGACTCACTCTCCTCATTCTTCCTCTTATCTCCCTTCTTGCTCTCAAGACTCCATTGAGTTGGCCGTTGGCACCAAGGAGCCTCCATGAAGGAGGCCATTCCAGGATGGAATGCAAGTACTGCTGATGAACCAGAGTGGTAGTAGATGTAGGGGAGGAAATATCCTTTTCCCTGTACTCTCCTAGGTTCAGTGGCTAAAGCCTGTGAATCAAACTGGTAAAAGAGATTAACAAGAGAAAAAAATAGTTTTAATTACATACATATGGGAGTCTTACAAAGAAATGAGAGTCAAGGAGGTGGCCGGATGATTGAGGCGATTGAGGCTTATACACCATCTTAGGCTAAACAAAGGAAAAGGGGTTTGGAGCTTCTGGGTGGGGGAGGCAAGTTATAAGAAGGGGAGGAGAGGAAGTATCTAGTAAATAAGGGTTCTCTGGTTATGCAGATACATCTCTCAGGTGATAAAACTCTGGAGTAGTTCTCTTCCTCTTATGAAATATCTTTAAAAATGGAAATTTCCTTTATAAATGTAAAATCCTTTTAAAAGGATAAAATGTATACTCCATTTTAGGCAGTTAGGGGGAGATAGAGAGCTTTTCCTGCATCTGCTTCTTCTCAATTGCTTTTAGCTCAAAATAATCCATATGCCAAAGATGCATTATTTTGGGGTGGCATATTTTGGTACCCTTCAGACTAAGAACTTGGGCTATGGAATCAAACAGAGCTAGATCAAAGGTTTAGCTCTGTGCTTCTGAGGTTTGTAATATCAGACATCCCTGTGTTATGGAAAGAAAACAGAAATTACTCAGGATTTCAATAAAAAAGTGGTGATAACAGAGAGGCTTAGGTACTTATGTGATTGTTGGGAGGGCTGGAGGAGCAAAGGTCAGGAAAGGCCACTGCTAGCTCTCAGACACACTGGTCACTTTCAGAGACTTAGGAAGTTGCTTCTGTTGTCCAAGAAAGGAATTTCAAGAGGCCACCTCTGATGGTGACAGGGAGCTGGCAGCATCAGGGAGGGAGATTAACAGAGAAACATTCGAAAGCTGATGAAAAAATTAACATCTACTGACACATACAGGTCTACCCACTGGTGCTTTTCCTTTACCTTCCAAATCTTATGCAAATACATTTCATCAGGCAAACCTAAAATGAATCCAGAATCCTGCTGGTGAAAGAGTCTGGGACATGTGATTCCATGTGTTTAACCTTTGAAAACCAGGAGAGCATAGAAGGAGGTGCAAAGAATGCTGAACGTCAGCACAGCCTATGTCCAACACAGCAAACCATTGTCCCTGAGCCTGTGTCCTCACCAGTAAAATAGAGGTCCTAACATCTGCAACTATGGCCATCTCCAAAAAGAATGCATGCAAAGTAACTGATACGAAGCTCAAAAACCATTTGTTCCTTTTATTCCACTGGAAAATCATCATCTGATCAAGAAAACCAAAACACTTTCTGAAAGGAATACAAAAAAGGACTTTTGTGCTACTTAAATTCTTTTTTTTACTGTAAGAATAATAAACGCTCATTTTAAAATTTGTGAAAATACTGTCAGAGGCAAAGTGCACTGGATAATTAAGGAGATGATTTAGTTCAGATTAGTACAATAGGGAGAATATTCATTAGTTAATTCTTCATTAAAGAAGATGGCTAGCACCTGAGGTTTTATAGAGGCACAAAAACCAAGGAGTCTTGGGAAACGGTGGGCAGGAAGTCTTATGGGAGTCATGAGGAGCCATGAGGAAGGGTAGAGGTGGGTCTTATTTCTGAATACCATTGGCAAGGTGGTCCTTTGCACTTACCCTTTCCTGGAAAGTAAAGAGGTAGGGAATTTATTTCATAATCATTTCTACTTTCTGAGAGAGGGCTCAGATAAAATTCAATGTGCTCAGTCTCCCCTTTTGTTCAAGATGAATCATGAGTTGCTTAAAAGCTCAGTGATTATAAAACTCCTGAATAGGGGAGGTAGGGTCTAAGAAATAATCTTTCCAGGACTCTTCTTGACATTGTTGCAGATCAGGACACACCACCCCAAAATATGACCAGAGACCAGAATATGCCCCTTTGGCATATTGGTTATTTTGAAAAACTGTAAATACAGGAGTAGTTCTGGAAAGTTGCTCTTTTGGAAGAGAAATTTATATGTATAAAGGAAATCTCCTTTCATAAGGGTCTCTCCCTCTCAGTAACCGGAGGAGAAGAATGATTAAATCACTATTAAACAACGGAGAAGGCATGACTTAAATCAGCATGACAAATATTGCTTTTATTTATGGTGCTTTTCCTGGCAATCTGTCTTGGCGTGGGATTTCCCCACACCCTTATTAGTTTCAGCAAACAATGGTATTCATGCTTGAAGTTTATACTCTTTCTTTGAGATCTACTCTGGATATTTACTAATTTCTCTAAATTTTCTCTCATGTATACTATATATTAATATATAATATATTAATATGTATAATATATTTTAATATATAAACTATAAATTAAAATATATAATATATATTATAATTATATATTATAATTATATATTATATATAATTATATATTTAATATATACATAATTATACATAATTATATATATTTAATATATATAATTAATATAATAATATAGATACTATGTATAAATATATGATATATATTAATATAGATGCTATGTATAAAATATATAATATATTAATATAGACACTATGTATAAAATATATAATATATATTAATATAGACACTATGTATAAAATATGTAATATATATTAATATAGACACTATGTATAAAATATATAATATATATTAATATAGACACTATGTATAAAATATATAATATGTATTAATATAGATACTATGTATAAAATATATAATATATATTAATATAGATACTATGTATAAAATATATAATATATATTAATATAGATACTATGTATAAAATATATAATATATATTAATATAGATACTATGTATAAAATATATAATATATTTATAGATACTATGTATAAATATATAATATATATTTATAGATACTATGTATAAAATAGATAATATATATTTATAGATACTATGTATAAAATATATAATATATATTAATATAGATACTATGTATAAAATATATAATATATATTAATATAGATACTATGTATAAAATATGTAATATATATTTATAGATACTATGTATAAAATATATAATATATATTAATATAGATACTATGTATAAAATATATAATATATATTTATAGATACTATGTATAAAATATATAATATATATTTATAGATACTATATATAAAATATATAATATATATTAATATAGATACTATATATAAAATATATAATATATATTTATAGATACTATATATAAAATATATAATATATATTTATAGATACTATATATAAAATATATAATATATTAATATATTATATATAAAATATATAATATATTAATATATTATATATAAAATATATAATATATTAATATATTATATATAAAATATATAATATATTAATATATTATATATAAAATATATAATATAAAATATATAATATATTAATATATTATATATAAAATATATAATATATTAATATATATACTATATATAAAATATATAATATATATAAAATATATAATATATTAATATATATACTATATATAAAATATATAATATATATTTATAGATACTATATATAAAATATATAATATATATTTATAGATACTATATATAAAATATATAATATATATTTATAGATACTATATGTAAAATATATAATATATATTTATAGATACTATATGTAAAATATATAATATATATACTATATATAAAATATATAATATGTATTTATAGATACTATATATAAAATATATAATATATATATACTATATATAAAAATATATAATATATATGAATATATACTATATATAAAAATATATAATATATTAATATATACTATATAGTATATATTATATATTTGAGACAGGGTCTCACTCTGTTGCCCAGGCTGCACTGCAGTGACACAATCTTTGCTCACTGCAGCCTCAACCTCCTGGGCTCAAGCATCCTTCTGCAAGTAGCTAGGATTACAGGCGTGTGCTACCACGCTTGGATAATTTTTAAAATTTTTTGTAGTGATGGGTTCTCTCTATATTGGCCAGGCTGGTCTTGAGCTCCTGGGCTCAAACAATCCTCTTGCCTTGGCCTCCTAAAGTGTTGGGATTACTGGCATGAGCCACCACACCTGGCCCAAGATATTGTTAAAGAAAAAATACTTAATGTTACTTGTTAAAGCACTGTAAGGAATACTTTACCCAAGACCATCATGGTATTTATAGAGACCACTGCAACAGGGCCTTGCAGCAGGGCAGAGAGATTGGACTCAACTCTGAATACAGCCTGGGCAGGTGGGAATTTATGGCCAAGGAGCAGTGTGGGGGTCTGTGGATGGACAACGACTAAGGGGAACATCAAGAGTAATGTAGATTCTGGTTCAACTGATCTAACAGGATTCTTGCTGAGGACAGGCCAGGGTGAACAGATATCACCTGGGGGATGGTGGAGTATGAGGAACTCGATCAGATGTCAAGGCTGGGGGATTCTTGCTAAACTGACTTAGCAGAGTTTTTGCTAAAACTGAATTTTACAGAGAAGTGCACAGATGGGCCTAGCAGAAGGTTCAAAAGCCTGAGTAAAGTTTGACCAAGCAAAGAATCTTTGTCAACATATGTATTAATAAACTTCTGTTTTTTTCTCTTGTTAATTTTTTTTTTTTTTTTGAGGCGGAGTCTTACTCTGTCACCCAGGCTGGAGTGCAGTGGTGCAATCTCAGCTCACTGCAACCTCTGCCTCCTGCCTCAGCCTCCCGAGTAGCTGGGATTACAGGCGCCTGCCACTACCCCCGGCTAATTTTTGTATTTTTGGTAGAAACGGGGTTTCATCATGTTGGCCAGGCTGGTCTCAAACTCCTAACTTCAAGTGATCTGCCCTCCTCAGCCTCCCAAAATGTTGGCATTACAGGTGTGAGCCACTGCGCCCGGCCAGGAATCTGCCTTTTGTTACAGGAAGTCCCAGTTAAGAATGGTGAAGGGTAAAGAGAAATTTATTTTTTCTCCCCCACAGCAATGTCCGGTAAAATCAGTTGATCTATCTTTTGAGAGGCGGTAGCAAAGGTAAATTGTTTTAGGGGCCTAGAAATCAGGCATTTCAAAAGAGGGATGCTTAAAGTAAAATACAGAAACACTGATATAAAAATAAAAGGTTATGTTAACCTATAAAGAGCTAGGAGTTGAACCCTGAGGGCAACCAGGCTACTGGATTCCAAGAAATGGATAGAGGAAACTCTTCAGATTAAGAATCAGGAGAATTGAAGATATTCAGCAAATTTCTTTGTTGGCATCTCTAATGTGATTAAGATATCAGAGTTTTGGGGAACAAAGGTATAGTGGTTGCTTCTGGCTACGGCACATGCGCTCCCTCTGCAGGCCCAAATTATGAGAGCACCAGTTGGTTAGGCAGCACAGCTGATTTTCTTGATGCTCTCAAGCTAGGATGTCTATGCTCTTGATAATATTGTCCATGGTTGTGGCTACTACTCATGTAAGAGTGTGTGTATATGACCTGGGCATTTCTTTGGATTTCTTAGTGGTCAAGGCAGTGGTTTGTTCAGACAGAAATTCCAGCCCATGCATGGTCATCTGTGAGAGTGAGTCCTTTGAGGTTTATATCAAGTTTTTGGGATTCGATTTGCAAGGTTTCTTTAAGTCCTGGAGGAAAAGGTCAAGTGCAAGGAAGTCCAGCATCTCAATAGGGTTTTGGGCAGTCAGGTTTTAGTTCTTGGTGATTCAGGAGTCAGGCAGGAGAGAGAAAAATTGGAAATGTTCGTTTGAAGGGTCGTAGCCAGATATTGAAGAAAACGGAAAGAACTGAAAGTTTGTTAAACAACTGACCAAGAATCTGGGCAAGGTAGCAGGATCCAGTCTAATTTGCAGGTAGGAACCCTAACTGGTGTTTCCTGAGGAAGAGAAAGTCAACTAAATCTCCATCAGACAAGACAGAGTTTGTATGATATATATCAGTTTCCTTCAATTTATAAAGTGATGCACAATAGTTCAAAGATAATGAACAGGACCAGAATCTGATAAACCAGAAATATGTGCTACAGATGATACAGAGTTTTCCACCGAAATAAAATTTTTCTTTATAGTACTGAAAAATATTCACTTACCAATTCTGTGAACATTTGTTATATAGTTTAGACTATAATGAATATTCAATTCAGTATTCTGATTTATTTTTTCTCAATTAGAAAGGAATTCATTAGAAGAGGAAAATGTTATATATTTGTGGAATGGCACACCACTCTGAAAACAGAATCTAGTTTTTAATGCTAAAAAATTAGGAAATGAAGTTTAAAAATCAACGAGCTATAAACTGAGAAATACAGAGGAAGGAAATGATACTGCAGAATGTCAAATATTTATGTAGTGGACTCTCACAAGTGAGTTTCACATATTTATTTTTGGATCCCTCCAGCAGGAACCGACATCAGCACTGAGAAGCCGTTTATTGAAGTATGGGAATGAGTGTGTTTTGATCCTAACTGGAGAGTGTTTTGTCTGCCTTAGTGAAAGGAGAAGCTGAAGAACGCAGCAGCCATCGTGCCTGCTAATTTTGATGTTATGATTTAATACCAGGTTGGCAAACTATAGCCCATGGGCCACATCCAGCCCACTCTCTGCTTTTATAGATAAAGTTTTATTGGAATACAGCAGTGTCCATTTGTTTATGTAATTTATTTATTTATTTATTTTTCTTTCTTTCTCTTTCTTTTCTTTGTCTCTCTTTATCTCCCTCCCTCCCTCTTTCTTCCTTCCTTTCTTTCTTTCTTTCTTTTTCTTTCTCTATCTCCCTCCCTCCCACTTTCTTTCTTCCTTCCCTCCCTCCCTCCTTTCTTTCTTTCTTTCTTCCTTTCTTTCTCTTTCTTTCTTTCTTTCTCTTTCTTTCTTCCTTTCTTTCTCTTTCTTTCTTTCTTCCTTCCTTTCTTTCTTTCTTCCTTTCTTTCTTTCTTTATCTATCCCCTTTCTTTCTTTCTCTCTTTCTTTTTCTTTCTCTCTTTCTTTCTTTCTATAGGGTCTTGCTCTGTCACCCAGGCTGCTAGAGTGCAGTGGCACAATCTTGGCTCACTGCCACCTCTGCCTCCAGGGTTCAAGCGATTTTCCTGCCTCAACCTCCCTAGTAGCTGGAATTACATATGCGTGCCACCACGCCCAACTAATTTTTGTATTTTTAGTAGATACAGGGTTTTTCACAATGTTGGCCAGGCTGGTCTTAAACTCCTAACCTCAATTGTTCCTCCCACCTAGGCTGCCCAAAGTGCTGGGATTGCAGGCGTGAGCCACCGCACCCAGCCTTGTTTATGTATTTTCTATGGCTGCCAGAGACCTTATGGTCCACAAAGCCTAAAATATTTACTATCTGGCCCTTTTTGGAAAAAGTTTTCTGATCCCTGATATTATATAATATAATTTATAATGTCCACATTTTGTCTCTGAAAAGAAGAAAATCTCCTATGGAAAAAACCTTGTTAATGGAACGTATTGGATGGTCTGGCTATTGTTAACAAACTTTTGTTTAATACATAATCCTTTTTTTTGAGCTCCCATTAAGTGCCAGACTTCATACTTGGAACATATTCTCTGCCTTCCAGGGGCTTTTCATCAGGAGAACCAGAGGCAGGAGTGCCTGTAATCTGAGGCAGCCAATGAAAGTGTTAGAGAAGAAGACAAACAAGGGAAAAGAAGACATAAACAAGAGACTGACTTTGTGAGGATCATCTGCGATGGGTTGTGGAGAAGGAATGAATGATGCATAGAAAGAAATGATAGTACATAAATGGGTAAGGATATCAGAAAAGGACATTTCTCACAAGGTGAACATCATTCATTTAAAACTGGTCTGATTGTCCCATAGAACTAATATTTATGGTTTTTTAAATAAATATAGAAATTGACCCTCCCTGGTCTTAAAATTAGAAACTTACATTTGTCTCATCTGAGTTCGTTCCTTAGGAAACCGACCCTCAGGCAAGGGACTGAAACTCATCAGATCACTGCATCTGGACAATGAGATGCCAGACCCCTCATCCATCATCATTGCTTTCTTTCCCCTCCTTAATTCCTGTTTTCCCACCTTCCCTACTATATAAAACCCCCAGTTGGAGAGATGGGTTTGAGACTTTATCTGTCGTTCTCCTTGGTCACAGCACCCAATTAAAGCCTTCTTCCCTGGTAATACTCATTGTTTCAGTGGTTGGCGTTCTGTGTGGCCATCAGCAGGGCCTGGACTGAATCCCTGGCATTTCGGCAACACAATTAAAAAATGTTTATCACATGCCTAGGTACTGGGTATACTTTTGGTGCACCAAAGTTTCTGTCTTCATAGAACTTACATGTCAGATTGTGAAGGTATTTTGAAGAAAAAAAAATGCTCTGGTGGGTGAATGTAAGGCATTTTAGGGAAATATTGTGTTGTCTTCTGTGGCTGCTGAATAGGTTGCAGGGGGTTGGGATAGTGGGAAATCATCTGGCTTGGAAAAGTAAACAGAAGTCAGATCATGAATGGCCTTGTATGCCAAACTGAGGTGTATTTTGCTTTTCATTTTGTTTTGCTTTGTTTGTTTCTGGCTTGGCAATAGGGAACCACTGGAAGTTTTGAAGATGATCTGGGTGCTTTATGCTGTTAGACCAATGTGCTTTAGAAGATGAACTTTGGCTTAATATGAGACAGTTGGAAGAACTGGGTGAAGGGAAGGAAGCCACTTCAGAGGCAAGAGTTAAGAAGGATCTGAACTAGAATATGGGCCATTGCAACAGAAAGGGAGAGAGAAGAAAAAAATTGCAGAGATGGAATTATGGTAATTAGCAATTGATGGAACATAGAGCTGCTGAAGAGGTTTTAAGCCTGAAAGAAAAGTTATTGGCCGGGCACAGTGGCTTATACCTGTAATCCCAGCACTTTGGGAGGCCGAGGCGGGTGGATCACCTGAGGTCAGGAGTTTGAGACCAGCCTGGCCAACATGGCGAAACCTCATCTCTACTAAAAATATAAAAATTAGCTGGGTGTGGTGGCACACGCCTGTAATCCCAGCTACTTAAGAGGCTGAGGCAGGAGAATTGCTTGAACCTGGGAGGTGGAGGTTGCAGTGAGCTGAAATTGCACCACTGCACTCCAGCCTGGGCGACAGAGCGAGACTCTGTCTCAAAAAAAAAAAACAAAAAAAAAAAAAAAAAGAAAAGTTATTGCTATTGAAGAGACTGCAAGCACAGGAGGGGGAAGTTGAGGTGCAGATTATAATAGATTGTTCCAATAAGAACACGTGGACACAGGGAAGGGAACAACACACACTGGCGCCAGTTGGGGGGTGAGGGACGGGGGGAGGGGAGCATTAGGACAAATAGCTAATGCATACAGGGCTTAAAACCCAGATGACGGGGGCCGGGCACGGTGGCTCACGCCTGTAATCCCAGCACTTTGGGAGGCTGAGGCGGGTGGATCACGAGGTCAAGAGATCGAGACCATCCTGGCTAACAAGGTGAAGCCCTGTCTCTTCTAAAAACAAAAAACAAAAACAAAACAAACAAAAAAACCACCTAGATGACGGATGAAGGGTTGATAGGTGCAGCAAACCCCCATGGCACACGTTTACCTATGCAACAAACCTACACGTTCTGCACTTGTATTCTTAAAAAATAATATTAATAGGCTAGGCATGGTGGTTCACGCCTGTAATCCCAGCACTTTGGGAGGCCGAGGTGGGCGGATCACGAAGTCAGGAGTTCGAGACCAGTCTGGCCAAAGTAGTGAAACCCCGTCTCTACTAAAAATACAAAAAATTAGCCGGGTGTGGTGGTGTGTGCCTGTAATCCCTGCTACTCAGGAGGCTGAGGCAGGACAGTCACTTGAACTTGGGAGGCAGAGGTTGCGGTGAGCCGAGACCACACCATTGCACTCCAGCCTGGGCGACAGTGCGACACTCCATCTTGAAAAAACGTAATAATAACAATAATAATGATAATAGATTGTCCCACTTCCTTCCCTCTGCCAAAGGATAATCCAGAACATCACGGTGCCAAGATGTGAGCTTCATCTGGCTAAGTCCACTAAACTATTTTTTTAAGAAAAATGATTCAAACAAGCTATCTGAGCTCTGGATTTGGGATTTCTCAGTATTATTTAAAAAATAATTTTAAGCACGGTCATGATATCTTTAACAGTTTTGAAACCTTTATTTTTCCATTTTAATTTAAAATAAAAATCGCATCTGTAAAACACTGTTAAGAATGGGATATATCAGCAAATAAAAAATGGACTCAGAAGACATAGTGAATTAATGTAAGATTGACTGTGGATTTTATTTTTCACACTGATATTTTGGCTTCTATAGACTAGAGAGATACTCTGTGAGTTTTATGATGATGTTTTTCCATGTTGTATGAGTGAACCATGGCATTGTTCTTTGAACATCTGTGTAAATGGCTCTGAAAACCTGAGAGAGAATAGTCAGCCCTGAACACAGGGAGGCAATGTTGCTTAAAGAAACAGAAAGACCCGGGCTCCTGACTCTCTGCTTCTTGCCGGTTGTGTTAACTTCTATACAAATAGCTTGACAAGCTATTTAGCCCCTCAGTGCCTCTGTCTCCTCATCTTTAAGATGGAAATTAAAAATGCCTATTTCAGATGGTTGCCATGAGAGTTACATGATAAAGGGCAGGTAAAGCACTTACTTGTGTGGGGCCTGCCTTGTGGTCAGCGTCAGTGACCATTCTATTTCTGTTGGGTGTGCTCAGCTGTTGGCCCAGGAGCAGGGCTGCTGCTTACCCAGGCTGTTACTCTGTGCCTCTGCTCAGTCAACCCAGAGTATTCCTGCATTTGATTGCTTTCTGCATGTCATCAATGTAGTGATGTGGAATCGTGGTGTGAAAGCTGAAGTACCTTTTAGAGATGTTACCTTTTGTATTCTCATTTTTTCCTGTGTTACTGTGTTAGCTTCTGGCTCTTTAGGGGGGAATATTGTGTTAGCTTCTGGCTCTTTGGGGGGAAATTGTTTAGGCACAGGAAAGAGAGATTTTTTTTTTCTTGATAAGTTTTTTTTTCTCAGTAGGGTTCTGTTTCCACATTTCCAAGTATGGCTTACTTAAGCTCAGGTATTCAGCAGGTGAATCTGAGGCTGGGGTCAGGATGAGATATCTAATGACTAATACGTTATCAAAGTCTGTGGTGAGTTTATATGTCTTCCCTATGGATATTTGAACAATTTGAATCATCGTCTCCCACTGTCACTTTCTACCCTGGAAATCTGGGAGTAACCTACCAAGCGTATGTAAATTACCCAGTGATATAAAAAGCCATCCTTTTCACATTCCACAAAAAACATTGACCATCTAGCTGAAGGACTTTCCAGTTTCAGTTGCATGTTTTATAAGAAAAAAAAAATCCCTTAAACCAAATAGCTAAGAGCTAACATACAAAATGAGGCCTTTTCTCATCTCCCCTCCACTTTCACCAGCACAAGCAAAGTGGTGGTAAAATATACAAGAAAAAGTGCCTGTTTTGTAGGGTTGTTTTAAAATGTGCTCCCTTCAAGTTTCTTGGGTCCTTTTGTCCCAGTTTCCATGGGATTTAGGAAATGGTGAGCAAACATGCCCATAGCTGTTTAGGAAAAATAGCCCATAGCTATTTGCTATGGGCAGGTACTTATTTTCTTGGCCTTGTGATATGAAGAGTGTGGGAGGTCCAAGAAAGGGCTATGGGCCCTGAAGGCCATGCCATTTCAAAAACTGGATAGCTCTGGTTCAAGCAAAAAAAAAAAAGAAAGAAAGGAAAAAAAAAATCTCCGAATGCTAGAATTCCATCTTCAATTAAAAATCGATCCTCATTCCACCATTGGAGAAATAATTGGCATGATCAATCATATGGGTGTCAGTTGCCTGTCAAAGCAAAGTTGTTACTGTTGTGCTCTCCCCATCACCTTTTCAGAAAACTGGCAAATTCTACCATTCTGGGGAGCACTGCCCTCTGTGATAAAGAGAGAAAAGAGATGTATCTAGATGTGATCTAGAAGATTTTTTATGTACTATGCCTAGCTTAAATTCAGAGTACAATGTGTTTGAGGATGGTTAGCTGTGAGATGAAATTTGTAAACTTTGTGCTGTGCCCATCTCATTTCTGTACTATTTTCCACATGCTTTTTACTAGTTCTTGGTACAAGTGGAAGCAGAAAGTGATTCTGCTCACTTTCACGTGTATTAAACTGTGTTCAGCTTTCATATAGTTCTCATAACTGAGTTTTGAGACCAATATTAGCTGGTCTTTCATAGCAACGTATGTATTAATTTTCTCTTCCAACTTGATTTCACTTGCACTTTTTCTCCCTCATGAATATTCTTTGAGGATAACATTTCTACTGAAAACTCCTTATCTTCCCAGATATGTTTGTGAGAATTAACTAAACCTGTGTCTAACTCAAGAAAAAAACCCCACTTCAGTTCACTTGCTTAAGTATTTGAAAATAACTTTGCTCTTTCTTTTCAAGAAATAACTCTTTTCCCATTTTTTAAAACATTGAACTTCCTTATTAATTTCTTTGTTTATTGTGTAAGGGCCTAATTAATGACTCACAAAAAGTTGTTCATGGGATTGAAGAAACTGATCTTGTTAAAGGTGTCTTAAGTGGGGGAATATGTGAAATCTTCCCCACAGGCATTCATGGTTTTGACATGTTGGTTTATGTTTCCTGAGATCTAGTTTTCTTTTCAAGCTCGTATTTTTACAGTCTGTAAACATCCCTCTCAGCTCATGTATACATGTGCATACACACCCACACAACACAAATCAGTTTATTTGGTTAATGAAATTAAGTAACTGGACAGTTAGGTTTTTCAAAGTTGAGGCAGGTTGTCTGAGACTTAGAGGGGAAAAAGGCTGTTATGTGATCAGTTTGTTGCTCAAAGCCAGGTATGAGGGAGGGGGGTCCCATGAATCCACAGCAGCCATCCTGATTCTCGCTGACACAGGTCACACACTTCAGCACGAGAAAAGCCTTTACTCAAGGATGCTGTGATAATGCCTCAAGCAATTGTGGAACGATGATTCTGGGAACCAGAAATAGACATGCTCTTCTTGTAGTCATTTATTGCTCTCACGTAAACCATAAATCCAATGGTTAATTAAGTACCTAAGTATTTGTAGAAGACATTGTGAAGCATTATCTCAAAACAGGCATTTTCAAAAATGAAAAAGGTCAGCACTTGTAATAAGAGGGAAGTATGCTGAAATTTACTCCACATATTTTTATAGATATTTGACTTAAATAGTGACATTTTGGACCACTGAATAACTGCACACATTTTTATAGATATTTGACTTAAATAGTGACATTTTGGACCACTGAATATAAATAGAGAACAACTATTAGCAATGCTACTGATTGGGATTCTATTTCTATTATTAATTTCAACTAATTTTAAAAGATGAGTTTTTTTAGTTTGTCTTATTAAAAGTGTCCATCAGTAAGATATGGTAAGCTACTATTTCATATTATGTGGGAAATTAATGCTCTTATACTTCCTGAAAATGAAGCCATTTTCTGTTCATGTATTGACCAAATGGCTGATTATTACCTAGCAAAAAATATTATTACTTTTTCAGTTCATTCAATCAATGATGCTTTCTGAGCGCCTACTATAGTGAGGTACAGGACTGGGCACATTGAAGAATACAGTTCAGAGAAGATTTTCCTATTCCTAGAACACATCTAGTTTTTTTCTATCTCAATTTTTCATTTACTTCTGTCCTGTCCACCTATAATGGTCTCTTTTCCATTTATCTAAATCTACTCATTCTGTTGCACCTAAGTCAAGTGTCTCTTGGCAAAACCTTTCCAAACTACTTTAGGGCTCAGTGATTTTTTTCCCTTCTGTACATTCTCAAGCAATTAATTAATTACTGGTGACCTTTTTTTACGGTAGTATATTTTTGTTTTGTTTCGTTTGTCTAAATGGATAGGCAACCCCTTGGGGAGAGTGGACATGAAGTGAGAGGCAGGAACAATGTATTTTTTGTTCCTCACACTGACTTCCTTGCTGTGCATTGCTCCCTGAGAAGTGACTTGGGAGTTCAGAGAAGACAGTGATCCCCGGGGGTAAGGTCAAAGAAGGGGTCAAAGAGGTGAGACTTGATCTGTACTTAGAAGGGTAGGTAAGCTTTAGGTAAGAAAAGAAGGTAGAGATGGTATTTCAAAGGAATGTTGGGTGGTGCAGACAAGTATGAGTGAAATGAGGATTCAGAGTGCATCAAACAGAAATGAATAGTCTCAAAACTGTTGAAGTCTGCCAAGAAGATGGATGGTTTATGGATCACACTGGTATATAAGCCTCCTGAAGCACAGTATGTAACCCTGGAAAGTGATGCAGAACAAGTGATGTCTCATGCATCTATTTCTCATTGGCTGCATCTCTTATAAGACAGGCTTTGCTGTATATCACTTTCCTAGTGTATATCTTTATTCTATCTCTTTTTTTTACCCTGCTCTGATTTAAAGGATTATTCGATTAGACTATTAGGCAAGGGATTCAAAGTTCTCCCATTTCATCACCGATAAAACTAGAAATGACTCTCTCATGAAGACAAAAAGTCCTTTGACATGTCCTAGAAGAGGTGCCAAGCCGTAGTTGAGGGCATACAGAACACAGAATCAATTATTGACCAATAATCAAGCATTCCTATCTACTTCTATGGGAGAAATGATGGTTTTCTTGATATTAAAGGAGAGCATGAAGGTTTTCTTTCCGCCTGCCGTGAGCATCATGATGAAGAATGCCCATGGGCTGTTTAGAACAGACAAGTTGATAATCAGGTAATGTAGGATTAGGAGAGGTTATGGGATTTCAGAATTAAAGGAATTATGAATCAACAATTGTCTACTTACTAAGTTAAGGAGATAACTGCATAGATTTGCCAACATGAATTCAGCTATGAATTCATTCGTCTTGGAAAAATATGAAAGTAAATAATTATGGACTTAATCCATGTAGAATAAAATTTTATTTAGTCAGACACTACCAATAAAAATTTTATGATACTCAAGAATGAGAGGTTGAATACTTAAGAGAATAGAAAGATATCAAATATCTTTAATTGCCTGTCATTAGGGTTGTGCAAATTACAAACATACCTTATCTCTTCCTTGAAGCAGATCCACTAATTGATGATGATAACAAACAACTATGTTATTGGTTTATATATTTACTATACTATAATTTTTATCATTATTTTAGAGTGTACTCTTTGTACTTGTAAAAAAAAAAAAAGTTAACCATAAAACATCCTCAGGCAGATCCTTCAGGAAGTATTCCAGAAGAAGGCATTGTTATCATAGGAGAAGAAAGCTCCATGTATATTATTGCCTTTGAAGACCTTCCACTGGGACAAGATGCGGAGATGGAAGGCAGTGATATTGATGATCCTGATCCTGACCCTGTGTAAGCCTAGGTTAATATGTGTGTTTGTGTCTTAGTTTGTAACAAAAAAGTTTAAAAAACAAAAAATAAAAAATCTAAAAATAAAAAGGCTTAGAGAATCAGGATATAAAGAAAATATTTTTGTATAGCTGTACAATGTATTTATATTTTAAGCTAAATGTTAATACAAAAGAGTCTTAAAAATGGAAAAGTTTATAAAGTAAAAAAGTTACAGTAAGCTAAGGTTATTATTGACTTTTTTTTTTTTTTTTTGAGACGGAGTCTCGCTCTGTTGCCCAGGCTGGAGTGCAGTCATGCCATCTCGGCTCACTGCAACCTACGCCTCCCAGGTTCAAGCGATTCTCCTGCCTCAGCCTCCCAAGTAGCTGGGACTACATGGCGCCCACCACCATGCCCGGCTAATTTTTGTATTTTTAATAGAGACGGAGTTTCACCATGTTGGCCAGGCTGGTCTCTAACTCCTGAGCTTGTGGTACGCCCCCCTCGGCCTCCCAAAGTGCTGGGATTACAGGCGCGAGCCACGGCTCCTGGCCTTTTTTTTTTTTTAAGAGATAGGGTCTCTGTCTGTTTCCCAGGCTGACTAGAGTGCAGTGGTGTGATCGTAGCTGACTGTAGCCTCAAACTCCTGAGCTCAAGCGATTCTCCCACCTCAGCCTCCTGAGTAGCTAGGACTACAGGCATGCACAATCGCACCTGGCTAATTTTATTTTTCGTAGTGATGGGGTTTTACTATATTGCCCAGGCTGGTCTGAAACTCCTGGGTTCAAGTAATTCTCCTGCCTCGGCCTTCTAAAGCACAGGGATTACAGATGTGAGCCATTGTGCCTGGGAGAAAGAAAAAACTTTAAATTAGTGTAGCATAAGTATACAGTGTTTATGAAGTCTGCAGTAGTGTACAGTAATGTCCCAGGCCTTCCCATTCACTCACCACTCACCTGATTCAGCCAGAGCAACTTCCAGTCCTGCAAGCTCCATTTATAAGTGCCCGTATAGGTGTACTATTTTTTATATTTTACATCATATTTTTACTGTGTCTTTTCTGGTCAGATATGCTTAGATACACAAATACCATTTTGTTATAATTGCCTACAGTATTCAGTACAGTAATATGCTGTACAGGTTTGTAGCCTAGGAACAATGGTCTATACTATAGAGCCTAGGTGTGCAGTAGGCTTTACCATCTAGGTTTATGTAAGTATACTCCATGATGTTCTCACAAAAATGAAAACTGCCTAATGTCACATTTCTCAGAATGAAGTTCCTTTCTGTGTGTGTGTGTGTGTGTGTGTGTGTGTGTGTGTGTGTGTGTGTGAGATGGAGTCTCGCTCTGTCGCCCAGGCTGGAGTGCAGTGGTACAATCTCGGCTCACTGAAACCTCCGCCTCCTGGGTTCAAGCGATTCTCCTGTCTCAGCCTCCCGAGCAGCTGGGACTACAGGCATGCGCCAACACGCTCACCTTATTTTTGTATATTTAGTAGAGACAGGGTTTCACCATATTGGACAGGCTGCTCTCGAACTCCTGACCTCATGATCCACTGGCGTCGGCCTCCCAAAGTGCTGGGATTACAGGCGTGAGCCACTGCACCCGGCCTGAAGTTCCATTGTTAAATGAGGCATGACGGTAATTGATGTAGGAAAGCTATTGCTTTTTTGATGTCTATTTTGTATATCTTGTTTGAGACAGTTATTCAACTGTCTTACTAGGTCTACCTTGGAGTTTGAGACAATAATATAGTTCCTTTTTTATTGCATTGGCTATGTTCTCAAGGGCAAAATGAAATCATAGCAGTCACAACGATCATCTTTTTAAAAATCTTGACATTAATAGGAATCCTTGTAACATTTACTTCACTAATATGTGCGATACTTTCTGATGCTTTCTTATAGGAACCTTTTATTTTATAGGTTTCATTTTATTATTCAAATAAAGTTTATTTTTATTATTTGTTTGCTAAGAAGTTTAGCAGGAATGAGTGTTAAATTTTACCATATGAGACGGAGTCTTGCTCTCTTGCCCAGGATGGGGTGCAGTGGAGTGATCTCAGCTCACTGCAACCTCTGTCTCCCGGGTTCAAGCAATTCTCCTGCCTCAGCCTCCTGAGTAACTGGGATTACAGGTGAGTGCCACCACACTGGCTAATTTTCTGTATTTTTAGTAGAGATGGGGTTTCACCATGTAGGCCAGGCTGGTCTCCAACTCCTGGACTCAAGTGATCCACCCGCCTCGGCCTCCTAAAGTGCTGATATTACAGGCGTGAGCCACCACGCCTGGGTTTTTGGTGACTTTTAATGCTGACCTAAGATTTTATTCTCATCTAATCTATTTATATGCAGTATAAGATTAATTTTAAATGTTTTTTAAATGCTGAAACACTCCTGCTTTTATAGGATAAACCTTTTTTGGTCAAAATGGATTACTTCTGGAATATATTTGCTAATGTAGCTACATTGTTTTTTATATTCATTAGTGAAATTAGTATCTGATTTTTGCCTGTGTGTGTGTGTGCGTGTGTGCGTGCGTGCGTGTGTTCACCTTGTCTGGTTTTGATGTGACGGTTATGCTAGTCACATAGAATGAGTTATGCAACTATTAGTGTCTTTCCTTCCAGATTTAAATTGGAACCTTTAGGTAAGTATCCTTGAAGTTTTGATAGAACTTTCATCTCAAGTCATTTTTGTCTGGTGTCATTGTTTTGGGAAAGGTAGAGTTTTTAGTAACTTCAAAATTTCCTTCATCTTTAGAAAACTCTGGTACTTTGTCTTATTTTCAGGCAATTTTTGTAATTTGAATGGGAGAGGATATTTGTAAGCACATATAACAGAAAAAAGATTAGTAGCCAGAATATATAAAGAATGTAACCAGTGATTATTTTGTTTAATCTGGTGTTATTAGTTTGTTCTAACCTTTCTTATCTTTATTCAAATATTGATTAGAGGTTGTGTCAGAGGTGTTTGAACCAGAGCAACTCCATTTTGAATAGGGGCTGGGTAAAATGAGGCTGAAACCTACTGGGCTGCATTCCCAGATGGTTAGGCATTCTAAGTCACAGGGTGAGATAGGAGGTAGGCACAAGATATAGGTCATAGAGACCTTGCTGATAAAACAGGTTGCAGTAAAGAAGCCGGCTAAAACCCACCAAAACCAAGATGGCGACGAGAGTGACCTCTGGTGATCCTCACTACTACATTCCCACAAGCACCGTGACAGTTTACAAATACCATGACAGTGTCAGGAAGTTACCCTATATGGTCTGAAAAGGGAAGGCATGAATAATCCACCCTTTGTTTAACATATAATCAAGAAATAACCATAAAAATGGGCAACCAGCAGCTCTCAGGCCTGCTCTGTCTGTGGAGTAGCCATTCTTTTATTCCTTTACTTTCCTAATAGACTTGCTTTCACTTACTCTGTATGAATTGGCCTTGAATTCTTTCTTTCTTTTTTATTTTATTTTATTTTATTTCTATTTTTTGAGACAGTATTGCTCTGTCACCCAGGCTGGAGTGCAGTGGCGTGGTCTCAGCTCACTGCAAACTCCGCCTCCTGGGTTCAAGTGATTTTCCTGCCTCAGCCTCCCGAGTAGAAGGGATTATAGGCGTGGGCTACCACACCCGGCTGATTTTTGTATTTTTAATAGAGACAGGGTTTCACTATGTTGGCCAGGCTGGCCTCGAACTCCTGACCTCAAGTAATCCGCCTGCCTCGGCCTCCCAAAGTGCTGGGATTACAGGCATGAGCCACTGCTCCCGGCTAAATTCTTTCTTGTGCAAAATCCTAGAACCTTCTCTTGGAGCCTGGATCCAGGCCCCCTTTCCAGTGACAGCTGGAAGGCATTTTACCAAATTCACAATTAGGATTTTTCTCTGGGCACAAAGGAAAGGGAGAGTGGAGACGTGCATCTTACACATTTTGACATATAATGTTTTCTTTGGTCTTCATTCACAAATATTTCATAATCTCAGTTTTTATTTCCTCTTTGAGTTACTTAGAAGAGTTTCAAAAAATTATTTATAATTTCTAAGCACATAGCTTTTTTTTTGGATATTCTTTTGTTGTTAATGTATAATGTTACTGCATGTTGCGAAATAGTGGGCCTTTATAATATTGGCCTTTTGTGATTTATTGAGATTTTCTTTGAGCCATAATGCATGGTCTGTTTTAGTAACTGCTTCATTAATTGAATGAAGCACTTGAGGGCAGATCACTTGAGGTCAGGAATTCTATTTGTTGGATTCAATATTCTATATAGGTTTGTCAAGACAAATTTGTAATTGGGTTCAGTTCTTCCATATTCTAATGTATCTTAGGTCACTGAATCTGTTAATACATGAGCGAGGGTGTACATTACTCACTGGAATTCACTCGTTATACAACAAATATTTGTCAAGGACCTACCATGTACCAGGCCCTGTTTTAGGTGCTGGGATTTAACAATGAGTGAAACAAAGATTGTGCTTTCATGAAACTTACCTTGTGATTGGAGGAGACAGACAATAAGTAAATAAATAAAAATATCTATAATGCATGTGTCAACACACAAAATTATAACAAATTTAGTTTAAAGATCTCAACTGGCTTTATTGGAATTCTAGAATCAGGCAAAACTTTATTCCATAAAATAGAATTAAGTGTTCCCATGAGCTGAGCAGAAGAGACTGGCTTTATAGACAGAGAAGGGCTGGAGAAAGCAGAAACAAAGAACAAAGTATACTAAGGGGTTCAAAGCTACTTTTCTTGTGAGAGGGGGACAGGGAGACAGAACAATAGAAAGATAATAGATTAGTTAATGACAGGTTACTTCAGGCTACTTCTTTTGTGAAAGGATTTAAAACAGAGAGAACTTCATTATCATGCCAACTGAAGATTTAAACTGGCCTGTTTGGGAAATTGGCTCTCTCCTAATTTCTCAGAAATTCAGATGATAAATTAGTTTGGATTTGGCGATGTGAAACTTTAGCATGAGCGACTCCATTTGCTTTCTAGTCTGATCTATTGGGGCCTAGTACAGGAGCTTAATCCAAACCAATAACTTCCTATAATCTTTATTTAACAAATGCTTCAGGTGGTAAGAAGTAGTAAGAAGAAAAACAGAGCAAATAAAGGGACAGAGAATGATCAGGATGATGGGCATGGGGGATGGGTGCTCTTTTAGGTAGGGTGTGGGAGCAGGCCTTTCTGATAGGGTAACACTTGAGCAGATGGGCAAGACAGATGGGGAATCCACCACAGATAGCTGGGACTCAGGGTTCCAGAAAGGGATCCTAGAGCCAATTATGTCAAATACCAATAAAAATCCCATGTAAATGCTCTTACCTCATCTGTTTATGCAGAACCTTAAACCTGCTCTCAGGTGTCCTGCACTAGAGCAGAGACCTAAATGAAAGGAGGGGGCAGGGCATGTGATTATTTGGAGGAAATATGTTCTAAGCAGAGGAAATAGAATGTGCAAAGGCTGAAGTTAGAGTGTGCTTGTGAAATGGCAGAGTGAGACAGAGAGCTATAGGATCCATGGTGAGGGAGAGGTAGTCCAAGGCCCTGAAGGTCAAAATAAGATCATAGTAAAGCTTTAGATTTCTGCTTTTGCCAACTTTTTCCCTTAGTCAGTTTTTACTTTATGTAGTTCAGTATTCAGTACTCTTAAAAAGTTATTTTTTTAGGCCGAGCATGGTGGCTCACACCTGTAATCCCAGCACTTTGGGAGGCCGAGGCGGGCGGATTGCCTGAGGTCAGGAGTTCGAGACCAGTCTGGCCAACATGGTGAAACCCCATCTCTACTAAAAATACAAAAAAATTAGCCAGACCCAGTGGCGGGTGCCTGTAATCCCAGCTACTCGGGAGGCTGAGGCAGGGGAATTGATTGAACTAGGGAGGTGGAGGTTGCAGTGAGCCGACACCGCACCATTGCACTCCAGCCTGGGCGACAGAGTGAGACTCCGTATAAAAAAAAGTTATTTTTTAAATCTCTGCATACAGATTCAAGACATATACCTTCTTTGCACACTTTATTTTTATCAATCTAAAATATGGTTCTATGTCTAATTTTTAACTCTAATTTTCTCTGATAAATAATGCTATTGCTTAGGTTTTGATTAAGTTTTTTTTTTTTTTTTTTTTTGAGACAGAGTCTCACTCCATCGCCCAGGCTAGAGTACAATGGCGCAATCTCGGCTCACTCCCAGGTTCAAGCGATTGTCCTGCGTCAGCCTCCTGAGTAGCTGGGACTACAGGCGTGTGCCGTGACAACCGGCTAATTTTTATACTTTTAGTAAAGACAGGGTTTCACTGTGTTGGCCAGGCTGGTCTTGAACTCCTGACCTCGTGATCAGCCCACCTCAGCCTCCCAAACTGCTGGGATTACAGGCATGAGCCACCACGCCTGGCCTAAAATTTTTATGATATATCTTTGGTCATTCATTTATTGTTGATATTTCTGACATTTTGCCCTTTAAGATACAAAAGAGCCCCTGCTTCTTTCTGTTAGAGAAATTTAAGCTCTTCACTTTTATTATAATTTCTGATACATTTGGACTTTTCTTTAGCATCTTATTTTGCTTTTTCTATTTACTATAATACCTTATTATTTTTTTCTTTTCCTTTCATGTTATTTCCTGCATTTATTAGGTTACTTTTGTTTTCTTTTTTCCTTTTGGTGCTTTAGAAATTTTGCATTCAGTTCCAGATTCTGGAACAGCACTTTTATTTTCTTCTTCTTCTTTTTTTTTTGAGACAGAGTCTTGCTCTGTCGCCCAGGCTGGAGTGCAGTGGCATGATCTTGGCTCACTGCACCCTCTGCCTCCTGGGTTCAAGCAATTCTCTGACTTAGCCTCCCGAGTCACTGGGATTACAGGTGCCTGCCACCACACCTGGCTAATTTTTGTATTTTTAGTAGAGACGGGGGGTTTCACCATCTTGGCCAGGCTGGTCTTGAACTCCTGATCTCGTGATCCACCCGCCTCAGCCTCCCAAAGTGCTGGGATTACAGGTGGGAGCCACCACGGCGGGCTGGAACAGCACTTTTCAATAGAACTTTCTGCAATTATGGAAATGTTCTACATCTGCACCGCCCAATTTAATAGCCAGTAACCACATGTGGCTACTGAGCACTTGTAAGGTGACTAGTGTGACTAAATAACTGAATTTTAAATTTTATTTAATTTTAGTTGATGGGAATTCAAAAAGCTACATGTAGCTAGTGGCTACCATTATTGGATAGCGCAGTTTGAAAGATTAAACTTAAAATGTTAATGGAGCAATTTAAACATCTTTTAGAAAAACTGAATACTCAGTATCTGCAGGCATACCTTGTTTAACTGCACTTTGCTTTGTTGTGCTTTGCAAATATTGTGTTTTTTACAACTTGAATGTTTGTAGCAACCTTTCTTCAAGCAAGTCTATCAGTACTATTTTTCCAATAGCATGTGCTTACTTTATATCTCTATGTCCCATTTTGGTATTTCTAGCAATATTTCAAGCTTTTTCATTATGATTATATCTGTTATGCTGATCTGTGATTAGTGATCTTTGATATTACTATTGTAATTGTTTTTGGGTGCCACAAACCCCGGCCATGTAACGCAGCACACTTAATGGATAAATGTATGTATTCTGACTGTTCCATTGATTGTCCATTTCCCTATCCTTAGCCCTGTCCTAGAGCCTCCCTATTTCCTGAGATACAATATTGAAATTAGGCCAACTAATAACCCCACCATGGCCTCTAAGTAAGTGTTCAAGTGAGAGAGTCACAAGTCTCTTACTTTAAATCAGAAGCTGATTACACTTAAGGCTGGGCGTGGTGGCTCACGCCTGTAATCCCAGCACTTTGGGAAGCCAAGGCGGGTGGATCACTTGAGGTCAGGAGTTCGAGACCAGCCTGACCAATATGGTGAAACCCCATCTCTACTAAAAATACAAAAATTAGACAGGCGTGGTGGCAGATGCCTGTAGTCCCAGCTACTTGGGATGCTGAGACAGGAGAATTGCTTGAACCTGGGTGGCAGAGGTTGCAGTGAGCTGAGATTGTACCACTGTACTCCAGCCTGGACGACAGAGTGAGACTCTGTCTCAATAATAAATAAATAAATAAGCTGATTACATTTAAAATGTTAATGCAGCAATTTAAACATCTTTTAGAAAAACAGTACTCACTATCTACAGGCATAACTTGTTTTACTGGATTTTACTGTGTTGCGCTTTGCAGATATTGTGTTTTTCACAATTTTTTTTTTTTTAACAAAAATTAAGCTTATTGAGACAGGCAGATTGAAAACTTAGGCCAAAAGTTAGGCTTCTTGCACTAGTTAGCCAAGTTATGAATACAAAGGGAAAGTTCTGGAAGGAAATTAAAGCTGCTTCTATAGTCAACACATGAATGACAAGAAAGAAAAGTAGCCTTATTGGTGATATGGAGAAAGTTTAGGTGGTCTGGATAAGAAGATCAAACCAGCCACAACACTCCCCTAAGCCAAAGCCTAATCCAGAGCAAAGCTCTAACTGTCTTCAATTCTATGAAGGCTGAGAGAGATGCGAGGAAGCTGCAGAAGAAAAGCTTGAAGCTGGCAGAGATTGGGTCATGAGATTTAAGAAAATAAGCCATCTCCATGACATAAAAGTGCAAGGTGAAGCAGCAAATGCTGATGGAGAAGAAGCTACAGCAAGTTATCCAGAAGATCTAGCTAAGATCATTGATGAAGGAGGCTACGATAACAACAGATATTCAATGTAGACAAAACAGCCTTCTATTGGCAGAAGGTGTTATCTAAATTTCCTTTTCTTTTCTTTTCTTTTTTCTTTTTTTCCTTTTGAGATGGAGTTTTGCTCTTGTTGTCCAGGCTGGAGTGCAATGGCACGATCTTGACACACCGCAATCTCCGTCTCCCAGGTTCAAGCGATTCTCCTGCCTCAGCCTCCCAAGTAGCTGGGATTACAGGGATGTGCCACCATACCCGGCTAAATTTTTGTATTTTTAGTAGAGACAGGCTTTCACCGTGTTAGCCAGGATGGTCTTGATCTCCCGACCTCAGGTGGTCTGCCAGCCTCGACCTCCCAAAGTGCTGGGATTACAGGCATGAGCCACCATGCCAGCCTAAAATTTTCATAGCTAGAAAGAAATAAATGCCTGGCTTCAAAGCTTCAAAACACAGCCTGGCTCTCTTGTTAGGGGCTAATGCAGCTGGTGAATTTAAGTTGAAGCCAATGCTCATTTACCATTCTGAAAATCCTAGGACCACTAAGAATTATGCTAAATCTACTCTGCCTGTGCTCTACAAATGGAACAACAAAGCCTGGATGACAACACATCTGTTTACAGCAAATCACTGGGTAGGCACAACAGCAGAATAGAGATGACAGAGTGAAGAGCCAGTGCACTTGAAGATAGATCAATACAAATTATTATTGGGGCCTGGCGAGGTGGTTCATGCCTGTAATCCCAGCACTTTGGGAGGCTGAGGAAGGCAGATCACCTGAGGTCAGAAGTTCAAGACCAGCCTGGCCAATGTGATGACACCCCATCTCTACTAAAAATACAAAAATTAGCTGGGTGTGGTGGCAGATGCCTGTAATCCCAGCTACTTGGGAGACTGAGGCAGGAGAATTGCTTGAACCTGGGAGGCAGAGGTTACGATGAGCCGAGATCACGCCATTGCACTCCAGCCTGGGCAACAAGAGCAAAACTCCGTCTCAAAAACAAAAAAAAGAAATTATTATTGAGAGGCCTAGGTGGGCGGATCACTTGAGGTCAGGAGTTTGAGACCAGCCTGGGCAACATAGTGAAACCCCATCTCTACAAAAAATACAAAAATTGCTGGTCGTGGTGGCATGCGCTTGTAGTCCCAGCTACTTGGGAGGCTGAGGTCAGAGGATGGCTTGAGCCCAGGAAGGGGAGGTTGCTGTGAGCCGAGATAGCGCCACTGCACTCCAGCCTGGGTGACAAAGCCGGACTCTGTCTCAAAACAAAAACAAAAATAAAAACATATAATAGAGCTCCAATACATTTGGCAGCAGACCTTCCAGTGGAAACCTTACAGGCCAGGAGAGAGTGGCATGACATATTTAAAGTGCTGAACCTTTACCCTAGAATAGTATATCTGGTGAAAATATCCTTCAGGGCTGGGCATGGTGGCTCTCACCTGTAATCCCAGCACTTTGGGAGGCCGAGGTGGTGGATCACCTGAGGTCAGGGGTTCGAGACCAGCCTGGCCAACATGGCAAAAACCCATCTCTACTAAAAATACAAAAATTAGCTGGGCATGGTGGCAGGCACTTGTAATCCCAGCTACTTGGGAGGCTGAGGCAGGAGAATTGCTTGAACCCGGGAGGTGGAGGTTGCAGATCGCTCCACTCCAGCCTAGGGGATAGGGTGAGACTCTGTCTCAAAAAAAAAAAAGAAAAAAGAAAGAAAGAAAGAAAAGAAAATATCCTTCAAACATGAAGGAAAAATAAAGACCTTCCAGACAAACAAAAGCTGAGGGATTTCCTCAACACCAGACCTGTCCTACAAGAAAAACTAAAGGGAGCTCTTCAATCTGAAAGAAAAGGACCTTAATGAGCAATAAGAAATCATCTGAAGGTACAAAACTCATTTGTAAAAGTAAGTACACAGAACATTATAACACTATAATTGTGGTGTGTAAACTACTCACATCATTAGTTGAAAGATGGAAAAAATGAGCTGATCAAAGATAATAACTGGCTGGGTGCGGTGGCTCATGCCTGTAATCCCAGCACTTTGGGAGGCTGAGGCAGGGGAATCATGAGGTCAGGAGTTCGAGACCAGCCTGGTCAATATGGTGAAATCCTGTCTCTACTAAAAATTAGCTGGGCATGGTGGCGGGCGCCTGTAATCCTAGCTACTTGGGAGGCTGAGGCAGGAGAATTGCTTGAACCTGGGAGGCAGAGGTTGCAGTGAGCCAAGATCGCACCACTGCACTCCAGCCCAGGCAAAAATGCAAGACTCCATCTCAAAAAAAAAAAAAAGGTAATAACTACAACAACATTTCAAGACATAGACAGTACAATGAGATATAAACAGAAACAACAAAAAGGTAAAATGTGGGGAGAAAATGTTAAAATATAAAGTTTTTATTAGGTTTCTTTTTGCTTGTTTGTTTGTTTGTTTATGCAATCAGTGTTATGTTGCCATCAGCTTCAAATAATGGGTTATAAGATATTGTTTGCAAGACTCATGATAACCTCAACTCTAGAAATATACAACAGATACACAAAAAATACAAAGGAAGAAATTAAATTATATCATCAGAGAAAATCAGCTTCACTAAAAGGAAGACAAGAAGGAAAGAAAGAAGGGATAGAAGACCACAAAACAACTAGAAAACAAATTTAAAAATGGCAAGAGTAAGTCTTTACTTGTCCATAATAATGTTGCATGTGTAAAAAGTAAAGTAGAGGTTCCTCTTCAGAGACTTTCCTCCCTGTCTACTTAGGAATAAATAGTAACTTCTCTTAGAAGCAAAATTTATTCAAAGTCCTGTGCTAACATTCTTAAATATCTGTGCTAACATTCTGAAATATCTGCTAGCTGTAATAAAGAAATCAATGTACTTTGTATTCTTAGCTCCCACAATTTAGCCTAAATATTTACCCTGGTGTGCTTATACTGGTCCAAGCAAGCATTAGGTCATAGCCTGTTCATCTTCCTTATTTGGAGGTGTTTTTACCTTTCTCAGCATTGCACAAGTTACTTCCTCCTTCCTTTGTTCTCCTCTGCCTTTGCCTCTTTTGGAAAGTTCTAAGTTGCTAGCCAATCGGGACAAATACAGAATGTGAGGTCCCATTCCAGCCAATGGAAACTGGACACAGCAGTAGGGTGGACGCATCAGGTTATAAATGACCCTGTCTTCTTTGTTCAGTGTACTCTCATGGCAAAACTGCTGGCAAGTGTACCCTTTCTGCAGAAAGTTAAAATGGCCTTGCTGAGAGAATTAAATTTATGTTCAAGTGCTATTTCTTTGTGGCACTGGGGAACAAGCATTCTATTTCTAAATAAACATTTTTACATATAACACATGTAAATGGACTAAACTCTCTAATCAAAAGACAAAGTAGCTGAATGGATTAAGCAAGCAAGATCCATTGATTTATTACCTGCAAGAAACAAACTTCACCTATAAACACACGCACAGGCTGAAAATAAAGGAATAGAAAAAGATATTCCATCCAAATGAAAACCAAAAAAGAGGAGGAATAGATGTGGTTCTATAAGACAAAATAGATTTCAAGACAAAAACTATTGAAAGCAACACAGAAGGTCATTATATAATGATAAAGGGGTCAATTCAGCAAGGGGATATAACAATTCTAAATATATATATGCACCCAAGACCAGAGCACCTAGATATGTAAAGCAAATATTATTAGAACTAAAGACAGAGAAAGATCGCAATACAATAATAGCTGGAGACTTCAACACTCCTCTTTCAGCATTGGACAGATCATCTAGACAGAAAATCAACAAAGAAACAGGGAAAAACTGAAAGCCCTTCCTTTAAGATTTGGAACATGAGAAGAATGCTCACTTTCACCACTGTTATCCAACATAATACTGGAAGTCCTAGCTAGAGCAATCAGACAAGAGAAAGAAATAAAGGACATCTGAATTGGAAAGGAAGAAGTCATATTATCCTTGTTTGCAGATGATATGATAGATTTGGAAAAACCTAAAGACTCCACAAAAAAAAAAAAAAAAAAACTATTAGAACTGATAAATTCAGTAAAGTTTCAGGATACAAAATCAACATACAAAAATCTGACTGGGCGCGGTGGGTCACATCTGTAATCCCAGCACTTTGGAAGGCCAAGGCAGGTGGATCACTTGAGCTCAGGAGTTCCAGACCTGTGTGGGCAACATGGTGAAAACCCATCTCTACCAAAAAATACAAAAATTAGCTAGGTGTGGTGGCACATGCCTGTAGTCCCAGCTACTGAGGAGGCTGAGGTGGGAGGATCGCTTGATCCAAGGAGGCAGAGGTTGCAGTGAGCTAAGATCATGCCACCACACTCCAGCCTGGTGACAGAGCAAGACCCCATCTCAAAAAAACAAAAAAACAAAAAAACAAAAAAACAAAAAAAACTATACCATTTCTATATGCCAACAGTGAACAATGTGAAAAATTAATTTTTTAAAATCCCATTTACAACAGCCACAAGTATAATTAAATATCTAGGAATTAACCAAAGAAGTGAAAGATCTCCATAATAAAAACTATATAATACTGATGAAAGACACTGAATAGAACACCAAAAAAATGGAAAGATATTTCATGTTCATAGATTGGAAGAATCAATATTGTTAAAATGTCCATACTACCCAAAGCAATCTGCAGATTCAGTGCAATCCCTATCAAAATACCAATGAAGTTCTTCATAGAAATAAAAAAAAATCCTAAAATTTATATAGAACCACAAAAGACCCAGAATAGCCAAAGCTATTCTGAACAAAAAGAGCAACACTGGAAGAATCACATTAACTGACTTCAAACTATACTACAGAGATAATCAAAACAGCATAGTGCTTGCGTAAAAACAGACACATAGACCAATGGAACAGGATAGAGAACCCAGAAACAAATTCATATATTTACAGTGAACTGATTTTCAACAAAGGTGCCAAGAACATACATTGGGGGAAAGACAGTCTCTTCAATAAATGGTGCTGGTAAAATTGGATATCCATATGCAGAACAATGAAACTAGATCCCTATCTCTCGCCATACACAAAAATCAAATAGAAGTGGGTTAAAGACTTAAATCTAAGACCTCAAACTATGAAACTACTCTAAGAAACCTTAGGGAAAATCTCCAGGACATTGCAGTAGGCAAAGATTTCTTAAGTAATACCCCAGAAGCACAGGCAACCAAAGTAAAAATGGACAAAGGGGATCACATCAAATTAAAAACTTCTGCACCACAAAGGAAACAATCAACAAAGTGAAGAGACAACCCACAGAATGGGAAAAAAATATTTGCAAACTATCCACTTGACAAAGGATTAACAACCAGAATATATAAGGAGCTCAAACAACTCTATAGGAAAAAATCTAATAATCCAATTCAAAATGGGTAAAAGATCTGAATAGACATTTCTGAAAAGATATGCAAATTGCAAACAGATATATGAAAAGGTGCTCAGCATCACTGATCATCAGAGAAATGTAAATCAAACCCATAGTGAGATATCATCACACCCTAGTTAAAATGGCTTGTATCCAAAAGACAGGCAATAACAAATGCTGGCAAGGATGTCGAGAAAAGGGAGCCCTCATACAGTGTTGGTGGGAATGTAAACTAGTATGACCACTATGGAGAACAGTTTGGAGGTTCCTCAAAAAACTGAAAGCAGAGCTACCATATAGTCCAGCAATCTCACTGCTGGGTATATACCCAAAAGAAAGGAAATCAGTATATTGAAGAGATAGCTGCATTTCCATGTTTATTGCAGCACTGTTCACAATATCCAAGATTTGGAAGTAACTCAAGTTTTTGTCAACAGACAAATGGTTAAAAATATGTGGTACATATACATAAGGGAATACTATTCAGCTATGAAAAAGAATGAGATCCTGCCATCTGCAACAACATGGATGGAACTGGGAGTCATCAAGTGAAATAAGCTAGGCACAGAAAGACAAACTTTTCATGTTCTCACGTACTTGTGGGAGGCAAGAATTAAAACAATTGAACTCATGCAGTTAGAGAGTAGAAGGATGGTTACCAGAGGCTGGGAGGGGTAGTGGAGGGGATAGAGTGGGGGAAGAAATGGGAATGGTTAATTGGTACCAAAAAATAGTTCGAAAACATGAAAAGATCTAGTATTTGATAGCAGAACAGGGTGACTATAGTCAATAATAATTGAATTGTACATTTAAAATTAAAAATAACTAAAGGAGTGTAACTGGATTATTTGTAACACAAAGGATAAATGCCAGAGGTGATGGATACCCCATTTGCCCTGATGTGATTATCACACATTGTATACCTGTATCAAAACATCCCATATACCCCATAAATATATACACCTACTATGTACCCACAAAAATTTTCATAAAAAATAGAGCCTGAAGATGTGACTGAATTGCTGCCATCTCATGATAAAACCTGAATGGATGAGAAGTCGCTTCTTATGGATGAGCAAAGAAGGTGGTTTCTTGAGCCAGAATCTACTTCTGCTGAATATGCAGTGAATATTGTTGAAATGGCAACAAAGGATTTAGAATATGCTGGAAACTATTTGACAAAGGGGCCGGGTTTCAGAGGATTGACTTTAATTTTTAAAAGAAGGTCTACTGTGTCTAATATGCTATCAAACAGCATTGCATTCTGTAGAGAAGGCTTTCATGAAAGGAAGAGTCAATCAATGCAGCAAATTTCATTGTTGTTTATTTTAAGAAATTGCCACAGCTACCTCACCCTTCAGCAACCACCACCTTGATTAGCCAGCAGCCATCAACAAGGAATCAAGACCCTCCACCCGCAAAAAGATTACAACTCACTGAGGGCTCAGATAATTGTAAGCAGTTTTTAGAAATAAAGTATGTTTAAATTAAGATATGTACATTGCCTTTTTAGACATAATGCTATTGCACACTTAATAGACTATATGATAACATAAATATAGCTTTTTTTAAAAAAATAGAGATAGTGTCTCATTATGTCGTCCAGGCTGGTCTTGAACTGCTGGGCTGAAGTGATCCTCTCACTTCCCAAAGTGTGGGATTATAGCCACCATGCCCAGCCACTGTAAACGTAACTTTTATGTGCACTGGGAGACAAAAAAATTTGTGTGACTCACTTTATTGTTATAGTCACTTTATTGCAGTGGTCTGGAACTGAACCTGCACTATCTCCAAGATATGCTTGTAATAATAATAAAAATAACCGCATAAATAATATAAGAAAACATAAATAACTTTTTTAATTTTAAGATAATTCCAGAGTCACTTGCAGTTTTAAGAAATAATATGGAGAGATTCTGTGTATTCTTTGCCCAGTTTCATCCAATGATAACATTTTGCAAAAGTATGCTACAAATAAGAAAACCATAGAGACAGAGAGTAGAATAAGGTTATCAGTAGTGAGTGGAAGGAGCAATGGGGATTGTTACCTAATGGTTTAGGGGGATTTTTCTGCATGATGGAAAAGTTTTAGAAATAGATAGTGGTCAGCCGAGTGTGATGGCTCATGCCTGTAATCCCAGCACTTTGGGAGGCCGAGGTGGGTGGATCACCTGAGGTGGGGAGTTGGAGACCCGCCTGACCAACATGGAGAAACCCTGTCTCTACTAAAAATACAAAATTAGCCGGGCATGATGGCACATGCCTGTAATCCCAGCTACTCAGGAGGCTGAGGCAGGAGAATTGCTTGAACCTGGCAGGTGGAGGTTGCGGTGAGCCAAGATCGCGCCATTGCATTCCAGCCTGGGCAACAAGATCGAAACTCCGTCTCAAAAAAAAAAAAAAAAAAAAAAAAAAGAGAGATAGTAGTGATGGCTACACATCATTGTGAATATACTTAATGCCACTGAATTGTGCACTTAAAAAATGGTCACAATGCTAACCTTCATGTTTTGTATTTTACTAAAATAATTTTTAAAAACCTTCTTAGAGACTGAATGTTTGTGTACCCCCAAAACTCATAAGTTGAATTTCTAACCCCCAGTGGGATGGTATTTGGAGGTGGGGCATTTTGGAGGTAATTTGATTTAGATGAGGTCATGAGGGTGGGGACTTCGTGATTAAATTAGTGTTCTTATACAAAGGGAAAGAGAGACCAGTTTTTTCTTTCTTCACCATGTGAGAATACAGCAAGAAGGTGACAATCTGCAAGTCAGGACAAGAGCCCTCTGCATTAACTGAATATGTTGGCACCATAATCTTATACTTCCCAGCCTCCATAACTGTGAGAAATAAACATCTGTTGCTGAAGCCATTCAGACTATGGTATTTTGTTTTAGCATCCTGAGCTGACTAACACAAACCCATAGTACAATATCACAACTGTAATACTGACATTAATACCATTAAGATACAGAATAGTTGTATCACCACAGGGATCCATCAGGTCGCCCTTTTGTAACCACATCATGCTCCCTTCTTCTTCCCTGCAGCCCTCATCCTTGACCCCTGGTAACTACTAATCTGTTCTCTATTTCTATAATGTTTCTTTTTTAGTCAGCTTAGTTCCCTTGAGATCCATCCAAGTTGCTGCTGTATGAATAGTTTTTTACTTTTCATTGTTAAGTGGCATTCCATTGGTATAGATGTAACACAGTTTTTAAACTATTCACCCATTGTGATTATTATTAATAAAGCTTATATGAACATTTATGTATAGGTTTTCAACACCTGCAGCACTACAGCCCCTCTCTGGGACATCCCTGAAAGACAGTGGTGAAGGGAAATCCTTTCAGTTGGCAAAACTTTGAGCAGCACACCTGGCTATGCACTTCGCTCAGAAAGAGAAACGGCCAGATATGCAATTATATACCAATTCATGGGCTGTAGCCCATGATTTGGCTGGATAGTCAGGGACTTGGAAAGAATATAATTGGAAAATTGGTGACAAATATATTTGGGGAAGAGGTCTGTAGATAGACTACTTCGAATGGGCAAAGAATGTGAAGGTATTTGCATCTCATGTGAGTGCTCACCAAAGGTTTACCTCAGCAGAGGAAGATTTCAATAATCAAGTGGCTAGGATGACCATTCTGTGGAGACCAGTCAGCCTCTTTCCCTAGCCACCCTTGTCACTGCTCGATGGGCTAATGAAGTAAGTGGCCAGGCTCCAGAGATGGAGTTTATGCATGGGCTCAGAATTGACCAAGGCCAACCTGACTATGGCCACCACTGAGTGCCCAATCTGTCAGCAGCAGAGACCAACACTGAGCCCCCAATATAGGACCATTCCCTGGAGTGACCAGCCAGCTATCTGGTAGCAGGTTGATTACATTGGATTGCTTCCATCATGGGAGTAGCGGCATTTTGTCCTTACTGAAATAGACACTTATTCTAAATACAGATTTTCCCTTCCTGCATGCAATGCTTCTGCTAAAAACTACCATCCATGGACTTATAGAATGCCTTATCCATTGTCATGGTATTCCGTACAGTGTTGCTCCTGATCAAGGAACTCACTTCATAGCAAAAGAAGTGTGGCAATGGGCCAGATTCATGGAATTCATTAGTCTTATCATGTTCTCCACAATCCTGAAGCAGCTGACTTGATAGTACAGTGGAAAGGCCTTTTGAAGACTCAGTTACAGCATCAGCTAGGTAGTAATACCTTGCAGGGCTGGGGGCAAGGTTCTTCAGAAGGTTGTATATTCTCTGAATAAATGTCCAATATATGGTGCTGTTTATCTGATAGCCAAGATTCATGGATCCAAGAATCAAGGGATGGAAATGGGAGTGGCTCCACTCACTATTGCCCCTAGTGACCCACTAGTAAAACTTTTGCTTCCCGTTCCTGTGATTTTATGCTCTGCTGGCTAGCGATCTTAGTTGCAGAGGGAGGAATGCTTTCACCAGGAGTCATAACAATAATTCCATTGAACTGGAAGTTAAGACTGTCACCCAGCCACTTTGGGCTCTCATGCCCCTGAGTCAAGGCCAAGAAGAGAGTTATAGTGTTGTCTGGGGTGATTAATCCAGACTACCAAGAGGGAATTGAACTACTACTCCACCATGGAGGTAAGAAAGAGTATGTTGGGAATACAGGGACCCCTTAGGATGTCTCTAGTTTTATCATTCCCTGTGATTAAGGTCAATGGAAAACTGTAACAACTCAATCCAGGCAGGACTATTAATAGCCAAGACTCTTTAGGAATAAAGATTTGGGTCACTCCACCAGCTAAAGAACCACAACCAGTTGAGGTGCTTACTGAATGCAAAGAGAATATGGAATAGGTAGTGGATGAAGGTAGTTATAAATGCCAACTACAATCCACATGACCAGAAAAGAAGACTGTAATTATCATGAGTATTTCCACCTTATTTTGTTGTGAATATACTCGTGTGTCTGTGTGTAGCAAATATCTTTGCTTTCTTTCATCTTATCTCTTATCATATAACATAATATGTATTGACTTTATATCAGTATTTAAGTATTGTTAACTTTATATCATAGTATTTAAGTTATGGGATATCAGGAGAAGAGTAAACATCACTCAAGGACTTTCCTCTTCTGGGGAAGGGATTAGTGCATTTTCAGTTGTATATAGAATAGTTATATCATGTTAGGTGGAATTATGACCTTGTTATTGTCTTCTCTTGGAGATTAAGTATGGTTTAAGGAGATGCCTATGGGTGCCAAGTTGACAAAGATGAACTTGTGACAGTTAATTTTATATGTCAACTTGAGTGGTCTAAGGGATGCCCAGATAGGTGGTAAAACATTATTTTTGAGTATGTCTGTAAGAGTGTTTCTGGAATAAATTAACCTTTGAATCAGTAAACATGGTAAAGAAAATCACACTCACCAATGTGAGTGGCCATCATCTAATACATTGAGGGGCCTAAATAGAACAAAAAGGCAAATGAAGAGCAAATTTGCTCTCTCTGCTTGAGCTGAGACATCCATATTTTCCTGCCCTCAGATATCAGAGTTCCTGGTTCTTGGGCATTTGGATTTGGACTGGGACTTACACCTCTGGCTCCCTGGTTCTTAGACCTTTGGACTCAGACTGAGAGTTACACTATTGGCTCCCCTGATTCTCAGGCCTTCAGGCTTGGACTAGAAGTACACTGCTGTTTTTCCTTGATCTCCAAGTTGCAGACAGCAAATTGTGGGACTTCTTAGCTTCTTAGCTTCTATAATTGCATGAGCCCATCCTCCATAAAAAATCTCTTTCCAGCTGGGTGTGGCGGCTCATGCCCACCCAGCGGCTCATGTCTTTGGGAGGCCAAGGCGGGTGGATCCTTTGGTCTTAGGAGTTAGAGACCAGCCTGGGAAATATGATGAAACCCCATGTCTACAAAAAATATGAAAATTAGCTGAGTGTGGTGGTGCACACTTGAAGTCCCATTTACTCAGGAGGCTGAGGTGGGAGGATCGCTTGAGCCCAGAAGGTTGAGCCTACAGTGAGCCAAGATTGAGCCACTGCACTCCAGCCTGGGTGATGAAACCATCTAAAAAAAACTCTCTCTCTCTCTCTGTATATATCCTATTGGCCTGTTTCTCTATAGAACCATGACTAACACAGACTTTGGTACTGAGAGTGGGGTGGAAGCAGTACCTAAAAATATGAAAGTGGCTTTAGAACTGGATAGCAGGTAAAGATAGGAAGAGTTTTGAGGTGCATGATGGAAAAAGTCTATGTTGCTATGAAGAGACCACTAAGGGTGATTCTGGTGAGAGCTCAGAAAGAAAAGAATAGGGCTGTAGAGAAAGCCTCAGTTTTCTCAGAGAACATCTAAGTGATCCTGAATAGAATGTTGGAGAAATATGGGTGGTAAAGGCCATTCTGGTGAGGTCTTAGACAGAAATGAGGAACATGTTATTGGACAACAGAGAAAAGATGATCATTGTTATAAAGTGACAAAGAACTTGGCTGACTTGTGCATATGCTCTAGTGTTTTGTGGAAGGTAGAACTTGTGAGTGATGAAACTAGATATTTATTTCAGGAAATATCTAAGCAATGTGTTGAAGGTGCAGCTTGGCTTCTTCTAACTACTTATAGCAAAATGTGAGAAGAGAGAAGTGACTTAAAGTTGGAATTGTTAAGCAAAAGGAAGCAGAAATGAAAGATTCTTAGGAAAATTCTTAGCCTATACATATTGCAAAAAATGAGGACATTAAAGATGTGGCCAAATGACTGTTTGATAAGGAGATTAGTGTAGATCAGCCATCTCAACGGAAACTAGGTGTTATTCTTCAAGACAATGGAAGAATTACCCCAAAGGCAATTCAGAGATCATCAGGCTAGCCATTCTATCTGAGACTGCCAGTGCCTGTGGAACTTCAGCGCACCCTGCTCATTGCCAGCTCACTTTGTGGTCTCCACTCACTGTACTACTTTGTCACCCCAGGTGCAGCTCCCATGGGTCCTGGTGCAGCATGGACTGTGGTGGCTGCCCCTCTGGAGGGTGCAGATAGCAAACTTTGGTGATGTCCATGTGGTACTGTCTTCTCTGGTATGCAGAATGCATAGGCTGAGGTGGGGGCGTGGCTGCTTGCACCTAGGTTTCAAAGGCTGAAACACCATGGCTGCAGGCACACAGTGACAACCTGGAAGATCTGTGGCATGAGGGCACAGATCCTGCCATGGAGTCATACCATAAAGCTGTGAAAGTGACATTGCCACTCAACATTGTCACCCAGTGGGCCTGGATGTCAGAGCATCAAGTCAAAGAAATTATTCTCAAGCCTTAAGGTCTAATGGAATTTGCCCTGTTAGGTTTTAAACTTACTTGAGACCTGTCCCCTTTTTCTTCTTTCTTCTTTCTCTCTTTTGGAATGGGAATGTCTGTCTATACCTGTCCCACCATTGAACTGTGGAAGCACATAACATGTTTGGTTTCACAGGTTCACAGCTGGCAGGAATTTGCCTTAGGATGAATCCTATCTTGAATATCATCCATATCTGATTTAGATAATATTTGGATGAGACTTTGGACTTAGATTTTAAAGTTGATACTGAAATGAGTTAAGACTTTTGGGTTTATTGGAATGGAATGAATATATTTCACATGTGAGAAGGTCATGAATTTTGGGGGACCAGGGACAGAATGCAATATACTGAATGTTTGTGTACCCCCAAAAGTCATATGTTGAAATCCTAATCCCTAAGGTGATGGTATTTGGAGATTGGGGCCTTTGGGAGGTGATTAGGTCATGAGGGTGGGGCCCTCATGATTGGATTAGTGCCCTCATAAAAGAGATCCCGGAGACTTCTTTTGCCCCTTCTGCTCTGTGAGGATACAGTGAAAAGATGGCCATCTGTGAATCAGGAAATGGGCCCTCACTGGGTACCATATCTGCTGGTGCCTTGATCTTGGACTTCCCAGCCTTCAGAACCATGAGAAATAAATTTCTCTTGTTTATAAGCCCCCTAGTCTATGGTATTCTGTTATAGCAGCAAAAATGAACTAAGACAGGGATGTAAGTCAGTGCAATTGCTGGGTTGTATGGTAAGCCATGTTTAGTTTTCTAAGAAAGTTTTACACTCTTTTCCAGAGTGGCTGTACCATTTTCCCATTACCACTAGCAATTTATAAGTGATTCCATTTCTCTACATCTTTGCAAGCATTTGGTATTTTCACTTTTTTTTTTTTTTTTGAGATGGAGTTTCACTTTTGTTGCCCAGGCTGGAGTGCAATGGCGCAATTTTTTGGCTCACTGCAACCTCTGCCTCCCAGGTTCAAGCGATTCTTCTGCCTCAGCCTCCCAAGTAGCTGGGATTACAGGCATGTGCCACCATGCCTGGCTAATTTTGTATTATTTTTAGTAGAGACGGGGTTTCACCATGTTGGCCAGGATGGTTTTGAACCCCCGACCTCAGGTGATCCACTCGCCTCGGCCTCCCAAAGTTCTGGGATTAGAGGGGTGAGCCACCGTGCCCAGCTCACTATTTTTTATTGTAGTCATTCTGATAGGTGTGTACTGCTATTTCATTGTAGTTTAAATTTGCATTTTCCTGATGGCTGATGATATTTAACATATTTTCATGCATTTATTTGCCATTTGAATATCCTCTTTGGTGAAATGTCTGTTGAGGTCTTTTGCCTATTTTCTTATGGATTTTTTTTTAACTTTGGGTTTTTGAGGGTTCTTTATATATTCTAGATATTATTCCTTTGTCAGCTATGTAGTTTGCAAATATTTTCTCCCAGTCTGTTGCTTGTTTTTCCATGTTTTCAACAGGGTCTTTCACAGATCAAAGTTTTAAATTTTGATGAGGTCTGATTTATCAGTTTTCCTGGATCATGCTTTTGGGGTCAAATCTAAGAACTCTTTGCCTAGTCCTAGATCATGACAATTTTCTCCTATAATGTTTTTCTCTAAAAGTTTTATAGTTTTACATTTTATATTTATGTCTGTGATCCATTTTGAGTTAATTTTTTACTTGAGGTATGAGATTTAGTAAAGGTTTTTGTTTTGTTTTTTAACCTATGGATGTCCAATTTCCCCAGCACCATTTGTTGAAAAGGCTGTCCTTCCTTCATTGAATTTCTTTTGCATCTTTGTCAAAAATCAGTTGAGCATATTTATGTGAGTCTAGAGAACCCAGGTTCTCTACTCTGTTTCCTTTATCTATGTGTCTATTCCACCACCAATACCATACTGTTTTGATTACTGTAGACATATAGTAGGTCTTAATGTTGGGGAGAATGATCCCTCCCACTTTATTCTTCTTTTTCAATATTGTTTTAGCTATTTTAGGGCTTATGCCTTTTCAAATAAATTTTAGAATAAGCTTGTCTGTGTCTACAAAAAACCTTGTTGGCTTTTGATAGGAATTGCATTAAGCCTATACAGTAATTTGGGGGAAAACTCACAACTTTACCTTGTTGGGTATTCTAATCAATGAACACTGATTCTCCATTTGTTTATTCTTTTACTTCTTCCATCAGTATGTAATTTTCACCATATAGATCTTGTGCATGCTTTCTTAAGTTTATAAGTAAGTATTTCATTTTCTTTGTGGAGAATGCAATGGTATTGTTTTGAAAGTTGGTTTCTACATGTTTATTGTAGTATATAGAAATATGATTAATTTTGTGTGTTGATTTTTGTATCCTGCTACCTTGCTGAACTCACTTATTATTTCTAGGAGTTTCTGGTAGATTTCTTGGAATTTTCTATATACATAATTGTGTCATTTGCAAATAGAGGTAGTTTCATTTCTTCCTTTCCAATCTATATACCTTTTATGGTGGCTAAAACTTCTTGCACTATGTTGAATAAATGCTGAGAGTGGACATTCTTGCTTTGTTCCAAGACTTAGGAAGAAAACATTTAGTCTTGTACCATAAAGTATGATGTTGAAGCCAGATGAGGTGGCTCATGCCTGTAATCCCAGCATTTTGAGAGTCTGAGGCAGACAGATCCCTTGAGCTCAGGAGTTCGAGACCAGCCTGGGCGACATGGTGAAACCCTGTCTCTACAAAAATATGAAAATTAGCTGGGTGTGGTGGCACACACCTACAGTCCCAGCTACTCAGGGGGCTGAGGCAGAAGGATCACTTGACACTGGGAGGTCAAGCCTGTAGTGAGCCAAGATTGCACCACTGTATTCCAGCATGGGCAACAGAGTGAGAACTTGTTTCAAAAAAAAAGTATGATGTTAGCTGTGGGTTTTTTGTAGATGTTCATCAAGTTGAGGTGGTTCCTATTTATTCCTGAGAGTTTTTATCATGACTAGGTGTTGGATTTTCTCAAATGCTTTTTCTATGTCAATTAATATGATTGTATGATTCTCCTTCCTTAGCCTGTTGATAGGGTCTATTACAATGATTTATTTTCAAATGTTTAACCAGCCTTGCATACCTAAAATAAATCCCATTTGGTCTTGATGTATAATTCTTTTTATAGTATATTCCTGGATTTGTCAATATTTTATTGAGGATTTTTTTTGTTTATGAGAGGTATTCTGTAGTTTTTTTGTTCTTTCTTTTCTTTGGTACTGTCTTTGTATGGTTATTGGTATCTGGGTAGTATTAGTCTCATAAAATGAGTTGGCAAGTGTTCCCACCTCTGCTGTTTTTTGGAAGATATTGTGTAAAATTGGTATTAATTCTTTTTAAAATGTTTGATAGAATTTTCCAGTGAAATCATTCAGGAGCCCTTTAATTACAAAATCATTTTTCACCCAGTGGTTATAGAACTATTCAGGTTGTCTATTTTATTGTGATTGAGTATGGTAGTTTGTGGATTTTGAGAAATTGTTCCACTCCTAAGTTTTTGAATTTGTGAACACACAGTTGCTCATAGTATTCCTTTATATTCCTTTAATGGCTGCAGGATCTGTAGTGATATCCTATGCTTTATTTTTGAGATTGGTAATTTGTGTCTTCTCTCTTTTTTATCTTTGCCAGGCTTGCTAAAGTTTTATTGATTTCACTGATTTTTAAAACAATTTAGTTTTGCTTCATTGATTTTCTATATTGTGTTCCTGTTTTTAATATCACTGATTTCTGCTTTTTACTATTTCCCTTCCTCTTCTTTTTAGTTTATTTTGCTCTTCTCTTTCTAGTTTCTTGTTTTTACTTATTCTGATGTTCTTCTTTCCTTTTTGAAGTTCCACACCTTCTTCTGTTATCATTTCCACTTTTTTTTTAGAAAGTCTCTTTTAGCAATTCTTTAAGGATAGATTTGCTAGCAACAAATTCTTAGTTTTCCTTATTCCAAGAATATCTTTACTTCTTCTTTATTACTGAACAAAATTTTTGCTTGATATAGAATTTGCAATTGACAGGTCTTTTCTTCCAATACTTGAAAAATGTGTTATTTCCTTCTGGTCTTCATGGTTTCACATGAGAAATACCCTGTGATTCAAATTGGTGTTCCACCATAAATAATGCATTTATTTCTTTTTGGATTTCATGGTTCCTTTTCTTTCTGTTTTGTGTCTTTCATTTTCAGAACTTTTCAGAAGTTATGTGTCTTGGCATGTTTTTCTTTAGATTTATCCTGTTTGGGATTCACTCCACTTCTTGAATCAATCTCTAAGCTTCTGTCTCTCACCAAATTTGGAAAGTGTTCAGCCATTATTCTTCAAGTACTTTTTCAATCCTACAAACATTTTATCAGCCCTCTGTCTCTTCTTTTTAGTATTCCATGAGACAAATGTTATCTATTTTATCATCTCACCAGTTCCTGAGATTGTTCATTTTTTTCAGTCCATTTTTTTTCCTTTGAAAATGCAAAGTATTTATTAATTTAAAAATCTTCTCATAACAGGGATCCTAGCTTGTAGTAAAGGCTACATTGTCTATATTTCATTCTTTAGGGCGAAGTCTGCCTAAGCTATTTCAAACAAATACATGTTAACAATGTTAACATACAATACATGTTAAAGTACTAGTTACCAACCCCTTTACCAATCCATTTTACTATTTAACAACCTTAATTGCAAGGCAGTTTCCCTTAAATACACTGAATTGCATCAGACATGAGATATAATGACAGGGACATTTATTTTGATTCAGATACCAACTCTGTCACCTGCTGAGCCCTGCCTGGGCCTCTTTATCCTCATCTGTAATATGAAAATGTGAGGAATGCCTATTATTTTCAGTCTATTTTTTCTCTTGCTCAGATTGGGAAAATTCTATTGATGTGTCCTTGAATTCACTGATTTTATCCTCTGTCAAATCCACTCTTTTGGTTATTGTGTTTTTCAGTTCTATAATCTCCCTTTGGTTCTTTTTAAATAACTTCTATTTCTTTGCTGAGATTTTCTATATTTTTTCACTTGTTTGAAGATAATTTGTAATTATCTGTTGAAGCGTTTTATGATGGCTGATTTTAAATCTTTGTCAGATAATTCCATCATCAGATTCATCTCCTCGTTGGTGTCTGTTGATTATCTTTTCTCATTCATGTGATTTTCCTGGTTCTTGATATGATGAGTGACTTTTGACTATATCCTGAACATTTGGATATTATATTATTAGACTATGGATTCTACTAATTCTTCTTTTTCTTTTTTTAACAGGTTGTCCCCTGGTTGAGGTACAGCATGAAGGCTGAGTGGGTGTGTATGTTCAGCTGCTCTCTGGTGCCCAATGATACTACTCTGGCAAAAGTAGGCACTGACTCCTGTTGCCTTGTTGTAGATGTGTGGGGTAGAAATTCAGTTCCCACACTGGCCCCATCAACACCTTCCCAGTGAAAATGGGGCACTGACGTTTGCCACCACACTGCCTCCTAATGGGAATGTAAGCCTGCATCCTTATTGGTTCCCATTGACACTAGTGAGGGTGCGGGGAAGCCAAGGGTTGACTCACTCTGCTTTTTTGTTACAGTGGAGGCAGTAGCTCAGCTTTGTGCTGAGCCCTGCAGACACCAAGGGAGTGAAAAGGAAAAGTGGAATGCCAACAAACCCCACCACTCACCACCTCCTTCTGTCCCATCAATGCCTGGTGTGGAAGGGTTCATCTCCCAACTGGGCCCCACTAATACTAGGGGTGGGAGAAAGCAAAGACTGTACTAAACCCACCTCATGTCACCTCATTCTGCCTTGTTAATGTCGGGTAGATTCGGAGGCTCAGCTCCCTACTGAGCCCGGCTGACATTAGTGGCGGGGGGATAGTGGACAGTGGAGTGCTGATTAGATCTGACTGGCATTGCCTTGTTCAGTCCTATTTATGCCATGTGGGGCTGGATACTTAGCTCCCTGCTGCTGGGCTCTGCTAACACTTGGGATGGGGGGTGATCAGGGTATGAACTATATCTTTCTGCCTCTTTAAGTCTCATTGCTACCTGGTGAGGATGGAGGCTCAGTTTGCTGTTGGACCCCACTGACACTACACTGTGGGGCAATCAGCAAACTGCCTGCTTTTGTTTGGCAGGGAGTAGAAGGTCAGCTTTCTGCTCAGCTTTACCAGTACCTCTGCATGGGAATCAGAGCACCAGCTGCTTTTGCCTGGTGGGCATTGGAAGATCCCACAGCAGGGAAGGGTACAGATTTTCTACTGGTGTTTGGTTGGAGTAGGGCAGGTATTGCCAAAAAAGTTTTCTGTTGTTATGCCTGACAGCTAGAGCTATCAGGCTTTTCATGGAGTTGTTTTTTTTTTTTTTTTTTTTTAATCTGTACTTGGCAGTTCTGGGTTGGAGAGTTGGAGGCTTCTGCACAGTGCCCTCTCTGGGATGTAAGGGAGGTGATAAGGAAACCCAGGAAATTCACTGTTGTGTTGTTCCTCAGTCTAACTAAGGTCCCTAAGAATTCTGCTTTCTCCTTTCAACCTTTCAGAGTCTTCCTATTCTTGTTTGCTGTGTTATGCACAGGGTTTCTTAGGAGAAGACCCTGGGAGGAAGGGGACATTCCATCTTCATCAGATGCAGAAGTTCCCTGTTTTTCTTTTTAACATGAGAGCAGGAAAAGCTTTTCAGACTATGTCTCAAAATTCAGAATCAATAAATAAAAGATTAATGAATTTACTTACATTAAAAACACATAATCATAATAAAATATAAAATGGTAAACATAGAGGAACTATTTTATATATATATCAGACAAAAGATTAATCTCCCTAATAAATAAAGCGATCTTAATAATTAAGAAGAAAAAGACTAAAACCTTGATAGAAAAAAAAACCAAAAGGCACAGAGAGTTCACAGAGAAATGCAAATGAACATTTGAAAAGTGCTCATTATTACTCACAAAAATAGAAATGCCAATTAAAACTGTATTGTTACCATTTTACACAAATCAGACTGGCCAAAACTCCAAAGTTTTACAAAACACACTGTTGACAGACAGACCTGTGGAGAAATAAGCACTTTTATACATTGCTGGTGAAAGTGTAACATGGTACAAGTCCCAAGGAGGTGAATTTGGCAATATGTAATAAAATTACATTTGCCCCTTGACCTAGCAATCCCACATCTAGAAATTTACCCTGAAGGCATGCTTCCATAATTATGAAATAATACATGTACAAGATTATTTTTCTGGCATTATTTTTAATAGTAAAGACTAGAAGCATCTGACATATCCACCAATAAAGGACTTATTGAATAAACTAAGCTATCATCTCATAATGAAGTACTAGACAGGTGTACAACAAGAATGACAAGGTGTCTATGTTCTGATATGAAGGTTATTTTTTTAAAAACAAGGTGCAGAACATGTATATAGTGTTTTATCTTTTCTATGTGAAAGGAGGAAAATAATATCATGTGTATTTGCTAAAATTTTTCCCCAAAAATTACTGGAAGAATAACCAGAAACTAATGGAAATGGTTACCTACAGAGGGCTTGGAGGGGGGCTGAGGAGGAGAGGATAAGAATTGAAAAGAGATTTCTGAGTATGCCTGTTAATATAATTTTGACTTAATATATAAATGTTTAACATCCAAAAAACAAAATTAAAAAAGAAGACAAACCAGTCTATAACTGAAAACAATCAAATGGACCTAAATGTATATCAAAGATAATGGAATCATACAGAGGCAAGAATTATTTCAAATAATTTGTGAATACAGTACACAGACTGTACCAAAGTAAAAAAGAAGTCAAAAGAAATCTTGAATATCACTTGGTAGTTTTACTTTGAGTAGTAACACTGGTATTAAAATTTTGAAATCTTTATATGTGTATGTATGTATGTATTACAGATAAAGCGAATTTGAATGAAAAATATCTATGTCTACCTACATCAATCTATCTATCCACACACACATTTCCAAGACTGACAACGTAATTGGCACAAAATAAAAATATGTGGTCACTTATTCAAAAAGCATTAATAAATGCTCTAAATAATAATGCCCTTAAAGGTATTAAAATATAAAGTTTTTCCCTTCCATAGCCTCTTACTCTCTCAACTTGTAATGGTGTTTTTATTGCTATTTAGTGTTGTTCTGAAGAATATTACAAATTTAAATTTTTTGCATTAATTTTACCTTTTATCTTTATATTGTGCAATATTTGTTTTTAAAGCAAATGTAAGAACCTTTAAGTCCTATGTGGAATAACTGAAATTTCACAATCTATATTTTGTGACTTGTCCCAGAGACTGCCTGGAGCTGGCCAGAAGAGACTAACACAAACCAGATTCAGGAAGGTTGGAAGGAGGAAGAAAGGGTCTCTCTAGGCACAGGATACAGCAAGTCCTGAGATAACATTGTTTCATTCAATGTTGTTTCCTTATAATGTTTGAAACTGTCCCCACAGTGTCGATAAGAATTTCATGGCAGGTTCTGGACAGAAATATAGTTATAATTAAGCATTAATCACACTGCACTTTGGTCCACTTCCTTGTTCCTAAAAGTCAGGTAACACTAGATAGTGACCATTTGCATTTCCACTGGCTTTCTGACATTGACTGTTTAAGAATTGATTTGTATCCCCATTGTTCCTATAGACAGGATCTCTGACATTGGAATCATAAGGCTTTTGTTTAAGGATCACTTAAGATGTTTTTCTGGCACCAAATTCCAACAACTAGTTTGAAGACCCCCGCAGAGAAAGAGGATCAACATGAAAATACAGCTTCTTCATCTCCCTGCCCCATCACTTCCCCCGCTCGTTTCACAAATCAAGGATCTCCACCCTTCAGCCCACTCCAAAACCCTTAAAAACACTAAACACAAATTCCTCAGGGAGACGGATTTGAGATTTTCTCTCATCTCCTTGTTCATTGACCCTACAATTAAACCTCTTTCTCTACTGCAACCTGGTGTCTCAGCATATTGACTTGCTGTGTGCATGAGGCAATGAACCTATTACAGATACATGTCAATGAGAAAAAGAATAGATTCTGGGCAGGGGCTATTGTCTCTGTGGAATTTGCACATTCTCCTCATGTGTGTGGGTTTTCTCCAGGGACTCTGGTTTTCTCTCACATTGCAAAACTGTGCACCTTTAGTCAACTGGCATGTCTACATGGTCCCAGTGTGAGCGAGTGTGGGTATATGTGTGGGTGAGCCCTGCCATGGGATGACATCCTGTCCAGAGCACATACCCACCTGATGCCTCAAACTGCTGGGATGGGCTCCAGCCACCTATGACCCTGCATTGGAATAAGCAAGTTGAAAAATGAATGAAAGAATGAATACAAATGATTGTCAAATAAAAATTCAAAAAGTCTACAATAATCATACAAATGCATGACAATACAAGACACAGCACAAAAGCACTCAGTGAGCCCACTATATTTGTGACTGGTTTTGAACTGTGTGGTGGTGGGAGGAAGTGCTTCTGAAACTGCCTTTGCAAAGATTATGACTGCAAGAGAAGTCTAACATGGCTGAGTCCATCTTGCTTCTAGCCTCACAAGCTGGTTGTCTTTACTCATTCCTGGATGTAGGCCAAGCTAACCATGGGAGGACTTCATTTATAGTTTAACTTTGAAGAAAGGATGATAATAGTCCCTCCCTAAAACTGATCACCTCCTTGTTCAAGGGCTGAAACTGCCTTTGTAAGACTCATTAAAGGCCTTAAGATTAGGATTCTGCAAAGGGCCTGAATTCTGCTAAAACGTAGGCATAATTTCTTTTCTTTTTTTTTTTCTTTTTTTTTGAGAGGGAGTCTTGCTCTGTGGCCCAGGCTGGAGTGCAATGGCACGATCTCGGCTCACTGCAACCTCCGCCTCCCGGGTTCAAGCGATTCTCCTGTCTCAGCCTCCTGAGTAGCTGGGATTACAGGCACCTGCCACCAAGCCCGGCTAATTTTTGTATTTTCAGTAGAGATGGGGTTTCCATGTTGGGCAGGCTGGTCTTGAATGCCTGACCTCGTGATCCACCCACCTCAGCCTCCCCAAGTGCTGGGATTACAGGCGTGAGCCATCGCACCTGGCCTAAATGTAAGCATAATTTCTATAATCCCTTACTGCTCAGGAGTTATGTGGCCCGAGGTCACAAGATTTGTGACTTCTCCAATTGCTCCTGTAGATAACATCACTATTGTAGAACCTAACACTGGTCTATTGAGATGTTTTTCAGACTTTCAAATAACAGCAAATGGCTGACCCCATCGGGATTTGTGACTCATGACTCAACTGGCCTGGTGGCCCCCAAACCAAAGGTGGACTCAGTGCATGACGGCTGTTTTCCACACCCTTGTGATTGCATCCCCAATCAATCATCAGCACCTAATCTCTAGTCCCCTGTCCCTCAAACTATCCTTGAAAAACCCTAACCTCCGAGCTTTTGGAAAGACAGATTTGAGTGATAACTCCAGTCATTTCACTCAGAAGCCTTGTGTTAATTAAACTCTTTCTTTACTGCAATACAGTGGTCTCACTGAATTGGTTTTGTTTGTGCAGCAGGCAGAAAGAGCCTGCCAGGTGATTACACTCCTTGCAATGTTCATTATGCAAACATTTATTCTCTGATTTAACCCACCACCACCACAACCAAAGCTGTCACTCAGTGATTCACCAAAAATGGTGGAAATAATTATCTTACTAACTTTTTTCTATCTTTCTTAAATGTATGCATAGTTCACATTTCTTTCTTTTTCTTTTAATTATTTTTTTCCATAAGTTATTGGGGTACAGGTGATATTTGGTTACATAAGTTCTTTAGTGGTGATTTGTGACATTTTGGTGCACCTATCACCCGAGCAGTATACACTGCAACATATTTGTAGCCTTTTATCCCTCGCCCCCATCTCACTCTTTCCCCCAAGTTCCGAAAGTCCACTGTATTGTTCTTATGCCTTTGCGTCCTCATAGCTTAGCTCCCATCTATCAGTGAGAACATACGATGTTTGGTTTAATCATTCCTGAATTACTTCACTTAGAATATTAGTCTCCAATCTCATCCAGGTCACTGCAAATGCTCTTAATTCATTCCTTTTTATGGTTGAGTAGTATTCCATCATTCATATATATATATATATATATATATATATATATATATATATATATATAGCACAGTTTCTTTATCCACTCATTGATTGATGGGCATTTGGGTTGGTTCCACGATTTTGCAATTGTGAATTGTGCTGCTATAAACATGCGTGCACAAGTATCTTTTCCTCTGAGTAGATACCCAGTAGTGGGATTGCTGGATCAAATGGTGGTTCTTTTAGTTCTTTAAGGAATCTCCACACTGTTTTCCATAGTGGCTGTGCTAGTTAACATTCCCATCAGCAGTGTCAGTTTTCTGATTTTTTTTATTATGGTCATTCTTGCAGGAGTAAGGTGGTATTGCATTGTGGTTTCGATTTGCATTTCCCTGATCATTAGTGATGCTGAGCATTTTTTCATGTTTGTTGGCCATTTGTATATCTTTTTTTTTTTTTTTTTTTGAGACAGAGTCTCGCTCTGTTTCCCAAGCTGGAGTGCCGTGGCGTGATCTTGGCTCACTGCAAGCTCCGCCTCCTGGGTTCACCATTCTCCTGCCTCAGCCTCCCAAGTAGCTGGGACTACAGGCGCCTGCCACCATGCCCAGCTAAGTTTCTGTATTTTTAGTAGAGACAGGGTTTCACCGTGTTAGCCAGGATGGTCTCGATCTCCTGACCTTGTGATCACCCACCTCGGCCTCCCCTTGTGATCTTCACACCTCGGCCTCCAGGCGTGAGCCACCACGCCTGGCCCATTTGTATATCTTCTTTTGAGAATTGTCTATTCATGTCCTTAGCCCACTTTTTGATGGGATTGTTTTTTTCTTTCTTTTTTTTTTTTTTGATGGAGTCTTGCTCTGTCACCAGGTTGGAGTGCAGTGGTGTGATCTCGGCTCACTGCAACCTCTGCCTCCTGGGTTTAAGCGATTCTCCTGCCTCAGCCTCCTGAGTAGCTGGGACTACAGGAGCATGCCACCACACCCAGCTAATTTTTGTATTTTTAGTAGAGATGGGGTTTCACCATGTTGGCCAGGATGGTCTTGATCTCTTGACCTCAGGATCTGCCTGCCTTGGCCTCCCAAAGTACTGGGATTACAGGTGTGAGCCACCCCACCCAGCCATGTTTGTTTTGTTCTTACTGATTTGTTTGAGTTTGTTGTAGATTCTGGATATTAGTTTTTTGTCAGATGTACAGATTGTGAAGATTTTCTCCCACTCTGTGAGTTGTCTGTTTACTCTGTTGACTGTTCATTTTGCCACGCAAAAGCTCTTTAGTTTAATTAGGTCCCAGCTATTTATCTTTGTTTTTATTGCATTTGCTTTTGGGTTCTTGGTCATGAAATCCTTGCCTAAGCCAATGTCTAGAAGGGTTTTTCCAATGTTGTCTTCTAGAATTTTTACAGTTTCAGGTCTTAGGTTTAAGTCCTCAATCCATCTTGAGTTGCTTTTTGCATAAGGTGAGAGATGAGGATCCAGTTTCATTCTCCTACATATGGCCAGCCAGTTATTCCAGCACCATCTGTTGAAAAGGATGTCCTTTCCCCACTTTATGTTTTTGTTTGCTTTGTCGAAGATCAGTTGGCTGTAAGTATTTGGGTTTATTTCTGGGTTCTCTATTCTGTTCCATTGGTTTATGTGCCTATTTTTACACCAGTACCATGTTGTTTTAGTGACCATGGCCTTACGTATAGTTTGAAACCAGGTAGTGTGATGCCTCCAGATTTTTTTTTTTTCCTTAGTATTGCTTTGGCTATGCAGGCTCTTTTTTGGTTCCACATGAATTTTAAAATTGTTTTTTCTAATTCTGTGAAGAATAATGGTGGTATTTTGATGGGGATTGCATTGAATTTGTAGATTGTCCTTGGCAGTGTGGTCATTTTCACAATATTGATTCTACCCATCCATGAGCATGGGATGTGTTTCCATTTGCTAGTGTCATCTATGATTTCTTTCAGCAGTGCTTTGTAGTTTTCCTTGTAGAGGTCTTTTGACTACTTGGTTAGGTATATTCCTAACTATTTTTTTTTCCAGATATTGTAAAAGGGGTTGAATTCTTGATTTGATTCTCTGCTTGGTCACTATCGGTGTATAGAAGAGCTACCTATTTTTGTACATTAATTTTGTATCTGAAAACTTTGCCGAATGCTTTTATCAGTTCTAGAAGCTTTCTGGAGGAGTCTTTAGGGTTTTCAAGGTAAACGATCACATCCTCAGCAAACAGTGACAGTTTGACTTCCTCTTTGCTGATTTGGATGCCCTTTATTTCTTTCTCTTGTTTGATTGCTCTGGCTAGGACTTCCAGTACTATGTTGAAGAGGAGTGGTGAGAGTGGGCATCCTTGTCTTGTTCCAGTGCCCAGAGGGAATGCTTTCAACTTTTCTCCATTCAGTATTATGTTGGCTGTGGGTTTGCCATAGATGGCTTTCATTACATTAAGGTATGTCCCTTGTATGCCAATTTTGCTGAGAGTTTTAATCATAAAGGGATGCTGGATTTTGTTGAATACTTTTTCTGCATCTATTGAGATGATCATGTGATTTTTGTTTTTAATTCTGTTTATGTGGTGTATCACATTTATTGACATGCATATGTTAAACTGTCTCTGCATCCCTGGTATGAAACCTCCTTAATCATGGTGGATTATCTTTTTGATATGCTATTGGATTCAGTTAGCTAGTATTTTGTTAAGGATTTTAGCGTCTACGGTCATCAAGGATATCAGTCTGTAGTTTCCTTTTTTGGTTATGTCCTTCCTTTGTTTTGGTATTACAGTGATGCTGGCTTCACAGAATGAATTAAGAGGGGTTCATTCTTTCTCTATCTTGTGGAATAGTGTCAAAAGGATTGCTACCAATTCTTCTTTGAATGCCTGGTAGAATTCTGCTGTGAATCTGTCTGGTCCTGGATTTTTTTTGTTGGTAATTTTTAAATTACCATTTCAATCTCACTGCTTGCTATTTCTGTTCAGAGTATCTAATTCTTCCTGATTTAAGCTAGAAGGGTTGTATTTTTCCAGGAGTTTATCCATCTCTTCTAGGTTTTCTAGTTTATGTGCGTAAAGGTGTTTACAGTAGCCTTGGATGATCTTTTGTATTTCAGTGATGTCAGTTGTAATATCTCCTGCTTCATTTCTTAGTGAGGTTATTTGGATTTTCTGTCTTGTTTTCTTGGTTAATCTTGCTAATGGTCTATCAATTTAATTTATCTTTTCAATGAACAGCTTTTTGTTTCATTTATCGTGTGTGTGTGTGTGTGTGTGTGTGTGTGTTTGTTTCAATGTCCTGCTGGCTGTGGTGGCTCACTCCTGTAATCCCAACACTTTGGGAGGCCGAGGTGGGCAGATCATTTGAGGTCAGGAGTTTGAGACCAGCCTGACCAACATGGTGAAACCCCATCTCTACTAAAAATACAAAAAAAATTAGCTGGGCATGGTGGTTCATGCCTGTAGTCCCAGCTACTCGGGAGGCTGAGGCAGGAGATTCACTTGAACCCAGGAGGTGGAGGTTGCAGTGAGCTGAGATCGTGCCACTGTACTCCAGCCTGGGCAATAGAGTGAGACTCCATCTTAAAAAATCAAACAAACAAACAATTTCCTTTACTTCTGCTCTGCTCTTGGTTATTTCCTTTCTTCTGCTGGGTTTGGGTTTGGTTTGTTCTTCTTTCTCTACTTCCTTGAGGTGTGACCTTAGAATGTCAGCTTGTGCTCTTTCAGTCTTTTTGATGTAGGCATTTAGGGCTATGAACTTTCCTCTTAGCACCGCCTTTGCTGTATCCCAGAGGTTTTGGTAGGTTGTGTCATTATTGTCATTCAGTTTGAAGAATTTTTTAATTTCCATCTTGATTTTGTTTTTGACTCAATGCTTATTCAGGAGCAATTTATTTAATTTCCATGTATTTGCATGGTTTTGAAGGTTCCTTTTGGAGTTGAATTCCAGTTCTATTCCACTGTGATCTGAGAGAGTGCTTGATATAATTTCAATTTTCTTAAATTTACTGAGGTTAATTTTATGGCCTATCACATGGTCTATCTTGGAGAAAGTTCCATGCACTGTTAAATAGAATGTGCATTCTGCGGTTGTTGGATGCAATGTTCTGTATATATCTGTTAATTCCATTTGTTCCAGGATATAGTGTAAATTCATTGTTTCTTTGTTTACTTTCTGTCTTGATGACCTGTCTAATGCTGTCAGTGGAGTATTGAAGTCCCCCACTATTATTGTGTTGCTATCTCATTTCTTATAAATTTGGGAGCTCCAGTGTTAGGTGCATAATTTATAAAAATTCATAATTTATAAAAATTTATAAATTTTTATAAATTTGGGAGCTCCAGTGTCAGGTGCATATATGTTTAGGATTGTGATGTTTTCCTGTTGGACAAGGCCTTTTACCTTTATATACTGTCCCTCTTTGTCTCTTTTAACCACTGTTGCTTTAAAGTTTGTTTTGTCTGATATAAGAATAGCTACCGCTGCTTGCTTTTGGTGTGCATTTGTATGAAATGCCTTTTTCCACCCCTTTCCTTTAAGTTTATGTGAGTCCCCTTATGTGTTAGGTGAGTCTCCTGAAGCCAGCAGATAGTTGGTTGGTGAGTTCTTATCCATTCTGTGGTTCTGTATCTTTTAAGTGGAGCATTTAGGACATTTACATTCAATGTTAGTATTGAAATGGGCGATTCAATAACAATGCATTCATTAGGGTTGTGCTCTTTGTTGCCTGTGTACTTTGGTTTTTTTGTTTTTGCTTTTTAACTTGTATTTTTGTTTTACAGGTCCTGTGTGATTTATGCTTTAAAGAGGTTCTGTTTTGATGTGTTTCCAGGATTTGTTTCAAGATTTAGAACTCCTTTTAGCAGTTCCTGTAGTGGTGGCTTGTTAATGGCGAATTCTCTCAGAATTTGTTTTTCTGAAAAAGACTATATCTTTCCTTCATATATGATGCTTAGTTTTGCTAGATACAAAATTCTTGGCTGATCATTGTTTTGTTTGAGGAGGCTGAAGATAGGGCCCCTATCCTTCTAGCTTGTAGGGTTTTTGCTGAGAAATCTGCTGTTAATCTGATAGGTTTTCCTTTATAGGTTACCTGGTGCTTCTGTCTCACCGTTCTTAAGATTCTTTACTTCGTTTTAGCTCTGGATAACCTGATGACAATGTGTCTAGGCGATGATCTTTTTGTGATGAATTTCCCAGGCATTCTTTGGGCTTCTTGTATTTGGATGTCTAGGTCTCCAGCAAGACTGGGGAAGTTTTCCTCAATTATTCCCCCAAATATGTTTTCCAAGCTTTTAGAATTCTCTTCTTTCTCAGAAACACCAGGCTAGGCATGTCTGAGCTCAGACTCTCTTTGGGTGGGTCTTGCTGTGGCTGCTGTGGGGGATGGGGGTCAGATTCCCAGGTCACTGGAGTTGTGTACCTAGGAGGATAATGCTGTCTCTGCTGAGTCATGAAGGTTTTCAGGGAAGTGGGGGAAATCCGGCAGTCACAAGCCTCACCCAGCTCCCACACATACCGAAGGGCCGGTCTCACTCCCACCGTGCTCCCACAAACAGCCCCCAGTCTGTTTCCTGGTGGTGGGTGAGATGGGCTTGAAACCTTGCCCCAGGCTACCTGCTTCCCAGCTGCAGGTAGGGAAAAGAAAAGGGCTTGGTTCTTTCCCCGCCTGTGGAGTCTGCACAGTGAACTTGTGCCCTCCCCCAGGTTCTGGCCAGGAGGCTTCTCACCCTGTTCAAATTGTTACAAAGTTCAGCTAGAGATTTCCTTCTCCCTGTGGAGTTTTACCTCTTGCTCCTCTGGCCACCCTCCCGATGGATCCTTGTGGTGCCAGGCAGGAATGGCTGCTTGGGGACCCACTGAGCTCCCAGACCTTTCTGCTGTATCCTCTACCCCTGTATTTCACTTGGCTCTCTAAATTGACTCAGCTCCAAGTAAGGTCGGAAACTTCTCCCACAAACAGACCTTCAGTTTCTCCAGCGGGGGTGAGTGTTCAGGAGAGGAGGGTCTCCCTTTCCCACTTCCACAGTTGGGGCACTCACAGTATTTGGGGTGTCTCCCAGGTCCTGCAAAAGCAGTCTGCTTCCTTTAGAGGGTCTGTGGGTCCCCTTGGGATTGCTGCTTTGTTCTTGCAGTTGATCTGGAGCTTAAATTCACAGTGCGAGCCTCCACATGCTGCTCTGTCTGGAGCTCTAGTCTAGTCCTGCCTCCCATCTGCCATGATGATCATAGTTCACATTTATTTCTATATTTAATATTAGAAATGTTTGGGTCTTTATTTTAGAAGTTTGGTGATGTTTTTCTGACCACAAATTGTGCCCTAGGAACTTAACTCTTGTTATATAAGTTAGCCTATGGTAAAATTAGTTTTGTTACATGTCATTTCACTTAAATTTGCAGTTTCCAAGAACCTATCGATGATGTTAAGTGAAGACTTACTCTATGTCCCTTGCATGGGATACTTGAGGGAGAAGTGCAGATGCTCACAGGCACTCAGGAGGCCTGCCCTATGTGATGGGGCATGTGTGATCCGTTGAGCCTGAGAGCTGCCAGGTTCCCTCTCCTTCTGGTGTCTAGGCTGATATAACGTGCCCCAGCTGAAGGCAGGGAGGTCAAGCCAGGCATTTTTCCCTCCCATGGTCCTGCTGCCCCAACACATTACAAATGGGAGGCTTCCAAACATATTGCAGCCTCCATGCTAGGATGCACTAGGTAACCGGATGGTGGTGGGTAATAGGTTACCCCTGCCTAGTCACCTAATGAATGCGATGTGGCACTGCCAATCCAGATTGGAAATGCTACCGCCATTCCTTGTTCCAAGATACTGCAGGGCAAACACACTTAACCTGACCTTCCCTGCACTCACACCAGTTTGAGACAGAGAGCAACAGTGGTTGCTGGGAAGGGTTGGAGATGGAGGAAATGGAGAGACCAGGCAGTGCCCAGGGTTCCAGGGAGTTGGGGAGCAACCCCTGAGAACCCACCCTGGGGAGGTTAGGGAGCCACATATGAGCCAAGGTTCCGAGCCCCTGGTGTGTGCTTCCTTATCTACTGGACTCTACTTACAAAGCACAAATATAAAAATAAAATTGCATAGAGTTTCAAGACAGTGATTACAGAGCATTAAACCCCAAGCACCAGGCCCTTCTGAGCAGGAGTACACAAGTACACCAATAAAGCTAGTCCTTCACATTTCCTAGTGCTGTGCACTGCTGTGGCCTAGAAGCAATGGTATCCCAGTAGCAATAAGCATACCTTGAAACCAGATCTTGGTTTCTAAATACCATTTCCTAATTAAAAAAAAAAAGCAGTGCTTCTTGGAAAAATGGTGGATTCCTGTCTTGGCACAGGCAAAGTACAAGGTGAGGCTGGGACTTCTTGTGCCAGGATATAGGAAAGCACCAAAAGACCAGTGGGATTGTGTCAAAAGGACTCAGGAGTCAGGTTAAAGGGGCTCTCTCCTTGGCCAAATTTGGGACAATTGAGCATCAAGAAGAATAATGATCATAATTGCTTATAATCACTGAGTAAATTAAAACCATGAATATATTATGATAAACAAGTGAAAACTCACTAGTGATCAATGATGACAATTATATCAACTTCTTTTTTTCCTGAAATTTTATAACTAAGGGAAAGATTTAGGCATTTACCCTGACTTTTTAGTTAATCCCTATTTGATTCTTCTTTATAGAGGAATGTCAGGTAACAATTACAAACAAATTTATACAATATCATCATTTTCCCATTTTCCAATAAAAGAATCAATTCAGGCAAGGATCATCAATGACTGCTAACATAATTGGAGGACAGACTGGTGGAGGCAGCATACTTATGTAGTTCCAATGTACCAGCCCTCAAGTTACTCTTTTTCTAATTTTTAAAATTTTTGTAGAGACAGGGGCTCACATGATACCCAGGTTGGTCTTGAACTCATGGCCTCAAGGGATCCTCCTGCCTCCATCCCCCAAAGTGCTGGGATTATAGGCATGAGCCACCACATGTGGCCTCATGTTACTTTTTAATTGCAAAGGGAAGAATTTAGCTTGGTTCTCATTACCTTAACCCAGTGATTACACTTGACATCACTTATAGTGAGACAGCCTGGTGTTATGTGCCTCCTGAGGTGATGCAATATGAACTACACAACATAACCTATGTAGTATTCTTGCCAAAAATGTTTAACCTGAATCTAATTATGCCTCTAGACCTAACATCCAGTTTACAGGTGTCTCAGCTTGCCAGGACTGCTGAAACAAAGTACCACAAACTGTGTGGAATAAACAGGAGAAATTTATTGTCTCACAGTTCTAGAGGCTGGAAGTCTGAGATTAAGGTGCTGGTGGGGTTGGTTCCTTTTGAAGCCTGTGAGAGAATGAACTCTTGTAGACCTCTTCTTGGGGAGTGGCTCAATGGCTCGTAGCCCTGTGAATTAAAGTGACAAAAAACAGTTTACTGAGCTGGGTATGTGTAGTGGTGTGCACCTGTAATCCCAGCTACTTGGGAGGCTGGGGCGGGAGTTCAGAAGTTCAAGACCAGCTGAAACTGCCTTTGCAAAGATTATAAAGTGAGACAGTAAAAGAGATCTGACCAAACTGACTCCATTTTCCCTTTAAGCTCCAAGCTGCCCTTGTTCCTTCCTGGGCATAAGTCAAACTAACTTTGGGAGGAATTTAGTCTATAGTTTAACTTTGAAACAAAGATGATAACAGTCCCTCCCTGAAACAAACTCCCTCCTTGCTTGGGGACCAGATCATGTTTATAAAACTAACAATTTAGCCACAAGATTAGAAATTATGGCTCAAGAGTCATGTAGCTAGAGCCCACAAGATTCCTAACTTTCTCAATTGCTCCTATGGATAACATCACTATTGTAAAACCAAAGATTGGTGTTTGAGGTATTTTTCAGACCCTGCATTCTGATGGATTAGCTGGTGCCACCCGGACTGGTAAACTGGGTCCTCTGCTCTTGTGGCTCACACCCAGGAACTGACTCAGTGCAAGAATACAAGCTCCGACTCCCTGTGATTTCATCCATGAGCCGACCAATCAGCATTCTCCATTTCCAAGCCTTTTGCCCGCCAAACTATCTTTAAAAAAGCCTAGCCTCTGAGTTTTGGGGGAGGCTGATTTGAGTAATAATTAAACTCTAGTCTCGTGTTTAGCCAGCTCTCTGTGTATTAAACTATTAAACTCTTTCTCTATTGCAATTCCCTTGTCTTGATAAATGAACTGCATCTGGGCAGCAGGCAAGATGAACCAGTTGGGTGGTTACTCAGGCTAGGCAAAATAGCAAGACCCCATCTATATAAATTTTTTTTTCATAAAAAAAAGAAGACAGGTTACCCTGAGAAAAAGATAGATTTAATTATATACATACACACAAAAGTTAACAAATGAGGGTGACTCAAGGAAGCGTTAGAATTTGGGGCTTACATACCATCCTAAACTAGACAAAAGGAAAGGAGGTTTTGGGCTTTTTGGAGGGTGGTAAGTTATGGGAAATGTATGGTAAATAAGGATTGTCTTGCTATTTAGATAGGAGACATCTCAGGTGCTAAGAGTTTTCCTAGTACAGGAGAGGGAGACACCTTACAACTGGAAATTTATGTCCTGCTTTTAGTCAGAAGCAGGAAGGGCAGAGAGCTAATTGCCTTCAGCTCAAAACCATCCTTTTTGAGTGACATGTTTGGGGGTGGCATATTCTGGCCCCCTTCACTTGCTTCTAGTTTCTGGTAGTTTGCTAGCAATCTTTCACATTCCTTGACATGTAGAAGTGTCACTCTGATCCCTGCCTTCATGTCCACAGGGCATTCCCCTTATATGTGCATGTCTATCTCCAAATTTCCCCTTTTTATAAGGACACTAGTCATATTGGATTAGGGACCCACCCTATTACCCTACTCTGGTATGACCTCATCTTAACCAATTATGTCTACAGTGACTATTTCCAAATAAAGTCACATTCTGAGGTACTGGCGGTTAGGGCTTCAACATATGAATTTTGGGGGACAAACACAATTGAACTCATTGCAGGAAATCTGGTGGGGCAGAACAAGAACACCACCACACACAATTGATCAGACAAATCTAGAATGTGGGGCTTTCTACAAAGTCTCTTCAAAAACACAATGTCATTTTTAAAAAGTAGAGGGACTATTCCAAAAAGACTAAAAAAACCAAATGTATGAATTGTGATTGGATTTTGGTTTAATTAAGAAACTGCTACAAGACATAGTACAGGTTGAGGAGATTTGAATGTGGACTGGGTATTCTGAGAGTTAGGTGGTATTAGGCAATTACTGTCGATTTTCTTAGAGGTAATCATTGTACAATAGTTATATAAGAGAATTAACTTATATTAGAATGATGCAAGCTGAAGTATTTGGGATGAAGTGTCATGATGTCACTTTTAATTTAATTTACTTTTAAATAGATCAGCAAAAAAAAAAGTATATATTCATGAAGCAAATCTGTATATATAGCTGTGTATATAGATAAAGCAAATATACCAGAAGGTTAACATTTGTCAAATTTCAATGGTGGGTATAGGGGTTTTCATTGTGCTATTCTTTCAACTTTTCTGCATGTTTGAAGTTTTTCGTAATAAAAAGTTGACAGAAAATGAAGAAAAATAGTTTTTTAAGAGAAGATTTTTTTCCCCCATCTTTCTATTGAAAATAGAGCATTAAAAAAATCCAACTGGCTTAAAACGTACATGAAAATTCAGTTAGTGAAAAAGTAAAATTTGCTGTTAGGGTTGTAAAACAGTTGGGCTGTTTTCCAAGCAATTCCTTCCCTTTATTACTGTGAGTTGGAGGTTAGAGCACAAGGCCCTCAATCAAGAATTATTTGAAGGCCTCCAAAAGCCCTGCTGACCTCCAAGTATCTCCCCTGCTGGCTTTCCATGTGGCCTGAAATTTCTGTCACCTGGGTCAATTCTCAGGGATCAAGTATTTTCTCACTATTGGGGAGGCAGTGCCCCCTTTTAAAATGCAAATCTGGGAGGGATCCTGGGCCCATTAAGTGGGAACAATTGTCTGAGGAGCCACCACCTGCCCAAAGGCCCGCAATTCTGACAGCTCCTTCCCCAACCCCTTACCACCACTGAGATTGGACAATGTGTGCTTTAGGAAACAAAATTGAACAATGCATGCTCTAAGAAACTTCTTAGGTGAAGACACCATTTCAAGAAAGCTTATTTTCCGTGAATAAAATGGGGTGCATGAGGTCATTGCTGTTTTTACTTTGTAAACTGGGTGGCCTCTGAAAGCTTCTTTACAACACTTCAAAGGAAGCCTCCTCAACTCTTCCAGGCCCCCACCCCCTTTCCTTTGTTACCGCATTCTTACTGACCCCAAGGTTTTTCACTGAATGAAGAGTTTCCAAGGGGTCTAAAAAATACCTGGGACAATTAGAGAAATGAAAACCAGGGGGTCAAGATGAATCGACCCTTGGCAGAGGATTTACATAAATAGGTCCTAACCTCTGGCTGTGAATAAAAGATAAAATGCCCCACTGGGGTCAGAACTGCAGTTCAAGGGCATTTGCAGGGCCAAGCCTGGCTTCTCTGCTATGTCAGGAATTCCAGGAATGCCACTGATCATTGTGTGTTGGCAGGGCGCAGGAGGTTGCAGCCAGGCTAACAGAAACCCAGCCCTGCCCACTGGGTGAAACTGCAAGTCGAGAGCGTGGGAAACCAGCAAGTTGAGAGAGGATCCAGAAGTAACCCCTTCTAAAACGGGAAAGATGCCTTCCGAAAGGTGACCAAATTCTTGTTTTAGATGGTGGTGTTAATTTGGGAGGTTGGAAGGGAGGCAGGTGGGAGAAGGGACATGTCCCTTTCGAAGAGCCCCTTTGTTTCTTCTGTGGAGCACAGCTCTGTGGGAGGCATCTGCTCTTTACCTATAGACCGGATGGCCTGGTACTGGTCTTCTCTAGACTGAAGGTCCTCCACCAGGTCTCCTGCTGCTGCTACCTAAGAAAGAAATCTCACAAGGGTGTTAAAAGGTAATTTCCAGAAAGAGGTAAAATCGTGACCGTTATACAGATATAAAAACGAACATGTGTTAAAGACTTTATTTTACTTACATAACTGAGAGAGCCAGGCAGATGTTATAACTGGTTTAAAAAAGAAACAGCCCCAATTTATGTGGAGTAAAGGAATTTAGAGATGAATTGCAAATGGAAGCAAACTGTTTATTGCCCCCCACCCCGCCCCCGCCGCCACACACACAGGGGGAAGGAAGTCAATTGAACCAGATAGGACAGGATTTGCATATCTATCAGTGACCTACAACTTAGGGAGTGGCAAATAGCTCCAGTAGAATCAGAATCAGATAACGCCTGAAAGCACGTACTACAGGCAATAGTTTTCTATTGAAGTGTGAATTTACAGGGGCAAGAAATTTTGCTTTCTGAATTTTTTTTTTTTTTGAGACAATGTTTCACTCTGTCACCCAGGCTGGAGTGCAGTGGCGCGATCTCGGCTCACTGCAACCTCTGCCTCCCGGGTTCAAGCAATTCTCTTGCCTTGGCCTCCCAAGTAGCTGGGGTTACAGGCATGTGCCACCACGCCCGGCTAATTTTTGTATTTTTAGTGGAGATGGGGTTTCTCCATGTTGGTCAGGCTGGTCTCAAACTTCTGGCTTCACATGCTTTTTTAACCCAAGAGAGTGAGATGAACTTGAGAATCTTTGGTCAAAGTTGCCCCCCAAACCTCCACAATATTCTACCTTACTTTATTTCCCTGTCACATCAAAATGCATACAATCGTGGTTGATTTGTTTCTCGGTGATTTGAGAAGGATTACAAAGAGGCTGTCTTGACCTTGTCATCTTGTTCTTTTCTCTCTTACAGCACTTGGCCCTAAAGAGAAAACACTAGGAGGATGGGAACCAGGGACAGAGAAGCTACTTGCTCTGCAGCTGTTTGGGCCAGTATGTTCCCTAATCTTGATGGCCATCCTGGGCTTATTTTCCTGAGAGTCTCTAAGTGACTCACTGCATCACGTAAAACTAAGAAAAAGGATGTCCTGAATTTTCCTGCTTAGAGAGCTTGTTTTTCTTTCCTGTTGCATCAAAGGGGTCTGTTAAACTTTCTAAAAGTACTAATCTGACCTGATATCTGAAGTAACAGATAGGAATTTGGGCTCTTTAAATGGAGCCCTTCCCCCATACCTGCATCTCATTGAAGAGGCTGAACTTCAAAACAAAATCATGTTGGAGAATTAAGTCTCGTTCCCAGATTTAATTTCTTATTTTTATATTGTTGCATAAGAAATCTACTCTATAAGGCATCTATTTTCAAATTTGGAAAATCTTATTTTAAGTTCATTTATTTAAAGACCAACAAACAAAAACACCAAATTCACTAGCCCAGGTCTTTATGGACCACCATCTCCCCTCCCCGCCTCCATTTCTCCCTGGAGTAGTGATTGTGGGGCCACTGCATGAATTTTACTCTATTATTTATCTAATGAGCAAAGCCAAGGCTGGCAATGCTGAGAATGCATGAGGGAAAAAAAGATATCACAATGACAGCACACTCTGCAGCGTTCCATCCAAAAGCAAGTAAGTGACTCACTGTTCTGTAAAGCACAGGGCAGATTCTTATACGGAAAAACTACCCTCAGAAGTGCATGTGAGACCCTAGTCTGTGTAAAGGAATTTACTCTGGGTTTTCTTCACATTGGCACTCAGGTATGCGGGTGTGGGTTCACAGACATTCCTTTCTGACTCATTACCCACTTTGCCCCTGCTCCCCGCCCCCTTAGTGCTTGAGGCACTTTTTCCAGCCTCCCCTGGGCTGGGGCAGAGATTGATGGTATCTTGGCACTCTCCAAAGAGAAGCTGTGCCCCTTTGCACTTTCTTTTTGTGACTAGTCCTTAAGACTTGCTGCCAAGCTTGGTTAAATGGACATGGCACAGCTGCCACTGAGCTGAAAGCTCTTACCTACGAGGGGTTGTGGTACATGTAGACTCTTCTGTTAGTCTGCCACTCAACACGTATTTATCCACCAGACAGACAGTGAGATAGTGAAGGGGACCAGAATCTGCCACCCCAAAATATACCACTTTGGCATAAGGATTGTTTTGATTTGAAAGCAATTAGCTCTCTGCCTTCCCCTTTTCTGTCTAAAAGTAGGACATAAATTTCCTTTTGAAAATTTACAAATTTCCATTTGTAAAGGTGTCTCCCTCTCCTGTACCAGCAAGAAAACTACTCTGGAGGCAACTCTTAGCACCCAGGATGTCTCTTATCCACATAACAAACCTTACTAAATGACCCTTATTTCCTGTACATTTCCTATTCACCTTCCTATAATTTATCTCCTCCCCAGAAGCCCCAGATCACTTTGCTTTTGTCTAGCCTAAGATAGTATATAACCCCAAATTCTAACTGCTTCCTTGAGTCACATTTCTTTGTGAACTCCTGTGCGTATGCACATACTTAAATCTGTTTTTTTTCTGTTAATCTGCCTTTTATCAGTTTTATTTGCAAGCTTCAGCAACTGAAGTTGAAACTGCCTTTGCAAAAATTATAACAGTCAGAAAATTATGACAGTGAAAGAGGTCTGATCCAACCAACTCTATCTTGCCTTTAACCTCCAAATTGCCCTTGATCAAGGCATGGGCCAAGCTAACTTTGGGAGAAATTTATAATTTAAATGATAATAGCCCTCCCCAAAACTAAACTGTCTTTGTAAAACTAATGAAAGGCCACCAGGTTGGGAGGATGATTGGGGCCTGAATTCCACTAAGATGTAGGCATAAATGATTACCGGCCATTATTCTGGAGGCCACAAGGTTTGCAACTTCCGCAATTACTCCTGTAAATAACATCACTATTGTAGAACCTAACATTGGCCTTTTGAGATGTCTTTTCAGATTTTTGCATTTCAGATGATCCAATGGCCCCATCTAGACTGGAGACACCAACTCATGACTCAGCTGGCCTTGTGGCCCACACCCAGAAGTGGACTCAGTGCATGAGGACTATTTTCCACACTCCTATGATAGCATCCCCAACCAATCAGCAGGACCATTTCCTAGCCCCTTGCCCACCAAACTATCTTTTAAAAAACCTGGCTGGGCGCAGTGGCTCACACCTGCAATCCCAGCACTTTGGGAGTCTGAGGTGGGTGGATCACGAGGTCAGGAGTTCAAGACCAGCCTGGCTAAGATGGTGAAACCCTGTCTCTACTAAAAATACAAAAAAAATTAGCCGGGCATGGTGGCAGGCACCTGTAATCCCAGCTACTTGGGAGGTTGAGGCAGAGAATTGCTTGAACCCAGAGGCGGAGGTTACAGTGAGCCGAGATCACTCCACTGCACTCCAGCCTGGATAACAGAGCAAGACTCTGTCTCAAGGAAAAAAAAAAACAACCTAGCCTCCACATTTTCAGAGAGGCTCGTTTGAGTAATAATAAAACTCTGGTCTCCCATTTAGCTGGCTCTTCTTGTATTAAACTCTTTTTCTATTGCAATAACCCTGTCTTGATAAATTAGCTTCATCTGGGAAGCAGGCAAGAAGAACTTATTGGATGGTTATATAGTGGGCTTCTAGCATGGCCTAGAGATGCAGAGGCCATGGCAGATAAAGCCAACTTCCTCCAACTGAGTAGAGGACTCAGGGGCCCAGAGGAGTCAGAAGGGGAGATGGGAGCCAAGGATGAGGAAGAACTCCTGGAAAGGCCTGAGAAAGAAGGACCCTAAGTTTAGCATCTTAGGTCCCGAAAAATGGCTGAAGGAGAGGAAAAGATGGAGAGAAAGAGTATTGTGACATGAACCTGCCCCTGTGCCTCGAGTTCCTGGGAGTTTCTTGTTAGCTTCTGTGTCCTGTTTTTCTGTATCCTCTGCAAAGGAAAGATGAAATCTGTTGCCACATAGGCGATGGGGTTCAGGACACACTACTCCAAAAGATGGCATCTTGTCATATTGAAGAAAATAGCAGAAACTGGACCATTGGTCTTACCTTTCCCCATACTTCTCCCCTGAAGTGGATTATAAAACCTAGGAAGGACTCTCTGACTGAGACGGTTTGGCTGTGTCTCCACCCAAATCTCATCTTGAATTGTAACTCCCACAATTCCCACATGTCATGGGAGGAACCCAGTGGGAGGTGATTGAATTATGGGGGCGAGTCTTTCCTGCACTGTTCTTGTGATAGTGAATGAGTCTCATGAGATCTGATGGTTTGATAAGGGGAAGCCCGTTTTGCTTGGCTCTCATTCTCTCTCTTTGCCTGCCACCATCCACGTAGGATGTGACTTGCTCCTCCTTGTTTTCCAACATGATTGTGAGGCCTCCCCAGCCACGTGGAACTGTAAGTCCATTAAACCTCTTTCTTTTATAAATTGCCCAGTCCAGGTATGCCTTTATCAGCAGCATGAAAACCAACTAATACACTGACCTTCCCCTAAAGTAGGTTATATGACCCTCATCTGACAGATGCCCTCCTTAGACCTACAGGGAAGGAAAAAGCATCCTTATCTCTGAAAATGGAGGAACACAGAGAAAAATTCAAACAAACAGGCCTCGTTAAGTCCCTGCCCCATTTATTACCATTAGATAATATTCTTTGTCCTATCATATTTCTCCATGACTGTTCATTCTTCATCAAACCTAGAATAAAAACACTCAAATGTACCTGTTTCTTTGGTCTTCATTTCCTTATGAAGGCTCTCATGTCACGTAAAACTTATTTGAAATAAACCTGTATGGTTTTCTGATTAAGCTGCTTTTTGTTACAGGCCATAAACCTAGGATAGGTAGAGAAAAGGATATTTTTCCTCCCCTACATTGATCCAGATGCAATCACCACCATTAGCAGTGCTTGCTTGACTTTGACTGCTCAAGAAAAGTTAGTGGATTTGCACCCACTCACCCACTCCCATCCCCATTTCTATGAAACACATGATTTAGCATTGTGCTAGAAGAGCAGAGATTTGAGCTCTTCTTAGAGGCCGCTCTAGCATGCTGCTTCTTCTGAGAGATAGCAAGTAAGACCCTCATGGCCATGCATCCAAGGTTTGCTGCCTTGAGGGCCACTGCTTTTTACCTTTACATTGCTGCCTTACTAAGTCCCAGCAGTCCAGGAAAATTTCCTGGATTCAGACGTTCCGATTATTCTGAAAATTTATTTTTCCTGCCCTCCACTCACAGAACTGCTTAGACAGAGTGACTATATACCATTGACTGTAAATTCATGATCAATTAAAGAAAATAACTTCTCTAATCCAAGTCCAAAGGCTGATAACAGAGGCCCAGGGACTCCTGAGCTATCAGAGGGAGGCACTAGGCTAGTCTCCCAGTGAAATCAAGCAAAGAGAGAAATCATTAGAGGAGCCATGTTTATTGTTTGAATTTTATGAATACATAGAATTCTATGAATCAAAAAAGGGAAGTTCACATTGGTTCTGTGCAGCATGTGATAAACCACAGCATTGCTATCTACATTTTTTTTCTTTCTTTATGATCAGTAGCCTCTCAATAAAGTGGATATTTTGAGTGTTGCAGTACCAGATACAGACATAGGTTGTAAAGAAGAAGAGTTTTTCCACTTGTTAAAGAGATAGGAGTAAAGCAGCAAAAGTCTGGAACATTTCTGGGGGTATATTGCTTATCAGAGTGTTCAGTTATTCTAAGGCCAACTTCATTTTCTATGGTTTTTCTTAAGAAAACATTTGTGAAAATATCCAATTATGAGTACAAACTACCTCCCATGAATTATCTGTGATGTCTATACTGATTCCCCATGGATGTTTATATAGCCAGATGTTTGAAATCTTGGGCACCATCTCCTCTGACATAAACAATTTTCTGTGAAACCTTCCATGTTAACCAGTGGTACCTGATTCTCAAATCTGATGTAAATCTAGCATATACTCTTCTCCCACACAATGTCTTTGACTGTAACTGTTTTGCTATTATACTGAAAGTACACACTCTTTTCTCCTAACCATGGGCCCCAATTCCCACAAGATGAGGACAAACTACAGAGTAGCAGAGGGAAAAGACCATTGCTTTTCCTCTTTGAAGACTTTCTATGAAATTTCATCTTTCTGCTCTGCGGATGGCGTTTTATGTTGGGAAAATAGTAGAACTCATAATTTGGTCTCCTGGACTTAATTTCTAATTACTTCATATTGGTGACTTTTTTTTAACCTCAAAGAGGAAAACGGCAAGCCCTAAATGCCTGTTTTTCTCCTTTTTTGGCCCAAGTGGGTAACTGAGGCTCAGTTTACATACATCAAATTACCAAAATGCTGTCTTGTATATAGTTTTGAAAGATAGAGATGGGTTTGTAATGTTTTTCAGACCTGATTCAGAGCTCAATTTAGTTTTTCTTTTGGTATTCAGGCTATTATATTCGTCATAAAAACAGGCACTGTGTGTGCCTTAGTAAATAATTTATAACTTTCCCCATAACTCAGGGGAACCCACCATAGTCTGACTGTCTGCCTTTTACCTTCTCATCTCTATACCTCCAGGTCTCTAGTGATCATAAAAGTGATCGAAGCCCTGATCTGATTTTTATCACAAAGCCATTCTTCTTTGTGGGTACTTTGGTTCTGGAGACAGAGAATCATGAGATCAGATAAAGCCATGTGGAGGGCTGAAAGTTGGCTGGAATGGCGCTTGGGGCCCAGTTTATGCTGTTGGAGCATTTCCTGTGTGCCCTTTGAAACCTCTGAACTCAGCTCTTCAAAGTGAGAGCTTTGTCTTTCCGCTGAACACATATATTTGCTACTTATTATCTTTCTCTTGCCATCTCCACCCTTACTTGACTCAGCCAACATCGATATATCAAAGCAAAAGCATTGCTCTGACTGAGTCATAAGTTATACTTTTACCTGACATTATCTGGCTGTGTAGAAATGAAAGCATAAAAATAATGGAGGTTTTGTGTACAGGTCTACACACACACACACACACACACACACACACACACACACACACACACACACACGTCTTCTTCTTTGCTTCACTTATCATGCTCTCACTACTTCCACTGTTTCTCTCCCCAACTCCTGCCCACTCCCACTCATAGCAGTTTATTAAAGAAGTATGTTTTCTCATGAGCCAATTGGGTAATTTTTCAAGTTGAACCCCATTAACATTATAAATGCCGTTATAAATGCTTGTTTTTCAAAAATTTGTCTTTCCAAAACTTTGTTCTGGGTCAGAAAATTTATTTCTCTTTAGAGAGCCAGTGTTGCATGAGGAAATTGAAGCTGATCTCTGGGTGTGTGTTTGTGCTAATTTGCTGTACAATCAAATACAGATATAGGTTAATAAATGCTGTTCTTTGATCTGTTGCTACAAAGGATTCATTGTAAATACATTACTAGATAAGTAAGTTAGAACTTTGTAACTGTCTCTTGCAAACGGTGCCCCATGCCACCCATTAGCATGTGCAAGAAGTGATACATTTGGCTTCAGCCTGCCTGGGTTTTACTTTGCTGATTTGTTTATTTTTAAAATAGTTACCCATAGTATACTTCCATTTGGGGTGTCCTCATAGAAGGATAGCACTCAGGCAGAGAAATAGCCCAAAAAAACAATAACAGCACCAAAAACTTGGTAGCAAGAATTTAATAAAACCAAGGGAGGCCAATGTTTCTATAGGTAACCATTTAACATTTGTCATTATGTGTCTAGCTCTAGCCAAGGCATTGCAAAGAATGCAAAAAGACATGATCAAAGGCCTCAAGATGTTTACAGTCCTGTTAGGGGATGAAGGTATTGGAGTGAATCACATTCACTAAAATGGGAATAAAGACTTCTACCTTAAAATCATGGTGTTTTTCAGGGAATCAGAACTAATATGATATGACTGGAGTTAATATGTTATTGTGGGGGATGGGGAGGAGTAGACTATTGGTAGTTGTGGCTACAAATTTGGCAGGATTCAAATATTGAAAGGGATTTGTATGTCAAGCTAAAGAATTATAATTTTTCTCTATAGACAATGGGGGAATTAACCACCGAAGAATTTTGAGTTGGTGAATGACATAAAAAGATTTGTATTTTAGAAAAATAACTGGCATGTTGCGGGGTGTGAAATGAAGTAAAAGAAGTCTTCAGTTGTGAAGTTACATGTCCATTGAGTCTAGCAGATACCAAACAATCACATCAAAATCCTGAAATAATAATAAATAAAGAATTCTACCTTGTCTGTCTCAGTGATTGTACGTGGAGGTATGTTTCTTTTTACTCATAAGTGTACAGTCTGTGTAATTAAGTGGCAAAGCCATTTGAAAAGGTCACTGTTTAAATCACAGGACTTATCTAGGTGTGACAACCCACGGTGATGAGAGATTTAGAGCCAGTCTCTACTGAGTGCTGATGTGGGGCTGATGTGGACTCTAGGAGGCTTTGTGGGAGAACAGGGTAAAGGCTTTGGTTCTGGAGAGAAAGTGATATGCCCTCAACTATGTATTTCAGGTTTCCATGGTCAGCATCTAGGCCTTCCTGCTATTATCTGCCTTGTGAGACTGGAGGACAAACTGGAAGCCAAGAGATACAATCCCAAAGTTGCTTGAGTGTCAGACAAATAAAAGAAAAACATTTTCCTTCCTTCCTTCCTTCCTTCCTTCCTTCCTTCCTTCCTTCCTTCCTTCCTTCCTTCCTTCCTTCCTCTCTCCCTCCCTCCCTCGCTCCCTTCCTCCTTTGCTCCCTCCCTCTCTCCCTCAGTCCTTTCCTTCCTCCATCCCTTCCTTCTGTTGTGGAAGAAAAAACGTTTCCTTTATCGTCTTAGGTTCAATACCTGGGACTTGCAAATTAAACTGACAAAAGACAAATTAGCGGGAGAAAAGGTACAGTTTTTATTTAGTATTTTTATGTACATGACTGTTCGCAGAAAAGAAGTCTCAAAGAAGTGGTTATAATGAGGGCTTATATATCATTTTTATGAAGGGCAATAAATTGTGAGAAAGTGGCTAGAAAAAGCAAAGAGAGTTGGAGCTTCTAGGGGTGATAAATTGTGGGAAAGTCACTAGGAAATATATGGGGGGAACTAATAGAAGAGAAGGATTATTTTAGTAAATTCTGTTTATGCAGACTGATCTCAGCATCAACTCCCCATCTTCAGTGATAAGAGTTATGCTTCTCTTCCTGATAAAGGGAGGGCACCTTTTTCATGATAAATTTATGCCCTACTTTTATGCAGACAAAAGGGAGGCAGAGAACTTTTGCAGCACCAGTTGATTCTCAATTGCTTTCAGCTCAAAATAATCCTTATGCCGAAATAGCATATTTTATGGTGGCATATCCTGATCCCCTTCACTTCCAACCTTTTTTTTTTTTTAAAGATGCATTGGGTGTGAGGTGTGCTTTTGGGAAAGTATGGATTACATAATTCCTAACACAGGCTGGTTTGTATTCCATGGATAAAGACTCCAACCCTCAGATCCCATTTAGATGACATCCTTGCTAAGTCAGCCTTCAACTGCAGGTCTTTCACATAAGCCAAACTGATCATCTAAGTGATAAGGCATGTGAGAATATTTATAATCCACAAAGTGCTAAGAAAATACAAATTATATGGTTTCACTTTTTACATTATTAAAATAAATCATTTAAAAAGGATTTCTCTGCTGCTTCCTATAAATAAAGGCAGCATTGCCCTCCTCCCCCGATCTGTTCCTACTGTGGGTCATGGGAGGAAAGATGGAGCCAGCGAACTGACTTCTCGCTCACAGTGAAAATCAGAAGAGGTCCAATACTTCTCTAGCCTGAATCAGTTGACTTTCATTTGTTTTTATTTTTTCTTGTTTGCCTTGATCTACATTGCAATCAGTATGCAAATGTGTGCAACACACTCTCAGGAGCAAACTCACTCAACAAAGCATATTGGGCTACATCATTGCTATAGTGATAACCTTGAATCTGCTCTAATCTGTGAAGGAGCACATCATTGGGACACTTCCACGCTTTGTTATTGTTAACAAATTACTTATGACTCACCTCATAAATGACCCTAACAATACCTGTGATTGTGACTAACTGTTCCCAGCCTCAGCCTGGTGATCAGGAAGAGAATTGTTCTGTTTTCCTTTGCATTGATTCCAGTTCTGGGAGGCTTCCAGATCCTTTTAGTTCAATAGATTTCTACTTAATTTCACTATACTTAGGCACTCAGATGGGCTCAGGAGATACAGATGTAAATCACGCCTGCTTACCACCTTCCTCATGCTCACCACCTTCCTCATGCTCACCGTCTAGTGAGGAAGTGCTTCCATAATGCTTTTCCTAGCTGTCTCTCTACCTTTCTTTTATTGGTCCTTCTGGTCCCAGGTTTCTCTTTTCCCCCCACCATGGAGATTCCAGCAAATCTTGTAGGAAACCTTTCAGAAGTGTCTGAGACTCCTCTTTGCTCTCACAGCCCTCTGGCTTTATATTTATTTACCAAGATACATTGTACTGCATCTTACTCTATATGCCAGGTGCTGTGCGCTTAACCCTGCTTAATCCTCACAACCCTATGAAGTAAGTGCAGATGAGGAGACTAAAGCTGAAAAAGGGCCAGGTGCAGTGGTTTATGCCTGTAATCCCAGCAGTTTGGGAGGCTGAGGCAGGAGGATGGCTAGAGCCCAGTAGTCTGAGGCCAACCTGGACAACATAGTGAGACCGTGTTTCTACAAAAAAATGTTTAAAAAATTAGCCGAGTATGGTTCCATATGCCTGTAGTTCCAAGCTATTCAGGAGGCTGAGTTGATAGGATAACATGAGCCTGGGAATTTGAGGCTGCAGTGAGCTGTGATTGAGCCACTGCACTCCAGCCTGGGTGACAGAGCAAGACCCTGTTTCCAAAAAAAAAAAAAAAAAAAGCTAAAAAGCCAAGAAGCTTGTCCAAGGTCACATAAGCAGTTGCAGAAGAGCTGTAGACTGAACTAGGTAGTCTGACTCCAGAATCTTTGTACCATTCCAATAATTAAGTAAAACTTGGTACCTATGATATACAACCATCGAGTGTGTGGTATTTAAGGAAACATGTGATTTTGGCCTTGATTATTTGAAGACACTATACAGGCACTTCTTCTGTTTCTACATATCCATGATTTATTACTCTGAGTCTTAAGAATATTTTATGACAGCTATATCCACTGACATTTTGGTGCATTTATAACAAGTACTTTAGAAAAATACAAATACATTTGAAAGGACATGTTCTTGTACCCCTTCCCTTCCCAAGGTGTGTCAGGATACTAGCCTGATAAGGGAGCATTTTCATGAGGTTCATCAACTTGTTGATGACATCAAACCCCATGCCAGAGCCTACACAGTGGATTCTGGCACGGGGCAGAGCCCTGGAATGTGAACAAAGGCTTTTGTGGAGAAATAGCCTCCATTGTCTACAGAAAGAGGGAGAACCAAGGGCTGCCTGATATACCAAGAACGATGGAGTCAATTGAGCAAGGTGTTTCACAAATGGAGACATCGGTGTTAGCTGTGTGGTTAATCTGTAGCACCTACCACATGTGACCCTTCATGAAGCTTTGAGTCCCGTAAATACAAATGGATTTTTTCAACCCACTTTGCATTTAAAATTGCTCAGATCTGGAAGAAATTGGTGGTTACCATGGTAGCCAGCCTACATAGCAGACAATTTTTTAATGTATTATTTTCTTTGCTTGGGCTTCAATTAATAACTCATGGGGGCACTTCTACAGAATATGCTGAGATCCACTGGCTAAGAACTGAGCATGTAATTTTTTTTTTATTATCATTATACTTTAAGTTTTAGGGTACATGTGCACAATGTGCAGGTTAGTTACGTATGTATACATGTGCCATTCTGGTGCGCTGCACCCACTAACTCGTCTTCTAGCATTAGGTATATCTCCCAATGCTATCCCTCCCCCCTCCCCCCACCCCATAACAGTCCCCAGAGTGTGATGATCTCCTTCCTGTATCCATGTGTTCTCATTGTTCAATTCCCACCTATGAGTGAGAATACTGAGCATGTAATTTATCTTCCAATTATGAAGGCTTAGGCCAAGGATTGGACTGGCAGGGGACCTGGAAGGTCTCTGGGCCTCTACACATTTCTGGGGTAAGTGGTGTTAGAAGGCAATCAGAGCAGGCAAAAGACCTCAAAGGAATATAAACCTGTCATGTGTTCAAGAATGTTCATGCGGCCAGGCGCAGTGGCTCACACCTGTAATCCCAGCACTTTGGGAGGCCGAGGTGGGCAGATCACCTGAGGTTGGGAGTTTGAGACGAGCCTGACCAACATGGAGAAACCCCGTCTCTACTAAAAATACAAAATTAGCCGGGCGTGGTGGCGCATGCCTGTAATCCCAGCTACTCGGAAGGCTGAGGCAGGAGAATCACTTGAACCCGGGAGGTGGAGGTTGTGGTGAGCCAAGATCATGCCATTGCACTCCAGCCTGGGCAACAAGAGTGAAACTCCATCTCAAAAAAAAAAAAAATGTTCATGCGTACTCAAAAAGGCCCAATGTTGGAAGAAAGAGTGCTTATCTTCCTGTTCAAAAGCCCACTCATGAAGCAGGAAGTCTCATGTGTTTTTTATTCCTCTGTTCTTTCTCTCCTGCCTTCTTTAGTAGTAAGTGGATATTTTCTAATGTACCATCTTAATTCTTCTACTGGTTTTTAAGCTACATAGGGGTTTTTAAAAAAATTTAGTGGTTAGTCTAGGGATTAGAATACATATCTTAATGTATTAGAATGCACTTCAGATTTATACTAAATTCCAGTAAATATATAATTTTTCTACAAGGGAGCTCCTTTCCTCTTCCTTTGTATTATTGTGTAGCAAAGAATTTAACCTTGCCCAAAGAGATGTCTGGCCTTTGCCCTTGACTTCTAGGAGGTAATCTCTAAGCCCTTGGCATGTCATGCTTGAGAGGTTATTTTTTGTTTAGGGTGGGGCTGGCCATTCCAGAAAGTTTAACAATGTGATTTAGGGTGGGGGCTTTGGGTCATGCAGTATCACCTAGACCTCCTGAGGTACTGGAAACTGAGGTTAGCTATGTGGACAGTCAATGGTGCCTATGTGATGGAGTCCCAAGATGGACTCTGGGCACCAAGGCTCAGGTGAGCTCCCCTCGTTGGTAATAGTTTGTGTGTGTTGTCATACATTAGTGAAGGGAAAGTAACATGGTCCATGACTCTACAGGGAGAAGACCACAGAAGCTCTGCATTTGGAACTTTTCCTGGATTCTGTCCCATTTGCTTCTTCCCATGACCGATTTTGATCTGTATCCTTTCCCCTGTAATAAACAGTAACCATAAGTAGAACAGCTTTAGTGAGTCCTTCTAGTGAATTTCAAACCTTGGGGTGGTTTTAGCAAACTCTCAAACTTGCAGTTGATGTCAGAAGTCAGAGCAGTCTTCTGTGGACTGCTCCCTCTAATTGTATAGTTGGCTAACTTTTGTGGCTTCTACTGTCATATATAACATGTCAATATATGTTACAATCCCAATAATTCAGTCTTATTCTTTCCTTTTCACTTAAAGGAAGCACTCTGTGGCTTCTCTTGCGCATATTTGAATTGCCAGCATCACTACTCTTGTGTTTTAGGGCCATTACTAAGTAAAATAGGTGTTCCTTGAACACAAGCTCAGTGATACAACAACAATCTGATAACTAAGATGGCTACTAAGTGACTATCAGGCTGTAGAATAGACAGCGTGGATCCGCTGGACAAAGGGATGATTCACGTCCTAGGTGGGACCCAGTGGAACAGCATGAGATTTCATCACACTACTCAGAATAGGACCCAACTTAAAACTTCTGAATTGTTTATTTTTGGGATTTTCCATTTAATATTTTCAGACCACGTTGACTATGGGTAACTGAAACCATGGAAAGCAAAACTGTGGATAAAGGAGGACTATTGTATTTACAATAGTAATAACTAAAGTATAATAATAATAATATCTAAAATTAAGTGCTAACTATTGCCCAGGAACTATTTTAAACACTTTATATTCATTAACTCACTTAATCTTTATAACAACCCTATGAGGTGTGTATTATTATTATCTCCATTTTGCAGATGAGGAAACTGAGGCTCAGAGAGTGTGAGTAACCTCTCAATAAACATTTGCCAAACTATGTTTGCTAAGAGAATAATAAATTGAAAAGGCTGGGCACAGTGGCTCAGGCCTGTACTCCCAGTCTTTTGAGAGGCCAAAGTGGGAAGATCGCTTGAATCAGGAGTTTGAGACCATCCTGTGCAACAAGTGGAGACCCTGTCTCTACAAAGATTAAAAAATTAGCCAGACGTGGTGACGCCTGCTTGTAGTCCCAGCTACTCGGGTGGCTGAGGTGGGAGGATCACTTGAACTCACTTGAATGGAGGCTGCAGTGAGCTATAATTGCGCCACTGCCTCCAGCCTGGGCAGCAGAGTGAGACCCTGTCTCTTAATAATAACAATAATAGGCTGGGTGCAGTGGCTCATGCCTGTAATCCCAGCACTTTGGGAGGCCAAGGCGGGCGGATCACAAGGTCAGGAGATTGAGACCATCCTGGCTAACGCGGTGAAACCCCGTCTCTACTAAAAAAAAAAAAAATAATAATAATAATAACGATAATAATTTGAAAAAAGTCAACCTCAGAAAAGGTTGCCAAGTTAACTCAAGTCTCCAATATAAAAAAGCCTGGGGATGCAGGGGAGACTATGGGGTTTGCTGGGCCTGCTCTGATATTGAGGACACAATGATTTTGTGGCTCTAAGGCTATGAAGCAGCACCATTTCTCACATGTCAGTCCATGGCTTGGTCATTTTATCCAGAGGCTTTGGGTGGTAATGGGGTTAGGGCTTGAGCCTCTCCCCTTCTTCCCCCTCCCAGAATTGCTAGAGCAACTTCCTGAAAGTGTGCTGCTCGGGTCACAAACGGGCTTCTTGCAAGAGGTATGTGCATCCTCGGGGTGGAATCTTCTGCTATTTAAACTTACTTCTTGGTGGTGGAGCAGCAATGTATTTTTGAGACTGCAGTTTTTTCTTTCTTTCTTTTTAAATGTTAAAGCTAGAAGCCTGGAACTATCCTGGAGCGTTTTCTTTTATAATTTCTAGCTTTTTGAAAAAAGTGTTAGTTAGAAGAATTGAGTCTCAGCCAGGCAGGCCTAAACTAGACACGTGGAGGAGTGCAGGGGCGAACACTCACACCAGTCTAATCATTGTGGATTGGGTGTCAAAGCCCTGACATTATGCTGCCTTTATCTATTCTCCTTAACCCCACACTTGTCCTACTATCACGGGATGATGTGGAAGAGGCTTCAGGAAGATGTAACTCTTTCCTTGTGGCTGTGACCATTTTATAGACTGATTTCCAGGCTCAGCAGGCACACAGCATCAGGGCCTTCACTGCATTTCTTCCTAGAAGCCAGAGACCAAAATGCATGTGACAGCTCAAGAATTTTTCTAGCGGTTGGTTGCTGCTGCTCACTCCACCCACAGAAAGAAAAACTAAAAGGAATTTTACCCTTGGTGTCGCAGTTACTTTTTGGACAGGGGCAACTGCAACTGTGAAATGGCTGAGTCAGGAAACTTCCTCTGTCTTTAAGACAAAATTGCTCTAGGCTAGTGTAATTAGTGATGTGAAGCCTTTCTTCCCAACCCCAAATCCCCTAAAGTCCTCTTATTTAAATATCTACCCCCCTATTTCCAGCTGTCTCCTCTCAAAAGCCCATCCTTTATAAAACCGGTGTCAGATTGTTTCATTTTATTAGGTTGAACCATGTGAAATGGCTGATGGTTCCACCTAATCTAGTTAGAGAGTTTCTTTTGAGAAACAGAGGAACATCACAGTGAATAAGAACTGGAGACAGCATTACTTCTTGGAAGAGAGGCAGTGAAGCTGGAGGAAAGCAGCCCCCAGCACTGTTCCCAGGTTGGGCACTGCAGCCTGTGTGCAGATGCCTAGACTCCAGCCTCAGCCTGAGAAGCAGATGCTGGTTGGAGTTGGGAGGAAATATGCCAGGCTCTGAGGAACATCAGCTTCACTAATGATTCACAAAACCCTATGAAGTCAAAGCAGGTTGTTGTGGCTGAAAAATGCAAAACAACCGTGTCTTCATCAGAGTTACAAAACATTGCCCATATGCACACACTAAGAGCACTTTCAACCTGCTGTATTTCCTTCGCTTGGGCAAATGCTAGGCTTTGATTTCTTTCTTTTTTTCCCCCTCTCATGTTCTTTATGGCAGTGCTTTCCCAGTCTAGAAAGGTTTGCATTTCCTCACATCCTTCTCTTAGGCTGAGCATGGTTATTGCATGACTTAAATCAAAGCAATAACGAAACCAAACCAAACCAAACCGAACAAAAACTCAACAGCTCTGATAGAGCATGTAGAAACTAGCTGGTTGGGAAACAAATGTAACCTTTTAATCTGTTAAGGATTGAGTTCTAAGTTGATTCATGCCAATGAATAACCAGGAAAATGAAGATCACAGTTTGAATGGCTGACTTTTGCTTTTTCTCCTTAGGATCATGGTAAAGTTGTAATTCATGCACATGTTTGTCACAGCACAGGCCACGTGGTATTTTATTGGGATTGATTTAGCTAAAGGCCACTGATGGATGGAATTCTTTGGATTGTGTATCTTTTTCAGCAAACAACATGCTACTAAGGAAAGACCCTCTTTTCCTTGTGTCCTCATGAGATTTGCACCAGATAGAAATCAGAGAAGGCATTCAATTCTTGGTTAGTGGTGCCATCGGCCTCTGTACCCAAGAGCTTCTCTGCAATGTCCCAGAAGACTGACCTTTCTCTGGTTATGGCTCTTTGTTATGCAAACTGCAAGACATCCGGTGCCACATCAGTGATCCTGGTCTTGGTTCTGTTGTAGAAAACTTGGTTCTGTTGTAGAAAGTTTACTTGAACCCAGCCCCACAGAACACACTGGAAATAGCTCACTATGCTAGTGAAGGAAACAAAAATATTTCACCCCAAAATATACTTCTTTGACGTACTTTGAGATGACTGTTCAGAGGACCTGCGAACACAAGTAGCCCTGCAAAGCTGTCTTTTGTTGGGGAGATTTACATCTGTAGAGGAAATAAAGTGAGGTAAACAACAGATGCAAACAGGCTTTCTCTGAAGCCCCCCTTGTTTGGGTCCAGGAAAGATTAACTGAGCCTGACACCCATCTATTCTTCCTGAGGGTTGCTACCTCTGAGGTTTTATCTGCATATCAAGACTGCCTTTGCTCTGAGCTTTAGTTAATGGATGCTGGAAAAAAAAGACCGCCTTTGTTAGCCAAGCCTATCCTCTTCTCTCCCTCCTGTAACCTGTCTTGCCACCATAACATGTTTTCCCACCTTCCAAGCCCCTGTTCTTTCTGTAACCTCAAGACGGTATAAAAGTGTCAACCATCTGGCCATTTCTTTGAGGGTTTTTTTGTTGTTTGTTTGTTTTGAGACAGGGTCTCGCTGTGTTGCCCAGACTGGAGTGCAGTGGTGAGATCATAGCTCAGTGAAGCCTCGAACTCCTGGCCTTGAGCGATCCTCCCACCTCAGCATCCAGAATAGCTGGGACTACAAGCGCCTGCCACCACACCTAGCTAATTTTAAATTTTTTTGTAGAGATGGGGGTCTTGCTATGTTGCCCAGGCTGGTTTAACTCCTGGGCTCCAGCAATGCTCCCACTTTGGCCTCCCAAAGCACTGGGATTACAGGCATGAGCCATCACACCTGGCTGAGTTTTTATATTTTGTATGACTCCTGTGCCCATATGCACATTAATAAAATTTGTATGCCTTTCCCCTTGTTAATCTATTATCAATTTGTTTCACAGACTCAAATTGTCAAGCCTTCAGGGGAAAAATTAAACTTTAATGTTTAAACTTAAAGTTAAAAAAATTAAAGTTCCCTATACTGGGTAACCCAATATTCTCTACTTATCTTCTGTAAGGATTCTTATCACATGGTTAGTAATAGTAAGATTTGTTGTAGTAGTTTGTTGTTAGTAAATGTAGTAAATTAGTTTAATTAATATCTCAATTAGTTGGCCAGGTGGGGTGGCTCACGCCTGTAATCCCAGCACTTTGGGAGGCCAAGGCAGGCAGATCACAAGGTCAGGAGTTCAAGACCGGCCTGGCCAATATGGTGAAACCCCATCTCTACTAAAAATACAAAAATTAGCCAGGCATGGTGGTACGCGCCTGTAGTCCCAGCTACTAGGGAGGCTGAGGCAGGAGAATCGCCTGAACCCGGGAGGTGGAGGTTGCAGTGAGCCGAGATCGTGTCACTGCACTCCAGCCTGGGCAACAGAATGAGGCTCCGTCTCAAAAAAAAAAAAAAAAAAAAAAAATCTCAGTTAATTAAACTATTTCTTCTTCTCAGTTAATTAAACTATTTCTTCTTCTGTAAAACTGGTAATAATACTTCCTTACAAAGTTGTTGCTATAAGAATTAAGATTAGATTAGGCCAGGCTTGGTGGCTCATGCCTGTAATCCCAGCACTTTGGGAGGCTGAGGTGGGTGGATCACTTGAGGTCAGGAGTTCGAGACCAGCCTGGCCAACATGGTGAAATCCTGTCTCTACTAAAAATACAAAATTAGCCAGGCATGGTGGTGCACATCTGTAATCCCAGCTACTTGGGAGGCTGAGGCAGGAGAATCGCTTGAACCTGGGAGGCGGAGGTTGGAGTGAGCCCAGATTGTACCATTGCACTCCAGCCTGGGCAACAAGAGTGAAACTCTGTCTCAAAACAAACAAACAAAAAAGAATTAAGATAGAGAACTTAGAACAGGGACTAACACTTAGCAGATGCTTAAGAAATGTTTATCATCTTCAACTAAAAAGAAATCCAATCCACCAATTTAAAACATTTATTTTGTGATGATATAGGAAAGCTGAAATCCAGCCAAATTCTCCTTTACTTCACTTGGTGCTGGTTCACTCACCCAAGCTCAAGACCTCCCAGCCTCGCGTTCTGGTGCTGGGGACCTTTGGTGTGGTTTTCACCAGCTCCCTTTTAGAGTAGCTGTTCTTTAAAGCTTGGCTTAGAGCAGCAGGAGCAGCAGCTAGGGACTTGTTAGAAATGCAAATTATTGGGCTCCACTCCAGCCCCACAGGATCAGAAGCCCTGGGGATGGGGGCCTAGCGAGTTTTGACATGTTCTGCAGGTGATTTTGAAAACTATGGCTTTAAAGTGTGAGCCATGGAGGGAGCTAAGGGGAGGGGAGATATCTTGGCTTTTTTCCTCTGGGGCTCACTATATTTCCTTTCTTGTCCCCTTCTTTATCTGGAAAAAAAAAAGTCAGGGTTGGGGAGGGGAAGAGAAAAGAAGAGAAAAACAAAACTAATCCTTGCTAGTGATATGGGAGGATGGGGAAGTGCTGGTACGGGAAGGGCATGGTCCCTAGCTAGGGCTCCACCCCCGGACCTGTGCCGAACTGACCTAGGTGAGGACAGGCATTTCTGGTTTCCTGCTCAAATGCTGCATTTCCCAAGACCACCCTGGCCCATCATGCCCCCATCCTGTACCTATAAAAACTCTGAGACCCTCGCAGGCAGAGACACAAGCCGCTGGACGTCGAGAGGAACACATTGGTGGAGGAACTCACAGGTGGCTGGATGTCAAGAGGAACACACTGGCGGAAGAGCACACTGACAAGCACCAGCAGACAACGGCACGCTGGGGCACGCCGGCAGGCCATCAACCTGCAGAACGATGTGGAGTTTGGCCTGGGCAGTCGGAGGAGAGTCCAGCTGCTGAGCAGTCCGACTCCAGGAAAAAAACACCTTCCCATTCCATCTCCCTTCTGGCTCTCCCATCTTCTGAGAGCTACTTCCATTCAATAAAACCTTGCACTCATTCTCCAAGCCCAAGTGTGATCTGATTCTTCCGGTACACCAAGGCAAGAAACCCTGGGATACCGAAAGCCCTCTGTCGTTGCGATAAGGCAGGGGGTCTAATTGAGCTGTGTAACACAAGTTGCCTACAGACGGCTAAACTGAAAGAGCACCCTACAGCACACACCCACTGGGGCTTCTGCTGTAAACATTCACCCCAGACGCTGTTGTGGAGTCGGAGCCCCACAACCTGCCGGTCTGCATACTCCTCCTAGAGGTTTGAGCCGCAAGGCACTGAAGAAGCGAGCCACACCCCCATCACATGCCCTGTGAGGGGGACAAGGGAATTTTTCCCATTTCACTAGCAGATGTCAGGAAATGCCCTTCATCCAGCCCCTCAGTTCCCAAATGTTTCCTTTTTCCAGGGGACCTAGTGTTTCAGCTCCAGTTTGCTCCCCTTTGCCCATGTGGTACAGACATCATCAGTCTACTCCTGGATGTTGGGCTTTAGGCAGGAGTCACTTGTTTTTCTTTTTTTTGAGACAGAGTCTCACTGTGTCACCCAGGGTGGAGGGCAGTGGCACGATCTCGGCTCCGTACAACCTCCGCCTCTTAGGTTCAAGTGATTCTCTTGCCTCAGCCTCCTGAGTAGCTGGGATTACAGGTGCCCACCACCACGCCTGGCTAATTTTTGTATTTTTAGTAGAGACGGGGTTTCATCATGTTGGCCAGGCTGGTCTCGAATGCTGACTTTATGATCTACCCACCTCGGCCTCCCAAAGTGCTGGGATTACAGACGTGAGCCATCGCGCCCAGCCAGGCAGGAGTAACTTTTTCTCTCATCTTCCTTCTCTTATTATTAGAGTTAGGCATATTTCCCCTGAAAGGCTCACTTTCCCTGCACTCTTAATATGCCTAGTCCCTTCCTTTTGCTCGTCAGACCTTGAAGTCCTAGCCCCAAGGAAGTAGGGAAAAATGGGATGAAGTGGAAAAGAGTGAGGAGCTACCAAGCAAAATGGGTCCGCCCTGGGATTTGGTGTTCAACAGTGAATAATAATTTTCTGCCAACTTCTTGCTATGGATTTTCATTCAGGTTGTTTTACCTGAAGCATTTTCACAGTCCTGCCATCCTATCCCTACCCAAACTCCAGGAGAGTACTCCTATCCCTCAGCAGTGTACAAGAGTACTCAATAGAAAGGACAGGAGTGTACTCACAAAACCGGTTCAATTGTCCCATATAACTGACATTTACAAGTTTTTTGAATAAACATAGAAGTTGACCTTCCCAGTCTTAAAACTTGGAACTTACATCTCTCTCATCTGAGTTCCTTCCTGATATGGGTTGGCTCTGTGTCCCCACCCAAGTCTCATCTCGAATTGTAATCCCTGCATGCTGAGGGAGGGACCTTGTGGGAGGTGATTGGATCACGGGAGGAGATTCCCCCATGCTGTTCTTGTGATAATGAGGGAGTTCTCACGAGATCTGATGGTTTAAAAGCATTTGGCATTTCTCCCCTCTCTCTCTCTCCTGCTACATTATGAAGAAGGTGCTTGCTTCCCCTTTGCCTTCTGCCAATTGTAAGTTTCATGCCACCTTCCCAGCCATGTGGAACTGTGAGTCAATTAAACCTCTTTCCTTTATAAATTACCCAGTCTCAGATAGTATCTTTATATCAGTGTGAAAATGGACTAATAGACTTCCTCAGGAAACCGACCCTCAGGCAAGGAACTGAAACTCACCAGATCACTGCATCCAGACAATGAGATGCCAGACCCCTCATTCATCATGGCTGCTTCCTTAGCCCTCCCTAATTCCTGTTTTCCTGCCTTTCTTGCTATTTAAACCTCCAATTCTAGTTGGTTGGAAATTTGAGACTTTATTTCCTGTTCTCCTTGGCTGTAGCACCCGATTAAAGCCTTCTTCCCTATCATTCTCTCAGTGATTGTTTTTTTGTGTGGCAAACAGCAGGACCTAGACCAGCCCCTGGTGTTTGGCAGCACTCAGTGTACAGGAGTATTGGTAACACTTAGTGTACAGGAGTACTTAATAGAATGTATAGGAGGAGAAGAATACTCTTTCTTTTTTTTTATTATACTTTAAGTTCTGGGATATATGTGCAGGTTTGTTACATAGGTATACACATGCCATGGTGGTTTGTGGCACCCATCAACCCATCGTCTACATTAGGTATTTCTCCTAATGCTATCCTTCCCCTAGCCCCCCATCCCCCAACAGGCCCCGGTATGTGATGTTCCCCTCCCTGTGTCCATGTGTTTTCATTGTTCAACCCCCACTTACAAGAGAAAACATGTGGTGTTTGGTTTTCTGCTCTTGTGTTAGTTTGCTGAGAATAATGGTTTCCAGCTTCATCCATGTTCCTGCAAAGGACATGAGTTCATCCTTTTTTACAGCTGCATAGTAGAATACTCTTTCTTACTCCTCAGTAGTGGGTAACCCCATCTGTTGCTGAGATTAAATTACCAAATACAAAGCACAACTGAAAATATTAAGCATCCTTTAGGAGGGGAGTGAAAAAAGCTGGGTATGGTTTACCCCCAAAGTGGAATTTTTATTCTCATTAAACATGCAAAGCAAACCAAAAATGAAAAAAGTTTGCCTTTTCCCAACACACTTCTGTGCCCTATACCGCTCAGCACTTACAGCAACTGTCTACTTTAGCGAAAAGTGATTCTATTTCAATGTTTCCCCAGTGAATGGTGATAAGGAATGAAAATTGTATGTGTAAAACATCATATAGAATTTTAAAAGCATTTATTTAAAAAAACCTCTTTATTATTTCAAACAGAATTTCAAACATAGAAAAACGTAGACAGAATAGTATAATGAAAACCCACTGACTCATTACCCAGCTTCAACAACTTTCAACTCATGGGCAATCTTGTTTCATTTATGTCCCCATCTCTATTTTTACCTCCCATATTTTTTGGAAGCAAATCTCAGATGTCATATTATTTTATCTACCAATATTTCAGCATGTATCTCTAAAAGGTAAGAATTTCAGAAAATATACAGCCACAATACTATTATCACACTTAGAAAAAGGTAACAAAAATTCTTTAACATCATCAAGTATCCATTAAGTGTTCAAATTAAAAATTTTCTCATACATAGCGTAAATTATTTGTTTTTTTGGATCAGGGTCCAGATAAGGTCCATACACTGTAATTCGGTTAATAGGCTTTTAGATCTCTTTAAATCTATAATCTCTCTCTCTTCTTGCAACTGATTTGTCATTTAATATGTTCTCTTGTCCTGTGTACTTCCTGTAAAATGTTATTTGAACTAGAGGCTTGATTAGATTTGGGTTTGAGGGTTTTTTTTTTTTTTTTGGTAAGAACACTTTATATGTAGTATTGTATATAGCATATTTCACAAACAAATATTAAGGATTATAGATATATCAGCTATTTTGAGTTACACAAATTCCCATTTTACTTCCATCACAGCAGATTCTTGAGTATCTGTAGTATCTCCAAATGTATTTTAACTCTTCAGAAATTTATGCCTTTTTCTGTAGGAAAAAATTCTGTGTGTGTGTGTCTGCAGCTGTGTTGGGTGGGAGGGCATTAAGCTCTAAACCAGACTAAAGGCCCATTTAGTAAACAGCTAATGCCTTTGCTCTTTTTATTTGCAAATGTTTTTGGAAATGTTTTCCAGAGGTAAAATCTAGCATTAGTCAATCAAACAAAAAGTCATGCAATTTCCATCAGTATTCTAATTCAGAATGTCTAACGGTATTCCCAACAGCAATATGATATTCATCTATAACAATTTTATTTTCTTAATGTTTTCTACAATTTAAATTTCTGTTTATAAAATTAGATGGTCTTTAAGAATGCCATTCAAATCTGATGTTGGCTAATTGTAGAAGAATGCTTCCTAAAGGTTTTGCCTTCCTAAAAGTTTAAGCTGTGGGGAAAAAAAAATGGGTCCAAATTATGTTTGCAAATGAATGTGTATCCATGTTGTCGCAAGAAAACGAAGTAAGATACCAATAATATTTGATCATAAAGGGAAAACAATTATTTGTAAGGCTGATTTAAATTTCTATTAACTTCAAATGTGAGCTTGGAGAAACATTTCCTTAGTTGTATTAATTTTCTATGGTGGCTGTAACAAATTACCAAAAACTTAGTGGCTTAAAGCAATGCAAATTTATTATCTTATAGGTCTGGAGGTCAGAAGTCCAATGTGGTCTCAGTGAACTAAGATCAAGGTGTTAGTAGGGCTGCATTCTTTCCGGAGGCTCTGGGGAGAATTAATTTTCTTGCTTTTTTCAGCTTCTAGGGGCCACCCACATTCTTTGGCTCATGGTCCCCTTCCTCCAGCCTCAAAGCCAAGAGCAGCAGGTTCAATCCTTCTCTATTCGCATCACTCTGACCTCTTGTTCTGCTTCCCTCATCCATTTTTAAGGACTCTTGTGATTACACTGGGCTCACCCAGATAAGCTATGATAATCAACCCTATTAAGGTTGATTAGCAACCTTAAGTCCCTTTGCCATATAACATAATGTATTTGTAGATTGTGGGGATTAGGAAGCCAATGTCTTTGGGCGGGGGGGAGGGGGGCACTATTCTGCCAACCATGCAAGCTAAATAATGTTTGAGATCTTTCCAGATTTAATAAAACCAAATAGCTGGGTTAAATATTTAAGTATATTTGTTTTTGTGACTGGTCTCATTTCTTTGAGTAAGGCTGGATATAAATAAATAAATACATTTGGTTTAAATGCTGTTTTGATATTGAAGAAAAACATGAATCATTATCCTATTTTGTACCAAATAAGAATGAACACAGATCTTCCATCCTTGTTTCTAGTTACTGCCTTCCATTTTTCAGAAGGAAGTAGTTAAGCAGATATCTCTGAGTTTCCAATTTAAAGCACAATTTAAAGCAGACGTTTTCTGTCTTTAGTTTTTAGAAATTTGATTTAAATATATTTGGGTATGAATATGAGTTTATACTATTTGGGTTTTGTTCAGCTTTTTGAATCTGTAGGTTTATGGGTATTTTTAAAAGCAAATTTGGGAAAAATTTAGCCATTATTTCTCTGAATATTTTTTCAACCCCACAGTTTCTTTTCTTCTTTTGGAATTCTGATGATGTGAGTGTTAGATCTTTTGTTATTTTCCCACAGGTCTCTCTCTCTCTTTCTCTGTCCAATCTATTTTCTCTCTGTTGTTCAGATTGGATTCTTTGTTTTGATCTATATTAACATTCACTGATAATTTCCTCTGTCACTTCTATTTTACTATTGAGCCCTTCCAATGAGTTTTTAATTTTGGTCAATATATTTTTCAGTTCTAAAATTTCCTTTAGTTTTTTCTTTATATTTTATATTTATTTGCTGAGATTTTCTATTTTTTAATTTCTTTCAAGAATATTCATAATTGCTTATCGAAGCATTTTTATGATAGTTGTTTTTGTAGATTTTTGCGGATTTTTAACACATATAATCATGTCATCTGGGACTAAAGACAATTTTATTTCTTCTTTCCTAGTCTGTATGCCTTTTATTTCTTACCCTTGCCTTATTGCATTAACTAGTAATTCCAATACAATTTTCAATAGGAGTGGTGAGAGAAGACACCCTTGTCTTGTTCCTGATCTTGGGGGAAAGCATTCAGTCTCTCACCATTAATTCTTAAAACCACCTTTGCAGAATTATAAGTAATGAGAGAAATCTAACATGACTGACTCCACTCCATCTTGTTTCTAATGTCACAAGCTAATTTTTTTTTCTTATACTAGCACAGAGGCCAAGATAACTATGAGAGGAATTTAGTTTACAGTTAAACTTTGAGACAAAGGAAACTGACCCCCTCCTTATTTAAAGATTGATGCCACATTCATAAGGCAAGTTTAAAATTATGGTAGGGGCTTGAACTTTGCTAAAGAATGGGCAGAGTTAAACAATCACCTTCCATTGCTTAGCATGTTTTCCTATAAGTTGCTTACTGCCCCAGAGTCACGTTACTAGGGGTCACAAGATTTCTAACTTCACTAACTACTCCTATAGATGACATCACTATTGTGAAACCTAAAGAACTGGTCTTTGAGATATTTTTCAGATTTAGCATTTTGGTACACCGAGAGATGCCAATCAGATTTTGAGAAGCACCCGCCTCCTGGGAACTGACTCAGCTGCACGAAGCCAGTTTTAGATGCCCCTTGTGATTTCATCCCCAGCTAATCAATTGTTCCAGTTCCTCAGCCCCCTGCCTGCCAAAGTACCCTTAAAAAAATCCTGCCCTCTGAATTCTCAGAAAGACAGATTTGAAAAATTTCTCCCTGTTCTCTTTGCTTGGCCAGCCCTGTGATTAAACTCTTTCTTAGCTGCAACACCTGCTGTTCTCATTGATTTTTTTTCAGGGCAGTGAGCAACAAGAAGCCATCAGGCTGTGACAAATTATGATGTTAGTTATGGGTTTTTGCAGATAACCTTTATTTGGTTAAGAATGTTGCCATGTATGCCTAGTTTGTTGAAATTTTTTAAAATCATAAATGGATGTTAAATTTTGTTGAAAGCCTTTTCTGCATCTGTTGATGTAATCATATGGTTTTTCTTATTTAGTCTCTTAATATGTTTTCAAAAATGTTAATATAGATTTTTGAATGTTGGAGCAGCTTTGTATTCCCGAGATAAACCACACCTTGTCTCGATATATAGTCCTTTTTATCTTCACGGTTGCACTTAAATTGCTAATATTTTGTTTAAAAATTTTGCATCTATAATCATGAGACATAGTCATCTGTAGTGGTCTTTTTTCTTGTAATATCATTGTCTGGCTTTGTTATTAGGATAATGCTAACCTCATTGAATGAGTTGGGAAGTGTTTCTTCCTTCTATTTTCCGTGAGAGATTATGTAGTATTGATATTGTTTCTCTCTTGACTGCTTGGTAGAGTTCATCAGTGAAACCACGTGGGCCAGTAGTTCTTTTTCTGGGAAGGTTTTAAACTATCAATTGCATTTTTTTCAATAGATATTGAGCTATTCAGGTTATCTCTTTCAACTTGAGTGATATTTGGTAGTTTGTGTTTTTCAAGAAAATGACCCAATTTATCTAAGTTATTGAATTTATGGTCATAGTGATGTTCATAGTATTCCCTTATTAAGCTTTTAATGTTTGTGTGATTGGCTGTGAACTCCCTCTCTTATTCCTGATATTGATAATTTGTGTCTTTTCTTTTTTACTTTCTTGGTTAGGCTGTCTAAAGATTTACCAATTTTATTCATCTTTTCAAAAGAGCCAGGTTTAACTTTATTGATTTTCTCTATTTTTTAATTACTTCTTTCCTTCAGGTTGCTTTATTTAATTTACTCTTCTTTTCCTAGTTTCCTAAATTATAAGCTTAGGCTATTGATTTTAGATATTTCTTCATTTCTAATATTTGTATTTGATGTTATGCTATAAATTTCCCTCTAAGGACTATTTTATCAGGGTCCCACTAATTTTTTAATACATTTAAAATTGTGGTACAATGTACATAACATAAAATTTACCATTTTATCCACTTTTAAGTGTGCAATTTAGTGGCATTAAGTACATTCACAATGTTGTACAGCCATTACCACTCATTTCCAGAACTTTTTCATCATCCCAGACAGAAACTTATCCCCATTAAACTCCTCATTTCTTCCTACCCTTAGATGTGCTGACCTCTGTTCTAATTTCTGTATCTGTAAATTTGCCTATACCAGGTACCTCACACAAGTGGAATTATATAATATTTGTCCTTTCATGCTGGCATATTTTACTTAGTACAATATTTTTAAGATTCATCCCTGTTGTAGCACCACAAATCTTTATATGTTGTGTTTTTATTTTTATTTCAGCTTAAAGTATTTTAATATTTCCCTTTAGACTTCTTCTTTTGACCCATGGATTACATAGAAGGGTATTATTTAATTTATTAATATTTGGTGATTTTCCAGATAGTTTTCTGTTATTGATTTCTAGCTTAATTTTGTTATGGTTGGTCTAAAAATGTTATTTGTATAATTTCTATTCTTTTTAATTTATTAAGATTTGTTGTATGTCTCAGAATGTGGCCTATTTTAGTGAATATTCCCTGTGCACTTAAGAAAAATGTGTATTCTGCTCTTGTTGGATGGAGTGTTCTGTAAACGTCTATTTGGTTAAGTTATTTGATAGTGCTGTTCAAATAATGTATATACTTACTGATTTTGTCTGCCTGTTTTATCAGTTATTGAGAGAGGATTGTTGAAGACTTCAACTATAATTGTGGATTTATCTGTTTCTTCTTTCAGTTATATCAATGTTTAACACGCTATTGTTAGGATGTTTAAGAAATCCTCTTCATTTATTTTGAAAATTTGATCTCTTTTTTAATGAGGTAGGGCATCACTAACTAAAGCCATAAAAAAATCTTCTCTTAAACTCAAACTGGAAATGGTGTCTTGAACTTGTGGTTGCTTGGTCATTTTGGTGAACCATTTTGTTGTTTTATCAAATTCTTTTAGGGTTGAAAGGAGTCCAGAAAATGCCTGTCTCATGGAGCTGTCACACGTACAGTTGGTTTTCAAGGCCTTCCTCATGTGGCCAAAACTAAATTTAGGACTAGTGAAGCCAGTTCAGTGGTACAGATTTGCAAAAGTAAGACCCTTAAATGTGTAAAGTTTGTAGCAACTGGTTTATGTCCTGGAAAGGGGCACAGAGACAGTAGCTTTCTTGGGGTCATCAGGGACATTGGTAAAGTGACAGCTTTTATGTGGTTGTTTAGTATGTATGTATTCGTATGTATGTATATATGTATTTGTCTTCCGTTGACTGTAGTCAGCAGCTGCAGACTACAAAGCACTCACAATCTCTCCTCCAGCTTGTCACACAGAGTGTATGTCTTTTTTTTTTTTTTTTTTTAGACGGAGTCTTGCTCTGTCGTCAGGCTGGGATGCAGTGGTGTAATCTCGGCTCACTGCAACCTCCACCTCCCAGGTTAAACCAATCCTCCTGCCTCAGCCTCCCAAGTAGCTGGGACTACAGGTGTGCACCACCACGCCTGGCTAATTTTTGTATTTTTAGTAGAGACGGTGTTTCACCATGTTGGCCAGGATAGTCTCGATCTCTTGACCTCGTGATCCACCCACCTTGGCCTCCCAAAGTGCTGGGATTACAGGCGTGAGCCACTACGCCCGGCCCAGAGTGTATGCCTCTTATACACTCTTATATGGCCTACCAATGTGGTCTGTCCTTGGCTCCAACTCGTTTGCAGTTCTGAAATCCCAGAGTAGGATTCAGACTTCTCTCCAGCTGTGCTGTTCCAACAAGCATTCACAGTGAGTCTTTAGGGCAGTGTCACTGTAGTTTGGGGAACTTTGTCCCTTGAGAAAGATATGTATCTGCTGTTTCATGCATTAAATATGGCTGTAAATTATGTTTTACTTCTCCTACCAAGAGATGGAGACTATTTCCCCTCCTCTTGATCTGGCCTAGTCTGTGACTTGTTTTGATCAGTGGAATACAGAATAAGTGACACTGGAAATTCCAAGGATGGGCCTTAGGAGATCTGCAACTTCTCTTTTTGTATGCTTAGAAGGCTTCCTCTTATAATCCACTTGCTATGTTATGAGATAGCCAAGTTATGTGAAGAGGCCATGTATAAGATGTTCTAGTTGACAACCCCAGCTGAGCTCCCAGCCAATAGCCAACACTAACTGTCACCATCTGAGTGAGCCATTTTGGATGTTTCAGTCTAATCAAGTCTCCAAATGTCTGTAGTCCCAGCAGACACTATGTGGATATGTAGCAAAGAATTAACCTTGCCAAAAGAAAGTTTGGTCCTGATTGAAAAGAGTGTTTTTATTTATTATTTAACCTGGGTGTTACAGGCCACACTCGATTTTTTTTGCAAATAATGTCATTTGTGGTGGGGCCTTGGGCTGTGTAGTATATCAGCTTGAGTTTGGAGGAGCTGTAGAATAGGGTCAGCTGTGTAGGAGCCACGCCTACATTACCAAACCCCAGTAAAAACTCTGGACAGAAAAGCTCAAGTTAGCTTCTCTGGTTGGCAAAATTCCGTGCATATTGCTACACATCATTTCTGGGAGAAACTAAGTGCTGTCCTTATTCTAAACTCCACTGGGAAGGAAAAACTAGAAGCTCATGCCTGGTCTTTCCTGCACTTTGCTCTATCCTTTCACTGTAATAAATTTTAACCATGAATATAACAGCCTTTCTGAGTTCTGTGAGTCCTTCTCATTGAACCTGATGTTGGTGTTGGGACCACTGAATGGCAGTGAAGAAGAAGCACTGTCCAGCGCATTCTAGCCAACCTATGGAATCGTGAGCAACAATAAGTGGTTGTTTTCAAACCACGAAATCTTGGGATAGTCTGTTTTGCTGCAATAGATATCTAAGACAACTGTGTTCTCTACTAGTTGGTAAGATTTCTAAAAGCCAAGATAACTGAATTTCTGCTGTGCTAGCATAGCACCTATTCATTGCCGGCATTCACTAAATATTTGTTAAGTTGAATTGTTAAATTAAAGTAGTTAGAGACATCTTTGTGGACTGAGAGAGACTAATTGGGATGGAAGACTTGGAGAAGAATTGTTTTATTTTCATATATGTATAACTGAAGAGAATCTCTACGCCTTTGCTATGAAATCTAAAGATAATTGCAGTTTTTTAAGGGAGCTATGCTAGTAACGATTCATTCTTTTTCTTTCAAGATAACTGTGTCATGGTGTAAAGAATACTGCTTGGAATATATTGGTTCAAGTCCAAGTTTTGTCTCTGCACACTACTTTTATGAACTTGGGTGAATCTCTTCACTTTACTAAATATCATCTTGAAGCAGTGATAATAATGGTAATCCCATGAGGTTGTTGTGAGGTTTTAATGCATGAAAAAGTGCTTTGAGAACAGTAAAGTGCTATGTAGGTATAAAGTATCATTGTGTGAGTTGATGGGACTTGCTTAAATTTTATTATTTTTAGCTGTTCAATTCCATCATCTGTCATAAATACTTTTAAAATGGACAGCATCTCAATAGCATAAGTAACGTAAAAATCTGGAAAATAACAATACAGCAGCTTTTAAATAGTAGTTTTTTTCCTCTATTTTTCTTACATTATCTCTTCACCACCACGAAGTATTCCTTTCACACTTTTTTTTCAGAAATGAAATGGAGAAAAATAATCAGAAATGGTGGCATGAAACAGGATTTCTTTTCTTCCAAGCATGTGATATCTCCCTGCCACTCCCATTCACCTCTCTTATCAACATGCTTTTTAGTTTAAAAAAGAGCAACTGCAAAGTGTTGACAAGATACTATTTGTTATGCCCATCAACCTTACTGAACTCTGGACCCTTCTTGCTGAGTCAGTTTTGATAATGTCAGATGATGATGCCCCTATCACTTTGGAACTAGTCCACTAGGCCTATGAGAGCTGCTTTTAGGTTCTTCAAGTTCATACCTGCAGCTCAGAGAATAGAATCCAAAAAGGTTGCCAAAGCCTTGCTGTGAACCTTCTTAAAGTTGCTGTAATTTCCCAGGGTCACACCCAGCATACTTCTTTGATGCCATTTATCAAATGTCGGTTGTCTTTCTGGGTCTCATAAGGTGCTAGCTGCCCCTTGCACTTACATGCATCCTATTATGTTTCAATAGGTTTGAGTACTTGTGAGTTTCTGACATAATAGAATGAAAGAAGATCAGAGCAGGAAGATATTTTAGAGATTGGAGCCCTGGCCCAGAAATTGGTTGTTATGATTTGAGAAGAGTCAAAGGTAAGGAGAAATGGCTTATAATAGGAGTGTGTGAGCATGTTCTAAGAGTCCAGCAAGGAAGGGTTTAAACCAGAGCCTGGAGACAGAGTGTTAGGTTCCAGGTATGAGGAGCATGGGAATGAGAGTCAGCCAAAGCAAGCTAATATACCAGATGATAAATTAGCATTAAAAGTATTGTGACAGCCTGGAAAAATTAGCTGAAACAAACAAGAGGCAATTCCAGAAGTGAATAAAAAAACACTTCCTATAGATTCCAAAATCAATTAGGTTTAACAGAAATTCTGTAAAACTCTTAGATTTCAGCTGCCAGGAAGGTGGGAATGAGTCAATCATATGACACCATTATCTGTAATGTGAATGCAGTCTTAGGATGCACGAATTAAACCTAAAATAAGGAAGGTAATGGTCCCACTCTCCCCTGCTTGAGTTATGTGTAGATTGTGTTCTGTTCTCAATGCTCTCTACATATATGTTTTTGAGACAGGATCTTGCTCTGTTGCCCAGGCTGGAGTGCAGTAATGTGATCATAGCTCACTGCAGCCTCAACCTCCTGGGTTCAAGCGATCCTCCCACCTTAGCCTCCCAAATAGCAGGGACTACAGATGCATGCCACTATGCCTGGCTAATTTTTAAAATTTTTTGTAGAGGCAAGGTCTCACTATATTTCCCAGGCTAGTCTGAAACTCCTGGGCTCAAGTAATCCTCCTGACTTGGCTTCCCAAAGTTCTGGGATTACAGGCATGAGCCACCATGCCCAGCCTTCAGTGCCATATTTTAAATTGTATGAATAAATGAGAAGAATATTATATGATGAGAGGTTTAAAAATGACTTCACCTGAGTAATGGTAAGTGGAACGGGGCTAGTTGCTAGATAGTTGAGGAACATAACAGGTATTTTCAATAACTTGAGAAATTGTTAATATGAAAGAAGAATTAGGACTTACTTTTATGGGTCTTCAAGATAGAATTTTGGTAACTGGATGGAAAATGTAATGGGAAAATTAGGGCTCAGCGATATCAAGAACTCTCCAGTGAAAGTTGTCCATAAATGAAGAGGGATATGGTATGAGAGGGGTACACTACTCATTGGGGAAGTGTTCAAAAAGAGGCTGATTGGCCAACTACTAGTAACTCTGGAAAACAGAATTCCTGCCTAGGGGAGAGGTCAAACCACATGCTCTTCAAGATCCCTATCATCTCTTAAGTTTCATGACCCTGTGATCTCCTGCACTAGAGAGAGACATATTGTAGACATTCAGAGATTTCCATTGACAGCCTAGCATTCCAGCTTGCCACACAATTATGCTGTGGGCTGGCCAGAGAAATATCTGGTCTGGCCAGAGTCAGTAGAATGCCACATAACCCAGGCATAAGGTATTGGACTTAAGTGGATAAATTACCACATACTTGGTGGCTTAAAGCAACATAAATTTATTGTCTCACAGTTCTGGAGGCCAGAAGTCTGACATCAAGTTCTTGTCAGGTCCACACTCTCTCAGAAGTCTCTAGTGGAGAATCTGTTCCTTGCCTCTTCCAGCTTCTGGTGGCTCCAGGCATTCCTTGGTTTGTGGCTGCATCATTCCAATCTCCGGTTCTGTGGTCACAATGCCGTCTTTTCTGTCTTCCTCCTCTTTGTGTTGCTTATAAGGCTACTTGTCATTGGATTTAGAGCCTACTCAGATAATCAAGGATGAGCTTCACATCTCAAGATCCTTAATTTAATTATATCTGCAAAAATCCCTTTTTCAAATAAGATAACATTCACAGATTCTGAAAATTAGGACATGGACATATCATCTGAGGACCACCATTCAGCCCACTGTACTCATTTTAATGGTCATTACACTATCGCTATTATCAATAAATAGTGCTTTGCCTGTGGTGGTGCTTAAAGCAGAACAGTCTTGTGAGATTCTCAACACAGTCTAGCGCTTAATAAGCTCACTCTTGGAATCAGAAAGATCTGAGTTTAATTCCAGTTTTGCTACTTAGAAGTGTATCTCTGGCAGGGGCGAACTTCATTTCTGATTCCTCAACTCTAAAATGAGAATAGTGGAACTTATCTCATAGGGTTAATATGAGTAACCAATACAATAATGCTTGTAAATTACTTAACATAGGGCCAGGTATATTGCTGACATTCCACAAGTGGTATTATTAATGACTTTACTCCTTTCCCATGATTTTAGGCTATCTGAGGTGTCAGGCTTTTATCATTCCCTGGAAATTTACATGAAATTAACATATGCTTATTGAGGATTGACTCTGCACCATACACTATCATACATAATAAGTATAAATGGTAAACAAGACAGACATGGTCTTTGCCCTCACAGATCTTAGAGTGTGATGCCATCAATGGTTAATAAAACATGTTAATATAATACAATATTGCCATTATGACAATTGAGGAATTACAGGAACCTGAGAAGTGTATAGACGGGACACCCAACCCAGGCAAAATTCTGGATAGAGGAAGAGGACCTCTGTGTATGGGAGGATACTTATATTTGTAGCAGAGGGGCTGAGTTGCATTCAAAGCCTGATTATGACTGAGGAACTGGTAGTTCCTCAAGCATCTGTTGGCATGTGTTGATTTTACATGGGGGATGTGGGCCTGTGCTCTTTGTTCCTGGAGAGAAAGACTGAGAGATGAGAAGGCAACTTAGTGTAGGTTTTCCAAGGAGTAGGTCCTAAGACAAAGATTTTAGTGCAAATAGTTTATTTGGGAGATAATCCTAAGAAATACCGACAAGAGAGTGGAGGAGTGAGACAGGTAAGAAGAGAGCCAATAAATGGTGCTTTATCAAGCTAGTTACCACCATGGTTAATTAGAGCTCCATTATATTGGGGAACTCTAGAAGCCAATGTAGAACACAAGCAGCGGAGTTATCTACATCTACACTTGTGGGTCATTGGTATGCAAGAAACTTGTCCATAAGCAGGGAAGACAGGCTACTGAAGAAATCTCAGGCAAAGAGATGCAGATGTTGGCAGTTGGCAAGGGCTGACAAGCTATGGGTGGGACAAGATCAGCATGTGATGCAGGAGGAAAACATGGTTTTCTCTCCAGTTTGTTGCCAGGGACAAAGTCCGAGGCCCATGAGCAGAGGGGGATTCTAATTAGAAACTAAAGGAGGTTTTCTCACAAGGGTCTATATATTACTTGGGGGGACAAACAGTGCTTCTTAAGGTCCAGCTGACAAAATGCAGCACCTGGGAAGAGATGCTTTGAACAACCAATGGGTCAATGAAGAAATTAAAAGGGAAATTAAAACTTTTCTTGAGATAAATGAAAATGAAAACACAACATACCAAAACTTATGGGATACAGCAAAAGCAGTTCTAAGAAAGAAGTTTATAACAATAAACACCTATATTAAGAAAGAAGAAAGATCTCAAATAAATAACCTAACCTTGAACCTCAAGGAACTGGAAAGACAAGAAGAAACTAAGCCCAAAATTAGTAGAAGGAAGGAAATAATAAAGATCAGAGCAGGAATAAATGAAATAGAAACTAGAAAAACAATAGAAAAGATAAATGGAACAAAGAGTTGCTGTTTTTAAAAGATAAACAAGGCTGGGGGCAGTGGCTCACGTCTGTAATTCCAGCACTTTGGGAGGCCAAGGCAGGTGGATCACCTGAGGTCAGGAGTTCGAGACTAGCCTGCCAACATGGTGAAACCACGTCTCTACTAAAAATACAAAAATTAGCCAGGCGTGGTGGCAGGTGCCTGTAATCCCAGTTACTCAGGAGGCTGAGACAGGAGGAGAATTGCTTGAACCCTGGAGGCGGAGGTTGCAGTGAGCTGAGATTGTGCCATTGCACTCCAGCCTGGGCTACAGGAGTGACACTTTGTCTCAAAAAAAAAAAAAAAAAAAGGAAAAGAAAAGATAAAATTGACAAACCTTTAGCTAGACTAAGAAAAAAAGAGAGAAGACTCAAATAAGATTAGAGGCACAAAAGGAGACATTACAACTGATACCATAGAAACAAAAGATCATAAGAAATTATTATGAAGAATTATATGCCAACAAATTGGATAACCTAGAAAACAGGTAAATTCCCGGACACATACAACTTATCAAGATTGAAGTATGAAGAAATACAAAATCTAAATAGACTAATTATGAATAAGGAGATTGACTCAGTAACAAATAGTTTCCGATCAAAGAGAAGCCCAGGACATGATGACTTCACAGCTGAATCCTGCCAAACGTTTAAAGAAACAGTAACTTGAAGTCTCAAACTCTTCCAAAAAATTGAAGAGGGGTGATATGGTTTGGATCTGTGTCTCTGTCCAAATCTCATGTCAAATTGTAATCCCTAATGTTGAAGTTGGTGTTTGGTGGGAGGTGACTACATCACAGAGGCAGATTTCTCATGTATGGTTTGTTACATCCACTTGGTGCTGTTCTTGTGATAGTGAGTGAGTTCTTGTGAGCTCTGGCTGTTTAAAAGTGTGTAGCACCTTTCCCCTCTCTCTCTTGCTCCTACTCCAGCCATGTGATATGTGTGCTCCCCTCTGCCTTCTGCCATAATTGTAAGTTTCCTGAGGCCTCCCCAGAAGCTGAGTAGATGCCAGCATAATGCTTCCTGTACAGTCTGTGGAACTGTGAGCCAATTAAATCTCTTTTCTTTATAAATTACCCAGTCTCAGGTATTTCTTTATAGCAATGTGAGAACAAACTGATACCTCCAAACTAATTTTACAAGGCCAGCATTACCACAATACTAAAACCAGATGAGGACACAACCAAAAAAGAAAACTACAGGCCAATATCCCTGATGAATAGATATTTGAAAATCTTTAATAAAATATTAAATTCAACAGCATATTAAAAAGATTATCCACCATGAGCAAATGAAATTTATCCCAGGGATGCAAGAATGGTTCAACATATGTAAATCAGTAAAGGTGATACATCACATTAATACAATGAAGGAAAAAACCATATGATCATGTCAATAGATGCAGAAAAAGCATTTGACAAAATTCAACATCTCTTTATGATAAAAACCCTCAACAAATTAAGTACAGAGGGAATGTACCTCAACACAATATAGGCTATATATTATAAATCCACAGCTAATACACTAAAAGTGGGAAAAGTTGAAAGCTTTTCAAGATTTGGAACAACACAAAGATGCCTACTCTCACCACTTATAGTCAACATAGTACTGGATGTCCTAGCCAGAGCAATTAGCTAAGATAAACAAATAAAAGGCATCCAAATTGGAAAGGAGGAAGTTAAATTGTCCCTGTTTGCACATGACACAATCTTAAATACTGAAAACCCTGAAGATTCCATCAAAAAATGTTAGAACTAATAAACACATTTAATAAAGTTGTAGGATAGAAAATCAACATGCAAAATTCAGTAGCATTTTTATACGTTTATAGCAAACTATCAGAAAAATAAATAAAAATTCCATTTATAATATTTACAAAAATTAAAATACTTAGGAATAAATTTAACCAAGGAGATGAAAGATCTCTACACTGAAAACTAGAAAACATTGCTGAAAAAAAATTGAAGAAGATATAAAAAGGATGGAAAGGTATCCTGTGTTCATGGATTGTAAGAATTAAAATTGTTAAAATGCCCATACTACCCAAAGCAATCTACAGATTCAATACAATTCCCATCAAAATACCAATGACATTCTTCACAGAAATAGAAAAAAATACTAAAGTTTGTATGGAACCATCCAAGACCTTGAATAGCCAAAGAAATTTGGAGCAAAAAAAACAAAAACAAAACACAGAAAAACAATGCAAAGCTGGAGGCATCACACTATCTGACTTCAAAATGTGCTACAGAGCTATAGTAATCAAAACAGCATGATACTGGCATAAAGACAGACACGTAGACCAATGGAACAGAAAAGAGAACCCAGAAATAAATCCACACGTTTATAGCAAACTGATTTTTAATGAAGGTGCCAAGAACATACAATAGGGAAAGGACAGTCTCTTCAACAAATAGTGTTGGGAAAACTGGATAGACACATGCAGAAAAATGAAATTAGACCTTTATCTCTCACTGTATAAAAACCACTCACAAAAACGGTTAACGACTTAAATGTTAGACCCCAAACTATGAAACTTCTAGAAGCAAAAACAGGAGAAAAGCTTTAAGACATTTGTCTGGGCAATGAATTTTCTTTTTTTTCTTTTTCTCTTTTTTTTTTTAACATGACCTCAAAGCACAGGTAACAAAAGCAAAAATAGACAAATGGGATTACATCAAATGGAAAAGTTTCTGCACAGCAAAGGAAATAATTGACAGACTGAAGTGTAAACTAAAATTAAAGTTCTAAGCCCCCCAACTGAGTAAGTGGATCTCCCTCTCAGCCAAGAGGATCCCAAAGAAACCTCAAAAACTAGTTCAAGCCATGACAGGAAGGAGACTGGGGTCAGACATGCCTCATTATACCCTCTTCCTTTTGGAGTTTAGACACAACTCAGCATTACTATTAAAATAGAGATCCTAAGAGTGACAGAAGAAATTCTTTGTAGCAATAAGATAACAACTCCAGACTGTGGAGACTGCATCTTCCTGGCGGGCACAGAGCCTCACCCTCCCCACTCCATCACCAGTCCACACCCACTGCCAGATCACCATGAATGATGATATCACTGCTCTCGTCTTCAACAAAGGCTCTGGCATGTGCAAGGCTGCCTTCATGGGCGATGATGCCCCCCAGTTGTCTTCCCCTCCATCATGTGGTGCCCGTGGCACCAGGGCGTGATGCTGGGCATGGGTCAGAAGGACTCCTACATGAGCGATGAGGTCCAGAGCAAGAGAGGCATCCTGACCCCACCCTGAAATGCCCCATGGAGCACAGCATTGTCACCAAATGGGATGACATGGAGATCTGGCACCATAACTTTTACAACAAGCTATGTGCGGCTCCCGAGGAGCACCCCATGCTGCTGACCGAGGCCCCCCTGAGCCCCAAGGCCAACCATGAGAAGATGACCCAGATCATGTTTGAGACTTTCAATGCCCCAGCCATGTACTTGACCATCCAAGCTGGTATGCCTCTGGCAGTACCACTGGCATCGTGATGGACTCTAGCGATGGGATCACCCACACTATGCCCATCTATGAGGGGTACACCCTCCCCCATGCCATCTTGCCTCTGGACCTGGCTGGCCAGGACCTGACTGACTACTTCATGAAGATCCTCAAGGAGGGCGGCTACAGCTTCACCACCACTGCTGAGCGGGAAATCATGCTTGACATCAAGGAGAAGCTGTGCTACATCACCCTGGACTTCGAGCAGGAGATGGCCACTGCAGCCTCTAGCTCCTCCCTGGAGAAGAGCTAGGAGCTGCTCAACGGCCAGGTCATCACCATCAGCAACCAGTGGTTCCACTGCCCCAGTACCTCTTCCAGCCTTCCTTCCTGGGCATGGAATCCTATGGCATCCACGAAACTACCTTCACCTCCATCATGAAGTGTGATGTGGACATCTGCAAAGACCTGTACGCCAATACAGTGCTGTCTGGCGGCACTACCATGTACCCTGGCATTGCCGACAGGATGCAGAAGGAGATCACTGTCCTGACTTCCAGCACAGTAAAGATCAAGATCATTGCTCCTCCTGTGCATAAATACTCTGTGTGTTTCGATGGCTCCATCCTGGCCTCCCTGTCCACCTCCCAGCAGATGTGGATCAGCAAGCAAAAATACCAAGAGGCCGGCCCCTTCATCACCCACAGCAAGTGCTTCTAGGCGGACTGTTACTTAGTTGCATTACACCCATTCTTGACAAAAACCCAACTTGCCAGAAAACAAGATGAGATTGGTGTGGCCTTACTATTATTATTATTATTATTATTATTTGTTGTTGTTGTTGTTGTTGTTTAGCTTGACTCAGGATTTGAAAACTGGAAAGGTGGAGGCGACAGCAGTCAGTTGGAGTGAGCACCCCTCAAAGTTCTACAATGTGGCCAAGGACTTTGATTGTACATTGTTCTTTTTTTAAATAGTCATTCCAAATATCATGAGATGCATTGTTACAGGAAGTCCCTTGCCCTCCCAAAAGCCACCCCACTTCTCTCTAAGGAGAATGCCCCAGTCCTCTCCACACAGGGGAGGTGATAGCATTGCTTTCATATAAATTATGTAATGCAAAAAATGTTTAATCTTCACCTTAATACTTTTTAAATTTTGTTTTATTTTGAATGATCAGCCATTGTGATCCCCCTTTTTTGCCCCTCAACTTGACGTGTATGAAGGTTTTTGGTCTTTCTGGGAGTGGGTGGAGGTGTGGAGGCAGCCAGGGCTTACCTGTACACTGACTTGAGACCAGTTGAATAAAAGAGCACACCTTAAAAAAAAAAAAAGATACTAACTCCAACCTTACTCTGGTATAACATCACATGACAGATAACAGGCCCTAAAGGAAATCAAAGTATTCTATCCTAAAATATGTTTCTTTGACATATTTTGAAATGGCCCTGCAAAACCATCTCTTGTGGGGGAAATCTACATTCTGTAGAGAATGCCCTTCCCTTTCCAGGTCTTTTCCTGTTCCAGGAGAGAATTAACTAAGAGTCTGACACCTTTTAAGGTCCAATAAGAAACATTCACCACCTATTCTTTCTGTAGCCTGCTACCTGGAACCTTCATCTATATCACAAGAATCTTGGATTCCACAACCACCTCCTTACCTTAAGTCAAGTTGACTTTAACTCTTCAGGCAGAGATTAACTCCTTCAACCAATTTGCTAATCAGGAAAACCTTTGAATGTACCTATGACCTAGAAGATCCCCTGCTTTGAGATGTCCCACCTTTGTGGGCAGAACCAATGTATACCTTGCCTATATTGATTTATGTCTTTGCCTATGACTTCTGTCTCCCCAAAATGTATAAAATCACCTTATAATCCTACCATCTTGGGCACATATTCTCAGGACCCCCTGAAGCTGTGTCATGGGCCATGATCCTTAATCTTGGCAAAATAAACCTCTAAATTGATTGAGACCTGTCTCAGATACTTTTTGATTTACAGAAGATACAACCTAAAGAACGGGGAAAATATTTGCAAACCATACATCTTATAAGGGGTTAATAACCAAAATTGTAGGGAACTCTAACAAATCAATAGCGAAAATACAAGAAATCTGATTTTTAAAATGAGCAAAAGACCTAATGTATTAGTCCATTCTCACACTGCCATGAAGAAATACCCAAGACTGGGTAATTTATAAAGAAAAGAGGTTTAATTGACTCAAGTTATGCATGGCTGGAAAGGCCTCAGGAAGCTTACCATCATGGCAGAAGGCAAAGGGGAAGAAAGGCACCTTCTTCACAGGGCAGCAGGAAGGAGATGTGCTGAGCAAAAGTGAAAAAGCCCCTTATAAAATCATCAGATCTCGTGAGAACTCACTATCACGAGAACAGCATGGGGGTAATCGCCCCCATGATTCAATTACCTCCCACCAGGTCCCTCCCACAACACATGGGGATTATGGGAACTACAAGATGAGATTTGGGTGGGGACACAGCCAAACCATATCACTTAAATACGCATTTTTCAAAAGAAAACATACAAATGACCAACAGGTATATGAAAAAATGCTCAACATCACTAATCATCAGGAAAATGAAAATCAAATCCACAATGAGATAAGCTCACACCCGTTAGAGTGGCTATTTTCAAAAGGACAACTTTTAGAAAGGATGTGGAGAAAAAGAAACCCTTGCATGCTCTTGGTGGGAATATAAATTCGTACAACCATTTTGGAAAACATTATGGGGGTTTCTGAAGAAATTAAAAATACAACTACCATAGGGTCCAGCAATCCCACTACTGGGTGTATATCCAAAGGAAATAAAATCAGTATGTTGTAGAGATATCTGTGCCCCCATGTTGATTGCAGCACTGTTTATAATAGCCATGATGTTAAGTCAACCTAAGAGTCCATCAATGAATGAATGAATAAAGAAAACGTGGTACATATACACAGTGGAATACTGTTCAGTTACAAAAAAGAAGGAAATTCTGTTGTTTGCAGCAAAATGGATGATCCTGGAAGACATTATGTTAAGTGAAATAAGCCAGGCATAGCAAGACAAATACCACATATTCTCACTCATATGTGGAATCTAAAAAAGTTGATCTCATAGAATTAAAAAGAAGAATGGCAGCTACCAGAAGCTAGGGTGGTTGCGGGGAGGGGAGTTCGGGAGATGTTGGTGAAAGTATACATAATTACTATTAGCTAGGAGGAATAAGTTCAAGAGATCTATTGTATAGTATGGTGACTATAATTAATAATGATATATTATATTTTTGAAAAATGCTAAGAGAGTAGATGTTAAGTGTTCTTACCACAAAATGACAACTATGTGAGGTAATGCATTTATTAATTAGCTAGATTAGAGTTAACCATTTTACAATGTATATGTACTTTGAAACATTATTTTCTACATGATAAATACATACAATTTTATATGTCAATTTAAAAATAAATACATTTTAAAAACAAAACAACAACAAAAATAAAGTGGTATTCTATATTCTCCTTAGCTTTGGCAAGAAAAATGTCAAAGATATAAATAAACGGTTGAATAAATACGTGGAGAAAATATAAACCCAAACCTTCTTTTATAATGCTAATGTTTCTTCAAGGAATGGAAAGTAATTTTAATATTACCTTAAATAAGCCATGGTTAATAAAATTATAGATATTCGTTGTATGTCGGGCAGTATGATTTGACAGATATCATCTCAATTATCACAAGGGCACCTTAAAGAAGGCTTTATTTTCAGATGAGGAAACTGGAGCTTAGAGAGAGCATTTAGACTACCCAAGGTCTTGCAGCTTCTAAGTGGTGGAGCTGGAATTGGAACTCAAGTAGTGAGACTTTAGAACTTACTTTCCAAGATGAATATGTTATACTGCTTCCCTGTATGCTAAAATAGGAGCACAGTCTTGGTCATAAAATGTTGTTTTTGAAGTGCATGGTAGCATAAATTATTTTTGGACCATCTTTTCCTTCTTACACTCATTGCCCTTGTGAATACATTTCTGAAATATTTATTTGATTCATGCCTTCCTACTGCATTTTAAGCTCAGTGACGTTGGACTCTGTCTTTTTGTCCACCTCTGCTTTCCAAATTCCAGCACAGTTAGTTACTGTACAGAGTGAGCATTAAGGAGCTTTTGTTGATTGTATAAATGATCTGTTCCTCTACTTCTCTTTGTTAATGAGGAAAAGACAAGTTGCTGAGGAATCTAAGACAATTTTAATTATCTGGTTTCTATAACTATGGTACCCTGTCCTGACAGCTCTTAGCACTTGTAATATCTAATTATTCAGGAGGCAACATTTGTTAGCTGCCTTATTTTAAGCACAATATCAACTCTTAGATGGGAATTATATTTTCATATTCATAGGGTTCATAAATGTACCTTTTGAAGTTTTCATGGGGGTGGTATTTTAAATGTACTTTTAAAAAGCTGCACTCAGAGGAACTAATTTGATTTTTTTTTTTTTTTTGGCTGACAAGATTTTCCTAGGTATGGCTGAGATGCTAACAAATGTACCTTTCCAGTAGTAATGTATGCATATCATAGAGTGCTCTACTTGAAGATGACTCTGTATCTTCCCTTGGAACCTTAGGAAGGAGCGCTACATTTGATCTTTCTACACTCTGCAGCTGTGGAACCTATAACATGTTTTGCTGCCATTCATTCATAGTATGCAAGATGAGTTTTATATAGTACCTAGGAAAGTGCCTGGTACATAGTAGGCACTCAATAAATGCTGGTTGGCTGACTGATTGAATGAATAAATGCATGAATCTATGGTTTGAGTCAACTTGATATGATTTAAAGAAACAGAAATGCTTCCTCTCTGCCTGCAAATGACAAAACTCCCATATGCATCCATTTTGGGGGGTTAAAGCTTTAGAAGGCAGTTAGAGTGCAACTATACCAAATGAGTTCCTTTTTTTTGAGACAGGAGTCTGGCTCTGTCGCCCAGGCTGGAGTGCAGTGGCGCGATCTCGGCTCACTGCAAGCTCCGCCTCCCGGGTTCACGCCATTCTCCTGCCTCAGCCTCCCGAGTAGCTGGGACTACAGGCGCCCGCCACCACGCCCAGCTAATTTTTTGTATTTTTAGTAGAGACGGGGTTTCACCGTGTTAGCCAGGATGGTCTCGATCTCCTGACCTCGTGATCTGCCCGCCTTGGCCTCCCAAAGTGCTGGGATTACAGGCGTGAGCCACCGCGCCCAGCCACCAAATGAGTTTCTAACCCACTACCTTGAATTAGTATTCCAGACTTAGAGCTTTACAAGCTCTAGATGAAACGAAAGATTTAAGAAGATGAAATATAGGACCAGGCCCATTTCGATAAGAAGTAGGGGATGTGGGATGTGCAAAGAGATATGTCCAGGATAGGAAATCAGATGGACAGGATGAGGGGCCTGTAGAGGCACCAAAAGCCACATTTTTGGCTCCCCATTTACCATCTGAGTCCACTAGGACTGCTATGTGCAGTGAGCAGAGCAGGGCTGCAGCCCAAAGAGACAGGTGGCTGTCCATGACTTTAGAGTATTTTTTATTTGGACTGTCATGTGTATGTCTCTGGTAAATGTGGTATGAAATGCTTGACAGTTCCAGCTCTCCCAGCCCTAGCAGAGTGAGCTAAACATTTGCTGTGTCAGCCAACCTCCAAGGAGGACTGTAATGATCCTTGCCTCTTGACATTCAAGTCCTTGTGTAGATCCTTCCTATACTGAATAAGACGTTGCAGATGTGTGACCTCTGAGGTTAGATCATAAAAGACAGCCTAGCTACCACCTTGGGCTCTTGGACAGTTTGCTCTGGAAGAAGCTAGTAACCTTGTCATGGGGACACATACACAGCCCTGTAGAGAGGACCATATGGAGAGAGGAACTAAGGCCTCCCACCAACAGTCAGCACCAACCTCCTAGGCGTGTGAGTGAGCCACCTTGGAAGCAGATGCTCCAGCCCTAGTTGAGCCTTTATTTGACTGCAGCCCTGGCTGGTATCTTGAGTACAACCTCATGAGAAACCAGAACTGGAACCATTGAGCCAAGCTGTCCCCAGATTCTTGATGCCTGGAAACTGTGGAAGATATTAAATGTTTATTGTTGTTTTAAGCCACTAAGTCTGCAGTGATCCTTTTTTACACAGCATTAGAGACTAATTCATTTTCTTTGTCTTGAAGTCTGTGATCATAATTGCTATTACGCCATTTTGTTAAGCAGGTATCAGGTCTTCTAGACCTCTTTAAAGGTGGTGATTTTTTTCTTCTTTTTTCTGGTTTCACGTAAGAACTCAAGAATGTGAGAATATAGAGCAAAAACTAGAGTCAGGCAGACATACACTTGAATCTTGGTTTGGCCACCTGTGTGACTTTGAACAAGTTACTTAACTCATAAATTTATTATGAGCATTAAAAGAACAAATGCATTTCAAGTGCTTAAGATAGCGTATGACTTATAGTAAGAACTCAAGAAATGCTATTATAGTTATTACCTTTATATAAAAAAGATGCCTCTAAGGGCCTTGCCTTATGGGCAGCAACCACTAGCCAATACTCTAAAGTAACTGAAGTGTGTTCTGTGCCTAAATGGAGAATTTGATTTCTATTAGAATTATTAACTAAACTTATTAAGATATAATTTATATGCCATACAATTAATCCACTTTAAGTACACAATTCAATGATTTTTAGTAAATGTACTGAGTTGTGCAATTACTCCCACCACCCACTTTTAGAATATTTTCATTGCCCTGAAAGGAAATCTTGTGCCCATTTCTAGTCATTTCCCATTCTTACTTCCAGTCCCAGGCAACCACTAATCTACTTTCTGTCTCTATAGATTTGCTTTTTCTTTTTTTGACATTCCATATAAAAAGAATCATACAATATGTGGTCTTTTGTGTCTGGCTTCTTACACATAGTATGTTTCTGAGACTCTTCCATGTTGTGGCATGTATCATTACTTTATTTCTTTTTATTGCCAAAAATATTCTATTGTTTGGCTATACTACATTTTGTTTATCCATTCATTCATCAGTGGACACTTGGTTTGCTTCCGTGTTTTGGCTTTTATGGATGCTTCTGCTATGAATATTGGTGTACGAGTTTTTTGTGTGGACAAATGTTTTCATTTAGCTTGGATAGATACCAAGGAGTGGAATTGATAGGTAGTATGGGAAAAGTATACTTAACTTTTAAAGAAACTGCCAAACCATTTTCCAAAGTGGCTACACCACTTTGGAAATGAAAGTTCTTGTTTATCCACATCCTTGCCAACATTTCTTATTGTTTATTTTTTGATTTGTCTTGATTGCTATAGCTTTATAGTAAGTTTTTAAAATTGCAAAGTGAAAGTCCACGACATTTCTATTAAAAAATCATTTTAGCTCTTCTGTGTCTTTTGGTTTTTCATACAAATTTTAGGATCAGCTCATGAATTTTTGTGAGAGAAATTGAGAGAAAGAGAAAGGCTTATGGAATTTTGATGGGGACTGCACTGAATCTACTGATTAATTTGGAATAATTGCCATTTTAAGAATAAGAATTTTTCCAATTCATGAACATGGACCTTCTCCATTTATTTAAATTTTCTTTAATTTCCCTCAACAATGTTTTATAATTTTCATTGCATATGTCTTGCAATTCTTTTGTTAAATGTATTCCAAAATTTTTATTCTTTTTGGTAATCTTTTGGATGGAATTATTTTCTTAATTTCACTTTTGGATTGTTCATTCTTTATATATACATCTATAAATACAATTGATCTTCATATATTGGTATCGTCTTTTGCAACCTCGCTGAACTTGTTTATCAGTTCTAATAAGTGTTTCAGGAGCTCCTTAGGATTTTCTATAAACAGGATTAGATCATTTGTGAAGTTTTACTTCTTCCGTTCTAGCTGAATGCTTTCTACTTCTTTTTAATTACATGATTAATTATGTACTGGCCAGACCTCCAGTGCAATGTGGAGTAGAATTGGTGAGATGGACACCCTTTCCTTGTTTCTGATTTTGGGGGAAAAGCATTCAGTCTTTCACCATGAAATAGGATGACGATGGTAACTGTAGGTGTTTCATAGATGCCCTTTCTCAGATTGAGGAAGTTCCCTTCTACTACAACTTTGTTGAGCGTTTTTATCATAAAAAGGTATTGAATTTTGTGAAATGCCTGTTCTGTATCTATTATGATAATTGAATTTTGGCTTTAAACTAACTTTGCATTCCTGGGATAAATCTCAGTTGGTCTTGCACAAAGCAAGAATATGTATGTGTGTATTATGTTGTTTGGTGGAGTGTTATATAGATGTTAGTTAGGTCAAGTTGTTTGATATATGTATAGAAATACATATAAGGCACAGAAGTCTTATATATCCTGGCTGATTTTCTGTCTAATCATTCTATCAATTATTGAGAGCCCAATATTGAAGTCTAAAACTTTATTGTTGAGTTGTATATTTCTCCATTTTTGATTGATGTACGCTGTAGGCATAATAATGGCTCCCCAAATATGTCTGAGTCATAGAATCGATGACTATGTTATATTACATGGCAAAAGATAATTATGGTGGGAGGTGAAACTAAAATGTCTAATCAGCTGACCTTAACAATACCGGAAGTAGCTCTTAGTCTAAAATGATTCATCATTCCTTCCTGCCCACAAAAGCACATAACCAACACCAAATTAGAAAATCATGTTCTGTCTTTACAGAGTAAGGGAATAGGATCCAGCATCCCATTCATTATATCAAGAAGCAAAAGATTTGGGTTCTTCTTCAGCCTTTTGTGTGACATTGAGCAAACTACTCAATTTTACTGAGCCACAATTTTGTATCTTCAAAATATTTTTTACTTATTGCAGGATAATATATATTAAATGCTTGAGCTCCTCAAGTAGATGTTAAGAAATAGGGATAAAATAATCCAAACCTCATTTTATGCAATGAGAGGTGGTATGTTTGAAAACATTCACTGCATGGGCACTGGGAGGCAGCAACTCTTTTTCACAAAAATGCCAAGGGTTAAATATGGGAAAAATCTTGAGATTACTTTCCATCTCACAACAAATGACATTTACAACCAATTCTGGTTGTCTTTTACATTCTGTACATTTAGTTCTGAGAGAGAACTGCTTCACGCAGGCTTCTGAAAACCTTTTTGCTGCCATGGTGAAGCTGAAACTCCTCCCCCGACCTCCATCTCTTCACCATTTGACTTGGAAAATTTAACATGATAATATCTCAGCATTGTTCCTGTGACTTTAATACTGTGAGCCCTTCAGAGAATCCAATGACCACTTCCTTTTCTGAAATCTGTGTGCTCTTAATTTGGTCTTGCCACTGTCGCCTGCTCTCCAGCGCTTTCCCCTCCTCACTCCAACCCTGCTAACACACACCTACTCACACAATTTACACCCACACAATGACTCCAACATAAAGTGTGGGCTTGTGAAGTGGCAGACTTTTTGAAAACCACAAATGCAGATATCAAGGCAATCTCCAATTACATAAATTGCAGGGCCCAGTGCAAAATAAAAATGCAGGACTCCTTGTTCAAAACGCAGTAACAAAGTACATTAGCGGTAATAAAATGTGAAGCTTTATCCTTTCTTCCGTGATCTCTTTTTCACAACTAGTCATTATGTCTTTTATTTGCTAATGTGGTTCTAAGTAAAGAAAAGTTAAAAATTTGAATTATTAGCATGAATTGGGTCATTTATTTTTATGTTACCCAGTGCTACTTTTAAATCAAAATATAAGAGCATTTAACCCATATGCAGAATCACCAAAATTATGCAATTAGTATTTTGTAGGTCACACGGATATGTATTTCATTCTTACCAGAACAGTGGAAAACACTACACAGAACAAAGCCAAATACTTTTATTTCACATCTTGATATGCACACATGCTACCAACACTCCCTACCTTTGGCTTACTGATGAATAAGGTTAAACTGAAAGGAAAAGGAACTATGAGTTGGCCTATTTTCTGTTTCCTTTTATACCATCATTTTCAGAGAAAGTGGTTGGCTAATAAAGGAAAGCAAGAAGGGTAAGATAGGATATAATGGGGTCTCTTGTCTGTGTTTCTTAGAACATCATTACTTTCTAATTTTTTTTTTTTTTTGAGACGGAGTCTCACTCTGTTGCCCAGGCTGGAGTGCAGTGGCGTGATCTCGGCTCACTGCAACCTCCGCCTCCTGGGTTCAAGCGATTCTCATGCCTCAGTCTCCCGAGTAGCTAGGATTATAGACGTGGGCCACCACACCCAGCTAATTTTTTCATTTTTAGTACAGCCTGGGTTTTGCCATGTTGGCCAGGCTCTCTCAAACTCCCCACCTCAGGTGATCTACCCGCCTCAGCCTCCCAAAGTGCTGGGATTACAGGCGTGAGCCACAGCACCTGGCCAGAACACCATTACCTTCTCGGCAAGTTTTGGTTCAGGCCAGGTTCGATGGCTCACGCCCATAATCCCAGGACTTTGGGAGGCTGAGGCGGGAGGATCACTTGAGATCAGGAGTTTGAGACCAGCCTGGCCAACATGACGAAATCTGGTCTCTACCAAAAATACAAAAATTAGCCAGGCGTGGTGGTGGGCACCTGTAATCCTAGCTGCCCTGGAGGCTGAGGCAGGAGAATCGCTTGAGCCCAGGAGGCGGAGGTTGCAGTGAGCCGAGATCACACCACTGCACTCCAGCCTGGGCCACAGAGCAAGACTCTGTCTCAAAGAAAAAAAAATTCTGGTTCAAATGGTAACATGGCTTTTTGCACTGTCAGTGCCCTTACTTACTCAGCTGTAGAAGTAACACCCTTAAGTTGATTCACTTTTAGTGTCAGCGAACTCTTGGTGCATCATGGTTCCACTGGAGTTCTGTGCTCATGAGGTATTAAAATGTTCTATGTGAATAAGGCAACAAGAACTAGTGGACACACATCCTGCTCATATCTTGTCTGCTTATGCTCATGCTCCATTGTTCCATCAGACTTCACTTACAAGATACAAGTTTGAAGATTAAATTACTAAGAACTTCGAGACAGCAACAGCAAGGCATTAAACCAAGCACAAGACCCCTTAGAGTATGAAGCCCTGTGTGACTGCACAGGTGGCACACTCATGAAGTTGGCCCTGAGGCCATCTTTTCCTTTAACTTCCTCCCCTTTAGCAGGCATGTCACCTTTGCTACTTCCTCTCCGAATCATTTTCAAAGTAGTTTATAAATTATAAATATGCATCGGTGTTCATCACTGTCATCTGGCATGCCGAGGGACACGTGCTGAAGCAGGATTGCTCATTCTCCTCATTTGCCCCCACAAACTGCACCGAAGCTCGATGTTTTAGGAGATTTCTGGAAAAGAATACCCCAGCCCTGCCGGGTGCAGTGGCTCACGCCTGTAATCCCAGCACTTTGGGAGGCCGAGGCAGGCGGATCACGAGGTCAGGAGATTGAGACCATCTTGGCTAACACGGTGAAGCCCCATCTCTACTAAAAATACAAAAATTAGCTGGGCGTGGTGGCAGGTGCCTGTAGTCCCAGCTACTCGGGAGGCTGAGGCAGGAGAATAGCTTGAACCCTGGAGGCGGAGGTTGCAGTGAGTGAGATTGCGCCACTGCACTCCAGCCTGGACAACAGAGTGAGACTCCATCTCAAAAAAAAAAAAAAAGAAAAATGCTGTAATAGACATTCATGTACAAGTTTTTGTGTGGACATGTTTTCAGTTCTTTTGGGGAAATAAGTAGGTGTGGAATAGCTGGGTCATGTGGTAACTCTGTGATTCACTTTTGAGGAACTGCCAGACTGTTTTTCACTGTGGCTACACCATTTTATATTTCCACCAGCAACGTATGAGGGTTCTAACTTTTCCCCATCCTTGTCAACACTTGTTCTTATCTGTCCTTTTGATTATAGCCATCCTAGTGGGTATGAGGTGATATCTCATCATGGTTTTGATTTTTATTTGTCTAATGACTAATGATATGTGTTTATTGGCCTATATGTCTTTGGAGAAATGTCTACTCAAACTTTTGCCCAATTTGTAATTGGGTCATTTGTCTTTTTTTTTTTTTTTAATTTATTTTTTTATTGATAATTCTTGGGTGTTTCTCACAGAGGGGGATTTGGCAGGGTCATGGGACAATAGTGGAGGGAAGGTCAGCAGATAAACAAGTGAACAAAGGTCTCTGGTTTTCCTAGGCAGAGGACCCTGTGGCCTTCCGCAGTGTTTGTGTCCCTGATTACTTGAGATTAGGGAGTGGTGATGACTCTTAACGAGCATGCTGCCTTCAAGCATCTGTTTAACAAAGCACATCTTGCACCGCCCTTAATCCATTTAACCCTGAGTGGACACAGCACATGTTTCAGAGAGCACAGGGTTGGGGGTAAGGTCACAGATCAACAAGATCCCAAGGCAGAAGAATTTTTCTTAGTGCAGAACAAAATGAAAAGTCTCCCATGTCTACTTCTTTCTACACAGATACGGCAACCAACTGATTTCTCAATCTTTTCCCCACCTTTCCTGCCTTTCTATTCCACAAAGCCGCCATTGTCATCCTGGCCCGTTCTCAATGAGCTGTTGGGCACACCTCCCAGACGGGGTGGTGGCCGGGCAGAGGGGCTCCTCACTTCCCAGTAGGGGCAGCCGGGCAGAGGCGCCCCTCACCTCCGGGACGGAGCGGCTGGCCGGGCAGGGGGCTGACCCCCCCACCTCCCTCCCGGACGGGGCGGCTGGCCGGGCAGAGGGGCTCCTCACTTCCCAGTAGGGGCGGCCAGGCAGAGGTGCCCCTCACCTCCCGGATGGGGCGGCTGGCCGGGCGGGGGGCTGACCCTCCCACCTCCCTCCCAGACGGGGCAGCTGGCCGGGCGGGGGGCTGACCCCCCCACCTCCCTCCCGGACGGGGTGGCTGGCCGGGCAGAGGGGCTCCTCACTTCCCAGTAGGGGCGGCCGGGCAGAGGCGCCCCTCACCTCCCAGACGGGGCGGCTGGCCGGGCGGGGGGCTGACCCCCCCACCTCCCTCCCGGACGGGGCGGCTGGCCGGGCGGGGGGCTGACCCCCCACCTCCCTCCCAGACGGGGCGGCTGGCCGGGCGGGGGGCTGACCCCCCCCACCTCCCTCCCGGACGGGGTGGCTGCCGGGCGGAGACGCTCCTCACTTCCCAGATGGGGTGGCTGCCGGGCGGAGAGGCTCCTCACTTCTCAGACAGGGCAGCTGCCGGGCGGAGGGGCTCCTCACTTCTCAGAAGGGGTGGTTGCCAGGCAGAGGGTCTCCTCACTCCTCAGATGGGGCGGCCGGGCAAAGACGCTCCTCACCTCCCAGACGGGGTCACGGCCGGGCAGAGGCGCTCCTCACATCCCAGATGGGGCGGCGGGGCAGAGGCGCTCCCCACATCTCAGACGATGGGCGGCCGGGCAGAGATGCTCCTCACTTCCTAGATGTGATGGCGGCCGGGAAGAGGCGCTCCTCACTTCCTAGATGGGATGGCGGCCGGGCGGAGACGCTCCTCACTTTGAAGACTAGGCAGCCAGGCAGAGGGGCTCCTCACATCCCAGACGATGGGCGGCCAGGCAGAGACACTCCTCACTTCCCAGACGGGGTGGTGGCCGGGCAGAGGCTGCAATCTCGGCACTTTGGGAGGCCAAGGCAGGCGGCTGGGAGGTGTAGGTTGTAGTGAGCCGAGATCACGCCACTGCACTCCAGCCTGGGCACCATTGAGCACTGAGTGAACGAGACTCCGTCTGCAATCCCGGCACCTCGGGAGGCCGAGGCTGGCGGATCACTTGTGGTTAGGGGCTGGAGACCGGCCCGGCCAACACAGCGAAACCCCGTCTCCACCAAAACCAGTCAGGCGTGGCGGCGCGTGCCTGCAATCACAGGCACTCGGCAGGCTGAGGCAGGAGAATCAGGCAGGGAGGTTGCAGTGAGCCGAGATGGCAGCAGTACAGTCCAGCTTCGGCTCCGCATGAGAGGGAGACCGTGGAAAGAGAGGGAGACCGTAGGGAGAGGGAGAGGGAGAGGGAGAGGGAGAGGGAGAGGGAGAGGGAGAGCAAGAGCAGAGATGAGGTCTTGAGACGTTATCCAGGCTCGGGTCATTTGTCTTTTTATTTTTATATTGTATTTTATGTTGTAACCTCTTTTGTTAAATTTATTCCTATTTATTCTTTTTTTTTTCTGGGTCCTCTTCTCAGCAGAGACATTTTTATTCTTTTTGATGCTATTCTAAATATGATTGTTCCCTTAATTTCATTGTCAAATTATACATTGTGAGTATATTGAAGTACAAATGATTTTGTATACTGGTCTTGTATCTTGCTGAACTTATTTATTAGTTCCAATAATTTTGGTGTCAATTCCTTATGATCTTCTCTATATAAGACCTTGTCATCTGTGAATATAGATAGTTTTACTTCTTCCTTTCTGATCTGTATGTCTTTTATTTGTTTTTCTCGTCTAATTGACAGGGCTATAACCTCCATTACAATATTGAATAAAAGTGGTGAGAAAGGACATCTTTGCCTTTTTCCTGATTTTACAGGGAAAGAATTTAGTCTTCAATCATTAAGTATGATATTCACTGTGAATTTTTGTAGATGCCCTTTCTCAGTGTTATATATAAAGTTTCAGTGCCACAAAAGAAATAGCACTTGAGTATAAAATTTTCTTTTTAATTCTCAGCAAGGCAAGTTACTTCTATAGAAGGGTGCACCCTTACAGATGGAGCAATGGTGAGTGCACACTTGGACAAGGGAGGGGAAGGGGTTCTTATCCCTGATGCACGTGGCCCCTTCCCCTATTGGCTAAGGTTAGACTGCACAGGCTAAACTAATTCCGATTGGCTAATTTAAAGAGAATGACGGGGTGAGTGCTTTGGTGGGAGTCAGGGCAGAGCAGGTAGCAGGTAATCCGAATGAGTTAGGGTGGAGCAGGTGATCGTAATGAGTTAGGGTGGAGCAGGTGATCAGAATGAGTCAGGGTGGAGTAGGTAATCGGAAAAGGTTGCTTTACGAGGAAGTTAAGTTTAAAAGTAGAAGGCAAAGAATTGAACATACTGACATATTCTTTGAAAAGAAATGTAGAACTCATATCTAACATCAGGTTAAGATCTCTTCTATTCCCAGTTTCTTGAGTGTTTTTATCATGAAAGTGTGCTGGATTTTCTCAATGGTACTTCAACATCTATTGATGTAATCATGTGGTTTTTGTCCTATATTTTATTAATATGGTATGTTATATTGGTTGATTTTTGTATGTTAAACAATCTTGCATTCTTGTGATAAAGTCCACTTGGCCATGGTATATAATTCTTTTTATATGTTGTTGGATTCGGTTTGCCAGTTTGCCAGTATTTTTCTTTTTTTTTTTCTTTCTTTTTTTCTTTTTTTTTTGAGAAGGAATTTCAGACTTGTTGCCCAGGCTGCAGTGCAATGGCATGATCTTGGCTCACCGCTACCCCCACCTCCTGGGTTCAAGTGATTCTCCTGCCTCAGCCTCCCAAGTAGCTGGGATTACAGGCACGCACCACCATGCCCAGCTAATTTTGTATTTTTAGTAGAGGCGGGGTTTCACTATACTGGCCAGGCTGGTCTCAAACTCCTGACCTCGGATCCGCCCACCTCGGTCTCCCAAAGTGCTGGGATTACAGACATGAGCCATGCGCCTGGCCATGCTAGTATTTTTTAAAGGATTTTTGCATCTATAGTCATAAGAGGTATTGATTTGTAATGTGTTTAGTAACTTTCCTGGACTAATTCTATAAAATCTGTATTCTTTGTTGTGTATAGCCACTGAAGTCCCTGCTTAATTACCATAGTGGTCAGCTATTAATGGAATGAAGTTTCTCTTAAATGTCTTGAACCAATAAGTCTCCCAGCCTTTGCTGAAGGGCTCCATATATGTGTTGGAATATGCTTTGAATGTTTCAGCAGGCAGGTTTGCACCTCTGCCTTAGCCTTCTCTTCCTGCTTGTGCAGAGCCTCAAGATCAGCCAGAGGTGAGAGTTTAGTTTTCTTTTTCTCACATAGATTGTATTAGGTTTTAAGTGTAGGGCTCTTTGAGGTCTTTCCTGGACCATGCACACAGACCAGCACATTCACATGACCTCTTAGGTTCCCTGGAATATGTCAGAGCTCCTCAAAGCCCCTTATGAACATCTAATTCCTCAGTTTTTTCTTTTACATTTTTTGATCAGTCTCTTGTTGGCTCCAACTAGTAACACCACCTTAGGCAGCTGTGATGTTATGCAACTGCCAATTATTGTTTTTACAAATACCCTACAGGGTATTTGCACAGAGTAGGCTTTTGTACAGAGAAGGCTCTGACTCATGCCAAATTAAAATGAGGCCTGAGAATGGAACTTTTTAGTGAACTGTCAGACATGTTAAATAGCAATAATTCTCTGGGGTTGGATCTTTTGGGAAACTCCAAACCTCTTTTTTTTTTTTTGAGACAGAGTCTCACTCTGTCACCCAGGCTGGAGTGCACTGGCACAATCTCAGCTCACTGCAACCTCCGCCTCCCAGGTTCAAGCAATTCTCATGCCTCAGCCTCCTGAGTAGCTGGGATTACAGGTGTGTGCCACCATGCTTGGCTAATGTCTTTTTTTGTGTGTATTTTTTTTTGTATTTTTAGGAGAGATGGGGTTTCACCATGTTGGTCAAGCTGGTCTTGAACTCCTGACCTCGTGATCCACCCACCTTAGCCTCCCAAAGTGCTGGGATTACAGGCCTGAGCCACTGCACCCGCCCAACTCCAAACCTCTTTCGCCCTCTTCAGTGGATGCTAGGCTGCTGGATTTCCCAGCCATTGTAGTTACAGTTTTTAAGGCATTTAAGGCTACTGTGGAGCTGGGGAGAGAGGGATGGGATTAAGATAGGTTAAGAGGCTACAATATTTGTTGTTCTTACCAAGATTTAGCCATTTTTCTTGAATAAACATTCCTAAGATTGTTGCAAGTTTTAATTTCCAGAGTCCTGAAAAGTTGTTTCTGACAGCTTTTTTTCTAGTGTTCTCCTTGCTTTTATGAGGAGCGAATTTTCAGAGGTTCTTACTCTACCATTCTGGAAGTTGACATTGAGCTGCTTCACCTATCTTAATAAAGAAAGAAAAGAAAAAGTTTCCCTGTATTTACACAAAAAGGAAACTCTTCTTAATTTTTCTTTGCCTCTCTATGCTCACAACTGGTGCCTCTCAGAGATAAAGGGGTATTCTCAGGCCTTTTTCTACAAACTAACATTCATGAAACTTGGGACTGGGAGTGGAGGGACCATAAGAGGTGTGGCCCTGTTCTCCAGGAGCCCTTTCTTTCTTTCTTTTTTTTTTTTTTGAGACAGACTCTAGCTCTGTCGCCCAGGCTGGAGTGCAGTGGCACAGTCTTGGCTCACTGCAACCTCCACCTCCCAGGTTCACGCGATTCTCCTGCCTCAGCCTCCTGAGTAGCTGGGACTACAGGTGTCTGCCACCACGCCTGGCTAATTTTTGTATTTTTAGTAGAGACGGGGTTTCACCATATTGTTCAAGCTGGTCTTGAACTCCTGACCTCGTGATCCACCCGCCTCGGCCTCCCAAAGTGCTGGGATTACAGGCATGAGCCACACCGCACCCGGCCCAGGAGCCCTTTCTTTACTGAGCTGTCATCCCTTCTTGAAGCCACCTTGTGTCACAGTCAATCAACTAGTCAGGTGCATGTTTTATGACAATTATCAACCTTTATTCTACCGTGACACAAATGACATATATCATACTCCCATGGATGTACTGAAGGTAACAAATGTCTACAGTCCACTGTCTTTCCCACCCAAAAAGGTATGTCAGAAAAAAAGAGTTAGTAGATGTCTTAGCTTGGGTTACAGCAGAAGTAGACCCTGAGACAAGGATTCGAGTGCTAATGATTAATTTGGGTGAGGGGTAGAATATCAGAAAGCACTGGCTGAGGATTGGGGATATGAGGGAGGGAAGCCAACAAAGGGTTTGTATTCCAGCAAGTTACCACCATAGGCAACTGGAGTGCAATACTGCTGGGGAACTCTTGGGGCTAGTGTAAAAGACACACCTCAGAGTTATCTCAACCAAAGGGAAAGGAAACTGGGGTATTTATCTTCCAACTCCCATTCATCATTGGGAGTTAATTAATTCTTTAGAACTTTCATTTTGCCATGCATAAGCCCCTGCATGCTCTGGTAGCCAGCAAAACACTCTCAAGCAGAGAGTCACAGATATTCACAGTAAGCAGCCTTTAGTCTGTAGGGGTGGGGCTCAGGGGATTTGGGTAGGGCACTAACAGGGTCTGCTACAGTGCTAATAGCATTATTATTGGGAAAACTTTGGATTCTGTGTAATAGAAGTAAATAATTCCTATATCTTAATATTTAACTTGTATTAGTAACAGATAACATGATACATCTCACAGGAGGATGAGGCTTACTGCTTTATAACAAACATTTAAAAAAAGACCAAACAAATTATATTAGGGAGTTTGGTGATAGTTCCACTGAGCCAGTAATTATAATAACTATAATAAGGATGTAGTTGGTCAATAGGCTTATACCATCATAATGAGTTTGCAATAGACTCACTTATTATAACAATTCAATAATGATTATATTTATTTGTCTTTCTACTGACTGGTTTCAATATCTTCACAGACCTTCTCCACAGATTTTACAGCTTTTCAGGTGGAAACACACAGTGGCAAGTCTCTCTTGCTGCTCACACAGAGCATGGCCAGTCACACCGTTTCCTGAAAATTTCCTTTTGCTATTGCCTTGATGTTGGCCCTGGCATCCCACTATAGGTAGCTGTCCTCAGCTCCTGAAGCTCTTGTGTAGGTATGGGAATGTCTCCACAGTGCAAGACTGGCAATTTCTCAGAATTCCAGTATTCCAGGGACAGGCAGGAGAGCTAAGGGTCTTCTTCACATACTATAGAGTCTACCCAGGGCTCAAACATTCAGCTCCTTGATGTGCAACCATGTCTAATGCTGAGGCAAGCCCCCTAAACTACTTTGCCTATCTCTCCAATCCTTTTTCCAGGGCACTGTGACCATCACATGTTGCCAATCCTTGGTCTAGGCCCAGTGTTCATGGGACTGAGATGTTTGTTGTACTCAAAATAGGAATGTTTCTCTAGCTAACTTGGGATCTCCATAGACTTCCTTCACAAAGTAAAAATGTTCCCATCTGCTTTTAGTAATCTGCTACTGCCTTCTTCCATATGCTTCCTCTTTCCAATAGACTCTTGCATAAAATATATTATTACTTCTTTGCTGTTTCTGCTGATGCGCTTGGAGGATCTTCATCCTCTCCTTCAAACTTCACATGAACTTTTATCCTGATGTCTCCCAGTTATTTGTGAGAACACATTCGGTTATTTCTCAAGAGCTTGAAGGGTATGAAATATTTCAAGGTGATGATTTCACTTTTGATTTACACATTTTCTCCCCTTCCTTGTTCGTTATCAAGGGGAGCAAGGGGACTTAAGAGAAACCAATTTAGCCTTGATGGGGGCTCTCAGGGACATTAAGATGGCTCACTGCCAGCTCAAGAGTGGCATCTAATCAAGCTGGTGGGGCACAGCACTGAGACAATTTGCGTGGTGGGAAATCCTAGGATTCCTGTGACAAGAGGCTCCATGATTATAGTCATTAATACATTCATGGCCCTAGGCATGGCAAGACTTAGACAACATATGATGGTATTAGTCAAGAGAACTAGCTCCAGGGGATGATGGGTAAAAGCATGGATTTGGAAGTGGATAGATCTAGGTTTGAATCGTAGATCCAGCCTGTAGAATTGTTAGTACTTCAGGGACATGCTAAACCTCAGTTTCCACATCTATAAAATAGGAATAGCAATACTACTTACTATTATTATAGGGTTTTTGGAAAAGTTACATGGGACTTAGCATCATAGTAAATGCTAAAAGATGTCAACTGTATGGTAGGTAGAACTTTTGTCTCAGGTGAGGAATAGGATGGCAAGTCAGGGAAACAGAGGCAAAAGTCATAACATTTAAACTTGGGTCACCACAGCAGGAAGTAGGAACGCTTAGATGTGGGAGAAACATGAGCCATTAGGCTCTACCAGATAGTGGAACTTGGCATCTAACTCACCCATGTTCAAGCAAGTGGCAGGATGACTCAGCAAGTTGATGGAGCTGAGCTTACCTATTAAAGACATGACTAATTGCCCCAGCTAAGAGGACTTTTCATTCTTGCTCCTTTTAAAATAATGATATAGCAAATTTTCACATACTTTTCCTGAACATGGTAACTTTGTCCCATATTAACTTGAGTTCATCTAATCACAGAATGATAGAATTTTAGACTGGGAGGGCCTCAGTGCTACATTCCCTCTGCATCAACCTGGATAGTTACTACCTTGAGGGCAGTCCATTTTATTTATGGGCAGCATGAGTTAATTTTAATTTAATTCAGTAAATCTATTTTATGTGTGTAATATGGGCATAACAATACTCCTGACCTCATAAAACTGAGTGTAGATTAAATGAGAAATTCCATGGCAGAGAGTAAACGTTCAACAATGTTATTATTTAGATGTGCTACCTGTCCTAAGGTGCTCATAAATGTTTCCTCCAATGTGGAGAAATATGTCTCCTGTTAAGTTCCTAAGTGTTCCCTATGTTGCCAGGCAGAATAAATGTGATCCATCAGATATTCGGGGAAGACTCTCATGTTCTCTTTCTCATGCAGAAGAGTCTCAGTTTTCTCCTGTTTTCACTGTGATCTGGCAAGGTACAGTCCTTCCTTAAAGGGAGATAGTGGTTTTGTTTCAGGTGTAGTCCAGCCAGTACAGAGTGCCCTGATGCAGGCACAGCTGATGTCTTGGACAGAAATGCATTGGTGTCCCTTAAGATGGTATTGAACTTGCAATCAAATAAAACCCATTGGTCTTTAAAACTATAAACTGCTACCTACTCTAGGCTAACCCAGCCTTTGAATTAAATGTGGGACTTTGCATTCTGGTTAACTTGCATCCTATCAGTGAGGTCCATCATTTCAGCCTTGCCAGCTATATCTTGATTCTTGATTCCTTCATCTTTTATGTTAACTAGTCCTCCCATCTTTGGGTCATTTGTAAATGATCAAAGTATGTTTATATGTCTTCATCCAAATTATTTAAAACATTTTCAAAAAAAGGAGGAATGTCAAGTACAGCATCCTGAGGTATGCTAGTAGAGACTAATTATCAGATAAGTTGTTCAATGGACCTACCAAGTTGTTTTGCCATTCTTCCAGCATTTTCCACTCAAATCCATACAGAGAATGGGAGAGTCCTTCTCAAAAATTGCAGGATTCAGATATACTGGTTCTAAGTCATTCTACCCTGATGCCCCTGGGTTGAGTTTCATACTTGTTCTCTGCTCCCTTACGTGGTAAGTCTGAATACTCCTTGCATTTACAACATTGTACTATAATTTTTCATTTGTCTGTTCCCTTCTGTCTTTGGATTATGTGCTTTTTTGAGGGCAGGGGTTACATTTTATTTACCTCTATATTTCAGTACCTGGCAACTACAATCCACCAGGTGTACCAGGAGCTCTCTCTCTATATATTAGAAGCTTTATATATTCTTTTAGTTGTGTTAAATTCCACTTATATATTAGTCTAGTTAACTCTTCAAAAAAGAACTGAAATTAGCTTGGCAAGACATTGTTAATAAATGTATATTGAGTCTTGTGCAGAAACATTTTTTAATTGAAACTGTTTTAAAAATCACACTATGAAGGCATCCTTTTAAATAACTGTGTGGCCCGGGCATGGGGGCTCACACCTGTAATCCCAGCACTTTGGGAGGCCGAGGCAGGTGGATCACCTGAGGTCTGGAGTTCGAGACCAGCTGACCAACATGGTGAAGCCCTATCTCTACTAAAAATACAAAAAGTTAGCCAGGTGTAGTGGCACATGCCTGTAATCCCAGCTACTTGGGAAGCTGACGTAGGAAAATAGCTTGAACCCAGGAGGTGGGGGTTGCAGTGAGCTGAGATCATGCTATTACACTCCAGCCTGGGCAAAAAGAGCAAAATACCATCTCTAAATAAATAAATAACTGTGTGATATTCTCTAATAAGCATGTATCATAATTAATTTAACTAATTCCTATTGATGAACATTTAGGTTGCTTTAAATTTGTCTTGGTTTTAAATATCACTGACATGGACATCCTTTATGTAAATCCTTGACAATCTTTGATTTTTTTTTAAAGGATACACTGCTAAAGGATGATTTATTGTGTTAATGAGAATTATAAATTTAAGAATAGAAAGATTATACCAACTTACATTCTCAACATCAGAGAATGAGAATGTTCATTAAAATTTACCTTTAGAAACTTTGGTTTATTTTTAACCCCTAGTGTGACATTTTGTTGATTTTAGAAAGAAACAATTTTATTTTATTATTTTAATCAGCACTTTAAGCTTCTACTGAGATTGGAGGTTAGCTAAATATATCTTCCATTAATTTTCTGTTCATGTCCTTTGGCCATTTTCTTATTTAGCTTCTGGTGTTTTTGAATGTTTTACATATTTACATATGTTAATTAATGTATACAGGAAAATCTGGATTTAGAATGTGATTAAGATGACATTTCATACCATGGGACAGAATATACTGCACAAGAAACAATGGTGTGAAAGGTCTTTCTTCCTTTGAGGAAAAAATAAGCTTGATGTGCACCTTACACCATGCACAAAGTAAAATCCAAGACAGAATAAAGCTAGCTATAAAAACAAAACTATGAAATAATTAGACAAGATAATATTTTTCACATTTAGAATGAAGAGGGACTTTTAAAAACACAAAATTAATTCTTTGAATTCACTAAAGTAAAAGACCACTGCATGTATCTACATTAAACTACAGAACTTCTATACTGCAAAGACACATAGGCAAGCATAAAAAATAAGTGACAGATTGAGAGAAAATATTTGCAACACTGGAAACAGGTACATTTTTAAGATCTAGATATTTAAAGTGCCCTACCAATTGATGAGAAAAAGATAAGCAATCTAGTAGATTTTGAAATGGTTAACATATGCAAAAAGATGGTCAACTACGTTAATAGCCCAGGCTAAGAAAGCCCTGCTCTACCGCCTCCCCATTGCTTGCAGAAAAAGTTCACATTTTGCATTTCCTGTAAGGTTTTCCTTGATCTGATTCCTGTCTCCTCTTTCTGGCCTCATCCTGGCTCCCTGCTCCCTATTCCAAACTCTATACTTCAGCCATGATGCTACTCGGGACTCACAGCAAATTTGGCTATTGCTAATCTGCCTGCTTTGACTCTGTCTAGCATGACACTTTGTTAGCCTGATGAATACTTGCTCGGATCTCAGGACAATTATCATTTCATCTACAAAATCTGTCCTGCCCCTCCACCACTGCTCTTTGAGCCATTGGTAAGGTCTTCATCATCTTTGTACTCCCAATACCTAGTATTATATATCTATGTGATTTGGTACAGAGAATGAATGTACAGCCAATGCTTATTCAATTAAATCTAGCAATATCTCCTTTTCTTAGAGATTAGGCTATTGAAATGTAGAGAGTTTATTCTGACTGTTAGATAGAATTAGAGCTAGATCAATACTCCTTTTCTCATGAATCCTAGATTTTTTTTTTAGCTTTCTTATTAGCCTTAAATTACTTTATTTAAAAAATTCAATTTTTAATATAAAACTTTCTATTTATAAAAAAAGTATAAAAAGTGAAAATTGAAAAGTATAATTAACTGGCCTCTCATTCAGATATCTAGGAGAGCCAGAAGAGTGCATGTTACCAAAGGTAAGAAAAGACAGAGTTTTAGAATATAGGCAGTAGATAGCAACATGAAATGCACCCAAGTTCAATACAAATGAGGACAAAAATGGTGCATTTTTGGTGGCAATAAGAAGTTTCTTGGTGGTTTTTTCCAGGGCAGTTTCAGTGGAATGGTGGAAGACACTGCAGTAGGATAGAGATAATGAGAGAAAAGAAGTGGACAGTGAATGGAGACTATCCTTTTGTTTTGTTTTTTTTTTGAGGTGGAGTTTTGCTCTTGTTGCCCAGGCTGGAGTGCAATGGCGCGATCTTGGCTCACCACAACCTCCGCCTCCCAGGTTCAAGCAATTCTCCTGCCTTAGCTTCCCAAGTAGCTGGGATTACAGGCATGTGCCACTACGCCTGGCTAATTTTTTGTATTTTTAGTAGAGATGGGGTTTCTCCATGTTGGTCAGGCTGGTCTTGAACTCCCGACCTCAGGTGATCCGCCTGCCTCAGCCTCCCAAAGTGCTGGGATTACAGGCGTGAGCCACCGCGCCCGGCCATGAAGGCTATTATTTAGAGCAACATACCTTGTTCTGTGATTTCTCACGCCATCAAAACCAAAGATCAGGGCTGGCTGTTCTGGGTTTTGCAAGGTTCACCTGCTGGAAGTTAAGTGAAGTCAGTCATTTTTTTTGTCTTGTTCATACAAAATCCACAGTACCTAGCACGGTACCTGGCACATAGTATGTGCTCAAAAAGTATTTGTACTTTTTGAGTACTAAAATCTCAGCACAGGCAAACAGAGAGAGGGGAGAAGACACAGATTCCAGAGGTCAGTAGATCAAGGCTACTATAACCAACATGATTTAGGGAGACTCTGTGGTTCAAAATGATTCCCCAGCGGCCAGGTCTGGGCTCTCTTCATCATATTTCTTGTGTCAGACACTATTGCCCTGACCACACTGGGTGGGGTGGCGAGATGCGGGGGTGGGGTGATCTGTCATCCATGGATGGGCATGTAATCCAATTTTTTCCACAGGATCTTTTTACCTGGCCCTCGATAAAGGAGATCCTCTTTCTTCTCCAGGGCTAGAGCCATCAGTGTTTGAGTCCAGAATTAGCAGAGGTCTGTCTTCCCTGGTGCAGAAATAAAGTCCACCTATAGTAGGAGAGACTAAAGCCAAAATGCTGAGATAAGTGGAGGGCAGGTCCTAAAGAGTTTGAGTTCCTGGAATAGTTGTCCTTGAGGTCAGTCCACTCATGGTTAGGTTACCTGAGTCACTAAGTACTTCCTTTCCCCTACCGTTTTCCTTGAGTTTATTTGACTTAGTGATAGGAACAGGAGGCAGGAAAATTCTAGGCAGAAAAGGAGGAAGTCCCTGGCGAAGTCCCACCCTCAAGCCTAGAACTGTGGCCCAAAGTGAGAACATGCATTCCTGTTTTCCCGCTCCAATGTTGCCTTTTCCAAAACCACCCATGGCCTGGCGGGTCCCCCATCCTGTGCCCATGAAAACCCCAGGCTCCACTGGCAGAGAGCAGAGAAGCGGAGAAGAGGAGAAGCAGCTGGACATCAGAGACTGTGGTTTGACATCAGAGAGAAACAGCTTGACTTCAGACAGACAGCTTGACAGCAGGACTTTGGAGAAGAGTCTGGCTGGCTGGACTTTAGGGGAGGAATACCTTCTCACTCCACCCCCTTTCCAGTTAGTCCTCCTGCTGACAGCCACTTCCATCAGAATAAAATCCCCCATATTTACTATCCTTCAATTTGTTCGTGTGACCCGATTTTTTCTGGACACCGGGCAAGAGCTCAGGATACAGAAAGCTGTCACACTGACCCTCTGCCTTTGTGAAAAGGCAGAGGGTCCACTGAGCTGTTGAACACTTAAGCCATCTGTGGAGGCCAAGCTAAAAGAGCACTGTAACACAAGCCTCCTGGGGCTTCAGGGGTCACAGATACCCCCCTAGATGCTGCTGTGGGGCCGCACAGAGTTTTGCTCCTGCCAGCGCCCAAAATCACTCGCTCTGGCTCCTGCACCCACTCACCTGGGTGCTCCTGCGTGCTCCCCCTACCATGAGGAGTTGAGAGCTGCGGACTGAGGAAGTAAGGCACCCCCGTCGCGAGGCCCACGAAAGGGTCAAGGAAAATTTCTTGTTTCATTGGGTTTCTGGCACTTGCATCTGAAAGAGCTACAGAGACACAGGGCTGTGATTAGAAGCCCGATCTTTCCCCCTACGGTCCGTATCTGATCCTTGCACATGGTGCTAGTGATAGACCAAGATCTCTTCTTGTCTCTGAAAGAGGACAGACAGAAGCTACAGTTGCCTGTTCTTGTAAATAAAATTGTATTGGAACACAGCCTTGTCCATTCATTTGCATATTGCCTATGGCTGCTTTTGTGCTAAAATAAGAGTGCTTGTGATGAAGACCATACGGCTGGCAAAAGCTTAAAGTATTTACCATCTAGCCCTTGACAGAAAAAGATAATGAGGGTGGGGCTAGGTAGTGCATGCTGTTGATGGCCTCACCCAGATTCCTTTTTCTTCTCTCTGCACTCATATTGAGAGACAGGACTAGCTGGATTTCCCAGGCCGACTAAGAATCCCTAAGCCTAGCTGGGAAGGTGACCACTTCCACCTTTAAACACGGGGCTTGCAACTTAGCTCACACCTGACCAATCAGATAGTAAAGAGAGCTCACTAAAATGCTAATTAGGTAAAAACAGGAGGTAAAGAAATAGCAAATCATCTATTGCCTGACAGCACAGGGGGAGGGACAATGATCGGGATATAAACCCAGGCATTTGAGCCAGCAACGGCTACCCTCTTTCCGTCCCCTCCCTTTGTATGGGAGCTCTGTTTTTATTCTATTTCACTCTATTAAATCTTGCAACTGCACTCTTCTGGTCCGTGTTTGTTACGGCCCGAGCTGAGCTTTAACTCGCCGCCCACCGCTGCTGTTTGCTGCCGTCGCAGACCCACCGCTGACTTCCATCCCTCCGGATCTGGCAGGGTGTCCGCTGTGCTTCCGATCCAGCGAGACGCCCATTGCCGCTCCCGATCGGGCTAAAGGCTTGCCATTGTTCTTGCACGGCTAAGTGCCTGGGTTCATCCTAATCGAGCTGAACACTAGTCACTGGGTCCCACGGTTCTCTTCCGTGACCCATGGCTTCTAATAGAGCTATAACACTCACCACATGGCCCAAGACTCCATTCCTTGGAATCCGTGAGGCCAAGAACTCCAGGTCAGAGAACACGAGGCTTGCCACCATCTTGAAAGTGGCCCACCAGCATTTTGGAAGAGGCCCGCCACCATCTTGGGAGCTCTGGGAGCAAGGACCCCCCGGTAACAATATTTTAGCTGCTGTGACTGTTGGTTGATAACCTACAGATGCCTTCTTCTCTAGCTGCCTCCCTCTCCAAAGAAAATTGCCCAGCAATCCCCATGCACCCCCTACCACTGCCCACCACAGACTGTGGCCAATGACTGACTTATAAAGGGGTACAGTTTGTACTCCAGAGCTTCCCTGTGGGATCAGGCTGAAGCTAGTCTCCTGCTTAGATCTCACATCACATCCTGCTAGTTCTCCTCACCCCTACATAGAGTCCTTCCTCAATAAATCACTTCAATAGGAATTCCCGTGTGAGCACTACTTCTAGGAACCCCACCACAGGCAGGGGGCAAAGGATCAGGTATGGCCTAGTCTTAGAGGCACACTTCCTGGATGATAGTTATGACCACTCTAATGTTCCTGGCTAGGTGAGCTGGACCAGGTAAATTGCCCCACATATCTATTCTAATACATGCTTTCTTTTTCACTTGCATTTCTCTGCATGTCAAAGGCCCTTCTTGATCCAAGGTATTTCAAAATTAAATACAATTGTCCCTCAGTATCCATGAGGGATTGGTTCCAGAACCTCCCCCAGATAGCAGATACCTCTCCCATCCCTACATAATACTTGAAGACTTTGAGCTTTTAAATGATCTGATATTCAGATCCCGTAAATGAGAACACATTGCTGAGCAAAAATGTATGAGTAAAGTGAAGTTTATCAGCTCTTTATTCATGGCTTGGTGTTATTCATTTTTGTATTCATTGAGGCTGGCTCAGAGTAGATGTTTAAGGCTTGCTTGATAATGAGTAAGCCTATCCCCTGCTGCTGGGCAGGGAAATGCAAGACTGTGTGAGCCTCTTATGTTTGTAGCCTCTGGGAAGGGGGAAGAGATGAGACTAGCTCATTTCCTCATAGGCCCAGGTGTTCCTCAATTTTGAATTTGGCCTAGGGCATCTGTGAATTCCTTGTTCAGGAGGGGCTGGTGGCTTAGGGTGGGGCAAGAGTGTGGTTGGGCAGAGCTCAGGAATGTATTGTTCCAGAAAATTTGTCCGAACACTTTTTCTGCCTCCCTTTCCCTGACTGGTTGTAGTTTCAGTCATAGAGAACCTGCCTATTAGGTTTGCTTTAGCTACTATTGTAGTGGCCAAAGAACTCTTGGGAAAAAGACCAAGCTATTTCATTTTGGTCACTGCTGGGAGCTAATATATGCAAAGCACAGATTCAGACTCAATTCTCCACAAGTAGTTAAGGTAGTTATGTCTTGAGTGGGTCATGCCCCTAACTGAACTTAGGTTATCACTTCCTATTGTAAAAAATTAAAACAGATCCCAGTTTTTCTTGCTCAGACTTTTTCCTCCTTTCCGTTTTCCCCCTCTGTCCTCTCTCTTGCTCTTTTCATCTTTTCTATCCCTTGGGAGCTTCCCTGAACCTTAACTGGCATTAGACAGCTAAGAGGGAAACATCAAGGCTTACTTACAAGAAAGCGCTCAAAAGAACTGTTCTTGCAGCTGGCAAAATTAAATTGCACTAATGATCTGCAAAAAGTGGCATGAAAACTGTCAACCTAAAGAAGGAAACTGAGGCAAAATTAACATAGAGAGTTTATTTGGGGCCAGGCACGGTGGCTCATGCCTGTAATCCCACCGCTTTGGGAAGACAAAAAATAAATTTTTTAGAAAATTTATAAATAAAAATAAGAGAGCTTATTTGGGCCAAGTTTGAGGACTGCAGCCCAGGAAACACAGAAGATGCTCCAGGAAACAAAGGAGAGACTTGGGTTTTAAAAGAAAAAAGGACAAATAAGGAAAGGGCAATTATTAGTAAAAAAGTTTTTTTTTTTTTTTCCCAGAAATTCTCATTGATTTACATTTACCTTGCTATGTGGGTTATAGACTGATGCCAAGTACCCATAAATCAATCGAACTGCCATAAGCTGGACATAACTTGGCAAAAATGATGACAATGAGAAAAATCTGACCTAATTGACGCCATCTTACTTCTAACCTCCAAGCTGCCTGTGTTTATTCCTGGACATATGCCAAAGTAACTTTGGGAGTAATTTAGTTTATAATTTAACTTTGAAACAAAGAGGACAACAGCCCCTCCCTGAAACAAACCCCTTCTGTTACCGAAAAGGGGTCCTGATGAAGCGGCGTCATTGTCTGGGGTAAATATCTGAGGTTCGTTGTCTCATGCTGAGAGAATCGAGGACATGGACACGTAAGAAGTGAGTTTAACAGTGGAGGTTTAATAGGCGAAAGAAAGAGAACGGCTCTCTCTCCTGCAGTGAAAGGGGGGGTGCCCGAGTGGGTCTCCCGGGCCATAGCCAAGTGCATGGGGTTTTATAGACTGACTTGAGGAGATGGTGTCTGATTTATATAGGGCCAAAGATTGGTTGGACCAGGTGTGCCATTTACATAGAACCTGAAGAAGCTGGCCACCGCACCCTAATCTTTTATTATGCAGACGGATTCTCTCCGTGGCCGGTGCCATGTTGTCTGTTCCTTACTGTACACGTGGTTGATAAAGAAAAGGGAAGATGGAGCCACCATGTTAAACATTCCTAGCCCCCAGGTAGCCTTTTCCTATTGGCACAGCCGCCGGCATTCACTCGTGAAAGCTTCCAGCTTGCTTATCTATGTCGGCAGCTCGATTTACAGGCTGCTCTTTGTTAGAAAAGAAATGATTTGGGGGCTGCTTTTTATTAAAAGGAAAACCTTACCGAGGACTTTCTTACCCTCACTATCTGCCTAAATAATTTATTTTTTCTCCGACATAACTGATCCATACCCCAAAAGAGGTTCTCGGATCTCGCGCAAGAAAGAATTCGGGGCACGTCCATAAAGTGAAAGCAAGTTTATTAAGAAAGTAAAGGAATAAAAGAATGGCTACTCCATAGAGAGAGCAGCAGCAGCATGGGCTCTATGACTAAGGACACTTATAGTTATTTCTTGACTGTATGCTAAACAAGGGTTGGATTATTCATGAGTTTTCTGGGAAAGTGGTGGGCAATTCCAGAAACTGAGTGTTCCTCCCATTTTTAGACCATAAAGGGTAACTTCCTAACATTGCCATGGCATTTGTAAACTGTCATGGCATTGGTGAGTGTGTCTTTTAGCATGCTAATGCATTATTATTAGCATATAATGAGCAGTGAGGACAACCAGAGGCCAGTTTCTTTACCACAAGCTGTTTATCAGCAAAATCTTTGTGACCTGTATCTTGTGCCAAACTCCTAGACCTCCTATCTCATCCCGTGACTTAGAATGCCTAGCCTCCTGGGAATGTAGCCTAGTAGGTCTCGGCCTTATTTACCCAGCCCGTATTCAAGATGGAGTTGCTCTGGTTCAAATGCCTCTGACACTTCCTTGCTTGGGGACCAGACTGTATTTATAAAACTGAAACTGCCTTTGCAAAAGTTTTATCAGTGAGAAAATTACAACAGTAACCTAAGCTAACCCAATCCCCATCTTGCCTTTCCCTTAATTATTCCTGGGCCATTGGGCCAAACTAACTTTGGAAGACATTTAGGATACAGTTTAAATGATAATAGGCCTTGCCCAAAACTCAACCGCTTTTGCAAAGCTAATAGGAGGCCATCAGGCTGAGGAGAGGTGAGGAGCTGACATTATTCCGGAGGTTATAAGATATGAAACTTCACCAATTACTCCTGCAAATAACACCAGTTTTGTAGATTGGTCTTTTGAGATATCTTTCCAGGTTTTTGCATGTCTGACACCCTTGGCTCCACCTGGGCCAGATGACTCCACCTGGACTGAAAACCCTGCTACTGTGGCCCCACCCAGAAGCCATTCTGCCTGCAGGAAGATAGCTTCAATCCCCTATGATTTCATCTCTGCCCCAACCAATCAGCAGCAAGCACCTGTTACCTGGCCACCCGCCCCCCCCCGACTTTTTCCCCAAACTTCCTTTGGAAAACCCCTAACATATGAGCTTCAAATGAGGTGATTTGAGTACAAACTCCATCTCCCACGTGGTGTAGCCGGCCTCATGTTTATTAAAGTCTTTCTCTACCACAATCCTGTGATCTTTCTTTATGCAGTGGGCAGGAAGAACACCTCAAGTGGTTACAAAACTAATAACTTAGCCACAAGATTAGAAATTATGGCTCACGAGTCATGCAGCCAGAGGCCCCAAGATTCCTAACTTTCCCAATTGCTCCTATGGGTGAACATCACTATTATAAAACCTAAGATTGGTGTTTGTGGTATGTTTCAGACCCTGCACTTGATGGATCAACTGGCATCACCTAGACCAGTAAACTGGCTCGTCTGGTCTGTGGCCCCACACCCAGGAACTCACTTAGCTGAAGAGGACAGCTTTGACTTCCTATGATTTCATCCACAACCTGACCAATCAGCACTCCCTACTCCATAGCCCCCTGCCCACCAAACTACCTTCAAAAAAGCCTAGCCTCTGAAGTTTTGAGGAGGCTGATTTGAGTAATAATAAAACTCAGGTTTCCTGTTTAGCCAGCTCTAGTATATTAAACTCTTTCTGTATTGCAGTTCTCCTGTCTGAATGTCAGCTCTAGCTGGGCAGTGGGCAAGAAGAACCCATTGGGCAATTACAAAGAGGGAAGTAAGACATGACTGCTGTCACATTTCAATGCCTTTCTGGGCCTGATAATTTAAAGGGGCTCACATTTCTCAAAGCCAACTTATCCCAATCTTGCCAACCACAAGTTTTGTAGCAGTTACGGAAAACAAAAACTACAACCTGGGACAAGACCAAAGTCACATACCCCTCTGTTCTCATTGCTGTATAACAACTCCATTCCTACTTTGGTTCAGGGAGTTACCTAATTTTGAGGTGCTCCCTGATGAACATTGACTGAATAAAGCCTTTGACCTCTATTTGAGATCACTTTAACAATTTTTTTCTTGACAGTTTAATGCTGTGACTTAGGATCTGGATGAACCCTGGATCCCACTGCAGTTTCAGAGGAGGAGAGACTGCATTGAGGGATCTTTGCTTCCTCCTTTCTTGGGGACTACTGTTGGGTTGAGAGGTAAATAATGTTCCTGATTCTGTGCTCAGGTTTTTTTCTTGTAACACAGAGGTTTCAGGCTTCCATTCTTTGAAAGGATTAACTTATTGTCTGATAGGTCACTGCATCTATTTTCCTTTTGTCTTTTTGGGATTCTCTGGGCAAGTGGATGATTAGATGATGGTCCTAAGGTAGGACAAGGCCCTTCTCCCTTCTTCTATCTAGTACTTCCTTTATTGGGAAACAATCTACCCAACTTTCTCCTTCAATGGACTCCCACTGGGCACATGTTCTGCCAATGTGGTCCTAACTATTAAATTTCTAAGTTGTGGGACTTCAGGAAAGGCAATATTGGAATCTTGCAACAAGTCAAAACTTGTATATTTGCAAAGTGCCTTGGAATAAAAGAAGATAAAATAGCTAACTTACAATAGGTAGCTTTATTTAATTGGTAAGAAGAAGCCAAGTAAAGAAACAATTCAGGCAGACTCTAATCTATGGTCTCTCCAAAACAACTTCAACTTTCTCCCCACAAAGACCTCCTCCTTTTGGTCTAGCTCTGTTTCTGCCTCTTATAATCCCAGTCCCTTCTTGCTGCCCTGCTTTCCTGCTCCTTGCCCTCCTTTCTGTGCCCTTCTCCTCCTCTTCCTACCCTTCCCCATCTCCCTCTCATTTTTAGATGCAGGCCTTCATCAGCTCCTTCCCAAGCAGTTCCTGACCCCAATCCAATACCTCAATCACAAGTGACCTTCAAACCCTGGTTGTGAGCTGACCTTTATGCCATATTAAAGATTTCCCAAATCCTCAAAAAGAAATAAATGTATTGAGCTATTTTGGGGGCTTATGCTCCTGAGCTCCTTTATCTGTATCTTTCAACACATCTTTCAATAGAACCAGGAGATCCCTGAACCTGGTTTGACAAGGCCAACTGGCCTCTATAAATAAGGATCAAACTAACCTTATAGAAATAACACCCTCTCTGTATATGTAAAAGGCCTAGAAATAAGAGAACATTTTAAAAAGACCGTTTCTGAAGTTTTTCTCCTTTACATGGACTGGGGAATCATCCAGTCCTGTCAATAAGGGCATGATAAATCTGTCTCTAATATTAGTGACTGATTAAAACCACTCGGACCTGTGATATCCACCTTTATTTGGTTAATGGCCTTAAGCCTGAAATGTAAGCTGCTGCTCAGAAGCATAAAATAGGCTTGCAGATCATGCCTATACATGAATTACAACACTTACCCCAGCATTTTGGGGATAAAATGATAAATAAAGAGAAAACCTCACACCGCAAACTTATGGCATTGTAGCTTAAACAGCTTAAGGGAAAAAAGGGCCTACCACAGATACAACACAGTTTCCTGTCTGTCCTCTTGGGACCCTAACTTCTCAATGTGTCATTCTTTTTAGTCCTTTCATTCTCTTCCTTCCCCTCAACCTATTAGGTTGGGACCTTTTGGGTTGAGAAAATAAGTAATTCAAAATATAAACTGTTGGAACTCTAAATTATTTTGAGCCTTAAAGGAATGTGATTATGGAGCCTGAGTCATGTGACAGCCAGCTGTAACCAGGGCAGCTGTACATTTTGTTTCTGTGATTATAGATTAAACCTTCTTCTTCACCTGCATTGTTTTGTAAAATGTTGTAAATGACCAAAGGGCACCAGAGAAGACCCCCTTCCCTCTGTACTGTTGGTCTTCGTTGTAGATTAACCTCCCTCTTACCTTTCTCACACAAAGATTTAATGGCTATCACATTGTCTTAAGATGGAATGTTAAATATGCTCTTTTAAATTGGAAAGGAAATGAAAACCAGCTGTAAAGAAAAGAAAACAAGCCATAGGAAAAAGAAAACAGACTGTAACTAACTAACTAATTTGTTGTAACTCTTAAACCAGCCTTGTATAGAAAACTTGTAACCCTGTTTAATTTCTTTGTGTTCTGCATATATAAGCAAGAACCTAACTTTTAACTTTGGAGCACTGACCCCATTTCTCCGGAGCCTCTGTCTCCTGAATGGCCATTTCCAGCTTTCCCGTTGAATAACCTCTTTAAAACTGGTTTCTGATCCTTTCAGTTATTTTAGGTAGACAGGCTAAATAAAGTGCCACTATTAGATGGTCACACATGTGAAGGACTTTTTCTTGATCTCCTTGACTAGGATGACCAAATACATCTTATGATGGCTTCCCTTGACTGCTCGGCACTCTTGTGTTTCCAACTGTCTTACCCTTAGAATCGCCTCAATTTTCTTATTTACTTTCCTCAGTCCCCAGTATCCTCTGGGTTGTATCATCTACAAATGTGAGAAAAAGGATATAGAAGCCTTATGAGATCCCACAATGCCTCTTCCTGAATTGTTTCAGTATCTCCTAAAGCCCAAAGCACCCAGAGAAACTACAACCCACTGTTGCAGATTTACTCATTCCTTGTACCAGTCCTTGCAGTATTCCTGTCCTACTGGAAAAAAATCCTAATGACTTTATGCAAGACTTAAGAGCACATAGTGTAACCATGTTTCCCTGGCCTCTGTACCTGCACATTCAACACACTTCACAGTAATAATTCTCAGTTCAACCTTCTTCCTTAACAGAAGACTTAAAACAGACTTTCTTGAAACTCTTCTGAAGCAGATGACAACACAAAGGAGATAGCTTTCCCCAAGAAGATGACAGAACAAGACTCCATATCAATTTTATTATCTCTCTTTTCATACTAGCCTTGTTTCTTACTCTCCACCTTTTAATTTCTGAATGTATTTCTGTAGAATTACCTCCAAGTATCGATCATAGTAATGCTTCCCATCCTTACTCTGCTATTTCTACTTCTCCCTATTTTTCCTTTCCCTTCTTCTTTTCTCCCCTCTTCCTCCCTCAATATCCAAAATTTTTGGTATTTTCTGGCTCAGACTTATACTTATGAAGCCATTGTCATCTATGATTGTTGATTCTGCTACTTTCTCTTCCTTTTCCCATCAGTTCCATTGCTTTAGTACAAATATCTGTTCCCTACCCCAAGATATATCTGTCCATCATTTCCACTGTCATTTGAGCCAAGGTCCCACGCAACCTAGATCTCCAACAAAGCTCCAAGATTAGCATACCTTACGTAGTATATTCCCCCAAAAGAGGAAAAGAGGGAGCCTATTTTTCTCCAAAGGAAACATTTGTTTCTAATCCTTAATTTATGGACCTGAGCTATTGTAATAAAACCTACCAGGCCCAGTTTAAGGGGATGAATGTCATTGAGCCAGCTTCACCCAGGAGAGCTAAATGATAAAAGTACGACTGTTTTTTACCCTGAAGCCCCCATGGGATTAATATTTGTATGTGTGTGTGTGTGTGTGTGTGTGTGTGTGTGTGTGTGTGTCTACCAATCACTGGTTTTTGCCAGCCAATTGGACAAGGATATGTCATCTCACCTATCTGAATTTATCATCTCTTTAGGATAGGAGTCAAACTCCTCTTGAACCAGAGCAATCAATGTTTAAGTGTGGGCACCCCTCTGCTCTCTTTGGAAACTGCTCTCTGCAAAATATCCATTCTCAATAAGGGATGAAAAGAAACTGTGTGAAGGAGCTAAAATACGTGGAATCAATCCAGATGGATTCCGCACCACCCGGGTCAGGTTTTATGCTGCAGTCCTTCCTGAAGGAGCAACCCTGTGGTCTACTGGAGATTTTGATGCAATGCTTGAGTTTTCCATGCTGTCATTTGTGAAGTCATCCATGCCTTCACAAGGTGTTTCAAATGTATTGAAACACTTGCTCAAGGAATGCAGGAACTCCATTCCACCAGCAAGTGGCATTAGGCATCATCCTGTGTATTAGTCTGTTCTCACATTGCTACAAAGAACTACCTGAGGCTGGGTGTGGTGGTTTATGCCTGTAATCCCAGCACTTTGAGAGGCCGAGGTGGGTGGATCACGAGCTCAGGAGTTCCAGACCAGCCTGGCCAACATGGCAAAACCCCGTCTCTACTAAAAACACAAAAATTAGTTGAGCATGGTGGCAGGTGCCTGTAATCCCAGCTACTCGGGAGGCTGAGACAGAAGAATCACTTGAACCCAGGAGACACAGGTTGCAGTGAGCCGAGATCATGCCATTGCACTCCAGCCTGGGCAACAAGAGTGAGACTCTGTCTCAAAAAAAAAAACAAACAAAAAAACACCTACCTGAGAATGGGTAATTTATAAAGAAAAGAGGTTTAATTGGCTCATGGTTCTGCTAGCTGTACAGGAAGCATGGCTGGGGAGGTCCCTTAGGAAACTTACAATCATGTCAGAAGGTGAGGGGGAAGCAGGCATGTCCTGCATGGTTGGAGCAGGAGGAAGAGAGTGAAAGGGGAGGTGCTACACACTTTCAAACAACCAGATCTCATGAGAATTCACTATCATAAGAACAGCAAGCGGGAAATCCACCCCCCATGATCCAATCACCTCCCACCAGGCTCCTCCTCTAACATTGGGGATTACAATTCGACATGAAATTTGGGTGGGGACACAAATCCAACCATATCATCCTGGCATTTAAGTGATGCACTTCTCCAGCTGTCAATAATGATTGCTGCACATACATCACCCTAAACTTTTCTCATGTCTTTTTGTTGAAGTAACACATCTGTGAAGCCAACAAAGATGTTCATTGAGTGAATGACATGTTCCTGACCTCTGGACCTATGAATCATCGCTGTGTGGCTGGGAAATGGTCTCTTCCGCTGCTGGGTATTCCATCAGGGATGCAATCCTTGGTATGCACTTTTCCCCAAGGCATACTGATCATTTTTTTTTTCTGCTGATAGGAATATCCCTTCTCAAGTACATCTAATCATGTCTAATCAAGGCAAAGAGCACTGTCCTGTCCAAATAAATGGTCCAAAGTATGATTAAGGACAGAAGTCCAAAAACCAAACTGCTCCTCCAATTCAGTATGGAAGCCTTTTTGACTCAATTCTTGAATATTGTACATCCTTGTAGGTTTTTTTCTCCCAAAAGATTTGGTGGAGCTGAAAGTTATTTATCTTGGCCAAGAGGAGGGACTACAAAAGAATTATAGTAAATTCCAATTTTCCTTGCTTAGATCTTTGGATCCTTGTTTTTTCTCTCTTCTCTTTTTCATTTATTTTCCTTTTCTATCTCCCGCTCCCCTGAGCCTTAGCTGACATTACGCAGCTAACAGACAACCGTCAAGATTTATAAAGATACCTCTTGAAAGAACTATTCTCTCAGCTGCCAAAATGAGATTGCACTAATGATCCTGAGAAAGAGGCATGAAAACCAGCCTATCCCAACTTTTCCAACTGCAAGTTGGAAACAACTAGCTTGAGGCAGTTCACAGTTCATAGTTCCAACCTTAGATTGTGCCACATTGCTTTTTTTTTTTTTTTTTTTGAGGCAGGGTCTTGCTCTATCACTGAAGCTGGGGTGCAGTGGTGCCATCATAGCTCATTGCAGCCTTGAACTACTGGGCTCAAGCGATCTTCCCTCCTCAGCCCCCTGAGTAGCTGGGACTATAGGCGTGTGTCACCATGCCCGGCTAATTTTTAAATTTTTTTAGAGACAGGGTCTCACCATGTTGCCCAGGCTGGTATTGAACTCTGGAGCTCAAGTGATCCTCCTGCCTCAGCTTCCCAAAGTGCCCAGATTACAGGTGTGAGCACTGTTCTTGATCTTTGTTCTATATTTCATTTAATAAGATTATACCTTTGTGAAGCTGGGTCTTTAGGGGTTGCTGTGATGAAAAGAAAACACCACACAAAAATAAACGTGAAACTGGAAGTGAGGGTGGCAGTATTTAATCTGACTCCAAGGTTTGAGAAGTTGTGCAGTGCCCAACAGGGGCATGCATCCAGTTAGCAAGTAGTTGTGGTTATATAAGAATGAAATAAAAATATTATTTTGTCTTTCAATTTATGTGTATTACTTTTTAAAATGGCTACTAGGTTAACAGGACATAAATACTTACTAAGTGGCATAGACTTAACTGCTTAGTAAACAGATTTGATAGGTATTTCTTTCGGCATGGGATTCTGTGAAAAAATTACTGAGACACTAAGGGTGCTGTAAATCAAGAACATTTTGGGACCTCTGCTCTTAAGTCATTACATATTTCTCCAATGTGCTGATGACTCCTACCTTTTTATTTTATTTTTTTTTAGAGATGGGGACTTGCTATGTGCCCAGGCTAGACTTGAACTCCCGGGCTCTAGTGATTCTCCCACCTCAGCCTCCCAAGTAATTGGAACTACAAGCATGCCACTGTGCCTGGCTTGACTCCCACATTTCTATTTCCAGCGCTGACTTCTTCCCTAAATGCCAGACTCAACTTATAACTGCCTACACTACATCTTTGGTTGGGTGTTAAATAGTTATCTGAAATGTACCTTGTGCAGAAATCAAACTTTGATTCTCCCTGACAAGGTGCCTTTCCTGCAGGTCTTGTTATCCAATATAAGTGCTGTCATTCACACAGCTGTTTGGGCCAAAAACATAGGAGCCATTCTTGATTACTTCTTTTTAGGGGTCAGCAAATGTTTCTGCCAAGGCCCAGAGGGTTAATATTTTATACTTTGCAGACCATACAGTCTCCGTCACAACTATTCAACTCTGCTACTGTAGCAAGAAAGCAGCCATAGACAATAGTAAAAGAGTGAGTGTGGCTGTGTACCATAAAAATTTTATTTTCAAAAATAGGTGGTGGGCTGGATTTGGCCTGTGGGCTGTAGTTTGCCAATCCTTGCTCTATTTTGTCCATACCCTCATACCCAGTTCATTGCAAACTTTGCTGGCCCTTCCTTCAAAATACAGTATGCCTTGAATATAACCACTTCTTGTCACTTCCGTTGTTCTTCAAGCCACGACCATCTCTTGCTTTCTTGCTTGAACCACTGAATGTTTTCCATTCACCCTTGCCCCACTATGGCCAATTCTCTATAGAGCAGCCAGAGTAATCATTCTACAATATAAACCAGATGATATCACTGTTCAAATCTTTCAATGGACTTCCATCAAAGTAAGAATAAAACTCAAAGCACTTATCACAGCCTGTAGGGCTACACATGGTTTGCCCCCACCTATCTCCCAAACGTCATTTACCCAAAATTCACCTCCTTGCTCACTCTACTTGATCTACATTAAGGTATTTCCATATACCTTAAGGCCTTGGTATTCCTCCTGCCTGAAATAATCTTCCCTCCAAATATCTATATGGCTTGTTCTCTGACTTTATTTACCTTTCTGATGAAATGTCACATTCTTGGAGGCACTCCCTGATTTTCCTATCTAAAAACAGCCCCTCTCATATCTCTATCAGTTTTTAATCTTTTTACCCTGCTTTCATTTTCTTCCTAGTATCTAACACTGGGTGAAATATGATATATTTATTCATTTATTGTCTCTTTCCCTTACTAGAATGCATATTGTAGGAAGGTGCAGAATACGTTGTGTTTACCTCTGAATCACCGGTATCTAGTTCCTGGTCTATATGAGGTCCTCAATAAATAGTTGAAGAATGAATGAATGAATGAATGAATGAATGGTCTGCCGTATTAGCCAGGGTCCTGGAAGGAAGTAATCAAGCTCAGATGGTTTAAAAGACTTTAATGAAAGGAGTACTCATGAAAGAACAGGTAAGTTAAAGCAACGAAGTAGGGATGTTGAGGTCCCCAGAGACCAGCAGCAGCAGGAAACCATTACTACCTCAAGGTCTGAAGGGACAAGGGAGAGAAGAGTGCTCCTGGAGCCAGTCTGAGCTGGAATCCTGGAAAAGTGGAAGAGGGACCCCCTTAGCAGGAGTTGTAGACACAGAAGGATGCAGCAGCTGCCAAGAAAAATGGTCCAAAGCAGGGAGGGGACAGGGAAAACATTTTCCAACCTCTCTTTCCTCCCACCTTCCAATTTACCTCCAGGATGTCACATTGGCTGATCCCAGCTGGAAGCCAGAAGTCTAAGGGGCCCAAGGGATTGTCTATTGTACAGTGCAGATCAGAGCATGGAAAGGTGGAGAGGGATGTGAATGGGAAGGGTGGGAAAACAGAGGATAACCAGAAAAACTATATTGGATTACGGCCTGTCAGTTTTAAATGCAGATGCCCCACATTTCTGCAGTGTGTATGTCAGCTTTTTGAGCATAGGAATCACACCTTTTAATCTCATGTTGCTTCTGAAGTTAGTACCTGGCTTCAAGGCACATATTTAGTACTTCTTGACTTGAATTGAGTTGAAACATCATCATTGCTTTAAACTCCAGAGACTGCACAATGATCTAGCATATTCCATTCTGTCATGTTGCCACAACTCAAAGCAGCACGATGGCGTCCCCTTAACACACAGGACCTGTTGCTTTAATGTCAATCTCTTTTTCTATTTTTATTTTTATTATACTTTAAGTTTTAGGGTACATGTGCACAACGTGCAGGTTTGTTACATATGTATACATGTGCCATGTTGGTGTGCTGCACCCATTAACTCGTCATTTAACATTAGGTATATCTCCTAATGCTATCCCTCCCCCCTCCCCCCACCCCACAACAGGCCCCGGTGTGTGATGTTCCCCTTCCTGTGTCCATGTGTTCTCATTGTTCAATTCCCACCTATGAGTGAGAACATGCCGTGTTTGGTTTTTTGTCCTTGCGATAGTTTGCTGAAAATGATGGTTTCCAGCTTCATCCATGTCCGTACAAAGGACATGAGCTCATCATTTTCTGGCTGCTTTATGCTCACCAGAAGCTTCCTGCTTCTCCTGCTTTCTGCAAGTGCCAACATTTCTTCCCTTCCATGCATTCTGGAAGTTTCCTTTCTAGAGGACTTATGTATAGACAACTCTCCCGTTTTCTGTTATAGCACAAAATTTCATTGTTCTCTTGCCCACTGGCTGCCTGCTATTGTGGTGTTAATCATCATGGTGTTCAGGTGCTTTTGAAAGGGTGGAATGAGGAAGCGATGCTTTTAATCATATGGTTGCTGAGCTGTGATGAGCCTGTCTTCCTTCTGATTCCATTGTGCTGAGAAAGTTCATAGTTATGCTGCCCTGTCCTTGATGTACAGGATAGCATGGACTGGGGAAATGATCTGAGTAAATGAGCCTATTTGTGCCTGATGGAAAAGCAACATTTCCTAGCGTTACGAGAGCTCTGTCCTCAGTTGTTGCCTCCCCATTAACAGCTGTGGATCTGACCCAGTGTATTCATTATATATTGCTGCGTAACAAATTACTCCAAAATGTACACGGTTAAAACAATGAACACTTATTATCTCACAGAATTTCTTAAGGTTTGAAATTTGGGAGAGGTATAGCTGAGGGTTCTGGCTCAGAGTCTCTCAGGAGGTTGCAGTTAAGTTGTTTGCTGGGACTGTTGTCATCCTAAATAGGCTAGAGAATTCGCTTTCAAACTCATTCACATGGCTGTTGGCATAGGTTAAGTGGGTCTCTCCATAGGACAGCTCACAGTATGACTTCCCCTAGAGAACGTGATCTGGGAGAGGGCACCTGAGGCAGAAGCTGCAGTTTTTCCCAACCTAATCTTGAAAGGGAAATACCATCACTTCTGCCATATGCTATTTGTCCCATAGATGAACCACGGTATAATATGGGAGGGTAATAAAAAAGTGAATATCAGGAGTCAGGGATCTTTGGGAGTCATCTTGGTGGTTGCCTATCATACCCAGATCTTGCAAAATGCCAAAAAACTCAGCTTTGCATGATAGAGTATGTTGGCTGGATTGGGATCAAAGCCCAGGGGCTCCTCTCAGCAATGGGTGGACTGATGCAAAAGGCTATAAGGGGGTTAAACTGTGTGGTTAAGAAAACAGGAATAATCCCTGTTGGTATTAATGTTCCATAAAGGTAACCTGGCTGTGGTTTACACACCAACTATGAAATCAAGAACCAAGGATCCAGGCTGCATCCCTAAGTTTCTTGGTTCTAAAGACAAAACAGCTATGTTAGAATCATCTGGAGAACTTGTTAAATACACAGATTCCCAGGCCTTGTCCTTGATGCACTATATCGGAATCTCTGGTGTGTGCTTGCTAAGTAATTCTAATGTGTAGCCAGGTTTGGGAGCCACCATGAGGTCACATGTGTTTTGAAGGAATAACTTGTAAGCAAAGTGAGGGTCTGGCCCTGACTGCTGAATGGATTAAGTGAGTGTAGGCTGGATCCATTACTGCAACTGTTTGAAGGCACGGTGATGAAAGACACCCAAGCCGCTCTTGTTTACTTATTACTATTAATTATTTAAGGGCTGCTTCTCTACTTGCCTTAGGATTAAAAGAAGAAACAGACTGAACTCCTTAGAATTCAATGGACTAATAATATGCACAGACACAATGTGAATTTATAATTCAATCAAATTCTGACCTTCTTATTATTGAGCAGTTGGTCATGGAAGGGCCCAGGGACACAGGGAAGTTTTTGCAGGCTTAAGGGGTAGATGAGAAAATGCTATAAAGCATTTCCAAGAATATAAATGTTCAATATCGTCTTCCCCTGTCTTTTGTTTTATACTGGGCTTATCTGAACAGTCATTTGTATGTCACAGCACAGTGCCATTTACTCAGAGCTGCAACTCTATGGCCTTTGGTAGAATAGACTCTTTGCCATGAAGATAGTAAAAATTGCCTTGAACACCTTCCTGGGGGATTTCTGATTTCCATAAAGGGATGCAGAAAGCTGAAAAGAGTCATTCCCACCCTTACGATTTAAAAAGCAGACAAACTGCATATGCAGAAATTTTCTTGAGAGAGCTGAGGTAGCAGGATAACCAAGTAGCCTGAAATCAAAGGAGAGACAGGCACCTGGAGGGAAAGACTGGCTGTGAGCACTTGTTTACCTGGGGCAGAAGGGGTTAGACACTGGTATAAAAAATTCACTTAAAATCAATGGAGGCTAAGTGTTGACTGGTGATGGAGTGTGGAGCCCCTGGGAGGTGCAGATATAAGGGAAGCTTTTCTTCATGGACCCCACTTGCTGAGAGTTCTGAGAAAGCATCTTTTATAGTGAAGGCCTGGGACAGAGGAAGAGCAGCTATTGTGGAAAGGGCAGGAAACACTGCCTAGACTTTTCTCTTCTGTATCCTCTATGGAACAGAAGCTTTAATACATACTGGGAAGGGCAACAAACACTGTTGTCCATGGAACATTGTTGCAAATCTGTTGCAAGTCGGGGAAGGGCAGTGTATTAGTCTGCTCTCATGCCGCTAACAAAGACATACCCGAGACTGGGTAATTTATGAAGGAAAGAGGTTTAATTGACTCACAGTTCAGCATGGTTAGGAAGACCTCAGGAAACTTACAATCATGGCAGAAGGGGAAGCAAACACACACTTCTTCACATGGCGGCAGCAAGGAGAAGTGCCGATCAAAAAGGGGAAAAGACTCTTATAAAACCATCAGATTTCGTGAGAACTCACTCACTATCACAAGAACAGCATGAGGGTAACCACCCCCATGATTAAATCACCTCCCACCGGGTCCCTCCCACGACACGTGGGGATTATGGCAACCACAATTCAAGATGACATTTGGGCGGGGACACAGCCAAACCATAACAGGCAGAGAAAAAATTAACCCTTTATTCCTGAAGGAAGGGAAGCAATGGGTACAAGGCCTTAAGATATATATAGGGGAGGGACTGGAGCACCAAGAAGGCCACACATCAAAGATCCCAGGACACAACTGCCTGCTTAAAACTGAGGTTTAATTAGAACAATAGACAACCCACCCCCACGCTCTCTCACAACAATCCAACAAGTAACAAGTAATGGTGGAATACTGCCAGAAGAGTTGCAAGGCTGTGGAGGCAGACAGAGTTTAAAAGGAAAACGTAAAGCTGATGTGACAGTGAAAAAATCCCCTCTAGCACACCAGATCCAGCCTAAATACAAAATATTGCTAAAGGAATTTGAAGCCTGTGGTGTACTGAAGGTAACTAAAGCAGCCAAAAGAGTTCAAACCCAGCTCAACTCCTGACTAGGTTAACTCAAAACGCCACACTTAGCACGGCTTAGCAAGAAGAAAGGCATGCCCATTTCCAGGCATAAAAACTATTTACTTTGGCCTCTACTCTCCTACACAAGATGTCTGAATGTGAACTAAACATTATGAGGTATATAAAAGAAAAGAAAAAAGAAGACAAAGTGAGATGTGAAGCTGGCTGAGCTTCTGGGTCGGGTGGGGACTTGGAGAACTTTTCTGTCTAGCTAAAGGATCGTAAATGCACCAATCAGCGCTCTGTGTCTAGCTAAATGTTTGTAAACGCACCAATCAGCACTCTGTCAAAACGGACCAATCAGCACTCTGTAAAATGGACAAATCAGCTCTCTGTAAAATGGGCCAATCAGCAGGATGTGGGTGGGGCCAAATAAGGGAATAAAAGCAGGCCACCAGAGCCAGCAGCAGCAACCTGCTCTGGGTCCCATTCTGTACTGTGGAAGCTTTGTTCTTTGGCTCTTCACAATAAATCTTGCTACTGCTCACTGTTTGGGTCTGCGCTCCCTTTATGAGCTGTAACGCTCACCGTGAAGGTCTGCAGCTTCACTCCTGAAGCCACAGAAACCATGAACCCACCAGGAGGAATGAACAACTCCGGACGCATCACCTTTAAGAGCTATAACACTCACCGCAAATGTCTGCAGCTTCACTCCTGACGTCAGCGAGACCACAAACCCACCAGAAGGAAGAAACTCCGGACACATCCGAACATCAGAAGGAGCAAACTCCGGACACACCATCTTTAAGAACTGTAACACTCTCCAAGAGGGTCCATGGCTTCATTCTTGAAGTCAGCGAGACCAAGGACCTACCAATTCTGGACACAAAAGGAATCAGCAGAATAAGATTTAGAGATAACACAGATGTTGGAACTGTCTGGCATGAAATTCAAATAGCCATTAGTAATATGCTAAAGGCCCCAATGGAAAAGGTGGATGACATGCATAATCAAGTGAGTAAATTCCACAGAGAGATCAAAACTATAAGAAAGAACTAAATGAAAAGCACAGCAACAGAGATGAAGAATGTGTCTGGCTCATTAGCAGACTCGACATAGCCAAGGGAAGAAGCAGTGAACTTGAAGATAAGTCAATAGAAATGATCACAATTGAAGCACAAAGTGAAAAAAAGAAAAGGAAGGCATAACAGAGCATTCCAGAGCTGTGGAATAACATCATATAGTGTAACATACACATAATTGAACTATCAGAGGGAAACTTGACAGAGAATGAGGCAGAAGTATTCGAAGAAGAAATGGCTGAGAATTTTCAAGAGTTAATAACATGTACTACAGATACAAGAAGCTGAGAATGCCAAGAAAGACACATATCAAAAATAAAAAACAAAGAGAAAAAAACCCCAAACACCTACCCAGGCATAAAATAATAAAACTCCTGAAAACAAAATACGAAGAGAAAATCTCGAGGCAAAAAAGACACATTGCATACAGAGGAAGAAAGATAGGAAGTACAGCAGACGTCTCATCAGAAACCATGTAAAACAGAAAAAAAATGAAAATTTTAAGGTATTGCAAGAAAAGCAAAGTCTTTCAACACAGAATTTCTAAAGCCAGCAAAAACACCTTTCAAAAATGAAGGAAAAATGCACACTTTGTCAGACAAACACAAAATTAGAATTATACTACAAGAAAAGTTAAAGTTCTTTGGGCAGAAGGAATGTGATACCAGATAAAAACTTACATCAATACAAAGAGATGAAAGGCACTTGAAATGCAGCCAATTAAGGTAAATTTTTATTATTGAGTTGTAAGAATTCTTCATACAAATTCTAGATATATGTCCTTATCAAATATATGATTTGCTAATATTTTCTCCCATTTTTTCCATTATATTTTCTTTTTTTTTTTTTTTTTTTTTTTTGAGACGGAGTCTCACTCTGTTACCTAGGCTGGAGTGCAGTGGCGTGATCTCCACTCACTGCAACCTCCGCTTCCTGGGTTCAAGCAATTCTCCTACCTCAGCCTCCCGAGTAGCTGGGATTACAGGCATCCGCCACCACGCTCAGCTAATTTTTGTATTTTTAGTAGAGATGGGGTTTCACCATGTTGGCCAGGATGGTCTCAAACTCCTGACCTTGTGATCCCCCCACCTCAGCCTCCCAAAGTGCTGGGATTATAGGCGTGAGCCACCATGCCCGGCCCACTTTCTTCATGGTATCCTTTGCAGCATAAGAGTTTTAAATTTTCATGAAGTCTAATTTACCATTTTTTTTTCTTTAGTTGCTTGTGCTTTTGGAGTTCTATTTTTTTTTTTTTTTGATCTTAGGGGAAAGCATTCAATCTTTCACTGTCAAGTATGTTGTTAGTTGTGGGTTTTTCACAGATGCCTTTTATCACTTTGAGAAAGTTTTCTTTTATTCCTAATTTGTTGAGTGTTGTTTTTATCATCAAAACTTGTTAGTTTGTCAAATGCTTTTTAAATATCTGATGAAATAATAATGTGTTTTTTGTTCTTTTTTTCTATTGATATGTTTTATTACATTAATTAATTATCATATGTTAAACTAATTTTGAATTTCTGGAATAAATCCTACTTGGTCATGGTGTATAGTGTTTTTAATATGTTGCTGGATTTTATTTGCTAGTATTAGTTAAAGATTTTTGTGTCCATATGCATAAAAGATATTGGTCTGTGGTTTTCCTTTTTTGTGATATTTTTAACTGGCTTAAGTGTTAGGGTAATTCTGGCTTTATAGAATGAGTTGGAAAGTGTCCCCTCCTCTTCAATCTTTTAAAAGAGTTTGTGGGCCGGGTGTGGTGGCTCATGACTGTAATCCCAGCACTTTGGGAGGCCGAGGCGGGCAGATCACCTGAGGTCAGGAGTTCGAGACCAGCCTGACCAACATGGAGAAACCCAGTCTCTACTAAAAATACAAAATTAGCCAGGCATGGTAGCGTATGCCTGTAATCCCAGCTACTCGGGAGGCTGAGGAAGGAGAATCACTTGAACCCGGGAGGCGGAGGTTGCGGTAAGCCGAGATCGTGCCATTGCACTCCAGCCTGGACAACGAGGGAAACTCTGTCTAAAAAATAATAATAAATAAATAAATAAATAAATAAATAAATAAAAAATAGTTTGTGAAAGAATTCATATTAATTCTTCTTTAAATGTTTGATAGAGTTCACCACTGAAGACATCTGGGTCTAGGCTTTTCTTTGTGAGTATTTTTTTTCATTTATTTTTAATTCAATCTGTTAACTTGTTATTCGGATTTTCTGTTCCTTTTTGGGTCACTGTAGATAGTGTCCTTCAAGCAATTTGTCCATTTCATCTACGTTATCTAATTTGTTGGCAGACAGTTGTGCATATTTATGTTTATATTTCTCTAAGGTTGGTAGTAATTTGATCTGTTTCAATCTTGACTTTAGTTTTTTTTCTTTTTTTTATTTTCTTTTTTTTTTGTCATTCTATGCTGAAGGTCTCCCAATTTTGCCAATATTCCCAAAAATCCCACTTTGGATTTTGTTGTTTTTCTCTATTGCTTTTCTATTCTCTCTTTTATTAATTTCAGCAATCATTTACTTTCTTGTTTTTGCTTTGGGGTTAATTTGCTCTTTCATTTTTCTAGGTCTGAAAATAAAAATTATGTTATTGATTTGGGGTTTTTCCTTTTTTTTTTTTTTTTTGAGACAGAGTCTTTCTCTGTCACCCATGCTGGAGTGCAGTGGTGTGATCTCGGCTCACTGCAACCTCCACCACTTGGGTTCAAGCAATTCTCCTGCCTCAGCCTCCCTAGTAGCTGGGATTACCAGAGTGTGCCAACACACCTAACTAATTTTTGTATTTTTAGTAGAGACGGATTTCACTATGTTGGCCAGGCTGGTCTCAAACTCTTGACCTCAAGTGATCTGGCTGCCTTGGCCTCCCAAAGTGCTGGGATTACTTACAGGCATGAGCCACTGTGCCCAGCCGGGTCTTTCCCCTTTTTAATGAGGATGTTTAGGGCTATAAATTTCCCTCTAGTGCTGCTTTAGTTGCATCCCACAAGTTTTGCTTTGGTATACAGGCATACCTTTGAGATATTGTGGGTTTGGTTCCAGACCACCACAATAAAGTGTCTATCACAATAAAATGAGTCACACAATTTTGATTTCCCAGTGCATATAAAAGTTGTGTTTACACTATACAGAGTCTAGTAAGTATGCAATGGCATTATGTCTAAAAAACAATATATATACCTTAATTTCAAAGTACATTATTGCTAAGAAATGCCAACAATTATCTGAGCCTTCGGTGAGTCATAATCTTTTTGCTGATGGAGGGTCTTTCCCTCATATTGATGGCTGCTGACTGATCAGGGTGGTGGTTGCTGAAGGCTGAGGCAGCTGTGGCAATTTCCTTCTTTTTTTTTTTTTTTTTTTTGAGACGGAGTCTTTCTCAGTTGCCGAGGCTGGAGTGCAGTGGCGTGATCTTGACTCACTGCAACCTCTGCCTCCCAGGTTCAAGCCATTCTCCTGCATCAGCCTCCTGAGTAGCTGAGACTATAGATACGTGCCACCATACCCAGTTAATTTTTGTATTTTTAATAGAGACAGGATTTCACCACGTTTGCCAGGCTGGTCTCGAACTCCCCATCTCAGGTGATGTGCCCGCCAAGGCCTCCCAAAGTGCTGGGATTACAGGCGTGAGCCACCACACCCAGCCTAGCTGTAGCAATTTCTTAAGAGAACAATAAAGTTTGCCACGTTGATTGATGCTTCCTTTCACGAAAGATTTCTCTGTAGTATGAGATGCTGTTTGATAGCACTTCACCCACAGTAGAACTTCTTTCAAAGTTGGAATCAATTCTCTCCAACCCTGCTGCTGCTTTGTCAACTAAGTTTATGTAATATTCTAAATCCTTTGTTGTCATTTCAACAATGTTCACAGCATGATCGCCAGGAGTAGATTCCATCTCAAGAAACTACCTTCTTTGCTAATCCATAAGAAGCAACTCCTGATCCATTTAAGTTTTATCATGAGATGGCAGCAATTCAGTCACATCTTCAGGTTGCACTTCTAATTTTGGTTCTCTTGCTATTTCTATCACATCTGCAGTGACTTTCTCCACTGAAGTCTTGAACTCCTCAAAGTCAACCATAAGGGTGGATAATAATAATAATCAACTTCTTTCAAACTCCTGTTAATGTGGATATTTTAATCTCCTCCCATGAATCATGAATGTTCTTAATGGCATCTAGAATGGTGAATCTTTTCCTGAAGGTTTTTAATATATTTTGCCTAGATCCATCAGAGGAATCTATGGCAGCTACAGCCTTGTGAAATGTAGTTTTTTGTTTGTTTGTTTGTTTTTTCTTGAGATGGAGTCTTGCTCTGTCACCAGGCTGAAGTAGAGTGGCATGATCTCAGCTCACTGCAACCTCTGCCTCCCGGGTTCAAGCAATTCTTCTGCCCCAGCCTCCCAAGTAGCTGGGACTACAGGCACTTGCCACCACGCCCAGATAATTTTTGTAGTTTTAGTAGTGACGGGGTTTCACCGTGTTGGCCAGGATGGTCTCGAACTCCTGACCCTGTGATCTGCCCGACTCGGCCTCCCAAAGTACTGAGATTACAGGCGTGAGCCACCGTGCCCGACCAAAATGTAGTTTTTGTTTGTTTGTTTGTTTTTGTTTTTTTTTTGAGAATCTTCTTTATTTCCTTTTGGAGGCTACCCAATAATTTAAATTAATATTCATGTCAGAATGCATCCCTGCCATAACTACTTGCTTTCATAATTATATACAAAACAAGTTTAGAAAAACCTTGCTAAGGTGTCTTTTTTTAAAAGGAGGAAAAGAGAAAATAACTTGGGCAGTATTGAAGTAAAGTAAAAAGAAAACTGGATGGAGACACCTGGTCATTAACTCAAGTTCTGCATAGTTAACTAGCTGCATGATTTTAGATTTTAGATTTAGCTCCTGTAGGTCTTACAAAATGTAGTTTTAAATAAGACTTGAAAGTCGAAATTACTCCTTGCTGCATGGGCTGCAGAATGGATATTTTGTTAGCAGGCATGAAAACAGCATTAATCTCCTTGTACATCTTCATCAGAGCTCTTGGGTGACCAAGTGCATTGTCAATGAGCAGTAATACTTTGAAAGGAATCTTTTTGTCTGAGTAGTTGGTCTCAACGGTGGGCTTAAGATATTCAGTAAACCATGATGTAAACAGATATGCTGTCATCCCGGCTTTTCTGTTCCATTTATAGAGCACAGATAGATTTAGCATGATTTTTAAGGGTTCTAGGATTTTTTGAATGGTAAATCAGCATTGGCTTTACTTGAAATCACCAGCTGCATCAGCCCCTAACAAGAGAGAGCCAGCCCTTTGAAGCTTTGCAGCCAGGCATTGACTTTTCCTATTTAGCTGTGAACGTTCTAGACGACATCTTCCAGTATGTATCTGTTTCATACGCATTGAAAATCTGTGGTTTAGAGTAGCCATCAATGATGTTTGCTAGATCTTCCGGATAACTTGCTGCAGCTCTTCCATCAGCACTTGCTGATCAACTCTCAGAGCCTTGCTCTGGATGAGGCTATGGCTTGGGGAATGTTGTAGCTGGTTTGATACACTATAGAGACCACTCATACTTTCTCCATATCAGCAATAAGGCTGTTTTGGTTTCTTATCATTTGTGTGTTGACTGGAGTAGCACTTTCAGTTTTCTTCAAGAACGTTTCCTTTGCACTCACGACTTAACTGTTCGGTAAAAGAGGCCTAGTTTTCAGGCTATCTTGGCTTTTGGCATGGCTTCTTCACTAAGTTTAATCATTACTAGCTTTTAATTTAAAGTGAGAGGCATGGGACTCTTTCATTTGAACACTTAGAGGTCATTGTAGGGTAATTAATTGGTCTGATTTCAATATCGTTGTGTCTCAAGAAATATGGAGGCCAGAGGAGAGAGAGATTGATGGGGAAATGGCTGGTCAGCGGAGCAGTCAGAACATACACAACACTTACCAATTAAGTTCACTGCTTTATATTGCCTGTGGCTTGTGACATCTCAAAACAATTACAAGAGTAACATCAAAGATCACTGATTATATATTATTATATCTGTTATATCTATCTATCTATCTATCTATATATACATATAATGATAACATTTGAAATAGTGCCAGAATTACCAAAATGTTACACAGAGACGTGAAGTGACTATGTTTTGTTGGGAAAATGGCACTGATAGACTTACTCAATAGAGGGTTACCACAGACCTTCAATTTGTAAAAAATGCATTATCTGTAAAGTGCAATAAAGCAAAATGCAATAAAATTAGGTATACCTGTATCTTCACTTTCATTTGTATTTTCTCTTTTCCCTTGTGATTTCTTTTTTGACTCATTTGTTATTTAGGAGTGTTTTGTTTAATTTTTACATATTTGTGAATGTTCAAATTTCTTTTTGTTATTGAATTCTAATTCCATTCCATTGTGATCAGAGAAGATACTTTGCATAATTTGAATCCTTTTACATTTATTTAGGCTTATGTGTCTTAGTACATGGTTTATTCTGAAGAATCTTTTATGTACTCTACTGTTGTTGAGTGGAGTGTTCTATACACATTCATTAGGTCTAGTTGGTTTTTAGTGTTGTTAAACTTCCATTTACTTGTTCTTCTGCCTAGTTATTCTATCTATTATTGAAAGTGGAATATTGATGTCTGCAACTATTATTGGAGGAGTGAGGGAAATACAAAGTCATCTTTAGAATGTGACAGTAGTAGTTGCTGCAGGCAGGATATCCACCAGCGGATGCTAAAACTGGTCCTTGACAGTTTGAGGAGAAATAGAATATTTTCATTGCCTAAAGTATTTATCCCAAGATATTTATTAACTACAAAGAGAAAAATAGAATTTTATAGTAGAGAAACTGAGCAGACATCCTCTTAGTCAAGTGATCAAGGTTAACATAGCCAGTAATGAGGCATATCAATGTCATGTATCCCCTGATATGATGCAATGAGAAGGGCACAGCATCATTTCTGTGGTATTCTTGCCAAAAATACGTGTTCCCAAAATAACCACAAGACAACATCAGAGAAACCCAAATTGGGGGACGTCAGACAAAGTAACTGATGAGTAGTTCTCAAAAGTGTCAAGGTCATAAAAGACAAGGAAATAGTGAGGAAATGTCACAGACCAGAAGAGACTAAGGAGACATGATGACTAAATGAAGTTTGGGACACTCATTTGGATCCTGGAACAGAAAATGTACATAAGTAGAAAAACTGGTGGAATGAAAATAAGAGTGTTAAATGTTAATATTATTGTGCCAATGTCAATTTCTTGATTTTGATTATTATATTATTATTATATAAGATGTTAACATTAGTGGAAGGTGGATGAAGAGCATATGGGAATTCTTTTCACTATTTTTGCAACATTTTTCTATATCTAAAATTATTTCTTTATAACTAAAGTTAAAATTAAAAGTAAAAAAAAAAAAGTCTCTCCATGAGAGTCAAGATGTGGCAGAGATACAAGTAAGAAAAAATAACCACAAAACAAAAATTTTGTCTTTGGGTTTCGGGAGAGAAAGTAAAAAGAATGCCAGAGAGAACAGCTTCCAGAATTCTTGAATGGCTGCCTTCCACACCTGAGGTTACTTTAGGTCAAAGGATTTTGCTACTGGAACAGCAAGGATAAATCAACATTGCACCGTGTAAATGCGTTTGAACAGGTTGGTGTAGTTTGGGGCAGGTACATGCACAGTTTATCCTGCCCTGGGCCATAGCTGATTAGCAAATTATTAGTAGAATATATTTTAATCAATTATGCTAGAAGGATGAAATGGGAAGTTCTTTGTGTTAATTGGATGAAGATTGGTTAGCGTTCCTTCCAGAGATTCTGGGAGTCTGTGGAAAACTACTGTCAAAAACCAGCAACAAGCATCCATGTACAGTTCAGCCAAACAGGCAAGAGTCAACTGAACTCTAAACTGAATGTGTGATGATAAAAGGGAAACACAGGGCCGGGCGCGGTGGCTCACGCCTGTAATCCCAGCACTTTGGGAGGCCAAGGTGGGCAGATCACAAGGTCAGGAGATCGAGACCATCCTGGCTAACACGGTGAAACCCCGTCTCTACTAAAAATACAAAAAAATTAGCTGGGCGTGGTGCCGGACGCCTGTAGTCCCAGCTACTTGGGAGGCTGAGGCAGGAGAATGGTGTGAACCCGGGAGGCGGAGCTTGCAGTGAGCCAAGATCGCGCCACTACACTCCAGCCTGGGCGACAGAGCGAGACTCTGTCTCAAAAAAAAAAAAAAAGGGAAACACAAAAAATAGCAAGTAATTTATTTTGTGATGTGCATGGCACCAAATAATAGTTTAATTTGTATAGCACTTTCCAAGCCAACAAATTCTATGACATAAATTACCTCATCTAAACCTCACAGAAACCAGGTGAAGTGTGCAAGGCATTATCTGGTTTTCACACGTGGAAAATGTTCTCACAAGGGTAAACAGCTTTGCCAAGGTCACACAATAAATGGTTAGGCTGGGGCTTGAGTGCTGGCCATACAATTCCTAGCTCCTTCTGAGAATTCCACTTTGAAGATAAAAATAATCTTCCATCTGTATCTCTCGATGAAGACTGAGTGAGCATACCAGAGATCTGGATTCATCTACAATTTGAAAATTTGTTTTAAATGTTTTATACTGGACAAGGTCCAGAATATATTTCAGAAGACAAATTCTCCCCTTGAATGTTGAAATGTATGTCCTTAAGGATAAATTAAATCCATATGTTTCTGATCAATTTGCACTTACTGTAATTCATTAAAATGCTTCTTTGGAAGTTATTGAGTGTTCAAGCGCCTTTTGAGTCTTTCTCCAAGTATTGGAAAACATTTCTATTAATAGCCTTAAAATCAATGTAAAGTTCTTTGCAAAAGTATAGACTTGGTCCATTCATTATTTTTTTTTTGAAATGGGGTCTCACCTGTTGCCCAGGCTAGAGTGCAGTGGCTCACTGTAGCCTTGACCTCATGGGCTCAAATGATCCTCCTACCTTAGCCTCCTGAGTAGCTGGAATTACAGGCATGTGCCACTATGCCTGCCTAATTTTTGTTTTTTTTTTTTTTTTTTTTCTTTTGTAGAGATAGGGTCTCACTATGTTGCCTAGGTTGGTCTTGAACTCTTGGCGTTAAGCAATCCTCCCACCTCAGCCTCCCAAAGTGCTCACGTTACAGTAATGAGCCACTGCACCTGGACAGTACAGTCATTTTTAGGAGGGTGACCCTTGGGTGAGTTTAGAGATTTGAACTTTATCCTGTTTCTCAGCCTTCTCAGCCTTAAAGTGGAAGGAGAAGGGCCCCAAATAGAGATGGGAAACCATTTGCCCTTTGAGTGCTTAAAGCTCAGGTGAAGAGGCAGTTAATATATTACACATCTCTAGCATGTCTAAATGTACAAAACTCAACCATGCTCCGTCCATCTGTCCATCCATCCATCCATCCATCCAGCCACCCATCTAAACATCCAGATATTCAGTCACTCAAATGACATTCTCCAGAGTCCCACAATTTTTTTTTTTTTTTTTTTTTTTTTTGAGACGGAGTCTTGCCCTGTCGCCCAGGCTGGAGTGCAGTGGCGCGATCTCAGCTCACTGCAAGCTCCGCCTCCCTGGTTCACGCCATTCTCCTGCCTCAGCCTCCCAAGTAGCTGGGACTACAGGCGCCTGCCACCACGCCCGGCTAATTTCTTTGTATTTTTTTTTAGTAGAGACGGGGTTTCACCGTGTTAGCCATGATGGTCTCAATCTCCTGACCTCGTGATCCGCCCGTCTTGGCCTCCCAAAGTGCTGGGATTACAGGCGTGAGCCACTGCGCCCAGCCCAGAGTCCCACTATTAACTAGGCATGTAGAAGATTATTATTATTTTTCTGGTGAGTTACAGTATAAGTAAATTTTGTGTTTGTTTTTTATAGTTTTATTATTTTATCTCACAATCATTCCCAAATTATTTATATATATTTGTTCTGATAGATAATATTTGTACATATTTATGGGGCACATGTGATATTTTGTTACATGCATAGAATGTATAAATGATCAAGTCAGGGTATTTAGGGCATCTACTATCTCAAGTATTCATCATTTCTATGTGCTGGGAACATTTCAAAACCTCCCTATATTATGTATATTTTGAAATATACAATGCATTGTTAACTGTAGTCACCCTACTCTGCTACTGAACATAGAACTTACTTCTTCTATCTAACTGTATGTTTGTATCCATTAACCAACCTCTCTTGATCTCCCACCCCTGCCCCCACACCCTTCCCAGGCTCTGATATCTATCATTCTGCTCTCTATCTCCATGAGATCAACTTTTTTACTCCCACAATATGAGTGAGAACATACAATATTTGTCTTTCTGTGCTTGGCTTATTTCACTTAACATAAGGATCTCCAGTTCCATCCATGTTGCTGCAAATGACATGATTTCATTATTTTTATGACTGAATAGTATGCAATTGTGTATATGTGCAACATTTTCTTTAATCATCCATTGACATGTACTTAGGTTGATAGCATATTTTTGCTATTGTGAATAGTGCCGCAATAAACATGGGAGTGCAGGTATCCCTTTGATATACTGATTTCCTTTCTTTGGATAAATAGCCAGTAGTGGGATTGCTGGATCATATGCTAGTTCTATTTTTAGTTTTTTGAGAAATCTCCATGCTGCATTGTTTTTTGTTTTTGTTTTTGTTTTTGTTTTTGACGGAGTCTCGCTCTCTCACCTAAGCTGGAGTGCAGTGGTGCTATCTCGGCTCACTGCAACCTCCGCCTCCTGGGTTCAAGCAATTCTCATGCCTCAGTCTCCCGAGTAGCTGAGATTACAGGCATGGGCCACCATGCCTAGCTAATTTTTTTTTTGTATTTTTAGTAGAGACAGGGTTTCCCCATGTTAGACAGGCTGGTGTCAAACTCCTGACCTCAGGTGATCTGCCCGCTTTGGCCTCCCAAAGTGCTGGGATTACAGGCCTGAGCCACCATGCTCAGACTTCATGCTGTTTTCTGTAGTGGTTGTACTAATGTATGTTTTCCTCAACAGTGTATGAGTTCCCTTTTCTCTGCATCCTTGTTAGCATCTATTATTTTTTGTCTTTTTGATAGACATTCTAACTGGGGTAAGATGATATCTAATTGTAGCTTTGATTTGTATTTCCCTGATGATTAGCGATGTTGAGCCTTTTTTCATATACCTGTTGGCCATTTGTATGTCTTCTTCTGAGAAATGTGTATTCATGTCATTTGCCCACTTTTTAGTGACATTATTATTTTTTTAGTGTTGAATTGTTTGAGTTCCTTGTATACTCTGGATATTAGGTCTCTTGTCAGATAAATAGTTTGAAAATATTTTCTCCCATTCAACAGATTGTCTCTTTACTCTGTTGACTGTTTCCTTTGCTGTGTAGAAGGTTTTTAGTTTAATATAGTCCCATTTGCCTATTTTTGCTTTTGCCTGTGCTTTTGAGGTCTTAGCCATAAAATCTTTGCCTAGACCAATGTCCTGAAATATTTCCCCTACGTTTTCTTCTAGTAATTTCATAGTTTCAGGTCTTATATTTAAGTCTTTAATCCATCTTGAGTTGATTTTTGTGTATGGTAAGAGATAAGGGTCCAGTTTTCCTGGCACCACTTACTGAAAAGAGTGTCCTTTCTGCAATGTTTGTTCCTGGTCCCTTTGTTGAAAATCAGTTGTCTATAAATACTTGGATTTATTTCTGGGTACTCTATTCTGTTTCATTGGTCTATGTGTCTGTTTTTATACTACTACAGTGCTGTTTGGATTATTATAGCCTTGCACTATATTTTGAAGTCAGGTAATATGATGTTTCCAGCTTTGTTCTTTTTGCTCAGGATTGCTTTGGCTGTTTAGGGTCTTTTTTGGTTCTATATGAATTTAGGATTGTTTTTTCTATTTCTGTGAAAAATGACATTAATTTCGTCATAGGGATTGCATTGCATCTGTAGATTGCTTTGAGCAGTAGTAGAAGGTTCTGAGGCAAAAATGAGTAATGTACTTTTCTTGGCATGTTTTATAGAGAATATTATATTATCCTAAGAACAACCTTACAATTCAGGTAGAGAATACCATTCATTATTCACAGAAATAGAAAAAGGAAGCTCATAAATGTTCAGCAACTTGTCTGTGATTTCAGGCAATTCCTAACACATAGTAGATCCTCTGTTAATGTTCATTGAATTGAAATGAGTGAGCACAAGGTATGGTGTTTTCTTGGGATATGCTTAGGCTAAGATGTCAGAATACAAGAATAGGGTAGTGGTAAGTGAGAGCATGGGCGTTGGAGCCAGACTAGGTCTGGACTTCAATCCCACCTCCATCATTGAATAATGTGTGTATCAGTTAGGGTCCCAGGAGGAAAGAGATGACACACTCAAATTAGGATGATTTCAGGAAGGTTTACTAAAGGAACAATTTACAGAGGTTTGGGAATCTCATGGGATAGTGCACTAATGGTGTGGCTGTTACTACTCCTGGAGCTGAAAGGATAAGAGGAGGGAGTAGTTATAATAACCCATAGAGGGGCATCTGACATACATTGTGACTTTCTTTTGAGGAACGCAGCCAGCCTGAGATGACCCTGCAGGGAAGAAGCCAGGGAATAAATACTCCCACCTCATTATTGTGGGTAGATTTTGAAGTCATACTGACCTGGTTTGAAGCCTGGTTCTGTCACTACTTGCTATGTGACCTTAGGCAAATCACTCTGCCTCTCTCTGACCCATTGCTCGCCTGAAACATTGCCTATCTCATCAAGTTTCAACGAGGATGACATGAAATAATCCATATAAAGAATTTAATAAATATTGAGCTAAGCCTGTGAACAGATGGCAAAACCTCTGCCACACCACCAGGGTCTTGGAACAGGCCTTTGACACTGATTTGAAGGAAAAAAGCATCTCTGAAACCCTGGATGCAGCCCTTCCTGAATCCCATACAGGACAGTTGACCAGCTTCTCCCTCAGGGATACATCAAAGTATGATACTTATCTTGGTATGGGTGGCCCAGCCCATCATATAGCTTTCCGAATAGATGAGAACCAATTTCAAGGTCCATATTTCTGCAATATCCACCATTAGACCTAATTTGCATATGAGGAGAAAAGGAGGCTGAAAGCATAAGTATACAAGTAGCTGCTAATTTAGGTTTAGACAATATTTGATGCTCTTTTCTAACCAGAGAATTTCCTACAATTTCAGCCCACACTAATTCAATTAAGATAATCTGAAACACGTATACTAAGGAAAAGGAAATTAGAGCAGAAGTGGTCCTTTTCTCTAATACCAGGGTGGCAGTGTGATATGGGGACTGAAGCCAAACAAAGCTGGGTGTGAATCCTTATTCCGATATATATTAGTTGTATGAACTTGAAAATGTTACACAACCCTTCTGAATCTCATGCCCTTCTCTGAAAATGAAGATACTGACATATAATCAAGAGCATGAGCCTGGACAACAAAGTGAGACCCCCATATTCACAAAAAAATTTAAAAATTAGCCAGGCATGGTAGTGTGTGCCTGTAGTCCCAGCTACTTAGGAGCTGAGGCAGGAGGATTGCCTCAAGGATTGCTTGAGCCTAGGAATTTGAGGCTGCAGTGAGTTATGATCCCACCACTGCACTCCAACTGGAGCAAAAGAATGAGATACCATCTCAAAAAAAAAAAAAAAAAGAGCACGAATATAACTTCCTGGCATTTAGTAGACACTCAAAACATTGATCTTATTGTTTGCAGCTTTATAAGGTAGTTATTTGAATTTCTTCTATATATGTATGAATTTTTTATGGTCAACAAAACTGGACTCAACTTTATTTTTGGCTTTATGAGCCTTCTCAGGTGACGAGAACTCTATACAGGCAATGACCTTTAATATATTTTACGTTTCCATTGCTAAACAAACACTTTATCATTTTGGATATAAAGCGTTTTATCGTCCAAATTAAGAGGTGCTGAAGTAAAATGTTCTTTAAAGATTTTATATCTTTTCTCATATTTGAGTAAACATTAGATAAAGCCAAGATGATGCAATTTCTGAATCCAAATAATTTACCATGGGATAACATGGATAGGGTGAATATTAAACAGAGGTACTTCTGTTTTGGGGTTTAATATAGTTTTGTGGCAAAAACAAAACAAAACAAATAAAAAACCAGAAACAAAAACAAAAACAAACGAACACTCAGAGAAGGAAATGAAGGTTGGTCCAGACCCAATCACAGATTTATCTCCATGAGTCTAGTAGAGCATTCTCAGGATTGCCACTATTCTCTTAAGAAATGGAGGATGGCTTCAAGGGTCTTGAATGGAAGTAAAATGTAGCTACAGCCAAACTATTACTTCTGGTAAAATCATCTCTGGGCTACAAGATGTAGGTTGTGCACCTCTGCCATCTCTCTCGTCCTCATCTGTCTCTCTGAAACTCATCTGTCTGTCTCGACTTTATGGTGTTATCATATTTGCAATCCACCCCCAGGTCCTCAGTGACTCACCAGTACTGACCCATTTCTGGTTTGGTTTCCCTATCTGTAAATCAGGAATGATAAAATCTACCCTGAGAGTTTGTTTTTTGTTTGTTTGTTTGTTTTGAGATGGAGTCTTGCTCTGTCGGCCAGGCTGGAGTGCAGTGGCTTGATCTTGGCTCACTGCAACCTCCGCCTCCCAGGTTCACGCAGTTCTCCCACCTCAGCCTCCCCAGTAGCTGGGATTACAGGTGCATGCCACCACACCCAGCTATATATATATATATATATATATATATATATATATTTTTTTTTTTTTTTTTTGTATTTTTAGTAGAGACAGGGTTTCACCGTGTTGGCCAGGCTGGTCTCAAACTCCTGACCTCAAGTGATCTGCCCGCCTCGGCCTCCCAAAGTCCTGGGATTACAGGCGTGAGCCACCACGCCCGGCCAAGTTGTTATCATTAAATAAAATAACATGTGTAGAGGGCCTGCAAAAGGGCCTGGTCCTCAGCAAACATTAATTCTTACTCTCTGCAAATATCCTTGACTTTATAATCTAGCCTATGTAATAGAGTGCTTTATGATGGCCTCTGATGCAACTGGGTGAGCCAGAGGAAATTACTATTCCTAAGCCTCAGTTTTCTTATCTGCAAAATGAGGATAAGAATGATTACTTTGAATGGATATTGTATGGAAATCACTTAGCACCAGTAGGAGACAGGGCCCTGCCCAAGAGTTTGATCTGGCCCAATTTCAAAGATTTGGCTAGTCCCTTAGGAGACCTTCAAATCTTCGCTTCCTAACTAACTATGCAATAAAGACAGAGCTCCAGATAGTTTAGGAGCAAACTGTGACACATTTGTAAATCTAGATTGTGTAATAGGTATTCAGGTCATGCTTTTCCATGTAGGGTTCATCATGTTAGATTTATAAGGAATGCAAATTTCAGAGGATTCTTTTTCTTAATAAGGAAAGTATTTCTGATATTTGACACAAATAACATTAGTAGCAATCAATATTATGCATAGAATATACATTTTTCCTCTTTCTATAGTTGCAAATATTTTGAAATTTACTTCCCTTTCAATAAACTGGATATTTGTTTTCTTTGTTGAGTGCCCATACCAACAGGCTTTTTCTCCCCTCCATCCAAATGTTCAATGTCAATATTTTTTAATTATTTTAGAAAAAACAACTCTATTGAGGATTAATTGACATACAATGAAACTACACATATTTCAAGTGTGCAATTTGATATATGTATATACCTGTGAAACCATCACCACATTCAAGATAATATCCCCAGGCAACAACCGATCTGCTTTCTATCACTGTAGATTGGCTTGCATTTTTTAGAGTTTTGTGTAAAAGGAATCATAAAGCATGTGGTCTTTGTTCTCTGGCTTCTTTCACTCAGTATAATTATTTTGAGATTCTTCCATATTGCTGCTTGTATTGATAGTTTATTCCTTTATATTGTTGAGTAATATTCTATTGAATGACTATACCACAGTTTATCTATTCACAAGTTAAAGTAGAATTGAGTTATTATTTGGCTATTACAACTGAAGCTACTTTGAACACTCATTTGCAAATCTTTGTATAGACATGTGCTTTCATTTCTCTTGGGTATGGAATGGAATGGATGACTGGGTCATATGATAAGCATAATATGGTCAGGGTATGTTTAACTTTTGAAGAACTGCCAAACTGCTTTCCAAAGTGTACCATTTTACATTCGTATGAGCAGTTTATGAGAGTTCAAAGTTGTTCCACATCTTTACCAAATGAGTGTCTTAAATTTAGGTATTCTAATATTCTAATAAGTATGTGGTAGCATCTCATTGTGGCTTGAATTTGCATTTCCGTAGTGATTTTCATTTGTTTCTTTGCCTTCCATATACCTTCTTTGGTCTGTTCAAATCCTTTGTTCAAATGTATTGGGATTTTGTTTTCCTATAATTGGAATTTGAGAGTTCTTTAAATATTTTGAATATAAGTTATTTATGAGATATACCATTTGCAAATACTTCCTCCTAGTCTGTTGCTTATCTTTTCATTCACTTAGCATCTTTCAAAGGGCAGTTTTTAATTCTGAGGAAATCCATTTTATTAACATGTTCTTTTGTGGATTGTGCTTCTGGTGTCATATCTTACTTTGCTGAGAGGTTTTACCAGGAAAGGGTGTTGGATTTTTTCAAGAGCTTTTTCTGAATATTGAGATGATCATTTTTTTTAAGTTTGTTAATAAGATGAATTACATTTATTGACTTTTGAATGTTAAATTGACTCCGTTCTTGGCCTAAGGCCCACTTAGTCATGATATATGTTGTATTTTCCTCTAATTTGGTCTTGAGGTCTTTCTCTGGAGAGTGGCTATACATTCTAGCCCTGCCCTAATGGGGCTTCAGGGGAGGTCATTGTGGATGATTACAACATGGCTTCATGGGATACTTCCTCATCCTGGCGGATGGCCTAATGCCCAAGTGTCTGACCTGTGACCAGATAGGTGTCCTTCTCACAGGAAACTTATTTATTCTGGCAGGCACCCTTGTGGCTCTTGTCTGACCTGTGTCCTGTTTATTCCTACCAAGATAGCCACTTTCTAGGGTAGCCCTGACAGGGAGGAGAGTTAGGTTCAGGTGTGTCATTCAGGTGAGACACAGAGAAGGCAACTCAACAAAACACATCAAATAACAGAAGCATTTCCTTACTCAAAGATCTATGAGAGAAGAGGAGTGACCTCGAGGGCTGATGGAAAGTCTTAGAGAGAGAAAGATAGATAAATGGGGGTGGGGGAGAAAAGAGAGAGGACCTGCGGGACTATGCTTTATTAAGGTCAATGGGTGTTATCCCTTGGCCTTTCCTATGGGGGTTGTAGATTGGCTAGTTTAAAGAAAACACATGCAAGGGGGAGGACTTATTTACCCGACTCTGTTGTTGACAATTAGGTTGTATCGTGGTCAGCAGCTGTGGGATGTGTTGGGTTTGGGTCTGTGGAATGAGAAACAAGTGGGCTATATAGCAAGCAAGTATACAGGGAGGGAAGTTTTAACTAGGCCAAAGGTAACAGGGTACGACTGGGTTTCAGATAACTTAAGTTAGGCCTAAAAATGGATGAAAAGGCAGCAACTATATTACATACATTATGACAATATATCTTTTTGATATATTACTGGATGAATTGTTGGATTTGAATTGCAAAAATTTTGTATAGAATTTTTGCATCTATGTTTCTGAGGGAGATTTGTCTATAGTTTTCTAGTATTATTGGTCTTAGTTTGCTAGGCTGCCATAACAAAGTACCACAAACTAGGTGGCTTAAAGAACATAAATTATTTCACAGTTCTGGAGTTTAGAAATCTGAAATCAAGGTGTTGGCAGGCTTGGTTCCTCCTGAGGACTGTGAGGGAAAGATCTGTTCCAGGTCTCTTTTCTTGGCCATCTTTTTTCTTTGAATTTACATTGTCTTTTCTCTGTATGAGTCTGTGTGCAAATTTCCCCTTTTTATAAGGACACCAGTCATATTGGATTAGGGTCCACTCTTATGACCTCAGTTTAATGTTATTACCTCGGTAAAGACCCTGTCTCCAAATAAGGTCACATTCTAAGGTGCTAGGAGTTGGAACTTCAATATATGAATTTGGGGAGGGGGTGCTCAATTCAACCCATAATAATATCTTTGTCCAGTTTGTTGTCACAGTAATTTCAGCCTCATAGAATGAGTCAGAGAGTATTCCCTCCTCTTCAAGTTTTTGCGAGAGATTGTGTAGGATTGGTATTATTTTTTTCCTTATTTTGGCAGAATTCAAGAGTGAAATCTTTGAGTCTGCAGTTTTCTTTGTGGAAAGATTTTAACAACAAATTCAATTAAAAAATAGACAGGGTTGCTCGGATTATCTATTTCTTCTTAGGTGAACTTTAAATTTTGTGTCTTTCAAGTAATTTGTCCATTTCATCTAAGATGTTGAATTTATTATTTATAATATTCTCTTATTATGCTTTTAAATTGAAAAGATCTGTAGTAATGTCCACTTTCTTATTTGCGATATTGGTCATTTATCTTTTTTCTTGATCACTTTGGCTAGAGGTTTATGAATTTTATGGATCTTCTCAGATAAGAAGCTTTTGTTTTTATTGGTTTATTTCCTTTCTTATACTTTAGGTTTAATTTCCTGTTGGCTTTTAGTTTCTTTGGGTAGAAGCTGAGGTCATTGATTTGAGACTATTCTTTTTCAAATATAGGATTCAATGCTGTAGAATTTCCTTAAAGTATTGCTTAAGCAGTATCCCACAATTTTGATATGCTGTCTCTTTATTTTAATTTAGTTCAAAATATTTTCTAGGCCGGGCACAGTGGCTCACGCCTGAAATCCCAGCACTTTGGGATGCTGAGGTGGGTGGATCACCTGAGGTCAGGAGTTCAAGACCAGCCTGGCCAACATGACGAAACCTCGTCTCTACTAAAAATATAAAAATTAGCTGGGTGTGGTGGCGGGCGCCTATAATCCCAGCTACTCAGGAGGCTGAGGCAGGAGAATCGCTTGAACCCAGGAGGCAGAGGTTGCAGTGAGCTGAAATCATGCCACTGTACTGCAGCCTGGGTGACAGAATGAGACTCTGTCTCAGAAAAAAAAAAGAAAAAAAAAATATATAAAATATATATGTATTTCTAATTTCACTTTAGATTTAATCTTTGACTCACAGATTATTTAGAAGTCCATTATTTGGATCCCAAATATTTGGGGATTTTCCAGATATTATTCTGTTATTGATTTCTAATGTAATTTCATTGTGGTCAGAGAACATATGTTGTATGACTTGAATTCTAAGTTTATTATGACCTGTGTCTCCAAATACAGCTTATTTTGGCAAATATTTCATGTATACTTGAAAAGAATGTGATTTTGCTATTATTGGGTGGGGTGTTCTATAAATGTTAATTTTGTCAAGTTGCTTGATATTATTGATTAAGTATACTATATCCTTGCTAATTTTCTGTCTACTACCTCTATCAGTTATTGAGAGGGGTTTTGAAATATCAGACTTGTTGACTTGGCTATTTCTCTTTGCGGTGCTGTCAGTTTTTTCTTTTAACTTTTATTTTAGGTTTGGGGGTACATGTGAAGATTTGTTACATAGGTAAACACGTGTCGTGAGGTTTTGTTGTACATATTATTTCATCACCCAGGTATTAAGCCCAGTACCCAATAGTTATCTTTTCTGCTCCTCTCCCTCCTCCCACCCTACCCCATCAAGTAGACCCCAGTGTATGCTGTTTCCCTCTTTGTGTTCCTAAGTTCTTATCACTTAGCTCCCACTTATAAGTGAGAACATGTGGTATTTGGTTTTCTGTTCTTGTGTTAGTTTGCTAAGAATAATAGCTTCCAGCTCCATCCATGTTCCTACAAAAGACATGATCTCATTCTTTTTTCATGGCTGCATAGTATTCCATGGTGTATATGTACCACATTGTCTTTATTCAATTTGTCATTGATGAGCATTTATATTGATTCCATGTCTTTGTTATTGTGAATAATGCTGCAATGAGCATTTGTGTGCATATGTCTTTATGGTGTAATGATTTACTGGGTATATACCCAAAGGAATATAAGTCATTCTGCCATAAAGTTTTTTCTTTATGTGTTTTGATACTTTATTAATAGATGCATATTTAGCATTTTATCATTATGGAATGATCTTTTTTATCCCTGGTAATATTCTTTGCTCTGAAATCTACTTTGATATTAATATAGCCACTCCAACTTTCTCTTGATTAGTATTAGGATAGTATATATTTTTGGTTCTTTTATTATTTGTGTCTTCATATTTAAAGTTCATTTCTTATAGGCAGAATATAGTTGAGTCTTCTTTTTTTTTTTGGAGACAGAGTCACACAGGCTGGAGTGTGGTGACACAATCTTGGCTCACTGCAACCTCCACTTCCTGGGTTTAAGCAATTTTCATTTCTCAGCTTTCCAAGTAGCTGGGATTACAGGTGTGCACCAACACACCTGGCTAATTTTTGTATTTTTAGTAGAGACAGGGTTTCACCATGTTGGCCAGGCTGGTCTTGAACTCCTGGCCTCAAGTGATCTGGCCACCTTGGCCTCCCAAAGTGTTGGGATTACAGGCAGGAGCCACCACGTCTGGCCTTCTTTTTAAAGTTAATCTGACATCTCTATTTTTAAATTAAGATGTTTCACACTTTTAACATTTAGTGTGATTAATATTGTTGGTTTAAAGTTTACCAACCTGCCTTCTCCCCTCATATGTTTCATCTCCCCCAGTTCCCTTTTTTAAAATTTTATGCCTTCTTTTGAATGACTTAAGCATTTTTATTACTCTATTTTCTCTGATAACTTAATAGACATAACATTTTTGTTATTTCAGTGGTTGCTTTGGAGTAATAGTATGCATCTTTAACTTATCACACTCTACCTTTTAGTGATATTGTACCACTTGTAGAATATAAGAACTTTACAACGTTATGTTTCTGTTTCTCCCCTCCCAACTTCTGTGCAATTGTCATAGCTTTATTTCATATATGTTGCAAATCCCACCAACATTATTATTTAAATTATATTATTTAATGATATTTCAAAGAGATTTAAATAATAAGAAAAAACTTACATATTTACCCATGTATTTGCCTTTTGGGGGGTATAGACTTATATTTCCATCTGGTACCAGTTTCCTTCTGTCTGAAGGTTATCCTTTAATATTTCTTGTAGTGTGTTTGCTGGTGATGAATTATTTTGTCTTTTGTATGTCTGAAAGAGTCTTTAGCTTTCCTCTGTTTTTGAAAGACATTTTCACTGGGTATGGATTTCTAAGTTCACAGTTTTTTTTAGTAGTTTAAAAATATTGCTTCACTGTTTTCTGACTTGCGTTGTTTCTGTGGAGAAATTTGCTATCATTCTTATTGTTCCTCTGTATATATGTTGTCTTTTTTCTCTTGCTGCTTTTGTGATTGTATCTTTATCACTGTTTTACATCACTTTGTTTATGATGTGCCTTGGTGTAGCTTTGTTTGTTTTGAGTTTTGTTTTCTGAGACAGAATCTCACTCTGTCGCCCAGGCTGGAGTGCAGTGGCGTGATCTCAGCTCACTGCAACCTCCGCCTCTGGGGTTCAAGTGATTCTCATGCCTCAGCCTCCCGAGTAGCAGGGATTAAAGGCGTTTGCCACGATGCTTGGCTAATTTTTGTATTTTTAGTAGAGATGGGGTTTCACCACGCTGGCCAGGCTGGTCTCGAACTCCTGACCTCAAGTGATCTGCCTGCCTCAGCCTCCCAAAGTACTGGAATTACAGGTGTGAGCCACCATGCTCCGCCAGGTGTAGTTTTATTCATATGCCTTGTGATTGGGTTTATTAAGTTTCTTAGATCTTGAAATTTGGAAAAATTTTGGCCATCATTTCTTCAGATGTGTTTCTCTGCCTCCCCACTCTCCCTATTCCCATTTCAGAAACTCTAATTGCACATACATTAGGTTGCTTGTAGTCAGAGCTAAATGATGCTCTGTTTTTTTTTTCCTTTAGTTCTTTTTTTATTTTCAGTTTTTCTTTCTGTATTGCAGTTTGGATAATTTTTATTGCTATGTTTTCAAGTTTGCTAATTTTTTTCTTCTGCAATGCCTAATCTGGCATTAATCCTATCGGTGTATTTTTTTTTATCTCATTCATTTCAATTGTATCTCTAAAAATTTTATTTGGGCCCCTGTAAATATCTTTTATGTATCTACTTTTTTTTTTAATATGTGGAATACAGTTTTAAAACTTTTCTAATATTTTTTACTATTACTATTCTAAACACTATATCTGTTCTGTGTCAGTTTTGATAGAGCAATTTTTCCGCTCATTTTGGGTCATATTTTCCTGATTATTCCTGGAAATTTTATATTTGATCTGTACCTCTTTGAGTGCCAGATACTTTTGTAGCCTAAAATTATTCTGGACATTTTTTTCACATTTACAGTTAAGTTACTTAGAAACTGCGTGATATTTTGAGTCTTGCTATTAAGATTTGATAGTTGGATCCAAAGAAGTGTTTATTCTAGGGCTAATCATTCACCACTACTAATGCAAGACCCTTCTGAGTACTTAAGCCAACTTCCTGTGAATTTTGAGGCTTTTCATTCTGGATGGTGGGATCAGGCACTGTTTAGTGCCCTATGTGAAGAGCTGGCACTATCGTCTATAATCCTTTCGGGTGGCTCTTCCTCTGGCCTCAGGTAGTTTCCTCACACAGAGGCACTGATCATTACTCATTTGAATATGCAGGAGGACTCTGCAGATCCCTGAAATTCTCTTCATATGCAGCTCTCTCCTCTCTGGTACTCTTTTATGAGAACTCTTGCTGCCTTGGTCTTCCCGAACTCTCAGATTTGTCTCTTTGATTCAGAAAATCACTGGGGTCTGTCTGCATTTACCCTTCCTGAAGCGTGGCCTGGAAAACCTCTCAAGGCTGTAAGATGGAGAAATTATAGAGCTCATCTCCTTTGTTTTCTTTCTCTAATGGATCACTGTCCTTCATTTTCTGATGTACAGTGTCTTGCAAACTGCTATTTCATGTAACTTGTCTGTGTTTTAGTTGTTTCAGCATGCAGGTTAAATCCATGCTGCATTACTCCATGTTGGCCAGAAATGGAATCTTCACAGGATTACTTTCATGACCTATAAAGAAAAATTTTATTATTCCTCCTTTTGGTTTTCTTTAGTGACTACACATTTCTATTCCTTTACTGAGGTTCTAGAAGCTCTGGCAATGTCTATTATTAGCCTTGAAATTTACCCACCACTTTGGCCAGTGTTCTCTTGCTATTAAATCCAGAACTAAATTGACAGATGGAATATAAAGCTGCAAAGGTTATTTGACAAAAGAAAAATGCAAAAGAATGAGCTCCCCATTTGTATTAATTATCTGTTGCTGCATTACAATTTCCGCAAACTTATCAGCTTAAAAGAATGCACATTTATTTCCTTTTAGTTTCTGTGTGTCAGGAATCTGAGCATGACTTAGTTGGGTTGTCCACTTCATTCTCTCATGCGGCTGCTATCATGGTGTCAGCCAGGGTTGGGGCCTCATCTGGAGGCTTGAATGGAGAAGGACCTACTTCTAAACCCATGTGGTTGTTGGCAGGATTCATTTCCTCAAGGGCTGATGGACAAAATTTCTCAGTTTTTTTGCTGGCTGTTTGTAGAAGGCCATCTTTAGTTCTTTGCCACCTGGTCCTCTTCATTGGGAATATTATAGCATGGCAGTTGTTTTATCAAAGCAAGCAAGGCAGAGAGCCAGTTAGCAATACAGAAGTTACAATCTTCTGCAATGTAACCACAGAAGTGATATCCTATTACCTTTACTATATTCTATTTGTTAGGAGTAGGTTCCACCTATACTCAAGGGCAGAGGATTTTGCAAGGGCATAAATACCAGGAGGTATTGGGATCATTGAGAGCCATCTTAGAGTCTGTCCACTATTCTTTCCTTCCCTAGAGGGGAAAAAAGTGTAGGCTTCTTTTAAATATATATAATATATATATATGTGTGTGTGTATAATATATAAAAATATATATGTGTGTATATCTAATATACATATATGTATAATATAATATATATGTATGTATCTATATAAAATGTATAAAAATATATGTGTGCATATATACACATATGTGTATATATGTGTGTATATATACACATATATGTGTAATATATGTGTATATTAATGTATATATATTTGTTTCTTTTTTCTTAAGCTTAGTAAGTCCTATCAGCAGAAAACAGCTGATTGAATAGAAAACTAACATGTTAGAGACACAGCATTAAGATATGTTTTGGGGAAGGAAGGCTTAAGGTCTAATTGCCCTAATTCCCCTACCTTAGAGGGAGACAGTTCTGCTTTAACCCCCACCTCCTATCATACACCCTTTTCTACAGAGTGGTGGTTCTTTATCCTTAGAAAATAATCTTGCCCTCAGAAACTATTTAAACTTATTTAAGTTGCTTTAATTATTATTTTATTCAACAAGCATTTATTAGGTATCTACTCTGCAACAGGCCTCATACTAGATGTCAGGAATAAACTAGTGAATAAGAGAGTCTGGTCTCCTAGTGTAATAAAAAATTTCATAACAGACAAATGTTGATTTCCTTGGGGTCAATACTGCATTGACTGCCTAGGACCATGCCTGGCACATAGTAGCCCCTCAATAAATGTTTGTTGAATTGAATTGTAGGAATCAGAAGTTTGGGGGTTCAATATGATATTTTCAGCAATGCCCACAAGACTGTTGAGTAAACTGAGGCCCAGAAGGTGTACTGGCTGCTCCTGACAGCTTTCCATGGACAGAAAGATTTGAGACCTCGGAATACATGGAACTCATATGCCTGCATTTGACTTTCTCCAAGTATTTGCCTGTAGAAGCTCTTTATGAGTCAATGTAAATCAGTAGTTTCCATGGAAGCAAAATGAACTTGTAGAGCTATGGAAAATACTAAGGTGTTCTAGCACTGCTGAGGGTGTGTTGTTTTTAGCTGTGGAGGCCTACTTATCATTTGGCAATCTGCAAGTGTGTTATTTTTTCACTCTTCATTAACCAGTTTCTTCAGAAAGGTACTGGAAGGCTGAAGTTCTGCCTGGCTCAGGACTTGGTAAAATATTTAGTTTTGAAATCCCCAAATTCCACATTGTGAACTTCCCACACTCAATCAAAGGAACTGACATAAGGGATTTAACCCTTACTCAAGAGAAGTTTTAGCCCTTAATATTACCTTTCTCAGGTCATTTGCATTTTTAGTCATAGCTTACTTTGAAATTAAATGTTTTAGCAATCACTTATTCATGAATCAAACATAGTTGGACACCTATTGTGTACCAGGTATTGTGCTGAGACCTAGAGACACAAAACGAAGGAAGCATAACATCTTCATTAGCAAGTTCACCATCTTTGTCAGGGCCACCATGTACAGCTGTGCAGGTTCTTTACTGAACAAGGGTATTTGACTGAGTTAGCTACCTTCTTCTAATTTTGACAAAGGTGTTTTATGAACAAGCAGTTGTTCTAGGCTTCATCTCCATTATTAAATCAGGAGTTCCCAATCTGGGGGTAATAACTTTTGGAGCCCATGAACTCCTAAAAATGTTATCCAAAATTGTGTGCATATATGTTTTTCATTTTTCTGGGAGAGAATTTATCTGATCTTCAAATATGTATGAACTCCCAAATATTTAAAATCACTGGATTTAATGACTTTTCTAAGTCACTTCAAGTCTTCTGAATTAGGCAGGACATAAATCATTCATAAACAAACTGGCAAATAAATAGAAGAAATTCCAGGCACTAGAAATTAAGTTATTTTAGGTTACATGGCATTTTTTTCATCCTCTAATGTCACACCAAGTAGATAACTGCCAATCCTATTAGTGATCTAAAGCTGTTTCTTGTCCAAGGTTTATCTAGAAACCTGCAGCAATGTCTTGGGAAGAAACATGTCTGGTAATGCTCAGTTCTGTCCTACAGTGTATGGAAAGGAAAGGCTTTGGAGTCTGATATTTCTGGGTTCAAATCCCACTTCCAGGGTTATTAATCGTGAGCTCTTAGTCAAAGTCTCGGTTTCTTCATCTACAAAATGAAAATAATAATACATTACAGAAAGGTTTTTACTATTGAATGGGATAAGGTATGCTACGTGCCTGGCACATAGTAAACCTTTATTATGTGGCAGTAACAGTTATTATTATTACTTAAATGAATTCTAAAAAGAATTCTACGGCCAATTTACCCAGCCTTAAAAAGAAGTCCTAAAGAATTTAGTAATATTTAAATATCAACTGCACCAAAACAACAAAATGTCCCAAAACTCTATGGCTTTTAGACTATCTTATTGATTTAAAAAGCCGAAATTTGGCAGGGCTTCTAGGAGGTCTGAGGAAGGGGCTCAGAAAATCCTTTCTCTAAATGGCAATGATAAAACCAGACAAAGTTATCAAAAACAACCACTTAATGGCCGGGCACGGTGGCTCATGCCTGTAATCCCAGCACTTTGGGAGGCTGAGGTGGGCGGATCACGAGGTCAGGAGTTCAAGACCAGCCTGGCCAAGGGTGAAACCCGCCTGCATGGTGGCACACGCCTGTATTCCCAGCTACTCGGGAGGCTGAGGCAGAGAATTGCTTGAACCCGGGAGGCGGAGGTTGCAGTGAGCCAAGATCGTGCCACTGCATTCCAGCCTGGGCGGCAGAGCGAGACTCTGTCTCACAAAAACAAAAACAAAAACAAAACAACTGCGTAAAGACTGAAAATTGACTAAAGGCATACAACAAGTTGAAGAGTGTTTATTCATGAAATTTTAATGAATATCTATAAAAACAGTCTCTGGGACTTCTCTAATTCCTTTACCTTAGCTTCACAATTCTACCCAGGTGGGGCAGACTGTGAGAAATGGCAGCTCCGCAGCCCTGCAAGAAAGTGGTGGCTTTATTTGGAGCAGAACTTGGAAAATTCCATGCCTGGATAACTGTCAAAAACAATACCAAGCTCAGTGGCAAATAATCAGGAAAGAACAACATCGCAGTTAGCCTGAGGTCACAGTACTAGTTGGGAAAAGCAACAGAATGACATGCAGTCAGAAATTTATGTAGAACTACAACCAAAATGAGATCAAATTATAAATTAATGACAAAGGGAAATTTGGGAAATCCACAAATATTTGGAAATTAAACAACACACATCCATATAGTGCACAGGTCCAAGAGGAAGTCATATGGGGAATTTGAAAATATTCTTAGCAGAATGAAAAAAAAATTACACTATATCAAAATTTAGAGGATCCAGTCAAAGCAGTGCTTAGACGGAAACTTCTAGCTGTAAACACCTATGTTAGAACAGAAGAAAGATTTCAAATAAATAATTTCACCTTCTACTTCAAGAAACTAGAAAAATAAACCCAAGCTAAACCAAAAGCCGGCAAAGGGAAGGAAATAATAAAGACTAGAACAAGAATGAAACAGAAAACAAAAAAAAAAAAAGAAAATCAATGGAATCAAAAGTTGATTCCTTGAAAAGATTAACAAAATTGGCAAAATTTAGCTAGACTGACCAATAAAAAAAGAAGACACATACTGCCAAACTTGAGAATGAAAGAAGATACACCACCACCAAATTATAGAATTTAAAAGGATTATGTGGCAATATTATGAGCCACCTTATGCTAAGAAATAAGGCAGTTTAGATGAAATAAACCACATTCTTAGAAAGATATAAATTATCAAAAATGACTGAAGAAGAAATAGAAAATATATGTAAATACAGAACTAGTAAATAAATTGAATTGCTAAATAAAAATCTTCCCACAAAGTAAAGCCCAAGCACAGATGACTTCACCAGTAAATTCTGCCAGACATTAAAAAAATAAATAATAGAAATCCTTCACAACTTTCCCCATAAAACATGGGAAGAAGAAACACTTGCCAATTCATTCAATAGAGCCAGTATTACTCTAAGAGCAAAATCAGACAACACATCACAAGAAAAAACTATACCAATATCCCTCATGGAATTAAACACAAATATCTTGGACAAAATATTACCAAATCACATGCAGCAACATATAAAAAGCATTATACAGTGTGGCAACTGTGATTTATCCCAGGAATGCAAGGTTGATTTAATAGCCAAAAATTAAGTAATGTAATGTGCCGTGTTAATAGGATAAAGGACAAAAACCTCACAATCATCTTGATAAACACAGAAAAGCACTTGTCAACATCCAACACCCATTCCCGATAAAAACCCTCAACAAACTAAGAATAGAAGGTCTAAAGATATATAATAAAACCAAACTGTTTTTCCTATTCTCACACACCACTCAATGTCACACCTCTGACATAAGATGTGTGGCGATTTATCCCCACACACTACCCAGCCATTCTGTAGCAGACACCAGCTAGGTGTCCTCTAATTCAATTCAATGCTGACATCATCTACCTGGAGATAGTGTCAGATTCCACAAGCTAAAAGCTCAGTCCCATATGACTTTCCCCCACTTCAGATGTCAATTGCAAGCATCAGGTTTTGACCTGTACTTTCGACTGACCAGTTATAAATCAGGGTTCCCACGACCCCCTCCTTGGGTTCAATTAATTTGCTAGAGCAAATCACAGAAGTCAGAGAAACACGGCTGGGAGTGGTGGCTCACGCCTGTAATCCCAGCACTTTGGGAGGCTGAGGTGGGTGGATCACCTGAGGTCAGGAGTTCTAGACCAGACTGGCCAACATGGTGAAACCCCGTCTCTACTGAAAATACAAAAATTAGCTGGGGGTGGTGGCAGGCGCCTGTAATCCCAGCTACTCGGGGTGAGGGGCGGGGAGCCGAGGCAGGAGAATTGCTTGAACCTGGGAGGCGGAGGTTGCAGTGAGCCAAGATCGCACCATTGCACTCCAGCCTGGGGGACAAGAGCGAGACTTAGTCTCAAAAAAAAAAAAAAAAAAAAAAAGAAGTCAGAGAAACACTTATGTTTAACCATTTATTATGAAGAATATGACAAAGGATACAGATGAACAGCCAGATGGATGAGATGCATAGGGTGAGGTATGTAGGAAGGGGTGTGGAGCTTCCATGTCTTCTTTGCATGCACCATCCTCCAGGAACACCCATGTGTTCAGCTATCCAGAAGCTTCCCAAACCCAGTCCTTTGGGCTTTTATGGAGGCTTCATTATGTGGCATGATTGATTATATAACTGGCCATTGGTGATCAACTCAACCTTCAGTCCCTCTTCCCTCCCCAGAGATTAGGGGTGGAACTGAAAGTTTCAACCCTCTAATCACATGGTTGGTTCCTCTTGTAACCAGCCCCCATCCTGAGGCTATCCAGGAGCCCACCAAAACTAGCTTCATTAGAACAAAAGATGTTCTTATTACTCAGGAAATTTCAAGGGACTTAGGAGCTCTGTGTCAGATATTCCTATCACTCAGGATATTATAAAGATTTTAGGAGTAGCATGTCAGCAACTGGGGGCAAAGACCAATGTGTGTGTGTGTGTGTGTGTGTGTGTGTGTGTGTGTGTGTGTGTGTATATATATATTTCTTATTATGTCACAATCTCACAGAAGGGAGATTCTTCAAGTAAAGGGCATCTGTGAAAAAACTTGAACGGATATGGTTTGGATCTGTGTCCCCAACAAACCTCGTGTTGAATTGTGACCCCCCAGTGTTGGAGGTGGGGGCTGGTGGGAGGTGATTGGATCATGGGGGTGGATTTCTCATGAATGGTTTAGCACCACCCCTGCTTGGTACTGTCCTTTTGATAGTGAGTGAGTTCTCGTGAGATCTGGTTGTTTAAAAGTGTGTAGCACCGCCCTCCTTGCTCTGTCTTCCTCCTGCTCTGACCATGTGATATGTCTGCTCCCCATTTGCCTTCTACCATAATTGTAAATTTTCTGAGGCTTTTTCAGTAGCCAAGCAGATTCCAGCATCACGCTTCCCTTACAGTCTGCAGAACTGTGAGTCAATTAAACCTCTTTTCTTTTCTTTTCTTTTCTTTTTGGAGACAGAGTCTCGCTCTGTCACCAGGCTGGAGTGCAGTGGCTTGGTCCCAACTCACTGCAACTTCCACCTCCTGGGTTCAAGTGATTCTCTTGCCTCAGCCTCCCAAGTAACTGGCATTACAGGCATGCGCCACCATGCCCGGCTAATTTTTGTGTTTTTAGTGGAGATGGGGTTTCACCATGTTGGCCAGGCTGGTCTTGAACTCCTGACCTCGTGATCCACCCGCCTCAGCCTCCCAAAGTGCTGGGATTACAGGCATGAGCCACCGCGCCCGACCACTCTTTTCTTTATAAATTACCAAGTCTAAGGTATTTCTTTATAGCAAGGCAAGAACAGCCTAATACAAGAACTAACGTTATACTTCATGATGAAATACTGAATGCTTTTCCCCAAAGTCAGAAACAGGACAAAGATGTCCAATCTTTCCACTTATATTCGGCATTGTACTGGAGGCTTTAGCTAGTGCAATCAGTCAAGAAAAGAAGGTAAAAGGCATTCAAGTGGAAAACAAAGAAGAAAACCTCTCTTTATTCACAGGAAGAAAACCTCTATTTACAGATGAAATGATCAAGTATATAGAAAACACTGGCCGGGCCCGGTGGCTGACGCCTGTAATCCCAGCACTTTGGGAGGCTGAGGCAGGCGGATCACAAGGTCAGGAGATCGAGACCATCCTGACTAACACAGTGAAACCCCGTCTCTGCTAAAAATACAAAAAATTAGCCAGGCATGGTGGCGGGCGCCTGTAGTCCCAGCTACTCGGGAGGCTGAGGCAAGACAATGGCGTGAACCCGAGAGGTGGAGCTTGCAGTGAGCAGAGATCGCGCCACTGCAATCCAGCTTGGGTGACAGAGCAAGACTCCATCTCAAAAAAAAAAAAAAAGAATTTATTTATAGACTATATAGGCCAGGCGTGGTGGCTCATGCCTGTAATCTCAGCACTTTGGGAGGCTGAGGGGGGTGGATCACAAGGTCAGGAGATTGAGACCATCCTGGCTATCACAGTGAAACCTGTTTTTACTAAAAAAAAATACAAAAAATTAGCCAGCCGTGGTGGTGAGTGCCTGTAATCCCAGCTACTCGGGAGGCTGAGGCAGGAGAATCTCTTGAACCCGGGAGGTGGAGGTTGCAGTGACCTGAGATTGTGCCACTGCACTCCAGCCTGGGCAACAGAGTGAGACTCTGTCTCAAAAAAAAAAAAAAAAAAAAAAATATATATATATATATATATATACACATATATAAATACTTTCAACTCAATAATAAGGCAAATGACGAGATTGTGCCATTGCACTCCAGCCTGGTGACAGAGCAAGACTCTGTCTCAAAAAAATAAAAAATAAAAAAATAATAGTAATAAGGCAAATGAACCAAATGAAAAATGGGTAAAAGGTTTGAACAGATATCTCGCCAAAAAGATATACTAATGTTCTGTAAGCACATGAAAAAGATGCTCAGGCTCATTTGTCATTAGGGAAATGGAACTGAAAATAACATTGAAATACCATTTTATACTCACTAGAATGGCTATAATAAAAAAGACAGACAATAAGTTTTGGCAAGGATGTGGAGAAACTGGAATCCTCATATATTTCTGATGGGAACATAAAATGGTACAGCCAGTTTGGAAAACAGTTCGGCAGGTTCTTAAAAAGTTAAACATAAATCTACCATATAATCCAGCAATTTCACCCCTAGATATCTATCTAAGAGAAATGAAAATGTGTCCATGGGGAGACTTGCACACAAATGTTCATAGCAGCATAATTCATAATAGCTAACCCAAATGTCCATCAACTTTTGAATGATTAAACAAAATGTGATATATCCATATAATGGAATATTATTCAGCAATTAAAAGGAACAATGAACTGATGCATTCAACAACATGGATGCAACTCAAATACTATGCTAAGTGAAAGAAGCCTGTCACAAAAGTCCACATAATGTATGGTTCTATGTATATGAAATGTCCAGAAAAGACAAATTTATAGAGAGCAACAGTAGATTATTGGTTGCCTGGGCTGCAGTAGGAATGAGAAGTGACTGCCAAATGGTCATGAGGGATCTTTTTGGGGTGAAGGAAATATTCTAAAGTTGGTTTGTGATGATAGTGGCACAACTCTATAAACATAAGAAATAGCCAGAAGCAGTGGCTCACGCCTGTAATCGTAACACTTTGGGAGGCTGAGGCAGGGGATGACTTGAGCCCAGGAGTTTGAGATTGCAGTGAGCTATGATCATACCACTGCATTCCAGCCTGGATGACAGAGCGAGACTGTCTAAAATAAATAAATAAATAAATAAATAAATAAATAAATAAATAATAATAATATATATATGTATATACACACATACATATAATATTATTAATGTGTATACTAAAAACTGGTGAATTTTATGGTATGTAAGTTATACTTCGACAAAACATTTTCTTTAAAAAAATAGGACAAAAAATGAATTCTTCCCCTCTCCACTTATAAGATAATACTTTCTTGGGGAAAAGCATTATAGATCCTATTCTAATACCAGCTCTTCCCCAGGATGAAATTGGAGAACAAGCTTCAAGAATACATGAGAAAGGGCCAGGCACAGTGGCTCACGCCTGTTAATTCCAGCATTTTGGGAGGCTGAGGCAGGCAGATCACCGGAGGTCAGGAGTTCGAGACCAGCCTGCCCAACATGGTGAAACCCCATCTCTCCAAAAGTACAAAAATTAGTTGGGTGTGGTGGCACATGCCTGTAATCCCAGCTACTTGGGAGGCTGAGGCAGGAGAATTGCTTGAACCAGGGAGGCAGATGTTGCAGTGAGCCGAGATTGTGCCACTGCACTCCAGCCTGGGCAACAGAGCGAGACTCCATCTCAAAAAAAAAAAAAAAAAAAAAAAAGAATACATGAGGGGAAATGTTTTCCAATAATGTAGACAGGAATTCACATGTTCAGTCATTTATTCATCATGTTAGCACAGAGTTCCCATACTATGGTTAATTTCGTAAGTCTGTCAGAGATTTTTAAATAGTATACGCAGTTTTATATACAACATCAGGTGCAATAATAAACCTGGCTAAATTCTGTATTACAAGCACGCAAGCAGCCGTTACTGAAACATTTTTATTGCCAAAGGTACATATGGACCCATTTTTAGCTGTCCTTCTGGTGAGATGAGCTCTCACAGGGCAATGATGTTGCTAAGAGGCATATGCTTCTGACTTGCTGGGAATTAAAAAAGAGAAAATATATTTGAATAAAACTAAACTTTGTGGTCTATTTATCTCCCACCAATTTGTTAAAGAATACATCTTCTGGTTCATATTCACTTGTATTAGTATTTTCTCTAAGAGCGTATTTGTGAATTTTTCCTTAGAACACTCCATTTCATTCCCCTGTTCTCCAAACAGTATTCCTTCTCCCTCTCTCCCTGCTTGTTAAGTATGTGTTAACCTTTGACGCCCTCCCCTCCATAATGCCTCCAGTTGTATAGGTTTATTTTGGACACAAAATAAGTGTGACTACCTCCTGAATGAATGAAAGTGGGTGGTTTTATCACCTGGGTAAACCTTGCACATTCTGTGGTTATGTAAACGTGGATAACCTTTATGGTTTCCTTTAACATGTACATATTCTTTCTTTTTCTCCCCTCCCATTGCTCTGAGCACATCCTAAGGAATGGGGAAAATCAGGTTCTGAAAATTCTTTTTACCCCTTTCGTTATTGACATTTTACATGATTTCCTTCCACCCTCAGGTGTAGGAATGCGGGTAACTGACAGGCTGTTCTGCAAGAGTGTGGGCATAGGATAAACCTGGAACATTGCTGAATTAAGTTATTCTGGGAGTAACTGTAAACAATAGAACTTCTTAAATTATGGTTTACTAAATTTGAATCACTATCCATTCATTGGGAGATTATTTGGCTAATAATTGTTTTAAAAAGATCATAATTTTTAAACTTTCTCCAAAGTTCATTTTTGAAACAGACCTATACTGTTAGAAGGTAACTAAATATGGGAACCCTAAATAATAATGGCATCCATGAAAAACTGGAGTTGGTTATTGTCGATACATTCTTTGCATAACCTTATAACACTTAACCATAAATAATTTTACTAGAACCTGGACTCTTGGGAGTAATCTTATGAAGCAGTTCTGTGTGGTTAGTAAAAAACTGCCCACCTATTTGGTTTCTGCCTCATGCTTTATAATCATCTGATCAGTGCTGCATGCTGAGTTCTACCCTATCTATACACATGCCTAATGTTTCACATGATATGAAATGTGGCAAACATTCACAGTGGATTTTGTGAGACACATACTATAGGAAACTTTCTTACACCTGTAATCAGGCATAAGTACTAGGGGAAAAGTGAAAGCTTTCAAATAGTGCTGCCTCTAGTACTAATAACATTGTTGAGCATTCAGGATTAGTTTGTTCAGCCTAGTGTAATAATTAATGTGTTTAAGTATGGTATAGTTGGGGGAGGTTTCTTCTCTAATCCATTGTTATTTGAAACCCTAGTCAGACATTTGAGAATTTGAAAGGACCCCTAAAGGCTTTTGTCTTAAATGTCTTTTCGCTTAAAAAAGAAAAAAAGAAAAAGAATAGATTTTAGTTTTAAACAAGAGAACACTGATCCATTTATGCCATTGTTTAAAATATTTTCTGTCATGTTAGTTGATGCCCTGAATCACTTTTAAAACTTCCCTTATTAAGTCATAGTTTATCCAGAAAAAATATAGTAAATCCTGAAGTGTCTGAAGTTTCCTTATATTTCCCAATGATGGATTTGAATAGGCTTTTAGCATGGTACAATTATTACTGGCTTCAGCGCAACTATATCACTAGGTAGCAAGTCTTGTGGCTGCAAGTGTCTTTGTTCTAAGGAATTGTACAATGAAAATATGATCTAATAAGGTAGTTATTCATTTACCACTTCCTGCTCATCAGCCCCAGCTTAGTGCTCAAGGCCCGCATGTTTCTAATTTCAATTTCAACTGCTGCAGAAGAGGCTTACTATAAAAAGAATTTAGAGTTAGCCAGGACTATTCTGGTGCCACAGACAAATTCTCACAATGCCACAAATAATGTAGCAATAAAGCAGGGACTATAATATGCTGCTATAGTTTAGTAGGTTGAATGGAGGTGAGGAAGTGGTGACAAGTGACTAAGGTGAGAGAAAGTTAAAGAGTGGTTGAGGTTGCAGAACTCTCCTTTAGTAGAAGACTGGCTTGATTTGATTCAATCTTCTGTTTCCTCCTTATGGACTTTCCTATTTGCCCCTCATTCCCTTGATCCTTCTTGTCCCTCCCATCTCCTTACCTTGAGTTGGTCATTTTCAGTTCTAGGGGCTCTCAAGCACTGCCATGGGGGACTGCATTGGTTGGTTCATCTTTCTACCCAGGCATACATTCATTCATTCACTAAACGCATACCAAGCGCCTCTTCTGTTTGTGGCTCTGTGCAAGGCACTAGGGATCCACCCTGAGTAGGACAGTTTCTGCCTTATGGAGAGACTAGAAGTAGGACCCCACAATTCGGATGAAGTAAATGGCTTCCAACCTTCAAAGAACTGCTTGCTGTAGTTTGGTTTGATGCATACTGGGTTTGGTTTGATTGCTAAAGGTGTGCAGATATATCTGTTATTCCTTCTTAAACTTATATCCTCAAAGGAGAGTGACAGCTTTCAGAGCAGAGACCTTTAGTGTCTCCATCTAGGACATTCATAAAAAGTAAGTCTGTGAGCCAAGAATAAATCTGAATTTTTTATTGAGGACTTGAGATCAGAACAGATCAAATGTTAGACTAACATCAGAACTAAAGATGACTGTCACAGTGTGAGGCCACCAGGGATGAGACTCTGAGATGGAGATCAGCATATAGGGTGTTTATTAGGAAGTGCTCTTGGAGCCAATACCTGTAGAAAGAAGGGGATGGAAACATGACTGGTTAGAGGGAGAGGTTAAACTGCTGGTCCCAATGAAGGCCTTGGCTGATCTTCTGGGAAGCTCTGGTATTAGGATGGCTCTTTAGAGCCGTCCCAAATTGAGGCAAGGGAGCTAGGCCTTTATACCAGCTGCATTGTTTAGACATTGGATGTGTGTTGCCCCTGTTGGACCTTGGGTATTTTTTTAGCCAAGGCAAGCCCTGAAAGTGGCTGAGAGCAGAGAGTGATCAACGGGCAGTACTAGCAGCTGGGAGAATAAGTTCTTCATTTCTGAAGGAGGATCTGGGCAGCACATTACAGGGTTCATTCACCACAACCACACCCAATCAGTGCTAGAGGACACTATGACAATTTACCTAGATCCAACAAAGCCAAGGGGTTCAGGCTACCTAGGAAGGACGTATCATTCCCCACTAGCCATTTGGAATGGTACAGTTAAAATATCTAACAAGTAAATTTCAGTCAATTGAGTAAATTTTTCTATACTTGTTTTTTTGTTCACTACACAGCTGATATAAAAGGAATGAAGTCCTTCCCCACTATCTAAATATGATACCACATTAGTAAGAGATTTCAATGTTTCTTCTTTTATAGGACTTCACAATGGAGATTCTTTGAGAAGAGATTTTTGATGGTATTTAAAAGGATGACTACAAGGAATGACAATGGTGTTTTTACACATATCTAGGGTGCCATATATTCTAGTTTGCCTGGGAAATACCTGATTTATGCCTTTGTTCCAGCATAATTATTATTAGCACACTTTTCACACTCAAAAGTACCCCTTTTGGGGGTGATAGATTATATGGTGACCTTACGAATCCCAGATAGAATTTCAATGTCCAAATGAGTGTTATGTTTCAGAATAGTCACATTGAAAGACCAAATAAACACTAATTCTGAAGATGCTTTCATTGACCCAAATATGTTTAAAACTATGCTGTTGGAAACAGTGGTGGGGTTACTATATGAAATAGTCATAAGAGTCATCCACTTCCTTTCAATCCCATCTCATTCTTCATTTTCCTCTCATCCTCTCACACCATTTTCTAAAAACCATTTTAAGAAGAAGCAATCCTGTTCCCCACACCAGAGTCATTCACCATGTCCATTGGACTTGGGTTTGATTAACTTTGTTTCCTAAATCAAAACTTTCCAAGGATGAGAATATGAGAATTTTCTACCACTGACTTTGCCTAAAATTGTGAACCACAGAAACATTCTCTCTCTCCCTCCTATATGTAATATCAAATAACATAACAACATAACATAATCAGAGCTGCTGGGATTGAAGGGGTTAATAAACAACACCCTTCTTACCCATGCCTAAGCTCTGTACCAATGAATATAGACAGAAGAGTAGGCTGAGGAAGATTCAAATGTTAGCTGTACTGACATTGGAACACATGGCATAAATGTGTAACAACAATGAATTTTCCAATAATGATAACTGTACCCACATTTTCTTCTTGTATGCCATTGGATGAACTGGCAAGCCCATGGTCAACCGGTAGTGTGGCCAGCTCTCTACTGGAAGAGGTCAGTTGTCCTACTCCTATTTTTGTCAAACCACCTCCATGTTACCAACTTCTGCTTTGGTGGAGATGTCCTTTGACCACTGATAGGCAGGACAGATTTTGCCAATAGAAGGTTCCAAAATGGTTGAGAATGATAAATCAATTAGATTTACTTTAAGGTTGTTTCATGGCTGAAAATCCACCTTCTGTTTTACTTCGTCTCGCAAATTAGGTCCAACCACATTGTCCTACTCAGCCTAGTAGAATGTCTTCAGTGAGGTTAAATGATATCATAAAAATATTCCACCGAAATATATAGGGACAGCCCATATTCAAATATACATTTCCTCCTACTATTAATTACCCAGGGAGAATTAATGTGTCCAACTTTTAAAGAATCTAAAAATTAAAACTTCACATTAAAATCCAGAGATTATGGGTTTCGGTCCATTTCTTATTCTGCTCATTGTCAGCTAGAAAGGTTCTCAGTGTCTGGGCAGAGTTATCAATACCTCCAGCAACATGGCCCAAAATGCCTTTTGTAAGAATAGGTGTCATCTTCTTGGGTCCTAGAAGTTATATTAGCCATTCTTCTGTCTCTCTTTTAAAGACTTCAGATTGTCAATAGGAAATACAAATTATCACAACACTGGCTAAAATTAATTACTTCCAGCAATTTATAGCACTAGAGCAGTTTTCTCAAACCAAATGAAATCTCAGAACCTATCTAATCCTGGGTTACTACTGCCAAAGACATAATGGAGACTCAGTGGTATCTGAAGGAAAAATGAGGCAAAAACATTCTTCTGGGTTTCAGCTTCTCCAAAACACTAGACTAACTATAGGAGTTGTCTAGTGCCTGTGACCTGTGAAACTAAACTCTGGGGAAATCCCCTACCAAGAGGTGAATGTTGACACTGGGTATTTGCCATAACTTTCTTGGGAAATTCCTTGGTCATACTCTGAAATTGTCATTCTGGACATTGATGCCTTCTTGCAAAGTCTAAGTGTTTGTAATGATGCCAGTCACAGACTCCAGATATTATTTGAATTGCTCTTTTCTCCCCTAAACAATACACTTGGAATCTCTTAATTTCTATTTCCCCATGGCCCTGTGTGTCTAGGACTCTGTGCTGTATATAGATGGTATCTCTCTGCTGACAAGTCTCCTACTCTCTCTTATGAGAAGGCATTTTCAATTATGTGTCACACTGGCTGTGGTCATACGTCTTGCTGTGGAATTGCAGAGGCTTAAGAAGGCTACCTCTGAAGGAAGATGTCCCTTTCATTTTCATGTTTGTTGCAACTGGAGAGTTGCTCTCAACAGCTTATGAGCTGAATCTGTGGTTGCTACTTCTGGAACTTTTGCCCTTGTAGACCTCATGAAGATCAGGACCTTCTCAAGACCCAAGGCATGTGGATCTTGGAAATCTAGACCCATGGTCTGAACTTTGTGATGACGCGATTCAGAACCAAAAAGAGGCTACAGGGTTGGAATGACACCTGAGCCTGTGGCCTGTCCAGAGTTCCTCCTCACCCCTTGTTTGGAAACTCAAATTATTTTTTTCTATTTTCTTACTTAACAATCAACACAGAAGATTTCTGTGACCAAATGTGGGGAGAAGGGGGTTCTCCTTACCACCAGGTAAGCAATCAATTCGGCAGTGCACACCAGCTGGATGTCCTCCAATTCAAATTCAACACTATCTACCTGGAGATAGTGTCAGATCCCACAGATTGAGGGGTCAGTCCCCAAAACTGCCCCTCCCTCCTTCAGACAGCAGTACTAAGTCCAGGCCTCCAAAACTTGACAGACTGGCTTTAAGTTGGGGTTTCCACAACGCCCTCTTTGGGTTTGATTAATTTGCTAGAGTGGTTCACAAAACTCAGGGAAACACTTATGTTTACCAGTGTATTATAGAGGTTTTGCAAAGGATACAGATGAAGAGATGCATAGGGCTGGGTATGAGAGAAGCGTTGCAGAGCTCCCATGCCCTTCCTGGATGTCCCATCCTCTGGGAATCTCCATGTGTTCAGCTATCTGGAGGCTCTCTGGACCCTGTCCTCTAAGGTTTTTATGGAGGATTTATTACATAAGCATGATTGATGAAACAATTAGCTATTGGCGATCAACTTGACCTTCATCCTCCTCCCCGCTCCCCAGAGACTGGGGGCAGAGCTGAAAATCCCAACCCTCTAATCCTGCCTTGGTCTTTCCAGTGACCAGCCCCACCCTGAAGCTATCATTCAACATTAGCATATAAAAAGACAGCACCTTGGAGATTCCAGGAAATGGGGGTGGGGGTGGGGACAAGGACCAAATATATATTTCACAATGTCACAGCCCTGAATCCCTAGAACGGATTTTGGGCAGCTTACCCAGCACCAGATCAGGTGAAGGACCATCCCATCTTCAGAACTTCCTGCGGGATTGGCTGAGGCTTCTGTTGGGAATGAATCACAGCTCCACTTTTCTCCTCCCAATTCTGCATCCTTTCTTTCTTTCCTCTCCTATAGGAGTTGATTCCAAGAGCACTCCCTCCCAAAAGTCCTGCATGCTGATCTTCATCTCAGAGCCTGCTTCCCAGGGAGCAAAGCTAGAGCAACCCTGTGAAGGCTCACATCGTTGTTCCCACTGCCTGAGAGCCCCCACGAACACCTTTGCCTCATCTCCCAATACTGCTGATTGTCTCAACTTCCCCTCAGGCCAAGGGCCAGGCTTTGGGCACAGCTTCAACCATGATGATCATGCCAGGGGCTACAGCTGCTCCAGTGCTCAGCTGTGACCTGGCTGGACAAACAGAGGCCCAGCTGCCCTGAGTGTGGGAGAAAATAAAGCTCTGTGGGGGAGGACTTTGATAAATGAGAGGATGTAGAAGGAGCTTCTCTGTGTGGCTTCTTTGAAAATTTCCTGCATAACTGAGAATCAGCTAGATGTTCTTGAGAGGCTGTGGCCAGTTCAGAAACACAGTTCAGGAACATGCCACCTGCACACCGTCTGTTACCTGCATGCGCCCTCCCACCTGTATGTGTTCTCTCCCATTCCCTGCCCCTCTTTTCTTTCTCTCTCATTCTTGGGATTATATCCTTTTGAATAATGTGTTGGAACAGAAGCTTTCCTCAGAATCTCGATAACCCAGGCTAAAACAGGATGTTACTTAGCAGATGTGCTATCAACGGACTTATTTTTTTAACTGACTTTTAGTAAAAGCACTTCATGATCATTCTACGTTAGAACTGCTCTGCCACAAAAGAAACCCTCTTTCTCCTCCCTACCTTCACAATAATATTCAGAGCCACTTCTTTTTTTTTTTTTTTTAAATCGGAGTTTTGCTCTTGTCGCCCAGGCTGAAGTGCAATGGCATGATCTCGGTTCACTACAACCTCTGCCTCCTGGGTTCAGGCGATCCTCCTACCTCAGCCTACCAAGTAGCTGGGATTGCAGGCACCCGCCACCACGCCCGGCTAATTTTTGTAGTTTTAGTAAAGATGGGGTTTCACCACGTTGGCCAGGCTGGTCTCGAACTCCCGACCTCAGGTGATCTGCCCACCTCAGCCTCCCAATGTGCTGGGATTACAGGTGTGAGCCACTGCGCCTGGCCCCCACTTCTTTTAATCCAGAAAACTGTACTTACTGTTCTATACCATTATTATTTTTTCCCTGTCCTACCTGAAATGAAAGTAATTATCATTTCTCTAATAGTCTGAAATGATTGCCTGTCTTGTCACTTTGCCTAATCTAAAGCTCTTAACATTCATTTATCTAGCATGGAGGCAATTTATGGGCAAAAGTGATGTTAACAAACTCCACTACTAAAGTGGTTGCTTGTGGTAAAAATGTTCAGAGGCTACATTTATTTGCCGAGTGTTGCATTGTATTTCCCCTCTGGAAGTAGCTAATGCAGCAATAAGATGATAAAAGGAAAATTGTGTAGAATGAAAAAATAAAAGGGAGAACAAAGATATTTGTGTTTTGTTTTTGTTTTTGTTTTTTTGAGACGGAATCTTGCTCTGTTGCCCAGGCTGGAGTGTAGTGGCACAGTCTCGGCTCACTGCAACCTCCGCCTCCTGGGTTCAAGTGATTCTCCTGCATCAGCCTCCCGAGTAGCAGGGATTACAGGCAAGTGCCACCATGCCCGACTAATTTTTGTATTTTTAGTAGAGATGGGGTTTTGCCATGTTGGCCAGGCTGGTCTCGAACTCCTGACCTCAGGTGATCTGCCTGCCTCAGCCTCCCAAAGTGCTGGGATTACAGGCATGAGAACAAAGATATTTGAATAGTTCATCTTTTGAAGTAGCTTTTAAGCATGTGGGCATTACTCCAAGATCAACAGAAGGAAGTTGGTAAGAATGTAACCAACACAGTGAATAGATAATAGCACAAGAACTCAGCCACTAGGTACTTGATACTCTGTTGCTGCTCAGTACCTGCTTCACTGGGTGCTCAACTTCACACATCAGAGACAAAGAAGTTTCTGGAATTCCAAGGACATTCAGGCTCTGAGAGAATGGTCATTTCTTTCTCAGTAAAGGTGCGTTTTCACCTGTCTTTTTGCTGTCACTTGGTTCTGGTCTTCTAATTCCTGCTCAGGTCTGCTTTCACTAAACCCCTGCAGGCTTGTCAGACTTGACTAGACTAATCTCATATAAGTTTATCTTTCAGTGGATCAGGTATCAGAAATCCAGGGGGTATTTTTGTAATTTAAGGAGGCTTAATGCCCCCACCTTTGCCTTTCTCATGTCTCTAGATGGTGAGCATTCACCTTTACACTATTTAGGATGTTAGCATTTACTGGTGCTCATGTCATATTTGATCACTGTCATACATCTCTGGTGACTCTTGTGACATCTCTTTCTTTCTACTGCCTACACACACACACACACACACACACACACACACACACACACACGAGATTATTTTAACATGTTATTTTGAAATAACCTTAGACTTACAGGGAAGTTGCAAAAATACTACAAATAGTTCAGTTACATACCTCACCTTGCCTCCTCTAACGTTAATGTCTTATATAAGCATAGTACAATTATCTAGACTAGGAAATTAACATTGGTACGGTACAATTAATCAAGCTATGAAGCTCATTTGAATTTTACCAATTTTCCTCCTAAATGTCCTTTTTATGTTCCGGGATCTCATGTTGTATATCGTTGTTGTGTCTCCTTTGTCTCCTCTAATCTGTGACAGTTCCTCAGTCTTTCCTTGTCTTTTATGATTGTGAAACTTTTAAAAGAGCACTGGTCAGTTATTTTGTAGAATGCCCTTAATTTGGGTTTTAATATTTTTTCTCATGCTTAGTTTGAGGTTATGCATTTTTTACAAGAATAGTATAGAAGTTATGTTCTCTTTATTGCATCATATCAGGGGGTACATGATGCCAATATATCTTATTACTGGAGATGTTAACCTTGATTACTTGATTAAGGTGGCGTCTGCCAAGTTTCTCTACTGTAAAGTTACTATTTTCCTCTTTGGAATTGATTAATATCTTCAGAGGGATATTTTTAGACTATGCTAGTATCCTGTTTCTCCTCAAACTTTCCCCCACTGATTTTAACATCCATCAGTAGATCTTGCTTGCAACAGTTATTACTGTGGTATTTGCCATATGGAGATTTTGCATTTCTCTCATTGTTTGCAATTGTTTTAAATTGAAATTTTTGAGTAATGGAGGGCTGTCCATTTCCATCTGCTATTTATGTATTTAATTGTTTCTGTCAACATAGATTCGTGGATATTTATTTTATTGTGTGGGTTATTATCCAACACTACCATTATTCATTTCATTTCTCAGACTGTTCCATCTTTGGCTATTAGGAGCTTCTTTGGGTTGGCTCCTGTGTTCTTTTGACAAACCCTTATCCTTTTCTAAGCATATTCTTATTTTTTGGTACCACAAAATGTTCCACGCTCACCTGGTAGTTTTCTTGCCCCTGCCCTGGAATCAACTGCTTCTCCAAGGAACTCTGCTCCTTTTACTGAAGAATGATGTTTCAGAAAACAGGACCTGGACAGTAATTGCGGTAAATACTATAAATACAGTATGCGGTGAATGCGGTAAATACTGGGGTATCACTGCTTCTATGATCTCTCGGTAGATAGAGCTAGAAAATATATGTGTGTATACTAACCCATGTGTGTGCACATATATGGATTTATTTATGTATCTAGCTATCTGTATGTGTATGTTAAAAACCATGAGTTCCTTCTGATACCTACCTCCAATTCCAATCCAACACCACAAGGTTCATTCTAACACTTTCCTTATTTGGAACTCTGACATTGAGAAAAGTGACCCCCATTACCTAAAATATACTTACTTTTTTGTTCAACCCTAGACTTTATATAAAATAATTTCAGAATTACCAACCCATATGTCCGTGATAACCAGGTTTACTAACTAGAGTACAATACTTGTATGTAGCTCTTTTTGTCTTTAGCCTTATGGTATCCAGTCAAAATACTAATTCTGAGGATACTTAGATTAGGACTTTTCTTCTCTATCTCCTTCAGTGTGGTTATGTTATTCTTTTGTAACACAGTTTGGTTCATTTATTATCATGTGTATTCCATTTTGGGTTGCCCTCACATCTTGGTTTATTTCAGTTATTTATTGGGGGGAATATATGTAAAACATGTTTCTAAGAGTCAAAGCTATTAAAAAAAAAGAGTAATCAGAGAAGCATAGCTTTCTGTTCATCTCTTCTAAGCCATTCCCACTTGCATTTTCTTTCCCTCCTTTTGCTGACCATCTCTTGCAGAAAACAAAAGTCTTTAGTTTCTGGTTTATCCTTCCTAGATTTCTTTTGGATAAAGGAGCAGATACGTTTATATTTTATTATATCCTCTATTATAAAAGATAGAGCATATTATAGATATTCTTTTGCACTTTGATATTTCCACTGTAAATCAGTTCAGAGATCTTAGTCATTCTTTTCTTGTTTTTTGTTTGTTTTAAACAGCTACATAGCACTCCACTGTGTGGCTACACCATAGTTTATTCAACTGCTCTCCCATGTATGGGCATTTACGATGTTTCCAGTATTTTGCAATTACAAACAATGATACAATGAATAACCTAGTGTGTATATATTTTTGTATTGCTACATTCAGACTTCAGACTAGATTTCTAGTCTTGAAATTGATGGGTCAAATGGTAAGTGCATAAGTACTTTAGTTAGGTATTGCTAAATTTCTCTTTAGAAGGACTATACTAATTTGTATTCCAGCAATCTGAGAGTGCCTGCATTCCCTTAGGAATGAATGTGGTACTATACTTTTAAATTTGCAATGCTCTAATTATGAGTGAATTTGAATATTTTTATGTGTTTGAGAGCCATGTATACATACCCACACACACACACACACACACACACACACATACACACACATATATACACAGTGGTAGTTGCTATTGTTATTAATTGTATACTCTTTTTTTTTTTTACTATTTTTCTATTTTTTTCTCCCATGATTTAAAAAAATATTATTATTATTATTATTATTGAGACAGAGTCTCACTCTGTTGCCCAGGCTGGTGTGCAGTGGTGTGATCTAGGCTCACTGCAACCTTCACTTCCCAGATTCAAGTGATTCTCCTGCCTCAGTCTCTCAAGTAGCTGGGACTATAGGCGTGCACCACCATGCCTGGCTAATTTTTTTTTTTTTTTTTTGAGACGGAGTCTCGCTCTGTCGCCCAGGCTGGAGTGCAGTGGTGTAATATCGGGTCACTACAATCTCCACCTCCTGGGTTCACGCTATTCTTCTGCCTCAGCCTCCCGAGTAGCTGGGACTACAGGCGCCCGCCACCACGCCCGGCTAATATTTTTGTATTTTTAGTACAGACGGGGTTTCACTGTGTTAGCCAGGATGGTCTTCATCTCCTGACCTCGTGATCTGCCCACCTCGGCCTCCTAAAGTGCTGGGATTACAGGTGTGAGCCACTATGCCCGGCCAAAAATTATTTTTATTAGTTTATTTTCAAATTTCATTTTTAATTGACATAATGTAGATATTAATGATGCACTGTATATTTTGAAATTCTCCCTCAATTTTTAGTAATTTTTATATTAAAGATATTAGTCTTTGTGGCATATATTGTGAATGTTTCTCTCAGTTTGTCAGTTGTCTTTCGACTTTGTGAACTTTTTGACATGCAAAAACATTTTAGTATCATGTACTCAGATTTATTGATCTTTTCTTTTACTGACTCTTCATTCTGAGTCATAGTTAGAAAGCTTTTTCCTATACCAAGGATAAACATTTATGTTTCCTTATAGTACTTATATGACGCTGCATTTTTATATGTAGAGTCTCGATCCATTGGAGTTTATTTTTGTGGATGGTATTTATGGTATGATGAATGTTTCTGTTTGTCTTTTTCAAAATGGCTACTCCATTTTCTAAGCACCATTTATTAAAACGTCCATCTTTACCCTAGTGATTTGCAAGGCCAGACCTTTAACATGTACTAAATTTTAACATATAATTGGGTCTATTTATGGACAGAAAGTGTATTTTATTTCACTGATCTATTTGTCTATTCATATGCCAGCACCACATTGTTTTAATTATAGACCCTTAGAGTGTGTTTATCGACTAATAAGTTAGTTTTTTTCCCCCTAGTGTTTATCTGGCCATTCTTGTTTTATTCTCCTAATAAACTTTAGTATCAATTTGTCCAACCCCATAAAGTAACTTATTTATATTGGGATTGCATTGTATTTCTGAATTACCCTAGGAAATAATGTTATATTGTTGAACATATTTAAAAGCAAATGGATGCCATTCCATTTGTTCAAGTCTACTTTTGTATCTTTCAGGAGTGTTTAAAATTTTCCTCATATAAGATTTAAAATGTTCATGTTGAATTTATTCCAAGATATTTAATTTTTTGTTGATTTTGTAAATGGGGTTTTCTCTTACAATATCTTGAGGTGTTATATTTTTGAACAGTTTTTTTATATATAATGACATATAATTAACTTCACATATTTAACGTACAGTTTTATAAGTTTTGCCATATGTACACATCCATGAAAACATTACCACAATTAAGATAATGGACATATCTATCATCTGCAAAAGCTTTCTCATGCTCTTTTGCAATCCATAATCATGCCATTCCCTCCAGTCTCCTAAACTGTATCCCCAGGCAACCATTGATCTGCTTCCTGTCATATGGATTAGTTTGCATTGTCTTGAATTTACTGTAAAACAGAATTATACAATATGTAATTTCTTGTTTGTCTTTTTTTTTTTTTTTGCTCAGTATAATTATTTTGAGATTCATCCATGTTGTTTGTATCAAAAGTTTATTGCATTTGTTTACTGAGTAGTATTTCATTGTATGAGTATACCAAAATTTATTCATCCATTCTTCTGTCGATGGAAATTTAGATTGATTCTACTTTGGGGCTATTACAGATACAGCTGCCATAAGCATTCATGTACATATCTTTGCATGGCCATATGCTTTCATATCTCTTGGGTAAATACTTAGGAGTAGAATAGCTGAGCCATATAGTAAGTGTATGTTTAACATTATGCCAAACTGTTTTCTAAGAGGGTTGTACTATCGATGGCAGATTTTTTGCTCCTTAGTTCAGCTAAATGCAGGTTCTTGTCTCACAACCAGGAAAAATTAGGCACGTGGACACATTGAAGGGTGAAGAGGATGGAATTTATTGAGTGAAAAGAAAGCTGTCAGCAAAAAGAGGGGGTTCCACCAGCAGGCTCTCACCTCACAGACTAAATACCAGGCCACCACACATGAGCTGAAGAGACCAGGCTCCTCCACTGCATAGGGCCTGAATTCCTGGTAGCTCTACCCCATTCCCACAGTGCATTTGGGCCTCCAGTCCACTGTGAGCATGCCCAGGGAAGACCCTGTGCAGGTTCCCTTATCTGCACAAAAACATCTGGTATAAACACTTGTGGGGTGGGTCAGAGATTCTCCAGGGACCCTTCCTGATCTGCCTAGGCATTTGTCTGCCGCCTGCCTCTGTCACTGTTTCACATTACCATCAGCAGTATATAAGAGTTCCTGTAGCTCAACATCTTTGCCAAGATTTGATATGGTTGGTCTTTTTAATTTTAGCCATCTACTAGGTGTGTGGTGGTATCCCATTATGATTTTAATTTCCATTTCCACAACTGTGAATGGTGTTGAGCATATTTTCATGTGCTTATTTGCCATTCACCATCTTAATTGTTAAAGTGTCTGTTTAAATCTTGTGCCCATTTTTATTCAAAATTTTTTCTTTTCTTTTTTTGAGATAGAGTCTCACTCTGTCACCCAGGCTGGAGTGCAGTGGCGCAAACATGGCTCACTTCAGCCTTGACCTCCTGGGCCTAAAAGGCATCCTCCTGCTCAGCCTCCTGAGTACCTGGGACCACAGCTGTGCACCACTACACCTGGCTTTTAATTTTTTTAATGTTTTTGTAGAGATGGGGGTCTCACTATGTTGCCTAGGCTGGCCTCAAACTCCTAGAAATCCTCTTGCCTTGGCCTCCCAAAGTGCTGGGATTATAGGCATGAACCATCATGCCCAACCTAAATTTTTTTCTTATTATTGAGTAGACTAATAAGTCTATGCACAGTATATCTCTGCATTTATTGAGGTGTTTTTGAAATTTATCTCAGCAATGTGTTTTTGTTTACAGCATTCAGTTACTTTATTAATTTGATTTTATATTTATATTTTTATTTTTTTTCGGATGGAGTTTCACTATTGTTGCCCAGGCTGGAGTGCAATGGTGCGATCTTGGCTCACTGCAACCTCTGCCTCCCAGGTTCAAGCAATTCTCCTGCCTCAGCCTCCCAAGTAGCTGGGATTACAGGCATGCGCCACCATGCCTGGCTAATTTTGTATTTTTAGTAGAGATGGGGTTTCACCATGTTGGTCAGGCTGGTCTTGAACTCCTGACCTCAAGTGATCCACCTGCCTAGGTCTCCCAAAGTGCTGGGATCACAGGCATGAGCCACTGCACCCAGCTGAATTTTAATTTTCAATTTTTTTTTACTATAACATAGACATACAATTAGTTTTTGAATATTGATCTTCTATCCTACAATCTTATTAAATTCACTGGCCCATCAATGCTTACCAGGTTTTGGGAAATATCATAAGGTTGTTCATACTTGATCATATTGCCTATAAATAAAAAGTATTTCTAATCTGGGCAGCTTTTATTTGTCTTTCTTGTCTTGTTGCTGCTATAAGAAATTTCCACAAATTTAGTGGCTTAAAACAACACAGTTTTATTATCTTATAGTTTGGGAGCTCAAGAGTTTAAAAATCGATCTAACTGGGCTTCAGTCAAATGTCAGCAGGGCTGGGGTTCCTTCTGGAGGCTCTGAGGGGAGAATCTGTTTCCTTGTCTTTTTCAGTTTCTACAGGGTGCCTGCATTCCTTGGCTTGTGGGCTCTTCCTCCATATTCAAAGTAAGCAACACAGCATCTTCCAGTCTGTCTCTCTCTCTCCCTCCCTCTCTGGCCTCTACTTCCATTGTGACATCTTCTCTGACTGACCTTCCTATCTCCCTCTTAGAGGGACCCTTGTGATTACATTGGACCCATTCAGATTAATCCAGGATAATTCCCTCTCAAGACCCTTAATGCAATCACCCCTCCTCTCAAGGCCCTTAATGTAATCACATCTGCAAAGTCCCTTTTGCCATGTAACAAATTCATGGGTTCTGGGTATCACGGCATAGACATCGTTAGAGGATCATCATTTAGCCCACTACCATGTATGAGGTTTTCTACTCTGTCTGGTGGGAACAAGGACTATTTTTTGTTCTGCATGAGGTTTGGAGATTGTCTCCTCCTATCTGTTAAGTGGTTCTTTATTTGGTCTTGGGTAGTTTCTTCACAAGCACGTGCTGATCACTACTCAGCTAAATACTCAAGGGATCCATCTGTAAACCTCTGGAGCTCTCTCTGTGTCCAGTTCTCTTCTGTCTGGTACTCTGTCCTGTGGACTCTAGCAACCTTGCACCTCCCTGGACTCCTTGTTCTTTCTCCTCAACTCAGGGTGACCACCCCACATGCTGGAATCCCTTTCCAAGAAATAAACTGGTAATTGCAGGATTTACCTTGGTTGTTTCCCATCTATTAGGGATGAGTCACAGTTCACCATTGCCTGGTTTCTAATATCTCGAGACTTATTGTTTTATATGGTTTTCTAGTTTTCTAGTTGTTTCAAGAGGAAGAGTAAATATGGCCTTAGTTAGTCCAATTTGACCAGAAATGAAAGTCAAGGTTTTATTTAAAAAAAATTCTTGATATTATAACTGCCATGGTCACAGAAGCTTGTAAGATAAGGGCCTATGCAACAAGAGCAACATTGGATAATTCAACATTTACCGAGCAACTTTTATGTGCAAGGTAATGTGCTAGATGCTGTGAGGAATACAAACATGCTCCCTTATAATGAGAAGCAGGCATATGTGAAGCAATACAGGGCTTTTGGAGGCATTAGGATGGAGAGAAGGAAGAGTTATATCACAATATGTTAGAAAGTTCTATTTCTTCCAGAATGGCTCTTAGAATGAGGCATAGACTGAAACCACTCTAGGTTGCCTGGTTTGATTTCAGATTCCCTAAGCAAGGAAAGTCCCTGAGAGGGTAGCTTCTCCACTTGGAGGGAGCTGCCATCACCCTGCCTTGATATACCCCATTGCCACTAATTATTATTTCTCACCAATTCCCTAAAGTGCTTGCTTTTGTCTACCATGTGCATGATGCCCAACAAACAGCTCTGACCTTTGCAGGAGGCACATAAAGGAAAGCAAGTCACATTTAGTAAACACTGTCAGTTAGCCATTTTTACATGCATATCGTTCAAGAGAAAACTGAGACTCAGAAGTGTTTTAAAACTTCTCTACCTTAGGTCCCCCAACTAGCAAATGGCAGAGCTGGCAGAGGGATCAAAGTCTAACTTCAACACCTTATGGTCCTATTTTCTGGCTTAGGTGAAAGACTGCCTCGGTTTCAAGAGTGCAAAAGACTCCACTACTGCTCGTGTCATTTGCTGTGTTCCCAACACACGGAATCTCCTGAGCTTTTGGTTTCTGATTTTAACTTCTTTATGTTGGAAAATACAAGCCTCTGTTACCTGTCTGAGTGAGACTCCCGACGCCGCCCTGCTCTCCAGTATCTGTGTATTTCCATATCCTCATGTTCTTCCTTATACCTGCCTCTCAGTCACTGTTTTGATCTGACGCTTTTTAAATTTGCCTTTTATGTAGTCCGGTTTCCAGATTCCTCAGTTCATTCCTGGTCCCCAGCATTGCTATTGTAGGACAGATACCTTTCTATTCTCAGCTTCTAAACTTGATGTGCTTCTTCTAGTTCTGACTCCAGCCCAGTTCCACAAAGCAACCCCTTAGCTGACTTTCAGACATCACTGAGTGTTCACATGTACATGAATATTCATTATTGAGTGTTCACATGTACATGAATATTCAACATTCATTAATTGATTTATTTGTTCACAAACACAGTTTTGCTGAGCACCTATTACACGACAGACTGGAGATCTAGTAATGTACTAACAGAAATAGGTGGAGCATCTGGCCCAGGGAGTACAGAGTTCTAGTGTCAGGGTGACTGACAAACATCTAGGGGGCATCAATCCTACTGCACCACTTCAGCAGAAACAGACAATCACTAGAATGACCAAGAGAGATGAAAGAAAGTAGTTAAAGAAAAAGCACTCAGCATATCATCTCCATAGAGCATATGGGAATGTGTAAGATGAGGTATTCACTGTGTAATGTGCTGCCCAGAGCTCCCTGGATTCCTTTCTGGAGGCTGCAGTAACAAATTATCACACACTGCGTGGCTTAAAATAACAGAAATGTATTGTCTCACAGTTCTGGAGGGTAGAAGTCCAAGATCAAGGTGTTGGCAGGGTTGGTTTATTCTGAGGGCTGTGAGGGAGAATCTGTTCCATGCCTCTCTCCTAGCCTCTGGTGGTTTGCCGGCAATCTTTAGTACTCCTTGGTTTTCCCTCTGTCTTCTTATGGTGTTCTTTCTGTGTCTTGTTGCCTCATCTTTACTCTGTGCATCTGTGTTCAAATTTCCCTTTTTAATAAATACATCAGTCATATTGGATTAGGCCCATTCTAATGAGCTCATTTTAACTTGATCACCTCTGTAAAGACTATTTCCAAATAAGGCCACACTCTGAGGTGCTGGGGGTTAGGACTTCCACATATCATTTTTTTTTGTTTTTTGGCAGAGACAATTCAACCTATAACACTCCCTTTAAGGAAGGTCTTATTGCCCCAGCTGCTGGGAGTGCTGCCAGCAAACAGCCTCCAGCTGCCAGTGCATACAGGGGCTGCCTCAGCTTCAGAGAATCACCACCCCAGAGGCTACGTCCCTGCTCAAGGTGGTCCATCCCCAATGATTGACAGAGGCAGGGGTACAAAGTTCTCATCATCTTGTCCCAACTTTGAACAATCCTGAAGGGCCATTCTAACTTCAGAGTGCCTCATCAGGTCACCTGGGCTGGCACTGAAGCTTGGATTTCTCCCTCTGCCCACATCTGCTTGAATCTCCTACCTCCATGGGTGTTGACCCCTTCATGAATAGCCTGCATGCTAAACCCTGCCTCAGGGTCTATTTCTAGGAGAACCCAATCTGTAACAGGTGGAAAGAGGAAACAAATATCTTCAGGGTGGAAAGGTCCTGGTAGGCAAGAGGGAGAATAGGAAGGGATGAAACCACGGAGGTAAGCGGGGTCCAGATCATGCACGACTTTGTAAGCTCTGAAAGAGTTTGGATTTTATTCTAGATGCAATAGATGGGAAGCCATGGAAGAATTTTGAGCCAGGAGTGAGAGGATCAGCTTGCATTTTGACAATTTTGAAAACTGGCTGCTATTTGTGCCTCCTGGTCTTTGAGCCTGTTAAATCTCCTGTGACATGTGTTGCTTTCCTTGAGACATGGTGGCTGCTTGACTCAGAGGGGCATATGCTAAGACCACAAGGAGAGGACTCCAGCTTCAGCTCAACTTGAACCTAGAACCACTTCACCCCTATAGTCTCTCCTCCACATTTCTCTGGCTGCCTTGAGCTGAAAAGAACAATGACATCTCCAACCACCTTTATTTTCAAGGAGTTTTCTTGGCCAAGGTGGCATGGAATCCTAAATTGTCTTTTCCTCTTTGGGTAGACTTTCAGTCAATTCTTTCAAAACCAATTTAATTTTTGTTGTTCTCATTGTAAACAAACAAACAACAACAAAAAGACCATGCTCTTTGTAAAAATTTGGAAAGTAAACCTTTCAAGAGAAAAATTATACTCCAGAGGCTAAGGCAGTAGGATCCTTGAGCCAAGGAGTTCGAAGCTGCAGTGAGCTATGATTTTGCCACTGCACTCCAGCCTGGGTGACAGAGCAAGACTCTATCAGGAAGAAGAAGAAAGAAGAAGAAGAAGAAAAAAGAAGAAGAAGAAAGAAGAAGAAAAAGGAGGAGAAGGAGAAGAAAGAGAAGAAGGAGAAGAAGGAGAAGAAGGGGGATGAGAAGGGGGTGTAGGAGGAGGAGGAGAAGAGAAGCAGAAGCAGAAGAAGCAGAAGCAGAAGAAAGAGGAGAAGGAGAAGAAGGAGAAGGAGAAGAAGGGGGATGAGGAGGGGGTGTAGGAGGAGGAGGAGAAGAGAAGCAGAAGAAGAAGAAGAAGAAGGAGAAGGAAATTAAAAATCACTCAGTAATAGTCGCTGTTTGTGGATGTATATATCATACAAACAGCCTGGATTTTAAACTTAAATACCTGTTCCAGAGCCAAGCAGATGACACAAAAACACTGATTAGGTGAATATTATAATGGTCTGGAGAGTTCATGCCCCATCAAAAAAGGCTCAGTTTCTTTTGACTTCAGCTTGCTGAGTTTGGTATAAACTGGTTCCCTTTTATGCTTTCTCTGTCTAAAGGATATTCAATAGTTATCTCACTTACATCTCTATCATCTTTTTTCACTCTTTAACCACACCGGCTTTTTTACTGTGCTTCTAGCATACTAAATATGCTCATTCCTCAGGACATTTACACTTGCTGTTCCCTCTGTCTGGAAGGTTCTAACTATCCACATGACTTACTTCCTCACTTCATTCTGAGCTTTGCTCAAAAATTCCCTCCATGAACAGGCCTTTTGTTACCAGGTACATAAAATCACACTGCCATTATTCTTCTTCTCCCGACCTTGCTTTATCTTCCTTCATATCAATAACTGTGATATTACCTGTGTATTTTCTTTGTGTAGGACTTCCTAACATTTTCTCCATCGTGGCACGCTGAGAAAATGATCCTATTTGAAGAGCATGCTGGAGAAAATGGAGGAGGGCAATTGTGTTTGGTGTCAGTAAAGCTGAGGTTAGGGAGAGGCTCCAGCCTCCACGAGAACCTTAATGGATGAAACACATCTGTCACTCATCTGACTCTTGTTGACATCTGTCCCTCCACCAGAATGCTAGTCCCATGATCATGGGTATTTTATTCACTGCTCTGTCTCCAGTCTTTCTTGTTTTTGCAGTTGCAAGATTTAATAGAGTTAAAACAGAGCTCCTATACAAGGGAGGGGACCCAAAGGGGGTTGCCCCACCCAGCTCGAATGCCTGGGGTTTATATCCCAATCATTGTCTCTCTCCCTGTGCTCTCAGATGATAGATGATTTGACTATTTCTTTACCTCCTGCTTTTAGCCCAATTCGTATTTTAGTGAGCCCTCTTTACTACCTGGTTGGTGGGGTGTGAGCTGAGTTACAAGCCCCATGTTTAAAGGTGGGTGCAGTCACCTTCCCCACCTAGGTTTAGGAATTCTTAGTCGGCCTAGGAATTCCAGCTAGTCCTGTCTCTCAGTCCCCCGTCTCAACAGGAAAACCCAAGTGCTGTTGGGGAGGTTGGCCAACGACCGCTCTAAATGCTTCCTGCATTTAGAGCATATTGGGGCATAGTAGGGGTCAAGCTGTTGAGATTTCCTCCAGAGGGGTGCCTTTGATGTCATCAGCATTGGAGCATGGGCTAGCAGGCCGGTCCAGGGGTCCGAAGTAGATCTTAGTCATGGACTGCATCTGGGCTCCATTTGAAGAACAATTTGTAGTTTTACAGCTTTGATTCTGGAAGAGACAAACTTAACAAGGAAGTTAAAGATACAGGGATTGAAATGTATGGCCTGAAGTGCAGGGGCACATGGGTGTGGGTGGTGAAAGTGGGGTTTCCTTTAGAAAAACCCCTATACGATGGGGCATCAATATTTCTGGGAAGCTCCATTCTCCATAGAAGCTCTTGGTAAGGGGAGCTACTGGTAGTACAGCAGCATGGAGAAGGAGCAGTGAGAGTGAAAGGGGGTAAGAGAACAGTAAAAAGAAAAATATGACAAGGTAGGGCCATGGGGATCTACGATTCTAGTTACTTTCCTCACGGTTGTCGCTTGAAGAGCAGGCGCAGATCCTCTAGAGGTTCACAGGAATAGCTAGTGTTGTCTCCTGGATTTTCAGTTTCGTTTGGTAGTATCCAGGGTTTGACTTGAGTGTGATGTATCCAAGACTCCACTCCAGCCACTTTAACCACGGTTGGGGTAGATAAAATGACTGGGTAGGGTCCTTCCCAGGATGTATCTAGGGATGGGGAATTAGAGGGAAGGGACTTGACTAATACCATGTCTCCAGGGTGGAAAAATTCCTTTCCCTCCTCTCGGGGACAGGTTCCCTGTAATGTTTTAAGAACTTGTTGATATTTGGCTAAGGAGGTGATGTCTGCAACTAAGTTGGCCATCTCTCAGTCAAGCACAAAGTCATTGGTTAAGAAGGGCCATCCATACAGCATCTCGTGTGGACTAAGTCCTGCTTTTTGGGGAGAGTTTCAGATTCTTAGTAAGGCTATAGGCAACAGAGCAGACCATGCGAGGTGGGTTTCCTGGGTTAGCTTTTTTAGATGTCGTTTGAGTGTTTTGTTCTTTTTCTCAACTTTTCCTGAGGATTGTGGCCTCCGGGAACAGTGTAAGTGATATTGTATGCCTAACGCCTGGGATACTCCCTGGGTTACTGCAGCCTTGAAAGCGGGGCCATTGTCACTCTGTAAGGCTCGGGGAAGTCCGAATCTGGGAATTATTTCATGAACTAGTGCCTTTATTACCTCTTGGGCCTTTTCTGTCCTACAAGGCAAGGCCTCTGCCCAACCAGTGAAAGTATCTACCCAAACTAGTAGATACTGAAATCCCTGAGATTTGGGCATGTGGGTAAAATCTAGTTGCCAGTCTTCTCCTGGGTAATGGCCTGTTCTTTGTTCTCCTGAAGGAGCTTGGTGATAAGGCAGGGGATTATTTCTTTGGCACACTTCACAGGCCCTGACTATCTGCTTGATAGTTTTGAAAAGGCCTGGTCCAGTAAATAATGATTTGGCCATCTGATGGGTGCTGTCAATGCCTAAGTGAAAGGTCTGGTGAAGGCTTTTAAGTAATTTCCATTGGTTAGCTGCAGGCAAAAGTATTTTTCCTTCTTCGGTGGCTAGCCATCCTGAGGGGAGGAAACTATGTCCTCATGAACTTCCCCATTCTATTTCTTCTGCTGAGTACTGGGGCTTGTTTTCCCAGAGAGGATTACCCCATACTAGGAGTCCTTCTATAAGCATTTCTAATGGAGGGTCCTGCCTTGCGGCTCTTTTGGCTTCAATATCCGCTTGGCGGTTCCCTTCTATTTCCTTTTCCTTTCCTTTCTAATGCCCCTGGCAGTGTAAGACTGCCACCTCTTTAGGTTTCTGTACAGCCAATAATAATCTCCTGATGTCTTCCTGATGTTTGATAGGTGTTCCCTCAGAAGTTAGGAATTCCCTTTCTCTCCATATTGCTACGTGGGCTTGGAGGACTAGGTGAGCATACTTAGAATCTGTATATATATTTACTCTTTTCTTTTCCCTAATTCTAGTGTATAATGGCTCCTGCTTTTGCTAGAATGTCTCTTCCTAACAAAGGAGTGGGGCTTTCAGGCATAATTAAAAAGACATGTGAAAAGAGTAAAGTTCCCCAGTCACAACTTAGTGGCTGGGAGAAGTTATCTAGTGACTGCCTGTCCTAGGACCCCTTGGATAGTGACAGATCTGGAGGACAGTTGTCCAGGACAGAGGAGTATGACTGAGAAGGCTGTGCCAGTGTCCAGGAGGCAGTTAACCTCCTGGACCTCAATGGTCATGCATACCCAGGGCTCTGTGAGGGTGATGGCATGGGCTGGCACTTGCCCCGGGCACCCTCAGTCCTGCTGCTGGATCATCTGATTAGTGGCTTCTGACTCAGAGGACCTTCGTCCCCTGGGGCAGTGGGCCTTCCAGTGATTCCTTTGACAAAAGGGGCATGGACGAGGGGGCCGCTTATTTCTATTCAGTCTGTCCCCAGTCTTTAAAAGAAAGCCTGATACATAGTACATGCTAAATAAATATTTGCAGAATGAGTAAGTTGCATCATGAGTGTTTCTCCTTATCATTAACAACCTATAAACATTTTAAAGACTTTTTGATCTTTTGTCATATTTTATTTAACCGATTCTCTATTATTGTACTTGTGGGGGTTTTTGGATTTGGTTTAAATATAAAACCTTGTCTCCTTAAAAATAAATTGTTGAGGACTTGGAAGGAATCATATGCAAGTCTTTCACCATTTCAACTTGGATGCACAGATAAACATCATGCCCTAACGAATCCTGGTATGTATGTTCCTGGGACAATCTGAAACATCTCTGGGCACGTTTAGTGTATCATTTAAAAGGAATGAGACTTGGTACCTGTCAAGTTCTCTGTAAATCTCACGTCTAACATGAACCACATAAGAATTCCACCAGCAATTTTTTTACTTGATAATCACTTCTAAAACAGAAACTTGGATTAGAATCAGGAAGGGATGTAAAAGAGAATGAATACATGAGGAGCAGACAGAAGGGAGATGCTGCTGGTGAAACTGGACCCTATTCCCTCCCAGTGATAGAAGAAGCTATGTAGACTGGTGTACTTTATGAATGCCATAGGCATTTTTCTCATTCCTGATGAGCAAGGTGGAAGGTTAGGTCCTTCTAAATTGTACCTGTGTGCTAGGCCAGTTAATCAAAATGTATGTACAGGACAAACACCCAAACACATTTTGTAACATTCAATCCATCCCTGATGACACAGTTGTCTTAACCATCAGAATGTCAGCGACCTGTGGAAATTTATGTGTTTATGTACATTTTCTTACAAGAATTGTTCTTACTCAGGAATGGGTGTAAACACCAGAAAGATTTTTTGATAGATATACTGTTAAGGGCATGAATCAAGAACCTCTGAACTCAAATCCTAGTTCTTCCGCTTACAAATGTATGATCTTGGACAAGTTACTTAACTTTTCAATATCTTAGATTTCCAAGGATAATGAATGTGTTACACACAATATTAGAAAATGAGATAAAGACTCTTAGGGCTTTACTGGTAATGTAACTTCCAACAGGATGAAGAAATAGATTTTTCTCTCCCTCTTTTTCAAAATTCTCACTCTACACTTTACAGCTAAATTTCTCGCAGCATGTTCCACAGAGCATGTGTTCCAAGACATGCTCAATAAAAAAGGATTACTATATACTAACTTCTCTCTTAGAGATTTGTCAAGCCAATTAGCATGCTGAAGGCTCAAGGAAATGTACACTAGAGAAAATTGGTTGACTTTGTTTAATTTGGTATTTCCCAGTCTAATTTAATGAGGAATTTTTTCTTATGATACCTCTTACTAGCTTTTCGAATGACTGTGATGAAACATATTATTAGAGTGGATCTCCTAAGGCTCCATCAGAACAGAGGATCACTGAATTTAGGAGAAATAAAGAGAATTCACAGTGAAGGTGTAATATCTCATCTAGAAAACTGGAGGTCCTAGATAATTTATAGACATGCATAGCTTGTAATGAAGTGACAATATGGCCTCCAATGTTTTAATAATCCCAAATAATTATTAATTTTATATCTCATTAATTTTTTTTCTGCTTGATATCTTTTTGTTTGTATCAGCCTCTTCTGTCATATTTTGGCTTGTTACTTATCTTTTATTTTCTCAAGTATCAACTCTTGATTCATTCAGTGTGGGTGTATATGGGTGGAGTCTCCCTTCTTCACAAAACCCCTAGGTAGTGCAGTTTTTAATAGTGGTGACTCACGAATGACAAGACTAGGAACACTTTTTAAGCATTGATTATAATGAGAGAGCAGCAAGTTATTGCTTGATGAAGTTGGATTTATTAATAGATGAGATAATCCAGTTGTTACAAAAAGTCTGACTTGTAGTTTCTTCGAAACTTCTTATAATCCTCCCTTATTTATTTACCTTTAAAATTTTTTTCTGAATCCAATCCCATCACCATAAAACTCAGAGAAACTTCTGCATCAGCACTTGATAGCTTTCCCAGAAAAACAAAGAAAGTGAATTAAAAAATATAGGCTAGCAGACCAAAAGTCCAAGTAAGACAGGAAAAATATAAAGTTCTCCTTCATCCCTCTGTGCCTCCCACAAAAAAGACCATAAAAAGGAACGTGCAAACCTTAACCCTTGTCCTCATACAAATAAGAGAAAAGCAGGAAAGAGGAATAACAAAGACATGTAAGCGCAAAATAGGAAAGGTAAATTTGAGAATTGCTAACAAATATTTTGTAACATAAAGGAAATTGTAAAATTATATAAATATGTCTGAAAAGAGAAACTGATAGAGTAAAAAATGTTTTTGACCCTTCCCCCACTAATAGATGGGGAAGAAAATCTTTTCATTGCTGATACCAAAAGACAAAGACTGCTATTGAATGTTTCATTTTTCCCCTAAAATAAGGTTGTTGTTTGCAGAAACTGGAATGGGCACCCCCTCCTCACAAAAACAAACTGAAAATAAATAAAAATAATGCACTGTAGCCTTGTCACATCAGGACCTATACAATTCCAATCTGTAATGGGGCTTTTCTCTAAATATTATCCATTAATTTGTTTCTAGTAATGTTCAATTAGGTTATTTGGACCAATCTTTTTGCAGGGAGAAAACCCTATATATTATGGATAAAATGCAAGAAATAAAATGTTTTTAAAAAACATTGAAAAGCTGAAAGAGAGTGAAGAATTTCTAGGGCAAACTTGAAGGGAAAGCAGGAACCCAGAGAGGTACGGGGAGCCCAGAGGCCATTGAAGGTCTTTGCCAATCTGGAGAAATTGGAACTTTAACAGCCAAGGTGACATCGCCTGCCCAAGGTGGGGAGTCTAAGAGGAGATCTTCTCCATTTTAAGCTGAAATTCCAAAGGGCTCTACCGTTCAGTCAGGGTGAAGCAGAAGTAAATTGGGCTTTGAATGTACTGTTAGCTGAAATTGACATCTTTTGAAATGCCAAAACAAGCCCAAACCCCTCAAGCGTTGAATTTAGTCTGAGTGATTTTGAACAGATAGTGTCTTCAGATATTTGGCTTTAGCAAATGTGCATTTTCTTTTGAAGAAGTACCTTTCATACCAGAACTCAAATTTTTTCCTACAAATAATTTTTCAAAAATATTTTAGCATCAAACAGTGCTATTCACACAAAAAGAAAGCACGGTGCATGAGGACAAACAGAAATAATAGACAACAAAACAAAATTCACGAAGTCTCCAGATACTGGAATTATCAGTCAAGGGTTGTAAAACAACTATGCTTTCAATATTTACATAAATAAAAGACAAAGTATCTGTGCAAACAGGAAACCTTATAAAGTGACAACAGATTTGGAAAAGAACCAGATTTCCAACAGATTTGGAAAAGTTATAACTTCTAGAAATGAATATATATATGGATATATGATAATGTATAAAATTATTAGCAGATTACTCATGGATAAAAAGATAACTGGTGAATTTGAAAATAAGTCTGAAAAAATTATCCAGAATTCAACACAGAGAAAATAAAGGATGGAAAATAAAACAAGAGATTAAGAGACATGGGGTGATAGAGAGAAAACATCTAACAATCATTCGTGTAGAATCCTAAAGTACAATAGAGAGAGAATGAAAATATAGTAAAAATTTTCTACAGCTGATGAAATACATTAACCCACAATTCCAGAAGCCCCTTAATTTCAAGTGAGATATTTAAAAATATTTCTACCTACCCCTAACAGTGAAAATGAAGAACAGCAAAGACAAAAGGAAAACAAAAATGTAGGCCCAGAAAATAAGACAGATGACATTCAAAAGAGTGGCATTTATACTGATAGTTGACCCCTCAATAGCAGCAATGGAAGGCAGATGGAAGTGAATTGATCTTTTTCAATGTATTGAAAGAAAGTAACTACAGTCTAGAATTATACACCAAGAGAAAATGTCTTTGAAGAATGATAGCAGAATGAATACATTTTCATATTAAGAAATTGAGAAAGTTTTTCATCAGGAAAAAGTACAAACGATAAAGCATGAAGGATATACTTCAAGAAGAATAAAAGTGAGATGGAAAATATGAGACGTGAAAAGGAAATAAGAGCAAAGAAAATGGCAAATATATGGGTAAATCTAAAAGAAAGTTGAATGTATAAAATAATGCCTTGAAAGATTATCAAAAAACAATTAAAACACATTATAAAAGTTAAAGCTCCTTGAAGTAATTAATGAGTTTTACAAGGTTCTAGGATATAAAGATAATATACAAAAATACATTATCTTTGTAGGTATAAGAAATGAACTATTGAAACCCACAATTTTTCAGCATACCATTTAAAATAGTTATAATAAAAATGAAACACTGTATCTTTGTACCCATTGACCAACCTCTCCCCATCCCCTCCCATCTTACTCTCCCTGGTTTCTGGTAACCACTATTCTACTCTCTACTTCCTTTTACTTTTTTGAGACAGAGTTTCGCTCTTGTTGCCCAGGCTGGAGTGCAGTGGGGCTATCTCAGCTCATTGCAACCTCCATCTCCTGGGTTCAAGTGATTCTCCTGCCTCAGCCTCCCAAGTAGCTGGGATTACAGGCGCGTGCCACCATGCCTGCCTAATTTTGTATTTTATTAGAGACAGGATTTCACCATGTTGTTCAGGCTGGTCTCAAACTCCTGACCTCAGGTGATCCACCCATCTTGGCCTCCCAAAGTGCTGGGATTACAGGTGTGAGCCACTATGCGTGGCTCTCTACTCTCTACTTCTATGAGATCAACTTTTTTAGATTCCACATGAGCAAAATCTTATGGTATTTGTCCTTCTGTGCTATGCTTATTTCACATAATATAATGTCCTCTAGGTTCATCCATGTTGTTGCCAATGACAGAATTTTGTTCTTTTTAGGGCTGTATAGTATTCCATTGTGTATATATACTATGTTTTCTTTAGCCATTCGTCTGTTGATGAATACTTAAGTTGATTCTATACCTTGGCCATTGTGAATAATGCTGCAATAAACATGGGAATGCAAATACGTCTTCATCATACTGATTTCATTTCCTTTGGATATATACTCAGTAGTGGGATTGTTAGATATTCTATTGCACATTAGGGTGACTATAGTCAACAATAATGTGTTGTACACTTCAAAATAGCTATAAGACAGGATTTTGAATGTTCTCACTACAAAGAAATGACAAGTGTTTGAGGTGATGGATATACTAATCATCCTTGTTTGATCGTTATACAATGTATATATGTATCAAAAATCACACTGTATCCCATAAATATGTACAATTATGTGTCAATTAAAAACAAAATAAAACTTAAAAAATGAAATATTTATAAATCTACAAATGTGCAGTATCTGGATGCTTAAAACTACAAAACAATGATGAAAAACTCAAATAAGTCCTAAATTAGTGAAAAAATATACAATGATCATGTGTCAGAAGACCCAACATTGTAAGATGTCAATTCTCCCTGGACTGACCTATAGATTTAACACAAACACAATCAAATTTCTAGCCAGAATTTTTTGTAGATATCTAATGCTGATTGTATTGAAAGATAAAGCAACAAGAATAGACAAAATAATTTTGAAGAAGGAAAACAAAGTTGAGGGATTCACACTACCTGATTTCATGACTTACTCTAAAGCTACAGTAATCAAGTCAGTGCGGTATTGGTGAAAAGACAGACACAAGATCAATGGGACAGGGTATAGAATTCAGAAATAGACCCACTCAAATATGGCCAATTGATACAAAAGCATTAAATGGAGAAAGAACAATATTACCAGCAAATGACATTAGAACAAATGGACATCATAGGCATAAAAATGAACCACATTCTGTATCTCACATTTGATACAAAATAGACTAAAAATCGATCATAGATTCAATATAAAACTTTTAAATAAAATACAGAAAATCTTTTGTGACCTTGGGTTAGACAACAAGTTTTAAAATGCACAACAAAAGCATGATTCATAAAATAAAAATTTGAATGAGGATTAAGATGGCAGATAGGAGGCAGGACTAGCTTGCAGCTCCCACTCGGATGGACACAGCAGTGTGTGGAGACTCACATTGTGAACTTTTACTCCAAATGTGACCACAGGAATATACCAGGAAAGCTGAGAGAATTCACAGATCCTTTGAAGGAAATGGATCACAGCTGCAGGCTCTCTGAGATGCCAAAAAACTGTGAGTCTGGTTGCATTCTCAATAGGGAGGCTTGTGGTCTGCGGCAAGTTCTTAGCCTGGGTCACCAACTGCCTGTGACTGCCAGCCTTCCCCCACTTCCCTGACAACCTGCATGACTCAGCAGAGGCAGCCATAATCCCCCTGGGACTATAACTCTATTGAACTGAGAACCACACCCCTACTCCCACAGCAGCCACAGCAAGCCCCGCACAAGGAGAGGCTGAGCTCAGACAGGCCTATCTGTGCCCCAACCTGGTAGTCTTTCTCTACCTGCCCTGGTAGCTACCAGGGAGCGCTATGGCCCTCCCCACCACTTGAGAAACTTAAATACTTAACAAGGTGTCCCTAGGGCAAGTTTGCATCCTCCCTATAGGACTGCAGCTGATGCACTCTTGAAAGTACCACCTCCTGGCTGGAGGCCAAGCAACACAAAACCAGCGCACTAAACAAAAACACAACCAAGGACCCTCAGAGTCCACTTCACTCCCCTGCTACCTCCACCAGAGCAGGTGCTGGTATCCGCAGCTGAGTAACCTGAAGATGGATTACATCACAGCATTCTTTGTAGACACTTCCCAGTACCAGCCTGGAGCCCAGTAGTGCCACGGGGTGGCTAGACCCAGAAGAGCAAAAACAATCACTACAGTTTAGCTCTCAGGGGAAGGGGGTGAACACTACATCAAGGAAGCACCCTGTGGGACAAAAGAATCTCAACAGCAGCCCTTGAATCCCAGATCTCCTTCTGACCTAGTTTACCCAAATGAGAAGGAATCAGAAAAACAATTCTGGTAATATGACAAAACAAGGTTCTTCAACACCCCCAAAGATCATATCAGCTCACCAGGATTGGATACAAACCAAAACGGAATCTCTGAATTGCCAGAGAAATAATTTGGAAAGTTGATTATTAAGCTAATCAAAGAGGCACCAGAGAAGGGTGAAGTCCAACTGATAGAAATAAAAAGCATGATACAGGACATGAAAGGAAAATTCTTTAGTGAAATAGATAGCATAAATAAAAAACAATCACAACTTCTGGAAGTCAAGGACACACTCAGAGAAATGCAAAATGCACTGGAAAGTCTCAGCAATAGCATTGAACAAGCAGAAGAAAGAACTTCAGATCTCGAAGACAAGGCTTTCTTTTTTTTATGTTATTTTTATACTTTATTTTTGCATACAACGTGATATGGGAATATTGGTACAATTTCAAATTGTCTTCAGCAATAGTAACTATGCAATTAAGACTTATTTAAAAAATTAATCGAGCTCTGTCCAAGGCTGCTATCCTCTCTGAAGTTATAGTAACAGTCTAGAATTTCTTCTATCTAAAAACTGACTCCCAACAGACTACATTTTTCAGAGCCTGTAAAGTAGGTTATCTCTGGGAAAAAACAACTACAGAGACACCCCATTCCACAGTAGTGCCTGTGGAATTTATGAATTTATCTTCATTAAATCAGGTTAACAATACAAATGACAGGAAGAAAATTTATGAAAGAACACCCAAAGCCATGAGGGAGGGAGGAGAGGAAGTGGGGGTGATTTGTTGATCATGGAGATGGTAAGAGTGAGAGTGTGGTGAGGACTACGAAGTATGCAAATGCCACAGGTCTGCTCTACCTCTTGCTGAAAGAAATTTCTTTTTCTCCTCCAACAGATGCCTCTTTGAGTCTTTGTGGATACTTATCAACTTCATCAAAGGTCATTTTGTAAATACACAGTTTAATTTACACAAATTTTACTACCTGGAAGAACAATTTTCCCAAATTGCCTTCACTTCTGTGTTTCAAACCCTCATTTAGGAATTTCCAGGAAAGTCTCCATACCATTGGTCAACTAGGCACTAACTTCTCTGTGATGGGCGTCAATCACTGTTATATTACATATCTAACACAGGAGTGCTGGACTTGTAATAAGGAAGAGTTTTAGCTCCACTTATTCTGTAAAGGAATATAAATAAGAAGTGATGATATATTTAGGGATCTAGCATCCAGATTAGAGAGAGTTAGTTGATTGGTTACCTAGGTAACAAGTGATTTCCAAAAGGAAAAGTACTGACCTGATGGTGTGTATGTGACCAAAGGTTAAGTTACCAACCATAACTGTCTGCAGCCTACATCTCAGATTTTCCAGTCTTCCCTGATCTTTGAGCCCTAGGGGTTAGTCATAATAGGAAGGACAAGGCTTTCAAATTAACCCAATCCATCAAAGACAAATAAAAAAGAATTTTAAAAAACGAACGAAGTTTCCAATAAGTCTGGGATTATGTTAAACATCCAAACCTAAGAATAATTGGTGTTCCCGAGCAAGAACAGAAATCTAAAAGTTTGGAAAACAAATTTGAGAGAATAATTGAGGAAAACTTCCTCAGCTTTGCTAGAGATCTAGACATCCAAATACAAGAAGCTCAAAGAACACTTGAGAAATTCATCACAAAAAGATCATTGCCTAGGCACATAGTCATCAAGTTATCTAAAGTCAAGATAAAGAATCAAGAGGTGTGAGGAAAAAGCATCAGGTAACCTGTAAAGGAAAAGCTATCAGATTAACAGCAGATGTCTCAGTAGAAACCCTACAAGCTGGAAGGGATTGGTGTCCTATTTTTAGCCTCCTTAAACAAAACAATAATCAGCCAAGAATTTTGTATCCAGAGAAACTAAACTTCATAAATGAAGGAAAGATACAGTCTTTTCCAGACAAACAAATGCTGAGAGAATTTGCCACTACCAAGCCAGACCTACAAGAACTGCTAAAAGGAGCTCTAAATCTTGAAACAAATCCTCAAAATACACCAAAATAGAACCTCCTTAAAGAATACATTTCACAGAGCCTATATAACAATAATACAATGAAAAAAAAACACAAAGTATTCAGACAACAAGTAGCATGATGAATACAATAGTATAATACCTCACATCTCAACACTAACATTGAGTGTAAATGGCTTAAATGCTCCACTTAAAAGATACACGGAATGGCAGAATGGATAAGAATTCACCAACCAAGTTTCTGCTGTGGTCAGGAGGCTCACCTAACACATAAGGACTCACATAAACTTAAGGTAAAGGGGTGGAAAAAGATATTCCATGCAAATGGACACCAAACTCAAGCGGGAGTAACTATTCTTAAACTAGTCAAAACAAACTTTAAAGCAACAGCAGTTAAAAAAGACAAAGAGGGACATTATGTAATAATAAAAGGACTAGTCTAACAGGAAAATATCACAATTCTAAATACATATGCACCTAATACTGGAGCTCCCAAATTTATAAAACAATTACTGATAGACCTAAGAAGTCTGCAGTCTATCTGGAGATAGATGGCAACACAATAACAGTGGGGGACTTTAATACTCCACTGACAGCGCTAGACAGGTCATCAAGACAGAAAGTCAACAAAGAAACAATGGACTTAAACTATACAAATGTACTTAACAGATATTTACAGATCATTCTACCCAACAACTGCAGAATATACATTCTATTCATCAGCACATGGAACATTCTCTAAGATAGACCATATGATAGGTCACAAAACAAGTCTCAGTGAATTTAAGAAAATCAAAATTACATCAAGTACTCTCTCAGACCACAGTGAAATAAAATTGGAAATTAACTCCAAAAGGAACTCTCAAAAACATGCAAATACATGGAAATTAAATAACCTGCTCCTGAATAATCATTGGGTCAACAATGACATCCAGATGTAAATTAAAAAATTCTTTGAACTGAACGATAATAGTGACACAACCTATCAGAACCTCTGGGATACAGGAAAAGTGGTGCTAAGAGGAAAGTTCATAGCATTAAATGCCTACATCAAAAGTCTAAAAGATCATAAATAGGCAATCTAAGGTCACACCTTACACAACTGGAGAAACAAGGACAATCCAAACCTAAACCCAGCAGAAGAAAAGAAATAATGAAGATCAGAGCAGAACTAAATAAAATTGAAACAAAAACATACAAAAGATGAATGAAATGAAACTTGGTTCTTTGAAAAGATAAATAAAATTGATAGACCATTAGCAAGATTAACCAAGAAAAGAAGAGAGAAGATCCAAATAAGCTCAATTAGAAATGAAAGGGGAGATATTACAACTGATACCACAGAAATACAAAAGATTATTCAAAGCTACTATGAACACCTTTACATGCATAAACTAGGAAATTTAGAAGAGATGGATAAATTTCTGGAAATATACAACCCTCTTAGATTAACCCAGGAAGATATAGAGTCTCTGAACAGACCAATAACAAGCAGTGAGATTGAAATGGTAATAAAAAAAATTGCCAACCAAAAAAAGTTCAGGACCAGATGGATTTACAGCTGAATTCTATCAGACATTCAAAGAAGAATTGGCACTAATCCTATTGACACTATTCCAAAGATAGAGAAAGAGGGAATCCTCCCTAAATCATTCTATGAAGCCAGCATCACCCTAACACCAAAACCAGGAAAGAACATAACAAAAAAAGAAAACTACAGACCAATATCCCTGATGAACATAAATGCAAAAATCTTCACCAAAATACTAGTTAACAAAATCCAACAGCATATGAAAAAGATAATCCACCATAATGAAGTGGGTTTTATACCAACAATTCAGGAATGGTTTAACATATGTAAGTCAATAAATGTGATACTCCACATAAACAGAATTAAAAACAAAAATCACATGATCATCTTAATAGATGCAGAAAAAGCATTTGACAAAATCCAGTATCCCTTTATGGTTAAGACCCTCAGCAAAATCGGCATAGAAGGGACATGCCTTAAGGTAATAAAAGCCATCTATGACAAATCCACAGCCAACCTTATACTGAATGGGGAAAAGTTAAAAGCATTTCCCCTGAGAACTGGAACAAGACAAGGATGCCCACTTTCACCATGCCTATTCAACATAGTACTAGAAGTCCTAGCCAGAGCAATCAGAGAAGAGAAAGAAAGAAAGGACATCCAAATCTGTAAAGAGGAAGTCAAACTGTTGCTGTCTGCTGACTGTATGATTGCATACCTAAAAAACCCTAAAGACTCATCCAAAAAGCTCCTAGAACTGGTAAATGAATTTAGCAAAGTTTCTGAATACAAAATTAACGTACACAAATCTGTAGCTCTTCTATACACCAACAGTGACCAAGCTGATAATCAAATCAAGAACTCAACCACTTTTACAATAGCTGCAAAAAATAAAATAAGATAAAATACTTAGGAATATACCTAACCAAGGACATGAAAGACCTCTACAAAGAAAACTACAAAACACTGTTGAAAGAAATCATAGATGACACAAACAAATGGAAACACATCCCATGCTCATGGATGGGTAGAATCAACATTGTGAAAATGACCATATTGCCAAAAGCAATCTACAAATTCAATGCAATTCCCATCAAAATACTACCATTATTCTTCACAGAACTAAAAAAAAAAAAAAAAAAAAAAATCCTAAAATTCGTATGGAACCAAAAAAGAGCCTGCATTGCCAAAGCAATACTAAGCAAAAAGAACAAATCTGGAGACATCGTATTACTTAACTTCAAACTATGGTATAAGGCCATAGTCACCAAAACAGCATGGCACTAGTATAAAAATAGGCACATAGACCAATAGAACAGAATGGAGAACCCAGAAATAAACCCAAATACTTACAGCCAACTGATCTTTGACAAAGCAAACAAAAACATAAAGTGTGGAAAGGACACCCTATTTGACAAATGGTGGGGGGATAATTGGCAAGCCACATGTAGAAGAATGAAACTGGATCCTCATCTCTTGCTGTATACAAAAATCAACTCAAGATGGATCAAAGACTTGAATATAAGGCCTGAATCCATAAACATTTTAGAAGATAACGTTGGAAAAACCCTTCTAGATATTGGCTTAGGCAAAGACTTCATGACCAAGAACCCAAAAGCAAATGCAACAAAAACAAATATAAATAGATGGGACTTAATTAAACTAAAAAGCTTCTGCACAGCAAAAGAAATAACCATCAGAGTAAGCAGACAACCCATAGAGTGGGAGAAAATCTTCACAATCTACACATCTGAAAAAGGACTAATATCCTGAATCTACAAAGAATTGAAATAAATCAGCAAGAAAAAAACAAACAATCCTATCAAAAACTGAGCTAAGGACATGAATTGACATCTCAAAAGAAGATATACAAACGGTCAACAAGCATATGGAAAAATGCTCAACATCACTAAGTATCAGGGAAATCCAAATCAAAACCACAATGCAATACCACCTAACTCCTGCAAGAATGGCCATAATCAACAAATCAAAAAATAATAAATGTTGGTGTGGGTTTGGTGAAAAGGGAACACTTTTACACTGTTGGTGGGAATGTAAACGAGTACAACCACTATGGAAAATAGTGTGGAGACTCCTTAAAGAATTTAAAGTAGGTCTACCATTTGATCCAGCAATTCCACTACTAGGTATCTACCCAAAGGAAAAGAAGTCATTATACAAAAAAGATACTTGCACACACATGTTTATAGCAGCACAATTTGCAATCGCAAAAATATGAAACCAGCCCAAATGCTCATCAATCAATGAGTGGATAAAGAAAATGCGGCATATATATACCATGGAATACTACTCAGCCATAAAAAGGGATCAAATAATGGCATTCACAGCAACATGGATGGAATTGGAGACTATTATTCTAAGTGAAGTAGTTCAGGAATGGAAAGCGAAACATTGTATGTTCTCACTTATATGTGGGAGCTAAGCTATTGAAGACACAAAGACATAAGAATAATACGTTGGACTTCGGGGACTTGGGGGAAAGGGAAGGGGGAGTGAGGAATAAAAGACTACACATTGGGTACAGTGTACACTGCTTGGGTGATGGATGTACCAAACTCAGAAATCACCACTAAAGAACTTATTCATGTAACCAAACACCATCTGTTCCCCAAAAACCTTTTGAAATAAAAAAATTAAAAATTAAAAAAATTTTTAAAAAATAAAATAACTTTATGAGTCAGGCCTTGTGAAAATGAAAACCTTTTTCTTTCTAAGACACTGTTAAGAGTGTGAAAAGACAAGCTACAGAATGAAGAAAATGTTTGCAAATTAGATATATGACAAAATACATATCCAGAATATGCATTGAATTTGCAAATTCAGCAAGAAAACATACAGCTCATCAGAAATGGGCAAAATGTTTGAATAGATATCTCACTAAAGAAACTATGTGGATGAAAAATAAACATGCAAATATATGATTATCATCATTAGTTATTAGGGAAATGCAAGTTAAAACCACAATAAGATACCATTACATACCTATTAAAATGACTAAAATAAAGAATACAATACAAAGTACTGCCATAGATATGGAGCAACTGACATACATTACTGATAGGCATGCAGAATGATATAGTCACTCTAGAGAACAGTTTGGCATTTTCTTATAAAATTAAAAGTATACATACCACATGATTCAGTAATCTCACTCTGAAGTATCTGCTATTTACCCTAGAGAAATGAAAAATTATGTTCCCACACAAAACCTGTACATGGATATTTATAGCAGCTTTATTCACAATAGCACCAAGCTAGAAACAACCCAAATATCCTTCTATTGACTGTGACATGTCCATAAAATGAAATGCTATTCAGCAATAAAAATGAGCTAACTATAGATACCTACAACAACATGTGTGAATTGAAAATGCATTTTTCTAAGTGAAGGAAACCAGACTCAAAACGTTACTGATATGGTTTGGCTCTGTGTCACCAGCCAAATATCAATTTGTAGCTCCAATAATTACTACGTGTTGTGGGAGGGACCCAGCGGGAGATGATTGAATCATGGGGGTGGGTCTTTCCTGTGCTGTTCTCGTGACAGTGAATGGGTCTCACGAGATCTGGTGGTTTTTAAAAAAGGGAGCTTTTCTGCACAAGCTCTCTTTTTTTGCCTGCTGCCATCCACGTAATTTGTGACTTGTTCCTCCTTGCCCTCCACCATGTTTGTGAGGCCTCCCCAGCCATGTGGAACTGTAAGTCCAATTAAACCTCTTTCTTTTGTAAATTGCCCACTCTTGAGTATGTCTTTATCAGCAGTGTGAAAATGGACTAGCACAGTAAATTGGTACCAGCAGAGTGGGGTGCTACTGAAAAGATACCTAAAAATGTGGAAACAACTTTGGAACTGTGTAACAGGCAGAGGTTGGAACAGTTTGGAAGGCTCAGAAGAAGACAGGAAAATGTGGGAAAGTTTGGAACTTCTTAGAGACTTGTTGAATGGCTTTGACAAAAAGCCTGATAGCAATATGGACAATAAGGTTCAGGCTATGGTGGTCTCAGATGGAGATGAGGATCTTGTTGGGAACTGGAGCAAAGGTGACTCTTGTTATGTTTTAGCAAAGAGAGTGGTGGCATTTTGCCCCTGCCCTACAGATTTGTGGAACTTTGGACTTGAGAGAGATGATTTAGGGTATCTGGTGGAATAAATTTCTAAGCAGGAAAGCATTCAAGAGGTGACTTGAGTGCTGTTAAAAGCATTCAGTTTTATAAGGGAAGCAGAGCATAAAAGTTTGGAAAATTTGCAGCCTGACAATGCCATAGAAAAGAAAATCCCATTTTATGAAGAGAAATTCAAGCCAGCTGCAGAAATTTGCAGAAGTAATAAGGAGCCAAATGTTAATCCCCAAGACAACAGGGAAAATGTCTCCAGGGCATGTCAGAGGTCTTCACAACAGCCCCTCCCATCACAGCCTGGAGGCCTAGAAGAAAAATATGGTTTCCTGGGCCAGGCCCAGTGTCCCCATGCTGTGTGCAGTCTAGGGACTTGGTGCCCTGTGTCCCAGTCACTCCCGCTGGAGCCGTGACTAAAAGGGGCCAAAGTACAGCTTCGGCTGTGGCTTCAGAGGGTGGAAGCCCCAAGCCTTGGCAGCTTCCACATGGTATTGTGCCTGTGGGTGCTCAGAAGTCAAGAATTGAGGTTTGGGAACCTCCACCTAGATTTCATAATATGTATGGAAACACCTTAATGTCCAGGCAGAAGTTTGCTGCAGAGTTCGGGGGCTCATGGAGAACCTCTGCTAGGGCAGTGCAGAAGGAAATGTGGGGTCAGAGCCCCCACACAAAGTCCCTACTGGGGCGCTGCCTAGTGGAGCTGAGAACAGGGTCACCGTCCTTCAGACCCCAGGATGATAGATCCACTGACAGCTTGCACCGTGTGCCTGTAAAAGCTTCAGACACTCAACACCAGCCCATGAAAGCAGCCAGGAGGGAGATTGCACCCTGCAAAGCCACAGGGGCAGAGCTGCCCAAGACTACAGGGACCTATCTGTTGGCATCAGCATGACCTGGATGTGAGACATGGAGTCAAAGGAGATCATTTTGGAGCTTTAAGATTTGACTGCCCTGCTGGACTTCCGACTTGCATGGGGCTCGCAGCCCCTTCGTTTTGGCCAATTTCTCCCATTTGGAATGGGTGTATTTACCCAATGCCTGTACCCCCATTGTACCTAGGAAGTAACTAACTTGATTTTGATTTTACAGGCTTATAGGCAGAAGGGACTTACTTGCCTTGTCTCGGATGAGACTTTGGACTGTGGACTTTTGAGTTAATGCTGAAATGAGTTGAGACTTTGGGGGACTGTTGGGAAGGCATGATTGGTTTTGAAATGTGGAGACATGAGATTTGGGAGGGGCCAAGTGTGGAATGATATGGTTTGGCTCTGTGTCCGCACCCAAATCTCAATTTGTAGGTCTCATAATTCCCATGTGTTGTGGGAGGGACCTGGTGGGAGATGACTGAATCATAGGGGCAGGTCTTTCCCATGCTGTTCTCATGAGAGTGAATGGGTCTCACAGGATCTGATGGTTTTTAAAAATGGGAGTTTCTCTGCACAAGCTCTCTCTTTTTGCCTGCTACCATCTACATAGATGTGACTTGTTCCTCCTTGCCTTCTGCCATGTTTGTGAGGCCTCCCCTGCCATGTGGAACTGTAAGTCCAATTAAACCTCTTTCTTTTATAAATTGCCCATTCTTGGGTATGTATCAGCAGCATGAAAACGGACTAATACAGTTACTTATGGTGTAATTTTATTTCTATGACATTCTGGAAAAGACAAAACGATAGGAACACAGAACAGGTAAGTGGTTACCATGGGCTAAAGAAGGGGGAAAGATTGACTACAAAGAGGAAGGATGAGGTATTATTTTGGGATGAGTGAGTTGTTCTATATCCTGATTATGGTAGCAGTTATGCAGCCCTATGCATTTGTCAAACTCATGGAACTGTAGGCCCCCCCAAAGGTGTATTTTACTGCGTGTAAATAACAATAATAAGCAAAAGATAACTCTGAAAATGTGTCATGCACCACAGAAACAAAGTTCGGCATTATTAGACATCAAGGTTAGAATGGTCTTGCAATCCATTCTTTGGAAACCTGTATTTTTTTAAGTTAAAAATATGCTGCATTATTTTTTACTGGTTCATTTGAGCCAGGAAAAAATGATTCATTCAGAAGAATTCTTCCCAGGTAGTCCTAAGTATAAGTATGAAAGCATGAATCATAATTGTCAGGGAAAATTCAGTAGATTACTTTACAGCACGTCTCACATTTTATCAGAAAAATCTGAATTTTTCAAACTATACCATTTGAAAGATATTGGCCTAGGTAAGCCTCCTTATTCAGTTTTGTAAATGAAGAGGCCACTTGGAGAAAGTGCTATGGCTTGTGCCAACATACATGTAGCTAAAAATATAATTACATTTACAGTTTGTTTTATTTGCATATAGTACCAAATTTTCTTTTAAAAAGTATCATGTTATTTGGTCAGTCTTGCAGCAACTCTCCAAATCATTGAAAAACTAACAATAAGGCCAGGCGCAGTGGCTCACGCCTGTAATCCCAGTACTTTGGGAGGCTGAGGCGGGCAGATCACGAGGTCAAGAGATTGAGACCATCTTGGCCAACATGGTGAAACCCCGTCTCTACTAAAAATACAAAAATTAGCTGGGCGTGATAGTGCGCACCTGTAGTCCCAGCTACTCAGGAGGCTGCGGCAGGAGAATGGCGTGAACCCGGGAGGTGGAGGTTGCAGTGAGCCGAGATCGCACCACTGCACTCCAGCCTGGCTACAGAGCAAGACCCCATCTCAAAAACAAAAATAAAACTCCCCAAAAAACCAAAACTAACAATAAAAGAGTGATATCCTTATGGAAGCTACACACCATACAGACACACAAATACACATGCTAACACATGCACACAGTGTCACCAACACAGGTAGACACACTTATGTACACACATGCCCACACACACACAGGTTGCACACGTGTGTAAAAACACACAGCTATGTATATTTTTGCTCACATACAACATGCAAATGGGATGCCTCCCTATACCATGCGCATACCTTTTTTGTTTCTCAAAAATGTAGACCATCTCCTGAAATCCAGAGTGTAAGAATTTTTTTTTTTTTGAGACGGAGTCTCACTCTGTCGCCAGGCTGGAGAGCAATGGCACGATCTCAGCTTAATCTCCACCTCCCGGGTTCAAGCGATTCCCCTGCCTCAGTATCCCAAGTAGCTGGGAGTACAGGCGGGCACCACCATGTACTGCTAATTTTTTGTATTTTAGTAGAGATGAGGTTTCACCATGTTGGCCAGGATGGTCTCGATCTCCTGACCTTGCGATCCGCCCGCCTCGGCCTCCCAAAGTGTTGGGATTACGGGCGTGAGCCACCGTGCCCGGCCGTAGTGTAAGAATTATGTTTAAAGGTTATGGTGTCTACCTTAAATAGAGAGCTTCTGCCTCAAATCCTTTTGGAAATAAGCTGTTTATAAATGAAGAACAGAAAAAGGATCTGGCAATACTTGGGCTTCTCAGCTAAATTATTTAATAATACCCAAACATAATTCATTAGGTTTGGGATATTTGCTCTTGGAGTTCAGCCACCATGCTGTGAGGAGTCCAACAGCCCTGCTTCCCTCACCCTTAGCCATAGCTGAGCTCCCCGCTGGCAGCCAGCACTAACTTGTCATGTGTGAATGAGCCATCTTGGAAGTGGAGCCCCTAGTTGAGCCGCCCCAGCTGATGCCATGTGCGTTAGAGACAAATGACCCTGCCAAGCCCTGCCAAGATTTCCTATTTGTGAGCAAAATAAATGGTTGGTATTGTTTTAAACCTCTAAGTGTTGGGTGATTTGTTATGCAGCAATACATAACTTGTAAGTGTGGAATAAAATGTTGTTGGAATGATTTTATCTTCTTTCCCTCTGATACTGCCTCTTCTCCATTCTGCCATGCCACAAACTCTTCCACACTCCCTAATTCACTTTACACACATACACACACACACACACACAGTCACACACACCATAAGCCCGAGTTCCAGAATAACGTAAGGGAGAGATAGGTGGATAGGTGGAGGAAAACTAGAGGGAAAAAAAGGGAGAGAATGAGCTTATACGTATGATAATCCTGTATTGAGTAGTAAATGCAAGAAACCACTTCCAATATTTAGGTCAAGCGTGAGTGTCAGTTTAGGGAAGGTGTGTCCAGAGGGCGATCTTCAGGGCAGAATATGAGAAAGTGTTCCTTAGGGGCATTTAAAGTTTGTGGTGTCAATTTGGAGGTGTCATTTCTGGTACATGTACTTATTTTTTTGAAGATGATGGACTTATGAGTGGATGTTGTGGGTCCAGGTAGCAGACTCAGCCATAGGACAGTGAGCCTCTGGAGTGAGGACAAATCCTCTACTCTAAAAATTTGCCCAGAAGAGTGAGAGATGCATTTTCATGGCAGGGAGTAAGGATTCAGGGTGTTTACCCATTAGGGATCTTCCCAGATGAGAAAATGTGACAGGAAAAAAGAAGCCCATGTTGGAGCATTGGCCAGGGACAGGGTTTGGTAGTTAGAAGTCCCTGGAGCTGAAAGCATACCTGTTTTCCTTTCATCAAGTGATATTCATTGTTACTGCCTTTAATAATTATTTCAATAAATATTTATTGAGCATACGTTATGAGCCAGGCACCAGAAATATGATGATGAGCAAAGCAGACATGGTTCCTGTCCTCATGGAGCTTATAAATTAGCAGGGGTGGAACAGAAACCAATTAAATGTGACACAGAAGCAATGAAAAGTGTTGTTAAGGAAAGTGGAGTTCTACGAGAGGGGGAATCAGGAAGCCAAATTTATAGCTTCTGCTCTCTGGGTGTTAACAGCTTTTCCTCTCCCTTCAGCTTTTTCATACCTTCCAAGAATATCTTGACAGATCGTTAATTTTGTTCCTTGGGTTTTTGAGTACTTATGAATGATTTAATTAATGTATGTATGTATAACTTTGAAGGGACAGTTAAGGTAAGTAAACAGAAAATATACAGATTCAAAGGTCTTTAAAACCCACGAATTGAAATCTTCAGGCTCATGTGGGTGCTAGGGATGTGGGTAAAACAGAGAAAATAAATGTTACAAACTCTAATTTCAAGGAATGCTCACCTAGCTGGTGAAACAAAGATAATCTCCAAGAAATGGAATCCTTTCATAAGGTACACCACACCATCATTAAATCCTAGATTGTGATGAACTGGCCTTTAATGCTGGAGAAATGCTGGAAAGCTATGACAAACCTGGTGTCATCAGAAGAGGCTACAAGGAAGAGGTGGGTTTGGAGAAGGGTGTTGTTATTGTTGTTTGGTTAGGGTGTGGGATAGTGCAGAGAGAAGCATTCTAGGTAATGGGAGAAACACAATTCGAGATTCAGAGGTAGAATGAATGTGGTAAATAGAAGTAGATACATTCCCATTGCATTCATGAGGCTTCATTGTATCAATGTTTTGGGTGACATCAGATTTTTTATTTTTTATTTTTGAGATGGAGTCTCACTCTGTTGCTCAGGCTGCAGTGCAGTGGCACAATCTTGGTTCACTGCAACCTCGAGATCAGATGTTTTAATAACAGAGTTTTTAATGCATATAACCAAAATGGGGAGAATAGGAGTGTAGGGGTTGTGTGGGAGGTAAAGGTATTTGATAGATCATTTTAGAATGCATGAACATTTAAATATGACCACATATCTAATACAAGTTCCTTCCCCATGTATTCTATTAGATTGGATAGTATGTCATTGTTAATATTCAATCATTTTGACCTACAGAAATGCCAGTGTCATATGCTTTGCTTTCCTCAATTTCAATTACCTGTAGTCGATTGAAGCCAGAAAATAGGTAATAGTGGATCATTAAACAACATTTGTAATAGTTTACCACATTCATCATCTCCAGGCAGTTTTACAGGTATTGAAAGTTAGAAATCTAAAAATTATCAAAGATATTTTTCTGTTATAGTTGATGTACGCTGTGCTGTGCCACCTAGATTCTTCTTAAGAAAAGAAATCCTCTCCATTCTCTCTGGCCAGCCTCTGGGAATATTACTGACAGACAGCCCTCAGCTGTTAGCCGTCTTCAGAGGTCCTTCAGAGAGCTGCCTTGCCCAAGGTCATACTCTCTTCCCAGGGCAGCCCACACCTAATGACAGATTGAAGAGGAGGTCTGAAGGTCTGACCATCTCACTTCGACTCATGATAACTCCAAAGAATTATCTAAGCTTTAGAACTCCCTGTAGGGTCAGCTGAGACTGCCATTGATTCTAAAACACAGTTTAACTTCTCTCTTTTCCTAATCTTTTTTTTCCAAGGGTGTTGATTTCTAATAACTTTCTTGCACTGTAAACTCTGTTTCAGAGTCTACTTCCCAAGGTACCCAATCTACAACAGTTGGTGCCAGAACAGAGAAAGCAAATGCTGAGTAGATTTAGGAACTAGATCATCTGCCACACAACTGGCGAAAAGAATTCCATCACTGGTCGTGGGTGGAACATAAAGAGCCTTTGGCATGAGGTAGCAGTACCATTGTTAAAACTTCCACTCTGGAGAAATGGGATGGTATACTGATGGAAAGGAATGTACTAGCTGATGCTATGATTCAGACATTTAAGAAATGTGGTGGAAAGAATAACTATAAGGTGATTAATTGACAACCAAGTATGAAAGCCAGAGGTCCTGGTTATGCTTTTAAAGGAACTCTCATCTTCTTCAGATAGAGGGGCAGAGAAAACTGAAGACCGGGCCTGGGACTTAATTTTAAAAGTAGCAGCAGAGATCCAAAGAAAATAAACTTTTAAAATAACCAGATCTGCTCTGCCAATTTCATGATCTTAGCTGCAAAAAATAGGACCCTGGCAACTAGGTTCATATGCTTAACATTTTAAATCCCCAGATTCCCTGAACCCTCTGGCCTTTCTTCCCTGTAGAGGGTTAGCTCTCCCAACTTGGTGGAAGATGATGCAGAGTGTCTCCCACATAAGACAACACATGCCCCCTCTCCTACCCAGGATCTGTCCTCATCACTCTTCTGGTCACTAGGTCAATAACTAGGGTTAAGACATATCATGGCCTGTCCACGGAAACGCTTGTCTGATAAGGGAGGAAAAGAACTCTACCTCAAAGGAGCTGCAGTTCCCAGCTAACATGTACTGGCATGAGTTGAATAAGGGAGAGTTTATTGATTTGGGAGCACTCTTCCAGGACAGAGGATTTAGCTCCTTGGCAAGAATCCTTTTCCAAACACGGAAAAAGCAATGATTCACCTTAAGTTAGGTGGAAAGATCAGAATTGCCATTGCAGATATTGATATGGCAGAAGTGGGAATGCTAGAGTGGATATACATAAGAACAGAAAACCTGCTGGAAGACTGCATTTATTTGGAGGACTAAGTGGATACACCATTTACCAAGGCAATCAGAAATGTGATGGTGAGTGGGAACAAACACCACACAAAATATTTTATGGTGACAATCCTCCGTTGGCCAGTGGTGATGGTAAAGTATAGAAATGGGACTAATAGGGCCCTGATACATGAGAAGTTAGGTGGCAGTGCTATAATCATCAAAAGCCAAGTTGATATAATTGTAGGGATGAGCAACAAGTTTGGAGCAAGAGCCAAGGAGCCCTGACCTTCAAAGAGTAATGGTGATGTTTAACAGAACACAGCATCATTAGGGAAAAAACAGAAGGCAGCTGCTCAATTCACAAAATCAAATGAAATCAGAGATAGATGATCAGGTGGCTGAGCACAGTCACCCCAGTAAAAGTTCCTGGACTTAAGTCAGTTTTTGGAACCAGAATCTCTTGATTGAAGGAGAGGTAAGTTATTGGAAGGAAGGACCCTGCAACACTATGCAAAGTGCATCAGTAATGATTCCCCCAGTCCATCCCTAGAGGGGCCCATAGCCATTTGCTTAGGTAAATGTACACTGGAGAAGGAGTAATATCCAAACATTTTGAGGACTGTTGAACACAGAATCCAAGTTGACATTGATACCTGCATACCTGAAGCATCATTATGAGCTCCCTGTTAGAGGGGGCAAACGGAGGTCAGGTAATAAATGGAGTCATAGCCCAGATCTGGATGACAGTTGTTCACGTGGTCTACAGATCTGCTCAGTGATCATTTTCTTGGCCCCAAAAGTATAATTGAAATGGACATCCTTAGTAGTTGGCACAACCTCCGGGATGAGAGCTATTATAGTGAGAAAGGCCAAGCGGAACTTTCTAAAATTTTATCTCCCACATCAAAGATTGTAAATCAAACCCAACAACTAATTTGGGGTAGGAGGGGAATGGAAGAAATTAATGCCACCCTCGAAGACCTAAAGGATGCAGGGATGATAGTCCCCATCATATCTCCACTTATGTCGGCATTCTAGTCCTTGTAAAACCTGGACAGATCCTGGAAGATAAAAGTAGACTATTGCAAACTCAACCAAATAGTAGCTCCAACATCAGCTACTTATGCCAGATGGAGTATAATTGCTAGAGCAAATGAACATGACCTCAGGTGCGTTGTATACAGCTGTTGATCTGCAGAATGCATTCTTTTCTATTCCCTATTAGAAAAGAGGATCAGAAAGTTTATATTTCCTTGGAGCATGCAACAGAATGCATTTACAGTCGTACTTCATGGATACGTTAATTCTCCTGTCCTCCATCCTAAAATAGTCCAAAGAGACCTAGATCAGCTACACATCCCAGGGAACATCCTGATGGTCTACTCTATTGTAAATTTGACTGGTTAAGCAAAAAGTGCCTACGACATTTCCAAATGTTAAGATACATCCATTTCAGAAAGCTGGAGATAAACCCTATGAAAAATCAAGGGACTGCCACAAAATCAACAAAAGGTTTAGAACTTCAGTATCATAGGGTATGTCATGACATCCCCTCAACCACAAAAAATTTTTTCATCTTGCCCCCCACACCACGAAGGAGCATGGCACCTTACAGGTCTTTTTGGGTTCTGGAGGCACCTGGAATATGCTCACACCTTGGAATAATGCTATGACTCATATATTGGGTGACATTAATGTCTTCCAGCTTTAATGGGGCTCAGAGCAGGAAAAAGCTCTGCAGAAGGTCAAGGGTATGATGCAATTAGCCCTGCTGTTTGGGGCATATGACCTGGCAGACTTTATGGTATTTGAAGTATCAGTAGTGGTAAAAATTGTGTGACATTAACTCCAATCAGACAACACAACATAGACCCCTGGGCTTCTGGAGAAAAGCCATGTCATGTACATCTTTCAAGAAATAACTGCAGGTATACCCTAGTAGAGACGGAGTGCCTGATCATTGGCTCACCAAGTGATCATGAACTCTGACTAACTCATCTGGAATATGACCTATCTTCCCCAATTTCCTTCCCCAAAGCGCTCTCAGAGACACTCTACTCACCTGCCTGATGAGATATTTTGTATTTAATTTCAAGTTTTCTTCAGACCTAGAATTCCAGCCTGATGTGCTGTATAGGAAACGGTGTGCTGATAAATATTTAGCAACTGCCTCTCTGAAACAACAAGCTGTGATTTGTAGCATTTACCAACTTCCATGGTGTAAATACTCCCACCGTGGCTGATTTCAAGCCACCAGCGTGACATCACTGAATGCAGAATTGGGAAGAGGTGTGCAGTAGCACGTCATCACATAACGTTTTCACCACACACATAAAAGAGATATTAACAAGGTCAAGAAAATGGATCACAGAAAAATTTAGCAAAATAATTAGGAAGTAATGAGTTTGGGTTATTCGTTACCTTTATTTTTAATACAATGTATTTAATTGTAAGTTTATGTAAGTTAAGTTTTAATAATATCTGTCTTTCACAATTGTCTCAACAAAATTTCTGAAAATTTAAAAATTAGCTCTCATGGCCAGTATGAGCTAGTTCTGGTGAACCCATGGAAGCTTTTCACCTTACAAGATTTTCACTAGGTGTAGAAGGTTTTCAAGGAAATGTAATTTTTTGTTATTTGGCCTAAGAGTTTTGACACTTCAGTGACGATGGTAGCTGATTTTCTTTCAGTTTCTTCTAATTACTGTTTCAACGAACTGATTCTTTTTCACCGTGGGACCTTTTCAAACTAAATTATAAGCCCTTTTAGGGAAACAAACTAGCATTGTTTTTCTGCACATTGTAGGATCACAATAAATATTCATTAATTTGAACTTACATTTTACATGCCAAACATGGAATTAGGATCTTTAGATCCCAAATTAATCTAATAAGCTGCTAAGATGCACCATGTTCTCATTTTTTAATAACATTAGAGTTATTTTATGGGTGATAGAAGATGAGTGTCATGAGTGAACCTAATATCATTTTCTAAAAATTTATTATTCTTATTTCTGATGTTTCTCCAGTCAGCTACTTAATACATTGGAAGTTCCAAAAATTTGTTACAACTTAAAATGTAAACTCTCTTTAGCCTTAGAATATTGAAAAGCAACATTAAATCATTTTAAATGAATTCCTGACATGGCATAATTAGTTTTTTCATTTTACTGATTTCAGACATTGATATTTTCAACTGATTTTTATTCCTGGAAACACAATATTACCAAAATGATAACTAAGTAACTTTTATGAAGAACTTTGCTGTATACCCTCTCTGGGGTACTAACCATTAGAGAAAAACATTAATATACTCATAGAGCCTCAATATTCAAGAAACTATCTGCTTAATTTAACACAGTTCTGAAGTAATCACAGAAAATTTTGAGTACCAATCATACAATCTGTGCTTTAGAATAAATATTATTTGTACTGGCAAGGAACTATATTGCTTTCATCTAAACTGTTGAAATAAAATTATTATTTTCAGGAAATATAAGTATCGGTCCTGTTGAAAGTATATGATAATAACATTTGTGTGTGTGTATGTGTGTTTGTTTGTGTATGTGTGTGTGTGTGTGTGTGTGTGTGTGAGAAAAAGAGAGAGAGATCCACACGCATATATCTTGGTCATGGAGTAACTGTACTGGAGATATTTTTTCCCCTCTTCTTGCAATTTTTATTTTCTGATAGACCTTAAATAGCAACAAATTTTCCCAATAATTAATGGCTATCCAGAGAGATTAACATTAATTAATGTTAAAAGATGCCTCAGGTCCTTTGTGATTTAAAGGATTGTCTGGGATTATTACATTTGCATCAGTTGAAGACTCATCTAATTACCTCTTTTCTTCCTAATTGGTGTCTTATAAAAATAAATTAGATACAATAATTAGCAATACTTATTTTTTACCTCTCCAGCTATTGGTCTGAATTTAACAAATATTATAGTGCACATAAAGATTTCATTCTCAGTGTCTTTTCAGACTTGAATTCATTTATAGCAGTGTCAGATTTGTCACATAAGAAACAATATTGCCCAGGTACAGACTATATGCAAAAGAATGTCTTTTATAGAACCTGTTACATTTAGTACAAAATATCCACGTATTGTATTTTTAATGTACTTAATATTATTCCAAAAGAAAAGAAAAGAAAATAGAAAGAGAAATGAGACTGTTTTTGAATTGGAAAGCTACACTTAAATTTCTAACATCTACTTAAAATGTCTTGTACTTTAACATGTTTTGTTGTTGTTGTTGTTGTGGTTGTTGGTGGTGGTGGTGCCACTAGCATATAAAAGAGCAGAAAAGGAGGTAGATTAAAGAATTATATAATACCAAATAGAGCAAAATCTGATTATCTAATTAGTTTTCCCTTATAAAGACCACTTTTTTTGTTTGTTTGGTTTTTTTTTGAGAAGGAGTCTCTCTCTGCGGCCCAGGCTGGAGGGCATTGGTGTGATCTCGGCTCACTGCAACCCCTGCCTCCCGGGTTCAAGTGATTCTCCTGCCTCAGTCTCCTGAGTAGCTGGGACTACAGGCGTGTGCCACCACGCCCAGCTAATTTTTGTATTTTTAGTAGAGATGGGGTTTCACCATGTTGGCCAGGCTGGTCTGGAACTCCTGACCTCGAGTGATCCATCCTCCTCGGCCTCCCATAGTGCTGGGAGTACAGGCATGAGCCACTGCGCCCTGCCTATAAAGACCACTCTTGAACGAGGCATAGATTAAATGAGTTATCTCTTTAAATGCATCCTTAGCAGTAAGGATGCAGTCCTTCATCTGTGTTGATGATGCTATTAATAGGGCATCAGTGGAGTATAATTGAAAAATGCTCATGTCTCCTTATTTCCAATGGCTCTGCTTGTAACAGAATGCCAAAACAGGGCTTTACTAAGGATTCAGCCCCTGTATAAGCACTTTAGTGCCAAGTTCTCTGTGGAACTCTGGCATGCGGTCAGACTATTAATGAAAAATTAGATAATAATGAGAGATATAAATAGAAACTAAAACAAGATACCATTTTTCAACCCATTGGTTTGTCAAAGTTTAACAGCTTTGTCAAAGATGTGAGCAGGGAAACTCACGGTCTCATACACTGCTGGTGGGAGAATAGGTAGCACAGCCTCTATGAATGGAATTTGAGAATATCTAACAAAGCTACCCAATACATAACTAATGATTACATTCTAAGAATTGATCCAACGCTCACACCCATGGGCAAAATGACATACATTCAAAGATAATAATCACAGCTCTATTTGATTAGGAAAAGATTGGAAACAACTTAAATATCCATCCATAGGGAATTGGTCAAAGAAAGTATGACACAATAATACAATAGAATGTTATGCTACCATTACAGAGAATGAGGAAGATCTGTATATGTATGGATATGGAAGGATTTCTAAGATGTACTTCTAAGTGAAAAATCAAGGAATATATTGAGTAAATTATGCTGTCATTTCTGTAAAAATACATACACATATTTATATCCCTGTATATGCATAGGATAGCACTGGAAGGGTACACAAGAAACTCTGGGGGAAGCTATTGAGAGGGAGGCTTGTTTTTCACACTAAACCTTCTTGAAGTTTGTATCATTTGCTTGTGTTGCCCATAAAAATACAGAATAATTTTTAAAAAGAACTGGCAGTGTTCAGTGAGTCGTACTTTGTTCTTCCTAGAAAAACCAGGATCTGTGTCCATATTCTGTCCACCAACTGGTTGGACGAGCTATCAAGCCCTCCATTAAGATGGAGTATTTTTACAGTAAGGCAATATTGTGAAGAATAATGAAGAAATGAAAACACTAGGAAAGAACTTTTTAGTGAGTCTTAACTGTTCTATGTTAGGAACGTTTTGCAAATCTCTTGAGATCTATGGACTTCCATCTCAGAAAAATGCACAAAATCCTGCATACAGCCTCAGGTTTAGGAACTCTCCTGATGCCCATTTATGGGCCCTGGATTAAGAACTCCTACTCTAAAACAATACAGATACAGCCTTTTCAGGGGCCACAGGACAGCCATTTCATTTCCTATTAAAGAACCATCTGACACAAAGGTGAAGAAAAATTTGGGATGTTATTAGCACACAATGTTTATATCTTTTTAATCAACATATGCTAACAGGAAGATACAGTGACTGTGTTCCAGTTGCCATAAAGCTAATCTTTATATACTATGACTCCTTTTAGTCTTAAAACTTGCTTAAGAGCAGTGATGTCCACTATCTTCACTATCTTTTAATATTTTGATGCCTGCGACTCCACTGAGAAGGTGTAAAAAAAAAAAAAAAGGGCAATACACTCCAGTGGGATATTTTGGCCATGACAAGCCTCTGCCCCACTGACCTCTAGCCAAGTTACCCTCTTTCCCATAAAGTTGGGATTTCTTATGACATCAAACTATTCCGAAGGTAAAATTTTGAAGATTCCATACCCAGCCACAAAGCAAATGGTAAAAAACTAACTCCTCATACTTAGTACATACACAGCCTATTTCACACCTAGAATCCTCTCTTCTTTACCTTATTCACCTAAGGTTTCTGGGTCCCCACCCCATTTACTTCCAAGAATGAAAATAAGCAGAAATGGGAAAGATTACTGCAGGAAATGGAGACTGATTTCACCAGTTGAATTAAGGTAGCTGTAACACTCACTCATCTTTAAAGAAATAGCTCAAAAGAAGCTCATCTCTGATAATAACTACAAAATGATGGAATTTTCCACAGTATGTTCCTTTTATAAGATTTTACTGTAGCAAAAGTAGGTGAGTTCTCATAAAGCAACAGCTGAGAATCCAACTATAGATGCAACATATAGCTGCTCGAATGCAAGAACATGCTTTCACTAGATTCTCTACAGATATCTCAATTTAATGTGGTACTTTCTAGATCTACATTATTTTTGCCTCCTCAGATCATGAGGAAGAATGGGAAAGGGAAATTTTCAAAAGCCACAGGTTGCTTCCCAAGCAGTTTCAATGAAGACATGAGACCTAGGCCTGTATTTTCAGTGGGCCCTATCCCACCATTTAAGGTTCCATTTACAGAGGGAGACATTAGCACACTGTGAAACATAGTCACTCACCCAAATTGATCCTGCTGTAGGTAGTTGAATTAGAATTTGAATCCAGGCCCATGTGATCTCGCTACTCATCAGATACCCTGTAATTGTTTCTGGTGAATCTATAAATTATTGGTTTTGAAAGCCATGTTATTGAAGCACCATCAATTTAAAGACTTCAAGATCAACGGTTCTCAGATTTTAGCATGCCTCAGGATCACCTGGAAGGCTTGTTAAAAACTGATTTTTGAGAGCCTATCTAGGGAGGGAGCAAGACTTTGCATTTCTAACAAGTTCCCAGATGATGCTGATGCTGCTGGTCCGGGGACCGAACACTAGGGACTGCTGGACTGGATGATGGAGAGAAGAAGCCTCACTCCGGAGGAAGCTGTCCTCTGCCTCTCACCTGATGGTGCAGCAGGAACTCAGCAAAGCTATTTTCCAGACACACCATTAGATTTTTTTAAAAAAAGAATGTTAACTGTAACATTCACCTTTTCTTCCTGAGGTGAATGATGTACATTTTCCTCTCTCATCTTCTCTTTCGTCTTCTATAGACATGTTTCTTTATAAGTGACACACCTTATTACAATAGAATGTACTTTGTATAATCCTATTGAATCTACATGCTTTTAATAAGTGTAAGGTAAATAATTCTGTTTCCTTTTTATTCTGTCCTGGATAGTGAAAGTAACTTCAGTTTTATGATAGATTTTTAAGTACTCACTGATTTGGTTCCTCTGACATATATATCATTTGAAAAATTCATTTTACTAATTGTGTGTGTGTATATATATATATCACAAAACAAATTGCACTATTTATATTTGCTGATGACAAACTTTGGGAGCAAGTATGGGCAGTCGAGTCTTAAAACTTGAGTGCAAATGAATGAGCTTAATTTATTTAATCTAGAAAGCAATTATTTAGAGATTTAAGCAATTTGGCAGCTGGGTGTGCAGAAGGGGGTGTGGGTGGGACTAACATGTTTTTGCCAAGATTGAATTTTTGCCTAGTGTTTTTGGAATTTCAGGAATCTAATTAAGACATTTGGTAAATTTGCTTCAAATCCCCATAGAACTAATAAACTAGAGGCATTACAGTGTCTGTCAGCTCTGATTTAATGTAGATGCTCAGTGCCTTCAAACTAGATCAAGACTAGAGAGAAGTGCCAAATAGGTGACACTTTCCAAGTAGCCTGCAGATATCTGTTGACATCCGTGTTCCTACCATAGCTCCCTGGGCCAAGAAGTGATGGCTGCTTCACCGCATCCTTTACCTATGTTTCTGAGGGATCCATGGAACCCCTTCCCAATATTATTAGCAGATCTGGGGACACCTGAGGCCCAAGTCACCTTTCTTTTCAACTCACAGTTATAGGAGTCTTTATCCCTTTGCTGCCATGGAACTGCATTTCCCACCCCCTCCCCTTTCATAAGTTTCCTCTCTCTGGGTTTAGGTCTCTATGAAGCTCAAGCTCTGTTGCTGAGCTTAGATGAGTGTAGACTCAAGGACTGGGATGCAGACACTTTGGGGGAACTCAGAACTAAGGGCAAGACATGGTACTATTGCTGCTACATTGTCGGTGAAATTTTTGTAGGCTACCCTAGATACTGCATGAGTTTGTCTAACTTCCTTTCTTCCAGGGAAAATTACACTATAGTTTCCAAATACTGATTTTAAAATGATCTTTTGGAACAAAATTTCAGTATTATTTCTCTAGGAATAATACCCTTTCTCTTTCCCTTTTGTATAAATTTGTTCTTTTATTCTCACCTTGTTTCAAACATTTAACTTCTTGCTAAGGATCACTGTTAAGTTGTGAGCTGCTAATATTTAATTTAATCATAATTTCTGAAATATTATAATCATAATGCTATTCCATGTTACTTCCCTAATTAGACTGATACATCAATTGGCAGTTCTAGAACTGCAGTAAAGTCTTAGCTTAAGAGTCTGCTTATGCTCTTATTTAAACAATAAAAAGAGAATCTGAAGAACAGCACAACAGAAATGTGAGTATGGGGGTGTCTTGGTTGGCCTGGAACTGACACTTAAGTATGTTAGCTCATGCAATTAGACAGCACACCCAAAGTCCTCAATGAACCGGATTGAATAAAGTTTTCTAACTTCAAGGACATGCTCAAGAACACTTAAATGCATGTGCCATTTCATGATTGCCCTATAGCCCAGGAGCTAAATGTAAAAGAACTCTGGAGCTCAATACAGAATTAGAGAATTAGACACATACAGATGAAATGGGGATGGAAGTGATCAACGGAATTTAAAAGGAACAGCAGCATTGCCATTAGAAGGAGAAATCACCATGGGTGGATATAGCTGAGCAAGGTAGGTTCAATTTAGCACAAAACAGTGCTTGAAGTGGTTGTGGCTTCAGGAACAATGCAAGACTGAGTTTGAATGCTACCTGATCCATCCTGCCATCCCATCCTCTTCTGCCACTTCACTCCTTCTTGAGCAATTGTTGTTTTGGAAAAGAGAAGAAAATGTTAAGAGAGGAGCCCCAAGACTTCTTAAGCAGGACACAAAAAGCAATGACTATAAAGGGAAAAATGACAAGTTGGAGCTATATTAAAATTAAGAACTTTTGTACCTCAAAAGCTATCACTAAGAGTAAAAGCCAAGCCACAACCTGGGAGATGATATTTATGGTACATGTATACAGCAAAAGACTCCTTTTTAGATGACATAAAGAAATACTATACATTTCTAAGGAGAAGATAGCCAACCCAATAGAAAAATGAGTGGAAGACTTGAACAGACTCTTTACAAAGGAGGATAACAAAAGGATAAATAGACATCAACAGGAGATCAACATCCTTAGTCACCAGGGAGAGGCAAATTCATACTATAATACAATGTCTCTATACACTCATCAAAATAACTGAAACAAAAAACAAAAAATGCCAAGTGTTGTGGCATCGCAAATATGTGGAGCAACCACATCTCTCATACATCACTGATGGGAATGTAAATTTGCACATCCAATTTAGACGGCCATATCTACTAAAGCTGAATATACCTACATTATGATAGAATGATTTCCCTCCTAGATGTATACTCCTAGATATATACTCAACAAAAAATCACACATATATTCACCCAAAGGCATATCCAAGAATGTTCATAGCAGCACACTCATAACAACCCAAACTAGAAAGTACCTGTGGTAGTTAATTTTACATCAACTTAGCTGGACTACAGGGTGCCCAGATATTTGGTCAAACATTATTCAGGGCATTTCTGTGAGGGCATTTTTTAATGAGATTAACATTTAAACTAGTAGACTCAGTGAAGCAGATTGCCCTCCCTAATATACGTGGGCCTCAACCAATCAACTGAAGGCCTGAATAGAGCAACTTGACCCTCCCCTAAGGAAGAGGAAATCCCTCTTGTCTGATGGCCTTCAAACTGAGATATCAGGGGTTTTTTTTCCTTCATTTAGACTCAACTTGAAACATAATCATATAAGTTCTTCTTGGGTCTCAAGCCTGCTGGCCTTCAGACTGGAATGACACTATCAGCTTTCTTGATTCTCAGGCCTTCAGACTCAGACTGGAACTAAATCATCAGCACTCCTGAACATCCAGCTTGGCTCACTCTGAAGATTTTGGGACTTGCCAGCCTCCATAATCACCCTTTCCTTAAAATACATCTCTATCTCTCTCTTTAAATATATATGTATATTGTTAAACCAATAGGAGATATATATATCTCTCTTATTGGTTCTGTTGGTTCTGTTTCTCTAGAGAACCCTAATACAACATACAAATACTCATAAAGGGAAGAATAAATTAATTGTAGTATTTTCACACAATGAAATACATGGCAGCAATGAGAATGAACAAGCCACAATCACCAATACAAATATCTACACACAGAAGATAATAGTCAAAATTAATTTATACTATTAGAAGATAGGATAGTAACCTCTAGGAGTGGCAGTCACTGGATGCAGGTAGGAATGGGAACCTTTGGGATTGCTGGTCCTATTTTATTTTAACCTGGGTGCTAATTACATGGATGTGTTCACTTTGTGAAAATTCATTGAGCTGTACACTTATGATTTGTGCACTTATATGCATGTATATTGTACTTCAATAAAAAACATTTAAAGTTCTTTGTTGGGGAATAGCCTCTTAAAAAGCTTAAGAAAGAAAAGGAACTGGAAGGCAATCAGTTAACATGACCTTTCCAGGCCATGATTGGGTAGAGACAAAGAAGAATTTGAGACTCAAACCAGTCTCTATATTGACAACAACAACAACAAAACCCTAAACATAACACAACAAAAAAACATAAGAAGGCTCTGTAATATGGTAAAAAGATAACAAGCTACCTAGGGACCTTGAGATTTGAGAAACAACACTATGATGAATTTCCTGGTTTCCTTTTTGCCTCCTATATATCCCAGACAGATGCTGCAGAAACCTCCAACTCAGAACTGCCTACAGACTCAGAAAAAAAAAAAAAACAACTCTAAGAAAAGCCTGTTCTCTCTAGTGAAAGTATTGGAAAAAGGGTGGCCTAGCAACAGAAGACCTTTCAGTCAATGCCCCCCTACTCAGGAAGTTGATATTCCACCTCATCCCACTCCTAACCCAGCAAAAGCAGACAGCACATTCCAATTCCCCTGTTGGATGGTATTGACTATCTGAGCAAGGAGATTATCTTCTTTGTCTTAACCAGGAGAAGCAGATGGCAGCAATCCAATTCCCCTGCCAGAGGAGTGTAAGTGGGGCCAAGCACGCAGCTGATCTTCCACCCCTGCCTAGAAGAACCAGCGAGTGTTTCTATTTCCCAGCTGGGATAGTGTCATTAGAGCCCAGTGGTGAGCTGAGTCTCCACCTCCACTCAGCTTCAACAAGGCAGAAGGAGGTTGTGGGAGGTTTTAGTTGGCACTTCACTTCCTATCCTCCCCTCTCCTGGTGTCAGTGGGGCTCAGCAAGGAGCTGAGCTTACACTACCACTTGGAGACAACAAGGTGGTATGAGTCAATTCCATACTTTCGCTGGGAATATGTCTGCAGGGCCAAGAGGGGATCTGAATTTCCACTCCGCCCATCTGCAATAAGTCAGCACTTAACAGTTGCTGGGCTGGTGTCAGTGGGACCCAGTGGCAAGCTGAACATACAAACCCCTCTAGCTCTCCTGCTACAAGTCAACAGAAGAAATGCCTGCTTTTAAAAAAGGAATATTAAATAGGGTCCACAGTTTTATAACATCCAAAATATAGGGGATATTTTATTTTATTTTTGAGACAGGGTTTTGCTCTGTTGCCCAGGCTACAGTGCATGACGTGATCATGGCTCACTGCAGCCTTAACCTCCTGGGCTCAGGTGATCCTTGCACCTCAGCCTCCTGAGTAGCTTGGACCACAGGTATGCACCACCACTCCTGGCTATTTTTTAAATAATTTTTCGTAGAGATGGGGTCTGATTATGTTGCCCAGGCTGGTCTCAAACTCCCGGACTCAAGAGATTCTCTTGCCTTGGCCTCTCAAAGTGTTGGGATTACAGATGTGAGCCACTGTGCCTGGCCAAAGGATATTTTATACAATAAAATATCACTTGTTATACCAAGAATCAGAAAATCATAACAAGAATGAAAAGAGACAATCAACAAACCCCATTACCAAGGTGAATCAGACGTTGGAATTATTTGACAAGGATTCTAAAACAGCCATCATAAAAAGGCTTCAGCAATCAATTATGAATTCTCTTGAAACAAATGAAAAAATTTTAAAAATATGGGCAAAGAAATAAAAGTTATAGAAAAGAACCAAATGAGATTATAAAACTGAAAAATACAATAACCCAAATAAAAACTCACTGGAGCCAGGTGCAGTGGCTCACGCCTGTAGTCCTAGCACTTTGGGAGGCCGAGGCGGGTGGATCACCTGAGGTCAGGAGTTCGAGAACAGCCTGGCCAACGTGGTGAAACCCAGTCTCTACTAAAAATACAAAAATTAGCTGGCATGGCGGTGGGCACCTGTAATCCCAGCTACTTGGGAGGCTGAGGCAAGAGAATCGCTTGAACCTGGGGGGTGGAGGTAGCAGTGAGCTGAGATCACGCCATTGCACTCCAGCCTGGGCGACAAGAGTGAAACTCTGTCTCAAAAAAAAAAAAAAAAAAAAAGAAAGAAAAAAAACCTCACTGGATGGGATCAATAGTAGAGTGGAGATGACGAAGGACAGAATCCATGAACTTAAGGGCAAATCAATAGAATTTACCCAGTGTAAACAACAGAGAGAATATAGGCTGTAACAAAATGAACAGGATCTCAGGGAGAATAACCAAAAAGATAATGTTTGTAATATTAGAGTTTCAGAAGGGTAAGAGAAACAGAGACTGAAAAATTATTTAAAGAAATAACACTGAAAGCTCCCGACATTTGGTGAAAGACATAAACCTACATATTCAAAAAGGCTGAGTGAACCCCAAATAAGATAAATGTAGGAAAATCCATGCCAAACTCCATCAAAATTAAACTTCTGAAAATTAAAGCAAAGAAAAAAATCTTGAAAGCAGCCAGAGAAAAACAATGTGTTACTTTTATAGGCAAACACCGATTAGGATGGCAGCAAATTTGTCATCTGAAACCCCAGAATCTAAAATGATGTAGAATAACATTTTTCAAGTGCTGAAAGAAAAGAACTCTCAACCATGAATTCTATATCTGGAAAGAATATCTTTCAGGAATGAAGAGGAGGTGAAGACACCCTCAGGCAAAGGAAAACTAAGAAAATTTGTCACATATACTCTTAAAGAATGACTAAAAGACATTTTTCTAAGCAGAAAGGAAATGGTAACAGAAAGATTAGAACTTCAGTAATGAAAGAAGAACATTGGAATGGGTAAAAAAATGGAGGGGATGGTAAATACAATAGACTATTCTCCTGAGATTCTTAAATCATATTTGATGGTTGATACAAACATTACAACATTATTGGACATAGTGCTCAATGTATGTAAAGGAAATGGACATATTACTCAATCTATGTACTCAAATGCTTAAGGCATTTCCTTTACTTACATAAAGTAATATGTCCAATAATGTAAAGCTGTAAAGGAGAGAGTAAAGGCACCTAAGTGGAAGTAAGTTTTCTACACTTAAGTCAGTGTTAAAGGTAGATACCACTAGAATGTAATAAGTGTTTTTCATATATTTATATAAAATAATCCTTAGAGCAACCACAAAGAAAATTATACAAGGTGATATACTCAAGAATAATATAAATACTGAAAAATATTCAAATAACCTACAAGAGAGCAAAAAGAGAGAGAAACCGACAAAACAAATAATAAAATGGAGACTTATTCCCTAACATATGAATAATTACCTTAGATGTAACTGATCTAAATACATCAATTAAAAGACAAAAATTGATAAAAGAAATGATCCAACCATACGCTGTCTATAAAAACCTCACTTCAAATACATTGATAGATGTAAATTGTATGGGTCATTGCAGATATATGTTAAGATAAGGTCATACTGGAGTATGGTGGGTTCCTAATCCAATACATTTCATGCTCCTATAAGAAGACGGCCATAAAAACACAGAGACATAGGGATAAATAACATCATGTGAAGAAAGAGGCAGAAATTGGAGTTATGCTGCCATAGCCAAGGAATGCCTGGGGCTACCACAAGTTATAAGAAGCGAAGAAGGATACTCTCCTACGGGATTTGGATAGACCATGGCCTGGTCCATCTTGATTTCAGACTTCTGGCCTCCATAATTTGAGAGAATGAATTTTAGTCGTTTTAAGCTACTCAGTTTGTGATACATTTTTTACAAAAGCCCTAGAAAACTGATAACAGTAGATTACAAGTAAAAGGATGGAAAAATATATACTATGCAAACATTAATTTTTTAAAAAGCAGAAGTGGCCAAGTTAACATCTGGTAAAGTGACTGCAGAGCAAAGAAAATTACTAGATACAAAAAGTTACATTGCATAATGATAGAAAAATTAACCCACCAGTAAGACACAACAATCCTGTGTATGTGCCAACCAACAGAGCCTCATAATATATGAAGCAAAAATTAATAGAGGTGAAAAGAGAAATAAACAAATCTACAACTATTCTTGGAACTTCAGTATCCCTCTCTCTGCAATTGATAGAACTACTGGATATCAAATCATCAAGACTACAGGAGAACTGAACAATATCACCAACCAACAAAATATAATTGATGTACTTATAACTCTCCATCCAACAATAGCAGAATATACATTTTTAAGGACTCATGAAACAATCAACAAGATAGACCATACCCTGGGCCATAAAATAAATCTCAACAAATTTAAAACAATTTAAATAATGCAAAGTGTGCTATTTGATCATAATGGAATCAAATTAGAAATCAATAACAGAAAAACAGCAGGAAAATATCCAAATATTGGAAATTAAACAATACACTTCGAAATATTCCTTGGACTAAAGATATAAAAATACATAGAAATGAAGAAAATAAAGCCACAACATATTAATATATTTGGAATGCAGCTAAAACAGAAAGGGAAATTTATAGCACTAAATGCTAGAAAAGAAGAAGTCTTGAATCAATAATCTAAGCTTCTCCCTCAAGAAACCAGTGAAAGAAGCAGAAAATAAATCCAAAGCAGGCAGGAGGAAGGAAATGATAAGGATAAGAGGATACATCAATAAAACTGAAAACAAGAAAATAATAAACACAATCAAAACAAAAATCAGGTTCTTCAAAAAATCAACAAAATTCATTAACCTTTAGAAAACTTAAAAGGGAAAAGACAACACAATATTATAAATGAAACATGACTATCTCTACATATCCTGTGTCATGAAAAAGAAAATAAGGGAATACTACAACCAACTTTACATTCATAAGTTTAACAATTTAATAGAAGAAATGAGCCAATTTCTTGAAAACGGCAAACTATCAAAACTAAAGTAAAATGAAATAGACAATCTAAATAGCCCTACAATCACTGAATTTGTAGTTTTAAAGCTCTCAAAAGCTCTCAAAGAAGATATCTCCAGGTCCAGATGATTTTTAGTGGAGATACATTTAAAGAAGAATTACAAAAAGAAGGAGGAAGAGGAGGAGAGAAATTAACACCAATCTACACAATCTCATTCAGAAAATCTCAGAGGAGGGAACACTTCTCAACTCATTTTATAAACTAGTACTACCCTTACACCAAATTAATAGAAAGATGATAGAAAAAAAGACAAATCAATATTTCTCATGAAATTAGATGTAAAAATCTTCAACAAAATATTAGCAAATTGAATTCATCAATTTACAAAAGGAATTATACACCATGACCAAGTGAGATTTAGTAAGGTTATTAAAATTGGTTCATCACTCAAAAATCAGTCAGTGTACTCCATCATATCAACAGACGAAAGAAGAAAAACCGTATTTTCATATCAATCAATGCAGAAAAACTATTTGACAAAACCCAATACCAATTCATGATAAAATCTCTCAGCCAGGCAGAAAGAAATAAGAATTTCTTAAACTTAATGAACATCTACAAAAAAATTACGGCTAACATCATACTTAATGGTGAAGGATTCAATGCTTTCCCTCTCAGATTGGGAACAAAGAAAGCATGTTTGTTCTCACCACTCTTATTCAACATAGTAGTGAGAGTTCTAGCCACTATAGTAGGCAAGAAAAAGAAAGAAAAGGAATAGCAATTGAATAGGAAGAAAAAAACTTTCCCTATTTGCAGGTTACATGATTATCTACATAGAAAATCTAAAGAAATCTATTCAAGAAAAACTCCTAGAACTAACACATGAGTTTAGCAAGGTCATAGAATGTAAAATGAAAGCACAGAAATCTCCTTTCAACATACTAACAATGAACATGTAGAAAGCGAGATGAAATCACAATACCATTTACAATTGTTCCAAATAAAATTAAATACTTAGATACGAACCTAAGAAAACATACACAGAATCCCTATTCTGGAAATTACAAAATGCTGATAAAAGAAATCAAAGAAGAAATATATACATGGAGGAATATATTGTGTTCGTGAATTGGAAAGACAAAGCATACTAAAGAAGTTCAATGCAATCAAAATCCCAGCAAATTTTTTGTGCACATAGAGAAGCTTATTCTAAAATTTAAATGGAAAGGCACAGGCCTTGGTATAGCTAAACTAATCTTTAAAAAAAAAAAGAATGAAGTAGGAGTGATCACTCTACCTGACATTAAAACCTATTATATAATTGCAATAATCAAGACAGTGTGGTATTGAAGCAGTGATAGACACATAGCTCAATGGAAAATAACCCAGAAATAGACCCGTGCTAATATGCCAAACTAATTTTTGGCAAAAGTGCAAAAGCAGCACAGGAGAAATTGGACATTCATAGGCAAAAATAAAATAAAATAAAATAAAATAACCTCAACCTAAGTCTCATGCCTTGTACAAAAAGGTAATTCAAAATGGATCTCAGACTTAAATGTAAAATGTAAAACCATAAAAGTTTTATAAAAAAGCAAGGACTAGTTTCCAGAATTTATAAAGAACTTTCAAAACTCAACTGTAAAAAAACCAAAGAATCCAATTAGAAAATGGGTGCAACGAGAACACACATTTTTATGACAAGGATATATAGATGGTAATAGGCACATAAAAAGACATCCAACATTATTATTATTATTATTATTTTGGTTTTTTTTCCTTTTTTATAATTATGATTATTTTTTATTATTATACTTTAAGTTTTAGGGTACATGTACACATTGTGCAGGTTAGTTACATAGAGAAATGCAAATGAAAACCATAAGGAGATATCACTATACACATACCAGAATGGCTAAGATAAAAACATTATGACTATACCAAATGCTGGCAAGAAGGTAGAGAAAATGGATCACTCATACTTTGCTGGTGGGGATGGAGAATAACACAGCTATTCTGGAAAACAATTTGACAGTTTATTACAATACGAACCTGGCAGGGCACAGTGGCTCATGCCTGTAATCCCAACACTTTGAGAGGCAGAGGTGGAAGGATCACTTGAGGCCGTGAGTCTGAGACCAGCTTGGGCAACATAGCAAGACCTCATTTCTACAAAAAACAATTAAAAAAAAAAATTAGCCAGGCATGGTGGCGTGTGCCTGCATTCCCAGCTACTCCAGAGGCAGAGCGGGGAGGATGGCTTGAGTCCGGGAATTTGAAGTTACAGTAAACTATGATCACGCCACTGCACTCTAGCCTAGGTGACAAAGTGAGACCATGTCTTTAAACAAAACAAAACAAAAACCGGCAAATATCCCAGAGAACAGACAACTTTCATTCACAACATTCATTCACAATTTTCATTCATACACACGTTTTGTGTATACACAAAAACGTATACATCAATCTTCACAGCAGCTTATTTGTAATAACCAGAATCTGACTGAAATGCCTTTCAAAGGGTGAATTAATAGACAAACTGTGTCATATTCATGGAATGGAATACTACTCAGCAGTACATAGGAACAAAATATTTATACGACATGGATGAATCCTCAAGGAATTATGTAGATTGAAAATCCCAAATGGGTACATACCATACCATTCAGATAATCTTACTGAAATGACAAAATTTAGAAATAAAAACAGATGAAAGATTGCAGGGAGAAGGAGATAGGTGGCAATGGAAAGGGGAAAAGTGGATGTGACTATGCAAAGGCAATACAAGGAATTCTTGTGGTGAAGAAGCTATTCTGTATCTTGATTGTATCAATGTCAGTGATCTGTTTGTGCTATTGTACTGTAGTTTTGGAAGATGTCACTATTGAGGGAAACTGGGCAAAGGATGCACAGGATCTCTTCCTATTATTTCTTAAAACTGCCTGTGAATTTATAATGGTCTCAAAATATAAAATTTAATTTTAAAAATCCATTTTAAGGGTACTATACGACCCTTAAAATTTTTATATACATATAAAATGTATAAAAATATGTATATAAAATTACCTGGTGGATATGCAGCCCATCCTTTCCCCAAGATGAGCAATTCTCAAAGAGTTCTCTACAGACACCTCTTCAAAGCATTTAAGTGTCAATACTGTTTGCATATTAATACAAAGGCCAATTATACTGAGTACATACTAATGTAGGCAGGCCTTGGAGATATTGTGGGTTCAATTCCAGACCACTGCAATTAAAGCAAATATTGCAATGAGGCAAGTCACATAATTTTTTTGGTTTCCTAGTACATATAAAAGTTATGTTTATACATACTGTAGTGTGTAGTAAGTGTGCAATAGCATTATGTCTTTAAAAAGTATACATCTTAATTTAAAAATACTTTGTTACTAAAAATGCTAATGATCATCTAAGCTCTCAGTGAGTTGTAATCTTTTTACCAGTGGAAGGTCTTGCCTCCGTGTTGATGGCTGCTGAATGATCAGAGTGGTGGTTGCTAAAGGTTGGGGTGGCTGTGGTAATTTCTTAAAATTTTTTTTTCCAATTTTTGTGGGTATTTGGTAACTGTATATATTTATGGGGTACATGGGATGTACTGACACAGACATGCAACATGAAATAATTACATCATGGAGAATGGGGTATTCATCCCTTCAAGTATTTATCCTTTGAGTTACAAAAAATCCAATAACACTCTTACGATATTTTAAAATGTACAATTAAATTATTATTGACTATAGTCACCCTGTTGTGCTATCAAATAGTAAGTCTTATTCACTTTTTCTATTTTTTTGTACCCCTTAAACATACTCTCTACACCCCATCCCTCACTACCATTTCCAGCCTCTAGTAACCATCCTTCTACTCTCTATGTCCATGAATTCAATTGTTTTGAATTTTAGATCACATAAATAAGTGAGAACATGTGTGTTTGTCTTTCTGTGCCTAGCTTAGTTCACTTAACATAATGATCTGCAGTTCCTTCCATGTTGTTCCAAGTGACTGGATCTCATTCTTTTCATGGCTGTATAGTACTCCGTTGTGTACATGTACCATATTTTCTTTATCCATTCATCTATTGATGGACATTTAGTTTTTTTTTAAAGTTTAGCTATTGTAAACAGTGCTGCAACAAACATAGAAGTGCAGATATCTCTTCCATATACTGATTTCCTTTCTTTTGGGTATATACCCAGCAGTGGGATTGCTGGATCATATGGTAGCTCAATTTTTAGTTTTTTGAGGAACCTCCAAACTCTTCTCCATAGTGGTTGTACTAATTTACATTTCCACCAACAGTGTACAAGGGTTCCTTTTTTCCACATCTTCAGCATCATTTGTTATTGCCTGTCTCTTGGATATAAGCCATTTTAACTGGAGTTGAGATGATATCTTATTGCAGTTTTGATTTGCATTTCTCTGATGAGCAGTGATGCTGAGCACCTTTCCAAATGCCTGTTTCCCATTCGTATGTCTTCTTTTGAGAAATGTCTGTTGAAATCTTTTGCCTGTTTCTTCATTGAATTATTAGATTTTTTTTTTCTGTAGAGTTGTTTGAGCTCCTTATACATTCTGGTTATTGATCCCTTGTCAGAGGTGTAGTTTGCAAATATTTTCTCCTAATTCTGTGGGTTGTCTCTTCACTTTGTTGATTGTTTCCTTTGCCATGCAGAAGCTTTTAAACTTGATGTGGTCCCATTTGCTTCGGTTGCCTGGGCTTGTGGGGTATTGCTCAAGAAATTTTTGCCAGACCAATGTCCTGGATATTTTCCCCAATGTTTTCTAGTATTAGTTTCATAGTTTCAGGTCTTAAATTTAAGTCTTTAATCCATCTTGATTTGATTTTTGTATACGGCAAGAGATAGAGGTCTAGTTTCATTCTTCTGCATATGGGCATCCAGTTTTCCCAGCATCATTTATTGAAGAGATTGTCTTTTCCCTAGTGTATGTTCTTGGCACCTTTGTAAAAAATGAGTTCATTCTAGGTGTGTGCGTTTGTTTCTGGATTCTGTATTCTGCTCTATTAGTCTATGTATCCATTTTTGTGCCAGTACCATGCTACTTTGGTTACAATAGCTCTGTAAAATAATTTGAAGTCAGGTAATGTGATTTCTCCAGTTTTGTTCTTTCTACTTAGGATAGCTTTGGCTATTCTGAGCCTTTTGTGGCTCCATATAAATTTTAGGATTGTTTTTTCTATTTATGTGAAGAGTGTCATTGGTATTTTTGACAGGGATTGCATTAAGTTTGTAGATTGCTTTGGGCAGTATGGGCATTTTAACGATATTCATTCTTGTAATCCATGAATATGGAATATTTTTCCATTTTTTGGTGTCCTCTTCAATTTCCTCTATTGATGTTCTGTAGTTTTCATTACAGAGACCTTTCACTTCTTTGGTTATGTTAATTCCCAGGTATTTAATTTTATGTGCGGGTATTGTAAATGGGATTACTTTCTCGATTTCCTCTTCAGATTGTTCACTGTTGGCATATAGAAACCCTACTGGTTTTTGTCTGTTGATCTTGTATCTTGTAACTTTACTGAATTTGTTTATCAGTTCTAATAATTTTCTTGTAGAGTCTTTAAGCTTTTCCAAATCTAAGGTCATATCATCTGCAAACAAGGATAATTTGACTTCTTCCTTTCCAATTTGGATGCCCTTTATATCTTTCTCTTGTCTGATTGCACTAGCTAAGACTTCCAGTACCATGTTGAATAACAGTGGTAAAAGTGGGCAGCTTTGTCATGTTCCATATCTTACAGGAAAAGGCTTTCAGGTTTTTCCTCATTCAGTGCGATGTTAGCTGCAGGTCTATCGTATATGGCTTTTATTATGTATATGTAGCGGTATGGTCCCTCTATACCCAGTTTTTTGAGAGTTGTGGCAATTTCTTAAAATAAAACAGCAATGAAGTTTGCCACACTGATTGATGCCTCCTTTCACAAAAGATTTCTCTATAGTATGCAATGCTGTTTGATAGCATTTTGCCTGCAGTAGAACTTCTTTCAAAATTGGAATCAATCCTTTCCAACCCTGCCCACGCTTTATCAACCAAGTTTATGGAATAGTCTAAATTCTTTGTTGACATTTCAAGAATACTCGCAGCATCTTCACCAGCAGCACATTCGGTCTCAAGAATCCAGTTTCTTTGCTCATCCATAAGAAACAACTCTTAATCCATTCAAGTTTTATCATGAGATGGCAGCAGTTCAGTCATATATTCAGGCTCCACTTCTAATTGTGGTTCTTGTGCTATTTGCATATCTGCAGTTGCTTTCTCCCCTGAAGTCTTCAACCTCTCGAAGTCATCCATGAGGGTTGGAATCAATGTCCTCCAAACTCCTGTTAGTGTGGATATTTTGACCTCCCTCCATGAATCATGAATGTTCTTAATGGTGTCTAAAACGGTTAATCATTTCCATAAAATTTTCAATTTACTTTGCCCACATCCATTAGAGGATTCACTATCTATGGCAGCTATAGCCTTACAAAATGTATTTCTTAGAAAATAATACTTGAAATAGAAATTACTCCTTGATCAATGAGCTGCAGAATGGATGTTGTTTTAGCAGGCACAGAAACAACATGAATGTCCTCGTATATCTCCATCAGAGCTCTTGGGTAATCAAGTGTACCATTAATGAACAGCAATATTTTGGAAGGAATCTTTTTTTTCTGAACAGTAGGTTCCAACACTGGGCTTAAAATATTCAGTAAACCATGCTATAAACAGATGTGCTGTCATCTAGACTTTGTTCCATTTATAAAGCACAGACAGAGTAGATTTAGCGTAATTATTAAGGGTCCTAGGATTTTCTGAATGGTAAATAAGCATTGACTTCACCGTAAAGTCACCAGTTGTATGAGGCCACAAGAGAGTCACCCTATCCTTTGAAGCCAAGCAATGACTTCTCTCTAGGTATAAAAATCCTAGAAGGCATCTTATTCCAATAGAAGGTTGTTTGGTCTGCATTGAAAATCTGTTGTTTAGCATAGCCACCTTCATCAATGATCTTAGCTAGATCTTCTGGATAGCTTGCAGCAGCTTCTCCATCAAGACTTGCTACTTCACCTTGCACTTTTATGTTATGGAGATGGCTTCTTTTCTTAAATCTCATGAACCAACCTTTGCTAGCTTCAAACTTTTCTTCTTCGGCTTCCTCACCTCTCTCAGCCTTCACAGAATTGAAGAGAGTTAGGGCCTTGCTCTGTATTAGGCTTTGGCTTCAAGGAATGTTGTGGCTGGTTTGATCTTCTATCCAGACCACTCAAACTTTCTCCTTATAAGCAATAAGGATGTTTTGCTTTTTATCATTCATATGTTGACTGGAGTAGCACTTTTAATTTCCCTCAAGAACTTTCCTTTGTATTCACAACTTGACTGTTTGGCACAAGAGGCCTAGTGTTTAGCCTATTTTGGCTTTCAGCTTCCCTTCCTCATCAAGTTTAATCATATCTAGCTTTTGATTTAAAGTAAGAGGTGCACAACTCTTTCTTTGAACTGAACACTTAGAGGCCGTTGTAAGGTTATTAATTGGCCTAATTTCAGTACTGTTGTATCTCAGGGAATAGGGACGCCAAGGAGAGGGAGAGAGATGGAGAAACAGCCAGTCAGTGGAGCAGTCAGAGCACATGTGAAATTTATTGATTAAGTTTGCTGTCTTCCAAGGGTGCGGTTTGTGGCACCCCAAAACAATTACAATAGTAACATAAAAACTCACCGATCACAGATCACTAAAACAGTTATAATAATAATGAAAAAGTTTGAAATATTGTGAGAATTACCAAAATGTGACACAGAGAAGTGAAGTGAGCACATGCTATTGGAAAAATGGCACCGATAGACTTGCTCGATACAGGGTTGCCACAAACCATCAATCTATAAAAAAATACATTATCTGCAAAGCATGGTAAAGTGAAGTGCAATTAAACAAGGTATGCTTTTATATTTTAACCTATAACTATAGTAATTAATACTAAGATTTATTGGCTTTTACACTGTGATGGTGCAAATATAATGGCAAACGGCTGGCACCCTGGCATGAATCAAGGCAGTGGCACCAACTATACTAGTAGTCATCATCTTCTTCAATGCCATTCCCTCACAGTAAAAGATAAAACAAAACAAAAAGAAACAACAAGCAAAATAAAGGGAAAGAGTAAATTTTAGTTAAGAATGTCCTTGATGCTAAGGTAAAAGTGACTAATTTTATTAAATCTCAACCTTTGAACTCACAGAATGTGTGATGCAATGGAAAGCATGAATAAAACAATTCCACTGCACGCTGAAGCATGAGGGTTGTCTCCAGGAAGAGCACTTGTGCAACTGACTTATAAGCTGAACTAGTCTCTTTTATTTTTTTCCTTCAAACACCATTTTTACTTGAAGAATGACTAACAATCAAACTGTGGTTATTCAGATTTGGGCATTCGGCAGACATTTTCTTCAAAATGAACAAAAAGAACCTGTCACTTCAAGGAAAACAACTGATCATATTTGTTACCAAAGATAAAATTTTAGCTTTCAACTGAAAATTGGAAATTTGGAAAACTTATATCTGTTACTGCGAACTTGACAGCTTCCAAACACTTAAGGGCTTTCTAATGAGATCAGTGGCAATATTAGCAAATGTGATTTTTTGATATAATAAAATATATCAACATTTAGAAGATCTACTCAACTCAGTGAATCTGTATTTTCCGAATGACGAATGATACTACAAAATCATGCATGGGTAGAAGATCTATTAAAAGTGCAAGATAGAGCAATGAAGTGTAATGTAACAGCACATGAAAAGTTCGTCAATATACTTTTGGATTCCACATTGCAACTAACCTTTAAGAAATAGCCACTTGTCAAATTTTGTTGTAGTACAAAGGAATACTCACAGTTATCAGAAAAGGCTCTTAAAATACTCTTCCCTTTTCCAATAAAATATCTATGTAATGCTGGATTTTCTTCATATACTTCAACCAAAATATGTCTTAACAATTAGAATGCAGAAGGAAATATGAGAACCCAGCTGTCTTCTATTACGCCAGACATTAAGGAGATTTGCCAAAATATAAAACAATGTCACTTTTTCATAATTTTTTTGTTTTGAAAAATATGTTGCTATGTTGACATGTAATGGATTATTTTTAAATGAATTTTTCAAATACATATTTCTCAAAGTTGTCATTTAAATTTCAAATCAAGTAAATATTGGTAGATATACTCCACATAAACAAAGGTTCTTTGGAGTCCTTGATAATTTTAAAAAATGCAAAGTAGTCCTGAGATCAAAATGTTTGAGAAATGCATCAAGTCAGACTAACAGAAAGCTTTTCACCTGGATCAATTTGTGATGTCTCTTCTTTGGGTTACTATTACTGAACTGAGCTCTTCTAAAGCCTTATATTATCAGACTCCTCTCCTCTCCTCTTCCCTCTTCTCCTCTTAGAAGAGTCTAATCTCTAGTCTCTAGCCTTGGGAAACACTGCAGTATTCACTGTGAGGATTTTATAAGGACTTCATCTATTCTATTTCCCAAGTCCTCTTTTAATGGCCTATGGGGCAAATTTCTCTTTCATATTAGTAACAGAAAAGGCTACATTTCTGAGCAACTAATTTGTCATAATTCTGTGGATGCTCATGGATATTTTATTGGTCATGTTTTCCCCTTTGCTTTGGCTGTTGAGAAGCACAGAGCCAAGAATACATGCTGCCTCTAGAAGATGTGTAGGGCTTTGGCCATTTTATTTAATCTCACTTGAGAATCATCCAGTCCTTATTATCTTCCCTTCATCCTTTTTGTCTCTGCTATTTGTTTTTGCTATGTTTGACAGTATGAATTCTGTAAGCCCCTTTAAAGGCATTTGGAAAATAGAAGAAGAGGAGGGAGAGGAAGAAAAAAAGGCAGAATCTGCAATATAACCCATAAACAAACATGTGGAAGTTTCTCTACTTATCTAGAATGCCTGGAAAATCAATATCCTTTAAGCCCCCTGCGTGCAGATGAGAAACATTAAACCAGGATGTCAGAAAGAACCATGGCAACAGGTTAGCTTTGTTACCTGAGGAGGAGAGACATAGTTTTTCTTGTGCATCCTGACAGGAGTCCAGTTCTTTATCCCCATAGTTAATCGCTTTCCTATGAGAAGGTTACAAGCCTTTTCTATTACTCCAAGGATGAGAATGATGAAGAAAAGAAAGCAGGAAAAATTAGTGAACTGAGAGACCAAGTGGCCAGGGTAATGCCCCTTTGGAACTATGTAAGTCTCTTCTGGGTCAGGACAAGGTCAAGGAGGCAGGTGCATAATATGACTGTGATTCCAATTATTAGGATAAGCCCTGGGGTGTAGGACAGAAAACCCAGGTTCCAGTCCTAATTCTATCACTAACAAACCATGTGATTTTGGGTAAACTGTTTAGTATTTTGGGCCTCTGTTGTTTTTTTTTTTCATTTATAAAATGATTATAATGCCTACTTTACCTAGAATTTGAGTATCATGGGAGACCATGGAAACGGATATAATCTTGAAAAGGCCAAATGATCTTTAAATTTGCAGTTCTATGCCTGAGGATGACTCCAGGGAGCACAAATCCAATATGCACCATGTCATTGCTATGGCCTTTTAGACATTTTAATTCATTGAACTAGTTCAACTGGAAAATATACTTACCCTCAAAGAATACAACAGCTAGAATATTCATAAATCTAGTTAATGAAGTTGTGCCTATAAGTGCCTTATGTTTGTGCAGTGTTCCACAGGGCCTAAACCCCCAGTGTAATATCTGATATTGTTTATGCCCTTATCTAAGGTCAGTGCTAGATCCCATTCCCTCCTGTCATCTCACAGACATCATTTTAGCAATTTGCCACTCTCTTACATGATTTTTTTTACTTAGTGCTGCATAACTCCCATTAGCATATAACCATGCTATGACATTAATTAACCAGACTTCTGATTACCTACCCACCCCTTGCCCCAACCTATCCTTTCTGTAGCTCCTCACATCTCATAAATCCAACTCCAATCTTTTGGGGATTCAAAATCCCAGAGGCCTCTTTAACTCATCTTTCTCTCATACATTCAAATATTTGGCAAATCCTGTTTGCTCTGTCTTCACGCTAAATCCAAAATCTGACTGCTGTCTCCCCAGTCCATGCTATGATCTTCTGATCACTAGCATCTATCCTTGCTTCCCATTTAGTCCAGCTTACCTGAGGAAGCCTTCTAAACTATAAGTCAGATCACGTCTGCTCCCTCACCTTTTCTACCACTGACTTTCACCTCACTTAAAACAAAACTCAAGTCCTGTCCATGGTTTTCAAGGCCTTTATATCATTTGGTCTCCTCACTACCTCTTCTGTTTCATCTCCTATCAGACTCTCCCTCACTTAGTGCCCTTGATCCACACCAGGCTCCTTGCTGTTCCTCGAACATGGCAAACAAGGTCCTGTCTCCAGGCCTTCAGACTTGATGAACTCTCTTTGTCTAGAACACTGTCAGAAAGAGTATCAAATGGCCTACTTTCTTACTTCCCTTAGATTAATCACCACCTCATCAAACAGGTCCTACTGGACACCATATTTAAAATAGTAACGCTCTTCAATTTCCATTTGCTCACATTGCTCTGTTTCTCTTTATACTATTTCTTCACTTAATGGGATATATAGTTATTGGTCTTTATTCTGGGGGATGTGCCTTTGGGTGATTGATAAAACGAAGTTTAGCTCCTTCTCAATTTTGTGAACATCTCTATTGCTCTAAAGGCAGCTATTTCTAGCCATTGCCAAGCTTGGATGGAGGTATATGTTTGGAAATGGCATACAGGCAGATATATGTTCCTCTTGCAAGGTAGATTTTATGAAGAGAAGGACTTGGTCAATGATATTCTCTGTTATATCTCCAGTGCTGCAGACACATGGTTGATATTCAATAAATATTTTGGGAATGAATGCATAAATAAACATATTAAGGGTTAAGTAAATGCTCATTCCTCCATACACTCTTACATGTATTATGTTAATACCCAACTTTTGCTTGCCAGTAATCTGTTAGGTATTAGGCAAGTGTTATTTCCCTCAATTTATGATTGTTTGGTCCAATAGGTTTTTTTCTGGAGTGACTATTTTTCCCGTGGTGGGCCTCGGGATATAGAGACAACAAAAACACAGGCCATGCCCTCATAGTCAGGGTCACAGATGTTTTTCATCCTAATATGACATGTTATGGAAACAGCAGGGAGAGGGCCTCAGTCCAACTGGATCCAGTGAAGGATTTTTGAAGGGGATGACAGCTGAACTGAACGTTGAGAATAAATATAAATGAGTTTGGTGGGAAAAGAAGGGAACAATGTCTCCTCTGGAAGAACACAGTTCAGGAGGAAAGGTCAAGCAGTTCAGTCTCACTAGGCTCTTAGGGGTTGGGTGGAGGGTAAACAGAGATCACACTGGTGAAAGAGGTAGGATACAGCCATAGGGGGCCTTGTGTGGATGAAGAGCATAAGCCCCATTTTTCTCACAACTTTTAACACCTGAAAGGTTTTAGATAAGGGAATGACATGACTAGATGTGTAATTATAAGTATTGCAGCTGAAGTCAGAGTTTGTCTCTAAAGTGCCCATCAATGGATGATTGAATAAAGAAAACGTGACGCGTGTGTGTATACACATAAATATATATGTATATAAATATAAATATATGTACACATATACATATAAATACATTATGTACATATAAATATATGTACATGTAAACACATGTACATATAAATATGTATGCACATAAATATATATGTATATACACACATACCATGAAATACTAATCAGCCGTAAAAAGGAATGAAATCATGTCTTTTGCAGCAACATGGATGGAACTGGAAGCCATTATATTAAGTGAAACAATTCAGAAACAAAAAGTCAAATACTGCATGTTTTCACTTATAAGTGAGAGATAAATAATGTGTATGCATGGACATAGAATGTGAGATAATTGACACTGGAGATATAGAAGGGTGGAAGGGTATCGCGGGGTGAAGGATGAGAAGTTACTTAATGGGTACAATGTACACTATTCAGGTGATGGTTACCCCAAAAGCCCAGACTTCACCACTACACAATATATCCATGTAACATTAAGTATACTTGTACCCCTTAAATTTATACAAATAAAATATTATAAGCCTCATTGAAAAATCAGGATGTGATCCAAATATTCTGACCTTGAATGTAGGTCTCTTCCCCACTGTACTACTCTGCCTGTATAACATTTCCAAACATATACCTCCATCCAAGCTTGGCAATGTCTGGAAATAGCTGCCCTTAGAGCAACAGAGATGTTCACAAAATTGAGAAGGAGCTAAACTTCATTTTATAAATCACCCAAAGGCACATCCTTTAGAATAAAGGCAAAAGAGGAATGTTTTCACTGGCTTTCCCTTCTTCAGAATCACAGTGGATCACATCTTGTTTTGTTCTCCTACCTTAGGTTTTAACCTGCCTTACTGACATCCCTACATCCTGAACCCACACTATATCATTGCTCTGGTTTTGGTGGCAGTTGTTAGGTCTGATATTATCAGCATAGATAGGGGATTTAATATTGTTCTCATTGAAAGCTCCCTTTTCACTCTTTTCACCTCAATCCCAATAGCATAGCAATGCTATTTTTAGTTCATAACTCTACTCAATAAGTAGTGTTTTACATGTTATTCTGTAGTCCCCATCCTCTATTTTTAATAATACTGGGCTTCTCCCCAGATTCCCGTGATATGTTAAGTGCCAATATTTAATCTCATTGGCATGTGCCACAGACAAGGGTCTCCTCATCATTCTACAGTTTTCATAGAAATGTCTTAACATGGATATCAATAGAGAATTTCCCATATTTCTAATAAATGCCAGTTTAATTATCTAAATGTCAAATTCACTACATTTCATAGGATAAAGCAATATGACACTCTTTTTAATTTTTTTTTTATTTTAAGTTCTGGGATACATGGGCAGAATGTGCAGGTTTGTTACTTAGGTATACATGTGCCATGGTGGTTTGCTGCATCCATCAACCCATCATCTAGGTCTTAAGCCCCGCATGCATTAGGTGTTTGTCCTAATGCTCTCCCTTTCCTTGCCCCCCACCCCCTACAGGCCCTGGTGTGTGATGTTCCGCTCCCTGTGTTCTCATTGTTCAACACCCACTTTTGAGTGAGAACATGCGGTGTTTGGTTTTCTATTCCTGTGTTAGTTTGCTGAGAATGATGGCTTCCAGCTTCATCCATGTCCCTGCAAAGGACATGAACTCATTCTTTCTTATGGCTGCATAATATTCCATGGTGTATATGTGCCACATTTTCTTTATCCAGTCTATCATTGATGGGCATTTGGTACAACACTCATTTTAATGTGCCAAGGAGGTGGATGTAGTTGGGAAAATGCCGAACATTTTGTAGGACCTGAAGTGTGATATAAGAGGTGGACTGAGTGGAGGATGGATTATTTCTTTACAGGAAGAATTCTTGATATAATAACTACTCATATAACTCACAAAAGATTTGGATCTGTAAAGTAAGTGAAAAGACAGTGTCAAGAGGATTGTGCTTACTCATTGTCTCCTTCCCCCCGTCTCTCTTGACTGAACACATTCATTCAATTCACTCTTGCTCTCCAATAATTCATCTTCCCTTAAGTTCACTATGACCTTCATGTTGCCAAATACATTTCTCAGTTCTTAGTCCTCATCTGACTGGTCTCATCGTTAAGATCTTTATTTGGCTTATAAGTTACTCTTCTCTCTTAGTTCTCCTTCTGCATTGACAGTTCATTCACTCAGCCTCCTAGACTGATTCCTACTCCTATCTCCAAAACTACATACAGAAGTGAAAAGACTGTGAAGCTAATTGGCTTTAAGATGCAGGGGCCTGCACTTAAAAAAGCTCATTCTAAGGCTCTTGGGAAAGCCCTAGCAACGTGTTCTTATAACCCTTCAGCTTTGTAAAATTTGCAAAAATTAGATATTTTAACTGCAAACAGTTAAAAACCGCTGGCTCTTTCTACTTCAACTTTCACTCCATCACACTTTCCCTTGAGTTGAGTGATGCTGGAGTGGCCATGGGCAATTTTGAGATCCAGCTAAAGGGAAATTGAGTTGAGAATATATTTAGTTTGGGTTACATTCACAGTCACTTCCATATATAGCTAAGTTACTGCTAGCTGTAGAAATGGCTTCTAGAAAGACATTTACTGCCCACTATGCTGACTCACCAGATATGTTGACATGAAGATGCAGAGCCAGAGTTCATATCAGGATATGAACCTATCTTATGGTGCCCAGCTCATGAAGTGGTGCTCGGCTTCATTACCAGAAGCTAGTCTGTGAGAAAATTCTTCATTTTCTTTCTCCCACATTCGACCCGTTAAGCAATTCTTGTTGGCTTTACCTTCAAAATATGTTTAGACTCTGACCACTGATGATTTACCATATCCCCGGTCCAAGTCTCAATAATCTAATCTCTTGCCCCGATTATGGCAACAACTTCCTAACTGGTCTCTCTGTGTCTATGCTTGTAACTCTATAGTTGCCAAAAGAATATCTTAAAACTACAATGTCATTCCTAAATTTATTCCCCCCTCCCGGCAATGGCTTCCCATCTTAATCAGAATAAAACCAAAGGCTTTTTCGATTTACGTGATCTTGTTCCTTGCCTATCTTTTTGAGCTCATCTCTGAATGCTACAGCTTTGCCTGTTGCCTTTCATCCACACTGACCTCTTTGCTATTTCTTGAACATGCCAGGTGTATTCCTACTTCAAGGCCCTTGCTCCTGCAGTCCTCTCTGCTGCACAATCTTCCCCCAGATAACTGAATGGCATGCTCCTTCACTTCAACTCAGGTCTTTGCTTATATGCCACCTTCTCAAAGACATCTTTGACCACTCTGTCATAAATAATAGCCTCCTTCATTACTTACTATACTTTTACCCTGCCTTCATTTCCTACATAGCACTTAAAAACTCAAAACTTCCCAACATATCTCTATGCCTTTATTTGATCACTACCTGTCACATGAAGAAACTGAGGTCAAGTAAGGTTAAACCAAATCATCAGCATACTGTGGCTCTTTATAGATGACAGAACAGAGAGAACAGAGTTTATTTATTTTCTTCTTCTCTTACTAGAATGTAAGGTCCTTGAGAGTGAAGAATTTCTATGCTTTGATGACTGCTGTATCTTCAGCTCTGGATAGTCTCAATAAATATCTGTTGAGGGAATGAACAAAGAAATAAGAATGGCATCACGTTTTTCATTTTGTTCATGATAAAAAATATCAAATGACATATTTAGGAGAATAAATGATACACCAGAAGGAACCATAATTATGAGGAAAGAAGACTCTAGCTCAATAGAGTCATGGTTCAAATGAGCCTGCAAAAATCTTTGCCTCCAATGCCAAGCTTCACTGCATTTAATATACCCTAAAAACATATATACTGGGCTAATTTCCATTTTTTAAGTTATTGACTTTATTTCTTAACCGCATTTTCACAAAAACCCAAATGAACAAATAAACAACAAAAATGAATAGCTTTTAAAAAAATTACAGAAATAACAAGGACAAAACAAAAAGTATAAAAACTTGATTTGAGGAAAAAATAATTATATATAAAAAAAGAATACATAGAACATTTCATTATAAATACATAAATATGTTTATGAAAATGTGAGTCTAAATCCCTAGAAGTCTAAGGTCAAAGCAAAGAGGAAAATGTGAGAAAGTACATGGCTCTTCTTACCAGAAAGGAGTATTGACATCACCTAGAGGAATTCAAGTTTTTCCCAGTTCCAAAGGTAGAAATATGATTACCTTCCTTTTACATTATTTATTTTTGCTGTGCTTTCAACAAATGATGAATAGCAGGGAGTTTAAATTATATTCTCTAATGAGTGACCAAATAATGGCATTCTGCTGTTTAAGTGCAGATTTGTAAACTGTGGGACAGGACAAAAAGGTTGAACTTTTTATCCTGAATATGAGCTAGCATTTGTGCCAATAGAAGATCAGCTCCTTTTCCATATTGGAGTGGAATAACTGTGGGAAATGCCAGAATCTTCATCCAAAGCAATATCTTACTTAGACTCCTAGGAAAATAAAAATGATAAAAAGTCGCATTATATGCTTATATCAAAATATCACATATACTCCATAAATTTGTATGACTATTATGTATCGATAAAAATTAAAAATTAAAAAATGGAAATTAAAAAATGATAAAAGCTACTATTTATTGAGTGCACATTATTTCATTTAATTTTTCAATCACTACCTCTTGTTTCATTGATGCACAATTGAGTCTTTGAAAGGTTAAGCCACTTAACCTAAAATCATACAGCTTTTAAGTGGAGAACCTCAAATTTTAAATTTGAGTCTGTGTAACTCCACACTATGCTGATTTCCCTAACTTGTTTCATTTTCTGGCAGCCAATTTAGCAACTTACATTTATACAGTTCAAAATTCTTTAGTATCAAATGTAAACCATAACTATTTTTTCAGCCCCTTTCCTCTGGTCTGTCTTTGATGAAAATGTACAACATGCTGGTAATTTGGGTTAACCTTCCTCAATCTCAGCATCCTAATGTGAAAAATGGTGACTTCATAGAGGCTTAGAAATATATTGGGAAAGTTTGGTAGAATTTGAGGAGTGTTTAGGACATCTAGCTAAAGAGTGCAGATATGTGGAAGACATTAGTTCCCCTAATGTTGTGTTTCAAGCCTTTCTTTGATTCATGTCATGGTCTCTACCTCTCACATTCACTCAACCTCCATTGTTAAGTGGTGCTAAAAGCTCAGAATTGTAAGAATAATATTGAAAACTGAGGTGCCTTGCTGTCTGAGAACGAGGATATTTTGAGGTTGTCTAGGAAGCCAATATTAGAAGCTAAATGTTGTCTAATTGTGTGATGTCTTAGTTTGGATTCTCAAAGCAGATCCTGAGACAAGGATTTCAGTGCAAGTAGTTTATTCAGGGGTGGATAGAGGTGCAGGCAGGGAAATGGAGAACTAATACTGGGAAGAAAAGGCAGCCAGAAAAGAAAAGTGTAGTATTAAGCTAGTTGCTATAATGGGCAACTGGTGCTTAATCTCAGACAGAAACTCTTGAGAAATGGCGTAAAAAAAAAAAAAAAAAGAAAAAGAAAAAGAAAAAGAAAAATACCACAGCTCAGAATTAGCCCACTCCATAGTCAATAGAACTGGGGTATTTATACAGCAAATCCTGTAAGTCGTTTGTTAAGGGCTGCTGGGGCAGGGGAGGTGTTAATCGCCTGGCATTTTCAGCCTGCTACACATGAGTAAGCAGAGCAGCCTTTCCCAGTTCTGACACAAAGCCTTTGGATACAGAGATGCAGATACCAGCCATTGAACGTTGAACAGAGGACACTGAAATAGTAAGGTCTGAGGGATCTGGGTGGGCGACTAATAGGGTTTGCTGAACAAGAAACATTTGGGGGTGGTATCACCGTCAGGACAACTAATCAGGCAGAAATAATTTGATATTTATGGAGTTACCTCAGTTTGCTGTGCAGATAGTTTAAAATTGATGCATTAATTGAACAATATTTACTCTGAATTGAACAAACCGACAATCGACAATCAAGGATCAACAAGCTTTTTCTACAAAGGGCCAGACAGTAAACAATTTAGGTTTTGAGGGTCATATAGTCTCTGCCACACAACTCAGCTCTGTTTTTGTAGCACAAAAGCAGCTATAGACAATCATAAATGAATGAGGGTGACTGTGTCCCAGTAACACTTTATCTATGGACACTGAAATTTGAGTTACATATGATTTTCACATGTCGTAAAATATTCTTCTTCTGTTTTTTTTCTAACTATCTAACACATATCTTTAAAAAAATCCTTAGCTTATAGGCTATGTGGAAACAGGCTGTGGGCTGGATTTGGCCTGTGGGCTGTAGTTTGCGAAGCCCTATGTGGTTTTATCTGGTTTAAAAACTAGGGGTCTTCTTTTTTATAATTGTGTGTTCATCACTTCAGGGGTTTTCTTAGAGTTACAAATATGACCCAGGGCACTGAACATACAGCTGATTTTGTCAAGAACATCTGAATAGAGTTGGAATCCCAAATAGCTGTATAACAAAATATTGAAAATGATGAAGTTTGGTTATTTCCAGCTATGGTGTGTGGGTTTATTTTTCATAATATGAGCTGCTGAACTGAAATGTATGATTAAAAAAACAAATGTCAAGTAAATGGTAGGTAACTATGAGATGTCAAGAGTACCACCAATTTACTTGATTTATTTTATTCATTCAGAGAACAGTACTAATTACAAGCAATATTTGTTCAATTACAACAATTACTCATGAAAACCTTTTGTAGGTGCTAACCATTTGCGGTTGAAACTTCTGCCAAAGGAGCTGCGGTCAGTAGTCCTAGTGGTACAGTCTCTGAAAAACGCACATGATTTCTAGGAGGGAGAGGGCTAGCAATTATACATATGCCACATCTAGGGATGATCAATGTCGGAGGACACCTGTACCAAAAACTTAATATTCTGCCCTTTCGCCTAATCGCTCTCATCCTTAGGAACCAGAAAATTAATGAATGGGAAGAGAAGAACAAGGAAGATAGGAGCAGGCGACCATGCCCTCTCCCACACTAGGGACATCCACAAATCAAGTGGGTATGAGCTGGAGTGGTTTATAACACTAGACCAGACGGGAGTTTTGATTAACATACTGATTAGGTGTTTTGAAGTACTAAATTGAATGTATTCTTGTGACTGAATATGACAAGAGGGCTTTTTGTTATATAATACTAATTATAAAATCTAGAGACCAATCTAGGATTTCATTCAGAGATAAGGAAAGAATTATTCAACAAATTAAAAGAGACAGTGAAATAAATGAAGTTGTTTTCTGCTTGCATCCTAATTTTTTTGTTTGTTTGTTAGGGGAAAGCCAAAATTCAATGCGGTAATCAGATTGGGATGGTGTTCAATAAACAGTGCTTAAATTCTAGACTGGGGCAGAATAGAAATAATGAAAAACTGACTTAATTAGTCAGACGCATAGTCAGAAATGTGTTAACACATCTGACTGGATGTGTTAATGGGGAGCAAATCTATTCTCTACCATTGATGTTCAGAACTATTCTAGCTCTTCTCTCCTAACTAGATGACATTTCTAGCACAGATCCAATAATTTTTAAATTTTTTTCTCTGACATGGGGAAAGTCAGATTTCTAGGTATTAAAAAGTCAATTTGAGTGAAAACGTCACTCTCTAATGAATTCAAAGCATTTTCCCATTCCCACAGCTCAGGCCTCCCTCAGGCTCAGAAACACGTAATGGAAAAGGGGCCACATTATGCCTTTTTATCCTTTTTATTTTTGCCTATTCATCAGCTACTGCTTTTGGTTTCTGTAGGAATTAAGTGGGGGCATTACATATTGCAGTCATTAATACAGTTTACCAAATCATTTTAGTTCTCTCCCCTTTCAAGCACGTGGTAAAATTGCATTTCCCTACCCTCTTAACAATAGATGTGGCCATGTGATTTGCCTTGATAAATGAAATGTAAGTAGAAGGGATGTGTGTTATGTCCAGGTGGAAGCTTTAAGAGGCATTGCATAAGTTGCCATATTCTCTTCACTGCTGTGGTGATCATGGAAACAGGTGAGATATCGAGATAAAACCTCAATGGGGTCAACTCATGTTGAACATGCAGTGTAGTGTGAGCAAAATACTTTTTAAAACTGTTTTACATTATTGATTTTGGGATTATTTGTCACTATAGAAGTACATAGTCTATCGTGACCAACGTACTACACATCACATTGACACACATTAAAAGAAACAAAAATATAACAGTTGAGAACTTGTAGCCACCTGATACCATATCCTTAAAATATATAACATTTTTAAAGCCAGGATTATAAGAGAAGTTGAGAAATCTACAATCATGGGGGAACTTTAATATACCTCTATTAGACAAGGAGACACAAATGTTAGTAAGAATTTTTAAAGTTTGAGCAGAAAAACTAATAATCTATATCTAATGGGTATATACAGAATAGGTAGAGAATATACTTTCTTTTCAAGTTCACATAAAGCATTTATGAAGATTTACCTCATACTAGGTTACAAAGTAGTTTCAGATTTCAAAGAGCCAATATCATATAGATAATTTTTGCTTATTACAATTTACTAATTAACAATAAAAAGAGAGTAAATACAAACAGATACATATATAAACAATATACACATTTGAAAACTTCACATGTACATCTGAATGATTTATGGATCATTTTGAGAATTATATAATATCTAGAAATAAATAACAATGAAAGTACTACCCATGAAAATCATTAGATGTAATTAAATATGTATTCGATGTTCATATTTTGTAAAGCTGGATGGTGATGTATGAAGTTTATTATATTATTTTCTTTTCATATTTTATGTTTAGAATAATTGATAATAATATTAATAAATAATTTTTAAGTGAAAACATTGGCCTTGGTTATTGCAAAGACTTCTTGCAACTAAAATAAATGGATTGGCCAGGTGCGGTGGCTCACGCCTGTAATTCCAGCACTTTGGGAGGCTGAGGCGGACGGATCAACTGAGGTTGGGAGTTCACGACCAGCCCGACCAACATGCAGAAACCCCGTCTCTACTAAAAATACAAAATTAGCCAGGCCTGGTGATGCATGCCTGTAATCCCAGCTACTGGGGAGGCTGAGGCAGGAGAATCGCTTGAATCCAGGAGGTGGAGGTTGTGGTGACCCAACATCGCGCCATTGCACTCCAGCCAAGGCAACAAGAGCTAAATTCCATCTCAAAAATAAATAAATAAATAAATAAATAAATAAATAAATTTATTTAACAACTTATAAATATGGTAGACAATTTCTCTCAAAGATCATCTAATGAGCAAATTATTTGATTGACTTTTCTGTGTCCTCTTAATGGTTAGTTTATTTAACTTGCATCTTATGATCTGTTAGTACATGAAAGGTATTGAATATATCACAATGTATTTTTTTTTCTTTGCTCAAGAAACACTGTTTAAATATGCTATGGCCTCCTAAGTAGATTACCAGTAATAAACAGGGCATTAATTTGAGAATAAGAGTCAGTAAAATCATTAAATAGATTTCTTATTGCATACCCAAACACAATGTGGTCCTACTACAGTCTACGCTGTCTAGCTCTGTAGGAAGGAAGCATCTGATTTTTGTTTTGATCTTCTGTATTTTGGAGTAACATAGAAATGATTTCACTTTTCCATGAGGTAAACATAGGTTCTTAATTTGAATTTATTGATCTATGTCCATATTGAGGTGGCAAAAACTGTTAGATAAGGTTGCCCAAGTTTGATTTACCTGGGCTGTCGCTACCCATTACATTGCTCAAACCTGTAACTTGGATAAGCACTCACCATCTATCTTTCTTCTTGTTCATCACTAGTTTATTTTCATCCTGGCCTGGCGCTCTCGTTTCATCTTGATGATTGAGCAACTCTCTCACTGGATCTCTTCAGAGATGCGTTTGCTCATATGAAGATTTGCAACATAAAATTTGAATCACGATATAAATCACAGGTCATTTTCTTAAGAAGCAAGTCTCAGCAAAATATTTTCTCATAAAGAAAGAGAATTTGAAGAGACAATTTGGAAAGCAACCTGTTGACCTATAATGCATTTGCTCCTTTATGTACCTGACTCATTCTGATTAAAAGTATGTGTGCAGAGGAATGACGTCAGCACAAGAGGCAGGGTAAGCAACTCTAAAAGTCTATCCCTCATTAAAATCAACTAAAAAATGGGGAAAAAAACCTGTCAGAATCAATATTTTTGGAATGCTGAAAACTAACAAAAGCTTGCAACAACCCACGGAGCATTTATTCAAGAAAAACTGCTGAATCTTTATAATTATAGTGAGCTTTGTGGTGTTTTAACTTACACTAGTTCTATCCTTTTTTCCTCAGCTCAGCAGTAGCCTTGACAATAGAAGCCTGCATTGCCAGTTCCAGCACTGAAGAAGCAGAATAGACCTCTTTTGCAAAGATCGTCCTTGGTCTGCCTGGTGGTTCCTTGGAAGGTTGGCTCAAAAGATTTGTTTTATCTTACCTAAGTCAGAAGTCACCCAGGACTAAAGCCACTACTTGGAAACCGTTGCTCAAAAACATTTACAGGCAAATATTTTTTCCCCTGTCACATGAGGCAATGGAAAACAGGGAAAACAATATACTAAGCAAAATGATTGATCAGAAAGGCTGGGAATGAGATATTTCGGGGAACAAAAGTTTTGAAAAGCTCCAACATATTCCAAAAATCTAGAAGGCCATGGACATGCACAGGGCTGTCTGCATGCTCAGGAAAGACTTGAAAAAGCCATAAGCTCTCACCTCTGGCTGATCCTCAGGCTCTGTGCAATCAGAAAGTGAAAGCTATAGCTGAGTTGTAAATTGCCAGGCTGAATATTGAAGTCATGCATCAAAACAGACACTTCTGCAAAGATTGGGAAATTTTTTTGTTCAGGATATTTATAGAAATCTTTGTTAAATCTTTAGCTGATGACTAAGCTAATGGAACAGAGACTTCAGGGGGCACACATGACAAATAATACAGAATTAATTTTAGTGATTTTTTAAAACTAGTTTTGTAAATTAGCTTAATTTTTTAAAACTAGTTTTAAAAAATCACTAAAATATAAACAACAACTACAACAAGCAGAAAAAGCAAACTCCGAAGAGGGGAAGAATCTGATTTCCAGAGTTTCCATGCTGTAATATCCAACTTGTCAAATTTGCAACAAAAATTTGGGGGCACGAAAAGAAACAGGAAAATATGGCCCATACACAGAAAAAATAGCAATTAATATAACTGGCTCCTAAGAAAGCCCAGACATTAGACTTGTAAGACAAAGACTTTAAAGTAGCTATTTTAAATATGTTCAAAGAGCTACAGGAAATCCTGCTTAGAAAAAGAAAAGCACGAAAACATCTCATAAAATAGAGACTAGAAATAAGGGGATAGAAATTATTAAAAGATACCAAATAGAAATTTAAGAGTTGAAATGTACAATAACTAAAATGAAAAATTCATCAACTGAAGATTGGGCAGGCAGAAGAAAATATCAGTTAATTTGAAGATAAATCAATTAAGATTATCCAATCTGAGGAGCAGAAAGAGAATAAAGAAAAAAATGAATACAGCATGAGAGATCTGTGAGACATCATCATATATACCAACATACACATAAGAGGAGTCCTAGAAGGAGAGGGAAGAGAAAAAAGGCAGAAGAATATTTAAATAAATAATGGCTCAAAACTCCCCAAATTTGTTGAAACACATTAATCTACACACCCAAGAAATTTAACAAAACCCAACAGGATAAACTCAAAGAGATTTACCCCTAGACAAATCATAATCAAACTATTGAAAGAAAAAGACAAAGATAATTTTGAAAGTAGCAAGAAGTCAGGAATGAAATTAAGGACATTTTTACTGACCTTACAGAGGTGAAAATAATTATAAGAGGATGCTATGAACAACTGTATGGCAAAAAGTTACATAACTTAGATAATACAGACAAATTCCTAGAAAGGCACAAACTACTGAAACTGACTCAGAAGAAATAGAAAATCTGAATAGACATATAACAAATAAGGAAGTTGGATTAATAATCGTAAAACTTCCCAAAAGAAAAGTTCAGGAGCAAAATGGCTTCACTGGTGAATTTTACCAAATATTAAAAGGAGGGTTAAGACTAATCCTTCTCACTCTTCCAAAAAAAAAAAAAAAAAAAACGAAGAGGAAGGAATGATTTTTAACTCATATCATGAGGCTAATACTACTTCAATACAATGCCGAAAACATGTAGCTTTTTTTTAAGAAAAACACTACAGCCTAATATCCCTAATGTATATACATGCAAAAATCTTCAACAAAGTACTAATAAACCGACTACAGCAGAACATTGGAAGGATTATACGCCATTACCAAGTGAAATTTATCCCAGGAATGCAAGGGTAGTTCAACATTTAAAAATTAATCAATGTAATACACCATATTAATAAAATGAAAGAAACAATACATGTGATCACTTCAATAGACAAAGAGAAAGCATTTGACAAAATCCAATATGCTTTCATGATAAAAACACTTAGCAAACTGGGAATAAGGAAGACATTCTCAATTTAATAAAGGGTTTCTATAAGAAACCCACACCTAACATCATACTTAATGTTGAAAGTCTGAAAGCTTTTCTTCTAAAATCAGGAAAAAGGCAAGGATGTCCATTGTTGTCACTTCCTTTCAACTTTGCATTTGAAATTTTACCCAGGGAATTAGGGGGAAAAAGAAAAGAAAAAAGAAACAAAATGCATCCACACAGGAAAGGAAGAAATAAAACTATCCCTATTTGCAGATGACATGATCTTATATGACAAGCTGATATTAAAACTCATTTGGAATTGCAAGGGACCAAAAATGGCCAAAACTCTTTAAAAAGAAGGACAAAGTCAGAGCATTCACACTTTTCAATTTCAAAACAATGGTATTCAAACAGTGTGGTATTGGCATAAGATATCTCTATGTCTACCTGTCTATTTATCTATCTATCTATCATCTATCTATCTATCTATCTATCTATCTATCTATCTATCTATCATCTGTCTGTCTATCTACCTATCTATCTATGTAATCTCAATGCAATAGAAGTGAGAATCCAGAAATGAGTCCGTCCATCTACAGTCAACTTATTTCTGCAATGGTGTCAAGACCATTTAATAGGGAAAGAATAGTTTTTTCAACAAATGGTGCTAGGACAACTGGATATCCAGGTGCAAAATAATGAAGCTGAACCCCTATATTACACCATATACAAAAATTAACCCAAAAAGAATCAGGGACCTAAATGTAGCACTAAAACTACCAAATTCTGAGAAGGAAACATAGATGTATATCTTTGTGAACTTGGACTAAGCAGTGGTTACCTAAATATGACACCAAAACCATATATATCAAAATAAAAAAATGGATAATTTTTATTTCATCAAAAATTTAAAAGTTGTGTATCAAAAGAAACTATTAATTGAGTGAAAAGACAGCCCACACAATGGGAGAGAATATTTGCAAATCATATGTCTGCTAAACGTCTAGTATTCCGAATATATAAAGACCTCCTACAACTCAACGATAGACGAGTAACAGTTAAGAATGGGCAATGCTTTTTAATAAACATTTCTCCAAAGAAGGTATGGCCAGTAAGAACCTGGAGATATGCTCAGCATCATTAGTCATTAGGGAAATGCAAAGCAAAACTACAATGGGCCAGGTGTGGTGGCTCACCCCTATAATTCCAGTGCTTTGGGAGGCCAAGGCAGGAGGGTTACTTGAGCCCAGGAGTTGGAGACCAGCCTGGGTAACATAGTGATACTCCATCTCTACTAAAAATAAAACCAATAATGAGGTAGCACTTCATGCTCACTAGAATGGGTATAATTTTTTTAAAATGAAAAATAACAAGAGTTGGCAAGGGTATAAACAATTTTAGTTCCTGTACATTGCTAGTGGGAATGTAAAATGGTGCAGCTGCTATTGAAAATAGTTTTGCAGTTCCTCAAAGTTAAATATATAGTTACTATAGGACCTAGTAGTTCCACTCCTGCGAATATACTCCTCCAAAATTAAAAACCATGTTCTCATAAAAATTTGTACACAAATCTTCGTATGAATATCAATATTCATAATAGCCGAAAAGTAAAAACAACCCAAATGCCTGCCAACTGATGAATGGATAAATAAAATGTGGTATATTTATGCAATGGAATATTATTTAGCCATAAAAAGGAATAAAGTTTTATAGATGAACCTTGAAAACATTTTGCTAAGTGAAAGAAGCCACAAAAGGAAGGCCACATAATGTATCAATGTATCATTCCATTCATATGAAACGTACAGAAGAGGCAAATCCACAGAGACAGAAAGCAAGGTAGTTCTTACCAAGAGGTGGGGGGAAGGGATACTGGAAGGTATAGAATTTCTTTTTAGGATGAAGGAAATCTTCTGGAATTAAATAGATTAAATAGTGATGTTAGTTTTACAGTATTGTAAATATACTAAATCCCACTGAATTGTACACTTTAAAATGGTTAAAATTGTGAATTTTATGTAATGTAAATTTTATCTCAAGAAAAAATTAAAAATAAAGTATGAGTGCATTTTCAGTTTTTAGAATTTGTTTTAAGAAATTTAGTTAACAAATCATTAGAACCTTATGGCACAAGAAGTGTATTAAGCACTGAGAGAAATCAGAGAATGACCAGTGTATGCACCTGTTCTCTAGGGGTAAGACACCTAGGGCAGTGCTTCTCAAATGTTCATGTGCACCTAAATCTGCAGTGGAGATCTTGTTAAAATGAAGGCTGTAACTTTTTAAATCTGGGGTCAGGACCAATATTTTCCATTTTTAAGAAGATCACATATGATACTAATGTACCTGGCCCCTGTACCACTGTTTGTGTAGCAATGTTCTAGAGGAAAGTGTGCTTCAATAATAACTACTATATTCATGGTAAAAAGCCACCTGAATTATGAGATATTAAAATCTTTGCTGTGCTCTACAAGAGGGTCAAATAAATAGTCTCTCTTTCTTTCCACACCCTCAAGAGATTTTGAGTAATTTGAGAAAAAAAATGTAAAAGAATGATTGAGAGGCCAAATTACGAACTTTTATCACTAATAAAGGCTAAATAGGAGGGTATAGCCAACTAATTAGGCAGATTAACTCACTCTGTCACAGGCAAAATTGGGTCAAAACTATGCTACTGAGTTCCAGAGATCTTCTGCTACCCAAAAGTAGGATTGCCCTCAAGGAGAAAAACGGCAGAGCTGAGCTGAGGTTGCCCAGTTTATTTGCCCCAAGCTTATCAATCATATTAAACAACTTCTCTCCCATGAAGAGTAAATTGGGAAAGAGAATCCAGGGAGAAGAGAAGAAAGCAATCCCCTCAAATAGTCGATCAGCAAACTCTTTTGGTAATATAAGGTGAGGAGGGCTTAATTCTGAACAATAAACATCCAAGATACCTTCTTGGAAATGGCATTTTCTCTTCAGCTGAGTTTAAAGGTTTGTGGGAAGAGAAGAGGTTTCCAAGCGGAAAGACATCAGAAACAAAAATTCGCAGATTTCTTGTGCATCTGGTCCATATCTGACCTAGCTAATTGTCAAATGCTATATTATTGTTACATCAACTAGGGTTTAGGTAAAAAGTGAGCCAATCCCTAAAATTACTCCCTTCCTCAAAATGGTGCCACAATAATTAGGGGTTAATAACCAGAATGAGTGTGACACAATTAATTAACAAAACAATGAAGTTCATACTGACATTATATAAGTCTGCCAAATTCACTCTAAGCCTAAGGTAACAATCCACAAATAAGAGGTAATTTTCAGAAACTAGAAGAAGCACAAGAGCATTAGGATGCTCAACACATCAATGTCCTAATCAGAGATAAAATTGCATCGACCAGGGGACAGGACTTCCAGAATGGTGGAGTGAAGAGCTCAGTAAGTCCTCTCCATCAAAAGCAATAATAAAACTGGATAAAATTAACAAAAACAACCATATCAGGACTCTGGAAATTGACTAAAGTCAAACATCAAATTGAGAAGCATTTAGGCAGCAACAGTGTGATTCTGTGGCATTTTAGTCTGGTGCTGCTCCTATTTCTTCTCAGCTCCGTGAGGGAGCTGTGCTTGATTTGTATTGGAGCACAGAAAAACCATGCTGAGGGGTATTTTGGAAAACAACAGTGATCTCAGTGGCAAATAATTGGGAGGGGCTAACACCACAGCTAGCCTGAGATCATGGTACTAGTTGGGACAAACAATAGAACAGCATAACAGCAAGAAATTTGATGGTGAGAATAAGATAGCCATAGTGGGCCTTGATAAGTTGTCAAATATCCCTGGGGGTCTGGGAGACTGAGTGTGTGTGCACAGCACAGTGTTCATGCTCAGGAGGGACTGGAGAGAGCCTTAGTGAGTTACTTATTCCTGGATAACTGTGATGCTGTGTAAGTGCAGAAAGGCAAAGGCTGTAATAGACCTGTAAGATGTCTGAATGTTGAATCCTTTCCCCAAGCAGCACACAAATCCATCAGCAAAGGGTAGACATCTTACTTCCTAATGTGTTTAAGCACAACCTCTGAGCAATATTTGGCTGATCACTAAGCTGTGCTGCACTGCTGACCCAAGAATGACTCCTAGGAGGTTAGGCTTAAAAATTAAAAACAAAATAAAATTAAGAAAACAACTTCACAGAGAAATCAACAGCTACACACTGAGGGAAAAACATTCTCCACAGAAATAGTCCTTGCAAGAGGCTAAACAATTAACAACGATCAACATCTACTCCTGGGTGTGGAGGAAAGGAACCAGAATTCAGATTTGCTAGAATATACTATTTTCAAAAATACATTTTTCAACAAAAAATTATGAGACATGGAAAAAAAACCCAGAAAAGTGTGACTTCCTTCTCTTAACTAATTCAAAGCATAATTCAAAGCAATATTATAAAACTATTTTTAGGCTTAGAACTGTTGACAAACTTTGGAACGTTAAAATTTGAAAGAATTTATTTGAGCAGACAGCAATTAATGAATCGGTCTGCTCCAAACCAGAAGTGGTTCAAGATTCTGTTTAAAGGGAAGAGAGGGAAGGCTTTTATAGGGTGAATGTGGAAGCAGAGCAAAGAAGTTATTTGATTAATTAAATTTTGAATAATTGCCTTATTTAGATAATCCCTATGGGAAAGTTCAAGACAATATAACTAATACCAAATCGGCATCTGTGATTGCTTGAGCTTACGTTTGGTTTTCTTTAAAATTCTTAGTTAGGTTTCAGTTTCTTTATGTAGGAATGGAGGACATTAAAGCCACCTCCCTCTAATGGCTTTCAATTTAATTATTTTAGCAAAGCATATAAAAGTATAATATATATTCCAACAAAAGCAGAGGGTAGGAGGAGTAAATGAATCTCTATTGGAAAAAAGTTTTTATATTTTATTTGGATTAGCATTAATTGAAAGAAAGAGTGACAAATTAAGATCTATATAGTAACCCTCAGAGCAACCCTTAAGAAAATACCTCAAAAAATATAGTCAAGAACCAAAAAAGAAATTAAAATACTGTGCTAGAAAATATTGGTTTAACAAAAAAAAAAAAATAAGGCATTAAAGGGGGGTAAAGAGGAACCCAAAAAGACATGACACAGGTACAAAACAAATAGCAAAATGGCAGATATAAATAAAATCATATCAATAATAACATTAAATGTGAATTGTGTAAGCTCTCCAATCAAAAGGCAGATTGGCAGTCCATAATTTTTTAAAAACATAACTATTCTGTCTACAAGAGACACATTTTATATTCAAAGATACAGAAAGGTTGGAAGTAAAAAGATGGAAAAAGATATACCATGTGAGGGCAAGATAGCTGACTAGACACAGACAAGTGGAATAGCTCCCACGGAGGGACTGAGATGACTGGCATACTTTTAATAGATCTTCAGAGGGAAAGGTGCCAAGAGTGGATGGAGGGAAAACACAGAAGCTGGGCTGAAGAAGGAGAAAGCTGGGAACCATGCATGGGTTACTACACACTGGGACTCATTTTTGAACCACAGCTGCTCCAGGAGAATGAGTGAGTTGAACTGTATGGAGCAACCCGCTCTCACCACAGGTTTCTGGAACCCCATCATGAGAGGATCCCTCAACTGCCATGGACACTTGAGGTGGCAGGGAGAGCTGCCTAGAGAAATGGTGGGGCAGCAAGACAGTGGCTGTGGAGCACAGAGGGGTTGGTGCAGGAGCACAGCCAGGGACAGCCATCCCCTTGGGCTCAACTTGTTCCCATAAGAGACTTTTGCCCTAGGGGAACTGTTGAACCTGATCTCTGCAGGGCAGTCTTGCACGTCTGATGGTGTTGATCCAAAGTGAGCACCCCTTGGTCTGCTGGTCTCTCCCAGGGCCCCAGCCTGGCCACACCAGCTTACAGGGCAGTCTTGGGTGCCCTGGGGACCCACACCATAGCTTCAGCACCAATGGACCATGCCTGAACAGTGGAGAACTCCAGCAAGGCAGCCCCTACAGCCACACACCAGCCTGCATGCTCCCTCCAGATACTGAAGCTTCCCCTTAGCCCATGGCAACTCCCCATATCACTTTGCTGGAACATGTCTGCACGAGCAGGTTTTGCTCTACTTGCCCTGCCAGCATGTGGGAATGCAGCCTGCTCCCTACCCCTGCCAACTGCCATTGCAGACAGAGCCTTGGTGGGCACAGAGCCAGCAAGCCCTGCCCCCACTAGCACCTTGCCCTTGTGTTAACACTGTGAAGTGAACAGGGGATCCTCTCACCCTGAGTGATCACTCCTGCTTGCGGGGCACAGAGAAGGCACCCAGACCTGCACTGGGCAGCACCCCTCCCCAAGCCAACACCACCTCCAGTGCAACTGTGCACACAGTCTCCAGCAGTGGCCCCCCCATTCCCCCTCCCAGTTGCCTTGCCTTCACCACTGTGATGAACGTTGGCAAGGGGGCAAGCACCCCTGAATCTGCTGGCACTCTGCTGCAGCTGCCACACCTTGGCCCCCTGCATCACAATGGACTCCAAACCTTGAGGGTCCAGAGAACAAAGTTGGGACTCAATACAAGTCCTCCAGAGTTAGAGCACACAGTCCAGAAGTTGGGAGCTGAGCATTGGCCCCCTAATATCTCCCAGAAACAAAGCCAGTTGGCTGAATCCACCTTATACCACAATCAAACCCTCAGTCATCAAATAAGATGAAAGAAAAAAAAATCCATCCAAAGGTCAGTAGCCTTAAAGATTGATGGTAAATAAGGCCACAAAGATGAGAAAGAATCAGCACAAGAACACTGAAAATTCAAAAAGCCAGAGTGGTTTCTTCCAAATTATGGCATCACCTCTCCAGCAAGGGTTTGGAACCGGGCTAAGGCTGAGATGGCTAAAATGAGGGAAGTAGAATTTAGAATATGGATAGGTAAGAAGTTCACTGAGCTACAGAAGTACATTGTAACCCAAGGGAAAGAAACTAAAATTCATGATAAAACATCACAGAAACTGACAGACAAAATAGCCACTTAAAAGTAATGGCAAAAACCACACTTATGTTTGCACCAAACTAATGTGAATGATTGGTGTCCCTGAAAGAGATGAGAAGAATGGAACCAACTTGAAAAACATAGTTGAGAATATCACCCATGAGAACTTTCCCAACTTAGCAAGACAGGCCAACAATCAAATTCAGGAAATCCAGAGAACCCCAGTAACATACTTCACAAAAAAATCATCTCCAATACATATAATCGTCATATTCTCCAAGGTCGAAATGAAAGAAAAAATGTTAAAGGCAGCCAGAGAGAAAGGTCAGGTCACCTACTATGGGAAACCCATCAGACTAACAGAAGACCTCTCAGCAGAAACCCTACATGCCTGAAGAGATTTGGGGCCAATATTCAACATTCTTAAAGAAAATAAATTCCAACACACAATTTCATATCTGGCCAAACTAAGCTTCTAAGCAAAGGAGAAATAAGATATTTTTCAGACAAGCAAATGGTGAGGGAATGAGGAAATTTGTCAACACCAAACCTGCTTTATAAGAGCTCCTGAAGGAAGCACTAAATATGGAAAGGAAAGATCATTACCAGCCACTAAAAAAACACACTGACGTGTACAGACCAGTGACACTATAAAGCAACCACACAAACAAGTCTGCAAAATAACCAGCTAGCATCATGATAACAGGATCAAATCCACCTATATCAATACTAACCTTAAATGTAAATGGGCTGAATGCCCCAATTAAAAGACAAAGAGTGGCAAGCAGGATAAAGAGCTGAGACTCATTGGTATGCTGTCATTAGGAGACCCATCTCATGTGCAAAGACACATATAGGCTCAAAATAAAGGGATGGAGGAAATTTTACCAAGCAAATGGAAAACAGAAAAAAGCAGGGGTTGCAATCCTAGTTTCTGACAAAACAGACTTTAAACCAAAAGAGATTAAAAAAAAAAAAAAGACAAAGGAGGGCATTACATAATAGTAAAGGGTTCAATTCAACCAGAAGAGCTAACTATCTTATAAACTAATATATATGCACCTAACACAGGAGCACCCAGATTCATAAAGCAAGTTCTGAGAGGTCTTCAAACAGACTTAAACTCCCACACAGTAATAGTGGGAGACTTTAACACCCCATTGACAATATTAGAAAGAAAATCAAGATGGAAAATTAACAAAGATATTCAGGACCTGAACTCAGCACTGGATCAAATGCACCTGATGGAAATCTACAGAACTCTCCACCCCAAAACAACAGAATATACATTCTTCTCAGCACCACATGGCACATACTCTAAAACTGATAACATAAGTGGAAGTAAAACACTCCTCAGCAACTGCAAAAGAACTGAAATCATGAAAAACAGTCTCTTGGATCAAAGCACAATCAAATTAGAAATCAAGACTAAGAAATTCACTCCAAACCATACAATTACATGGAAATTGGACAACGTGGTCCTGAATGACTTTTGGGTAAATAATGAAATTAAGGCATAAATTAAGAAGTTCTTTGTAAGTAATGAAAACAAAGATACAACATACCAGAATCTCTGGGACACAGCTAAGGGAGCGTTAAGAGAGAAATTTATAGTACTAAATGCTCACATCAAAAAGTTATAAAGATATCAAGACAACAGCCTAACATCACAACCAAAAGAACTACAGAACCAAGAACAAACAAAACCCAAAGCTAGTAGAAGACAAGAAAGAACCAAAATCAGAGGTGAATTGGAGACTGAGACACAAAAAGCCATTCAACAGATCAAGGAATCCAGGAGCTAAATTTCTGAAAAGATTAATAAAATAGATAGACAGCTAACAAGACCAATAAAGAAGAAAAGCGAAAAGATTCAAAAAAACACAATCAGAAATGACAAGGGGGATTTTACCACTGACACCACAGAAATACAAACAACCACCAGAGAATATTATTAACATCTCTATGCACATAAACTAGAAAATCTAGAAGCAAATGGATAAATTCCTGGACACATACACCCTCCCAAGACTGAAACAGGAAGAAATGGAATCCCTGTACACTTTAGTAATGAGCTCTGAAGTTGAGGCAGTAATAAATAGCCTACTAACCAAAAAAAGCCCAGGGCTAGATGGATTCACAGTTGAATTCTACCAGATGTACAAAGAAGAGCTGGTACCATTCCTACTGAAACAATTCCAAATAATTGAGGAGGAGGGACTCCTCCCAACTCATTCTATGAGGCCAGCATTATCCTGATACCAAAGCCTGGCAGAGATACAATAAAAAAAAAAAAGAAAACTTCAGGCCAATATCCTTGATGATCATTGATGCAAAAATTCTCAACAAAATACTGGCAAACTGAATCCAGAGGCAAATCAAAAACTTGTTCACCATGATCAAGTCAGCTTCATCCCTGGGATGCAAGGTTGATTTGACATACACAAATCAATAAGTGTGATTCATCACAGAAACAGAACTAAAGACAAAAACCAAATAATTATCTCAATAGATGCATTAAGGCTTTTCATAAAATTAAACAACCCTTCATGTTAAAAAAAAAACCTCCCAATTAACCAGGTATTGAAGGAACATACCTCAAAATAATAAAAGCCATCTATGACAAACCCACAGCCAATATTATACTAAATGGGTAAAAGCTAGAAGTATTCTCCTTGAAAACTGGCACAAGACAAGAATGCCCTCTCTCATCACTTCTATTCAACATAGTATTGGAAGTCCTGGGGAGGAAAATCAGGTAAGAGAAAGAAAGAAAGGGCATCCAAATAGGAAGAGAGGAAGTCAAACCATCCCTGTTTGCTGACAACATGATCCTATATATAGGAAACCTCAGAGTCTCATCTCAAAGGCTTCTTAAGCTTATAAACAACTTCAGCAAAGTCTCAGGATAGAAAATCAATGTGCAAAAATCACTAGCATTCCAATACACTAACAATAGTCAAGCCAAGAGCCAAATCAGGAACAAACGCCTATTCACAATTGTCACACACACACACACAAAATACCTAGGAATACAACTAACTAGGGATGTGAAAGATCTCTACAAGGAGAACTATAAACCACAGCTCAAAAAAAATCAGAGATGACAGAAACAAATGGAAAAACATTCCATGCTCACGGATAGAAAGCATCAATATTGAGAGGGGCCAAGATGGCTGACTAGAAGCAGTTACCATTGGTGGCTCCTACTGAGAAGAATAAAAATGGTGAGTGAATCCTGCACCTTCACCTGAGGTATCCAAGTTCTCTTATTGGGACTGACTAGACAGTTGGCATGACCGGCAGAGAGCAAGGAAAAGCAGAATGGAGCAACGGCCCACCTGGGAGCCACATGGGGCAAGGGGAGCTCCCACCCTCAGCCAAGGGAGACAGTGAGTGATTGCGCTACCTTGCCAAAGAAACCACGTTTTTACCATGGATCTGTGCAACCCAAGGATCAGATCTCCCCATGAGACCATGCCACCAGGGCCTTGGGTCCCAAGCACAGAGCTGTGCAGATGCTTGGCAACCACTTGGGTTGTGGCCAGTGGCAGCAGACTGGATACTGCCTAAGACCACCAATTTACCCAGGGGGAGGGGCGGCTGCCGTCACTGCAGCTCCAGTCTGCCATTTTCCCCTGCTGGTGCTGGGGAGACTGGGTGGTTTAGATTGGGAGGAATTCCCCACAACACAGCACAGCAACTGTGGCAGATCATGGCCAGACTGCTTCTTTAAGTGGGACCCAGAATAATTACTCCTTACTGGGCAGGACATCCCTGGGAGAATTTCAGCAACTCCAGCTAGGGGTTTATGGACAGAACTCTGATCTCCATGAGACGGAGGCCCTGCGGGGGAGGGGTGGTCATGGTTCAGAGGACTTAGTCTTTCCTGCCTGCTGGCTCTGAAGAGTATGGGCAGTCCAGAAGATGGAGGTTCCCCACAGTGCAGTGCACCTGCTCCACGAAGGGGCAGCCAGAGTGCTTCATTAAGTGGGTCCCTAATCCCATGCCTCCTGACTTGGTGAGACCCCCCAACAGGGTCGCCAGACACTTTATACAGGAGCATTCCCACTGATATCAGGTTGGTGCCCCTCTGGAATGGAGCTCCCAGAGAAAGGAACAGGCAGCCATCTTTGCTGTTCTGCAGGATCACTGGTGACACCTCCAGGTGTGGGATGGACCCAGGCAAATAGGGTCTGGAGTAGGCCCCCTGCAAATTGCAACAACCCTACAGAAGAGGGGCCTGACTGTTAAAAGAAAAACAAACAGAAAGCAACAACAAAATCAGCAAACAGACCCCACAAAAACCCCATCCAAGGTCAGCAGCCTCAAAGATTGAAGGTAGATAAGCTCATGAAGATGAAAAAGAATCAATACAAAAATGCTGAAAACTCAAAAAGTCAGAGTGCCTTTTTTCCTCCAAATGATCGCAACATCTCTCAAGCAAGGGCACAGAACTGGGCTGAGGCTGAGATGGATGAACTGACAGAAGTAGGCTTCAGAAGGTGACAATAACAAACTTCACTGAGCTAAAGGAGTATGTTCTAACCCAATGCAAAGAAGCTAAGAACCATGATAAAACATTACAGGAGCTGTGATATGGTTTGTCTCTGTGTCCCCAACCAAATCTCTTGAATTGTATTCCCATAATTCCCACATGTTGTAGGAGGGACCTGGTGGGAGATAACTTGAATCATGGGAGTGGTTTCCCCCATACTGTTCTCATGGTAGTGAATAAGTCTCACAAGATCTGATGGTTTTATTAGGGGTTTCCACTTTTCCATCTTCCTCATTTTTCCCTTACCACCACCATGCAAGAAGTACCTTTCACCATCCACCATGATTCTTAGGTTTCCCCAGCCATGTGGAACTGTAAGTCCAATTAAACCTCTTTTTCTTCCCAGTCTTGGGTATATCTTTATCAGCAATGTGAAAATGAACTAATACAAGCTGTTAACCAGAATAACCAGTTTAGAGAGGAACATAAATGACCTGATGGAGCTGAAAATCACAACACAAGAACTTCACAATGAAACCACAAGTGTCAATACCCAAATAGACCAGGTGGAGGAAATAATCTCAGAGCTTGAAGACTATCTTTCTGAAATAAAACAGACAGACAAGATTAGAAAAAAAATAAAAATAAAAAGGAACAAACAAAACCTCTGAGAACTATGTGAAAAGACCAAACCTATGACTGATTGGGATACCTGAAAGAGACAGGGAGAACAGAACCAAGTTGGAAAACATACTTCAGGATATCATCCATGAGAACTTCCCCAACCTAGCAAGACAGGCTAAAATTGAAATTCAGGAAATCCAGAGAACCCCACTAAGATACTCCATGAGAAGATCAACCTGAAGACACATAATCATCAGATTCTCCAAGGTTGAAATGAAGGAAAAAATGTTAAGAGAGAAGGGCCAGGTCACCTACAATGGGAAACCCGTCAGACTAACAGCAGATCTCACAGCAGAAACCCTACAAGCCAGAAGAAGTTGGCGGTTAATGTTCACCATTCTTAAGAAAAGAATTTCCAACTCAGAATTTCATATCTGGATGAACTAAGCTTCATAAGTGAAGGAGAAATGAAATCCTTTTCAGACAAGCAAATGCTGAGGGAATTTGTCACCATCAGGCCTGCCTTGAAAGAGCTCCTGAGGGAAGCACTAAATATGGAAAGGAAAAATTGTTACCAGCCACTACAAAAACACACTGAAATACACAGACCAATGACACTATGAAGCAACTACATTACAAGTCTGCAAAATAAGCAACTAGCATCATAACGACAGGATAAAATTCACACATAACAATATTAACCTTAAATGCAAATTGGCTAAATGTCTCAATTAAAAGACACAGAATGGCAAGCTGGATAAAGAGTCAAGACCCATCAGTGTGCTGTATTCAAGAAATCCATCTCACATGCAAAAACACACATAGGTTCAAAATAAAGAGATGGAGGGAAATTTACCAAGCAAATGGAAAACAGAAAAAAGCAGGAGTTGCAATCCTGGTTTCTGACCAAACAGATTTTAAATCAACAGAGATCAAAAAAGACAAAGAAAGGCATTACATAATGGTAAAGGGTTCAATTCAACAAGAAGACCTAACTATCCTAAATATATATGTACTCTATACAGGAGCACCCAGATTCATAAAACGAGTTCTTAGAGACCTACAAAGTGACTTAGACTCCCACACAATAATAGTGGGAGATTTTAACACCCCACTGTTAATATTAGACAGATCATTGAGATAGAAAATTAACAAAGACATTCAAGACTTGAACTCAGGTCTGGATCAAGTGGATCCAGATATCTTGTGGGGATATCCAGATATCAAGTGGGGATCAAGATATCTATAGAACTCTTCACCCCAAAACAACAGAATATGCATTTTTCTCAGCACCACATGGCACTTACTCTAAAACTGACCACATAATTAGAAGTGAAACATTCCTCTGCAAATGTAAAAGAATTGAAATCATGAAAAACAATCTCTCAGACCACAGCAAAATCAAATTAGAACTGAAGATTAAGAAATTCACTCAAAACCACACAACAACATGGAAATTAAACAATGTGCTCCTGAATGGCTCCTGGTGAATAACAAAAAAACATTTTTAATTATACTTTAAGTTTTAGGGTACATGTGCACAACATGCAGGTTTGTTACATATGTGTACATGTGGCATGTTGGTGTGCTGCACCCATTAACTCATCATTTAGCATTAGGTATATCTCCTAATGCTATCCCTCCCCCCCCCTCCTTCCCCCCACCCCACAACAGGCCCCGGTGTGTGATGTTCCCCTTCCTGTGTCCATGTGTTCTCATTGTTCAATTCCCGCCTATGAGTGAGAACATGCGGTGTTTGGTTTTCTGTCCTTGTGATAGTTTGCTGAGAATGATGGTTTCCAGCTTCATCCATGTCCCTACAAAGGACATGAACTCATCATTTTTTATGGCTGCATAGTATTCCATGGTATATATGTGCCACATTTTCTTAATCCAGTCTATCATTGATGGACATTTGGGTTGGTTCCAAGTCTTTGCTATTGTGAATAGTGCCACAATAAACATACGTGTGCATGTGTCTTTATAGCAGCATGATTTATAGTCCTTTGGGTATATACCCAGTAATGGGATGGCTGGGTCAAATGGTATTGCTAGTTCTAGATCCCTGAGGAATCGCCACACTGACTTCCACAATGGTTGAACTAGTTTACAGTCCCACCAACAGTGTAAAAATGTTCCTATTTCTCCACATCCTGTCCAGCACCTGTTGTTCCATGACTTTTTAATGATCACCATTCTAACTGGTGTGAGATGGTATCTCATTGTGGTTTTGATTTGCATTTCTCTGATGGCCAGTGATGATGAGCATTTTTTCATGTGTCTTTTGGCTGCATAAATGTCTTCTTTTGAGAAGGGTCTGTTCACATCCTTTGCCTACTTTTTGATGGGGTTGTTTTTGTTTTTTTCTTGTAAATTTGTTTGAGTTCTTTGTAGATTCTGGATATTAGCCCTTTGTCAGATGGGTAGATTGCAAAAATTTTCTCCCATTCTGTAGGTTGCCTGTTCACTCTGATGGTAGTTTCTTTTGCTGTGTAGAAGCTCTTTAGTTTAATTAGGTCCCATTTGTCAATTTTGGCTTTTGTTGCCATTGCTTTTGGTGTTTTAGACATGAAGTCCTTGCCTATGCCTATGTCCTGAATGGTATTGCCTAGGTTTTCTTCTAGAGTTTTTATGGTTTTAGGTCTAACATTTAAGTCTTTAATCCATCTTGAATTAATTTTTGTAAGGGATCCAGTTTCAGCTTTCTACATACAGCTAGCCAGTTTTCCCAGCACCATTTATTAAATAGGGAATCCTTTCCCCATTGCTTGTTTTTCTCAGGTTTGTCAAAGATCAGATAGTTGTAGATATGCCACATTACTTCTGAGGGCTCTGTTCTGTTCCATTGGTTTATATCTCTGTTTTGGTACCAGTACCATGCTGTTTTGGTTACTGTAGCCTTCTAGTATAGTTTGAAGTCAGGTAGCATGATGCCTCCAGCTTTGTTCTTTTGGCTTAGGATTGACTTGGCAATGCGGGCTCTTTTTTGCTTCCATATGAAGTTTAAAGTAGTTTTTTCCAATTCTGTGAAGAAAGTCATTGGTAGCTTGATGGGGATGGCATTGAATCTATAACTTACCTTGGGCAGTATGACCATTTTCACGATATTGACTCTTCCTATCCATGAGCATGGAATGTTCTTCCATTTGTTTGTATCCTCTTTTATTTCATTGAACAGTGCTTTGTAGTTCTCCTTGAAGAGGTCCTTCACATCCCTGCTAAGTTGGATTCCTAGGAATTTTATTCTCTGAGTAGCAATTGTGAGTGGGAGTTCACTCATGATTTGGCTCTCTGTTTGTCTGTTATTGGTGTATAAGAATGCTTGCTGTGATTTTTGCACATTGATTTTCTACCTGAGACTTTGCTGAAGTTGCCTATCAGCTTAAGGAGATTTTGGGCTGAGACGATTGAGTTTTCTAGATATACAATAATGTCATCTGCCCACAGGGACAATTTGACTTCCTCTTTTCCTAATTGAATACCCTTTATTTCCTTCTCCTGCCTGATTGCCCTGGCCAGAACTTCCAACACTATGTTGAATAGGAGTGGTGAGAGAGGGCATCCCTGTCTTGTGCCAGTTTTCAAAGGGAATGCTTCCAGTTTTGGCCCATTCAGTATGATATTGGCTGTAGGTTTGTCATAGATAGCTCTTATTATTTTGAGATACGTCCTGTCAATACCTAATTTATTGAGACTTTTTAGGATGAAGTGCTGTTGAATTTTGTCAAAGGCCTTTTCTGCATGTATTGAGATAATCATGTGGTTTTGGTCATTGGTTCTGTTTATATGCTGGATTATATTTATTAATTTATGTATGTTGAACCAGCCTTGCATCCCAGGGATGAAGCCCACTTGATCATGGTGGATAAGCTTTTTGATGTGCTGCTGGATTCGGTTTGCCAGTAAGTTATTGAGGATTTTTGCATCAATATTCATCAGGGATATTGGTCTAAAATTCTCTTTTTTTGTTGTGTCTCTGCCAGGCTTTGGTATCAGGATGATGCTGGCCTCATAAAATGAGTTAAAGAGGATTGCCTCTTTTTCTATTGATTGGAATAGTTTCAGAAGGAATGGTACCAGCTCTTCCTTGTACCTCTGGTAGAATTCGGCTGTGAATCCACCTGGTCCTAGACTTTTTTTGGTTGGTAGGCTATTAATTATTGCCTCAATTTCAGAGCCTGTTATTGGCCTATTCAGAGATTCAACTTCTTCCTGGTTTAGTCTTGGGAGGGTGTATGTGTGGAGGAATTTATCCATTTCTTCTAGATTTTCTAGTTTATTTGCATAGAGGTGTTTGTAGTATTCTCTGATGGTAGTTTGTATTTATGTGGAATCGGTGGTGATATCCCCTTTATCATTTTTTATTGCATCTGTTTGATTCTTCTCTCTTTTCTTCTTTATTAGTCTTGCTAGCAGTCTATCAATTTTGTTGATCTTTTCAAAAAACCAGCTCCTGGATTCATTGATTTTTTGAAGGATTTTTTGTGTCCCTATCTCCTTCAGTTCTGCTCTGATCTTAGTTATTTCTTGCCTTCTGCTAGCTTTTGAATGTGATTGCTCTTGCTTCTCTAGTTCTTTTAATTGTGATGTTAGGGTGTCAGTTTTAGATCTTTCCTGCTGTCTCTTGTGGGCATTTAGTGCTATAAATTTCCCTCTACACAATGCTTTAAATGTGTCCCAGAGATTCTGGTATGTTGTGTTTTTGTTCGCATTGGTTTCAAAGAACATCTTTATTTCTGCCTTCATTTCGTTATGTACCCAGTTGTCATTCAGAAGCAGGTTGTTCAGTTTCCATGTAGTTGAGCAGTTTTGAGTGAGTTTCTTAATCCTGAGTTCTAATTTGATTGCACTGTGGTCTGAGAGACAGTTTGTTATAATTTCTGTTCTTTTACATCTGCTGAGGAGTGCTTTACTTCCAACTATGTGATCAATTTTGGAATAAGTGTGGTGTGGTGCTGAGAAGAATGTATTTTCTGTTGATTTGGGGTGGAGAGTTCTGTAGATATCTATTAGGTCCACTTGGGGCAGAGCTGAGTTGAATTCCTGGATATCCTTGTTAACTTTCTGTCTTGTTGATCTGCCTAATGTTGACAGTGGGGTGTTAAAGTCTCCCATTATTATTGTGTGGGAGTCTAAGTCTCTTTGTAGGTCTCTAAGGACTTGCTTTATGAATCTGGGTGCTCCTGTATTGGGTGCATATATATTTAGGATAGTTAGCTTTTCTTGTTGAATTGATCCCTTTACCATTATGTAATGGCCTTTTTTGTCTCTTTTGATCTTTGTTGGTTTAAAGTCTGCTTTATTAGAGACTAGGATTGCAACCCCTGCTTTTTTTTTTTGTTTTTCATTTGCTTGGTAGATCTTCCTCCATCCCTTTATTTTGAGCCTATGTGTGTCTCTGCACGTGAGATGGGTTTCCTGAATACAGCACACTGATGGGTCTTGACTCTTTATCCAATTTGCCAGTCTGTGTCTTTTAATTGGAGCATTTAGCCCATTTACATTTAAGGTTAATATTGTTATGTGTGAATTTGATCCTGTCATTATGATGTTAGCTGGTTGTTTTACTCGTTAGTTGATGCAGTTTCTTCATAGCCTCGATGGTCTTTACAATTTGGCATGTTTTTGCAGTGGCTGGTACCGGTTGTTCCTTTCCATGTTTAGTGCTTCCTTCAGGAGCTCTTTTAGGGCAGGCCTGGTGGTGACAAAATCGCTCAGCTTTTGCTTGTCTGTAAAGTATTTTATTTCTCCTTCACTTACGAAGCTTAGTTTGGCTGGATATGAAATTCTGGGTTGAAAATTCTTTTCTTTAAGAATGTTGAATATTGGCCCCCACTCTCTTCTGGCTTGTAGAGTTTCTGCCGAGAGATCAGCTGTTAGTCTGATGGGCTTCCCTTTGAGGGTAACCCGACCTTTCTCTCTGGCTGCCCTTAACATTTTTCCCTTCATTTCAACTTTGGTGAATCTGACAATTATGTGTCTTGGAGTTGATCTTCTCAAGAAGTATCTTTATGGCATTCTCTGTATTTCCTGAATTTGAATGTTGGCCTGCCCTGCTAGGTTGGGGAAGTTCTCCTGGATAATATCCTGAAAAGTGTTTTCCAACTTGGTTCCATTCTCCCTGTCACTTTCAGGTACACCAATCAGATGTAGATGTGGTCTTTTCACATAGTCCCATATTTCTTGGAGGCTTTGCTTGTTTCTTTTTATTCTTTTTTCTCTAAACTTCTCTTCTCACTTTATTTCATTAATTTGATCTTCCATCACTGATAACCTTTCTTCGACTTGATTGAATCAGCTACTGAAGCTTGTGCATTCGTCACGTAGTTCTTGTGCTGTGGTTTTCAGCTCCATCAGGTCCTTTAATGACCTCTCTGCATTGGTTATTCTGGTTAGCCATTCATCTAATCTTTTTTCAAGGTTTTTAAGTTCTTTGCCATGGGTTTGAATTTCTGCCTTTAGCTCGGAGAAGTTTGATCATCTGAAGCCTTCTTCTCTCAACTCATCAAAGTCATTCTCCATCCAGCTTTGTTCCATTGCTGGTGAGGAGCTGCATCCCTTTGGAGGAGGATATGCAGTCTGATTTTTAGAATTTTCAGTTTTTCTGCTCTGTTTTTTCCCCATCTTTGTGGTTTTATCTACCTTTGGTCTTTGATGATGGTGATGTACAGATGGGGTTTTGGTGTGGATGTCCTTTCTGTTGGTTAGTTTTCCTTGTAGCAGTCAGGACCCTCAGCTGCAGGTCTGTTGGAGTTTGCTGGAGGTCCACTCCAGACCCTGTTTGCCTGGGTATCAGCAGCGGAGGCTGCAGAACAGTGAATATTGGTGAACAGCAAATGTTGCTGCCTGATCATTCCTCTGGAAGTTTTGCCTCAGAGGAATACCCGGCCATGTGAGGTGTCAGTCTGCCCCTACTGGGGGGTGCCTCCCAGTTAGGCTACTTGGGGGTCAGGGACCCACTTGAGGAGGCAGTCTGTCTGTTCTCAGATCTCAAGCTGCATGCTGGGAGAACCACTACTGTCTTCAAAGCTGTCAGACAGGGACATTTAAGTCTGCAGAGGTTTCTGCTGCCTCTTGTTTGGCTATGCCCTGCCCCCAGAGGTGGAGTCTACAGAGGTAGGCAGGCCTCCTTGAGCTGTGGTGGGCTCCACCCAGTTCGAGCTTCCTGGCCGCTTTGTTTACCTACTCAAGCCTCAGCAATAGAGGGCACCCCTCCCCTAGCCTCACTGCTGCCTTGCAGTTTGATCTCAGACTGCTGTGCTAGCAATGAGTGAGGCTCCATGGGTGTAGGACCCTCCAAGCCATGCGCGGGATATAATCTCCTGGTGTGCCATTTGCTAAGACCGTCGGAAAAGCACAGTATTAGGGTGGGAGTGACCCGATTTTCCAGGTGCCGTCTGTCACCCCTTTCCTTGACTAGGAAAGGGAATTCCCTGACCCCTTTTACTTCCTGTGGGAGGCGATGCCTCGCCCTGCTTCGGCTCACCCACGGTGTGCTGCACCCACTGTCCTGCACCCACTGTCTGAGAATCCCCAATGAGTTGAACTCAGTACCTCAGTTGGAAATGCAAAAATCATTCATCTTCTGCATCACTCATGCTGGGAGGTGTAGACTGGAGCTGTTCTTATTTGGCCATCTTGGAACCACCTCCAAATAATAAAATTAAGGTAGAAGTCAAGAAGTTCTTTGAAACTAATTAGAACAAAGTGATAATGTACCAGAATCTCCAGGATGCAGCTAAAGCAGTGTTAAGAGGAAAATTTGTAGTACTAAATGCCCACATCAAAAAGCTACAAATATCTCAAGTTAACAACCTAATATCTCAACTAAAAGGAGTAGAGAACCAAGAGTAAACAAAGCCCAAAGCTAGCAGAAGAAAAGAAATAACCAAGATCAGAGTGCAACTGAAGGAGATAGAGACATGAAGAGTCCTTCTACAAATCAATGAATCCAGGAGCTGGTTTTTTGAAAAAATTAATAATATATATAGACCACTAGCTAGACTAATAAAGAAGAATAGAGAGAATAGTCAAATAGACACAATAAAAATTGATAAAAGGGATATTACCACTGACCCCACAGAAATACAAACAACCCTCAGAGAATACTATAAACACCTCTATGCAAATAAACTAGAACATCTAGAAAAAATGGATACACTCCTGGACACACACACCCTCCCAAGACTGAACCAGGGAGAAGTTGAATCCCTGAATAGACCAATAATGAGTTATGAAATTGAGGCAGTAATAAATAGCCTACTACCCAAAAAAAGCTCAGGAGCAGATGGATTTACAGCTGAATTCTACCAAAGTACACAGAGAAGCTAGTACCACTTCTTCTGAAACTATTCCAACAACTGAAAAGGAGGAACTCTTCCCTAACTCATTTTATGAGGCCAGCAGCATCCTGATACCAAAACCTGGCAGAGATACAACAAAAAAAGAAAACTTCAGGTCAGTATCCCTGATGAACATTGATGCAAAAATCCTCAATAAAATACTGACAAACTGAATCCAGCAGCACATCAAAAAGCTTATCCACCATGATCAAGTTGGCTTCATCCCCAGGAATCAAGGCTGGTTCAGCATATGCAAATCAATAAATGTAACTTGTCACATAAATAGAACTGAAGACAAAAATCAAATGATTATTTCAATAGATGCAGAAAGGCTTTGGATAAAATTCAACATTTTTTCACGTTAAAAACTCTCAATTAACCAGGTATTGAAGGAACATACCTCAAAATAATGAGCCATCTATGACAAACCCACAGCCAACATTACACTGAATGGGCAGAAGCTTGAAGCATTCTCCTTGAAAACGGGCACAAAAAATACTATTCAACATAGTATTGAAATTTCTGGCCAGGACAATCAGGCAAGAGAAAGAAATAAAGGGTATTCAAATAGGAAAAGAGGGAGTCAAATTGTCTCTGTTTGCAGATGACATCATCCTATATCTAGAAAACTCCATTGCCTCAGTCCAAAAGCTCTGTAAGCTGATAAGCAACTTCAACAAAGTGTCAGGATACAAAATCATTGGGCAAAAATCACTAGCATTCCTAGACACCAACAACACACAAGTAGAGAGCCAAATCATGAATGAACTTTCATCCACAATAGCTACAAAGAGAATAAAATACCTAGGAATACAGCTAACAAGTGAAGTGAAGGACCTCTTCAAGGAGAACTATTAATACAAACCACCACTCAAGGAAATCAGAGAGGATATAAACAAATGGAAAAACATTGCCATGCTCATGGATAGGAAGAATCAATATTGTGAAAATGGTCATACTGCCCAAAGTAATTTGTAGAGTCAATGCTATTCCCATTAAAAGACCATTGACATTTTTCACAGAACTAGAAAAAACTATTTTAACATTTATATGGAACCAAAAAAGAACTTGTATAGCCAAGACAATGCTAAGCAAAAAGAACAAAGCTGGAAGCATCATGCCACCTGACTTCAGACTATACTGCAAGGCTACAGTAACTGAAACAGCATGGTACAAAAACAGACACATAGACCAATGGAACAGAATAGAGAACTCAGAAATAAGGCTGCACATCTTATTTTTGCATATGGCTAGCCAGTTCTCCCAACACCACATATTAAAAATGATTCCCTATTTAATAATAACCCTATACAAAAATTAACTCAAGATGCATTAAAGACTTAAATGTAAAACCCAAAACTATAAAAACCCTGGAAGACAACCTAGGCAATACCATCCTGGACATAGACATGCACAAAGATTTCATGACAAAGACATCAAAAGCAATCACAAGAAAAGCAAAAATTGACAAATGGGATCTAACTAAGCTAAAGAGATTCTGCACAGCAAAAGAAACTATCATCAGAGTGAACAGACAACCTACAGAATGGGAGAAAATTTTTGCAGTCTATCCATGTGACAAAGGTCTAATATCCAAAATCTATAAGGAACTTAAACAAATTTACAAGAAAAAACAAACAACCCCATTAAAAAGTGGGCAAAGGACATGAACAGACACTTCTCAAAAGAAAACATTTATGCAGCCAACAAACACGAAAAAAAGCTCAGCATCACTGATCATTAGAGAAATGCAAGTCAAAACCACAATGAGATAGCATCTTATGCCAGTAAGAATGATGACTTTTTACACGTTTACCTATGTAACAAACCTGCACATCCTGTGCATGTACCCCAGAATTTAACATAAAGAATCAATATAGTAAAAACGGCCATACTGCCCCAAACAATGTATAGATTCAATGCTATTCCTATTAAACTGCCATTGAGATTCTTCACAGAACTAGAAAAAAAAAGAAACTTTTAAAATTCGTATGGAACCAAAAAAAAAAAAAAAAAACAAACAAACAAACAAAACAGCCTGAACAGACAAGGCAATCCTAAGCAAAAAGAACAAAGCTGGAGGCCTCATGCTACCTGACTTGAAATTATGCGACAGGGCTACAGTAACCAAAACAGCATGGTGTTCATACAAAATAGACACATAGACCAATGGAACAGAGTAGAAAACCCAGAAATAATTCCACAAACCTACAACTATCTGAACTTAGACAAACCTGACAAAAACAAGCAAAGGGGAATGAATTCACTATTCAGTAAATGGTGCTGGGATAACTGGCTAGCCATATGCAGAAGATGGAAACTGGACCCTTTCCTTACACAATAAACAAAAATTAACTCAAAATAGATGAATGATTTACATGTAAAATCCAAAAGTATAAAAACTCTGGAAGACAACCTAGGCAATACCATGCAGGACATAGGCACAGGCAAAGGTTTCACGACGAAGATGCCAAAAGCTATTGCAACAAAGGCAAAAATTGACAAATGGATATAATTAAACTAAAGAGCTTCTGCACAGTAAAAGAAACTATCATCAGAGTGAACAGACAGGCTACAGAACAAGGGAAAATTTTTGCAAACTATGCATCCAACAAAGACCTAATATCTTTCATCTATAAAGAACTTAAACAAATTTACAAGAAAAGAACAAACAACACAATTAAAAAGTTGGCAAAGGACGTGAACAGACCTTTTCCAAAAGAAGACATACATGCAGTCAAAAATCATTTAAAGAAAAGGTCAGCATCACTGATCACTAGAGAAATGCAAATCAAAACCGCAGTGAGATACCATCTAACACCAGTCAGAATGGATATTATTAAAAAGCCAAAAAATAACAGATGCTGGTGAGGTTGCAGAGAAAAAGGAATGCCTATACACTCTTGGGGGGAGTGTAACTTAGTTCAGCCATTGTGGAAGACAGTGTGGAGATTCCTCAAAGACCTAAAGACAGAAATACCATTCAACCCAGCAATCCCATTATTGGGTATATACCAAAAGGAATATAAGTCATTCTATTACAAAGACACATGCACGCATATGTTCATTCCAGCACTATTCACAATAGCAAAGACATGGAATCAACCTAAATGCCCATCAATGATAGAGCAGACAAAGGAAATGTGGTATATATGCACCATGGAATACTATGCAGCCATAAAAAAAGAATTAGATTATGTACTTTGCAGGGACATGGATGGAGCTGAAGGCCATTATCCTTAGCAAACTAATGCAGGAACAGAAAACCAAATACTGCATGTCCCCACTTATAAGTGGGAGATAAATGATAAGAGCACATGGACACATAGAGGGGAACAACACACACGGGGTCTGATTAGAGGGTAGAGGGTGGGAGGAGGGAGAGGATCAGGAAAAATAACTAATGGGTACTAGGCTTAATACCTGGGTGACAAAACAATCTGTACATCAAACCCCCATGACACAAGCTTACCTGTGTAACAAACCTGCACATGTACCCCTGAACTTAAAAGTTAAAAAAAGATATACCATGCAAAGAGCAACCAGAAGAGAGTTGGAGTGAGCATATTAATATCGGACAAAATAAGAAAAATATTGTTACTAGAGAAAAATAAGGGTATTTTATGATGATAAAAGAGTCAATTTATCAGGAAGATATAGCAGTTAAAAGATATACACCTAAAAAGTGTGAAAAAATACACAAAACCAAAACTAACAGAATTGAAGAGTGAAATAAACAACTCAACAAAAATAAAGATTTCAATATCTCACTTCTGATGATGGGTAGGACAAGTGGTCAGCAATTCAGGAAGGATACAGACTTGAACAATGCTACGAACCAACTTGACATAACTGGCATCTCTAGAGCACTTTACCCAATAAAAGCAGAAAATACATTCTTCTAAAGTACATGTAGAACATTCTCCAGGATAAACCATACACTAGGCCACAAAACAATCCAAATACATTTAAAAGGATTAAAATCATACTAAGAATGTTCATTGACCACAAAAGAACTAAATTAGAAATCAACAAAAAGTATTTAAGAAATAAAAAATGTTTGAAAATTAGACAACAGTCTTCTAAAGAATACTTGGATTGAAGAAGAAATCACGAGGGAAATTAGAAAATATATTCAACTGAATGAAAATTAAAACATTTTGAAATTTATGGAGGATCAGAAAAACATGGCATAAGAACATTTCACCCTAGTCTTCACCCTTATCACTCCTAAATGCCCTTGATAAAATAAATGAAATGGACCCCAGGAGGCTCTGAATGGTGGAGAAAAGAAGGCAAACTATCTAGGGACCTCAGGATTCAAGGAATGATTCATTGGTGAGTTCTCTGAATTATTATTATTAGTGTTGTTGTTGTTGTTGTTATTTTACCTCCTGTATGTCCCAGAATGGGCATAGGAAATCTAAATCTGGAAACAACAACAGGAACCCAAAAGAAAAAAAGGTAAAAGGACAGGCCTGACGTTCTGGGTAGAGGTCAGACTTGCATGACAGCACCTTTCTGATACTAGTAGCTCTACTTATAGCTAAACACCATGGGAAAAACTATGCCCACCTCCACACCCCCTGCCAGCACCAGGATTGTGTGAGTGGAGATTTGACTACCATCCAGCCCTGATAATAACGAGCTAGCTCTGCATACTGATTGGTAGGCACCTACAGACTCTGTTTGACCACCCTACTCCAACAAGGTGGCTCCATATCTTGGCTGGCAGATGCTCTGCTTGAGAAGTGAACCTTTTTATCACCATGCTATGGAAATAAGATGGCTCTGCGTCTCAGTTGGTGGGAATCTGTGGAGGCTGTGCCTGAGAGCTGAGCCTGTCTACCATTCTGCCCCAGTAATGAGACTACTCTGCCTGCCCACTGGAGGGGTCTATGGACACTGCATACAAGAACTAACCCTTTCTACCAGTGCTGACAATGAGACGGCTCCTGATGCTGGCCTATGGATGGGCATCTAGGGAGGCTTAGTATGAGCATGGATACTATCTACCACCCCACTATGCAACAAGGTGGCTCTGTTTCCTGGATGGCAGGCATCAACAGCGGCTGTACCTGAGAATTAAGTCTGTTACTATACTGGCCCTGGTAATGACACTTCTCTGCTTCTTGGCTAGCAGGGATCTAGAATGCTGTCTATGAGAGTAGAGCCTGACTAACATACCACAAAACAACAATGAGTTGTCGATGAGGAGCTCTGCCTCTCCACTACCCATGAGTGTCTGCAGATGTGATTTGTGGGAGCAGGGCCAGTCTACCATCCAGCCATAGCAGTGATGAAGTGGTTCTGCCTCCCAGGCAGCAGACATCAGCAGACGCTGTTTGTATAAAGAGAGCCCTCACTACCATGTCAGCCTGGCAAAAGTATATAATAAGATACGAATATGAATATGAATCTAAGTCTCATAATACTCAAAATGGTCAGGATATAATTGGAAATCACTTATACCAAGAACCAGGAAATCTCCATTTGAATGAGCAAAGATAATGAACAGATGCAAAAACCAAGATGGCACAGATATTGGAATTATCTAACAAGAATTTTAAAAGTAACTATCATAAATATGCTTAAATAAGCGCTTAGAAACACATTTGAAATAAATAAAACAGAAAACCTTGGAAAATAAATAAAATATATTCTAAAAAATGGAAACCCTACAACTGAAAAATACATTTGCCAAAATAAAAAAAAATTCACTAGGGGGACTGTATTAGTCAGGGTTCTCTAAAAGGACAGAACTAATAGGATATATACATATCTATATATCTATACACACACACACACACAAACACACACAAACACACACATATATATAAAGGGGAGTTTGTTAAGTAGTATTAACTCACACCATCACAAGGTCCCACAATAGGCTGTCTTCAAGCTGAGGAGCAAGGAAACCAGTCTGAGTCCCAAAGCTGAAGAACTTGGAGTCTGATGTTCGAGGGCAGGAAGCATCCAGCATAGGAGAAAGATGTAGGCTGGGAGGCTAAGCCAGTCTAGCCTTTTCACTTTTTTCTGCCTGCTTTATATCCTGGCCACACTGGCAGCTAATTAGATGGTGTCCACCCAGATTAAGGGTGGGTCTGCCTTTCCCAGCCCACTGACTCAGATGTTAATCTCCTTTGGCAACACCCTCACAGACACACACAGGATCTATACTTTGCATCCTTCCATCCAATCAAGTTGACACTGAGTATTAACCATCACAGGGACTCAATAGCATATGGAGAATACACAGGAAATAATCAGTGAACTTAAATAAAAATGATCAAATATGAATGACAAAGAGAAAATAGATTAGAAAAAAGTTAAAAAGACACTCAGGAACCTATGAAACAATAACATCTATGCCATTGGACACCCATGAGGAGAAGGGAAAGAAATTAAGGCTGAAAAATATTTTAAAAAATAATAGCTGAAAATTTCCCAAATCAGAGAAAGACATAAATATACAGATTCAATAAGATGAGTTACAGTTTAACATGTTAAATAGAAATGGCCTCAAGGAAAACAGGTCAAGGGAAAATTCAGTGTAGGAGATAAAATACTTTCAGGTTTACAACATGGCAGAGTGAATCCTGGGACACAAGTTAACTGGGTGATGCTTGTCAATGACTGCTATCAGGAATTTCAAACAAGGAAAGTCTGAGAAATTCCCATAGTCTAGAAAAGTTTAAGGAGATATGATGACTAACTATAATGTGGTATCCAGAATTGAATCCTGGAACATTAGGTAAAAACTTTCAAAATCTGAAAAAAGATGGACTTCAGTTGATAATAATGTATTCATTAGTTGTGATGAATGTATCATAGTACAATGTAAGGTGTTAACAATAGAGGAAGCTGGATGTGGGGTATACAGGTCCTCTTTGTACTATCTTTGCAACTTTTCTGTAAATCTAAAACTATCCTAAGATAAAAAGTTTATTTAAAAAATAAAGCAAGTGAATCTCAAACAATATAAATTCAAAGAAATCCATGCCAAGATACATCGTAATCAAACTTCTGAAAAACAAGAACAAAGAAAGAGTCTTTAAAGCAGTCAGAAAGAAACAATTCATCACCTATAATAGAACAACAATTTTACTGGACTTTTCTTCAGAAATCGTGGAGGCCAGACGAAAGTGACACACAATGTTTTTCAAGTGCTGAAACAAAAGAACAATCAATCTAGACTTATTTTTTTTATTGAGGTAAAATTCACCATTCTAAATCATTTAAAAGTTAACAATTCAGTGGCTTTTACTATAATCACAACGTTGTGCACTATCACCGCTCTCTAATTCCAGAATAATTTCATCACCCCGTAATGAATCTCTGTACTCATTAAGAAGTCACATCCCATTCTTCCTCCTCTCCAGCCCTTGGGAACCACAAATATGTTTTCTGTCTCTATTAATTTGTGTATTCTAGACATTTCATATAAACAGAATTATACGGTGTGTGGCCTTTTGTGTCTGGCTGCTTTCATTTAGTATAATGTTTTCAAGGTTTGTCCATGTAGCGTGTACTGATACTTTACTGCTTTTTTATTGTGTTAAAACTCACTTATTTTATGGTGAATAATATTTCATTGCATGGATATATCACATTTTGTTTATTCATTCATCAGTTGATAGGCACTTAATTTCTTTCCACCTTTTGGCTATTGTGACTAGTGCTGCTGTGAACATTCATGAACAGGTTTTGCTTGGAGCATCTGTTTTCAATTCTCTTGGGTATATACTTAGGAGTGAAATTGCTGGGATTTAGGCAACTCCTAGTAGGTATAAAGTGTTATCTCATTGTGGAACTTACACTTCGGGTTCTTACACTGTGGATTATAATATATGGTCTAATTTTTTTGTTTTTGAGACAGGGTCTCACTCTGTTGCTCAGGTTTGAATGCAGTGGCAAGATCATAGCTCACTGTAACCTCAAACTCCTGGGTTGAATCCATTCTCCTGCCTCAGCCTCCCAAGTAGCTATAGGACTACAGGTGCACGCCACCGTGCCTGGCTAAGTTTTTAATTTTTTGTAGAGATGGGGTCTCACTATGTTGCCCAGGTTGAACGGTCTAAATTTTTGAGAAACGAAAGTAATGTGCATTGTGGGGTTGTGCTTTTTTGTGTATGAGCACACATAGATCTGTCACTGTGTGTTTATGTGTGTGCCTATATATAACTATATGTGTGTGCATGCACGAGGATGAACGTATGTACATGTGAATATAGGTGGGTGTGTACGTGTTTGTCTGCCTGTGTGTGCTGGTGAGATTGTGTCTGTGCATGTGTATGTTGTGTCTGTGTTGTGTGTAGTTTCCCTGAGGGTATCACTTTTCATTGGTAGTTCTACATTGAGTTGGAAAATTGCTGCAAGACTGACTGAAGGATAGCATGATCTTTAAAAAAAAAAACTGTAGTAAATTTAAATTCAACAGATTTTAAATGTAATTATATTTTCAGCTACATGTGTATTAGCATAAACCATAGAATTTTCTTCAAGTGGCCCCCTAATTTACAAAACTGAATAAGGGGGCTGACTGAGCCAATACCTTTCAACTGGTGTAGCTCCAAATGTCTTATAGATTGTCCTGATACAATACCGGAGATACTATAGCGGAATCTATGAAGTTTTTCCTGACAATTATGATTCATGCTGCCTTAGCACTTAGGACTACCTGTGAAAAAGAATGCCTCTGAAATTATTCATTTGTTTCAGGATCAAAGTAACTGGTAAAAAAAAAAAAAAAAGAATGCAACATCTTTTAACCTTTTTTTTTTTTTTAGCAGAGACCTAGGTTTCCAAGGCCACAGTAACTTCAGTATCTAAAAATGGTAAACCTATTTCTGTGATGCATGAGGCATTTACAGGAGGGACATCTGTTACCCTTTGTTTATTTTTGTTATTTACATTCAGTAAGATAATCTCTTTTTTAGTGTATAGCTCTTTGAGATTTGACAAATGCATAGAGTTGTGTAAATACCATCTCAATCAAGATACAGAGCAGTCTGCTCAACCCAAAATATTACCTCATTCTACCTCTTTATAGTTACCCTAGGTAACCAGTTATCTGTTTTCTGTTCCTTTGGTTTTATCTTTTCCATAACGTCATAGAATGAAATTGTAACATAGGTAACCCTTTGAATCTGACTTCTTTCACTTAGAAAAATGCATTTGGGATTCACCCAGCTTGTTGCATGTATCTATAGTTAGCTTGTTTTCATTGCCAAGATTTCAGTTTATGGGCATACCACAGTTTGCTTATCCATTCACCTATTTAAGGACATTTGGATTGTTTCTAGTTTGAGGTTATGATGAATAACTGCTATAAACATCCATGTACAGACTTTTTGTGGGAACATGATCTTTTTGTGAGAACATGTTTTCGTTTCTCTAAATACTTAGAAGTGGGATTACCGTGTCATATGGTAAGTGTATTTTTAAAAATTAATAGCTTTATGTTTCAGAGTTTTTTAGGTTTATAGAAATATTAAGCATAAAGTACAGAGTTCCCTTATATCCCAACTCCTCCCTTCCCCCTCAAATTTTACCCTATTATTAATATCTTGCAAAGATGTGGTATATTTGTTACAATCAAGGAACCAATATTGATATATTACTAATAACTAAAGTCCATAGTTTAAGGATCACTCCTTGTGTTGTACGGTTCTATGGGTTTTGACAAATGAATGTCATATAGTTGGGTTCATATACTATGTAGCCTTTCCAGACTGACTTCTTTCACTTAGTAATATGCAAGTAAGTTTCCTTTGTGTCTTTAGTGGCTTGATGGCTCATTTCTTTCTATCATTGAATAATATTCCACTATACAGATATGCTACAGTTTGTTTCTGCATTCACTTATTGAAGGGCATATTGGTTGCTTCTAATTTTTTTATTTTTTATTATACTTGAAGTTCTGGGATACATGTGCAGAACGTGCAGATTTGCTACATAGGTATACACGTGCAATGGTGGTTTGCTGCACCCATCAACCTGTCATCTACATTAGTTATTTCTCCTAATGCTAACCCTTCCCTAGCCCCCAACCCCCGACAGGCCCTGATGTGTGGTGTTCCCCTCCCTATGTCCATGTGTTCTCATTGTTCAACTCCCACTTATGAGTGAGAACATGTGGTGTTTGGTTTTCTGTTTCTGTGTTAGTTGGCCAAGAATGATGGTTTCCAGCTTCATCCATGTCCTTGCAAAGGACATGAATTCATACTTTTTTATGGCTGCATAGTATTCCATGGTGTATATGTACCACATTTTCTTTATCCAGTCTATCATTGATGGGCATTTGGATTGGTTCCAAGTCTTTGCTATTGTGAATAGTGCTGCAATAAACACAGGTGTGCATGTGTCTTTATAGTAGAATGATTTATAATCCTTTGGGTATATGCCCACTAATGGGATTGCTGGTTCAAATGGTATTTCTGGTTCTAGATCCTTGAGGAATCGCCACACTGTCTTCCTCAATGGTTGAACTAATTTACACTCCCACCAACAGTGTAAAAGCATTCCTATTTCTCCACATCCTCTCCAGCATGTTGTTTCCTGACTTTTTAATGATCGTCATTCTAACTGCTGTGAAATGGTATCTCATTGTGATTTTGATTTACATTTCTCTAATGACCAATGATGATGAGCTTTTTTTTTCATGTTTGCTGGCCGCATAAATGTCTTCTCTCGAGAAGTGTCTGTTCATATCCTTCACTCACTTTTTGATGGGGTTGTTTTTTTCTTGTAAATTTGTTTAAGTTCTTTGTAGATTCTGGATATTAGCCCTTTGTCAGATGGATAGATTGCAAAAATTGTCTCCCATTCTGTAGGTTGCCTGTTCACTCTGATGATAGTTTCTTTTGCTGTGCAGAAGCTCTTTGGTTTAATTAGATCCCAATTGTCAGTTTTGGCTTTTGTTGACATTGCTTTTGGTGTTTTAGTCATGAAGTCTTTGCCAATGCCTATGTCCAGGATGGTATTGCCTAGGTTTTCTTGTAGGGTTTTTACAGTTTTAGGTCTTACATTTCAGTCTTTAATCCATCTTGAATTAATTTTTTTATAAGGTGTAAGGAAGGGGTCCAGTTTCAGTTTTCTGCATATGGCTAGCCAGTTTTCTCAACACCATTTATTAAATAGGGAATCCTTTCCCCATTTCTTGTTTTTGTCAGGTTTCTCAAAGATCAGATGGTTGTAGATGTGTGGCATTATTTCTGAGGCCTCTGTTATGTTCCATTGGTCTATATATCTGTTTTGGTATCAGTACCATGCTGTTTTTGTTACTGTAGCCTTGCAGTATAATTTGAAGTCAGGTAGCATGATGCCTCCAGCTTTGTTCTTTTTGCTTTGGATTGTCTTGGCAATATGGGCTCTTTTTTGGTTCCATATGAAGTTTAAAGTAGTTTTTTCCAATTCTGTGAAGAAAGTCATTGGTAGCTTGATGGGGATAGCATTGAATCTATATATTACCATGGGCAGTATGGCCATTCTTACGATATTGATTCTTCCTATCCATGAGCCTGGAATGTTTTTCCATATGTTTGTGTCCTCTCTTATTTCCTTGAGCAGCAGTTTGTAGTTCTCCTTGAAGAGGTCCTTCACATCCCTTGTAAGTTGGATTCCTAGGTATTTTATTCTCTTAGTAGCAATTGTGAATAGGAGTTCACTCATGATTTGGCTCTCTGTTTGTCTGTTATTGGTGTATAGGAACACTTGTGATTTTTGCACATTGATTTTGTATCCTGAGACTTTGCAGAAGTTGCTTATCAGCTTAAGGAGATTTTGGGCTGAGACGATGGGGTTTTCTAAATATACAATCATGTCATCTGCAAAGAGAGACAATTTGGCTTCCTCTCTTCCTATTTGAATACTTTTATTTCTTTCTCTTGCCTGATTGACCTGGCCAGAACTTCCAATACCATGTTGAATAGGAGTGGTGAGAGAGGGCATCTTTGTCTTGTGCCAGTTTTCAAAGGGAATGCTTCCAGCTTTTGCCCATTCAGTATGATATTGGCTGTGGGTTTGTCATAAATAGCATTTATTATTTTGAGATATGTCTCATCAATACCTAATTTATTGAGAGTTTTTAGCATAAAGGGCAGTTGAATTTTGTCAAAGGCCTTTTCTGCATCTATTGAGATAATTATGTGTTTTTTGTCATTGGTTCTGTTTATGTGATGGATTATGTTCATTAATTTGCGTATGTTGAACCAGCCTTGCATCCCAGGGATGAAGCCCACTCGATCATGGTGAATAAGCTTTTTGATGTGCTGCTGGATTCAGTTTGCCAGTATTTTATTGAGGATTTTTGCATCGATATTCATCAGGGATATTAGCCTGAAATTTTCTTTTTTTGTTGTGTCTCTGACAGACTTTGGTATCAGGATGATGCTGGCCTTGTAAAATGAGTTAAGGAGGAGTCCCTCTTTTTCTATTGATTGGAATGGTTTCAGAAGGAATGGTACCAGCTCCTCTTTGTACCTCTGGCAGAATTTGGTTGTGAATCCATCTGATCCTGGGCTTTTTTTGGTTGGTAGATTATTAATTACTGCCCCAATTTTAGAACTTGTTATTGGTCTATTCAGGGATTCGACTTCTTCCTCCTTTAGTCTTGGGAGGGTGTATGTGTCCAGGAATTTATGCATTTCTTCTAGATTTTCTAGTTTATTTGTGTAGAGGTGTTTATAGTATTCTCTGATGGTAGTTTGTATTTCTGTGTGATCGGTGGTGATATCTCCTTTATCATTTTTTGTTGTGTCTATTTGATTCTTCTCCCTTTTCTTTTTCATTATTCTGGCTAGTGGTCTATCTATTTTGTTAATCTTTTCAAAAATCCAGCTCCTGGATTCATTGATTTTTTTGAAGGGTTTTTTGCATCTCTATCTCCTTCAGTTCTCCTCTGATCTTAGTTATTTCTTGTCTTCTGCTAGCTTTTGAATGTGTTTGCTCTTGCTTCTCTAGCTTTTTTAATTGTGATGTTAGGGTGTCGATTTTAGATTTTTCCTGCTTTCTCCAGTGGGCGTTTAGTGCTATAAATTTCCCTCTAAACACTGCTTTAGCTTTGTCCCAGAGATTCTGGTATGTGTGTCTTTGTTCTCATTGGTTTCAAATAACTTAGTCATTTCTGCCTTAATTTCATTATGTACCCAGTAGTCATTCAGGAGCAGGTTGTTCAGTTTCCATGTATTTATGTGATTTTGAGTGAGTTTCTTAATCCTGAGTTCTAATTTGATTGCATTGTGGTATGATAGACTGTTTGTTATTATTTCTCTTCTTTTGCATTAGCTAAGGAGTGTTTTACTTCCAATTTTATGGTCAATTTTAGAATAAGTGTGATGTGGTGCTGAGAAGAATGTATATTCTGTGGATTTGGGGTGGAGAGTTCTGTAGATGTCTATTAGGTCTGATTGGTGCAGAGCTGAGTTCAAGTCCTGAATATCCTTGTTAATTTTCTGTCTTGTTGATCTGTCTAATATTAACAGTGGGGTGTTAAAGTCTCCCACTATTATTGTGTGAGAGTCTAAGTCTCTTTGTAGGTCACTAAGAACTTGCTTTATGAATCTGGGTGCTCCTGTATTGGGTGCATATATATTTAGGATAGTTAGGTCTTCTTGTTGCATTGATCCCTTTACCAATATGTAATGGTCTTGTCTTTTTTGATCTTTGTTGGTTTAAAGTCTGTTTTATCAGAGACTAGGATTGTAACCCCTGCTTTTTTTCCTTTCCATTTGCTTGGTAAATATTTTTCCATCCCTTTATTTTGAGCCTATGTGTGTCTTTGCATGTGAGATGGGTCTCCTGAATACAGCACACTGATGGATCTTGACTCTTTATCCAATTTGCCAGTCTGTGTCTTTTAACTGGGGCATTTAGCCCATTTACATTTAAGATTAATATAGCTATGTGTGAATTTGATCCTGTCATTATGATGTTAGCTGGTTATTTTGCCCATTAGTTGATGCAGTTTCTTCATAGTGTTGATGGTATTTACAATTTGGCATGTTTTTGCAGTGGCTGGTACCAGTTGTTCCTTTCCATATTTAGTGCTCCCTTCAGGAGCTCTTGTAAGACAGTCCTGATGGTGACAAAATTTCTCAGCATTTGTTTGTCTATAAAGGATTTTATTTCTCCTTCGCTTATGAAGCTTAGTTTGGCTGGATATGAATTTCTGAGTTAAAAATTCTTTTGTCTAAGAATGTTGAATATTGGCCCCCACTCTCTTCTGGCTTGTAGGGTTTCTGCCGAGAGATTCGTTGTTAGTCTGATGGACTTCCCTTTAACCCGACCTTTCTCTCTGGCTGCCTTTAACATTTTTTTCCTTCATTTCAACCTTGGTGAATCTGAGGATTATGTGTCTTGGGGTTGCTCTTCTTGAGGAGTATCTTTGTGGTGTTCTCTGTATTTTTGAATTTGAATGTTGGCCTGACTTGCCACGTTGGGGAAGTTCTCCTGGGTAATATCCTGAAGAGTGTTTTCCAACTTGGTTCCATTCTCCCAGTCACTTTCAGGTACACCAATCAAACGTAGGTTTGGTCTTTTCACATAGTCCCATATTTCTTGGAGGCTTTGTTCATTCCTTTTCATTCTTTTTTCTCTAATCTTGTCTTCACACTTTATTTCATTAAGTTGATCTTCAATCCCTGATATCCTTCTTCTGTTTGATCAATTTGGCTATTGATACCTGTGTATGCTTCACAAAGTTCTTGTGCTGTCTTTTTCAGCTCCATTAGTTCATTTATGTTCTTCTCTAAACTGGTTATTCTAGTTAGCAATTCCTCTAACCTTTGTTTCAAGGTTCTTAGTTTCCTTGAATTGGGTTAGAACGTGCTCCTTTAGCTTGGAGGAGTTTGTTATTACCCACCTTCTGAAGCCTACTTCTGTCAATTCGTCAAGCTCATTCTCCATCTTGTTTTGTTCCCTTGCTGGCGAGGAGTTGTGATCCTTTGGAGGAGAAGAGGTGTTCTGATTTTGGTAATTTTCAGTCTTTTTTGTGCTGATTTTTCCTCATCTTTGTGGATTTATCTACCTTTGGTCTTTAATGTTGGTGACCTTTGGATTGTGTTTTTGCGTGGATGTCCTTTTCGTTGATATTGATGCTATTCCTTTCTGTTTGTTAGTTTTCCTTCTAACCATTAGGCCCCTCTGCTGCAGGTCTGCTGGAGTTTTCTGGAGGTCCGCTTCTGATCCTGTTTGCCTGGGTATCACCAGTGGAGGCTGCAGAACAGCAAAGATTGTTGCCTGTTCCTTCCTCTAGAAGCTTTGTCCCAGAGGGGCACCCACCAGTTGCCAGCCAGAGCTCTCCTGTATGAGGTGTGTCCACCCCTGCTGGGAGGTGTCTCCCAGTCAGGAGGCACAGGGGTCAGGGACCCACTTGAGGAGGCAGTCTGTCCCTTAGCAGAGATTGAGTGCTGTGCTGGGAGATCTGCTGCTCTCTTCAGAGCCAGCAGGCAGGAATGTTTAAGTCTGCTGAAGCTGCCCCCACAGCCGCCCGTTCCCCCAGGTGCTCTCTCCCAGGGAGATGGGAGTTTTATCTATAAGCCCCTGACTGTGGCTGCTGCCTTTTTTTCAGAGATGCCATGCCCAGAGAAGAGGAATCTAGAGAGGAAGTCTGGCTACAGCAGCTTTGCTGAGCTGTGGTGGGCTCCGCCGAGTTTGAACTTCCCTGCAGCTTTGTTTACACTGTGAGGGGAAAACCGCCTACTCAAGCCTCAGTAATGGCAGACGCCCCTTCCCCCACCAACCTCAAGTGTCCCAGGTAGATTTCAGGTTGCTGTGCTGGCAGTGAGAATTTCAAGCCAGTGGATCTCAGCTTGCTGGGCTCCATGGGGGTGGGATCTGCTGAGCTAGACCACTGGGCTCCCTGGCTTCAACCCCCTTTCCAGGGAGGTTCTGGCATTCCAGGCACCACTGGGGTATGAAAAAAACAAAACAAAACTCCTGTGGCTAGCTCTGTGTCTGCCCAAACAGCTGCCCAGTTTTGTGCTTGAAACCCAGGGCTCTGGTAGCATAGGCACCTGAGGGAATCTCCTGGTCTGAGGGTTGCAAAGGCCATGGGAAAAGCATAGTATCCAGGCCAGAATGCACTGTTCCTCATGGCACAGTCCTTCATGGCTTCCCTTGGCTAGGGGAGGGAGTTCCCCGACCCCTTGTGCTTCCCGGGTGAGGTGACGGCCCACCCTGCTTCGGCTCGCCCTCCATGGGCTACAGTGCACCCACTGTCTAACCAGTCTCAATGAGATGAGCAGGGTACCTCAGTGGGAAATGCAGAAATCACCCACCTTCTGCATTGATCTCAATGGGAGCTGCAGACTGGAGCTGTTCCTATTCAGCCATCTTGCCAGTCACCCATTGCTTCTAATTTTGATGACTATGAATAAAGAAGCTATAAACATTAATGTACAGGTTTTTGTGTGGACATAAGTTTTCAGCTTATTTGGGTAAATAGCCAGGAGCACAATTGTTGGTAAGACTATTTAGCTTTGTAATAAACTTCCAAACTATATTCCAAAATGGCTGTTCAATTTTGCATACATAACAGTTTCACTGCCCTAAATATCCTCTGTGCTCCACATACTCATCCCTTTCCCATCTCCTGAACCTGTAGCAACCACTCATCTTTTCAGTCTCCAGAGTTTTGCCATTTCCAGATGTTATACAGTTGGAATAATACAGCATATAGCCTTTTCAGATTGGCTTCTTTCACTTAGTAATGTGCATTTGAGATTCCTCCATGTCTTTTCATGCCTTGGTAGCTCATATTTTTTTAGTGCTAAATAAAATTTCATTGTACCACAGTTTATCCACTTACCTACTGAAAAATATCTTGGTTGCTTCCAAGTGCTGGCAATTCTGAATACAGCTGCTATAAACATCCATGTACAGGTTTTTGTGTGGCCCACATGTTTAACTCATTTAGGTAACTAGCTAGAAACATGATTGTTGCATTGTTTGGTAAGGGTATGTTTAGTTCTGTAAGAAACTGTTGCATTGTCTTCCAAAGTGGCTGTACCACTTTGCATGCCCACCAGCAATGAATGAGAGTTCCTGTTGCTCCACATCCTCACCAGCAGTTAGTGTTGTCAGTGTTTGGGGTTTTCACTATTTCAATAGGTATATAGTGGTATCTCTTTGCTGTCTTAATTTGAAATTTTGTAGTGACATATGATGTCAAGAACCTTTTTGTATGGTTCCTTTGCCAAATGCATACCTTCTTTGGTGAGGTGTCTGCTATATACTGTATGGTTTCAACTATATGACATTCTGGAAAAGGCAAAACTATAGAGACAGTAAAAAGATCAGTGGTTGCCAGGGTTTGGGGAAAGGGAGCAATAAATAGGCAAAGCACAGAAGATATTTAGGGCAATGAAACTATTCTGTATATACAAAGCTATGTTATGCTATACCATACTATACTACACCTATACTATACTATACTAGTGGATACATGTCATTATACATTTGTCAAAATATATGGCGTATACAAAACCAAGAGTGAACCCTAATGAAACTGGACTTTGGATGGTAATGATGTGTCAATGTAGGTTCATCGATTGTAACTAGTGGGGGATGTTGATAGTGGGGGAGGCCATGCAAGTGTGGAGGTGAGGGAATATATGGGAACTCTGCACTTTCTGCTCAATTTTGCTGTAAACTTAAAACTGCTCTAAAAACTAAAATCTATTTTTAAAAAAGTTATTCCTCCCCCCAATCCATTGAGGTTATCCATTATATTAACAGATTTAGGAAGGAAAAGTCACACAATGCTATGAATTGAAAATCATACAAAGTATTTGACAAATTAAAATCACCATAAGATACCATTATATACCAATTAGAATGGCTAAAATAAAAATATTATTTATACCAAATGGCGGTGAGGATGTGGGGCAACTGAATCTTTCATACATTGCTGTTGGCATAGCACTCTGACAGTTTCTTATAAAACTAAACATACAGTTATCATATCACCCAGCAATTGCACTCTTGATCATTTATCAAAAAAAAAAAAAAAGAAAACGTATGTTCACAAAAAAATCTTGTACATGAATAGCAGATTTATTTGTAATAGACAAACACTGGAAACAACCCAGCTGTCTTTCAGATAAATTCATGGTTAGACAAACAGTGATACAGTCATATACATCCTGGAATACTACTCATCAATAGAAAGGAACAAGCTATTGATATGTGCAGCAAATTTAATGAATCTCCAAGGAACTATACTGAGTCAAAGAAGCCAGACCCAAAGGCTGCATACCGTGTGATTCTATTTGTATGTTATTCTGAAATAGAGAAACCTATAAAGATGGATAATTCATCAGTGGTTGCCAGGAGTTGGGGGTGTAGGGGGGGAGGAGATGTGACTATAAAGGAATTGCAGGAGGGAGTTGTCAAATTATAACATTTTATTCCTAGTTCTACTCCTCCTCATCTATCACCTTCTCCTCCACCCTTCCTATGTGTTACTTAAAGAATAACTATTCATCCAGCCTTCTCTAGACTTCCACCCCTCCTCCACCCCTAGTTTGGTTCAGAGAGAGTATCAATTCTTCCACGAGCTTATCTCTGGTTTGTGGCAGGTAGCAGCAGTGTGACATGCGTATATGATGCAAGGGGTGACCACTTATTTTCATTCTATGTTGTGTTGACAATTACTTTGCAATTCTACCTTTGTCTCCTCCCTACTTTTGCATTAATATTAACATTTGATTTGGGGTCTAGCCTATTTTCTTCACTTGTTTTTGGTACTTGTTTTTATTACAGTGTGATCAGGGCCTACTCCTGGAAAAGGAGTTAATCTCACTATGCAAATCTATTCCTTTCCTCCCCCACCAAAATAGCTTAATTTAATTCTGAGACCACTGGGTAAAATGACAAGTGGAAAGGAGATTTTTTGCTTCAATGTAAATCTGAAGTAAACTTGCAGTAATCACAGCTTCAAAGACTAGAAGACAAGGATCAAGATTTTTAGTGGTATAATAGTGCTCTTTTTGATTTTGCTGATGCCAGATGACAACACACCTTTCTTAGAAAAATGGTACTTATTTCTGTTCATATTATTCTCAAAAGGAATATATCCATAAAGATGGGGGATTTAATTAAATAAATAATTTTATTCATTCCATTATAAATGTATAGCTATTTAGAAAATTTCTGAAATATGTTTGTGTTTCTTTGTCTTGAAAAATCTGAGGAGTGTTTCTCTCCAACTGTATACTTTCAGTACAACTTTTATCACTTTAACCACAATAAATGGTGTAATATAGGCTCACTGGGTTTTGTTATATTTGTTACATTTTCACTAAACCTTGAATTTAACACTAAACAATATAAAAGAGAAGGTGAGTACAACCCATTCTGACTATTCACAGCATGTCAGGTACCATGGAGAAGGTCACAAGTGCGCTAGTAGCTAATTCAAGGACCCTTTCTTTAAGGAGATAAGACGAGCAAATAGGTGCATGTTTTATTCCTTTAGTTGGTTGGAAAATACACATTTCTTACTTCTTTCCCGAGCTTGGCTTCCAGGCCTGTTTGCCTCTCACTCCACCCTTACCTCTTCTAGTCAAAATGTTACCAGTTGTATTCAGGGTAAGGAGAATTTAGTCTTAACCAATATACAACTTGAGGTGGTAAAAATATGTCTAAGTTAGATGGTAAGAAAGAGGGGTAAATAGTCAGAGAAAAAGGTGGTACGCTGTCACCAAATTCCAGTCAATCAATAAAATCTCTCATCTGGTGAATGCACAGAGAATCTATGATAATGTTCTAAGGCACGTCTAAAATGGAGTCAAGAAGATGAAGAGGATTCCCGAAGAATATGCTGAAGGAGTAATCAAGCATAAGGCAGAAACTATAGACAAATCGTTACAGTCGAGTTATCTTCTAACATGAAATGTGGTAAAATGGGATGGATACAGTGGCTCATGTTTGTAATCCCAGCACATTGGGAGGCCGAGGCAGGAGGATGGCTTGATCCCAGGAGTTCAAGAGCAGCCTGGGCAACAGAGTGAGACCTCATCTCTACAAAAGATAAAAAATTAAAAAAATGGCTCAGTGTGGAGGCATACACCTGTAATCCTAGCTATTCGAGAGACTGAGGTAGTAGGATTGCTTGAGCCCAAGATTTCAAGGCTGCAGTGAGCTGAGGTCATTCCACTGCACTCCAGCCTGAGTGACAGAGCGAGACCCCATCTCTTAAAAAAAAAATGTGTTAAGCTGGGCGCAGTGGCTCATGCCTGTAATCTCAGCACTTTGGGAGGCCTAGGCAGGTGGATCAAGAGGTCAAGAAATCAAGACCATCCTGGCCAACATGATGAAACCCCATCTCTACTAAAAATACAAAAATTAGTTGGGCATGATGGCAGGCACCTGTACTCCCAGCTACTCGGGAGGCTGAGGCAGGAGAATCACTTAAACCAAGAGGCGGAGGTTGCAGGGAGCCAAGATTGTGCCACTGCACTCCAGCCTGGTGACAGAGTGAGACTCCGTCTAAAAAAAAAAAGTGTTAAGAATGATCACAGTGTTCCTATATGGAGTCAGACGTTGCCCTAATTATTAATGAGAATCAGTATGGGAAGCAAACAAATATCATGTTGGAATTTTAACTCTAAAATCTTGCCAGAGAACCTGCAGGCTTTGACATTACATAGGTAGGTACAGATCTTGGGGAAGAATAGAGGCCCATATATTCACTTACATTTGGCATATGAAGAAAAGGCACAGAGTCATTGACAAAGGTTCAAGTGAAGACTTGTAGTACATTTTGTTTATAAAAAAATTATAAAGGGAGATTCTCATAGGACACAAGGGAGTGGTAATCTTTTCCAGTGGGCATAAGGCAAAGGAAATATTTTCTTACATAGGAGAGGAAAGGGAATCTGGAAACCCCATTCTTTTTTCTTTTCCTCACAATCTATGATACCAAAAGTCTACAAATTTTGAAACTGGAAAGAGAACCTCAAGTTCAATATAATTAAATCATTAAATGTCCCTGGCATCTGTGATCACATGGTAACTGCTAAAAAGTGATGGCATCCCAACCCTTTTTATAGATTATTTTTTCTCATTATTTTCAGCTCAAACTCTACAAATATCACAAAAACCTGCAATTACAGTAGTGCCATAAAAATATAAAGTTGACAAAGTCTTCTGTTAGAACAGATGGGCCTCTAGAGTTCCAACCAATGCAGATTAAAAGCTATTATAAAGTATAAAATCAGGCCATTGTGAATTTCAGTTGGGCTTTTAACAAAAAAGCTCTGCTTCATGTGGTCTTGTTGATCTGTAGAGCCTGCAGCTCTGCATTGCATGGAGATTATACTTTATCTGGTTGATGTTTCAGTATTTATATGGTTTAGTACAGAAAGGAGAAAATATATGTAATGCTCAAATAGAGGATATCGCTTCATAGGTTTGCAGGGTATATAGTATATAGTAGATTGTTATTTTGTTTGGCAGCCCTAAATCTGAATACCCTTTCTAAGTCTGGTAGATAAACAAATTGTGAGTTTTGGTGGGAGGCAGAGCTATCTCTCTCTTTGGGAACTGAAAATGCCAGATACTTTTTAAGCTCCCTTGAAGTTTTGATACAGGCATGTGACCTGGAGTCAGACAATTATATGCAGCCACAATGGATGTTAAATCCAGGGTAAATGATGAAAAGAATCAGAATCACACAGACCTCCAATTAACATTCCTTAGTGATTCCTTGCTTTGAAAACCCTTTTGGATCTAAACACATAACAATGGTGCATAAGATACAAAAAGTAAAAATAAAAAAGAATGTAGTTGAGATCAAATACAAGAGATATATATTTGTGAACCAGAGATGGGCTGAGGCTTGCTGAACTCGAAACCCAAGAACAGGCAATAGTAGCTAGAAATTTAGCTCCTGTATGGCCATGGAGACTGGAGTGATTCATACAAGACACGAAAAACAGATGCAGACTCACAGTGTAAAGCAATGGGTCAGGGGAACCAGGTCCCAACTCATCCCCTCTGAAAGGGGCCTAAAGAAATTACCCCAAATGTTTCCTGGGACAACTACAGTGAAGAACCTAAAACTAGAATAATGCTGCAGGTCAAGGAAAGTAAAAGAACAGACATACCATGTTGAAACCTGGGATTGAACTAAGCCACATGCTGGCCTTTACTGAATCTGTCAGGTCCTCAAGATCACTATGAGACAAAGCCCCCCAAAAGTTATTATTAGACCTAGCTTTGAATGGAAAGTACAGAGGGACAAGGGTAAGCAACTACAAAACTGCCAAAATAAAAGGGGGAGCATAGACGGGAGTAAAAGAAAGAAAGAAAACTGAGGCTACAAACAAAAATTCCAAAATGCAAGAATAAATCTAAGACTATGAAAAAATTGATAAAACAAATAATTGAAACAGAAATTTACTGCACAAGAAATTATTTTTGGATTCCATTCCAAGATGGCCGAATAGGAACAGCACTGGTCTGCAGCTCCCAGCATGATTGATGCAGAAGATGGGTGATTTCTGCATTTCCAATCGAGGTACCTGGCTCATCTCATTGGGACTGGTTGGACAGTGGGTGCAGCCCATGGAGGGCGAGCTGGAGCAGGGTGGGGCATTGCCTTGCCGGGGAAGGGCAAGGGGTCAGGGGATTTCCTTTTCCTAGCCAAGGAAAGCCGTGACAGATGGTACCTGGAAAAATGGGACACTCCTGCCCAAATACTGCACTTTTCCAATGGTCTTAGCAAATGGCACACCAAGAGATTATATCCTGCATCTGGCACGGTGGGAGCCTTGCTTACTGCTAGTGCAGCAGTCTGAGATCGACCTGCGAGGCAGCAGCCTGGCAGGGGGAGGGGTGTCCGCCATTGCTAAGGCTTGAGTAGGTAAACAAAGCTGCTGGGGAAGCTCAAACTGGGTGGAGCCCACTGAAGCTCAGCAAGGCCAGCTGCCTCTGTAGTCTCCACCTCTGGGGGCAGGGCATAGCTGAACAAAAGGCAGCAGAAACTTCTGCAGACTTAAACATCCCTGTCTAACAGCTCTGAAGAGAGCAGTGGTTCTCCCAGCAAGGTGTCTGAGCTCATAGAACGGACAGACTGCCTCCTCATGTGGGTCCCTGACCCCTGTGTAGCCTAACTGGAAGACACCTCCCAGTAGGGGCTGACTGACACCTCATACAGGCGGGTGCCCCTCTTGGACGAAGCTTCCCCAGGAAGGATCAGGCAGCAATATTTGCTATGCTGCAATATTTGCTGTTCTGCAGCCTCCACTGGTGATACCCAGGCAAACAGGGTCCGGAGTGGACCTCCAGCAAACTCTAACAGACCTGCAGCTGAGGGACCTGACTGCTAGAAGGAAAACTAACAAACAGAAAGGAATAGCATCAACATCAACAAAAAGGACATCCACACCAAAACCTCATCTGTAGGTCACCAACATCAAAGACCAAAGGTAGATAAAACCACAAAGACGGGGAGAAACCAGAGTAGAAAGCTGAAAATTCTAAAAAACAGAGCACCTCTTCTCCTCCAAAGGATCACAGCTCCTCACCAGCAACAGAACAAAACTAGATGGGGAATGACTTTGACGAGCTGACAGAAGTAGGCTTCAGAAGGTCGGCAATAACAAACTTCTCCGAGCTAAAGGAAGCTGTTTGAATCCATTGCAAGGAAGCTAAAAACCTTGAAAAAAGATTAGACAAATGGCTAACTAGAATAAACAGTACAGAGAAGACCTTAAATTATCTGATGGAGCTGAAAACCATGGCACAAGAACTATGTGATGCATGCACAAGCTTCAATAGCCAATTCAATCAAGTCGAAGAAAGGGTATCAGTGATCGAAGATCAAATTAATGAAATAAAGTGAGAAGAGAAGTTTAGAGAAAAAAGAGTAAAAAGAAACAAACAAAGCCTCCAAGAAATATGGGACTATGTGAAAAGTCCAAATCTACGTTTGATTGGTGTACCTGAAAGTGATGGAGAGAATGGAACCAAGTTGGAAAACACTCTTTAGGATATTATCCAGGAGAACTTCCCCAACCTAGCAAGGCAGGCCAATATTCAAATTCAGGAAATACAGAGAACACCACAAAGATACTCCTCGAGAAGAGCAACCCCAAGACACATAATTGTCACATTCACCAAGGTTGAAATGAAGGAAAAAATGTTGAGGGCAGCCAGAGAGAAAGGTCGGGTTACCCACAAAGGGAAGCGCATCAGACTAACAGTGGATCTCTTGGGAGAAATTCTACAAGCCAGAAGAGAGCAGGGAGCAATATTCAACATTCTTAAAGAAAAGAATTTTCAACCTAGAATTTCATATCCAGGCAAACTAAGCTTCATAAGTGAAGGTGAAATAAAATCATTTACAGATAAGCAAACACTGAGAGATTTTGTCACCACCAGGCTTGCCTTACAAGAACTCCTGAGGGAAGCATTAAACGTGGAAAGGAAGAACTGGTAGCAGCCACTGCAAAAACATGCCAAATTGTAAAGATCATTGATGCTAAGAAGAAACTGCATCAACTAAGGGGCAAAATAACCAGCTAACATCATAATGACAGGATCAAATTCACACATAATAATATTAACCTTAAATGTAAAAGGGCTAAATTCCCCACTTAAAAGACACAGACTGGCAAATTGGATAAAGAGTCAAGACCCATCAGTGTGCTGTAATCAGGAGACCCATCTCATGTGCAGAGACACACATAGGCTCAAAATAAAGGGATGGAGGAATATCTACCAAGGAAATAGAAAGCTTAAAACAAAACAAAACAAAAAAGCAAGGATTGCAATCCTAGTCTCTGATAAAATAGACTTTAAACCAACAAAGATCAAAAGAGACAAAGAAGGCCATTACATAATGGTAAAGAGATCTATTCAACAAGAAGAGCTAACTATCCCAAATATATATGCACCTAATACAGGAGCACTGAGATTCAAAAAGCAAGTCCTTAGAGGCGTACCAAGAGACTTAGACTCCCACACAGTAATAATGGGAGACTTTACCACCTCACTGTCAATATTAGACAGATCAACGAGACAGAAGGTTAAAAAGGATACCAGGACTTAACTCAGCTCTGCACCAATCAGACCTAATACACATCTACAGAACTTTCCACCCCATATCCACAGAATATACATTCTTCTCAGCACCGTATCACACTTATTCCAAAATTGACCACATAGTTGGAAGTAAAGCACTCCTCAGCAAATGTAAAAGAACAAAAATCACAACAAACTGTCTCTCAGACCACAGTGCAATCAAATTAGAATTCAGGATTAAGAAACTCAATCAAAACCACACAACTACATGGCAACTGAACAACCTGCTCCTGAATGACTACTGAGTAAATAACGAAATGAAGGCAGAAATAAAGATATTGTTTGAAACCAATGAGAACAAAGACACAACGTACCAGAATCTCTGGGAAACATTTAAAGCAGTGTGTAGAGGGAAATTTAGAGCACTAAATGCCCACAAGAGAAAGTGGGAAAGATCTAAAATCGACACCCTAACATCACAATTAAAAGAACTGGAGAAGCAAGAGCAAACAAATTCAAAAGCTAGCAGAAGGCAAGAAATAACTAAGATCAGAGCAGAACTGAAGGAGATAGAGACAGAAAAAACCCTACAAAAAAATCAATGAATCCAGGAGCTGGTTTTTTGAAACGATCAACAAAATAGATAGACCACTGGCAAGACTAATAAAGAAAAAAGAGAGAAGAATCAAATAGACTCAATAAAAAATGTTAAAGGGAATATCACCACCGATCACACAGAAATACAAACTACCATCAGAGAATACTATAAACACCTCTATACAAATAAACAACAAAATCTAGAATAAATGGATAGATTCCTGGACACATACACCCTCCCAAGACTAAACCAGGAAGAAGTTGAATCCCTGAATAGACCAATAACAGGCTCTGAAATTCAGGCAATAATTAATAGCTTACCAACCAAAAAAAGTCCAGGACCAGATGGATTCACTGCTGAATTTTACTAGAGGTACAAAGAGGAGCTGGTACAATTCCTTTTTTTCTATTGATTGGAAACTATTCCAATCAATAGAAAAAGAAGGAATCCTCCCTAACTCATTTTATGACGCCAGCATCATCCTGATACCAAAGCCTGGCAAAGACACAACAAAAAAAGATAATTTTAGATCAGTATCCCTGATGAACATCGACGCGAAAATCCTCAGTAAAATACTGGCAAACCAAATCCAGCAGCACATCGAAAAGCTTATCCACCATGATCAAGTTAGCTTCATCCCTGGGATGCAAGGCTGGTTCAACATCTGCAAATCAATAAATGTAATCCATCACATAAACAGAACCAACGACAAAAACCACATGATTATCTCAATAGATGCAGAAAAGCCCTTCAACAAAATTCAACAGCCCTTCATGCTAAAAACTCTCCATAAACTAGGTATTGATGGGACGTATCTCAAAATAATAAGAGCTATTTATGACAAACCCACAGCCAGTATCATACTGAATGGGCAAAAACTGGAAGTATTCCCTTTGAAAACTGACACAAGACAGGGATGCCCTCTCTCAGCACTCCTATTCAACATAGTATTGGAAGTTCTGGCCAGGTCAATCAGGCAAGAGAAAGAAATAAAGGGTATTCAATTAAGAAAAGAAGAAGTCAAATTGTCCCTGTGGGCAGATGACATGACTGTATATTTAGAAAACCCTATTGTCTCAACCCCAAATGTCCTTAAGCTGATAAGCAACTTCTGCAAAGTCTCAGGATACAAAATCAATGTGCAAAAATCACAAGTATTCTTATACACCAATAACAAACAAACAGAGAGCCAAATCATGAGTGAACTCCCATTCACAATTGCTACTAAGAGAATAAAATACCTAGGAATCCAACTTACAAGGGATGTGAAAGATCTCTTTGAGGAGTACTACAAACCACTGCTCAACGAAATAAAAGAGGAATCAAGCAAATGGAAGAACATTCCATGCTCATGGATAGGAAGAATCAATATCATCAAAATGGCCATATTGCCCAAGGTAATTTATAGATTCAATGCCATCCCCATCAAGCTACCAATGACTTTCTTCACAGAATTGGAAAAAACTACTTTAAACTTCATATGGAACCAAAAAAGAGCCCATATTGCCAAGTCAATCCTAAGCCAAAATAACAAAGCTGGAGGCATCATGCTACCTGACTTCAAACTATACTACAAGGCTACAGAAACAAAAACAGCATGGTACTGATACCAAAACAGATATATAGACCAATGGAACAGAATAGAGGCCTCAGAAATTATGCCACACATCTACAATCATCTGATCTTTGACAAAACTGACAAAAACATGCAATGGGGAAAGGATTCCCTATTTAATAAATGGTGCTGGGAAAACTGCCTAGCCATATGTAGAAAGCTGAAACTGGATCCCTTCCTTACACCTTATACAAAAATTAATTCAAGATGAATTAAAGACTTAAATGTTCGACCTAAAACCATAAAAACCCTAGAAGAAAACCTAGGCAATACCGTTCAGGACATAGGCATGGGCAAGGACTTCGTGACTAAAACACCAAAAGCAATGGCAACAAAAGCCAAAATTGACAAATGGGATGTAATTAAACGAAAGAGCTTTTGCACAGCAAAAGAAACTACCATCAGAGTGAACAGACAACCTACAGAATGGGAGAAAATTTTTGCAATCTACCCATCTGACAAAGGGCTAATATCCAGAATCTACAAAGAACTTAAACAAATTTACAAGAAAAAAACATACAACCCCATCAAAAAGTGGGCAAAGGATATGAACAGACCCTTCTCAAAAGAAGACATTTATGCAGCCAACAGACATATGAAAAAATGTTCATCATCACTTGTCATCAGAGAAATGCAAATCAAAACCACAATGAGATACCATCTCACACCAGTTAGAATGGTGATCATTAAAAAGTCAGGAAAACAACAGGTGCTAGAGAGGATGTGGAGAAATAGGAACACTTTTACACTGTTGGTGGGGGTGTAAACTAGTTCAACCATTGTGGAAGACAGTGTGGCGATTCCTCAAGGATCTAGAACTAGCAATACCATTTGACCCAGCCATCCCATTACTGGGTATATACCCAAAGGATTATAAATCATGCTGCTATAAAGACACAGGCACAAGTATGTTTATTGCAGCACTATTCACTATAGCAAAGACTTGGAACCAACCCAAATGTCCATCAATGATAGACTGGATTAAGAAAATGTGGCATATTTACACCATGGAATACTATGCAGCCATAAAAAAGGATGAGGCCTTGTCCTTTGCAGGGACATGGATGCAGCAGGAAACCATCATTCTGAGCAAACTATCACAAGGACAGAAAACCAAACACCGCATGTTCTCACTCATAGGTGGGAATTGAACAATGAGAACACTTGGACATGGGGCGGGAAATATCACACACCGGGGCCTTTCATGGGGTGGGGGGAGGGGGGAAGGATAGCATTAGGAGAAATACCTAATGTAAATGACGAGTTAATGGGTGCAGCACACCAACATGGCACAGGTATACATATGTAAGAAACCTGCATGTTGTGCACATGTACCCTAGAACTCAAAGTATAATAAAAAAACAAGAAAAAAAGAAATTATTTTTGTGTAATAATCTGATGAAGAATTGAATATAAGTGTATTGAAAATGTTCAAAGACATAAATGAAAGCATAATTTTGACTAAAAAAGTAAAGAAATAAAAACAGAGAGATATTTTAAAAGAACTGGTATATTTGACAAAAATTAGCCAGGCATAGTGGCATGCACCTGTAGTCCCAGCTACTCGGGAAGCTGAGGTGGGAGGATCTTTTGAGCCCGGGAGGCGGAGGTTGCAGTGAGCCATGATCACACCACTGCACTTCAGCCTAGGTGACAGAGTGAGAACCTGTCTGAAAAAGAGAAAAAAAATGTATATTTGAAAACAAACCCATTAGAATGTTGGAAATTTGATCTCTTGTCAGAAAAATTGAAATTTAATAAAGACTAGGCCAATAGAGAAAATTAGTGAATTATATGAAATAATCCTGAGGAATGCAGGATGGAAGAGGGAAATAAAAATAAAGAGAAATATTAAAGAGAAGACTGAGATGCTTCCACATTTGTAGAAAATTGTTTTAAGGGGGTGAGAACGGAGGAAATGGCAAAATACAATAATTTGAAGATATAATAAGTGAGAATTTTATTTTAATTAAGTTAAGCCTAATTTGCTGGGCCTGGTGGCTCATGCCTGTAATTCCAGCTACTTGGGAAGCGGAGGCAGGAGTATCTCTTGAGGCCAGGAGTTCGAGAACAGCCTGGGCAATATAGTGAGATCTCCATCTCTTAAAAAAAAAAATAATAAATTAGCTGGGTGTGTTGGTGCATGCCTATAGTTCCAGCTACTCAGGAGCATGAGGCAGAAGAATCACTTGAGGCCAGGAGTTTGAGGCCCATGGGGCTATGATTGTACCACTGTACTCCAGCCTGGGCAACAAAATGATATCTTGTCTCTTAAAAAAATAGTAAAATAAGATTGCTTTGGTTATTAGGGCTCTTTTTGGTTCCATATGAATTATAGAATAGATTTTTCTAATTCTATGAAAAACAATATTGCTAGTTTGATAGGAATAGTGTTGAACCCATAGGTTGCTTTGGGTAGTATAGCCATTTTAATGATATTGAGTCTACCAACCCATGAGCATGAAATGTTTTTCCATTTGTTTGTGTCATCTGATTTCTTTCAGCAGTGTTTTGTAGTTCTTCTTCTAGAGCTCTTTTAAATCCTTGGCTAAAGGTATTTCTAGGTATTTTATTTTTGTGTGTGGCTATTTTAAACAGGATCGTGTTCTTGATTTGGCTCTCAGCTTGAACATTATTGGTGTATAGAAATGCTACTGATTTTGGTAAATAGATTTTGTATCCTGAAACTTTATTGAAGTCATTTATCAGTTCTAGGGACCTTTTGGTGGCATCTTTAGGGTTTTCTACGTATAGAGTCCTATCGTCAGTGAAGAGAGAGATCTTGACTTCTTTTCCTGTTTGTATGCCTTTCATTTCTTTGTCTTGCCTGATTGCCCCAGCAAGAACTTCTAGAACTATGTTGAATATGTGTGGTGAGAGTGGGCATCCTTGCTAAGCAGCCAACAAACATATGAAAAAATCCTTCATATCATTAATCATCACAGAAATGTAAATCAAAACCACAATGAGATACCATCTCACACCACTTAGAATGGTTATTACTTACAAGGCAAAAAATAACATGTTGGTGAGGCTGCAGAGCAAAAAAGGGAAACGCTTACACACTGTTGATGGGAATGTAAATTAGTTCAGCCACTGTGGAAAGCAATTTGGAGATTCCTGAAACAACTAAAAATAGGACCACCATTCGACATTCAACCTGGAAACTGCATTACTGGATATATACCTAGAGGAAAATAAATCATTCTACCAAAAAGACACATGCACGTCTATGTTCATTGCAGCACTACTCACAATAGCAAAGACGTGACATCAACCTAGGTCATCAATGGTGGACTGGATAAAGAAAATGTTGTACATATACACCATGGAATACTATGCAGCCATGAAAAGGACAAAATCATGTTTTTTGCAGCAACATGGATGCAGCTAGAGGCCAATATCCTAAGCTAATTAACACAGAAAGAAAACCAAATACTGCATGTTCTCACTTGTAAGTGAGAGCTAAACATTGGGTACACATGGACATAAGGATGGGAGAAATAGACATGGAGGCTCCTAGAGTGGGGGTGGGGAGCAAGGGTTGAAAAGCTGACTATTGGGTACTATGCTCATTACCTGGGTGATGGGATCATTTGTAAACCCCAAACCTCAGCATCATGCAATATACCCATGTAACAAATCTGCATATGTACCTCTGGAATCAAAATAAAAGTTGAAATTTTTAAAAATAATAATAATTAAATTAAATAGAACAAAACCTTGAACATGCAGAATAAAAGGACTCTTAGCACCTCATATAATAAATTAAAACAAATACATAGCTAGGCATTTCACAGTAAAGTTGTAGAATTTCAGAGATGAAGAGACTGTAGTAATAGCTACAAAATACATTATATACATATTAATAAGAATTTGAGAGAAGACTTCTCACCAGTAGCGCTTAATGACAAAGAGAAAGGAGTAACATTTTCAGAGGGGAAAAACAAATCTCAATTTACCATTTTTACACAGCTAAACTTATCATTTAAGCTTGGTGGGGAGAGATAGAGAAATTTAAGAGAAAAAAAGACTAAGAGATCCTTCATATATGCAAACACCATTTAGGAGGTCGAATGGGAGATACGAGCTCTTTTGCCATAGAAAAAAATTAAATAAAATGCTTAGACATAAACTTAACAAGAAATATTCAAAACAGATATGAGCAAACCTCTACAACACTTTAAAAGACCGAAATAGACTTAGCATATTCTTGCATTAAAGAATCAACATAATAGGGTATCAGATCTCCTTAAGTTTATTTATAAATTTAACAGTTATTTTCCTGGAGCTTAACAAGTTGATTATAAGTTCATTTAGAATCACAAATAAGTAAGAATATCCAGGAAACCCTGAAAATGAAAAGTAATGGTGAAAGGTCTAACAATACCAGACATTAAAACATACTACATATCTTTTAAAATTATCAACATTTTGATACTGGTTCATAGACACACCAACGAGAAAGAATAGAAAATCTAAGCCAGCCATAGTCACTCACGCCTGTAACCCCAGCATTTTGGGAGCCCGAGGCAGGAGGATCTCTTGAGGTCAGGAGTTTGAGACCAGCCTGGCCAACATGGCAAAGCCCTGTCTTTACTAAGAATACAAAAATTAGCCGGGCATGGTGGTGGGTGCCTGTAGTCCCAGCTACTCAGGAGGCTGAGGCAGGAGAATCATTTGAACCTGGGAGGTGGAGGTTGCAGTGTGCTGAAATCGCACCATTGCACTTCAGCCTGGGTGACAGAGTGAGACTCCGTCTCAAAAAAAAAGAATAGAAAATAGACCCCATTTTATATGAAATTCAAGTATACACTAAAAGTGACATCTCAAGTCAGTAGGGGGAGATGGACTTTTATTTAGTTGGTATGGGATAACTATATAACCTTAATGAAAAAGATAAAACCCCTCACACCATACACTAGATAAGTTTTAAATGGATCAGAGATTCAAATACAGAAAATAAACATATAAGTACCAGAGGAAAACATGGGTGAATTCTTCTGTGAGTTGAGAGTTGGAAAAACTTTCCTTACTATGTTTTAAAATCCAGAAGTAATAAGGGAAAAAAGACTCATATATTTGATTACATTTAAAACATTCTGAATAAAGTAAAAAGAGAAATAATAAACTAGGAAAGAATATAGGACTTCTTAAAATAGGCAGGAAAAAGACCATCAGTCCTAGAGAAAACTTGGATAGAGATAAGAACAGACAGTTCACAGAAAAAAATGCAAATGGACCTTAACCTTATGATGGTTAACTCAAAATGAATGAAATGCAAACTGTGCAGAAAGACCATTTCACACTTACCAGATTGGCTGAGGCTATGAGGCAACACTGCTGATGGGAGTGGAAAATGCAAAGTCCCTATAAAGGGAAATTGGCAAAATCCTGAAAAATTACATACTAAATTATCCTATGATCCAGCAATCTCATTTCTAAGTATATCATTCAAAGATACATTGCCAAAAATGCAAAGACATATATATGTGTGTGTATATATATATATAGTTATTCATTGAAACATTATTTGTAATGATAGGAAAGCAAGAAACATATCTAAATGTCTATCAATAGGGAACTGCTAAAATAAACTGTGGTATTAAAAAGTGAAGTGCTATGCAGGTACAAAAATGGATAAAAAAAATCTCTGTGTAATACTATGAAGTAATCTTAGGGTATGTTGTTTAGGGAAGAAAATCAAAAAGGAGAAAACAGTATAGATGCCATTTTTATCTAGGAAAGGAGAAATATAAATTATAAATGCATGTATAATTATGCCCATATGTCATTGTAAATGAAATTATAAACCATAACATTAAAGAATGGTTACTTATGAGGAGAGGAAGTAGCATCAAAGAGACAGAAATAGAAGCTAGATTTCAATGAATATACCTCATTTTGTGTGTTTGACTTTGAAACTATGTAAATATTTCATGCATTTATAAGGCAAAATTAAATTTATACAAAGCAACTCCTAAAATTGAAATTAAGAAGACATAAATGAACTCATGTGTATATAGTTGGTGGCATAATCACCGAAAGAAGACTTATACCCATTGATTTTAAAACACAGAAATTTGTCTGTATACCCTTAATGGGGACAAAACCTAAGGACAAAACAACAACAATAACAAAAGGCAGCCCTGAAAAATAGATCTAAAACCACTTAGTAATTAATTACATTGTTAGTGGTAGTGTTGATAATGTTATTCTGCGATTGTTGTGTGTTTATTGTTGAATAAGGCAAATGAGTAATTTTTTGGTGTCATCAGGATTTTTGACATGGGAGAAAGGAAATCGGTATGTAAATTCAATGAGGTTAGGTAAAATTGGTTATTCTTATTTGAATTGGAAGTATCATTATGAACTCATGATGCATTTTCTTTTTAAAAGGCCTATTTGTTTTTATCACTAAAAAGATCTAGAAACGAAAATGAACCAGAAGTAATAAGCACCACTAGAGCCCACACTGTGGTCTCTAATTTCCCATTAGAAGGATCAGAGTTCCTGGATATAAAATGTATTAGATGAGCTTAAATATCATGTGATATAATAAAAGCAAGAAGTTTTATCAAAGAGTAATAGAATTGTGTCTGTAGGACTCAGATATCAGTATGAATAGGTTCCAACTAATCAAAGGTAGGTCTGTCTGAAGATCATGAAGGATAAAAACATGTAATGGATTTAAATCCATGAGTTCATAAGGATATTTTAAAAAATACTCTTTGATCTTCCTTGGAGGATGCTAGAGAATGAATTTACTACTCAGAATTAACAAATAAGGGGTTATACCAATGCACTCCAGAAAAAAACCCACATAAATAAGGGGGGAAATCAAGTATTAATTATGCCTTTCCTATATGAACTGTACTCAGGGTAAACAAATAGTTGATAAGTACAAGTTTCTATCTATAGAAGTATTTCAACTAATAAATGAAAAAGAAATAATAAAAATAAAACCACCATTTTGTAACACTTATCTAATTAATGATGTAGGTAATGGTCATTAGTGGCTATTAATGGCATAAAAAGAGAGCCAGACATTATATGCTTTCTAATGGAAACACACCACATCACCTATAATAAATATGTTAGTAAATTTGTTTAACTATTAATTTAAAATAATTATAACAACTTTTCATATTTAAAATGGGTATAAAATTAAAACATTAAACAAAACCAAGAGCAAGTGTGCCCATTGGACAGTAAAACTAAGCTAAGGACCAAGGTTGGATAAAGATATAGATATTGAATAACTGAACTTTCTCAGAAAATGCAGCCTCCAAATCAACAAATGGAAAATTTTATCTATCCAACAGAAGGCATAAGAAAAGGAACATATAATAATTACACAAGTAACTTCAAATATATTAATAATCAAAATAAATGTAACATATTACACTCTTTATTAAAAGAGTGGGCCATTTAAAACTTCAAGTATGTAAGACACACATCGAAAAATAAAGCCACCAGAAATGTTGACAATAAAGGAATGAAAAACGTCATGCAGGGTAGAACAAGATGGCACAATAGAAGTCCCCACCAATTATACCCTCTGCAAGGACACCAATTTAACAACTATCTACACAAAAAAAAAACCTTTGTAAGAAACAAAAATCAGGCAAGCACTCACAGTACCTTGTTCTAACTCTATATTGCTGAAAGAGGCACTGAAGAGGTAGAATAAACCCTTTGGAATTGCTGACGCCACTCCTCCCCCATCCCCTGGCAGTGGAGGCTTGGTGCAGAAAGACTTTCTGTGCCCTGGGGAGAGGGACAGCCAGCAATCCTTAGGCGATGAACTTTCGAGCTGCCTTTGTTAAGGCAGAAAGCAAAATGCGATAAAACTCAACTGATGCCCAACCACTGAGGATGCATTTAAACCTGCCCTAGCCAAAGGGGAATAGCCAGTCCCCGCAGTGGGAACTTGAGTTTCTGCAAGCCTTCCCACCATGGACTAAAGTGCTCTGGGGCTCCAAATAAACTAGAAAGGCAGTCTAGGCCACAAGGACTGCAACACTAGGTGAGTGCCAGGGCTGAACTGGGCCCAGAGACAGTGAACTGGGTGGCGGGTGGCAGGTGGCAGGGGCGGGAACTTCACCTACTGAATCACCATCTGGGGCAGCTAAGAAATTGCTGGTATCACTCCTTCCCTAAGCCAAGGGTGCACAGCTTGTGTCTCCAAAAGACATCCTCCTTATCATGGTAGCATCAGCTTCTACAATCCTCCTCCTTCCACAGTCATGGTGGAAGGCAAAGTAGGAGCAGGCAAAAGAAAAAAAAAAAGAGATCCCCTCCTTCTACTTGAGGAGAGGAGAGGCGAGAGTGGGAGGACTTTGTCTTGCTTCTTGGATACCACCTTAGCCACAGCAGGATAGGGCATTGATCAGAGTCATGAGGCCCCCATTACAGGCCCTACCACCTGGACATTTCTAGATACACCTTGGGCCAGAAGTGAACCCACTGCTTTGAAAGGTGTTACGTGCAACCATGTGAAGAGACCACCAAACAGGCTTTGTGTGAGCGATAAAGCTTTTTAATCACTTGAGTGCAGGTGGACTGAGTCCGAAAAAGGAGTCAGCAAAGGGAGATGGGGGTAGGGCAGTTTTATAGGATTTGGGTAGGTAGTGGAAAATTACAGTTAAAGGGGGTTTTCTCTTGCGGGCAGGGGCAGGGGTTACAAGGTGCTTGGTGGAGAGCTCCTAAGATTAATTGTCCAGGAGAAGGAATGTCACAAGATCAATTTATCAGTTAAGGTGGGGCAGGAACAAATCACAATGGTGGAATGTTATCAGTTAAGGCAGGAACTGGCTATTTCACTTGTTTTGTGGTTCTTCAGTTACTTCAGGCCATATGGATGTATACGTGCAGGTCACAGGGGTTATGATGGCTTAAAGGCCTGACAAAAGGAAGGACCCAGTCCTGACAGGATGAATCACCTACTAATAGAAGAGCCCTTGGACCCTGACCAGCAGTGATACCCAGGTACTATGTTGAGTACACTATGATGGGTATAACACCAACCAGGCTCTTGGGGTCCCCAATTCCAGGACTTGGCTCTTGGATGGCATTTCTGGACCTGCTCAGGTCAAAGAGGAGCCCACTCCTCTGAAAGGTGAGTCTCAGGCCAGGCAGCATTCACCATAAGCTAACTAAAGAGCCCTTGGGCCTTGAGGGAACATCAGAGGTAATCTGGTAAAACTCCTTGTGGGCCTGAGGTGGCGGTGGCCACATGCTGTGTCAAAAATAAAAACTCTCATGCCCCTTTGTTCAAATATACTCTCATAGCAACTGGCCAAAAAACGCCCCTCTACACGAAAGTAAAATTGCTTTACTAAAAATCCTTTATTCAAGTGTTCAATTTCCTTAAAATTTTAAGCGTTATTCCTAACATGGCCAGCAGTCACATGAAAAAATGCTCAATATCACTGATCATTAGAGAAACACAAATCCAAACCACAATGAGATACCATCTCACACCAGTCGGAATGACTGTTATTAAAAAAGTCAAAAATAACAGATGCTGGTGAGGTTGTGGAGAAAAGGGAACACTTATACACCGTTAGAGGGAGTGTACATTAGTTCCACCATTGTGGAAGACAGTGTGGTGATTCCTCAAAGACCTAAAGACAGAATTACCATTTGACTCAGCAATCCCATTACTGGGTATATATGGAAAGGAATATAAATCACTCTATTACAAAGACACATGCACATGAATATTCAATGCAGCACTATTCACAAAAGCAAAGACATGACATGGAATCCACCTAAATGCCCATGAATGATAGACTGGATAAAGAAAATATGGTACATATACACCATGGAATACTATGCAGCCATAAAAGAGTACGAGATCATATCCTTTGCAGGGACATGGATGCAACTGGAGGCCATCATCCTTAGCAAACTAATTCATGAACAGGAAACCAAATACTGAATGTTCTCGCTTATAAGTGGGAGCTAAATGATGAGGGGAACAACACACACTAGGGCCTATTGGAGGGTGGAGGATGAGCAAAGGGAGAGGATCAGGAAAAATAAGTAATGGATACTAGGCTTAATACCTGGGTTATGAAATAATCTATACAACGAGTCCCCATGACACAAGCTTACCTATGTAACAAACCTACACATGTACCCCTGAACTGAAAATAAAAGTTGAAAACAATTTTTTTAAAAAGAGAGAGAGAGTAGAAAGATGTTTACCAGAGGCTGGAAAGGCTCGTGGGGGGTTGAGCTGGAAGTGGGGATGGTTAACGGGTACAGATATATTTAAAATGAATAGATAAGGCCTAGTATTTGTTAGCACAACAGGGTGTCTATAGTCAATAATAATTTAGATATACATTTGAAAATAACTAAAAGAGTATAATTGGATTGTAAAACAAAGGATAAATACTTGTGGGGATGGATACCCCATCTTCCATGATGTGATTTTTATGCATTGCGTACCTTATCAAGACATCTCATATACCCCATAAACATACATACCTATCCACAAAATTATCCACAGAAATATAAAAACCCATGCAAATACTAACTATAAAAAGGTGTTAAATTATATTCATATAAGTCAAGTTAAAATTGGAAGCCAAAAGCGTTAACTGTAATAAAGACAGATAACTAGCAATAATATAATGAAATGAAAATTGTACCAGAAAGGTATTTGTTTTCAACTTGTATGAAACTGACAACGTTGCCTCAACGGATATACAACAAAACTCTACAATCATAATAGGAGATTTAAAATCATCTCTACTATAAATTGATAGATCAAGAAGATAAAAAATTATTAAGGGTGTAGAATCTGTGATATTGCAAAATATGTATTTGGTCTTTGTCCCTATTTCCTTACATACAGCTACCAAAACCCTTGGATTCTCTAAAGTGATCAGAATCTTTTGTATATTAATGAGATGACTGGTAGCTGGGGCCCCTAAATATCTTCAGGAAGGAGGGTAGTCACTGGAAATACCAACATATTATTAGAGGGTTGTGATATTTAGCCCCACCTCCCAACCTCTGGGGAGGGAAGAAGGGCTGAAGGTTGAGTTGGTCACCAATGACCAATGATTTAGTTAATCATATCTACACATGAAGCTGGTTCAGAGAGCTTCTAGATATCTGAACACATGGAAGTTCCTGGAGTGTGGCATGCTCAGAAAGGGGATGAAAACTCTGTTCCCCTTCCCACATGGTTGCCCTGTGCAGCTCTTCCATCTGGCTGTTTATCTGTATACTTTTTAATATCCTTTATAATAAATTGGTAAACATAAGTAAAGTATTTCCCTGAGCTCTGTGCAATGCTCTAGCAAATTGATAGGATCCAAGGAGAGAGTCATAGGAACTCCAATTTACTGCTGATAGGTCAAAAGTACAGATCAAACCTGGGGTTTGTGTCTATCATCTGAAGTGGGGGACAGTCTTGTGGGACTGAGCCCTCAACCTATGGAATTTGACAATAGTGTCAGAATGGAATTGGAGGACACACAGCTGGTGTCCCCTGGAGAATCTGGTGTCCATGTGCTATGTGTTGAGTGTGAAAGTAGAGAGCAGAAAGGAAAAACAGGGTTTTTTTTCTCTTACAAGAAGGAATTTTGTTATTCAAAGGAACAACAAAATTAATTACCATTCAATAAATATAAAATATACATTATTTCCAAATATAGATGGAATATTTATAAAAACTAGTCACTTAATAGGACTTAAATAAAGTTTCTAAAAAGTGTAAAAGATGTGTTATCATATTGACTATGTTCTTCCTTGATCACAATAAAATTGAATTAGAAATCAAGCACCAGAAAAAGGTGGTTAAAAACACAATGTTTGTAAACCTAAAAATGTTCCTGGAACTAACTCATGCTTAATAAGAAACAATGAAAATTGCAAAATAGAAATTTAGACCTGAATGACAATGAAAATACTACATTTCAAAACTTGTAACATGCAGCTAAAGCAGTGTTTAGAGAGAAATTTATAGTCTAAAATGTTTTTATTTAAAAATGAAAAAGATTGAAAATAAAGACGTTAATTGAAAATAAAAAAGTTGTGTTCTCTTCCAGAAGCTAGAAAAGGAATGACAGATATTCAGTTAGTATGGAAGAAATAGAGACTTTATGGGACTAGGAAACTAAAAAAAAAATCTTCCTTGAAACAAGAACAGGAAACTACAAAAAATCACATTCAGGAAACAACAATAAGAACAAAGAAATAAAAACATGGAAAGTTTTCAATAAAATGGAGTGTAATTTTGAGAAAAATTTCCTGGAAAACAGCAACAAGACAACTTTATGAAAATGGGAGATAAAAGATAAGCTAGCTGTTGAGGTTTCACATCTAAATAATAGGAATTCATAAGGAAAGACAAAGAGATGCAGAGAACAAAGAAAATAGCGCAGAAGTCATGGATGAAATGATTTAAGAATGTTTCCCATATCTGAAAGACCTGTTTCACAACTAAATGGATCAATCAATTGAAGGGCTCAAACCTAGGCATGTCTTCATAAAATTTTGGAGCACTGGAGATCCTGCAGCTTCCAAAGAGGAGAAAAGGAAAAGGTTTAACAGGAATGTAAAAGGGTCAGAATAGCATTGGAGTTCTAACCAGCAACAGTGAAAGCCCAAAACCAATAGAGCAGCATCATTCTTAGAAAATAATTACAATCAAGGATTTAACAAGCAGCTAAACTATCAAATAAGTGTGAGGGTAGCATAAAGGCAGTTTTTTCCCAACATGCAAGATCTCAACCATTTTTGCCTCCCAGAAACTGAGGGAGTAAACCAAGAAAGAGGAAAACATGGGATTCAAGTAATGGGGGCTGATATAAGAAAGAAGGAAGGAAATTCCCCCTATTACTGCTGACGTGAAATCTCAGAAAGACAACTGCAGATTAGGGAGAGAGCAATCACTAGTTTCCAGAAGGATTTCTTCAAGAAGATGAAAAAAAAATAGAATCCAATATTATATTATTCTATTATGAGGCTATTTACACAATGGAGCATAATTTTAGGGGGAAGCATTTGCGAACAAAACAAAAAGATATCAACTGCAAGAAAACAAAAGATTATGCAGGAAAAAATATTTCAAGATAAATAGCGTTTATATAGACCCAATAATGACTCAATTATGGTTAAATTATTATGATTTAACCAAAGAAACCATATAACTGTTCTGGAAGGACAGGGCACAAGGAAAATAGGGCATGAGGGAATGTAGTGGGGATTGAATAATAGTGAGAGGTAACTAAACCCCAGATACCAATATTCCGTTTTGGGAAATCAATGGATAATGTTTAAAACTTCGCAAGCAAAAAGTAGCAATATAAGCCATGTTTTTAAGATACGTGAATCATAAGTAATAGCTAAAAGAATGAACATGGTTGCTTCTGGGGAGCAGGAATGGGGAAGGTGTGGCAGGACAGTGTTATTTGTTATGAAACAATCTATGTGCACAACTCTGTGACTTTTCCAAATATATGCATACACACACACACTCACACACACACACACACAAAACTTTTATAAAGACAAATACTAAATAAAATAAAAAGACTAACATCGCAAATAAGTTGGAATAAAGGGGACAAGAGCTGTAAAAATAAAGTGGAAAACTACATAGGATCAACAAAAATAAAAACTGTTACAAAATCTATAAATTTAACATATCTCTAGTAATACTGAACAAAAACAGGAAATCACATGAAAAGCACACAAGTAAACAATATTAGGAACAATGAGATATAACATTACAAACAAGGAGTTTTCTAAAATTAAAAGATAAAGAGAATATAAATAATATATTTAGGAACAGATGAAATAATTTCTTTTTTTAATTGCATATTGAGTTGCATATATGAATTATTAAGTTGCATATATCATGCTATTTTCTCATGTTTCTTAATGTACACTGCTTTTTTTACTATTATAATTTTTCTTTTCTTTTTTTAAAATTTTACTTTAAGTTCTGGGATACATGTGCAGAACGTGCAGGTTTGCTACATAGGTATACATGTGCCATGGTGGTTTGCTGCACCTATCAATCTGTCATCTAGGTTTTAAGCCCCACATGTATTAGGTATTAGTCCTAATGCTCTGCCTCCCACCCCCTGACAGACCTGGTGTGTGATGTTCCCCTCCCTTTGTCCATGTGTTCTCATTGTTTAACTCCCACTTATGAGTAAGAACATGCAGTGTTTGGTTTTCTCTTCCTGTGTTAGTTTGCTGAGAATGATGGTTTCCAGCTTCATCCATGTCCCTGCAAAGGACATGAACTCACTCTTTTTTATGGCTGCATAGTATTCCATGGTGTATATATGCCACATTTTCTTTATCCAGTCTATCATTGATGGGCATTTGGGTTGGTTCCAAGTCTTTGCTGTTGTAAATAGTGCTGCAATAAACATATGTGTGCATGTGTCTTTATAGTAGAATGATTTATAATTCTTTGGGTATATACCCCGTAATCGGACTGGCAGGTCAAATGGTATTTCTGGTTCTAGATCCTTGAGGACTGGCCACAGTGTCTTCCACAATGGTTGAACTAATTTACACTCCCACCAACAGTGTAAAAGCGTTCCTTTCTCCACAGCCTCGTCAGCATCTGTTGTTTCCTTACTTTTTAATGATTGCCATTCTAACTGGAGTGAGATGGTATCTCATGTGGCTTTGATTTGCATTTCTCTAATGACCAGTGATGATGAGCATTTTTTCATGTGTCTGTTGGCTGCATAAATGTCTTCTTTTGAGAAGTGTCTGTTCATATCCTTCACCCACTTTTTGATGGGGTTGTTTGTTTTTTTCTTGTAAATTTATTTATGTTCCTTGTAGATTCTGGATAATAGCCCAATGGAACAGAATAGAGGCCTCAGAAATAACACCACACATCTACAACCATCTGATCTTCGACAAACCTGACAAAAACAAGCAATAGGGAAAGGATTCCCTACTTAATAAATAGTGCTGGGAAAAAAACTGGCTAGCCATATGCAAAACTGAAACTGGACCCCTTCCTTATACCTTATACCTTATACAAAAATTAACTCAAGATGAATTAAAGATGTAAAAGTAAAACCTGAAACCATAAAAACCCTAGAAGAAATCCTAGGCAATACCATTCATGACATAGGCATGGGCAAAGACTTCATGACTAAAACACCAAAAGCAATGGCAACAAAACCAAAATTGACAAATGGGATCTAATTAAACTAAAGAGCTTCTGCACAGCAAAAGAAACTATCGTCAGAGTGAACAGAATGGGACCTACAGAATGGGAGAAAATTTTTGCAATCTATCCATCTGACAAAGATGAAATAATTTCTAAGAAAATGTAAATTATAAAAAATTGACTCAAGATATCAATTAACCACTGAAAGCTTTCAAAAGTAATCAACTGTCTTATTCAAAAGATATCAGGACCCATTAATTTTATAGGCAATTTTTATCAACTTTCAAGGAATACATTCTCCCTATGTTATATAAACCATTCCAGAGAACATAAGAACTCATTTATGAGGCTAATAAAAACTTGATAACAAAAATGGAATAAAAACAGTGCAAAAAATTAAACCATTCTCACTTATAAACATAGATACTAAAGTTCTAAAAACAGACGGTGCAAATTTAAAAATGTATTATACCAATGTATTAGTTTTCTATTGCTGTGTAACAAATAATCACACAATGTAGCGGTTTGAAACAACATTCATTTACTATCTCAGTTTCTGTAGTTCAGAAATTCAGAGACAGCCTAACTAGATTCTCTGCTTAGGGTCTCATATGCTGCAGTTAACTTGGCCAGAGCTGGGTCCCATTTGAGTATTGGAGTCTTCTTCCAAGCTCACAAGTTGTTGGCAGAACTCATTTTCTTGAAGCTGTGGAACTCATAGGGGCATGTTTCTTCAAGGCCAGCAGCAGAATCTCTCTAATCACTAGACCCTCTTTTAAAGAGCTTGCCTGAGTAGGTCAAGCCCACCCAGGGAATCTCTCTTTTAATTAACTCAAAGTCAACTGAATAAGGACTTTAATTGCATCTGAAAAATCCCTTCGCTTTGCCAAATTCTACTGGTTAGAAGCAACTTATATGTTCCACTCACACTCAAGGGGAGATGATTTCACAAAGGCAAGGATACCAGGGAGTGGGAATCACAGGGGCCATCTTAGAATTCTGCTTAGGACAACCAGGTAGAGTTTATCCCAGGAATAAGTAGAGTACATTCCAGTGATGCAAGGATGATTAAACGTTAAAAAGTCTATTAATGGTTGTCATTCTAGGTCTCAGCCTCTCCCTATGGCATTCGCCTGCTTGCTCTGAGGCTCGTGAAGCCAAAACTGGCTAGACTTTCCTACTTTCCGCCCGCCTGTAGCCGCGTTGTTGCCACTCTGCCACCATGTTCGAGGTGCCCCTGGTCCAGGGCTCCATCCTGAAGAAGGTGTTGGAGGCACTCAAGGACCTCATCAACGAGGCCTGCTGGGACATCAGCTCGAGCGGCGTGAACCTGCAGAGCATGGATTCGTCCACGTCTCCTTGCTGCAGTTCACCCTGCCGTCTGAGGGCTTTGACACTTACCGCTGTGACTGCAACCTGGCCATGGGCGTGAACCTCACTATTATGTCCAAAATACTAAAATGTGCTGGCAATGAAGATATCGTTACACTAAGGATTGAAGATAATGTGAATACCTTGGTGCTAGTATTTGAAGCTTCAAATCAGGAGAAGGTTTCAGACTATGAAATTAAGTTGATGGATTTGGATGTTGAACAACTTGGAATTGCAGAACAAGAGTACCACTATGTAGTAAAGATGCTTTCTGGTGAATTTGCAAGTATATGCTGAGATCTCAGCCATATTGGAGATGCTGTTGTAATTTCCGGTGTAAAAGATGGAATTATATTTTCTGCAAGTGGAGACCTTGGAAATAGAAAACAAATTGTCACAGACAAGTACTGTCGATAAAGAGGAGGAAGCTGTTACCATGGAGATGAATGAACCAGTTCAACTAACTTTTGCACTGAGGTACCTGAACTTCCTTACAAAAGCCACTCCACTCTCTTCAATGGTGACACTCAATATGTCTGCAGACATACACCTTGTTGTAGACTATAAAATTGCTGATGTGGGACACTTAAAGTACTACTTGGCTCCCAAGATGGAGGATGAAGAAGGACCTTAGGCATTCATAAAATTCAAGAAAATAAAACTAAGCTCTTTGAGAACTGCTTCTGAGATGCCAGCATATACTGAAGTCTTTTCTGCCACCAAATTTGTACCTCTAAGTACATATGTAGATATTGTTTTCTGTAAATAACCTTTTTCTCTATTCTCTGCAATTTGTTTAAAGAATAAAGTCCAAAGTCAGTCAGATCTGGTCTAGTTAACCTAGAACTATTTTTCTCTCTTAGAAATACTTGTGATTTTTACAATACAATAGGGTCTTGACTCTAAATGCAGTTTTAAGATTTGTTTTTGCTACAGCTCCCAGCATGAGCGATGCAGAAGATGGCTGATTTCTGCATTTCCAACTGAGGTACCGGGTTCAACTCACTGGGGAGTGTTGGACAGTGGGTGCAGGACAGTGGGTGCAGTGCACTGAGCATGAGCTGAAGCAGGGTGAGGCATTGCCTCACCCAGGAAGTGCAAGGGGTCAGGGAATTCCCTTTCCTAGCCAAAGAAAGGGGTGACAGAGGGGTCACTCCCACCCTAATACTGCGCTTTTCCAATGGTCTTAGCAAATGGCACACCAGGAGATTATATCCCGTGCCTGGCTCGGAGGGTCCTATGTCCACGGAGCCTCGCTCATTGCTAGCACAGCAGTCTGAGATCAAACTGCAAGGTGGCAGTGAGGCTGGGGGAGGGACGCTCCCCATTGCCAAGGCTTGAGTAGGTAAACAAAGTGGCTGGGAAGCTCAATCTGGGTGGAGCCCACCGCAGCTCAAGGAGGCCTGCCTGCCTCTGTAGACTCCACCTCTGCAGGGAGGGCACAGCCAAACAAAAGGCAGCAGAAACCTCTGCAGACTTAAATGTCCCTGTCTGACAGCTTTGAACAGAGTAGTGGTTCTCCCAGCACACAGCTTGAGATCTGAGAACAGGCAGACTGCCTCCTCAAGTGGGTCACTGACCCCTGAGTAGCCTAACTGGGAGGCACCCCCCAGTAGGGGCAGACTGACACCTCAAATGGCCGGGTACTCCTGTGAGACAAAACTTCCAGAGGAATGATCAGGCAGCAACGTTTGCTGTTCACCAATATCCGCTGTTCTGCAGCCTCCACTGCTGATACCCAGGCAAACAGGGTCTGGAGTGGACCTCTGGCAAATTCCAACAGACCTGCAGCTAAGGGTCCTGACTGTTAGAAGGAAAACTAACAAACAGAAAGGACTTCCACACCAAAACCCCATTTGTACATCACCATCATCAAAAACCAAAGGTAGATAAAACCACAAAGATGGGGAAAAAACAGAGCAGAAAAACTGGAAACTCTAAAAATCAGAGTGCCTCTCCTCCTCCAAAGGAACGCAGCTCCTCACCAGCAACGGAACAAAGCTGGACGGAGAATGACTTTGACGAATTGAGAGAAGAAGGCTTCAGACGATCAAACTACTCCGAGCTAAAGGAAGAAGTTCAAACCCATGGCAAAGAAGTTAAAAACCTTGAAAAAAAATTAGATGAATGGCTAACTAGAATAATCAATGCAGAGAAGTACTTAAAAGACCTGATGGAGCTGAAAACCACGGCATGAGAACTACGTGATAAATGCACAAGCCTCAGTAGCCGATTTGATCAACTGGAAGAAAGGGTATCAGTGATTGAAGATCAAATGAATGACATGAAGTGAGAAGAGAAGTTCAGAGAAAAAAGAATAAAAAGAAAGAAACAAAGCCTCCAAGAAATATGGGACTATGTGAAAAGAACAAATCTATGTCTGATTGGTGTACCTGAAAGTGACTGGGAGAATGGAACCAAGTTGGAAAACACTCTTCAGGATATTATCCAGGAGAACTTCCCCAATCTAGTGAGGCAGGCCAACATTCAAATTCAGGAAATACAGAGAATGCCACAAAGATACTCCTCGAGAAGAGCAACTCCAAGACACATAATTGTGAGATTCACAAAAGTTGAAATGAAGGAAAAAATGTTAAGGGCAGCCAGAGAGAAAGGTTGGGTTACCCACAAGGGGAAGCCCATCAGACTAACAGCTGATCTCTCAGCAGAAACTCTACAAGCCAGAAGAGAGTGGGAGCCAATATTCAACATTCTTAAAGAAAAGAATATTCAACCCAGAATTTCATATCCAGCCAAACTAAGCTTCATTAGTGAAGGAGCAATAAAATCCTTTATAGACAAGCAAATGCTGAGAGATTTTGTCACCACCAGGCCTCCCCTACAAGAGCTCCTGAAGGAAGCACTAAACATGGAAAGGAACAACTGGTACCAGCCACTGCAAAAACATGCCAAATTGTAAAGACCATCGAGGCTACGAAGAAACTGCATCAACTAACGAGTAAAACAACCAGCTAACATCATAATGACAGGATCAAATATACACATAACAATATTAACCTTAAATGTAAATGGGCTAAATGCTCCAATTAAAAGACACAGACTGGCAAATTGGATAAAGAGTTAAGACCCATCAGTGTGCTGTATTCAGGAAACCCAACTCATGTGCAGAGACACACATAGGCTCAAAATAAAGGGATGGAGGAAGATCTACCAAGCAAATGGAAAACAAAAAAAGGCAGGGGTTGCAATCCTAGTCTCTGATAAAGCAGACTTTAAACCAACAAAGATCAAGAGAGACAAAGAAGGCCATCACATAATGGTAAAGGGATCAATTCAACAAGAAAAGCTAACTATCCTAAATATATATGCACCCAATACAGGAGCACCCAGATTCATAAAGCAAGTCCTTAGAGACCTACAAAGAGACTTAGACTCCCACACAATAATAATGGGAGACTTTAAAATCCCACTGTCAACATTAGACAGATCAACAAGACAGAAAGTTAACAAGGATACCCAGGAATTGAACTCAGCTCTGCACCAATCAGACCTAACAGACATCTACAGAACTCTCCACCCCAAATCAACAGAATATACATGCTTTTCAGCACCACACCACACCTATTCCAAAATTGACCACATAGTTGGAAGTAAAGCACTCCTCAGCAAATGTAAAAGAACAGAAATTATAACAAACTGTCTCTCAGACCACAGTGCAATCAAACTAGAAGTCAGCATTAAGAAACTCACTCAAAACAGCTCAACTACATGGAAACTGAGCAACCTGCTCCTGAATGACTACTGGGTACATAATGAAATGAAGGCAGAAATAAAGATGTTCTTTGAAACCAATGAGAACAAAGACACAACATACCAGAATCTCTGGGACACACTCAAAGCAGTGTGTAGAGGGAAATTTATAGCACTAAATGCCCACAAGAGAAAGCAAGAAAGAACTAAAATTGACACCCTAACATCACAATTAAAAGAACTAGAGAAGCAAGAGCAAACACATTCAAAAGCTAGCAGAAGGCAAGAAATAACTAAGATCAGAGCAGAACTGAAGGAGATAGAGACATAAAAAACCCTTAAAAAAATCAATGAATCCAGGAGCTGGTTTTTTGAAAAGATCAGCAAAATTGATAGACCGCTAGCAAGACTAATAAAGAAGAAAAGAGAGAAGAATCAAATAGATGCAATAAAAAATGACAAAGGGGATATCACCACTGATCCCACAGAAATACAAACTACCATCAGAGAATACTGTAAACACCTCTATGCAAATAAACTAGAAAATCTAGAAGAAATGGATAAATTCCTCAACACATACACCTTCCCAAGACTAAACCAGGAAGAAGTTGAATCTCTGAATAGAACAATAACAGGCTTTGAAATTGAGGCAATAATTAAGAGCTTACGAACCAAAAAAAGTCCAGAACCAGATGGATTCACAGCCAAATTCTACCAGAGGTACAAGGAGGAGCTGGTACCATTCCTTCTGAAACTATTCCAATCAATAGAAAAAGAGGGAATTGGCCAGGCGCGGTGGCTCATGCCTTTAATCCCAGCACTTTGGGAGGCTGAGGCAGGCAGATCACAAGGTCAGGAGATGGAGACCATCCTGGACAACATGGTGAAACACCGTCTCCACTAAAAATACAAAAATATAGCCGGGCGTGGTGGCAGGTGCCTGTAGTCCCAGCTACTTGGGAGGCTGAGGCAGGAGAATGGTGTGAACCCAGGAGGCGGAGTTTGCAGTGAGCCTAGATCGCGCCACTGCACTCCAGCCTGGGTGACAGAGTGAGACTCTGTCTTAAGAAAAAAAAAAAAAGAAAAAGAAAAAGAGGGAATCCTCCATAACTCATTTTATGAGGCCAGCATCATCCTGATACCAAAGCCTAGCAGAGACACAACCAAAAAAGAGAATTTTTGACCAATATCCCTGATGAACATCAATGCAAAAATCCTCAATAAAATACTGGTAAACCGAATCTGGCAGCACATCAAAAAGCTTATTCACCATGATCAAGAGGGCTTCATCCCTGGGATGCAAGGCTGGTTCAACATACGCAAATTAATAAATGTAATCCAGCATATAAACAGAACCAATGACAAAAACCATATGATTATCTCAATAGATGCAGAAAAGGCCTTTGGCAAAATTCAACAGCCCTTCATGCTAAAAACTCTCAATAAATTAGGTATTGATGGGACGTATCTCAGAATAATAAGAGTTATCTATGACAAACTCACTGCCAATATCATACTGAATGGGCCAAAACTGGAAGCATTCCCTTTGAAAACTGGCACAAGACAGGGATGCCCTCTCTCACCACTCCTATTCAACATAGTGTTGGAAGTTCTGGCCAGGGCAATCAGGCAGGAGAAGCAAATAAAGGGTATTTGATTAGGAAAAGAGGAAGTCAAATTGTCCCTGTTTGCAGATGACATGATTGTATATCTAGAAAACCCCATTGTCTCAGCCCAAAATCTCCTTAAGCTGATAGGCAACTTCAGCAAAGTCTCAGGATACAAAATCAATGTGCAAAAATCACAAGCATTCCTATACACCAATAACAGACAAACAGAGAGCCAAATCATGAGTGAACTCCCATTCAGAATTGCTACTAAGAGAATAAAATACCTAGGAATCCAACTTACAAGGGATGTGAAGGACCTCTTCAAGGAGAACTACAAAGCACTGTTCAATGAAATAAAAGAGGATACAAACAAATGGAAGAACATTCCATGCTCATGGGTAGGAAGAATCAATATCGTGAAAATGGCCTTACTGCCTAAGGTAAGTTATAGATTCAATGCTATCCCCATCAAGCTACCAATGACTTTCTTCACAGAATTGGAAAAAACTACTTTAAAGTTCATATGGAACCAAAAAAGAGCCCGCATTGCCAAGTCAATCCTAAACCAAAAGAACAAAGCTGAAGGCATCATGCTACCTGACTTCAAGCTATACTACAAGGCTACAGTAACCAAAACAGCAGGGTACTGGTACCAAAACAGAGATATAGACTAATGGAACAGAACAGAGCCCTCAGAAATAATGCCGCATATCTACAACTATCTGATATTTGACAAACTTGAAAAAAACAAGATATGGGGAAAGGATTCCCTATTTAATAAATGGTGTTGGGAAAACTGGCTAGCCATACGTAGAAAGCTGAAACTGGATCCCTTCCTTACACCTTATACAAAAATTAATTCAAGATGGATTAAAGACTTAAACGTTAGACCTAAAACCATAAAAACCCTAGAAGAAAACCTAGGCATTACCATTCAGGACATAGGCATGGGCAACGACTTCATGTCTAAAGCACCAAAAGCAATGGCAACAAAAGCCAAAATTGACAAATGGGATCTAATTAAACCAAAGAGCTTCTGCACAGCAAAGGAAACTATCATTAGAGTGAACAGGCAACCTACAGAATGGGAGAAAATTTTTGCAATCTACTCATCTGACAAAGGGCTGATATCCAGAATCTACAATGAACACAAACAAATTTACAACAAAAAAACAAACAACCCCATCAACAAGTAGGTGAAGGATATGAACAGACACTTCTTGAAAGAAGACATTTATGCAGCCAAAAGACACATGAAAAAATGCTCATCATCATTGGCCATCAGAGAAATGCAAATCAAAACCACAATGAGATACCATCTCACACCAGTTAGAATGGTGATCTTTAAAAAGTCAGGAAACAATAGGTGCTGGAGAGGATGTGGAGAAATAGGAACACGTTTACACTGTTGGTGGGACTGTAAACTAGTTCAACCATTGTGGAAGTCGGTGTGGCAATTCCTCAGGGATCTAGAACTAGAAATACCATTTGACTCAGCCATCCCATTACTGGGTATATACCCAAAGGATTATAAATCATGCTGCTATAAAGACACATGCACACGTATGTTTATTGCGGCACTATTCACTATAGCAAAGACTTGGAACCAGCCCAAATGTCCAACAATGATAGACTGGATTAAGCAAATGTGGCACATATACACCATGGAATACTATGCAGCCATAAGAAATGATGAGTTCATGTCCTTTGTAGGGACATGGATGAAGCTGGAAACCATCATTCTCAGCAAACTATCGCAAGGACAAAAAACCAAACACCACATGTTCTCACTCATAGGTGGGAATTGAACAATGAGAACACATGGACACAGGAAGGGGAACATCACACACCGGGGCCTGTTGTGGGGTGGGGGGAAGGGGGAGGGGGGAGGCATAGCATTAGGAGATATACCTAATGCTAAATGACGAGTTAATGGGTGCAGCACACCAACATGCCACATGTATACATATGTAACGAACCTGCATGTTGTGCACATGTACCCTAAAACTTAAAGTATAATAAATAAATAAATAAATAAAGTAAATAAAAGAATTGTTTTTGAATTTAAATAAAGTTACTTGAATTTCAAAAAAGTCTATTAATGTAATAAATATGCTATGTTAACAGATAAAAGTAGAGTGATATCAAAAACATATTGAATAAAAGTCAATGCAGAAAAAAATCCTTTAGCAAATTCAGAAAAAAGGTAACTTCTCTAACCTAATAAAAGTATCCATCACAATTTATGGGAAACATCATTTGAAAAACTGGAAACATGCCCATAAAACTTAAGAACAAGACAGAGGTGCCATCTTTTTTTTAAAAAAAATAGGCTTTAATTTTTTAGAACAGTTTTAGGTTCACAGCAAAATTGAGCAGAAGGTACTGAGATGTCCCATATAATCCCTTCCCCCACATGTGCACAGCCTCCCCCTCTAGCAACATCCCCCCAACCCCCACCATGCCAGAGAGTTACATTTGTTACAATTGATGAACCTACATTAACACATCACATCATTATCACTTAAAGTTTGTAGTTTACATTAGGGTTCGCACTTGGTGTTGTACATTCTATGGGTTTGGGCAAATATATAATGATATATATTTACCATTATAGTATCATACAGAGTAGTTTTACTGCCCTAAAAATTCTCTGTGCCCTGGCTATTCATCCTTTTCTTCCTTCTAAACCCTGGAAACCATTGATCTTTTTACTGTCTTCGTAGTTTTGTCTTCACAGAACGTCAAAGAGTTGTAATTATACATTATAGACCCATTTCAGATTGGCTTCTTTCACTTAGTAATATGCATTTAAGCTTCATCCATGTCTTTAAATGGGTTGATAATCCATTTCTTCTTAAAACTGAATACTATTCCATTGTATGAGTATAACACAGTTTATTCACTTACCTACTGAAGGATATCTTGGTTGCTTCCACGTTTTGGCAATTACAAATAAAGCTGCTAAAAACATTCATGTGCAGGTTTTTGTGTGGACATGTTTTCAACTCCTTTGGGTAAACACCAAGGAGCATGATTGCTGTATCATATGGTAAGAGAATGTTTCATAAGGAACTGCCAAATATTTTCTAAAATGGATGTAACCCTTTGCAGTTCCATCAGCAATGAATGAGAATTCCTGTTGCTCCACATTGTCACCAGCATTTGGTGTTGCCAGTGTTTTGGATTTTAACTATTTTAATAGGCGTGTAGTGCTATCTCAGTGTTGTTTTAATTTGCATCTCTCTGAAGACATATTACATGGAGCATCTTTTCAAGTGTGTATTTGGGATCTATGTATCTCTGTTGGGAAGGTTTCTTTTAAGGTCTTGACTCATTTTTAAAAATCAGGTTGTTCATTTTCTTACTGTTAAATTTTAAAAGTTCTTTGTATATTTTACATAACAGTTCTTTATCAAATATGTCTTTTGAAGATATTTTCTCCCAGACTGTGGCTTGTCTTTTCACTCTCTTGATAGTATATTTTGCAGAACGTAAAATTTTAATTTTAATTAGGTCCAAATTATCAATTCTTTCTTCCATGGAGTGTGCTTTCTGTGTCATATTTAAAAAGTCATCACCAAACCCAAGGTCATCTAAATTTTCTCCTAGGTTATGTTCTAGGAATTTTATAGTTTTGTGTTTTACATTTAAGTCTTTAATTGATTTTAATTTTTGTGAAGAATGTAAGGTTTGAGTCTAGATTAACTTCTTTTGCATGTGGATGTCCAATTGTTTCAGCAGCATTTGTTGAAAAGACTCTCTCTGCTCCATTGAATTGCCTTTGTTCTTTTGTCAATTATCAGTTGATTTTATTGATGCGAGTCTATTTCTGGGCTTTCTATTCTGTTCTATTGACCTATTTGTCTATCCTTCTACCAACACTATACTGTCTTGGTTACTGTAGCTTTATGGTAGTCTTAAAGTTGGGTAGTGTCATTTCTCGAATTTTTTTCTTCTTCTTCAACATTGTGTAGCTATTCTGTTTTTGGATTTTTTTTTTTTTGCTTCTCCATATAAACTTTAGAATCAGTTTCTCAGTATTCACAAAAATAATTTGCTGGGATTTTGATTGGGATTTCATTGAATCTGTAGATCACGTTGAGAAGAACTGATATCACAATTGCCACAAAAAGAATAAAATACCTAGGAATACAGCTAACTAAGGAGGTGGAAGATTTCTAAAAAGAGAACTACAAAACACTGCTCAAAGAAATCAGAAATGACACAAACAAATGGAAAAACATTCCATGCTCATGGATAGGAAGAAACAATGTTGTAAAAATGGCCATACTGCCCAAAGCAATTTATAGATTCAATGATATTTCTATTGAGCTACCATCAAGATTCTTCACTGAACTAGAAAAAACTATTTTAAAATTAATGTAGAACCAAAGAAGAGCCCGAATAGCCAAGGCAATCTTAAGCCAGCCAATCTTTTACATATTTTGTTAGATTTATACCTAAATATTTCATTTTGTGAGGGTGTTAATGTAAATGGTAGTGTATTTTTTTTTATTCCACTTGTTCCTTCCTGGGATATAGGAAAGCATACTTTTGTATATTAACCTTATATCCTGCAACCTTACTGTAATCACTCTTTGGTTCAAGGAGATTTTAAAAATCAATTCTTTGGAGTTTCTCCATAGACAACTGTGTTATCTACAGACAAAGACACTTTTATTTTTTCTTTCCCTATCAGTATATGTTTTATCTCTTTTTCTTGTCTTATTGCATTAGGTAGGACTTACAGTACAAAGTAAAAAGGGAATGGTGAGAGGGGACATTATTGCCTTGTTCTTTTTTAAAATTTATTTTTTATTTTTGTGGGTACATAGTACCTGTATATATTTATACAGCACATAAGATATTTTGGTACAGGCATGCAATGTGTAATAGTCACATCGTGGAAAACTGGGTATCTGTCCCCTCAAGTTTTTATCTTTTGTGTTACAAACAACCCAATTCTTGTCTTGTTCTTGAGCTTATTGGGAAAGCTTTGAGTTTCTCACCATTATGTATATTAGTTGTTAGTTTTTGTAGATATTCTTTATCAAGTTGAGGAAGATCCTCTCCATTCCTAGTTTATTGACAGTTTCTAGTCATGAATGGATGTTGGACTTTGTCAAATGCTTTTCTGCATCTATTTATGTGATCATGTGATTTTTCTTCTTTAACTTGTTGATTTAATGTATTACATTAATTGATTTTTGAATGTTGAACCAAACTTGCATACCTGGGATAAATCCCACTTAGTCATGGTGTATAATTCTTTTTCTATATTGTTAGACTTGATTTGTTAACATTTTGTTGAGGACTTTTGCAGCTATGTTCATGAGACATGTTGGTCTGTGGTTTTCTTTTCTTATGAAGTGTTTGTCTTTTGGTATTAAGGTAATGCTGGCCTCACAGAATGAATTAGGAAGAATCCTTTTTACTTCTGTCTGCTGAAAGAGATTATATAGAATTGATATTACTTCTTTTTTAATGTTTGGAAGAATTTACTTGTGAACTCATCTGGGCCTCATGATTTCCATTTTGAAAGGTAATTAAGTATTTATTCAATTTATTTGATAGACAATAGACATATTCATATTGCGTATTTCTTCTTGCGTAAGTTTTGGCAGATTGTTTCTTTCAAAGAATTGTTCTACTTCATCTCAGTTATCAAATTTGTGGCCACAGAATTGTTCCAAGTATGCCTTTATTATCCTTTCAATGTGCATTGGAGCTATAGTGATATCCCCTCTTTCATTTCTAATATTAGTAATTTGTATCTTCTCTTTTTTTTCTTAGTTAACCTGGCTAGAGGTTTATCAATTTTAATGATATTTTTAAAGAAGAAGCTTTTAGTTTCATTGATTTTTAAAATTGATTTTCTATTTTCAATTTCATTGATTTATTCTCTAATTTTTATTATTTCTTTTCTTCTACTTGCTTTGAAGTTAATTTGCTCTTCTTTTCTTTAGTTTCCTAAGGCAAAAATTATTGATTTAGATTATTGATTTTAAATTTTTCTTCTTTTCTTCTATATGCACTCAATGCTATAAATTATCCTCTGTGCACTGCTTTCTCTATATCCCACAACTTTTGGATAAGTTGTGTTTTCATTTATTTCAAAATATTTTAAAATTTCTCTTGAGAATTCTTCTTTGATCCATGTGTTATTTAGAAGTGTGTTGTTTAATTTCTAAGTATTTTGGGATATTCTAGCTATCTTTCTGTTATTAATTCCTAGTTTAATTCTATTGTTGTCTGAGAGCAGACAACATGTGATGTCTATTTTTAAAATCTGTGTTTTATGGCCCAGAATGTGGTCTATTTTCATGAGTGTTCTATGTGAATTTGAAAATAATGTATATTCTGCTCTTGTTGGATGAAGTATTCTGTAAGTATCAATTAGATTCAGTTGGTTGATGTTGTTAAGTTCAGTTATGACCTTACTGATTTTCTGTCTGCTGAATCTGTACATTTCTGATAGGAGTGTATCGAAATCTCCAAATATAATAGTAGATTCGTGTATTTCTCCTTGTAGTTCTATTAATTTTTGCCTTATGTATTTTGGTGCTGTTGTTAGGTGCATACACATTACAGATTGTTATTAGTCTCAGAGAACTGATCCCTTTATCTTTATGTAATATCTGTCTTTATCCCTGATAGCTTTCCTTACTGTGAAATATACTGTGTATGAAATTAATGTAGCTAATCTTACTTTCTTTTCATTAGTGTAAGCATGGTGCATCTTTCTCCATTCATTTACTTTTAACCTATATGTGTCTTGATTTAAAGTGGGTTTCTTGTAGACAATATATAGTTAATTTGGGATTTTTGATGTTCTCTGACAATCTCTCTTTTCATTGATATATTTAAGTAGTTTATGTTCAAAGTGTTTACTGATATAGTTACATTCACATCTGTCACATTTGTTACTGATTCTATTTGCTGCCCTTATTCTTTGTTCCTTATTTTTGACTTCCATTATTTTTCTGCCTTTTGTGGTTTTGAGCATTTTATATGATTCAATTTTCTCTCCTTTTAAAGCACATCAGTTGTACTTCCTTTTCTACTTTTTTTATGATTGCCTTAGATTTTACAGCACTCACTTATAACTAATCCAGTTCCACTTTCAAATAACACCATATTGCTTCACGGTTATGCAAATATTTTATAATAACAAAATAATCCTAATTCCTCCCTCCTACCCCTTGTATCTTTGCTGTCATTCACTTCACTTATACATAAGCATATCTATATAATACATTGTTGCTGTTATCTTTCAAACAAACTATCCATTAGGTCAAGATTAGATTAATCAAGATAAGATTAAGACAAATAAAATTTTTATTTTACCTCAATTTATTTCTTCTCTGATGTTCTTCCTTTTTAGTATAGATCTGAATTTCTGACCTATATTGTTTTCCTTCTCTCTAAATAACTTCTTTTAATATTTCATGCAAGGAATGTCTAGTGGTGACATTTCCCTCAATGTTTGTTTGTCTAAGAAAGTCATTATTTGTCCTTCACTTTTGAAGGATAATTTCTTGGGGTACAGAATTCTAGGTTGGTAGAGTTTTTTTCCTCTCAATAAGGTAAATGTTTCATTTCACTCTTGTCTTATTTGCATTGGTTTCTGAGGAGAAATCAGATGTAATTATGATTTTTGCTCCTCTATAGGTAAGGTGTTTTTTTTTCTCTAGCTGCTTTCAGAATTTTTTCTTCATCTTTTATTTTCTGTAGTTTGAATATGATATGTCCATGTGTAGCTTTTGGGGGGCATTTATCTCATTTCATATTCTCTGAGCTTCCTGGGTCTGTGGTTTGGTGTGACATTAGTTTGGAGAAATTTCATTATTGTTTTAAAAATTTCTTCTACTGCTTTCTGTCTTTATTTTCCTTCTGGTATTCTTATTATGGACATGTTACACCTTTTGTGGTTGTCCCACAGTTTTGGGATATTCTGTTCTGCTTTTTTCAGTCTTTTTTCTCCTTCCTTTTCAGTTTGGGAGGTTTCTATTGAGATATCCTCAAGTTCAGAGATTCTTTCCTCAGCTATGTCCAGTCTATTAATAAGCCCATCAAAGACATTTTTTCTTCATTTTTGTTACAGTGTTTTTTATTTATATAGCAATTATTTTTGTCTCTTTCTTAGAATTTTCATCTTTTTGTTTATGTTGTCCATCTATCCTTGCATGCTGTCTACTTTATTCATTAGTACCCTTACTATATTAATCATAGTTGTTTTAAATTTCTGGTCTGATAATTTCAACCAATCTGCCATATCTGGACATCATTTTTTAAAAGTTAAGATTGTACTGGAGGTCCTTGGCAGTGCAAGAAGATATAAAAAATAAAAATGGCAAAAGAACTGAAAGGGAAGCATCAAACTTTCCTTATTTGTACCTGACAGATTGTCTGCAAAGAAAATTAAAGAGAAGAGGCAAGCTCTTTGAATTAGTAAAAATGTTTAGCAAGGCTGTTAAATACAAAATCAACATATGAAAATCAATATCATTCTTACACAACAGTAATAGCCAATCAGACAATGGAAAAAGATGGGCAAAAAGAGTCTATTGACAAATAGCAATCAGACCACAAGGTGCCTAGCATTAATCCCTTCAAAATACATAAAATATTATTGAAGTGGAAAAGTATATTAAAATATAATATAGAAACATATATTGAAATATATAATATAGAAGACATAAATACATAATGAGATATATGTACCATTGTTCATCGACTAGTAGATTCACTGGAATAACAATAACAGTTTTTCCTGAACTAATCACTTTAGTGTAATTTCAATAAAAATACTAATAGTGATATTTTCTAGAATTTGATAAGCTTATCCTAAAGTTTATTTGAAAGATCAAAGGGCTAATACTAGCCAGGAAAAGTTTGAAGAACAGTGTGAATGAATTTGCCTTACCAGAATCCAACTTACTATAAAGCTAATTACTGTTAATGTAGCACAATATTGGCAGATAAATAGACAAATAGAGTAATGGAACCAAATGGATGGCTCAGTACCAGACCTATATATGTGAAATATAAAATCTGTAACAGATAAATCAATGGGAAAAGAATTCAGTAAATGGTGCTGTTAACACCATTCTTAGGCCTTTGTCTCCTTCTACTTATAAATACTTTTCTTAGAAATATGATCAACTTCTTTGAATTTAACCAGTGATTTCCAAATCTGTTCCTCCACCCCAGCTGTCACCCTTGAGCTCTAGGCCTATCTATTCAATTGCTTATTAGAGATATCCTCATGGATTTCAAAACATGCAAACTAAACTTATTATCTTATTCTACAGATCTTCTCTTACTAATGTATTTGCTGACTCAGTCAGTGAAACCACCCTTTACTCTATTAAGCAAGCCAGAGTTCCCTGGAAGCCATCCTAGACCAATATTTCCCAAACCTGTAGTTCTAGGCAAACCTACCAGAACAGAATATTAATGTGTTATGTAAAAATTAAAGTTATTTGATAAAATAAAATTTTGAACTACTGGATTAACAAAAATAAGCAGATTTCCCCTGTCAAATTAGTTATTGGAGCTCTTATCATTCTAGTGATCACCTAAGAGAGTCACACTGTGTTTCTCAAACCTTTGTTATGTCAGAACCCAATCTGTAAATAAAATATCTTGCTGGACTAACTTTTTAGGACTTCAGGATATGTTTTCCTTTCTTCACCTCCCTCACCCCTGAATAATCACTAATTTTTTTAATTTATTGTTTAAATATCATGGGCCTTCTCCATTTAATGGCCACTGGCCTTTGTACATTGAGTCTTATTCCCTTTATCTCAACCCTTTCTCCATACAGTTGCCAGTGACCCTAGTTACAGAACTGACTGTGTTAGCCTCCTGCTTAAAGCACTTCGATAGACCACCATTTCAGTATAAAGCTCGAGGTTCCTTAGTTTAACAAGACCTCTTAGTTATTAGCTCCAATGTTCCTGCTCCTTCTCAATGCTTTCCACCCCAGTGATAGTAAATCATCTGATGGGGTCCAAGATACACTGCCCCAAAATGTGTCATCTTGTGATTTGAGAAAACAGCAGAAGCGAGAAGATCACTTTCACATTTCTCTTTCCCTTCTCCCCTAAAGCAGGCCATAAAACCCTCATTTTAGAGGTACTTTCCTGGATTAGTCAGGGTTATCCAGAGAAACAAGTCAATAAAAGGTATATATAGAGAAAGAGAGAGATAGACAGATAAGAGGGAGATTTATTATGGGAACTGGCTCATATAATTATGGAGTTTGAGAAGTCTCACAATACACTGTCTGTAAGCTGGAGAACCAGGGAGCCTGGTGGTGTCATTCAGTCTAAATCCAAGGACCTGAGAACCAGGGGATCCAACAGTGTAATTCTCAGCCCAAGACTGAAGACTTGGGAAACTGGGGGCCTGCTTGTATAAATCCCAGAATCCAAAAACCTGAGAACCTGGATTTCTGATTATTGAGGACAGAAGAAGATGAATGTTCCAGCTCTGGAAGAGAGAGTAAATTTATACCTTCCTCTTCCTTTTTGCTCTATCTGGGATCTCAACAGATCAGATGATGCCCATTCACATTGGTGGGGGAAGATCTTCTTTACTTGATCTATTGATTGAGATTCTAATCTCTTATGAAAACATCCTCACAGACCTATGCAGAAATAATGTTTTACTAGCTATCTGGGTATCCCTGAACACAGTCAAGTTGATACCTAAAATTAACTATCACAGCTCCTTATACCCAGAGGAAAGAAATATTCTTGTCTCTGAAGACATAGGGACTCAGAAAAGAATCTGAACAAACAGGTCTTGCTAAGTTTCTCCTGGTTTATTACCATTAGATTGTACCCTTTTGTCCTCTAATCATAGTTCTCCATGACTATTTTACTTCTTCATCAAACCTTGTATAAAAATGCACAAGTTCAACTGTTACTTTATATCATTTCCTTATTAAGGCTCCCATATCACATAAAACTTATATGAAATACATTTGTATGCTTTTCTCTTATTAATCTCTTTTGGTATAGGGCCCACAGCCATGAACCTAGAATGGGTAGAGAATAAGTTATTTTTCCTCTCCTACACCTCTATAGCTCACTATGTATTACCCAGCATTCATTTTCTCTGTACTATACTCTGCCTGCAAGTTTACACATTATATAGTATGTCCAAGGATAATGAATTCCATTTGCTTGACTGGATTTTAAAATCTAATTTAGAAACCAATAATAGGTTTGAAATAATTAGCAAATAAAATATGAGTGTTAGCCTCATGGATAGGCTTATTTCCAGGTCTTGGTCCTTGTAACTGAGCCTTGTGCATTTGTGTAATGAGTTCTGATAAAGGCTTCTCATCAGAAACTTGTGTTATTCTCTGTTTGATTAAAAAACATATCAACATCATGTGTGCTCTATTTTTCTATAACTGGCTGCAAATATGATTCATCTAATCTTTGGCAAAATATCTCTTTATCTTTATGGCTCTCTTCTTATTACAGTGAAGTCATATTGACATTAAAAACCTTGATAACTTTAACTGTGTTAAAATTAAGAATTTTGTCCATAGAAAGATACCAGTAAGAGAACATAAAGACAAGCCACAGAGTGGTAAGAGACATTTGTAAAATATATAACTGACAAAGGACTTGTGTCTAGAATACACAAATAACTCCTACAAATCAACAGAAAAAAGACAAACAGCCCAATAGAAAAATGAGCAAAGATTCAAACTAGCACTTAACAAAAGAAGAAATTCAAATGGCCAATAAATAGGAAAAAGTGCTCAACTCTCTTAGCAATCAGGAAAACACAGATTAAAACCCCAATAAGATATTGTGAAACCATCCCGATAAACTTTATGAAATTAATCAAGGAAGAAGAGAGAGGGAGATAAATAAACCAAGCTTGCATCACATTTAGCATTAATCCTGAGGTCAATTTGCTCTCTGACCTGTTTCCTCATAGTTGTTTGGTGCCTATTGTCCTAGAATCCCATAGACCCTAGATTATAGTTCCCCTTAACTGTTCTATAGATAATGACTTGAATGTTATGAAATATTAAGTTTTCCCTTTGAGATATTCCTTCAGGTCTTTCCTATTGATGAAACTACTGGCTCAGCTGATCCGAAGGACCTCACTAATGCCAGCTGATCTGAAAGACCCCACTGACACCAGCTAGTTTGAAGGATCCCACAAGGAACTGACTCAGCAAAGAATGCAGTTTCCAAATCCTGATGATTTCAACCATCTTGCCCTGACCAATCAATGACCTCAATTTTCCAGCCTCTCCCCCTCCATGATCCTCTTAAAAACTCCAGCCCAGATTTCCTCAGGGAGATGGGAGATGGATTTGAGGATCTCTTTCCATCTCCTCACGCAGCACCCTGCTATCATTAAACTCTCTTCTGCAAACCCTGTTGTCTCAGTGTAATGGGTCTGTTACTGTGCAATGGGATATGAGCCTGTTGGTCTTATAGTAATTGTGTTTAAAATTCAGCCCATCAGAATGCCTAAAGCTAAAAAAGGCTGATAATAACAAGCTTTAGTGAGATCATGGAAGAAAAATAACTCTTAGACATTGCTTGTGAAACTGTAAGTTGGTACAACCACTTTGGAAAACTGTTTGGCAATATTTGCTAAAGCTGAACATGTAAACTGATGACCTAACCATAATACACATGGGTATAAATCCATCAGGAAGGCATATTTAAATGCATCAAGACATGTACAAGAATGTCCATAAAAGCCCAAAATTGGAAGCTAGGCAAATGTTGGCCAGTGGTAGAATGGATAAATGAAGTGTGAAATAGTCATGATAGTATAGTATTCCAATAGTAACTATGGAATACCATACAGCAATGAAAACAAACAATATACAACAAATTAGATCAATTTCACAAACATAATGCTGAGTGATGAAGCCAGACACCAACGAATGTAAAGAATTCCATTAAATACATTTTAGAGATCAAACTCATATTTAATATTTTGGTATATGTATATATGTGGTAAAACTATAAGGAAAAGCAATGAGTGATGACCATAAAAATCAAAATAATGGTTACTTTTAAGGGAGGAAGGAGATTGTGATTGGGAGAGCACATGGAGTCATGGAAAGGAGACTGATGGAGTGTAGGAAATGTTCTATTTCTTGGCTTGGATATTGATGACACTGGTATTCATTAAAAAACAGTTTCTTAAACTGTACATTCTCATTATATGTTCGTTTAGAATTCGTATTTTATTTCATAGTAAACAAGCCTCAAGGCCAGGCATGGTGGCTAATACCTACAATTCCAGCATATTAGGAGGCCCAGGCGGAGGATTGCTTGAGCTCAGGAGTTTGAGACCAGCCTGGGCAACACAGTGAGACCTAATCTCTACAAAAACATAAAAAAATTAGCCAGGTGTGGTGGTGCATGCCTGTAGTCCCAGCTACTTGGGAGGCCAAGGCAGGAAGATCACTTGAGTCCGGGAGATTGAGGCTGCAGTGAGCCATGATCACGCCACTATACTCCAGCCTGGGTGATGGAGCAGAAACCTGTCTCAAAAAAGAAAAGTTTCAAAATACTAATACCTGGGTTCTACCACAATTCAACTGTAGCAGAATATCTGGGTTAAGGTAAGGCATTTTGAAAAAGCCTCTTATGTGACTCTAATAAGCAGCCAGGGTTGAGAACTGCTGATCTAGAGGATGATTAAGCTTTCTCAAATATTAGTTTTTCATCTTTTGATGAAAAACTTAACTCATGATTAAGGTATCTGGTGAGTTCCAAGTATAGGAATTCCACAATATTAATAAAAATTCTTGTCATACTTATTAGTGATGTCTTCACATGTTTGTGTCTTGCTTCCTCCTGCACACACCTTGAGGGCAGGGGCTAGTCTCATACCTGTATGCACCACACCCTGTAGCACAGTACTTATTGGTGAACTAATTTCATATGTATCTAGAATGTCCCCAAAAGCTGCAGACCAAACATATGAATCAACTTAGAGAGCTGAGCACTATGGGAAATACTGAGCAAGTGAGAAGAAAGAGGAGTGAAATGGGAGAAGCAGTGATATGGTTTGGCTCGGTGTCCCCACTGAAATCTCATATTGAATTGTTATCTCCACGTGTCAGGGGAGGTGCCTGGTGGGAGGTAATTGGATCTTGGGGGCGGATTTCCCCCTTGCTGTTCTCATAACAATAAGTGAGTTCTCATGAGATCTGATAGTTTAAAAGTGTATGGCACTTCTCCCTTTGCTCTCTCTCTCCTGCTTTGCCATGGTAAGACGTGCTTACTTCCCCTTCGCTTTCCGCCACGGTTGTAAGTTTCCTGAGGCCTCCCAGCCATGCTTCCTGTTAAGCCTGCAGAACTGTGAGTTAATTAAACCTCTTTTCTTCATAAATTACCCAGTCTCAGGTAGTTCTTATAGCAGTGTGAGAAGAGACTAATACAAGCATTTCAGGAAGTTGCATCCTCCTTTGCCAGTTCCTTCCTCTCTTTTGAAGAGCCACTTAGCAAAGAAACCCCACCTCTGGGAGGACAGTCTCTACCAGCTCCTTCTGTGAGACAGGGTTTCATGCTCCTAGATTTCTTCTTTCCTCTTCTGAGAGCCAATTAAAGCAAAAATGTGCCAGAGAAACAGAGAACTTCAAAGAGACTCATAGAGGTATGATTTCAGGAGAATGGCCTTAAGCTTCCAGCCAAGTTAGGTAGAATCCTATCCTAAAGCTCTTCATTGAAACCTTTACGGGCAAAACTGTCTACCAGCTACAGGTATTTGCATGATGGATGCTTTGAAGACACTCCTTTCCCATGTCCCAAAGTATTTTGTGGTGCAGAACCAAACTGGCCAAAATTCAAAGTGGCATCTTGATTGGGGCCTCCCTCTAGGTGGAGTTCTTCTTATTCTGAGGAACCTAATCATCTAATAGGAGCTATGGTGTTAATGACCAGTAGGGTTATATAACTTATTCTTTCAAGATGGATGCCATTGACATTTGAACAGCTGCCTCCAATATGGTTCAACCAGAGGAGTGACTAGATTTGGAAAGTTCAGACACTAGGACAGTCTGGTGAATCCATAAAATCTTTTGTGAGGAGGCATCAGGACACCTCAAACCACACTATTTAACTGTAGGTGCCCACAGGCTGATTCCACACTAAGAAAGCAACTGGGGACACAGCCAGCTCTTTATTTGAAAATTTGTGTATAAATGACATACCTCTTAACTCCTATCATAGAACCAGTCCAACCCTTCACTTCCAACTAGCCTGGACATTTAACAGGCTGGGTCATCCCATCTCTTCACATGCCTTTGTCCCTGTCTAGAACTGCCCTTGTACCCTGACATTATCCCAATCTTATTCAAAGTCAAATTCCTGCCCTCCTCTTCCATAAACTCTTACAGACCTTTATCAATTTCCTTCTTTAAATTCTAGCTTTTATTGTCTGATTAATTATTTTATCCATTAACTTTAAAAATATTTTCTGAGCACTCTAGAGACTATACAGAAAAACTGTGTCTCAATGGAAAACATGCATTGTCTGGAGAAGGGGTCATCAAACTTTTTCTGCAAAAGAACAAGGTCATAAATATTTTAGGCTTTGAAGGCCGTAGTGTCTCTGTCGCAACTACTCCACTCTAGCATTATAGTGTAAAAGCAGCCATACAGAATACATAACTGAGTAGGCATGTCTGTGTTCAAATAAAACTTTATTTACAAAAACAGGCATGGGGCTAGATTTCATCTGAGAGCCTTAGTTTGCTGACCCTCTGGTCTAGCTGACACTCCTTCAGGTTATCTGATTCTGATTTTATGGGAGCTATTTTGTAGCTCCCTAAATTATAGATAACTGATAGCAATGCAAAATAATTCTTATTTATAGACATGCAAATTCTGTTCTCTGGTAGGGGTTTAATTGACTCCCCTCTCCTACAGTGGAAGACGTCAGTTTCGTCTCCATTTGCACATTCATTTCAATATTCCTGAAATATATATATATATGTGTGTATATATATGTGTGTATATATATATATATATATATATATATATATATATATCTGTTCTTTGTATTCTCCTTTGAATTGGTTATAACATCTGCCTTGCCCCTCATTATGAGTTAAATCAAACCCTAAAAATGTGCTAATTTTTACATCTTTATGAGAATTAAAGGTTTACCACTTTTTAAAAATTATCTTCAATAGGGCAGATACCATTCTGGATACCAAAGGAAATAAGGCATAGTTTCTGTCTTGTTAATTGTCTTTGAACCCCATCAGAATAGTAACTTCCTTAAGGGCAGAAACACCTTGTATCTCATTCAATGAGGACTTGCTTGTTAATTATTTACTGGGTTAATTTCCTTCTATGTAACTTTTTTCCTTTTCTGCTCTAAACCAAATAGTTGCTGTATTGGGATGAGAAGGTAAAAGGATTTCATGTTAGAATGCAGTTAGCAAATCTTTGGGGAGCTCAGAAAAACAGTTCCTCCAATCAAGGGCTTAACATTACTGGAACCATGAACATTTTTGGCCATGGAGGAAATGAATATCACATTCTTGCCAGCGCAAATGTACAAAATTAAACTCTGTGGTTTTATCTATTTTTTAGGTTTTCCAGAAAGAACAAAAGGCTGACTAAACCTTCCTTTCATCTTTGCCAACCAAATTTTTTACACTTATATAGTATATTTCTATTTCATTTGAGGTGCTTTAAATGCCTGGAAAATGCTTAACCTTATAACCACCTTGGGATTTGTATGGGAATCATTTGTCCCCATTTTGTAAAAAATGAAACTGAGGAGTATGCCTCAAAAGATTTTCCCAGAGTAGCACAGAAGGCTATAGAAAAGGCATAGAGAACTCTTGAATCCCAGACCAGTCCCCAGAACTCAGGCTGGCACACACGCTAACCTTCACAGCCCTGTACCTTATAGCCATTGGAAAATTAGCTTTTTGCTAGCTTTTTGCTAGTGGACATGGAAAAGGCATGACCTAAAAATTCTCATAAAACTCCAAATTTTTATAAAATCTTTGGGAATTTATATGAATTTTCAAATTAATTAGTGTTCTGATTATCAGCACTTTACTGTAACTACCATTTACTCTGAAAATGTCACAGTCCCCCACAGCTCCACTAATAATAGTGTTCTGGCTGGAGATCTAAGCTGAGTTTTAATTTGATTTTGGTATATTAAATATAAATTGTTATGTCCACACAAATCTGTATATGTGAGTGTTCATGTCAGCATTACACATAATAGCCAAAATATAGAAATAACCGAAATGTCTGTAGACTAATGATAAACAGGACCACATCTTGCATGACTCCATTTGTATGGAATGGAATTTGACCATGCTATGAAATGTTCAGAAAAGGCAAATCTGTATGACAGAAAGCAGATTGTTGGTTGCCTAGGGCTGGGTTTGGGAATGGAAAGTGATGGCTAATGGGTACTGGTTTCTTTTTGGGGTGATGGAAATGTTCTAAAATTGGATTTTGATGGTGGTTGCAAAAGTCTGTAAATATACTAACAATAATTGACTTGGAACATTTAAAATGGGTGAATTTTATGGTATGTGAGCTATACCTCAATAAAGTTCATAATGAATAAATAAATTGCTGTGTGACTCCCCCACATACACCTCTACCCTTGACTGCTCCACAAGAATACCATAGAAACAAACTGCCTTTGAAAGGACACCAGGAATAATTTTATATAATTTTAAGTCTGACTTTCAGGACAATAATATAGGTGTCATGAGATTCAAAACTTCAATATTGTGATCTGAGGGTAATTTCACCACAGGTGTGCAGCTTAACAGGGTGTTAATTGGGAAGCCCATGAACACCTCCTCCGCAGGCAGCCCAGAAAGCTGTGCCAACATTGCTGGTGAATAGAATAATTCAAGAGCCAAATTCATGGTCAAAAATGAAGAGAAATTTAACTTGCTTTTATACTGAAGCCATTACCACACAAAATGACTTAATGCCCATTTTAATTGGAGCTGAAGGCTTCTTGACTTCACCACTAATCAGAACCACTTCAGGTTTTGGAAATATTTCTGTACTGTGGAAGGAAAATAAAAGAGCCAAATTAAGGGCTGAGGTTTTCTAACAGAAGTAACTTCCCTACATTCAGCAGGTTGGTTTATTTAGAATGAGTACTAAAAGGTCTTGCTGATTCCCTGGGGGATTGGATGTCCAAGGTTTCTACAGATAATAACAGAAGCATAGCTAGCTAAGAATGTAGTTTGCTTCTCTGATAATATCCATTGCTTCTCCTGAACTCCCAGCCCCCAGCTAATAGGGTAAGGGATGGTTACCTTCTCTTTGGGAAGGCATCTAACACTCTGTGGAGCCAAGAGAACTCTTGACCAGAAACTAACATTCTATTTAAGTCAACAGGGCTCGAATCCTGTATATTTAACTTGCCCTGGACATCCATTCCCTTCCTCTTCCAGGAAGACTCCAAGAAACAAGCAATCCATTACTCTTCAAGGACAAAAGCCACTGGTTCAACAATAAGATAGTTTTGAAAAGCCTTGATGTCTTTTTCTAGGTAGAAGAGGAAAAGCCATTTTTTATTAAAAAAAAAATAGCTAGAAATAAAAAGCTTCTGAGTCATTTTATTAACTGAAATAGCTTTCCGAGAACCCTTGTCCAATCCAAAAGGTAATGGACAGCAATTTTCTTCTTTTTCAAACCTCTTCATACTTAAGTGCATCATATGCCTAAGGAAAACAGAAATTTTCTTTTTTTATATCCAACAATATGTGTAGGAAAAAATAAATCTAAAACAAAACACAAAACTAAAAAAAAGGCATGACTAGACTTCAAAAAAGTACCAAACTTGCTCTATGGAAAAGGCAGTGTTTTCCCAAAAACATTTCCAATCACTACATCTCAACATACCATTGCATAAAAGCATTAAGTCTTAAATCCCTACAACCAACCAACCAACCTCTTTGAAAACACAGAAAAATTGTCCTGTTCTTGGCCTAATGCCAAGTACAATTTGACATATTGAAATGTGCTAAAACAGTCTCTTAGCATTTGTTATGAATGATTTGAACCACATCATTTAATGAGATCCATAAAAAGAAAATCTCACTTCAGGCATAAGCAATGAAATACTGTTCTAAGTTTTTTGATGTCCAGATTGGAGTAAACTCTTTGGTGTTCAACTTGTTCTGCTTTATCTTGGTACTATTTTGCATAGAAGTTAGGGAATTTAGACCTAGCCCATTGCAAAAGCAGCACAAATCTAGAGCAATTTTTCCAGTGTGTTTCACAGGACAAAGTTAAACATGTTTCTTTAATATAGAACTTCTCAGAACCTTTAATATGACCATGTCATTGTGAATCTCTAAGGTGATTATATATTGAAGCATGTCCTTCTTTAACCATGGTCTCCTTTTCTACAGAAAATATTACACGGTAACATTGTGAGGGCTACACTTCAAGAAATACAGTGGAATAATTTTAAGGGACTTGAGTTTCAAGTTGGCCAACCGGGATTGTAAAGATGAGCCACTTGACTTTTCAGTGCCTTCTATTCCATCCTTTTCAAAGTTTGGTCTCCTTTCTGTGAATTTCCAGGGATTTAAAAAAAATTAAATGAAAAGATATGAAAGTCTTTTGAAAAGTTAAAAATGTAACCCAAATGTGAGGCATCATTTCAATATCTGTTATCCCATACTGCTAACACCCACCACCATTATTCCTTCTTAAAAGTTTTAAGAATTCAAAATGAGATCAAAGTAATGCAGTTTAAAAGTAAAACTCAATATGATTTAAATACAAGGTAAGTATCTCTTTTTCTTTAAGACACAGGGTCTTGCTTTATCAGTCAGGCTGGAGTGCAGTGGTGGGATTGTAGCTCACTGCAACCTCCACCTCCCAGGCTTAAGTGATCCTCCCGCCTCAGCCTCCAAAGTAGCTGGGACTACAGGTACCTTCCACCATGCCCAGCTAATTTGTTAAAACTTTTTTAGAGACGAGGGTCTCACTATGTGGCACAGGTTGATCTCAAACTCCTGGTGTCAAGCAGTTCTCCTACCTCAGCCTCCCAGAGTGCTGGGATTACAGGCATGAGCCACTGTGCCTGGCCAGATGAGTGTCTTTACAGTAGTTTAAATAGTTGGAGCTCAAAAAGAAAATCAAGGGATACTGAATTTCATCTCTTGGCTCAGTGTGTAAGCACTTATATTTTTACATTAATTTCAAGGGTTTTTTGTTTTTTTTTTTTTTGAGACAGGGTCTGACTCTGTCACCCAGCCTGGAGTGCAGTGGCCTGATCTCAGCTCACTGCAACCTCTGCCTCCCAGGCTCAAGCGATTCTCCCACCTCAGCCTCCCGAGTAGCTGGGAGTATAGGCACGTGTCACCACGCCAGGCTAATTTTTGCATATTTTGTACAGAAGGGCTTTCATCCTGTTGCCCAGACTGGTCTCGAACTTCTGGGCTCAAGTGATCCACCCACCTCGGCCTCCCAAAGTGCTGGGATTACATGTGTGGCCATTGCGCCGGGTGACATTACTTTTATTGGCACATTAGGTAAATACATATTTAGGAGCTAGACTGAGACCTTTTTGCCTATTGGTGTAAATACTTTGTTTCGAGGTCCTTCCCTTCCCTCCCCTCCCCTCCCCTCCCCTCCCCTCCCTTCCCTTCCCTTTCCTTTTTCCTTTCTCTTCTGAGGCACAGTCTTGCTCTGTTGCCCAGACTGGAGTGCAGTGGCGTGATCTCAGCTCACTGCAACCTCTGCCTCCTGGGTTCAAGCGATTCTCCTGCCTCAGCCTCCCAAGTAGCTGGGAATACAGGCGCGTGCCACCACGCCTGGCTAATTTTTTGTATTTTTGGTAGACACGGGGTTACACCGTGTTAGCCAAGATGGTCTCAATCTCCTGACCTTGTGATCTGCCCGCCTCGGGCTTCCAAAGTGCTCGGATTACAGGCGTGAGCCACCGCGCCCGGCCTTGTTTCGAGGTTCTTAAAACGATATGTCAGGTCCATTAAAGTCTGCTGTGTTGATACAGTGGTTATACTTTCCCACTCTATGAGAAAATCAGAGAACGTGACCTTTTTTTTCTTTTGGAAAACATTACAAGACAGAATCCATGTGTTATTAGAGACTGCTCTCCTCAACCAAGGATATTTATCCTTTATTTACTCTTTATTTTGCCATCTAAACTGCCTGAACTGAACACTCTTCCAGTTCTTGACATGTGAGGGGCTTGGCAGGGAAGAGATGGGATGGAGATAGGCTGAAAGGCCTGAATTCCGAGACTGAATTTCTGATCCTCTGTTTCAGATACTAGAAGACAGATTGTCTGCTATGGTTCTCCTTTTTCTTTTCCCCCATCTTTCCCTTTGCTCATTTCCTTCTTCTTTTATTTTATCTTGCCTTTTCTTCATCTCCCTCTGAACACATTCCAAGTTCTTTCTTTTCTTTTCTAAGTCAAAATTCCATACAGTGAAGCAGTCAGAGACCAAACAAAAGACACTAGATCTTACGCTTCTATTAACTCCTACACCTTTGACTATACATATTCCTGAAAAGCTCTGACCCCTTCACTCCAAGCCTGCACAGTTGAGTTATTCAGGCCAGAGTGAGGAAGCTTACATATATTCTTGTTGCATTTCATCTGCTCTGACTGAGCCCAGTCACCTCAACCTTTCAAGATCTTTTGCAATTCTTTTTCTGTTGCACACACCATCACTCACCTAGCTGGTCATTTGGAAATTTGATAAATGTGAATGAACAACCTTGCACAAGGCAGGAAAAGGGCAGAGTTGAGTGGTCTATGGGTGTGGTCTAGTCTATGAGCTATAAATCACTGGACTGCAAAGACATTAATATGAGGGCAAAGAAGATGTAGAAAGAGAGGCATGGTTTTCCACAGAGAACAACCCTCAGGATTAGGTCAGTGGGTTTCTCAACCACCCCCATAGCTTTGAAATTTCTTTATAATGTTAGAATAATTGGGTGTGGAAATGTTGATTAAAGCATAGGTGATGATTATGAGTCTCCATCTATTAATGTTTGTGAGTCCTCATCTGTTAATGAAAGTAGTTGACTTTTTATCAACAAGTGGTTTGAGCAGAATTTCATTCACAGCTCAAACTTTCAGTCATCTATTACCCAGCTGATCTCAGAACAATTTAGTGGTCATCTGTTAGAGAGAATGATAGCTTCAAATAACCTAAGCAACAAGTTTAACCTAAGCAACCTACTGGCTTGGTTAGAGAGGAAACAGTAGTTAATAATGGAGAGACTAGTTGAAGAGCAGGGATCTTGGTAAAGTCAGAAGGATCTGGTTTTTGACAGCCTCTGAGATGGAAAGACACTTTTTAGTTAACAAAGTATCTGCCCTGATTTAAAATATAAATTTTGGAATACTCTGAGCAGGGAGGTAGATGGGGCAGTTTCTACATAAAAACCTTTTATACATATTCCTCTTTCCTGATCAATGTGAAAATAATGTGATTAAACCTTTCATTTTTTTGATTTCTGAAACCACAGAAACCAGAAGCATGAGAAATGAGAACAAATTCAATAAAAATTGCGCAAGTATTTTTATTATGCTAATGTCTCTTCATTTGGATGAGAGCAGGGGGTACAAAGGAAGCGTTGCCATAAATTTTTGGTAGTATAAAAAGCGATTTAAAAATGTGTTTCATGTAAACAGTAAGTATAAGATTTCTGTGGATTGGTTAGTTCAGTTTCTCAGACTATTTTCTTCAAACCATAATCCATTTGATTGTTATCTCTCAATCCATTTTTTTAAATTAATTTTTAGAAAAACAAGCTCATTCCTCATACCCTATACTTTATATTAGCTTATACATCAAGCACCATGTATCACAGCAGGCATTCCATAGAACAGATCTTTTTACAGATGGGAGAGTGGGAGAAGCCCCTATAAGTTTTAATCTTTCTTAAAAAAAAAAGACAAAACCACAACCCTGAAACATGGGTGGGCTTTTAAGGTTGTTTTGTTGGGGTTTTTTGGACACCATCTAGCTTATTGCAGGTTGTCAGCAAATGTTTTTTGAAATGGTTTGTTACATAAAGGGTCACTTAGTAATAATAATTTCAAGCTAATTAAAAAGCTGAAGCATAGATGCTGACAATGTACTGTGATGAGATAATCAGCTTTTGTTAGCACTGTTAATTTAGAAAATGTGATTCTTAGAAACACATTTCTAAACTAACAGTTTATAAAATGAGAGAATGAGAGAAATGGCTACTCAGTTCTAGGATTATAGCAGAAAAGAACGCCAAGGAAAACTGGCCAGAATGAAATGTTCATTTCATATTGCCAGCATATGAGAGGCTAAGGACCATGTCCTACTCATGTACCCTCCATAGCACCTAGCACAAGCTGTACACGAGTTGGCCTTTGATGGATTTTTTTAAATTGACAAATTTTTATAAATCAAATAATGGAAGTCATAGACTTTTGGTGATAGAAGACTTTTTATAATATAGTGGGAAGAGAAAATACTTTGAAACGAGAAAGATACACCTTCAAATCTCCACTCTACCACTTAGTCATTGTGATTTTAGGCAAGTTACTTATACATTTTGAGTTTTTGTCTCTTCACGTGTAGAATGAGGACATTATAATTGTGAAAATCAGGTGAGCTAATATATGTAAGTAGCTTTGAACATGTCCTGGCCAATTCTTGCTAGTTGTTTATTATTTCAGTATTATTATTATTTTTCAGCAAAGACAGGACAACAATTTGTTGGTTTGGAGAAAATAAAAATGATAATGGTTAATGTTTGTTGAGTATTTGTCATATGCTTGGCATTAGGCTGGGTATTATCATTAAGTATTTTTCATATGCTAGGTATTATTTTTCAGCAAAGGCAGGACAACAATTTGATAGTTTGGAGATAATAAAAATGATAGTGGCTAATGTTTATGAAGTATTTGTCATATGCTAGGCATTATGCTAAGTGGTTGATGAGCCTTGTTTCATCTATTTACTTTTTTATAAATAGAAACCCATTACATAAATTGCCCCATCAGGTATTTACTCAGACCTCATAGGTCAGGCAACTAAGGCTAATGGAAGGCAAAAAAAAATTGTCTATATCCACACAGCTGCTGAGTGGCAGTCATCCAAGCTATGTCAGAATAGAAGGCATTAATCTGAGTCCCAGCATGTAACACAATGGAATATTATCCAGCTTTAAAAAAGAAGGAAATCTTGTCTTTTGCGACAACATGGATGAACCTGGAGGATATTATGCTAAGCAAAATAAGCCAGTCACAGAAGGACAAATACTCAATTCCACTCTATATGAGGTATCTATAATAGTGAAACTCATAAAAGCAGAGACTACAATCGTGGTTGCCAGGATCCTGGGGTTTCGGGAAATGGGGAGTTGTTCAATGCCCATAATGTTTCAAATTATGCTCAGTGAATAAGTTCTAGAGATCTGCTGCACAACTCAGCGCCTATAGTTAACAATATGGTATTGTGCACTTCAAAATTTATTAAGAGAGTAGATCTCATGTGAAGTGTTCTTACCACACACAAAGCAAACAACAAAAACAAACAAAAACCCAAAAAGACATAAGGAAACTGAGAGGTGTTGAATGTGTCTATTACTTTGACCATGGTGATGGTATCACAGGTGTTTACACATAACCAAGCTCATCAAATTGTACACATTAAGCATGTGCAGCTCTTTTTATATCAATTGTACCTCAATACAGCTGTTAAAAAAATGAGTCTCAAGATTGAGGAGAGATATTCTAGATCATCCTGTTGGACAAAGTCAGAGCCAAGATTAGAACTCGGAGTTTCTCTCTGAGCCTCTATTTTTATAGTTGTATAATAGAAATAATAATACTATCACAAAGGACTAGGAGATAATGTGGGAATAGGACACAGGGTAGAGTTCATGGGGACATGATGGCACTAAGAAAAAGAGATGAGAAGAAATCAAAGACAAAGCTTCTGGACTTCAGAATTTGGCCTGGAGCTTGCCCCTTAAGCAGGCAGGAGGACTACAGATCCTTGAGAATACAGAACTTGATTTTTTTTCATTTATTCATGCATGAATTTGTTCATTGACTCATCCATCCACCCAACTGTTATTTTTTAACCACTTACAGTATGATTTCTTCTTGGTATCTGAGATACAATGGTGAGAACAACAAAAATAAGAAGCTCATTCTTGATGCTGATAGTATGCTGGCAAGATTTGGGGAACCTCATGGAGGCTAAGACACCTGTGAGCTACTGAACCCCTGAGCCAGAAATAACAGATTCCTGCTACCTGTGCTGTGTCTTTTGCATTCCTGGCTGAATGCAAATCGATACTTTAGAACCACTGTTCAATGTCCTGTTGGTTTCATAGTGTTTGGGCTTTCTGAAGGCTAGCAGAGACAGGTCTGGAAAAGGAAAGCTACTGATACAAAAAGGGGCAAAAACCTTACGGAGCCAACATCAGACAGGGATGATGTTTAACAGAGCTGATTGCTCCACTGTATTTGATGAGTAGGCCATATTGAAAATGTTTGCTAACAATAAATGGCTTAATGCAACAAAGTCAAGTCACTTTGCTAGTAGATAGCTTTGCTTTTACAGTTCTTTGAGCATACTGACTCAATTTAAATCTGTTGCAGTTACTTTGTAACAGAAAACTGTAATTTTCCAGTTACCACTTCGCAACTTGATTTATTCACCTCTTGAAAATTTTGTGACATTCCATAAAATTAATTTACATTTACTACATGAGAAACAATCTCACACATACTATGTTTTTTTTTTTATTACCAAGGCTTATTTTCTGATAGTGGCCAATGTGGTTCTCTCTTAAGAGGAAGTATTAGAATGTCTTAAAAATAGTCCATCTATATTCCATCATTAACATCCTGAGAGAGGATAAAATAGATATTATTAAAACTCAACAGTAACTACAGCTTTGGTTCAGGCCTTAGACATACGTTGTTCAATATGATAGCCGTTAGTCACATGTGGCTACTGAGCATTTGGTATGTGGCTAGTTCAAATTGAGATGTGTGGTAAGTATAAAATACACAGCAGATTTCAAAGACTTAGTATGAAAAAAATATAAAGTATTTCAACAATATTTTAAATATTAATGACAGGTTGAAGTGTTAATAATTGGGATATATTAAGTTAAATAAGTATATTTTCAAATGAAATTTACTTATTTCTTTTGTTTTCTTTTATTTTATTTGAGACTGAGTCTCACTCTGTTGCCTAGGCTGGAGTGCAGTGGTGTGATCTTGGCTCACTGCAACCTCTGCCTCCTGGGTTAAAGCAATTCTCCTGCCTCAGCCTCCTGAGTAGCTGGGACTACAGGCACCCACTACCATGCCTGGCTAATTTGTGTATTTTTAGTAGAGATGAGGTTTCACCATGTTGGCCAGGCTGGTCTCGAACTCCCGACCTCAAGTGATCCACCTGCCTCAGCATCCCAAAATGCTGAGATTACAGGTGTGAGCCACGATGTCCAGCCTGAAATTTACTTTTTTTAAAATTTAACATTTTAAAATGTAACTACTAGAAAATTTGAATTAATAACCTTCCAAAAAAGAAATCTTCAGTTCGGATGGTTTTACCAGTGAATTCTTTAAAATATTGAAGGAAGAAATAATACTGATTCTCTAGAATTTATTCCAAAAAATAGAAGAGGTAACACTTCCTAACACATGCTCTGAGGTCAACATTATGCTAATACAAAAACCAAATAAAGGCATTACAAGAAAAGAAAATTACAGACCAATGTCTCTCATGAACATACACACAAATATCCTTAATAAAATATTAAAAATGAAATTCAACAATGTATATGAAAAATTATTTACCACAATGAAGTGGGATTTAGAGAGGTATGCAAGACTGGTTGAACATTCAAAAATCAATCAATGTAATCTACCATATCAACAGTCTAAAGAAGAAAAACCATAGATTTATATCAATTAATATAGAAAAAGCATTTGGCAAAATCCAATACTGATTCCAATCGGTATCCAATACCAAAAACTCTCAGCAAACTAGGCACAAAGGGAAACTTACTCAATTAAAGAACATCTACCAAAAAATGTATAGCTGAATTATACTCAATAATGAAAAACTGGGTGATTTCCCCTAAAATCAGGAACAAAGCAATCATGTCCTCTATCACCACTCCTATTCAACATGGTTCTGACTAATGAAATAAGATGAGAAAACGAAATAAGACATATACAGACTAGAAAAGAAAAACTGAAACTCTCTCTACTCACAGATGACATGATTGTCTTTGTAGAAAATCCCAAAGAATCAACAATAATCTCCTGGAACTAATAAGTGAGTATAGCAAGGTTGCAATATAAAAGTCAACTGCTCTCCTATATACCAGCAATGAACAAATGGAATTTGAAATGTGAAAAAATATATACCATTTATAATAGCACCTAGAGGGCCGGGTGCGATGGCTCACACCAGTAATCCCAGCACTTTGGGAGGCTGAGGTTGGTGGATCACCTGGGGTCAGGAGTTTGAGACCAGCCTGACCAACATAGTGAAACCCTGTCTCTACTGAAAATACAAAATTAGCTGGGCATGGTGGCACATGCCTGTAATCCCAGCTACTCAGGAGGCTGAGGCAGGAGAATCGCTTGAACCCGGGAAGTGGAGGTTGTAGTGAGCCGAGATCACACATTGCACTCCAGCCTGGGAAACAAGAGTGAAACTCCGTCTAGCAAAAAAAAAAAAAAAAAAAGCACCTAGAATTTAAAATACTTAGAGATAAATATAATAAAATAAGCACAAGATTTGCAGGCAGAAAGCTACAAAATGCTAATGAAGAAAATCAAGGAAGATCTAAATAATGGAAAAATAGCCTATGTTCATGGATTGGAAGACTCAATTATTAAGATGTTAATCCTTTCCAACTACATCTATAGATTCAATATAATCCCAGTGAAAACCCTGGCGGCCATTTTATAAATATCAAGAAACTAATTCTACAGTTTATATGGAAAAGCAAAAGACCAAGAATAGTCAGCACAACACTGTAAAAGAAGAATAAAGTTGTAGCACTCATGTTACTCTACATAAGACTTACTATAAGTCTGCAGTGATCAAGACAGCATCATATTGGCGAAAGAACAGACACATAGATGAAAGGAACAGAATACAGAGTCCAGAAATAGTCTCATACAAATATAATCAACTCATCTTTGACAAAGGAGGAAAGACAATTCAATGGGGGAAAGAATAGACTTTTCAACAAATAGTGCTGGGAAAATTGAACATTCATGTGCAAAAAAATCAACCTAGGCACAGACTTTACATAAAAAGTAACTCAAAATGGATTATAGATCTAAATGTAATATACAAAGTTATAAAATTTTTATATAAAGAATAGAATATCCACATAACTTGGGGTTTTGTGATGAGTTTCTAATATAACAATAAAGATTGTTAAATTGTATTTTATTAAAATTAAAATGTTATGCTTTGCAAATGGAAAATGAAAAAATAAAAAGACAAACCCAAGACTGAGGGATTTTGCAAAGCACATATCTGATAAAGGCTACATATCCAAAATATGTAAAGAACTCTTAAAACTCAGTAATAAGAAAAGGAACAAACCAATTAAAAACAGGAAAAGATATAAATGAACACTTCATCAAAAAGGGATTACACAGATGGCAAATAAGCATATAAAAAGATGCTCAACATCATTTATCATTAGGGAATTGCAAAGGAAAATAATGAGATACAACTACACACCTATTAGAAAGGCTAAAATTTTTTTCCATAAGTTATTGGGGTACAGGTGGTATTTGGTTACATGAGAAAGTTTTTTAGTGGTGATTTGTGATATTTTGGTGCACCCATCACCTGAGCAGTATACACTGCACCATATTTGTAGTCTTTTATTCCTCGCCCCCCCTCCCATTCTTCCCTGCAAGTCCATTATATCATTCTTATGCCTTTGCTTCCTCATGGCTAAGCACCCACATATCAGTGAGAACACATGATGTTTGGTTTTCCATTGCTGAGTTACTTCACTTAGAATCCCATCCAGGTGACTGCAAATGCTGTTAATCCAATCTTTTTTATGGCTGCATAGTATTCCATCATACATATATACCATGGTTTCTTTATCCACTTCTTGATTGATGGGCATTTCGGTTGGTGCCACGATTTTGCAGTTGTGAATTGTGCTGCTATAAACATGTGTGCGCAAGTATCTTTTTTGAATAATGACTTCTTTTCCTCTGGATAGATACCCAGTAATGGGATTGCTGGATCAAATCATAGTTCTCCTTTTAGTTCTTTAAGGAATCTCCACAGTTTTCCATAGTGACTGTACTAGTTTACATTCCCACCAGCAGTATAGAAGTGTCCCCTGTTCACCACATCCATGCCAACATCTAATGTTTTTTGATTTTTTTATTATGGCCATTCTTGCAGGAGTAAGGTGATATTGCATTGCTGTTTTGATTTGCATTTCCCTGGTCGTTAGTGATGTTGAGCATTTTTTCATATGTTTGTTGGCCATTTGTATATCTTCTTTTGCGAATTGTCTATTCATGTCCTTAGCCCACTTTTTGATGGGATTGTTTGTTTCTTTCTTAATGATTTGTTTGAGTTCATTGTAGATTCTGGATATTAGTCCTTTGTCGACATATAGATTGTGAAGATTTTCTCCCACTCTGTGGGTTGTCTGCTTACTCTTCTGACTATTCTTTTTGACATGCAAAAGCTCTTTAGTTTAATTAGGTCCCAGCTACTTATCTTAGTTTTTATTGCATTTGCTTTTGGGTTCTTGATCATGAAATCCTTGCCTAAGCCAATGTCTAGAACGGTTTTTCCAATGTTGTCTTCTAGAATTGCTATAGTTTCAGGTCTTAGGTTTAAGTCCTTAATCCATCTTGAGTTGATTTTTGTATAAGGTGAGAGATGAAGATTCAGTTTCATTCTCCTACATGTGCTTAGTCTTGCTTTGGCTATGTAGGCTCTTTTTTGGTTCCATATGAAATTTAGAATTGTTTTTTCTAATTCTGTGAAGAATAATGGTGTTATTTTGGTGGGGATTGCATTGAATTTGTAGATTGCTTTTGGCAGTGAGGTCATTTTCACAATATTGATCTACCCATCCATGAGCATGGGATGTGTTTCCATTTGCTTGTGTCTATGATTTCTTTCAGCGGTGTTTTGTAGTTTTCTTTGTAGAGGTATTTTGACTCCTTGGTTAGGTGTATTCCTAAGTATTTTATTTTATTTTTTTTGCAGCTATTGTAAAAGGGTTTGAGTACTTGATTTGATTCTCCCCTTGGTCACTGTTGGTGTATAGAAGAGCTACTGATTTGTATACATTAATCTTGTATCTGGAAACTTTGCTGAATGCTTTTATCAGTTCTAGGAGCTTTTTGAAGGAGTCTTTAGGATTTTCAAGGTAAATGATCATATTATCAGTAAACAGTGACAGTTTGACTTCTTCTTTACCGATTTGGATGCACTTTATTTCTTGTCTGATTGCTTTGGCTAGGACTTTCAGTACTATGTTGAAGAGGAATGGTGAGAGTGAGCATCCTTGTCTTGTTCCAGTTCTCAGAGGGAATGCTTTCAACTTTTCCCCATTCAGTATTATGTTGGCTGTGGGTTTGTAATAGATGGCTTTTATTACATTAAGGTATGTCCCTTGTATGTCAATTTTGCTGAGAGTTTTAATCATAAAGAGATGCTGAATTTTGTTGAATGCCTTTTCTGCATCTTTTGAGACGATCATGTGATTTTTGTTTTTAATTCTGTTTATGGGGTGTATCACATTTATTGACTTGTGTGTGTTAAACCATCCCTGATATGAAACCCACTTGATCAAGGTGGATTATCTTTTTGATAGGTTATTGGATTCAGTTAGCTAGTATTTTGTTAAGGATCTTAGCATCTATGTTCATCAAGGATATCAGTCTGTAGTTTACTTTTTTGGTTATGTCCTTTCCTGGTTTTGGTATTAGGGTGATGCTGGCTTCATAGAATGAATTAGGAAGGGCTCCTTCTCTCTCCATCTTGTGGAATAGTGTCAGAAGGATGGGTACCAATTCTTCTATGAATGTCTGGTAGAATTCTGCTGTGAATCTATCTGGTCCTGGACTTTTTTTTCTTGGTTACTTTTAATTACCATTTCAATCTCACTGCTTATTATTGGTGTGTTCAGGGTATCTAATTTTCCTGATTTCAGCTAGTAGTGTTGTATTTTTCCAGGAATTTATCTACCTCTTCTAGGTTTTCTAGTTTATGTGTGTAAAGGTATTCATAGTAGCCTTGAATGATGTTTTGTATTTTAGTGGTGTCAGTTGTAGTATCTCCTGTTTCTTCTTAGTGAGGTATTTTTTTTTTTTTTTGAGACGGAGTTTTGTTCTTGTTGCCCAAGCTGGAATGCAATTGCATGATCTCAGCTCACTGCAACCTCTGCCTCCTAGGTTCAAGTGATTCTCCTGTCTCGGCCTCCCGAGTAGCTGGGATTACAGGTGTGTGCCACGATGCCTGGCTAATTTTTTTGTATGTTTAGCAGAAACAGGGTTTCACCATGTTAGCCAGGCTGGTCTTGAACTTCTGACCTCAGGTGATCCACCCACCTTGGCCTCCCAAAGTGCTAGCATTACAGGCGTGAGCCACCATACTCGACCTTCTCTCTTCTTTTCTTGGTTAATCTTAATGGCCTATCAATTTTATTTATCTTTTTCAAAGAACCAGCTTTTTGTTTCATTTATCTTTTGTATTTTTTTTGTTTTAATTTCATTTAGTTCTGCTCTGATCTTGGTTATTTCCTTTCTTCTGCTGGGTTTGGGTTTGGTTTGTTCCTGTTTCTCTAGTTCCTTGAGGTGTGACCTTACATTGTTAATTTGTGCTCTTTCAGTCTTTTTGATGTAGGCATTTAGGGCTATGAACTTTCCTCTTAGCACCGCCTTTGCTGTATCCCAGAGGTTTTGGTAGGTTGTGTCATTATTGTTGTTTGGTTTGAATAATTTTTAAATTTTCATATTGATTTCATTTTTAGCACAATGCTCATTCAGAAACAGGTTATTTAATTTCCATGTATTTACATGGTTTTGAAGGTTCCTCTTGGAGTTGATTTCCAGTTTCATTCCACTGTGGTCTGAGAGAGTGCTTGATATAATCAATTTTCTTAAATGTATTGTGGCTCATTTAATGGCCTATCACATGGTCTATCTTGGAGAAAGTTCCACACACTGTTGAATAGAATGTATATTCTGCAGTTGTTGGGTGAAATGTTATGTATATATCTGTTAAGTCCATTTGTTCCAAGGTATAGTTTAAATCCATTGTTTCTTTGTTGACTTTCTGTCTTGATGACCTGTCTAGTGCTGTCAGTGGAGTATTGAAGCCCCCCACTACTATTGTGTTGCTGTCTATCTCATTTCTTAAGTTTATTAGTAATTGTTTTATAAATTTGGAAGCTCCAGTGTTAGGTGCATATATGTTTATGATATTTGATTGTGATATTTCCTGTTGGACAAGGCCTTTTACCATTATATAATGTCCCTCTTTGACTTTTTTAAGTTAAAAAAACTGTTGCTTTAAAGTTTGCTTTGTCTGATATAAGAATAGCTACCCCTGCTTGCTTTAGGTGTCCATTGGCATGAAATGCCTTTTCCACCCTTTTACTTAAGTTTATGTGAGTCCTTATGTGTTAGGTAAGTCTCCTGAAGGCAGAAGATAGTTGGTTGGTGACTTCTTATCTATTCTGAGGTTCTGTATCTTTTAAGTGGAGCATTTTGGCCATTTACATTCAATGTTAGTATTGAGATGTGAGGTACTGTTGCGTTCATCATGCTCTTTGTTGCCTGTGTACTTTGGTTTTTTAATTTGTTTGTTTTTGCTTTTTAACTAGTATTTTTGTTTTATAGGTCCTGTGTGATTTATGCTTTAAACAGGTTCTGTTTTGATGAGTTTCCCGGATTTGTTTCAAGATTTAGAGCTCCTTTTAGTCGTTCTTGTAGTGGTGGCTTGGTAATGGCAAATTGTCTCAGCATTTGTTCGTCTGAAAAAAGACTGTATCTTTCCTTCATATATGATGCTTAGTTTCACTGGATACAAAATTCTTAGCTGATAATTGTTTTGTTTGAAGAGGCTGAAGATAGGGCCCCTATCCCTTCTAGCTTGTAGGGTTTCTGCTGAGAAATCTACTGTTAATCTGATAGGTTTTCCTTTATAGGTTACCTGGAGCTTCTGTCTCACAGTTCTTAAGATTCTCTCCTTCATCTTAACTTTGGATAACCTGATGACAATGTGCCTAGGCAAAGAGAAAGGCTAAAATTTTTTAAATTGACAATACCAATTGATGGCCAGTATGCAGAGCAATAAGAACTCTCATTCATTCCTGGTGGGAATGTAAAATGATACAGCTTCTTTGGAGAACAGTTTGTCAGTTTCTTACAAAACTAAACCTAGTATGCCATGTGATTGATAATTGCACTACTAGGTATTTACCCAACTCATTTGAAAGCTTATGTTACACAAAAACTTGCATGTAAATGCTTACAGCATATTTATTCATAATCGCCAAAAACTGGAAGCAACCAAGATGTCTTTCAATAGGTGAATGAATAAACAAACTGTGGTACATTTATATAATGAAATATTCAGTGATAAAATGGATTGAATTGTCAAGCCACAAAAAGACATGGATGAATCTTAAATGCAAGTTGTTAAGTGAAAGAAGCCAGTTCGAAAAAGCTACAGATTGTATGATGGCAATTGTGTGATATTCTGAAAAAGGCAAAACTATATAAAGATAATAAATAGTGGTTGTTAGATGTTTGGGGAGTATGGGAATGGGTTGTATTGGTGAAGCACAGGGGATTGTTTAAGTCAGTAAAACTATTCTGTGTGATACTATCATGGTGAATATAACACATTAAGAAGTTGTCAAACCTCATAGAATTTTACAATACAAAGAATAAACTTTAATTATGCAATTAATAATTTAGAAATTTGAGGGATTCCAGGATGGAATGTAGAATGTGACAAAACAATCTATTATAAATATATGAAGCAACCCCACCCAAAGGGAGTAAGGGACTAAGGTATTGACCTAAGCAATTTTGGAAATGAGTGGTCTGTAAGGTTAAAAGTAAAAGGAACTGCACATAAGCACTGTACTCTACTGATAAATTTTTTTCCCAGCGATGTATGGAGTAGCAATTTTAAAATCACTATACATGTACACTGGAATTGAACAATTAAGTATTAATACATAGAGGGTGAATGGTGGGAGCCAGTTTTCTCACTGTTGGAGTGGGAGATTACAGATAGGGAAGGGGAAGAGGCTAGAATGATCCATGTGGTAATGAATTAGAGTTGGAGACATCAATATAAACTCATGTTTACTTTAGTATAAATATAGAGAGTTGTACATGGAAATATTTATAGATCTATGTATATACACGGGTTTGTATACACACATATATCTCCTTGCTTTGCTTGTGCTGTTGATTGAGGGACCTACAGGCAATGACACCCTATAACACCCTAGTAGCAATGAGTATATCTAGCATCCAGATCTTGATTTCTTGATTTCTTTTTTTGTTTTGTTTTTTAAAAGACAGGGTCTTACTCTGTCATCCAAGATGAAGTGTAGTGGCATGACCATACCACTCTGCAGCCTCAAACTCCTGGGCTCAAGGAATTCTTCCACCTCAGCCTCTCGAGTAGCTGGGAATACAGGTGAGTACCACCAAGCATGGCTATCTTTTATTCATTTATTTATTTTAGAGACAAGGTCTCACCATGTTGCACAGGCTGTTCCTGGGCTCAAGCCATCCTCCTGCCTCAGCCTTCCAAAGATTACTCTGCACCCAGCCCCCAGATCTTGATTTCTCAACCATTCTCCAATGAAAGGAACCAGAAGATCCTTGGATAAATGGCAGATTTTAGGACGGGGCAGGAAATATACAAAATAAGCCCGAAGCATCTTGTAGGGCCACAAAGGTAAGGAAGTGCTAACAAACAAACCATGATCAGGAGCTACTTGACTGAAGGAGCTATTAATGGCCAAAGGTGGAGCAGGGTTTGAGGAACAAAATAATGTTGAATTATAACCCAAAGTACAAAATAAACATCTACAAGTCCACACTGATATAAATAAATGATTGAATAAATAAAGAGAATAGACACATTTTCTGTACTAAAGAACTCCAAATAGTTTATGTAAATATTCCCCTCAATGAGGTGGAGCTTACACTTATAAGTGGGAGCTGAGTGATGAGAACACATAGATACGTGGGGAGAACAACACAAACCAGGGCCTTTTGGGGGAGGTCGGGGGAGGGACAGCATCAGGAAGAATAGCTAATGGACGCTGGGTTTAATACCCAGGTGATGAGTTGATCTGTGCAGCAAACCACCATGGCACACGTTTACCTATGTAACAAAACTGCACATCCTGCACATGTACCCCAGAACTTAAAATAAAAGTTGAAGAATAAATAAATAAATAAGAGGTGGAGCTTAACTATTTAACTCTTGAGTATGGGTTAAGCCTAGTAACTTACTTCCAAAGAGTACAGTAGGAAGAGGGAGGAATAAATGAGTAGCTTTACATTGGAGAAACCTGACAAACACTACCTCAGCCAGACGATCAAGGTCATCAGCAGTGATAAGTAGTCTTATTGATAGTATAGAGTCTTGACATGATATAATGAGAAAAGAAGGGCACTTCATCTCTGTGGTTTTCCTCCCCAAATCCCATAACACCAAACTAAACATGAGAAAAACATCAATAAATCCCAAATGATGGATATTCTACAAAATGCCTGACCAGTATTCCTCAAAACTGTTAAAGTCATCAAAAACAAGGAAAGTCTGAAAAACTGTCACAGCCAAGAAGATCCTAAGGAGACATGATGTGGTGGATGGATGCAGGAACAAGTAAAGGACATTAGGGACAAGCTGAAACAATCCAAATAGAGCATGACTTTAATTAATAATAATGCATCAATATTGGTTCATTAATTGTGACAAATGTGCCATACAAATGTAAGATATTAATAATAGGAGACACTGGGTGTGGGGTGTACGGTAACTTTCCGTACTGTCTTTGCAATAAATTTGTAAATCTAAAACTATCCTAAAATAAAAAGTTTATTTTTAAAAATGTGTATTGATCCCACCTATTTCCATAGCAGCTATTTCTAGGAAAGAAGGAAGGAAGGGAGGGTGGGAGGGAAGAGTTAGAACAAGACTTCATTATCTTGAGTAAGTACTAATTGCTATAATGCTAAGCATCTTAGACATACTTAGCTGTGGATTATGGATTAAAATTACACTGCTTTATTTTTCCAGCAAGCTTGGTGTTACTAATAAGGTTCACAGAGTTTGCGTTGTTCTCTTAGGAAGTAAAAGAAACACAGAGCCCATTAACTAGTTGGGTTTTTCAGCCATAATGCTCAGAGGAGGCAAACGTTGGGAGAGCAGTAGGGATATGGGGAGACTTTTACAATTTACAGCTCAAAGAGATGCAAAAATATTCATTGTTAATAGCTTCTGCTGGGAGTTCAGCAACCCCAAAAAGAAAAGGAGTATTGACTTGTTTGTCTGTGGAGGCCACTTGCCTGCTTCATAATTGTTTTTGAAGGGGCCAGTAAGTGCCCCATGAATCCATCTTGGCATTTGCACAGTGATATCTTGGGTGAGCTATGTTAAATAGGATATGAAAATGGTCATACCTATATGCAGTTTTTTTAAAGTTGCAAATGATGAATAAATGAAAGGAAAGGAAAATCTGAGTTAAAGTGTGAAGAGTTTATCTGAACAGAGTTTAAGTCAAAATAAGGTTCATATGAGACTAGGTCTTCAAAACTCAATTTAGCTCTGTGCCTCCCACCAACCTCCCTCTCTACCTTTTTCCCTTCCTAACATCCACCAACAGCATCACGAATTTTCTAAACTTAACAAGAAGCTGGAAGCTTCCTTAATTTGGAGCAAAGTAATGAAGTCATTGTGTATTATGTGGTCCTAGAACCTTGTTCTTTCACTGCTCTGCTATTGGATAATCCTCTTGTCCTCCATAAATGCCCTTGAACTTGCCTTAGAAGGTGCACATTACAATTAAAGCAGGGTTATTGGCAGAATAATAATAGTAAATACATATAACACTTACTATGTGCCAGGCTCTCTTTTGAGCATTTTCCATAGATTACACTACTGTAATCATCTTCATAACTCTATCAGATATGTGTAGTCTTCTTTATCACCAGTATATACGAGGAAACTGAGGCACAAAGGCCATCTTTGAGGTTTTTAAGACTCCTCACCTGCGCCACAAATATGTAACAGGCCCCCAGTAAGTCTTGGGTTTATCGTTAAGGAACGTAATTCGGTTTGTTATGAGTGTTTGCCTCATTCTCCACTGTTTCTCTTCCTAAAGCTGGCGTTTCTGGCCTTCGAAGGCCATTCCCTTTCCATGTGAAGACGGGTGGGGTCCTTTAGGGTATCAGCGGCGCCGGGCATTTCCTCCCATCGGCACATCCCCACATACTCCCCGCGGACAAAGCCGCCTGCTGCTCAGTGTCTTTCTGTTCTACACGGCTTGCTTTAGCCCTCCTTGCAGACCCGCCCCACCTTCACCCTCTGTCGGTCTCTTTCCCCGGGTTTGTTGGGGGACGTCATCATCAAGTTCAGCACCATTACTGCAGGACTCCAGATCTTTGGAATTGCCTTTATTTAGCACACTAGATTCCCCTCTCCATCTCTAGTCTTCCAGAAGGAGACAGTCTACAGTCTTTTTTATGAACTTAATCTTGTTTCTTTCTGGCCTCCGTGACCTTGATATTTGGCCTCTGCAGCCAGTTCCGAACCGTGCTGAAGTATCACTCAAATTGCCTTTATTCGTTGATTACTCTTCTTGCTATTTCTTTAAGAATCCTACACTGTAGTTTTGTTTAGGCTCAATAACGCATTTGAATAACATAGATCCAAATGGAACCGGAATTACAGAAATTAAAAATAAAAATGTGCCACTAAAGCACCCTTTTTTGTCCCATTACACATTTTAAACATAAGCATATTTTAACGGAGTATTTATTAACAAAATATGTTTTGACCAGCACATATTGTATGCACAAATGTTACTGCCCTTGGAAGAAGTTACACAGGAGGCATGAAGATGTATTTAACAGTATCAGGTGAGGCCTGTGATTCATACCAAAGTAAAATAAATCATAAATGATGCAAAGGTGACTCAGTACCAATTAATAGTATGTAAAATACTCTGAAAAACATAAAATATTGGTCTGGGATGTGTAAGAAGCAAAATCACCCTAACCCGAAATTATTTTAGTAAAGAACAGTTTTTTTTTTCATTCTACATAAAAGATTAAACATTTACTTGAGAATGCTGTTTGCTCTCAGCTAATTAATCAAGAGTTGTAAATGTCCTATTTTGACAGCAGGAAGGGGTTTTGAATAAAGATAGGAGAAGAAATGAAGAGCAAAAAATCTATCTATTGAGTATGGAGAGTTATTTAGGGGCCATAACGGAGTCACCAAGAGGGAAGAAAGGGAGGGGAAAACTTGCTCAGACTTCAGATGTTGCCAAGGGTTGTCCTAATGCTGTTGACTCACGGTAGTAACTACCTTTTACCAAAATTCTTTTTGTGTGCTAAATATTGTTGCTTATATTTTCTATAACTTCGCAACAATCCCCATATTATAGGTGAGAATACTGACATCCAGAAAGGTTAAGTAACTTGTCCGGGCACACAAAGCTAGCAGGTGGCAGAGATGGGATTAGAACTCAGGCCCAGCTCACTTAGTAGAGCACATCCAAAGTGTGGAGCAGGGGATTTTGGTGACATGTGACTGTGCATATAGTCATCTTTTCTATAATTTGTGAAGATGAATTTTTATTAAAAAAACATTTTAAAAAGTAATGCATGTTTGTTATGTAAAATTCAAACATGCAAACAAACAGAAAATAAGGAAATGTAAACCCCTCCCAAAACCCCACTACCTAGAGCCAGCCAATCTTGGTAGCTTCATATCCATTCTTATGGTCTGTAAGCACACATGTATAAATCAAAGAGCATGCACATTTTTAAAGCTTTATTTATGGACTGCCAAATTGCCAGGTAAATTGATTTAGCATAGTATACTATAGTAAAATGACTTTATTATTGAGGCATTTGTAAATAGAGGTATCTCTGAATCACAGTCAAATTTCTGCAATATCTCAGAAATTTCCATCTAAAGAAAGCTACAAGATTTGAGCACATACGAATTTTTGTGCTTAAATAACAACTAGTTAGAATTTATCGTGTAGGAGAAGACCACCTTCACAATAGCAACAATAGCATTAAAAAAGCACAGGATTATATTTACCAAGAAGTATCAAAAATTTATGTGAAGAATAATTTAAGTCACTTTTGAAGTACACAAAAGAAATGATTAGAAAAACAACTCATCTTCTTGGTTAGGAAAACTCAATTTACACCAGATATACATTCTCTTTAAGTTTGTTCATAAATTCAATGTGATAGCAATACAAATTGCAGCATATTTTATTTACTTATTTATTTTTTGTGATGTTGGTAAAAAGTAGACAAGGTCACTGTAAAGCTCATATGGAAAAATTTTAAAAAAAGCTAAAGTAACCAGGAAAATTTAGTCAAGTGATAAAGTAGTGAAGACCATCTCTACCATCATAAAAACCTCAATATTAAAACAATGTAATATTAATGCATAGATATTATATTAAGACAAGCAAAAGGAACAGAAATAGACTCAACTACATACAACAGTTTAATATATGATACAAGTAGCCTCTCAAATCAGTGCTGAAAAATAGATATTCAACAAAATATTTTGGAAAAGCTTGGTAACCATCTGGAAAACAATAACGTTTGATTTATAACCTACACAATCTACTGGCATAAATTCTAAATAGATCAAGGATGTAAACGAAACACTGTAAGTGCTAGAAGAAAACATGGAGAAATTATTTGATCATCTCGGATTGGGAAGGGTCTTTTAAACGTCCAAATCCAGAAACAATAACATTAAAAACTGATACACTTGCCTACCTAAAAAGCAAACATTTCTGCTTGAAAAAGTAATCATCAATTCCAAAAGCATATGAAAAACTAAGAAAAAAAGTGCGATTTATGTCACCAACAGAGGTGACTCCTCATTATAATTATTCATGTAAATCCCTGAAACAATTCGACTTCACTAAGGATCAGGTATATAAAGCAAATAAAGAAGCGGCAAAACAAAACTTTCTGGCCATTTTAGAAGGCAAAATACCATATGATTAGGCAATCATTTGGCAAACAAAGCCAATATTTCATCCAAATAAAAAAAGCATATTAACCAAACCAACAACTTTGAAGACCACTTAACAGGGACACGAAATAACCTCAGTCTTTCTGAAAACATTAAATATTTCTATCTTAAACAACACCATTCCCACTGTGGTTGTGGCTTTCCTTTATTCTGGCTCTCTCACCTAGAATTATGCTGAACATGAAAAGCCCTCTGACCATGCTCAGAATTGGGCTAAAATTCTAGGCTGTGATATATTCTTGTGGACAGAGCCTGAAACTGGCCATACATCCTCACTCCTCTGCCCTAAGGTCCCGTTTTGTACCCCAAGTAGTATTGGAAGTGTGGGAATGACTTGTGTGGGCCTGGAGCTAGGTTTAGGCTGACCTGCGGGCAATAACAGCCACAGCCTTCCCAGGAGACTCCTGGTCTTCACACTGCTGCAGCCTGGTTAAATTTCTCCAAGTCATTTGGAAAATGGTCACAAATCAGGAATGTTTAACTGGTCCCAAGTGGTAAAGGACCACAGGTTTCTGGCTGTGCTTTGAAAAACCTTACCACAGCGAGGATTATAAGTCAATCCAGCTGCCAACTGAGGAAAATTCCATTAAATTATGTTCACTGGAATACGGGCATATTATTTGGCGCGTTATCATTTGTTTTGTTTTTCAGTACATTTAAATTCACTTAGAAAATATATAGCTCTTGTCTAAATACATTTTGATTAAAATTAGAGTTAAATTGATGCTAACTGAACAAAAATTGTTTATTTGTGATGTATTCTGTGTATGCAAGTAGCCCTTATTTGAGAAGAAGAAAAAAAGAAAGAAAGGAAGAAAGAAGAGGAAACTATGAAAACAAGAGAAACACATATAACCAAGTGATGCATTTAGCACAAAGGGGAGATTTTTTTCAATAAACTATCACAGTAAACTTGCTTCTGCCTCTGGCAAAATCTATTGATCAAACCTTTGGTTCACTGTTGGCTTGGAAATCAAATATAAGTGTGTTGCTGTTTCTAGCCCAACCTGAAATGGATGCTCAAAGTATTATTTCTCAGTCGTATAAACTATAGCTAGGAGTGACTGCTGGAACACAGTGCCGGGAATGCTGTCTTTCTGGGCATCTGGAAACATATTTAATTTTCTATCCAAAGACATGTCTAAGAATTTATCCATGTTTACTCCAATGATGATTTTTAATGGATATATTTTAAAGGATACAAATAGTGAGGACAAAACAGTGTAGATGCCAAAGTAGGGCCCTGGTAATTTTAGTCTCCCAGGACTGCTCTCTATGCCACTTGAGTCCCTCCCTTGATTCCTGAAATTTCCAGAGTCCTCATGACATCCCCCATTACGTTCATTCTTCTCAACCAGTACATGAGGTTAAATGCTTCAGGAATGTGAAGATGCAAATAACCAAGGACAAAAGAGATTGTTAGCTCCTTGAGCATTACACTTAGGATTATACCTATAACTAGATGAATAAAACCAGGTCAGCTCTGCCGGGCGCGGTGGCTCACGCCTGTAATCCCGGCACTTTGGGAGGCCGAGGTGGGCGGATCACCAGATCAGGAGATCGAGACCATCCTGGCTAACACGCTGAAACCCCGTCTCTACTAAAAATACAAAAAAATTAGCTGGGTGTGGTGGCGGGTGCCTGTAGTCCCAGCTAATGGGGAGGCTGAGGCAGGAGAATGGCGTGAACCCAGAAGGCGGAGCTTGCAGTGAGCTGAGATCGCGCCACTGCACTCCAGCCTGGGCGACAGGGCGAGACTCCGTTTCAAAAAAAAAAAAAAGAGAGACTTGAAACTCCATTATAGCTAACCATTTATCACACTTACACAAAAATTCATTAATTCAATCATTTATCCATCCGTTAATTCGTTTGATGACTGTAGAGAGCATCAACTATGTACCAGGCGTGATTCAAAGATAAACTGGTAGGCAAAACACTCTTAGATATGGCATATTGTGAAATAATGGCTGAAAACTCCCCAAATTTGGCAAAAGACACCAAGAAGTTGAATAAATCCAAAATAGGATAATCTCAAATAAATATATGTCCTGACATATTATAATTAAACTTTTGAAAACTAAAGGAAAAAAAAAAATCTTGAAAGCAGTCCAAGAAAAATAATACATTATATGTATAGGAACACCACTTTGAATGGCAAGGGATTTCTTATCTGAAATCACGGAGGCCTCAATGCCAACTGTGAATTCTACATCCAGCAAAATGACCATTCAGAAATGAAGGGAAAATAAAAATGATCTTAAATAAAAGAAAACTAAGAAAACCTGTTAGAAGTCTTATCCATAAAAAATTGACTAAAGGAGGTTCTTCAAACAGACAGGAAATGGTAAAAGAAGGAACTGTAGAGTCTCAGGAACAGCAGAAGAGCAGGAATATAGGTAATAAAATAGACTATGCTTTCTCTGATGAGTTTTATAAATCGAGTTTAATGATTGAAACAAAATTTTTAGCACAATATGATACTCAAGGCAATAATATTTATAAGTGGTGAAGGTAAAAGAACCTGAATTGAAGTGAGATTTCCACACTTCATGTAAAGTGGCAAAATGCTGATTAAAAAGTAGATTGTTACAAGTCACATACGTGTATATTAATACTCAGAGCAATCACTACAAAACTATAAAGAGACATACACCCAAAAATACTAACATAAGTAAAAAAGAATCTTAACACTGTTACACACACACACACACACACACACTGAACAAAGAGAAAAGAGACCTAATGGAGATAGAAAACAAACAATAAAATGGGAAACTTAATTAAGCACTAACATATCAAGAATTACCTTAAATATAAATTATGAAAATATAACAATCAAAGAACAGAGACGGGCAGAGGGGATTAAAAAGAAACATAGCCCAACTATATTCTACTTTTAAGAAACTCACTTCAAATTTAGTGACATAGGTAGGTTGAAAGTAAAAGAATGCAAAAAAGATAAACCATACAGATGCTAATGTAAAAAAGAAGTGGCTATATTAATATCTGATAAAGCAACTTCAGATCAAATAAAAATTACTAGAGAAAAAGAGTGACATTATACAATGATAGAAAGATCTGTCCACCAGGAAGCCATAACAAACCTGAGTGCACATGCACTAAACAAAAGAACCTCACAAGGCATGAAGCAAAAAGTGATAGAGCTGAAAGGAGAAATAGACAAATTGATAAATATAGTTGGAGATTTCAACACTCCTATCCCAATGGCTGATAGAATAACTACATGGAAAATCAATAAGAATATACAAGAATTCAATAACACCATCAGCCAACAGAATCTAGTGGGCATTTAGAGAGCACCCCACTCAACAAAAGCAGGTACACAATCTTCCCAAGTGTGCATGGAATATATAGTAAAATAAACCACATCCTGGGCTATAAGACAAAAATTAATAAATTTAAAAGAATTGAAATGATACAGTGTTTTCTCTGACCTTGATGTAATTAATCTAGAAATAACAGAATGACAACAGGAAAATGTGCAAACACTTGGAAATGAAACAAACCACTTCTAAATAATCCATGGGTCAAAGATGAAATCTTGAGGGAAATTGAAAAATATATTGAACTGAATGAAAAGAAAAATAAATGTCAAGATTTGTGGGGCATAGCTAAAGCAGTGCAGAGGGAAATTTATAGCATTAAATACTAACATTAGAAAAGAGGAAACATCTTACATGAATAATCTAAACTTCCATCTCAAGAATCTAGAAAAATAACAGGAAAATAACCCCAAAGCAAGCAGAAGGAAGAAAATGATAGAGAAATCAATAAAATTGAAAACAGAAGAATAATAGAAAAATTAACAAAATGAAGAGCTTACTTTTCAAAAAGATCACTAAAATTGACAAACATCTAGCAAGACTCACAAAGAAAAAAAGAGAGAAGATACCAATTACCAATATCAAGAATGAAACAAGGCATATAACTGTAGACTCTGCAAACATTTAAAAAAATGGAAATGCTATGAACAACTTTATAGGCATAAATTTGACAGCTTAGATAAAACAGATCAATTCTTCAAAAATACACAAACTATCATAACTAACCCAACATGAAACAGAAAATTCAAATAGCCCTATAACTATTTAGAAAATTGGATCTGTAATTTTAAAATCTTCCCAGAAGAAATCTCCAGGCCTAGATGATTTCACTGGAGAATAATACCAAATATTTAAAGGAGAATTAATGCCAATTCTACACAACTTTTTCTAGAAAATGAAAGACTAGGCAATACTTTCCAATTCATTTTATAAAGCTAGTATTACCATGAGATTAAAAGCAGACAAAGACTATAAAAAAGAAAACTACTGACCAATATCATGAATGAATGTAGACACAAAATCCTCAACACAATAGTAGCAAACAGAATTCAGCAATATATAAAAAGAATTATACCATGATCAAGTGGGGCTTATTTCAGGTGTGCAAGCCTGGTTCAGTTCTCAAATATGAAGGTAATGAATGTAATCCACCATATTAACAGCTAAAGAATAAAGATCATAGGATCAAATCAATTGATGCAGATAAAGTATTTGAAAAAATTCACCATACATTCATGATAAAAACTCTCAGAAAAATGGGAATACAGAGGAACTTCCTCAACTTGGTAAAAGACATCTACAGAAAACCATAGCTAGCATTATACTCAAGGGTGAAAACTTGAATGCACTACCCGCTAAGATCAAGAACAAGGTGAGAATGTCCACTCACATCACTCTTATTCATGTAGTGCTGGTAGTTCTAGCTAGTTCAATAAAACAAGAAAAGGAAATAACAGTTGCACAAATTATAAAGGAAGAAAAAAAGCAGCCCCTATTTGCAGATTACATGATTATCTACACAGAAAATCCCAAGACATCTACAAAACAAAAACAACCAAACAAAAAGACCCCTACAAAATTCCTAGAACTAATAGTGAGTGCTATTACAGGATACTAGGTAAACATGAAAAACCCAATTGTACTTCTATGTACTAGCAATGAATGCTAAAATATAACACAGGCATACCTTGTTTTTTTATACTTCACTAAATTGCACTTCACAGATATTGCATTTTTACAAATTCAAGGTTTGTGGCAACCCTACATGAAGCAAGTTGATTGGTGCTATTTTTCCAAAAGTACATGCTCACTTCATGTCTCCTTATGTCATTACATTTTAGTAATTCTTGCAATATTTTAAATGTTTTTATAATTATTGTCTGTTATGGTGATCTGTGGTCAGTGATGTTTAATGTTACTCTTACGATTGTGTTGGGGTGCCACAAACAATGCCCATATAAGACGGAGAACTTAATAAATGTTGTCTATATTCTGACTGCTCCACTGATCGGCCATTGCCTGGTATCTCTCCCTCTTTTCAGGCCTCCCTCTTCCCTGAGACATGATAATTTTGAAATTAGGTTAATTAATAACCATACAATGGCCTCTAAGTGTTAAAGTGAAAGAAAGAGAGTCATGTGTCTCACTTTATATCAAAAGCTAGAAATGATTAAGCTTAGTGAGAAAAGCATGTCAAAAGTCAAGATAAGCTGAAAACTAGACCTCTTGCACCAAACAGCCAAGTTGTGAGTGCAAAGGAAAAGTTCTTGAAGGAAATTGCAAGTGCTACTCCAGTGAACACACAAATGATAAGAAAGTAAAACAGCCTTATTGGTGATATGGAGAAAATTTGAGTTGTCTGGGTAGAAGTTCAAACCAGCCACAACATTTCCTTAAGCCAAAGTCTAAACCAGAGCAAAGCCCTAACTCTTTTTAATTCTATGAAGGCTGAGAGAGGTGAGGCAGCTGCAGAATAAAAGTTTGAAGCTAGCAAAGGTTAATTCATAGGCTTAAGGAAAGAAGTCATCTCATAACATAAAAGTGAAAGGTAAAGCAGCAAGTGCTGATGGAGAAGCTACAGCAAATTATCCAGAAGATCTAGCTAGGATTGTTGATGAATCTGACTACCCTAAACAACATATTTTCAATGTTTGTGAAACAGCATTCTATTGGAAGGTGTCATCTAAAATTTTCATAGCTAGAGAGAAGTCAATGCCTGGCTTCAAAGCTTCAAAGAATTCTTTGAAGGGGCTCTTGTGAGGGGATAACGCAGCTAGTGACTTTATGTTAAAGCCAGTGCTCATTTACCATTGTGAAAATCCTAGGGTCCTTAAGAATTGTGCAAAATCTACTCTGCCTGTGCTCTATAAATGGAGAAACAAAGCCTGGATGACAACACATCTGTTTACAGCATGGCTTACTGAATATTTTAAACCCACTGTTGAGACCTATTGCTCAGAAAAAAGATCCCTTTCAAAATATTACTGCTCACTTACAATGCACCTGATAACCCAAGAGCTCTGATGGAGATGTACAAGGAGGTTCATGTTATTTTCATGCCTTCTGACAGTACATCTACTCTGCAGTCCATGGATCAAGAAGTAATTTTGACTTTCAAGTCCTATTATTTAAAAGCTACATTTTATAAGGTGATAGCTGCTTCTGATTCTCTGATCTGGCAAAGTAAGTTGAAAACCTTTTGGAAAGAATTCACCATTTTAATATCACATGAGAGTTGGAATTAACTTCTTTCAAACTTCTGTTAATGTGATGTTAACTCTTGATGATTAAACTCCTGTTAATATCAGGAGTTAATATCACATTAACGGGACTGTGAAAGAAGTTAATTCCAACTTTCATGGATGACTTTGAGGGGTTCAAGACTTCAATAAAGGACATAACTGCAGATGTAGTTGAGATAGCAAGAAAACTAGAATTAGAAGTGAAGCCTGAAAATGTAATTGAATTACTGCCATATAGTAATAAAACTTTAATGGATAAAGAGTTGCTTCTTATGAGTGGTCAAATAAAGTTGTTTCTTGAGATGAAATCTACTTCTGGTGAAGATGCTGTGAACATTGTTGAATTGACAATAAAAGATTTAGAATATTATATAAACAGTTGATAAAGTAGGAGCAGGGATGGAGAAAGGATTGACTCCAATTTTGAAAGCTCTACTCTGTGTAAAATGCTATCAAACAGCATCACATACTACAGAGAAATATTTCATGAAAGGAAGAATTAATCAATGTGGCAAACTTCTTTGTTGTCTTATTTTAAGAAATTGTCACAGCCACCCCAACGTTCAGCAACCACCACCCTGACCAGTCAGCAGCTATTAACATTGAGGCAAGATCCTCCATCAGCAAAAAGATTATAACTCACTAAAGACTCAGATGATTGTAAGCATTTTTAAGTAATAAAGTATTTTTAAATTATGGTGTGGACATTTTTTAGAAATAATGCTATTGCATACTTACTAGACTACAGTACAGTGTAGTCTAGTACTTTTGTATGCACTGGGAAGGCAAAAACCTTGTTTAACTCACTTTATTGTGATATTTACTTTATTGTGGTAGTCTGGAACTCAACCCACAATATCTCAGAGGTATGCCTGTACCATTAATCATTGCTCTAAAAAAAATGAAGTACTTATATGTGACTCTAAAAAAAATACACAGGAGGCTGGGCGTGGTGGCTTACGCCTGTAATCCCAGCACTTTGGGAGGCGGAGGTGGGCGGATCACCTGAAGTCAGGAGTTCGTGACCAGCCTGGTCAACACAGTGAAACTCCGTCTCTACTAAAAATACAAAAGTTAGCCAGAGATGGTGGCGGGGGCTTGTAATCCCAGCGACCTGGGAGGCTGTGGCAGGAGAATCGCTTGAACCCCAGAGGCAGAGGTTGCAGTGAGCCAAGATTGCACCACTGCACTTCAGCCTGGGTGACAAGAGTGAAACTCTGCCTCAGAAAACAAACAAACAAACAGACAAACAAAAAAACAGAGGACTTGTATGCTGAAAAACACAAAATGCTTATGAAAGAAATGGCAGTAGACCTATATAAATGGAGAGACATGTCATGTTCATGTATTGGAAAACTTAATAAAAATACAAGTTTTAATAGAAGGATGGTTACCAGAGGCTGGGAAGTGTAGTGGGGAGGGGCAGTGGGGGGAGGTGGGGACGGTTAATGGATACCAAAAAAAAAAAAAAAATAGAAAGAATGAATAAGACCCAGTATTTGGTAGCACAACAGAGAGACTGTAGTCAATAATAATTTAATTGTACATTTAAAAATAACTAAGAGTATCATTGTATTGTTTGTAACATAAAGGATAAATGCTTGAGGTCATAGATACCCAATTTTCCATGATGTGATTATTATTCTTTGCATGCTTGTACCAAAATATCTCACGTACCTCATGAGATATTTTGTGGGTTCTACATACCCACAAAAACTAAAAAAAATTAAATGTCAGTTCTGCTCAAATTGATACACAGATTTAATATCATTCCTATGAAAGTCTCATGAGATTTTTTTCTAGATACAGACAATATTATTCTAAAATGTGTATGGAAATGTAAATGAACTGCAATGACTAAAATTTTCAAAAAAAGAATACAGTTGGAGAAAACAGTCTATCTGACTTTAAGACTTATCATCTAGCTGTACAGTAATCAAGACTGTGGTATTGGTAAAGGGACAGACACAGAACAGCAGAACAGAGCAGAGAATCCAGAAATAGAGCCACACAAATACACCCAGCTGACTTTTGACAAAGGTGCAAAAATAATTCAATGGAGAAATGAGAGCCTTTTCAACAAATGTTGCTGGAGTAGGTGGACATCCACAGGCAAAAAAGATGAATCTCAACCTAAATCTCACACCTTATACAAAAATTAACTCAAAGTAAATCAGTAATTAAATGTAAAATATAAAATTATAAAACTTTTAGAGAAAACTAGGAGAAAATTTGGGGGATCTGGGGCTAGAAAATAGTTCTTTTTTATTTGAGACTGAGTCTTACTCCATTGCCCAGGCTGGAGTGCAGTGGCGTCATCTCCACTCACTGCAGCGTCCGCCTCCCAGGTTCAAGCAATTCTCGTGCCTCAGCCTCCCAAGTAGCTGGAATTAAAGGCATGTGCCACCACATCAGGCTAATTTTGTATTTTTAGTAGAGATGGGGTTTTGCCATGTTGGCCAGGTTGGTCTCTAACTCCCACCTGCCTCGGCCTCCCAAAGTTCTGGGATTACAGGCGTGAGCCACCACACCTGGCCTAGCAAAGAGTTCTTAGACATTGATACCAAAAGAACAATCCACAAAAGGAAAAACTGATAAATTGGCCTTCATCAAAATTTAAAACTTTTGGGGGAGGTTCCAAGATGGCCGAATAGGAACAGCTCCAGTCTGCAGCTCCCAGTGTGAGCGATGCAGAAGATGGGTGATTTCTGCATTTCCAACTGAGGTACCAGGTTCATCTCACTGAGGCTTGTTGGACAGTGGGTGCAGGACAGTGGGTGCAGCCCACGGAACATGAGCCAAAGCAGGGCAAGGCATCACCTCACCCAGGAAGTGCAAGGGGTCAGGGAATTCCCTTTCCTAGCCAAGGGAAGCCATGACAGATGGCACCTGGAAAATCGGGTCACTCCCACCCTAATACTGCGCTTTTCCAATGGTCTTAGCAAATGGCATACCAGGAGATTATATCCCATGCCTGGCTCAGAGGGTCTCATGCCCACGGAGCCTCACTCACTGCTGGCACAGCAGTCTGAGATTAAACTGCAAGGCAGCAGCGAGGCTAGGGGAGCAGCGCCCACCATTGCTAAGGCTTGAGTAGGTAAACAAAGAGGCCGGGAAGCTCAAACTGGGTGGAGCCCACTGCAGCTCAAGGAGGCCTGCCTGCCTCTGTAGACTCCACCTCTGGGGGCAGGGCATAGCTGAACATAAGGCAGCAGAAACTTCTGCAGACTTAAAAAGTCCCTGTCTGACAGATTTGAAGAGAGTAGTGGTTCTCTCAGCATGGAGTTTGAGATCTGAGAATGGACAGACTGCCTCCTCAAGTGGGTCCCTGACCCCTGAGTAGCCTAAATGGGAGGCACCTCCCAGTGAGGGCCAACTGACACCTCATACGGCCGGGTGCCCCTCTGAGACGAAGCTTCCAGAGGAATGATCAGGCAGCAACATATGCTTTTCTGCAATATTTGCTGTTCTGCAGCCTCCACTGGTGATACCCAAGCGAACAGGGTCAGGAGTGGACCTCCAGCAAACTCCAACAGAGCTGCAGCTGAGGGTCCTGACTGTTAGAAGGAAAACTAACAAACAGAAAGGACATCCACACCAAAACCCCATCTGTATGTCATCATCATCAAAGACCAAAGGTAGATAAAAGCACAAAGATGGGGAGAAACCAGAGTAGAAAAGCTGAAAATTCTAAAAATGAGAGTGCCTCTTCTCCTCCAAATGAACGCAGCTCCTTGCCAGCAATGGAACAAAGCTGGATGGAGAATGACTTTGACGAGTTGAGAGAAGAAGGCTTCAGACGATAGTTAATAACAAACGTCTCTGAGCCAAAGGAGGATGTTCGAACCCATCGCAAGGAAGCTAAAAACCTTGAAAAAAGATTAGATGAATGGCTAACTAGAATAAACAGCATAGAGAAGACCTTAAATGACCTGATGGAGCTGAAAACCATGGCACAAGAACTACGTGAAGCATGCACAAGCTTCAGTAGCTGATTCGATCAAATGGAAGAAGGGGTATCAGTGATTGAAGGTCAAATGAATGAAATGAAGTGAGAAGAGAAGTTTAGAGAAAAAAGAGTAAAAAGAAATGAACAAAGCCTCCAAGAAATATGGGACTATGTGAAAAGACCAAATCTACGTCTGATTGGTGTACCTGAAAGTGACGGGGAGAATGGAACCAAGTTGGAGAACACTCTGCAGGTTATTATCCAGGAGAACTTCCCCAACCTAGTGAGGCAGGCCAACATTCAAATTCAGGAAATATAGAGAACGCCACAAAGATACTCCTCAAGAAGAGCAACTCCAAGACACATAATTGTCAGACCCACCAAAGTTGAAATGAAGGAAAAAATGTTAAGGGTAGCCAGAGAGAAAGGTCAGGTTACCCACAAACGGAAGCCCATCAGACTAAAAATGGATCTCTCAGCAGACACACTACAAGCCAGAAGAGAGTGGGGGCCAATATTCAACGTTCTTAAAGAAAAGAATTTTCAACCCAGAATTTCATATCCAGCCAAACTAAGCTTCATTAGCAAAGGAGAAATATAATCCTTCACAGACAAGCAAATGTTGAGATATTTTATCACCACTAGGCCTGCCTTACAAGAGCTCCTGAAGGAAGCACTAAACATGGAAAGGAACAACCGGTACCAGCCACTGCAAAAACATGCCAAATTGTAAAGACCATCAATGCTAGGAAGAAACTGCAACAACTAATGAGTAAAACAACCAGCTACCATCATAATGACAGGATCAAATTTACACATAACAATATTAACCTTAAATCTAAATGGGCTAAATGCTCCAATTAAAAGACACAGACTGGCAAATTGGATAAAGAGTCAAGATCCATCAGTGTGCTGTATTCAGGAATCCTATCTCACATGCAGAGACACACATAGGCTCAAAATAAAGGGATGGAGGAAGATCTACCAAGCAAATGGAAAACAACAACAACAAAAAAGCAGGGGTTGCAATCCTAGTCTCTGATAAAACAGACTTTAAACCAACAAAGATCAAAAGAGACAAAGAAGGCCATTACATAATGGTAAAGGGATCAATTCAACAAGAAGAACTAACTATCCTAAATATATATGCACCCAATACAGGAGCACTCAGATTCATAAAGCAAGTCCTTAGAGACCTACAAAGAGACTTAGACTCCCACACAATAATAATGGGAGACTTTAACACCCCACTGTCACCATTAGACAGATCAACGAGACAGAAAGTTAACAAGGATACCTAGGAATTGAACTCAGCTCTGCACCAAGCGGACCTAATAGACATCTACAGAACTCTCCACCCCAAATCAACAGAATATACATTCTTCTCAGCACCACATTGCACTTATTCCAAAATTGACCACATAGTTGGAAGTAAAGCACTCCTCAGCAAATGTAAAAGAACAGAAATTATAACAAACGCTCTCTCAGACCACAGTGCAATCAGATTAGAACTCAGGGTTAAGAAACTCACTCAAAACCGCTCAACTACATGGAAACTGAACAACCTGCTTCTGAATGACAACTGGGTACATAATTAAATGAAGGCAGGAATAAAGATGTTCTTTGAAACCAATGAGAACAAAGACACAACATACCAGAATCTCTGGGACACATTTAAAGCAGTGTGTAGAGGGAAATTTATAGCACTAAATGCCCACAAGAGACAGGAGGAAAGATCTAAAATTGACACCCTAACATCACAATTAAAAGAACTAGAGAAGGAAGAGCAAACACATTCAAAAGCTAGCAGAAGGCAAGAGATAACTAAGATCAGAGCAGAACTGAAGGAGATAGGGACACAAAAAACCCTTCAAAAAATCAATGAATCCAGGAGCTGGTTTTTTGAAAAGATCAACAAAATTGATAGACCGCTAGCAAGACTAATAAAGAAGAAAAGAGAGAAGAATCAAATAGATGCAATAAAAAATGATAAAGGGGATATCACCACCAATCCCACAGAAATACAAACTACCGTCAGAGAATACTATAAACACCTCTATGGAAATAAACTAGAAAATCTAGAAGAAATGGATAAATTCCTGGACCCATACACCCTCCCAAGAATAAACCAGGAAGAAGTTGAATCCCTGAATAGACCAATAACAGGCTCTGAAATTGAGGCAATAATTAATAGCCTACCAACCAAAAAAAGTCCACAACCAGATGGATTCACAGCCGAATTCTACCAGAGGTACAAAGGGGAGCTGGTACCATTCCTTCTGAAACTATTACAATCAATAGAAAAAGAGGGAATCCTCCCTAACTCATTTTATGATGCCAGCATCATCCTGATACCAAAGCCTGGCAGAGACACAACAAAAAAAGAGAATTTTAGACCAATATCCCTGATGAACATCGATGCAAAAATCCTCAATAAAATACTGGCAAACTGAATCCAGCAGCACATCAAAAAGCTTATTCACCATGATCAAGTGGGCTTCATCCCTGGGATGCAAGGCTGGTTCAACATATGCAAACCAATAAACATAATCCATCACATAAACAGAACCAATGACAAAAACCACATGATTATCTCAATACATGCAGAAAAGGCCTTTGACAAAATTCAACAGCACTTCATGCTAAAAACTCTCAATAAATTAGGTATTGATGGGATGTATCTCAAAATAATAAAAGCTATTTATGACAAACCCACAGCCAATATCATACTGAATGGGCCAACACTGGAAGCATTCCCTTTGAAAACTGGCACAAGACAGGGATGCCCTCTCTCACCACTCCTATTCAACATAGTGTTGGAAGTTCTGGCCAGGGCAATCAGGCAAGAGAAAGAAATAAAGGATATTCACTTAGGAAAAGAGGAAGTCAAGTTATCCCTGTTTGCAGATGACATGATTGTATATGTAGAAAACCCCATCATCTCAGCCCAAAGTCTCCTTAAGCTGATAAGCAACTTCAGCAAAGTCTCACGATACAAAATCCATGTGCAAAAATCACAAGCATTCCTATACACCAATAACAGACAAACAGAGAGCGAAATCATGAGTGAACTCCCATTCACAATTGCTTCAAAGAGAATAAAATACCTAGGAATCCGACTTACAAAGGATGTGAAGGACCTCTTCAAAGAGAACTACAAACCACTCCTCAATGAAATAAAAGAGGACACAAACAAATGGAAGAACATTCCATGTTCATTGATAGGAAGAATCAATATCACAAAAATGGCCATACTGCCCAAGGTAATTTACAGATTCAATGCCATCCCCATCAAGCTACCAATGATTTTCTTCACAGAATTGGAAAAAAAACTACTTTAAAGTTCATATGGAACCAAAAAAGAGCCTGCATTGCCAAGACAATCCTAATCCAAAAGAACAAAGCTGGAGGCATCATGCTACCTGACTTCAAACTATACTACAAGGCTACAGTAACCAAAACAGCAGGGTACTGGTACCAAAACAGAGATATAGACCAATGTAACAGAACAGAGCCCTCAGAAATAATACCACACATCTACAACCAACTGATCTTTGACAAACCTGACAAAAACAAGCAATGGAGAAAGGATTCCCTATTTAATAAATGGTGCTGGGAAAACTGCCTAGCCATATGTAGAAAGCTGAAACTGGATCCCTTCCTTACACCTTATACAAAAATTAATTCAAGATGGATTAAAGACTTAAATGTTAGACCTAAAACCATAAAAACCCTAGAAGAAAACCTAGGCATTACCATTCAGGACATAGGCATGGGCAAGGACTTCATGTCCAAAACACCAAAAGCAATGGTAACAAAAGCCAACATTGACAAATGGGATCTAATTAAACTAAAGAGCTTCGGCACTACAAAAGAAACTATCATCAGAGTGAACAGACAACCTACAGAATGGGAGAAAAGTTTTGCAATCTACTCATCTGACAAAGGGCTAATATCCAGAATCTACAAAGAACTTAAACAAATTTACAAGAAAAAAACAAACAACCCCATCAAAATGTAGGTGAAGGATATGAACAGACACTTCTCAAAGGAAGACATTCATGCAGCCAAAAGACACATGAAAAAATGCTCATCATCACTGGCCATCAGAGAAATGCAAACCAAAACCACAATGAGATACCATCTCACACCAGTTAGAATGGCGATCATTAAAAAGTCAGGGAACAACAGGTGCTGGAGAGGATGTGGAGAAATAGGAGCACTTTTACACTGTTGGTGGGACTGTAAACTAGTTCAACCATTGTGGAAGACAGTGTGGCGATTCCTCAAGAATCTAGAAGTAGAGATAACATTTGACCCAGCCATCCCATTACTGGGTATATACCCAAAGGACTATAAATCATGCTGCTATAAAGACACATGCACAGGTATATTTACTGCAGCACTATTCACAATAGCAAAGACTTGGAACCAACCCAAATGTCCATCAATGATAGACTGGATTAAGAAAATGTGGCATATTTACACCATGGAATACTATGCAGCCATAAAAAAGGATGAGTTCATGTCCTTTGTAGGGACATGGATGAAACTGGAAACCATCATTCTGAGCAAACTATCGCAAGGACAGAAAACCAAACACCGCATGTTCTCACTCATAGGTGGGAATTGAACAATGAGAACACTTGGACACAGGATGGGGAATATCACACACCGGGGCCTGTTGTGGGGTTGGGGGAGGGGGGAGGGATAGCATTAGGAGATATACCTAATGTAAATGATGAGTTAATGGGTGCAGCACACCAACATGGCACATGTACACATATATAACAAACCTGCATGTTGTGCACATGTCCTAGAACTTAAAGTATAATAGTAAAAAAAAAACTTTAAAACTTTTGCTTTGTGAAAGACCCTTTAAGAGGATAAAACAAGCTATGGGCTGGGAGAAAATATGTGCAAGCCACATATGCACTAGAGGAGTTGTATCTCAAATATATAGAGAAATCACAACACTCAACAGTAAAAAAGGAAAAACAACACTTAACAACTGGGCAAAAGACATGAACAGACTTTTACCAAAGAGGATATCCAGATGGCTAATGAGCAAACAAAATGTCATTCAACATCAATAGCCATTAAAGAAATGTAAATTAAAACCATAATGAGATATTCCTATATACCTATCAAAATGGCAAAAATACGAAATAGCGACAACACCAACTGCTGATAAGAATGCGGAGAAACAGGTTCATGCATACATTGCTGGTGGAAATGTCAGATGGTACAATCCTTCTGAAAATAGTTTGGCAGTTTCTTAAAAAAAATACATGCAGTTACCATATTACCTAAATAAATGACAACTTATATTCACACAAAAACCTGTATACAAATGTTCATAGCAGCTTTATTCATAATAGCCCAAAACTGGAACCAGCCCATATGTCTTTCAACAGGTGAATGGTTAAACAAACCATGGTATATCCATACCATGGACTACTACTCAGCAATAAAAAGTAAAGAACTATTGATACATATAACTACACTAATGAATCTCCAGGAAATTATGCTGAGTAAAAAAGGTTAATCTCAAAAGGTTACAAACTATATAAATCCATTTATATACCTTTTTGAAATGACAACATTTTAGAAATGAAGAACAGATTAGTAATTACCAGAGGCTGGAGATATTGAAGGAGAGGAGGAAAGTGAGTGTGGTTATAAAAGGATAACATGAGAGATACTTATAGTGTTGGGATTGTTCTGTATCTTGACAGTGGTGGTGGATACATGAAACTACATAGATGATATAATTGTATAGAATGTAGTACTAATATTAATTCATGTTTCTAATACATAGAAACACACACGCACACACACAAATGGGTACCAGAAGTGGAGAAAATTGAATCAGTTTACCACATTGTATCAACGTCAATATCCTGCTTGTGTTATTATGCTTTGTTTTGCAAAATATTACCATTGGATGAGACTGAATAAAGTACACAACGATTGTTGTATTTTTTCTTACAACTGCATATGAATCAATTAATATCTCAATAACAATTCAATTAAAAAGTAAGATTTACAGTAGGATCCCAATTTGGTGATCTGCTAACAATGATTATTTTGGAGTTGTGGAATTACAGATGATGGGTTTTTTCCTTCGTATTATGCTGGGTACTCAAAAATATTCATAATGAGCATCCAAAGATGGTACTGTGAGAAAAATAAACTATTTGTAGGACTGGAGCAAGATGGCTGAATAGAAGTCTCCACTGATCTCCCCACAGGGACACCAATTTAACAGCTATCTACACAAATAAAGCACCTTCGTAAGAATCAAAAGTCATGTGAACACTCGCAGTACGTGGGTTTCACTTCATATCACTGAAAGAGGTGCCAAAGAGGTAGGAGAAACAGTCTTGAATCACTGGTGCCACCCCTCTCCCATTCCCCAGCAGCAGTGGTGTGGTGGGGAGAATGGTTCTGTGCCCTGGGGAGAGGGAGAGCCACCAATTGTGAGGTATTGAACTCAGTGCTGCCCTTGTTATAGCAGAAAGCAAAACCTGACTAAACTCAGCTGATGCCCACCCACAAAGGAAACATTTAAACCAGCCATAGCCAGAGGGGAATTGCTGATCCCAGTGATGGGAACTTGAGTTCTGGCAAAACTTGCCACCGTGGGCTAAAGTGTTCTGGGGCCCCAAATAAACTTGAAAGATAGTCTAGGCCACAAAGACTGCTACATCAAAGTGAGTCCTAGGGATGAACTGGTCCCAGAGACAATGGATGGGCGGTGGGTGGGGGGGCAGGGAGAGAAGATGACGTACTGAGACACCAGCAAGGCCAGCAAAGAAAGTGTTGGCATCACCTCTCTCTTAACCCCAGGCTGCACAGCTCATAGCTACAAAAGAGACCCCTTCCTTCCACTTGAGGAGAGGAGAGGGGAGACAGGGAAGGACTTTGTCTTGTATGTTGGATACCAGCTTAGCCACAGCAGGATAAGGCACCAGTCAGAGTCGTGAGGCCCTCTTTCCAGGCCCTAGCTCCTGGATAACATTTCTAGACACACCCTGGGCCAGAAGGGAACCTGCTTCCTTGAAGGGAAGGACCCAGTCCTGACAGGATTCATCACCTGTTAACAGAAGAGCCCTTGGGCCCTGAATAAACAGCAGTGACACCAAAGTTCTATGTTGAGGGCTTTGGGTGAGACTCAGACTTGCAGGCAGGTGAGACTCAGCACATTCCCAGCTGTGGTGGCTATGGGTCAAGACTCCTACTGCTTGAGAAAAGCAGAGGGAAAAGGGGACTCTGTCTTGCACCTTAGGTACAAGTTTGGCCACCAGGCAGGCTCTTGGGGACCCTGATTTGAGGAATTCAAGAACATAAAATGGGTACATGGAAAATTAAAAAAACAAGAAACTAAATCACATCATCAGAGAAAACCACCTTCGCTAAAAGGAAAACAAGAAGGAAAGAAAGAAGGAAGAAAATACCAAAAACAACCAGAAAGCAAATAACAAAATGGTAGGAATAAGTCTTTACTTGCTACTAGTAAAATTGAATGTAAGTGGACTAAACTCTTCAATCAAAAGACATGGAGTGGTTGAATGGATGAAAAAAACAAAACCTATTGATCTGTTTCCTACAAGAAACACACTTCACCTATAAAGACACACATGGACTGAAAATAAAGGAATTGCAAAAGATATTCCATGCCAATGGAAACCAAAAAAGGAGCAGGAATAGCTATACTTACCTCAGACAAAATAGATTTTGTGACAAAAACTATTACTAGAGAAAAATTAGGTCATTATATAAATGGATCAATTCAGAAAGGGGATATAACAATTTTCAATATATATGCACCCAACACTGGAGCACCCAGATATATAAAGAAAATATTATTAGAGCTAAAGAGAGAGATAGGCCCCAATACAATAGTAGCTAGAGAATTCAACACCCCACCTTCAGCATTCAACAGATCTTAACATTGGACAGAAAATCAAGAAAGAAGCATCAGACTTAATCTGCACTATAGATTAAATGGATCTAATAAATATTTACAGAACATTTCATCCAATGACTGCTGAAAACATATTCTTTTCCTCAGCACATAGATGATTCTCAAGAGTAGATCATATGTTATGTCACAAAACAGTCTTAAAGCATTAACAAAAACTGAAATAATACCAGGCATTTTCTCTGACTACAAGGAAATAAAACTAGGCATTAATAACAAGAGAAATTTTGGAAACTATAAAAATTTATGGAAATTAAACAATATGCTCCTGAATGAGCAGTAGGTCAATGAAGAAATTAAGAAGGAATTTGAAAATTTTTAAGCAAATGATAATAGAAACACAGCATACCAAAACTTATGGGATACAGCAAAAGCAGTACTAAGACAGAAGTTTACAGCTATAAGTCCCCACATCAAAAAAAAGGAAAAAATTTCAATGAAAAATCTGATGCCACATCCCAAAGAACTAGAAAAGCAAGAGCAAACCAAACTCAAAATTAGTAGGAGAAAAGAAATAATAAAAACCAGACAGAAATGAATGAACTTGAAATAAAGAAAACAATACAAAAGCTTGTTTTTGAAAGGTTAAACAAAATTGACCAACCTTTATTCAAACTAAGAACAAAAGAGAGAAAATCCAAATATATAAAATCAGAAATGAAAAAAGACACATTACAAAACATTTAAAGAAGAACTGGTACCAATCCTATTCAAACTATTCCAAAAAAATAGAGGAGGAAATACCCAAACTTATTCTATGAGGCCAGTATCACCCTGATATCAAAACCAGACCAAGGTACATCAAAAAAAAGAAAACTACAGGCCAATATCTCTGATGAACATTGATGCAAAACACATCAACAAAATATTAGCAAACTGAATTCAACAATACATTAGAAAGATCATTCATCACGATCAAGTGGGATTTATCCCTGGGATGCAAGGATGCTTCAACATAGGCAAATCAATCAATGAGATACATCATACCAACAGAATGAAGAACAAAAATCATATGATTATTTCAATTGATGCTAAAAAAGCATTTGATAAAATTCAACATCTCTTCATGATAAAAAAAAAACCTCAAAAAAACTAGGTATAAAACAAACATACCTCAACATAATAAAAGCCATATAAAACAGATCCATGGATAGCATCATATTGAATGGGAAAAAACTGAAAGCCTTTCCTCTAATATCTGGAACATGACAAGGATGCCCACTTTCACCACTGTTATTCAACATAGTGCTGGAAGTCCTAGCTATAGCAATTAGACATGAGAAAGAAATAAAGGGCATCCAAACTGGAAAGGGAGAAGTCAAATTATTCTTGTTTGCAGACGATATGATCTTATATTTGGAAAAATCTGAAGACTCTACCAAAAATCTATTCAAACTGATAAATTCAGTAAAGTTGCAGGATACAAAATCAACATACAAAAATTAGTAGCATTTCTGTATGCCAACAGTGAGCTATCTAAAAAAGAAATTTAAGAAATAGTCTCATTTACAAAAGCCACACATAAAATTAAATACCTAAGAATTAACCACAGAAGTGAAAGACCTCTATACTGAAAACTATAAAACACTGATGAAAGAAATTGAAAAGGGTACCAAAAAATTGAAAGACATTCCATGTTCATGGATTAGAAGAATCAATATTGTTAAAAAATCCATACTACCCAAAACAATCTACATATTCAATGCAATCTCTACCAAAATACCAAAGACATTCTTCACAGAACTAGAAAAAACAAACCTGAAATTTATATGGATCTACAAAAGGCTCAGTATAGCCAAAGCTATCCTAAGCAGAAAGAACAAAACTGGAGGAATCACATTACCTGACTTCAAATTATACTACAGAGCTATAGTAACCCAAACAGCATGGTACTGGCATAGAAATAGACACATAAACCAATGTAACAGAATGGAGAATGCAGAAACAAATCCATACACCTACAGTGAACTCGTTTTTGACATTAATAATCAGTAATCCATACATGATGCTGGGAAAATTGAACATCCATATGCAGAAGAATGAAACCAGTCCCCATCTCTCACCATAGGCAAAAATGAAATCAATGGATTAAAGACTTAAATCAAAGACCTCAAACTATGAAACTACTATAAAAAAACATTGGGGAAACTCCCCAGAACATTGGTCTGGGCAAAGATTTCTTGAGCAATACCCCACGAGCACAGGCAACCAAAGCAAAAATGGACAAATGAGATCACAAATTAGAAAGCTTCTGCACATAAAAGGAAACAATCAACAAAGTGATGAGTCAACCTACAGAAGGAAAGAAAATATTTGCAAACTACCCATCTGACAAAGGATTAATAACCAGAATATATCAACAGCTCAAAAAATCTCTATAGGAAAAAATCTAATAATCTGATCAAAAAGTGGGGAAAATATTTGAATAGATATTTCTCAAAAGAAGACACACAGATGGCAAACAGGCATATGAAAAGTTGCTCGACATTATTGATCATCAGAGTAATGCAAATCAAAACTACAATGAGATGTTATCTCACCTTATTTAAAATGACTCATATCCAAAAGACAGGCATTAAATGCTGGCAAGAATGTGGAAAAAGGGAACAGTCATACACTGTTGGTAGGAATGTAAACTAGTACAACCACCATGGAGAACAGTTTGGAGGTTCCACAAAAAAACTAAAAATTGAGCTACCATATAATCCAGCAATCTCACTGCTGGGTATCTTTCCAAAAGAAAGGAAATCAGTATATTGAAGAGATATCTGCACTCCCATGTTGTTCATGACAGCCAAGATTTGGAAGCAACCTAAATGTCCATCAACAGATGAATTGATAAAGAAATACAATGGAGTACTATTCAGCCATAAAAAATGAGATCCAGTCATTTGCAACAATATGGATGGAATTGGAGGTCATTATGCTAAGTGAAATAAGCCAGGTACAGAAAGACAAACATTGCATATTCTCACTTATTTATGGGATGTAAAAATCAAAACAATTGAACCCATGGAGGTAGAGAGTAGAAGGATGGTTACCAGAGGCTGAAAGAGTAGTGGGGGTGTTTGGGGAGAGGTGGGTTAATGAGTGCAGAAAAGTAGAATGAATGAATGAATAAAGCCTAGCATTTTACAGCACAGCAGGGTGACTATAATCAATAATAATTTACTTATACATTTTAATATAACAAAGAGTATAATTGGATTGTTTGTAACACAAAGGATAAGTTCTTGAGGAGATGGGTATCCCATTTTCCATGATATGATTATTATGCATTGTGTGCCTGTATCAAAACATCTAATGTACCCCATAAGTATATACACATACTGTGTAGCCACAAATATTAAAAATGGAAAAAATATTTTTAAAAATAAAAGCTAAAATAAAGTATTTGATCTGACCATCTTTGTAACAATGTTTTGGAGCAGTATAGAAAAAGAAAGATTGAGGCTAGGGAGACAAATTGATTCTAGTAATACCTCCATTTTGGCAAAGATGGACAAGAAAGAATTTTGAACTTCCAATGTCATTTCTGCCACTATGTAGGTCTGTGTTCTTTCCTGGTTTCACAGTTTTTAAAGACATCTTCTCTACTGAGTAGAAGGCATAATTCACTAGGTCATACTGTTAAATGGTTTAGTTTTTGAAACAAGATTACAATTGAGCCTTAACAGCATGGATTTGAGCTGCACAGGTCTACTTACATGTCGATTTTTTCCACCTATGCCATCCCTGAGATAGCAAGATGAACTCCTCCTCTTCCTCTTCCTCCTCCTCAGCCTACTCAACATGAAGACAATGAAGATGAAGACTTTTATGATGATTCACTTCCACTTAATGGACAGTAAATATGTTTTCTCTTTATTATGATTTTCTTAATAACATTTTCCTTTCTCTAGCTTACTTTAATGTAAGAATACAGTGTACAATCATATAACACAAAGTGTGTGTTAATCAACTGTGTTATCAGTAATGCTTCCAGTCAACAGTAGGCTATTAGTAGTTATGTTCTGGGGGAGTCAAAAGTTATATCTGGATTTTCAACTGTGCAGGGGGTCACTGTCCCAACCCCCATGTTGTTCAAGGACCAATTGTATTTATGAACCTACATTTCTAAAATGTATTCTTGCTTGAAGTACAGGAAAAGGAACACTAAAGATATAGAGCCTACATATGTTATTTAGCAGGAGGAGGAATGGTAGAATGGAGTTTGAAAAGTGTGACCAGTAGCCCAGGTAAAAGGTAATGAGAGCCTGATATGTGTAAGGCAGTCGCTGTAAGAGGTGGGCAGGAGGGAACAGCCTTAAGATGTGTTAAAGAACAGAGATTTGATTGTATCTGTAGGGAGATTTAATGCAGAGAGTTGGTTACACAAGTGAGAGAGGAGCTGGGAGTGAAACAGAGCTCAGTGAAGGACTCCAGAGATTGGCAATAGTAAGAAGCTTCCACCAGCCTTCAACTGATGAAACAAGGGCTTCAGCCATTCTACTGAAGCCGGGATTGCCCAGAGGAAGCTGGAAATACAGTAGCTTTCCTGTCAAGAGCTAAAGCCACAGATGTAGCCCCAACTGGAAAATCTGCCGACATCAGAGAGAAAGGGTGAAAGCAGCCTAGGTTCTTTCTCCTTCTAGTGCTCCAGTCTCCTACCAATGCCAAGTCCAGTTGAGGTCAGATGACTTGAGAGCCTGGGAAATGGAAATGTAGCCTCTAAGACACAGAGTAGAGCTGGAGAAGGGCATGAAATAAATCTGGTGGCAAACTCGCCCAACACTAACATAGTCCATCTATTTCACCACTCAGCATTCATTCTTACCTCATATCCATATCTGACAAATTCACGTCTCTGCCAGACATGAGACAACTATCCATGACACAACTCACCAACTCTCTCCAACAAGAGGAGGAACAAATTCTGATTTGTCAGTTTTCTACCTCAAGTCCAAGATCTCCAGGCATTATGGAATTCCTCCTATAAATAGCAAGTGTGGCTCCCTGTAGTCTGGTGACTTACATATTAAATTACCAAGTGCTTATTACTGACACTCTTTATACAAAATAGTAGGAAAAAGGTTGTTGATTAACACACACATAATAAAATATGCCTGGTAGTTACAATTCTTGTTCTATAACTGGTCATGTGGCCATAGCATATACATACGACTTTCTTCTTCCACCACATATTTTGTTTCTTCTTGCCCTTGTAACCAGCATGTTGGTTGCCCTTCTTTACTCAGTGGGGTAATCCAACCCTTTATTCCTACAAAGTCTGAATCTTCGGTGGTCCTATACTTAATTGGGTTGCTGTAGATTTTAATTGACTTTGACTATCAGACATGGAAGTACTAAAAGATGCACCCATACATCTCCCGGGTTTTAGCCACAGTTTTTATGCTCTTATTGTGTAGCAGAAAACCAATTTTCCTTTATTAATAATGACCAATCACTTCAACCAATATAATTCACGCTTTCTTTGCTTGTTGGTTCAGTGGTATGAGGAGCTCCAAATGCCAGGTGAGAGCCTTAACTTCTAGTTTATAATGAGGCTGGGTGGAAAAAAAATTTATTCCTTGGGAACAAAGACTTCTAGACTAGTAGAGCTGAAGGTTGTGGACAGGAAGTGAAAATTCTGCAAGTGGATTATTAGATATAATAGTAAGAAAAGCCATTCCCATTCCTGCCCCTTAATTCCTGGACCCATGCATTCTACATAAGGGAGAGACGTACCATATATTCATCAATGGTTCAAAGCATATGCTACATCCTGGGGGATGTATACAAGCTCCACAGAATGTGACCTCCCAGATGATACCATAAGCTATTTCTCCATTTAATCAGGCCAGCAGCTCCTGAGTAATGGGGTGCATGCTAAGATCAGCAAATTTTCATGGCATGGTTTACTACTGTACTTTCCTTGTAATAAAATATGTCCCTTGGACAGAAGCATTGTTATGTGTGATAACATGATGGTGAATTAGGCATTCTATAAGTCCATAAATGGTGGTTTTGAGAAGGCATATCCATATCCATAATAGTAACAACAAATGGTGGCTCCTCCATGACAGGAAAGGGTCAAATGTAATCAACTTGTTACCAAGTGACTGGTTGGTTCCCCAAGAGAATGGTGCCAAGTTAAGAGCTTAATGCTGACCTCTGATTTGGTGGGCTGGGCACTCAGTAGCAGAGTGGCAGAACATTCTTGGTTTAAAAAAAAAAAAAGTCCACATGCTTGAGTCTTGCTAGTCTCTAGCAGCAGGGTTTCTCATTGGATAAACCTAGCCACAAGTTGATACAAGAAACTGAAGGATGCAGCCTGCAAGGGGTTAAATACTTTTGAGTAGAGCAGAGGATTGTCAGGGAGCAGTTCTGAAAGAAAATCGGCCTGGTTTTCTGAATGCAGAGTAAGAGAGAGAAAGTGGCTTCCCCATTTTCTATCTTGGGTGACTAGGTGGATAGTAATTCACTAAGCTGAGCACATAGAAGTTTGGAAACGTGTTGAGTTTAAGGTACCTGTGGGATGTTGTGGTAGAGCTGCCCAGGATGCAGTCTGAAGTTCAGGAGAGAAGTCTGTGATAAAGACATATAACTAGGCGTCAACAGAAAATAAACAGTCACTGAAATTATGGGAGTGAGTGAGTTCACTCAGGGTCGATGTAGGATGATCAGAGACCAGAAACAAAGGTTAGCTATCACCAACATTTGAGTGAATAGTCATGAAAAAGACAGCTGTGAAGGAGAAGTTAGAGTGATGTTTCAGAAACTAAGGGAGACAGGACCATCAAGAAAAATGGGGTGATCAAAAAGGTCAAACTCACCTGTGAGGTCAAGTAAAATAAGCCTGAAAATAATCAAGATGATTCTGATGACCATTGCCTGGCTAAAATAGAAATGAATAATCTTAACCGAATCCTTGATTTTGCTTCTTTTCTTTACTCCTCAGAGCATCTGTCTTGAAAGTTTTATCAATTTGAGAGAAAATAACTTCCAATTCAAGGTTTAAGTGTACACCTCTGAGCAAGAACTGTGATGCTCTTGGTGGGGAGTCTGGGCAGGGCATGTAACAGGGAGAGAAGGGGATGGGGGCAAGGATCCCTCTAACCAATCTCTTTGCTACCTACTGGGGAATGGAAAAGGTCAAACAAGCAATTAATTCCCTGTCGCTCCTGGGAGCTGTGAGAATTGTGGTCCTGTTGTTCTAGCAACCATTTTCTTCTTAGGAAGAGTGCATGGACAGTACTTACTCCATTTTATTGAAAAGTCAAGATAATAACAAATTTTTTTAGTTTTTTAAAAGAATTTTTAAAGCTCCAAATCCTACCACAATGCCATTATTTTTAAAATATTTTCTTGCATAAGTATACTTTGTACATGGTTGTAATCATAGCCTGTGATTTTTCCCCCAAATTAGAGTCATAATGTAAAGAAAAAAACTTTAGAATTTTGAACCATCTCCTTGAAATCCTTAGAACTAGGAAATCTTGCCTTTGAAGACTGAGAGTGTGTTAAATTCTTAGTCCTTAGAAATCTGGAAGAAACTTTAGAGATGATCTTACCCAATCCTTTGTTTTAGAAATGATTTAATTGAGACCCAGAGAGGGAGAGTGGACTGATTTAAGGTCAGGAAGTAATTGATGGTAGGATCTTCTCTAGGACCTTGGTCTTTAGAGTCCAGTTTCCAGCACTCTTGCCACCATCAAACCTCTGTCTCCAGCAGTGGGTTTGTTTAGTGCAATTGTGAGTAAAGTGCCATGTATTGCATGTACACCTCCTCTTGGAGACAGCAAAAATAGCCACAATCGTCTGTAGCTTTTACCTTCAAGAAATAGAATCTACTTACCCATCCTTTGAATCTTGTGACTTGTTTTGACCGTAATATTATGGAAGTGATGCATAATTGTTAGCCTAAGCCTTAAGAAGGTTTGCAGCTTCTTCCCTCACACTCTTAGAACCCTGGGATCAACCCAGGGCCGGCCTGCTGAATCATGAGTCATCATTGTTGCCCTACCAAACACCAACTATGTGACTGAGTCTGTCCTAGATCATCCAGCCTCCAGCCAACCTGCCAGCAGAGATTAGTAGAGGCTGCCCAGACCAGAAGAACTGTTCCATCAACCTATAGAATCAAGAGTGAAATAATTGGTTGTTTTAAAGCACTATGTTTTGAGGTGTTGTTTTTTTTTACATTGCAAAAGCCAACTGATGTATAAGTTTCTTCATTGTGCTGATAACCCACTCCATTAGAGTAAATCATACTTCATGTCTCATGGTTTCTTGAATCAGGAGATGAGGAAATATATTTTTTCCTGCCTTAATTTTTGTTTTATTATTTTCATTTAGATATCTAAGTTTCAAAAGGCAATTTATAGAATAATGTTTTTGGACATGCAAGTCTATGTTCAGTTCCTTGCAAGCCATCTGCTTTGAAAAGAACGGTTGGTAGAGTCCTTTATTTTTACCAACAATCTCCCCTTCTCCTGCCCACATCTCAAGACATTCAACAAAGATCTGTACATATGGATCAAGGTGGGACTAAAAGGGGGAAGGAGAAGAAGGCAGCTTCATTGTGAGTTAGGACACAGCAGTGATTTTTTTTCTTAGTTTGAATCTAGCCTGAGGCTTTCTAAATAAACACTGCAGAAGTATCTCCCCAAGTGGTGCACTGGGGAAAACAAAACAGAATGCATATATTCCTGATCTGGAGCATGGCAGATGAACAGACTGGAAACTCCTACTCCTGTCAAAGGCTTTAGGGATTTATTACTCATAGCTCTTCATTTCCATGGTATCTCTAATTTGATACAAACTAACTCTTTAGAAAAACAAGCTTATAGAAAATGTCCATATTTGGTGGACTAAGTAATAAAGTTCATGTACTTAACATCCGGTGATTCAATCTTGTAATCAAGTTTGATACTTAGTTCAATGAGATTGTACCAAGAACTGAGCCTGGGCTCTGCAGCACAGCAAAACATTAAGCTGGATGATATGTGAGTGTTGCAATTACACTCCTACACTCTTTCCCAGAAAGGAGAGGTGGGGAGGGGGGGCAGGGGATTATTGTCTTTTATACATTTAGTCCCTGTAATCACACTCTGGTTAGTAGAGATGTTTTCTTTTTATCACTTAAATACACTTCAAAGATAAATCAAAAGTCTTTAGACTACAAAGTTTGCAGTGAGCTGTTTCACCTCTTTCTTGGGTTCTGGTTCCACTTATCTCCTCTTTACTTCCATCGAGTTCCTCTAACAAGAAATAAGAAATGAAAAATGATGAGTATGTGAGGTGACAGATGTGTTAATTAGCTTGATTTAGTCAGTTCACAGTGTATACATCTATCAAAACACCATGTTGTATACTGTCAATATATACTATTTTTATTTGTCAAGTACACCTTAATAAAGCTGGGGGGAGACAAAAAATAATAAGTGTTGTTGCTATATTAAAAAATGAAAGAAAATAGTCACACTCAATGACACAGAATCTAATTAATGATAATTATTAAAGATCCCTCTTGCCACACTCAAGCTCTAAGAAGAGGTTCAGAAGACAAGAAAAGGAACAAGCATTCACTTTTAGGAACCATCATTTATTCAACGGTTTATTGAGCACACGATCGTGTGCCAGACCAGGCACGATGCAAGATTATGAAGATTCAGAGGTGAACAAAAAAGATCCTTATTTCACTCCTAGGGAATAGTCGGGTTTTCCTTGCATCAACCTGATTTCCATAGTTCTTCCAGTTACATCTTTACCTATAGGTCTGTACAAAAAGAAAAGTTGCCTAGTGATATGATTTCTTTACAAATAACAATAATTAATAACAAAAACAATAATAAAATAGCTAACACTTATCTTGTGCTTACTATGTGCCAAAAAGTGTTCTATGCACTTTCATATATTAACTAATTTAATCTTCAACAATCTTTTGAGTTACTATTATTCTTCCTTTTTAAAAAAAACAAGGGAACTGAGGCACACAGAGGTTAAGTAATTCACACAGATTCAGACTGTTTGCTACACTATTTTTTTACACTATTCTTATTAAGACAGAATATGCTAGAGTGTTGTTATTTTTTAATAACAAGGGTTGAAAGAGAATGGGATGTTTTTAATCGTAAGTAAATTAATAAATTTTGATGTCAAAATATCCTGTTCTCTAAGCATTCACTCTAATTGAGATTTAATAATCTAGACTGAATTTTTTCCACTTAATGGAATGCTCATAAAAGCCACATCCAAAGGAAAATAAATTGCAGAGTGTGTTGACTTTTCTTAAAAACTGTGGCTGATTTTCAGTCAGGCTGTCCAAATCTCTTTTCAAGCTTTCAGCCCATAAGCCAGTACATCTGCTTCAATATTGAAGTAGGATGTCAGGCCCCTAATATTCCCAGAAGAAACCAGGGGAATTTGGCCAGATGTTTACTGGGATTTCCTTGTAGGCATCTTCTTCCAAATATATGAAGATCCCCAGTTGTGGGTGTTCTAAAGAGGCTCAGATTCAATGATTTACTCCATTTGCCAGAACATGTACCAGATGAGCCATTATGTCCTGTCTCTTGCATGTGCATGTGTGTACCTGAAGCCAGGTGGGTAAATACCGAAGAATGTTTTGCTTAAACTTACTCTGGTCTCCTGTAAGTAACTGCAATCCTCCATCTGATGCCTGGAGCCAAGAGCATTCTGTAGGCAACAACTGCCTACCTGATTTAATAAGCAAACCAGCATACAACAACTTGCTTGCCCTCAAAGACATGTAAGTATGATATCTCCCAAACTCTCCCAAAGATAATCTTTGAAAATAACAATGATGGCTCCATCTGCAGGGCATAGCGGGCCTCCACCTCCCTCAGGCTGTTCTCCAAGCTGGCCTTCAGATTTCTCGTGGAGTCCAGGTCGATCTCTAAGGACTGGACTCTATGTCTCAGCTCTGTGAGCGTCATCTCAGCAGCTCCAACCTTGGCGGACTGTGTGGTAACCACTCTGGTGCTCTCCTCGATTTGCTGAGACCAGTACTTGTCCAGCTCCTCTCGGTTCTTCCGAGCAAGCTTGTCATATTGGGCCCGGGAGTCTGCCATGTTCTTGGCAAGGTCTGAGATTTGGGGGCATCTACCTCCACGGTCAACCCAGAGCTGGCAATCTGGGCTTGTAGGCCTTTTGCTTCCTCTTCGTTGTTCTTCTTCATGAAGAGCAGCTCCTTCTTGAGAGCCTCGATCTCTGTCTCCAGCTACAGCCGAGTGACATTTGTGCCATCAATTATCTTGCAGAGCCCATGGATGTCGCTCTCCACAGACTGGTGCATGGCCAGCTCTGTCTCATACTTAACTCTAAAGTCATCAGCAGCAAGACGGGCATTGTCGATCTGTCAAACGATGCGGCCGTTGTCCACAGTATTTGCAAAGATCTGAGCCCTCAGGTCCTCCATGGTCTTGAAGTAATGGCTCCAGTCTCTGACCTGGGGTCCCTTCTTCTCCAGGTGCTCCTGGATTTTGCTCTCCAGCTTCCAATTCTCGGTCTCCAGGCCCCTCACCCTGTCCAGGTAGGAGGCCAGGCGGTCTCTCAGGCTTTGCATGGTCTCCTTCTCGTTCTGGATGCCTCCCATTCCTGCCAGACCCCCGGCCATCCCCGTGGCCAGGCCCCCGGACCCCATGCCACCCCAGAAGCTGGTGAAGTGGGACACGGAGATCCGGGAACCAGAGCCCCCCAGGCCTGCATAGACGCTGGCTGCGTGGCTGACAGGCTGGGTGCCATAGCTGGGCACCTGGACAGAACCCGGGGACCAGTAGTTGGTGAAGGCGGAGCAAGTGGTGAAGCTCATGCTAGCCAGGGAGGAGAGTGAGAGGACAGGACTCAGGCTTTGCTGATGACTCATTGTTCCCATCTTTATGTTCATGAGTAACGAATGTTTAGCTCCCACTTATAAGTGAGAATATGTGATATTTGTTTTCTGTTCCTGCGTTAATTTGCTGAGGATTATGGCCTTCAGCTGCATCCATGTTGCTGCAAAGGACATGATTTCATTCTTTTTCATGGCTGCATAATATTCCATGGTGTATATGTACCACATTTTCTTTATCCAATCCACCACTGATGGGCACCTAGGCTCATTCCATGTCTTTGCTATTGTGAATAGTGCTGCAATGTACATACAAGTACATGGGTCTTTATGGTAGAAAACTTTATTTTCTTTGGGGTATATACCCAATAATGGTACTGCTAGGTAAACGGTAGCTGTGTTAAGTTCTTTGGGAAATCTCCAAACTGCTTTCCACAGTAGCTGAACTAATTTACATTCCCAACAGCAGTATAAAATAATTTCCTTTTCTCGGCAACCTCACCAACATCTGCTATTATTGGACTTTTAATAATAGCAAACAACCTTTAAATAACCAGTACAGCAAGATTTTCAAATTTTGATATGTGTAAAAATTACCTGGGAAGCTTATAAAAATGTAGCTTTCCAGGCTCCACTCTAGAACATCTGATTTAGTAGGTATAGGGAGTGCTGTGAACATCTTTTATTAAAAATAATAGAAAACTGGTGAAAGCGACTGAAATCAATCTAATCCAAATAAGTAAAATGTATTGTGCTTTTACTAAGTCCATATGGAAATTAACAAGATAGAGTCTTAGTTGTTCATCTTATAAAAAGAATAACAATACTGAACAAATCCTTTCCCAAGAAGTAAAAAGTATGTGTTGATTGTGTGACAGATTTGGGGAAAAGCAAGTGAAACTAACAGGGAGGGAAAAGATGGGGAAAGGAGGGGTCAAAGAAGGGGAATGTTCTATCTCTTGCTGTATACAAAACCACTAAGAGACTTAATGGCTTAAAAGGCAACAATCATTTCATTTGTTTATGAATATGAAATTTGGGCAGGGCTCAGTGGGGACAGTTTGTCTTTGCTCCATGTGTTGCCATCTGGGGTGGCTTAACGTGGGCCAGGGTATCTACTTCCAAGATGGCTCACTCATATAGCTGACAAGTTGATACTGGCTATTGGTTCCTCTTCATGTTGGGCTCTCCATAAGGTAGTTGGGCTTCCTCATAGCATGGTGGCTGGGTTATGAGGGTGATAATCTCAAGGGACAAGAAGTGGAAACTTCAAATTTCTTAAGGCCTAGCCTCAGAAATTCGCACATCGCTTCTGTCATATTCAACTGGCTAAGCAGTCACAGATCCCAGATTCAAAGGAAAGCGATATAGATTTCACCTTTTAGTTGTAGGAGTGTCAGAAAACATTGGAGCCATGCTTTAAAATTGCACAGGGACAGAGAAAGGAAAGACTGAGAACATGAAAAAGAAACTTTGCCTATTTTGCTAAGGCCAGTTCAAACAGGAAGAAAGCAAACACTCCTTCCTTGGCTAGTTAAGAAAAACCATTCCAAGTAGAGTTAGCCCACTTTCTAAGATCTTGTCACAAAAATGGGAAACGTGGGGGATTTTCCCTACATACTTAAATGGAAAGAAAGTTCTTTCAAATGTCACTCTTATTTCCCAAAATACTTTCTTCTTCTTAACAAATATTGAATGTGCTTACATGCCGGTCACTGTACTAGATGTAGGGGGTATCAAGATGAATAAGACAAAGTCTTTGTCCTCAAATATGAATAGTTAGAGTAAATAATCATTAGAGTCATGCTACACACACATAAAGCTATTTTGGATGCCCATGGGAGAGAGAGATTGGTGGACAAGCTCAAATCCCACTTTCCTTGGGCCATGGATGCCTCATACCAGTTCAGGTATCCTGATCTATGCTGTCATAACTCCTTGTATCGCAGTACTTTATTATATATTTGTGAGACTATTTGATTAGCATCTCTTTCCCATACAGGATCATAGAATCCTCTTGAATATTGAGCCAGCTTTAGTGATTCACTTCTAATGAAAGATACACAGAACTGACTCTACGTGACTTCAGAGGTTAGGTTACCAAAGTGTCTGCCTGGCTCTCTTCCTAGCTATACACACCTTGGAGCTCTGGTGCTGCCATGCTGGAGAGACCACACTGACAGATGAGAGAGACAGAGAGAGAGAGAGAGACAGACAGACACAGAGACAGAGAGAGAGCTTGAGAAGAGAGAGAGAGACAGAGAGGAGCTTGAGAAGCCCCAGCTATTTTAGCTTCAGCTGTTGGAGTCTTTCCAGCATCAACCATCAGATGTGTGAGTGAACAAGCCTTAGATGATTCCAGACCCCAGCCTTCAAGCTGCCTTAGCTGATGCTGCGTGGAGCAGAGATAAGCCTTCTTCTCTGTGTCTGCATCCTATCTGAATTCTTGACCAAAAGAATTCATAAACATAATAAATGGTTGTTTTATGCTACTAGGTTTTGGAGCGTTGTTATGCAACCATAGTAATTAGAACAGAAAAAGAAGCAAGATTCAGACTTAGAGGCACTTTACATGAATGAGGGGGAGTTTGTACTTTCCCCCAGGGCTATGGAGAGATATGGAGAGATTTTAGCCAGAAGAAAGGGACAGCTCTATTTGAGTTTTAGAAAATAACTCTGCCTAGGAACAGTGGCTCATGTCTATAATCCCAACACTTTGAGAGGCCAAGGCAGGAGGATCACTTGAGCCCAGAAGTGTGAGTTCAGCCTAGGCAACATAGTGAGATCTTGGCTGTACAAAAAAAAAATTTTTTTTTAATTAGCCAGGTATGGTGGTGCATGCCTATAGTCCCAGCTACTTGGGAGGCTGAGGTGGGAGGATTGCTTGAGCCCAGGAGGTTGGGGGTGCAGTGAGCCGTGATCGCATCACTGCACTCTAGCCTGGGTGACAGAGTGAGAACTTGTCTCAAAAAAAGAAAATAAGAAAAGAACTCTGGCTACATGCAGTGGGACTCTCATGGGAGATCGCATAGGACATTGATAAAGATTAGCACTTAGAGTCAGAATGATAAGGGTCAAGTTCCAGTTTGCTACTGTGTAATCAACGGCATAGTCAGTGAACCTCTTTAAATCTCAGCTTTATCATCTATAAATGAGGAATAACAACACTCCCCTCTTAGTGAAAAATGTGAAGGCAACTCAGATGTGGTCACTGAACATGTATCATTTCAAGCCTGCTTTTCCGCTTTCAATTAAACTGGGTGTTGGGGGAATTTGGTCACATGAGAATTTGAAATGACTGTTGAGATAATAATACCTCTTCATCACAAATAATGCCAGTAAAGACTAAGTCTCTGATTCTAAGTGGCTTGTTCAAGCTGAATTACTTAGAAAGATACTCAACAATTACATCTTGTCACTTCAGGACCAAAAGTCATGGTTTTCCAGTGATAATAAGATAGGATGTCTTATGATGACTAAATTGTGATGTAAAATTTTCAATTCCAAGAGTTGAGTCTTTCCCAACACTGGATGATTTTCTTCAATCGTTAAAAAACTAGTAATTGATGTATCATGGAGCATATTTTTAAATCACCTCCAAGTACTGCATCTGAATATGATGAAATATTTTCGGAGAGGAATATGACCACAGAACAGATCAGCAATATATTTAATGCTGTTTCCCAAACTAAAACATTCATCTCTCTAATTTTTTCTGATATGTGATTCAGCTTAGCATCTGACAAAACATTAATTTTTAGTTAGAATTCTCTTCATAATTTTTGGTCTATCTTTAATCCGGTATCCAAAACTGGTAAATGCAACAAACACATGATGTCATTTCTACATCTCAAAATTGTGAATTAGGGCCTTCTAAATGAGTATAAAAGGAGGAAGAAGAAGCAGCAGATAAATATGAGATTTTGCTTAAAACTCAAGTTATTCAACATTCAGTGAGATAGACATACGGAAAGGAAAGGTTGCAAATGTCCTCACTTTCTCTGTTATGAAACTATTGTCATTAGTTCATTAGTAATAATTTTGCATTTTTCATTTTACAAATAGAAACGTATCTTTTAATTAAAAAATTGTTGGTCCTAGTGTATCGTTATCGCATTTGATTCCAAATGTTTGAGAAAAACTATACAGATGGTGATGACATAGGCAGTGGGTTAGATTGCTCCAAAATAGTGTAAATGAGAAGCAAAGAGAACCAAGGAAAGATCCCAGGGAACACCCACATGAAAGAAACAAAGAGTCAGCGAAGGAAACAGAAAGGAGAGGCCAGCAATGTAGGAGGAAATACAGGCTAAAGTGTACTCATGGGATCAAGGAGAAGAAGGAGTTCAAGGAAGCTTTGCTAGTCACAGAGAGGGATCTATGTCAAATGTTTCACAAGTCGCAGGACATGAGTTGAGAAGGCTTACCAAAATCAGTTAGCCTCACTGAACTCAATAAGAGCAGTTTCAGCAGCATGGTGTGGCTGGAAATCCTTTTGCTTGAATTGAGGTGTGGGAGGGAATAATACAACAGAAACAGTGAGTGTGGAATACCTTTTCTAGATTCTTGGCTAAAAATGGAAGATGAAAAATGGGATATTAGCCAAAAAGATATACAGTGTCGTCAAGAGACAGAGAGAGAGCACAGCATTCCTAAAACAAAAATAAATTAATAATATTTAAATACCGACCGAAATCACTTAATATACAGGGAATGTTTTAAATACAGCAAATGTTTGAAGAGGCTGGAAGGGATAGGATCCAGATCTTGATACAGAGAATAATCTCAGAAAGGAAACTTCTTTTACAGTGATGCTATGGTTTGGATGTGGTCTGTTGTCCCCATCTAAACTCATGTTGAAATTTGATCCCCATTGTGGTGGTGTTGGGAGATGGGGCCTAGTGAGAGGTATTTGGGTCATAGGGCTCAATCCCTCATGAATGGCTTGATGCTGTTCTCCTGGTAGTGAGTTCTTGCTAATGCAAAACTAGATTAGTTCTTGAGGGAATAGATTATTTCCTGAGAGAGCAAGTTGTTATAAAGCAATGTTTTTCCTCTTAGTTGGACCTCTTTACCTCCTCCACCATGTTGTAATGCAGCACAAAAGCCCTCACCAGAAGCCAAGGCCATGTCCTTGAACTTCTCAGCCTGCGGGACTATGAGCTAAATAAATCTCTTTTTAAAAATAAATTACCCAGTCTCAGGTATTCTTTTATATCAACACAAAATGGACTGAGACAAATGATGGGAGGAAAGTAAGAAAGAATGATTTAAAAGGCAGTTTAAAAAAAACTGCAATCAGTGTGATCAATGAAACAATACTGGCCATGAGTTGATAATTATTGAAGCTGGATGATACATACATGAGGGTTCATTATACCATCCCCCTCTAGTTTTGTGTATGTTTAAAGGTTTCCACAATAAAAAGTTGAAAAAATATTGATAAAAAACCCTGGGGTAAAAAATTGCTGTTACTCAGGGGATAGCTTAAGTTTCTGCTGTGAAGTAGGAGGAAAAGTTATCTGCTGAGAGTTAAGGTTGTGGGTTGAAGGTTTAATAAGATTGGTGAAAGTTTGAAATCACTGCTGTGGGAGAAAGAGTTGATGATCCAGCTGAGGTTAGAGGTCTTGGATTTCCAGTTGCAAATATTTGTGTGTTGTAAGATTTTCTCTAGGAGCTCTCAAGAGTACAAGTGTGAGAACTGTTGGGGAGATCCATAATTGATTTTTGATGGGCTGGTGCAATTGTAGATTAAGGGAACCATCAATAAGAAAGTTTTAATGTGATGGGGCATGTTGCTTCCCCCTTCAAGAAAAAGCTATTGTGTTTTTTGTTTGTTTGTTTTTAAGTAGGAGAATACTTTAGCATAGTAGTCTTGAAGTTTTGAGTTAGATTCTGACGGGAAAGAGAGAAAAACTAACTTGAGAGGTAAGATAGTTTTTCTTTAAAAAATATTGTCTCATGTATTATCATATAATACTGGTCATAACTATTTACAAGGAAATTGAATGATAGTAAAACAAAATAATCCAAATGTACTTTCAGAAATATTTTAAAATTTTAAACCAAATATGATTTTAAGTATTTATAAATTATTTATACTAAAAAACTAATATCTATCTAGAGGAAAAACCATTTCAGATATTCACCTCCAAATTTAGCAATCTTTCTGGTATTTTCACTGATGGCTTTATTTTCCATTCTAGATTCCAAACTATTATTCTAACTCAGATTTATTTTATTTATTTATTTTATTTTATTTTTCCATAAGTTATTGTGGTACAAGTGGTATTTGGTTACATGAGTAAGTATTTTAGTGATGATTTGTGAGATCCTGGTGCACCCATCACCCGAGCAGTATACACTGCAGTGTGTTTGTAGTCTTTTATCCCTCACCCCCTCCCACTCTTCCCCCTAAGTCCCCAAAGTCCATTGTATCATTGTTATGTCTTTGTGTCCTCATAGCTTAGCTCCCACATATCAGTGAGAACATATGATGTTTGATTTTCCATTCCTGAGTTACTTCACTTAGAATAATAGTCCCCAGTCTCATCCAGGTCATTGCAAATGCTGTTAATTCATTCCTTTTTATGGCTGAGTAGTATTCCATCGCATATATATATACCACAGTTTCTTTATCCACTCGTTGATTGATGGGCATTTTGATTGGTTCCACAATTTTGCAGATGTGAAGTGTGCTGCTATAAACATGCGTGTGCAAGTATCTTTTTCAAATAATGACTTCTTTTCCTCTGGGTAGATACTCAGTAGTGGGATTGCTGAATCAAATGGTAGTTCTACTTTTAGCTCTTTAAGGAATCTCCACACTGTTTTCCATAGCTGCTGTAGTAGTTTACATTCCCACCAGCAGTGTAGAAGTGTTCCCTGTTGACTGCATCCACACCAACAGCTACTGTTTTTTAATTCTTTGATTATGGCCATTCTTGCAGGAGTAAGGTGGTATCGCATTGTGGTTTTGATTTGCATTTCCCTGATCATTAGTGATGTTGAGCATTTTTTCATATATTTGTTGGCCATTTGTATACCTTCTTTTGAGAATTGTGTATTCATGTCCTTAGCCCACTTTTTCATGGGATTGTTTGTTTTTTTCTTACTGGTTTGTTTGAGTTTGTGGTAGATTCTGGATATTAATCCTTTGTCAGATGTATAGATTGTGAATATTTTCTCCCACTCTGTGGGTTGTCTGTTTACTCTGCTGACTGTTCCTTTTGCCATGCAGAAGCCCTTTAGTTTAATTAGGTCCCAGCTATTTATCTTTGTTTTTATTGCATTTGCTTTTGGGTTTTTGGTCATGAAATCCTTGCCTAAGCCAATGTCTAAAAGGGTTTTTCCAATGTTATCTTCTAGAATTTTTATAGTTTCAGGTCTTAGGTTTAAGTCCTTAATCCATTTTGCTAACTCAGATTTAAATGTACTTTCAAAGAAGATTAATTGTTGTATGTCTTCCACATTCTACCAGTATCTTCATAGCCTAAGAATCCCTTGAAGCAGAATGACCTACACTCTATTTGGGACCAGTGACTGCTGAAAAATCTCAATTTGCTGTATATCCACCCCCCCTCCATGTGTTTATATTTTGTAAACTGGATCCTGAGGTTTAAATATTGTGGGTAGTGGATTACTAGTAACCAACATGGCAAAATACTATAATGCTTCATTAAACAAAGCTGTAAGATAAGGTTAATATAACTAGAGAATAAGGAAGCCTGTGCTATGAGCAAAATGAGGGTTAGTGGAAATCTTGGTGCACTGTAACTAGTTTGCTTATATGTAAATGTATTTGTTTATATTGTTTCAATATGGGCTTAATTGTATCCTTTAAATGACAGAGTTGTCAGCAATTTCCAGTTTGCACTGTAGATTTTTGGAGGGTGAGACCTCTGTGAAATTCTCTATAATGAAAGCCAGGAGCTTATAAAATGATATGATTTCACTGCAGTTCAGATAATCAGGGACTAGAAAAGTCAAACCAACCCTCTCATTCGTGACAATTAACAAAGCTGGACAAAATATAAAAACCATCTTCATAAAGGCATCAGAAAACTAAAAAAAAAAAAAGAGTGAAAAATTATAGTGCCAAGATGGGGTGAAAACAGAGGTTCCAGAAAGTAAGACCATCACTGGGACCTTGTTTTCTCTTGGGGTGTTTTCTCATTTCAGGAGGAGATTAAGTACTTGAGACATTGAGTAACATTATTACAAGCTTCGAAGGGCTGGGTAGACAGGGATTGGAGTCTCCTTTAGGGTCCCTAAAGGGGACTTAAAGAAGATATTCATTTTTCAGACTCTAGCTCAGCTTTGAATCATCACCCCATCACTGGACTTGAATTGAAGTGATTCCCTATTGCTAGTGCCAACAAGCACTTGATGGAATCAAACATAAATCCTCTCTGGAGGGCAATAACATTAATTTAGACCTCAAATTACTTCTTACAACAGTTTTGCAAATACAACGTTCACAATTGTGAATTGTGCTATAATAAACATGCAGTGATGTCTTTTTTGTGGTGTCTTTTTTGATATAGTGACTTCTTTTTTGGGGGGTAGATACCCAGTAGTAGGATTGCTGGATCAAATGGTAGGTCTACTTTTAGTTATGTAAGAAATCTCCAAACTATTTTCCATAGAGGTTGTACTAATTTACATTCTCACCAGCAGTGTATAAGCATTCCAGATGAAGGGAGATTTAGTGAACTAGAAGGTAGGTCAGAAAATATCCAGATTGAAACATGGAGAGAAAAAAAGGATAGAAAACACAGAAGAGAGAATAAATGACATAGAGAACTCCATAATAAGATTTGTTTACATTTAATTGAAGTCTCAGAAGAAGAAAAGAGAAATAACAGTATAGACACAATATTTAAGCATATAATAGCCGAAAATTTTCTGAACGTTATTTTTAAAAAATCATTTTAAAAGGCTTATATACCCTAAGGAAAAAGCACAAAGTGAGGCTGGAAAACTCATTTGGAGTCAGAGTGTCAAGGACTCCATCAATCCATGGAGCTAAATTTTGGCATGTGGACATTTGGGAACATTGATGGAACAAATATCAGGATGAGATCCCAGAAGCCCAAGGAGTCATATGAGGGGCCATTTGCTTAAAGAAACCAAGATCAGAAAAGGGAGACACATGAGTACTTAGAGGGCTATGAGAGTCAAATCTGGAAAAGCTGAGCTTAATTGTCAAATCCCAGCAGACAGGAGACAGAAAAAATAGAAGAGAAACATCCCACAGGTTGGGACCTAGGCAGAACTGAAATGGAATAAGAAACTAGAGCCAAGCAAAGTTGGGAAACTACAACAATTTCATGGAAACACTCTGAATATCTGAGGCAAATGGTTTAATTTGATTTAAGGGCATGGTAATGGGGTGGATGATTGAAGGCTTTAAGGAGGTGAATAACATGGTACTAAGTGTGCTTTACAAAGATCATACTACAAAGATCAGTGTGAAAGGTGAACTAGAGAACTTGTGATGGTTATGATCTCAGGATTGGGGATCAGGCAGTCTTGAGTGCAATGCCGATTCCACCTCAACTATCTCTGTTTCCTAGGGCATTTTGCGTAAGCTCCCTGGGCCTTGGCTTTCACATCTGTAAATTGGGCATCTTCACAGGGTTGTTTTGAAGTTAATGAGATAATACATGTGAAGTACTTGGCCTAATGCCTGGTTTACAGTGAGCATCCAGTGAGCAGTGAGAGGGCTCTTCTGAGGAGAAACCAGAGGCAGCAAGATCAACTGGGATGGTACTGAGATAGTCTAAGGGAGCCCGAGGGAGTGCAGGCATGGGCCAATAAACAGCTGTAAGAATGAGGAGCGGGGAAGATGTATCAGGGAATGTGTATGTGTGTGTGGGCAGGGGAGTATAGGGACAGTGGAATAAGGCAAAGAAATAATGCTGGAGTCCCCACCCCAACACTTCTTGGGCACATGCTCTGTGTCTAATTGTATGCAGCTGATTAAGCCCTATGCCTAGATAACACTGACAGCCCTAGGCCTCATTAAGCAAATTCATGCATGCTGCCATGGATGTACAAAAGATACATTTGGTCTTCAGACTGAAGGGGCCTGCTATAGCCAAATATTCTGCAAGAATGTACAAGCCTGGTGTGAACTTTGGCCAGAGGCAAGCACTTTATTTGTAATAATCTCTGTCAGCCATACCATGACCCCCAACAATTTGCACAGGTCCAGCAGGCTGTTAATTTTTCATAGAATTGAAGAAATAATTCAGAAATATTAAGGGAAAACTTACTTGTGTAGTTAATTTACTCCCCCTTTCCACATGGTCGCTTCTTCAACCCAACCTAATACTTATGAGTAACAGCTCAGAACAGACGCTACTTATCTTCTCAGCCCAAGCAAGCTGTCTTGCAAAAGAGGTTAAGAATAGATTGCAACTCCCTCTAAGGTCTCGCTTTTGTCCCCTTGTTGCTTTCATTTAGACAAAAAGAAGTCTGTTTATCAAAGGATTTCCTGAGGCTCCAAATCCCTGTGTGAGGAGGTGAGGTGTGAAGGCCGAATGGCTCACTAGGGAAGATTTTAATCAGTGAGTACCACCAGTGGGTGCTTTCTCTTGGTTATGTTTGATTCCTCCAGCTTCACCACTGAGAAAAGTAGGCAAAGGGCAGAAAGGGTGACTAGTAAAGCAATGGAAAAGAGGAATAGAGGAGAAAACCTCACTGCTGTAGCACCTTAGAGAGACTCAATAAAATCCTGTTTCTCCCAAGTGGCAGTTAACTCCACTGCCAGCTCCCCTAACAGCCAGCCCTAGGAAAAATAGTGTAATAGACTAAATGATTTCTGGTACCCTCATCTGCTTGCTTCTGTCACCCATCATTACCTCCTTTCCCAACACTGAATCCCAACTGCCCTCATGCTGTGCCTCTTCCTTTGCCATCAGACCAAATGTAACCTTATCTTGTGATTTGGGCCTTTCTTTCCCTTATTCAACTTTGTCCCACAGAGCCTGAACTAATGTGTGTGTTCATTCTAGCAGTGCCCAAAAGGGGCACATCCACATTGGAAACTGGGAGCCTCAGGACACTTTAAAACTTTAAAAAGAAAAATGATATCTGGCCTCTGCCAGAAAATAAAATGGCGCCTTGAAGGAGCTGCAACAATTTGGACAGATATAATACTTTGACACTTTTGTTCACCTCAATTCGTCTAAATTCAGTACTAATTCAGGTTGCTTTCAGTTTTTGTTTCCATGTATGGACAACAACTTGGGGGCTTATTTGGGAGAGCAGCCATGCCCATCTGGCTCATCGTTATGCCCACCCACGCACAATTCCCCCCAACACCTGTGTCTGGCACATAGAGTTCCATAATTGTTCCCCAGATTTAATGAGAATGAGCATATGATTGTTAATTTTTCTCCTGCTGAATCCAGAGATAGCAAAAAAGCACTTTTCCATTTTAATAGCAGCCCTTGAAATATCAGTTTTAATATTTGCTGAGACTTACGTAACCATTCAATAATTAATTCTCATACTATCTTGTGAAATTAGTTATTCTTAAGAAAGTTTTACAGATGAAGAAATTATGTCGAAATCCTGGTTTAAGAACAAGGGAGAGGCAAAATTTAGATTTGAATCTCAGATGGAAATTGCTTAAAGGTAGATTTAGCCCAGTTTATGCTTAAAGGTATTAATGATGGTGATGGTGAAGATTCTGAGATGACTGTTTTCTTTTCTTTTTTTTTTTTTTTGAGACAGAGTCTCTCACTGTCACCCAGGTTGGAGTGCAGTGGCATGATCTTGACTCACTGCAACCTCCACCTCCCAGCTTTAAGCCATTCTCATGCCTCAGCTTCCCAGGTAGCTGGGATTACAGGCATGTGCCACCACAGCTGGCTGATTTTTTTATTTTTAGTAGAGATGGGGTTTCGCCATGTTGGCCAGGCTGGTCTCGAACTCCTGGCATCAAGTGATCAGCCCGCCTTGGCCTCCCAAAGTGCTGGGATTACAGGCGTGAGCCACCATGCTTGGTCCCAAGACGGTTATTTTCTAACTGGGAGTCCTCAACTATGTACATGACACGTTTGTCTTCCTCCTAATAAGACATGTTTTAATAAAAGGGGAAAACAGTTGTCTTTTTAATGGTTTATCAAATTATATTCTCAAGTGTTTCCCTACCCCAGTCAAGGGCTTCGTCATTCTTTTAGTCAGTCAAAGCCATTATGGCTTCCCTCCTTTTCCCATCCACACCCGTTCATCAGGAAGTACAATCACCCTGACTTCCTAGATGTGTTTTAGTTTTTGATTGCTACCACCCTAGCCCCAGCTCTTGCCTAGAAGATTGAAATAGCCTTTTAAATATTCCCCTGCAGCCATTCTTATTTCCTTACAATCCATAATCTTCAGATCAGTGTAACTTTTATGCTTTTTTATAAACACAAATCAGTTCATGTCGTAGCTCTGTCTCCCATTGTATTTAAAAGAAAAGTTAAACTCTTGTCCAAGGCCTTACATAATCTAGTTGCTCTTTGACCTCACATCTTTTCACTCTTTCTCTTACTTTCTATACTGGCATTACACTCCAGTCATTCCAGCCATCTTACTATTCCTTAAACATACTGAGTTTATTTCTACCTGAAAGTCCTTTTACTTGCTGTTTACTGACCATTGTTCTAGTGTTGCTAGCATCATTGTTAATACGTTGTTAATCGTTTGTTAAAACCTACTAAACTCTATAGAGTGCAAGCAGGAAACAATTTTATTCTTTCTTACTACTACTCCTCTGTCAAACAATTTCTTCCTCAGCCCTGATGAAATCCTGGACAGATCTCATAACTTGTTTGATGGTTTTCAGTTATGAAAAGGTCCACTAAAATCTAAAATTGTGGTTTTCAACAGAAGAGGCCCACTCACTGGGGGCATTTGGAAATTCATGGGACACATTTGGCTGTTGCAATGGTGGGGGATGAGATTCAATGGTATTGGCTATATACAGGCCAGAGAAACAAGGCTTCTGCCAGCAAATGAACACTTGTTGCAGATATTGCATGGCTTTCAAATGACCCGCTGGACATTCATGTATACATGAAAGAAAAACATAAATATAAAATATTTTTGCCTTGATTTACTATACACTAAATTTTCCAAAATTGAAAACACTGGATAAATCAAAGGACGATTATACATTGTTTTGTTCAGAACTTTCCCAAGAGTTGTTCGTCATTTCAAAAAAATCATTTCACTAACAGACACACCATGTGTGGTATATAAATAACCAATACGGCACACTTGTGTAAGACGTCATCAGTAGCTGCTATAATTATGGTGGTTCTGTATGTATGTATAGGAATACACTTAATCCTTATTTCAAATGGTTAAACATAAAGAAAAGATACTGATTATATTCAATTAAATATTGTTACTCACTTCAATCCAGACTTGTTCACTATAAGTAGTTTCAAGCATTTCATTCATTATGTGATCTAGTATAGTCATGCCAAGGAATTTGTATATTGAAATGTTTATTATTTTATTATAAATTGCTTTTATTCATTTCACCTTCATATTACTGTTCTATTTGTTTACATCTTTATTTGTTTTTGAAATTTTGTGTGTAGGTATTATTTATATATTTCATTTCAGGATATTAAAGAGAAATGTTAAAATATTTATTATAAAAAGAGGGCATTGAGTCTGACAGGATTAAGGACCAGATTCTCAAGAAATCTTACTCTGGTGCATCCCATCAACTCGATGAGAATGCAGTTCACTTCTGCAGTAGCATCTTTTCTCACTTTGCCCTCGAGGAAGTCTTATAAATCCAATTCCAGTTGAATCCCTGAAGCCCCCAAATTCCAGAGGGTACAGCTATCCAGGTGGTTTTCTTAAATTGCTCTAACTTGACTTAAAGGAAAAGGAACAAGATGGGAAACATCACGGTATTGCAACAACTTGTTCTCTAAGGAAATAGTCCTCATCAACTCAACAATTTCTCTTTGTTAATCTTGTATGTCCTGTGCATATAATGATCTGAGGGGAGCAAATCAACTTTTGTCACCTTGTGCGCAAGTCTTCCATAAATTTTCTGGCACCTTATTTTAGAATTTAACACAGTCAGGGCCTCTGTTACAACCTTGAGGCAAGATGGACACCGTTTTAAAATTTGAGAAGACCAGGATTCCTGTAGGAATGAGTATGAGTACTGGGTGAATGTCATTCCTATTTTTTTGAGATGGAGTTTCACTCTTTCACCCAGGCTGGAGTGCAGTGGCGCTGTCTCGGCTCACCACAACCTCCGCCTTCTGGTTTCAAGCGATTCTCCTGCTTCAGCCTCCCGAGTAGCTGGGATTACAGGCATGCGCCACCACACCCAGCTAATTTTTGTATTCTTAGTACAGATGGGGTTTCACCATGTTGGCCAGGCTGGTCTCGAACTCCTGATCTCGTGATCCACCCACCTCAGCCTCCCAAAGTGCTGGGATTATAGGCATGAGCCACTGTGCCCAGCCATAAACGTCATTTTTTAACTGCCAAATGTCAACTTTCTGGTGTTGATATTGCAATATGATTATGTAAGATGTTACCACTGAGGGAAGCTGGATGAAAGGAATACAGAACTCTCTGTACTTTTTAAAAAAATTCTTGTGAATCTATAATAATTTTAAATTAAAAAGTTAATAATATGCTAACTTGATTCTTACATGTATATTATTAAATCTCATCATGGGAGTGACATCAGCAACATGGCACAGTAGGAAGCTCTAAGCCCTTGTCCTCCTATGGAATCATTAAATAAACAACTAGGAACTGACTAAAATGACTTTATAGGAGCTCTGGAAATCACTCAAAGATCTACAGCAACCAAGCAAATACCCAATTTTTTAAAAACCGAAATTACAAATGGTAGAAAATTTCGTAACATTTTTACTTGTCCTTGCCCCACCTGCCCCTAGCATAATTTCCAAATTTGAGGCAATGCATAAATATACAAATATAAGAAGCTCCGTGAACTCAGAGATCCACAGCAAGGCACATTATAATCAAACTGTCAAAAGACAAAGAGAGAACCCTGAAAGCAGTGAGAAAAGTAACTCATGATGTACAAGGAATCCTTAATAAAATAATTTCTCAGAAGAAACCATGTAGGACAGAAAGCAGTAGAATGATACATTTAAGGGGATGAAGTGGAAAAAAAAAAAGCCTGTCAACCAAGAATTCTACATATGGTAAAACTGTCATTCAAAAATTACAGAAAAATTAAGAAATTCTCAGATAAACAAAAGCTGAAGGCATTTATTACCATTACATGACATACTAAAGGAAATCTTTTAAGTCGAAATGAAAGGATGGTAGACAGTAACTGAAAGCCATATGAAAATATAAAGTACAGGTAAATACATGGACAAATATAAAAACCAGTATTATTGTCATTTTAGTACCTAATTCTGCTTTTTATTCTTCTACAAGATTTTAGAGGTAAAAGAATAAAAAATAATTACAAATCTACATTAATGGGTAAACAATATATAAAGATGTAATTTGTGACATCAATAACATAAAGTGGACAAGAAAGAGATGTAAATGAGTACAGTTTTTGTATGCAATTGATGTTAAATTATCAGCTTAAATTGTTATAATGTTAGTATGTTACATGTAGTCTCCAAGGTAGCCATAAAGAAAGTATCTATAAAATATACATAAGTAAATGAAAATGGAATCAAAGTGTATTACTACAAAACATCAACTACACACAAAGGAGGGCAGTAAGGGAGGAAATGAGGAACAAAAAAAAAAGCTGTAGGACATGGAGAAAACAAATAATTAAGTAGCAATAGTAAGCTCTTTCCTATCAGTAATTGCTTTAAATGTAAATGGATTAAACTCCCAAATCGAAAGATATAGATTGGCTGAATGGATAGAAAAACAACATCCAACAATATGTTATCTACATGAAACTTTCATTAAACTTAAAAACATGCATAGATTGAAAATGAAAAGATGAAAAATAATATTCCATGCAAATACTAACCAGAAGAGAGCGGGGGTGACTAAACTAATACCAGACAAAATAGACTTTAAGTAAAAAACTTAGGCTGGGAATGGTGGCTCATGCCTGTAATCCCAGCACTTTGGGAGGCCAAGGTGGGTGGATCACCTGAGGTCAGGAGTTCAAGACCAGCCTGGCCAACATAGCAAAACCCCATCTTTACTAGAAATACAAAAATTAGCTGGGTGTGGTGGCAGGCACCTGTAATCCCAGCTACTCAGGAGGCTGAGGCAGACAGAATTGCTTGAACCTAGGAGACAAAGATTGTAGTAAGCTGAGATCATGCCACTGCACTCCAGCCTGGGCCACAGAGTGAGACTCCATCTCAAAAAAAAAAAAGTAAAAAACATAAAAAAGATGTAGAATATTATATAATGAAAAAGGGTTAATTAACCAAAAATATACAATAATTATAAATATATATGCATCAAACTTCAAATATTGCAGAATTGAAAAGAGAAGCAGGCATCTGTATAATAATAGGAGGAAACTTCAATACTCCAATAGCCCCACTTTCAACAATGGAGAGAGCAACCAGCTGAAAAAATCAGTAAGGAAATAGGGAACTTGAACAACACCATAGAACAATTGAATCTAAAAGACATACAGGACACTCCACCCAATAATAGCAGAATACACTTTTTTTTTTTGTAAAGTTCACATGGAACATTCTCCAGGACAGACTACATGTGAGGCCACAAAAGAGTCTTAATGCATTTAAAAAGACAGAAGTCATACAAAGTAGCTTTTACAATCACAATAGAATGAAAATAAAAAAATCAATAGCAAAAGGAAAACTGGAAAATTCACAAATATGTGGAAATTAAACAAGATATTCTTAAATAACCAATGGGTCAAGGACGAAATGACAAGAGAAATTTTAAAATATCTTAAGACAAATGAAAGTGAAAGGTCAACATTTAAAAAATGAAATACAGTGAAAGCAGCACTAAAAGGGAAATTTATAGCTATAAGGACATTAAAAAAGAAGAAAAATCTTAAATCGACAGCCTAACTTTAAATGTTAAAGAACTAGAAAAGAAGAACACATTAAACCCAAACATAGCAGAAAGAAGGAAATAATAAACATAAGAGCAGAGATAAATAAAATAAAGAATAGTAAAACAACAGAGAAATTAACAAAATTAAGAGTTGGTTCTTCAAAAATATCAACATTGACAAATTTTCAGTTAGATTGACTAAGAAAAATGAGAGTGGACTCAAATAACTAAAATTATAAGTGAAAGAGGGGATATTACTATTCATTTTAAAGAAATAAAAATTATCATAAGGGAGTACATGTATATAAACATTTATATACCAATAACTTGGCAAACTAGATGAAATGGACAAATTTCTAGAAACATGCAAGCTACCAAGACTGAATCATGAAGAAATGGAAATTTTGAACAGATCTATGACTAGTAAGGAAATTAAATCATTAATCAAAGTCCTCCCAACAAAGAAAAGCTCAGGAACAGCTGGCTTCACTGATGAATTCTACCAAACATTTAAAGGATAATTAACACCAATCTTCCTCTAACTCTTCCAAAAAGATTGAAAAGGAAGTAACACTATCAAACTTCTTCTATGAGGCCAGCATTACCCTGATACCAAAGCTAGACAAAGACTCTACAGGAAAATTATATACAATATCCCTGATTAATACTGATGCAAAATCCTCAACAAAATATGAGCAAACCAAATTCAACTGTAAAGGAATTATATACCATGAGTGAGTCATTCCTGGAATGCAAGGATGGTTTCCCAGTTGAAAATCAATGTAATGCACCACGTTAACAGAATGAAGAACAAAAACCTCATGATCATCTGAATTGATGTAGAAAAAGCAGTTGACAAAACTCAACATCATTTAATAATAAAAATACTCAACAAACTGGTAATATGAGAAACTACTTCAACATAATAAAGAACATTTATAAAAAGCCCACATTTGACAACATACTCAGTAGTGAAACACTGAAAGCTTTTTCTCCCAAGAATAGAAGTGACACAAAGATACCCACTTTCATCAATTCTATTCAACATAGTACTGGAAGTTTTAGCCAGAGAAATTTAACAAGAAAACCAAAAAGAAAAAAGCATTCAAATTTTAGAGGAAGTAAAATTATCTGTTTGTAGACAATATAATCTCATATGTAGAAAACCCTAAAGATTTCACATGCACACACGAAACTCTGTTAGAACTATTATAGGAGGTGGTTCACACTTGTAATCCCAGCACTTTGGAAGGTCAAGGTGGGTAAATTGCTTGAGCCCAGGAGTTTGAAACCAGCCTGGGCAACATGGCAATATCCCATCTCCACAAAAATATAAAAAATTAGCTGGGCATGGTGGCATGTTCCTGTATTCCCAGCTGCTTGGGAGGCTGAGGCAGGAGGATCACCTGAGCCTGGAGGTCGAAGCTGCAGTGAGCTGTGATCATGCCACTGCCCTCCAGCCTGGGTGACAGAGCTAGAGCCTGTCTTAGAAAAAAAAGGAACAGACCAGGCGTGGTGGCTCACACTTGTAATCCCAGCACTTTGGGAGGCTGAGGCAGGAGGATCATGAGGTCAGGAGATTGAGACCACAGTGAAACCCCGTCTCTACTAAAAATACAACAAAAATTAGCTGGAGTAGTGGGGCACCTGTAGTCCCAGCTACTCAGACAGGCTGAGACAGGAGAATGGTGTGAACCTGGGAGGCGGAGGTTGCAGTGAGCCGAGATCACGCCACTGCATTCCAGCCTGGGTGACAGAGTGAGACTCCATCTCAAAAAAAAAAAAAAAAAAAAGGAACTAATATAAAATAATTCAGCACAGTTGCAGGATACAAAACTAACACACAAAAATCAGTTGTATTTCTTCACATAAACAATGAAAAATCTGAAAAGAAAGAAAATTAAGAAAACAATTCCATCTACGATAGAATCAAGAAGAGTAAAATACTTAGGAATAAATGTAACAAAAAAGGCAAGAGACTTCTACACCAAAAAACTGCAAAATATTGCTGAAAGAAAGTAAAGACACATGTAATGAAAAGATATCCCCTGTTCATGGATTGGAAGACTTAATAATGTTAAGATGTCAATACTACTCAAAGTGATCTACAGATTCAGTATAATCCTTATCAAAATACCAATGATTTTTTTTACAGAAATAGAAATATCTATTCTATAATTCATATAAAATCTCAAGGAACCCTGAACAGTCAAAATAATCTTGGAAAAGAACAACGAAGTTTAAGGCCTCACACTTCTTGATTTCAAAACTTACAGCAAAATTACAGAAATCAAAACGGTGGAGTATTGCCATAAAGACAGACATATAGATCAATAAAATAGAATAGAGAGCCCCCAAATAAGCTTATATATAATCAAATGCTTTTTGCCAATGCCGCAACGACCATTTGAAGGGGGAAAGAATAGTCTTCATTCTTTTCCATATGCATATACAGTTTTCCCAACAGTTTGTTGAAAAGACAGTTGGGAAAACTGTGTATGCATATGGAAAAGAATGAAGTTAGAATTTTGCCTTATACCAGTCACAAAAATTAACTCAAAATGTATCAAAGACCCAAACATTAGAGCTAAAACTGAAGTCTTCTGAAGTCTTAAAATAAAATGTAGGGGAATACCTTCAATGACATTAGATTTGGCAATGATTTCTTGAATATGACACCAAAAGCAGAGGCAACAACAAAAAAATTAAATTGAATTACATTAAGATTAAAAACATATGTGCACTAAAGGGCACTATCAACAGAATGAAAAGGCAACCCATGAAATGAGAGAATATTTGCAAATAATATATATGATAAAATGTTAATGTCCAGAAGATACTAAAAAACTCCTACATCTAAAGAACAAAAAAATCAAACCCAATTTAAAACTAGGGAAATGAATTGAATAGATATTTCTCCAAAGAAGACATAGGAATACAAAAAGCACTTGAAGATATTCCCAACATCACTAATTATAAGAGAAATGCAAATCAAAACCATAACAAAATACCACCTCACACCCATTAGAAAGGCTACTATTAAAAAATCAAATAACAAGTGTTGCTGAGGATGTAGAGAAATTGGAACTCTTGTCCATTATTGGTGGGAATGTAAAATGGTGCAGCCACTAGAGAAAACAGTATGGTGGTTCCTTAAGAAATTAAAAAATAGAATTACCATATGATCCAGCAATTCATCTCCTGGATATACATCCAAAAGAACTGAAAGCAAATGGTGAGTTTCATGTTTTATAGATATTTTTGAAAAACATTATTTTTTTTTAACTTTTATTTTTGGTCCAGGGAAACATGTGCAGATTTGTTATATAAGTACATTGGGTGTCACGGGGCTTTGGTGTACAAATTACTTTGTCACCCAGGTAATAAGCATAGTATCTAGCAGGTAGTTTTTCAATCCCCACCCTCCTCTCACTATCCACTCTCAAGTAGGCCCCAGTGTCTGTTGTTCCCTTCTTTATGCCCATGTGTACTCAGTGTTTAACCCCCGCTTATAAGCAAGAACATTCAGTATTTGGTTTTCTCTTCCTTAATTAGTTCACTTAGGATAATGGCCTCCAGATCCATGCATGTGCTGCAAAGTACATGATATCATTCTTTTTCAGGGCTGTGCATTTGAGAGGAAGATGAATTCTGTTATTGTTTCAAATAATTTCTTGATTTCTGTCTTAATTTAATTGTTTGCTCAAAAGTCATTCAGGAGCAGGTTCCTTAATTTCCAAATAATTATATAGTTTTGAGCAATCTTCTTAGAATTGATTTCTGTTTTTATTGCACTGTGGTCTGAGAGTGTGGTTGGTATGATTTTGGTTTTTTGCGTTTGCTGAGCATTGTTTCATAACTGATCGTGTGGTTGATTTTAGAGTATGTGCCACGTACAGATGAGATGAATGTATATTCTGTGGTTTTAGGATGGAGAGTTCTGAAGATGTTTGTTAGGTCTATTTGGTTAAGTGTTGAGTTCAGGTCCCAAATATCTTCATTAGTTTTCTGCCTCAACGATCTGTCTAATACGGCCAGTGGGATATTGAAATCACCCACTCTTATGACGTGGTTATCTAAGTCTCTTCAGAGGTCTCTAAGAACTCGCTTTATGAATCTGGGTGCTTCTGTGATGGGTGCATATATATGTAGGATAGTTAGGTCTTCATGTTGAATTGAACCCTTCACCATTACATAATGCATTCTTTGTCTTTTTTGATAATTGTTGCTTTAAAGTCTGTTTTGTCTGAAATTAGAACAGCAACCCCTCCTTTTTTCTGTTTACCATTTGCTTGGTAGATGTTTCTCAATTCCTTTACTTTGAGCCTGTGGGTGTCATTGCATGTGAGATGGGTCTCTTGAAGACAGCCTACAGTTTGGTCTTGCCCCTTTATTCAACTTGCCACTCTGCCTTTTAACTGGGGCATTTAGCCCATTTATATTCAAAATTAATACAGATATATGTGGATTTGTTCCTGTCATAACGTTGTTAACTGGTTATTGTGCAGACTTGTTTGTGTGGTTGCTTAATAGTGTCAATGGTCTATGTACTTAAGTGTGTTTTTGTGGTGGCTGGTAATGGTCTCTCCTTTCCATAGTTAGCATTCCCTTCAGGACCTCTCTTGTAAGGCAGGTCGGGTGGTAACAAATTCCTTCAGTATTTGCTCGTCTGAAAAGGATCTTATTTCTCCTTTGTTTATGAAGCTTATTTTGGCTGGATATAAACTTCTTGGTTGGAATTTCTTTTCTTTAAGAATGCTGAATATAGGTCCTCAGTCTCTTCTGGTGTGTAGGGTTTCTTCTTCTTCTTCTTTTTTTTTTTTTTGAGACGGAGTTTCACTCTTGTTGCCCAGGCTGGAGTGCAATGACACAATCTCAGCTCACCGCATCCTCTGCCTCCCAGGTTCAAGCAATTCTCCTGCCTCAGCCTCCCGAGTAGCTGGGATTACAGGCATGTGCCTCCATGCTTGGTTAATTTTGTATTTTTAGTAGAGACAGGGTTTCTCCATGTTGGTCAGGCTGGTCTCAAAATCCCGACCTCAGGTGATCCACCCACCTCAGCCTCCCAAAGTGTTGGGATTACAGGCATAAGCCACCGCGCCTAGCAGCTTGTAGAGTTTCTGCTGAGAGGTCCGCTGTTAGCCCAATACAATTCCCTCTGTAGGTAGCCTGTCCCTTCTCTCTAGCTGCCTTTAATATTTTTTCTTTCATGTCGTCTTTGGAGAATATGTTTTCCAAGTTGCTTCCTCTCCCTCTCTTTCAGGGATGTCAATGAGTCATAGGTTTGGTCTCTCTGCATAATCCCATATTTCTCCAAGGTTTTGTTCATTCTTTATTATTATATTTCCTAATTTTTGCCTGACTGAGTTAATTCAGAGAACTGGTCTTTGGGCTCTGAGATTCTTTCCTCAGCTTGGTCTATTCTGCTGTTAACACTTGGAATTGTATTATGAAATTTCTGAAGTAAGTTTTTCGGCTCTATCAAATCAATTTGGTTCTTTCTTAAAATGGCCATTTCATCTTTCAGCTCCTGTATTGTTTTATTGTATTCCTTAGATTCCTTGGGCTGGGTTTCAACTTTCTGCTGAATGTTGATGATCTTCCTTCCTATTTAATAATCTGAATTCTGTCTGTCATTTCAATCATTTCAGCCTGGTTAAGAACCATTGCTGGGGGGCTAGTGTGGCCATTTGAAGGTAAGAAGACACTCTGGATTTTTGAGCTGCCAGAGTTCTTTTGGCGGTTCTTTCTCATCTGTGTGGGCTGATGTTCCTTCAGGCTTTGAAACTGCTGTCCTTTGGATGGGGTTTTTTGCTTTTATCTTCTTTGATGTCCTTGGGGATTTTATTGTGGTATAAGGTGGGTTCAGCTAACTGACTTCATTTCTAGAAGATTTAGGAGGCCAAGTCTCAGTTCAGCACCCCTTATCTGCATGCTCTAACTCTAGGGGTCTGGTTTGAGGGTCTTGGCTTTGTTCTCTGGCCCCTTGAGGTTAGGAACCTGCTGTGCTGGAGGGGCCAAGGTGTTCCTGGTCCACTGGCCACAACATTGTGGGTGGTGCCAGCCAAAGCACTTTGTCTGGGTGGTGGCAGCAGGATCCATGCTTGCTTGTGTGTGCCAGTAGCCATGGTAGCATGGTAGGGTTCATGCACTTCAGCTGGTGCAGGGCATTGTTCTTGCACACACTTGCTGCAGCAGTAACAGCAGCAGGGGTGGGGTGCTGGTGGGAGTGGGGTTGCTGGCATCTGTGTGGGTGTTCACATGGGTGGCAGCTGTGTCATGATCAGGGTGGGGTTGCCAGTGTTTGTGTGTGCATTTGTGCTGGCAGTGATGGTTTGGTGGGGTGCCTGTGTGTCAGCAGGCCGGGGGACATTGGGGTGTGCTTGCACTGGCAGTGGTGGTGCAGAGAGGTACATGCTGGCAAAGTGGTGGTGGGAGGCCATGGGTGACTGCGTGCTGGCAAAGAGCTGGGGGCAGGCCGAGGTGCAGGGATCCTGTGTGTGGGCTGGCGTGTGTCAGTCGGGGCTGGTCTGCTGGCGTTCTCCAATGGTCAGTCATGGTCTTCCAGCAAAGAAGCTAGGATGAGGGCCCCTGGGAAGCACTCTGGTTGGGCATGTAGCTGCAAGTGGGTGTGGCCAGACTGGGGTCCCAGGAGAGGCCAGCAGACAGTGGGGCACTCAGATAGTACTGGCCTTGTCCCACAGGCAAGACCGCCCAGCTCTGCCCAGGTCTGACAGTCACCCTAAGGCTAAAGTCACCTAGAGGAGTACAGAGAAACTTGGGGGAGGGGTGTTCCTGGCCATGCTCCACTGCAGATGTTCTTGCACCAAACGCTCTGGGCTCCACTCAGGCTGGAGTCCTGCACCTGCCACCTCTCTAAGCAGCTCTTCCTGTGAGCTCAAGAGTCCATGTGTTTTGTGGGGTTTTCTGCTGCTAGAATTCCAGAAGTCGTCCATGGCAAAAGCAAGCCATTTCCCACCTGTTCAACTCATCCCTTCCCCAGGGGTCACTGGGACCCAGGAAGGAATTCTGGTACTTAGCAGCAATGTGCAGCCTTCCCAGCTTCCTCCCCCTTCAGGCCAACATCTGCGAACTTCTGTCCACTCTCAATGCCTTCCCTCTGAATATCTGCTCAGCGTGTGTGTCAGTGTTCCTGATGTCGTGGTGTCTCGCTGGGAGATGTTCCTCCTGGCTGTGTCTAGTTGACCATCTTGGCTCCTCCTTCCTATATTTTATCACAATAAAAAAACTCATCAGTAATTTCAGTTATTGTTTAGGACTTAAAATATTGGGCAGGAGGATTATATTATTACTGATATAGTTTAGACTTACTGGCTCATGGCAATAATAAAAATAGGATTGTTGTAGTTGATTTTATTATTTTTATATTCTCAACAGACAGTACACTCCATTACTGCTTGCATCCAGATCATATTGCTTTCCACCACCCAACCCTCTGTACACCACTACTGTTCAGTAGTCATTTATTGATGAAAGAAGGCATCCTGAAGGTACATTAAAATATGACTCCCCATGGATTAGGGATTCTCAACTATTATATTTGAGAAGTTACCCTTTTATTTTCTAAATTCGCCCAACAAAGTCCTCTGGTCAAGGATGCTTCGTGCCTCTGAAATACCTTGCGTATCATGAATAGACAAAGCCCCTTCTCTTGTGGAGTCTGCATGCCTTGTATAGGGGAGAGGCAAAGTTTTTAGATCACCAGACTAGTAATGGAGCAGGGAGTAAAGGGGGATGAAGAAATTTATGGAAACTCTTGAGGAGGAACCATGCTGGTGGTGTCCTCCTACATCCCTTTACATTTAGAAGAGTCATAGATAGTCAGTCATGAATATCCATCAGATACCATTCTATCTTTGGTAGAGTTGAGAGATGGATAGATTTATCACAAAGTAGTAGATCAGGGTCCTTCCTTTTATTTTTACAGGTTTCAAATAGATATAATGCACTGAATTCAAATCAAAGCTTCATATTCCCCCCACATCACTGATGTATTAATATTTCTGTTTATCTTATTAGCATTTACAGCCTGTTAATCTTTTTTGTGGGTTGCATTAGCAAACAGATCCATGTCAAAATCAAAATGAACCGTGGCTTCCCATCTCACTCAGAGTAAAAGCATGTAAGGCCTTATACCATCTCTACCCCTTTCCACCAAAACAAAGTTTGCACACACGCACACACACACAACACAACTCTTTCCCTTCAACTCTCTCCCTCTCTTACTTCTGCTATTACTAGGTACATTGCCTAATCTGCTGTTCCTTGAACTTGCCAGGCATAATCCTGCCTCAGGGCCTTTGCACTAACTGTTCCCTCTGCCTAGAACACTCTTCTTCCAGATATCTAAATGGATCACTTCTTCAAATTTTTGCTGAAATGTCACCTCAATGAGGTCAACTCATCAAAGTTAAAGCTCCCCTCCCCGCCCCACATACACAATTCCTACTCTCTTCCCTGCTGAATTTATCTCTATAGCATGCATCATCATCTAATAAACTATTTTTCTCCCCTGACTGCAATGTAAGCTGCACGAAGGCAGGAATTTTTGTCTATTTTGTTTACTGCCATGTCCCTAGCATAGAGAACATACCTGACCAAAAAAAAAGGTACTCATTAAATATCTGTTGAATGAATAAACAGATAGGAAAAGAAAAGGAAAAAATAAAAGAAGAAAAGAGAAGAAAAAAAAACACTTCAGAAGATATTCCAGATTCAAGAAGATACAGCCAAATAGTGGTCAACACACCAGTTTTCTTCCTGCTCTCATTTTTGCTTCCTCTGATGGGCTAGGTAAGGAAGATAAGAATAAATAAGACATTTGTAAGAGCACTTAAAAATTCCAAAGGGCTATTTTTTTTTTTTTTTGAAATGGAGTCTCACTTTGTCGCCCAGGAGAGCAGTGGCACAATCTCGGCTCACCGCAGCCTCTGCATCCCAGGTTCAAGCCATTCTCCTGCCTCAGCCTCCTGAGTAGCTGGGATTACAGGTGCACAACATCATGTCCGGCTAATTTTTGTATTTTTAGTAGAGACGGGGTTTCATCATGTTGGCCAGGCTGGTCTCGAACTCCTGACCCTAAGTGATCTGCCCTCCTCGTTCTCCCAAAGTGCTGGGATTACAGGCATGAGCCACTGCACCCAGCCCAAAGTCCTTTTATATACAATTTCTGGTTTGATCAAAATGTTGGACTACATTCCTGGAGACGAGGTCTACTGGTAGAATGTGACAATTTTATGGTTGCATTTTAGTTCTCATTTAAACGAACTAAATTCCTGCAAGAAACAGCCCATTTACTTATCAGAGAGCCAAGACCTTCCACTTATTTTGTTTTAAGGAATGTGTGTTCCTCACTGTTTTCTATTTAGTCCTGCCTTTATGCCTTTACTCGTGCTGTTCCTGTCATAAGAAAGGCTTTCCCTGTCTATCTATCTAAATGCTATGCATTCTTCACGGTCCATGTTGACAGGGTGGAAGAGGAGCAACATAGTAGTATGCATTAATAAATAAATTCTATTATTCTTCAATTACAAATTTCACCTGCATAACCTGCTTCTTGTAATGTGAAGAGAACTTTTAAATATAGCATTCACTGGGAGGGAAATGCTTTGTCAGCTGTTTTCCCAATGCCCAGTGGTTTCACCATGAACCATTCCTGGCACATGGTGGGTACTCAATTAATATTTGATACTTGAATAAGCCAATGATTCGGAGTCTCTGTATAGTCAGAATTCAGCTTAATTATGCCTTGAACCATTAAGAAATGAAACTGCATCAGAGCTCATACACTGAGTTAGAAAGCCAGCACAATTCTATGACAAGGCATATTTTCATATTCCCACATCTTCTCAACATACAGCCTCCTAATTGCCTTCTGCGCTACCCCACAGTATGCACATAATGCCATGCAATGGGCTTGCTTTGTGCAGATCCCCTTTATGCGTAACCATGGCAATGCTGTCTACTTCATACTTGAAGTGTCTGGAGGACTATGGCTGTGAATGTTAACTCACTGTATGATGACTTAATGACTTGCTTTGCATGCAGAAGGGCCCAGTACATTTTGGATTTTTTAACCATCATAATCAGAACACTTCCTCTGTTTCTTCTGTGAAGTAAAACACCTATTTACCAAATAGGCTAGAATAAAAATTCTAGACTCCCCAAACTGACATATGAAGACAATGTCTGGCTCTAAAATCTGAGGATAAAAGACTCAGGGATTGTCCTCAGAGCTTCTATTATCATCTGATATCTAGACATTGGCAGTGGAATTCCTGTCACCATTTTGCACAGAAAGAATCACGTTGTGGCAATGCTAAAAGTACAGAGGATACAAATGTAGTGCACCCTGTACATTTTGTCTCTCACAGGTTCTAGCTATGACATGTGGCCAAGTTCTCCATGCAAGAAGGCATATTTCCCTCCAGGGTTTGCATTTATTTTTCATGTGAATATTTGGATGCTTCCAGAATCCCACCCATATGCCACTAATCTGATCAATTTTAAGCCAACTCTTCCTTTACTGTTAATTGGAAATAGAAAGTATGGTGAAATACTGAATAAGGCAAGCCATCTTTTAAAACATACACACACACACACACACACACACACACAAACACACACACATTTCCATATTCTGACAAACTATACAAGATTTTGAAATCAAACCCACATCTCGCTTTTGATCTGTTCATAATTATGTCATTATGTAAACACTTTGTGAGAAATTCATAGATAGTTTATGTTAAAAGTAACTCAAATTTCAATTGCATTTTAATTAGTTTCTTTATAAACCTATTGCAGGTAAATTTTCATAAAAGTTTTTATAATTTCCTTTAGGAAGAATATACAGAATGTGGAAGTAGTCTAAAACTCAGATCAAGAACAAAACTGGTATGTTTTAGATTAACTTTAAAAAGTAATAAAAGAAGTCCAAGTTAGGGAAAGTTGACACATTATTCTAAACTTATAGCATCTTCAAAGAAAGGTGAAATACAATTTGGTTCATTGTTGTGTCAGTCTTAATTTTTACTTGGAATATAGCTTATGTGTTGCAATTCAGCACCATATAGAATCTAAATTCTTCACGGCAGAATTTCTTTTTTTAACTATATAACTTACCTTCTTTAAAACATTGTGTATATTTATGATTCTTTGTATATATGGTTCTAGAAATGGTGATTCATACTTTAAAATTTTTCTTAATTTTGTTTCTTATTCAGTGAGAACATTTAAAAGAATAATAATATGGCTTATCGTGTTTGGCTTCTAAAATAAAGATTTTCACTGACAAAGACATTCTAGCCCACAGCTGGGTTACCAAAACAAACAAATAAGAAGCACAAATAGGTAACTTATTCACTGCTTTAAAAAAAATGATTTTCCATTATAAGATGAAATGTCAAAAAATAATGAGGGGATAACATCAGTGAAAATGCTGGAGTAAGGAACTCTGAAATTTTGCTCCTCCATAAAAGCAATGTGAAAACTAACCAAAATTGTTAAAATCAACTTGTTCAGTACTCTGGAAACTAACCAACGGCTTTAGCCACATGGGAAGTGTTTAGTCAAGAAAAACAGCTGCATCTCAATAAAAACAGTAAGCTTTATGGCATTTACACTTACACTAGTCCTGTCCTCTGTTTCCATGCTCCACACCACCATGAAAAATAACAGACTGCCTTCCCAGTACTAGAGAAAGTAGAGCAGAGCTAGAGATCTTTCAAAGCTTCACTCAGAAATAGGAGTCACCACCAAATGGCTCCTTGGAAGATACAACTTGAAAGGCTTGTCATTATTAGAGCTCACTGAAACTCTCCTAATGCTAAACATTTCTACCCAGATGGTGGAGGGGCATTTCTCAAATGTTTTAACATCACAGTTGCCTGAAGTGATGGATAGCAGTTAAGGCAAACAATAAACCAGCCAGAAAGCTTAAGAGAAAAAGCTGAGGAATGAGATGCTTGTAGGGGTTTTGAAAAGTTTCAACATATTCTTGGGAATCTAAAAGGTCACAAATGTGTGTAGGGCTTTTCAGAAGCTCAGGAGAGACTTACAATGACTGTAATCGTTCATCTCTGACTGAACATAAGGCTCTGCACAAGCAGGAAGTGAAGGCTGAAACAGAGTTGTAAACTGATTGGTAGAGTGTTGAAGGCATGCCCCAACACACACATACGGGGCCCCTATGACTGGAAGACTTGAAGACTTTTTGGTTCTAGGCATTTAAGAAAAATGCTGTTTAATCATTATCTGACCACTAAGCCAAGTAAGTGGAGACTTTAGTGGCCACAAATGCAAAGATAAAGAATTTACAACATTACTTCATAAAAAGTAATTAAACAGCTACTTAAAGCAGCAACAAGAAACCCTGGGAGGGTAAGGGACTGATTTTCAGAGTTCTCGCATTGTATTCTTTGAAATGTCCAGTTTTCAACAAAAGAATTAGAAGATGTGCAAAGAAACAAGGAAGTATGGCCCACACACAGGAAAATAAGCAACCAATAGAAGCTGTCACTGAGGAAATCCAGACATTGGACTTACCAGGTAGACTTCAAAATGGCTATTTTAAATATTTTCAAAGAGCCAAAGGAAAACATGCCTGAAGAACTAAAGGAAAATATGAGAAAGTTGTCTCACCAAATAGAAAATAAAAAGAGACAGGAATAATAAAAAGAAACCAAATAGAAATTCTGGAGCTTAAAAATTACAATAACTGACAGGAAATAATCACTAGGGGAACTAATAGCAGATCTGAGCAGGCAGAAGAAACAATCAAAGAACATAAAGTGCGATTACATTATCCTTAGCAAACTAATGCAGAAACAGAAAACCAAATACTGTGTGTTCTCACTTATAAGTGGAAACTGAATGATGAGAACACATGGACACATGGGGAGAACACCACAAAACGGGGCCTGTTGGAGGGTGGGGAATGGGGGTAGGGAGAGCATCAGGAAGAATAGCTAATGGATGCTGGGCTTAATACCTGGGTGATGGGCTGATCTGTGCATCAAACCACCATGGCACACGTTTCCCTATGTAACAAACCAGCGCATCCTGCACATGTACCCCAGAACTTAAAATAAAAGTTGGGAATTAAAAAAAAGAAAGAGAGAGATCAATGAAAATTATCCATTCTGAGGTATAGTGATAAAAAAAAAGAATGAAGAAAAATGAGCAGAGTCTCAGAGACCTGCTCTATGATGTGGGATATCATGAAGCATACCAATATATGCATAATGGGAGGGCCAGGAGGAAAGAAGAAAGAGAAAGAAATAGAAACATATTTGAATAAATAATGGCCCCAAGCTTTTCAAAATGGTTTTAAAACATTAATCTGTGCATCCAAGAAGCCAACAAACTTCAAGTAGAATAAGCTCAAAGAGACCCACACCTACAAACATTATAATTAAACTATTGAAAGCCAGAGAAAAGAGAGAACCTTGAAAGGAGCAAGAGAGCAACCACTCATCACATACAAGTGATCCTCAATAAGATGAACTCATCAGAAACCACAGAGGCCACAAAACATATTCAAAGCACTGAAAGAAAAATTATAAACCAAAATTCCTATTTGTAGCAAAACCATAATTAAAAAAACGTAGGAGTAATTAAGACAGTCCCAGATAAATAAAAACTGAGAGTTTGCCACTAGCAAACCTGCACTAAAGAAATATTGGCCAGGCACGTGGCTCACTCTTGTAATCCCAGCACTTTGGGTGGCTGAGGTGGGAGGATCGCTTAAGCTCAGGAGTTAGAGACCAGCTTGGGCAACAGAGTGAGACCTCGTCTCAAAAAAACAAAAACAAAAAAAAAAAAAAAAAAAAGAAAGAAAAAAAAAAGAAGAAGAAGAAAGAAGAAGAAATGCTAAAGGAACTTCTGAAAGGACACTAGACAATACCTAGGATTTACACCTAACTTACTTGAGGAAATAAAGACCCTGTCACTCCAAACAGGCAGCTCCACTAGGTAGTATGTTCTCTGGGCAGCCACCAGGGGCCCGACCACCCCTGACAGGACTCCTAGGCTAGGCTTCACTTCTCAGGTGCTCCAAGCCCTTCTAATAGTACTTTGGTGGTTGACTTGGAGTCATCTTTCAAGGCTTGCTTTGTATCTCTGGTGAGTCAGGACTATATCAATGGCACTGATCAGGAAGAAATTCAAACTGGTGTTAATCAGTGTATCCAGAAGTTTCCGGATACTGCAAGAGAGACAATGTTTGCTTTGTTTTGTTTTTCCTAAAAAAAGATTGCAATTATCTGTCCAGAAACCAGAGCAAGTTATCAAAGAGGATATCTCAGAACTATGGAATGAATTACAACATTAAGATGCACTGGTCCAGAAGCATTTGACAAAGCTGAGGCATTGGCAGCAGGTGCTAAAGGACATCAACATGCAGAACAAAAGCCAGCCGACATCCCTCAGGGCTCCTTGGCCTACCTTGAGCAGGCATCTGCCAATATCCCTCCACCTCTGAAGCCAACCTGAGCAAAGGGCAAAGGCTGTCAGCCTGAGAGAGGGCTGGTGTGCAAGCTTTGCCACACATTCCTTCTTGTGGACTTGGCATTTGGGAAGAAGTCTTTGCCAGAGAAGGTGTTGATTTTAGTTTTCTGCTCCCACCAAAAATTTTTCCACTATTGTTACAAGCTGTTAATTTCTTGAGTACTCTATAAAATGTCTATAGCTTGGGTAAACCAAGTAAATTCTTTTTTCGTCTAGCAAAGTTTAGAGTGTTAGTATGATGATACCGACTCTTTTTTATGGTTGTTGTGCTTGTTTTTAAATTTTTGTATGACTTATCATCTTTTCATGTGTGTTTCCCATTGTTTGTTTGATCTGAGGGAAAAATTATAATAGCCTGAGAATCAGAGGAAGAGGATTTTTGTTGTAGGCCTCTTATGATAGTTACCCTTCAGTGGTAATGTAGAAAAATATGTAAATTTGCTCTGTTTCAAGACTTCAAACTACCTCAAGAAGAGGAATCTAATGCAACAATATTTGTAATGCTTCCAGAGCTCTCAAAATGAGGATTTTTTGTAAATAGGTCAGAAAAAGATTAAAATATCCTGGGTTAGTGTAGTAGTATTACAGTAGGAACCTTAGGTTGATGCTGACTTTTATTTGGCATAAGTTTATATTTTGTGTGCTGTTTATTTACTTTTTTGACAGGGAGGGATGTAGTGGGAGCTGTGATATGCTAAATGTTGTTATGTTCTGCAGCAATGAATTAGTTTAAGTAATGAGGCAGACCCTGTTTTCAGCAGTGTGACAATTGGGGCATAGGTGAGCTATGAGGGGCTGAAGCTTGCTCTGATCATCTCTTTCTGTTTTGAGTTTTGTTTGCTTGTATAATTTTTGTTTTACATTACGGGAGGTGAGACATTTTTCCATTAAGGAAGATTGTTGCTAATGGATTTCTTGATTAAAAACCTAAATAAACTGATTAAGTTTTAGGCATTCTTTCAAAGGGGTTCTCGGTGCAGAGATTGGGGACGATTCTATTTGGTGCTTAGTGAAAACATTTTGAATTAATGTATTGCCAATTCTTTATTAAATTCAAAAGCTTTTTTGTCAAATAAATAGCAAGTTTTCAAAAAAAAGAAAGAACACTAGTTAAGATAATTACATAGTTAAATATAAAAGACAGTATAAACATATTCTTTGTCATAACTTTTTTTCCCATATATGATTCAAAAGACAACTCACAATGCAATACATATAAATGTAAGCTGATGGGCACACAATGTATGAAGATGTAATTTGTGACAAAAACAACATAAGGGAGGGGGGAATGATACTATTTAGGAGCAAAGTTTTGTATACTATTGAAATTAAAGTTGATCTTAATCTGAACTAGATTATTATGAATTAAGATATTATTGATAACACCCAGGGTAACAACTAAAAATTGCTCAAAAATATATAGGAAAAGAAATGACAAGTGAATTAAAATGATACTGTATGTCTCTATTTAACACAAAAGAAGATAGTAATGGAGAAACTGAGGAATACAAAAAACACAAGACATTGAAAACAAATAGCAAAATTATAGACATAATCCTATTTTGTTATTCATTACATTAGAAAAAATATATTACATTTTCCAATTAAAAGACATAAATTGGCAGAACTGGTTTTTAAAACATCATCCAACTATATGCTGCATACAAAAGATATACTTTAAAGATACAAAAAGGTTGAAAATAAAAGGATAGAACAAAAGATTCCGTGTAAATAGTAAGCAAAAAAGAGCTGGAATGGCCATGCTAATATCAGACAAAATAGATTTTAAGGCAAAATTGTTACTAGAGAAAAAGGAGGACATAGTATAATGGCAAAAGGATCAATTCAAGATATAGCAATTATAAACTTATATGCTGAATTTTGAGGGTTCTAACAACAGAGCCCTCAAATTACAGAAGTAAAAACTGACAGAATTGAAGGGAGAAGGTGGCAAATCAACATTAATAGTTGGAGACTCCAACACTCTACTTTTAATGATTGATAGAACAACTAGACAGAAGATTAGCAGAAAAAATGGAAAACTTAACAACACTACAAACCAACTAGACCTGACAGACACCATAGAACATTCTACCCCACAATGGCAGAATATATATTCCTCTGAAGTGCACATGGAATGTTTTCCAGGATAGATCGTATATTAGGCTGTAAAACAAGGGTTAATGTGTTTAAAATGTTGTAATCATACAAAGTATGTTTTCTGACCATAATGGAATGAAATTAGAAAGCAATAACAAGAAAAGATGGGAAATTAACAAATATGAGGAAATTAAACAAAAATAATCTTTAATAACCAATGGGTCAAGAACAAAACACAAGGAAAATTAGAAAATACAGTGATATGAATTAAAATCAAAACATGGAAAAAAAACTCATGGGCAGCAAATATGTGTTCAGAGGAAAATTTATAGCTGTAAACACTTACACTAAAAAAGAAGAAATATCTCAAATCAACAACGTAAACGTCTGCCTTAAGAAGTTTGCTGAGAGTTTCTGTATACGTGGATGTAGGATTTTGTCAAAAGCTTTTTCTGAATTTGTTGATATAATCATACAACTTTTCTTCTTTAGCCAGTTAATGTGATAGACTACATTACTTTTCAAGCATTTAACCAGCCTTGCTATTTAGAGTTAATCCTAGTTGGTTGTAGTTAACATTATGTCTTAAGTACCCTTTTCAACTGGATATAGCTAGTCCTTTTATAGATCAGTGGTTCTCAAAATGTAGTCTTCAGACTGGCAGAATCAGCATCACATGGGAATTTGTTAGATATGCAAATTCTTGGGCCCTAGTCTAAACTTATGGAATTAACAACTCTGGGGGTGGGGTGCAGCAATCTGTTTTAAGAAGCCCTCCAGGTGATTCTGATGAACACTAAGGTCTAAGAACCACTGGCATAGATGGAGTGAGATAAGCAGCACAGGCAAATTCTACTATCTCTTTCCTACTTGACTTTGAACTCTAGTATCTGTTTCCAAAGACCACTGTAGAGCCCAGTGGTTTTCAATCCTGGATGCACATTGAAATCTTGTAGAGAAGGCTCCAGGGACTCTGATTTAATTGTTCCAGAGTATAGCCCTTCCTCATTAGCACTTTAACAAAGGTTAGTTTTTCAGATTAGGTGAGGACTCTTTGAACCACAGTTCAAATGAACTGCTTAAAAGGTCTGAGATGGAGCCCAGCTATCTGTTTGAAGCATCCCAGACCACATTTTGTGGAAAACTACTCTAGAGCAATGATTTTAAACTTTTTGACCGTAACTATTAGGAAGAAATATGCATTAAATGCATGGTGACTTAGCAGACACATACTTGTATGCATGCATGTATGTGTGTATATATATGTATGTGTATGCCTACATATATATACACATATACAAAACCCTCCTGAAATCATATTTATCTTTACTGCATACTATATACTTTGGTATATTCTATTATATTTCATATTTTAATGATTGAATGTTGACTTTGTAACCCAGTAAAGAGTTACATTGACTACTTTGAAAACAGCTGTACAAGATTTACCCAAAATATTCAAATCCATCTATGTGATGTAAGTGACACCATTCTAACAGGATGGGGGCTCATAAAATTCAATGGGTAGGAGAGGGAAAGAATGGTAGTGATCTTTCATGGGTGGTCAAAGGCCGAGTAAATGTTCATTGAAAGAGAGGGCAGACTTGGGAAATGGCTCCCCCAACTCAAAGGGAAATTATTGTGAGGAAACACCCCTAAGAGGCCATATTTTTGCAATTTTCTAAGGGGAAAACCCTGTATTTGCTTTTTAGGGTCTTTTCACTGCTAAATTTCAGATGTTCAGAGTAATAGAGAAGTTATGAGTCTGAGTAGCTCAGGCTTTATGATGACCAAACCCTAACTTAAAAATGTAAAATGAGCAGTGGCTTATTTTTATGAATACCATTTTATTGCCACTCAACTTCTTTCCATTTTAGACTAAAAATATTCAATTGAAATTAATAAAACAAACAACATGCATTTGTTGGTAAGAAACTGAGAGGAATTATTCCAAAGCTTGCACATCTGGTTGTAACTTAAAAGATTTAAAATATTACTAGGCTTCATTGGTGATTCAGTATTGTAATTACCCATGAAAAGGTATGTTAGTGCTTTATTGTGTGAATTAATTACCAATCCCATGAGACACCACCTGCAAGCCCATATTTAATGCATCTCTGTTCCCATTAGCAACATTCATGCAAACAGAGCATTCAGGGAGTAAATCTACCAAGTCATTTTTTGTAGTATTAATACAAGTCACCATAGTTTTCAGTTTTTAAATAGAGATGTTGAAGCACTACACCTACTGATTGCCCTTGTATTACAGCTGTATGAGTCAATAATGATAAGTAAGACCTTAAATCAGGTGAGCCTCCTGGATATCCACACTATTATATCATTCTTGCCATTGGCCTAGACTAGTAAGAAATAGAGGGAAAGCATTCTATTATGTATGTTGATATACGGATTTGAAGTCGCCAAAATACCTTGGGGAGGAACAATATGATTTTTAAAAACTCTTCAACTTTCCTTAGTATACTATCCTGCTTAATATTAATAGCAGTACCAGCTCTTCTGTTGGTTTGGTCAGATCAGTTAAAAATTCCAAAAGATGGCCTGGTGTGGTGGCTCATGCCTGTAATTTCAGCAGTTTGGGAGGCTGAGGTGGGCAGATCACGAGGTCAGGAGATGGAGACCATCCTGGCCAACATGGTGAAACCCCATCTCTACTAAAAATACAAAACTTAGCTAGGCGTGGTGGGGCGTGCCTGCAATCCCAGGTACTCAGGAGGCTGAGGCAGGAGAATGGCTTGAACCAGGGAGTCGGAGGTTGTAGTGAGCCAAGATCACACCACTCCACTCCAACCTGGCAACAGATCAAGACTCCATCTAAAAACAAAAACAAAAACAAAAAAAATCCAAAAGACCCTGATTGTTGCCAGCAGATGAAAAAAATACATGGGCTTATAGTAGAAGGATTTATAATCCTTTGGGTATATGTTTATTGCAGCACTATATGTTTATTGCAGCACTATTTACAATAGCAAAGACTTGGAACCAACCCAAATGCCCATCAGTGATACACTGGATAAAGAAAATGTGGCACATATATATCATGGAATATTATGCAGCCATAAAAAAGAATGAACTCATTTTATGCAGTCATAAAAAAGAATGAGTTCATGTCCTTTGCAGGGACATGGATGAAGCTGGAAGTCATCTGAAGCTGGAAGCAAACTGACACAAGAACGAAAACCAAACACCACATGTTCTCACTCACAAGTGGGAGTTGAACAATGAGAACATATGGACACAGGGAGGGGAACATCACACACCAGGGCCTGTTGGGGGCTGGGGGGCAAGGAGAGCGAGAGCATTAGGACAAATACCTAATGCATGTGGGGCTTAAAACCTAGATGATGGGTTGATAGGTGCAGGAAACTACCATGGCACACGCATACCTATGTAACAAACCGGCACGTTCTGCACATGTATCCCAGAACTTAAAGTAACATTTTTAAAAAGGCCTTTTTAATAAAGTAACCTTTGAACACCTCTCTAAAGAAAATGAAGAATGAAACAAGTGGATATCTAAGAAAAGAACTTTCTTAACAGAGGGAATTACAAGCGCAAAGGTCATGAGGTAACAGTGTGTGCGATGAGTTCAAGGAATGGCAAAAATGCCAATGAGTCTGGAATGAAGAGTTTGAGGGAGACAGTGGTAGGAGATTAGGTCAAAGAGTTATCAGGGGATCAGACCATGCAGGCCCTTGAGGATCATAATAAAATCTTTGGGTTTTACTCTGAGATGGGAAACCACTGGCAAGTTTTGAGCAGAAGAATGACTTCAAATCACCTGGCTTCTGTGTGGAGAACAAGCTGTAGGGGGTTTGGGGGCAAGGGTGAAACCGGGAGACAGGTTAGAAAGCTACAGGAATTCAAGTGAGAGATAATAGAAGCTTGGATCTGGGTAGTGGTGATGAAAAAGCTGATTAGTTACCAGAGCCTGGATTGACTGTTAGGGTAAACCAGTTTTTAAAAATAAAGCTAAGAAAATCCCTTCCATTATGTCTATGCTATGTTCATCCAATTCCCCACAGACATTTTCAGATTTGCCTGGATTTTAAGGCACAAGAGACTATTTCTTGCTAGTGCTGGTACACACACTTAAATGCACTGAGCTAACTGAGAAGCTATTGCCGTGATGCCTTTCAAGATAACCAGAGCAGTGGTCTTTTGGGTTTAACAGAAAAGCACTACATTTGATAACATAATGTTGGAAAACCAAAGTCTCAGAAGATTACTATTAGGCAATAATGTTGAAGAATCTATTGCTGGCTAAATCTGGAAACAAACTTTGTTGGGCACTTGTAAAAAAAAAAAAAAGGAACAAAATGGCCTGCACTACACCCCACCCTATAAAAAGATCTTGATATTTTGCATTTTTTTCCATATTTTTAAACTAAGACATAATAAAGTAACAAACTCACATTTCTTACCAGATTATAGTTACCAAATACTGACCCTAAGAGGAACACTTTCACCAAACAACCATATTCAGCACATTTTCAGTGTACCCAGTGCATGTGAGGTATTGATTAATAATGCAAGAAGCAGTCAAAAGTCAGTAGTTTTCTCAGAACCTCTTTCAAGGTGGGCCTGTTCTGAGGTCAAGAAGGCAACTTCCACGTCCTTGATACCAACTTTCAAATCTCTCTCAGACCCAGGGATAGAAATTCAAACTATCTGGCTTTAAAGAAGAGGACAAGCCGAGAAAGAAAGAGATAGCCAGGCTACAGAAGATTTGAGCAATACTATCAAACAATTAGACCTAATTGCCATGTATAGAACATGCCAACTGAAACAGCGAAATATACTTTCTATTCAAATGCACCAAGAAAAACCATATCTGGGCTATAGAATCAGCTGCAACAAATTGAAAATAAAATAAATCATACATTGTATGTTCTCAGACCATAATGGAATTAAACTAGAAATCATTAACAGGAAGATATCTGGTACATTCCCAAATATTGAAAATTAAACCACACACTCGTGGGAGATTAAAAAATATTTTGAACTAAATAAAAAAGGAGATACAACATATAAATCTGTGGGATGTAGCTAAAACAGTGCTCTTAAAGGGAACAAGAGCTGGCCAGTAAAGTAGTATTAAAAGTAATGGCAAAAACCACAATTACTTTTGCACCAACATAATAAAAGCAGATTTTATTCAGGAATGACTGCAATAAGGAAACAGAGATCTCGGTTTAGAACCGATCTTGGTTCTGAATACAACAAGGAAAAGTGGGAATTTATAGCCAAGGATCAGCATGGAGGGTTGGAGGACAAAAAATTACTAAGAGTAGGGCAATTCTTGCTAAACTGACCTAACAGGATTCTTGCTGAAGGCAGGCCAGGGTGATCATATATCACCTGGGGCATGATGGAGGATGAGGAATTTGACCAGATATTGAGAGTGATCAGATCTCAAGGGATTCTCACTAAACTAACTCAGCAGAATGCTTGCTAAACTTCTGCAAAGACACAGTTTGGAGGCTCAAAGGTCATAGTGTAGCTGAGAAGAAGGCTCAGAGGACCCCACTTAAAGTTTGGTCAAGGAGAGAGGCTTTGTCAATGTTTAGAGGGAAATTTATAAAATTAAGTAAAAAATAAAAATAATAAAATATGTTAAATTGAAAACAGAAAAGCAATATCATGAAACTAAAATCTGGTTCTTTAAAGAATAATGAAATCGATAAGCCTCAAGTGAGACTGACCAAGAAAATACAAGGCACGAATTATCAATATCAGGAATGACAGTGGGGAATTTCACTAGAGACTACACAGACATTAAAAAGATAATAAGAGAATACTATGAATGTCTCTATGCCCATAAATTAGACAACTTAGATGAAATTGATTAATTCCTTGAAAGCCATAAACTATAAAACATTATTGAAGAAAAATATATAACCTGAAGGGTCCTATATCTATTAAAGAAATTTTGTAGTTAAAAATCTTCCAAGAAAGGAATCACCAGGCTCAGATGATTTCATTGGCAAATGCTACCAACCATTTAAGGAAGAAATAATAACAATTCTACACAAACCTCTCCTGAAAATAGAAGAGGAAGGTACACTTTCCAATTCACTTGATAGGGCCAGCATTACCCTAATGTCAAAACACGATAAACATATTACAAGAAAAGAAAACTATGAACCAATGTCCCTAATAAAAATATAGATACAACAATCCCTAACAATTAGTAATCAACTTCTGCAACATATAAAAAGAAGAGGCTGGGAGCGGTGGCTCACGCCTGTAATCCCAGCACTTTAGGAGGCCGAGGCGGGTGGATCTCCTGAGGTCAGGAATTAGAGACCAGCCAGGACAATATGGTGAAGCCCCATCTCTACTAAAAATACAAAAATTAGCTGAGCGTGGTGGTGGGCGCCTGTAATCCCAGCTTCTCCGGAGGCTGAGACAGGAGAATTGCTTGGACCCAGGAGGAGGAAGTTGCAGTGAGCCGAGATTGCGCCACTGCACTCCAGCCTGGGTGACAGAGCAAGACTCCATCTCCCCCCAAAAAAAAAAAAAAAAAAAAAAAAAAAAATTACATCATGACTAAGTGGAGTTTATTCTTGGAATTCAAGGCTGATTTAACATTCAACAATCAATCAATGTAATCCACCATATTTAACCAAACTAAATGTAAAAACCATATAATCATCCTAATGAATGTGGAAAATGTATTTGACAAAATTCAGCATCTATTCATGATTTTTTAAAATTCTGGGCAAATTAGGAATGGAAGTTAACTTCCATAACCTAATAAAAAGGCATCTATTGAATACCTACAGATGACATTATACTTTATATTGAGGAACTATATGCTTCCCCCCTAAGATAGAAACAAGCAACAAGCAACTAGCATCTAGAGAACAAGGCAAGGGCATCTTCTCTCGCTACTCCTATTAAACTGCATACCAGAAGGCCTCACCAGTGCAATAAAATAAGAATATTTTGAAAAGGCATACAGAAAGAAAGAAATAAAACTGCCTCTATTTGAAAATGACATGGTTATCTATGTAGAAAATATTTTAAAGTCTCTAAAAAAAGCTTTTAGAACTGATAAATATATTTACAATGACAGGATTATAAGGGCAATATACAAAAGTCAATCATATTTCTAAATATCAGCAATGAACAATTGGAATTTGAGTTTAAAAAATAATAACATTTACAATTGCAACCAAAAAATGGAATACTTAGAAATAAAATCTAATAAAATATGTGTAGGATCTATATACTAAAAACCAGAAAACAGACGAAAAAAAAAACTCAAAAAAACTAATGAAAGAAATCAAAGGAGATAGAAATTAGTGAAGAGATATATCATGTTCATGGGGTGGTAGAATCAATATTGTTAAGACGTCAATTATACTCAATTGATCCTTAAAGTCAATGTAAATCTAACCAACACACTGCAAACTATTTTGTAGACATCAACAAACTGATTCTAAAATTTATATGGAAAGACAAATGAACTAGAATATCTAAAGCATTCTGGAAAAGAAGAGCAAAATTGGATGATTCACACTACCTTATTTCAAGACTTACTATAGATTTGCAGAAATTAAGACAGATTGGTATTGGCAAAGGGATAGACAAATAAATCAATTGAATAGAATAGAAAGCCTAGAAATAGACCCACACAAAGAATGAACTGATATTTGACAAAAGTGCCAAGGAAATTCAAGGATAGTCTTTTCACTAAATGGTGTGGGAACAGCTGGACATCCATATTTTAAAAATTAACCTTGACACATACCTTACAACTTATTAAAAAATTAACTCAAAATGGATTATAGACCTAAATGTAAAATGGTGGGTATTTTTTTTTTTTTTTTTGAGATGGGATCTCACTCAGTTGCTCAGGCTGGATTGCAGTGGTGTGATCTTGGTTCACTGCAGCCTCGACCTCCAGGGCTCAAGCAATTCTCCCACTTCTGCCTCCTGAGTAGTTGGGACCACAGGCACATGCCACCATGTCCAGCTAATTTTGCTTATTTTTTCCAGAGATGAGGTCCCACTATATTGCCCAGACTGGTCTCAAACTCCTGGACTCAAGTGATCCTCCCACCTCAGCCTCCCAAAGTGCTGGGATTACAGGTGTGAGCCACCATACCTGGCCCTAAAATGTAAAGCTATAAAATGTAAAATGTGAAATGTAAAGCTATGAAATTTTTAGAAAAAAAAACATAAGAAATCTGCATTAACTTGGGATTAATGATGAATTTTCAAATATAACACCAAAAGCAGGATCCATGGAGGAAAAATTATTAACCACAATCTATTAAGACCACTATTTCTTTCGACTCTGATATCTCTTCTATCACACTTTTCCTCTTGTCCTGTGGCATTATAATTACTGTGAGCATTTTCTCTAAATTAATATATATTCCCATATCTACTTTTGTATTACTAATTTTACATTCTTTTGCTTAAAGAAGCCTTCCCAAATTATGTAAGCTTCAAGACCCGCAAAATCGGATCTGTCCCTAAATGTATATAAACATAAAATTAAGCACATTTTAAATGACACATACATATATAGTAAAACCAAAATGGGAAATAAAAAACACAGGACTGATAAATATAAAAATAAAAACTTTACATGGTGGCACACACCTGTAGTCCCAGCTACTTGGGAGGCTGAGGTGTGAGAATCACTTGAGCCCAGGAGATTAAGGCTATAGTGAGCTATGATTGTGTCCTGCACTCCATCCTGGGCAACAGAGTGAGACCCCATCCCTACAAACATATATAAATAAGGCCGGGTGCAGTGGCTCACGCCTGTAATCCTAGCACTTTGGGAGGCTGAGGCAGGTGAATCACTTGAGGTCAGGAGTTTGAGACCAGCCTGACCAACATGGTGAAACCCCATCTCTACTAAAAATACAAAATTAGTCAGGCGTGATGGTGCACACCTGTAATCCCAGCTACTCAGGAGGCTGAGGCAGGAGAATGACTTGAACCTGGGAAGCAGAGGTTGCAGCGAGCCAAGATTGCACCATTGTACTCCAGCCTGGGCGACAGAGCAAGACTCAGTGTCAAACAAAAACAAAAACAAAAACAAAAAACAAATATATATATATATATATATATATATATATATATATATATATATATATATATATATATATATAAATTTAAAAACTTAAAAAGTCACTCCTCTCACAGGGAGAGAAGAGAAAATGCATAAGATTAGAGAAGAAACGGGAGGCTACAAAGGTGTTGAATGTATGAGTGATTAATTATCCTTTATACCTTATATATAAGTTACATATGTTCTTTAGTATGGATTATTTCATAAGAAACAAAATTAATTTTGAAAGAGAAAACACTGCTGTCCTGTCAGCAAGCAAATACACTCAAAAGAATATTCAACCTAACCAAGTCTCAAGGAGCTTCTCTCTCTGGTAGGTTTTTGGGGTATCTCTCCTGGAGAATTTCCCTTACGTGAAGAAGAAAAGAAAAGAGAATAATAGAAAAGGAAAGAGAAGAAAGGAGAGGGGAGCGGGGGAGGGGAGGGGAGAACAGAGGGAAACAAAGCTGTTGCCATTTATATCCACATACTTACGTACATCTGGGCTTTCAACATATTGTGTCTGTCTAGAGATTGCAAGGGTTTGTCTCATACTGAATCTTTCAGGTAATTCTTGCTAACTTGAGCTCAGCACAATTTTGTTTGGAATTAATAAACTCAACTCAGCAGCAGCCTGCCCATTAGCTAATGAGACAAGTAGAAAATAATTCACGTTTTGTTTCCTTAGTGTCAATTTAAAACGTCTTTAATACTAAAATACACAGATAGATTATAGGGCAAAATTCAAAATTTGGCTGGACGCGGTGGCTGACGCCTGTAATCCTAGCACTTCGGGAGGCCGAAATTCATAAGAGATTTTTGAGATTAGCATGAGTTTATCTTGTAGTGAATACTCCCATTCTATGCATTCCATACCCCACATCCCACCATCCCTTTCAGTTACAGCTTCAGTTACAGAAACCTTTGAGAAGTTCTGTTATAAGGCCCATCAGAATCTTCAGTCCAAATTTCATTTAGCAGCTTTTCTGTGCCAGAGACCCTGCTTGCTACTGGACAAAGGGACTACTCTTAGGAACACATAGTAAGCAGAATGTAGGAGATAGACAAAAGCTGGTAGTTATAATTTGGCTTACTATGCTTTAAAACATGGATGAGGGAATTGTGGGATTACCAAAAAGTAAGATACCAAGAGGTTAGATACTTTGGGGGAATATCTAACATAATAGTTAACATTTGAGCTGGGCTTTAAAATATAATAAGAGTTTTGCAGAAGAGGAAGAGGAAAAAACAAAGGAAAAGTAAATTTAAGGCTTGGAGGAAAGAACTTATAAGAGCAAGGAGAGATGAAAGATGTGCAGTGTAGCAAGACTGTGAGTTCCAAAGTGAGGGATATCTTGAGCAGACGGTAAAGGGTATTATGTTATGCTAAGTTGTATGGACTTTAGCTTATGTACATTAGGGAGTCAAGAGAGGTTTTTGATGGGAGGAAGGAAGAAGGGATCCTAACTATAGTAACACCAAGGATCTTCTGGGTTCAGGTTATAAAATAGTAGCTCACTCGATGTCTTTATTTTGCCCCTCACTCCCACCCTCCCATGCAAAGCGGACCCTGAATCAAGGGTTTGGGTATAGGCAGTTTATTTGGCAAGTGATCCCAGGAAGCATGATGAGAGTGTGAGGAAGTGAGACAGAGAAGAGAGGAAACTAACAAAGGATTTGCTAATGAGCTGGTTACACCTCTCTTTCATTTTTCTGAGGATTTTCTGAGACTGTTCAGAAAAGTGCTGTTCAATGGAAATAAAATGCAAGCTACGTTTTTAGATGTAATTAAAATTTTTCTAGTTAAAAATTTTCTGGCCACATTTTTAAAACTAAAAAGGGGCTGGGCACGGTGGCTCACGCCTGTAATCCCAGCACTTTGGGAGGCCGAAGTGGGCGGATCACCTGAGGTCAGGAGTTCGAGACCAGCCTGGCCAATATGGTGAAACCGCTTCTCTACTAAAAATACAAAAATTACCCAGGTGTGGTGGTGCATGCCTGTAGTCCTAGCTACTCAGGAGGCTGAGGCAGGAGAATCGCTTGAACCCAGGAGGTAGAGGTTGCAGTGAGCCGAGATTGTGCCATTGCACTCCAGCCTGGGTGACAGAGCAAGACTCTGTCTCATAAATACATAAATAAATAAAATAAAAAGGAACAGATGGAATTAATGATAATAATGTATTTTATTTATCGCAATATATCTAAAATATTATTTCAATAATATTTTTAATCAGTATTTAAAATATCAATGATGGCCTGGCGTGGTGGCTCACACCTGTAATCCCAGAACTTTGGGAGGCCGAGGTGGGTGGATCATGAGGTCAGGAGTTCAAGATCAGCCCGACCAAGATGGTGAAACCCCGCCTCTACTAAAACTACAAAAAATTAGCCGGGCAAGGTGGTGGGCACCTGTAATCCCAGCTACTTGGGAGACTAAGGCAGAGAATTGCTTGAACCCAGGAGGCGGAGGTTGCAGTGAGCTGAGATTGCACCACTGCACTCCAGCCTGTGCAACAGAGTGAGACTCCGTCTCAAAGTAAATAAATAAATAAAATAAAATATCAATGACATCATTTACATTCTGTTTTTTATACTAAGCCTTTGAACTACAGCATGTATTTTATACTCACAGCACATCTCTAATCAGACTAGTGGACAGTGTAGGCGGTATAGGACATCCCTTAGGATATACTTCATCAATACCCCTCTGTGGGGCAAGGATGCTAGGGTTTGTATCCCCCACTTTTTGTCCCACATTAATTCCTGAGGCATTAACACTGTAGTATTTCTGGACTGCCTCAAGTGATGGTGAAAGTGGTCAGAAAACACTTAGGCAGACACAGGAAGCTATGTAAGGAACTTTCTGGGGGTAACCTCCAGCATGGGCAGAGTAGATATGGGTAGGGCAGTGACAGCATCTGCTGCACTTGAACTTTTCTAAAATTTTAAACTATTTTCATCACAAACATACGTGACAGTTTCAGTGATGTCTTGTATTCATTTGTGATTATGCTTCCACTAGAATTTGTGTTTATCACTTTAACTTCGTTTTCTCTGTCCTTGCTCCCACAGATTTTCATCATCTCTTTCCTCTGCCAGGGAAGGGTGGAGAGGTGAATTGAAACAGTCTCTCCTCAAGTATTTCATTTTGTAGAGACACGTAATTTTATGAGGTTTCCCAAATGAGATGCATGTAGACCATGTTTTATGACCTTCATCTCACAAAGTGAGAGACAGTCAAGTTGGCTCCGGCCCTAACAGTCAGTCTGTAGAACCCAGAGAAAAGTAAAAAGGAAGGTGTAGTGGATAATCTGGTGCAAGATCAGATCCTGTCTTTATGCTGGAGGTACTAACTTTCCCAGCTGCTACAAGTGTTGGCTGATGATGATCACAGTTGAGTCCCTCCCCAGGCCTTTACCTGGGCTAATGGTTGCTGCCTCTCCAAAGATCACACATACTCCCTGGTTGTAACCCATATCTAATCACTGGTTTGTGGTGGAGAGAATGGTGAGGGTTCATGTAAAGGCCTAGTCCATCTGCCTCAGTTCATGACAACTCTAAAAGGTCATCCCAGTTCCAGGGCTTCCCATGGGATTGGCTGAGACCTCCTGTTATGACTGTATTAGTTCAACCCCTCCCTCTGTCCAATCCTGCTTCCCTTGCTTCCTCACAGAGGTTGTTCCTGGAGCATTCCCCAATACACCACCTGCACACAAATCTCAGGGTCTCAAAATCTGTTTTCTGGGGAACCCAACCTACAACAGGAGAGGAATTCACCAATTTCCCCATGTTTTAGTGTTCTAGTTTAGCTAAAGTTGGGCAAAATTAGGGAACAGTCCCCAAAACCACACTCACTTCTGATACCAATTGCAAGTTCATGGGTTCCCCAAGACTACCCTCAGGTTGATAATTAGCTAACAGGACTCACAGAACTCACTGAAAGTAGTTATACTCATGGTTAATTACAGTGGAAGAATACAGATTAAAATCAACCAAGGGAAGAGATGCATGGGGTAGACACCAGGAAAATTCCACATGTGGAGCTTCCAGTTGTCCCTTCCCAGTGGAGTTGTAGATAGTGCTAACTTTCCTGACAACAATGTGTGGCAATACACATAGAACATCGCCAAGCAGGGGAGCTTGCCTGAGCCTTGATGTCCAGAGTTTTTACTGGGGCTCAGTCATACAGACCTGTCTGTCTACTCTTGCGGCTGATTTCAGTCTCCAGCTCCTCTAGAGGTCCAGCTCCTGTGATACTGCATGATGCAAAGCCCCCACCATAAATTACATTATTAAACTATCTAATGTGGCCCACTACCCCAAGACAAACAAAGACACTTTTGTCAGGTAGGGTATTCCAGGACCTGAGAGAGTCCCAGGAGTCAAGGGCAAAGGCCAGACATTACTTTGGGCAGGGTTAAATTCTTTACAAGTTGCCAGGTGACATTTGAAGGAAAAAAAAATAGAGATTGAAACCCTATAAGGGTGTATTATCTGGAAGTCTTTGTCATAGTTTAAATGAAGTTATTGCAGATATTGTATAACATGCAGTCTCTCATTCTCTTAATATTAACATTTTATAAGTATGTATGTTATGATAGTAAAGGGAAATAAATCTAAATTTGACTTTGAAGGAAGCAATAGCTGCTTCTTCCTACTTTTACATGACATAGAAATAGTTTTGCTTAGAGAGAGAATGAGTTTGTCCAGAAAACAAGTGACATATTTTCTGTTTTATTAAGGTAACCATCAACTTTTATTCACTTGTGATGATAAACCTTCCTCCAACTCCATTTGTGTATGCTGCCTGCATATCTCCCTGGTAGGCTTGACTGGGGTATCTGAGTTGCATTTCCATTCAAGATTAGATTCAGCATCAAATGATACAATTAGACACATAGACATGAGAGATACAAAGATTCTAAATGAACACCACTGGACACTCAGTTCTGGGCTGAGTGCACTGTTCTCACCTTCTACCCTATGACCTTTCTTACCATGAGTAAGATCTGCACAGTAACAAGCAAAAACAGCCCCCATATTTATGATGTCTAAAAACAATACAAACCCTGAAGTCACCATGGAAACTGCCTCCCACTAACATTTGCCTTTCAGAGGTTTTTAGAAGCTTTTATCCACAACAAATCAGCAGAGAAAAAAATTCAAGACAGATGACCCTAATTATGAATTCCTATGCTTACTAGAGGGAGATTTACTAGGAAACAAAGAAGAAGGGGTCTTCATTCCAAACTTCATTAAACATTTATTTTAAGAAGGCTTCACTTACCTATCTTCCAGAAAAATCCTCCAAAGGAGCATTTAAAATGCAGCATTTATAAGTGCTTGGTTTTACATATTTCATAAATATTCATATTTTAAAGCAACATGTATTTTTTTCTTTTTGAAATTTGTTTTATTGATACATTTGATATTTTATGAAGCAAAATAGGTTGTCAGGAATAGAGAGCCAAATCATTCCACGGTACCCTTAAAAATTACAAGATACGCATACCACAATTGTACTTTAATCAGGAACCAAGTAGGCTGGTATATTTAAGATTGTTCTCCTCAAGAGTGTCAACCCGTAGAAGGGAGGTAAAGAGGAAGCTTAAGAAAAAGTCATTATTTGCTGAAGTTATGTCAGAGGTGAAGATCAGCTTTGTTTGCAAAGTCATCAAAGTATCAATAATTCTACCTAAGGCAGATATAAGGTTTAGATAAGATTTACTACCTTCAGTAGCCAACAGAGCTTAAGGAAGTCTCAGTCTGTATCAGGAATTAAAGCTAGGTTGCATTTCCTCCTGGAGTTTTCATAGTCTCTCCAACAGAAATTAATCTCTCCAGCATTCATATTCCCAAAGCAGGTTGTACCTCTCTTAGTTCATTTTGTGTTGCTATAACAGAATATCCAAGACTGATTAATTTATTAAGAAAAGAGGTTTATTTAGCTCACAGTTTTGCAGGCTGGGAAGTCTCAGAAGCATGGCACAGGCATCTGTTCAGCTTCTACTAAGAGCCACATACTAGGTCAAAACATGTAAGAGAGGGCCACCCATTAACTCGTCATTTACATTAGGTATATCTCCTAATGCTATCCCTCCCCCCTCCCCCCACCCCACGACAGGCCCCTGTGTGTGATGTTCCCCTTCCTGTGCCCATGTGTTCTCATTGTTCAATTCCCACCTATGAGTGAGAACATGCAGTGTTTGGTTAACTTAAAGTATAATGAAAAAAAAAAAAAAAAAGAGGGCCAAAGGGAAAGTGTCGATATGTGAAGAGTGAGAACCCAAGTGGCATCCTGGCTTTGTAACAACCCACTCTGGTGGGAACTAATTCATTCCCACAAGAACTAATCCAGTCTCACCAGAGCAAGAACTCACTCACTACCTTGAGAAAGGCACCAAGTCATTCATGAAGGATTTGTTCCATGATTCAAACACCGCCCACGAGGCCCCATCTTCCAACACTACCATGCTGGGGATCACATTTCAACATGAGTTTTGATGAGCACAAAGCAGATCCAAACCATAGCAGGCTGCCTTTAGCCACCTAATATTTTGCCTTATTATAGTTATTTTTTGGGTCCTTCTTTGGTACAAAACCCTTTGAAGGTAGAGAATAGCTCTTATATATCTTTTATCTATTTATTTTATTTTTTGTATTTGTAGTAGAGATGGGGTTTCACCATGTTGGTCAGGCTGGTCGTGAACTCCTGACCTCGTGATCCGCCCACCTCGGCCTCCCAAAGTGCTGGGATTACAGGCATGAGCCACCGCGCCCGGCCTTATGTATCTTTTAAACTCCATAGCCCCAGTACAATTCCTTGCACACAGTGGGAGCTCACACGTGTTTGTGAAATGTGTTAAGAAAGCCCTCCTAGCTCTTCTTAGTGCAAGGTTAAGCTTAGGATACTTTTAGTTCACAGGGAGGCTCTTTCTGATTCATCAAATGTTTCCCTGACAGAGTAACCATAAAGTGATCTGCTTAATGGGATGACTCACTAATCAACTTTGTAATTTGCTGTTTTTCTCAAGAACATTTAATATGGAAAGCAATATATTTGCCTGTGTGGAGTATTTGGCATAAGATAACACACATACAGCACAGTAAAGATCATGGAGGAAATTTACACCATTTCCTGCTAGAATTGACTGCTAGAATATTCATCAGTGAGATAGGGAAGACAATGACCTTTCAGTTAATTTGAATTCACGAATCTTTTCCAGATCATAGATAGGTTTTGAAAATATGACAGCTCACAAATTGTCCACCAATTTACTTCACCTGGATGATCACTGTTAGGCCATATATTATAGCAGTCAATAAAACAGCCTGAAGAATAAAATAGAAAACAAATGTTAATTTTTCATCTCACTAAACATTTACTGATTACATGTTTTTGTACAGATTGCTGATTTAGGTGCTGTGCTATGGAAAAAACAAATCTGTATCAAATAATTGCTACTACATATTAAGTACCAGCTAGAGGTCATGAACTTACTATAGCAACCTTATAACATAGATATTGTAACCCTCATTTTCCCAACAAGAGAATAGAAGGTCAGGGAAGTTCTGTAACTTCCTCAAAGTTACATAGCTAGTAAATGGGAGAATCAGGATTTGAACCCTGGTCTGACTTTAGAATCTATGTTATTCCTATGAACCAAAGTCCTTTCTTTCAAGGAGTGCTAAGTCACTTTTATCCTGATTTGCAAAATAAGATACAAGTTTATGTAATAACATTTATTAAAAAAAAAAACATATTCTAGGCCGGGTGCAGTGGCTCATGCCTGTAATCCCAGCACTTTGGGAGGCCAATGCGGGTGGATCACCTGAGGTCAGGAGTTTGAGACCAGCCTGGCCAACATGGTGAAACCCCATCTCTACTAAAAATACAAAAATTAGCCAGGCGTGGTGGCAAGCACCTGTAATCCCAGCTACTCGGAGGCTGAGGCAGGAGAATGGCGTGAACCCGGGAGGCGGAGCTTGCAGTGAGCCGAGATCGCGCCACTGCACTCCAAGCTGGCGGACAGAGTGAGACTCTGTCTCAAAAAAAAAAAAAAAATTTTTTTTGATCATTTCTTTGAGTGTATTTTTGTCCTCAACTGGGTGATAAGCTCCCAAAGGGCAAAGTTCATATCATGATTCTGTAACTTTTATCAAAGCACCTATTATGGTGCTGAGTACATAAAAGACCTTGCAGATGTAATAACAGTTTGATAAATTTTTCCTCAGGCTGATTTCTGGGGAATAAGCCTAATAAGACTTGTTATCCAGGGCTAAAAGAGGAAGAAAAAATGAGTATATCATGATAATAGTTTATATTAACTGAGCATTCACTTATATCTGATGTACATTATCTCATTTAATTCTCAAAACCCTAAAAAGTAGGTTTTATTACCACATTTGTGCAAATGAGAAAGCTGAGGCTTAGCAAATAAAGTATCTGGGCCAAAGTCACAGAACCAGTAGTTTACAAAGAAAGAATTCAAACAGTTCTGATCGGAGTTCATGATCTTAATTGTTTCACTATCTCTACTGTTCTAAGACCCCATAGAATGTAAGATACACCCTCAATTTAATGAGATATTTTCAAAGAAATAAAGAATACTACCTCATTAAATGAATAGGTTGATCGAAAAATGTATACCAGCCTGGGCACGGTGGCTCACGCCTGTAATCCCAAGACTTTGGGAGGCTGAGGTGGGTGGACTTTTTGAGCTCAGGAGTTTGAGACCAGCCTGTGCAACATGGCAAAACCCCATCTCTACTAAAAATACAAAAACTAGCCAGGTGTGGTGGCACATGCCTGTAGTCCCGGCTGCTCAGGAGGATGAGGTGGGAGGATCACTTGAGCGGAGGTTGTAGTGAGCCAAGAACGTGTCACTGCATCCCAGCCTGGCCAATACAGAGAGACCTTGTCTCAAAAAAAGAAAAAATAAATAAATAATTAAAATATTAAAAAAGGAAGAAAAGGAAAAAAATGTATATCAACTTCAGAATGAGAAAATAGGTATCTCAAGAAGCAAGAAAATGAGGTATATTGTATTTGTAATACATTTTAGAGTTTCCTTTGAATGCTGATGTCAAAAAGACAAAGAGAACTTCCACCGTGTGGTATTAATGACATTTAGCAAAGTGCTAAAAAGATTCAAAGATTCTAGGCATTAAATGTATACTTGTTTGAATTACAAACTTCCTGAGGTCCTGTGAATGAGTAACACCAGCCACGTGACCCATCTCAAAGGGTTGAAACTGATCTGAAAATTTGACAAGATAATTTTTAACGAGGGTTTATAGTTCCCCCATAGTTTTTTGGATTTTTTTCTCTTTTTTAAAAGAATGCCTTCAAGAAACCTTTTAAAAATAGCTGTCCTCCCAGGCTTGGATGCTTCCCCTCCACGCTTCCACATCATGCATTCTACAATGGACCCTAATTATCTCTAGCCTGGCCTGCAACCCCTAGCCAGCTCAGACAAACCCTGCTCCTGACTTTAGTATAGTGTCCTGGTAGGATCCACAGGACTGTGGGGATTGAGTGGGATTCTCCACTGTCTTATTACTTCAGGATGCTGTCCCGACCCCCTCAAAAAAGGGAATCCTTATTCTTTCCTAGCCCTTGGAATCTGTAAATTGATCAGACCTAAAGTTTCTCTTAGTTGTGAATTGAAGGTAAAAATAGATCTCTGAATAGGGTTTTTAGATGCCCTACACAAAAGCATCAGGTCTCTGAGGATGATGTGGGCAGGGAAAATTAAGAAGGGTAACTTTCTGGTTTCTTGGTGTATTTAAATGCATTTGGTACCCAATAATATGCTGTAAAATAAGAATAGCTCTTCGGTAAAAGCCACTATAACACAACAATTTACAATTAGCTTCGAAGCTCCATTCAATTCCACAGTTAACACTTTCAGGACAACTTTTCTGATCCCAGTTCCTAATTTGCTTAATATCAATAGTAAACATTATCCCCTTGGAGTGCTTAGGAGCCATGCCACAACCTTGCCAGACACTATGGACACCTATTGCCTTGTGAATTGAGATTTATAACCATGGGCATTAAGTCCCTACATTAATTTGTACTCTTTTTTAAACGATTCTTTTAAATTACTCCACCCCAATTTTTTTTGTCCTCCATGAACTTTGAGTAAACTATTTGTCTATCTCTCATTTATATCTAGAGTTACCAGATTTCCAGTCTTGAATGAAATCCAAATTTTAGGTTGCTTCCAGTAAAATGAAATTTTTTATTCGTTGGCTATATAAATAATCTCATTATCATGCAGAAAATTTTTCACGTGAAAAAAATAACTCCACACAGGGAAATTTCACTCTGTTGTAACTAAGCTTCCAGGCTCCATGATGAGGATGAGGAGAGATGGATGAAAGTTCTGTTCGTGGGCATAAGTTGCCTGGCTAAGGGCCGGGCACAGTGGCTCACACCTGTACTCCCAGCACTTTGGGAGGCCCATGCGGGCAGATCACCTGAGGTCATGAGTTTGAGACCAGCCTGGCCAACATGGTGAAACCCCGTCTCTAGCAAAAATACAAAAATTAGCCCGGCGTAGTGTCGGGTGCCTATAATCCCAGCTACTCGGGAGGCTGAGGCAGGAGAATTGCTTGAACCTGGGAAGCAGGGGTTTCAGTGAGCCGAGATTGCGCCATTGCACTCCAGCCTGGGCGACAGAGCAAGACTCCGTCTCAAAATAATAATAATAATAATAAGTTGCCTGGCTAAGAGCATCATGGATTCCAGTTAAGCCAGGAGATGAGATCCAGATAGTGCTGATATTCCTGGCACCAGAAGGCATGAGAGACTAAGAGGAACTTATGAGTGCCACTAAAACCAAAAGAAGGGAAAGATTTCAGGTTATGGTGTCATGAAGAAATCGGTGAATCCTCTCAGTAAAGAACAAGTAGGTGTTTTTGACACCTGGACAAAAGTGTCAAAAACAACAGTTTTAGAGCTTTGGAATGAGCCAAAGATAGAAAACAAATTGAGAAATATTTATTCTTGAGAAATTTTCTGAGCTACAGGTTAGAACAGCGGGAGTCTGTGGCTTTCACTCCTGGGGCTGTTCACATACTTTGCTCCCAGCTCCATCGGTAAGAACTTATTTTTGCCAGTTTGAAGCTAGCCATGAAAGCTAACAGCTTTGCTACTAGATGGCAGGTATTGGAGGCCATAACACATGCTTTAATCAGCTAAAAGTAACAAATTTTATGGGAAACAAATGAGGAGAACCACAGCTTTCCTAGCCTGAGGTTGCAGTCCTGTTTGGAGTGAGTAACAAACAAGCCAAAAACTTCAACAGGGAGATTCTGGAAATGACAGAGCTATAGAAGGGCTGAGATAAGCTCTCTGCTAGCTGGATATCATGGAAATTACACACACGCACAGAGGAAACCTGAGCGAGCTCAGCAAAAAGTAAAAGCCAAGAGAGACATGAGAATTAGCTGCAAATCTGAATGTATTCCCTCACCTACACACAAATCAGCAATAAGTGGAAGTCTTACAGGCTTGGGATGTTTCAGTACAACCTCTGTCTAAATCGCTGGCTTGCCACTAAGCTATGCAGACATAGGAATGACTTCTGAGAAGCCAAGCTAAAAATAAGAATAAAAATTTGAGAACAGTGGCCATATATCACCGAAGAGACAGATTCCATAGTTTAAGTCCAGGCAAGTTACTAAAAAACAACAACTCTCAGAAAAATAAAACAGAATCTAGAGTCACCACAATCTATTATGTAAAGAAATGTTTAGTTGTAAACCAAAAATTATGAGACATGCATAGAAACAGAAAAATGTGGTCCATATTCTGGAAAATTAAAAAGCAGTCAAAGAAATGATTCTGTGTAGACACACATTATGGATTTAGCAAGCAAAGATTTAATATCAGCTATTATATATTACAAATGTGTTCAAAATATTAAATTATCAAAGAATTAAACGAATATATAATGACACTGATTCAATAAATAAGAAATCTCAAAAAAGAAATAGAAGCTATGAAAACCGAATACAAATCTAGAGCTGAACAGTACAATAACTGAAGTAGAAATTTTCCTTGATGGGCTTAACATCAGATTTTAGATGGCAGAAGAACCAGTAAGCTTGAAAAAATTAATAGAAAATAATACAAAGAACAGAAAGAAAAATGCTTGAGAAAAATTAATGGAGTCTCAGAAACCTGGGGAACATGACAAATATACCAATGTAATGGAAATTTCAGAAGGATAAGGGAGAGAGAATGGGGCAAAAAATTTTTGAAAAAGATAACGCCAAAAATCCCAAATTTGCTGAAAAATAATAATCTAAAGGTAAAAGGGGTTCGACAGATCAAGTAGGAGAACACAGAGATCCACACTTAGACACATCATACTTAAACTGCTGAAAGACAAAGAGATCATCTTGAAACCAGCAAGAAAAAAAAATCATCACAGGAGGAAACAATAAAATTAGCAGGTGGATTTATATCAGAAACAATAGCAGAAAGAAGGCAGTGGAATTACACATTCAAAGTGCTGAAAGAAATGAACTCTCAACTGTGAATTGGCTATCCATCAAAACTATACTTTTAAAAATGAAGTTAAACACATTCCCAGATAAACAGACATGAAAAGAATTTGTTGCTAGCAAAGTTCTTGAAGAAATATTAAATGAAGTTGTGGTTGTTCAGGCTATAAGGAAATGACATGAGATGTTAACTCAAATCCCCAGAAAGGAATGAACACTGGAAATAATAAATATGAAGGTACATAAAAAAGACCCTGTGTGTGTGTGTATACACACAACTGTACATACACATATATACATATACATATTTCTTTTTATTATTTAAAAAACATATTTTAAAACATGTGTAATTAAAGCAATAACTATAACACTGCATTATTGGGCATATAGCATATATACATATAATATATGTGATAATAACAGCACAAAGGCAGGGGAAAAAAAGTACATACATTGGAGCAAAGTACTCTATTTTACTAGATTGAAGTCAATATTAACCTGAAGTAGACTGTTCAGTTAAGGATGCATATTTTAATTCCTAGAGTCATCAGCAGGAAAATAACTGAAAACAATGTAGCTTAAAAATTAATACAGATGTTAATATGGTATAATAATATTTGTTTAACACAAAAACATCAGTAAAAGAGAGACTGAAGAACAAGAGACATGAGATATTTAGAAACAAAAAAGCAAAATGGAAGACATAAATTTAACAATATTAATAATTATATTACATGAGAATGGACTAAACACTTCAATTAACAGACAAAAATTGTCAGATTGGATAAAAAAGCAAGTTCCAAGTATATGCTGTCTATAAGAGACCTACTTTAGATTCAAAGACAGAAAAAACGTTGAAAGTAAAAGGATGGGAAAACATAAACCATGCAAACAGTAACCATAAGAGATCTGGAGTGGCTAAATAAATATAAAAGAAAATAGACTTTGGGAAAAGAATTATTACTTGAAATGAAAACAGACATTTAATAATGATAAAAGACTCAATACATCAGGAGCATACAAGAATTGAAAATGTAAATGCAGCTTTAAAAGAGTTCTAAAATACATTTTACAAAACTGACAAAACTGAAAGCAGAAATAGAAAATTCAAAAATTCTTGTTGGGTATTTCAATATGTCTCTCAGTAATTGATAAAACAACTAGAAAGAAAATCAGCAAGGATATAGATTTTAACAATATCAACTAACTTAACATATACATGTTATGTGTGTGTGTGTTTTATATATATGTGCTTTATTTATTTACCTAAAAATGGAGGGATTCACATTCTTTATAAGCACACATGAAACATTCTTCAGGATAGACCCTAGACTAGATCAAAACATCTCTCAATAAATTAAAGACATACAAAGTATGTTTTATGACCATAACAGAATTAAATTATAAATCAACCACAGAAAACAAACCTGGAAAATACCAAATACTTGGGATTTAAAAATACACTTCAAATAACACATGAATCAAAGAAGTAATCACAAGGGAAATTAGAAAACATGTTGAAATGAATAAAACTAAAAACACAGCTCAAGACATTTTTGCCCAAACCAATGTCCTGAAGGTTTTCTCTAATGTTTTCTTGTAGCAGTTTCATAGTTTGAAGTCTTAGATTTAAGTTTTTAATCCGTTTTTATTTAATTTTTTATATGGTGAGAGCTAGGGTCTCATTTCCTTCTTTTGCATATGGATATCCAGTTTTCCCAGCACCAGTTATTGAAGAGACTGACTTCCCCAGTGTATGTTCTTGGTACCTTTGTCAAAACAGCTTATCAAAGTGTATGGGATGTAGTTAAGACAGTTCTTAACGGGAAATGATAGGTTTAAAAAAATTTTTTTTTTTTTTTTAGTTCTTATGGGTACATAGTAGGTGTATATCTTTATGGGGCACATGAGCTAGCTGCATTCCTATGTTTGCTGCAGCACTGTTTACAATAGCTAAAATTTGGAAACAACCTAAATGTCCATCAACAGATGAATGAATAAAGAAAATGTACAGGCCAGGCGTGGTGGCTCATGCCTGTAATTCCAGCACTTTGGGAGGCTAAGGCGACGGATCACGAGGTCAGGAGATCGAGACTATCCTGGCTAACACGGTGAAACCCCGTCTCTACTAAAAATACAAAAAATTAGCCAGGCGTGGTGGTGGGCACCTGTAATCCCAGCTGCTCAGGAGGCTGAGGCAGGAGAACAGTGTAAACCCGGAAGGTGGAGCTTGCAGTGAGCCGAGATCACGCCACTTGCACTCCAGCCTGGGCAACAGAGAGAGACTCCATCTCAAAAAAAAAAAAAAAAAAAAAAGAAAGAAAGAAAGAAAGAAAATGTACACAATGGAGTACTATTCAGCCATAAAAAATGAGACCCAGTCATTTGCAATAACATGGATTGTACTGGAGAGCATTATGTTAAATGAAATAAGCCAGGCAGAGACAGATTTTTAAACTGTATATCAGATGACATGATGATGAACATATAGATCAATTTTTTAAAAAGAGAAAGTCCAGAAATAGACCCAAAATTTGTGATCAATTGATTTTCAACTAAGGTGTCAAAACAATACAATGGAGAAAGAATAACCTTTCAACAAATATTACTGGAACAATTGGGTATCCATATACCAATAAAAAGATGAAGAACTTAAATCCTTGCCTCACATAATATACAAGAATTAAATCAAAATGGATCATAGACTTAAATGTAGGAGTTAAAACTATAAAACTTATAAGACAAAATATTTGTGATCTTTGACAAAGATTTCTTAGTTATGACACAAAAGCTGTGCTTCATAACATTGTCAAAAAATGACAAATTGAACTTCATCAAAATTTAAAACTTTTGCCTTTCAAATAAAAATAAAGCCACAGTACTTGCAGACTTTTTTTAATGTTATTTTCAAAATAAAGCCACAAGCTTGAAGAAAAAATTGTCAAATCACATGTCTCAAAAGTAGCTTATATCCAGAATATAGGCATACCTCAGAAATATTGCAAGTTCAGTTCAGTTCCAGACTACCACAATATAGGAATATCACAAAAGGTTAATCCCACAAATTTTTTGGTTTCCCAGTGCATATGAAAGTTATATGTATGGTATATTGTAGTCTAGTAATTGTGCGATAGCATTGTGTCTAAAAAAAACCAATATGTGGCCGGGGGCGGTGGCTCACACCTGTAATCCCAGCACTTTGGGAGGCCGAGGCAGGTGGATCACGAGGTCAGGAGATCGAGACCATCCTGGCTAACATGGTGAAACCCCGTCTCTACTAAAAATACAAAAAATTAGCCGGGCGTGGTGGCGGGCGTCTGTAGTCCCAGCTACTTGGGAGGCTGAGGCAGGAGAATGGTGTGAACCTGGGAGGTGGAGCTTGCAGTGAGCCGAGATCACACCACTGCACTCCATCCTGGGCAACAGAGAGAGACTCTGTCTCAAAAAAAAAAAAAAAAAAAAATATGCATACCTTAATTTAAAAATACTTTGTTGCTAAAAATGCTAAGAATCATCTCAGCCTTTAGCAAGGTGAAATCTTTTTGCAGGAAGAGGGTCTTGCCTTGATGTTGATGGCCTGCTAATCAGGGAATCAGGGTGGTGATTGCTGAAGGTTGGATTAGCTATGGAAATTTATTAAAATAAGACAACAGTGAAGTTTACCACATCGATCGATCCTTCCTTTCATGAAAGATTTCTCTGTAGCCTGCAATGCTGTTTAATAGTATTTTGCCCACAGTAGAACTTTTTTCAAAATTGGAGTCAATCTTCTCAAACTCTGCCACTGCTTTATCAACTAAGTTTATGTTATATTTAAATCCTTTGTCATTGTTTCAACAATGTTCACAGCATCTGTACTGGAGTAGAGTCCATCTCAAGAAACAACTTTCTTTGCTCCTCCATAAGAAGCAACTCCTTATCCATTCAAATTTTATCATGAGATGGCAGGAATTCAGTCACATCTTCAGGCTTCACTTCTAATTCTAGTTTTCTTGTTATTTCTACTACATCTGAAATTGCTTCCTCCACTAAAGTCTTGAATGCTTCAAAGTCATCCATAAGGGTTGGAATCAATTTCTTTAAACTCCCATTAATGTAGATATTTTGACCTTCTCCCATGAGTTGCAAATGTTCTTAATGCCATGGAGAATGGTAAATTTTTTCCAGAAGGTTTTTGATTTATTTTGCCCCAGATCCATCAGAAGAATCACTATCTATGGCAGCTATAGCCTTACAAAATGTAGTTCTTAAATTATAACACTTGAAAGTCAAAATTTATCCTTGATGTATGAGCTGCAGAATCATGTTGGGTTAGCAGGCACGAAGACAACACGAATCTCTTTGTACATCTCCATTAGAGCTCTTTCATGACCAAGTGCATTGTCCATGAGATGCAATATATTGAAAGAAATCTTTTTTTCTGAGCAATAGGTATCAACAATGGGCTTAAAATATTTTATAAACCACACTATGAACAGATGTGTTGTCATCCAGGCTTTGTTGTTCCATTTATAGAACACAGGTAGAGTAGATTTAGCATAATTCTTAAGGGCCCTTGGATTTTCTGAATGGTAGATGAGCATTGGCTTTACCTGAAAGTCACCAGCTGCATTGGCCCCTACCTAACAAGAGATGCCTGTCTTTTGAAGTTTTGAAGGCAAGCATTGGCTTCTCCTCTTCAGCTATAAAGGTCCTAGAAGGCATCTTCTTCCAACATGGCATCTTCTTCCAACAGAAGGCTGTTTTGCCCACATTGAAAATTTGATGTTTAGTGTAGTCACCTTCATTAATTATCTTAGCTAGATCTTCTGGATAACTTGCCACAGCTTCTGCATCAGCACCTTGTACTTTTATGTTAGAGAGGCAACTTCTTTCTTTAAACCAAATGAACCAACCTCTGCTAGCTTCTGAACCTTTCTCACCTCTCTTAGCCCTCATAGAATGAAAGAGAGTTAGGGCTTTGCTCTTGATTTGGCTTTGGCTTAAAGGAATGGTGTGGCTGGTTTGATCTCCTATCTGGACCACTCAAACTTTCTCCATATCAGCAATAAGGCTGTTTCACTTTCTTATTATTCCTGTGTTCAATGGAGTAGCACTTTTAATTTCCTTCAAGAACTTTTCCTTTACATTCACAACATGGCTGTTTGGTGCAAGAGGTCTAGCTTTCAGTCTATCTTGGCTTTTGACACTCCTTTCCCACTAAGCGTAATCATTTCTAGCTTTTAATTTAAAGTGAGACGTATGTGACTCTTCCTTTCACTTGAACATGTACAGGTCATTGTAGAGTTGTTAATTGGCCTAATTTTAATATTGTTGTGTCTCAGGGAATAGGGAGGCCTGAGCAGAGGAAGAGAGTCAGGGGAATGGCTAGTCAGTGGAGCAGTTAGAACACATATAACATTTACAATTTAAGTTCACTGTTTTATATGGGCATGGTTGTAACATCAAAGACTGCTGATCACAGATCACCATAACGCATACGATACTAATGAAAAAGTCTGGCCAGGCACAGTGGTTCATGCCTGTAATCCCAGCACTTTGGGAGGCCAAGGCAGGTCGATCACCTGAGGTCAGGAGTTCAAGACCAGCCTGGGCAACATGGTGAAACCCCATCTCTACTAAAAATACAAAAAAATTAGCCAGGCATGGTGGTGCGTGCCTATAATCCCACCTACTCGGGAGGCTGAGGTAGGAGAATTGCTTGGACCTGGGAGGTGGAGGTTGCAGTGAGCCCCGAGATTGCACCATTGCACTCCAGCCTGGGCGACAGAGCGAGACTCCGTCTCAAAAAAAAAAAAAAAAAAAAAAAAAAAAGTTGTATGTGTGATTACCATATAACCCAGCAATTCCATTCCTGGGTATATAACCAAGAGAAATGAAAACATATGCCCACACAAAGACTTGTATGTGAATGTTCATAGCAACATTATCCGTAAGAGCTTAAAACTGGAAACAACCTAAATGTCCGTTAACTGGTGATTGAATAAACAAAATATGGTATATCTATGCAGCAGTGTTCTACTAAGCAATAAAAGGGAATAAACTAAATGAACTATTTATATATATATCAACATGGATGAACTTCAAAAACATTATACTAAGTAATAATAGAAGCCAGACACAAAAGAGTACATATTTTATGATTCTATTTATATGAAATTTCTAGGAAAGGTACAACTATGAATACAGAAAGAAGAGTGGTTGCTTGAGGCTGGAGGTTTGTGTGATAGTGGACTGAAAGTGAGTACTGTGGAACTTTTTGGGATGAAGAAATTGTTATAAGATTGGATTGTAGTGATGTTTGCACCAATTAATAAATTTACTATAAATCAACAAATTGTACATTTACATAAGCCAAATTTTACATATGTAAAGTATACCTCAATAAACTTCTTAAACAAAGAAACTTCAGAACAATGTAAAAAACAAAAAGACAATGGCCTGTTTCAAATCTGCACCACAGTTAAAAGAGTACAGAATAGGGGGAATCAAAAGTTTACTGTGAGGGTGGGGCGCAGTGGCTTAATGCCTGTAATCCCAACACTTTGGGAAGCCAAGGTGGCAGGATTGCTTGAGCCCACGAGTTCGAGACCAGCCTAGGAAACATAGTGGGACCTTGTCTCTACAAAAAAAAAAATAATAAAGTTTGGTGTGTGAGGACAATGTGAAATTGGCAAGGACTTAGGCATTAATTGAGATGAATGGGCCAGCAGACCCAAGTATATGCAGCCCAATGTGTACTCAGAGATGGTCACTGTATACCTAAAAGAACTGAACTAATGGAAACCTCCAACTTCTTTAGGTTGATTTCATGTCATACAGGTGTTGTTATTTCTTTTCTTCATTATTAACATGGATTTTCAGAGACCATAAGAAGCATATCTAAAATTGTACAGTTAGGGGGAAAGGACAAGACTTCCAGTTAAGGATATCAACCACGGAGCTATGGAAAGCATACTTTCAACCACAATAAACCCATAGAAACCCTAGTTAAAATATGATAAAATATCAGCAGAAAAAAACGGAAATTTGGACTGGGTGCATCTCAGCGCTTTGTGAGGCCAAGGCAGGAGGATTGTTTGGGCCCAGGACTTTAAGACCAGCCTAGGCAACATGGCAAGACCTTGTGTCTACAAAAAATTTAAAAATTAATTGGTGTGGTGGTGTACACCTGTGGTCACACAGCTACTCAGGAGGCTGAGACAGGAGAATCACTTGAGCCCAGGAGTTCAAGGCTGCAGTGAACTGTATTCCTGCCACTGAGCTCCATCCTGGATGACAGAGTGAGATCGTATTTCAAAAAAAAAAAAAAAAAAGTAAATATGTAGTCAGACTGAAAAATAAAAAAAAGATAACTCAAGCTTATCAGAAACAAAAAGGGAATTTAAAGCCATCATGGTATCTTATCAGAAACTAGAATCCCAAACTGTTACCTAGAAACAATGTAGCAATGGAGACTCCAATAAATTCGGCTGGGTGTTGTGGCTCACACCTATAAACCCAGCACTTTGGGAGGCCAAAGTAGGATGATTGCCTGAGTCCAGGAGCAGGAGAATTGCCTGAGACCAGCCTAGGAGACATAGTGAGACCCCCGTTTCTGCAAGAAATTTTAAAAATTAGCCAGGTGTGGTGTTATGCCTCTGTAATCCCTGCTATCAAGAGGCTGATGTGGGAGGACTGCTTGAGCCCTGGAGGTCTAGGCTGCAGTGAGCTATGATCACGCCAGCTGCACTCCAGCCTGAGTGACACAGTGAGACCCTGTTTCTAAAAATAAAAATTAAAAAATAATAAACTACTGATAGAGGATAAATTGTTTCAAGCACTTAAAAAATAAGCACTAAAAAAATGAGATTACCCAGAAACACTGAGCATGCATATGATTTATGACAAGGGATTCTCCGTAGATTTTACCATGAGACATGCACGAGGATGTTCAGAGCATGACTGTCAGAGGAAAACAGCATAGTATATTCATAAAATGGAATATTCTATAGCAATGAAAATAAACTGTGGCTATACACATTAATATGAATGATACCAGTGAAATGCTGAATGGAAAAAAAGACTCACAGAAGAATGTATACAGTAGAGTTGCATTTATTTAAGGTTCAAAAATAATACATTGTTTAGGGATATACGTATGTGTTAAAACTATGAAAAAAGGCAAGAAAAAGATTCACCCAAAGTTCAGGCTAGTATTACCTTTGACAGAAGGGAGAAAGAAGGGATTAGAGGAGCACAGAAAGTTTAAAAAGGACTGACAATATTGTACCTCTTGAGCTAAGTAGTGGGTGAATGAGTGTTCATGTTATTAGTCTTGTTTAGGTTGTACATATATCTTATGCATGCTCTTTTTATGTATGATACATTTCACAATAAAAATAAATAAATAAATAAAATTTTTATTTAAAAAAAAGGTTGCTGGCCACAAGGTCATCATAGAAATAGTGAAATTCCTATATATAAGTAATCACAAATTAGATAATATTGAAGTTGCATTAATTCAGAGACCAACTTAGTAAGAATTGACAATCGTTGCCATTAAAAGTAATGGCAAAAACTGCAATAACTTTTGCACCAACCTATACAATAGAAAAAACCCATTTGCAATAACAAAACACTATAAAATAACCAGGAATAAGCATAACAAATTATGTGCAGACTTTTATGTGGAAATATATCAAATGTTATTGCGGGATATTGAAAAACACTTTCATAGAGAGGTATGCTTGTTTGTGGATGAGAAGATTCAATATTTTAAGGTTGTCAATTCTTACTAAGTTAGTCTCTAAATTAATGCAACTTCAATTAAAATTATACCAGAATACTTAATGTATTTTAACAAACTAATTATCAAATTCATATAGCAGTGTAAAACTAATGAAAATCCAAGACATTCCTGAAAAAATATAGGACAAGGACGTTTGCTCTGCCGGATATAAAGAATTATATACAGCTACAGTGATTAGGCCGGGCGTGGTGGCTCACGCCTGTAATCCCAGCACTTTGGGAGGCCGAGGCGGGTGGATCACGAGGTCAGGAGATCGAGACCATCCTGGCTAACATGGTGAAACCCCGTCTCCACTAAAAATACAAAAAATTAGCCGGGCGTGGTGGCGGGCGGCTGTAGTCCCAGGTACTCAAGAGGCTGAGGCAGGAGAATGGCGTGAACCCGGAAGGCAGAGCTTGCAGTGAGCCGAGATCGCGCCACTGCACTCCAGCCTGGGCGACAGAGCGAGACTCCGTCTCAAAAAAAAAAAAAAAAAAAAAGCTACAGTGATTAAAACAGATTAAAACAGAGTGATATTAGCATGAGAATAAATAAGTAGATTGATGGAATAGAAGAGGAATCCCAGAAACAGACTGGATATATGGGGATTACTACAGAAATAGACTTATAAATCATTAGGGGAAATTCTAAACTATTTAATGACTACTATCAGGAGATTTGATTATCCCTACGTGGAAAACAAAAAATTCTTACCTCTTAGTATTGACAGAAACCAGATTTTAAATGGATGTATCTGACTGTGGAAATCAGAATTTAGAAATTATTAGAAAAATTTTAGAATATCTTTGTGTATGCAGTATACGTCATAAAAAGCACAAGTCACAAAGGGAAATATTGATAAATTGGACTACACTAAAATTTAAAACTTCTGTATAAAAAATACATCACGAATGACATTAAAAGTTGAACAAGGCTGGGTGCGGTGGCTCACGCCTGTAATCCCAGCACTTTGGGAGGCAGAAGCAGGCAGATCACGAGGTCAGGAGTTCGAGACCAGCCTGGCCAACATAGTGAAACTCTGTCTCTACTAAAAATACAAAAATTAGCCAAGCATGGTGGCACGTGCCTGTAGTCCCAGCTACTCAGGAGGCTGAGGCAGGAGAACCACTTGAACCCGGGAGGCGAAGGTTGTGGTGAGCCGATGTTGCACCACTGCACTCCAGCCTGGGCAACAGAGTGAGACTCCATCTCAAAAAAAAAAAAAAAAAAAAGTTGAACAATCGCTTGGGAGGCTATATTTGCAATGCATATAACTATCACATGGTTGGTATCCAGAATAGATGAAGATATTCTATATATTGATTAGAAATAAATCAGAAAAAAATGGGTAAATGATATGAGCAAGCAATTAATGGAAGAGGGCATACAAATAGCCAATAAACATATAAAAAGAGGCTCAACCTCACAAGTAATCAGCAAAATGCAAACGAAGACAAATATTAGATCTATTTCACATGTATCAGATCAATAAAAACAAAATGTCAGAAAAGATCAAGTATTGATGGCTATCTGGAAAATTAGAAACACTCAAACACTGCTAATGGGAATATCAAGTGCAATTTGGCACTACTAGTAAAGTTGAAACTATACCTAGCAATTCCATCTTTTTTTTTAATTAATTAATTAATTTATTTATTTATTTTGAGGCAGAGTTTTGCTCTTGTTGCCCAGGCTGGAGTGCAATGGAACAATCTTGGCTCACCGCAACCTCTGCCTCCCAGGTTCAAGCGATTCTCCTGCCTCAGCCTCCCAAGTAGCTGGGATTACAGGCATGCGCCACTGTGCCTGGCTAATTTTTTGTATTTTTAGTAGAGATGGGGTTTCTCCACGTTGGTCAGGCTGGTCTTCAACTCCTGACCACAGGTGATCCACCCGCCTCAGCCTCCCAAAGCGCTGGGATTACAGGCGTGAGCCACCGTGCCCGGCAACAATTCCATTTTAAGGTAGCCTAGATAAACTTTCATCCATGTGTTCAAGGAGACATGTATTAAGTATTGCAGGATTATTGTAATAGCAAAAACTATTACCAACTTAATGTTCATCAAGTTGGAATATATTCATATGATGAAGTACTATATAGCTGTAACAAATGAACCAACTCTCTTCCAAAAATATGCTAAAATACGTTGAAATAAAAAAGGAAATTGTACAATTATGTGTATGGTATGATGCCATTTGCATAAGCACACATACAAATATATGAAACATGCAATTAATGCATATATGATTAAATTACAGGAACACAGACTGGAAAGATACACACAAAATTCAGGATGGTAAAAGAAGAAAGGTAAGTGGCTCTGGAGGAGTACAAAGACCCTTTGAACTCTATCTGTAATTTTTTCTTGTATTTAAAAGATCAGAAGCAAATGACAAAATTCAGTTATGTGCTTTGCATACTTGAGTGTTTGTTACATTATTCTCTGTACTTTCTATACTTTAAAAAAGTGTCCCAATAATCAGGGAAGAAAAATATATTTTATGAAGTAGACTAAGGTTTGGAAAAACGACATTTCTTCATACTCACTCACTGGAGGCCCTTTATCCCTCACAGAACACAGAACTTTGAAATGACCCTCCATGCGGTGTAGAATTGCCGTGTGGACACTGAGGAAGGATTGCTGTTTCTAAAGTGGTGAGATGATGAATATGTTAATTAGCTTAATTGACTCTTTCTATAACATATAAACAGATTAAAACAGCACATTGTACCCCATAAATAGACACAATTATTATTTGTCAAATAAAAAAGAGTGTCCCTCCAAAAAAGATTATACAATAGAATGTTATTTGAAGAAATAAATACACACGCATACATATATATGATATAGGATATATATAACATATATCTGATAAATATGCCTCTTTTATTGCCAAAAATACTGGCAGAAGAAGCTCTTGTCTAAATTGCTAAGCACAGGCTAAGGGCTGAGGGAGTACCCGAAGGGAAACTCTGTGCTACTATGTGGGGCTCATATGTCAAGGCAGAGAGCCAAGACAACACAGAGGCTGGGCACAGTGGCTCACACCTGTAAGCCGAGCACTTTGGGAGGCCGAGATGGGAGGGAAGATTGCTTGAGCTCAGGAGTTTGAGATCAGCCTGGACAACATAGCAAGACCCTGTCTCTACAGAAAATAAACAAAATTAGCTGGGCATGGTGGCGCCTGTATTCCTAGCTACTTGGGAGGTTGAGGTGGGAGCCTGGCGGTTTAGGCTGCAGTGAGCTGAGATGGCCTCCGTGCACTTCAGCTTGGGTGACAGAGCAAGACTCTGTTTCAAAAAAAAGAAAAGAAGAACAGAGGATGATTAGGAAGCCTCATGGACAGATGGAGCAGATAGGACGCCTCACCCTGGGCAGAGAGCTCAACAGCTGAGACCCCTAATCCAGGCTTCTGGGCCACAACTGATAGAGCAGAGGAAAACTTGAAGCAAGCCACCAAGAAGGGGCAGCTTTACAAATCTCATTCCACCTCAGACATCCATGAAGCATGCCCCATGAGCCTAGCTGTCTTGGAGAGGTCCTGTCATGCAAGGATGACCTTGTTTTCTGCCACAAAGCAACCAATAGACAGGTCCTGGGCCTGTCTCTCTCCCTTTTCCTCTGGGTCAGACTTACAATAAAATTGAACATTCTGTTAGAATATTTTCCCTTTCCTGTGCAAAGCAATACTGCTGACCCATGAGCAGTAAGAGTGGAAGCTGAGTCGTTCTTCAATAATGGTGACCCAAATCAATGCTGGGCCATCTGCACCATCTTAGTCCTTTTATTACTCCTACTTCCAAATGCTCTCCATCAAGCATTATCTTTTTTTTTTCTTTTTTGAGATGGAGTCTTATCGTGTCACCCAGGCTGGAGTGCAATGGCACCATCTCAGCTCACTGTAACCTCTGCCTCCCAGGTTCAAGTGATTCTCCTGCCTCAGCCTCCGGAGTAGCTGGGATTACAGGCACCCACCACCGCGCCTGGCTAATTTTTGTATTTTTAGTAGAGACGGGATTTCACCATGTTGGTAAGGCTGGTCTTGAACCCCGACCTCAAACAATCCACCTGCCTCAGCCTCCCAAAGTGCTGGGATTGCAGGTGTGAGCCATTGCGCCCAGCCTCAAGCATTATGTTAACATCATCATGCACAGTTCTGAACATCTTACATAAACAAATCACAGCACTATATGACAGCATAACAGAGAGATAGGATGAGATGTGGTCCCCACTGGTGAGGGGTCTGCAATCCTATATACCTGAGAAAATAAATAAAAGCTCAGGAAGCCTATGGTAAATGCCAATGGGATGTTTAGATAGTATGCACTGCAGGGGGTTGGGAGTGGTTGAGGTTCTGAAGGAAGGTTTTATCAATTACTTGAGGCTAGGCACAGTTCTAAAAGACAACCATAACATACTTTTGAATCATGTCCACGTGATTTTTTTTTTTTTTTTTTTTGCAGAAAGAATGTTTTTAGATCAGGAATGGCAAATGTATTTCATCATAAGTGACTGTTCCAATCAATAGGTGCCTAGCATGAAGAAGGGCTAAGACTGCTCCTGGGCTGGGAAAAAAAGAGTTGGTATTCTTCCCAGATAGCTGTCATTGGTACAGCTTAAGTGGGTGGCAGCATGTGCGAGCCATTTCTATACATCTGATTTACCTACTGAATGTGCACGTTGCACATTACCCATGTGTGGCCCTGCAGCAGGAAATTCAAGATCATCCTCTTGTGTACTAGGACACTTTTACAGCTTTATACCTCATTATAATTGTCCCTTGGTACATGCAGGGGATTTGTTCAAGGTCCCTGGGGTATACCCAAATTCACATATACTCAAGTCCCACAGTCAGCCCTACAGAACCCACGTATATGAGAAGTTGGCCCTCCCTATACTTGGGTTTCACATCTTGTGAATACTGTATTTTCTTTTTTTTTTTTGGTAGCAAACTTTTATTTAAAGCTTACATAACTCAAGCTTTATAAAAAGCAAATGTAATTGAAAATTGGGTTGTCCCTCTAAAGCCTTAAGTATTCAAAGCTTGAAACGGTTAATTTTAAAATAAGCAAACAAGTAACACAACAACAACAACAACAAACCCTGCAGCAGATCCTGCTGAAATACTTTTAAAAACATCTAAATGAGCTTAATCTTTACAAAAGTTATTTTAGCTCAAAAGCTATAAAATTGAAGTTATCTTAATTCTACAAAGAAGGGAGAGGGTCTTTGACTTTATGCCACCATTTCCTTAGAGCCTCATCTTTTTCATCAAATTTGGCCACAAATCAAATTTCTGTGTGCCCCTGTTTTCAGGAGATTCCTCTTGCAAAAGAAGCCAAGTATAAACATGGAAGAACAACTGCCTAAGCAAGTAGAAAAGTGTTCCATAATAGTGCGCAATGAATGAAGAGTTCTGGATTAATCTCTGGAACTCAACCTGCACCCTGATCTTTATTTTGAATGGGATCTAGAACGGGATCTTGAAGTAGCTCTTTTTGGCGGAGGGGACACAGAATGACCCTTTGAGGGTGGAGCAGGTAGGGGTGAATTGGAACGAGACTGGCTCCTTGATCTGTATTTTGACTTCATATCACCTTTTCCATTTTCTTTGGAAGATCGGGACAGAGACCTGCTTGGAGATTTCTCATACTCATCCTTAGATCTGCTTTGAGAACAAGAACAGGAGCCCAGATCAGATTTGGGCATAGATTTGCTCCTTGAGCTAGATTTCCTGCCTTTTGAACGAGAACGTGATCGACCTTTGCTCCGCAACCTGATCAGGAGTGACTTTTTGAGATACTTCGAGATCTACTGTGGCTGCTCCTGCGACTCCTACTTCGTGACCATCTTCTAGATCTATACCTGGATCTGCTTCCAGAATCAGATCGCCTATGGCTTGTGCCTGGCTTACCTTCAATAAGCCTAATATTTCTGCACCATCCAGTTTGTCCAAAGCAAGCTTCATGTCAAAATAGGAGTGAAACTCAACGCCCTCACTTGTGCATTCCTTGTGAGCATCAACATAGGTTACTTCATCTGCTTGTTGCATAAAATCCTTTAAATCTTGCCAACTGTAACAACTAGAAAGACTTTCTATAATAAGCTCGTATTCTGTATGAACAGGTGGTCCATATTTGTCTCTGCCAGATGTTCTCTGACTGCTGTATCCACTTCCACCACCATCTCCCTGCATCTAATGGCAAAAGGCCGCTGTCATCATGGCTTCCGGTAAGGTCAGCCAAAGGGCCATGGGGCAAGAGTCACACAATGTATGGAAAAGTCAAGGCCAGTCAAGAAAGGCAGTCATCTTAGCCTCAGTAGACACAGCCTCAGACCCACTGGCCACCAATCCCCACACTCTGGCATCCCATGGCTGCCCCAGGCTGTGAAGGCAGCAGGGCCCGGGGACACCTGAGTCATATGACCCCCAGCCCCCACACCTAAATACTATATTTTCAATCCACATATAAGTGGACGCCCACAGTTCAATCCATGTTGTTCAAGGGTCAACTGTACAGAGCTGGTCAAGAAAGCCCTGTATCCCAAAGATGGTTTCAGTAGCTGCCTGAAATATTATTGTGGTAGATGTCTTTGTTCAAAGTATGGCACTAGGATTTGCCAGGTGGGTGGAATCTTGTGGGATGCTGACAGTTTGCAGGAATTTTATGCAGAAAGGGTTAATAAGGTCACCTTTCTTTTTTTTTCTTTCTTTTGAGCTTAAGCATTATTCTACAGTGCATGTGTAGAAAGCCTTTCTTATTTCCAGAGCCTGCATTCAATACTTTCATAAAAGAAATCGTGGTGACAGTGTATATCAGGAAATGAGTCATGCGTTATTTGAAATTCTAAAGACATTTACCTCCAGAATCAGAGCAACAATAATAATAACAATAAAACATTCACGCACACACAAAACTTCTCTGACAGATGACATGCAAGTTGATGTAATAGCACAGTCTCTGGCTTGCAAGGTAGACATAAATACCTACAGCGCGTTCCCATCAGTCTCAAACTGGGCCATCTGCAAGATAGGATGGGAAGTGCGTGGGCTCTGCAGTCAGAAAGACCTTGATGCATATCCTGACATTACCATTTTCTAACTGTATGACTTTGGATGAGTTTCTTAAATATGAAATGGCAAGAGTAATAGCTAGCCCACAGGATTGTTAAAAGGGTTAAATGAGATCATGTACATAAAGCACGTAGTTAAATGCCTAGTACACTATATGGTTTCCATAAATCTAAGTCCCTTTCCTCCATTTTATTGCCTAAACCATAATAGCTAAATATCTAACTCTATCTATCTTTGTAAATTCTCTAGCTTTCTATTCCATTTTCAGCTGTGAACAGAGGAAAATGCTTCCTTCATTTCGGAATGACCTTCTGTGCTTCTATTCCTGATTCCAGAACTTCCTTCTGGGAACGCAATCCTATGCCCTCTGTGGCCCTCCATGTCCTTCTCCACTGTCTGTCACCAGACTCAGCCCTTGCAGCATTTTTACCTTGCAGGGTTGCTCCAGGCAGGCTACTGGCTGATGCTTTTACTAATAATTACAATCTTCAGAAAGGCAAACTTCATGGGGATTGAAAAAGGAGTCTGTACCTAGTAGCAAAAATTTGAAATTTATGCTCAGGGACTATATGTCGTGCTTTCTTGTTCCCTATCCGTGTAAGTTAGGAAATATTAGTAAATACTTAGCCAGTATAATTTAATATTCATTTAATTATTTATTGACTGATAATAGGAAAAGAAAGAAATGGCAGGAACACTGGCATGGGGGTCAAAGAAATAAAGAGTTTGAGAAGGAAGAAACATGAAAAAAGCTGGAAAAATAGCAGTGCTAAAGGTGGGGTAGATATGCCTCAGCACGCCATAGGTTTTCAGCAAAACAAAAATAAGTAAGATGAGCAAAAATAAACTCTGTGCCCCAGTTATCCAAATTAGTAAGGGACAGTTTGTGGGCCATGAAATGTTTTATTGTGTATCGCTCTATTTTGCTGGAGTGCGCATGGCTTCCCTTATAGCCAGCTAAGTACACACTTAAGGCTTTTTAAGTCCCTCATGAAAACTCTACCCCAGCCACAAGTAATTTCCAGACTTTATTATGGTTCTGTTGGGGGATTCTATATACTGTTCAGCTCAGAAAAGATTTCAAGTATCACTGAAACCTCAGCTTCAATGACCTGAATAAAGTTTGGAAGGAACCCTGATTTTTCAGGAAACTCCTCAAATGCTGAGCAGCGAATGCAGAGTGTCACTTTATAAATAGTCACCTGCTCATTGAGCAGTAGCAATGTGTGACAGACAAAATTGATGCTACTTTTATCCTCATAGTACACTGGATTCTCTTCAGAGAAAAGTGGACTTTTTCCCCCATTTGTCTTGCCACACGGACACAATGGAAGACACCACCCTCCCCTCCCCACACACACAGATAAAATTAGTTGATGTTTGAAGCAGTAGAGTAACCTATATAACCATTCCTGAAAGTAAAATTCAGAGTATCTTAGTGAAACCCGTTGTGTAAGCATGCACATACATACACATACACACAGAGTCTTGTGGGCTTATAAAAAGTTTTGTGAGCACATAAAAGACAAAGGAAAGGAAATGACTTGATAGGGACAATGATCTCATGACTCTTTAACATTTCTGATGCCCTATATACTGTTTTTCAAAAGTTTGCTTTTAAGAAAACAATAAAAGGCCAGCACAGTGGCTCATGACTGTAATCCTGGCAGGAGGATCCCTTGAACCCAGGAGTTCGAGGCCAGCCTGGGCAACATAGGGAGACCCCATCTCTACAAAAATAAAAATAATAGCTGGGCACTGTGCTGCACGCCTACAGTCCCAGCTACTTCAGGGGCTGAGGCAGGAGGATCACTTGAGCCCAAGAGGTCGAGGCTACAGTGAGCTGTGGTCATGCCACTGCACTCCAGCCTGGGCAACAGAGCAAAATCTTGTCTCAATAAAAATAAAAATAATAATAATAATAATAATAAAAAGGTAATGCTTGCTGTTCATTGACTGAAGGGGGCTGTTAGTATAGATTAATGTGAATGCCAAAACAATATGTTTCTCAAAGTTAAGTATGAAGTCCCTTTAATGGTTTGAAAAATTCCCTTGGACATGTAAAGATATATGTTTGGATTTCTGAGGGTCCTTAGTCCACAGTTTTAAAGACAATGAGTTCATAAACTAAATTTCATTTTGTGAAACTATCTTTAAATTGGGAATTATCACCAGGAAAAAAATTTGGTCTTTACAACCAGTACCAAAAAAAAGATTATTATTACAATAAAGACAGAATAGAAAATTATTCTTTTTTTTTTTTTGAGACGGAGTCTTGCTGTCTTCCAGGCTGGAGTGCAGTGGCGCGATCTCGGCTCACTGCAAGCTCCGCCCCCCGGGTTCACGCCATTCTCCTGCCTCAGCCTCCCGAGTAGCTGGGACTACAGGCGCCCGCCACCACGCCCGGCTAATTTTTTTTTTTTGTATTTTTAGTAGAGACGGGGTTTCACCGTGTTGGCCAGGATGGTCTCGATCTCCTGACCTCGTGATCCGCCCGCCTCGGCCTCCCAAAGTGCTGGGATTACAGGCGTGAGCCACCGCGCCCGGCCGAAAATTACTCTTTGTATTAATCATGTTTTTAATTTTTCTGTATTTTATGATACTGATATCTTGGGGCCTTGCTAATCCCAGAGAGACTGCCCCTGTGGGGGCCAGCTAATTCCTAGAGATAGCAAACAAGTTGCCTTCCAGGGCACCTTTCACATGCAAACTAACAATTCATAGCCCATGCTGCCTCCGCCTCCCCACTACCTCCCTTATCTAACTTTTACACACCAAGCCTGCCCTAAAGCACCCTAGGACCACGCACTGAACTAGAGACTATGCCTATAGCCCAGCGCCCACTGAAATTATTTATTTAAAGTAGCCAACCCTAAACTGCTCACCTTGCCCTGCCCATTTCTTCCTGCAAAAAACAAAAGGCTTTTGCCCATTGTGACCCCTCACTCTTTCTGCCTAATTGTAAGGCAGTTGTCTCAGTGTCTGTCACCTTGCCATACCTGATTTAAACAAATCCCAGGTACATTTTTAAACATGCTTAGATTCTCAGTCAGAGACCCCAGTTTGAGAGACACTGCTCCAGAACAGCAGTTCTCAAGTATCCGTGCCCCGCCCTCATCCCCCCAAGGCCAGTAGCGGCACCTGGCAGCATTGTTAGAAATGCAGCTTGTGGACCTGGCGTAGTGGCTCACGCCTGTAATCCCAGCACTTTGGGAGGCAGAGTGGGCGGATCACCTGAGGTCAGGAGTTCGAGACCAGCCTGACCAACATGGCCAAACCCCGTCTCTACCAAAAATACAAAAATTAGCCGGGTTTGGTGGTGTGCGCCTGTAGTCCCAGCTACTTGGGGAGGCTGAGGCAGGAGAATCACTTGAACCCAGAGGCAGAGGTTGCAGTGAGCCGAGATCACGCCACTGCACTCCAGCCTGGGAGACAGAGCAAGACTCCGTCAAAAAAAAAAAGGAAAGAAAGAAAGAAAGAGTGAGGGAGAGAGAAAGAGAAGAAAGAAAGAAAGAAAGAAAGAGAAAGAAAGAAAGAAAGAAAGAAAAGAAAAGAAAGAAGGAAAGAAAGGGAAAAGAAAAGGAAAGAAAAGAAAGAGAGAAAGAAAGGCAGCTTGTGGCAGGGTGCGGTGCCTGTAATCCCAGCACTTTGGGAGGCCGAAGCTGGTGGATCACCTAAGGTCAGGAGTTTTGAGACCAGCCTGACCAACATGGAGAAACCCCGTCTCTACTAAAAATACAAAATCAGCCAGGCGTGGTGGTGCATGCCTGTAATCCCAGCTACTTGGGGAGGCTGAGGCAGGAGAATCGCTTGAGCCCAGGAGGCAGAGGTTGCGGTGAGCCGAGATCAACCACTGCACTCCAGGCTGGACGTGGGCGACACAGCAAGACTCCGACTCAAAAAAAAAAAAAAGAAAAGAAAAAAGAAATGCAGCTTGTTAGAACTGGTCCAGACTTACCACTGAATCCGAAACTCTGGGAGGTGGTGTCTAGCCATAAACCCTCCAGGGTCTTCTAATACATGCTCCAGTTAGATAAACTACTTCCTAGATTCTCATGGTGATCCTTCATGAAGATTTGGTTTTTAATATATCCTGCCCTTTTTCACTTGAGTTCCTAGGCTCTCTTTTTACTCTCTCCTGCATCCTTTTTTTTTTTTTTCTGCATCTCTTTGGTAAATTGATAGCTTATCTTTAGAAGTGCAGTCACACACACCCCCTCCTCCACCCTCCACAGACACGAATGCATACCTGATTGTTCCCCTGCCCCATTTTGTCTTTGTTATCTTATGTAAAATGCAGATTCCCAGCATTTTTCCTCTGCCCCATTTGTCTGTGTCATCTTATGTAAAAAAAATGCAGATTCACTGAGCCAGACAAAGGCATGAATGACTGTTTTTCCCTACACCCCTCTTACATGAAAATTGTGTACTCCTCAATGTCGCACCCTTTCCCCATTAAATTTGGAGCCCTCAAAATTATCTTTGGAGAAAGGCATACACCTGTCTCCTGGGCGTGTGTCCTTAACTTTGGCAAATAAACCTCCTAAAATGATTGAGACTTGTCTCAATCAATCATTGACTCCAGGTCTTCTTGGACTCAGGCAGCACAGTAACGAGAAGAAATTAGGTCTCAAAACTCTAAGTCAGTGCCTAAGTTTCCAATATCTTATGCCTTTATAAGCTCATTTCTGTCTCACAAATAAAGGCAATTAGCACACTGCTCAAACTGAACCCTTCCTAAAACTTGGAAACTGTAAGACGTCTTCATGATATCATTTCATGTTAGCTGTCAAAAACACGAAAGCAAAATGTATATGTTTAAAAATGCAATCTCAAAGGCCGGGCCCAGTGGCTCGTGCCTGTAATCCCAGCACTTTGGGAGGCTGAGGTGGGCAGATCCCTTGAGGTCAGGAGTTCGAGACCAACATGGTGAAACCCTGTCTGTACTAAAAATACAAAAATTAGCCAGGCGTGGTGGCATACACCTGTAATCCCAGCTACTCGGGAGGCTGAGGCAGAAGAATCGCTTGAACCCAGGAGACAGAGGTTGCAGTGAGCCGAGGTAGCACCACTGCACTCCAGTCTGGGCGACAGAGTGAGACTCCGTCTCAGAAAAATAAATAAACAAATAAAATGTAATCTTGAAAATAGTTCCATAATCATTTCAACCAAGTGAGTGATAGTTCTCTGCCTTCCCAAATGCTGAAAAATTATCCACAGTGAGCTGCTACAGCTTAATAAGGTAGCCTTATTCAAATTAATGTAATGTCACCTATTTCTCACAAATAGAATAAGTTTTCTTTTCCTTGCTTGCAGAGATGAATGTTTAAACTTTTCTTCCATGTGTAGTGGCACCACAGGCTCCAGTTTATTTGCTAGGTAAACAAATCAGCATGTGAAGGCCTCATGCAGAAAAACTATAAATATTTCCTAATCATTATCGCTGTCTCGCCTTACTTATTTGGATCCTAGTACAAGAATCGTCATTTGAAAAGCCTTCAAAATTTTGCTAAGGGGGCTCAAATGCCAGCAGAAGCATGAGGATTCAGGGAGAGGGGAATAGAACTGAGGCAGGATCTTGAGGAAGGAGACCTGCAGTCCATCCCAACTCTGCCAAAAGCCCATTGTGGGACTGCAGAAAAGTTACCTAACCTCTCAGGCTGACATTTTCTCCTCTTCTCATTTTAGATAATGTCTAAAATCAACTGAGACCCCTTGGTCCAAAGCTTCCGTGATTCAAAGAGAGTTTGATCTCTTCTTGCCCCATTCCAAGACTTTAGTCAACTTTGAGAAGACTATAGTTTTGGCGCTAGACTGGGTGGTAATAGTGGGGTTGTGAATTGCTCCAGAAGTGCAGTAGTCTGGGGTTGCCTCCCGCCCTGGAAGGAACTGACCATTCATCACCCTGCAAGCTCCTTCTCAGGCAGCCCACTTGTGATTCTGGAAGATTATTTGCCCTACAAGCCTCTGGCTGATATTCCTTCAGAGGGAGGAGCATGGTTTTGTTTCACAAGCTCTTAACCTTGGCTGCACATTCACATCACCTGGGGGAACTTTAAAAAAATACCAGTGTCACCAACGACCCCATGAAAAAGCGGGCAAAGGACATGAATAGACACTTCTCAAAAGAAGACATACACACAGCTAACAAGCATATGAAAAAATGCTCAACACCACTAATCATTAGAGAAATGCAAATCCAAACCACAATGAGATACCATCTCACACCAGTCAGAATGGCTATCATTAAAAAGTCAAAAAAGAACAGATGCTGGTGAGGTTGTGGAGAAAAGGGAACGCTTATACACTGCCGGCAGGAGTGTAAATTAGTTTAGCCATTGTGGAAAGCAGTGTGGCAATTCCTCAAAGAACTTGAAACAGAATTACCATTTGACCCAACAATCTTATTATTGGGTATATATACCCAAAGGAATATAAATCATTCTACCATAAAGACACATGCACGCGTATGTTCATCACAGCACTATCCACAATAGTAAGGACATGGAATCAACCTAAATGTCCATCAATGGTAGACTAGATAAAGAAAATGTGGCACCATACACCATGGAATACTATGCAGCCATAAAACAGAATGAGATCATGTCCTCTGCAGCAACAAGGATGGAGCTGGAGGCCATTTTCCCAAGCAAATTAATGCAAAATCAAATACCATATACTCTTGCTTATAAGTGGGAGCTAAAAAATAAGAACACATGGATACTAGGAGGGGAACAACAGACACTGGGGTGTACTTGAGGGTGAAGAGTGGGAATATGGAGAGGATCAGAAAAAATACTATTGAGTACTATGCTCATTACCCGGGTGATGAAATTATCTGCATGCCAAACCTCCATGCCACGCAATTTACCTGCATAACAAACCTGCACATGTACCCCTGATCCTAAAATAAAAGCTTAAAAAAACCAATTGTGTAGCTCCAGCTTCCAGAGATTCTGATATTGGTCTAGGGTATGGCCTAGACATTGGGATTTTTAAAATCTCCCAAGATGCTTCCAAATGCAGCCAGATTCCAAAACCACTGCCAAGGTAATGTGGTACACTGATTCGAAAGCCTAGCTACAGATCCCTCTTGAAGACGAATATTAAAACAAAGGTGGAAAGAAGAAAGGATTCACCTGGGAAGAGGATCAGAGGAGAAATAAATGGCTGAAGGAGGAAGGACTAGGTAGATACCGAAGGCAATCTCCACCGTCCTCAGAAACAGGTGCTGAGCAAATGCATCCCTACTGGTGAGGTGGTGATTCTGTGCAGGCGGCTGACTCCCCAGCTTGGCTTCTGGCTTCCCCAGAGCACAGGGGACATAGAAGCTAATCCTGTGTAGAGATGTGTCTGTTTTCCATCTGGCTCTCTGCTATCCTTCCCTAGAGACTGCCTGGTATGGGGACTGCTAAGGGGGCACACTTTTCTCAGTGTGCCACAATGGGCTTGGCACACGTCCTCAAGGATGCATCTGGGCTGAGCAAGACAGTAGCTGGGCCCCCCTGCAGACCTCTTGATTTGGTAGCCAGTAGACCCTGGTCACAAACAAATGATTCCATTTCCTGAGCCTGTGCTTTAATTGCCTTTCCTTGCAAAACAGGCTTATAGGCAGTTTAAGTGAATGGATCTGGCAAAGGTATTTCTTTGGTTGAGGTATTACACTAAAAGCAATTGCCCAAGAATGAAAGTGATAGTATTAGAAACTCACAGGCTCATAAACTTCAGGACACTCTGACACCTTATTTTATATAGCACCTCAGAATTTACCAAACACTTATACATCCTCTAGCTCATTTCGTTTTAGTTCAGAGCATCCCACGAAGTAAGTAAAGTATTAACCATCTTCTTTCGTATGTGAGGACAGGAAAGCTCAGAGTGGTTTAGTAACTAGCCCAAGGTTTACAGCTATTATGCTAGTTCTGGACCTACTTGCTCTCAATTTATTTTTGTGTCGTTTTCCAGTTCCACTTTGTAGGGCAGGAGGGTTGACCCCTGCAGGCCAGTTTTCTGAGTAAGCTCCTGTGTCAGCTGCCTGGGTGCAGCCAATGGAAGGAATGGTTCGGAGGGGAAAGCTAGACCACCCCTCCCTGCCTTGGATGGCTTCTCCCACAGGGGCTATGTCTTTTCCCTTGAAGGACAGACCCGTCCTGGTGCCAGCTTTCACGGGTTGACTCCTGCTCCTCAGTGCCTGTGTCATGGGCTCCTCCCCTTCTCCCTCTGTTTTTGTGGCTTCCTGCTGTTGCTAATCTCTGAGTTGCCAAGTGGCCTGTTTGGCTTCTCAGCAATTCCTTTACCTGAATAACCAGCTCCCTGCATTAAAGTGCTCTGGGTTAAACACTCAAGAGGGTTCTGTTTACTGGCTAGACTCTGTATCAGGCAGGATCCTGGCAGGAAACAGATGGTGCACTCAACAGGGTAACCAAAGCGAGTTGAACGAAGAGACTGTTTACATCGATGTGGATCCTGATAGAGTATGGTGGGGAATTGTTGTGGCTTTACCTTCCGTGGGCCAGCAAGGGCAAGGGGAGGCAGTAGGATTACCAGAGAAGATGAGACCTGTAGTCTTGGAAGAGGGGCTTCCTGGCAGAGCTGTGGCTATAGACACCGGAAAAAGGAACTGCCAAAATCACATCTTACCAAGGAGGGAGAGATAGAAGGTGGGGAATAAATACACCTTTCTCTCCTCCCACCCTCCTGTCTCCAGCTGGTGCCTCCCATTGACCAAACTTAATAAAAAGCCAGAGGCCAAGGGTGATGCAGTCCATAAAGGTTAGTCTCCAGGGGCCCAGTCAGGGCAAAAAATGAGAGGGAAGATCTGTGCGTGTACGTGTACATGTGTGCGTGCATGTGCACATGTCTTTGTTGAGGGAAGCAAGGAACAAATGGAGAAAAAACAGCTTGACTGACAAATATAGCCAATAAAAGCCTGGGTCAGGACAAGCACCCTGTTATTCTAATTTCAGGTCCCAAATTTATTCTACTTCACCAGGTCGATTTGACACAAGATAAATATGATGCATAAATCCTTACCTTTGCTTCTGTTTATTTTTATTGCACAGAATGTGTTCAATATTAAGGCAATTTGAGCTTTTCATTATGTATTTTAATTGGCAAAGTAAAATTGTATGTTTTTATATGGGACAATGTGATGTTTCGATATATGTATACAATGGGGAATGATTAAAGCAAGCTAATTGACATATTCATCACCTCACATATTATTTTTTGTGGTGAGAACATTTGAAATGTACTCTTTCAGCAAGTTTGAAATATATAATACACTATTATATCATTATCATTATTATTATTTTTTGAGACGGAGTCTTGTTCTGTTGCCAGGCTGGAGAGGTGCAATGGCGAGATCTTGGCTCATTGCAACCCCTGCCTCCCAGGTTCAAGCGATTCTCCTGCCTCAGCCTCCTGAGTAGCTGGGATTACAGGCACGTGCCACCGTGCCTGGCTAACTTTTGTATTTTTTGTAGAGACAGAGTTCCACCATGTTGGTCAGGCTAGTCTCGAACTCCTGACCTCATGATCCACCCACCTCACCTCCCAAAGTGCTGGGATTACAGGGGTGAGCCACCACGCCTGGCCATAGTACACTATGTTAACTATAGTTACCATACTGTGCAAGAAATCTAAAAACCCAATTTCTTCTGTCTGAAACTTTGTACCCTTTAATCAACATCTCCCCAATGCCCCTTACCCCCAGATCCTGGGAACCACCATTCCACTCTCTCTTCTAAGTTCAACTTTTTTTAGATCCCACATGTGAGTGAGATCATGAGGTATTGGTCTTTCTGTGCCTGGCTCATTTCACTTAACATAATAACCTCCAGGTTCATCCATGTTGACACAAATGACAGAATTTTCTTCTTTTTTAAGGTTGAATAGCATTCCATTTTGTGTATATACCACATTTTCTTTATCCATTTATCTACTAATGGGCACTTAGGTTAATTTCACATCTTGGCTTTTGTAAATAATGCTGTAATGAACATAGCCAGTTCAAACTTTTATCTGTTACTTTGGGGTGCTAAAAACTTCTCTGGGCACAGTGCCTTTAGAAGGAAGATTTATCCAGCCGGGCGAGGTGGCTCATGCCTGTAATCCCAGCACTTTGGGAGGCTGAGGGGGGCAGATCACAAGATCAGGAGATTGAGACCATCCTGGCCAACATGGTGAAACCGTGTCTCTACTAAAAATACAAAAATTGGCTGGGCGTGGTGGCACATGCTTGTTATCCCAGCTACTCTGGAGGCTGAGGCATGAGAATTGCTTGAACCAGGGAGGTTGCAGTGAGCTGTGATCACGCCACTGCACACCTGCCTGGCAACAGAGTGAGACTCCGTCTCAAAAAAAAAAAAAAAAAAAAAAAGAAGGAAGATTTATTAAGGTGACACTGATAGATCTCCTAAGAATAATCTTATTCTAAATGAAGAGATTTTAGATAATTCTGACTTTTCTCATTGTGTATGTGTGTGTGTGAGAGAGAGAGAGAGAGAGGGAGAGAGATGTTTTCGTTGTTTCTAATGAGCAAGTAATTTTACAATTTAAAAAACTGTACTATTTTAATTTCAGGCTTTAGAAAAGGATGATTTTTTCAGGACAACTATGCCTCCAACCCTCCAACCTCATTTTCTTGATTATGAACAATATTCCTGAGTTTCTACAAATAGGGAACTTCCTTTTTTTACAGACAAGGAAGCCTGAGACCAAAGGAAAGTGGCTTGTCCCTAGTCTCCCTGCCGGCTGGGGACAGAGCTGGGACTAGACCCAGGTCTCCTGCCTCCCTCCTGTACCAGTGCCCTTTCTGACCAGCCGTGCCTTTGCAACACTGTCCAGCTCACAGAGAAGACTGATTTTGCCTCTGCAAAAACAATATTCACTGCCTTTCCCCCTGAAAGTTTCTGTTAGACTAATAGCTCCTTTGATAGAAGCAGCAAAGGGAGGGCAAGGGAAGAGTTGGAGGGCGAGCTGAAACTGGCTGGAAGAAGAGGCAGAGGCAGGGCTGACAACATAGCAATGAGGGGGTAGCTTGAAGAGAGCTGGCTGGAGGAGGACGAGGGCTCAGCGACTCACACACATAAAAATAAGTACAGAAGAGAGTGACCTTCCATTGCTGTTCCCATGGCAAATGCATCTGATTTTTTTTTTTTTTTTAACTAAAAGTAACATCTGTGGAGCCATGATGGGCTGGGGTTTTGCCAGACTCAAAGTGCTTTACTGGTTTCTATACACTGGAAGGTCGCCCTCCCTTCACTGAGCAGCAGGGGCCTTTTATAGACACATGCTTTGTCTCGGGAGGAATGCACGGTTAAAATGGATTGCTTAATGTTCTAGACTAGAGTGAATCTGGTAATGTCTGAAAAAATGCCAGAGAATGTGCCTTAGAATTTCACTCGGGCCCATTTGAGTCTTTAGCATTTATGTGTGTCTGAGAAGTCAGTCCACCTTTGAGTGTCTTACCTGTGTGGCTGGGCTGGGTTGTCTTCTTAGGTGGCAGAAATCACCGGTACAGAGCCCAGAGTAACCTTGGAGCAACTGAAGAAAATGAAACATGGAGGAAATGCAGGACATCATGAAAAGAAAATCAGGCTGGGCATGGTGGCTTATGCCTGTAATCCCTGCTCTTTGACAGGCCGAGGTGGGAAGATTGCTTGAGGCCAGGAGTTCAAGACCAGCCTGGGCAACATAGTGAGATCCTGTCTGTACTACTTCTACTACTACTAATAAGTAATCAATGAGCCCTACTGTTTGTTAAAGCTCTGCTCACAGCCCACAGCAGTGATCACTCGGTATCTAGAAGCGTGACACACCACAAAACAGTCTAGTGGCTATGAACTAAAGCAGGGGAAATTTCCCAAGTAGACAAATATGTTTCATACACTTGTCTTTCCCTTTCCACTTGTCTTTCCCCGTCACACTCTGTGAATGTCTCCACCATCTCCTGCTGGCTTAACCCCTTGAAACCTCCTCATGGGCAACCTGCCACCGCAACCCTCTCCCCAAGTTTCAAATGACCCTCTCCTCAACCTTAAAGTAGACTTGACTTGCTCTCCCTTGGAAGTGCACTTTAGAATTCTGCCTTGGGGCCGGGCACAGTGGCTCACGCCTGTAATCTCAACACTTTGGGAGGCCGAGGCAGATGGATCACCACCTGAGGTCAGGAGTTCGAGACCAGCCTGGCCAACATGGTGAAACCCTGTTTCTACTAAAAATACAAAAATTAGCCAGGTGTGGTGGTTGCGCGCCTGGTATTGCAGCTGCTCAGGAGGCTAAGGCATGAGAATAGCTTGAACCCAGGAGGCAGAGGCTGCAGTGAGCCAAGATGGTGCCACTGCACTCCAGCCTGGGTGACAGAGCAAGACTGCCTCAAAAAAAAGATTCTGCTTTGGGCCTCAAGAACACATGATGATATTGTCTCTACATTCTGCTCTCCTGTTCCTCATTTTCTTCTGTTTTTACACTATGTTCTTGGAACCTGTTCTAATAATTACACCTGTTAAATTCAAGCCATGAAGATTCTGGGCCACCCCGGACATAAGATGCTCTCGAATGAGATCAGAATAGTAATCACAGCTAAGCCTCTGGAATCTGGAGGCCTGTCAGGAGCTAATGCTTCCAAGCATAAAAGAGATAATGATTTTGATGAGGACGCTTTACTCTGACCCTGGCAAGCTCTGTATGGAATGATCCCCAGAATTATTGCTGGCATTGATTGAAACAAAAGATCAGATATCTTACAATGTTCATCTTCATGAAATTGTTTAACTTCAGTGAGGAGACTAGAAAAGTTGAAGAATGCAATGGTTGCTTGGTTCTGAAGTGAAAACTAGTCTCAATCATTCCTCAACAAACTAAAAATAGAGCTACCATATGATCCAGCAATCCCACTGCTGGGTATATACCCAAAAGAAAGGAAATCAGTATATCAAAGAGATAATCAATGATACTTGATTACCGAGTAACATGCAGAAGATCATTGACCATCTCCCTCCCTTTTTCTTCAATCATTACTGCATTTCAGGGATCACAAGATAATTCACTAAGGGCTGTTCACCTTTGCTTTTATGTTCTCAGGGAAAATGGATTGGAAAGCATTTGAGGAAATATAGCTTATAGGTAAACGATTGTTTGTAATATATTCTTCAGGAGGAGAAAACTTGCCATCTTTAATGTCAACTTGGAAGCAAATATTTAGCATCCCAAAATGTTCCTATAGTGGTGGCTTTTAAAAAGTGGAAATAATGCGGATATGTCCTACTATAGCTGAAATTTAGAGAAAAGAAAAACACAAATAAAAAGTCTAAGACAGTGATTGTCTGAACTACAACTTGCGTGTGATCTGATTGGAATGATCTGTCTTGCTGTACCAGTGAGATAATACAATATTCCTTTCCTCAGTATTCATTTGATGCTGTAATTAAGGTAGGACTGAACAGTGAAGAGTGGAAGCTTACTATTGTCAATGCTTTCACGATGAGTCTGTGGGAAATATGAACCACAGCATAGCCTGGAAAAAGGCAAACGTGACTTTAACAGATTGGAAACATTAGTGATGGATGAAGGGACAATTGGTTTCCAATTATGCCTGGTCCTACTCATTTTTGTTTTTACTGATTGTGACAAATATACACTATAGGATTTGGTGGGAAGCATTTCATTTTTTTTAGCTCAATAAATAAATATACAGTATTTAATGGGGAATGTTTCTTTCTTACAAAGTCCCCAAATTAAAATTCACTCAGTTCATTAACAATTTGGAATTTTATCTTGTTCTGGTAATAATGACAACGTCACAGGCAAGAGTAGCTATTTTATCATGGCATTTGGATGGTAAATGTAAGCTTTTTAAAAGTTAGAACTGAGCAAAGAAAGCCCTAGTGATTATGAACTGTAATATAGTGAACTTCTGGGGTTTTTTTTTAAATCACAAATTGTCTTGGTGCATTAGCAATATGTCAGCTGCAATTACAGTGGAAATGGCACCCTGACTTAAAATGAAGTGCTATTTCCTTTCCTTAAAAGATTTACTTGAGTATGAAGAGAGCATACTGTTAAGTACTCTGAGTTTGCATTCAGGTCTGTGAGTTGCCTACTTAATGGATGCCCACACAGCATGTTTTAGCTGTACTTTTCTCTGTCAGTTATGTACAAGTCATTATGTGCTTCCTATATATAGTATTTGATAGTTATTGATTTGCATATAATCTAATATGTTGAAGTAATTAATTTTTAAAGTATAAAGTGCATTAATGCAATACTAACAATTAAAAAATAGTATCTTGAATTTACACGGCATAAGATTCTTGTATGTCTATTTACCTACTGGTTATATTCAGCCAAAACCTGGTCCTCCTCCTCCTGTCTTCTCTAACTCAGTTAATGCCATCACCAATCACCCAGTTTCCCAAGACAAAAGCTGGGCACAAAGATTATTTTTCTCCCCTTATTGCCTCATCCAGTTCATTACCAAGTCCGATCAATTCTATACCTCTTCAATATCACTCAGCTGTGTCCTCTTCCCTTCATTTCTGTTGCCACTTTCTTATTTCAACCCAGCACCATCTCATGTCTAGACTCTTGCAAAAGCCTCTTAACTGGTCTCTCTTCCTCCAGGGCTATTCCCACATTGCTCTCCTGTAAATCCAAATTTCTCATCACAGTCCGCCAATTCATAACCTGCCTCTTTCTCCTCTCTTGCCTGACATCCTGGGCTAATTCTCCCCACTTCTCATTCCCCCAACTACTACTCCACTTTCATGGTTTTGGTGAAGTGAGCCCTCCTCCTGGAAACCACCTTTCTCTCTTTCCCTTCACCCCAGGACTTCCTTTGCCCACAGGTAGCATTTGTTACACTGTGCTGTAATTGCCAATTTACTTGCCTGACTTACAAACTAGATTATAAGCACCTTGAAGGGAAAGAGTGGGTTGTTTTCAAGTTTGTATTTCTGGGGCCTAGCGCATCTCTTATCATCGTAAGCGTGTAATAAATATTTGCTTAATAAGCAAATGAATACCCAGTATACTTCATCCATAATGTTCCCTGTTTGTTTCCTTTGGGTTAGTGTGACACAAAAATAAATAAATAGGCTGGCTGGGCATGGTGGCTCACGCCCGTAATACCAGCACTTTGGGAGGCTGAGGGGGGCGGATCACTTAAGCTCAGAAGTTCAAGACCAGCCTGGGCAACATGATGAAACCCCATCTCTACTAAAAGCACAAAAATTAGATGGGTGTGGTGGCACATCCCCGTGATCCTAGCTACTGGGGAGCCTGTGGTGGGAGGATTGCCTGAGCCTGGGGGGAGGAGGTTGCAGTGAGCCAAGATCACGCCACTGCACTCCAGAGCAAGACCTCGTCTCAATAAATAAATAAATAAAGTCTCTGCCCCTGGTTCCTGGCACAGAGCTTCTAAAACCCCTGTAATTTCCTGAGCCATGGGGTGCTAGGTGCATCCTTTGTTCCAATATTTGGTCTTTGATCCTGGTTCCTGACACAAAGGTCTTAAGTCCCTTGGAATTTCCTGGGTGATAGGAGTATCTTTTGATCTAATGAGGTGACTCTTGGTGAGTTCCTGGATGGGAGCTGGTGACCAGAAAAACCAAGCCATGATTAGATGCTTGGAACCTTCAGCCTTACCCCCATCCTCTGGGGAGTGGAGAGGGCCTGGAGATTTAGTTAATAATCAGTCATGCCTACATGATGAAGCCTCCATTAAAATACCTAAAGTATATGGCTCAGAGAGCTCCTGGATCGACGAATATATCCACATGCTGGGAAGGTGGCATGCCCCAACTCCCACTGGGACAGAAGCTCCTGTACTCAGTTTCTTCCAGATCTCACCCTGTGTACCCCTTCAACTGGCTGTTCATCTGTATCCTTTATTATATCCTTTATAATAAACTGGTAAATGTAAGTGGTTCCTTGAGTTCGGTGAGCTGTCATAGCAAATAATTATTATTATTATTTGAGATGGAGTCTCAATCTGTCATAGCAAATTATTATTATTATTATCTTTTGAGATGGAGTCTCACTCTGTCGCCCAGTCTGGAGTGCAGTGTCATGATCTCTGCTCACTGCAACCTCCCGGGTTCAAGCAATTCTCCTGCCTCATCCTCTTGAGTAACTGGGACTACAGGTGCATGCCACCACGTTCAGCTAATTTTTTCGTATTTTTAGTAGAGACGGGGTCTCACCATGTTGGCCGAGCTGGTCTTGAACTCCTGACTTCAAGTGATCCACCCACCTCGGCCTCCCAAAGTGCTGGGATTACAGGCGTGAGCCACCACGCCCAGCCCATAGCAAATTATTGAACCCATGGGAACCTTCAATATGTAGTCAAGTTGGGTAAAAGTGTGGGTCATCTGGGGACCCATTTCTCATGATTGGCATCTGAAGTGGGGGCAGTTTTGTGGGATTGAGCATTCAACCTATAGTGTCTGCACTAACTCCAGGTAGTTAATGTCAGAATTTAATTGTGAGATACCCAGTTGGTATGCAGAGAGTTGAAGAATTGGTTGGTGTTGAAAAACCTTTCACACATTGGTATCAGAGTTAAGTGTGAGAATAAAGAAACAGGGTTTCCCTTCTTAGTAAGTGCAAACTTGTTCTAAAGTGAAGGTAAAGTTGACAGGACAAATGGTGCTGGGTGCATGTTGGGAGACAATTCTCCACAGGTCTTTGGTGTTTCCGCACATCTTACAAGCAGAGGCACTGACTGCCTTTGTTCCAGACTAACTTTTCCAGAATATTTACATAGCAAACAGCCTTAGAAGAGAGAAATTATGTCTCCCTTCAGAGCAAAGGGCAGGTTTATTGATTGTCCCATTATAACAAAGATAGTATCTCCCTCTAGAGAAGGGGTGTCCAATCTTTCAACTTCCCTGGGCCACACTGGAAAAAGAAGAATTGTCTTGGGCCACACATAAAATACACTAACACTAACCACAGCTGATGAGCTAAAAAAAAAAAAAAAAAAAAAAAAAAATCACAAAAAAATCTCAAGTTCTAAGAAAGTTCATGAACTTGTGTTGGGCCACATTCAAAGCTGTCCCAGGCCGCATGCGGCCCATGGGCTGTGTGCTGGAAAAACTTGCTCTAGAGCAAAGGTCAAGTATGCTTACTGACCATTATGAAAGATTTGAGTTCCCTAAACTTAGGGTCCCACTCCTATAATGCAACCCACACACGTGCAGGTGTCATCTGATCCTCTTTGTGTTGCCCTGTAAGAATTAGGCTTAGGGAAGCAGCACAAATGCTGATGCTCTGGCTACAGCTATTGCTGTGAGGAATGAACTGTCCTTATCCTATGTCTCTAACCCCAGAGTCTCATATCTTCACTAGCATCTATAAAACTGTGCTAAGATAACTTTTTTGTTTATGAGTAAAATCTTATGGACTAGATAAAGAAAATGTGGTACATATACATCATGGAATACTATGCAGCCATAAAAAAGAGTGAAATATGTCCTTTGCAGGGATATGGATGGAGCCAGAGGCCATTATCCTTAGCAAATTAATGCAGGAACAGAAAACCAAATTCCAAATGCTTCCACTTATAAGTGGGAGCTAAATGACAAGAACACATGGATACATAGAGGGGAACAACACACACGGGGGCTTTTAGGAGGGTGGAGGTTGGGAGGAGGGTGGCGATTAGGAAAAATTACCAATGGAGACTAGGCTTAATAGCTGGGTGAGGAAGTAACTGTACAACAAACCCCCATGACACAAGTTTACCTATGTAACAAACCTGTATGTCTGGCACATGTACCCATGAACTTAAAATAAAAGTTAAAAAAAAAAAATCTTAGACCTTTCACAGTTCTTGAAGGTACTAACTTGGGAGAACATAATCTATAGACACATTGGTAGTCAGGATATCAAGTTTCCTAGAAAAGGTAGAATTGTCAGTATGTGTCACGATAGTGGTCATGATCGTATATTGGGAATATGAGTTTGATTATATGAAAAAAATAAGTTGCCTGATTAACCTTACAGACCACCTTCCTCAGAGGCTAAGCAGGTAACATAGTTGAGTGATATGGGCTGAGATGAAATCATCTACACAGTCCAGCCAATTGTTGCCTCAATTAAATGAGGACCACTTTTTAGCAGATCTTCCAAGTGAATGAAGCCTGAAATACAGATTTTTATGTGAAAATCCCAATCAATAAAGGTTGAAGACTAATTCACTTTTTAAATAACATGCTTTACATTAAGCTAAACAAAAACCCACTGCTATGTGCCACCTCTGCATCAGACAAATGGAAAATTGCCCAGGTCTCTTAAGCCCCTGCCCACAGGAAATAAGCAAGTGGAAATTAAGGCTCATATACAGCCACCAATCAAGGCAAGGTAGATCAGGACCTGCATCCTAACTCCCTGTCTCCATGATAAGACCATAAGAGTATTCATCCTCCTCTTTCCTCTTCCACATACGGTCTCTTGTTGCTCACTTCCTTCATACTCATCTTTCTCTAATTATAGCCTTTATTTGTGTTTATATACCCAATTTCACCCATGTTAATTAGTGGTGTTTTCAAAAAAATCATTAAGACAGAATCATAAATAATAATATCTAACACTTACTGAGCACTTAAATTGTGTATGAAGCACTATAGCAAGCAATTTGCATACATTATTGTCTTAGTCAGTTTGGGGTGTATAACAAAGTACCATAGACTGGGTAGCTTATAAACAACAGAAATTTACTTCTCACAGTGCTGGAGGTTAGAAATAGATCAGGCGTGGGTTCTGGGGAGGGTCCTCTTCCTGGTTGCAGACTACCGATTTCTCCTTGTAGCTTCACATGGCAGAAAGAGAACTACAGAGCTCTTTGGGGACTCTTTTATAAGGGCACTAATCCCTTTCACTAGGGCTTCATCCTCAGGACCTAATCCCCTCCCAAAGGCTCATCTCCTCATACCATCACAATGAAGGTTAGGATTTCAACATCTGAATTTTGGGGGGACATAAACATTTAGTCCATGACACTTAACTCATTTAAGTCTCATAACAATCCTTTTGGAATAGTGTCCCTATTTTACAGTTGAGAAAAAAATAGTTTGAGAAGGTGGTTGCTGAGGGCTGTAGATAGGAGAGAATGAGAAATTATTGTTTAATGCGTATCAAGTTTCAGTTTTGGTAAATGAAGAGAGTTCTGGGGATTCATTGCACAACCATGTGAACACACTAAACACTACTGAACTGTACGCTTAAAAATGGTTAAAAGGGTACTATGATAGTTGCATAGTTCAGCAGATTGAATCATCAAGAGATTTAATATTTGTCTGATGTATCTGGGACAATTTTTTTTAATGGTTAAGAAGGTAAATGTTATGTTATCTGTATTTTACCACAATTTTTTTTGTTTGTTTTTTGAGACAGAGGCTGGAGTGCAATGATGCGATCTCACCTCACTGCAACCTCTGCTTCCTGGATTCAAGCGATTCTCCTGCCTCAGTCTCCCGAGTAGCTGGGATTACAGGCATGTGCCACCACGCCTGGCTACTTTTGTATTTTTATTAGAGATGGTGTTTCTCCATGTTGGTCAGGCTGGTCCTGAACTCCCAACCTTAGGTGATCTGCCTGCCTTGGCCTCCCAAAGTGCTGGGATTACAGGCGTGAGCCACCACGCCCAACCTTACCACAATTTTTAAAATAAATAAATATTACAAGTTAAAAAGGCTGGAAGCATCTAAACCAAGATAGAAGCAATGATTATATTTAGAGAGTACAAATGGAACAGTTGTTATATTTAGAGGTACTATTGGGGTGCATCTTATCTGGTGCACTTTTCTCTATTTACAAATGTACACAAATTTACAATAATAAACATAAAAATAGTTGAGAGGGGATGAAAGGGTTGATACTGTGTGAAATGCCCCACAGGGGACACCAACATGTCCATTTCTGGAGCCGTCTTCTCATTTGTTTCCCAGCTCCTGCCGTGCCCTCCACATCACTCTGTTCACAACCAGCCATCTGGGTAGGTTGATTGGCTTTCTAATGACTGTTAGTCTCCAGTAGCCCAGAAGAAATAAAGTTGTTGTGGTTACTTTTAGCAATCTATAAACCCATTTAACAATCCAACTTATGTAATCTCATCATCTCCAGGAGCTAAGGCCTACGGTTCTGGGCTTTTTTGTCCCCACTTTGCTCAGGGCCCTACAACTGTGTCCCCACAAACAATCAAATAATATACTTTGGTCAGGTCCACAAATATGTATTGAGCAAGGCCTATACACAAAACAGGAACCAAGAGTGTTTCCTGAGGCAAGCTCACATCTCTTTTGGTAGGTCACAGGGGGAGTCCTTTGGCCCCCTTCCTTGGGTTCCAGATCAAGACGAAAGAGACGAGCCCAAGCTGTGGCTGCGAGATCACAGATTGCCCTGTGGGCGATGCTGAAAATGTTGGATTGGAGAGGAAGACAAATCCTAATAACTTTGTAGACCAGACTCATCTCATATTAATGAGAGGTTCCTACATTTGGCAGGCATTGGCCAATTTAGGCTAGAGCTTGGGATTTCAGCTTCCAATGTGTATGTATACATAAGGATCATTAGGTAATAGGTGCACGTAAGAAAGTATTATTGCAAGGTGGAGGAAACTATTGCAACAGGGAGGATGCTCCTGACCGTAAGATCTGCAAGAATCCCCCATAAAATGTATTTTAATACATGCAGTTTATCAGCATCACATACTGTCCAGAATTATCTAAAATTATTTTATTGTCAATCTTTGTAACATACCTATAAATATGTTTAATCACACAGTTGAAAGGTTTGAGGTATACGAAGATAATGAGATGTGTCCAAAACTCTCTCTTATTCATCAATAGATCAGAGGATGGAATTTAAGCTTTCTTACTAATATTTAGAACACACCGATCGGGCATGGTGGCTCACACCTATAAGGCTCGCTCGAGCCCAGGTGTTCGGGATCAGCCTGGGAAACATGCGAGACCCCATCTCCACAAAAAATGCAAAAATTATCCAGGTGTGGTGGCATGCCTGTGGTCCCAGCTACTTGGGAGGCTGAGGCAAGAGAATTGCTTGAGCCCAGGAGGTTGAGGCTGTGATGAGCTGTGTTTGCACCACTGCACTCCAGCCTGGGTGACCCAACAAGATCCTGTTTAAAAACAACAACAACAACAACAACACAAACAAAAAAAACACACCACACACACACACTGAATAGAAAAGAGGGGAGATAGCAAGATTTGGTAGCATTAAAAATTGAGACAATGCAATAGTGCTAAAATCTCTTGCTCTAGATACCTGATATTATGCTATTATTTTTGAGTAACTTTATTTTTCCAGGAGAGTCTCAAATTTAAATATTCTGCCCTGCTATCAGAATATGAATATCTGACTTTATACAATTGTTAGTTTGTTAATACTGTCATAATACCACTGGGCTTGTCAAAACATCTGTATGTATTTCATTGTAACAAATTACAGGCAGCCCTTGTATTGCCAACTGTGCAAAAGCAATCTTAATAACCAGTAGGAATAATTATAATTGTTCTGTGAACTTTACAAATTATTGTTAAAAACATCAAAATTTATCTTCCTGTCACTTAGAAATGTATAGGAAAGCAGAAACAGTAAAATTAATGTTTATTTAGTGCATTGCAATTTAAAACAGACACACTGAGAATTAGAGTGTTTCATGTCTTTGTAAAAAGTTATCAAAAGTAGGCCAGGTGTAATCCCAACACTTTGGGTGGCTGAGGTGGGCAGATCACTTGAGGCCAGGAATTCTAGACCAGCCTGGCCAACATGGTGAAACCCCGTTTCCACTAATAATGCAAAAATCAGCCAGTCATGGTGGCACGCACCTGTAATCCCAGCTACTCAGGAGGCTGAGGCAGGAGAATCGCTTGAACCTGGGAGGCAGAGGTTGCAGTGAGCCGAGATCGTGCCACTGCACTCCAGCCTGGGCAGCAGAGCGAGACTCCATCTCAAAAAAAAAAAAAAAGTAGTTTGAGCAGTGCTTGCCTCCTTCTTTTCATGGTATAACTTACAACACGGAGCACGCACCTTTTCTATCCCTTCGCAAATTGTCATACTCCTTTCTAAGTTTGGATCAGCTTCCAACATTTTGTCCTTTGCAATATCTCTGGGAGTTCCTTCGATGTGAAGTTTTTGCTGGCATCACTCCCTTGGAGACATCTTTTCAGCACCACCATTTTCCTCATTTGTAAGTTTCATAAGTTCCCCTTCACTAAGTTCCTCTGGCTGCATAGGAATCTCTTGAGAATGGAGGCAGGGTCAACATTCCCACAGTCATCTTTTTCTTCTATAACTCCATTTATGTTTGATGCAAATTTAACTTCCAGTACAGTAGTTTCCCCTTATCCACGGTTTCACTTTCCATGGTTTCAATTAACTGCAATCAACCGCAGTCTGAAAATATTAAATGGAAACTTACAGAAATAAACAAGTTGTAAATTGTGAATCTTTCTGAGTAGAGCGATTAAATCTTGAGCCATCCTACTCCATCCCACCCGGAGGTGAATCATCCCTTTGTTCAGCAGGTCCACGCTGACTTTGACCTACCATCTGTTAGTCACTAGTCACCGTCTCAGTTATGAGATGGAAAAAAAATTAGTAGATAGAGAGTTCGGTACTCCCTGTAGTTTCAGGCATCCACTGGGAGTCCTGGAAGGTATCGCCCTCAGATAAGTGGGGACTACTGTACATCAAAACTGTGCAAAGCAAGGACTAACTGTAGCAAAACCATGCGATTCCATTGCCTCTCACAACTCTGAGTAAAAAAGTGTTTTCCCAGGGTTACTGTCAGAGTTTAATTTGTACAAATAACTTGACGATCATGGGATGACCCAAGATGTCCCTAGAATGCTTACACAAGTGCCCTTCCACCCCACAGGAGAGGGAAGATGGTTTGGGGTTATGACCAAGGCCCTTAGATATCTAGGATTGAACACTCTTAAGGGAGAGAAAAGCACCACACTCAAAGCCTGCTCCTGAAAAGACTGGTGGAAGTAGGCCAGGCATGGTGGCTCACGCCTGTAATCCTAGCACTTTGGGAGGCCGAGGTGGGTGGATTCCTTAAGCTCAGGAGTTCGAGACCAGCCTGGGCAGAATGGTGAAACCCTGTCTCTACAAAAATATGCAAAAATTAGCCAGGCATGGTGGGGGCACGCTTGTAGTCCCAGCTACTCAGGAGGCTGAGATGGGAGGATCACTGAGCCCAGGGAGGTCAAGGTTGCAGTGAGCCATGATCCTCCCACTGCACTCCAGCCTGGGCAACAGAGTGAGACCCTATCTGAAAAAAAAATGTAGTGGAAGTAGGAGGGCTCACTTGGGGCAAGTATCTGATGCAGTGACCTGCAGAAGACCCCTGAGAAAACAGTTAGGCCTCAGCCATTGCCTCAAATTTGAATCATTGATTGCAAAAGCTTCACAGCATTATATTCACCAATCAAGGGCACTTCCTGAGCAGCTGGTCACTCAGGATGTTGCTGAGAAAGGCACTTTGCTTTGCCCAGCAACAGAGGGGGCTGGGACTATTCCAAGCATAGAGAGAGTAGCAGAGAAACACTGCTGAAAGAATCAGTGGAAAAATCATCCAGGAGGGGCTGTTTTTGCATTTCTTTGGCTACTATTTACTGGCCTATGCAATATTTTATAAACTTCACACAGCAATACTTGCTCTTTTATTCAACAAATTATTACGAGCAGCATCTCTGGCCTGCACTATGCAAAGTCCTTGGATAAGGTGGTGAAGGTCACAGATTTCTTAGGAGGGTAGCCATCAAATGGCTAATGACACAACTGATCGTGTCATTTTATCAAGATATTAAAATAAGTGTCACAAAGGAGATTCACAGGGTAGCATAACAATATGCAAAGGAGAAGGGGTATTTGGGGAAGATAGCTTTCTTGACGGGGTAATATTTGAGCTGAACTTTGAATAAAATGAAGGTTTTAACATACTTTTGAATAAAATCAAGTGGATTTAACATACACTGTTGATAATCTGGATCCAAACTTGGCTCTTCTGAGAGCATAGCTACCCCGTCGTGATTGACCACAACCTCACTGGTAGGACCCAGATAATTTTGTTAAATGCAGTCAGACTCCAAGATGCTCTATTTTACTCCCATTAAAATGTAAGATCCACAAAGGCAGAGTCAATGTCTCCTTTGTCCCAGGCAGTACTCCGGGCATAATCATTAGGAATTGCTCTATAAACACCCAGCTTCCTTAGCGCTTGGCAGGGGGTCTGGGCATAGCTCTCATATGGATACGCTACAGTTTCCCAAAGATCCCTAGCGGGACTGAGAACCAGTTGCCCACAGTGATAACCTACTTGATATTGCACCCTTTATTGGCTGCCTTCCCTCCCCTGTCTCATTTCCACACTCCTTTGTTAGTGTTTTCTGAGATCATCTCCCAGATAAACAAATTACTTGCACTCAAACTCTTGTCCCAGGACCTGCTTCTGGGAGAATACAAACTTGGTCAGCTGCCTGTGAGAGTACCTTCTTCCTGGCAATGTGCAAAGTATTTGACATAAAGTTGTATTTGACAACTTTAAGAGGTATTCACTGTATTTTCCCATGCCTTACAGATAAGAAATGGAGGCACTAAGAAGTAACTGGCTCAAGATCACACAGTAACTTAATGGTGGAGCTAGGATTCCAAACAAGACAGCCTGACTCTAAAACTGCATCCTTAACTACAATATAAAGTTTTAGGCTTTAGAAACATAATTTTTCCACCAGATGCAGTGGCTCACGCTTGTAATCCCAGCACTTTGGGAGGCCAAGGCCAGCAGATCACTTGAGGCTGGGAGTTCGAGACCAGCCTGGCCAACATAGCAAACCCCCCTCTCTACTAAAAATACAAAAATTAGCTGGGTGTGGTGGCGGGCATCTGTAGTCCTAGCTACTCAGGAGGCTGAGGCAGGAGAATTGCTTGAACCTGGCAGAAGTTGCAGTGAGCTGAGATCACACCACTGCACTCCAGCCTGGGCGACAGAGCAAGGCTCTGTCTCAAAAAGAACAAAAAAAGAAAAGAAAAGAAAAAAAGAAACATAATTTTTCAGCTATCAAGGAGCTTACATTAACTTCAAATGCTTTCATCAAGTAGCACCAGCAAAGGTCATCTGCATTTGTGAATGCTCTCTGATTTGTACTCACTCTGCTGACTTTTTTTTTTTTCTTTTTGAGACAGAGTCTCCCTCTGTTGCCCAGACTGTAGTGCAGTGGCACGATCTCGGCTCACTGCAACCACTGCCTCCCAGGTTCAAGTGATCCTCCTGCCTCAGCACCCTTAGTAGCTGGGATTACAGGCACATGCCACCATGCCCGGCTAATTTTTTATTTTTTAGTAGAGAACAGAGTTTCGCCATGTTGGCCAGGCTGGTCTCGAACTCCTGACCTCAGGTGATCCACCTGCTTTGGCCTCCCAAAGTGCCGGGATTACAGGCATTAGCCACCACGCCCGGCCCACTCTGCTTACTTTTAAGGACAATTCAATTTTATTTTTATTTTTATTTATTTATTTTTGAGACAGAGTCTCTCTCCGTCATCCAGGCTGGAGTGCAGTGGTGTGATCATAGCCCACTGCAACCTCAAACTCCTGGGCTCAAGGGATCCTCCTGCCTCAGCCTCATAAGTAACTAGGACTTCAGGCTCACACCACCATGTCCAGATAATTAAAAAAATTTTTTTTGTAGAGATGAGGTCTTGCTATGTTGCCCAGACTGGTCTCAAACTCCTGGGCTAAAGTGATCCTCCCACACTGGCCTCCTAAAGTGTTGGGATTACAGGCATGAGCCACCATATCTGGCTGACAATTCTACTTTAGGGCAACCCGGGTTCAATAGTACTCTAAAATACAGATTACATTCTCTATTGCACATAAAATATTTTAGGGCAATTATTACCCTCATGGGGAGGGGCACAACTAAGCAAACTGTAACCCAGGTTTCATCCTAATTTTCACAAAATCCAGAGTCCAAATGAGCCAATATTTTGAAATTTATAAAAGTTGACCCACATAAAAGCTACAATATGAGCGTAAATCTTATTCTGTATTTAAAGATGAGGTCAGCAAAAGGTGGTTAAAAGGAAAAGAATTTTTTTTTTTTTTATCTGAAAGGCAGAAAATAAAGAACAATCAGTGGGAGCTAAAAATCCAAGTCAGCCGAAGAAGTTCTAAATTGTAACTCCCAGGGTTTTAAGTGTTGAGATGAGTTTTCTTCATGTGAAACAAAAGGAAAATCAGTTAATGAGACTGAAGGTGAAGTGTTATGAATCTGCAGAGAAAGCAAGCTGACAGCCTGATTGGCATATTGAAGGAAAGGAGGAGAATGAATGGAAAATTTATCAGACAAAGTTTACAGTTGCCTTTTTAACCTCAGCCATGAACAGGAGTGAGGACGGAAAAAATGCTTTTATGTTTAAAATAAATGGTTGAAAATTATGGACAATAATTGTCTGGAAATGGGGAAGATTTGTCCAACTGCTATAAAATCTTGTGATGAATCTAAAGGCAGGAATGAGACAAAATCGTGAAGATAGAATGCCCATAAAGTAGGATTGAGAATTAATGTCTAGTTCCCTGAGGTATCCAGCAAGGCACAGGTACTTTGGGGACCTGCCTGGGCCAATAGAAACATGAATAATTGGGCCCAAAGATTACAGAGGCAGGCGTGCATTATTTGAGGATGTTGTCTTCTCTCCATTTCTCACTTTCCATTCGGATCCCTGATCTATTGACTAAGTTAGCTTTCAACCATACTCCTTCTTCATCTCATGGTTTGCTGCTTTTTCTGTGAAGTGCTTGGTTGAAGTTCTTGATCCCTTGGTTATTCCTGTGGCCTCTCCCAAGCAGGTAGCCCCAGAATTCAAACTTTGTCCTCAGTCCTGGATTTGTTCCTAAGGGTTAGACTGCAAATATGAAGAGTGTCAGATAGGTGATGGAACTTTGGGGGACACACAAGTATCAGGGGCCTTCCACAATGCAGAGCAGTGATTTGAAAGTCAGGGGACCCATTGATTTTGGCCCAGCCTGCTTTATGTTTACAGCTGTGGTTGGTGCCAGGACAGGCCAATGCCCCTTCTGATCATTCTCCATGGGATATACAGTGTGAGATTTTTTTTTTTTAACTTTAAATGGATCACAGACCTATTCTTGGCTGTAACTTAAGGCACTGTTGGACTCAGATAGCCCTAAGGTAGGACTATTTGTCAGGGTTCGCCAAAGAAACAGAACCAATAGGAGATAGATATAGATATAAATATAGAGAGATAGAGGGATGGATAGATAGAATAGATAGATAGATAGATAGATAGATAGATAGATAGATAGATAGATAGATAGAGATTTACTATAAGGAATTGACTTATGCAATTATGGAGGCTAAGAAGTCCCATGATATGCAGTGGGCAAGCTGGAGACCCAGAAGAGCTGATGGTGTAGTTCTAGTCAGGGAGCAGAAAAAGACCAATGTACCAGCTCAAGCAGTCAGGTGAAGTTCCCTCTTAGTCTTTTTGTTCTATTTAAATCTTCAATTGATTGAATGAGGGCCACCCACATTAGGGAGGGCAATGTGCTTTACTCAGTCTACCAATTTTAATCTCATCCAAAACCACCCTCCTCCAAAAGCACAGACACACCCAGAATAATGTTTGACCAAATGTCGGGGCATCCCATGGCCCAGTCAAGTTGATATATTCGGTTAACCATTATAGTAGAATTATCTTTAGAAGTAAGCAGAGTGAGTATTGCCCCAATTTCCGGGAGACATTCTGGGAAGGCTCCTCACCCCACCCACTAAAATGTCTATCCCACTGTCTTGTTGGTTCAGGAATGAATCAGAACAAATGAGAGGTTGTTTTGTATGCATGTATGTATGTATTTTTTAACATCGTGTTGCAATGGCCCAGAAGACTGATGAAAAGCTTTCATTTCTGCCCGTCTCTTCTGGCCTCTAGAAAGCCTTGTGAATTCAGGACAGAACCCAAGGCTTTTTTGACTCATCAGAAGATTGAAAAAAAAAAAAACCAGACTTAAAAAAAGACAAGAGACAGTCATCCAATAAAATACAGCCAACTCCTGTATATTACAAAATATTATATATTCTTAATAGAAAGTTTTCCCTTACATTGGGACTAAATTCCCGATACTCCCTTCACCTGCAGCTGCTGCTGGAAAGTGGCCACTGTCAGTCATCAGGAGGCTCCTTCCCATCAATGCTTAAATTGCATGTTAGCCAGGATCTTTCATTTAAATTGAGAAAGTATCCAAATGCCTTATGCCTTATTTTACACCTCTTTTACACAACACTTTTGTGGCTAAATGGTAGCCACAAAAGTGATGAGATTTGGTAGTTAAAATCCCTGAATTTCTTTGGGTTCCATATGGAACCAGATTTCATTACAGGTTTGTTTGTTTTGAGACAGGGTCTTGCTCTGTCACCTGGACACCTGGAGTGCAGTGGTGCCATTGCGGCTCACTGCAGCCTTGACCTCCCAGGCTCAAGCAATCCTCCCACCTCAGCCTCCTGAGTAGCTAGGACTACAGGAACGCACCATCATCCTCAGCTAATTTTTAAATTTTTTTTAGAGACAGGGTCTCCCTATGTTGCTCAGTCTGGTCTCAAAGTCCTGGACTCAAGTGATCCTCCCAACTTGGTCTCCCAAAGTGCTGGGATTACAGGCGTGAGCCATGGCACCTGGCCCATTACCATTTTAATAATCGTTCCTATTATTTTGCTTTTGTTTATTTGTTTGTTTGCCTGTTTTGTTTTATTTCACTTCCAAGCAGTGAGAAGTTCTGTAGAGACAGAGTTGATCATACACCCCAATTTCCCAGGGACAGTGTCAATTTATGACTACTGCCCTGGCTTAATTTGTTAATGACACCTCTTTCTACTCTCTAAAATCTCCCAGTTTGGATAAGTCATATGTTCACTCTATAAATAGGGGCCATTTGGAACAGTTTAATGGTAATTTAGTCTTATTAGCAAATGTTAAGCAGTTCTACCATGTTCCTCCGTGCTTTTCTGAGACAACATCAGAGCTTCAGCATAGGTGTTTATGAGTACCAAAGTTAATATCTGAAAAGGGTATCTTCGTGGAGTAGTCTCCACTACACCACTTCAAGTACTATGGGGAATTTCTGTTTACTTGGTTTTAAATAATATAATCTCTTGATCATTCAAATTCCACTCCAAAAGTCTACTCCTAGAACCCAGTGGTTTTTTTAAAGCATTATTTTAATGTAAATTCAGGACTTCTATTTTTTATTTCCAATTTTATTTTTCATATAAAAGTTTATTTTCCCTGAAATCCTGAAGCTTTTGAACTCTGTGAAGGACCTGCATTTTGCTATGTTTTTCACCCTAGACAACAGGTTTCTTTCTCATTGTCGGTAGGAGTGTCTAATGTTCATTAGACCCCAAGTTGCTGCTCAAGACTATTCATTTAGGTTAGCCTATTTGAATACACCCAAATAGGAGTGTATTCACTGTGAGGCTGAACAATCTTCATTCTTCTAATGCGCATTTGAAGCCATCATTTAATTCATTGTATGGGACCTTTGCCCAAGTGGAAACCTGTGTTTGAGTCAATAGTCACAGAATGACTCAAACAAATAGGAAAGAATAAAGGCGCCATAGCTAGACAGAAGCTGGACCTGCTGGGGGACACCTGGCTGAGGGAAGGGGAAGTTTCCTGGTGCCCTGAGCCCTGGGGAAGGCTGAAGGATGAGTCTTCTTCTTTTTTAAATTTATCCGCCTCTTTTCCTTTTCCTTTCCTTCTCTGACTCACCTTTATTTTTCTTTGCTCCCAACTTCTTGTCTTCTCTGTTCCTTCTGTTCTTCTTGCTTCTTTCTTCTAACTTTTCTTTCTCCTGTTTTTCTCTTGTCCCTAGTCAACCTAAATAACAAATGGAGAGAAGCTCTCTAAAAGAAAATGATATTTATTCGGGCATAGGGAATTGCCATAAGAATATGCATGTCATAGTAAGCTATATGGGTATTCAGGGAGATAAAGGAAGACCAGGTTTTTAAAGGACAAATGAGGAGGATTACATAATTATTTTGAGATAATTATTCCTGGCTATGAGCACCAAGGGTGGTGCCAGTCCAGGGTTGGAGAGACAGTTGCTGAGAAGATATACTAACAGATATATTTTTTGTGTAAGGTTGCACTAGCCTTTGTGCAAGGTTGTGGTTTTTGCAGAGCCTTTCATGGTAGTTTCTGTTATCAAGTGCTTATACATGAGAATCCTCTATGGCCTTCCTTGGCTCTATTTGTCAGGGTTTCGGTTTTTTGTTTTTTTTTTCAATTTAATTTAATTAAATTAATTTTTTTTTTTTTTTGAGATGGAGTCTCGCTCTGTCACCCAGGCTGGAGTGCAGGGGCACAATCTTGGCTCACTGCAACCTCCACCTCTCAAGCGATTCTCCTGCCTCAGCCTCCCGAGTAGCTGGGATTACAGGCATGCACCACCAGGCCTGGCTAATTTTTGTATTTTTAGTAGAGATGGGGTTTCACCATGTTGGCCAGGCTGGTCTCATACTCCTGACCTCAAGTGATCTGTCCACCTCAGCCTCCAAAAGTGCTGGGATTACAGGTGTGAGCCACCAGGCCCAGCTGTTTTTTTTTTTTTTTTTTTTAAAGCAAACCACAATAACTCCACTTTTATTGTGACAACTTTCACACCCTCCCTCTCCTTTTGCCTCTTCAGTTTGCCCTCTTTTCTTGCTCTGCCTCTGGCCCTGCCATTGGCTTCATCTTGCAGTGGATCTGAAAACCTCTCAGTTTTCTAATCTCTTACACTCTAACAAAAACTAGGAACCCTCTCCCTAGAATAGGGCATACAGATATGCAAATCAAATATGAAACTTCTGAGAGTTGGTGATGCTTGAAGCTTTCCAGGCTAAGACCTTCTGGGATAAGTGTCCTTTGGTCCACTTCTTTTTATAAATCAAGTAACAAAGTGGTTTTAAGGAACCACCATAAGGAGATAAAAATAACTTCAGTAACATTTGGCAAACGGGTAATCAGCATGAAATTTAAAATCAACATAAAAGATCATACTAGATCATACAGTAGGTAGGGAGCTTTGGAAAGAACATGAAGCCCAGGACAATTTCAGATTTTCACACGGTAAGGTTGGTTGTAAGCCAATGTTGAAAACAGAGACACAGCATCATCTGCATGATGACATCTACAGCTAGGCCTTCAACTATCATGGTAGCTGTAGGTGACATTTTCTGTATACTATTATCTCAGTCCATTTTGTATTGCTATAAAGGAACACCTGAGGCTGGGTAATTTATAAAGAAAATAAATGTATCTGGCTCATGGTTCTGCAGTCCATACAAGAAGCATGGTGCCAGCATCTGCTTCTGGAGAGAAACTCAGACTGCTTCCACTCATGACAGAAGACAAAAGGGAGGCAAAGAGGAGCTGGCATGTAGAGATCACATGGTGAGAGAGCAGAGGCAAGAGAGGGGGAAGGTCTCAGGCTCTTTTTAGCAATCAGCTGTTGGGGAACTCTTGCGAAAACTAACAGAGGGAAAACTCATTCATTACTGCAAGAATGGCACCAAGCCATTCATGAAGGATCCATCTCCCTAACCCAAACATCTTCCACTAGGCCCCGCCTCCAACATTGGGGATCAAATTTCAACATGAGGTTTGGATCGTCAAGTACTCAAACTATAGCAACAATAAAACTCTAAAGCATTATATACCTGTAAGGAGTGGCATTGAAGTGAATTTAGCTGGTTGGTAAATGTAATGGCCCTGAGTTTTTTTTTAAATAAATGAACATTCTGGACATTGAAGAATAATTTCAGTCTATATTTTAGGAGTTATTTTTCTTTTAAACACAATACACCCACGCACAAACTTCCTTTAGCCCTTCTTTCCAAAATATATTTTAAAGCCTCCTCCCCAAGGTACTGTGCTATTGATAGGAAGAAACTCTGCTTTGCATATTTGTCATCTTTCCTCAAAACTCCTATTTGGATTTTTTTTTCTTATTTCCTACCAACCCCCCAGTAAAACCAGATGGCAATTTTACATCTAAAGGAATTTGCATGATATAAATGTGCTATTAAATAAGCATAATGGAAATGTATTGCTCTATTGTAAATTACTAATATAATCTCATTTCCATCTGAAAATTTTTTAAAGCATGGTTGAATTTTTAGTAATGGTAAGTTAATGACATATTAAAAATGAAACAGGAACCATTTATCTGAAGTATCAACAATATTATTATTATATATTTTAAAAGGTCATCATTTATTTAAAACATAATTATAGAATGACTCTAAACCACACAGAGACTTACTTTTTAAAGTATACGTTACATTTTCCCACTAATACTTAACTATATTTAAACAGTGGTAGTTGGATTTTTAAAGGCAGGAAGCACCATATCATTATTGTGTGTTTGTCCTTTGAACAAATTTGGCCCATAGGGCATTGACCTTCTAAAATCAAAACCAACGGAGCCCACATCAATGAATCGATAGTGTTAGGTCTGATCTCTCTTCTTTTGCCCTAGATTCAGGTTCTGGGGGTTATGTGAACTTAAGATGAAAAGAAATATGATGAAAATAACTTGGCTAGCTGGAAAAAAAAAATAACCACCTGGGATATGGGGGAAAGTCAAGTGTACCAGTTAAATGGCACTTCCTTCTAGTAAAGATCTCTCCAAGTTATCATGATAAGCTGAACACGGTGTGTGCTGGTAATTAACTCCTAATTATCTAAGAAAATGAAAGGCATAAATTATCCAAAATAGAGGCCAGGCACGGTGGCTCACGCCTGTAATCCCAGCACTTTGGGAGGCCAAGGCAGGCAGATCACGAGGTCAGGAGATCGAGACCATCCTGGCTAACACGGTGAAACCCCATCTCTACTAAAAATACAAAAAATTAGCCGGGCGTGGTGGCGGGCGCCTGTAGTCCCAGGTACTCGGGAGGCTGAGGCAGGAGAATGGTGTGAACCCGGGAGGCGGAGCTTGCAGTGAGCCCAGATGGCGCCACTGCACTCCAGCCTGGGCGACAGAGTGAGACTCCATCTCAAAAAAAAAAAAAAATTATCCAAAATAGAATTTGTTTTAAATTTTTAAAAAATTCTGTTTTGCTTAGCATTTATCTTCCTGCTATGTTTTTCTTAAACTCCTGCTAAAATAATTATACTTAACCTGAGGGGCACATCTTAGTCTGGTGGTGAGGGATACAGGCTTCTTGGAATGTGCTGTGAATGGGAAGACACACTTTAAGTGAAATATTCACCACAGAAATATTTACCAATAGAAAGTAGAGATGCTAATAAGAATTGGTATTTATGTAATACTATACAACTGATAAATTTCACGTACATTATATATTCTCCAACTCTGGGAGGTAGAAAAGGTATATGTAATTATTATCCATAGTTCACAGATGGATGGATGGAGAGAAAGACAGTCAGTGATAGGATTTTATTTTTTCATTGTCTATGTAGACATTTAAATTTCAGTTTAGTGCGAATCCCAGCTGTATCCTTCCTAATTGCCACAGAGAATTTTTCTCAATTGTTCTAATACAGGTGATAGCACATCTTTTGTATGTAGTAACCAGGTTTTACCTCTACCAGGTGTGGCATCCAAACCAGGGACTTGGCAAATGCACACATCCCCAAATAGTTGTCAGTCTTAGAGAATTCAGACCATTTCCAGGTTAACATCTATTTTGGATGAGTGTTTTGATCATGGGAACAGTTGGAAAGGAGGCTGCTAGCCATTCAAATATGAACTTACCTTCACCAATTCATCCATTCCTCCACTTATCAAATACGTTTTGAGCATAGGGTATGCCAAGCATTATCTGGGCCATAGGAAGATAAGAGTGAATTAGAAGTGGTCCTAGCCTGCAAGAAGCTAAACAAAATTTCCAAATCATAAAACCAGTTAAAAAGTACTTGTGGGAAGCCGGGTGTGGTGGCTCACACCTGTAATCCCAGCACTTTGGGAGGCCAAGGTGGGCGGATCACCTGAGATGAGGAGTTCAAGACCAGCCTGGCCAACATGGTGAAACCCCATCTCTATCAAATAGATAAAAAATTAGCTGGGTGTGGTGGCACGTGCCTGTAATCCCAGCTGCTCAGGAGTCTGAGGCAGGAGAATCACTTGAACCTAGGAGGCGGAGGTGGCAGTGAGCTGAGATTGAGCCATTGTACTCCAGTCTGGGCAGCAGAGCAAGACTCCATTTCAAAACAAACAAACAAACAAAGAAAACAACAACAACAACAAATTAGCCTGGAATGATGGCTGGTGCCTGTAATCCCAGCTACTTGGGAGGCTGAGGCAGGATAATTGCTTGAACCCAGGAGGCAGAGGTTGCAGTGAGCCAAGATCATGCCATTGCACTCCACCCTTTGTTTGGAAACTGATTCATAGAAGAAATTAAGAGGCCGGGCATGATGGCTAATGCCTGTAGTCCCAGCACTTTGGGAGGCCAAGGCAGGTGGATCACTTCAGCCCAGGAGTTTGAGACCAGCCTGGGCAACATGGCAAAACCACATCTCTACAAAAAATACAAAAATTAGCCAGGTGTGGTGATGTCCGCCTGTAGGCCCAGCTCCTTGGGAGGCTGAGGTGGGAGCATCGCTTGAGCTCGGGAGGTAGAGGTTGCAGTGAGCCGCAATTGTGCCACTGCACTCCAGCCTGGGTGACAGAGTGAGACCCTGTCTCAAGAGAAAAAAGAAGTTAACAATCAGTCCAAATGCTTTGAGTTCTCATAATTTGGGTGATCCCTGAATCTTTTCTATTCACAATAAACTTCCCATCTGTTTTCTTGAAGCATGTGATATTTGTCTTGATTACAGAGATGAAAACATTTTGCCTAGTAGCCTGGTCTGGGTCCATCTGCCCATCTCTCACATTTGACTGTGAGCTATGAAGGGCTAGGGCTTCACAGTCAACTATGCTCCCCTCCCTACCCTTGCACAAAAGATGCTTACGATAAATGCCCACTTTATTGAATTAAACAAAGAGGATGTTTTAAAATTAAAAATGTGCCTGCTTTCCTATTTCAAGAACTGCTTGGAATTGCCTTAAGATGATTCTCCTCTACTGGGCAGCAATAAGCAGAAAGCCCTAGGAAGGGTTCTTTTCCATCTTCCAAAGGGGAAATGTTGTTTTAAAGGGTGCCTCCCCATGTTTCAGGCCTCTCTTGGGCCTACCCCAAAATGTCTTTGTGCTAAGCTAATAAAGAACAGATGACTTATTTAACCCACATTTTCCTAAACTATTTCCTCATATTTTCTCTTGTATGTAAATATTTTCTCTTGAATCCAAATAGAGAATTTTCACTGAAATGATGAACCCATTGTAAAGTTTTTTTTAGCAAGGTCTCTGTGCAGGTCTTGTCTGATTAGTTATGAGCATTAAACACACACACACACACACACACACACACACACACACACCAGCAACAGCTGCAAAAATGTCCATATGCATCACTCCATTGCACTACTCAAACATATAGAAGAAAATTAGTTAAATAAAAACACACGACAGTGAATGTGTCTGCTGGGAGTACTTCCTTGTGTTTTACATTATCACACCTAAACATTAAGTCAGCCCCTTAACTTGATTTTAATGTATTTAAGCAATAACCATCAAGGCACAGGGCACTTTCTGGGAATTAATGAGCAGCAAGAAGAGTTGATGGCCTAAAGTCGAACCAAGGACTGTTAACCCCAGCTGGCTATTAATTCCCCAGGAAATGCCCGGCACTGAGGTTGGTATTACTATTTATAAGCCCTTTATACATGAAGAAAGGAATTACATATATCCCCCCTGCCGTGCCTTCATTTCAGAGAGTGCTGTGGGAAAGCAGGGAGCTGAATCACGCTGTTGTTGCTGCATCAAGCCTTTTCTGCTAAATTAAAAGTAATTACCAAAATGAAGGCTTTGGTCTACAACCAGACATAGTAAGAGCCTCTACACTACTCTTCTCTTCCTCATTCCCACCACTGGCAAATTAAAGGAAAGTAGTAATGGCAGCACCTTCCTGGGACATTTTTAATGAGGTCTAGCACACATGCAGTAAAGCACATGAATCTTAAGCATACGGCTTGATATAATTTTTAGGTACATACCAGATCAAGGTTTAGAACATTCCCAGTACCCCCGAAGGCTTCCTCATTTCCTCTCCCAGGTGGTACTCTAACAAAGGTGATCACAATTCTGCCCTCAGTCTCACAGAATACTTTTGCCTTTCCTGTATGTTGTATAAATTGATTCATACAGTGTGTAGTCTCGTGTGTGTGTGTGTGTGTGTGCGTGTGTGTGTGTGTGTGTGTTTTCCGAGACGGAGTTTCGCTCTTGTTGCTCAGGCTGGAGTGCAATAGCATGATCTCAGCTCACCGCAACCTCCACCTCCCAGGTTCAAGCGATTCTCCTGCCTCAGCCTCTGGAATAGCTGGGATTACAGGCATGCACCACCGCTGGGCTAATTTTTTGTATTTTTGGTAGAGACGGGGTTTCTCCGTATTGGTCAGGATGGTCTCAAACTCCCAATTTCAGGTGATCCGCCTGCCTCGACCTCCCAAAGTGCTGGGATTATAGGCGTGAGCCACCGCACCCTGCCTCCTATGAGAAGCTTTTATACCTTAAATCCTGAATGTCTAGAATCTGTTTGTCCCGAGAAGGTAAACACATATTTATGGACCCTGGCACACTAAAATCCAACAACACTGTATGTTTAGAACATGATCAATTCCACCTGTGGTAAGGCAACTGCTTTTGAAGGCTGTTCTGAGGACAGGCTAATCAGAATTGTGTATCAATAAACATTTATACAAGTGTAGTTGAGGCATCTTCCCTAACTCTTTTTCCCACTACCCTATCATGAAAGGAATTCTTATCAAGTACCTTCTATCTTAGATTATTAGTCCTAACAACACTCCATAAATGTAGGCATTGTTTTCTCCAGTTTACCAAGGAGGGAAACTAGAATGCTAATGAATTTACCCAAGGTCACGGTAGTAAGTGCCAAGGTTGGGACTCATTACCTGTCTGACTCCAGAATTCAAGCGCTTTCATCACGTCCACAGCCAGGCAAGATGGGGGAGCCAGAGGTAGTCAGTGACTGGGGAGAAGAGAAGGAGCAAAGCAGGGTATTCACTCAGTCTCCAGCGTGAAGCCTTTTGCTCAGGGTTACACTTGAGCCTTTAGCCCATGGATTATTGAAATGACTTTTTGTACAGCAACTTTGCTTTAGTCTGCATTTGCTGTGTGGGCTATGTCTAAACACCTGAGCACCCTCTCAAACACCCTTGTAATATTGACACCTAACATCAGGGTACTCTTGTAATATTGACACCTAACATCAGGGTACTCTTGTAATATTGACACCTAACATCAGGGTACTCTTGTAATATTGACACCTAACATCAGGCTACTCTTGTAATATTGACACCTAACATCAGGGTACTCTTGTAATATTGACACCTAACATCAGGGTACTCTTGTAATATTGACACCTAACATCAGGGTACTACTGATACCCTCATTTTGCAGATGAGGAAATTGAGGTACAAAGGGGTTAAGTAGCTTGCTTGATGTCATACAACTGGAAGGGAGGGGGTCTGAATCTGAATTTGAACCTGAGGATTCAAATCCCAGGTGGTTGTAGTCTACAACTTGTTCTTGTAAATACTGGTGAGCCCTTCTGTAAGCAAATTTGCATTTGTTCTGTATTTTGGTCCATTCATCCAATTCAGATGCAAATTACTGAAAGACGGAATGTGTCTTGTGTTCCATATTATTGCTTTAAAACTTACTCTGGGTTATATATTTAGTGTGTGCTCAGTAAATATCAGCTGACTCATATATCAACATATTCATAAAATCCTCCAGTTTTCATTTGGGAGGATGGGGCACATTATGGATAATAGATAACAGTGATCCTACTTCCTCAAATAAAAGACTGAATGATGCTCTCTAAGCAAAGATTTAGTTTTCAAATTTAATGATTAAATCACATTTGTTGGTTGTTATTTGATTATCTATTACTGTTTAATGAATCATTCAAACTTAATAGCAGAAAGAAACAACGATTTCATTATGCTTACGGATTCTGTAGGTCAGTAATTAAGGCAGGGGACAGCAGGTGTGGCTTATCTCTCTTTCACAATGTCTGAGGACTCAGCTGTGAAGATTCAGAAGGCTGGGAGTGGCTTAATTGGCTAAGGCCTGGAATCATTTACAGGCTTCCTCACTCACATGTCAGGTATCTAGTCTGGGATGTCTTGGAGACTGAGATCAGCTGGGACTGATGATTGGAACACCTATACATGACCCCTTTATTTGATTTGGGCTTCCTCACAGCACGGTATCTCAAAATAGTCTGACATCTCATGTGGTGGCTCAGAGCTCCAAGAGATAATGTTCTAGGCAAGCAAAGTAGAAGCTGCATCACCTTTTCTGATCTAGCCTTGGAAGTCACATAGCACTACTTCTGCTGGACTCTATTGGTTAAACCAGCTGAGAGTCTGCTAAGATTCAAAGGGAGGGGACATAGACCCCTGCTTGCCCATGGGTGTGTCAAAGAATTTGCTTTAAAACCACCACAATTATATTTTCACTAATGACCCTTATTGAATTACATAAAATATGTCACTAATGACCTCTATTAAATTACATGAAATCTGCACTGTCCCAGAAAGGCAAGACCATGTTGGCTTCAATACCGCAATGATGGAAATTGAACCTGTTGACTTGGGCCTGTTAACTGTAATACTCTGGTGTCCAACAAATTTTATTCTGCACTTATCAGACATCTTGGATCTCCAGGGAATTCTCCCAAATTAAGCACTTCCATTAATGCAGGTGAGATGCCTTTTCTTTTTTTCCCCATTTAAGTGAGGAGATCTTCCACTGCCAGCTTCCCCTACTCTTCACCCCTTCTTCTTCATCCCTTCCTGGGCAGTGCCATAACTTGAGATTTTCTACCCACTTCTTCCCTGACAAAGCTGAAGGAGAATATTTCTTGTTCCCTGTGTGAAAAATTAGTAAGTCTTACTCAGTGCATTTCTTACTGGCTAGGAAGCTGTGATCCAGCTGAGGACATAAATGTGGAGACATTTCCTGGGACAGAGTAATCAATATGTAGATAACCTTGCAGTGAATATGACTCCAGTTATCTACTAAACAGTTGAGAAGAGTATTTGCATTTGCTCTCTAGTAGATTCCTCATTTTGTGGTGATTAGTCTTTCTGTATGTTTAGTTGTTCTAATTTAGAGTCATAGTGATCCAGAATATCAGAAGGCCCTTGGAGTTCATATGTTGGTTCAATCCATGCAATTTACAGATGAAGATACTGAGGCCAGGGAGTTCACCATGGAGCTTTCTTCAAGGTCAAATAGCTGGAGAGGGACAGAATACACAACAGAGCCCAGGTCTCCTTACTGCCAGTCCAGGCTCTTTTCACCACACCACCTGCATCCTCACCACTCATTTGTAGCCCTGTGCAGTCCCCTTCACACCTACTTAAGAGTGCTACCCACAGAGTCATTTAGGACTAGAAGGGCTGAGAGATGCGTCTCTTTTAGCTTTCACCATTTCCCTTTCCTTCACTAGATTGAGGGTAGGACTTTCAGAAGGAAGATTAAATGGCTCATATGAGCTGGAAGGGCTTTTGACCTTGAATGATATTTTTCTGGGGTTTTAACAGAATATGTAGTGCATTCTTGCATGGAGGCACATCTAGAACTGGGGATTACTTTCTGCTTAGGAGACGTCTCTACTTTGAAAGGGCTAAAAGGTACCAGGGCAAGCTTCAGAAGGCAGGAAGAAGAAAGCTCACAGCTTTAGGTTTGCCTGAAACTCAAAGGTAAAAGGTGAAGATATAGCAACCTCACATACTCAGATTTTCCCAAAGCAGTCTTGATTGTTATTATTTTGGGTAATTGTTTAACCACGTGTCAGATGGTGGGTCTTCTCAGCAAACTAATAGAAGGAATCTTCTGCCACCCAATAAAGAGCATATGTGAGAAATCTACAGCAAAGATCATTCTTAATGGCAAAATACTAAACATTTTTCCCCTAAGATCAAGAACAAGGAAAAGATATCTGCTCTCATCGTTTTGATTCAACACTGTTTAATAACTCCTAGCCAGTGAAATAAAGCAAGAAAAAGAAATGCAAAAATGTAAAAAGTGGAAAGAAAAATTAAAACTTTACAGACAAAATGACTGTACATAGAAAATCCTAAACAATCTACAAAAAAAAATCCTGGTAAAATAAGTGAGTTCAGCAAGGTTGCATGGTACAAGGTCAATATACAAAAATAAACTGGACTTCTCTATTCAGGCATACATCATTTTATTGTACTTTGCTTTATTTTGCTTTGCAGATATTGCATTTTTTTTTCCAAATTGAAGGTTTGTGGCAACCTTGTATCAAGCAAGTCTATGAGTATCATTTTTCCAACAACATGTGCTTGTTTTGGTAGCATGTCTTAGCAATAAAGTATTTTTAATTAAGGTATGAACATTTTTTATATGTAATGCTATTGCACACTTAATAGATTACAGTATAGTGTAAACATAACTTTTATATGCACTGAGAAACCAAAAATTCCATGTGACTTGCTTTATTGTGATATTTGCTTTATTGCAGTGGTCTGGAACTGAACCTGCAATATTTCCGAGGTATGCCTGTGCTAACAAAAGACAATTGGAAAATGAAAAACAATATCACTAGAATAGCTTAAGATGCCATCATACACCTAGAAATAAATCTAAGTCTATGGATGCTTATGGTACCTCCTAATTTAGTATGCCATGAATTTCAACAATATCATTAATAAAATACCTACACCAACCCAGTGATTTCTGTCAATTCCATGCTTCCAATTGTACTTTCGCTGTTTACCAAATGCCTTCAATTAACCATCCAATTTGCACCTATCTTGTACAAAGTAGAATAAAATTTATTCTGCAATAACATATTTTATTTTACCAAACATTTAAAAACTACATTTTGTTACTTAAAATAATTATTTTAAAATTGTGTGCTTTAGCATTTGGGGAAATGGTTTATTAAGTTCTCAAGTAGCAAAAACATGGGGCATTATAAACAATTACTTCTGGCTGGGTGCAGTGGCTCATGCTTGTAATCCCATCACTTTGGGAGGCCCAGGCAGGAGGATCACTTGAGCCCAGGAGTTCAAGACCAGCCTGGGCAACACAGTGGGATCTTGTCTCTAAAAAATATATTTAAAAAAATTAGGCAGGGTGCAGTGGCTCACGCCTGTAATCCCAGAACTTTGGGAGGCTGAGGTGGGCAGATCGCTTGAGCCCAGGAGTTCGAGACCAGCCTGGGCAACATGTTAAGACTCTGTCTCTACTAAAAATACAAAAATTAGCCAGGCCCATTGGTGGTGCATGGCTGTAGTCCCAGCTACTCTGGAGGCCAAGGTGGGAGGGTCACCTAAGCCTGGGAGGTGGAGGTTGCAGTGAGCAGAGATCATGCCACTGCACTCCAGCCTGGCCTACAGGGCAAGACCCTGTCTCAAAAAAAAAAAAAAAAAAAAAGCCAGGTGTGGTGGTTCACACATGTAGTTCCAGCTACTCAGGAGGTTGAGGTGGGAGGATCACTTGAACCCAGGAGGTTGAGGCTGCAGTGAACCATGATCGCACCACTGCACTCTTGCCTGGGCAACAGAGTGAGACCCTGAATCAATCAAACAGACAAACAAAAAACCCAATTCTACTAATTTCCATGGCAAAGTTGTTCAAGTGAAGCTAAAGAATAGATCAATGATTTTAAAATTGACTTTCTCTGTTCAAATAAATATGAAAGTAAAATAATATATTAGAGAGTTGAGCTGAAAGTAGGGGAATTATAGGAAATTACAAATTAGAAAATGTCCTGGAAGATAGTAGTAAAGCTCTCCTCAAAAGCTGGACAAACATGGTATAACAAGCAGTGTACTTTACCGAAGTCCAGAAAATATAAATCTTACAGAGATCTACGTGAAGTGAAAATTGCATCCCTAAAGAAAGTGAGAATCTCCTAACTTTTGCATAGATCCAACACAGATCTAAGTCCAGTTTAGGACCATTTTAGATCATACTTTCAGAAAATCTAGAAAGATTTAGTAAACCTAATCACACCAGAATGGGGGGACACATGCACAGAGTGGATTCATGAGTTAAATTTTTGGCTTCATTTTAGTCCTGAATTCAGAAGCCTCCCCTTCCTCCCCCCACTTACAGGGACAAAAGGAACTTGGGACAAAATCTGTACATCTTTAACAGGAGAGAGAGGACTTTTCCACCCTCCGGAGCTCCCAATATAAAAAGCATGCAACAGCTATAGATTTTACCTGATTATAGCAATGTGTTCCAACCAAAATTTCCTTTGAAAGATACTCAGAATTTTAGAAGGGAACAGATATTAGAAGTCCATCTAAATCATTGACAATTATATTGCAGTTAGGTAGGGGAATGTCCTTGTTTTTGGAAACATACCCTGAAGGAGTAAAGGACATGTGAACATTAACTTACTTTAAAATGGTTCAGAAAAAATTGTATCTTTCATAGTCATTGTTGTAAATTACCTGTGAAAATCACCTTTTAGTGGTTTCTAAACCTGAACTGGGCCTTTACATATGAGATTTCAGGTGATATGTCTTATATAGAGCCACCACTTATTACATCTTCCCATAGAACCCATTATTCTTACTGAAGCTCCAAAGTTTGTCTCTTCAATGAAGCAAAGTTGAACAAACATTTTATCAGAAAGAATTTTGGAGTTGCCTGTCCATATGGCCAAACAGCCTCAAGAAACTTGATTGCTTCCCTAAACTGGAAAGGAACGAGAAGAATGGATGGAGAAGAGCGTTCTTGTTTAAAGAAGTGTTGTTAGAGGATAAATCCTTAATGTTACATGTGTTTGAAAGGTGGTAGATAGAAGGGGGGGAGGGTCTAAGAAGGGATAGCAGTAAAGACTAGAAGATGAGAACATGTGGAAATAATAATTTAAAAAATCAGCATTGCTGAAGCCAGATTGGAGAGTGAAAACTAATTTCTCCTTCCTTTTGTTATAGCAAATAAAGGAAGTGGCACTGAAAATAATTCTTGTAACATCAAAACGGCAAAACACAGGATGAAAAGAAGGAATATGTTCAAACCTGGTGAGAAAATGAGCTCAAAGACTGATACAATGTCTTAAAAAATAGCAGATGAAAATTACCCATAATTTATTTGAATTGGAATCTTACATGCAGTGTAGCTTAATTTCTTTCTCTTTGATGAAATGTGTTTATTCTCACTGGTACTTTCTTTAGAAGATGTAATCATTTATCAAATTATAGTTTCACAGAGTGAAAAAGAACATAGGGACAGTCATGTTTCTCATTGGAAACTCTGTGGTCTTCTATGACCTGGCCTTAAATGTCATTTATCAGCATTTATACACTGTATTGGTCAAAGCAGTCCCAAGAGGATGCAGATTCAAGAGTAGGGGACACAGATCCTACCTCTCAAAAGGAGGTCTGTGAAAGAACTTGGGGCCATGTTTCAAATTGTCACACTGCATGATTGATTCTTGTACCTCAGCACTTCCTTTGAACCTACTGTGTCTGCAGTCATCACACATTTGGAGTTACTCAAAGGTGAGTTTGTTGTCACGTTTTCTGTAAACATTCTACACTCAGTCATTGTATTAGTTTCAAACATAGTAGCTTAAAACAACACAAATTTATTATTTTACAGTTCTGGAGGTCAGAAGACTGAAATGAGTCATACAGGGCTAAAGTCAAGGCAATGGCAGAACTGCTTTCCTTCTGAAGGCTTCAGAGGAGAATCCATTTTCTCGTGTTTTCCGTTTTCTAGCGACCACCTACACTTCTTGATTCATGACCCCTTTCTCCATCTTCACAGTCAGCTTTCAATCTTAAATATCATTTCATCTTTAAATATTTCTCTATCACTCTTTCTCTGTCTCTCTCTCTCTCATCTCTGCTTCTGTCATCACATCTCTCTGATTCTGAGCTTCTAGCCTTCCTCTTATAAGAACCCTTGTGATACATTGGGCCCACTCAGGTGATCCAGGAAAATCTTCCCCATCTTAATATCCTCCATTTATTCATACCTACAAAGTCCCTTTGCCATGTCATGCCGTGAAAGTATGGATTGTTATACTTTGCGGACATCTTTGTGGACATCTTTGGGGGTTGTTATTGTGCCTACCACAGCCATGTTGTAGGAAGCCGTGAATCAAATGGGTTTAGAACTCTACAGTTACTGCGTACCACTTTGTAATGTGGATCTTAGGATTTCTTAGACAAAAAGAAACCCTTAAAGAAACCAGATGCAATATCTGTTTCTTTCAGCTTCTGAAATTGTTATTAAAAGTTGGATATTATCATCCACTCCATGACTACTGGCTTAATTTTGTCCTTGGAGTGGCTTGGTACAAATTCTGATCACCAGGCTTGTGAAAGATTCCTAATTAGAATTCCTAATTCCTCACAGCAAAATTCTATGACAATTGTCTCTTCCGGTCCTCAGCCTAGTGCCTATCAAAGAGTAAATTTTCAAATAATGTGTGCTGAATGAATTGAATACCTGTATTACTGGTGAAAATATTGGATATGCATTCTCTCTTGATCAAGTGGTACCCTTGTGCTGCAAATAATAATCCATAACATGCTTTATTAAGGAAGTGTTTGCTTTCTGATCACAATCAATTGGTTAGTAAAATTATTAGATAGTGTTTGTTAATGCTGGCGAATGAATAAAAGAGATTTATAGACAACTGGCATTAATCTGCACTAACTTCTTTCTGAAGTAAGACTTTTTGCACTTTTTCATCACAGATAATAAAACTTGCTGCATAGAAAATTATTTTTCCCAATAATGTGTTTATAAAAGAAGATGAGATATAAATAAGTCAGCTAATTACATATAGTAGCCCTCAATGTTGTCAATAGGCTCTTGGAAATGGCAACTTTAAGCAAAAAGAGTTGTGAGGAACCAATTTTCCTGTAGGTTTGTTAATTGATCTAATTAGGAATTAAGTTCGTATGGTGACAAAAACATCACCAAACTTCTAAATAAAGACCCCAAAACATTTCTACTATTAAACATTGAAATTAATGTGAGCTCTACATACATTTAAGAAACATAATAAAAATAAGTAAGAAAATTATTTACCCAGTTTCTGGCAAATGAGTAGCAATGGCAGTCATGGTGGTGGTGGGCTAAATCAAGGAATAAGTGTTTGCAAAGTGAACGTAATAAGGAGCACCTCATACCACCATGCAGTTCAAAATCAATCACAACTAGCAAGGGGCTGTCTGAGTGCCTTCATCCTGCAGCGTTTATTGTTGTGCATGTGTATATGATTATTGTAGACTTTACAGATTTCTATTTTACGATCATTTGTATTCACTCATTAATTCATCTTCCAACCTCCTGATTCCAGTTCAGAGTGGTAGGTGGCCACAGCCTATCCCAGCAGCTCAGGTTGCCTGGCAGGAATCCACCCTGGACAGGATGCCATCCCACTGCAGGGCCCACTCATACACACACCCATACTCACGCAGACTGGGACCATGTAGACACGCCCATTCACCTAATATGCACAGCTTTGGGATATGGGAGTAAACCAGAGTACCTGAGGAAAACTCCTGCACACATGGGGAGAACGTGCAGACTCCACACAGACAGTGGCCCGGTGGCCCTGGCCAGGAATTGATATTTTTTCTCATCAAAGTTATAATAAAATCATGTTGAATGAAACAATGTTGAATAAAATAACTTATTCAAGGACCTGCTATAGTTCTGATGTCTACCTTCAATTTCTCCTCACTGAAACCCTTGTTCAGGTCTGGTTAAAGTAAATACCCTATTCTGATTTTGTCTGTATCTTCATCTTCTTTCCAACGAGTGACCATGGTGGCTAATTCCTGTCTCAACTCACACTGAGCTAGATTGCATTACTAATTATTTTTTTCTTTTTTTCTTTCTTTTCTTTTTTTTTTTTCTGAGACAGAGTCTCGCTCTGTCACCCAGGCTGGAGTGCAGTGGTGCCATCTCAGCTCACTGCAACCTCTGCCTCCCAGGATCAAGAGATTCTCGTGCCTCAGCCTCCTGAGTAGCTGGGATTACAGACATATGCCACCACGCCCGGCTAATTTTTGTATTTTTAGTAGAGACAGGGTTTCACCATGTTGGCCAGGCTGGTCTTGAACTCCTGGCTTCATGTGATTCACCCACCTTGGCCTCCCAAAGTGGTGGGATGACAGGCGTGAGCCATCGTGCCTGGCCCATTTTTTTCATATCACAACTGATAGGTGAATTGCAGAAAATTTTTGTTTTCTATATGCCAGTACTCCGAGTTAAGAATTCACATCACAATGTCTACACCACTCATAGTTCTACAGCTATTTCCACTTGCTAATGGAGATATACACAAAAAATGAAAACAAAAAGAGTGTGCTTCCACGTTAATTTGCCTTTTGGAAAAAGTGTGTTCATTTTCTGCCCGCACAGAAGGGTTTTATAGATCAAATTTGTGTCTAGCAGAACACGCACACATGACTTTTAGGCTGAGTTCTTTCTAATAAATGACTCTCAAAGCTAAGAATTCTATAATTTAGGCACATGTTCCATGTCAAAGTCACCATCTTATGTTGGTCTATTAGTGGCTATAGAAGTTACTTTTCCTTGAACAATGGATTTTCAATTGGTCAGGAAACTGGTCATGACTGGTGGGACTCCACAAGCCTAAAGCAAGAGTGAGAAGTTTCTCCTTGGAGAGAATCAAAAATGAGAGTCATTAACAGAGAGCCAAGAACCTACTAGAAAGCTAACATTCAGGAACCTAAGAAAAATCCAAAGGGTGTCATGAATGTCAGAGGAAGAAGCAGGGAGAAGTACAGAGCCAGGAACCCAAGAAAGAGAGATAGGAAGAAACAGAAATGAATGGAAATAGTAAACAGAGAGTATTAAGAAATAAAGACTTAAAACAGGAGCTATCATCCATGGTTTGTTTTACATGTGGCCAAGTGCCAAACATGGTATGTGAGTCCATTCTTGCATTGCTGTAAAAGAATACCTGAGGCTGGGTAACTTACAAAAAAAAGAAGTCTAATTCGCTCGTGGTTCTGCAGGCTGTATAAGCATGGTGCTGGCAATCTACTTCTGGTGAGGGCCTCAGGAAGCCTACAATCATGGTCGAAGGTGATGGGGAGCCAGCCAGCATGTCACATGGCAAGAGTGGGAGCAAGAGAGAGAGAAGGGGGAGGTCCCATGTTATTTTATAGGACCAGATCTCACATGAACTGACTGAGAGAGAACTCACTTATCACAAAAGGGATGCTGTTAAATCATTCGTGAGACGTCCGCCCCCATGATCTGATCACCTCCCAACAGGCCTCACCTCCAAAACTGAGAATCACATTTCAACATGAGATTTGGAGGGGACAAACATCCAAACCATATCACATGGGGTGGGATTTAGAGTGTTGTTTAGTATTCAGATTACTCCCCATTTGCCCTTCCAGATCATTCTCTAGCCTTCTCTACTCTGATTCGAACTCCTTTAGATGGTATCACCCAGGTTACCTTGCTGCCTGGCTTTTAGTTGGGTTTGGCCAATCTCGGGAAGAGATCTGAAAGTAGGAGGAGAGAGACGAGAATATTTATTTGTCCTGAATTCCACCCTGCCAAGTTGCAGATTGGCAGTGATTGAGTTCTGCTGGAGTCCTGGCTCCTGTCTTGGCAGGAGTTGTGGCTCTTTCCAACAGCTATAGATGTCACTGGGTTCCTACGATTTCCCCCTCTTACTTTCCCCTTCAAACCTAAGGATAACAGCAGCTTCCCACTTACAGGTTCCAAGGTGCTTCACCATCCATTGCTGGTTCTCATTTCCCTGCCTTCACTTTTGCAAATATTCTCTTTATTGAATTGTCTTCAGAATTCCATTTGGGTGTGCCTTCTGGTTCCTGTTGCCAGAACCCCAGTTGATAGTCAATGAAATATATATATGTATATATTCTGAGACAGAGTTTCACTCTTGTTGCCGAGGCTGGAGTGCAATGGCGTGATCTCGGCTCACTGCAACCTCCGTCTTCCAGGTTCAAGTGATTCTCCTGCCTCAGCCTCCCAAGTAGCTGGGAATACAGGCATGCACCACCACTCCTGGCTAGTTTTATATTTTTAGTAGAGATGGGGTTTCTCCCTGTTGGTCAGGCTGGTCTCGAACTCCCGACCTCAGGTGATCCACCCGCCTCGGCCTCCCAAAGTGCTGGGATTACAGGTGTGAGCCACCGCATCCAGCCATCAATGAAATATTAATAGATATTTACTAGAATGGGGAAAAGTTCTAAACATTTTTGAATGGTGTTTCTATCTATTATGTAAGCATGCATTCTGCGCTATAAGTCACCATTTTGTGTAAGACTTGTGATTCAGGAAGAAAATGCTTTGTTACTACCTTTTAGTGGCTTATAATCTGCCAAGATGACAAGACTGGACACACAAAATACTGTAACACCATAAAAGAATTGCTGTAATGAAGGTAAATGCAATGAGAGAGTGAAAGAATTACCCAAGTTCACTTGGGGTTTTCAGGAATATTCTCTGTTGGTAGCATGAAGATTGATTATGCATTTATCATCCCTTGACTTTGTAAAGACAGAGCTCTCCTTTCCTCCGGCAGACAACTAAGCAAAGACCCACCTTGCTTATTAGTGTTTGTTATATTTTTATGTATAAAGAATCAAGCCTGTCTTGGGTCAGGTTCCCCAGAGCAGAGGCTGAGATGAGGATTTAGATAGAAGCTTTTTATGAAAAAAGCACCTTCAGGAGAAACCAGTAAGGGAGTGGGGCAAGCAAGACAAGTGATGTCCCAGCCTTAGGCTGATCCCGCACTTAGTTTGGAAGTATAAATTACACCTCAGAGTTTGTTTCCCTTGTGGCAAGGGAGAAGGAGCTTTCACACTTCTTTACCTGTTAGTTATTGCTTATGGGCTGCCCAGGATCAGAATTGGGGGTGGTGGAGGGAGAGATGGGGAGGGACATAAGCCTGCCAGCTCTCAGCAGGTCCAGTGAAGTGGGTCCGGTAGCCCAAGGGTAGTTCTCTGAAGAAAGCTGCAGGTGTGAGCAGTTAGGAGACAAGCCTGCAGAAGTTGGGGGATGGGTGCACAGAACCTATAAAGGAGAGTAGTGGAGGGGGTCTGGCCAGAGCACCAGCAGCAGCTGCTACAGAGCCCTTTCAGAAGCACATCTGCAATTGGTTAACACACAGTTAAACCAAATTCCAGGGGAAAACAAGCAAAATTTTCCTCCTATGCATATTTTTAGGTTCTGGAGGCTTTGGAAGTGATTGTGAATGACACTTTGCTTCTAAGGTGACAAGCGGTATCCTAGGATGCTGCATTTTCAGTGCTGAAAGTTAGCCGATCCTGGGTAATCCGGAAAGGTGGGTCACCACCCTTTCTGTATCTGAAGAGTCACTCCACGAAGAATTATCAGGTTTTCTCATGAAAGATCCAAGAGAAGTAGAGCCAGTTGTGAGTGCAGAAAGGTCACAAATTTTCCCTGATGTGGTACTTGGTAGTTTCCATAGCTGTGTTGAGAGCACAAGTCCTTAACGGGGAAGAAATGGAGTCTCAACAAGGGATGCAGGGCCTGTAGAGAAGGATGAGAGGGCTTCAGCTTTGGATTTTCTTTTAAGTACAGTGATGGCTTTTATAAACCAGGGCAGCAGGAGCACACTTTTTTTTTTCTCAAACTTTTGTTTTAAACTCCAGGGTACATGTGCAGGATGTGCAGGTTTGTTACACAGGTAAACATGTGCTATGGTGTTTTGCTGCATAGATCAACCCATCACCTAGGCATTAAGCCCAGCATCCAATAGCTGTTCTTCCTGATGCTCTCCCTACCCCTGTGCCCCCACCCCCGACAGGCCTCAGTGTGTGTTGTTCCCCCCATGTGTCCATGTGTTCTCATTGTTCAGCTCCCACTTATAGATGAAAACATGCAGTGTTTGGTTTTCTGTTCCTGCATTAGTTTGCTGAGGATAATGGCTTCCAGCTCCATCCATGTCCCTGCAAAGGACAGATCTCGTTCCTTTGTATGGCTGCATAGTATTCCGCGGTGTATATGTATCACATTTTCTTTATCCAGTCTATCACTGATGGGCATTTGGGTTGATTCCATGTCTTTGCTATTGTGAATAGTGCTGTAATGAACATATGCATGCATGTATCTTTATAATAGAATGATTTCTATTACTTTGGGTATATACCCAGTAATGGGATTGCTAGGTCAAATGGTATTTCTGTTTCTAGGTCTTTCAGAAATCACCACACTGTCTTCCACAATGGTCGAACTAATTTACACTCCCACCAACAGTGTAAAAGCATCAGGAGCGCGCTTTTAAAGATGTGCTTCTGAGGAAGACCTCAGGATTCCAAAGGATGGGAGACGGTGCAAAGATTCTCTAGAGAGACTTGCAGTAGTGGGACTGGCTTGGGGTGGAGGACTATCCATGGACCTTTCCCGGAGATTCTTTCTCCTAGATGAAATTCTCAGAATAGTGCATATTTGCTTCTTATTCTTTAGTGCAGAGCACAGGGGAAGATGTTTGACATTCTTTTGAATATTTTTAAAGTGTCATTGTGAATTCTATTGATGTGGTAATAAATTTCCATTTAGCAATATTCTTGTTTAGCTTTATTTCAAATTTAATGTGAATGACGATGAGTAATAACACCTCAAATTATATTAATTTTCTATATGAGAAAATATGCCATTTTCATGACTTTTTTTGTTTTTGAAAAAGGGAATCAAAAGGTGATTCATGACTACAGCTTATAACTTATGTATGGGTTGAAAATTTTTCTAAAGAATGTTGTCATGATGATTTCACCCTGGGTAAGCTGAAAATGTTTCAGAGTGAGGATTTTGAGTTATTGAATTAGAGATAAGTTTGTATGCAGGTGTCAATTGTAATTGTAAGAATCTTTTGTATTTAATGATTCACTGAGCTAGAATCAAGGTTCTTAATCCTAACTACACATAAGAAATATTTGGGGAGCTTTAGAATAATTCCAATGTCTGAACTTTACTCAAGATCAATAAAATCTGACTTTCTGGGGGCGGAGTCTCGGCAAGATGGGCTTTACAGGCAGGCAACCTGTGCAGTTGTACCAGGCAGCACTTAGAAGAGCCCTATGTTGGGTTTAAAGCTCTGCCATCTTTAAATTCTTAGTAATTTTTAAACAAGCAGCCCCATATTTTTATTTTTCCCTGGGCCCACAAATTATGTAGCAAGCCATGGATCTGGACATTAGTGCACTTTTTAAATCTTCCCAGATGATTTCAATCTAAGAAGCACTGAATTAAGTGCACTAATAAAGAAGCCTTGGATAAGCTTGCCAGTAAACAGCAGACACCCTCCTGCTGATGAGTGAACCTGGAGCCTCTAAAAAGACTAGCTGTTACCCTGCCAGAGCTGCTGGGCTCCGCCTTCCCAGAAGATCTTCTGACCCCACCCACTTGCCCTGTCTCAATGGAGACAAGCAGTGTGAGCCTTGCTGAGAGAAGTGTCTGCCACCACAACTGCAACATCCAGCCCTGGGACCCTGGGTTAGAGAAACAGGGATGGGCACTGCCTCTTTCCTGGTCCACTGTTCTTCAAATAAACAGGCTAAGGGGTTGATTTACTTTGTGTGCCCCTCATAGGTGAGAAAGGGGAAGCCACCTTTAGGTTTTCCTTTCAGCTGGGTGTCCAGTGAGGACTTGAAACTGTGAGACGCCAAGGCAATGAGCCATTTGTCTGGAACCAAAGTGAGCCATCTACTAGTAGAAGTCTCTGACCCCTAGAAACTAAAAGGAGTGAATGAGACTTGCAGGACAGAGGCTAGAGAGAAAAGTAGATAGAAAAGTCCAAGATGACTTTTCTTATTGTTCTCTCTCTCTGGAGATAGCCTTGGCTGAATCTGGATTTCTTTGAGTCAAAGACTCCCATCCTCATCTGTGTCATTGGAACACTTGAGTTATTACACAAAAACAAGGGGAAGAGCTCAAATTATGCAAAAGGAAGGTCTTGAGTAGACAAGTCCTATGATTCAGAAATTGTCAGGTGGATCTGTTAATATATTCACAAATAAAAATTGAGACAATGACAAAAAGCACACAAAATGCTCATCATGAATCTTTTTGGCTACATTGTACACTATCTCTCATTAGTAACAATTCTTTGCTTCAATAATATAAAATCAGTCAAAATATGAATTGACTTTCCTATCAAGATTGTTCTTTCTTTCTTTTTTTGTAGAGACGAAGTCTTGCCATGTTTCCCAGGCTGGTCTCAAACTCCTGGCCTCAAGCCATGCTCCCACCTCGGCCTCCCAATGTGCTGGGATTACAGGCATGAGTCACCATGCCTGGCCTTCCTACCAATAAATAGGCAAATACTTAGAACTTTTTTCAGTCCTATTCGTGTAATATGTGAAATTATAATGTGTGCATCAATCATTCAACAAATATTTATCGACCACCTACAACATTGCAGACGCTATCCTAGGTGCTGAGGCCATAGCCTAAGCAAAATAGCCAAAAATCCCTGCTCTCAGGAAATGTATATTCTAGTGGGGAGAGGTGGATAATAAAAATGAAAAAGATACAAAGAATGTTTGATAGGAGAAGATGCTTCAGAGAAATATAAAGCAGTAAATGGAGCTGTTGGAGCTTGGAGGTTGGTGGGGGTTGGGAGCTGCAGTTCAGGCAATATCTAAATAATGACTCTGGCCTTGGATTCTGGGGAAGTTTTTTTCTCATTTTTGGCTGGGATTGGCTACCACTACCTCAGAGGGCCAGAGAAAGTTTGGTGCCCTGTGACTCAACTGCTAGGTAGCATCTCCAGAGACGGAGTCAGATGCCCTATTTATACCATGGAGTAGGTTTAGTGGTTGATGGACTTCATGTGCATTACAAAGAAGAGTGATCCTTTACTGAGGATATCATAACAAAAATACCATGAGTAGACCACTTACATTTTAAATTGTTGACTTCCCTTCATGGGCCCATTTATTATTTACTATTTATTTATTTACTGAGGTGCAGTCTCACTCTATCGCCCAGGTTGGAGTGCAGGGGCACGATCTAGGCTCACTGCAACCTCTGCCTCCTGGGTTCAAGCTATTCTCCTGCCTCAGCCTCCCGAGTAGCTGAGATTGCAGACGTGCAACACCATGTCTGGCTAATTTTTGTATTTTCAGTAGAGATGGGGTTTCATCATGTTGCCCAGGCCGGTCTTGAACTCCTGACCTCGAGTGATCCGCCCGCCTCAGCCTCCCAAAGTGCTGGGATTACAGGTGTGAGCCACCACACTCAGCAACAGGCCCGTTAAAAAAAATTGAATGTAAACTTTATTTTCATTCTATTGTAACACCATGATTCAATTTGTTGGCTATAGCTGGAATACTTCTGCACGTATTCATGAGAGAATAAATCCAGTGAAGCTCCTGTTTCAAACATTTTCAAAAGTTTTTAGAGTCTAGATATCAAGATCTAACAATAGACATATGGAGAAGTACTCCAGCTCTCCTTTCTTCAGAGAATTGACACTTTCCTATTTATTTCTCCTAGCACTTCTGACTGAAGAACCACTCTATTCATCTTCAAGTGATGCAGTCTTCTCTCAAAAGTATTTGCTTCTCTTTTATGGATAATAAACACAGGGGGCGGATTTCTGATGTTGGTGGGTTTACGCTGGGGTCTGTCCCAGGCATACATTTGAAAATGAGTTCCCACTAGCAGTGGCAGCTCCAGCATGTGTATTAAGGAAGGGCATAGGGGTTGCCTCTGATTAGAATTTGGAAGTAGAAGCTGGGATGGAGAGTCATGCTGGTTACAACTTGCTCAAAGTTGCATTTGTATACCAAACGCATTATATTTATTCAGCTTGTGTATTCTAGGTGGATGGCTGGAGAGGGAGTGAGAGAGTTGGTGGAGGTTTTTAGAGAGGATGAAAGCTCCTTCTTGCCCCTCCTGCACCACCCCTTATGACCATAATTGATGACTAGACGGGGAGGAGTAAAGTGAATAAAGCTCCCAGATGACTTTTTACTCCTATGTTACAGTCCATATTACAATCAGAGTCAGGTGGGACTTTATGTAGACTTCTATATAAAGCTCTGAGAGTAAATGTGTCTCGGGCTCTCCTTTTCTTCCTCTTCTTCGTTTCTCCTCTACCCACATGCTATGGTTTGAATGTTTGTGCCTTTCAAAATTCATGTTGAAACTTAATCTTCAATGCAACAGTATTAACAGGTGATCAGGCCATGAGGGCTCTGCTCTCATGGATGGATTGGCACTTACAGTAAAAGGGCTAGAGGGAACTAGCGAGGTCCTTTTGCCCTTCTGCCTTCTGCCATGTGAGGACACAGCAAGAATGCCCTGTATAAGGAAAGGCCCTCACCAGGCACCAAATCTGCCAGCACCTTGATCTTGGACTTCCCAGCCTCCAAAACTGTTAGAAATAAATTTCTGTTTTTACACATTACCCAGTTTCAGGTATTTTGTGATAGCAGGGTGAATGGACTGAGACACTATCATACCCAATCCTGCATCTAATTCATGCTAACCTCTACTTCTCTGAGTTCATGCTAAACTCTGCTTCTCTGTTAACTTGGCAGATATTTATGGAGGATACTCTATGAGCTCAGCGTTCTTCTAAACCAGGGGGTCCCCAACCCCTGGCTGAGGACTGGTACCAGTCCTTGAAGGCCGCACAGCAGGAGGTGAGCTTTGGGCAAGCGAGCATTACCGCCTGAGCTCCGCCTCATGTCAGATCAGCAGTTGCATTAGATTCCCATAGGAGCATGAACCCTGTTGTGAACTGTGCATGGGAGGGATCCAGGTTGTGCACCCCTTATGATAATCTAACTAATGCCTGATGATCTGAGGTGGAACAGCTTCATTGCAAAATCATTCCCCCACCACTATCCCCCAGTCCGCAGAAAAATTGTCTTCCACAAAACCCGTCCCTGGTGCCAAAAACGTTGGGGACCACTGTACTAGACAATAGGGGAATACAACCATGTACTGATAAGCAGTCAAGTTGAGAACTGGTTTGAGTTCAGGCTGGGAAATCTTCCAGACTCATTTATATTTTAATTTGGGACTATTGAAGACCAAAAGCTTTCAAGGCTTAAAGGGAGGAAGCTATTACAAGCCAAGAACTAGAGGTGAAATTGAATCAATGGAGCATGATTGAGTATTGAGGGGCACAATATGTGCAGAGGACCCCATCCTGCATTTTTAAAAGTCATACCACCTAGGTATCACATAATCTCAAAAAAAGAGAAAAATCTCCAAGATTCTTTTAACATGTTAAGATTCTGTTACTCAGCCGAGCATGATGTCTTATGCCTGTAAATCTCAGCACTTTGGGAGGCTGAAGCCGGTGGATCACTTGAGGTCAGGAGTTCGAGACCAGTCTGGCTAACATGGTGAAACCCCCGTCTCTCCTAAAAATACAAAAATTAGCAGGGCATGGTGGTGGATGCCTGTAATTCCAGCGACTCGTGAGGCTGAGGCAGGAGAATCACTTGAACCTTGGAGGAGAAGGTTGCAGTGAGCCAAGATGGTGCCACTGCACTCCAGCCTGGGTGACAGAGCAAGACTCTGTCTCAAAAAAAAAAAAAAAAAAAAAAGATTCTGTTACTCTATGATTCTAAATTGTAGCAGAGTCATATTTTGGAGGAGCCATTTATTGGATTAGGTGAATTCTCAAGATTCTTTCTAATTCCTGGATGATTCTACCCTGCTGTTGTCCTTCATGTAGAAAAATGTCTCTGCCTATCATTTTATTTTTTTGAGATTGAGTCTCACCCTGTTGCCCAGGCTGGAGTGCAGTGGCATGATCTTGGCTCACTGCAACCTCCTCCTTCCAGATTCAAGTGATTCTCCTGCCTCAGCCTTGCGAGTAACTGGGATTACAGGTGCACGCCACCACACCCAGCCAATTTTGTATTTTTAGTAGAGATGGGGCTTCACCATGTTGGCCAGGCTGGTCTCGAACTCCTGACCTCAAGTGATCCACCTGCCTCGGCATCCCAAAGTGCTGGGATTACAAGCATGAGCCACCACACCCGGCCCTGCTTATCATTCTTAAACACTTTACACTTGAACATTTACTCTGGGTTGGGTACAGAAAATGATGGGCTGGCATCACTAAAAGTTCGTGATGAATTCCTGGTGTATTGGTTTCTAGGGCTACAAAGTCCCACAAACTGGATGGTTGAAGACAACTGATATTTATTGTTTTCCAGTTTTGGAGGCCAGAAGTCCAAAATCGAAGTGTTGGCAGGTCCATGCCCCCTCCAGTTCCTCTAGGGGAGGACACTTTCTTGTCTCTTCCAGCTTCTGGTACTCTCAGCTGTTCCTTGCTTGTAGCAGCATAATTCCAATCTCTGCCTTCATTTTTAAATGACCATTTCCCTCTGTGTGTGTGTGTGTGTGTGTGTGTGTGTGTGTGTCATTTTCTTGTAAGGATACCAGTCATATTGGATTAAGGGCTCACTCTATTCCAGTATGACCTAATCTTAATTTACATCGTAATTATATCTGCAGTGACCCTCTTTCCAAATAAGGTCACTTTCACAGGTCACAGGTGTACAACTTCGACATATCTTTTTGGGGGACACAATTCCAGCCACCGTATCTGGTGACTAGGACTACATTTGTTCATGTCTAGGAATAGGGCTTTGATTGATAGCCATGAAGCAAAACAAAGCAAAATGGTCCACGGGGAGAGAAAACCATTATCTTACTAACCCGATGTGCTTATCAGTTGTGCTAACCTGTCATACACGTATTCACCCTACCATACTGTCTTTACTCTTTGTTTTTTGAGACAGAATCTCACTCTACCACCCAGGCTGGAGTGCGGTGGCTCAGTCTCCGCTCACTGAAAACTCCGCCTCCCGGGTTTATGCGATTCTCCTGCCTCAGCCTCGCCTGGCTTTTTGTATTTTTTTGTAGATATGGGGTTTCGCCATGTTGCCCAGGCTGATCTCGAACTCCTGAGCTCAAGTGATCCACCCCCCTCGGCCTCCCAAAGTGCTGGAAGTACAGCTGTGAGCTACTGTGCTTGGCCACAGTCTTTACTCTGTTCCTCTTTATCTTTTTCTTCCTCCCCCTCCTCCCCCTCTTTCTCTCTCTCTCTCTTCTTTCCTGCTTTTTCTTTCATTCTTTCTTCTTTTCTTTCATCATCATCTTCTTCTTTTTTCTTTTTTTAACCATGAGATGATACGGTTAAATAGTTGATGTTGGGAATTTATGTGGAGATCTGGATCAGAAAAAAAGTACTTTCCTGTGAGTAAGGTAGTGAGGTATTCTTCAGTTTATCACATACTCCAAAAACATGAGAGAGCTTACCAAAGGTTTTGTAACTGAAGAATCTATTACAAGTAATCAGGTTTATATTTAGCTTTGAATTATACATATACACACCCACATATACACACACATATTTTTAAGTAACTTAGATCATCAACATTTCAATCTGAGCATTATATGGGTAGTATTGTCTCTATCTTCATTGTCTTGTGAGATAACTAGTGATGTATTTCCCTAACACGAGGAGATCAATTAAAGCAACTGACATTCTGCAAATTTGAATCAATGATGCCACTCAATCCAATCAACCAAAGTAAAGAAAGCTAATTCATGCTTTTCTTAGAGCCAGAAGAAAAAACTGGCAAAAGTGTTGTCTCATTGTGTCCCTTTTCCCCTTAAATCAATTATCAGTTATCACAGGAAAGAAAAGAGAGAAGACTGTGCATTATGTTCAGGCTCACAACTCAAAGAGTAAACGAACAAAAAATTATTAAAATAATTATCAAGAGAAAATTTCTCAAGAGGGAAAAACACACATTATAAAACCTTTCGCTGCAGTGAGCATCAGAATGGGAGATGCCAATTGGATTAAACTGCTAGAACAAAACTCATGTTTTGTTTTAATCCCACTGTCTTGAATGTAGACTAGTCATGGAGCTCCCTTTCCACAGGTCTACATGGGATGTTCAGATCTGTCCTCATCAATGTCACAGACATTTCAAGAGAACTTTTGAAACCAAATGGAGGGTGACACAGAATTCCTTGGGGATAATGGGAGTGTCCAGAGCACTTTCTTATTTAAAGATCAGTGAAAAAAACTCAATAGCACGGGAACTAAAAGGGAAATGTGAAGCATAATGGTGTTTGGTCAGTGGAGCAAAGGATTTGTAGTGTATTTTAATTGTACTTTTTACATATCTCGTAGCACAATTCAGGCTTAGAAAGGATTTCAATTGTGATTTTGTTGGCTTAGTTTTGACCTGAACAAAATGGATTTGCTGTTTTTATTTCTTTCTTCTTTTTATTCAAATGGCACACCCTTTTGTTTTGAGAAATCTGGTTGTTATCTCTTAGTTAGAACCATGCCTAATGAAGTACTCTTTCCAATTTTGGATGTTTAATCATGCTGGATTCTTACCAAAGACCTCAAAAGAGACTAAACTTGAAGGACAAAGATGATTGTCAAGTGGGCTATGGATTAGGGTCTGATTTTTTGGTGAGAGTTCAATGAACATAATTTAGACTAAGGTAGATTCAGTAAGGCAGAAAGGAAGAAATGAAGCATGCTTCTGGGGAATAAACGGCAAAGCAAACACACAGAAACTCACTCAAGAAGATGCCAGTGAGCAACTCAGAACCAATATCTGATATATAATTTAAGACCCAAAGGTCACTTAATATCAACTCTATTGCTGCACTCACACACCCAAGGAATCTGGCTAGCAATTGTTTTAGAGCTTGCCTTAGCTGTTTTTATTTCATGCAAGTGTTTCTCTGGAGGCACAAAAAATGTTAAGAGTAAAACTGGATTTATCGAAGGCATTTGCTTGGATTAATTAGGTAATAAAAGCATTTTCAAATTGCTAATTTACTAAGCAGTGTCACCGGAATGCTGAATTACTTTACTTTTATTATGATGATCAAGAGAGATAAATGCAGGCCTAGCCACAAAACCAAAGCAAAGAGAGGCAGGAGTCATTCTTTGCATAATTACTGGCATTTGTCATCCTTTCCTTGAAAAGGGGATCATCAGTTTTTCTAAGGATTGTTTTCTTTGCTTCAGAGTCTTTTCTTCAGAACTGTTTATCATCCACATTGTCCTCATTTACCCAGCAACACATACTGTACTAACGTACTTTCCATTAGTGAATTTAATGAATTTAATTTTGGTTCAAAATGTTAATTAAAGTGTGCCTTTCATTCTTATAAGGATGAAACTTAAAAAACTCTTGGTTCTCAAGTGTTAGGTGAAATTACTAAAAGCAGAGTTGAAAAACAGGGTTAATCAATGTGAAATGTAGTATCATGAGCCTGGGATAGATATTGATAATGAATTATAATTAATTTTCCATCTCTTTTAAGAAAACAAAGGCTCAAAAATCACGGCTTCCATAACTTTGCCTATACTTAGGAGAAATTTTGGAAGAAAAACGTGTAAGAAGAAACAGAAAAGAAGTTTGCCTCAAAGAGAGAAACAAAGAAAAAGCTACCAGACCAGATATTCCCTCATCAGAAAATGAATGAGAATTTTATTATCTCTTGGCTTTAAAAAAAATTCTGTCCTTTGCCAGATCTGAAAATGCTGCCAACCTGGAAGAAAAAGAACCCATTTTTCTAAACAACCTCATTTAGTAATTTCCATGAAATTGACATTTTAGAACTATGACAAAAAGCCAAATTAAAACTCAGGGGTTCCTAATCCCTAAATTCTGAGTCCGTTTTAAGAAATACCTAAAATACACTTTAAAACGAACCAATTAATATAATTACCGTGGGTTTAAATAACACATACACACTGGATTTGTTTCTGTAAAACACAGCTGTTCTGTTATTTACATTTTGCTATTTTTTAAATTAGAAATATGGCTTTATATATTGTACATATATGTAAAGTAACTTTTTAAAAAGAGTGAATCTGTTGTCTTCTGCCATCATTACATTAAAAAAAAAAAAACCCAACCACCCTACAGCCAATTAACTTGGAAATCTTATATTCAAGCTTCTGAATATTACTGCGGTTGTAGCAAGGGAAGCAGCACATCCAGGTAGTTAATGTAGAAGAAACAGGGCACAGGCAGCAACTTGCATCCCCTGGCAATTCACATGGTAATTTCTTCGCTTCCACTCTCAGGCTCACTCCACCTTGCTTCACCAACCCCCCTCCCCCTAAGACACGAGGCACCCTCTGGGCCACGGAAGGTGCCATGCGGGGAGACGCCGGAAGAGCGGGGGCAGAGTGCACGGTTCCCACACCCTTAGCCGCGGGCGGCCGCCGCGGGCCCCAGGAGTGGGGAACCGGTTGGGAGAGCGGGGTTGGGGGCGGACCCCAGGGCCGCACCCCTGGTCCCCCCCATCCCCTTTCTACCGCCACAGACCCAAGAACCCGAAATCTGCGGCACGAGGCGCGGCGCCCGCAGCCCCCGGCTGGGCCCCGGCGGGGATGGGCGGGCAGGGGGCGGAGCGCAGCGCAGCGCGGGGCGGCGGGAAAGGGGCGGAGAGGATAGCTTGGGCTCTGGCGGGCCGCGGGACTGGCAGAACCTGCGGGCGAGGTGGGTGGCTCGCCAGCCGGGACGAAGGGAAATGAGGACCACCGCTCCGGGGCGCGAGTAGGCGCGTGGAGTCCGGGGGCTCAGCCGCCGCGCCTCTTCCTCCTGCAGCTGGAGACTGCAACAGCGGCGGGTGCACCGGCAGCAGCGACGACCCTGCGCGCAGGTGGGCACCCCCGAGCGCGGCGCTCTGCCCGCTCCCCCGGCCACCGCGGGCCGGACGCCCGCTCTTCCAGGCCACTGCGCTTGGGGGCGAGGGCTGGGTAGGTCCAGGGGCAGAAGGAAGGTGCACGGCCCCGTGGTGGGCGCGCTTCTGCGCGCGCGCTGTGGTAGGTGGGAAAGAGGTGCAGAAAAGCTGCCTCCCTTAGGGTTCACTCCCTCGGTTCCACTGTCCCCACCCCACCCCTTCTGAGGAGCTGGGCACACCGGTGGGGCTTTGGAAAACTGCGATCTCCTACCCGCCCCGCAGTATCGGTGGCGTGTGCAGGTTGCCCTTCTCTTCACAGTCCACACCCAGCAACCATCAGGACGCCCCCTGCTCCCGGCCCGAAGACTGTAGGGACCATGGGAGGAGAGAGTGGTGGCTGGACCGGTCGGGGCGTGTGCGCGGAAGGCTGGAGTTGCTTGAGTATTGTCTGCCGGGGCCGGCGCTTGCGTCAGGGTGCTCCCTCGCGCTTTCGGGGGTAGGGAATGGGTTTGCTGAACTTACTCTGAGGGCTGATTCTGCACATGCCCTTGGCGCCTTGTGCATGTTTGGACAAGGGTTTAATGGAGGCACGTGGGAGCAGTATCGATCTCTGGCGGGTCCCCAAAGACCCTCTTGGGATAGTCCAGAGCGTGTTCGGGGTTGAGAGCGAAAGGAGAGTGTTCCGTGTGAATGTGCGTCCTAGGGAGGAGGAGGACAGTGTCTCAAGGAGACTTGATTTTCTTTTATTTGCTGCAATTCCGTAAACCAAATCATGCTTTCGAGGCGTTAAAGTAAATTACTGGTAAGTGGGGCGGATCTCTGCTGGGGATAAAGAAGCTCCCGGGTTTGCGGGGTAGCGGGCCTGGCTGGCGTGCACGCTCGGTGGCTTTTGGCGCTGTCTCGCCTAGGTAGTGGGGGTGGAGGTGGTGGTGCTTGTGTCTTTGGCTTAAGGTGCTGGAGCCGGGCTTACTTGTCCTAGGTAGACTGTGGGACTTGGAGGAGGTAAAAAAGCTTCGCGGCGCGGTTATTCGCAATTAACTCCAGAAATCTCAGTGTGTGTCTGTCGGTCGGTCTCTCTCTGTCTCTTTCTCTCTCTCTCTCTCTCTGTCTCTGTCTCTCTCTCTCTCTCTCTCTCACACACACACACACACACACACACACACACACACACACTCGCACGTCTCATGGCTGCTTGGATTTGCCGATAGTTGTTCATGAATTTTTATTCCTGTTTGTTCATTTCCTGACTTTTTTTTTTTTTTTTTTTTGGAAAAAGGACCTACCTGTATTAAAATCCGTGGGGTTTCAGAAAGACCCTTCCGCAGTCATTCATATTCAAATCAAGGATAGGGCATTTTGATGAAAATACCCCACCAAACTGCTGTTTGGATTGGACAAAACTGTAGTTCAGGTTAGAATTACTGTTATTTTAAATAGACATCTTACAACCTTGTGGTAAAGTAACCTTAGCCTGAATCGCCCCTGATCTTTCTTTGTGTCAATTTACAGAATTCTGAATTACAGATGAACAAAGCGGTGAAGTTTTCTTTTAATTTTAAACGACAGGTCTTGAAATGGCTGTAAGTTGAGTTCTGCGACTCCATCTCTTTAATGATCGGCTCAGAGTGGTGTATAGTTGATGATCTGAGACTTACATATGTTTCAATTTCTAATCAAATAATTTATCATACCATTGGGGAGAAGGACGCCTTAGGAATTTTCAACACAGAGGAGAAAGAACATTTTTGTCTTTTGGAGCAAATGTTTTGCCACTTTTTCCCCAGATGTCCCCGTTAGATGCCTAGAAAAGATGCATTGTTGACGAATAATACATGATTTATTTCTCTTTTATGTCTACAGGTGGCAGTGTAGAAGCCAGACCGGGAGCTTCCAGAAGTGGTTTCTGAAAGAGTCAAATGTACATGAGTAAGCAAGCACAGGAATCTGAAAAACCACAGGTATGTAGGACAATTAATCCACCTATCTAGCTTTATAATTATTGCATTCCAGTAGTACTAACCCATTTGCTCTTATGTTCAATATTTTGACACTTATATAAATTTCTATGAAGTGAAATGTATTTTGAGGTAACCTCCGAGGAGAAGCAGGGTCTAATCTATTTCTGACAATGTATTTAAATAAAAATTCTGCATGTCATTATATTACATGACTTTTTACTGTTCTAAAAGAGTTGTTTTTCCATTGTGACCATGTGGCTTTGCATTTAACCAGTTGTTTGATATCTGCTTTTCAAAACACTTTTCCTGAAACTACATAAAACTGCCAATTGTTCTGAATAATTTCATTTGAGATAATGTTAACAGAGTCACCTGCATGAACCAATAACAATATCAGCTTAAAAATTTTTTTTATTTTTTGGCTGGGTGTGGTGGCTCACGCCTGTAATCCCAGCACTTTGGGAGGCCGAGGCGGGCGGATCACGAGGTCAGGAGATCGAGACCATCCTGGCTAACACGGTGAAACCCCGTCTCTACTAAAAATACAAAAAATTAGCCGGGCGTGGTGGCGGGCGCCTGTAGTCCCAGCTACTCGGGAGGCTGAGGCAGGAGAATGGCGTGAACCCGGGAGGTGGAGCTTGGAGTGAGCCAAGATCGCGCCACTGCACTCCAGCCTGGGTAACAGAGTGAGACTTCGTCTCAAAAAAAAAAAAAAATTTTTTTTTTTTTTTTTTTTTTTTTTTGGTGACAGGGTTTGGCTTTGTTACCCAGGTGGAGGGCAGTGGCAGGATCTCAGCTCACTACAACCTCCATCTCCTACATCCTACATCTCCTACATCTCCATCTCACTACAACCTCCCACAACACGCCGGGGTTGTTTTTGTATTTTTTGTAGAGACAGGGTTTTGCCATATTGTCCAGGCTGGTCTTTAACTCCTGGGCTCAAGCGATCTGCCTGCCCTGGCCTCCCACAGTGTTAGGACTACAGGCATGAGCCACTGCACCCAGCCAAGTATCAGCTTTTAATAAAACTGCATCTCACTGTTGAATTGACGTAACACCGATCAGAATACAGATGCATTAGGAGGCTTCTTTTAAACCAAGCCCTTCTGCTATTAACCTTCTGATGATTTTTCTCCTACTACCTTGCTGTTTTTACAGGCCCACTAATTTGCCTGCTTGACTAAAATAAGGACGAGTTATGTGCTGATGAGAGACATGTTTGTAATGTTATTCGTTGTGACACAGTTCAAAAGAATTTGCCTTTGATTCTCACTAAAATGTAAAGTTTTGCATATTAAGATCCTTTTTCAACAACTGAGCAACTCTTTATAATGAAGGGCAGAAGACGCCAAAGGGAAGAAAATATTTACCTTTGTGGGCTTTTACTTTCTTTCCTGGGAATGGTAGGCCATAGCTATTGGTATGTTTTTTTGTTGTTGTTGTTGTTGTTGTTGTTGTTTTTTGAGAAGGAGTCTCTGTCGCCCAGGCTGTAGTGTAGTGGCATGATCTCGACTCACTGCAACCTTCACCTCGGGTTCAAGCGATTCCCCTGCCCCAGCCTCCTGAGTGGCTGAGATTACAGGCACCCACCACCAGGCCCGGCTAATTTTTGTATTTTTAGTAGAGATGGGGTTTCACCATGTTGGTAAGGCTGGTCTCCAACTCCTGACCTCGGGTGATCCTCCCGCCTCGGTCTCCCAAAGCGCTGGGATTACAGGCATGAGCCAGCGCCTACCACCGCTATTGGTACTTTCACACGGATGCTAAAGTTATTGTGCTGGCCGTGTTAAGGGTCAGGCATCAAAATGGCCGCTCAAGAGAATGAAGCTTTCTCTTTGTGCAGATGCAACGGGTGGGATGGGGTGCACAATTATCACAGTGCTGGTTGTGGTGTTACCTCGACATTCTGCCTTACAGCTGAGGAGGGATTTGTTTCGTCCCTGCTAATGAAGGTGTTAAATAAACTTGGATGCTGTTATTGAAGCTTAAAAAATAAATGGAAGCTGGGTGCGATGGCTCAAGCCTGGAATCCCAGCACTTTGAGAGACCGAGATGGGAGGATTGCTTGAGCTCAGGAGTTCAAGACCAGCCTAGACAACATGGCAACACCCTGTCTCTACAAAAAATTACAAAAAGTAGCCAGGCGTGGTGATGTGCACCTGTAGCTATGTGTACCTGTAGTCCCACACAGTCGGGAGGCTGAGGTGGGAGCCTCCCTTGAGCCTGGCAGGTCAAGGCTGTGATGAGCCACGATCATGCCACTGCACTCCAGCCTGGGTGTGACAGTGAGATCCCTTCTTAAGAAAAAAAAAAAAAAGAAAAAAAAGAAATTGAACACTTACCAGTAGAAAGCAAACAGGGAGCTCAGACTCAGAAAGTGTAGATTGCACTAAATACTGAAGGGTTCTCACTTTAAAGACTCCATGGATAAGGAGTGGCTTCAGGAAAGCTCTTGAACATTTAGGAACATGTAAGTTTGCACTGCATGAGACTTAGATTCATTATCTGACTCAGGAAATTGGGATGTAACTAATTATCCCTCAAAATATCTAACAGGAATGGAGTCTCCTCAGTCAAAAAGAAAAAGAACAAGGTTGATATTTTATTCCTTTTTTGAATTATAGTATATTTGTTGTAGAGCCATTAGGTGCTTTAGAGATATTTGACTTTTGACATATAACATACATAATAAAGTGTGTAAAAGGTACTGGTCTAAAGTGTACTGCTCAAGGAGAATCACTTGAACCCAGGAGGCTGAGGTTGCAGTGAGCCGAGATCGTGCCGCTGCACTCCAACCTGGGTGACAGAATGAGACCCTGTCTCCAAAAAGATAAATAAATAAATAAATAAATAAATAAATAAAGTGTACTCCTCAGTGAAACTTTGCATGCGTGTATACCATGTGACCATCACCTGAGTCAAGATGTAGATTTCCAGCACTCCAGAGGATTTCCTCTTGCCCCTTCTGTTCAGAATTCATCGTACCTCCAACATGAAGGTAACCACATTGTGATTTTTAAAAAACTCCATCCACTAGTTTTGTCTTGTAAGTTCCGTATAAATAGTGTCATATAGTGGGAACTCTTGTGTGTGTCTTTCATTCACACATATAGACAGGCACTAGAATTTCATAGGCATAACATAAAGTCTATGAGATTCATCCACAAGGTTGTGCATATCAGTAGTTCTAATCTCTTGCTGAGAATCATTCCATTGTATGCATATATCACAGTTTGTTTCTCCATTTTCCTGTTGGCTCTTTGGATTGTTTTCAGTTTGGGGCTAATACGAATAAAGCAGCCATGAACATTCTTGCTTATGTCTTTTGGTGCACATGCCCAATCATGTCTCTGAACATATGCTCAGGAGAGGAATTGTAGGGTCATAGGTAGGCACATATTTAGCTTTAGTAGATATTGCCAAACAGTTTCCCAAAGGGGTTGTACCAACTTAAATTTCCCCAGTAGTGTATGAGTGTTACCCAGTTAGTGGCTCTACATTTTAATGAACACTTGGTGTTATCTGTCTTTTAAATTTTAGCTACTTTGCTGGGTGTACAGTGGTATCTTTGTGGGTTTTTAAAAACGTATTTTATTGTAATTGTGGGAAAATATGTATATTTAGAATTTACCATCTTAACCTTTTTTTTTTTTTGAGACAGAGTGCTGCAGTGTGGTGGTGCGATCTTGGCTCACTACAGCCTCTGCCTCCTGGGTTCAAGCAATTCTCCTACCTCAGCCACCTAAGTAGCTGAAATTACAGACGGGCACCACCATGCCTGGCTAATTTTTTGTATTTTTAGTAGAGATGAGGTCTCACTATGTTGGCCAGGCTGATGCTGAACTCCTGACCTCAGGTGATCCACCTGCCTCAGCCCACCAAAGTGCTGGGATTACAGGCGTGAGCCACTGCACCCGGCCAACTGTTTTTGAGTGTACGGTTAGTAGCATTAAGTACATTCAACTTGTTATCTAACCTTCACCACCACTCATCTCCAGAACTCTTCATTTTGCAAAACTGAAACTGTACCCATTAAACAGTAATTACCCAAGTCCCACTTCCTTAGCTACTGGCAACCACCATTCTACCTTCTGTGTCCGTGGATTTGACTATACACCTCATATAAGCTAGATCATGTAGCGTTTGCCTTTTGTGACTGGCTTATTTAACTTAGATAATGTCCTCAAGTTTTAGCCATGTTATAGCATGTATTAGAATTTAGCAGTTTCAAGGAGAAATAATATTCTATTGTATGTATATGCCACATTTTGTTAATCCATTCATTTGTCAATGGACACTTGGGTCTTCACCTTTTGGCTATTTGTGAATAATGCTGCTCTGAACCATTATTGTACAGATAACCTCTTCAAGTCCTTGCTTTCAGTTCTTTTGGGCATATACCCAGAAGTGGAATTGCTGGATCATATGGTAATTCTATTTTTATTTTTATTTAAAAAGCTTCTAAAGATAGGGTCAGCCGGGCACGTGGCTCACACCTGTAATCCCAGCATTTTGGGAGGCCTAGGAGGGCGGATCACCTGAGGTCAGGAGTTCGAGACCAGCCTGACCAACATGGTGAAACCCCATCTTTACTAAGAATAGAAAAATTAGTCAGGTGTGGTGGTGGGTGCCTGTAATCCCAGCTACTAGAGAGGCTGAGGCAGGAAAATCACTTGAACCCAGGAGGCGGAGGTTGCAGTGAGCCAAGATCCTGCCACTGCACTCCAGCCTAGGTGACAGGGCCAGACTCCGTCTCTCAAAAAATAAATAAATAAATAAAGATAGGGTTCCACTCTGTTGCCCAGGCTGGCGTGTAGTGGTATGATCATAGCTCACTGTAGCCTCAAACTCCTGGCCTCAAGTGATCCTCCTTCCTCAGCCTCCCAAGTAGCTGGGACTACAGGCATGTGACACCATGCCTAGGCAATTAATTTTTTTTTCTTGCTGTATTGCGCAGGCTGATCTCAAATGCCTAGCCTCAAGTGATTCTTCTGCCTCAGTCTTCTGAGTAGCTGGGAATACAGGCACAAGCCATTTTACATTCCAGCCAGCAGTGTATAAGGGTTTCAGTTTCTCCACATCCTCAACAACACTTTTTATTTTCTGTTTCTTTGATAGTAGCCATCCTGATGGATGTGAGGTGGTCCTTGTGGTTTTAATTTATATTTCCCGGTGAGTAATGATGTTGAGTACTATTTCATATACTTAATGGCACTGGGATATATCCTTTTGTGAAGTGCCTTTTCAAATCTTTTGCCCATTTTTGAGTTGGGTTGTTTTTTGGTTGGTTGGTTTTTCTTGTAAAAGTTCTTTTATATCCTGCATATGAGTCCTTTGCCAAATACATATGTTACAAATATTTTCTCCCAGTCTGGTTTGCCTTTTCACTGTCTAAATGGAATCTTTTGATAACTTGGAAGTCTAGTGATCAATTTTTGCCTTTTAAAATGGCTATTGTTTTTTGTGTTCTGTTTATGAAATTTTTGCCTACTTTGGGGTTATTTTTTAAAAACCTTGTTTTTAGTAACTGAAAACATATGGAGACAATCTGTTTGGAAGATATAGTAAATTAACTATAAGCATATTTCAAATATGTGCCTTGAGTGTGGAAGTTGGTGATATACACCTTTTCTGCAGCAGGTGGCAGAAAAGGGATTTGAAGCAAGTATGTTTATATGTTTATATGGGCATAGATGCTATTACTCAAGTGGCCTCCACTCGGGGCCCCTCTAGATTGGGAAGAACCATAGGGAAGAGCTCAGTGATAACTCTTCTGTAGGAAAGAATGTGGCAAAATATATGGGTATCTATACTTTCTCTATTTGTAATCCATGCTTGCCAAATGATTCTCCCCCTCCCCTCTTCTATCCCCAAGGACAGTCACTGCTGTTCAGTGCTGCAGCTTTCCTTAGCACCTCAAGATCCTGCCATTCATTAGCTTTTTCTCTTCATCTTTTTCTTGAAAGGTCTGCATTTTCTGTCACTTTGATGTCTTGAAATGTCCCCTCCCACTGCCCCATGTTCTTCAGACCCTTCAGACCCCTCAACCCCCACATCTTTATAGCCTGTTCCCACTACTATCCCTCAACTCAGGCTGCAGGTATGTATTTGTTAATTGCCTCCTGGACATCTCCCTCTGGATGTCCCACAGGTGCCTTTCATATGAAACATGTGTTGTTCCTCTCCAGTCTGCTTGTCTGCTTTCCCACCCTAATTAATATATTTACCATTCCTCTAGGATTCTGAAGTAGAATTCTTGGCACTGTTCCGGATTCTCCTGCATGACTTTTATCACCCTCACAGCTCATACTTAGTTGGTCATCAAAGCTGCTGAGTCTTTCTCCTTTCTCTGAAACATCTTTCATAGACATCCCCTCTTCCCCATATTCACTACCTTGTGGTTCTGGTTCTTTAATCCCCCTTTAGGATTGTAGTAATAACCTCCCATCTGATCTCCCTGATTCTACTCTTGCCTCTAATCCATCTTCCACTTGTCATCAGCTTTCTTTTCCTAAAACACAGATTTAATCATGCTGTTTTTTACTTAAAAACGATTTGTAGCTCTCCACTGCCTACAAGAGGCATTCAAATCCCTAAGCATGATTTACAATGTGAGACTCTTCATTATTTGCCTTCAATCTGTTTTCTCTGCTCTATCATCTGCCATTTCCTCCCCACACTCCATCTGTCCTAAACTATTTTCCATTCCTAGAACATTCCTTGAGTTCTTTCCTGCATCTATGCTTTTCACATGCTGTTTCTTCTATTTCTGATGTTCATGCCTGTCTACCTGGCAAGTTACTAGTTTTCCTTTAAAAGCCAGCTGAAAAGTGGCCTCTTTGAGCCTTCCTTTTCTTTAAGTAGATCTTGTTATTCATCTCTCATTTAGTGTGGTTGGAGGAAGTGATTCATAATTGCAGGCAGTAATGCATATTAATTATTATACCCCCAGCAACTACTGGGGCACTACTTGAAAACAAATGATATTTAATAAATGTTCATGGAATGAATGAACTCATGGAGAACCCATCTGTGCTCAGATTTTGTTGCTTAACAGCTCATCACAATATCGGTCTACTTAGTGGTTTTAAACAACCACCATTTATTTAGTTCTTGATTCTGTGGGTTGGCAATTTGGGCAGGACTCAGCTGGATGGTTCTTTCAATCTGGGCAGGTCTTCTGACCTTGGCCACCTTCACTTGTGTCTGTGATCTGCTGTGTGAGTTGGAGGCTGTCTCTTCTAGGATGGCCTCAGCTCCTCTCTGCTCGACATTGTGGTCTTTAATCTGTAACCAGGCTAGCCTGAGCTTGTTCACACTATGGCTGGCCAGGTTCTAATTGAGAGTGCAGAGGCAACCAAGGCCTCTTGAGGCCTAGACTTGCAACTGGCACAAGATTATTTCCTCTGAATTTGTTAGCCAAGGCAAGTCACTTTAAAGCCAGCCCTGATTCAGGAGGTGAGGAAGTAGGTTCTATCTCTTGATGGAAGGAGCTATTTATATAATCACATTGCAAGGAACATGGATAGAGAGAAGAGAATAATTGAAGCCTTTTTGCAAGCAATCTACTACACTTATTTGGGAGCAGGAATGGAGATTAGAGCAGGTTGGGCCAAGGAGGTTTATTCCACTTAGATCAGCAGCGGGGTGCACAGTTGTGGCCCTCACTCATGGGTTTAATTGCACCTAACATGAGCCCAAGATGGTTCTGTGGTTCCTAGCATCCTCTTTTGGCCCTCCTCTCAAATCCTCAGCCCCTCTCCCCGCTTTTTTTTTTTTTTAATCTGAAGCATATCTAAGACAGCCCCAGTTTCCTTTTGGCATTGGTAATTTGGGCTGGCCTAGTGGAAATACCACTGGTGGTGCTATGGGATGAGGAAGGAGCTCTTCAGTATTGGAAAAGGGAACAACACCTTTCCTCTTCATCCTGGAAGCTGCTGTATATAGCCTTGGAAATTGGGGGCTTTCTCATTGTGAAGCACCCTCAAGTATTTGCCATTGATTTGTCTCTATCCTCCGATTTAAAAGGCATTTTCTAGGAGAGGAGAGTGTCAGGAAACAAAAAGAGATCTGATAGATTGGGACTGTTCATCTATGTTCTTCCTCGCCATGTGTGAAAATTTAAGATATTCTCCTACTGAGAAACAGTAGTCCTTTACCCAATTATAATGTCTGTGTGCTTTCCCAGCTGTTACAAACTCTTCAGAGTGGAAACATGAATTTAAACGTCTCTGATACACCACCCATGAAAGGAACCTTTTTTGAGGACTAGACTACATTAGGAAAAAGTATAGTTACAGTATACAACGCAGGAACTCAGTTGAAATATGCTAAAACATGTATGAAGAGATCCTAGTTTTCAAGAGGTAGTATAATAACCATGAATAAGTTCTAGCTTTTCCAGAACTTGGCTTCAGTGTACATCTGAATGTTTTAGTAGAGTTGTTAGAAGCAGTTAAAAAAAAAAGCAGATGTAAATTTCACCTCATTCATGCCCATTTCTACTAATCCTAGAGATAGAGCCGTACTGTGAAGTGACCAAAATGCATAAAAGAATGGGAGGCACTTACAGGGTCTTAAGACCCCTCATGACCGCTAAGTGAACTCTCATTGCCTCTTGCCAGTCCTAGATTGGCTGCTGACACAGTTGGAGGCATGAAAAATCCACAACCTGAGTAATCCTCTGCTGAAATAACAGCTGTGCCATTTGTGGGTGAAAATAGAATTTTTTTCCTGCCCCTCTGGAATTTTAATTTATCTTTTCCAAATTTTTTATTATGGCATGCTCATGCTTTTCATTTTATTCAACAGAAGATTGAGTTTTTATCTCACCATGCCTTGTGTGTAGATCATTTCCTTATTGGATTCTGTGTAGTGTTTGTTGTTTACTTAATGACAACATAAACTCAGATAGTAGTCATAGTTAAATATTTTTAGAGGACCACAACAATTTGAGTTACGAAATCAATATTTTTATCAATTAAAAATGTATCAAATCAAGGTATTTTAACAGACTAAAATAAGACACTAATTTTTGTTTTTCCAAAAGAGTTAGCTTTGGCTGGGCGCAGTGGCCCAAGCCTATAATTCCAGCACTTTGGGAGGCCAAGATGGGTGGATTACGAGGTCAGGAGTTCAAGACCAGCCTGGCCAACATGGTGAAACCCCGTCTGTACTAAAAATACAAAAATTAGCCGGGTGTAGTAGCGGGCTCCTGTGGTCCCAGCTACTCAGGAGGCTGAGGCAGGAGAATTGCTTGAACCTGGGAGGAGGAGGTTGCAGTGAGCTGAGATCACGCCACTGCACTCCAGCCTGCGGACAGAGCAAGACTCCGTCTCAGGGAAGGAAAAAAAAAAAAAGAGCTTGATGTCATAAGCAACCATAAAACATTTTATATACTATACTGCCAACATGATGCATAATGTGAATTGTAAGTTACATTTACTGATGTATAAATACATGGTCTGGGTCGGGTACGGTGGCTCACACCTGTAATCCCAGCACTTTGGGAGGCTGACTGAGACAGGTGGATCATGAGGTCAGGAGATCGAGACCATCTTGGCTAACACAGTGAAACCCCATCTCTACTAAAAAGTAAAAAAATTAGCCGGGCGTGGTGGTGGGCACCTGTAGTCCCAGCTACTCGGGAGGCTGAAGCAGGAGAATGGTGTGAACCTGGGAGGTGGAGCTTGCAGTGAGCCAAGATCGTGCCACTGCACTCCAGCTTGGGCAACACAGCGAGACTCCATCTCAAAAACAAAAACAAAAACAAACAAAAAAACATGGTCTATATGTACTATACTATGTCTCTGTTGTGGGGAGTGGGGTGGGAGAGAGAGAGAAAGACAGAGAGAGAGAGAAAGCGAACAAACCCACACATCCTCCTGTGAAAGGTTAAAATACCGGCAAAAGCTATATGAAAAGCATAAGTAAATGTAGATCTTATATTTGTTAAAACAGCCATGTAGGACAATGATTAAATTCAATGAGGGAAGGGATTATTAGCTAACAAGTATATTTACATTGAAGGAAGGCTGTGACAGAGAAACAACTAATACATTCAAGGTGGTAGTTTTACAAGCCCTAGGTGCCACACTGAGTGATGTTAATGGACCTAGTCTACTGTTGGCTTTTATTTTTATTTTTTTATTTTATATATTTTTATTTTTTATTTTTTTTTTTGAGATAGGGTCTCACTCTGTCACCCGGGCTGGAGTGCAGTGCCGGGATCTCGGCTCACAGCAACCTCTGCTTCCCAGGTTCCAGGGATTCTCCTGCCTCAGCCTCCCAAGTAGCTGGGACTACAGGCGTGTACCACCACGCCCAGCTAATTTCTTTTTGTGTTTTTCTTTTTAGTAGAGATAGGGTTTCGCCATGTTGGCCAGGCTGGTCTCAAACTCCTGACCTCAGGTGATCCACCCGCCTTGGTCTCCCAAAGTGTTGGGATTACAGGTGTGAGCCACCACGTCCGGCCTATATTTTTTATATTTTTGAGACGGAGTCTCACTGTGTTACCTGGGCTGGAGTGCGGTGGTGCTATCTCGGCTTGCTGCAACCTCCGCCTCCTGGGTTCAAGTGATTCTCCTCCCTGCCACCACACCTGGCTAATTTTTGTATTTTTAGTAGAGACGGGGTTTTACCATGTTGGCCAGCCTGGTCTTGAACTCCTGACCTCAAATGATATGCTCACCTCAGCCTCCCAAACAGCTGGGAATACAGGTGTGAGCCACTGCGCCCAGCCTGTTGGCTTTTAAAAGAGATTTTAGAATGTGCACATTTAAGATGGACTAGATGGTAATCAATTACTCTCCAATCATTTGAATACTAATCCTTACATTGGAAAATATTTAGGATGAATTATATGTTTTATAAAAATATTCTGTTTTTTTCCTGATTAATGATGTAATCAAAATTTTCTTACTGTCATGGCATTGTCAGTATGGTGGATTTCTGGATGTAGGCTTGGGCACAGAGGTCAACATCTATGGTTGCAGAAGCATCTTTGCTTATCCAGTAGCGCAGCTGTGCATGCAGGTATTTGACCAGGAAAATATAATGGGGAAAGACAATAGAGTCTTAATGAATTTCTTAAAGAGGAAGGGGTGTGGCCGTCTCAGCTAATCCCAATGCTTCAGATTTGTACACGATTGAAAGAACAGATGATATTTTTCCTTAGAACAGCTGAGGAAAGTAAAATGCCATGCGCACTGATTGAACACCTTGTGCCCTGTTGACAAACCATGCATAGGATCATCTGTTGTTCTTTCTTTACCTCCCGGGAGGGCAATGTGGGATCTCTTCCTTTAGTCACCAATATATATGATAATACTATGCATTTTCTTTTCTTTTTTTTGAGATGGAGTCTCGCTCTGTTACCTAGGCTGGAGTGCAGTGGTGTGATCTCAGCTCACCACAACCTTCGCCTCCTGGGCTGGGTTCAAGCGATTCTCCTGCCTCAGCCTCCCAAATAGCTGGGACTACGGGTGCACGCCACCATGCCCGGCTAATTTTTGTATTTTTAGTAGAGACGGGGTTTCCCTATATTGACCAGGCTGGTCTTGAGCTCCTGACCTCATGATCTGCCCACCTTGGCTTCCCAAAGTGCTGGGATTACAGGTGTGAGCCACCGGGCCCGGCCAATACTATGCATTTTCTTATCCATGTTATGAGGAAGGCCTCGAGACTCAGACATAATCTGATTGCTGGGATTTAAGTGACAGTCGCTGCTGGCTTTTAAATGGAAATTTTAGAACGTACACATTTCAAATGCCACAACCTTTCTTGCTTCTTTGACATGTGGTCCTGCTCTGCCTGTGCTGGTGAACATCAGGTACAGTCATAGTGTATGTGTGTGTGTGTGTGTGTGTGTGTGTGTGTGTGTGTGTGTGTAGCAAGGTGAGGAGGGGAGCGGTTCTTCCCAGTGATTGTAACAGATTTTTCCTACCTATGTGGTCATAGTGAATGAGTACCTAGTGTTCTGTATTTTTTATCACTATTGGTGATTTTCCATCACTATCAGTGAAAAAATATATATTTATATATTCATAAAAATAACAATATTTCACCAAGAGCTTTGACCCTGAATTGATGTGACCTTGGACTTGCCTGATGCTGGAATCAGATGGCTGAACTAGAAGTGAGGAGGCTGCTGTTCTATCCCCAGTTAGCTTCTAAGTAGCTATGATGTCTGGGCACATCCTTTTTATTGGTCTGGACTTAGGTATTGTCATCTTTAACATGAGAGTTGGACTGTTTTTTGTTTTCTGTTTTTTTTAATTTTTTTTAAAGAGACAGAGTCTCACCTGTTGCCCAGGCTGGAGTGCAGTGGCGCCATCTCTGCTCACTGCAACCTCCGCCCCCCGGGGTTCAAGCGATTCTCCTGTCTCAGCCTCCCGAGTAGCTGGGATTACAGGCGGCTGCCACCGCACCCAGCTAATTTTTTGTATTTTTAGTAGAGACAGGGTTTCACCATCTTGGCCAGGCTGGTCTTGAACTCCTGACCTAGTGATCCACCCGCCTCGGCCTCCCAAAGTGCTGGGATTACAGACGTGAGCCACTGCGCCCGGCCGAGAGTTGGACTATTGATCTCTGAAGTCTCATCACATTCTCACACTCAAGTCTTTTTTTTCTTTTTTTTTTCTTTTCTTTTCTTTTCTTTTTTTTTTTTTTTGAGACGGAGTCTCACTTTGTCGCCAGGGTTGGAGTGCAGTGGCACGATCTTGACTCACTGCAACCTCCACCTTCCAGGTTCAAGTGATTCTCCTGCCTCAGCCTCCCGAATAGCTCGGATTACAGTTGCCCGCCACTACACCCAGCTAATTTTTTGTATTTTTAGTAGAGATGGGGTTTCACCATGTTGGCCAGGCTAGTCCCAAACTCCTGACCTTGTGATTCACCCACCTCGGCCTCCCAAAGTGCTGGGATTACAGGCGTGAGCCACTGCACCCGGCCTTTTTTTTTTTTTTTTTTTTCTCTTCAGACAGGGTCTTACTCCATCGCCCAGGCTGGAGTGCAGTAGCATGATCTTAGCTCACTACAACCTGTGCCTCCCCGGGTACAAGTGATTCTCCTGCCTCAGCCTCCCGAGTAGCTGGGGACTATGGGCACTCACCACCATGCCTGGCTAAATTTGTATTTTTTAGTAGAGATGGGGTTTCACCATGTTGGCCAGGCTGGTCTCAAACTCTTGACCTCAGGTGATCTGCCCACTTCGGCCTCCGAAAGGGCTGGGATTACAGGTGTGAGCCACCGTGCTGGCCTCAAGTTTTAATAGTTTGGTTGGAGCTCCCCCATCCAGTTTCAGCAAAAACTACATCATAAAACTATAATTGAGATTTTAAAATTTGATTGCATAAAATGTGGAGTTGCATTATTTTTAAACTCTGAGTATAGTTTTTAATTTTTAATTTTTATGGGCACATAGGTACATATATTTATGGGTTACATGAGATATTTTGTTATAGATATGTAATGTGTAATAATCACATCAGGGTAAATTAAATGGCAGATCCATCACCTCAAGCATTTATCACTTGTGTTATAGACAATCCAATTATACTCTTTTAGCTATTTTTAAATGTACAATTATTTTGGGCTGGGCACAGTGGAATGTGCCTGTAATCCCAGCACTTTGGGTGGCTTAGGCAAGAGGATCCCTTGAGCCCAGTAGTTTGAGACCAGCCTGGGCAACATAGCAAAACCCTGTCTCCATAAAAAATAATAAGAAAAATGAGCCGGACATGGTGGCTACACCTGTGGTCCCAGCTACTCGGGAGGTTGAGGTGGGAAAATCACTTGAGCCCGGGAGGTCAAGACTGCAGTGAGCCTTGATCTGCGCCAGTGCACTCCAACCCGGGAGACAGAGCCAAACCCTGTCTCAAAAAAAAACCCCAAAAAACACCAAAAATTAGGTTGGGTGCCATGGTTCAAGCCTGTAATCCCAGCACTTTGGGAGGCTGAGGCGGGCGGATCACTTGAGGTACGGAGTTCAAGTCCACCCTGGCCAACATGGCGAAACCTCGTCTCTACTAAAAATACAAAAATTACTGGGAGACCGAGGCAGGTGGATCATGAGGTCAGGAGATCGAGACCATCCTGGCTAACATGGTGAAACCCCGTCTCTACTAAAAAACATACACAAAAAATTAGCTGGGCATGGTAGCAGGTGCCTGTAGTCCCAGCTACTAGGGAGGCCGAGGCAGGAGAATGGTGTGAACCCGGGAGGCGGAGCTTGCAGTGAGCCGAGATCACACCACTGCACTCCAGCCTGGGTGACTGAGCAAGACTCCATCTCAAAAAAAAAAAAAAAAAAAAAATTAGCTGGGCGTGGTGGTGGGTGCCTATAATCCCAGCTACTCGGGAGGCTGAATGAGGAAATCTCTTGAACTCAGAAGGCAGAGGTTGCAGTGAGCCGAGATTGCCCTACTGCACTCCACCCTGTGTGACAGAGCGAGACTCTATCTCAAATAAAACAAAACAAAAAAATTATTTTTGACTGTAGTCACCCTGTTGTGCTGTCAAATAGTAGGTCTTATTAATTCTATTTTTTGTACCCATTAATCATCCCCACTTTCCTCCAACCCCCCACTATCCTTCCCAGTCTCTGGTAACCATCCTTCTACTCCCTATCTCTGTGAGTTCAATTATTTTAATTTTTAGCTCCCACGTATTAGTCAGAAAATGCAATGGTTGTCTTTCTGTGCCTGGCTTATTTTACTTAACATGACCTCCAGTTCCATCCATGTTGTTGCAAATGACAGGATCTCATTCTTTCTCATGGCTAAATAGTACTCCATTGGGTATATGTACCACATTTTCTTTATCTGTTCATCTGAGCACTTAAGGTTACTTCCAGATCTTGGCTGTTGTGTGAATAGTGCTGCAATAAACATGGGAGTGCAGATATATCTCTTGGGTGTACTGGAGTTGCATCATTATGTTAATGAAATGAAATCAGTGGCCAGGTGGAAACCACGAGGTAATCATCCATCACAGTATGGATGCTCTTCAACTTAACCTGATAAAGACATCGTGAGTTGAAAATATCATTAAGTTGAAAATGCATTTAATACACCTAATCTGTCAAACATCATAGCTTAGCCTAGCCTACCTTAAACGTGTTCAGAACATGTAGCATTAGCCTACAATTGGGCAAAATCATCTTAACATGAAGCCTATTTTATAGTAAAGTGTTGAATATCTCATGTAACATATCAAATACTGTAGTGAAAGTGAAAAAACAATGCCTATTTGAGTACTCCAGGTATGGTTTCTCTTGAATATGTATCACTTTTGCACCATCGTAAAGTAGAAAAATCGTAAGTGGAACCATGGACCATCTGCATATTCAAGTTTATGTTATTGTGGGGTTTTCTGTACTTGGTCAAGAGCAGAGTGACTACAACCCTGCTACAGTGTAACATTTTATTATTGTGTTAGGGTGAGTCCCCAGTCACTGTTCTCAATCATAACCTTTCCAAGGAGAGGAGGCTAAGTTGTATTGGACTCAGTTTGCTGCTACTATATGACTTCCTCAGTTTTTGCCATATTTTTGTACTAAGCATTTGACACTCACAAGTCCAACTCTGATTTCCTTGTATATCCATCCTGCTTTGGGCTGGTGAGCTTGATTCTGAAGGTTGATGTCTTTTATCAGTATTGGAAAACTCTTAGCCATCATCTCGTTTGATTCTGCCGTATTCTGTCTTTCCCCTCCTTCTGGTTCTCCAATTTACAAGGACATGAGACCCTTTGGTATTTCTTAGGATCTGCTTCTTTTTTCCCCCTTTTTCTATTTGGCTTTTAATAATGGATATTTTTCATTAGCCTCTATATTCAGTTTACTAATCTTGTGTTTTGCTGTGTCCAGTCTGCCATTAAACCCATTCAGTGGATTAATTTCGGATAACTGTATTTTTTCTTAATTTCAGATTTTTTTTTCTAGGATGTCCATTTGATTCTTTTTTAAAGCTACTTTCTAGTTCTCTGTTGAAATTTCTGGTGAATTTCTCTTTTCACCCATTTCCTGTTTTTATTCTTACTTTTTAAATCAATTAATCATGTTATTTTAAAGGTCTCATCTAAATCCAATATCTGGATCATCTGTGAATCTGCATCTTTCTTATTTTTCTCTTGAATATTGGTTACATTTTCTTGCAGTTCTCAGGTCTCATACTTATTTAATTTTATGTTGGGCATTATAATGTCCAAAAGAACCTTACTAACTCTAGATTATATCTTCCTCCAGAGAAAATTTCTCCTCTTTACTTTGTTAGGTAAATGCAGTGAAGGACTGAACACTTTCACTCCATTGAGAATTAAGCTAAGTTAAGGCCAGATTGCAGTTTTATGAAGACTCAATCCAGCTATGCTTGTCTGTGCTTCTCAGGCATGGCTCTCCTGGACTTTGATCAAAAGCCTGGAAGACCTTTGTTTTCTTAGTCCTGCAAAACTGTGGAAGATGCAAAACTGTGGAAGATTCAGTCCTGCCCTTTGGAGGTCTTGAGTTTAACCTCCTGCTCCCAGAATTTCAAATTCTTGCAACTGTTTGAGGGTAAAACTGGTTATGTATTTGAGGGAACACTCCTACTCTCCTAAAATGCTGTCTCCAAAGCACTATGAAACTGTAGGAGATTTCACTCTGCCTTCTAGAAACCCTTAGCCTAATATCTCACTCTCTTTCCCCAGAACTGAGTAAACGGGAATAGTTCCCATCTGTCACATCAGCTTTTGTGTATTCACCATAAAGCTTTGCTGGTTCTCTTTCTCCCAGCAGAAATCCCTTCTCTTCACAAGTCTCATTAGGATGAGCTCAGAGTTCTCAATTCCCCGGAGGAAAGGAAATCAGACTATCAGCTCACCTCAGCAGCGTTCCCTTCCTCTGGCATTCTTGTTTTTGAGTCCCTTATAGTCTAATGGAAGCCTCAGAGATTTTTCTCCATGCAACATGTAAGATGGGATCTGTAACTTCATAATATGCAGCATTTGCATGTTCTCATCTATTCTCATGGAGTCTTCTGTTTAAACATTAAACGTTTTTTAGCTTCATGATAAAAAGTAATTTTGGTAGTAAGCACCTGCTGACTCATTACAATATTTTCAAAGGAGGAAAATGGGAATACTTAGACAATATGGTTGTCTTCAAAATATTTTCATTGCATTTTTTAAGTTTTTCAAATTTTAATTTGTCTAGAAAACACTTTGTAGGTAGAAGATGGTAATGGAGGCAGTTTCAGTTGCTTTAAAGCTCCCTCAGATGGATTCCTTATTGGATCCATTTACTTCTCATGTAGTAAAATGAGGCATGACTGTCATTACAAACCCTCCCATTTGAGAAGAGAATTTGCTCCAGAGAATTCTAGTACCACTAATAGGCAGTGTCCATATGGTTTGCACATGTAAAAACAAGAGAATGAGCTCCCCAAATTATTTAAATCTGAACCATTTCATTGTTAAGGAGCAATTCCGTTAACTTTTGTTTGAAGCTGTGTAAGACTTGGCCAGTGCCGAAAGCCCCAGGGTTGATGGAGGCCCTGAGTTCTAGTGTTGGCTCTGCTTCCACAAGCCATTTGCCAGTGAGGCCTCTGTTCACTCATCCCGAGAATGAGAACATTGAAATACTTGAATCCTAATGCTATCTCTGCCCTTTGGATTCCAATCAGTCATTTATCACTTGGAAATTAAGGTTATACATGCGTTTCAACAAACTGTATTGCCAGGATCAATTAAAAGAATGAAAGTATGCAAATTTCTTTTAACTCTTTAAAATTTTCTATTTCCAACCTAATGAAGAAGCAAGGAGTTGTGTGTAAAGAGCACTAAACGGCATGTAAACAAATAAAAATGAAATAGTGATTTTTGAATCTGGAGTACCTGAATTCGAGTCATAGGCACTGTCTGCTTTGGTGCCTTGGGCAAGTCATCAACTATAAGCCTCAGTTTCCTCAACTAGAAAGTGGATAGAATAAATAGTACAGTAGCTTTACCTATCTCATGTGGGTGTTTGGGGAAGCCAATAAAACATTTCATGTGTGAAGGCTCTTTATAAATAGTAAAGGGCTATAAAAACATCGATTATCATTAGGACTAATGATGCAGCCCTTGTCAGCAGTAACCATCTGTTGTGGCTGTCACTCTCAAAAGCAAGATGCGAAAATGACCCAAAGGTATTTAAATTACGTTCACCTTGAGTTTTGTTCCCATATGACTGTTTTTGTTTGTTTTTGGTAGGTAAGCTGACACTATGGTTAGGGTTTGAGCTCTGTCCTTGGAGCCATTGAAATGTAGAGCTGGAAGGGACACTAGAATCACCAAATTCCCCTCTTTTAAGTTGTAGCTTATGAAGTTTAACTGACTTACCTAAGTTAACAGAGCTGCTTCAAGGTATAACCACAAAGAGTTTTGCTTAAACTCTGATTTGTATAATTAGGACTATAATTTTGATCAAGTACCAAAATAATGAAGGAGATTTCTTTTGCTTTCAAACTTTGGGATTCTCTATTTTCCTTCTCCCTATCCCCACTGATATCTTTCACTTCCCTCCTATTTCACAGCCCTCTCCTTCCATTTGGATGGTATAGCACCTCTACCCACTTCAGAGAAGAGGGTCCTCTGTCTCTCACCCAAAACCAATCCCCTACCTGTGCTCTTGATTCCCACCCATTTTTGCCTCCTCTGGGACCTAATCTAACAGTCATTCTGTCTATGACCTATTTTGTCTTGCTCTCCCTTTCTGTTGGTTCTTCTTGGTCTACAAATGTGTCCAAACTTGTAAGACTGTTTACTTCATCCTACATACCGCTTCTTTTCAATACTTGACTATTGAAAAGGAAACTGGTAAGAAGACTCATAGCTTTTTCAACTTCGATTAATTCCTTATATGGTAATGTACAAGTACAGGGACTGGTGCTTGGTAGTAGCTCAGGAAAGTTCCTTCCCTCCCTCCTGACTCTCCCCTTCCTCTCTGTCATCCCCTGCCTTCTTGTCCTCCACCTTCCTCTTGTTACTCTTCTTATTTCTTTCTGTTCCCTGCCTTCTCTTGTCCCCTTAACTCCCCAGTTTGTTGCAATTTGTTTCCTGGCCTCCCTTAGGGACGCTGATCTGGCTTTTGCTCATCAATGACCTAACGGTGGACTCCAGTGGCTGTTTCTCAATGACACCTGTCTGTTTTTAACTTGCTGCCAGTTTCTGGGTACTTTTTCTTCTTCTTTTAGCCTATATGATCCTTTCTTCTCAGGATCTAGGCTGGATTCCTCTTCCCTTTCTAGTTTTTTAAGTGATGCTATTCTCCAGTAGAATTCAGCATCAACCTGTAGTCAACTCCCTACTCAGCCGCCATCTGTGATCACCAGCATGGTGGGCTGCTTCCTCACACCCTTGACACCATGTTGAATCTTAAGGCTTCAGCCCCTTGCTTCTCTTTTCTTCCATAAACATTCAGCCCAAATGCACTCTTCAGAGAAGTCTTCACCAGCAACCTCAGTTACAGCTCCACAGAACTTTAAAGGTCCCTCTAGTAGCCCTGATATCAGTGCTGGGATTTCACTTCATCCTCTCCATTTTGTTCCTGCCTCTAGTGGGTGAGTGCCTTGTGGCAGAGACTGTGTCTGATTTATTTCTATGGGACTTAACCCTCCGTCAGTGCTGAATAAATGAGAGAGAACAATCATTCATTTAAGTACACTTCTATAGATAAGTACTGCTTTAAGAGACTGAATGTTGATTAGCCACAGGGAAGAGAAAAGTATAAGATCAGAAACGACTTCATGGTGTATGTTGTTATGGGAATCTATGGTATTAGCCAGTTTATTAAATATTAAATTATTTTATATGAAGTAGCACAGTGTGATAGGTAGAATAATGGCTCTCTGCTGTGGTTTGGATATGGTTTCTCCCCAGCAAAACTTAAGCTGAAGTTTGTTCCCCAGTGTTAGAGGTGGGGCCTAATTAATGGGAGGTGTTTGGATCATAGGGGTGGATCCTTCATGAATGGGTTGGTGCTGTTTTCACAGTAGCGAGTTGTTGCTCTCCCTAGACTGGATTAGTTCCCACGGAGAATGGATTAGCTCCTGAGTGAGTGGGTTGTTATAAAGCCAGGACGCCCCTCAGGTTTTCTGTCTTCACAAGTGTCTCTTTCCTTTTTGACCTTCTCTGCCATGTTGTGATGTAGCATGAAAGCCATTGCCGGAAGCCAGGGCCATGCCCTTGAACTTTTTAGCCTGCAGAGCTGTGAGCTAAGAAAACCTCTTCTTTATAAATTGCCTTGTCTCAGGTTTTGTTTTGTTTTTTTTTATAGCAATACAAAATGGAGTAAGACAAAATGGGCTAAGACACCCTCCAAAGATGTCTATGTATCCTAATCCCTGGAACCTGTGAGCATGTTATATGGCAAAGGGGAATTAAGATTTGGAAATGGAATTAAGGCTGCTACTCAGCTGACTTTAAAATAGGGAAATTATCCTGGATTATCTGGGTGGGATCAGTGTAATCATGAAGCTCCTCAAAAGTGGTCTCTGCTGTAGGATTGCCTTATTAGCTGAGTCCATGGACTGCTGGGGGGTCTTAAATTGCCTTGAACATTGTCTTTGGTTAATGCTTCATTGATGTATTTCTTTTTTTTCTTTTTTCTTTTTTTTTTTTTATACGGAGTTTTGCTCTTGTCATCCAGGCTGGAGTGCAGTGGCGTGATCTAGGCTCACTGCAGCCTCGGCCTCCCTGCAACCTCCGTCTGCTGGGTTCAAGCGAATCTTGTGCCTCAGTCTCCTGAGTAGCTGGGATTACAAGTGTGTGCCACCATGCCTGGCTAATTTTTGTATTTTTGGTAGAGACGGGGTTTTGCCATGTTGGCCAGGCTGGTCTCAAACTCCTGACCTCACATGGTCCACCTGCCACGGCCTCCCGAAGTGCTGGGATTACAGGCCTGAGCCACCTATATATTATTAAATCCTTTTGTGGGGCGAGGAAACAGGCATGGAGTGGTTAAATTACACCAGGTCATGCTGCTCCTGATGACCGTGAGGTTTTACTGCACGTAAAGAGTTGGGGACCAGGAGTTGGGGACCAACCTGGCTAACATGGTGAAACCCCATCTCTACAAAAAATACAAAATTAGCCGGGCGTGGTGGCACATGCCTGTAATCCCAGCTACTCTGGAGGCTGAGGCAGGAGAATGGCTTGAACCCAGGAGGCAGAGGTTGTGGTGAGCCGAGATCGCGCCATTGCGCTCCAGCCTGGGCAACAAGAGCAAAACTCTGTCTCAAAAACAACAAAAAAAGAAGTCTTGCCTTGAATTTTGAAAGTCGCAGAGGAATTTGTATATTATTGAAGCAATGTGACACTGTAACACTTAGGGAAGAAGACAAAAATGAATCATAATTCTAACAAAATCTTGATTATATTTTGGTATATATTTCCTTTCAGTCTTTTTTCCCCGGTGCATATGTGTGTTGCAGTTTACCACAGGTGTAATCATAACCATATTATACTTTTTTCATTTTACATTATGTATTTTTCCATGTTAACTGTCTTTGTCATTATTATCTGTTATAGACAATAGGCTATTTCTAAGTTTCTCTTGTTAAAAGTAATGCTGAAAGAACAGTTTCTATCTGGGATGTGCCATTGGTGGAGACCAGGAAAACAAGCGGGCCTATTCCAACTGTGAAACTCAGTTAAAACTTCTGCTTGGAGGTAGTCAGTGTCATATCTGCACACATTTTATTGGTCAAAGTGTGTCATAGGGCCAAAGTCAATGAAGTGGGGACGTACACTTCTCCCCCGTGACAATGAGCAGGGATGCTTCCTCCTATTATAAGGAGGGAGGGAAGAATAGTTGGGAATAATAATCCTATCTACTACCTGGAGGGAGATGAGATGATAAGATAGAACATAAAAATAGAAAGAAGCAAAAATAGCAGGTAGAGACAGGCTGATTTCTGTTGAATCCAGATTCTGACCTTAGGCAGGGACTCTGTCTTTAGTTGCCTCCACTGAAATGGAAGGATTAAAAGAAATGATGTATGGAAAGCATGGTGCACATTGCCTTGCAAAATAAATAGGCTGCCAGCAAATGCTAGTTCCCTTTAAAGATGTAATTTTACCATGGTACTAAATGTGCTATTTTGGTCCTGCTGTTTGGATGGAACTTGACTTTTCTTGAGTTTTAACACGAATATACACAATGCTGTGGATCATTAAAGTAAATATAGGCTGAATTTGTGGATGATTATTCTTCAGTCCTTTAAAAAGTACATCATTACTGGGGAGATAATTTAAAATTCCTGGCCTCACATCCCAAAGTGGGATGCAGTATCTTGGGCCCCATCTCAGAGCTACTGAATCAAATTCTACACTTTAACAACATCCCCAGGACATTAGATGTACATTAAACTTTGAACAACAATGATGTAGGTAGTCCTTAGGAAACTTTTGGAGAAATGGATGTTTTAAAAGAAAAGAAATGGATTCGTTTTCTTTTTGAATTATTATTTCCCTTTTAATTTGACCATAATGAATAAATCAATAATATTTACAGTTTTAAAAACTATTTTCTGGCTGGGTGTGGTGGCTCATGCCTATAATCCTAGCACTTTGGGAGGCCAAAGCAGGCAGATTGCTTGAGCTCAGGAGTTCGAGACCAGCCTGGGCAATGTGGTGAAAGCCCATCTCTACACAAAATACAAATGTTAGCCAAGCGTGGTGGCACACGCCTGTAGTCACAGCTACTCAGGGGCTGAGGGAGGCATATGGCTTGAACCCGAGAAGTCGAGGCTGCAGTGAGCCGAGATTGCACCACTGCACTCCAGCCTGGGCGACAGAGCAAGACTCTGTCTTAAGAAAACAAAGAGTTTTCTATAGTGTATACAGTATTTAAAAACAGGCATAGTTAGAACAGTAATAATTTAGAAGTGTGGTTTTTCTTCTTTGAACTTCTAAGAAAATGTTATTTTACCTACAAGGTTTAATCTTGATGCAAAAGCTGTTGGTCCATGACATTTTATTTGGTTTATTTGAATTCGAGAAGTCTTATTTTGATCTTAGGAGATCAAACTCCAACAGTATTATAAGTAATCTAAGATGCAACATTTAGAGTCTGCTATGAGTTGAATGTCCCCTCCAAGAATGTGACAGTATTGAGAGGTGGGGCCTTTAAGAGGTGATTGGAGTCATGGGGGTTCTGCCTTCATGAATGGATTAATCCATTCATGGATTAATGGGTTCGTGGGTTAATGGATCAGTGGCTTAATGGATTAATGAGTTATCAGGGGAGTGGGACTTGTGGCTTTATAAGAAGAGGAAGAATGACCTGAGCTAAAATGCCCATCATCATATGATGCTCTATGCTGCCTTGGGACTCTGCAGAGAGTCCCCACCAGAGAGAAGACCCTCACCAGATGCAGACTCTTGACGTTGGACTTCTCAGCTTCCATAACTGTAAGAAATAAATTCCTTTTCTTTATAAATTAACCAGTTTCAGATATTCTATTATAAGCAATAGAAAGCAGACTAAGATAGAATCTTTGAAACAAAATGGTAATTCTTGAACTATTAATAAATACTCTTTTTGCTACATGTCCCTATTACTTGATAGTAATTGTGTTCTTGAGTTTCCTTATGTATAGATTATGTGTCAGAGGACCTAACTCACTGGAAGCGTGGTGTGGGCACTAAAATTATTATTACTTTTTTGAGACGGAGTCTCACTCTGTTGCCCAGGCTGTAGTGCAATGGTGCGATCTCAGCTCACTGCAGCCTCCGCCTCCTGGGTTCAAGCGATTCTCCTGCCTCAGCCTCCCGAGTAGCTGGGATTACAGGCATGCACCACCACACCCAGCTAATTTTTGTATTTTTAGTAGATACGAGGTTTTACCATGTTGGCCAGGCTGGTCTCGAACTCCTGACCTCGTGATCCGCCCACCTCGGCCTCCCGAAGTGTTGGGATTACAGGTGTGAGCCACCGCACCTGGCCTGAAAATTCTCTCCAAATTCTCAGATGCCTAGTCAACTCAACGTAAGATGTTTGCCTGGGTTTAGGGCAAACTATGGCCTGTGGGGCCGAATCTGTGCCTGTGTTTATAAATAAAATTTTATTGAAACACAGCCACGTCCATTTATTTACCTAATTGTCTATGGCTACTTTCATGACGTCAATGTCAGAGTGACAGAGATCACTATATGGCCTGCACAGCTTAAACCTTTACTCTCTGGCCCTTATGGAATAACTTTAGCGCCCTGGTATCAATAATAAAGGGTAACTTTTTGTATTTGTGTGAAATTGAGAAAAGTATCTGAAGAATCTTGATTTTTTTTAAAGAGAAAAAAACAGTCAGTCTAACATTTAATAGATTGTTATCTTCTTCCAGATTACATCAATCTTCCAGATTGCCTTAGGGCCCTAATCACAGGTCAAATTAATTTTGCCCCTTCAACCAATCCTTTTCAAAGTACTGAAGATAATACTGTCATCAGATGCTGACATTACTACACAAATGCAGTATTTCATCAGTGAATTGTGTGTTTTTATATATCATGTTGATGCATGCCACTTCCCTCATACAGCGCAGTGTGTATTTTTCACTGGAACCTTCCAACCTTAGGCTCTTCCTTCCCTGGGGTGCCGCCTTGTGGTGGGCTGTGAGCCCTTCATGGGCAAACTGCATGGTTTGGTCATCGAGGACCGTGAATCTGCTATGGAGTGACTCATGCCAAACCCTGCCAAGAGCAAGCTGTCCCATCATATACCTAAGAGGTCATGAATCATTAGACTGGAACAACCTGCTGGTGAATACAACGTGGAAAAAATTCCTCATTCTACTGATTATCAACCTCCCCCGTGCCTTCTCTATATATGGGCTTAAGAGGAAACTTTTAAAAAAGAATAAAGAAATGACTCATTAGGGCTTTTTGGGGATAGTCTTAATTATATTTTAGCTAATGCAGTATTTTTCATACTTTGCTGTATATGGTTATATATATGCTTTAAAATAATAGGTACACATACATATCTCTATATGTATCCATGTGCACACATGGATGTGTATGATTAATCTTGATTCTGGTAAGCCTCATTATTGAAGGAGTTTAAGAGAAGAGGCTGTGATTGTATCTTTACTGGCCCTTTCTGTGCCTAAATGTGATGAGGTTTTTTGGGGTAGATGTTAATCCATCACTCACTTACAAATTTGTCAACAAACAGGAGAACCTTATGCAAAGAGTCACATTCATTGTCTTAATTTCTGCTTATTTCTAGGTAAAATATGTTGATAAAGCACAGCAGCCCACCAATATTCCATTGATTCAAATAGCTATGATGCTAACAGCTAAATTCTTACCTACAGACTAAAACATTCTCAAAATCTGAATAAAGATTATCCCATTATTTGCCGCTTTTGTTGGGAAATAAAATATATACATACATACTAAATAATCAGTAGTTCAGCTATACATGCAGGGAATTCATGTCTTTAGCTCTAAAACACAGTAATAATGAGCAAACTTATGAACCAGTTTATTCTGCTGCAGCCTTCACTAGTCTGCCTGGATGAGGATAAAGAGAGATGTATTACTCATAAGAATTGACAGATCTGGGATAGATTCAGCAGAAATAGCACTTTAGAGATATTTGAAACTATGGTATTCAGCTAATTGTTCTCATAGTTTTAAGATATATTCATTCCTGAATGTTGCCAAGGATTCTAGTGCTATAAGCAGCTTATAACAGAGATTTCTGTGGTTGCTATGTGCAGAAAACTAGAATAAATGAGCGGGAAATAAAATCAGGGAGGGAAAATATTGCTATAGTAGTAACTTATTTTTTATAGGAAAAATTTGGAAAATAAAGTAAGAATCCCTGGAATTTGGGTAGAAATATATTTTTCACAAAGCAGACAATACAGAACAAAAATCATAATTCTATTTGCTACTTTTTATTAAGAATGCTTTCCTTTATGATTTAAAACATTACATTTTGAGTAACTTTCTAATGCACTGTTTAGTTTGGATAGAATGTTGAGAAATTGCAGAGTGCTGAGAAGAAAGCAATGTCATGTCATTTCTTTTTCTTTTTTTTTTTTTTTTTTTTGAGACAGAGTCTTGCTCTGTTGCCCAGGCTGGAGTGCAGTGGGGCCATCCCCGTTCACTGCAGCCTCCGCCTCCCAGGTTCAAGCGATTCTCCTGCTTCAGCCTCCCCAGTAGCTGGGATTACAGGTGCCCGCCACCACTCCCGGCTAATTTTTGTATTTTTAGTAGAGATGGGGTTTCACCATGTTGGCCAGGCTGGTCTTGAACTCCTGACCTCAGGTGATCTGCCTGCCTCGGCCTCCCAAAGTGCTAGGATTACAGGCATGAGCCACAACACCCAGCCTCATGTAATTTCTTAACATGACAATTCCCAAATATGCTCAAACATGAAATATGGTTCTCTAGAGAAGTTGATTATATGTCTTTAATTCACTTATATCAAATAACTCCCTTAATCATTAAATTTTTTAAATACAGCCTAATCTTTTGTGTTGTTCTTCACCCAACTTTTCTTTCTCTTTTCAGCAGGATAGGAAAAGTACCATATAATTATTAAAGCCATCTTTTGATTACAAAGTACTGACAAATGTGTTTCTTTACCATCTTTTCTTCTAATTTGGTAATGTCAGTCCTAAGTGCACATTAGAACCATCTGGAGAAGTTTTTACAAAATGTAAATGACTGTGTTCCTCAAATTCTCATTCAATTGATCCAAGGTGGGGTATAGGCATTTGTGTGTGTGTATGTGTGTGTGTGTGTGTTTAAACTACCTATATGATGGTAATGTGCAACTATTCTTTTAGACTCTTACTTAAAGTGTAGTCCTTGGACTAGCAACATCAGCATGACCTGGGAGCTTGTTAGAAATACAGAATCTGAGGCCCCACTCCAGATCCACTGAATTAGAATCTGCAGTTTAACAAGATACCTGTGTGTGAGTCAGATGTGCATTAAAGTTTGAGAAGCACTGTTCTGTGGCAGGGGCAGGCAAACAAAGACCTTTGGGTAGGCCAAATCTGGCCTGGACGCTTGCTTCTGTCAATAAAGTTTTATTAGAAAACATCCACATTCGTTTATTTATATATTGTCTGTGATCGCTTTTGTCTTTCAAGGGCAGAATTGAATAGTTGCAACAGAGACCATATGGCTAACAAAACCAAAAATATTTACTCTCTGACCTTTTGTAGAAAAAGTTTGCCAACTGCTGCTGTAGGATATCCAGCCACCCTGTGGGTGAACAAAAATTGGAAAATTGGAAACTTGATTGCAATAAAAAGAATCAATATTCAGTTTGACTGCTGAAATTCTCAACCTTAGATTTAAAGCCATACTTAAGGGAAATTGAATGTGAGTGACTGAGTCAGACAGATTAACTAAGGAAGCAGTGTTGTTCTGGCAGGACAATTCTGGAGAGTCCATGCATATTTCTTAATAAGCAATGAATTGTTTGCCCTTGAGATGTCTGACCCGAAATGATGGATTTGTATTAATTTGAATTTTGAAATCATGTATTCTTCATGTTGGATTTGTATTAATTTGAATTTTGAAATCATGTATTCTTCATATGGACCAAATCTCTTTTGTTTTTTTTTGAGATGGAGTCTTGTTCTATAGCCCAGGCTGGAGTGCAGCAGCATGATCTTGGCTCACTGCAGCCTCTGCCTCCGATTCTCCTGTCTCAGCCTCCCGAGTAGCTGTGTGCCACCATGCCCAGCTAATTTTTTTTTTTTTTTTTTTTTAGTAGAGACGGGGTTTCACCATGTTAGCCAGGCTGGTGTTGAACTCCTGACCTCAGGTGATTCACCCACCTCCGCCTCCCAAAGTGCTGGGATTACAGGCGTGAGCCAGTGAGCCTGGCTGATGCGGACCAAATCTTTAACAGTTAACTACCTTGTACTGATCTGCAAAATGATAGAAAAACATGTAAGTTTAGGTGGATCAGCAGAGAGTCTGTTACATCTTGGTGGTCTCAGAGCTCTTTTCTAGCTCTCTGAGTTTCTGGGATTCTAACCCACATACTTCAGGAGATGTCTTAATAATGGTTGTATTAGCCACTTGTTACAAAACACTTAGCAAGGAATCAATCTTTGTGAGGAAATAAGCCCAGTCTGGTGGAATGGGGTATTTGAGGTTGCTTCACTCAGGAGAATGACGGCCCCAGCATTCTGCAGTGAAGAGTTTCTGTAAAACAGTCCTGTGAGGTTGGTTTTATTCCAGGTGGACAACTTGGGATGCTGAGGCTTCAAGAGGATACCTACTTAGGAAGTGGCATAGCCAGGGTTTGAAAGCAGATTTGTTTGTCTCTTAGATATGTTCTTTTTCCATCTTATTACACTGTTTCTCAAACACTGAGTGGATCCTCCATGACCTTTGGTTGCTTGTCCTGTGAATGCATAGGACTGAGGTGGACTGGGAGAATAAGAGCTTGTGGGCAGCTCATGTTGTCATGGTGAATATCTGTGTGTTTGAATACATGTGGACTAATGTGATGAATGATCGCTATTGATGAGTGACGTATATTAATATATCCTTAATGTTCTCAGCCTGTGAAGTTTGTTTATTATTTTTATGTAAAAGTTATACTGTGGTCATATGTATGTAAGAGGGATTCTTTCAGAGAAAAAATATTAGAACAGCCTAGTAAAGCCATATTTTTTGAATGCGTTAAATGTAATTTATTGTGAGTTCTGTAAAACTTGTCACCATTTAATAATTCAAGTGATATTGTTCCTGATGGTCAGTTTTTATTAACCAAATGGCTGGGAATGCCTTTGCTTAGAACTTTTTGTGTCAGTTCAAGATTGTGGACTTATTCATAAAAGTGGGAAGGTGCCCACCTTCTGGTTACAGTCGTGATCATTACAAAAGCGATTCCCACTTTATTTCTATGATAAGACACTTTAGATGTGTCTTCTCTGAGCCTCATGAGTTAAGTAGAACTCTCATTCTGCAGTAGAGAAAAGTAGACTTAGCTAAAACACTTTCTGAAGACTGCATTTCTAGAAAGTGGTGGAGCAAAATTGAAACCCAAATTTTCTGACTTTAAAACCCATGGTTTTAGCTGTCTTGGTAAGAAGACCGTCTGTTAGTTCTCTGTCTTTTTAAAGATATGATATTTAATAAAGGCATTTCATCAAGTGATTATTTCAAATTAATTATCCTTACGTCTTAAAAGATGCAGTTACCATATGGATTCCCCTGTTTTGTAGCTGCTGCTTGGGAATTTAAAAATTTTTCTGAGGCCGGGCGCGGTGGCTCACGCCTGTAATCCCAGCACTTTGGGAGGCCGAGGCAGGTGGATCACGAGGTCAGGAGATCCGAGACCATCCTAGCTAACACGGTGAAACCTCGTCTCTACTAAAAGTACCAAAAATTAGCCGGGTGTGGTGGTGGGCGCCTGCAGTCTCAGCTACTCGGGAGGCTGAGGCAGGAGAATGGCGTGAACCCGGGAGGCGGAGCTTGCAGTGAGCCGAGATCGCGCCACTGCACTCCAGCCTGGGCAACAGAGAAAGACTCGGTCTCAAAAAAAAAAAAAAAATTCTAATGCATGTATGCACATTTATGAAATATAAGTGTGATGTAAACAATGTATACCTGAAAGAAATGTTGTAAATGAGCCCTGTCTAACCACCACTGAAGTCAACAAATACAACATGCCAGGGCCCAGAAGCCCCCTGCTTCTCCTTCCAATCATTATGCATTTCTCCCAAAGGTATCCTGACTTTATGAAAAATCACTTCCTTGTTTTGTTTTTAAATTTTGCTACCTATCTCTAAATTGTATAGTTTTGCTTGTTGTTGAGCTTTCTATAAATAGATTGTGTCTGGCTTTATTTGCTCGGTATATCCAGTAACATATTTCACATATTTTATTAAATTTATTTCAGGTACTTGTTCTATGTTGATGTTAACAAAATGGCATGTCTTTCAACATTTTATTTCTAACAATTGCTGATAAATAAAAATTTTATTTTTGCACATTAATATATTCAGCAATCTTGATAAACCCTTTAAAATTGTAGTAATAGTGGTAATAGTAATTCCTTTGATTTTTCTATGAACACAACCTTCTCATCCGTAAATAATATCATTTTTTTCTTCCTTCTTTTTCTTGCCTTACTGCAATGGCCAGGACCTCTAGTACAATGTTGAGTAGAAGAGATGATGGTAGGCATCCTGTGTGATTCCCCTTTCTAAAAGGGAATGCTTTTGATGTATGGAATTTATTACAGGCTTTTGATATGTATCTCTTTTCAGAGTGGGAACTTCCCTTCTGTTTGCTTATGTCACTTCTTCCACATCTGTTGAGATGAGAATATGAGTATCCTCCTTAAATATGTTAATATGGTAAGTTACACTGACTGACTTTTAATGTCAGTCAAAAATTTAAAGTGTGGAATCCTGGTTTAAATCCAGTTTGAGGCTGGACATGGTGGCTCACGTCTATAATCCCAGCACTTTGGGAGGCTGAGGTGGGCAGATCACTTGAGGCCAGGAGTTTGAGACCAGCCTGGCCAACATGGTGAAACCCCGTCTCTACTAAAAATATGAAAATTATCTGGGCATGGTAGTGCAGGTCTGTAATCCCAGCTACTCGGGAGGCTGAGGCAGGAGAATTGTTTGAACCTGGGAGGCGGAGGTTGCAGTGAGCTGGGGTCAGTCCACTGCACTCCAGCCTGGGTGACACAGCGAGACTCCATCTCAAAAAAAAAATGAAATAAAATAACTCCAGTTTGATCAGGGTGTATTATCCTTTTAAAATGTGAATTTGATGTGCTACTATTTTCTTGAAGATTTTTGCATAAGTGATCGTGAATGAGATTGGCCTATAGTTTTCAGTTCTTGTTCAGTTCTAGTTGTGTTTTTGTACTGAACACATTCTAAACTCTAAGCTAGGAAAGGTGCCCTTTGCTCCTGTTCTCTGACAGTGTTTGTATAATTTATTCTCAAGTCTTTGTGTGGAGTGTTATTGTTTCCTTAGAACTTGTTGGTGAAGCCATCTGGACATACAGTTTACTTTTTTACTATAGGAAGATTCTAAATTACTAATTCAGTTTCTTTCTTTTTTTTTTTTTTTTGAGACAGAGTCTCACTCAGTTGCCCAGGCTGGAGTGCAGTGGTGAGATCTCGGCTCACTACAACCTCCACCTCCCAGGTTCAAGTGATTCTTCTGCCTCAGCCTCCCAAGTAGCTGGGATTACAGGCACCCACCACCATGCCCACCTGATTTTTTTAGGTGAGACAGGGTTTCACCATATTGACCAGGCTAGTCTGGAACTCCTGACCTCAAGTGATCTGCCCGCCTCGGCCTCCCAAAGTGCTGGAATTACAGGCATGAGCCACTGCGCTTGGCCTACTGATTCAGTTTCTTTTTTTTTCTGAGACAGAGTCTCGCTCTGTCGCCCAGGCTGGAGTGCAGTGGCGCGATCTCAGCTCACTGCAGCCTCCACCTCCCACGTTCAAGCAGTTCTCCTGCCTCAGCCTCCTGAGTAGCTAGGATTACAGGCGTGGACCACCATGACCAGCTATTTTTGTATTTTTAGTAGAGACGGGGTTTCACCATGTTGGCCAGGCTGGTCTCGAACCCCTGACCTCGTGATCCGCCTGCCTTGGCCTCCCAAAGTGCTGGGATTACACGCGTGAGCCACTGCACATGGCCTGATTCAGTTTCTTATAGGACTATTCAGATTTTACATTTTTTGTGACAGTTAAGTTGTACATTCTTGAGAATTTACCCAATTTGTCCAAAATTTAAAACTTTTTGATATAAAGTTGATTGAAATATGCTTTTTGATTATCTTTACAATGTGCAGTTATGTATCTTTATCTCTGTTTTATTCATCAGTCTTCATCAAAGATTTGGCATATTAATCCTCTCAAATGGCCTACTTATGCCTTTGTTGATCATCTTTATTTTATCCTCATTTTCTATTTCATTTCTGCTCTTATTATTTCCTTCTTTTTATTTTCTTTAGGTTTATTTTGCTTTTCTTAATGTCTTGAGATAGGAACTGAGCTTTTTAAGCTATTCTCATTTTCTAAAATACATAGTTCCCGTTCTAGGTAGCTTTGTTTCCATCCCAGAAGTTGGATTCGTGTTTAAAATATTTTGAAATTTGGCCAGGTGTGGTGGCTCACACCTGTAATGCCAGCACTTTGGGAGGCTGAGGCCAGAGGATCACTTGAGTCCAGGAGTTCCAGACCAGGCTGGGCAATAAAGTGAGACTCTGTCTCTAAACACACACAAACAGACACACACCAGTACAAAAATTAGCCAGGCGTGGTAGCACACATCTGTAGGCTCAGCTACAGAGGCTGAGGTGGGAGGATCACTTAAGCCCAGGAGGTCGAGGTTGCAGTAAGCTGTGATTGCACCACTGCACCCCAGCCTAGGTGACAGAGCAATACCCTTTCTCTATAATAAATAAATAAATAAATACAATTTTTATTAATTTAATTTGTCATACCCCTAGTTTAATATCTGTTCTGGACAAGGTGGGCTTTCTGCGTCTTGCCTCATCATCTAAACTACTTTACATTCATGGACCATTAGAGCATCCTAGGGACTACGTAGGCCATAGCTTTTCTTTTTCTTCTTCTTTTTTTTTTTTTTTAATAGAGACAGGGTCTCACTCTGCCGCCCAGGCCAGAGTGCAGTGGCACAATCATAGGTCACTTCCGCCTCAAACTCCCAGACTCAAGTGATTGTCCCACCTCACAGCCTCCCAAATAGCTGGGGACTACAGGAGTGCACCACCACGTCCAGCTAATTTTTGTGCTTTTTGTGGAGACTGGGGTTTCACTTTGTTGCCCAGGCTGGTCTCAAACTCCTAGGCTCAAACCATCTACCAGCCTCAGTTACAGGCGTGAGCCACTGCGGCCGGCCAGCCATAGCTTTATCAAAGCAGTTCATATTCCTCCTGGGTAAGAATTATGTGGGAGGAGTTACTAAAAATGGTCTGGTCCAGTCACCTCATTTTTCATACAAGGAAACACAGGGCAAGAATAGTTAAATATGTTGAATTTAAACTTGTGAGTTAATTTGTTGGGATAGTTAAATTTGGTATGATTAAATGCATAAATGCCTGTCAGTACATTTATCTATGCCACAGTATTGTCACTAGCTTGGAAATGATGCCTTGCACCATAAGAAGTTGATCCGAGTCCTGTGAAATGGCATGCACGGTGATCTTTGCTTAGGCGTATTTTATTTTATTTTATTTTTTTGAGGCAGAGCCTTTCTCTGTCACCCAGGGTGGAGTGCAGTGGTGCAATTTCGGCTCACTGCAACCTTCGCCTCCCAGGTTCAAGAGATTCCTGTGCCTCAGCCTCCCGAGTAGCTGGGATTGCAGGCATGCACCACCATGCCTGACTAATTTTTTTTGTATTTTTGGTAGAGATGGGGCTTTGCCATGTTGGCCAGGCTTATCTCGAACTCCTGGCCTTAAGCAATCCACCTGCTTCAGCAACCCACAGTGTTGAGATTACAGGCGTGAGCCGCCGTGTCCGGCTGCTTAGGCATATTAACTGAGCTTTACCTTGTTCCCCATCAGCTTTCAAATTCTTAGTAAGCTGTCCATTTGGATATGAAAGAGGAGGTGTGTCTTTTGCTGTGAAATTTAACCTTGCTGTGCTGCTGGGAAATAGAAAACATGAAACAAAGTGAGGTGAGGTAGTGAGATGATCAATTGGTAGCCCTACTTGGGAAGAATCATTCTTAGAAATGCTGCAGCTCTTTCAAGCTCTCTTATGAGTTGGCCAGCCCCAGAGACCCAAACCACCTACCCTGTTAACATCCCTTTCTGGTATTTAGGCTATGGATGGAATGTCTTGAGAATGAAGTTGAGTCCTTGCTAGAATGACCTGAAAAACTCCACGAGTAGGTAAAGTCATCTCTTATTAGTCTGTTAGGGCTTTATGAATTTCTTTTTACTTACTCCAGTTCTTTTCCATTTTAACTTTATTAGAAACATACTTAAGTTTGTTATTGTCTTAATTTACTGTTTGTTATACTTCCCTCTTTATTTTCATCTTTGGGATGCCCTACAGTATTATGCTTTTTAATGAAGGTAGGGAGGTGGTTGAAAGCATCCGGTGACAAGTCCCCTTTTTAATCTTTGGGAAATTAGTTTATTTCTAGGAACCTTGGGTTCTTTACTTCTAAAATACGTGATTGGACTGGATGATTTTTCAAGTTGAGTCATTAATTCTTAACAAAATTCTACAAATCTGAAACATGAAAGTGGTGATACTTCATACTTCATTGGATAGCCGAATATTTCTCAGTGTGGCCATCCAGGCCCAAGATACACATTTGGGAGTCATCAGTGCATAGATATAGCACTCAAAATCATGAGCTCAAATGATGTTAGGAGTATAGCCAAGAAGAGGAGTGGTGTGAGCACTGACTGACCCCTGGGATACCCTACTGTTGGTAGTAAATGAGCATAGAAAGAACAAATAAAAGAGACTGAGCAGCTGTGCCCAGGAAAGTAGGAGGAGAACCAAATGTCTTGGAGTCAAGTATAAAAATGTTTTAAGAATTGAAGTGTGCAGTTATGTTGAATGTAGCTGATAGTTTGGATACTATAAGGTCTGAAACTTAGCCATTGGCTGTAGGAAGGTAGAGGTCTTGGGAGACCTTAACCTGTTTTGGTGAAGGGATGGTGGGAAGGTGACATGGTTTGGATCTGTGTCCCCACCCAAATCTAATATTGAATTGTAATCCCCAATGTTGGAGGTGGGGCCTGGTGGGAAGTGATTGGATCTTGGGGGTGGATCCTTCATGAATGGTCTAGCAACATCCCTTTGGTGCTGTTCTCAAGATAGAGTTCTCATGAGGTTTGGTGGTTTAAAAGTGTATAGCACCTTTAGAGTAGAATGATTTATATTCCTTTGGGTATACACCTAGCAATGAGATTGCTGGGTCAAATGGCATTTCTGGTTCTAGATTCTTGAGGAATTGTCACACTGTCTTCCACAATGGTTGAACTAATTTACATTCCCACCAACAGTGTAAAACCGTCCCTATTTCTCCACAGCCTTGCCAGCATCTGTTGTTTCTTGACTTTTTGTATTTTGTTTTGTTTTGTTTTGAGACGGAGTCTCATTCTGTCACCCAGGCTGGAGTGCAGTGGTGCGATCTCAGCTCACTGCAACCTCTGCCTCTCAGGTTCAAGCAATTCTCCAGCCTCAGCCTCCCGAGTAGCTAGGATTATAGGTGCCTGCCACCACGCTAATTTTTTTATTTTTAGTAGAGGCACGGTTTCACCATGCTGGCCAGGCTGGTCTCCAACTCCTGACTTCAGGTGATCTGCCCGCCTTGGCCTCCCAAAGTGCTGGGATTACAGGTGTGAGCCACCATGCCCGGCCCTTGACTTTTTAATAATTGTCATTCTGACTGGCGTGAGATGGTATCTCATTGTGGTTTTGATTTGCATTTCTCTAATGATCAGTGATGCTGAGGTTTTTTTTCATATGTTTGTTGGCCACATAAATGTCTTCTTTTGAGAAGTGTCTGTTTATATACTTTGCCTACTTTTTGATGGGGTTGTTTGTTTTTTTCTTGTAAATTTGTTTAAGTTCTTTGTAAATTCCAGATATTATACCTTTGTCAGATGGGTAGATTGCAAACATTTTCTTCCATTCTGTAGGTTGCTTGTTCACTCTGGTGATAGTTTCTTTTTGCTGTGCAGAAGCTCTTTAGTTTAATTAGATCCCGTTTGTCAGTTTTAGCTTTTGTTGCAATTGCTTTTGGCATTTTCGTCGTGAAATCTTTGCCCATGCCTATGTACTGAATGGTACTGCCTAGGTTTCCTTCTAAGGTTTTTATGGTTTTGGGTTTTACATTTAAGTCTTTAATCCATCTTGAGTTAATTTTTGTATAAGGTGTAAGGAATGGGTCCAATTTCAGTTTTCTACATATGGCTAGCCAGTTTTTCCATTACTGGGTATATACCCAAAGGAATATAAATCATTCTACTATAAAGATACATGCACACATATGTTTATTGCAGCACTATTTACAATAGCAAAGACATGGAACCAATCCAAATGCCCATCAACGATAGACTGGATAAAGAAAATGTGGTACATATACACCATGGAATACTATGCAGCCATAAAAAGGAATGAGATCATGTCCTTTGCAGGTACATGGATGAAGCTGGAAGGCATCATCCTCAGCAAACTAACACAGGAACAGAAAACCAAATGCCGCCTGTTCTCACTTATAAGTGGGAGGTGAACAATGAAAACTCATGGACGCAGAGAGGGGAAAAACACACACCAGGGCCTACTGGGGGTGGGGAGGGGAGGGAGAGCATCAGGACAAAAAGCTAATGCATGCGGGGCATAAAACCTAGATGATGAGTTGATAGGTGCAACAAACCACCATGGCACGCATATACCTATGTAATAAACCTGCATGTTCTGCAGATGTATCCTGGAACTTAAAGTAAAATAAAAAAAAAAAAGTATATAGCACCTCCTCCCTCCTCTTCTTTCTGCTCTGGCCGTGTAAGTTGTGCCTGCTTCTCCTTCGCCTTCTGCCATTATTGTAAGTATCTTGAGGCCTCCACAGAAGCTGAGCAGATGCCAGCATCATGCTTCTTGTACAGCCTGCAGATTGACTGTGAGTCAATTAAATCTCTTTTCTTTATAAATTATCCAGTCTCATGTATTTATTTATAGCAATGCAAGAACGGACTAATACAGAAGGGGATACTCTTTATTGGAGTGAGTTCAAGAGAATGTGGGGTAGGGGAATTAGAGTGAATATAGCAACTCTCTGAAAGGAAATTCACTGTTGACAGGAACAGAGAAATAGGAGTGTAACTGGAAGGGGACATGAGGTGAAGCTTTTAGTGTTTTGTTTTGTTTTGTTTTGTTTTGTTTTTTTTTTGAGACAGGGACTTTCTTTGTTGCCTAGGCTGGAGTGCAGTGGCACAAACATGGCTCACTGCAGTCTTGGGCTCCTGCACCCAAGCAATCCTCCCACCTCAGCCCTGCAAGTAGCTGGGACTACAAGCATGTACCAACATGCCCGGCTAATTTTTTTTTTTTTGTAGAGATGGGGTCTCCCTGTGTTGGCCAGGCTGGTCTCAAATTCCTGGGCTTACGTGATCTGCCCACCTCAGCCTCCCAAATTGCTGGGATTACAGGCATAAGCCAACACACCCAGCCAGTTTTTGTTTTTTAAGGTAAGTAATTGTAATGATTATATGCTAAGAATGATTCAGTAGAGAGACAAATATTTATGAGACAGGAGACAGAGAAGCCAGTTGTAGAATTGCTATGTTTCAGGAGGCAAGAAGGATCCTAGCACATGAGTGGGTTGGCCTTAGCTAGGAGTACAGTATATTCACAGGAGAAAAGGTAGAGTATGTGGGCACTTTGGAAGTCATTAGCACTAATGTCAAAGCTGTTCAACTCTCTGACTTGTGGGCATATGGTAGGACTCTTCTTCCTGGCTTCTGATGGCTTGCTGGGATCATGTAACTGGTTGTGGCTGGTGAATTGTGTTAAATGACACGTATTTCTGTGCTATAGCATTTAATTGTCAGTGTAAACATCTTCAAAAGTTATTTTCCTTTATGCCATGGTGACTGGTGATGTTCCAGAATCTGGCTGATTATCAATCAACCTGCATCCCTGAGTAAGGGCAGTGTAGAGCAGATCCCTCAGCTGACCATGATGAACATTTACTGTCTTTTGTCGTTAAGCTCCTGAGGGTTGTAGTGGTTGTTGTTAGAGCATAAGCTGGCCTGTCTTGAGTGATAAAGGCACAGATGTAGCTAGGAGGACAGATGCGATGGGTGGGCGGGGGCGGGGGGGGGCACTTGTGGAAAGTCTGTTCTGACTGTGCCTGGTATTTCAGTGAAACAGGAAGATAAGCCGAGTGTGAGGATAACGAGGAGGCATCAGAGATATGAGGAGAGCCATGTGTATGAAATAGTCATTGGGGAGAATCTGAGAGTAATTGAGCCAGTAAAATGTATCATGATCATCAGAAAGCACTCAGGGCCCATTTGAGTTTGGTGGCCATGAATATAAAGTGAGTAGTTGGTGTGGGGGTATGTTTTTCTCCTATCACTATGGACCGAGTGGGTGCAGACGTGGTGTTGACAAAGAACTGGATTTAAGCAGGGATTTGGTCTTGCCAGGCAAGGATGACAAAGTGAGGTAGTGGAAAGGGAGTTGAAGATACATACAAGGGAGTGATTATTTAGCATATTCTTATTGGACTTTAATCAGCCTCAATCATATTCTTAGGGTAGTTAGCATTGGGGACTGAGAGATATAGTAAAAGTCAAACTGTGTCATGTAGTGGCTGGTTTAAAGTTTTCCAAGCACTTTTGCATGTGTAAGAATATGAGAAAGGGCAGGTGGTAAGTGGGGTTGGCCACAAAACAGTGCAACTCTTCATTTTTTCGGGATAAGGGGAAGGCCTCTTCTACACCCATGTTTATCCTCTGTCCCTTGTGAAGTCCCTGGCATGGTGGCCTCTTCGGTTTCTTTTTTCCCCTCTTTTCTTTTTTTCTCCCGTCTTCTCTTTAAAATATCTCTGCTGGCCATGTGTGGTTTAAGCTTGACCATAGTATTCTTTGTCCTTCATTTTTCTTTGTTCCTTTTTCCTTTGTCTAATTGTGGGGTTTGGCCGTCTCTTGGGCAGGTGGGGAGGGAAGAGATGGTGTGTGGGGTGGGTTACCACAATTCTGAATTAGGTCTCTGGGTTGGACCCATAAAGCCCGTAGTCACCCACCATTATATAAGTGTAAGTTATCCCCGAGATAATCTGCGAATTCTCTAAGTTGTAGTGAGGAAAGTGAAGCCTGAAGTTATGTCATTTACACAATAATGGATAATTGGTATTACCTTCACTTTCCTTGCCTCCCCTCCCTGTTTTTTTCCCTCCTGTAGGGAATGTTGGCTATTAATAGTTGGGATTGTCCCTAATTCTTGTAGTCAGTTTTATGTGCACAGTGTGCCTCTTCCTGGCCACTTAGATCTAAATAATGTCCCAAAGGACACCCAATCAAAGCTTCCCTTCTCTCTTTGCAGCTTCAAGATACAGATGCTGATTCTAATTCTGGAACTGTTTATAGCAGTGTCTTGTATTAGTGTCGGGTCACTAGAAAGCTAGAGGGGCCAGGTCATTCTAAGAGTTGTTAAATGTGTTTCTTGTGTTCCTTTATTTAGACAGGGACGGGAGAGGGCTGGTTTGAGGAGGCCCTGCTGTCTGCTTTGGTGTTGAGTTTGAACCTCTGGTCTGAGGATCCCAGGTACTCTGTTCACATCACCATGTGGCACACCCAGCCTGATTTGAGAGGGGGAAGAAGTTTACGGGGTTGGGTGGGGGGTGTACATGACTGCACAGTACCAGAAAGAAGCAGTTCATTCATGTCAGCCCTGCCACTTGTGCATCAGGGCTGTTGTCAGGAGCCTGGTGCTGCTCAGGGGGTGGGAACAGGCTTTGGCCATCGGGAGCAGTTGTCTCTGGCCCCTAGGAGTCCTCACCCAGGGCTTCTGTCTTTCTTGATGGAAGATTTTTGATGCTTTTTTTTTTTTTTGAGACCAGGGTTTTGCCTCGTTCCCCAGGCTGTAGTGCAGTGGTACCATCATATGTCTCACTGTAGCCTCGATCTCCTGGGCTCAAGTGATCCTCCCTTCTTGGCCTTCTGAGTAGCTAGGACCCCAGGCGCATGCCACCATGCCTGACTAAATTTTTTAAAAAGTTTTTTGTAGAGACGGGGAGTCTCAGTTTGTTGCCCTGGCTGGTCTTGAACTCCTAGTCTCAAGCGATCTTCCTGCCTTGGCCTCCCAAAGTGTTGGGATTACAGGCGTGAGCCACCATGCCCGGCCTGATACTTTTTGTTAAAACAGGAACACACTCCCGAGAGGACAAGAGCTTCAACTTCCCTGAACAAGTACCATGTAGAGTCATTTAGTAGCAGCTCCTATGACTAGATTTGGAGAAGATGGGTGATGAAGTATGAGCAAGGAGGGGGCCTTTGGATGAGGAGGGATGAGAAGGGCAGGGCCAGGCCTTGCACACTTCATAGTTAAGGCCTCTCTTTTGCTCAACAGCATGTGAATTTGGGAGACTTTGCTGATTATAGCTTGGGACACAGATTATTGCTTGAACCATGACGTTGCAGTTCAGTTCTGTTCTCTCTCCTTTATTTCTCAGACCCCTGCCAGAATGTGCCTGGGTATGTACCTACCGCAGCCTTTCTTAGGCCAGTATGTGCACTGAAGGCTTGCCCTGGACAAAGCCTCACAGGGTTGCTTCTCCTTGGTTTTTCATCTCCTGTACCTCTAAGATGGTACTCTGTGTCAGTGATAGTGGCATTAGGTACAAATTAATTGAGACGGGGGCAGAAGTAAGAAAAATCATGGCATGCCTTATGGCGTTCAGAAACTAACCTTTACTCTGTGTGTGTGTGTGTGTGTGTGTGTGTGTGTGTGTGTGTGTGTTTTCAATAGATTACAGTTTGTGGAGGAGTATGCAAATCATACAGAAACTATGCAAATATATTTCCTATCTTGTTCATGTTTTCACATACCTCACTAATGCCTCTGGTGAAATGCAAAAGGAGAATGTTCTGAATCATAGATCCCAAAAGCTAAGGAGTCATGAGCTATTGGGAAATTCAGTTATATAGTACTTGTTTTTTAATCTCCATAGCCAAGTTACAGAAATGTTCATCAGATTTCTGTTATAGGGGAAATAGTCTTCAGCATTCCAATTCTTTCCCTTACATTATAATTCTTACAGTGGAAAGTTGAAATCACGAGCTTTAGAACTGTGCAGTTTCCTTTGAGTTTAGCTTTTCTGAACGGAAGGCTGTGTGAATAAGTTTGCCTTGCCACTTTGCTCTTTCAACTTAAGAGTTATTGTTTCTACAAATGTTGTCTCCTTAGAGAAACGTCTACGTTTCAGAGGAACGGATGATGGATTAGTGTTTACAGTAATGAGAGAGTAAAGAGAGGTTTGGTAGAGGGGGAACCGGTGCGGGAACCATTCAAAAAGTAGCCGTAGCTAGTAATGCTTGTATACTCCCTCTACGCATGAATGATTCATTTTGCCGCTTTGTTATAATAGCCACAGTGTTCAGTCTCTAAGGCTGTCTTGTGATATATCCTTCTTTTGCTAAAAGGCTACATATCAGCAGCCTCGTTTGATTTAGAAGCCGATTCAGCATACCACACATACCATTTGAGAAGAATGCCAGGACCCTTCCTGCTATGAAAATGTCATGCATGCTTAAAATGACAAGGTTTGGCTCAAGCAATGGTTTCAAGTGCTTCTTAATTATCCTTTTTGAATCTTCAAAGCAATTTAATTTTAGGGTTTTCATTTTCAGTTAAGATATAAGTCACCCAAATATTTGCTTTATTTTTAAATATCAAAATGCTGACTTGGCGATTTAGAGTATCCAAAATGTAGCATGAAGGTGGTACCTTTTAAACTGTGGCAAAAAACATATCATAAAATTTCCCACCTTAAGCATTTTTAAGTGTACAGTATAGTAGTGTTAATATATTCACAGTGTTGCGCAACAGATCTCTGGAACTTTTTCATCTTGCAAAACCGAAAGTATATTGAACAACTCCCCATTTTCCTCTCCCCTGCAGCCCCTGACAACCACCATTGTACTTTCTGTTAAGAGTTTGAATACTTTAGATACCCCATATAAAGGGAATCATGCAGCAGTTGTCTTTCTGTGTCTGGCTTATTTCATGTAACTTTATGTCCAACAGGTTCATCCATGTTATAGCAGATGACAAGATTTCCTTATTTTTAAGGCCGAATAGTATTCCATTATGTACATATACCACATTTTGTTTACCCATTCATCTGTGAAGGCAGTTTGTCTTTTTGTAAAGAGTGGTCTCACGAAAGCTTTTCTTGGGAGGTAAAACAACCAAACCACAGAGAACATAGAGAAATTAAATCTGAGACATGTACGCTAAGAAATGGAATTTTTGTTTGTGATATTTAATATCAGACTTTCATACTTGCAAAACGTGGAATTTCCTCCACTGAAATTCTAGTACAAGCAATTTAGGTTTGCACTCCTTCAAAATCCAAAACCCTCCTCCTCATATACCCCATCTGGCTCTCTCTTAGTATTACAGTCTCTGAGACTGTCCCTTAGGGGTACAGACTAAGGCACGTGCTCAAGTGTTCACTGGAGAGCTTGATAAAGTTGGCATTTTCTCCTAAAGTTGTCTGTGCTTCCATAGAATGTCTAGAGGGAAGAGATAAGGGGAAAAGGGGGTGGGGCGAGAAAGGAGCTGTCGGAGCCGTGAAAGGATGGATGACCTATGAGATCATTAAGGTTAGTTAATGGGTTTTCCCATTGGACTTTGTGGGTTTTTCTCACAGATCAGCTTCTATATGGATTCCAGCTCCACTCAGAGTTGAAGCAGCAGTTCTGGCTAAAGCAAAACCACACCAGCAATACGCTCTGTGGTCTGGCTTTAGTCTAAGAAGTGCTGCCAGAGAACCCGAAGACAAAGATTTGACTTGAAAGAACACGTGGTTGGGGTAGAATCTGATAGGGAGAATCTGAAATGCGTAGTGTTACTTTCACTTTTTCTCAACTTTGTTTTTTCCTGAGAGCAAAATGATGAGACAGCTGGAGAGGCCAGATTTTGAGAGTGGCTGGGGTCCTTGTCCTCAAAGATGCTGCAGTGTTAGTGATTGCCTGTCTTTGGCAGGTACAAGCTGTGAGAATGAGCCTTTTTCTCCTCCCCGTCCCTTAGGATTCCTGGATAAGGGTGAGAAGCAACCCAGGGTGGGAGCTTCTCTTTAACTTTTCCTGTAGTTGGCTAGGGCCCGTCTGTGAGCTGGGATGTGGTGTAGAGTGTGTGGTCTCCACTACAGCACTAAAAATGTCTCTATCTTGCCCGGAGTTAAGGGGAGTCAGGGAATGCTTTGCCTTTCTCTGCTTCTTTGATGTCCTCCGGAAAGCAAGACAGTGTGCAGCTGACTGGCTGGAGAGGAGAAAAGCTTCAGAAAAAGATTTTTTTTTCTTTTTTCCCCCAGAAAAGCTTCAGAAAAAGCTGACAGACAAGTCTGAAGTGCCTGGGGAAGTACTTGCGTTCTGTAGAATGTGGCTTCCTTGTGGCCCCAGGCCCCAGACCCTCGGACGCACTTGAGTTGAGTATGGGATGCAGAGGGAGGACCAGGTGCACCATTTTACAGCAGTGACAGCTGGTCCTGTCCTTTACACTACAGAATGCTGGGGAGGAGTTGCACGCTTAAGCCCTGCCAACTGTCAGGGCAGTCAGCTGTTTCTCAGGTGTGTGTCAGGTGAGGGCCTTGGCAAATCTTTTCCCCAAAGTGAGGGATCCCTTTGGAAGGCAGGTGGAAGCCAAGGACTCCTTGCTTTGTTGAGGCCAATTTGGAGACATGGAGAAATACTTTAAAGAGACTTTTGACAATCCCTATTTTTGTGTGTATACGACTTCAAAAAATAAGTTTTTCCTCCTATTTTTTATGAACATCTTCAAGTCTACAGCAAAGTTGAAAGATTTTACAGTGAACACATATGCCTACCACCTAAAAAATAAAGTTTAAAAAAATTAATACTTTATAACAAATAATGATACATAATTAATTTTTCTCATTCAAAATACTTATGGTATGGAGATATATATAATTTTTTTTTAATAGAGATGGAGTCTTGTTATGTTGCCCAGGCTGGTCTTGAGCTCCTGGCCTCAAGCGATCCTCCCTCCTCAGCCTCCCAAAGTACTGGTATTTTTTTTTTTTTTTTTTTTTTTTGTGGCAGAGTCTCACTCTGTCACCCAGGCTGGAGTACGGTGCGTGATCTTGGCTCACTGCAGCATCTGCCTCCCGGGTTCAAGCGATTCTCCTGCCTCAGCCTCCCGAGTAGCTGGGATTACAGGCACCTGCCACCATGCCCAGCTAATTTTTATAGTTTTGGTAGAGACGGAGTTTCACCATGTTGGCCGGGCTGGTCTTGAACTCCTGATTCAAGTGATCTGCCTGCCTCGGCCTCCCAAATACATTATATGAGAAGTGCAGTTGGGAAGGTAATTGGGAATGATAGCATACTATGAGCGTATTGGAAAAATCACGTTTACTCTAATATGAAGTTTGTTCCCTTATCGTTCCTGGCTCTTCTCTTGGTTCTCTCACCTCCTCCCTCCTCACACACACACAAGAGAGAGAAAGTATAGCAATTAATAGGTGAAGATTTTTTCCATATTCCAATGTGAATGGCTAGTTAAAAAACTTTTGCATGTTGACAACCACTTTCTTCCATCTTTCCTTTTCATAAGAAATTCAAGGAGAAAGTCTACACCCAATGTTGCATAGCAAGCAAAACCCCTCTCTTAGTTCAATGCAGCCACTCTGTAAAGGCCAAATAGACAATTCCATGGCAATTCATGGTGGCATTTGTCCATGTGGAAGAAAAGGTCCCTATGAAGTGGCAGATTACCTTAGTATTGTGAGGGACACATTTGTCATGCTCATTAGGAGGTGCAGATGGTGATTACTGGTTCTCTGGGGGAATTCTCCTTTGTGCTATTTATTTTAGTTATACACCACTGCTATTCCAGGTTGCTTGAATGAAACCCACACATGGGTAGGACAAGAATTTGCCCTGGGTCTCGGATGTCCTACCTTTAAAAAATGAAGGAGGTTTGGCTTTGCAGACATTTAGTATGTTCATCCAAATGCCAGGTGTTGTGGGTAAAACAGAGAAACTTCAGGGTAGAATCTCTGGAAGGAGCAAACTGTTGAGTAGGGAAGGGAAGATGTGGGTACATGGTGGGTTAGGAAGGATGAGATGTCAGTGCACTGTGAGTCCAGAGAGCAGGAAGTGGCTGGTAGTCACGGTGGTTAGGGAAGTTTTCCATTTCCATTTCCATTTCCAGTTCTGTTTCTCGAGGAGCCTTTGGTTTCAGGTGGTTGGGGATGGATGGACAGAGGGGCAGGGGAACTTTCAAGGCCCCTGTGAATTGCCCAGAGCAAGGAGGCTTTTTCTTTCAATCCAGCAAGCATGTTATAGTGATGGCGGATTTGTGAAAGTCTTGCCAGATAGAGAAGATATGTTGGGGCTGTTTGTGTAGGACCTCAATTGACAGATAAGTTTGAAGGCCAACACAGGCCATAGTTTCCAGGATCATTTTTCATTTCTTATTTGTGATTGACAGAAACCATAGACTAGGGTCTTTCAAAAGAAAGAATGGTGCCCATTTGCCTATTTATTGTTTGGATAAAGAAATGAATTTGACTGTGTGACCTGTTACTAAATAAGTTTAAGAGAAATGATGGCCAAGCAAAATATGCGGAATAAATTTTTAATCTGAAGGTAACTCCCTAAATCCCAGGTATTACCTTCTCACGAGAGAAGAAAGTGGCTGGAAAGAGTTGTGAAGAGTTGCATTCCTTTTTTTAATGGAGATATGGTCACTGTTTAGACCACAAGCAAACAGAAGAAGCCCAGCAGCATTTCTTGGGTATAGTTACTCATCTTCTCAAATGTTGCAAAATACCGAAGGGAAGGGAAAACCAGAAGTTGGTTGGGGTGGGTGGGCTTGGTGGTTTAAAAAATATGGTGACTAACTGACTTGTGCTGACTAATATTGGTGAACTCATAATGAGTAACAATAGTGAATTTAGGAGGAATATAAGTAGAAGGAGAGCTATTTAAAGGTTGCTTTAATACAAAAGGCAGCTGAAGTGGTCACAATAAGGATTCCCTTAGGGAAATTCGGAAGTAACTCCGTTTACCCTTACAAAGTTCTTGTTTCCTTTAGAATTCTTACAAGTATGGCTTCTTTTCCACTGGCCTCCTGGGGGGAGTTCTTGGCAGATGAGCTTGCTCGTTGTTTTGCATTGAAGAAATACCATAGATGTCCAGTAAGCAAGAGCAACCAGTTGATTAAAACAAGGTTGGCAGTAATGTCTGTGAACTGAAACCATAAAAGGTTTGTTTGACTTTTTCTTCTTAGGGGTTTTTTTTTTTTTCTTATCATGGTATAAAAAAGTACAAGAACTGACCAACCATCTTTTTCGTAAACATAGATGCTATCTTTTTAAAATGAAAGATCATAACATTATTTATAAATAGAGCAAACATACAACCAATCAAAATGTACAAGGACAGGATAGTCTGTTGTGGAATTTTCTATTATCTGTGTGTTGATCAGAGAATGTTTTGTTTTCATTCTTCTTGAAAATATTTTGTAAATGTTATTTTCCTTGAAACTCCATTTTCCTAACTTCACTTGACCCTGGGCAAGGGGTCCAGAGAAACCATCCTGTAGAGCTTAGTGTTGTATTTAGGAAACATTTTTTGTATTTAGGAAAAATTTTATCTAAGAGTTTTGCTTTCACAATTAGAGCAGATTGCTTATTTTAAAAGGAAATAACTTTTAAAATCCAATTTGGTTATTGTATTCTACTCTTCAGCGTTTTTGTTGGTGTATATAAATGAAAAATGAATTCAGAGGGATTTATATGGACGTTTGGTATAAGAATTGCCTCAAGCCTTTGCAGGACACCTCAATCCAAATTGAGGGTGTCTCCTGTTTTTGTGTCTTTTGGTTTTGGCTAGTGCCACATATTACAAGTATCGTCTCTCTTATGCAGAATCACTATTTCCAATTCATTCTGAAGTATTATAAGCGTTTATTCTGTAAAGTCAGAGATTGAAAGTTTTCCAATCTCATCTAGGTTTAGCACTTTGGAAACTGGTTAATAAACAGCATGACTCTATTTTCATTTTGACATGTAAGCCCCCGAATGAGTTTGTTTTTTCTTTAAAAAAAACTCATATTAGCAAAGTTTGAAATACCTTTCCTAAAATGAAACTTCAGTACTGGATGGAACTTAGAGTCTTGGGTTTATTGGAGCTTTTCAGCAGAGAGCAGTGATGAGCTGAGGAGTATGGACAACAGAAATGTTTTATTAAGGAGGTTATTGAATGGACCAGGAAATGCTATAGATATTAATAAATATGATTGGAGTGCAGAAGCCGAACCTCATTGGAACTGGTGAACTCCTAGCTATTTGGTTTTAATTTAAAAAAGAACTTTGGTTTTCAGCTTTGACATACAAAAGGAAGCTAGAAGTTATTCTTGAATAGCTAACCCTTTGTTTAAGCAGTAAAAATCAGTGGGGTGTCCAGCATCATCAAAGAGTCATGCAAACAAGGTGGAAAGCATTTGTTTCCTCCTTGCTCAGAGTTACTCTTTGAATCTTATGCAGTTTGCAAATGTGTAGGAGGATGGACAGTTTTTATGTTGGTCAATGCTAAAGAGAATGGGTTTCCTCAGACTGTAGAGATAATAGTGGCACAAAGTAATGGCTTACTGAATATGTTGAATGACTGGATTCACAAACCTTGTCTTAAAATTCTGGAATGATAGTGAGGCTTGAAACCTGAAAGAAGGCATTTTAAGAAAATAAAGCAAACAATATTTTTGACTCAAATCACGGAATAAATTATACAAAGACGTGTGCCCACTGGAGCTATAAAATAAGCTCAAGAAATATTTCTATCAGGTGATGGATACTAGAAGTGTGAAGAGGTGTCTCTGGTCACTGAAGAAAACAGAGTGCCATCTAGTGGAAACATTTCACTATAATGTATTACAGTACACACTAATTTAGATTTAGGTTCTTTTTTTTCCCCTCGTTACGGAGACAGGGTCTTGCCACATTGCCCAGGCTGGTCTTGAACTCCTGGGCTCCAGGCGATCTTCCTGACTCGGCCTCCCAAAGTGTTTGGATTACAGGCATGAGCCACCATGCCTGGCCAAGAGTTAGGTTCTTAATAAAACATGTAACAATTGATTTTCTTACTCAAAGAATGATTTTTAAAAACTATTGATTTTGAACTAATTTTAAATTTGCAGAAGAATTGTAAAAATAGGCTGGGTGCGGTGGCTCATGCCTGTAATCTCAGCACTTTGGGAGGCCGAAGCGGGTGGATCACCAGAGGTCGGGATTTCGTGACCAGCCTGACCAACATGGAGAAACCCCGTCTCTACTAAAAATACAAAATTAGCCTCTGGGCATGGTGGCGCATGCCTGTAATCTCAGCTACTCGGGGGGGGGCGCTGAGGCAGGAGAATCGCTTGAACTCGGGAGGCGGAGGTTGTGGTGAGCTGAGATCGCGTCATTGCACTCCAGCCTGGGCAACAAGAGCAAAACTCTGTCTCAAAAAAAAAAAAAAAAAAAAAAATTGTAAATATAGTACAGAGAGTTCCCATATACCCTTTGCCCAGCTTTCTCTGTTAACCGTGGTATACTTATCAAGGCCAGGAAATTAACATTGGTACAGAACTACTAACTAAACTGCAGACTTTATTTGGATTTCACCAGTTTTTCCACTTATGTCCTTTTTCTGTTCCAGGATCCCATCCAGGATCCCACAGTGTTTTTAGTCATCGTGTCTCCTTAGGCTGCAAATCTGAGACAGTTCTTCCTCAGTTCAAAGAGTGTTTACTAAAAATGCTTCTCTAGGGATTGTGGCTGTTATAAAATACATTTTGAAAATACAGGAGACTTAGAAAATTAAAAGGTAGTTATGAAATAAGAATTTTGACCTAGAAATATTTATTCTGCTTGTCCATCCCCTGCCCCATCTTTTAAAACAGCTTTTTGTATTTGCAAAGTACTTTATAAGTTTTACTTATTCTCAAAAGTTATGAGGGGCAGAAACAAATCATTGACAATTTCCTCATGTTACTTAAAAGGAAATTGAGCCATAGGGGAGTTTTATATTTTGCCTTAACTTGTGTAGCTGTCTCTCACACACTGGGAGGTAGGAAAAAGGACGACAAATTACAAAGCAATTGAAAAGTGAACCTTATTTTGCCAACTTTTTTTATTATGACAGTAACTGAGTTTTAAAACAAAAGACAAATTAATGAATCAAATATTTTATTCTTTAAAATTGATATCTTAAATACTAGTCAATGTTTTCAAAATATTTGCCACATTTAAGCATCATATATATTTATCTGGTTTTTAAAGTAACAGTTTGGGCTATCTAAGAGTGCTAAATTTTTACTGCCTTAAATATTGCAAAAATATTTCTATTACAAGTTATTTTTTAAAAATAGAAGTGATTTTTGATCCTTAAACAACTTCTTGGTTTTGTTGCACCCCATGTAACATACTGTGTATGGGAGATGAGAATAATGAGAATAATAAATTGGGGAAACAGTCTGAGGCTTATTTTACTGGTTTATGGCTTCATTCCCCAAAATACTGCCTTTTGCACTGTGTGAGTCTTCTGAATATAATGACCACAGTGAACTCTGGTGTACCTGAAAGAAGTGGAAAGGCCTGGAATTTCCACAGAGATGTAACGTTTTCCTTTATCACTGCTCCACACCCACCTTCCCCAAATCAACTCCGATAGATGTGGTGATGCTATATGAAATGCAAGTGCCTCCCAAACTAAGAAGGACGTGAAGGCCTCAACCAACCAACAAAGACACCTTACTCAGAAAGCTCACCATCAGGTTGATGTTGGCGTGAGGGAAGGATGGATGTGCTGTGGCTCCAAGATACCAACAGGTGTTTGAGCTGCAGTCAGCCCGTGAAGTAGCCAAGCTGTCAAGGCTGAGTGCCTTTGGAAGCTGGCAAGTCTCCTTTCTCAGAATGCTCTTCCTGACTGGGAGGTATAAACGTGTTGCTTTTCCATCGATTGTGTAATTGGGCCCTCTCAATTTTTTTTATCAATTCATTTTAATTTTAGGCTTCACCTATATGCATAGGTAAAGTTGTTTGAAAGTGAAAGCAAACATGGAATTACCTGCCTTTAAGGCCACGTAGGGAAGCAGAGAAATTTAGTGTCTTTTTAAGTTTCTCACCTACTATTAGGAACCCTCCTCTCTCTCTCTCCCTCCTTCCCCAGACTCTCCCTGTGTCCCTCTCCCTCTCTCCCTCCTCCCTCTTTCCCTGCTTCTCCTTTTCTCTCCCTGTCACGCTTCTCTCTCTTCTCACTGTCTCTCCCTCCTCTCCCCTTTTTTTCCTTTCCTTACCACTCAGGCAACCCCACTGGGTCATGGGGAGCTTTAGGTGTCCTCCCACCCTGTGCTCTCTTTACTGACAGAAGTAAACTTGCATGTAGCATTTAGACATGCATTTGTGGCTGTTAACTTATTACTCCTTTCGGGTAAAATACTTGAAACTTAATGGATGCCTTGGGAAGGTAATAACTGAGGGCTAAGAACAGATCATTGTAGGCTTGTGAGCGTTCAAGCAAGAGCATTTTGCTAATGCTCAGTTGTTCCCCACACCAGGGCTGACCTTGCCAGTGTCTAATCACATGAGAAGCACGCAAAGTAAATCTTATAAAAACTACTGATTATAAAATGGCCTCCTTTGGAACGCAGCAAGCAAGCATTTTTCAGACCTGTGAATGAAAGGAGACTTTCCAAATGAATCCATTTACACAGTGTACTAGATCATATTACATCTCATGAACCGAACTGTAAGAGCAATGTGAAAACATTCCGAAGGAAATGGGAGAAATAATTTGCCTGTTCAGCTATATACTTCTAAAACTTTCTGTTGACATGTTTATTGGAGATTGGATTTCTAAGAGATCATTTTCACATTAATGTTTAGCAGGATTGATTATTTTTCACAAACCTCCATCTTTGGCAACTTGAGTTTATCATTAAGCATTTTCAGTAACATTCTGGCTCTCTGTATATTTCTCCCCTTACAGCAAGTGGGAAAAGAGTTGTATTGGTTCTTCTTGCAGTTGTCTGTAATTAAAAATGGCTTTGTGCTTTTTAGGACAAAATGGTATAAGTTGGGCATTTTATGCACAGTGTTATATGCCTAAGAAATGGTGTGAGAAAAGGAGGGATCCATGTTTTCCCTATAAATATTGAGAGAAGACATTTCACTTTGCAGAAATTATGTTAGTACAAATTCTCTTATTCCTAATTAATTTTCTTTCATTGACTCTCAACATATGTGCTTTGTTGAACCATTGGCTACAGTAGTAGTTCTTTAGTTTTTAAAGATGAACTTTCATCACTGCAAACCAGGAACACTTCAAGTGCTTATAGAATCAGGCTGTTGAAGCGAGTTAAACTGTTGAACTGTTCCTAGGATTGGTTGTTGTTATGTGCTTTTGAATTCTTGCATTTGTAAGTGAGCAGTTTCCCTATTTATGTAGTCTGCAGTTCTTAGTGCTTAATAAATGTTAATATTCTATAGCTACTTTGGGTTTCTAGAGCATGTGGCATTATCAAGTTTAAAGCCTATGTGAAGAGTTTTTATGGCATTTAATGAATACTAAGGTTTTCTGTGTGTTGGAGTTAATGAAAAATTCATTTTTCTTCATGTACTCTAAATACCTCATGCTTTAAAAATAGACTGGTCTTGGCCGCATTTGGTTTTTGTGACCTTTCCTCCATTATTATTTGAGAATGTTACAAAATAGGGCCTGTGCTGGTACTTTAACTTGATTATACTTTGCATATATCATAAAAATATATGTGATTCTCCCCTCATCAATATTAAATGAAAGCACTTTTTTAAGCCTCGGATTTTCCTTGTCTGTATCATACACTCTTCACTATGAGCTGAGCAGGGGTGTTGAATAGCATATAGCACCAGGCCCATGTGGCCTTCTCACCATCCTCAGTGTGGGCCTTTCAACTCGATACCATGCTCATCTGATGTGATTATCACAAACCCATACTTAGCAAGAGAGTTCCCAGCCTATAAGTAGATTTATTCTATCTTAAGCCTTGGCTTATATGAGAGAGGTTTTGTGGCATCTGGGAGATGGAGTCATGGAAATTTGATTAAAAAGAAAAAAGGGGGGAATATTGTTTGGTCTGTCCTGTTTTGAGGTGAACAAGGTCTCTAGGAACTTTTTCTTAAAGGCTGTGTGAATCTGTGTTATTTTAGAAACCCTATTTCCTCTTACCCTTCTCACGAACCACGTACTCAAAGATACCGCATATTTGACAATGAAATACCTGGCCCAGAGGAAAGTAACAATGATTTATATTTTCAGAAGAGAAGTGTAGTATTTTGGAGTTAGCTAGATCTATCCCTCCCCGCTTTTTTTTAAACAGATGGAGAAACTGAGTCCTGAAGGATTATAACATCCTTGAAATTATACAAAGAACTGAAGTAGCATCTGGCTTGTCTAGGAGGTCAAGATGAGAAAGACTTCTCCTTGATTGGCTCCCTCTTAAAGAGAAATGCTTTTGCTCAGCATTGCAACTATTGACCTTCTGATTACATCACTCATGATTTTTTAAAAAATGTTAAAACTTACATTGAAAAAATACATATGCCACTTTTAAAATGGAGGCTTTCAGCAGCATTTCGATCTATCCATATGTTATGGTTTGGGCCAAATTAACCAGCCAATTTCAGATCTGTTTTTTTTTTTGGAAAGCTTAGGTATATATTCACTTGAACTTTCTGTCAAATCACAGCTTGAAGAAGCTATCTCCAAACTGCTTTTCATGTACTGGTTAAATTAAGGATGCTTCTCTCAGGCAGAGCTCATGTTCTCCTAATTTGGGCTGGCCATCCTTTCACTGGTGCTCCTCATGCTGTGCCTCCTTCTTATCTGCCTCTGAAGCATCACGCTGCCTGTGACCTTTCTGGTGCCCCTCTGTCTTCAAGTACCTGGGCTCCTGGAGGGCCTGGGTCAGGGCCTGAGTGCTCAGGAGCAGGCGGGAAACCACACCAGAGAGCCCCTCTCTTCCTGCCCACGCCTGGAGAGTCAAGGTCAGCAAATTACCTGGCTAGAAAGCTCCCCTGGGGTCTCTGATCACAGCCAGGGCAGAGAATTCTTGCTATAATGATTGAAGGACTCATCTCTTTGCGGAGAAACTCAGAAAATAACATGGATGATACTAACCTTTACTCAGGGCTCATGTGTGAGGTCGAAGGAGAAGATAAGAGGTTTCCCCGTATTCTTTCATGTGTGTTTATTTGTTAAATATCTGTCTGTTGTGTGCCAGGCTCTGAAACAGTTATTACACACTTCATCTGTACTGCAACACTGTGAGGAAGAGATGATTGGCCTTATTTTAGAAATGAGGCCATAGATACTTAAGAGAGCATTCAAGTCATTTGCCCAAAATCACATTGTAAATGATAGAGAGGATATGCGTTACCTTCCCTTTTCTGATTTCACCAAGCCTATACCAAGAAAAAACATACAGCAAAATGGATGTTGAGTTTGAGATTTCCTTTCTTATTCGTATATCAGTATAAATAACAAATTTGTTTTTCAAGGCATATTTTTCATTTTGCAGAATTTTGGTGTAATAATGACATTGGAAAAATATTTCTGAGGTTCCACTTTATACCAGATCCTGTCTAGGTGCTGGGGATACAGCAGTGAGCATATGCAAAAGTAAGTTATTTTTATCAGGTTCTGAGATAAAACTAGAAAGAAGCTGTATCTGTGCATATTTCATTATGTTCTTTCTTTAATAGCAAGGCATGGAAACATAGAGCCCAAGATTAATTGCTGTTATTTTTCCATTGACTCACAGAATTACTGAACTAACAGGGTACTTTTGAGGTTACTTAGCCAGCTTCTGAGGGTCTGGAGGGAATGCCAACCTAAACCATTCTAGTATTCATCATTTTCAAGGAGGGAGATTCCATGAAGCCTTTGTGGAAGCTGCTGCTTTGGACCCTTGCAGCCTGCTGTGATGATGATAAATTATTTCTGCCCCATCAGAGCTGGATGGAATAAATGTGGTTTTTAAGTTGAATACATGAAAAGCATTTTTAATATCCTAAATTCTATACTTTTATCCAAAATAAGCACCTTTAGAGGTTATGAAATGAGAAGCAGAGTCCCAGGCAGGTGGTCACACACCTGTTTGGTACTGGTGTGTCCGGAATCCTACCCACTGTGATGACAGTGCCTGATAGTTTCTTCTGCCTTTCTATCCCAAAACGATTGGTCAGTTTACCCAAGTTTGCAATGCAGTTTAGAATCTCCCAGGAACATCTCTTCTAGTAGTTGTCTTAGCCATCTTGTAGTTGATTTGACTTTTTTTTTTTTTTTTTGCTTCCAGAAAGCTCTATGCTTCATATGGACTTGCATACCAATTTTTTGTTCATCTGTTGGTCATGATGGTTAGCAGAGCCTGACCTCCTGTTACAATAGAATGATCGGTTCCTGGGCTACAGACTTGAGTCTGTTTTTTTTGTTTTTTAAACCTTCCCATGTGGCAATTTGCCATATGCAAAACTTAAATGGTAGCCAGTTTCACCTCAAGTTTCAGATTCCATCATTGTGTTTGTCCCTTGAAAGTATAGATTATTCCCCATCATGAGAATGCCAGGTGTAGGGGAAACATCTCCTGAAAGAATAGCTTGTCAAACGCTGATAGAAATTTTTCATTAGAAGTCTCCTCATCTGTGAAATAAGGGCATGGGCAGAGAGATTTATGAGGTTACTTTCAGCTTTATGAGTCTGACTAAATGGGGGAAGAATTGCAGCCATTCAGTTGGGTGCCACGACTTTGTTTCCAAACTCAGGCTGACTCCACTCAGGTCCCCTGCCTTGGGTTGGGAATGGCTGGCTTGTTGTTGTCCTGAGGAGCCCATGCCAGAAACCCAAGTCACCTCCTTTGGGGTATCTGAGGGCAGTGTTTTTCAAACTTTTTCTGTGGAAGCTAAATTTTCTTAAAAGAAATAAAGAGTTAAAAAAATATTCCTTGTCACATGTAGGCAGAGACTGTGTCAGCACTTACCCTGTGCCTGGGTATTTGCTTCTTGTACAATGGAGGAATCCCAGAAGGTAGCCTCCCAGCAGGTGGTTCAGAGGGTAGTTGCTGTAGTTGGAGAGAGAGTGGTGAAGTCCCCATGGCCTTCCCTGGCCAGCTTTACTCTTAGACCTGACCCCTCCTCCACCTACCACCCCTGGCCCCACCTCCAGCCACACAGTTCCCAGCTCATTTCATAGAACTAAACATTTCAAATCCTTTGCCCTGGCCAGGCAATAGGAATTTTGATGGCTGTGCTAACCACTGTGCTGTGTGACAACCCGGGCTCTGAAGCTGGGAACCTGAAATTTAACCCATCAGCATCCTCCTCTCAGCTTCCCCCAACCTTAAGCTCCCCTTACCCATTATCTGATTGTTGCCAAGAAGGTTGGGAACCTGTCTGTGACAATCTGGAAGATCCCAGATCAGGTGGTCTCTTCTGGAATTCAAGGAGATCAAGTAACTGAATCAAACTTGAGAATTCAACAAGAACGTCTTGCAGCTCCAATTCCTGAAAAAGCCACAAACTACTGGAACTCACCTAAGATGAAATTGGCAACCTGAATAGTCCTATAACCATTAATAAAACGGGATTCATACTTAAAAATCTCCTGAAAAAGGGATCTTCAGACCCAGATGGTTTCAGTGGTAAATTCCAACATTTAAGGAAGAAATGACAGTCTCTTCTAGAATAAGAGGGAAAACATTCTAACTTATTTTATAAGGCCAACATTACCCTGATACCAATGGCAGTAACAAAACAAAATAATGATGACAAAACTACAGACCAGTATCCTTTATAAACATAGACAACATAAGTTCATCAAAAAATACTAGTAACATCATCCATCAAATTTATAAACATTCCCTTCTTTTAATGTCTGTGGGATCTGTAGTGATATTCCCTCTTTCATTCCTAATATTAGTTAAGTTGTGTTTCCCTTTTATTTTTTATTAGTTTTGCTGGAGTTTTAACAATTGCACTGATATTTTCAAAGAATCAGCTTTTGGTTTCATTTTTTTCTATTGTTTTTCTGCTTTCAATTTCATTGCTTTCTGCTTTTTCTTTCTTGCTTGCTTTGGCTGTATTTTGCTCTTCATTTTCTAACTTATTTAGGTGGAGGCTTAGATTGTTGATTAGAGACCTTCTTTTCTTCTAATATAAACATTTAATGTTGTAAATTTCTCTGTAAGCACTATTTTAGCTGTATCACACAGATTTTGATATATTGTGGTTTTGTTTTTGTTTTTGTTTTTTTTTTTTTTTGAGACAGAGTCTCACTCTGTCACCCAGGCTGGAGTGTAGTGGTGCAATCTTGGATCTCTGCAACATCTGCTTCCCGGGTTCAAGTGATTCTCCTGCCTCAGCCTCCCGAGTAGCTGGGATTACAGGCACCTGCCACCACGCCCAGATAATTTTTGTATTTTTAGTAGAGACAGCATTTCACTATGTTGGCTAGGCTGGTCTGAAACTCCTGACCTCAAGTGATCTGCCCACCTCAGCCTCCCAAAGTGCTGGGATTACAGGCGTGAGCCACTGCACCCGGCCGATATATTGTATTTGCATTTTGTTCAACTCAATGTATTTTTTTCACTTGAGACTTTCCCTTCACTGAAAAATTATTTAGAAGTGTGTTGTATCATTTCCATGTATTGGGAAATTTTCCTTTTCTTTCTGTTGTTGATTGCTAGTTTAATTTTATCATGGCCAGATGACATACTGTGTATTATTTTAATTCTTTTAAATTTATTAAAGGTTTATTCTTTAGAGTATGGTCTATCTCAGTGAATGTACCTTTTTGGCACCAGGGACTGGTTTCATGGAAGACAATTTTTCCATGGATTGGTATGGGGGTGGGAGGGGTGAGGGGGTGGGGGGATGGTTTCGAGATGAAACTGTTCCACCTCAGATCATCAGGCATTAGATTCTCATAAGGAGTGCACAACCTAGATTCCTCGTGTGTGCAGTTCACAATAGGGTTTCCACTCCTATGAGAATCTAATGCGTCTGTTGATCTGACAAAAGGCAAAGCTCAGGTGGTAATGTTCACTCGCCTGCTGCTCACCTACTGCGGTGCAGCCCGTTCTGGTACTGGTCCATGGCCTGGGGGTTGGGGATCCCTGGGTTAGAGTATTTTATAAATATTAAATTTAATTGATTGATGGTGTTTTCTGTCTATTTCTATATATTACTGAGAGAAGAGTGTTGAAGTTTCCAACGACAACTGTAGATTTACCTGTTTCTCCTTTGTATTCTGTCAGTTTTTGGTTTGTGTATTTTGAAGGTCATTTGTTGGGTAGATACGCATTTAGAATTGTCATGTCCACTTGGCAAATTGATACTTTTATTATTATTATGTGATGTTCTTCTTTGTCCCTGGCAATTGTCTTTGTCTTCAAGTCTGCATTGTCTAAATATAGACACTCTACTTTTCTTTTCAACAGCTTGCATGTTACACCTTTTTTCATCCTTCTGCTCTTAACTTACCTGCCTATATTATATTTCAAGTGAGTTTTGGTTGGACAGCATGTAGTTGGTTCATATTTATTTATTCATTCTCACAGTCTCTGCCTTTAATTCTTGTGTTTAGACCATTTCAGTTTAATGTAATAGTTGATATGTTTGGATTTATGCCTTCTGTTTATTCCATTTTTGTTCCTATTTCTCCTATTCTGTGTTTTTTTTTTTTTTTGAGCTATTTGAATATTTCGTAGTTCTTTTTTTGTGTGTGTGCCTGCTTGAGGGATTGCAATATGTATAGTCAACTAGAATCATTCACAGTCAACTTAGAATCACTTCGAATGGACATTTTATCACTTTAAGTGGACTGTAGAAACCTTACCACCATATAGGTTCCTTTGTCCTCCTGCCTTTTGTTATGATATCTGTATTCCACCTTTATTGAAGGATACATTTGCTGGATATAGAATTCTAGATTACAGTTCTTTTCCTTTAATGCTTTAAAAATATTGTGCCACTTCTTTCTTTCCTCCATGGTTTCTGGTGACAAATCTATAACCATTTGACTTTTTGTGCCCCATACTTAGATAATAGGGCATTTTTCTCTCCCTGCTTTCAGGAATGTTTGTTTCATCTCTGGTTTATAGCGTGGTTTTGGGGGGTTTATCCTACATGAGGTTCACTCTGCTTTTCCAAGAATTTGTACGTATATGTGTCTTGTGAAATTTATGAAGTTTTCAGCCATTATTTTGTCAAATATTTTTCCTGTACTGCACGGCATTCTTTCTCTCTTTCTGGGATTTCTATGACACAAATGGCAGACCTTCTCTTATTGTTCTCTGGTCCCCTGAGGCCCTGTTCATTTTTTACTTTAAATATTTTTTCTCTTTCTTGTGCAGAATGGCTAATTTCTATGTATTCATCTTCAAGTTCGCTGACTCTTATATCCATGATGCCATTGAGCCCATCCCATGAGTTTTTTATTTTGGTTATTTTATTGTTCAGTTCTACAGTTTCCAACAGTTCTTCTTTAGATCTTTTGTCTCTTTGCCCAGACTTTCTCTTCCGTAGGTTTCAAGATTGTTTATGATTGGTTGCTGGAGCATTTTTGTAATAACTTGATTTAAAGTTTTTGTCAGTCCAAATGTCTGTCATCTCAGCCTTGGCACCTGTTGATTGTATTTTTCCATGCTGAGTAATTTTGAATTTATCCAGGGCATTTTGAATATTATGTTATGAAACTCTGCATCTTGTCTAAATCCTATGGAGAATGTCAATATTTTTGTTTTAGCAGGCAGTTGATAATGGTTAGGTTCAGAGAACAAGTTCCAACCACCTTCTATGAGCTGTGGTCCTGTGTTAGCATTTGCAGCACCATTTGGATATATCCTGTGTGTGTGCTCCACAGTGGCCGATCTGGGAGCTAGGTCTTCAGTTCTCAAAGTCATTGGTAGACTGTTAGGATGAGGTCAACAAGTGCAAATCTGAGGAGTGACTTGCACGTGGATAAGCAACTTTATGGGGTCTCTTTCTTGAGCTCCTTCCCCTTTGTGCTCTCTCTAGTTCTTTCCAGTTCTATGGGGCTTCTCTTTTGGGCCATTTAGCTAGAAAGCTTGGGCTTTAGTTACTCTATTTTGCCATGTACTTTCACAACTGTGCCCATGTCCCCAGGGTCAAGCCCCTGGAGGACAGAGACACTAAAAACAGTGGGATTTGGCCCTACTTTCTTGGAATCATGGCACTGTTGAATCTAGAGGAAGGTTTTCCTCCCTCAGAGTTCCCTGTCTTGCAGGCTCCCCTTGCTGCTGGCTGCTGTAGCCACTGCAGGGTTACTTGGGGACTGTGGCCTGAGAGAACAGAGAAAAGGAAAAAACAGGGGATTTTTCCCTGTCGTCTGTCAGCACCTAGGGTCTGCCGACAGTGTGTTGAGACCAGGCTTGGGCACACTGGATGAAAAAAGAAGAGGAAACTGTCAGTTGGGTGGTCTTTCATGTTCTAGTCTTCCTTCTTAATGTGCCTGCTCCTGTTTACTTTTCAGAGTCCTCGTATAGCTGCTCCAAGCATTCTTTCTGAGGTTCGTAGTTGCGGCCCTGGGAAAAACAGGGTGGAGTGTGCTGACTATCTATCCTACGTAGAACTGGAACCTCTGTTTGATTTTGAATATGGAGAATAGTATGACTCTAAACAATGGGTGCCTTAATTGCCCCCTTAGTGTCACTCTACCCAACTTTACCTCTTTGCTTGAAAAACCATCCTTAGGATCCACAGACACCTCTTAGGAGGAAGGTGGGGTTAGTGCTGCCAGTTAAAAGCATTACCTTTACCATCTGATGAAACAAAAACTTGCTTCTTGACTCTACAGCTAAAACTAAATTGGGAGTATTTTTTTCTCATTAACCTTTTTATTAAAATGCAAGTTCTTTTTCAAAGATGAGAGTTATACATAGTAAGTCGAAGATTTCTGAAATCCTTTTAGTCCAGCTTAGAAGAGGACCAAGAAGATAATGCTTATGTAAATCTGAATCCAGCAGATACTCTCTCCACTAAATTAAGAGATACTTCTCTCATGAAGAGCTTTGTTGTGCAGATTTTGCAGTGCCACGTTTTCGATTTTGAATGTTGCATATGCTTATAAATCCCGTAGAAGTGATTCTTGTGATAATAGTTTAAAAAACTTAGTGAAAATCAAGAGAACAGGCTTCTATGAAAATCCGAAGTGAAGTTGTGCATGCCTCCCTTAGTAGCTAATGGCCAAATGGTTAAAGGTGTTACCAGGGTGGTGAATGATATTCAAAGACCTGTTGTTCAGGAGGGGTGGGGAGCAGGAAGCTCTGTTGGTGTAAGTGGAGAATGGAATGTTTTAGGGAGCCGGGTTTTGTCATTTCCAGGAGCAGGGCGGGCAGCACGGTGGGAAGGTCTGGCTCCAGCTTGAGCCCACTCACAGGATGTCAGGGGGAAGTGTGACTAAGGTCACGGCCACGCCACGTGGTGGGCCAGCTGGATCCAGAGCAGGGGCCGTTGTGGCCACACATCCTGAGTTTCCATGGTCTAATGCAGTGGGCTTGAAAAAAAAGGGTGGATGCAGGATGCTGGCTGGGACTGTGGAGTGCGTGGGCAGTAAGTCTTAAGTGACAGTGGGTGGAGATTACAGCATTTCATCTGCTTTTCCTTTGACACCTTTTAAAGATACAACCCACAGTTTTCAAGGGTTTATGCCAATGTCTGCTAGAGGGATCTTGCAGTAGATCTTAAACCCTATAGTATTCTTAAGAGCACAAGGAAATTCTTATTTGGGTTCCATTTACAACAAAGGTGGAAATTTAAAACTAGGCTGAGAATTTGAAATGCTGTTCACATTAAGCAGTTTATTAGGGGGTTATTTTGAAATCGTTCTTAAGTAATTTTAAGATGTTTCCACATCTCAAAAGGATACATACATTTTTCTTCAGTTTTCTTTGGAGAATGTCTGTTCAGGATGTTTAGCAGGTTGGGTTTCAGAATTTCAGCGGCTTTATGGTGCTGTCATCCAGTTCGACAGATTGAATTTGCACGTAGAGGAAATGGAATGTATTTTTAATCACCGGAATGTATTGTACCTAACGAACATGGGAGAGTGTATGTCAGGTTTCAGCTGTGATTAATATTTTGCTGCTGATTTCTCAACTATGTGGCATGCTTACACTCTGCCTCTACTTGAACAATATCTAGTATTTCCTGATTATAACAATGGAAAAAAGTCTTAGAAAATCAGTCTAGAATTCTTATCCTTAGTCCATTAAAACTTGAGAAGGTCCTGAGCCAAATTCCTTAACTTTGAAAGAAAATTTATTATTAAAAGTTATAGGGTCCTAATCTCACTCCCCCCAACAAATTATGTAAAAAAAAAAAAATACTTGAAGGAATGAAGAAAGGGATTTTCTTCAGATTACTAAGTAGTTTGAAATCAAACCATTTGAGTTCAAGAATCACCATAGAAACTTGGGTGGGAGGCTATAAGTACTGTGGGGTATATGGGGTGTTATTATTAGACACCATTGTTGAAGGTGCTGTGTTTTTAAGACCATGCCTGGCAAGAATTCATCGAAGTGTAGAAAGTATTTCCTTTAATGTGCTACTTATTTATTTAGTTCAGTTGCTCTTCCTAAGAATTAAGAATTGCATTCCTCTTATGGAGAGAAAGTAAAGAGAATCAGAACCTTTAGTTATATTATTTTGAATATAATGTCATATTCAAAATATATATGCATGCCTTTGAAATCAGGTGCCTAGAAGGGACAGGTATTTGCTTCAGAAGTTATGAATTCCTTAACAGAAAGGGAAAGTGGGAACCAACATTTCTTAAATGCCTCTTATGTGCCCTCCTGGAAGCAGATTATCCATTCTGCTTATGGTTTCTTTTAAGTTGCATAACTGTTCATTGAAGTAAATTTATTGGTACGAAAACAAATTCATAGGTTGGTGAGTTTGACTTTTGTTGGGTGGAGGATGATAAGAAGGAATGGGTGCACAGATTGGCGTGTTTGGGGACTTAAAGCAGTGGTTCTCAACTGAGGGTGACTTTGTCCCTCTGAGGGCATTTGGCAATGTCTGCATACTGTTTTGGGTTTTGGTTGAGGAGGGGAGATGCTACTGGCATGTAGTGAGTGAAGGCCAGTAATGGAGCCTACATACCCTAGTGCCTTATGATGCGCAGGATCCCCGCCCCCCCGGAACTTTCCCACCAACCAAGAGTGTTCTGACCCCATATGGCCACAGTGCTGACATTGAGCAACAAATGGCTTAAAATTAACACAGAAAAGAAATGAAAACCAAAGTCCTCCCTGCTGCATTCACTCGTATGGAAGATACATGTCAATTTAGCCTGATTCACTCATTCCTGCAAATAGGTATGTCTAAATATTACTTCTAGACATCTCAAGGAATAGAAACTATAGCTTACTAACAAAAAGGTTTTACATGTGGTTTCAGAGATTCATTGTTTTTTAGGTTTTCACTTTTAGGATATACTTCTTTTTCTCAAGCCTAAATTTCTATAGTGTCATTTTGGCCTCTTCCATTTCCAGTTGAGCTTTCTGTCATGGAGGTAGTAATTAGCTGGTAGCCATTCTGCATGAAGTATTCTTTGTCCAAGTTCTGTAGAGGCTGCTATTAAATTGCCCCTGAGCTTTAGATAGCATCGACACAGTAAGGAGTGCTACAGTGTATTAACATTATTTGCATCCTTACTAAACATATAAAGATAGTGGGGTGGCAAAGACAGAATATAATGCTCCCTAAGAATACTGCCTTGTTGGCATCCAATGGCATTATATGGGGTTCTTGTTAATAAAACACTTAAAGGTCTATTTTTACATGTTTAGATTGTGCCTCAGGACTTGAGTTTGAGTTGTGAAATGCTTAGCAGTTAGCTGTGCTCCCATCTGCCATCCCAACCTTGCAAAAGGGAACAGAACCATGGTATCTGGGGCAATACATCATTCTTAGACATTTCTGGTGACTTATCATCAAATGTCAGGGCACTAAAATCAATGAAGAGATGGGGTAGAGCTGGTACGAGAGAAGAAACCTGGAAAGCAGAGAAAGGGAAGGTTTGTGAAGAATGGCACAGTAGGGAAGAGTGTAAAACAAACCAACAGTGATTGATTCCACATGCCAGAAATCCTTTTAAGCACCTAGCTAGGGAGCACCACATTGCTTTAGGCAGTAGGGATGCAGTAGAGAAGGTGAGGCAAGGACCTGGCCCTGGTACGGAGCTTATATTCTAGATGGATGAAATCTTAATAGAAGGTAACTGTGGTAAGTGAATGAAGGAGATGAAGCTATGATGTGGGAGCATTAACAAGGAGTGGGCTGTGTGAGGAACCTGAAGAAATTTGAGACGAGAGAACAGAAGGGATTTAGCTAGAACTGGAGGGGCAGGTAGAGGGAACAGCAAATAGAACAATCCTGGCTGCTGATTTTATAAAATGAAACATTTTATCACAGTCCTAAGAGAAGCCTACATGTCTGCTTCTCAGTTTTAATTGTGACATGTGCTTTAGTTACCTGGAAAATCACTGCCTTCTTAAAATTATATTTTAAAAAGATGCCACCACCATCTCTACCAAAAAAAAAGTATATGAGGGTATAAAATATCATGAATTGGTAATATATTTTCAATTATAAGCCCTAAAGTTCAATATTTAAAAATGCAGCTCTCCCCCCATACCTTTTTAAAAAATGTGGAGTTGTAGATATACAGATTTTTGTTGTTGCGGTTCATTGAATATTAGCCTTTACCACTCTTTTTGGTACCTTCTCTCACCTCAGGAAGTTAAAAAAAGATCAATAGGAAAATAGATAAGCAATTGAATATGTAAATATTGGCCTGAAAATATTTACATATTCAATTGCTTATCTATTTTCCTATTGATCTTTTTTTTAACTTCCTGAGGTCAGAGAAGGTACCAAAAAGAGTGGTAAGTAGCTTTCACTCAGGGTCTTTTTTGTTTGTTTGTTTTCCTTGAATTTTAATCTCTCAAAAGGACCTTGTACAATTTTTCTCATTGTGGTTTAAAAAAATTTGCCATAAAACTAATCATCTTACCCATTTTAAGTGTACAGTACAATAGTGTTAAGTGTATATGTACCTTGTCGCACACAATTTTTTTTGACTTGGCCTGAGTTACAATCTTATATGTGCTTCTAACAGGGTGACTCTGAGTGAGGCATTTAGGAGGGAGAAAAAACAATGTGGAGGGGCCGGATGAAACAAGATTAGCACAATGAGGATAACTTTTGAAATGGCTTTTTTTTTTTTTTTGAGACGGAGTCTCACTCTGTCACCCAGGCTGGAGTACAGTGGTGCGGTCTCGGCTCCCTGCAACTTCCACTTTCCAGGCTCAGGCGATCCTCCCACCTCAGCCTCCCAAGTAGCTGGGACTACAGTGGCGTACCACCACGCCTGGGTAATTTTTATATTTTTAGTGGAGGTGGGATTTTACCATGTTGGCCAGGCTGGTCTCGAACTCCTGACTTCAAGTGATCCACCCACCTCGGCCTTCCAAAGTGCTGGGATTACAAATATATATATTTTAAAGGCAGCAGAAATAGACAAAACTCAATCTTATTTCAGGACTACAGTTGGTGTTCTTAAAAGGTCAGAGGAAGAGCTGAATATATCTAGAGGTCAAGTACAGCAGCCTGCAGGGTATGGGGCCAGTTCAGGATGGAGTGTAGAAGCAGTATTTGAGGAAGGGCACAGATAGAAATTCCTGATCCAGCTAGATTTGGCTCTCATAAACCCTCCAGTGAAGGGCCGTTTCCTGTGAAGCCTGTCTCTTGCTCATTGCTGTCAGCCCCATTTCCTCTAAAAGTTGGCCCACACCTTCCATTGTCCTTTATGGCCTCTGGATACAGCACCATCTCCACACAACACATCTGTTGCGTTCTCTCAGCAAGATGATCAAGAATTTCTTTACTTACTTCGGCAAGTATAGGATCTGCTCATTTCTGGGACACTTTGGTTTTTGCCCTGAACATCTGATTAAGTATCTCTCTTCAGTGGTTGGGTGCCTGCAGCCATCTCTGTATTACCTTTTGAGAGTTGTTTTCATTCTGATGTACAGGATCCACCTCACTCTGTTCATCTCCGAACTACCGACCTCTCCAACCTCACATTTGACTTTCTGTAAACTCCAGCTGGAGCTGCTGAGAGCAGAGACTTGGGATATATCTCAAAAACCTCAAGAATACATTTTGATGTGAGAGTGCCAAAGATGGTCCTAGCAACCCCAGGAGTAGGAAGGCATCACTTTCAGTTCTGATAAGGACCAAGATTCTGAAGGGCAGAAGATGAGAACTCAGGTCTTATCACCTTTCCGAAGGTGGAGATAGATGTAGCGCCCCTTGCCATCCTGATATGGAAGTATGCATATACCCCCTCTCCCCCATTTACTTTGTGATTTTGATATTTTTTCCTCTAGTAAATCCCCAAGTGAGGTCTTTAAAAAACGTGAGAAGGGAAAAGAGGATGAAAAGAATTAGATTGGGATTGAGGTAAACATAACAGCATAACTGAAGAGCTTGAAGAATTGCGATGTGGAGGGCAATAACACTAACCCTGGCACTGTTAATAGTGACTTGGTGAGTAACTTATATGTAGATTTCCTTTTACTTAGAACCTGCTACTCCATCTACCTCTCTTAAGCTGTAGCGTTTCTTTAATGGAGGAGGAAGGAAAGACATTGGCTTACAATTTGCTGCCTAATCTAATATTTGGTTCTCATGCACTGATTTAACAGATATGTATTGAGCACCTACCTTTGTTAGACCTTGAACAAGATACTGGACCCAGTGCAATAGGCAGGATCAACTCAGACCCCTCTTCTAATATAGGAACTGCACACTGGCCTGTAGACATGTTCTCTTTGGTCCACACAGTTATAAACACTGCAGTGTTTTTTTTTCTCTTGAAAAACTGGTTGATTTGGCCCCCTGGACCTGCATCCTCACATGGCAAAGTCAGGGAAGTGGCAGGGGTAAGGGGTTGCTGAGAAATGTCTGCCACGGTCAATAGAGGCACATGTTCTACAACCTTCCCTGGCCTCTGTCTCTCATCGTGTTAGCTATTTTTGTCCTTGGTGGAATCTTGGTTGGGATTCCTCCATCTTCACATGCTTCTCTTCACAGGGATCATCCTGTGGGCTGGGGAGCCTGGGATGAGAGCTGGGACAGAAGCTGAGTTGGGATGGGAAGTGTGGCTCCCTGCTGCTCTCCCTATGAGTGGGCGATGCCCCAGAGCTCTGCCCCTGAGCAGTGCCCCTGAGCTATGCCCTTCGTCGAGCCCTTCCCAGGCCACTGCTGCACAGCTTTTTGGCTGCGCAGTTGCTTTGTACTCTTCGGGATTAGAATTTCAGAAAGGGGAAGTCATGCCACCAGCTTTTGTAACTCTCCCATCCATGAACTTCTGTTCTTGACAGTTGTGCTCTTTGTTTGTTTGTTGAAGTCCACCTGTGGCATTATTCCTGCCTCCACACCGGTGTCTTGACAGCCCTTCCTTCAGCCCTTCCTGCCTAGGGGACCCTTTCCTTCCTGCTCATGGGAGTGCTGCTCACCTTTGAAAGCACAGCCTGCCTCCCCTTCTTGAAGCCTCTTCTAGCTTCTACCAAAACAATTGACTTTATCTGTTTTACATTTTGGGCTTTCTCATACATTTTCTTTGAAGAAAACATTGCAAAGCTCAAGGTATATAATAATATAAGGCATGTTGTCTTATATTATTCATTGTCTTTCCTAATCTTCATACCTTGTCTCTAAGATTCCATCATGAATTCTGGAGAACAAGGTCTCAGTCCTGTATATTTCTACTGTCCCAGAGCCCAGCCACTGCACTGTAAATCATAAGGTTGAAAATAAATATTTGTTGCAGGAGTGAATTAAAATATTTCCTTCCCTGATTTTCAGAGCACAGAGTTTATAGATGATACAAATTTAAGTTTTTCATACCCTGCGACCACCTCCTTCTATTACTTGCTCCTCTTAAAATGTGTAGTTTTGAAAATGGGAGCCATCTTCTCTTTGTCTTGCTCATCCTTCAGGTTCCTTTCACCTATCTCTTAAGTCTGGGGCTAAAAGTAAAGGACAGGTGGGGACAGGTAGTGACAGGCCTGGCTGGAGCATCTCTGGGAGCTGAGCCACCTGACGTAGGGGGAATGCAGGGGAGGCTGGGCCCTTTGACAAGGTTTAGGGTGGAGACCACAGTCCTCTCAGAAACACTCCGAGGATTCCCAGACTCTCTTGTTAAGAAACTGTACATACAACATGGTGTCTCCCACTGGAGACCTCAAATACCAGGGCAAGGTAAAAAGATGGCTGAACTGGGAATTGGTAGCCCTGATTTACTTGCTAACCCCACTGCCTATTTATTTAACCTTAGGCAAGTCACTAAACTTTTCTAGGTCTGTTTCATCTCATTTTGAGAATTTGATATGGGAGAGCCCTCCCAGCATGATCTCCCTGCTGGTTGTGAATCTCCTCTGACTCAGCAGACAATGCTTTATGTCAGTATTCCTCTGCAGTTTCACAAGAGGGCACTAAGCCTCAGAGGGTGTGAGCATGAAAGGGCCAGAGGCAAACATACAATTTATTTCCAGTCTCTGCCGTATCTTCAAGTGGGATTTTTTGTATTCTAATCTTCACTATAGCTATGTTTTCGTATTTAAACAATTTAAAATTTATTTTTACAAATTACATTATTTATTGTCCTTAGATTTTGTAGTGTAAGTTAAACCCCAAGGATATGGAACATGCCTATCCCCTGGTTTTGTAAATTCCCTGGAGTGTCCGCATGCTACTTATAGCTATATTGTTCGTGGTCAGTTTTAAATTACAAGATGGATGGAGATTATGCCTCATTATAATTATTGCATATGCATATAGCAATTAACTTAACCCCCACCCCATAACCCTATGCAAAAGGTACTGTCCGTTACTCATTTTATAGACGGAAAACTGAAGCACATAGATGTTCAGTGAATTGCACAAAGGTACACAGCTTGTAAATGGTGTAGCTGGGATTAGACCTGGCCAGTCTGTGTTCTTAGCCTCACTCTATAATCCTGCCTCTATGGTAAACTAATTTAGGGAAGCCAATTGATTTTTTTTTCAGATAATGATCTGATAATTTTGGTGTTATTTTTCACACAGCATTTTTAGAATAAATTTTGACGTCGTTTGCAGGCACCTATTTTGCCTAGAGTTCAAGAAACTCAGTGGTGGGGCCTGATGTTCTCAATTACTGAGAGCTCAGGTCAGCCTCAGTTCTGTGGCTACAGATAGATTCTACCTGGTGTGCGCAACTAGCCAATTCCAGAGAGGCACCACATAAGGCAGGCGGGGCAGGGGCTGCCTCTGACTAGAGTGATTGGTGTCACTGCCAGAGAGAAAATCAATCTGAAGTTTGTCTCATGATTCCAGATGATGGATCTGCATAAGCCATGTAGTTGGATGTTTTCAAACAATGTGACTAAGATACGAAAGATACAGATATTAAAGTTGCTGTAGTGGCTTTGTAGTATTATTTGCTATTGATGCACTTTGCTTACAATTCATTGTGTTTCTTCGCTGTGTAAACAAAAAGCAAGCGCCATTTATTACACACCGTTCTGTTTTATGCTTGTGGTTTAACGTTTGCCAGATATTTCAATATATAGCCACAGATCACTCTGCATGACATTAACAACAACAAAGTCTGTCTGTTTCTTTGTTGTAAAAAATTGGGATCGGCCCATGGGCCTACTGTATATCTCAATGTGGCAAAGGCAGCAATAAAATGTCACAGAGGAGAACAAACTAGCCTATATCTAAAGAGAAGATTTTAAACAGACATATGGCATAGAGTTAGGCAATTGGAAGAAAGCTTTCATATGTTGCTACTTGGGAACCTACTGACATACTTTTATGGGTGCTCATGGGTTATTTTTCTGTAGTGCCCCACCGAAGGCCCATCTCTTGACAATGCACTGAATCCCATCATCCTGTCTTCTACTCAAGGTTTCTGCAATTGTCCCTGTGGTCCCTGGTGGCATCTGTTCTTGCACCCACATTGCCTTCCAGCTGCTATACCATATCTCTGAAGAGTTGTTGTCTCTATTTACTGCCGCACATACCTCTCCTCCCATGCTCTGCAGTCCTCACTCCAGTTAGGCTTGGTGTTCCCCTCCCCACCCCCAAATGACTCTCTGACAAAATCGCCCAGGACCTCCACCTTTCAAATTCAGTGTTGAGTCCCCAGTCTTCATCTTATTCAGCCTACTGGCAGGATCTGGCCCAACCAATCATGACCTCTTCCTTGAAAGCATTTTTTTTTCACTTGGCTCCTTGATGCCACACTTGGTCCTTTGCCTACCCAGAGGGTGATCCATGCCAATCTTCTTTGCTGATCCTCCTGGCATTGCTTCAGCCTCTTCATATTCAAGTGCCTCAGGCCTCCACAACTTCTGTAACTGTCCTCACTCCCAAATTATCTAGTCCCTTGACATTAAATGTCACTTAAACACTGACGATTTTATCTTGGAACTCTGCTCAATTTCAACCGTTTTTTCTACCTCTCTGCTTGGATATCTGATTGGCATCTCAAGCCTAGCATGTCCAAAGCTTAACTTCATTTCCTTCTACACACTTTCTCACCCCTGCCATACCCAATCTGCCCCATCTTGGTAAATGTCAGTGCCATTTTTAAAATTGCAAAATCCTAGTGCTGCTATTGACCTCTGTCTTTAGCTTCTACTTCACATCAGCAAATCATGTCTGCTCTTCTTTTAAAATATATCTGAAATCTGACCACTTATAATCTCCACTGCTACCACCTAGTTCAGGCAGCTGTCATGTCTTATCTGGAGGTGATCAGTTGGGTGCCCTGTTCCACTCTTGCCTTTCGAATCACCCTGGAAAGATTCTTAGATCTCTCCCAATCTACTCATGTGGGTTTCCATTTCTCTCGGAGTAAAGACCATAGCCCTTGTAAAGACAATGGCCTAGAAAGTCCTATGTGATCTGCTCTCCCATCTCTACCAAACCCAGTCAGTCTCATATCCCTCTTCATTCTCCCTTGATCATTTTGCTGTGGTGACACTGGCTTCTTTACTGTCTCTTTTACAAGTTTTCTCTGCCTTGCCCTCTCATTTGTTGCCTAGATATTTATGAAACCTACTACTTCTCTTCCTTTAGATCTTTGTTTAAATGCCTACTTGATCAGAGAGGCTTTCTTTCACTGATCACCCTAAACAAAATAAGTTGCTCCTAACCCTGCTCCCACCCCCATGTCCCAGGATTGCCTGCCTTCTCTATCCTGCTTGAGCACTCATCACCGGGAGCATATTATGTAGTTATTTGGTTATATTTCCTTCCTCTTTAGACTGGACAGGGAATTTGTCTCTTGTTCTTTGCTGTATCACCTTAACCTAGTGCGGTGCCTGGAAGTTAGTAAGCACTCAATAAACAGTTTTTAAATGACTGAGTGAATTTCCTAGGCAAACTGGTCAGAAATAGGCTACAGAGAACGGAAGAGTGGCTGTACCTGTCATTTAATATGCTCTCAATATGATTACATTATTGAAATAAGATTTTATTCATGATGAAACAAAATGCTATTGGGCATACAGAAAGGCATGAGAAAACCAGGCACTAAATTTAATATTAGTCAAGCAAATGTTCATAGTTGGAGAAATGATTGAAGCTGTGTTATGTTTTGTTACTGAGTTACATTCAGAAGGACTGCTGATCACACGACAAGCAATGCAACTCAAGGCAGAAGAAATTGCCAAATCCCCCAGAACAAAGCAGTGAGGAACTAGTTTGACTGTCACCCAAGACTGTCTTTAAGGCATTGTGTCATAGTTAATTGGCAAAGTTTGTTTCTTTCCTAATGATACATAAAATAATGAAGTGTCTTACAATCAGCAGAGTTTTAGCTTGGATAAAATAGGGTGGGTCTCTTTTCTAGATCTTAGAATGATAAAATGAATTTATAAATCTTAATTTTGCCATTTACAGTTGTTAGTTTACTTCTTAGTTTCTAAGATAACAAATGTTACTCTTCCATATTAGTTAAACCAAGAAGGGAGGGGTTTGGCCAGACACTTGTGTATCATTTCTTGGTTTCCTTACTGAATGTCTTTCTCCAAGCATTAGGTACAGAACTAGCATAATTGGGACCAATTATCCAGTCGTGAGTTTTGACTTTTGTTTCTCATGATTAGCTTGAAGATAATTTTTTCAGACAGCTGCTGGTTTTGTTTTTCAATTTTTTTTTTGAAATAATTATAGGTTCCTAAGCAGTGATAAAAATAGTACAGAGAGGTCTCGAGTATCCATCAGCTAGTTTCTCCCCATAGTGACATTGCCCATAACTATAGCACAGCTGCAGTTTTTAATAGATCATTTTGTTCTTTTCCCATGACCTGTTGGAGTAGGAATAGAGAGATCAGGTAATTTCGTTATGGTCTAAGCCGCCTCGCTTTGGGAGGGAGTGTTTCTGGTCGCAGGTGGTGAGTCCAGAGGCAGAGTTGCTATAGAGGGACTAATACATTGATTTTCATGACCTAGAGGAAATAATCACTCAGGTTAAAATGTCTTCAAGAGTTAGTGGCCTGAAGCTCTCCAACAGAGAAACTCTTAATTGATTTGTTTTTGCTTCAGCACAGCTTTCTTTTGAAGCAATCATTTTAGAGTGATTTCACGTGCTCCAAAAAACCTCTTGAAATAGATCAACTTAAAGATCTAGAACCTCATTTGGAAGGGATGTGAGGTCAACCTTACCCATTGGATAGGGTGATTTCCCCCTTAAAGACCCAGCCAGGTCACTGTTGCAGTTCTTCTTAAGATCCTTCTCTGCTTAAGGCCTCTGTCCAGTTTCCACATGATGGACTTTTCTTACCCACAAATCAGACAACAGACAGGTACCTCTGTGCTTTCCTTTTCTCCTTCCAGTTAAATACATCTGCGTTCTCAAATCTTGTGGTGGTTTTAGCCACCCACTCCTGACCTCCCTCCTACTTGCTACTTCTCCACAGGCTGCAGTTTTTTGATAGCTTGGCCACGTCCTAGAGAGAAGATAATGGTGATAGATTAAGGGGTGAGCTGAGAGAGGTACATTATAGAAAAAATATGACAGAAGGTATTTGGTACAAGATTAGAAACGAAAGCTCATTATTAAAATTATATTCTTCAAATGAGGGTAGTGCCTTCCTTATCCTGTTTCTCTTTCCTATTTCTATTATTTGTTATCTTTCACTTGCACTTTTGGACACCCTGTACTGTCTTCTATCCCTTGAAGCCAGACTTCTAGGGTATGGTCTGCATTGTGAGGGGCCCTGATACCCCTATCTCCTCGGTCCAAATACTCACCTTTTGTTTTCTGCTTCTGCTGACTCTTTCACTACATCACCTCTCAGCCAAGACCACCACCTCCACCTCCACCTCCACCTCTATCTCCACCATTGTCCTTCACCTCTACCTCATTTCCATCATTGTCCTTGCCCAAATGCCTGGCCTTCAAGTTGTCTTTGCTGCTGTTTTTTATTCTTTTCTGTTATCGCTAGATGAGAACCACGTCATGTCAGCATAGTTAGTGACTATGCTGAGACCAAACAGTCTTAAATTCATGTATATTCAGCATCAATGATGCCTTTGAAAATTCTGATTCTCCCCAGATAAAATATCAGAATGGCAACCCCTGCCCCCTGCCCCTGACCTTCAGCCTCAAACATCTGGCATTTTGGGAGCCGATAAAACCCATACAGAGTGCCCGAGGACTCTTTTCTTCAGAGGGCTGGAACTCTGAGAATTTTCCCCTGCAATTGCTATTTGAAATATTTTTTAAAAAAAGAGCGAGAGAGAACTAAAATATGAACTGGAAATTTCTGGAAACTGCCAGCCCCTTGCGATAGATGCTGGTCAGGATGTGACAAAATTGGGTTTGGGAGTATTATTTCTACTACATAGGAAGTTAGTTGAGAGAGCACTGAGTTGAAGGGTAGAAGGACAAATACTGCAATACAATTAACTTGGCTTAGGTGGGATGGTAGAGAACCTGAGGGTTGGGGGTAGAGGTAGCCAAGTCACCTGTTCTAGAAAGAGATCTGGCCCATTTTATATGAACCCAATATTGATATATCTTTGTAGATTATGTAAATATATTTTGACTAAGGTCTCCAAAATTGTTAATGTTCTATAGGCAGACTTAGGGATATGCAAACTTGGGCATACAAATTATCATCCCTAAAGAGCTCATCCTTACAGATTAAAATTTCCAAATTGAGGAACACATAGAAATAGAGAAGTAAAAGCCTTGGCTTATTCAGAGTGGTCTTGAATTTATTTGGAGACCCCAGTAAAGATGCTAGCACAAAAAACAGTGTTATATAAATAGAAATGAACTTTGGAAAACCCGACAATGTGATAAAGACTCTATTCTCTGAGCTCCTGGGTGTAGAATATTCTGTAAGGGTACTAATTCACAGAGAACATTTGCTTATCTAAAGAATATCCATACCTATGTTTAATAAAGGAAAAAATCATGGGTAGGTAACTAAGCAGACAATGTATTTTAGCTCATTTGTGTAGTAAAACATGTAACAGAATCTCAGTAGAGTTCAAATATGCCCTCTTGACTTCCTAATGCATAGACTCCGTTAAAATAGTATTTTAGTTGTCCAAGCCTTCCGCCTTAGCCATTTTACACCTGGTAATAACTATGTAAATTCAGAAAAACAGATTTTATATGTTTTGATCCATCTTTTTCTTAATATTACTCTTAGTGAAGATCTGCTTATTTCACCCTAAGGCAATTCAAAAGTTCTGTATGACAACTTTATTCTCACTGCCAACTATTAGGAAAGGAATGCCCACTTTTCCCTGAGGGCGTGTTGTTGCATGCAGCATTCCCATTGGAATGCTCTTGAGAGGTTGAACTCATTCTCTGAGCAATTGTTTTTATACATTCAGTATTTTGCTTCCAGTGCTCATGGCCAGATAGTGTATAACCTGGTCTCTACCCAGTATTATCCATGCTGTTTTCACACTTACCTCCAAGGGCCAAAGATTATCTCACAGAAGCTCCGAAAGAATTCCTGTTTCTGAAATTCATGTGTAAAAGGAAATTTTTAAAGGGAAGAGGGTGATAATTGAGTTCAAAGTCTGAAGAATTTTTGTCAAGGATTATATTGATTAATAACAGAAGCTCTCTGGCATTTTCAGGCAGACATGTGAAAAAAAGTAGTGATTGTAATTAATTTTTAGTGAGTGCCGCATATTTGATAATTGCTCTGATTCACGCTATTATATTCCTCTTCCTTCACCCACAGCAAAATAAGCTTAATTTGATTCATACCCTTAGGAAGAAAAAAAAAAGCCTAAGATTACTCACATGGCTGTGATTCAGCTCTTGGCTCCCACCACCTCCTCCGCCTCCTCATCCTCCCTTTCTCCCACCCTGCCCACTCCCATGTTCACTCCCACCCAGTGGTGTTGCCATCAAAAAACTGAGTCAGTTTGTTCTTTAAAATGGGTGGGGAAAGAAGACAACTAATAAAAACTTTTCTGAGCGAAGTATACTGCTTAGAGCTGAAATCATTGCAGGAAGACAGGCAAAGCGGCTACTTACATAACATGAGAAGCTTGAAACAGAGGCCAGCCCTCATAAAGAAATGTTCAGATTCTTATATAAGACTAGTATAGCTTGTGTGCACGTCTGTAGAGGCATACACATAGCCATGGAGGCAGGTTTCTGTGAAAAACCTCTGATATTGTGGATCTTACATAAAATGTATACAGAAAGAATCTTGTTTTCAAAGTAGGATACTTTGCTATAATCAAAAAGTGAATATAGAAGCAATCCAAAGATTTTTGATCATTGCAAAACATAGGTGATAAAGACATTTTGTTTGCCTTCAAATGAACGTGTGACTTGGCAGCTTGAGGTTTTTTTGTTGTTGTTTGTTTTTTTGTTTTGTTTTGTTTTGTTTGTTTTTGACAGTGTCTTGTTCTGTTGCCCAGGCTGGAGTTCAGTGGCACAGACCACGGCTCACTGCAGCTTTGAACTCCTGGGCCCAACTGATCTTCCCATCTCAGCTTCCCAAGTAACTGAGACTACAGGCGCACACCACTGTGCCTGGCTAATTTTTTTATTTTATTTTATTTTATTTTATTTTATTTTGTAGAGATGAGGTCTCACTATGTTGCCCAGGCTGTTCTCCAACTCCTGGGCTTAAGCAATCCTCTCACCTCGGCTTCCCAAAGTGTTGGGATTATAGGCGTGAGCCACTGCACTCGGCCACAAGATTGTTTTTTGTTTCTCTCCTGAGGAACTGTAAGGTTAGTACTGAAGGTGACAGCTCACCCTTAGAGAGCTGATGGTGGTAGCAGACATATTGAGGCAGCAGTCTCTGTTCCTTGCTTGTATTTTTTCGCTTATTCCCATTCTTCAGATGAAGTGAAAGCCTTAGAGAAATGAAGGGACTCTTCTATGTCCCCACAGGTAATAGCCTCAGAGACAGTATTACAACCCAGGCTGTTTGTCTTTACCCTGACTTGTAACTTTGGTTTCTGGGAGCCTGACACAGTTGGATCGTTTGGTATTTTAGAACTTACCCAAGACAGGAGTGGCGGTGGACAGGAAGCTCCATGCTGGAGCTCCAAACCAGCCTTGAACTGAACTGTTGAATCAGGTCTGTGTGCATCTTCAAACTGGGCTGCGACATGGAGGGGAACAGAATGGAGCCTTCCCCCATCACTCATTTGTAATCCCAACCACCCTCTCTTCATTTTGCTGGCTTTTCCCCCATTATGTTACCATCTGTCTCCAAAACATTGCCTGGGTAAAGACAAACTGGAGCAGTTGCTCGCCCTCAAACAAAACACAGAACTACTTCTCCTCACTCCCATTCCCCCCCACACTAGTGCCGAGCACCATATTTGAGGAATTCCATATTTATAAAGCTTGCCTGCACCTCGATGATGTCTGCTTGCTGTCCTTTTTATTATTCTTCAAATATGTTATGTGCTGACTGGAAACGATTAGCTTTTGTTACTGAGGGGTTTGTGGGATGCTTGAAACAGCTTCATATAGTTCTCAGATGGAAATGCATGCTGTTTGCTCCTTTAAGAAATGCAATTTCTTAATGAAAGACAGCATAGAGGAGAATGCATACTGAGGTTCCCCACCCAACTCTCTGGGTTTCTCCTAGGGTAGTTGTGGTAGGGTTTTATGTCACGGCCCTGTGGAGCGAATAAACAGTGGATCTTGGGTATTTTTTTCTGAGTCTGTACCCATCTCTTCATGCCTCTGACTAGGGGCCCTTGTTAATGTCAAGGGCAGTGCTCTGTCCCCAACAGAGCTGTAGTGTTGCCCCCAGTCTCTGACCCACTCACCTTCTTTCCTGGCTGATGACACTTCCAATGTCCTGACACATCTGGGCAAAGTGGAATTGGAGTTCTTAAATGCCCTCTCTGGCTGGCCCCAGCTCGATTCTGCACTGGCCTTAGCAGGCTCCAGGAAGTTTGGAGAGGAAAGACCCAAACAGATCTCAGATGTAAAACTGGATGAGTATTTCAACTGCTGAAACTTTAGGAGGAAAATATGGATGGGCTACGTGTTTGTCAACATTAGTAAAATAGTTACTAGTGATTCTTTTTTTAAAAAGTTATGGAATCATATTTTTCTCATTCAGAAGTGTTACTTAGGGAATGACTGAAATGTGTATGACTCCAGAGTTCTCTGTCAGACACTGTTCTCAGCACTTAACATAGAATCATTTTTTAATCCAGGTGCCACAGCTAGGAACAGCAGAACCAGAAGTCAAATCCCAGCAAGTCTGACTCCAGAAGCTAGACTCCTCAGAGATGTCATAGGTCCTTTTAGATGCCAGAGTTTTAGATGTTCCATTTTATTCACATTCTATTTTCATAGCCTGTGTTTATTTCCACTGAAAGCCATATAATTATAGACTTTATGTTCTGTATCTTAGCAAGGTAACTGTCTTTAAGCCAATAAAACTTAATACATTACTACTGAAGTATGAATAAGTTTTAATAACTGAGAAATACATACACATGGTTAAAGTAGAATTCAAAAGTGTAATTTGGAAGTGCTCTCGAAATAGTTTCGTGTGATTTTAATTTCTGAAAATTAATTCTGTATGTAAATTGAATGTAGTGTTTATTCCAGTAAAACCCTGCAGGAAGTCTTTTTATAAAGTGAATAATCAACTCCTGAATTAACTGTTATACATGGTTTCAGTGTGTATACCTTTTCTGTGCTCTCATCTACCAATCTGAAAATTAGACATCTGAACATTTTTCTGTGTTTCAAATGTTGGATGTATTTCCTGTATTGTAATAAAACTAGTTATCCATCAAGGCATAATCAACAATAAATGCCAAGCCTTAGTCAGAGCAGTTGCTGACTTTGCTGAAGGTTAAAGGAAGTATGCTGAAAAGAGATAACTGTAGTTAAATTGCTCAGCCCAAGCCTTCCAGATTTTTCATGTGGGGAATTGCCCTTCTTATTACTGTATTCTTCCTGTCTACATAATACCTGGGAACAATTTACTCCATGTAATGCCACTCCCATCTTGGTAGTGAAGTTTTTACTGAAGAGGAAGACTACTAGGGCATGTCAGTATATTTAATTGGAATTTTCACTGGTGGTTTTCAAGTTTTTATTTCACAGCTTTTAGGCAGGTCGAGACTAAAGGACTGTACAGATTTTTTGGTGATGTGATTGTATTACGTGTGTGCTGTGTGTGACTAGCTCAGCTTAGAGTGTGAATTGCAGTAAATGCAAAAGTGAAAGCTGCAACATGGCTCTCATGCTCCCAACCACTTCCTGAAGAACCCGCCGCGCGGGCCCCAGACTTAGAGACTTGAATCTTCAGGATGGAAGGAGTCCAAGTCCCTCATGGTAAAGACCTCAAGTAAACCTAAATGTAGAAAACCTGTTTGCTACTCTTGTGTGAATTAAAACGTTTGGTTGCCTCCATTGTAAAAATTTCAGTGCACAGTTCTGAAATTTAAAATATTAGGGAACAGAGCCAGAGCGTTGCCATACCTTAAAAATAATCTTGCATCTCTCCTGTTTACATGATTCAATTCTTGAAACCAGTTGGAATGTGCGTCCTGATCTCTAAATGTACAAGTTATTTAAAAAAAATGTGAGCTTGTCAGCTTAGCTACAGCCACCAGTCTAATAAAACTGAGTCACATCCAAATGGGCTGCACTTAAACTACCCTCCCATTCTAGGGAAAACGTGGCTGGAGGAGGCAGTCTGAGTCATCACCTGGTTTGTTTGACATACACTTCCTTCCATAAATTGGGAATGGCAAGCGGCACAGTGTTCTGGGCTTGCCTGGGAGAAGGAGCTGTTGCAGTCTTGCACGATCAAAATAGGGCCTTTAGGTTTGAAGGATGAGGTTGAGCCCATATTTTGACTCCAAATGTCGGGGGAGGGGAGAAGAAGTCGACAGATCCAAACAAGGAACATTTGTAAGTACCATTTTTGGAGGTCGGAGCAATGGTAGGGGTGTTCGCAGTTGAATTTCTTCCTAAACATAAAAGGTGTTTAAGAGACAAATTGGGGGCATTCAAATAAAAATAAATGGGTATCTAGTTCACAAAGTGGGCTCGTTTACTTAACAAGAGTGTCCTTGATGTGTACAGTTTAAAATGATTGAGAGAGAGATGATTTGTTAGTTACCATACGAATCTGTTCTGGCAATGTTTAATTTCACTTAATTTATTTAACTATTTTAAAAGAAATGTATTTCACTTAGGAATCTTTTCATGGCCAATTTGAATCTCCTTCAGGGGTATTTTGAGGGGATGGGAAGAGAGGCTCATGTGTCTCGCACATTTTCTTACAGCGGTTTTGCAGAGGCTCACTGGAGCTTTTTAAAATAAAAAAGTTTAGAATGTAAAATTATTGGAGACTATAGAGGAAGGGGAAGGAGGAGTAGATTTATAGCTGAAGTGGGTTTGTAAACTCAGCGTCTGCTTTGGGATTATTTTTTAATATGTGCCAGACATTCTTCTGATTTTCATCCTGGCTTGGTTGTGGCTCTTTCTCTGTCTGTGTGAGGCTGGGGTGTTCCCTGTTTTAAAGCCGTAGTTGTCGCAGCCTGGGCGTTTTCTGTTTCGGCTTATGGCTTTTTTTCTCTTTTCCTGAATGAGTGTCCTTTGTGTAACCCCAGTAATTCAGAAATCCTGCAGTCATAGGGACTGCCCTATCATGTGACTTAGGTACTAGGTGCTGGCTGCGATTGGTCAGCAGCTAATTGGCGGGTCCCTATAAGAGGTCTTGGGTCGGGCGTCCGGCCACTCTCCTGCCTGGGCTGCTGCTCAACGGGGGCTGGGGGTGTGTGGGGCGGGGGTGGTCTGTCCAGTGATTCAGCCACATGTGATAGATGACCAAGTGACTGCTTTCTTGGAGTCCGCACACCAGTGGAAGACTCTCAAAGTGGTTGTGACCGACTTGATCAAACTCTAGGCTTCCTGAACTGGTAACTGTCACTTTAATATAGGTTACTGATTAAACTCAGAAAAATGCAGCTTAAAATCTTTGCCAGGAACTTGTGTGGACTTATTCCCTGTTCCCCCCCCCACCCCCCTTGTTCTGATTTGTTTTGTCACAGGAATGAAATGCAGATAACTCTTTAGAAAACTTTTGTAGGAAAAGCGCCTCGTGTGATCTGGAACAAAGACGTTTTATAATCAGATTTATCAAGCTGCGAAGAGGGAGTTTTAGTGAACGGAAGCAGCAGCATTCTGTCACCAGGAAATACTCCTTTATCCAGAATTGGTAAGTGAAAAGTGGCATTGCTCCCTAATAGATATCATATGCGTGTGTGGGAATTGAAAAATTGTTCACAGACCCCTAACAACTGTGTTGAACAGAGAACACATAAACAGTGAGGAGTTCTAAAAAAGAGCAGCACGAGAATACCGCATAAAGACTGAGAAGAAGCCAGGTAATTAACAAAAATGAGCTGAGTGCTATCAGTTTAGCTAAACATATGTAATACAGCTAGATTTGGTTGTTTTATTTTTTCTTGTTAGTGGAGGAGAAACATAAAATCAGAATGGGCTGTTTAGTAGAATTGCGACATTAACTTTCCATGGATGTAGATTTCCATTTAGTCTGAATAGCATGTATGAAATTTGAAGGGATGCTTTCAGAATTAGTCTACTTGCCCTCCTTTCCTTTCCTCTGCATTAAGATGTCAAGTATTTAGTTAGAACCTTACAAGATGAAAGTTGTACAAAATGAAAGTTCAAGTAATGCGTCGGAAACACCTCTCCTGATTGGGAAGGGTAGATTACAATGGCAATAGATTTTTGTTTTTTGTTTCTTACATTTGTGTCACGAATTTTAAGTTTGTTCTATTGGATTACATTAGTACAGCAAAAGGGGGGTTATTTCTATCTATATGGTTCATGACATTTTGAGAGGTCGTGATTAGTAGTTCTTACTGGTTTCGTATGCGTGTTCCTGCCTGTTGAATTCAGTTTTCTAATCTTGAATCTGAGCTGCCTTTATGTTAAAGGGTTCTAGAAAAAGACAATAAAGCTTTGAATACCCGTGTTATATACAACAGGTTCCTGTTCATGATGTATAAGGTAACGCAATTTTATTTTAGGCATGAATGTCTAATTTCTTGATTTGGCTTCTTAAGAATATACTGAAAAGGTTGAATAGAATAAGAAAAAGAACATTAGAAAAGAATGGTGGGTGACTGCCTGATTTTACTAGTTTCTTATTGGTCAATAGAAGTAATCATGTGATGTCTACTTATAGAAGCAAATGGAAAAAATTTTTCTTCTTTAACTGCTAACAAGTATATAGGCAATTTTAGCAATCTTCATTTATTAATTTGAATATATAATTATAACTGTTATTAACAGAATAAGTTTTGGGTAATATAGGAAATAATAATTATTTCTTTCTTTTTAAGCCAAATTGGAAGTTGAATCTACTTTTGGTTCCTGTTCTGTTACTTTCAAAATCTTAAAATCCTTAACTCAAAAGGGAAAATGTATAATAAAACAGGATAGCAGTGCTGAAATTTCTCTCTCTTAGCAGTGGAGTGGGATGAGGGTGGGGGAGGGAGATGAATCTAGTGAGATATATTAATTGTTTTTTCCCCCTCTTGTATACTTGGATAACTTTTGAGATCAGTTTTCTCAGACTAGCAGCTCTCAAGACTTTTGCATAAGTATTTATTCTTAAAGAAATAGAAAGACAAGATAAGCACGGCTCTTAAGGGCAGGTCCTCCAATAAGTCAGGAAACGGGTGATCCAAACTTGTGAACATGACAAGTCAATTTGACTTAATTAAGGAATGGCATTAGTTTTCTTGAAGCACATGAATTTATAGGTTTTTAGAGTCTTGAAGACAGAAAAATGGCAACAAAGCATTAAGGTATTTACAGATAATTTATATTCAACTGCTAGCTTATGTTTTCAACTCTGTATTTCATGTAAGTAAATACTTGGGGAGAACATGATGATTTAATAATCTGGATAAATACTGCCGTGCCTGTTGGAAAAAAGCCTCTAATTTTTAGGTTTTCCTCATCCATTTAAAATCCATTGTTTTGAATGACAAAATGTGATAGAAACAGGTTGGAACAGTAAATGCTAGAAAGTATATCCCAGAAGAATTAACTGAGAACTTCATGTTTTCAATTCTATTTGCCGTTCTCTGTTCTCAATTTGTTAATTTTTAAAAGTACATCGAAAGTGAGTAGCATTGCTTGCTCTGAATTCTCCTCTGGGGTCATTGAGAGTATTCACATTTTCGTATACCCTGTTAAAAGATATTAATGCCATGCATATGCCTTTGTCTTTGTGGGTGTGTAAAACAACAAACTGAAGGGATCTGGTCAAGAGACAGACCTCAAAATAATTTCTCTGAAATAGTGTTTGAATTTGCATGTTCGGGAACGTAAATGCTTTCCCTTTGGGCTTGTTTCTTAAGTTTTTGGTGTAGTATACAGTTTTACCCAATTAAATTTTTCTTTTGAGGTCTGTATATGTATGGGTGTCTATATTTGATTTGAAGGGGGAGTTTTAATCATTAGTGAAACAAGTGGCTGTTTGTTAGAACCCAGATAAGCCTCATAGTGTTGTTCCTATGACAACTGAGTAGTTGGGTGTTGAAATGTAGCTTTAAGTTCTTGGTTTGGAAATGTCATTCAGACCTCCCACTATAGTCTCATTGAGTAGGAGGATAATGAGAAGGGGAAAAACCATGAAGCAACATAAGTATCTCCGTTCGTTTCATGTCTTCCTGACTTGTCTTTGTGTACAGGATCGCCATGGGAGTGGTAAACATAGGTCTTGAACAAAGCAATACTTCAATTAAAAAAATACATGGAAAGGGTCAGAAAAGTTGGGGAAGATAAATAACAACACATGGGGGCAATAAAGAGGCAAGAGAAATAGGCTTCCATGGGTTTCTGCAAATCCTTTATCCAGTGCTGACCAGCAGTGAGAACATCTTGAACCAGTTATTGTATAGCTCTTCAAGAGCTGTGAATTTCCTTAAAATGCAATGTGGAGAAAATTCCTTTGGTAGCAGGATGGTTTACCACTTTGGCATAACGTTTATTCATCTCCCCCAGGCAGACTACAGAGGATACTGTGTTCTTTTAAGGCACATGTTTTTAAACCAGTTGTTCATTTGTCATTTAATAGCTTTTGTCTTTTTTCTATGGGAAAGACAAGGTTGTACTATTAAAATAGTGATAAAATTTAAGTATTTTATTCTATATTCAAAAAGTGCTTTTGAAAAGTACTTAGAAAAAGATTGTTTGAGACCTGTTGTTTGTGGAAATGTCTGTCAATGGAGAATCTATGGAGCACTGTATTTGAGGAGAGGGATTGTTCAGACTAATATTTGGCATAGCTTAATTATGCAGTTGTTGATTTTCCATGTCTGAAGGTCTTCCTATTTCCTACTCCTAAATAGTTTTAACTATTTATTTGGTTGCTAGAACCTCCTGAAGTTAGAAAGAAAAAGATTTCAGTGGGGTTAGTCTCTTAATAAATATATGCCCACCATCTCTTCTGTAATCCAAAAAGCTCTGAAAATCAAAAGATTTTCATGTAACAAATTTGGCAGCAAATCCTGACCTGAACTGATGTGAAGCTAATGATAGTCTTTGTTTAGCTCGCTCAGAATGAATCTTTGTATGTTTTACTGTAGAAGTATTAATGTGTTTGATCACGGAGTATTGTTCCAGACTCCCCTAGAGGTTTATATACTATATTGAATAGTCAACCTATTACCTTTATAAAATAATAATAATAATCAATCTGAGTGTCAGGTAAGCATTTGTGGACCCATAATTACTGACATACATTGAGTTCATATTATATGCCGGGTACCATTCTAAATGAATCACTGGCATCTAAGAACAGTGTCTGGCACATAGTAGGTACTTAGTAGACACGTTTTGGTAGGAACTGCTTTACACTTATTAAATTCTTTAACTCACAAAAACAGTATACAGGAAGTAGCGGAGCCAAGATTTGAAAGCAGACAGTCTAGCTCCAATCTGCTCTTAATGATTCTGATGCAGGTACAAGAGAGGACTGGAGATGTGGCACTGGACTTCTTAACTGAGTCAGAGGGGGTGTTTGAGTGATTTACTTTATTCATAGTCACCCTATACCTCCTACGATCAAGAGCTGGTGGTATCACCACTATGGTCATTAGCCGGGGCTGTGGTTGAATGCTTATAACAGGTTCTCCTGGGTGGGAGTGTAGGAATTCCAGGGGTCTGAACTCTCCTCACAGGCTTCCCAAGGTGATCTCCATCAGTAAATCAGCCCGACTTTTTCATCTTGAAAAATTAAGACATAGGAAATAACTCTTTCCTTAACCCTAAGGAAGTTTCCTTGAACAGTGGGAAAAACGTTTTTGTAGACATTCCTTAGACCCCTTACCCAGCAGGAGGTGTGGAATCAATAAAGAGGGCATGGGTCACCTCCAAGGTTGTGAGCTCCCTGGCTTGGGAACTACACTGGGACACAGCAGAGCCTCTTGGCAGAAATCAGGCAGCCCATGGAGCTTCAGCTGCATGACTCTTTGAATTCACAAAAGGATACCTTTAACAGTACTTCTCAAAAAATGTATATAAGGCATGTCTCAAGTCCCTATATGTTTCTAGGGATAAAAAAATTCATTTCAAACTGATGGCAACCTCCCCATTCTATTCCCCAGCTTTCTATCCTTCTTCCTGCTTAATTTTTCTTCTTAGCACTTGCCTCTGTCTGACATATTGTATGTCTTACTTATTTATTCATTTGACATTTTAATTAGACACTAGCAGTATTGTTTTCTTTGAATACATTTAAAGGTCCTAGATTTATTTCTTTTTGATGCTCATCTTCTAACTCATTCCCTCCTATCAATCTCAGACTGCTGTAAATAAATGATTTTTTGCCTTTTTTTTTTTTTTTTACTATTAGTTATCATATTTATTTTTCTTAAACAAGCTGTACTGGTTATACAGTCTGAATTTGGAGAATAGACGTCTTCATTCAGGAGGGGAAATTGAGCCAAGTTTGAATATAATCATTGGGTAACAAATCCAGAAGATTAAGTTACTAAGGAGAACATGCAAAGTAAACACTTGCATTTTATGAACTACCTTCAATTTAAATAGACAACTGGGTAACTGTATATGACATGTTTTGGGAGTAAGACCTGTTAAACCTACCTACTTCCTACTGTTTTCATTTGAAAAATAAATCAATTATTAAACAGTTATTCTACACATTAAAGACTGTAAGTGATTTAACCTTGAATATTTCCTGACTCAAGTTCTTAAAATCCTCAACTCTAACCTCTTGTTTTTCAACCCCATATTTATTCTAGTTTATTCTTTCCAACATATTTAGGGCAATCTAAAACATAAAGTAAAAAAACCCCCACATATATTATTAACTATAAACAATGTGGTTATGTAAATGCATCATTTTAGTTGATCTTTTTTCTTTAGCCTAGTTCTTTTTTTCTTTTCTTTTCTCTCTCTTTTTTTTTTTTTTTTTTTTTTTTTTGAGACAGAGTCTTGCACTGTCACCCGGCCTGGAGTGCAATGGTGTGACCTTGGCTCACTGAAACCTCCACCTCCTGGGTTCACGTGATTCTCCTGCCTCAGCCTCCCGAGTAGCTGGGATTACAGGCACACACTGCCACGCCCGGCTAATTTTTTTTTATTTTTTATTTATTTATTTTTTATTTTTAGTAGAGACGGGGTTTCACTATGTTGGCCAGGCTGGTCTTGAACTCCTGACCTTGTGATCTGCCCGCCTCAGCCTCCCAAAGTGCTAGGATTACAGGTGTGAGCCACCGCGCCTGGCCTAGACTAATTCTTAAAGGAACAGATTAGATACATACAAAAGTTGAATTTAGTATGCTTTTGTAAGTTAATATAATGATTGGGACATTTTGTTTTCTTAGCTATGCTTTATAACAAAATAGTTCTAGTTACTTTCTTTTAAATGGTTACTAAAGTAATAACTTGCTTTTTAAAAACATAGTATAACTATTTAAGGTAGACTATGAAGAGTAGGCTGAGGTTTCATTTTAAATTATCTCCTCTTTCTGCCATGGAAGAGTTTAATTCCCCTGATGTGCTTATGGTATTGAAAGCCCATTGTTGGTGTTGGTATTGAAAGAAAGCTTAGTTTTTCTGCGTTTCCTAAAAGGAGAGGGAAGAAAGATTTTTAAAAGTGAAAATCCATTGATTTTTTTTTTTCTTGATTAGGATTTGTATAATATATCTGAAGTGAGACTAGAGTTCTTAAAGTTGAGAGAAACAGTAAATATGTACACGCCCGGCAAAACTTTGCAGGGAACATTCAGAGTTCGGATTACCTGAAAAAAATCTTGAAAGCTTCAGACATTTTCCAGAGAGTGTTAGTGCGTGAAAGTGGTACCCATGACCCCAAGAGGGTGTCCATTCACAGCCTCCATTGAAGTAGTTTACTCCCTAAGAGGCCCAGGCTTTGGAAATAAGTAGATTTGTGCTTTAAGCTCCCTTTGCCCCTTGCTAGCTGAGTAAGCTACTCCGCTATTTCCCTGAGCCCCAGAGTGTAGAGCATCAGAAGTAGTGCACAGGTTTGTTGTGTGAGATAACACATGTAAAGCACATGCTGTGGGACCTGGAGTAATGGTGCTTAACACACTTGCATTCCCTTCCAAAATCCCTTTAGGAACAGACTTCTTCAGTTTAGTCCTAAAGCCTGTAGATCCATGCTAAGTGATATGACTTTTTTTCACATCAGATTAAGCAAAACACTGATGATGGTGACTGTCGCTTATTGTGCAGTTACCATGTTCTGGACAGGCACTGTTGTAAGGGCTCTACCTGCATCGACCCATTTTTCCTCATGACAAACTATTGGTGCAATTATCATGCCCATTTCATAGATGAACACACAGAGGCACAGAGAGGTAAAGGAACTTACTTAGGGCCACTCATCTGTCATGGAACCAGAATCTAAATCCAAATAGGCTGTTGCCAGTACAGATGGTAAGTACATGTACTTCTGGCAGGAAAGCAGAATAAAAGTTGACTGAACCTGAAAGTCTCGGAAATGGTCTTCTCATTTCTATTCTGTAAAGTGTCACGTCTTCTAGGCCTACCTCTGTCAATATTGAAATACAAAATTAACTTTTTCTGCTTTTTATTTCACAAATCAACGGGAACAGTCTTAGTCATTTGTGTTTTATGAGTTTTAATTAGGCCACTGCAGTCCAGGAGGGGAATTCCTTGTTTTCAGTTGATCTCATATACTAACAAGTTTAATCATGTAACTTCCCCTATTTTTTTCTCTAATGTTTTCACTTGAAAGTGGGGGTGGGAGGGAGAAGTATGTTAGCATTTGAGTCCTAGGGATGCACTTACATCAACCTTTCTGGAAATTCCTTCTTGCTGGTATAGAACTAATCCATAGAAAAATGAAATGTGTAAGAATCTGTATTTACTAATATTTTTCTTCTTTATCTCCATCTAGTTCTGGATATTTTCTGGAGGATGGGGTAAAACTTCTAGATAAAGAAGTACAGGAAGCCATCTATGTGCATAAAACCTTATGTTTGGGTGTGGACTTAATTTTCAGAATATGGGAAAGGGGTTTCACATTGAGAATTTCCTCTTTCTGATGTAGATTGAGAATTTTGACTTAGAAGATGAGGGCATGTTATCCTAGCCCGTGGGTTCAGAGTGCTTGGAAGTCTCTTTAAAAAAAAAAAAAAATCCCCTGGCCTTGGACTGAGCCTGCTCTTGGAGGATTTATTAATCATGCCGGCCTTCATTCTTTCCTTTGTTTGTTCATTCCTTCATTTGTCCATACTCTCGCATAAGTCATTCAACATCTACCTGCAAATAGGTGAAAGAAAGGATGGGAGTGAGAGTCCATCAGGGGACGGGAGAGGAGAAGCAATAAACTCACTCTATGTTCCTTTCACCTCACTGACTGCATCTTGTATCTGATTGTTTGTCCCTTTGGAGACAACGTATATTTCACAGACAGACACTCACAACACTCATGAAGGTCTTTAAGCATCTTCCTTTGGGAGCTGCATTTCTTTTTTTAAAGTGAGAGGAGAAAATGCTTGTGAGGGAAAAACAGTGCAGAGAAATGGTTTTTCTTTCTTTCTTTTTAATGTTGGCGGAAGAAGGGTTCATAGTAGGGAACGTATCAGTAAATATAATCTAAGAGCACTCATGCTTTCAAATAATTTCCTTGTTTAAAGATATTAAGTGCAGTAGCGTTTACAATTAATGATCACAACCAGTTACAGATTGCTTTGTTCTTTCTCTACTCCTGCTGCTTCACCTGCCTACGCTTATAATAAAAGAACATTAAGAGACAACAAAGGCCATCACAAAGATGTCTTCAAAAATAATTTTAAAATAGAATTTTAATTAATTTAAAGGTAAGAAGTGTTGCCATGCCCTCAATCAAATTTATTATGACTTTTTGAAAATATCTCTAAGTAAATATATAGAAAATGAGGAATGAACATAGGGGAGGGCTTTTGGAATTTATACTACTATTCTTTCAAAAAATATTACTCGTCTCCATGTTGCAGTTAGGAATACGCTTCCTTAAGACAGAGTCATTATCTTTACTTGTTATTTAAATCTTGATATCACCTCCTATAGTTTTTGAAAGACATCACTCTTCAAGTTGTCTTCAATGGCACAAACTATACCTGTGCATTTTCTGAAACAAGTTTGACCATACCAGCAAAGGCAATGAAAATGCTTTGTCTTTCAGCATGAAATGTGAAGTCTACATTATTAGTGGGTATATATGGCCCAAGGGAAGAAAATGTTGAAGTAGATTTAAAAACAAAAACAAAATCACTCACACTCTAAAAGAATGTCTCAGTATTTCAAGGCTCTTCTCTCTCTCTGTGTTAAAACCAATAAGGAGGCCTCAGGACAAGTTAGGTTGATAATGACAGTGAATATCTACCTTTCTCCCCATTCCGTTTGACATCCATACTCCAAAAGACCTTCCCTTATTTGCTATGCATGGGTAGCAGGGAGATTATAGAGAAACTGTTCTTTTTCCTGCTTTCTTTTTTTACTGCTGGGGGAGTGATCACTTTCCTACAGCTCTTGTCCACCTGGCCCTTGAGGCGTTTGGAGTTTTGGTAAGGTGTTAACAAAAATTGTCTCAGGTGCCAACTAAATTTCATAAGCTTATAGCAGCACAACAGACTAAGACACCACATGGGAAATGTACATTTTACAAAAATATATTATACATCTACCATGTCTACCATGTGCCTTAGAGAGTTCTGGGTCTGGTAATACAGCAGTGAATAAAGTCCCCGCTCACATGGAGCGGGTAGGCTGATGGTGATGGAACTCATAAGTATACGGCAGGTGTTAGTAAACACTGCGGAGAAAAATAAAGCTGTGTCAGAGAGAGAGTACCTGGGGATCAGGGGTAGAGCGACGTTAACCAGGGCTAATAGGAAGGCCTCTTTGATGTTATTAGGCCAGTGAGGAATCAGCTGTGGGAGTGTCTGGAGGAAGAGGATTCCAGGCAGAGAAAATAAAAAAGTAACTGCAGTAGAGACGGGAGCAGGCTTTGTGTGTCCAAGAGACACATCATGGCAGATCAGGTAGGACTCTGTTGGCCACAGTAAGAAGCTGTTTGGAAGGTAGGAAATGATAACTAGAGAGAGTGAAGATGGTATTCTGAGAGTCTATGTGATTTATTGTAGGGATCCCGGAGAGTCGAGCCCCTTGTGCCTCATAACTGGAGTGTTTACAAGCCGTGTAAGGCCTTCTTGCAGTAAAATGCTACTTTTGTAATTTAAATTATTATGCTATGAAAACCTTAGCAAAGATAGATAAAGTTGAACTATTTGAAGCACAATTACAGCTAAAAAGCGCAAAGTGGGCAATTCTTCCTATCACATCTACTCCTCAGAGAGATGTGGGGTACCTGAATGTCTAACTGTGGAATGTTTTGATTTGATTTAAATTTGCCAAAAACTCATCTTCCATAAGGCATATCTTTGCTGATTTTTGCACTCAGTAACAAGCAGTTTAGAATTTTGAACTGAAGGGATTTTAAATCCATGTTTAAAGTGCTTTCATTTTAAAATAATTCTTAGTTTTATGTTCAGTCAGATGATAAGCTCCTTTTTAAAATTCTGTATGAAAACTTACTGTTTGGTACAGGTTAAGAAGTCTTGTTATACAGTACTTATTTTATTGGAGGTACAAAGAGAGTGTGGAAAAATAAAGGCAATTGGCCAGGTGGGAAGGGTAAAATTGTTTTATGTACCTTTTCTCTTGTAAAGTTGTGTTAAAAACATTTTTGTAATTTCTTAAAGGTAGAGTTGATTGCCATAATTTGATTGCAGCCCCCTGTCATTACTTCACTATTATACTCGGATACTAAATGCCCCTTACTAAATCTAAGGAAATGGGCAAGTTCTGTCATCTGGGAGTTTACATGTTAAGAGACATTGCACGGGTGAGAACAGACATAAAATGTATATGTAATTATATCGACAACATACAGGGCTTAGAAAGGGGCTTGATAGCCTTTTATAGGTGTCGTCCAGGTTTATCTTACTTGAAATACTGCCTGAGACTCTATACCTAATTCTTATCACATAGCCTTTCTATTAGTCAATGATAGATTTGGGTTGGGTTAACCCTCATATTCTTTTAGCAAGGGACCCACCTGCAGAAAAGAGTTATTATTGGTTTTGTCATTTATAGTTTAGTTCAACAAGACCGGATTTCCTCACCGCCTTTGGCTGAAACTGACTGACTAAATCAGTTTCACTTGTGGGGTAGAGAAATGAGTAATTTGGGAACATAGAGTGTTGTGTGGAGGAGAGCTTAGTTTGCTCCTCTTCATCCTCCCCTTAGGTAAGAAGTCTGCATTGAGAGAGGGAGAAAGATTTGGGACATCATGGGGAAACTGACCCCCTTGGGTGAGACACATTGGGAATTAAGAGAAAGATGTAAAAATGGACCAGGAGAGGATGTACAGAAGCCCCAGGGGAGCCAGAGAATTTCTGGTCCTAAGCTCAAGTGTCAGCCTCAGTTCTGCCTAGCATCTTGGACATGCTGTCCCTGCTGGCTTATCTCCTGTAAGACAAGGGGCATACTCCTGACTTACTGAGCATCCCATCTCAGAGGAGCTGGGAGTACAAGGAATTCAGGAATGGACTTTCAAGACAACATCTAACCCGAGTCTTCTGCAGACATTTCTCTACTGAATCTACTTTCTAAGTGTAGATTAGTGTCTAAGAGATAGACATTAAGTTTCTTTTTCTACCAGCCTCTGACCCCCTTGCTTTGAGGAAAACACATGTGTTGTCCACGAAGTGGTGAGTTCTGTTTGGTCCTTCCTCTAAGATTGGTCCGGGGCTTGAGCCGTTTTGCCCCATGTGCTCTGGGATTTCCCCCGGTTGTCCCCCCATATAAGTAGACAACTTGCTGTCTGTGTTCTAAGACCTTCATATTTTTCCCTTTGACTTGAGTCTGTTCTGGAACAATTGTGTGGTGGCTGGGCACTGCAAAATGAGTCAGTTCCTGCAGTTTGGTTACAAGTTCTCAAAAAGTATTTCAGAATGTGGATGTGGTCAGCAGAGTCATTTTCCAGACATCTAAAAGGAAACCCACATCAACTGTAACAATTGAGCTACGAACCGATGGCTCTACACAACCGAATGGGGCCTGCTTTTCCTCAAAGCCTGTAGGTGCCCTCAAATCTAGCATTCTCTATGGATCGGAAAGGAGAATTCATCTTCATGCTTGTAGATCACATTTTATCTGTTACTGTTGACATAAAAAAATGCGATAGAGGTTTTGGCCTTCATCACCTTTTGAATGTGGGCACAAATTTGACATAAGAAATAATTAGTAAAATGGAATCTATGGGATTAGAGTATAATTAGTGCAAAGTGTGAAATGTGGCTTAGGGATAGATGCTTGGGTAATTGAACTAATGCACGAAGGAGAGGTTAAGATGGTTTGGGTACCGATAGAGTACATCGAAATATGCTTATTTGGTTTACTAATAGTCTGAACCTGTGCAGACTTAGCAGCAATACTGATAAAATATCATTAAATCCTTTTCAAGCTTTAAAAGAAGTTCAGATTTGTCATAACATTTGGAGAATATTTTCGCTCCACACAAGTTTTGGAAAATAATCTTTGTGAATTTTTTTATCCTCTTGGGTATCATGAATTGTAAAATTTTGTTGCAGTTCTCAGTTACCAGTCTTGCTCCACTCATTAAAACTGATGGCATTTTCAATAATAAGAAAACAAAATTTAAAAATGGGTAAACGATTTGAACAGACACTTCACCACAGAAGATACGCAAATGGCAGATAAGCACAAGAAAAAATCTTTTCAATGTCATTAGTGAAACACAAGTCAAAACCACAGTGAGGTACTGCTACACACCTATCTGAATGGCTAAAATTTAAGAAGCCAGCCATGCCAACTGTTGGTAAGGATGTGTAGGATTTAGAACTCTCATGTAAAATGATACAAACATGTCAAACATACACCTATCATATGATTCAGCTGTTTCACTCCCAGAGAAAAGAAAGCATGTGCTCACCTGAAGACTCGTACGTGAATATGCATAGTAGTTTTATTAGTAATAGCTAAAAGCTGGAAACAATCCTAATGTCTATCAACAGGTAAATGGATAAACAAATTGTGGTGTATCTGTATGATGGATACTACTCAATAATAAGAAGGAATGAACTATTGATACCTTCAATAACATGGATGACCCTAACCCATGAGAGTCATATCATATGATTCCATGTATACAGAATTCTGGAAAATGTGAAAGCAGATCAGTGGTTACCTGGGGTAGGGGAGATGGGGGTGGCAAGAAAGGGGTTACAAAAAGGCCCGAGAAAACTTCCGGGCTGGTGGATAATTTCTGTCTTGTGTTGATGGTTTCATGGGTGTATATATGTCAAAACTTATCAAATTATACAATTTGAATATGTGCAGTTTATCGTATGTCAGTTATTCCTTAATTCTTAAAAAAAACTTAAAATAAGAAATCATTGTTATAGTAGATGGAAGGCTTTAAAATGCCCTTATTTGGCAAAATCAGCATTTCTTGGGGGGAGGGGGGAACCTGATAGAGTTTTAATGGTTTGAGGACAGAAATACGACCTTCTAGTACAGATGAGAAACCAAAGTTAAACAGTGAACATAATAAATGGGATCTCTTTAGTCCCTTTTGTTTACAAAGCATTTGAACAAGTGGTTCAGGAAGTATCTTTTCCAGCATGGTGGTTCCAGCTGCCTGCCCGACTTCTAAGCATTAGCACTTAAACAAACTTACTGTAGCAGTCTACCGTGCAATGTGGCTAAGACATCCAAAGTTGCTGTGTTCAGATTGCAAAGATAAGACATGAAAATCCCCACTTTCAGATTCTATCATTGTTGGAGAAATAAATCTCTCATATTTACACAGTGCATGAAAATTTATGTATTTCCAGCTGTATTGAGGTATAATTGACAAATAAATTGTATATATTCACAGTGTGCAATATGATGTTTTGGTATATGTATACATTGTGAAAGGATTACCACAATCAAGCTAATTAGCGTATGTATCACCTCACATAGTTATCTTTTGTGGTGAGAACGTTTTAAGATTTTTCTCTCTTAGCAAATTTCAGGTATATGATGTAGAATTATTAACTATAAAGTATTTTCATAAACCTCATCCTGTGAAATCCTTTCAATGGTCCTATTACAGGTAGGATCAGTATTATCCTCGTTTGCTTTGGCAGCAAACTGAGACCCAGAGAAGCCAAGCTACTTGGCCAGGAATACAGAGCCCCCATCTTCTTGCTCAGAAATCACCATTCTAACTACTACACTTTGCTTCTTCCTCAAACTATTGTCATTGAGTGTTTGGCTAAGACTCTTCACTCACCAATTTGTCAGGTAGTTATTAGAGTTCCTTTTTAAAAATATGAGATGTTCAAGATGATAATTCCCTCTAATCCTCTGTTTCCCCGTTTCTAAATGGGTAATAACACAGCCACCAGCTTCCCAAGTTTGTGACCCTTACACGTGGAAGAGTCATGAAAAGTGGGCAACTCTGTGTACCCAGTGGGTGTTGATGTTACTGTGTGACTGCCCTCTTTGTTCCTGGGTTACTGATCACACAGTACTGAGTGGCTTTGCAAACCCAACAGGGAGACATAGCAGTTTAGTTAACATTAGTTGCCCTATAGCTTCCTTCAGAATTGGAAAGTTGCACAATAAGAAATCCTATGTACTGGATTATTTTAAATTCTTCTTTAAAGGACACTAAACCATCATTAGTTGGGTCCCAGAGACTCACCAAACAGAGCTTAGAGGCAGATACCATTGAGGTTTACTTAGCTAACAAGATTGACCCATGTCTGGCATCCTCCTTTTCTCCTTGGTTGTGTTGCCTGTACATCTCTCCTCCTTATTCTTCATCATTTTCGATGGCCTTCTCTCTTCACTAGCCCTCTAACACACTTTAGAAAATGTTTTGTTTTTTTTTTAAATAACTATTTGATGTATTGGCAAAATGAGCAGTTTTCCTGAGAGTTCTCTGTCTGTCCCGACTGGCACTTCTTTTTTTTTTTTTTTTTTTTCTTTTTTCATATATTGATTTCTTTTAAATTAAATTAAATTTTTTAAAATTTCTGTTGGTTTTGGGGGAACAGGTGGTGTTTGGTTACATGAGTAAGTTTTTCAGTGGTGATTTGTGAGATTTGGGTGTACCCATCACCCGAGCAGTATACACTGTACCCAATTTTTAGTTTTTTTTTTTTTTGAGACAAGTCTCACTCTGTCACCCAGGCAGGAGTGCAGGGGTGCAATCTCGGCTCACTGCAAGCTCCGCCTCCCGGGTTCATGCCATTCTCCTGCCTCAGCCTCCTGAGTAGCTGGGACTACAGGCACCCGCCACCACACTCGGCTAATTTTTTGTATTTTTAGTAGAGACGGGGTTTCACCGTGTTAACCAGGATGGTCTCGAGCTCCTGACCTTGTGATCCGCCCACCTTGTCCTCCCAAAGTGCTGGGATTACAGGCGTGAGCCACCACGCGCAGCCCCAATTTGTAGTATTTTATCCCTCACCCGCCTCCCACCCTTTCCCCGAAGTCTCCAAAGTCCATTGTATCATTCTGGCACCTCTAAAACCAGACATGATTTGTTTTCTTGACTTCGGCTTGAGAGTTCCAATTTCTAACTCTAATGGACTTTAATCTTAGAAAATCAGGGGATATAATCATATGGTAGTGCAAAGAGTATCAAATTTTGTCTAAGGATGACAATCAAAGGGAGCCCTATTTTTTTGTTTTGTTTTTCATCAAATCCTCGAATTTATTCCATCCCTAATTCCGTGGTCCTTCATGGCATTCATAGGGGCAGCTGTGAAGAAAAGTGGTAATGTACCTGACGACTCTCTCCTGTCGGTGTCAGGGTTGCATTTACTATTACTGATCCCAGTAATAGGATGAGTTTGATCTCTCAGCATGAAAAGAATGACCATATTAGGGATTTGTTTGTTCTCCAGACTACAGAAAGTTTGATAACCAGAGTAGGACTTACTGGAGAGATAATGTCAGAATGAATAGAGACTGTCTGTGAGAAATTTGAACGGGCTCAGTGCTGTTACCTACTAGCTAGAAATGGGAAGCAAGGGGATGAATGTGAGGTTGGGGGCATTGAGTCAAGAAGAAGATCAGGCAATTCTGGAGCTAGGTAAATTGGGATCATTCCTGGCTTGTCACATCTACGTGGGACATTTAGACTATCCACGGGCTGGATACCTTAGGAAAGTTCCTTCTGGCTCTGGGACTCACTGCTCTTTCAGCATTGCCAATTTACATCTAGTGTGTTCTTGTTAGAAGTGGAAGGCTCCTCTTCATTTTTGAGCTCCTTGCGCCCTGTCATTTTCTCTGTATGAGAGGGTTTTGCTATTCCTTTTTGAGTGAAAACGACTCCCATAGCATATTGCCATTCACACTCCACCAGGTCTCCCCTTCACACACACACACACACACACACACACACACACACACACACACACCATTCTCTTGTCCTCCCTGAGCCAGTCCTTTCAAGGTTATATCATCCTTTAGTGCCAAGTACCTCCCCTGACCTCTTTCTTCACTCATAGAAAGAGGAACCAGATTTCCCCTGTGTGACTGCCATCAATACAAACAGCAGTTTTGTTTCTGTTATTTCCCCTTTCAACCTAGTGATAAAGTTTGCTGCTGCTGCTCTCCCCACCCCGCACAGGAAGAAAGACTTCCTTCCTTCATCTCTTGACTTTGCCCAGGCCTATGAATAATCTTCGCTTTGTCATGGACTCCGGATGCTCACCTTTTCTAACATTTTTTTTAAACCTCCAAGAGTTACTCCTCAGCCTCCTTCCCTTCCCCACCTTCTGGTTTTCCCTACCTGGTAAACTTCTTATTCTACCTAGTTAATAATAGTGGGCGCCCATGAAGCTCTTGCCTCATTGATGAGTATCTGGGCATTGGGCTTCCCTATGTCCATTTTCTCTTCTGGTGTATTGACTGACGTCTCTCTCCCTGGCTCTTTTCTCACTTGCGGTGGTGCTCCCTCTTCAATATCCTGCTTCCTTTTTACATTCCAGACTGTCATGTTGTAGACCATCTCCAATTGTAAGCTGAGTGCTTGATATTTTGCCATTTTCCTCTTTGTTAGTGTTTTGAATCCTAATTTTTAATCTGATTTTTAATTATATTGATGTTGTTTTTCTAGATACTTATATTTTGCTCTATAGAACTGTCCATACGTTGTCAAAAAACCTTCCACTGTCAGCACAAATACAGTCCAGCATCAACCAATAAGGAGAGAAGAAGGGGTAGAAGGATGCTGTTGTGCTATTATCAAGGCTTTGCATGGTCCTTGGGGTGTACCGAGTTATTTCCTCCAAAACAGTTGAGGTTTCCTTACAACCTGTTGAAGAACTGATCACACGTCCACTGTGTGGCAGCCACTCTGGGAGCAAATACTGGACTTGTAGGTTAGGTCTTTATACTGTAGTCTTTCTTCGTAGTTTGAAAATATCTATTTCCCCTCTTTCCCTTCGTTTAACACATTTTAGAACATTCTTTCTTTAAAAATCTTAATTAGCGTTTCCATTTTCTCTTTGTTACACAAGTAGAATCCATGTTTTCATCCTGTTCCTCTTTGCTGAAGTGTGTGTGTGTGTGTGTGTGTGTGTGTGTGTGTGTGTGTTTTGTACCTGATAGGTCATCAAATAGCATCTGCGGGAAATACATTTAGCCCTTCATCATTTAAAAATCATTTTTATTAGTCTTTCCGAATCTTCACACTTCTTCTGCTAACTATCTTCCTTTCTCTTCCATTGTGGTGTGAGCTATTTATATAAGCCACTTAATTTTAAAAGTCCACATACTGTCATAGAACTCATAATAATTGATACCTAATGTGGTTGAGCTTCTGATAACCATCATAAGCAAAAGAAACTGTATATATGGATGTTCTCTTTCTGGTCTTCCCTCATTACCTGTTCATTTGTCTTAGTTTTATCATTTTACTGGAGTAGATTTTATTTCCCTGAGGACCCTTCTGTGCTACAAACCTGTGATGGTACACAAACACACTCTAAGACAGTGCTTTCACTAGTCCATACTTCTGTTAAAAGGAACATACACTCTTTTACAAATAGCATGATCTTATAAGCACCCACAAATCTTACAGAAAGCTACCATAAAACTAAGAGAGAAAGCAAGAAATGTTTAAAGGATGAAGAAATACAAGAGTTTCCCTGAATGGAGATAGTCTTCCACTGTGTGTGTGTGTGTGTTTGTGTTTGTTGTTTTTTGAAATGTATCAGTATAGGTGTCAGGCATTTTACTGTCTATTCACTCACATTTCTTTATTTGACAAATATTTACTAAAAGGTGACTATGATCTAGTGTACTATGCTGGTACCTGGGGAATCTCAAAATTATGGGACTGATTCTTACCCTCAAAGAGCACATATTCTCACAGGGAGACACATTTCTAAACAAATTGAAGAGCAATGTGTCTTGTGTTTCTGGCTGAGACCACAGACTCAGTGATCTGGGAACCAGCCCCCAGTAGTATGCAGCTAACTTTCCAGAGGAATCCAGGAAGGTCCCTTAGCATCCTATAAGAGAGCTGGGCCTTGCAGGGAGGGAAGTGCTTGTCAGGCAGTGTTCAGAAGCCGAATTTTGCTCCTCCATCAGTCCATCTGAGGAGAGGGAAACTTGATGGGAAGATTCAAGGAAGACGACACAAAGAATTTTGTACCATAAGAACATTGTATGACAAAAGAAGTTCTGTACAGTGCCAAAAGCAGAGGCTTGGTAGAGATCTGATTATAAATGAAGGTTGCAATGGTAGACATGTGCGATGTTGATGCCTTTAGAAAATAGCACAAGGCTTAAAAATGAGACCAAATCCACAGAAAGGCCTCGGTAATAGTATAGAGTAGTAATGGGTTAATTGTCACTAAATAAGTCTCTAAGTCATGAATTCTTGAGAGAACTGACTGGTTTTTCTGCTATTCACAAGCTCAGAGAAGTTACTTTATTTTGACGTCCTTCTTTTGTTTTTACTTATCATTGATGGAATGCAAATTATTTTCCTCTTTCTTTTATTTAAAAACGACAAGAATTCCTCACCATCGTTGCACACTGCTGACATTGTATGTAGAGAATGCCTTAGGGTTTTCTTCCAGAGTGTGGGGAGAGGGACAAAGAGAGATATATATGTACATGGATTTAGGGCAATTAATTTCTGAAACTTGTCCATAAAAAGACTGTTTGTTACTTAGGTTAAAACTATCCTTTTCCTCTGAGTGTTTGCAATGAGTAAAATGCTTCATGTTTTCATCTATTGATTGTTTAAAAAATGTTGTTTTTCGTTGAGAAGGATTAAAGGCATGCACCTAATTGTTAAATATTAGTTTTTAAAAAACTAGTCTGAGTCTGTCTTTATGGGCTCTGAGTGGTTTCACCTTTAGAAGCTTGTTTTAGGATCTTGTGCCAACCAGTCCCTTCTGAGGCCTGTTCAGACTAGAATTATCTGGCAGGGGCAATGTCTTTTAAAAAAATGTCTTCAGCAGGAACGTCCCAGAGAATGTTCACCTCAGTCTTCAAGTTGGCTTGCGGAGCAATTTACTAAATAGAGAGATGTGAGAATCAAGTGACCATCAGCTGGTATAAATGTTTTTGGTCAGTGTAGTCACAGGATCTCAGGTATGCAAGAGCTGGACGGGTTTCAACCACGTGCCCGGTTATGGTGATACCCTGGCTCAGTTGCTCTAACATAACATAACACAGAAGGAATCCAAGTTCATAAGAACATACTTTAATTAGACACCTGTATTTAAAAGGCTGATTTCTCCTCTAGCATAATTTCACCCTGTGGCGCACTGTGTATACATGGGTGCATTTCTTCCCTGGCCTACAGTTAGAGTTAATTGGACTTTTTGTTCTTAACGGTGTGGGAGGCAGCTTTTTTTAAAAAAAAAAACAGCTTTATTGAAGTATAATTGATAAAGAACTGCACATATTTCATGTGGAAAATTTCATGAGTTTGGATATATGCAAACACCTGTGATACCATCACCATAATCAAGGTAATGGATGTATTCAACATCTCTCAAAGTTTCATTGTATCCCTTTGGTTTTGTGTCTGTGTTTGTGTATATGTTAAGAATCACTTAACATGAGATATACACTGTGGGTGGCAGTTTTTGTTCACTTCTAAAGTAAACTCTGACTTCATTAGAATAGTGGACTGGCTTATGCTCTGTCAAATCCCTAAACATGATTGTGATAGAATTTGACTCTATTCCTATTTAGTTACAGAAAACTACTGGTGCATGAACAAAAATATGTGAAATATCATGGATGGGGTTTAGGGGGACATGTGGGGCCAGACTTTGTGAGGTTATAGAAAATCATGGAACTGGAAAGCATCTGGAAGTTCTTTTACTCAAAGAAGCATAGATTCTTTCACATTTGTGTTAAAAACAGTGAATTAGACAATTTTGACTTGGTAAAGTTAGCATTCTGGCAATGCTGTGAAATCGTTCATCTCTCTTCATTTACTTCCACATATAGTCCCTAGGGTCAAAATTTCTTTCTAAAAATGATAATTTCTAAAGTCAGAGATGCTTTTTGGGGGCAAAATAGAATTGTCCAGGTAATCAGTTTAAAAGACAGAGTAATTCTACTCTTCCTTCAGTAGAATGACGCACGAAGCAGCATTTCTTTCATTTCCAGTAGAACTTTGATGCGAATGTGACTTTTATCTCTCTCAGTGTAGCTTTAAACATCAATGGGTTTCTTTACTTCTTGGTTTGGTGTATAGGTTGCCCCTGTTCTAACCGTGTGGAGTGTAAGCTCTTCAAATTCTAGGTTAACATTTCAAGAAATGGTCTTTATCCCAGTTCAAAGCAGGCCTTCCAACAGCAGGTGGCAGGCTTAACTTTTAATAGTCTTTCCCTCCCTTTAAACTCTTTCTCATACCTCAAATAAATGGTCTTTAGCCAGAATGTATGGGAGTTTTTGTTTATTATTATTTTTGTTTTGTTTGTTTGCAGTGTGACTAGGACTTGAGCAGAAGTACCTTGGTTACAGTCCTATCACTCACCCTTGGGGCTTAGTTGTCATCTTAATTGTTAGATAACAGAATTATATAACTCAACATTTCTAGTTTGAACCTATTTCTTTTCTTTTCCTTTTATTTTTAAACTGAAAATGCATTATTGGTTAATATTCTATGGTGTTATATATTCTACATATTCTATTCTTTGTGTTTTTAATAAACTTAAAACTGTATAGTATTGTTTAGTGGTTGACACTAATTTACAGAATAACCTTTAATAAAATTTTATTTACAGATTTTCCTATTTGTATTACCTAGATTAAATTTAAAACAAGGGGCAAAAGACCACCTTAACTTTAGTACTAAGATGTGGAGAATAGATACCTTTGAGAATTAAAAATTTACCTTTTCTCATCTAAATGTAAAGATTTATAAAAGATAATCTTTTGTATTTTGGCATTGAAAGTGACCACACTAAACCCTTGCCTCACTTTAATTGTTAGTCTTATTCATAAAAGTAGAGTTATGAACAGTTAGTTTTAGTGGTTTATGAAATGTAAGTTTGTGTGTTCTACAAATGCTTTATTTTACATTGAGGGTAAGACTTAGCCAAACCTATATAAACGGTCTTTTCCCCCACTTCAGTATGTATGCTCTGGTTTGTAGGCAGTGCCAAAATATACTTCATAGATGGGATTGGCCTTAACTTATTTAAAGAGAAAAAAAAGCAAGCAATCAAAAAAACCCCTGCTTCACCTTGTAAATTCCACCCTTATCCTCCCCCACCAAGAGCTAACCACACTGGTGAAGCACTATTACTATAATTTGGCAAGTGAGTTGCCTCTTAAAATTAGACATCTGTGATTAAATAGTTAAATCATTCCCTAGATATGTATATATTTAGAGCTCCCAGAAAGCTGGTTATCTTTTCTTATAGCTAACACATTTTTAAAAAGCCACTTTTCTCTTGGTGATAAATATGTGTGTGTCATACTGTGGTATAGCTGCATGTCCGATCAAATGGTACTAGTTTCCAATTGACAGTAGCTTTATTAAATCTTTTCTAAGTGATAGCTGAAGCATTTTAAATTCACAGCAAAGGATTCTAAGACGTGTACTTGGAGAAAAGTTGCATAGTCATTTACCTTCTAGAATAATCCTAAAAGTAGGAAACAATAATTGGCCATGTGGTCATGTGCTAATAAAAGAACACCTTGTCCAAGATACCAGGCTTTTTCCTGTTTCAGTGCTTTTTGTTCTGACTCTTGCCTCTCCCTGTGGTGTCCTTTCCCACCCCAGGTATGTACATGATTCTTCTCCTCCTACTTCAGGAATCCACTCAAATGCCAGGCCCTCAGTGAGGCTTTTCCTAGCCACCTTATCGAAAATAGCATTCCTCTTAACTGTTTCATTACTCTATGAAATGACCGTCCATATCTATGGAGGTTTTTTTCAGTCTTTTTCTACCCTTTCCTTAAATCTTAGACTTAAACTTCCGTGAGTGCAAGGATTTTGTTCAGTGTTGCATTCCCAGTGCCTGGAATAAAGCACGCAGAAGTATTTCAGTAAGGTACTGAAAGGTACTTATTGAAGGTACTCAGTAAGTATTTCTGGGGTGGATAAATGAATAGCAAAGAGAACACCAATCCTGTGACTTATTTTGTTACCTTCATTGTATCATGGGAGGAAAGCTTGGAACTGACATGCTAGTGAGCACCTGCTTTGAATATTTATTATAATATGCATTTTCTGTAATTTTCTTTGGTGTTTGAGATATTTGGTAAAATAACTGTATTATCCTCAGTTCGTAACACGAAAGAATTTTTTAACTGCAATTTACTTTACATATGTGCATCATTGCTAGATTACCCAAGTTAAAGTGACAGGAAGCAACAAAAATGCTCCAAGCCACAATAAAATGGTAGATTGGTTTTTTGTTTGCTTGTTTGTTTTTCTCTTGTGTATATTTCCATTTTACTGCAAAACATACCAAATAATTGATTGTAGATTTTGTCACAAGGAATCATGTATGCTGTAGAAGTATAGAGATTTTCCACTTTTTTTGTTTGCTGCTGGATCTCCAGCACCTAAGAAAATATGTGGCACTTTATTTAATGTCACTCAGTCAGTATCTGTTGGATAAGTAAATAAATCCAGAGGTTGTTTAAAATTACGTACATGGGAATATTGTCAAAATGTCAATTCATGATCCAAAGAAAATGTGCAATTGAAATCTGATATCTTCTTTTTTCTTCCACAGAGCCCCTCCCCAGAAGGCAAAGGATCACCCAGCTGCTGGAAGGTGTAGGTACCCTCAATGGCTCAGTAGCCAGTGTAGATCCTGTCTTTCGTAATCAGCAGCTACATCTGGCTACTGGGTCTCTGATGGCATCTTCTAGCTTCTGCTTCAGTGTCCTGAGAGAGATTATTGGGCAGTCTTTAATAATGAAAACTTTACCTTGAATTACACACACACACACACACACACACACACACACACACACACACTCACACACACACTCACACACACACAAAGAGAGAGAGAGAGAGAGAGAGAGAGAGACAGAGAGAGAGGAGAGAGTCAAGTTCTAGGGTGTTAAGTCCAACATTATCAGCTGGGGCTTGGGAACCTTCAAGGTTTTATGAATGATGAGGTCTATTTGCTTTCAATACTACAAGGGGGAGGAATCTGGATATTTATCCATGTTTTAGCTCTTACCTGTTTTTGTTTTACCTCTTTTTTTCTCTTTCCCCCCTATGAAAGGTATCATTTGGATAGATCAATCTATTCATCTATCTACCTACCTACCTATCTACCCCTACCCATCCACCCATTTATCCATCCACCCATCCATCCATCCATCCACCCACCTGCCCACGTACCTACCAGTTTATCTATCCGACCTTCCTTCCATCCAGCTTTTTCATCTCTTGACTTTTAGATGGCATTTTCAACATGATGTCATGATTAAATGATGACAACTTGATGATATGATGGTTTAAGGAAATTTTGTTGGTAGTAGGTAAGTCCCAGCATTTCTGACTGTTGGTTTTCTTTTCCTTGTGGTAGAAAAGACAAATGCCAATTTTGAAATCTTGAATGCAGTAGGCAGTTGTGTTGAAATAGTATGTGAGAATTACTTGCAAGCTGAACATCCAGGTCTGGGGCATGAACCTGGCATACAATGTAGATTTCTGTGTTCGTTAGGCAACAGCTACATTGTCTGCTGGGTTTCAGGCTACCTGGAAACATGTTCTCCATTGGCTGTCTCACCAATGCTACCCCTATAATGTTTCTGAATAACTGTTTTCCAGGAGGTATAAACCAGTGGAGTTTATCATTGAATAGAGTGCAGAGAAAGGACCGCAAGAAAGCTGATCACCTCAGCAATGAATGATTTCAATACGATTTCACCCAAATGGTCTCACACACCAGCCTAGTAAACCAGAGATAAGGTGTAATGTCATCCTTCCTTCCTTCTCCCTGCCTCAACTGTCAAAGATTGACAACTTACATGTTGTTTACTTTTTGGCTTCTATTTCTGTTCATAATTATTATCAGAAGGCATAGCACCCACAAGCCTAATCATACTGCCTTACAACCTTATTCCTCTTCATTTTGTCTTCTCACTTACCTGCAGAAACCCAGTTTATTTTTGTTCTCCCTTTACCACACCAGCCTTGTAACTGTTATGAATGACCCTCAATCTCACTGGAATCTGAATCACTCAGGAATTCAAGCAAACTGGATGTTTTAACCACTGTTCAGCTTTCTTATGGAATGACAGAGAACTTGTAAAGATAAAACACCAGTTTGCAGGAAGAAAGGAAGAGAATGGAAATTGCTTCTGGAAAATACTAGTTTTACAATATGTTTTGTTTGTCTGCTCTCTTAAATAAACTTAATCCTATAAACATTTTTTAAGAACTAGCCATTAAGACTGTTAAGTTCTCAATTATAAAGGAATAAAATGTTTTAAGGAGGATTTATTTGCCCTTGCTTATATGAACTGCATATTTTTAGTAGGAAATCATGTAATTTAAATTAGTATTGGTTAACAGATTTAACGTAGAAAATGGACATATAAAGAATACAAGGATAAATGTCTACATGTAATAATGGATGGTAGTGATATAATGCATTTTTGTCATCCCATGCTGAATTCAGTAAAAATAAAGCTAATGACTTGGAGCTTTTAAAAGATTGTACTGTTCTCTGTGTGTGTCTTTTGGCTTCCTACTCACCAATCAGTTCTATTATCTATTCTGTACCTGAGCCACTGGCTTTTGTGACCCGGGAAGAGAAAGTAATTCCACTTAAGACGTTTGACAGGCTTTTAAGAGAAATAAGTGGCTCTGTGCAACATGGTTATGTTTAATAAATCATAATTACCAAAGGGACAGTTTCTCTTCTCCCATGTCCACTCATACTTTTTTTTTTTTTTTTTTAAAGAGATGAGTTCTCATTCTGTCATTCAGGCTGGAGTGCACTGGTACAGAACTCTTGGGCTCAAGTGATCCTCTCGCCTCAGCCTCCAAAAGTGCTGGGATTACAGGCTTGAACCACCATGCCCAGTCCTCCACTCCTTACTTCTGATGTTCTTTGAGTCCCTTTGCCTATCATTAAATGAGAAGGTGTTGACAGTGGTGCCAGGTGTGAAGAACTCCCTAATTCCATTGATAAGTTTACATTTCCCTCTCAGGTACAAGTATTGGGTTGATCCTCAAAGCAAGATTGAATGTTGTGATAATATAATAAGAAAAAGACATATTTGGTCTTCACCCTCAGTTCCTGGAACAGAGCTGCTAAAACTGTCATAATTTTCTAACTAATAGAGGTGATAGCATCTTTTGTTAAAGTATTTGGTCTTAGTCCCCTGTTCCTGACACAAGAGCTTCTAAGATCCTTGGACTCTCTGGAGTGATGAGTGTCTTTCTGTATGCTAACAAGATAATGAGATGACTTGGCTTAGCGGGGAGTAGAGGTGGTGGCAAGTTAGCTTCAGGATGAAGGCTGGTTGTCAGAAAGACCAAGGTATGATTAGAGGGTTGGAGCTTTCAACATTCAATCCCACCCCTGACCTCTGACAACTGAGTTGATCACTGTCTTAGTCCATTCATGCTGGTATAACAAAGTACCCGCGACTGGGTAATTTATAATGAACAGTAATTTATTTTCTTATAGTCCTAGAAGCTGGGAAGTCCAAGGCCAAGGCCTTGGCACTCAGTGTTGGGTGAGGGCCTTCTTACTGCTTCTTCATATGATGATGAACGGGCAAAAAGAAGATGAATGCTGTGTCTTCACATAGGAGAAGAGAAAGAACACACTCCGTCAAGCCCCTTTTAAAGAGCCTAATCCCATCAGTGAGGCCTCTTCCCTTGTAACCTAATCACCTCTTAAAGCCTGTACCTCTTAATACTATCACACTGATGACTAAGGTTCAACATATGAACTTCGGAGGACACAATCAGACCATAGTGTCTGGCTCCTGGCCCCCCAAATTTATGTTCTTACGTATGAAATATATTCATTCCATCTCAGTAGCCCCAGAGATCTTAACTTGTTCCAGCATCAACTCAAAAGTCTAGAATCTCATGTAAATCAGATATGAGTGAGACTGAAGGTAAGGTTCATTCTGAGACAAATTGCTTTTGTGCTGTGAACCTATAAGGTCAAACAAGTTATATACTTCCAAAATACAATGGTGGAACAACCATAGGATAGACATTTCCATTCCAAAACAAAGCAATAGGAAAGAAAGAAGGAATAACAGGTCCTAAGTAAGTGCTAAAACCAACAAGGTAAACAACATTAAATCTTAAGGCTTGAGAATAATCTAGACACACTGGAGTGGAGGTTAAGCCCCCAAGGCCATAGGGGGCCTCAGCCCCATGGTTTTGTTGGGCATATTCTATACAGCACCTCGCAAGTTGGAGTTGGGTGTCTGCAGCTCTCCCAGGCTAGGATCACACTCCAGTGGCTCTGCAGTACTGGAGTCTCAGAGGCAGTCCCAATCTTATGGCTACCCTGGGCATTGTCCCACTGGGGAGTCTGGTGGCACTATCCCTGTCTCAGTTCTCTGTGTTGGTCCTGAGGCTCTCCAAGTCATCCATTGAAACCTACGTGGAATTAGTCATTCCTCCACAGCTCTTGCGCTCTGTGTGTCTGCAGAGTTATAATGTGGACACTGGGGGCACTAGCCACACCTAGGCATAACCACAGCTGAGGTGGGTGAGGAGTGCTACACTGGAGTAAATGGAGCAGAGATGAGGCATCACTGGGCAGTGAACGCAGAGGTTCTTCGGTTACCCTAAGCCCCTAGTTTTAGTTATGTGCCCCAGGCCTTGGCACTCCGGGCTTGTCATGAGAAAGGCAGCACCAATAGTCTCTGATATGCCTTCAGGGTGTTTTTTGTTTTGTTTTGTTTTGTTTTGAGACAAAGTCTCACTCTGTCACCCAGGCTGGAGTGCAGCGGGACGATCTCAGCTCACTGCAACCTCCACCTCCCAGGTTCAAGTGGTTCTCCCACCTCACCCTCTCCAGCAGCTGGGATTACAGGTGTGCACCACCACCCAGCTAATTTTTGTATTTTTAGTAGCGATGGGGTTTCACCGTGTTCAGGGTCACTTTTCATTGTCTTGATGAACAGTGTATGACTTTCTTCTATCCATACTAATCTCCTTGCAAATGGTCACTTCTTCACACCCCTGGTGTTTTCTTCCAAATGCTTTTGCACTTGGCCAGGCTGAGAATGTTCCAAACCTTTAAATTCTGCTTCCCCTTTGATTTTATTATTTATTATTATTTGAGACAGGTTCTTGCTGTGTTGCCCAGGCTGGAGTGCAGTGGTGAGATTTTAGCCCTCTGCAGCCTTGACCACCCAGGCTTAAGTGATCCTCCCACCTCAGCTTCCCGAGTAGCTGGGAGTACAGGCATGTGCCACCACACCTGGCTAATTTTTTGTATTTTTGGTAGAGACAGGGTTTCACCATGTTGCCCAGGCTGGTCTCAAACTCCTGAGCTCAATAGATCCACCCACCCTTGGCCTCACAAAGTGCTGGAATTACAGGCATGAGCCACCATGCCTGGCCACTCCTCTGAGTTTAAATTCCATCTTCACTATATTTCTCTCCTGCATTTTACTATAAGCAGTTAAGAGAAGCCATGCAGTACCCTGAACACCTTGCTCAAAGATTTCTTCTGCCAAATATCCTAGTTCATCACTCTTAAATTCTGCCTTCCATAAAGTTCTAGGAAGTGGGCAAAATTCTGCCACGTTCTTTGCCATTTTGCAACAAGGATGACTTTTCCTCTGGTTTCCAATAAGACACTCCTCATTTCTATATAATACTTCCTCACGATGGCCTTTACTATGCATATATCTGTCAGCATTCTGATCATGATAACTTAGGTACTCTCAAAAAAAGCATCTCTCTACAGCTTTCCTCTTCTGAGCCCTCACCAGAATCATCCTTAATGCTCTGTTCATGGCAATGTATGCTTTTTCTAGCCTGCACCTTCAAAATCTTCCAGCTTCTATCCACTATCCAGTTCCAAAGCTGTGTCCACATTTTTAGATATTTGTTATAGCAACACCCCAATTTTCTAGTACTAGTTTCTGTTTTAGTCCATTTGTCCTGCTATATAAAAGTGCCTGAGACTGGGTCATTCATAAAGAACAGAAATTTATTTTTCTCACAGTTCTTGAGGTTGGGAAGTCCAAGATCAAGGCACCAACATTTGGTATCTGGTGAGGACCTTCTTGCTGTGTCCTAACATGATGGAAGGTGGAAGGGCAAAAGAGATGAACTATCCTTACATGGCAGAAGAGCAGAAGAGAAGACCCCACTCCCTCAAGTGCTTTTATAAGAGCCATAATGCCATCCATGAGGACTCTGCCATTATGACTTAATCACTGCCTAAAACCCCACCTCTTAATGTTATTACATTGGAGATTAAGTTTCAGTATACAAATTTGGGGGGATGCAATCAGATCACAGCAGTTACCAATGGCCAATGATGTAATCAATTGTGTATGTAATAAAACTTCCATATAACCCCCAGAATTACAGAGTTCTGATGGCTTCTGGGTTGGTGAACACATGGAGATATTAAGGGGATGGCATTCCAGGAGGCTGCATGGAAGCCCCTCATCCTTTCCCACATACTTTGCCTTATATATCTTTTCCATTTGGCTGTTCCTGACTTGTACCCGTTATAATAAACCATTAATATTAAGTAAACGTTTATTCTGAGTTCTGTGCGCTGTTCTTGCAAATTATCTAACACAAGGAGGGAGCAGTGGGAACTCCTGATTAATAGCCAGTCAGAAATACAAGTGGTTCAGAACTTGGAATTGACATTTGAAGTGGGGGCAGTCTTGTGAGTCCTTAACTTGCACCATCTGACACTAATTCCAGTTAGATGGTGCCAGAATTAAATTGTAGGGCACTCAGCTAGTGTCAGAGAATTGGTTGGTGTCGGGGAAGAAACCTGCACATTTGATGTCAAAGTGTTAAGCATGAAAACAAGATGGAAAGGTGCAAACAACCAGGGGCTTGTTTTCTCACTTTTTCTCAACTTTTTTTCTCTCATTCTGTAAGACCCTGAAGCAATGGACACTGGTTTGTTGGCTCTTACTAGAAGAGGCACAACAACCTGACTATATTCTTTTTTAAAAAACTTTTCATTTTGAAATAATTTCAAACTTCAACATAGTTGCAAAAATAATATGAAGGCAGCGCTGGTGGGAGTTTAAAATGGTACAGCTGCTTTGGAAAAGTTTGGCAGTTCCTCAAATACTTAAATAACATTACCATATGATTAAGAAATTTCACTCGTATGGGTATACCCAAAAGAATTGAAAACAGGTACTCAAAAACATGTGCATGCATGTTCATAGTAGCACTATTCTTATTCACAGTAACTGTAAGGCGGAAATGTCCATCAACAGATGAATGATAAAATGTGTTATATCCACACAATGCAATATTACACAGCCTTAAAAGGAATGAAGTACTGATTCATGCTACAACATGGGTGAACCTCAAAAATATTATGCTAAGTGAATGAAGCCAGATACAAAAAGCCACATACTATGTATTTCCATTTATATGAAATATCCAGAATAGGCAATTCTATAGAGACAGTAGATAAGTAGTTGCCGGGGCTTGGAGGTAGGAAGGAGTGGGGAATGAGTGCTAATGGATACAACATTTCTCTTTGGGGTGATGAAAATATTATGAAATTAATGTTCTGGAGATGGTTGCAAAGCTTCGTGAATATACTAAAAATCACTGAATTGTACACTTTAAATGGGTGAATTTCAAAATATGTGAATTATATCTAATAATAAAAAAATTGAGAGTATCCACACACCTTCAATTCCCCAGATGACAATATCTTATGTACCTACAATTATCAAAATCAAAAAATTAACATCAATATAATACTATAACCTACACACTGTGTTCAGATTTCACCACTTGTCTCTCTGTTGTTCTGTTTCTAGTTTAGGATCCAATCTAAGATCCCACGTTTAGTTTTTATATCTCTAGTCTCCTTTAACCTGAAACAGTTTCTCAGCTTTCCTTTGTCTTTCATGACTTTGGCACTTTGGAAGAGTACAGGCCAGTTATTTTGTAGAGTGTTCCTCAGTTTGGGTTTCTGGTAATTCCTTCTGCTTAAAGTCAGGTTATACATGTTTGGCAAGAATAACACGTAAGTACAGTTGTGTCCTTAAGTGCATCATATTAGGATACACATTACATCGATTTGTCCTGCTACTGGTGATGTTAAATTCAGTGATCAGTTTCTTTGGTGTGTGATTGTGACTATTCATAGTTTTCTTTCTTGTTTATAAAAAAATTTCATTTTATCACCATTCTATACTCCCATTTTCCCTTACTCCCCACACATAGTCAAATATATTTAATGTGTATCATGTAGTTTCTATGTGTTCTTGAAAAATGTACCTTGTTTTGGTGTCCAAGTATTTTTAGTTTACATGAGTGACATTGTGTTGTATCTCATTCCATTTCTTACTTTTAAAATTCAGCACTGTTTTTAAGGTCCATTCTTGTTTCTAATCTGTTATTTTTAATTCTGCATGATACTCCTTGGAGTGCAACTACCACATTTCACCTATGCCATTTCCAGTGATAGACCCCACATGGGAACCAATTCCTGGCCACCACAAATAACATTGTACTGAACATTCTAATAATGCATGTCTCCTTATGGGTCTCTGTAGGAAATTATTTGGAATGTATAATGAGGAATGGAGTTGTTGGGTCATAGGACACACACACACACACACACACACACACACACACACACACACAGAATGGCCTGATCAGTCCATGTTCCCAGTGTTAGTGAATGAGGTTTCCTTGGTACATCCCTGCCCATAACCGATATGATGAAGCTATTTCTGCCAGTCTAAAAGATGTGATATCTTATTGTTTTAATTTGCATTTCTCTGGTTGCTAATGATTATGAACATCTTTTTGTATGCATTTGAGCTTTGGAGGTTTTCTGTAACTTTCCTGTTGATATATTTTTTCCATTTTAACTTTTAAAACTGTGAAGTAGCATATGGGGAAATGCATGTAAAATAAATAAACAACTCACTAAATAGAGTTGTGTAATTGCCACCCAAATCAACAAATGGAATATTCCAAGTATCTCAGAAACTCAACTCCTATGTATCCTCCCAGTCGGTATCTTTCACTGCTCCCCAAAGGTAACTATCACTCTGAATTCTAAAATTATAGCTTAGTATTGCTTGTTAATGAAGTTTTCAACTCTCTTGTTCATTTTTATGTTCAGGCAGATTATTTGTTGACTTGTAAGAATTCTTCATATATTCTGGATGTAAGCCTTTTGTTATTTTATTGCAAATATCTTTTACTCTATGATTTCCCTTTCGTTTTCTCAATGGTTTCAATGACCAAAAATTCTTAATTTTAATGTAATCTAATCAATCAATATTTTCTTTAGTAAGTGTTATTTTTTGTATGTCCTGTTAAAATCTTTTCCTATTCCAAAAGTTTTATTGTTTTGCCTTTCACATTTCACATTTAAATACACAATTCTCCTGGAACTGAATTTTATAAATTGGGTGTGTTAGATGTCAAATTTTGTTTTTTAGTATAGGGATTTACAAGTTATTCAACTTCATTTGTTGAAAACGTTCCCCACGGCTCTGTGCAACTTTCACAAATAAATCAAATGCCTATAGATGTCTGTGTCTACTTCTGGGATATGTATTCTATTGGTCCATTTGAATATTCTTGTACCAATAATACTTTGTCTTTATTACCATAGCTGTATAGGTTAAAAAAATGTTTTTAGAGACAGGGTCTCACTCTGTCACCTAGGCTGGAGTACATTCTTGACCTCCTGGGCTCAAGTAATCCTCCTGCCTCAGCCTCCCAAGTAGCTGGGACTACAGGTGCACACCATCATGCCTAGCTAAGTTTTTCTTTTTTTTGTAGAGATAAGGTCTTGCTATGTTGCTCAGGCTGGTCTCAAACTCTCCTGAAGTAATACTCCTGCCTCGGCTTCCCAAAGTGCTGGGATTACAGGTGTGAGCCACCACGCCTGGCCGCTATATAAGTTTTGATATCCACTAGAGCTGTTCTTTGATATTGCTTTGAATATTTTAGCTCTTTGCATTTGTGTTATAAATTTTAGAATCCATTGTAAATTTTGCCAAAAATGTTAGGATCTTAATTGGAAACGTAGTTAATCAATTTGGAGAGAATTGATATTTATGCTTTATAGAGTGTTCTGATATGTGAATACTGGGATCTCTCTACTGGTTTAGGTCTTTAATTTCTCAAATGTTTTAAAGTTTTCTGTGTGGAGCTTTTGCACATCATACATTAGATTCATTCCTAAGTATCTGATCTTTTGTGATGCTACCATACATGGTATCTCAAAATTTCGCTTTGTAATGAATTGTCCTGGTATATAAAAATGCAGTTCGTTTTTTTGACTTCGTATCCAGCAACTTTGCTAAACTTATTTGTTAATTCTAAGGTTAATTGTAGATTTTTGACTATGTACACAAATATATCTATGAATAGGTTTTCTTTCTTCCTTTCTAATCTTTATATTTCTTATTTATCTTTGTTTACTAATTGTACTGGCTAGGGCATATAGTGCAGTGTTGAATAGAGGAGTGCATAGAGAGCATCTTTGTCTTATTCTCAGTCTCAAAGGGAACACTTAGCATTTCACCAGTAAGTATGACGTTTGCCCTAGGTTCTTTGTAAAAATAGGCCTTTTAAGGCAGTTTACCTCTCTTTTGAGAGTGTTAAATTTTTTTCATGAGTAGATAGTGAATTTTATCAAATGCCTTTTCTGCATTTACTGAGATGATCATCTGGTTTTTGTCTCCTTTGTTTAGTTAATGTGGTGAATTGCACTGATTTTTTAAAAACAACTTTATTGAGGTATAATTTACATATATTAAAATGCACCAATTTTAAGTATAAATTCAAAAAGTTTTGATAAATATATACCCATTAGCAATCATCACAACCAAGATATAAAACATTTTATTATCCTAAAAATCCCCCTCATGTCTCTTTTAGGTCAATTCCCACACCCCTCCCACCCCCACAAGGCACACACTCACCCCCACAAGGCACACACTCACCCCCACAAGGCACACACTCCCACCCCCACAAGGCACACACTCACCCCCACAAGGCACACACTCACCCCCACAAGGCACACACTCCCACCCCCACAAGGCACACACTCCCACACTGGCTTTCTGAACAGTAGGGTGAGGGCTATCATGGTGGGAAAGGCCAAATGGAAGTCATTAGAGCTGCCTCTATCTAGAAAAATAGTAAACTCGTTTTCTAGAGTTTTATGTAAATGGAATTATATATATAGCCTTATGAGTCAAGCTTCTTTCTTTTTCTTTTTTCTTTTTTTTTTTTTGAGATGGAGTTTTGCTCTTGTTGCCCAGGCTGGAGTACAATGGCACGATCTCGGCTTACTGCAACCTCCGCCTCCCGAGTTCAAGCGATTCTCCTGCCTCAGCCTCCTGAGTAGCTGGGATTACAGGCATGTGCAACCACGCCTGGCTAATTTTGTATTTTTAGTAGAGACAAGGTTTCTCCATGTTGGTGAGGCTGGTCTTGAACTCCTGACCTCAGGTGATCTGCCTTCCTTGGCCTCTCAAAGTGCTGGGATTATAGGCGTGAGCCACCATGCCTGGCCGAGTCAGGTTTCTTTCACTTGGCATGTTTCTCAGATTCATCTGTGTTTCATGAATCAGTAGTTCTTTTTTACTGCTTGGTAGTATGCTATTAAATGGATATATCACAGTTTGTTTATCTATTCATCTTTTAATGGACATTTGGGTTGTTTTTAGTTTTGACTATTGAGAATAAAGCTTTTTATGTACATTAAACCTTTGTATAGTCATATATTTACCTTTGTCTTGGGAAAATACTTATGAGTCACAGGTAGGTATATTTTTTATTTTATAAGAAACTGCCAAACTGTTTTCCAAAGTGATTGTACCACTTTATGTTCTCACCTACAATTTATGAGTGTGCCATTTGTTCAAACATTCTTGCTGACCCTTGATATTGGCAGTCCTTAATTTTAGCTGCACTAGTGGCTATGAGTAGTATCTCATTGTGGTTTCAAATTGCACTTCCCCAATGACTAAAGATGTTGACTTTCTTTCATGTGTTTATCTGCCATTCATATGCCTTTTTTGGTTAAATATCTCTTCATATCTTTTCCCGTTTTTAGATGGAATGTTTGTCTTCTCATTATTCAGTTTTAAGAGTTTTTATATATTCTGCATAGAGACCCTTTATTAGACATGTGTTTTGCTAATATTTTCTCCCAGCCTGTTGCATGCCTGTTCTTTTTCTTTTTCTTTTTTTTTTTTTTTTTTTGAGACGGAGTCTCGCACTGTCGCCCAGGCTGCAGTGCAGTGGCCCGATCTCAGCTCACTGCAAGCTCCGCCTCCTGGGTTCATGCCATTCTCCTGCCTCAGCTTCCTGAGTAGCTGGGACTACAGGTGCCCACCACCACGCCCGGCTAATTTTTTGTATTTTTAGTAGAGACAGGGTTTCACTGTGTTAGCCAGGATGGTCTGGAACTCCTAACCTCGTGATCTGCCCGCCTTGGCCTCCCAGAGTGCTGGGATTACAGGCGTAAGCCACCACGCCTGGCGCCTATTCTTTTTCTTAACAGTATTTGTATTAGTCTGTTTTTACACTGCGATAAAGATACTACCTGAGACTGGGTAATTTATGAACAAAAGCGGTGCAGCTGCAGAATTCCCACACTGGCTCTCTGAATAGTAGGGTGAGGGCTATTACGGTGGGAAAGGCCAAATGGAAGTCATTAGAGCTGCCTCTACCTAGAAAAATAGTAAATCAAAAACAATATCACATCCCTGGAGGGATTGCGGAGATTAGTGCCACCATCAAGGACTTGAATGACACAGGGGTGGTGATTTCCACCACACTCCCGTTCAACTCTCCTATTTGGCCTGTGCAGAAGACAGATGGATCTTCGAGAAAGACAGTGGATTTTCTAAGCTTAACCAAGTGGTGACTCCAATTGCAGCTGCTGTACCAGATGTGGTTTCATTGCTTGAGCAAATTAACACATTTCCTGGTACCTGGTATGTAGCCATTGCCTTGGAAAATGCCCTTTTCTCCATTCCTGTCCATAAGGCCCACAAGAAGCAATTTGCCTTTGGGTGGCAAGGCCAGCAATATGCCTTTACTGTCCTACCTCAGGGTTATATCAACTCTCCAGCTTTGTGTCGTAATCTTATTCGGAGAGACCTTGATCGCCGTGCTTCCTCAAGATATCACACTGGTGGCGGGGGCGGGGCACGGGTGGTGGTGGCGGGGAGGCCCTGGGCCTGGCCCACAAAGCCATTTTTCTCTTCTAGGCCTCTGGGCCTGTGATGAGAGGGGCTGCTAGTCTGATATGCCCTGGAGACAATTTCCCCATTGTCTTGGCTATTAACATTCGGCTCTTTCACCTGTGCAAATTTCTGCAGCCTGCTTGAATTCCTCCCCAGAAAATGCGTTTTCTTTTCTACACATGGTCAGGCTGCAAATTTTCCAAACCTTTATTCTTTGCTTCCCTTTTAAATGTAAGTTCCAATTTCAAACCCTCTCTTTATGAATGCACATGACTGAATGTTTTCAGAATCAGCCAGTTCAACTATTGAATGCTTTGCTTCTTGGAAATTTCTTCCACCAGATACCCTAAATCATCTCTCTCAAGTTCAAAGTTCCACAGATCTCTAGAGCAGGGGCAAAATGCTGCCAGTCTCATTGCTAAAGCATAGCAAGAGTGACCTTTGCTTCAGTTCCCAATAAGTTTCTCATCTCTATCCGAGACTACCTCAGTCTGGACTTCATTGTCCCTGTCACTATAAGTATTTTGGTCAAAACCATTCAACAAGTCTCTAGGAAGTTCCAAACTTCCCCGCATCTTCCTGTCTTCTTCCGAGCCCTCCAAACTGTTCCAACCTCTGCCTGTTACCAAGCTCCAAAGTTGCTTCCATATTTTCAGGTTATCTTTATAGCAGTACCCGACTCTGCCAGTACCAATTCTCCGTATTAGTCCATTTTCACACTGCTATAAAGATATTACTCAAGACTGGGTAATTTACAAACAAAAGAGGTTTGAGTCACAGTTCCACATGGCTTTGGAGGACGCAGGAAACTTACTATCATGGCAGAAGGCAAAGGGGAAGCAAGGCACATTTTACATGGCAGCAGGAGAGCAAGAGCACAGGGGAAACTGCCAAACACTTTTGAAGCATCAGATTTTATGAGAACTCACTCACTATCACAAGAACAGCCTGGGGGAAACCGCCCCCATGATCCAATCACCTCCCACTAGTTCCCCCCCTTGACACATGGGGATTATAATTGGAGATGAGATTTGGAGCCAAACATATTAATGTTGTTCAAAGAAGAGAAGTTTTTGACATCTAATTTATCTACTTTTTTAAAAATTCTTTAGATTTTTAAAAAATTTATTTTTAATTGACTAATAATTGTATATATGTGATTCAATGTGGTGTTTTGGTATATGTTTACAATATAGAATGATTAAATTCAGCTAATTAACAAACCTATCACCTCAAATACTTACCTTTCTGTGGTGAAAACATTTAAAATCTACTATTGTGGCTATTTTTAAATATGCAATATATTATTATTTATTATAGTCACCATTCTGTACAATAGATTACTAAAGCTTATTCCTCCTGTCTAACTGAAAGTTTGATAAGCTTCTTCCATTTTCTCATCCACTCCCATTCTGAGCCTCTTGTAACCATCATTTTGCTCTCTACTTCTGTGAGTTCACCTCTTTTAGATTCACTTATAAGTGAGATCATGTGGTATTTGTCTTTCTGTGCCTTGCTTATTTCATTTAACATAATGTCCTCCAGGTTTGGCTATATTGTTGAAAATGACACAATTTCCCTCTTTTAAAGGCTGAATTGTATTCCATTTTGTATCTATACTACATTTTTAAATTGTTTTACTTTTAAGAGTACCATGCTTTTTATATCTTATTAAGGAAATCTTTTGTTTCCTTATAGATTATTCATAATTTTAGCTTTTATTTGAGGTTTATGATGCACTTCTAATTAATTTTTGTGTATAGTACACAATAAGGGTTGAAATTCTTTTTATTTCCATGTAGATTTCTAATTTGTTTTAGCACCATTTCCTGAAAAGACTATCCTATTCCTACTTAATTACATTGCTCTCTTTTGAGAAAATAAATTAACCATATATGCATGGGTCTATTTCTATTCTATTGATAGGTATGTCTGTCCTCATGCCAATACCACACAATTTTGATTACTAAAGACTAAAGCTTTATAATAAGACTTGAAGTCAGTAGTTTAAGTCCATCAACTTTATTCCTCTTTTTCAAACCTTATTTGGTTTTATTTTTTGATTGACAGTTTATTAAATATACTACATTTGTACTTAATGCTGTAGTTTTAAAAATTATTCACACATGGGCTTAGTAAATATGCACTTTATAGAAAACCAACTGCAAGACCGAAATGAAAATAAGAACACACATATTGCACACATATTAGATAAACTGCTGAAATGTTATGAATTAATTTAACCTGTACATGTGCTTAATGAAGGTGATCATGAAATATTAGGTGGTTTGATTTACTTAAATCTGACACCAGACCGTGACTTCAAAAGTGTTAATGTTGAAATGTAGGTGCAAAACCATCTATTAACAAAATCATTTAATCTATTAGTCTTTGAAAAACAGAATAAAACATTGTTTTTCTTTTAAAGATACTTTTCTAAATCCATTCTCTATGCACTCTTTCTCCCATTCAAAGAGTTAGTTGTGCAGACTGATGAGGCAAAAAATCAATTCCTTTTAAAAAAATCCCAACAAACTAGAGCCTACTTACAAAACATGCAAAGGGAGAATTTTAAGTAGGTATTACTGCAGAACTGGTTAAAAGTGAATACAGCTGAGTGACAGAATATACCTTTCCTCTGACAATATAGGTCCTTCCCCACTTCTCTCTGGAAGAAACACATCATCAGGGCATGGACTACATAACGGCATAAAATGCAAAGACAGAAACAAAGAAGTTTGCAAGTTCTCTATATTTCTAGCTGTTGAGGCAGTATGTTTAAGAGCTGAAGTTACCTCTAGCGGCGAAACCAGAGCCAGTTACTAAGCAGCCACAATCCTATGGTAATTGAATACATGACCATTTCTCTCTTGGCACGTTCCTTGTTCTCCTCTTCTAGATGTTGCAAGCGTCTATTTAGTTTGATTATCTGTCGTCTTAACGAAGCTGCATCTGCAACAGTCATGTCATCCGAAGTTCCTTCACTTGTATCTATGTTTGAAGTGCCATACCTGATGTTGTCACGATGCGGATTAGAAGTGGTAGCAGCAGACCTGCCATACTGCACAGGTCTGCGATTTTCACCCATCTCATCCACGATATGCTGGTAAGCCCTACGAGTAGAAGACTGGATAAATGACAGAATGCCATGAACAGAGGAAAGATTAGTTCTATTTTCGGGTAACATGTTGGGAAGACAGCTTCTTATGGTGATGGTGTCACGATGAAATCACTCCTGATCAACGTCTATTTTGGCCAACAACATTTTCACTCAAAGAGCAGTCTCTTTTTAGCTTGCCAAATGCACAGATTTCTTCATTTTGAAGGGTTGAAGGAGGTCTTTCTAAATCCTGAAAATCTGGTGGTCTTCCACTTAAAGTATATGAAGCGGTGGTTTTAGTGCCAGAGGTTTAAAGGGAGTTGACTGAATAAAGTCAAAATCCACTGGTCTTCAAAACAGAATGTCTCCGTTGTTCTCTGCTGTAACAATCCTCTCTAGAACCTGCATCATCACATTAGCATTTAGAACTCCTTTTTGGAATTCTTGTTCCAGGTCACCATTTGATGGTGCTGACTTAATTTTTCTGGGACCCTCATTTGCTGACTAATATCTTTATTGTATTCCATTTCATACTGAAATTGACTAATTTCTTCCATCTAGAGAAGGAAGTGCTTCCCTACTCACCAAATATGTACCAGCTACTACTTGCTATTTGGCACTATCTGCTCCCGTGCTTCATATTAAATGCTTTAATTTCATTCAAAGTGCATGTGCCGGGTTTAGAGCCACTTTTGTTCCTCTGGGTCTGTAGAGAGTTCCCAGTGAGGGCTGCCAGGGTGGGTGCTCTCAGAGACCATTAGCAAAATGCAGGAAAGAGCTAGGACAAAGCACCTGTCAGGTTGGCCGGTGGCAGACTAGGAGAGCCTCATTTGGTTATTTTAGATACTTTATATTTTCATATAAATTTTACAATAAGGTTTCCAACTTCTATGAAACAACTTGGTGGAATTTAGATTGTGATTACATAAAATGTGTCATCTCTCTATCTATCATCTATCTATCTATCTATCTATCTATCTATCTATCTATCTATCTATCTATGTATCTATCTATCTATCTAGATATCCCTCTCTCCACCTCTACTCACTACTCACTATGACTACTTTTTCTTTACTGCATAACTATGTTTCCCCTGGAATAAATACTTTTCTTGTTTCTTTTGTTTCCTTAGTTTTCTATGTATTTACACGTACTTTTGCTTCCAGACTCTTCTTCATTCCTTCTCTCAATACATTTGAATACATTAGATATTCCATCAGTTTTGCCTTTTTAAAGAGAAATCTCTCTTAACAAACCTCTGATCTGATTAAATATAGACAGCTTGCTCCCTAGGCCTGTTGAACACTGTCATCCTATAATCTCCCTTTGCCACCATCTTGGGCATTTTTTTTTTTTTGCCACCTTCTTGACTTGGTTCCCCTGTTGCCTTATATTTTCCTCTTCCTTGGTTTACCATCTTTCTTAGTGAGCACATACTCTAGTAGTTTCCCCAGAAAGAGGGCATGGGAGGTAAAATTTTTAAGACAATATATATATATATATATATAGTCTTAAAATATATATATATATATATATAGTCTTAAAATATATATATATATATATATATATATATATATATATATATATATATTTTTTTTTTTTTTTTTTTGAGACAGAGTCTTTCTCTGTCTCCCAGGCTGGAGTACAGTGGCATGTTCTTGGCTCACTGCAACCTCTGCCTCCTGGGTTCAAGCGATTCTCCTGCCTCAGCCTCCTGAGTAGCTAGGATTACAGGCATGAGCCAACACACCTGTCTAATTTTGTAATTTTTTAGTAGAGACGGGGTTTCACTCTGTTGGCCAGGCTGGTCTTGAACTCCTCACCTCAGGTGATCCACCTGCCTTGGCCTTCCAAAGTGCTGGGATTACAGGCGTGAGTCACCGTGCCTGGCCTTCCTTCGAATTTTGATCGCATTGTTCTATTGTTTTCTAGCTTCCGGCATTGCTGTGGCAAAATAAAATACCACAATCATTCATTATCCTTTATATAAAAGCTGAGTTTTTGCTGTTGCTGTTTCATCTCTTTCTCTTTAGAAAAACCTTTTATTTGACCTAAGCAATGTAAAACTGCCTTGATGTGGCTCTATCTTCCTTCTTTGTGATGAGCCCTTTCAAATTGGAAATTCAAGTTTTTCAATTTTTGGGAAAATTCTGGAAATCGTTTTGTTGCTGATGTCTTCCTTTCTGTTTTTCCGTCTTATGTTTGTGGCCACAGATAGTTTGCCTCTTAAACTATCTACATTTCATCATGACTTCAAAAAACTAAATTATAAATCAGAAAAACAACTAAAACTTAAAAAAAAATTTGTAAAGCTTAGGAACTCATAAGTATAGCTCAGCAAATGATTTTAGTTACTTTAATTAACACAGGTTATTCAGATTAGTATCTTCTGAATGGATTCTTATTTTTTCCTTCATTTTTAATTCTTTATACTTTTTGCTCTATTTTCTGAGATGCTTTCCAAACTCGTATTGAATTTTTATATTATTGCCAACGGCTCTTCAACTTTTTGTGTATTCCGAATGTTCTTTCCTCATACCATATTGTTCTAGTTTCATGGATACAATATCTTATCTCTCAGAAGATATAAGTAATCCTTTTAAAAGTTTTCTTCTCTCTCCAAGTTTGTTTCCTGTTTCTTTTCTTTCTGGTTGTTTTGTTCACTTTGTTTCATATTTCTCATATCTGATGACCCTTGACTGTCTGAATACATTATACAGCTTTGTACAAATGAGTAGGGTTTTTCAATTGTGGGAGACACTATAATGTGATTTGCCTGATCTATTTCATTAGAAAATCCCTAATGCCAATATCTCTTCCCCCCCACCACCCCAACCCCCGCCTCCCGCCCAATTGGTCAGGTTCCAAAATGAAGACCTTTACAATAGCTTATGAGCATTTGGGAAACTGAAAGAGATGAGAAAGCTGACTGTGCCAACATTTAATAGGCAAATGTCCCCCTCTCTATAATCAACTGTGCCTGGTGTACCTTAGTCCAAAGACCCACTGTCCGCATTCGCTTCAAGAAATAAACCTTCAGTCTCCTGTTAGGATGAAGTAGGATCATTCTCGACTGCTTTGAGTGGAGGAAGCACTTTGGGACCCCAATTCTTCTTAAACAGATTTTCAGTGAAATCTCCTGTTTTTAGCCTTACTTTAACCAGCATTTCTACAGCTGCCACCAATTCCTAAGCTGTTAGGAAAAAGTTCTGAGATGCAAACTGGGTTGTTTCTGGTTTTCCTGCTGCTGGCTTAGAATTCAGCTGAGTTGAGCCTTTTAGGTCAGTTACCATCTATCCATCTGTTTTCTGGCTTCCATAAATTTATTACTGTTGTCTTCTCTCTCTTCTCTTTGTTCTTGTGACTCTATGACAGATGTAAATGTGTTTGTTCAGTTGGTCATTGTTATTCAGAACAGTGCTCTCCTTTTAACTTAAATTCATGATAATATTCATGTGTTTTCTAATGCACTTGTTTCCTCCCATTGTTCCTGCCGTCCCTCTTTCACCTCAATGTAGCCATATATTTAAGTGTTAAACCTCATTCATGATACCCACATAATGTTATAAATGACAGTTGCAGAATCCAGTGCAGCTGTAGGAAGAAACCATACATGCACACATAGGTTAGATTAAACTCCTGGTTTATTTAGGCAGGAATGTAGAATCTTCTTGGAAACAAGGTAGCTGCCTTTACACTGCCTGTGCTAGCATCTCTTGGAAGCTTCCATTAACATTTAACATGCAAAGTTGGGTTTTTCTTTTGTTTTTTTTGATCTGAGGAATTCATTTTTTGACTATGTCACAGTACCATCGAGGAAGCATTTACACAGATAATGTTTGCCCTTAGAAGACAATATTTAGATATATTGGATTTAGATATATCCAGATATTTAGATATTCTGGAACATTAAAGACAATCTAGAGGGTAAATGGGCTAATGATTCTTTAGCTAAACTCAGTGTCAGCAAGATTTATGCTTATTTAAAGGATAAAACAGAGTGAGTGCCCAGAAGTCCCTGGATAATCTCTGTATCCTTCTTCTCAGTGTCCTGGAAAGCCTATTTCCCCGTTAGTCCACGCACAGTTTTAATACAATATCTTTTTTTTTTTTTCCTGGGGTGGCTCCGATCTTGTTTTTGGTCAAAGGATCATCTGGCATTAAATTTTAAAACAATTTCCCAAATGTGTGACTTGGTGTTGATGGAATATGGCAATGTTGATGTCCAGAGGAATCTTGGTATAGAAGCCATTTATCGCTCTTGCAACCATTAATTTTACCTGTGACATCACAGTTTTTTAGTCCTAAGCAATTATTGACCCATGTAAGTGATGCAGAAACTTTCAATTTTAAAGAGTGTGCCTTCACACTTAACATCCTGCCAAATGGTCTTTCTCCCAGGAATACATTTTAGTTTTATGTAATGGAGCACAGTAGGACTCTGTTTAGTATGGGTTGGTCTAGTTATAGAAGCTTCAAAAAATGTCATAAGGTGCTGGAGACCTTCATGTGGTCTTATAGAAGGTGCTACAAGGGCTACAGCGATTGGTACAGCCTACTTTTGGAGAACTTTTTTTTTTTTTTTTAGCATCTAAATGGCAAATATAAGTGAGTTCAAAAAGACCTAAAAGCCAGACACTGTGGCTCACACCTGTAATCCCAGCAGTTTGGGAGGCTGAGATGGGAGGATCACTTGATGTCAGGACCAGCCTGGCCAGTGTGGCAATAACCTGTCTCCATTAAAAAATACAACAATTAGCTGGGCGCTGTGGTGAATGCCTGTAATACCAGCTACTTGGGAGGCTGAGGTGGGAGGATTGCTTGAACCTGGGAGGCAGAGGCTGCAGTTAGCGAAGATCACACCACTGCACTCCAGCCTGGGCCACATAGTGAAACTCTGTCTCATAAGAAAAAGACCTATAATTAGAAACAAAGTGATTTTTTTCTATTTCTGTAAAGAATATCCTTACTATTTTGATAAAGATTACATTGAATCTGCTTTGGCTAGTATAGACATTTTAACAATTTTAACAATATTAACAATATTAATTAATTAACAATATTAATTCTTCCAATCAATGAGCATGGGATATCTTTCCATTTATTTGTGTACTTTTCAATTTCTTTCATCAGTATTTTAAAGTTTTCATTGTAGAAATATTTAACCTTCTTGGTTAAATTTACTCCTAGATATTTCATTTTTTTGTAGCTATTGTAAATGGAATTGTTTTCTTGATTTCTTTTTCAGATAGGCTGCTCTCTCTCTCTGTATATATATTCAGATATATGCTATCTATTAATCTAATATTATTAATGTTGATTTTGTATTCTGCAATTTTATTGAATTCATTCATTAGTTGTAACAGTTTTTTTTTGGTGGAATCTTTAGGGTTTTCTATTTATTATAAGATCATGTCATCTGCAAACAGGAATAGTTTCACTTCCTCCTTTCCAACTTGGATGCGTTTTATTTCTTTCTCTGGCCTAATTTCTCTGGTTAGGATTTCCAGGACTACGTTGAATAGAAGTGGTGAAAATGGGAGTCCTTATCTTGTTCCAGATCTTGGAGGAAAAGCTTTCAACTTTTTCCAGTTCAATATGATGTTCACTATGGGTTTGTCAAATAAGGTCATTATTATGTTGAGGTATATTTCTTCTTTACCTAATTGGTTGAGAGTTTTTTTTATGAAAGGGTGTTGAATTTCGTCAAATGCTTTTTCTGCATCTCTCGAAATGATCATATGGCTTTTGTTGTATGGAACCACAAAACATCCCAAATAGCCAAAGCAATCTTGAACAAAAAGAACAAAACTGGAGGTATCACACTACCTGACTTCAAAATATACTATAATGCTATAATAACCAAAACAGCTTGGTACTGGCATAAAAAATAGACACATTGACCAAACGAACCAGAATAGAGAGCCCATGAAAAAATTTACACATTTATAGCCAACTGATATTTGACAAAAGTGTCAAGAATACACACTGGGGAAAGGACAGTCTTTTCAATAAATGTGTTTGGAAAACTGGATATTCACATGCAAAACAATGTTATTAGGTCTTTATTTCTCATCATATGCAGAAATCAACTCAAAATGGCTGCATATTATTTCATGGTGTATATGTACCACATTTTCTTTATCCAGTCTACCACTGATGGGCACCTGGGTTGATTCCATGTCTTTGCTATAATGAATAGTACAATAATGAACACATGAGTGCATGTGTCTTTTTGGTAGAATGATTTTTTGGGTGGGCGGTATATACACAGTACTGGGATTGTGGGGTCTATGCAGCCATAAAAAAGAATGAAATCATGTTCATTACAGCAACATGCATAGAGCTGCAGGCCATAATCCTAAGCAAATTAATGCAGGAACAGAACACCAAATATTGCATTTTGTCACTTATAAGTGAGAGCTAAACATTGAGTGCACATGGACATAAATGTGGGAACAATAAACACTGTGGACTATTAGAGGGTGGAGGGAGGAGGTGGGTTTAAAAACTATCTATTGGATACTATGCTTACTACCTGGGTGATGGGATCTGTACTCCACACCTCAGCATCACGCAATATTCCCATGTAACAAATCTGCACATGTACCCCCGTATCTAAAATAAGAGTTGAAATAAAAAAGAAAAAAAAGTAAAGAAATAAACACAAAATGGATTAGACTTAACTGCAAAACCTGAAACTATGGAACTACTAAAATAAACAGGGGAAATCCTTCATGACATGGATATAGACAATGATTTTTTGGATAAGACCTCAAAAGCACAGGCAACAAAAGCAAAATTGGACAAATGGAACTATATTAAACTAAAAAGCTTCTTCATAACAAAAGAAACAATCAGCAGCGTGAAGATATAACCTACAGAATGGGAAAGGATACTGGCAAACTATACAAACTACGGGGGTTAATGTCCAAAATATGTAAGGAACTCAACTCAAAAGCAAGACAACAAATAACACTATTAAAGATTGGCAAAATACCTGAATAGAGACTCTGTAAAGAAGATATACAAGGGGCCAACAGGTATATAAAAAATGCTCAACATTGCTAATCATTAGTGAAACGCAAATCAAAACCACAATGAGATATCGCTTCATACCTGTTAGAATGACTATTATCAAAAAGACTATTATCAAAAAGTGTTGGTGTGGATGTGGAGAAAAAGTAACTCTTACACACTGTTGGTGTGAATGTAAATTAGTACAGCCTTGATGAGAAACAGCATTGAGGCTCCTCAAAAAACTAAAAAGAGAACTACCATATGATCCAGCAATCCCACCACTGGGTATATATCTTAAGTAAATAATATCAGTATGTCAAAAAGACATCTCCACTCCCATGTTTACCACCATTCACAATAGCCAAGACGTGGAATCACCCTAAGTGCCCATCAACAGATAAGTGGATTAAAAGAGTGAAATATGTATATGTACATATGTACACATATATGCATATACACATATCTGTGTATATACATATACACATATCTGTGTATATACATATCTACATGTATGTGTATATACATATACACATACATGTATATACATATCTACATATATGTGTCTATATATACATATATACACACACACACATGCACACATGCCTTTTGTGACAACATGAATGAAACTGGAAGACATAATGTAAGTAAAATAAGCCAAGCACAGGAAGATAAATACTGCATGATCTCACTCATATGTGGCATCTAATAAAGCTGATCTCACAGAAGAGGAGAGTAGAATGGTGGTTACCAGGGGCTTCGGTGATTGCTGGGTAGGGGGAATTGTTGGTCAAAGGATATACAATCACAGACAGGAGGAGTAAAAAAATTGTACAGAATGGACAAATATATAGAAATGGAAACTAGACAAGTGACTGCCTGGGGTTAGGGGTTGGAGGGGAGAGGATAGAACGGAGTGAAGAGAAATGGGGAATGACTACTAATAGTTATGGAGCTTCTTTATTAGATAATGAAAATGTTCTAAAAATGATTATGGTGATGGTTGCACAGCTCTGTGACCATACTTTTTGCAAATTGGATTTTTCTCATTTGAACGCTCAGCTCAGATTCAAGGAGTTCAGTCTAAGTCTGTGCTCTCACATTAAGGAATAAGCAAAGTTCATTCCCATGTTGTTCTTTTCTACAGGATGGCTGTTACTAAGTTAATATAATTCTTATTTTTTCTGTTTTTGAGACAGACTCTCACTCTGTCACCCAGGCTAGAGTACAGTGGTGCGATCTCAGCTCACTGCAACCTCCGCCTCCCGGGTTCAAGCAATTCTCCTGCCTCAGCCTCCCGAGGAGCTGGGATTACAGGCACCCGCCACAAAGTCCTGCTAATTTATATATATATATTTAGTAGAGATGAGGTTTCACCTTGTTTGCCAGGCTGGTCTCGAACTCCTGGCCTCAAGTGATCCACCCACCTTGGCCTCCCAAAGTGCTGGGATTACAGGTATGAGTCACCACGCCAGGCCAAGTTAATATAATTCTTTTTTTTTTAACAACTAGTATTATATGTTTTAAGAGACTGAATCAGAAATGTAAGAAAACCCTCTCAAATCCATGTTTTTCAAATTTTTAAAGAGAACAAGCCCAGACTCAAATTTCAAGATGACATTTTTTAAAACACTGCACAAACTACATTTTTCTGCTGCTCTATAAGAGGAGTTTTTGTAACTTCTTAATGCCTGTTATGTGGCTCACATGGCTCTTGGCCAAAGTTACCGTTTGGGCTTATACTTCATCTCTTGTAGAAATATTCTTACCCGCCTTTTCAGTGCCTGATCCACACATGGCCTATGATTAATCACTATTCACATTTTAATTAGTTCCAAGACTAAACATAGAATTGAAGAAAATGTTTAACCTGTAACATATATATCCCAGTTGATGGTGTGCGTTTCCAAAGTTGTATATCATATTAAGAAAAGACCTGAATGAAAAGGCAAAAATGGATTTTTTTTCTCTTTTGAGATGGAGTCTCACTCTGTCGCCCAGGCTGGAATGCAGTGGCGTGATCTCAGCTCACGGCAGCCTCCACCTCCAGCGTTCAAGCGATCCTCCTGCCTCAACCTCCCGAGCAGCTGGGATTACAGGTACCCACCACCATGCCCGGCTAATTTTTAAATTTTTAGTAGAGAAGGGGTTTCACTATGTTGGCCAGGCTGGTCTTGAACTCCTGACCTCAGGTGATCCACCCGCCTGGGCCTCTCAAAGTGCTGAGATTACAGGTGTGAGCCACTGCACCCGGCCAAAAATGGAATAAAAAAAAATTAAATCCTGATGCCATTCGCTGGAAGATTTATGGCTTTAAAAATTCCCTCTATAGTCATTTGACAAGCAATTTTCTCTCTGGTCTGCATTGCACATGCTTAAGATATGTTTAGAGTCAGGCGGGTGGATCACGAGGTCAGGAGATCGAGAACACGGTGAAACCCCGTCTCTACTAAAAATACAAAAAATTAGCCGGGCGTGGTGGCGGGCGCCTGTAGTCCCAGCTACTCGGGAGGCTGAGGCAGGAGAATGGCGTGAACCCAGGAGGCAGAGCTTGCAGTGAGCCGAGATCACGCCACTGCACTCCAGCTTGGGCAACAAAGCGAGACTCCGTCTCAAAAAAAAAAAAAAAAAAAAGATATGTTTGGAGTCTTCGTGCTCCTTTCCAATATTACAACGACTCAGTTGTGTTGGTTTGTCTCTTTAAGGTCCTATTTTCCAAACAAACTCATAGCTGGGAAGAAACTAAAAAAATTGAAGTCTTAAACATATTTTATAAGTTTCTTTTAAAGCATACTGCCTTCTCAAACTCTTATAGGTCCAGAGATGCCAGCAATTTATAGTAATAGATAATCTCCCTCATTTTACAGATGAGGGCACTGAATCCCAGCTAGTAAGCCAAGATATGTATCTGCTTTTGGCAAAACAACTTTAAAGGATATAAGCTATAGCATGAATGTATCAAACCAATATGGCAGTGAAGCTCTAATTTTGAATTATTTTTTAGCACACAATAAATGTGAAGAAAAAATTATACACACACGCACACATATATATGTGTATATATATGCATATGCATATATATGTGTATATATATGCATATGCATATATATGTGTATATATATGCATATGCATATATATGTGTATATATATGCATATGCATATATATGTATATGTATATGTATACGTATATATATTTTAGCTTCAGAAGAGGCTTAACTGGACTCTGAACATTCCTAGTCTACATTCTTAAGAGCAATACCAACCAATGAATATGAGGTTTGAATACTACCCAAATTTTGTAAAGAACTTGCTTTGAGAATTCAATTCTGCAGACATTTATTAATGCCTGCCATGTGCAAGGCACAGTGTCAGATGCTAAGGAGGCGTTGCATTTCCTTTAACAAACAATCCCAAAATCTCAATAACTACACACTTAGGTCACAGTCCAATGCAGTTAGCAAGTGTTGGCAGGATGACGGTGTGATCCAAGCTTTATCCAGTCTGGTGGCTCCATGTGACAGACTAGTTAGATTCTCACCAAACCCAGCCAGTGTTGAAGACGGCAGAGTAAATTAGTTAAGGTAAGTTATACACAATGGTATGCTGAGGCAGGTTTGTACAGGTTCACAAGAGCCACTGATTAGCATCTCTTTCCAACTCCAAGTTCAGTAAATGTTGAATAAATGATCACTTTGGTAGCTTGAAAACAGCCATGGTGGTAGTATTTACATCACAGAAATCAGCAAACACTACAAATAGGAGTTTTGTGTTTTGTTTTATTTTGTTTCATTTGAACATCCAGTTGGTAAACATTTACCAACACGAGTGGTTATATGATCTGCTGTTACAAACAATCCCCATATGTCAGTGACTTGATATAATAAATTTTTATTTCTCCCTTACATCACTATGTAATACCAGCTGACAGTGGAGACTCTGCTCCAGGCAATAAGTCAGGCATCAAACTCCTTTCACTGGGGCTCCACTATCTTCACATGGATTCATAGTCATCTGGGGATATCTGCTTACAGAGAGGGTAGGTAGAGAGAACATAGAGAAGGCTCACCACCTCTTAACTGCCTCAAAGTGACACATCACTTCCACACACTCTAGTAATGAGAACTAACCACAAGGCCCTATCTGGATGTGAGAGAGACAACAAATGTTTGACAATGAAGTATAGCAAAAGAAGTAACACTGTAAAGGGATTGAAGGGCTGAGAAAATGTTTTTTTTCCTAGATTCAGAAAGACCTGGATTCAGGAAGTACTCATTATGTCGAACAAATCCTGCTCATGGGACGTAAAGTTGACCATTCCATTGATAAAAGAAAGTCATAAGATCAGCCCATATTCAAAGGGAGGGGAAAGAAATGCCACTTCTTGATGGGAGAAGCACATCAAGGAAGGAGCACATTGCAAAAGGGCATGGATACAGGAAGACATGACTCATGGGAAGACATTTTTAATAATCTACCACAACCTCCTATCAGCAGCGGGATCCCACCAACCTGGCCTGCTCTGTGTTCTTCCACATACACGTCTTGAAGGCATTTTGTGACTTTGGCTATCTGTTATGGTGGCACTAGTGTCCACTAGAAAGTAATTTGCATGTGGCCTGCAGGACTTGAGGAAAACTCAGAATATGCTAACCCAATCTTAGGTCTCTGCTTTTACTGTTTTTTGTTCTAGCCATTTGTCTGCTGGTAATTTCTACTCTAACAGGCTGCTGACTTCTTGAAAGCAAGGCCTGGGTCATTCTAACAGGTATAAGGTGATATCTCATTGTGGTTTTGATTTGCATTTCACTGATGTTTAGTAATGTGGAGCATTTTTTATATACCTGTTGGCCCCTTGTATATCTTCTTTACAGAGTGTCTATTCAGGTATTTTGCCCATTTTTAATAGGGTTATTTGTTTTCTTGCTTTTAAGTTGAGTTCCTTACATATTTTGGACATTAACCCATGTAGTTTGTATAGTTTGCCAGTATCCTTTCCCATTTTATAGGTTGTTTGTTCACTCTGCTGATTGTTTCCTTTGCTGTGAAGAAGCTTTTTGGTTTAATATAGTCCCTTTTGTCCAATTTTGCTTTTGTTGCCTGTGCTTTTGAGGTCTTATCCAAAAAACCATTGTCTATATCCATGTCATTAAGCATTTCCCACTTTTTTTTCGTAGTTCCATAGTTTCAGGCTTTGCAATTAAGGGCTAAGCACAGCTTTTTACATATCAGGCTTCAATAAATGTTGAATAAATTATTCAAATTGACCATCTCCAATTTTTACCAACCTTTTCTGTATGACATTCCCCAATATATAATTATTTCTGATTATTATTTAAGAAAAGAAAGCAAATGAAGCAATATTGAAGTCTAGAGAATTTCTAAAAATTATTCTTTATTTCTAGCCACACTGTTTCTCACAGGCAAATACCATCCTTCATCTGGTATCTATGCCTGTGGTTAGGCTTCTAAGAGCAGCCCAAGGAAGGCCAAATACTTAGTGGGTACTGAATGAAGGAACAGGAAGAATCAGAATAAACTCTTTCCACACTGTTTTTTCAAAAAACACAAAGGAATAGAGCCTTGGTATTGTAAAGGGCTGTGAGCCTGGTGTGGAAAAACATCATACGAGAACAGTGAATGAAAACATACCCTGCTCTTAGAAGCCAACCACATACACACCTCTTTCTCCCTCCCCCAGCCAGAAGTGACTATAGAATCTGTTGATGCCATTAGGAAAATTGTAGTAATTCCCGCTATGTTTCACTTGATTCCAAGTGCTGCCTCATGACTCTGTCAGCCAAAAAATGTTTGTCAATATACTCACCACTAATTCTGATGCAGTCTTTGTCTTTTAGATGTGTTTGTTGACCCTCCTCCACTCTGGTAAGCACCTGCTCATTCCAAGGCAAGGCAGTTTCAGATGAGTCCCAGTACTTCACCCACCCAATTAAATTGGATATTCATGCAGTTTTAATTTCTCCCATTTTCCAACCCCAGTTGTGATTTGGAGAATTAGCCAAGCTTCTCTATCTGCTTGTCTGTAAAATTGGGCTAGCCATTTACATAAAAGAGAAAATCTGTGAAATAAGCTGAGATTTTCTTTTCAGAGATTACTTAGCTTGAGTCAGATTTTAGGCCTTGCCCATTCCCACAGGCTGAGAGGAGCTTGTAGAGGAGTAACTCCCCCTACCTAAGGTTCTTTCTGGGACAGAAACAGCCCAACTTCCATTCTCTTTCCAGATAATTCTTGTCTCACCTCACGCCTACAATGAACTGAATGCTTATGTTCCCACAAATACCCCCCAAGGTGGTAGCCTTAAAAGGCGGGACATTTGGGTGGTAATTAGGTCATGATTTGGATTGATGCCCTTATGAAAGGGATCCCAAAGAGCTCACTTGCCTCTTCCCCATGTGAGGACACAGTGAGAAGCCTCCATCTATGAGGAATGGGCCCTCACCAGATACTGAATTTGCCAGTGCCTTGGTCTTGCACTTCCCAGACTCCAGAACTGTGAGAAATCATTGTGTATTGTTTATAAGCCACCCAGTTTATTGCGTTTAGTTATAGCAACCTTAACAAACTAGGACACTGCCCATGTTTAACTTAGCTATGTGATTTCTTTATTTTTCTTTTTTGTTAGCTCTTTGATATTTTTGTAAATTGTAGTTATTTGCATTTGGATCAAACACTTTTAAAATCAATGAATGGATATTTATCTATGTGAACTATTTATCATGAACCATTGATTCAAAGCAAAACAGAAAAGTATCATTTATAGAAACTCTGTACTATTGCCTTATAATCACTGTATTTTTAATACCTTTATTGAGGTGTAATTGCTATAATATATGCCATACAGATTGAGAATGTACAAGTTGATAAGTATTCACATGTGTATATATACCTGTGAAGCCATCTTCACAATCAAGAAAATGGACAGATCCATCACCTCTAAAAGTTTCTTCCTGCCCTTTTATAATTTCTTTCTCCCAACCCTCATCCCACCTATTCCCAGGCTGGGAGGAACAAGTATCATTTACTATTCCTGGTTCTGTGTGAGCACTGGATATTGTTCCCGCTAAAGCTTTCATGTGGTTCTTTCCCTATGCTTGTATAGTTTCCTCAGATGCATGTGCTAATTAGTACTCTGCTGAATACTCGAGGGGGACCTCCACAGCAATCCTGAATTTTTTCTCTTCTCTCTACACTGCCAAGTCTAGTTGCCTTGGTCTCCTTCAGATTCTCAACTCTATTTCTGCAACTCAAGGAGTCTTCTGGGCCCCCTCTGAGTTCCCCGTCCCTGCACTATGACCTGGACACTCCCTCCAGGCAGTAAACTGGTGCAAGTGTAGGGCTTAACTACTTTGTTTCCTGTTTCTCAGGAATCATTGTCTTTATTGCTTAATGTCGAATGTCTTGAAAACTTTTTTTTTTCATATATTTTGTCCAGTTTTTTAGTTGCTTAAGACGGGAGGATAAATCTTCTCCCTGGTATTCCATCTTGGCTAGAAGAGGAAGTTGCTCATAGTTCTATTGTTTGCTATAAAAATCTTAAGGGGCAATAAAATTTCCACTAAGAAACTGTAGGAAAATGTTTTTATAAGTTCAATAAGCAGATTTGGAAGGTAAATTTAACTTCTCAACTTCTTAAATACAGGGCCATGGGAATATTTAGAAGATCAATATTTATTATAACTGTGTTTGAAGGAAAATGAATGAATTGAATAAAAAATTAGAAGTGAATAAATGAGGAGACATGATTTCTGATTTCTTTTCCCTTTTCTCCACGTTCTTACAGTGCCTTCTCTCTGATGTTGGCCCACTCTCCTACATTTAAACTTTATCACTCAACCCATCCATCTATCCATCTACTAGTCCATCTATCAAATGTTACTGAGTGCCAGGGATAAAATGAATTGTAAGACAGGGAACATCCTACAATGTACTTACATATGGTGGGTGGGAGTTCTGTTATTGTAGAGGCCTGAATAAAATGCTGAAGCATTGTGGAGGGCAGAGTCATTAACTTGGGGCAGGGCTGGGGCACAGATTAAGGAAGGCTTCTCTCAGGAGAAAACATTTGAAATGAGTATTGAAGAGTGAGTAGCATTTGGCTAGGTTGAGATGGGAAGGAAGAGGTATTTGAGAGGGAGGTAAAGACCTAGGCCAAGGTGAGTGTGGGGAAAAGGTCAGTCCTATTTCTGGAGGGGTAAAAAGCTGACTGTGTCTGGGGTCAAGGGGCTGGAAGGTGGCACGGCAGGAAATTAGGCTACAGAGGTGGTTGGAGCCAGCCTAAGAACTCTGAGTGCTAAAACAGTGTCTCCCAAGAGCCTGAAGTTTCATAGCATGGAAATGACATAATCAGATGTGGGTTTTTGAGCTCTCTAGAGGAGGCAGGTGGCAAGAAGTCTCCACAGGATGCTGCTGAAGTCATCCAAGAAAGGATACTAGTCCCTGAACTCAGACAGGGAGGATGCAGACTAATCCAAGAGACATTTCTGCAAGAGAATTGGAAATGTACAGTGACTGGTTGTATGTTGAGAATGAATGAGAGGGAGACATAAGGATAAATGCCTCTAGGTTTTTCAATTTGAGAGAACTGGCAGATGTCATGTAATTAACTGAGATGGAGACAGAAGACAGAATAGGTTTGAATTAGCTTTTAGTTCCACTGAGTTTAGAGTTTTTATGGATCACTCATGTGGAGAGATAGAACAGGAAATTGGACCTCGAGAGAGGTCTGAGAGTCAATGGCACAATGCCATGGTTAGAATGATCACAATTGGTTTGATCATGGTGCATAGAATGAGCAGAAAGTAATATGACATTCTTGTTCTCTGAAAAACTTTAATGAAGAATTTTGTACTTCAAATATCTATCAAGCAAAGATACTCATGCAGGCCAATTTCTGAGTATCCCAGTGCAGGAGATAAAAGTCTGCCGTAATATTCTCTCAGTAGGCAAAGGGTTTTAAGGTATTCTCATCAGCTGTCATGAATTCTAGAATTTTACACAGTGTAATGTTCTTCAGTCAAAATGAAAAAATCAGAGACAGGCATGTATTGTCTACAGACTTTCTAAGCAGTGACCACTGGAACAGAAAAGTAAGAAGAGCATCTGAAAGAGAGTCTCAGGAGTCAATGCTGAGCCCTTTTCAAAGAGTTGCTATTTTAAGTCCAGCTCTGATTTAAATATTCCTGGTACTGAATAAGCAGGGGAACTTGGGAAAGCCTGAGTCACCCTCACACCCTTAGCTGGCTTCATAAAGCAAGACACATTCTGACTTGGCCATTTTATGAGCCTGTGAAAGTGAAATCTATTTGAGGAAGAAGTGATTTGGTGTGACCTTTAAGCAGTGGAAAAGAAAACACTTGCCACTTCCGGAGGGCTTCCTCAGAGGAAGCGCTGCCTCAGGCAGTAGAACCCCACTGGCATTTCCCAATCTCCTGAAATATCAGAAATATTGGCTACAACATTTGCGTTCATAAGGACTACATGTTTGAGAATTATTGGTGGACAACTTTGTTAATGTCAATCTGTCCAAAGCTCTAATTAAGTTCTTCCCTTCCTCGACTAAGATGGTCCAAGGTGAGCAGACAGTGTTATATATTGTGAGGAAGCTCCCTTTCCCCAGGCTACAAGATGTAGGCAGAGAAAATGAAGAGCCCAGTTTTCCAGAATCCTAATTCAGGAAATCCCTCAGACATGGCATGGTTCCATTCCTGTATTCCAGTGTCAGACATTCAGTGGCATGGCCACTTAGTTTTCAGACTGAGACCAGATTTGGTGGTTTTTGTGTCTTTCATAGAAGTAGACAGCATGAAGAAACTTCTTGATTTAGTGCTACCTGGAATGAATGATTCTTAAATACAACACAGATTACAAAATGGTCAGGATTTGCCATCACATGCTTTAAAAGTTTCTTCTTTATATCACTGGAAGTTGTTGATGGCAATGAAAATATGCAATAGTAACTCTTCAGTTACTATTCTTCAGAAACTTCTAGACTTGCAAACACAACCCTGAGAGGAGAGACTGTTGTCATCCATCTGAGAATATTTGGAAGGTACCTGATAAGGTAGAAGCTGATCTTCAAAGAGTTTAGAAATTCTTGGCAAGTGGAGCCTGTCCTGGAAGTTGGGGCTTTCTGTCTTCTGGGAAATGAGTGCCTGAAAACAATGGTGGATGGGCAACTACAGGTTATGTCTACAGATGTCCAGTGCGAGGCTTCTGCAATGAATCCTTTGACTGAAATGCACAGAATGCTCAATGGAGTAAAAGCCTTGAGTCTTTTGTATCCAAAATTCACTGTGTGGAACAACGAATCACCTTAAGGATGTGGTATGAAGGGTTAGGGAGAAGAAGCTCACACTCAAAAGACCACCACCCTTGTTCCAAACCTCTACTGATCCCTGAACTTCTACTACCAGTCATTCTCTACTTTCCCACTTTTTGGAATTTATGGAAGAAAAAAAAGGTGTTGCCACCAGGCTGTGGATTAATTGATCATATTGACTCCCTAGTTAATTTCTGGGCCATTGGTTGGGAAAAGAGAATGCAAGGAGCCCAAAAAAACTACCTAATCTACAGTTTTGCTTACTTATTATACGGCCTGATGAAACATTACCTTAGAAGTGAGAATGCCTTACAATACACTAGTTTTTGGTGGCCATTTTATTGGATATTTACTATGTGCCAGGTTTTGTACTAAGCATTTCATAAGCACTATTCTTATAAAAGAACCTGAGAGATGGGTAGTATGACTATTTTACAGATAAGGAAACTAAGAGTCCCTGAGGTTAAATGATTTAACCAAGGTCACTGAGACCCAAACCTAGGTTTGTGTAACTCCACTGTCCGATTCTGCTTAGACTTTTGTTATATCTTTAACCAGCTGTCTTAGTCAACTTGAACTGCTATAACAGAATACCACAGACTGGGTGGCTTAAACAACAAACACTTACTTTCTCACACTTCTCAAGGCTGAAAGTCCAATATCAGGGTGCCAGCGTGGATGGGTTCTGGTTAGGGCTCTCTTCCTGGGTTGCAGAAGACTACCTTCTTATTGTATCTTCAGATGGTTAAGAGAGGGATCTCAATTTCATATCTCGTCTTATACGGGCACTAATCCCATTCACAAGGGCTCCACCCCCCCCCAATACCTAATTACCTCCCAAAGACCCCTCTTCCAAATACCATCCCACTGGGGAGTAGGGCTTCAATGTATGATTTTGGTGGGGCCACACTAAGTTCATAGCATCAGTCATAATAATATTTTTCTTCATACTTAAAAATGTGGCTCCCCCTCAAATAGCTTTTAGATGATTTTCCACTAGTGTTTATGGGTTTGCATGCATCCATCCTCACTGTTTGACTCAGTCTCCACTGGGGCCAGCTTTTGCCCACTCTCACTTGTATATACCTCTTGCTTCATCCAAACTAAAATATTCCATGTTCCCATACACGCCCCATGCTTTTCATTGTGTTTCCTTTTGCAAAAGTAGAAACATAGGGGTGGAGGGTAGAAAGAGCTGCATAGTGTTCATCTTTTGCTCAGTGTTGAGGCAGGAAGAAGCTGAAGACATTGTTTTAAGGAGGGCTGTATCAGACATGAGAAACATGACACAGCCTCATTTCCATGTGTATGACCATGGAGGGCAAAAGGCCATTCTCCACAGTTCTCTGTAGTATCAATAAGGCTTCAATCCCAGAGGTCAGAAGGGACCATGACACCATCATGGTCTCCATTGTAGCAGCTTTGCGGACACGGAGAAAAGCACCTAGGAAGGTACACTGTACTCACAGAGAAGGTGGTGGTCTGCAGAGTGGGCATGACTGAAGTGCTGTCCCTCTCAAAACATTGGATAAAGACCAGAATGGAAGAAAAAGAGAGTACAGTACGGAAACACAGATTAAACTCTCTGTAAGATCCTGGAAGTAACTAGAATGATTTGGGAGGGGGCCACTTTTGGTGCTGAGGCCCAACATTATCCAGAGTTGTCAAAGAAATCTGAGTTATCCCCATTCTGTGACCTCACCCTCATTCATACAACCAGCTGGTGGGGATTGGGCAAGATTGAGTTCATTTATTTGGGAAACATGTCTCATATACCTAATATGTGCCAGACACTGCAAAGCTCTGAAGATCCAAAGATAAGGCTCAGTCCCTGCCCTCTCAGGGCTTACATCATGGTAACAAGTCTACTTCTTATGTCCACGGAGGCTTTGCACTGTATATCTCTTAGACTTTTGTCCCAGGGTTGCCACCAGTGGCCACAGAGATTGTTTTCTACACAGAGATTTTGATGTGAATGGCAACCCCTATAGTTGTATATTGCATAGCCTGCACAACCTGCACAACTGCACATGGTGGCCCTGTTTGCCCAAATAATTTCCCCCTAAAATACCTTCCCCTGCAACTCTGCCTTCCAAATTTTTCCAGACGCATCTCTGATCTGAACTCCTCTTTCCATCCTGGCCTTACCACAACCCCCAAGGCATTCCTTTTTCCTCAGACCTCCTTTGATATTTTCTGCCTGTAGAGGTAAACTGAAAATTAAACAGGGCCTCCATGGACCCTTTCTTGTTTTGAGTTTTTTAACTATTAGTTTAGCCTTGTGTTTGTTTAGCTTTTTGCCAACCTGACTCTTATCTCCCTGCATGGTTTTTGGTAGTAAGGGTAAGAACTGTGTCCTATCCATCTTTGTGTCTCCCCAAAAGGCTTTGCACATAATTGAAATTCAATAGGACAAAAGAAGAAAGTGGTATTTAAAATGAGAGACCTTTCAAAGAGTGAAAGATGCCAGTTGAAATGGAGTGTTTGTGACAAAAATCTTCAGTCAATACGTTTTTCAAATTCTTTCAGTGTTGACTCTCAAATATTTATGCTAATGACAACCAGGAAAAGCACAGATATTGGAAATGTACCAAACCAAGACTAATTCTGGCCAACTCATTCTTTTCATCAAAACTTCTGTAAGAGTATCTAACAAGAAAAGGTTCAGGCACCACTGACCTCTCGCAACTCTCCCTCAAGGGAGTCAAGCTCAATTCATGCCTCAGGTTCAAACCATTCGTGGGAGGTCCAAAGCGTGGCGATCTGAGGGTACAAGAGAGAGGGAGGAAGATGGAGGGAGAAAGTGAAAAGGCAAAGGATCTGAAAATGAAAGAAAACATATATCAGTTGTTTACACAGAGCTTGGATTTAGAATCTTTAGATCAGCTAAGGTCATTTCCAATTAATTACTTACGTGATTTTATTCTTATAAAGAACGGCTACTTTTTCCACAAAAGGAAAGGAAGGAAGAAAAGAAAGAATGGAAAGAATGGAAAGAAAGAAAGAAAGAAAGAAAGAAAGAAAGAAAGAAAGAAAGAAAGAAAGAAAGGAGGGAGAGAGAGAGAGAAAAGAAAGAAAGAAAGAAAAAAGGAAAGAGAGAGAGGGAGAGAGGGAGGGAGAAAGGAGAGAGGAGGTGGAGAGATGGGGGAGAGAGACAGAGCGCAATCAAAAGGGTAGGGCAAAAGGGAGCTCTCCAAAAAGACCATTATTTGCCTTTTTGGTATTTTATTGAAGTTCAATATGGTTTAATTGACACAGGAGTCTGGAATGCTCTGAAACTGTGACTAAGGGGACAGCCTCTCTGGGTAATTTAAGCTTCCTTTCTCATTCATAACCTCAACCACAAGGTTGAACTGGCACCCTGTTCTTTTTGAATTTCATGAGTAAAAAATGCACTGAAAACCATTACTCTAGCCAGAATGAGTGCTGCTTCCTCCTGATCCACTTACTGACAAATAGTACATCCTAAACCAGGTAGCTGACTAAGTCCTTAGTCACAGAAACAGAAGTTCTTCATCCGATCAGCCTTTTCCTCTCCCCGTTGGCCAGGCTGCCCCATCTGCTCTGAGACACTGGAGCCCCTTGAGTAAATTAGAAACCCAACTTCAGGGCAGTGAGTTACAAGCAGAAAAACCCCAGCATCCTGTACACTCTGACAGTAGCACCACACAAGGACATTTAGGAAAGAAAATGCAAATAGCTTGACATAAACTAAGAATTAGCAGCCTCTGTGGTCTGATACTAGGGAGTCTGGGAAGGCCCTAATGTCACCCCCACCATCACCACCACAGGGCTGTGGCCTTCTGGAGTAAAGCTCTTATCCTTCCTCAAAGGTCAAGTGATTAAGGCCTCTACCACTTTATTACTCACATCTTCATGTGAATGCATAAACTGAAAGGCATGGACAGGGAGAGAGAGAGAGAGGAACAATGTGGGTTAGAGGGTACATTTCAAACCCCAAATCAGAAGTCTTGAAGTGCAGGGTACCTTTGGGAAAGTGATTTCATTTCTCTGGGCACCATCTTCACGCGAAAGTTGATCTAGCTAGATAATTTTTACATCTGTCTCTCTTCCTTCCTGTCTTCCATTCTCTTTCTTTTCCTTTCTTCTTGTCTACGAGTATTTATTGAGCCCCTACTATGTGCTACACTTTGTTCTAGGCATTGTGAATATCACTGTAAACAAAATAGGCTAAGTCTGCATCCCATGTAGCTTACATTCTCATAGGGGAAACATAATAAGCAAAGAAATACATAATGCAGATAATTCTCACTTTGCATTGTTTTGATATGCATGAATTTTGATTACCATGGTTTATTTAACACCAGGTTCCCAACAAAACAGTTCAAATTTTAGTCACCACAGCATATTAATTGTGAGTAACTGCTGCAAATTTCACTGCTAGCTCTCCAGGCCACAAATGGCTATGTAAGTGACAAATGTTCATCATAATCAGTGACCAATCGCATTACTTCTTTCAAAATCATTCAGTGATTGGTCACTGTGCATCTGTTACTCAGTTCACACAAGGAAAGCAAAGCCTGTAGCTGTGTTGCCTCTTTGTCTCCCAGTGGTAGAGAGATACTTTAGGCAAAATAATTGAACTTCTAAAGTACTACTACTGTTGGATAACACTCCAGGTCAACCTGATTCTCTTAAATGGAAATGTGAAAATTTGCTTTTTACACCCAACACAACCTCATTAATCCATCCAATGGACCACGCAGTTATTTCAAATTTGAAAGCCTATTAGATGTACTTTCAGACAGACTAGGAATGCTCTAACTAGAAATCATGCCATTTTTTTAGCTGAGTTTTGAAAGAAATATGACATAAGGGACGTACTTGAACACATTCAAGCATCATGGCAGGAAGTAACAACAAGTAGTATGCCCGCAGTATGGAAGGAACTTTTCCTATGCCATGCAAGTAACTTTATGGGCTTCTAATAAAAGGTAAATGGAGTTGTAGAAGAAATAGTTGACCATGGCAATGTGGACACACTGCTGCTCTTTGAGAGGCTCTTGATATGCAGCCAGAGAAACTTAGTGAGAGCAAACTTATGAACACAAATGAAAAAGTGATTGTGATGAAAGAGATGAATATATCCCAGAGGAAGGAACACTTGTGAAAAACTTCACATTAAAAGAGCTCTCAGAGATATTTCATGACATTGAAAATGCAAGGGACAAATATTGGAAGCTGATCCAATAAACTTAGAAAGGAGGATGGCTATTCACCAAGAAATATTAAAAAATGTTCTCTCTGCATTGTAGGTTTTATGAAGAGAAGAAAGAAGCAAGCACTGTTCAAACTACTCTTTTTGTAGTTTGTACAAATTTATGCTATACATGGAAAATTTTGTTATGTGTATATCATGTGTAATGATCAGTCAGGGTATTTAGGGTGTCCATCTCCTGGGTACAACAAATTTTTGTTTAACTATAGTCACCTTACTCTGCTAGCAAACACTGAATTTATTCCTTCTATCTAACTGTATATTTGTACACATTAACCAACTTTTCTTCATTCCCCCCTCCCCTCCAGTTCCAGTCTCTATTCTCTAACTTCCCACCCTCTACCTCCACGTGATCAGATTTTTTAGCTCCCACATATAAGTGAGAACATGTGATATTTGTCTTTGTGTGCCTTGCTTATTTCACTTAATATAATGACCTCCAGTTCCATCCATGTTGCTGCAAATGACGGGATTTCATTTTTTATGGCCAAATAATATTCCATTGTGTATGTATACCACATTTCCTTCATCCAGTTTACCACTGAAGGGCATTTAGTTGAATCTCATATTTTTGCTATTGTAAATACTGCTGCAATAAACATGTGAGTGCAGGTATTTCTTTGAAAGATTGATTTTTTTTTAGGGGGCTGGGTAGTTATTCCAAGGGTAGGATTGCTGGATAGAATAGTAGTTTTATTTTTAGCTTTTGAGAAATCTCCATACTGTAAAACTACTCTTGATAAGTTTTTAATTGTGGCAAAACATACATAACATACAATTTACCAGTTCAACCATTTGTAAATGTATCATTCAGTGGCATTCACAATGTAAAAATATATTCACATTGTTGTGCAGCCATCACTACCATCTATCTCCACAACTTTTTCGTCAACCCAAACAGAAACTCTGTGCCCATTAAACATTAATTCCCTCTTCCCCACTCCTCCCAGCCTCTGGTATTCTCTATTTTACTTTGTCTCTATGAATTTGACTGTGCTCATATGAATATAATCATATGAGTAGAATCATACAGTATTTGTCCTTTTGTATCTGGCTTATTTCACTTAGCATAATATCTTTAAGCTTCATCCATGTATTAGAATTTCATTTCTTTTTAAGGGTAAACAATATTCCATTGTATGTATATACCACATTTTTGTTTATCCATTTGGGTTGTTCCCACCTTTTGTCTATTGTAAATAATGCTGCTATGAAGGCCATGCACGGTGGCTCAGGCCTGTAATCTCAGCACTTTGGGAGGCCGAGGTGGGCAGATCACTTGAGTTCAGAAGTTCAAGACCAGCCTGGCCAATGTGTTGAAAGCCCGTCTCTACCAAAAATATTTTTTAAAAATTAGCTGGGTGTGGTGGTGTGCGCCTCTAGTCCCAGCTAGAAGGCTGAGGCAGGAGAATCGCTTGAATCCAGGAGATAGAGGTTGCAGTGAGCCAAGATCGTACCACTGCACTCCAGCCTGGGCAACAGTGTGAGACTCCGTCTCAAAACAAAAACAAAAACAAAAACAGATAATGCTGCTATGAATATTGGTGTGGAAATATCTGTTCAAGTCCCTGTTTTTAACTTTTTTGGGTAGACACCTAGAAGTAGAATTGTTAGATCATATGATAATTCTGCTTAAATTTTTGGGAAACTGCAACACTGTTTTCCACAGTGGCTCCACCATTTTACATCCCATGGGCAATGTGCAAGAGTTCCAATTTCTCCATATAGTCGCAAACATTTGCTATTCTTTTTTTTTTCTGTAGTAGCCATCCTAATGGATTTGAAGTGGTATTTCATTGTGGTTTTGATTTGCATTTCCATAATGATTAGTGATATTCAGTATCTTTTCACGTGCTTATTGGCCATTTGTATATCTTCTTTTGAGAAATGTCCATTCAGAATATTGATGTTTTCTACAAAGAAATGAAAACATTTTAATTCCCAATATCTCTAGTGTTTTAAATTACAGTTTAGTAAATAAATATTCATCTTACTTTTTTTTCATTTTCCTATACATTTATAGCCAATAGTAAGAGGGTTTTTATTGTTTTGACAAAAAATTTTTAATGGTCATTCATGGAGCAATTATTATTTTCCCCATCGATTATGAGGGTTACTTTACATCGTTTCAGCTTGCATGGCCATTTTTATGGTCCCCTACCACCATACAAAGTAAGAACTTCCTATAGAGTATTGAATTAATGCTAAAGGATATGAAAATAAAGCAAGGCAAAGGGGAAGAGAATGATGGACTCTGATGGGAGAATGGGCTATTTATATGGGCAGTCAGAGAATGCGCCTCTGGAAAGGTGAGATTTGAATAGAGGCCTAAGTGGGGTAAAGAAGCCGGCCATATCCCTGCCTATGGGAAGGAATTTCCAGGCTTGGAGGATAGCAAGAGCAAAGGCCCTCAGATGGGAGCCCGCTTGGTCTGTTTGGGAAATAGCAAGAATGCCAGTGTGCCTAGAGCACAATGAGGGAGGGAGAGAATGGTAGCAGATGATTAATTTGGACAGGTAGGCAGGGACTGGATCATGTAGAGCCTTGTTGGTTATGGTATGGACTTTGGATTTTATTCTAATATGATGGGAAGCCATTGAAGAGCTGAGAGTGATGTTGTGTTAGTGAACAGGGCATTTGATTGGTTAGGGATGAATTCCTTCAAGGAGATGATAGGGGAGAGTGTGAACAGTAAAGATTAACTTCATCCACTTCATAATTTGTCTAATGGCCAGTCTTAGCTTAAATATCAGCACAGGATAAAACACTTGTGGAGACTAGGACCTACTCACGGTTTCATTAAGCATTCCCTCTGTACCAACGAGGTCTCTCAATTTTTTCAATTTCACTATGAGCTCCTAGAATTTTCCCAAGAGGGGTTTGAGCTGAGACACTTCTCACCCAGGACATGGAGGACCGAGAGTTCCTAGTTAGCAGAACCATCAGCAGACATGAATGTTCCGGTATTACCAGAGAAGCAACGGCCGGATTTCCCCACACACCAAGCTGGGCTTACCAACCCATGAGCCTGCATATAGGTTGGGCAGGGAATACAAATCAGTGAGGCTGGGCCAGGGAGACTGATGGTCAGCTGTTACTACAAGGGAACGTGGCCCTGGGGGCCAGATCCTCAAGAGAAGTGGCAAATCCAGATTTCAGTCCTGGTTTTTGAGTAGTGGCAAGTAATTTAAAATGTTTTTAACACATCATGCAGGTCATATATATATATATATATGTAGTATATATGTATGTAATATATATACACACATATATATGTATATATATGCACATTATATATACACATGTGCGTGCATGTGTGTGTATGTGTGTGTGTCTGGTGTCTGTGGCCTGCATCAGCCTGCAGCCCTTAAGTTGTTATTTCTGGCCTTAAAGGGCCTTGTGCCCCCAAACACCCCTCCTCCATTCCCTAAAAATATTTGTGCAGAGATAATCAGCACTGATACCTTTCTCTCACTCATGTGTCTTCCAGAAGGGAATCACACTTCATTGAAAATCTGAGTGTCTTGGAGCCTCTTAGTGACCTTTTAGTTCCAGGTTTAATGTACCTTGACCACTTAAAAAGCCTTTAAAAAAAGGCTCCTAGATTTAGTGAAAACTTCTGGATTGAGCAGTTGTTATTTAACATCTAAGTATCCACAATTTTCTCAACATGCTACAAACTCTTAAAGGATATGGGATCTTCATTAAGCAACTTGATACATAGAGGAACATCACCAATATCTTTGATTTACAAGGCAGGAATTCACTAAAAAAATTATGTTTGCTGCATTCCAATCGTGGAGAATGAAGGAGAGAAAAGCAAATATGAGAATGTTTTGGTTAAAGGTTAAGTAGATTTCCTTTGTGTTCAGCTTTCTGAAAAAAATTAAAATACTTGTAATACTTAGAAATTGTGTACATGCAGACTTTTTTGCACTTCTAAAAACGCACCATATTTGCACCAACATTTTAGTTTATCTTTCCTGCTTCTGATTTGCTTCAAAGAAAAGAGAAGTTTAAATGGGATTTGTAATTTGAGGTTATAACAAATTACAAGAAGGGAATATATTGTTATAACAATAACAAGAAGGGAAAATTATATTGATCTTTCAAGGTCTTTTTTTTTAAAGATTTTTGATGTATGAAGGCAATTTAGTCAACTATTTAACTTGAAAACCAAAAAGGCTTTATGTCTTAAAAAAATCCCTGTGATTGTTACTGTTTTAAACTCAAAAAAGCTGAAGAAGAACTTTCTTACAGGACATTAAACTGCAGCGTTTGCTACTCAGTGTTAGGTTGGAAAGAAATCCACAGTGTGTAATTCACACAGAATCTTCATTTGATGTAGCTAATTACTTTCAAATTATTTAATTATCTCATCTAAGAATATCAACATCTCCTTGGTTTCTTTCTTTCTTTCTCCCTCTTTCTTCCTTCTTTCCCCTTCTTTCTTTTGACAGGATCTCATTCTGTCATCCTGGCTGGAGTGAGGTGGCACCATCTAAGAATATCAACATCTCATTGGTTTCTTTCTTTCTTCCTTCCCTTTCTTTCTTTTTTTTTTTTAAATTTTATTTTATTTTATTTTTTTTATGTTTTTTGAGACGGAGTCTCACTCTTTCGCCCAGGCCGGACTGCAGTGGCGCTAGCTTGGCTCACTGCAAGCTCCGCCTCCCGGGTTCACACCATTCTCCTGCCTCAGCCTCCCGAGTAGCTGGGACTACAGGGGCCCGCCACGGTGCCCGGCGAATTTTTTAGTATTTTTAGTAGAGACGGGGTTTCACCGTGTTAGCCAGGATGGTCTCGATCTCCTGACCTCGTGATCTGCCCTCCTTGGCCTCCCAAAGTGCTGGGATTACAGGAGTGAGCCACCGCGCCCGGCCCCTTCCCTTTCTTTCTTTTGACAAGATCTCCTTCTGTCATCCTGGCTGGAGTGCAGTGGCATGATCACGGTTCACTGCAGGCTTAACCTCCTGGACTCAATAGATCCTTCCACCTCAGTCTCCCGAGTAGCTGGGACTACAGGCATGTGCCACCATGCCCAGCTAATTTTTGCACTTTTTTGTAAAGACAGAGTTTCGCTATGTTGCCCAAGCTTGGTTCGAACTCTTGGGTGCAAGCAATTCATCCAACTAGGCCCCCCAAAGTGCTGGGATTACAGGCATGAACAACTGTACCTGGCCTACTTGGTTGGTTTCTATAGCAACTGTAGCTTCAGAGCTTCATTAAATGTTGGCACAGCTCAAGCTGATGGGAAATGGAACTCATGTGTCCAGCCTCAGAAGTTGAGCAGCCCAGCTCTTCTCACAGAGATAGACCAAGAAGTCTATTCTTCAGTTCTCCAAGGTGGTGTCAGGAGAAGACAGCCTTTCTATATTCATTTACAGACATGATGGAACTTACAGGGATTCAAAGAGGACCTGATTTAACTTAGCAAAGGACTGACCCCTACCATATCCTGTTTCTAAGATGTTTACTCTGATATAAGGTGGAGTAAAGTGATCCCTTTAAGATGCCCCTGCAACTGACCTAGGAGGCTACAGTTCTGCTTTAAAGCCCTCGCAGCTCTCATTGTATTTAGCTAATGAATGAGCATTGTGAGATCTGTCAATATATACTGTACGTGGCTCTGGAATCCAAAGAAAATTCTGTACTTTCACGGAATGCCATTCAAGAGACACAGAGAAAAGTCGCCTTCTTGTGTCACGTCCTTCACAGAACAGATATGGGGCTGATACATGGCACATTTCTCTAAAACTGAACTCAACTAGTCTTGCATATGGATGGATTTTTCTTTTTGATTCAGCTATGTTTTCCCTCTGCAGAACAGTGTCTTATGAGGTAAGAAGTGACAGAAACCTGATGTTGCAGAAGAAATCAGGATAACAGGGGTGAAGGTGTGGGGGAGAGTGACTCTTTACAATGTCCGAATGAATCAATGCAGAAATCAATGCACAAATTTAAGGAAACAAGTTGTGAGGCACAAATTTCAAACTTTTCTCCGAGTTTTTGTTATGAGACTTTATGATAAAACGTTAATACTGGTATTGTCAAAGCTCAGGCCAACTGTGTGAATTTCCTGTTGCTGCTGTAACAAATTATCACAAACTCAGGGGCCCAAAACAATACGAATTTATTATCCTACAATTTTGGAGGCCAGAAATCCAAAATCAGTCTAAGTAGGCTGAAGTCAATGTGTCAGCAGGGATGGTTTTGAGAGGTGAAGCCAGCTGGACTTCCTGGGTCAAGTGGAGACTTAGAGAACTTTTCTGTCTAGCTAAAGGTTTGTAAATGCACGAATCAGCACTCTGTAAAAACACCCCAATCAGCGCTCTGTGTCTAGCTAAAGGTTTGTAAGTGCACCAATCAGCACTCTGTAAAAATGTACCAATCAGAGCTCTGTGTCTAGCTAATGGTTTGTAAATGCACCAATCAGCACTCTGTAAAAACGGACCAATCAGCACTCTAAAATGGACCAATCAGTGCTCTGTAAAATGGACCAATGAGCAGGATGTGGGCAGGGCCAAATAAGGGAATAAAAGCTGGCCACCCGAGCCAGCAGCTGCAATCCTTCCACTCTGTGGAAGCTTTGTTCTTTTGCTTTTTGCAATAAATGTTGCTGCTGCTCACTCTTTGGGTCCACACTGCCTTTATGAGCTGTAACACTCACCGCAAAGGTCTGCAGCTTCACTCCTGAAGCCAGTAAGACCATGAACCCACAGGGTGGAAAGAACAACTCTGGACGTGCCGCCTTTAAGAGCTGTAACACTCACTGCAAAGGTCTGCGGCTTCACTCCTGAAGTCAGCGAGACCACGAACCCACCAGAAGGAAGAAACTCCAGACACATCTGAACATCTGAAGGAACAAACTGAGGACACACCATCCTTAAGAACTTTAACACTCACCACGAGGGTCCGCGGCTTCATTCTTGAAGTCAGCGAGACCAAGAACCCATCAGAAGGAACCGATCAGGGACACAGTTTCTTCTGGAGGCTGTCAGGGAAGAATCCATTTCCTTGCCTTTCCCAGCTTTCAGAGGCTGCGTATCTTCTTTGGCCTGTGGCGTCATTCTCTATCTTCAAAACCATTAACAGTGGGTTAAGTCCTTCTCACATCATACCACTCTGACACTAACTCTCCTGCTTCCCTCTTGTAAGGACCCTTGGGATTACATTGGACCCACCTTGATAATCCATGCTAATTTCCCCATTTCAAGATCCCTAATTTAATCACATCTTCAGAGCCCCTTTTGCCGTGTAAGATAACACTTTCATAAATAGGTTCCAGGGATTTGGACATGGACATCTTTGGGGACTATTCTGCTTACTATAGCAGTCACATTGCAAATTTCAGTGGGGTCTAAGGATGGCAGTTCAGCCAGTTAACATGATGAGTTCCTTTAAAGTATCAAGTTTACAGCATCTCCTGGGGGCTTCTGAGTTACCTCTGCCTACTGTTACATTATTCCAAATAGGAACAATCTTGTTTCATAGGTGTGAAAAGGGAAGCTGAAAAAGATAAATGATTATTTTCAACAACTCTTCAGTGTGATCAAGGCAGGAGTAAGCCCAACTCAAGGGCTCCTGTTGCTCTGTCCAGCATGTTTCTTGCCTTTCTCCAGTGCCTCCAGGGAATGCATTTAAAGAGATGTCAGAGTCAGTTTGGCACCGTATTGGGTGGTGCTGGGTGGTATGGGGGTTGAGTGTGAGCGAAGGAAGGGAAATTGACATTTTGCCCATAGGAAGTAGACAAAGTAGCCACCCAGTGGCAGTACTCCCAGCCACCATTCTCCACTGTTACACAGACTTTTAAAGAATGATATGGTTTGGATCTGTGTTCTCACAACATCTCATGTCAAATTGTAATCCGTAGTGTTGGAGATGGGGCCTGATGGGAGGTAATTTGATCATGGCAGTGGATTTCTCATGAATGGCTTAACACCATCCCTTTGGTGCTGTTCTTGTGATAGTGAGTTCTCACACAATCTGGTTGTTTAAAAGTGTGTAGCACCTTCCCCCATTTCTCTTGCATCTGCCCTGGCAATGTGAAGTGCTGGCTTCCCCTTCACCTTCCACCATGATTGTAAGTTTCCTGAGGCCTCCCCAGAAGCTGAGCGGATGTCAGCATCATGCTTTCTGTACAGCTTGCAAAGCCATGAGCCAATCAAACCTCTTTTCTTTACAAATTACTCAGTCTCAGGTATTTATAGCAATGTGAGAACGGACTAATACAAAGAGGATCCTTTTCATAGTGCCTTCTAGACCTTATGATGGATGATGATCCTGAGTATGCTTCATTCATGTGTCCCCAAAGCGGTTTTTAAGGCACTTATATTTTTTGATGTAGCAATAAATTGAGAATGAAAACCAGTTTGGGATCAGACCACTGTGGGGTCACGTCTCAGCTCTAGCACCTACCACGGATTGTGTGACCACTGGAAATAGCAATAATCTCATGAGGTAGGTGTGAGGAGAAAAGAAGCAAATCCCTAGAAAGTAGTTAGCACTGTCCAAGGATGCCATAAATGTTAGCTGCTCTTATTATTACATCAGCTGGTCCTGCATGAGCTAGCCCCTGCCTACTTCTTCAGCCTTATATTCTACCACCCTCTTTCCTTATCCACTGTGCTCCAGTCATACTGGCTTTCTTTCTGACTCTTAAGCAGGCCGTTAAGGGCTTTGCATTTGCTGTTCTTTCAAGTCAGAACTCTTCCTTCCAGAATCTACAAGGCTAACCTCTATGTCATTATTCAGGCCCTAGCTCCTACAAAATATTCCTGTGACCATCCTGACTAGAGTACCTCCTTCTGTACTCCCCACTCACAACCTGTACTATCTTTCTCTTTTATTTTCTTAGTGGTTGGTCATTATTAAGCTCTGAAAATTATCTCTCTCCTTCTTTCCTCCCTCCCTTCCCCTCTTTCTCTCTCTATACTTAAAGCTCCTTTAGTCCAACAGAGTTATGTTCATTGCTGTATCTCCAGCATCTGGAACAGAGCCTGGAAAATAATAAGAGCTCCATGCTTGCTGGCCAGTTGAGCAACTGATATAGACTACCATCAGAATACAGATCTTAGTTTAATGTATCATTTGAAATTTTTGTTTTCTATAAGCATTGGCCTCTTGGGACCTATTTATTATCCACACCCCTCATTAATTACACCAGCCTTTCTCTGATATCTCTTCACCCCTCCCCAGCTCTTCCTCCTCTTCATCTCATTCCTTCAGGGCCATTGAGTGGGCTTCTCCCTCCTTCCAAGTACTTAAAAGAATTTTTTAATAGAGCACTCTGAAAGTCCAAAAAGCCCAGAAGATTCAAACAGTGAATCATTACTGGTGAAACTTCAAAGGCCATGGTGGGTCTCTACTATGAGTCTCTTTGTCTCCCTAATCAAAACCACAATTGCACAATTACTAGTGGGCTCAGGAAAACCCAACTTTGTTCTATCCGCAGTGTTCAGTACAGTGGTTTAAGCATACATACACCACGCACACATAAATGCATGTGGAATGAATGGGACTTCTCTTACTTACTCATAAAGTCATATGAAAGAAACGCAAATTAATAGTGATTAAGGATGAGCATAAGGATCCTGCCATTAGGTCCTGGCAGACCTCCACACCTCTAGCAGATTCAGGCCATGGGCCATCTGATCTGCCAGTGGAGAGGGGTCCAGATGGGGTAGGGAAGGTGAATACCCTGTTCCTAGGCCTTATCTCCTAGGACTTGGGCTTGGCAGAGCCGTTGGGGTTCCCAGCTCACAGTCAAGAGCTGTTAACAGGAATAGGAAATACATCTTAGCGTCTTCTTTGAAAACAGAAAACATCCCATGGAGATAAACAAAACATCGGGTCATAGAATTTCAAATTGGAAGGGTCTTTGGGAATCATCTGATCCATTCTTCCATTTTCAATTAAATTACTAGCCCATAATAACCCAGTAGCAGAGCTGAGAATAGAACTCAAGACTGATGCCCATAGCTTTGTTGTGAGGAAAGTAAAAGAGATAGAATGTGTAAGGCAATTTTCTCCTTCTCAATCTTCATGTTTGAAGACACTCTGAGAGGACAAATGTAAGGCTATGTAAATATATATGCAAGTCATTCTTCACTTTATACACATTATATATATAGCATTTATCAAAATTTTAATTTATTATAGCTGAGAATATAGAAAAATATCCTTAAACTTCTGGTCTCAAAATTCTTATCCTCAGAATAAATCCTTATTTACTATGTGGTAAATCTTTATACTGAATTAATATTCTGGGTGCTTTTTTTCACTCCAGTGAGTAGTGTTTCTAATGAGTACTGGGTTATACATTATAAGATACAGATTGGCACGTATTTATATTTGAGGCTGCTATGGGACAGTCTAGAACAGATTTCAGTACCACAAAAATATTGTTGTCAATTGCATCCCTTCCTCTCCTTATTCCTCCTTTTCCTCTCCTCTGTTCCCCAACATGGCTTTTCCCCCAAGCATCTCTTCAGAGACAAAGGGAATGCAATCTCCCTGGGAAATGGATCAGTGATGCTCAACACTGATTATTAGTTACCTACAAAATCCAAGCTCTTTCAGACCACCTTAACTAATAAAACATGTTAGCTTTGTAAAGTTACTACATATTTTTTTCTTTAGAAAATTGAACATTTAAAAAAATATTTGGAGCATAAATGGTTAAAAAATCAACTCCCTTTTGTTTCTACAATTCTTAAACAGCATTTATTTTCCAGGGGTGTGGAGGGTGGGGGTGCTCTGCCTGGTATTAATTTTCAGAATTTTCAGTGTGTCATTCTTGTGTGTGTGTGTGTGCACGCGCGTGTGTATGTTTCTCCCTTTGAAAAAACAAAAGATGAGTTTCCTTGCCCACCATGGAAAAAATGTAACATACGACCCAATCCCTTCCTGAGAGCATGGAGGACCAAGAACAGACGGCTTAGATCAGGGTGGCGAGGAAATTTTGTCATTTCCAGAAGGAAGCATGAGTCAGAGTGTGCAACATTTTAGGAGGCCTGAATCAGAGCTGTCGAGGAAGTTAGCTCTTGGACAATTTAACTTCAAATCAGAATGTTATTTCATTGAATGCCTTCCTTCAAAATCATGTCTTTCTCCAAGATGGCTGCAGATGGTGATGTTCCAATTATTTCCCTTCAGGAACAGGGAGTAACTTAACAGTTGAAGAAGTTCTTGAATCCACTTTTGAGGCAATGAAGCCCAGAGATTAATATGTATCTTTTAGAAAGGAGAAAAGAGAGTAAGAGAAGGAAGGAGAACACTGCTCTAAAAATCTATACATAAATGAAGAATGATCAAGTTAAATTATATTGTTAGAAAAATTAAATTATTATGACCAACTAAACATTTTAATAAGCATGCATTTTCCTCATTGAGGCCAATACATACTTGAGAAAAATCTTTCCACACACTCAAATTTCTCATTGCTTCAAGATTTGTTTCTCTTTTGCAAAGCTCAATACTCAGAAAGTCTCCAGAATGCTAAAGGGCACTCCATATAATCTTTCAGAAGGATATGGCCAAAGGTGGGGTTCAGGGGATGAGAAGAAATCCTGGTTTGGAGGACTGAGGGGAGGGGTGACACTAGGTTTGGGACATGGCCAACAGCTTCAGGGGCCTAAGGATTCTGAAACCTGATAATATTTAATGATAACATGTTCTGATAATCAAATAGATTTAGAGTGACTTCAGATAGAGAGCTTGGGGTTCTGCTCTGCTCCCAGTCTCCACCATTATCTCCTCAAGATCTGAGGGCTGTGAAGGGCTTGCTTTAGCCTGACGGTTTCCTGAAGTTGGTTTCACTCTCAGCTCATCACTTAGAGACAGCCAGCTGCTTTTGACTTGGAAAAAATTGCTTGGAGCAGTTACAGCCCTTGGGGACTCTAGGAACATGTGTATATATTGGAAAAAGAGAAAGAGGACTGTATGTTTCACAATGGAGAAATTTAGGAGGTATACAGCCACATGCATGTGTGCGCACACACACACACACACACACATACACACAATGTGTGGCATGAGGCCCTGAGGTCCATTTGGGATAGCAAAGGATGGCCAGAAGTCTAGACTTGATAGTAGCAGAAACCTGTCCTTCTGACCTTTTATATGTAGGTTATGAAGAAACATTATTAATATCAGGACTTATACAACTTTTTTTAAAAGTCTCTCTCTGAGTCAGGCTTAAACTGGGCCAGGACCTGCCCCCAGGGTTTTAGGGGTGGACTTTTGTTCCATCAAACTTCCTAGACTCTGCAATTCACAGTCTTAGCCTCCTCCATGATACCCTGGTAATGTCATAGAAGGTATGGAGGACAGAGGGCAAGATGGAGAATCAGAGGATACATAGTCAGAAAGCCTAGTTTCAAGTCTCCAGTTTGCTTTTGCAAGATGTGAGTTGAACAAATCTGAACCTGAGGTGCAATGTCCTGATTCTTAGAAGTGTGGACTAGAACCCCAGGGTTGCAGTGAAGACTTGATTCAATAAGTACCATGCGAAGCCATGTGGAACTGTGCAAAGCCATAGAACTCTGAGCATTGCCACACAATGGCATGATAGCTGTGCATGGTGCTGGGGGCCATTCTCTTTCCGGACTATTCCTCTTTTCTTCTTCCTGGTCCATGAAATAAGGACTTCTCAAGTCTGCTCCCTGTCCTTCTTGCCTCCCACCATTGCCCTGGTTCAGACCTTCTTTCTGTTGCACCTGAGCTATTTTCAGTAGGCTCCTTCCTGAACTCCCACCTCCATCCTTTGCTTTTCCTGTTTTCACTTCCTGGCATGCTCTTCCACCTGGTGTCTACATGACTTGCTACTCATGCTTATTCAAATGTCTCTTTAGAGAGCTCTTCCCTGACCACTATCTATAAAATAAAACCCAGCCCCTCCCTCCACAGCCAGTCTTCCTTACCCAGTTTTATTTTTTTCCATAGGGCTTATAATAAATCTCTGTAATTATTTTGTTATTTTAATGTAAATACACCTTTTATTTTAGAATACTTTTAACTTTACAGAAAAGTTGCAAAAATAATAGCGTTTGTGTATGACCCTAAACCAATTTTCCCTATTGTTAACAACTTCGATTGCTATATTATATTTGTCACAACTAAGGAACCAATATTGATACACTGTTATTAACTTAACTCCATACTTTTACTTTATACAGGTTTCGTTAGCTTTCCTTGTCTATTCCAGGATTCCATCCAGGATAGCACATGGCATTCAGTCATATCTCCTTAGCTTCTTCTAATCTGTGGTAGTTTCTCAGGCTTTCCTTGTTTTTGATTACCTTGACAGTTTTGAGAAAAGTTTTGCTCAGGTGTTTTGTAGAAAGTTTTTCTCATGTTTAGACTGGAGGTTTTTGGGAGTACGGGCATAGAGGTAGAAAGTACTTCTCATCATATTATATCAAGGATGCATACTATTAATCAACGTGATTTATCACTGTTGATGTTGACTTTGATCTACTATGGTAGTGTTTGTCAGGTTTCACCATTATAAAATTACTTTACCCTCCCTTTTCATACTCTGGAAATAAGTAACTAGGCACGGCCCACGCTCAGAATGTGGGGGCTTAGATTATACCTCCTTGAGGAGGGAGTCTCTATCTTACTTGGACTTCTGTATAGGAGATATATTTATATAGGAGATCTCCTATATAAATGGAGATTTATATATATATATATCTCCTATTTATAAATGGATTTATAAATAAATACATATAAATATAAATACATATAAATATGTAAATATATAAATACATATAAATATGTAAATATATAAATACATATAAATATATACATATATACATTTATTTATTCAGTCATTTACTTATATCAGTATGGTCTCACAGATATTTGTTTTATACTCTGGGTTATATTCCAATACTATGTTATATATTTTGTTGCTCAAATTGTTCCAGCCTTAGCCACTGGGGACTCTTTCAGTTGGCTCTTGTGTCCCTTTGACATGCCACCATTGTTTTGCTATTTGAGCACTTTCTTACTTTCTGGCACTTCAAGGCACTCCAGGCTCATTGTGTATATTTCCTGCCCTAGCCCTAGAATAAGATACATCTCTAAAGAAGTTCCAGTTTCTTTCATTAGAAAATATTATTAGAAACCAAGATCTGGGAGCTAGGCATGCTTGTTGCTACTAGGGTGTCTTTGCTTTTAGGCCCTCTCAGAAGACAGAGCTAAGAGATATATGTGTATATACAAACTCATGTATGCACTCATCTTTACAACTACTTCTGTATCTATCCATCTGTATCTATATCAAGCTAAATATGAGTTTACCTTGATGTCTCTGACTCTAATCCAGTACCACATGGGTCAGTCCATTCTAATCTCCCCTTGCTTATCTGGAACCTTCCTCACCAACAGTGAGAAGACTGGCTCAACCACTCATTTATTTATTTGCTCATCCTAGTATACATGTACAGCCATGTTAGAATTATTAACCCGTACCCCTATGACAAGCAACCTTATCAACTAGACTATAGTGTTCATATATCATCCCTTTTGTTTTTGGTCTTACGGTGTATGGTGAAACACCATTTTTCAAAGTGACTTAGATCGGGATATTTTGTCTCCATTCTCTTCCATGAAATTATGGCTTACGTTTGTAACACCATTAGATTCTTCTGTCATAGTCTACATCTCATGCTGGGATCCCCTGACCTCCTGGTTGATTTTTTAAAATTTACATGCATTAAGGTTCACTTTTTGTGCTGTAAATTTCTGTAGGTTTTGACAAATGCATAACAACATACATATACCACTCAATACAGATTAGTTCCACAAACTAAAAAACTCACTGTGCTTCCCCTAATGAAACACTGTTTCCTATTTTTCTTCTACTTGACTTCATAAGGACTGGGATTTTTGTATGTTTGGGTTAATGTTGTGTTCCAAGTCCCTAGAAAAGTGCCTGGCACATAGTAGGTGCTCAATAATTTTTTTTCTTGAATGAGTGAAGGTCTTTACTCTTGCCTTCTGAAATCCAACTCCCTCCTTTCCCATAGTAAAGCTTCGGTAAGCCCACATAAGGAACATATCAGTCCTTGGTCTGAAAATGTATTATGGCATAGAGAGACCTTTTTTGTACAAATTTAAGGAGTACAAATGTAGTTTTGTTACATAGATATATTACATGGAGGTGCGATCTGGGCTTTTAGTGTATCCGTCACCTGAATGAAGAACATTGTATCCATTAAGTAATTTTGCATCCCTCATCCCCCTCCCACCCATCCAGGTCTCCAGTAACTAGTATTCCACACTTTCCCAGAGAGACCTTTATGCATATAGGTCCTGACCACCTTTTCTTTCCCAAGATGGGTTACATGTCCCACGCCTGTACAGCAAGCATACCATATATACATAACTCTATTATAATATGTTCTACTATATAATTATTCTATTCACTCATCTGTTTCCTTGTACTAGAGAACCAGGTTACTCTGGCACCACATTTCTCTCTAATTGATCTTTAACTCTATAGAGATCTTCTCCATTCTACCTCAGGGGAGTTAGGAGAGGAAACTCTGGGTATCTAGAGTTTCCTTAGGCACATTCTTCTTATGTTGTTAATTAGAAGGTAGGATTTTAATTTTGTTCATTCTTTTTCCATTTTGTTTGCTTTTATTTTATGTTCCCCATCATAAAATCAGAAAAACTACAGCATAATGGATATACAGGGATGGATATGTGAGGGTGTGTGCCTGTTTGGGGTTATGTATTTCCCTTTCTTCTTTGTGACTCCTGAGGTCAGAAGCTGAGGCTCCAAAAAATTACTGTAGCAGAAACTCTATGTATATGTGGGAATAGGGAGAGGTAGAAAAGGATAGGACCAGCTTTATTCCTCACTGCTGAAGCCCAACTGTTAAGCCAGAGCTGGTGCATTTGCTAATGTCTTTGATGATAATCTTTATCAGGCAAAATGGCCAGGGTCAGGACTAGCAGCTGACCCAAAAGATTCTGAGACTGCCTGCTTGCTCAGTGACCCAAGAACTTATGAACATTTTGCTTCCACCGCCCTCCTCTGGCACACGCTTAGACGTGGGTAACCTGGTCCTGCTTCTTAGAGGACCCTGATTTGTTCCTGCAAAGACCCTGCTTTGTTCCTGCAAAGAACCCTCGTTCTTTTTTATGGCTGCATAGTATTCCATGGTGTACATGTACCACATTTTCTTTATCCAGTCTATCATTAATGGGCATTTAGGTTGATTCCATGCCTTTGCTATTCTGAATAGTGCTGCAATGAACATATGTGTGCGTGTGTCTTTATAATAGAATGATTTACATTTCTTTGGGTAGATACTCAGTAATGGGATTGCTGGGTCAAAGGGTATTTCTGTTTTTAGGTTTCTGCGGAATTGCCACACCGTCTTCCACAATGGTTGAACTAATTTATGCTCCCACCAACAGTGTATAAGCATTCCTTTTTATCTGCAACCTCGCCAGCATCTGCTATTTTTTTACTTTTTAATAATAGCCATTCTGACTGGTGTGAGATGGTATCTCATTGTGGTTTTGATTTGCATTTCTGTAATGATCAGAGATCTTGAGCTTTTTATCATGTGATTGTTGGCTGCATGTATGTCCTCTTTTGAAAAGTGTCTGTTCATGTCCTTTGCCTACTTTTTATGGGGTTGTTTGTTTTCTTGTAGATTTGTTTAAGTTCCTTATAGATGCTGGATATTAGACCTTTGTTAGATGCATTGTTTGCAAACTTTTTCTCCCATTCTTTAGGTTGTCTGTTTACTCTGTTGATACTCACCTTTGCTGCACAGAAGCTCTTTAGTCTAATCAGTTCCCATTTGTCTATTTTTGCTTTTGTTGCAATTGTTTTTGGCGTCTTTGTCATGAAATCTTTGCCCGTTCCTTTGTCCAGGATGGTATTGCCTTGGTTGCCTTCCAGGATTTTTACAGTTTTGGGTTTTACATTTAAGTCTTTAATCCATCTTGAGTTAATTTTTGTATATGGTGTAAAGAAGGGGTCCAGTTTCAATCTTCTGCATATGGCTAGCCACTTATCCCAACACCATTTACTGAATAGGGAATCCTTTTCCCATTGCTTGTTTTTGTCAGGTTTTCTGAAGATCAGAGAGTTGTGAGTGTGTGGGGTTATCTCTGGGTTCTCTATTCTGTTCCATTGGTCCATGTGTCTGTTTTTGTACTAGTACCATGCTGTTTTGGTAACTTTCACCCTGTAGTATAATTTGAAGGCGAGTAGCATGATGTTTCCAGCTTTGTTCTTTCTGCTTAGGATTGCTTGGGCTATTCAGGCTCTTCTTTGTTTCCATGCAAATTTTGAAATAGTTTTTTCTAGTTATGTGAAGAATCTCGATGGTAGTTTCATAGGAATTGCATTGAATCTATAAATTGCTTTGGACAGTATGGCCATTTTTATGATTTGATTCTTCCTATCCATGGGCATGGGATGTTTTTCCATTTGTTTGTGTCATCTCTGATTTCTTTGAGCAGGGTTTTGTAATTCTTCTTGTAGAGATCTTTCATTTCCCTTGTTACCTGTATTCCTAGGTATTTTATTCTTTTTGTGGCAATTGTGAATGAAAATTTGTTTATGATTTGTCTCTCAGCTTGACTGTTGTTTGTGTATACAAATGCTCATGATTTTTGCACATTGATTCTGTATCCTGAGACTTTGCTGAAGTTGCTTATCAGCTTAAGAAGCTTTTGGACTGAGTTGATGGGATTTTCTAGATATAGGATTGTGTCATCTGCAAACAGGAATAGTTTGACTTTCTCTCTTCTTATTTGAATGCCTTTATTTTTTTCTCTTGCTGGATTGTCCTGGTTAGACCTTCCAATACTATGTTGAATAGGAGTAGTGAGAGGGGGAATCTTTTCTTGTGCCGATTTTCAAGGGGAATGCTTCCAGCTTTTGCCCATTCACTGTGATATTGGCTGTGGGTTTGTTGTAAATGGCTCTTATTATTTTGAGGCATCTTTAGTCTTAGGAGGGTGTATGTGTCCAGGAATTTATCAGTTTTTTTTCTAGATTTCCTGTTTTACGTACACCTACCAGCTTAATACCATGTGGAAGCTGCCAAGGCTTACCGCTTGCGCCCTCTGAGGCAGCAGCCCAAGCTGTATCTGGGTCCCTTTAAGCTGAGGCTGGAGCTGCAGCAGAGAGGATGAAGGGAGCAGTGTCCTGAGGCTGTGCAGGGCAGCAGGACCCTGGGCCTGGCCCATATAGCCACTCTTTCCTCCTAGCAGTCTGGGACTGTGATGGGAGGAGCTACTGCAGAGGTCTCTGAAATGTCCTCAAGGCCTTTTCCCCATGGTCTTGGCTATTAGTACTTGGCTCCATTTTATTTATGCAAATTTCTCTAGCAAGTGGTTGCTCCACAAACTGCTTGAATTTCCGCTTCGGAAAAATCTTTTTATTTCTCTGCCACATGGCCAGGTTGCCAGTAAAATTTTACAAACTTTTACTTTCTGCCTCCTGTTTAAATATAAGTTCCAACTTTAAGTCATTCCTTTGCTCCTGCATATGAGCAAAGCCAGCCCACATTTTGAATGTTTTGTTGCTTAGAAATATCTTCTGCCAGATACTCTAGGTCATCACTCATAAGTTCAATCTGCTGCAGATCCCTAGGGCATGCACAGAATACAGCCAAGCTCTTTGCTAAGACTAACATGCATGACCTTTGCTCCAGTCCCAATAAGTTCCCCATTTCCATCTAAGACCTCATCAGCCTGGATTTCGTTGTCCATATCACTATCATCATTTTGGTCAAAACCATCCAACAAGTCTCTAAGGAGTTCCAAACTTTCCCTCACCTTCCTGTCTTCTTCTGCACCCTCCACACTCTTCCAACCTCTGCCTTACCCAGTTCCAAAGCTGCTTTCACATTTTAAGGTATCTTTATAACAAGACCCCACTCCTCAGTACCAACTTTCTGTGTTAGTCCATTGTGTAGCTATAAATAAATACCCAGGGCTAGGTAATTTATAAAGAAAATAAGTTTAATTGGCTCACTGTTCTGTAAGCTGTCCAGGAAGCATGGCACCAGCATCTGCTCAGGTTCTGGGGAGGACTCAGGGAGTTTTACTCATGTTGGAAGGCTAAGTTGGGGCAGGCACTTCGCATTGCAAAAACAGGAGCAAGAGCGAGAGAGTTGGTGGGAGGTGACACATTTTACAACCAGATCTCAAAGAATTCACACACTACATCAAGGAAAACACCAAGCCATGAGGTATCTGCCCACGTGACCAAAATCCCTCCCACTAGGCCCTACCTCCAACATTTGGGATTACAATTCAGCATGAGATATGGCCGAGACACAGATCCAAACCATATCATCAATTGCCCCAGTTATTCAACAGATCATGAGAAAAAGAAACAGATGGAGAAGAAAACTGTCAAGTAAGTGACTTCAGTTTTTTTAATGGGCAAGATTAAACTAGAATAAGTAAGTATGTACTCTTTGGAGACAAAACTACAAAGAAAAGCAAGTCAGGATAGTTATTTTCAGAGGAAGGAGGGGGCTAAGATTAGGGACAGGCACAAAAGAATAAAACACCTCAGAATACAGGTAACAAGGGAAGTGAAGGATCTCTTCAAGGAGAATTACAAAATGCTACTCAAAGAAATGAGAGATGACACAAACAAATGGAAAAACATCCCATGCTCATGGATAGGAAGAATCAATATCATAAAAATGACCATACTGTCCAAAGCAATTTATAGATTCAATGCAATTCCTATGAAACTACCATCGAGATTCTTCACATAACTAGAAAAAACTATTTCAAAATTTGTATGGAAACAAAGAAGAGCCTGAATAGCCCAAGCAATCCTAAGCAGAAAGAACAAAGCTGGAAACATCATGCTACTCGCCTTCAAATTATACTACAGGGTGAAAGTTACCAAAACAGCATGGTACTAGTACAAAAACAGACACATGGACCAATGGAACAGAATAGAGAACCCAGAGATAACCCCACACACTCACAACTCTCTGATCTTCAGAAAACCTGACAAAAACAAGCAATGGGAAAAGGATTCCCTATTCAGTAAATGGTGTTGGGATAAGTGGCTAGCCATATGCAGAAGATTGAAACTGGACCCCTTCTTTACACCATATACAAAAATTAACTCAAGATGGATTAAAGACTTAAATGTAAAACCCAAAACTGTAAAAATCCTGGAAGGCAACCAAGGCAATACCATCCTGGACAAAGGAACGGGCAAAGATTTCATGACAAAGACGCCAAAAACAATTGCAACAAAAGCAAAAATAGACAAATGGGAACTGATTAGACTAAAGAGCTTCTGTGCAGCAAAGGTGAGTATCAACAGAGTAAACAGACAACCTAAAGAATGGGAGAAAAAGTTTGCAAACAATGCATCTAACAAAGGTCTAATATCCAGCATCTATAAGGAACTTAAACAAATCTACAAGAAAACAAACAACCCCATAAAAAGTAGGCAAAGGACATGAACAGACACTTTTCAAAAGAGGACATACATGCAGCCAACAATCACATGATAAAAAGCTCAAGATCTCTGATCATTACAGAAATGCAAATCAAAACCACAATGAGATACCATCTCACACCAGTCAGAATGGCTATTATTAAAAAGTAAAAAAATAGCAGATGCTGGCGAGGTTGCAGATAAAAAGGAATGCTTATACACTGTTGGTGGGAGCATAAATTAGTTCAACCATTGTGGAAGACGGTGTGGCAATTCCGCAGAAACCTAAAAACAGAAATACCCTTTGACCCAGCAATCCCATTACTGAGTATCTACCCAAAGAAATGTAAATCATTCTATTATAAAGACACACGCACACATATGTTCATTGCAGCACTATTCAGAATAGCAAAGGCATGGAATCAACCTAAATGCCCATTAATGATAGACTGGATAAAGAAAATGTGGTACATGTACACCATGGAATACTATGCAGCCATTAAAAAGTACAGGATTATGTTCTTTGCAGGAACAGTGATGGAGCTGGAGACCTTAGCAAACTAACACAGGAACAGAAAAGAAAATACCGCATATTGTCGCTTATAAGTGGGAGCTAAATGATGAGAACACATAGACACATAGAGAGGAACAACACACACTGGGGTCAGTTGGAGAGTGGAGGGCTGGAAAAGGAAGAGGATCAGGAAAAATAACTAATGGGCACTAGGCTTAATACCTGGGTGATGAAATAATCTGTACTATAATCCTGCATGACTCAAGTTTACCTATATAACAAACGAGCACATGTACCCCTGCACTTAAAATAAAAGTTAAAAAAAGATTGAGGGCGAGGCCGGGCGCGGTGGCTCACGCAGGTAATCCCAGCACTTTGGGGGGCCGAGGCGGGTGGATCAAGAGGTCAGGAGTCCTAGACCAGCCTCGCCAAAATGGTGAAACCCTGTCTCTACTAAAAATACAAAAACCAAGTGGGCGTGGTGGCGGGCACCTGTAATCCCAGCTACTCGGGAGGCTGCGGCAGAGAATTCCTTGAGCCCACGAGGTGGAGGTTGCAGTGAGCCGAGATTGCGCCACTGCACTCCAGCCTGGGCAACAGAGTGAGACTCCATCTCAAAAAAAAAAAAAAAAAAAAGATTGGGGGCATGGAACATTGAGAGCCTTCTAGGTTGGCTGGTAAAATTTTGTTTCTTGACCTGGGTGATGGTTACTAGGGAACAATCCTATTGCATTGTGGGGTTTTCTGTATCTATGTTTTATTTTGTAATAAAAAGGGTTGTAAAACCCAGCCAGCTGGTATTATAGACAAAACAAAATAGTTAACTATTTGGGAATATGTTCCATGTGAAAAGACTCACTTTATGGAAATGAAGATGCCTAAATATATATATATATATTTTTTTTTGTGGACCTAGGTCTGCCTTTTCCTATGAGGTAGATGGGAGGAAAATAGCATTGAAAATAGTGGAGAGGAGTAAGTGGAAACTACTCAGGCCAGCAGAATCTTCCAGTTTAGTGCACTATGCAAACTACTGACAAGGCTAGATGGAGCAAAGAATCTCAGCTTAGTTTTTTAGTATATGCAACTAGATAATAAATATGAAGACTTCAGAGGATTAGATATAGTAAATCATGAAGGCCAGAAAAACTTTTGGGGTTGTTTTTCACCTTTGAGCAGGAAAATGTTGAACTTTTGGGCTTTTTCTTTAATATATAGAAAGCATGCATATTTAACTATCCCATCTAACAGCAGCTTAAGCAAACTGGAGCCTTAGGAAGGGGACACTGAAGCTGGAGGAGGGAGAGACAGCATGAAGAAGGGCAGTGTGTCAGTCGTTAAAGGCAGTCTGGAAGGGTGTATGTTTTCTTGGTTCCAGTTGCCATATCATTAGTTAGCGATGAGTACTTTTTGTGGCTCCCCACTCAACACCCACTTTGGGAATGCTGATTTGCCTCTGTGGCATAGAAGCTTTGGACATTTATCTGACTTTTTGTGTTGCCCAGCTGGTTCAAGACAGGTGGGTGCCTTGGTCTGATAGGCTCTAAAGGTGTAATGTCCAAAGGCAGAGGGAGACCCTCCCATCTTGCTGGACCCACATTGCTTAGCACAGTCCAGATACATCACAGAACCTAAGAGTCTGTCAGTCTGAAATGATTGCCCTTCACACTGGCCTCATTTCCACTTTCCAAAGAAGTTGACTCTTCTGGAAATATTGTCTAAATTGTGCTTACAGAATCATGCCATATAATTCATGCCCTAAAATCATCTTGGTTCTGTAGCAAAAGGGTAATAACTAAGTATTTAATAATATGAATAAAAGAAAAAATGGAAATTGCCAATTCGAAATATGATGCACACTTACATGTGTGTATATCAGTTTTTTTTCTGAAAGTACAAGAATAAATGCTTTAATAATTATAGCTAATGTTTAATTAAAGGCCAATATTTGGCCAGGCAATGTGTAGAACATTTTATGTATACTAATCCATTTATTCCTCATCACAGCTTTATGAGAAAGGGACTATTATTTTCCATACTTCACAGGTAAAGAACTGAGACATAGAGAGGATACATCAGAGTCCAAGCTCACACAGACTCCTTTCTTATTCCTTCTTGTTCTTCATATTCTTCTCTATATGGCAGCCCGAGCAATTTTTCTAAAAACAGAACAAAAATGATCGGTGCCTTCCCACTGGTTTTAGGGTAATGTGCAAATGCCATACAATGGCTGAAGACCTTTACATCATCTGAAGTAGGCTTCTGCCTCCCTCTCAACAGCAACTTTCAACCATCCCTGCTACCTCGCTCTCTGTCTCCTCAAGCCACCTCATTCACTTCCTTCAACATGTTATTTCCTACCACACCTCCATGTCTTCTCAAGTGCTGATCTCTCTTTTGGGAACACTTTTTCTGTATCTCTGCCTATCTGACACAACTTTAAAAAAAATCCTCTTTATTATCTGCCTACAACCACATGCTCAGTTAGGATTTTGTGGCATGAGCTCCACTAACACCCTGTCTTCCTATCACAGCACACCTGCTGCCCTTCAGTTGGTGTGACTGCTTCTTTTATTATGTGTGTTTCCTGCTAGGCTGTAAGCTCCACGAGTCAAAGACCATGACTATCTTAGATCACTGTCCCCCAATACAGAGTCCCGTGATTAGCAAGTAGTAGACACTAAATAAATATGTGTTGTATCAATATTATGCATGCCTGAGATTCAGCTTATTGTTGTCAATGAGTTTTTGAAAGTTAATCCAGAGATATAAGTTTGTGATGCAATCATATAACAAGAGTTTAATTATTTCAAACCTACAGCACAAATCCTGTACATGCAAGGCTAAGATAGACCACCTTGGGAATCATGGGCTATGGTGGAAAGAGTTGGGATAGAGATATAAATAAGGAAATATAATATGAAGTAAAATGAAATAATCACTACGATTTTCTTCCGTGCATGGATGAGGGCAGGTAGGAGTGGGAAATCATGTACATCAGAATGGTGACATAAGAATTGAACATTAAGGAGTGGAGAGGATTTGGGTAGTAACAAGGTGGTGAGAATAGCAATCTGGAGAGCAGGAATAGCATAAACTAAGGCTTGGGAACAAGAAAAGGCATAACTTGCTCAGGGACAAGTGGAAGTCTTCATAAACTGAAATGCAACAATATTTTGGCTTTTTACTTAGCGCACCACAAAGCAAGAATCAAAGATGCAGATGAAGTGTCATTAAATGTGCACAGGTACTCATTGTAGATGCCACTTCTAGGTGAAATGCAACAAGTGGTTTCTGGTATTCTCAAAATCAGTCCTGATTTCAGCAGGGAAAACACCTGTGTTATTTCTAGCATGCTTCTCTATAAAAGGGATAACCTGAAAAAGGAACTTGAGCAATTTCCTTGGTGTAATGGATTTCTTTATTCCAAAAGACGTGTGACTATCAGACAATCTTAGCCCAATACCACGCAATCCTGGACTTGTCAACCTCCTTTGTCTGGAGTCTATATTTCCCTTTGGCTGTGGTTTGGCCACCAGTGGAGGGCTCCCTGCAGGAGTAGAATATGCTATTCAGTGGGATTCAAGAATTTCCATCCCTGTGATTCTGATTTTCAAAAGCACATTAATAAATCTCATCTTTGGATACACTGGGTTGATGAGAGGCTGCTCTGTAGAGACAGGTCCACCCTTGATGGACTGCTGAGTCAGGTTTATGAACTGCCAAGGGTGAGATTCAGTCCTCAGGCATTGCCTGTCATCTAAAGCATTAAGTGGAGGCACACTGGTATCATGGCTACGAGTGCAGGCTCTAGAGCTAGTAGCACAGCTCCACTACTATGGTACTAACTTCTCTGTGTCTCAGTTTCCTCATTTATAAAAAGGAGATAATAATAGAATCTACCACATAAGGTTGTTGTGATAATTAAATGAGTTAATAAAACTAAAATCCTTAAAAGAGTGCTTGGCACCCAGAAAGTACTTGATGAGTATAAGCTATTTGTTTTGTTCAGTTAATAGAGACAATCTGGTTAATAACAACTCTTGTAATTATCAGAACCATTCTTTAAGGTGATTATGAATAATTTCTGCTACTTATGAATTTTTCTCTACCCAGGATACGGAAAACCAAGGTTCACAGCAAGAAAAGAACAATTATGACCCATCTTCCTGGGGGCAATTTCACCTGAAGTTTTAAGGCAATAATAAACATGTTGAGATTAACATAAACAGACTGTGTTTAGACTGAAATGCAAATTTTGCACAAATATTTACTATAAAGCATAAAATTTTAAATAAATTTCTTGCTTACAGCATACCTCTCCAGGACTCATCTGCCATAACAGAGGAAAAAAAGGCAAAGTCAAGTCTGATCCAGTTGGTTGAATATCTGAGGCATTTGAAGGTTTGGTCCACTCTATAGTAGGGAGCGTCCTATACTCCTCCTGTCAAGTCCCATGTGGTTGATTAAAAATGGCCACAAAGTTTTGACCCTTGTGTTATTGAGAAGTGAGTCTATGTCTCATCTGCTAAATTTGGGATGGATTGTGATTACTTTGACCAATAGAATATGGCAGAAGTGATGCCCTGCCACTTCAGACCTAGCCTTTATGAGGATTGGCAGTTTTTGCTTCCTTCCTCCTGAAGCCCTGAGCTAGCCTTTCAAAAGTCTGGCTACCCTGAGGTTGCCATGCTGTGAGGGAGCCCAGGCTAGCCACATGGAGAGTTCATGTGACAGAAAAGAGAGAAGCAGACAGAGACTGAGACAGAGACACAGCCAGCCTCTAGCCATTCTGTCCCCCAGCAGTACATGTCATCTAAGCCGGGGACCCAGACTTCGTGGAGCAGAGATGAGCTTCCCTTCTTTGCCTTGTCTGGATTTCTGACCCAGCTTGAGAAATATACTAATACTAATAATAAATTGTTATTTTAAGACTCTAAGTTTGGGGCAGTTTGTTAAGCAGTAGTGTATAACTGGAACAACTAGTGATGATATCTAAGAAATGGAGAGATCCAATGGAAGTGAAGGTGGGGAGAGAAGGACTGAATGTTGTTCTTAAGGGGAAGGGACCCTGGTAGTGTGAGCAACTGGGTGGGGTTTAGAGTTGGTTCCAGAGACTCAAAAACACACCAGAAGAAGTCAGATCACACAGGCCAGGCAACCACATTATGGGGTCAAGGGAGGTTGGCTGACTCTGAGGATAGAGGTGGAGGATGGAGTTGGAGGTGACATGGGCCCCCATAAGTTCCCCTTGGACTTGCTGGAAAGCTGACTGGCAGCACAAACAGATTCCAGCTATCAGTGCCAACCTTGGTTCTCATTGGCCCATGGACTAAAAGGCAGGTCTCCACTACCCAAAGTTGGAAGGGTTTGAGTGGATAGACAGAGGGACGTCTATTAGAGTGGGAAATGGAAGGGTGGTTTCTTGGGACAAGAGAGGGCTGCGGACATTACTCTGCACTACACGGAGAAAAGGAAGGAGACTAATGGTTCCAAATGCAGGCATGAAGAGGGGTGGTTCTCCAGCCTGTTATTTAGGCTGTCTGCAACCTGGCACCCACCTGCCTTTCCTACATTGTTATCTAGGGCTTTTCTTCATGCATGCTGTGTTCTGTGTATATGACACCCACTTCTTTACTTCAATGTATTCACTAAAAATGGAATGTTTTTTCCCTTGCATCACATGCCTGGACCTTGGCCTCCTACAAAGTGTCCTTGAAATGCCATGCAAAGATTGTCTCTGATCCCTCAGTGTGGAGGTAACCGCAACACTCTGAATACTAGGTGTGTTGTCTTCACACTGCACAGTGATGAAAGTCTTGCTTCATCCTCCCTCATAGCTCAGGAACTTAGAAGAAGACCTCCATCTGACTTCTGAGACTGCCCAATGCTATGACCCTCACAGCAACCCAATATTGAATGTGCCCTTAATATATTTCATTGCTTTCAATATATTTCATTGTGTCAATAATTAGAAGTACATCCGAATATTTATAAAGACTCTGATATTACTTAAAATGGAAATATTTTAGAACTCAAGTAGCTTTTACATGGCCATATATCTAGTAAGGATAGTTCCAGGATCCAAACTCAGGGGATGGGGTTCCAGGGCCAGTTGTCTGGAACTCCACCCTGTTCTGCATAGTAAGAGCTTATTGTCTATCCAGAAATTATCTTACTCTGTGACTGTAGGTGATTGAGTTAGTTAAACCAATTAAAATCAGCCATGTAAATTATAAGCTGTAACTAATTAAAATAAACTTTGTTTGTTTTTCGGGCTGGGTGTGGTTGTTCACACCTGTAATCCCAGCACTTTGGGAGGCCAAGGTGGAGGACTGCTCGAGCTCAGGAGCTCAAGACTAGCCTGGGAAGCATAGAAGGACCTGATCTCTACAAAAACATTTAAAAATTAGCCAAGTGAGGTGGCATGTGCCTGTAGTCCCAGCCACTCAGAAGACTGAAGTGGGAGGACCACTTGATTCCAGGAGTTCTAGGCTCCAGTGAGCCATGATTGTGTCACTGTACTCCAGCCTGGGCAACAGAGCAAGACTCTGTTTCTAAAAATAAGAATTTAAAAAATAATTTGTTTGTCAATTATATGCAAGGTTAGTGAGATGTCTCTGCCCTCAAAGATAGTATACTCTAATGTGCTTATAGAATCTCACACTGGATAGCAGTTGTAATGTCATGTGAAACAATTTATCTGAGTCAACCTGTTTTACTCCAGCTATTAATAGCTTGTTAGTCACTGAAAGTAGGCTATATCAGTTTTTTCTCTTTGGGGGCCGTCTATACTACCAGGTTTGAGATGCCTGGGCTACCTTGAGTCCCTCCACACCATTGTTATTACCGAGGAATAGGGCTGAAAGCAAAAGGAGAGATAGAGGCTTTGATCTTCCTACAAAACCCATCTGGGGTAGGAATTCCAAGTCTAGGGGGAAAAGAGGGAGGGGAAGACTGAGGTAGACAGGAGCAAATGCAGGTAAGAAGGCAAAGAAATAGCAGCAAAAGGTGTAAGATGATTGAAAAACAGAATTAAAAGAAGGAGAAAAATTAGAGTGGGAAAAATGGAAACAGAAGAAAGTCAGGAGAGAAAGGTAGAAACTAAATGGGAAGACTAAAAATAAACTAACAGGCAACAACAACAAAAATTACATTCAATTGTGGTCTTATTTATGGTCGTGTTACCCAAATTGAACTGTCAACTTATTCAATATCTTGACTTCATTACATAATGTGTTTTCATTTTCCCAAAATGTTTGTATCTGAATGAAAGGATCTTCTCTACAAAATATTTCCATGTCTAAATTTGACTACTCTAGCTACCTCATGTAGATGGAATCATATAATATTTGTCCTTTTGTGTCTGGCTGATTCACTTAGCATAATGTCCTCAAGGTTTATCCATATTGTAGAATTTGTAGAATCTTATTTTTTAAGGCTATGCGATATTATATACATATGCCACATTTTGTTTATCCATGCATCTGCTGGTGGATATTTGGATTATTTCCACTTTTAGCTATTGTGAATAATGTGCTATGAACATTGGTGGCTTTTTGTCCTAGTAAAGCGGTGACTTTTGAACTTAGGAAAGAGAGGCAAAATGGGCCTTTAGGATGCTTTGGTTTTAGGCCACTGAAGTCAACTTTGCTTGGGTAAATGAGCCAGCCATGGGACCCAGCCCAAGTTATTGGAGCCTCACACTTGGGATTAGAAGCAAAATTCCTGTTAGTAATCTCAAGTTTTACTTGGCCTGACTTGCAGATGTCTTTGTTTCTCTCTTCTGAGCTCCTCAAAAGGAGAGACAGGTGAATTGAGGCAATATTTAAGTTTTCTTGAATCAATAACCTAACACCATCATAATTAATATCATTGCTTTGTTATGCTTCATTGCATCTCCAACTACAGTTTTACTAAAGCAAATAATTGCCCTTCCAAAGAGTAAGTATAGAGAATACATCTTGCTTTCTAGAGAAAAAAGGAGGATTTTGACTTCTACTATAATGTGTATACACATCCTATACATCTATTGCATTTATTAGAGCCTAAATCAATTTATTAGCTCATCTCTTAAATCCACAATGAAACACAATGAAAAATTTGTAGAAAACAGTGGAACAAACTTAGACCCACCATTTGTATTGAATATATTTATAGGGTACAATGTGATGTGTAAAAAAACTTTTTAAACTTTCATTTCAGGTTCAGGTGTATATGTGCATGTTTGTTATATAGGTAAGTTGCATGTCTCAGGTTTTGGTGTACAGATTATTTTGTCACCCAGGTAATAAGCATAGTATCTGATAGGTAGTTTTTAAATTCTCACCCTCCTCCCACATTCCACCCTCAGGTAGTTTCAGTATCTATTGTTCCCTTCTTTGTGGTCATGTGTACTCAATATTTAGTTCCCACTTATCGGTGAGAACATGAGGTATTTGGCTTTCTGTTCCTGTGTTAGTGGACATAGGATAATGACCTCCAGCTTCATCCATGTTGTTAAAAAGGACATGATCTCATTCTTTTTTATGGCTATGTAGTATTCCATGGTGTATAGGTACTACATTTTCTTTATCCAGTCTACCATTGATAGGCATTTAAATTGATTCCATGTCTTTGCTATTGTGAATAGTGCTGCAGTGAACATACACATGCATGTGCCTTTATGCTAGAACAATTTATATTCCTTTGGGTATATACCCAATAATGGGATTACTGGGTTGAATGGTAGTTTTCTTTTAAGTTCTTGAGAAATCACTAAACTGCTTTCTATAATGATTGAACTAACTTACATTCCAAACAGCAGTGTATAAGCATTCCCTTTTCTCTGTAGCCTCACCAACATCTGATATTTTTTGACTTTTGATAATGGCCATTCTGAACAGTGTGAGATGTTATCTCATGGTAGTTTTGATTTGCATTTCTCTAATGATTAGTGGTGTTGAGCATTTTTTTACATGATTGTTGGCTGCATGTATGTCTTTTTTTGAGAAGTGTATGTTCATGGGCTTTGCCCACCTTTTTTTTTTTTCTTGAGACAGAGTCTCGCTCTGTTGCCCAGGCTGGAGTGCATGGAGTGCAGTGGCACAATCTTGGTTCACTGCAACCTCTGCCTCCCAGGTTCAAGTGATTCTTATGCCCCAGCTTCCCAAATGCTAGGATTATAGTCATGAGCCACTATTCTGGTCTTTTATTGCTTTCTTTTTGAGACAGAGTCTCACTCTGCCACCCATGCTGGAGTACAGTGGCATGATCTTGGCTCACTGCAACCTCTGCCTCACGAGTTCAAGCGATTTTCCTGCCTCAGCCTCCTGAGTAGCTGGGATTACAGGCACACACCACCACACCTGGCTAATTTTTTTCTATTTTTAGTAGAGATGGGCTTTCAGTGTATTGCCCAGGCTGGTCTCCTATTCCCTGCCTCAAGTAATCTGCCCGCCGCGGCCTACCAAAGTGCTGGGATTACAGGCATGAGCCACTGTGCTTGGCCTTTTGCCCACTTTTTAATGGAGTTGTTTTTTGCTTGTTAGTATGTTTAAGTTCCTTATAGATACTGGATATTAGACCTTCGTCAATGCATAGTTTGCAAATATTTTCTCTCATTCTGTGGGTTGTCTGTTTATTCTGTTTATAGTTTATTTTGCTGTACAGAAGCTCTTTAGTTTAATTAGATCACATTTGTCAATTTTCTTTTTTGTTGCAATTGCTTTTGGCATCTTCTCATGAAATCTTTGCCTAGACCTTTGTCCAGAATGGTATTTCCTGGATTTACTTCCAGGATTTTCATAGTTTTAGGCTTTACATTTAAGTATTTAATCTATCCTGAGTTGATTTTTGAATATGGTGCAAGGAAAGGGTCCAGTTTCATTCTTCTGCATATAGCTAGCCAGTTATCCCAGCACCATTTATGGAATACGAAGTCCTTTCCCCATTCATTGTTTTTGTTGACTTTGTTCAAGATCAGATGGTTGTGGATGTGTGGCCTTATGTCTAGGCTCTCTATTCTGCTCCATTGGTCTATGTGCCTGTTTTTGTGCCAGCACCATGCTGTAACGGTTACTGTAGCCTTGTACTATATTTTGAAGTTGAGTAGCATGATGCCTTCAGCTTTGTTCTTTTTGCTTAGGATTGCCTTGGCTATTTGGGCTCTTTTTTGGCTCCGTATGAATTTTAAAATAGTTTTTTCTAGTTCCTTGAAAAACATTATTGGTAGTTTAATAGGAATAGCATAGAATCTGTAAGTTGCTCCGGGCAGTATGGCCATTTTTTTACAACATTGATTCTTCCTATCCATGAGCATGGAATGTTTAGCCATTTGCTTGTGTCATCTTTGATCTCTTTCAGCAGTGTTTTGTAATTCTTATTGTAGAGATGTTTCACCTCTCTGGTTAGCTATATTCCTAGGTATTTTATTTTTTTTGTGGCTATTGTGAATGAGATTACATTCTTGATCTGGCTCTCAGCTTGGCTGTTGTTGGTGTATAGAAATGCTACCAATTTTGTACATGATTGTTGTATGCTGAAACTTTGCCTAAGTTGTTATCAGATCTAGGAGCTTTTGGGCAGAGACTGTGGGGTGTTCTAGGTATAGAATCATATTAGCTGCATACAGAGATAATTTCATATCCTCTCTTTCTACATGGATGCCTTTTATTTCTTCCTCTTACCTGATTGCTCTAGCTAGGAGTTTCAGCATTATATTAAATAGCAGTGGTGAGAGTGAGCATTCTTGTCTTGTTCTGGTCCTCAAGGGGAATGCTTCCAGCTTTTGCTCATTCAGTATGATATTGGCTGTGGGTTTGTCACAGACAGCTGTTATTATTTTGTGATATGTTCCTTTGATGCCTATTTTGTTGTGTGTTTTTAACATGAAGGGATGTTGAATTTTATCAAAGGCCTTTTCTGCATCTATTGAGATGATTATGTGGTTTTAGTTTTTAGTTCTGTTTATGTGATAAATCACATTTATTGATTTGCATATGTTAAACCAACCTTGCATCCCAGGGATGAAGCCTACTTGATTGTGGTGGATTAGCTTTTTGATGTGCTGCTGGATTCAGTTTGCCAGTATTTTGTTGAGGATTTTTACATCTATGTGCAAGGATATTGGCCTGAAGGTTTTTTGTTTGTTTGTTTAGTGTTTTGTTTTGTTGCGTGTGTGTGCGTCTGCCAGGTTTTGGTATTAGAATGAAGCTGGCCTCTTAGAATGAGTTAGGGAGGATTCCCTCCTCCTCAATTTTATGGAATAGTGTCAGTAGGAATGTACCAGCTCTTCCTCATAAATCTGGTAGAATTTGATTGTAAATCCTTCTGGTCCTGAGCTTTTTCTGACTGGTAGGCTTTTTATTACTGATTCTATTTTGCAACTGATTTTGATCTGTTTAGATATTCAATTTCTTTCCGGCTCAAGTTTGGGAAGGCGTATGTGTCCAGGAGTTTGTCCATGTCTTTTAGGTTTCCTAGATTGTGTGTATAGAGATGTTCATAGTCATCTCTGAGGGGTTTCTTTGTGTGTGTATTTCTGTGTGGTTGGTGGTAATGCCCCCTTTGTCATTTCTGATTGAGTTTATTTGGATCTTCTCTTTTTTTTCTCCATTAATCTAGCTTGTGATCCATCTATCTTTTTATTATTATTATTTTTAAAAAAGAACAACTCCTGGATTCGCTGATTTTTTTTTTTTTGTATAGTGTTTCGTGTGTCAATTTCCTTAAGTTCAGCTTTGATTTGGCTATTTCTTGTGTTCTGCTAGCTTTGGGGTTGGTTTACTCTTGTTTCTCTAGTTCCTGTAGGTGTGACCTTAGCATGTTATTTTGAGAGCTTTCTAACTTTTTGATGTGGGTGTTTAACGCTATAAACTTCCCTCTTAGCACTGCTTTAGCTGCATCACAGATATTCTGGTATGTTGTATCTTTGTTCTCATTTGTTTCAAAGAATGTCTTGATTTCTGTGTTAATTTCATTGTTTACCCAAAAGTCATTTAGGATCAGGTTGTTTAATTTCCATATAATTGTATGGTTTTTAGCAATTTTTAAAGTACCAATTTCTATTTATACTGTGCTGTGGTCTGAAAATGTGTTTAGTATGATTTTGGTGTTTTTGAATTTGCTGAGGATTGTTTTATGGCCGATTCTGTGGTCACTTTTAGAGTGCCTGCCATGTGCAGAAGAGAAGAATGTATATTCTGTTATTTCACAGTGGGGAGGTCTGTAGGTGTCTGTTACATCCATTTGGTCAAATATCAAGTTCCGGTAGTGTATAACTTTGTTAGTTTTCTGCCTCAGTGATCTGTCTAATACTGTCAATGTGATGTTGAACTCTCCTACTGTTATTGTGTGGTTATCTAAGTATATTCATAGGTCTCTAAAAGCTTGTTTTATGAACCTGGGTGCTTTTTTGTTCAGTGCATATATATTTAGAATTATTAGGTATTCTTATTGAATTGAAACTTTTACCATTATGTAATGCCCTTCCTTGTCTTTTTTTGATCATTGTTGGTTTGAAGTCTGTTTTGTCTGAAATTAGAATAGCGACCTCTGCTTTTTTTCTATTTTCCAGTTGCTTGGTAGATTTTTCTCTATCCCTTTACTTTGATCCTGTGGGTGACACTGCATGTGAGATGGGTCTCTTGAAGACAACATAGAGTTGGGTCTTGCTTCTTTATCCAACTTACTAGTCTGTGTCTTCTAACTGGTGCATTTAGCATGTTCACATTCATGGTTAATATTGCATGTGCTTATTTGATCCTGTAATTGTGTTGTTAGCTGGTTATTATGCAGAATTTATTGTTTGGTTGTTTTATAGTGTCAGTGGTATAAGTACTTAAGTGTGTTTTTGTGGTGGCCAGAAACAGTCTTTCCTTTTCATATTTAGAACTCCCTTCAGGACCTCTTGTAAGGACCACATTAGAACTCCCTTCAGGACCTAATGGTAATGAATTCTCTTACATTTGCTTGTCTGAAAAGTATGTTATTTCTTTGCTTATGAAGCTTAGTTTGGCTGAATAAGAACTTGGTTGGAATTTCTTTTCTTTAAGAATGCTGAATAAATCCTCATATGTTTTCCAAGTTGCTTGCTTTCTCTCCCTCTCTTTCAGGGACACCAATGAGTTGTAGATTTGTTCTCTTTACATAATCCCATATTTCTCTGTGGTTGTGCAATCTTCTTTTTTTTTTTTAATTTTTCCTGACTGAGTTATTTCAGGGAACTGGTTTTCAAGTTCTGAGATTCTTTTATCAGCTTGGTCAATGCTGCTCTTAATACTTGCAATTGTATAGTGAAATTCTTGAGATGTGTTTTTCAGCTCTGTTAGATCAGTTTGGTTCTTTCCTAAAATGGCTACTTGGTCTTTTATTTCCTATATTGTTTTATTGTATTCCTTAGATTCCTTGGATTGGGTTTCAACTTTCTCCTGAATCTCGATGACCTTCATTCCTATCCATGTTCTGAATTTTACTTCTGTCATTTCAGTCATTTCAGCCTGGTTAAGAACAATTGCTGGGGAACTAGTGTGGTCATTCAGAGGTAAGACACTCTGGCTTTTTGAGTTGCCAATGTTCTTGCACTGCTTCTTTTTCATCTGTGGGGTCTAATGTTCCTTCAGTCTTTGAAGTTGCTGTCCTTAAGATAGTTTTTTTTTTTTTTTTGCTTTCATCTTTGATAAAACCCACCTTATACCACATCTTTCATGCCCTTGAGGGTTTAATTATGGTAAAACGTGGGTTAGTCAACTGGCTTCATTTCTGGAAGATTTTAGGGGGACAATGCTCAGCTCAGTACTCCTGGGCTGCATACTGTAATTCTGGGGGCCTAGTACTGGACCCCTAGCTTTGTTCTCTAGCTCCTAGAAGTTAGGAACCTGTGGAGGGGCTGAGGTATTCCTGGTCCACTGGCCACAACGATTCAATGAGTGGTACCAGCCAAAGTGCTTCATAAGGGTAGTGGCTCATGAGTGCCAGCAGTTGTGGCAGCACAGCAGGATGCATGTGCATCAGTTGGGGCAGCGTACTAGTGGGAGTGGGGCTTCTGCATTCCTCTGCATGCTCAAACCCATGGTAGCAGTGGTGGTGGTGGTGTGTTGGTGGGCAGTGGGACCACTGGCATCTATGCACACATTTGCACTGGCCATGGCAGTGGCAACATGCGGGGGGTGGCAATGCCAGCATCCCTGGGTGTTTGCACTGGCAGTGGCATGGTGGGGCATGGTTGCCAGTATCTATGCATGTGTTTGCGCCAATGATGATGATGCAGGCAGGTGTTTGTGCATCAGCAGCAAGGTGTGACAGGCAGTGGGTTCACTCACGCTGGCAGCAGTGGTGTGGTGGGGTGTGTATGCACACGCACGCTCACAAGGGAGGGCAGGTGAGGGCCACCTGCCTCTGCATGCTGGCAAAGCAGTTGGGGGACACTTATTGGCCAGCACAGTGGTTGGGGGAGGCTACGGTGTGTGGAGTGGTGGACATCAATGGAGTTGGATATCTTCTGGGGTTCTCTGATGGTCAGGTGTGGTTTGCCAGCAAAGAAGCTATGATGATGGCCCCCCAGAAGCATCCTGGTTGGGCATCTGCTGCACTGCAAGCAGGCATGGCCAGGCTGGGGCCCTGGCAGAGGTCCGAAGACAGGAGGCACTTAGATTGGACTGGCCCCATTGCATGGGCAAGACCACCCTGCTCTGTCCAGATCTGACAATCACCCTAAGCATAAAGTCTCCGGAAGGAGTGTGGCAAGCCTTGGGGGAGGGGTATCTCTGGCCATGCTCCATCACAGACATTCCAGCACTAAACTCTCTGGGCTCTGAACAGGCTAGAATCCTGCCCCTATCACCTCTTTAAGGAGCTTTTGCTGCCAGCTCAAGTGTCCATGGGGGTTGTGGGGTCTCCTGCTGCCAGGATTCCAGAGGTTTGTGACAAGAGTGGGCCACTGCTCACTTGTTCAACTCACCCCTTCCCCAGGAGTCACTGTGGGCCAGGAACAAATCCCGGTGCTTCATAGCACCATGCAGGGTTCCTAGCTTCCTCCTGCTTCAGCCCAGCAACTGAGTTCTCCCTCCATCCACTTTTGATGCCTTCCTTCTGAAGATCTGCTTGGAGTGTGCCAGTGTTCCCAATGTCCCAGGCTCTTTGTTGGGGATGATCTTCCTGGCTGCCTCTAGTCAGCATCTTGTCTGCCCTCCCAATGTGATGTTTCAATATTTGTATACATTGCAGAATAATTAAACCAAGTTAATTAACATAAGGCCCACCAAATTAGACTTGAGTCCCTACTGAATTTGGCCACTGTTGTGAGAAGGTGTTCTTTATCGGTGTGTATTTTCTGTTGTTGTTGACAGTGTTTCTCCAGATTTTGATAGTTTCTTCTAAAATGGGGTGAGCCACGTATAACCTAGACAATTTCTTTTGAGGTGAATTTTTATAATTTATCCCTAGACAGCAAATCATAGAATGCTTCTATTGTGGAGTGAATTGTGTCCTTTCCCACCAAATTCATATGCTATAGTCCTAATCCCCAGTAGACATTGGACTTTCATCTGACCAGAGGTATCAGGAGCGACCAGTGCTTCAGGATTCTCAAACATGAGCTTGAATTAATGCAAGAAAACTCTGAGCCTACACATTCTTATTTTATTTTACTTTATTTTATTTTAATATTCTGTATGGCAAAGTGGAAAGTATGCATAAGGCACTTCTACTATGTACTCAAGCTCAATTGTTGTCTCAAGGAAAAGTACATGTGCAATTGAGTTTTTTCATGGACAACCATTTTCACTTGAATGAATGACTGATAGATAAATCATGGTTGTTCAGACTTGGGTATTTGGCAGATATTTTCTTGAAAATGAACAAAGTGAGCTTGTTATTTCAAGGAAAACAACTGGCAATATGCGTTGCCAAAGATAAAATTCCAGCTTTCAAGAAAAAAATTGGAATTTTGGAAAGCTTATATCTGCCCCCATGAGCTTGTCAGCTTCCCAATATGTAAAGACATTTTCTGATGAGATTGTTGTTTATATTAACAAATATGATTCAAAAATGTATATAATAAAATGTCAACATTTGAGATATCTGCATAACTTGGTGAACCAATATTTTCCACATGACCAATTCATAGTTTTATAAAATCATTCGTGAGTAAAAAAATACATATTTCAAGTACAAAATAGAACAATGAATTTTAATGTAACAGATGATGAAATGCTCATTGATATGGTCTCAGATCTATGTTGCAAGTAACCTTTATGCAGCTACCACTCGCATTTTGGTATAGTTTCAAAGAATATTCACAATTATCTAAAAAGGCTACTAAAATACCCCCTCCTTTATCCAACTACACGTTTGTGTAAGCTGGATATTTTTTACATATATACTTTGATCAAGACAACATATTGCAACAGCTAGAATTTAGAGGCAGATATGAGAATCCAGGTGTCTTCTATTTTTATTTATTTATTTTTTGAGATGGAGTCTCACTCTGTTGCCCAGGCTGGAGTGCAGTGGCGCGCTCTCGGCTCATCACAACCTCTGACTCCCAAGTTCATGCGATTCTCCTGCTTCAGCCTCCTGAGTAGCTGGGACTACAGGCACGCACCACCATGCCCAGCTAATTTTTGTATTTTTAGTAGAGACGTGGTTTCACTATGTTGGCCAGGCTAGTTTCAAACTCCTGACCTTGTGATCTGCCCACCTCGGCCTCCCAAAGTGCTGAGATTACAGGCATGAGTCACTGCACCTGGCCCCAGCTGTCTTTTATTAATCCAGACAGTAAAGATATTTGAAAATGTAAAATAATGTTATTCTTCTCACTAATTCTTTTGCTTCAGAAAAAAATAGCAATTTTTCATAAAATATTTAACTTATAATAAGTTTATTATTATTTCAAAATTAATTTATAGATTAATATTTTTCAAATTTAATTTTAATATGGCAAGTATCAATAAATATAACCTACATTAACCAAAGCTTGTTAGGATCCTCAATAATTTTTGAATGTGCAAAAAAATTCTGGGCTCCAAATATTTGAGAACTGCTGATATAAAGGAACAGAGCTGTGTTTCCCAAAGTAAGCTCAGGGAACTCTTTGCGTCAGAAACACCCAATTCGCTTGTTATAAAATACAGATTTCTGGGCTTTGTGACAGATTGAATCAGGTTTCTTAAAGGGTCAGCCTGTATTTGTTTTCAATTTTGAAATTTCCAAACAAAGCATTACTTGAATTTAATAAAATTAAGGTAGACCCTTAATAGTGTGGCCAGTTTTATCATCTGAGATTGTAGACAATCAAACTGAATACAACACCTGTTGTATCAGAGATCCAAACCTCAGGAATTATGGCCATGTTTGCACAAATGCAGTGATGAGAGTTCTTTAGACAATATTTTCTGCAAAAATAACTTACATATGGAGAGAAATTGACATATAGATGTGGATTGCATTTGACATGTCTTCTCCAGTTACCTGTGGAGCAGAGTACATATTCTCAAGGCTTTCATTTTTTCTGCTCCAGCATAAAAGCCAGCCACTGTGGTGGCCATTTGAGATGAGGCAGGGGAGGGGTTGGTGCAGTGAGGCTGGGTTGAACACAGAAGAGTGGATCTTGGCAACTAAGACATACAGAAGCCAAGCTAAGGAATGTGTTTTTCTGAAAAGCCACATCTGGACCCCTGGTTAACATCCTGCCTGATCTTTTGCCTCAGACAAGAGACCAACCACATAAAACACACAGAGTGTGGAGATTTGGCCCATCTTTGATTTGTCAGCTATAGTAATACAAATTCAAAGCACTTTGGCTCTACGCATAAATATGTATACACATGCACAGTCACATTTGTGTGTGTTTTTATGGGGGCGCGGGTGGGAATTTCAGTACTCAACTGGGAACCATGTCTCCCTGTGGTCTGCCTCCTGGATAACATCCAGTCTCCTTCTTTGTGAACTATTAAAACAGACAAGTCTGCAGGCTCCTGTTGCTGGAATAAGCTAAACAATGGCACGGGATAGAAACTAAGATCTGGAAATGTGTTTTTGGTACATGGCCCATGATTTCTTGTGCCTTTTTGTGATATCTTCGTTATAGGCATGAGGGCATTTTTACAAAGTCAACCTGCAGTTGTGTGATTTTATAACACGCAGTTCACTTGTCATTTTCCTTTGTCTTATTGATGGAGCTTTGTGTCCATCTCCCATCCCTTCCCCAACTCTACAATCCTGTCCTGGCCATATACATCCCAACATGGTTTCATTCTGATCAAAATTTCTTCTCTTTGATGTCTCCTGAGTTATGTGCAGCATAAAACATTAAGAGGTTTTGTTGTTTTTATTTTTTTCCATAAAGCAAAGGATTTGGCTTACAATTCACTTATGTGTTACACAAGTAAGAAATATAGGTATGGAATATTGATTTGAGTAAAGAAGTCAAAGAAACAGTATCGAGAGTCTATAGTGGCCAAAAATGTTGGAAGGATGAGTTAGACTTGTGTAAGCTTCGAATGCAGGTCAGTATAACAGGCTGCATTCGTGGCTTATTATTGTAGTGACTGTTTCTCCCTTAGTACATTATCTCCTTGTACTAGCTGGGCTGCTAGCCAGAGAATGATACACTGACTGCTCACAGCTCCCTCCTGCCTTCCCACCCTTTTCACCCCTCTTCTAAGAGGTCCTCTGTGACCACACCCCAACTTTACAACTTCCCTGGAGCACCAGAACATCATTCCTTCTTCTTGCCCAGATTAAACTTATATTAAGGGCAGTCTACATGATGCTGGGCATTCATTATATGTTATTCCACTAGATTATTGCCACAATTCCATGAAGTAGTAATTATATAGCCCCTTTTCACAATTAAAGTGAATGCCAAATAAGTGATTTCCTTGTGGTTACAATAGCTAGTGAGTATCAGAGGAAAGAATTCTGGGTGTTCATACCACTGGACTCCCAACTCCCACCCACCTCTACAACTTCGCCTTTCCTGCATTCCCCAAGTGGATGTGGTGAACTAACATAGTCTAAGCAGCGAATGAGTGATGAGTGCTCAATATGCTCCCCACAAGGGGGATTTTGTGTCTTGAAGGAGAGGCCTTAGACATCGGAAAGATTGCTAAACTTCTAGAGGAGTAGCAGAAGGTAGGGGACATGTTTGGGGTCAGAAGGAACCTCCCCAGGAACCTGAAATTGTACCACGTAGAGAAGTGTCACGATTTGGCAATCCTTGGTCCATGTCTGACAAATAGAAATATTTGTTCCTTGGGCTCATGTGGTGTTTTTAAAAACTTGAATATTTGCCAGCAGTTAGAAATTAGGAGATTCAATCTAAAAATCTAGATTTGTAGGTTTTCTCCGCAAATTGGATTATATAACACCACAGGATCTATATTTTTCAATGAAAGCGACTGGCCAGAGCTTCCCTCTAAAGAGGGTCAAGCTCTTACATCATCGCGAGGCTTACCAATCTCCTGGCTTATTTCACTTATTCCTGTGCCACTATAGTCATTTGAGTTTGAGACTCCTGAAGTAGATGAAGGTCTCTTCTGCTCATGAGAGGGGCATCATCCCTAGAGGTGGAGGCTGTGAAGAGGCATGGAGGCTGAATTTCCATTTTCCTATTTTCCTTCAAGAAAGGAGTCAACAAATACATCAGCCTCCATATCTCAAGGCTGGAAAACATTTGACAAAAATAAGGCCTCTGTAAAATAAAATGTGCCTTAGCTTTGTGAGCAGGACTCCGTAAAATAAAATGTGCCTTAGCTTTGTGGGCAGGACTCTGCAGTCTGATAAAGCAATGTTCCTATCAAGATTCAGACCTTTGCCTTGATCATGATTTTTTTTTTTTTTTTTTTTATGAAACAAGGTCTCTACCCAGACCAGAGTGCAGTGGCACAATTACAGTTCACTGCAGCCTCCAACTCCCAGGCTCAAGTGATCTTCCTGCCTCAGCCTCCAAAGTAGCTAGGACTACAGGCATGAGTCACCATGCCTGGCTAATTTTCAAATGTTTTGTAGAGACAGGATCTTGCTTTGTTCCCCATGCAGAGCTCAAACTCCTGGCTTCAAGTGATCCTGCCTTGGCCTCCCAAAGCACTGGGATTACAAGCGTGACCCACCACACCTGGCCTGCTTCAATCATAATAAAGGTGGTGAGGGCCAGAGGGAGTTGGCAGCTAGCTACTTTTACCACCACAATTTGCAAAAGGGATTGAAAACTGTCCAGGCCCACAGAAAAGGCAATAAGCCCATAAAATTCACAGGACTTCACCCACTTTTATAAATATCATCCCCTCATCTAACCTGGTCCTCCCAATGCCCACTCACGGGGAAACTGACTCCCTCTGCTGATCCTAACTGTTCGTGATGATTCTCTGGCCAAGGCCACATTTGAAAAGCCATCAAAACTAACATTTGCATTGTAAAAATCATACTCGTAATCATAATCATAGCAGTCATTGAACTTTATAATGGGCACTATGCTAAGCTCTTCCAATACGATATCTCATTTAATCCCTACAACAATGTTAAAATTGGTTATCATTATTATTCCCTTTCTACAAATGAAGAAACAGAGACCAAAGAGATTAAGTAATTTGCCAAAGATAACACAGATAAAACATCTTGGAGTCAGATTTCAGGCCCAGATATCAGGGATAGTACCCCTGATACAATGGGCAAAGAAGGCTTTCATCTATATTAATTTTTGAAAGCTTTAACTGAAAATTCACAGTAACTAGATAAGATGTTAAGCCTTGCTAATTCTGCCTGCTTTCTTTTCACAGTAAGTGCATAATATATCTACCCTGCTCTCTATTTTCCCTTGCACTTGGTTGATAATAGAGCAGCTAGAACCCTAGTTATATTTTGGATAGTTCTTTTTGTACTTTTTGACATAAGATTTCAAATACTGCTCCCATTCTTTTGCTTATTACCACGTGTGCTTGGTAATAAGCACTTTGGCTCAGTGCTTGATCTCAGTGATCCAGCAATTTGTCCCACTGCAAATACCCTTCATTTCACATGTGCCGTATTGGGAACTCTGTTTAATCAGAGTTTGTTTGACATGTGCTGGGAATTTAGCAGTGAGTAGGAAAAGTTGAGCAGATCTTCAGCCTCTGTTCAAGTCCAGGTAGAACTTTCACCTTAACTGGAAATGACTTAAATCTTATATATAGAGAAGTATGGTGCTTGCATGTCTCAATGATTTTATATATTATATTCTAACAGCCATAATTCTTCTGTTTTACTTGGGTCTTCATGGGAGGGAGAAGCTTCATTTCCTTATTCTCAGAGGGTTATTGTTTTCTCCAAAGAAAAATGTGGTGTGTGCTGAGTTTTGTTTAGGTGGCAACAGAAAAGAGACGTGCAATTCCAAGTTTTTAAAAATTTGAAGTTGAGTGGGTGGCTTTGAAATGTCATAGAAATCAACTCAATTAGATGTTTGGCTGGAAAACATCAGGATGCATTAACACTGCTTAGGCTGGCTTCCTATAGTCTGAAACAATGTTGCACAAAAAGCATATTCAGAAGCATTGCTTGTAGGAAAATTGCTACATAAAGCAGGACTGGGCAGGATGGATTTGGGGGATGGAGAGAAAGAACCTTTTTGGATATGGGCCAGAAGTTAAAGGGGAGTTAGTGATAAAACCAAGGCAGCACTTTTGTGTATCAAAGCACAGACTTCACCTTTGAATTACAAAGCAGGTGCCATGAGCAGGTGGCCTGTAGGTTCACCGTCAGTCACTATCCACACTTCCAAAACATGAGGGTACTCTGTTGGGCCCTCTAGTTGCTCTGCTTACTGGGACTAGGAAGATCAAATAAGGTAGGAGAATAATGAAGAGGAGAAATAATAGTAAACTAAAGAAAATGAGGGGCCAAACAGGGGTGGGATGTGTCAGGAAAAGTACTGACAACCAGGGAACAAGTCTAGTTAGGGCATGAGAAATACAGTCTAACTCCAGGCAAGAATAGAAAATGAAGAGGAGTCTTATCTGGAAAGAGTATGGAAATATGGGTGAGGCTTTGTAAGTTCAAGGCAAGAAGTATGACTGCACCTAGCTGGATAGGTTCATTTTATTATCAATATTACCATATTATGAAAAGTGAGGGGCTAAAGCAATTGAACACCACTCAACCTCTAAAATGAGACCACCAGAGATGAGTTAGACTAACAGACAGCCAGACAGTATAGGCAGACCACTTCTTCCACCTTCTCATAGGCCCAGGCACCCAAGCCATCAGGTAAAAGAGGATTCAGTGGGTAGCCTGTCCTTTCTTTGGAGGTATTTCAGAGGGCTTTCCTGGGATTTTGTTGAAGCACGGAAATTGTGGTCTTCCATAAAGGCCAAGTACTAAACTATTTTTGGGCAAAGAGCAAGGTGGGCTCAAGATTATTTGGTACTCAGAGTTGATCACCAGAAGGGGGCTAAATCTGGGGCAATAACAGCTCCTTTCCCTAAAGTAGAAGTCCCCTGATGGTGACAGATGATGCTGAGCCCCTTTCCTTGACAGTATTGAGAGGTGACAGCGTGCTGGCAGCCCTCGCAGCCCTCGCTTGCTCTCTGCGCCTCCTCTGCCTGGGCTCCCACTTTGGTGGCACTTGGAGAGCCCTTCAGCCCACCGCTGCACCGTGGGAGCCCCTTCCTGGGCTGGCCAAGGCCGGAGCTGGCTCCCTCAGCCTGTGGGGAGGTGTGGAGGGAGATGCCCATGCGGGAACCGGGGCTGCCTGCAGCACTTGCAGGCCAGCGCCAGTTCCAGGTGGGTGTGGGCTCAGCGGGCCTGCACTCAGCTGGCCCTGCCTGCCCCAGGCAGTGAGGGGCTTAGCACCTGGGCCAGCAGCTGCTGTGCTTGATTTCTCGCCGGGGCTTAGCTGCCTCCCCCTGGGGCAGGGCTCGGGACCTGCAGCCCACCATGCTATGCCTGAGCCTCCCCACCGCTGTGGGCTCCTGCACGGCCCGAGCCTCCCCGATGAGCTCCGCCCCCTGCTCCATGGCGCCCAGTCCCATCAACCACCCAAGGGCTGAGGAGTGCGGGTGCACAGCACAGGACTGGCAGGCAGCTCCACCTGCGGCCATGGTGCAGGATCCACTGGGTGAAGCCAGCTGGGCTCCTGAGTCTGGTGGGGACTTGGAGAACCTTTATGTCTAGCTAAGGGATTGTAAATACACCAATCAGCACTCTGTATCTAGCTCAAGGTTTGTAAACACACCAATCAGCACCCTGTGTCTAGCTCAGGGTTTGTGAATGCACCAATCGACACTCTGTATCTAGCTACTCTGGTGGGGACTTGGAGAACCTTTATGTCTAGCTAAGGGATTGTAAATACACCAATCGGCACTCTGTATCTAGCTCAAGGTTTGTAAATGCACCAATCAGCACCCTGTCAAAACGGACCAATCAGCTCTCTGTAAAACAGACCAATCGGCTCTCTGTAAAACGGACCAATCAGCAGAATGTGGGTGGGGCCAGATAAGAGAATAAAAGCAGGCTGCCCCAGCCAGCAGTGGCAACCCACTCGGGTCTCCTTCCACACTGTGGAAGCTTTGTTCTTTGCAATAAATCTTGCTGCTGCTCACTCTTTGGGTCCACACTGCCTTTATGAGCTGTAACACTCACCGCAAAGGTCTGCAGCTTCACTCCTGAAGCCAGCGAGATCACGAACCCACTGGGAGGAATGAACAACTCCAGATGTGCCTCCTTAAGAGCTGTAACACTCACCGCGAAGGTCCGCAGCTTCACTCCTGAGCAGCTTCACTCCTGAGCCAGCGAGACCACAAACCCCACCAGAAGGAAGAAACTCCGAACACATCCAAACATCAGAAGGAACAAACTCCGGACATGCCACCTTTAAGAACTGTAACACTCACCACGAGGATCCGCGGCTTCATTCTTGAAGTCAGTGAGACCAAGAACCCACCAATTCCGGACACAGTATTATAGGGCTCCCAGATGAGACGAACAGCCAGAACAGAGTGAGTCAATGATGTGAGAACCAAAAGAAGAGTACCATACACAGAAATCCAGGAATTTAGGGGATGTTCCAGCTCAGGAGGTCAAAGCAAGCCAGGAGTAATATGTGCAGGTTCCCTCAGAGACCCACAGTGATTGGATATTTAAGACGGTGTTGGCACCTGGATGATAGAGAGTGACAACAGAGCTCTTCATTGATAAGGCTGGGCCGAGAGTCAGAAGTCTGGATGCTATTTTAGCCACTATTTATTAAGGACATATTTAGGAAATTGGAGTTCAGAGCATTTAAGGCATTTGCCTGACGTCTCATATCTGAGGAGTGACAGAATCAAGATTTGAACCCAGGTCAGCTTGACTCCAGAATGCTGCCTCTCCATGACCCTTTTCTTGCCATGCTCTTTAGTAGGTGACAAAAGATAAACCAAGACACAATAAGGGCTGATGTGAGCAATGTGACTCTGACATGTGGCTTCCTGTGGATCCTAATACCCTCTCTACCTCAGTGGTGAACATTTGTCAACAGATCTAGAGGCACAAATAAAAGCAAATAAGTTATTCTGCTTGGTTGGAGGGATGTTAAATGGTGGCTGCAGATGGGTACTCTAATAGAGGGCTAAGGTTGGGAGGTTGCTAATATTGTTAATATATAAGGACAACAGCATTCCTCTAACAAAATCTTACTTTCCTCTCAACTTTTAAATCCCTTCCAGGATTGATTGTCCAACTGACAGGGTTTAGTGAAACCTGGAAAGGATGCCAGTTGAAAGCCCTATGTTGAATTTTAGGCTTCCAAGGGCGAGACCAGACTAGATGAGGCTTTAACTTTGGGTGGTCAAAGGCAACATCAACTGAGGGCAAGTACAGAATAAAGGGAAGCTGGCTGGGGTGTGTGGTGAGAGATGGATTATGGAATGTGGTTCAAGATGAAGACTGAATACTATGAGGTCTTTGGTTCCTGCTTTTATGTGGTGCTGGCTGGATGGGACAAAAAGAGGCCTCACGTCTTAGGCACCAAGTAGAATACACATGAGTATATCTTGTTTCTTTGTTCTCTAAGAGCCCAAATTCCCCCAGAGAGTTCTTAGGAAGAATTATTTCTATATTGAAAATAAACTTGGAATAGCTCATGATTTAAATTTTTATCAGTACTTACATGGAATTTGCTGAAACTTGAATTAAGGCACTTTCCCAATTTATTTTTATACCTGGCTAAAAACAGAAGCAGCTGACTTGCGGGCTCTGGCCATGATTGGTAAATAGAATGCTTTTGTGAATTCTACCATCTCTGCAGAAAATAAATATCCATAACAATTTTTCCCTGACATTAGTGGCCACCAGTTACAGTAGTGGTAAGAACTCACTGAACCATGAGCCGCATCTGTGCAGATCCCAACTTAATTCATTTTATGTCATTCATCATATTCATCTCATCTTTTATGTCATAAATATCAAAACAGCATATATCTGCATAGGGTTACAAATATACTTCAGCTTGGCAATATCTTTAAAGTAATCCAAAGTGAAGTTACTATCATGAAAGTCTGTCATTCTAGACATATGTCTATCTTATTCTGTCTGAATGTGTTTCCTTAACATCTTTTTTATGCCCATTTGTTCTCTTCATCTATTAACATACTTGATTTCATCATCTTTATTAAGTATAGGTTTATATCATTTTCTTTAAAAAGTTTAGCTCATTCAACTAAGACATTACCAGAGGATGACTTGATTTGGAGTGGTGTCTTCCATAAAAGTAACAAACTTGGTAGGAAATGAATGCTAAAATCCACAGCACTGCTAGGTTGGGGTTTTGCTTGGGGCATGCAGTGAGCAAGCCAAAAATTTGATAGGAGGATATACTGAAAATGAGAGAACTATAGAAGGTCGAGTATACTCTCTGCATATCAAAAGCTGACTGGGAAACTATGGGCATTTACAGGGAGACTCAAGAGGGCCCAGCAGAAAGCAAAAGACAAGGTGGACTTGAAACCTCCCTGAACTATACTGTAGGTGAAGTGGTACACTGTCACCTGAAGATATACTATGATAAGAAAAAGACATACTCGGTAAACTCTAAAGCAATCAATAAAATTAAACAACAAAGAGTTGTTAGCTAATAAGCCAACAAAGAAAAAAAGAAAGGTCTGAAATCAATGGCCTCAGCTTCCACCTCAAGAAACCAGAAAAGAATAAAAAATTAAGTCCAAAATAAGTAGAAGAAATAAAATAATGAAGATCAGAGTGGAAATCAATAAAATAATAGAGAAAATCAATGAAACCAAAAGCCTATTCTTTGAGAAGATCCACGAAATTGATAAATCTCTAGCTGGACTTACTAGAAAAAATAGAGAGCAGATACGAATTACCAACATCAGAAATGAGAGAAGTTTTATCCCTATAGATGATTCAGATAGTGAAATGGATAATAAGGGAATATAATGAATACCTTAAGCCAATAAAATTGGCAACAGATAAAATGGAAAAAATTCCTGGAATAACACAAATTGCCGAAGCTCACCCAGGAAGGAATAGATAAGGAGAATAGTCCTATATCTATTAATACATTTGAATCTGTAGTTAAAAACCTTCCGCAAAGAAAATCCTAGGCCCAGGTGGCTTCCCGAGTGAATTCGATCACATATTTAAGGCATAAATAATACTAATTCTACACAAACTCTTCCAGAATATTGGAAAGAAGAGGATATTTCCCAAATTGTTCAGTGAGGCCACAATTACCCTGATACCACAATCAGACAAAGACATTATAAGAAAAGTGTAAAACAGTATACCTCATGCACAGCGATGTAAAAATTCTAACAAAATTTTTAGCAAATCAAACTCAACAACACGCAAAAAAAAAAGACATACACAATGACAAAATCAGGTTTATCCCAAAAAGGCAAAATTGATTTAATATTTTAAAACTCAATCAGTAATAGTTAACCATCATTAACAAACTAAGAAAACACCCATATTATAATCTGAATAGGTATAGAGAAAGCATTTAACAAAATTCAACACCCATTTCTGATAAAATTCTCACTAAACTAGAAACCAAAAGTGTATTAGTCCATTCTCACACTACTATAAAGAAATAACCGAGACTGGGTAATTTATAAAGAAAAGAGGCTTGATTGGCTCATGGTTCCACAGGCTATAGAGGAAGCATGACAGTATCTGCTTCTGTGGAGGCCTCAGGAAGCTTTTTCTCATAGCAGAAGGCAAAGCAGAAGCAGGCATCTTACGTGGCAGGAGCAGGACTGAGAGGGAAGGGGGAAGTGCCACACACCTAATTTTTTTTTAATTTTCAATAGGTGTTTGGTTACATGAATAAGTTCTTTAGTGATGATTTCTTAGATTTAGGTGCACCCATCACCTGAACAGTGTACACTGTACCTGATGTGTAGTATTTTATCCCTCAACACCCTCCCACCCTTTCCTCCAAGTCCCCAAAGTTCATTGTATCATTCTTATGCCTTTGCGTCCTCATAGCTTAGCTTCCACTTATGAGTGAGAATATATGATGTTTGGTTTCCCATTCCTGAGTTAATTCACTTAGATTAATGGTCTGTAATTCTATCCAGATTGCTGCATATGCCATTATTTAATTCCTTTTTATGGTTGAGTAGTATTCCATGGTATATATATATACACCACATTCTCTTTATCCACTTGTTGGTTGATGGGTGTTTGGGCTGGCTCCACATTTTTGTAATTGTGAATTGTGCTGCTATAAACATGTGTGTGCAAGTATCTTTTTTGTACAATGACTTATTTTCCTCTGCATAGATACCCAGTAGTAGGATTGCTGGATTAAATGGTAGATCTACTTTTAGTTCTTTAAAGAATATCCACATTGTTTTCCATAGTGGTTACACTAGTTTACATTCCCACCAACAGTGTAAAATTGTTCCCTTTTCACCACATCCATGCCAACATTTATGGGTTTTTTTTGATATTTTGATTATGACCATTCTTGCAGGAGTAAGGTGGTATCTCATTGTGGTTCTGATTTGCATTTCCCTAATAATTAGTGATGTTGAGTATATTAGTCAGTTTTCACGCTGCTAATAAAGACATACCTGAGACTGAGTAATTTATAAAGAAAAAGAGGTTTAATGGACTCACAGTTCCACATGGTCAGGGAGGCCTCACAATTATGGCAGAAGGCAAAAGGCACATTTTACATGGCAGCAGGTAAGAGAGAACTTGTGCAGGGGAATGCCCATTTATAAAACAATCAGATCTTGTGAGACTTATTCACTACCACAAGAACAGTATAGGGGAAACTGCCCCCATGATTCAATTATATCCACCTGGCCCCACCTTTGTCATGTGGAGATTGTTACAATTCAAGCTGAGATTTGTGTGGGGACATAGCCAAACCATATCATTCCATATCTGGCCCCTCCCAAATCTCATGTCCTCACATTTCAACACCAATCATGCCTTCCCTACAATTCCCCCAAATCTTAATTCATTTCAGCATTAACTCAAAAGTCCACAGTCCAAAGTCTTAGCTGAGACAAGGCAAGTCCTTTCTGCCTATGAGCCTGTAAAATCAAAAGCAAGTTAGTTATGTTCTAGATACAATGGCCGTACTGGCATTGGGTAAATATGCCCACTCCAAATAAGAGAAATTGACCAAAAAGAAGGGGCTTCAGGCCCCATGCATGATTCAATATGGCAGTCAAATCTTAAAGCTCCAAAATGATCTTTGACTACATGTCTCACATCTAGGTCATGCTGACACAAGAGGTAAGCTCCCACATCCTTGGGCAGCTCTGCCCTTGTGGCTTTGCGGGGTATAGCCCCCCTCCAGGCTGCTTTCACAGGCTGGTGCTGAGTGTCTGCAGCTTTTCCAGGTGCACAGTGCAAGCTGTCGGTGGATCTACCATTCTGGGGTCTGAAAGACGGTGGCCCTCTTCTCACAGCTCCACTACGCAGTGCCCCAGTGGGGACCCTGTGTGGGGGCTCCAACCCTATGTTTCCCCTTTGCACCACCATAGCAGAAGTGCTCCATGAGGGCTCTGCCCCTGCAACATACCTCTGCCTTGATATCCAGGCATTTCCATGCATCCTCTGAAATACAGGCTGAGGTTCCCAAACCTCATTTCTTGACTTCTGTGCACCCACAGGCTCAACACCACATGGAAGCTGCCAAGGCTTGGGGCTTTCATCCTCTGAAGCCATGGCCTAAGTTGTACTATGAGCCCTTTTAGCTATGGACAGAGTGGCTGGGATGCAGGGCACCAAAACCCTAGGGTGCACACAGCAGGGGGGCCATGGGCCCAGCCTATAAAACCATTTTTTCCTCCTAGGCCTTTGGGCCTGTGATGGGAGGGGCTGCCACAAAGCTCTGTGACATGCCCTGGAGACATTTTCCCCATTGTCTTGGCAACTAACTTTTTGCTCCTTATTACTTATACAAATTTCTGCAGCTGGCTTGAATTTCTCCTCAGAAAACAGGTTTTCTTTTCTATCATATCATCAGGCTGCAAATTTTCTGAACTTTTATGCTGTTTTTCTTTTAAAACCCAATGTTTTTTTTTTTTCAAAAAAATTTTTTTTAATTTTATTATTATTATTATACTTTAAGTTTTAGGGTACATGTGCACAATGTGCAGGTTAGTTACATATGTATACATGTGCCATGCTGGTGTGCTGCACCCATTAACTCGTCATTTAGCATTAGGTATATCTCCTAAAGCTATCCCTCCCCCCTCCCCCCACCCCACAACAGTCCCCAGAGTGTGATGTTCCCCTTCCTGTGTCCATGTGTTCTCATTGTTCAATTCCCACCTATGAGTGAGAATATGTGGTGTTTGGTTTTTTGTTCTTGCGATAGTTTACTGAGAATGATTATTTCCAATTTCATCCATGTCCCTACAAAGGACATGAACTCATCATTTTTTATGGCTGCGTAGTATTCCATGGTGTATATGTGCCACATTTTCTTAATCCAGTCTATCATTGTTGGACATTTGGGTTGGTTCCAAGTCTTTGCTATTGTGAATAGTGCTGCAATAAACATACGTGTGCATGTGTCTTTATAGCAGCATGATTTATAGTCCTTTGGGTATATACCCAGCAATGGGAAGGCTGGGTCAAATGGTATTTCTAGTTCTAGATCCCTGAGGAATCGCCACACTGTCTTCCACAATGGTTGAACTAGTTTACAGTCCCACCAACAGTGTAAAAGTGTTCCTATTTCTCCACATCCTCTCCAGCACCTGTTGTTTCCTGACTCTTAGTGATTGCCATTGTAACTGGTGTGAGATGGTATCTCATTGTGGTTTTGATTTGCATTTCTCTGATGGCCAGTGATGGTGAGCATTTTTTCATGTGTTTTTTGGCTGCATAAATGTCTTCTTTGGAGAAGTGTCTGTTCATGTCCTTTGCCCACTTTTTGATGGGGTTGTTTGTTTTTTTCTTGTAAATTTGTAAAACCCAATGCTTTTAACAGCACCCAAGTTATCTCTTGAATGCTTTGCTGTTTAGAAATTGCTTCTGCCAGGTACTCTAAATCATCTCCCTCAAGTTCAAAGTTCCACAAGTCTCTAGGGCAAGGGCAAAATGCCACCAGTCTCTTTGCTAAAACATAGCAAGAGTCACCTTTACTCCAATTCTCAGCAAGTTCTTCATCTCCATCTGAGACCACCTCAGCCTGGATTTTGTTGTCCATATCATTATCAGCGTTTTGGTTAAAGCCATTCAACAAGTCTCTAGGAAGTTCCAAACTTTTCCACATTTTTCTGTCTTCTTTTGGGCCCTCCAAATTGTTCCAACCTCTACCTGTTACCCAGTTCCAAAGTTGCTACTACATTTTTGGGTATCTTTACAGCAGCGCCCCACTCTACTGGTGCCAATTTACTGTATTAGTTCATTTTCACACTGCTGATAAAGACATACCCAAGACTGGGCAATTTATAAAGAAAAAGGTTTCATGGGCTCACAGTTCCATGTGGCTGGGGAGGCCTCAAAATCATGGCAGAAGGTGAAAAGCACATTTTACCCAGTCTCAGGTAGTATCTTATAGCAGTGTGAAAATGGACTAATACAACTGGATAGCACAAAAGGGTGACTATAGTCAAAAATAATTTAATTGTACATACTGAAATAACTAAAAGAGTATGACTGGATTGTTTGTAACACAACAGATAAATTCTTGAGGGATGGACACCCCATTTTCCATGATATGATTTTTATACATCTCATGTACCCCATAAATATTTACACCTACTATGTACTCACAAAAATTAAAAATTAAAAAAAATAATTCTCCTGCTCTTTGAAGGACACTGTTAAGAAGAGGAAAAGATACTGCACAGACTGAGAGAAAATATTTGCCAATCATATATATCTAACAAAGCACTGGTATCTGGAATATATAAATAACTCTCCAAACTGAACAATGAGAAAACAAACATCCCGATTAAAAATGGGTAAAAGATTTGAACAAAAGCTTCACCAAAGAAGAAAGATGGATCACAAGTAAGCATACAAAAAGATGCTCACCATCATTAGGGAAATGCAAGTTAAAACCACAATGAGATACTCCTACAGACCTTTTAAAATGTTTAAAATAAAATAGACTTATTATACCAAGTGTTGGTGAAGTTGTAGAGGAACTGGGGTTCTCAATACTGTTAATTGGAATGTAAAATGGTGTATCCACTTTGGAAAACAATTTGGTAGTTTTATAAAATGTTAAACATACACCTACCACACGACCCAGCCATTCTACCCGTAAGTATTTACCCAAAGAAGATGAAATATGTCAATACAAAGACTTGTATATGAAGACTTGTATACAAAGACTTGTATATGAAATACGTCAATATGAAGACTTGTATATTTTATGTCAATACAAAGACTTGTATATGAATGTTATAGCAGCTTTATGTGTAATAGTCAAAAGGTGGAAAAAACCCAAATATTCAATGACAGGTAAATGGGTAAACAAATGTTATTCAGCTTCATATGCAATGGCACACATAGGCTCAAAATAAAGGGGTGGAGAAAAATCTGCCAAGCAAATGGAACACAGGAAAAAGCAGAGGTTGCAGTCCTAGTTTCTGACAAAACAGACTTTAAACCAATAAAGATTAGAAAAGACAAAGAAACCACTACATAACAGTAAAGGGTTCCATTCAACAAGAAGATCTAACTCTCCTGAATATATATGCATCCAACACAGGAGCACCCAGATTCATAAAGCAAGTTCTCAGAGACCTTTAAAGAGACTTAGACTTCCACACAAAAATAGTGGGAGACTGTAACACTCCACTGAAAATATTAGACAGATCATTGAGACAGAAAATTAACAAAAGTATTCAGGTCCTGAACTCAGCACTGGATCAAATGGGCCTGATAGAGATCTACATAACTTTCTACCCAAAACCAGCAGAATCTACATTCTCCTCATTGCCATGTGGCACATACTCAAGAAGGGATCACATAATTGGAAGTAAAACACTTCTCAGCAAATGCAAAATACCCTGAAATCATAACAAGCAATTTCTCGGACCACAGCACAATCAAATTAGAAATGAAATCTAAGAAATTCACTCAAAACCATACAATTACATGGAAATTGAATAACTTACTCATGAATGACTTTTGGGTAAATAATGAAATTAGGGCAGAAATCCAGAAGTTCTTTGAAACTAATGAGAACAAAGATACAACATACCAGAATCTCTGGGACACAGTTAAGGCAGTGTTAAGAGGGAAATTTATAGCACTAAAATGCCCACATCAAAAAGTTAGAAGGATCTCAAGTTAACAAAGTAACATCACAACTAAAAGAACTAGAGAACCAAAAGCAAACAAATCCCAAAGCTAGCAGAAGACAAGAAAGAACCAAAATCAGAGCTGAACTGAAGGAGATAAAGACACAAAACACCATACAAAAGACCAACGAATTCAGGAGCAGGTTTTTTGAAAAAAATCCTAAAATGGACCGCTAGCTAGACTAATAAAGAAGAAAAGAGAAAATTCAAATATACACAATCAGAAACGAAAGGGGAATATTACCACTGATTCCACAGAAATACAAACAACCATCAGAAAGTATTATGAACACCTCTATGCACATAAACTAGAAAATCTAGAAGAAACTGATAAATTCCCAGACACATACACCTGCCCAAAACTGAACCAGGAAGAAGTTGAATCTCTGAACAGACCACTAACTCTAAAATTCATCAGTAATAAATAACCTACCAACCAGGACCAGATGGATTTACAGCTACATTTTACCATATGTGCAAGTAAGAGCTGGTACCATTCCTTCTGAAACTATTCCAAAAAGTTGAGGAAGAGGGACTCCTCCCTGACTCATTCTATAAGGCCAGCATCATCCTGATACCCAAACCTGACAGATATACCATAAGAAAAAGAAAACTTCAGGCCAATATCATTGCTGAACACTGATGCAAAAATTTTCAACAAAATACTGGCAAACAGAATCTAGCAGGACAACTATAAGCTCATCCACCACGATCAAGTAGGCTTTATCCCTGGGATTCAAGGTTGGTTCAACATATGCAAATCAATAAATGTGATTCATCACATAAACATAACCAAAGACAAAAATGACATGATTATCTCAATAAATGCAGAAAAGGCTTTTAATAAAATTCAACACCCCTTCATGTTAAAAACTTTCAATAAACTAGGTATTGAAGGAACATGCCTCAAAATAGTAAGTGCCATCTACTGTAAGCCAACAGCCAGCATTATACTGAATGGGCAAAAGCAGGAAGCATTCCCCTTGAAAATCAGCACAAGGCAAGAATGCTATCTCTCACCACTCCTATTCAACATAGTATTGGGAATCCTGGCCAGGGTAAGAGGCAAGAGAAAGAAATAAAAGGCATCCAAATAGGAAGAGAGAAAGTCAAACTATCTGTGTTTGCAGATAACACGAGCCTATATCTAGAAAACCCCATAGTTACAGCCCAAAAGCTTCTTAAACTGATAAACTTCAGGAAGATCTCAGAATACAAAATCAATGTGCAAAAATCAGTAACATTCCTATACAACAACACCAGTCAAACCAATAGCCAAATCAGGAATGAACTCCCATTCACAACTGCCACAAAAAGAATAAAATACCTAGGGATATAGCTTACTAGGGAGGTGAAAGATCTCTACAAGAAGAACAATAAAACACTGCTCAAAGAAATCAGAGATGACATAAACAAATGGAAAAACATTCAATGCTCATGGATGGGAAGAATCAATATTGTAAAAATGGCCATACTGTCTAAGGCAATTTATAGATTCAATGCTATTCCCATTAAACTATCACTGACATTCTTCACAGAACTAGAAAAAACTATTTTGAAATTCATATGGAGCCAAAAAAGAGCACCAATAGCCAAGGCAATCCTAAGCAAAAAGAGCAAAGCTGGAGGCATCACACTACTGAACTTCAAACTATACTACTGGGCTCCAGTAAGGAAAACAGCATGGTACTAGTACAGAAACAGACACATAGACCAATGGAACACAATAGAGAACCCAGAAATAAGGCTGTAAACCTAAAACTATCTGATCTTCAATAAACCTGACAAAAACAAGCAGTGCAGAAAGAATTTCCTATTCAATAAATGGTGCTGGGATAACTGGCTGAGCATATGCAGAAGATTGAAACAAATATTAGCTCAAGATGGTTTAAAGACTTAAATGTAAAACCCAAAAGGATTCTGCAAAGACCTAAAGACAGAAATACCATTCCAGGCAGCAATCCCATTACTAAGTATATACCCAAAGGAATATAAATTATTCTACCATAAGGACACATGCAAATGTATGTTAATTGCAGCAGTATTAACAATAGCAAAGACATGGAGTCAGCCTAAATGCCCATCAATGATAGACTGAATAAAGAAAATGTGGTATGTATACACCATGGAATACTACATAGCCATAAAAAAGAATGAGATAACGTCCTTTGCAGGGACATGGATGGAGCTGGAGGCCATTATCCTTAGCAAACAGTAAACCAAATACTGCATGTTCTCACTTATAAGTGAGAGCTAAATGATAAGAACACATGGACACACAGGGGGGAACAACAGACACTGGAGCCTATTGGAGGGTGGAGAGTGGGAGGAGGGAGAGGATCAAGAAAATCAACGAGTGGGTACTAGGCTTAATACCTGGGTGATGAAATAATCGGTATAATAAACCCCCATGACACAAGGTTACCTACATAACAAACCTCCCCTTGTACCCTGAACTTAAAATAAAAGTTAAAAATGGAAAATAATAAAATGAATGTTATTGAGTAATAAAAACTGAACAGTTGATACATGCAACAACTTCAATGAATGCCAAAACAATTTTTCTGAGTGAAAGAGCCAAGACATTAAAAAGGTACATACTGTATGGTTTCATTTATATAAATCTCTAGATGATGTAAAGAAATCTATAGTGAAAGAACACAGATCAGTGGTGTTCTGGAGAATGCCTAGGGAAAGGGTCAGGAAGGGTTACATGTAACAACTTTTGTGGATGACATATATTCATTATCTTGATTGTGCCAATGAGTTCATGAGTATACACATGTCGAAACTTATCGAATTGTACCCTTTAAATATGTATGGCTTATTGTATGTCAGTCATTTATCAGTAAAGCTTTTTTTGACAAAAAAACCTTAAACCTCTACTTACGACACAACCCTGAAATTCCACATCTAGATAATCTATGCTAAAGAAATGAAAAAGCATTCATACAAAGATTTGTAAACAAATGTTTATAACAGCATTATTTATAACACTCAAAATCTAGAAACAATTCAAATGTTCATCGACAAGTAAATGGATAAACAAAATGTGGTAAATCCACACAATGGAATTCTATTTAACAATAAAAAGCAAAAATCTACTGATACATACCACAACATGTGTGAACCTCAAAAACGTTGTGCTAAGTGAAAGAAGCCAGGTGCAAAATGCTGCATATCATATGATTCCAATTATATAAAATTTCTAGAAAAGGCATATCCATAGGGACAGAAAGTAGTTCCCTAAGGTTGGTGATGAAGGCCTTCTAACAGGCATGGGGAACTTTCTCAGGTAATGGAAATGTTCCTAAACTGGTTTATGTTGATGATTGCACAATTCTATATAAAATTACTATATTTTCTCAATTTTATGGTGTGAAAATTATACCTCAGTGGAGTCGTTCCAAAAACAAAAGAACCAGAGGAAGCAGTCGGGTATTGGTGATGTTAATGGTGATTCAGGTAGGAAGCAGCTCAGAAGCATCCCAGCAAATGCTTCTCTGACTGACCCAGAGGGTCTGTGTTGGATACTATCTTGAATACTGGCTTTCAAGTAGGGGATTCTTTTTTTTGAGTTGGAGTCTCGCTCTGTTGCTCAGGCTGGAGTGCAGTGGTGCGATCTCGGCTCACTGCAAGCTCCGCCTCCCAGATTCACGCCATTCTCCTGCCTCAGCCTGCCGAGTAGCTGGGAATACAGGCACCCTACGCCCGACTAATTTTTTGTATTTTTAGTAGAGATGGGGTTTCACTGTGTTAGCCAGGATGGTCTCGATCTCCTGACCTCGTGATCCGCCCACCTTGGCCTACCAAAGTGCTGGGATTACAGGCATGAGCCACCACGCCTGGCCCAAGTAGGGTATTCTTAAAGATGCAGTCAGCAGGATAACTCAGGGAGACTTGAGTCTCAAATCTGGTTCTACCTCTTACTAGCTATGTGATCTTGGGAATTTTTTTTTCAGAATCTCAGTCTTCCCATCTTTCAAATGTGTTTCATAATACCTATTTCATTGTATTAAATGAGATAATATATATAGAACTGCCTGTAGAGTGTTGATCTACATTTTCTTGTGTGTATGGGGCCCTTGTCTATGCAAGCAATCTGATTTTAAAAGTGTATTACAAAATTCATTGGTCCATAAGAAGTGTAATGATTTATCAAAGAATATTTAGAATACTTCTTAGAGAAATAGTACTTACCTATTTGTTTAATATTCAATTGATGCATATGAAGATTCTTTGCAGTGTCCAGGCACTATCTCTTCTGGTTCAGGTCCAGAAATCTCCACTTTATGCTGATCGTTTCTGTTCTTTGTCAAATGTGCCATTCCTGGTTAACGTCATATCTCCTACCATAAATCAGTAGCAATACTGTTATTATTCACAATGTCGTGGCTCTTTGGAACCTATTTATATTAAAACGGTATAGATCGTCTTGCTTCTATATGTTCCTAACACCATTTTTTTAATGCTGTTTCATATCATTACTTGTGACACTTTATCATTCAGAGGGCTTCCCTTGAATATTGCCTTCCAATTGCTCTGTCAGACATTCTTACGCTGTTTTGTTGTTTATGGTGCCACAAGTCTTACCCAGAGTGTGCAGAAAAATGTGAGAATAGCATAAATGTAAACCAATGCATTTTCCAACAGTGTTTACTTTTGAACTCTTCAGGTTTTAATTACTCCATTCCTACAATATGATATCTTTCAGTCTTGACTGTACCCTGGCCTTCCATGTACTGCCACCAGAGAGAAGGACAGGCAAGAATCTTGTGGGCTGAGTAACAAGAGTGGTTCTGTTCTTGCAAGGAATATCCATCACTCATCCTGCATTACTTAAGACCTACCAAGAAGAGCACAATGTCACCACATCTTTTCAAGGAAAGTGAGGACATTGATCAGGAAGGCCCAGTGGTGTTGTAGAGCCAAAGTCTCAAAAGCTCTCGGAGGAGATAGGACGACTGTTTTACATATAGTACAAAGTTTGCAGAAAGGATTGAGATGGCTGCTCTGGATATCAGAATTGGAAATATGCACAGGCTAAAGCATGCCTGCCATCACCTCTGATGACTTCATGTATCATAAATGGGAGGTGACCCTGTTGTCAGAATGTGGATGGGTGATAGCCAATGCACAGGCTCACACACAGCTCAAGCCCAAGGGTCTAGGGTAGCACTGAAAACATACTAAGTGTTTAACAGAATGCCTGGAAAATTGTAAATGCTCAATCTATCTTAGCTAATTTTTTCCTATTAATAGTTTAATATGATAGTTTAAAGTAATAATTAAAGACCTTTTATAATAAAATAAGAATTTATAATAAAGACTGTTGACACTAAAGAAAACAAGGCAGAGATTTAGAAAAGGATGCTGGCTACTCAAGTAGAGCATCATAAAATATCATTCCATCAGTAGGGTACCATGGTCTAGGGTCTCAATTTGGTCAGTGCTCCCAGAGTTGATTGGATTCTCTAGGTTTTATCCAGACTAGCTGTATTAGTTTCCTGTAGCTGCTGTAACAAATTACCCCAAATGTGCTGGCTTAAAACACAGTTCTTGAGGCCAAAAGTTGGAATTCATTCCTTGTCTCTTGCAGATTTGGGTGGCTGCCAGTATTCCCTAGCTTGTGGATGCCTCACTCCAAACTTCAAAGCTCTCTCTGTTCCATCTTCATATTGTCTTCTCCTTTATGTGTATCAATACTTCTGTCTTTCCCTTATAAGGACACTTGTGATTGTATTTAGGGCTCACCTGGATAATACAGGATAATACCTCTATCTCAAGATCCTTCACTTAGTTATATCTGCAAAGATCCTTTTTCCAAACAAGGTCACATTTATAAGTTTCATGGATGAGAACCTGATATCTTTTGGGAGGTCATTATTCAGTCTATTACACTATGTAAACTAACAGAAATTTAATATATATAAGCTAGAATGCCAATGTATAAATTTATAAGAGAACTAATACTATTACATAGACTCAGACTTGTGTCATCTTATTGGCACATTCTCTTTCCTATAGGAAACCTCATGGGAAACCAAATAACTCAAAGAACTGTTGCTTGATGAATCTGTAATTAGAGCAATTGGTGGGGATGGTCTGTCTTCTTGAATGACACTAGCTGGAGCCCTGGTGCAGTTATCTTCAGTGTGGGGTGAAAATATTTCAGTATCCCAGATTTTGGGGTCATCAGTCAGGATCTCTTTATTGAAGAAAGGGCTGGAAACATATAGATAGGCATCTGTGTAGTCTACTGAACATGCACATGGAGATTTTCAATAGTAAGTTTTCCCAGCTGCTGCTGCTTCCAGCACCCAGAAAATGTTTAATGGTATGGTGTAGGAGATGTTATGAACATGCACAATGTGTGTATGGTAGGGAGGGGTGAATATTTTCAATTCTGGTTTTCCTGTCGGGGATACATAATGCTCCATCTTTGACAATAGAATATGGCTCATAGACAAAAAAGATGTAGGTGCAAGATAGCTCATGGAGGGGAGACAAAGAGAAACAGAGAAGTGAGTGACAAATAAATGAATGAATGAACAAACACAGGAGTTTCAGGATCAATTGTTTTCCCTGGGTTAATTAGCAAACTTAAAACCCCAAGTTTTGTAAGGCTTATTGGTAGGAGGGCTCCTTTATGGGAATTTAGTGCAAACACATTAAGAGTTAGGTGGGTTTTATTTATTTACTTATTTTTAATTTTTTTTTTTTTTTTTTTTTTTTTTTTTTTTTACAGTCTCGCTCTGTCACCCAGGCTGGAGTGTAGTGGTGCAATTTTGGCTCAATTTTGCCTCCCAGGTTCAAGCAATTCTCCTGCCTTAGCCTTCCAAGTAGCTGGGACTACAGGTGCGCACCACCACACCTGGCTAAATTTTGTATTTTTAGTAGAGATGGGGTTTCACTATGTTGGCCAGGCTGGTCTCGAACTCCTGACCTCGTGATCCGCACACCTGGGCCTCCCAAAGTGCTGGGATTACAGGCGTGAGCCACTGCGTCCAGCCAAGAGTTACGGTTTTGAAGCAAGAAGTGGACATCTCTAGGCAGAGAGCATAGGCTGAGGGTATACTTCTGGGATCACCTTCCAAATTGACCACTTTTGCCCAAGTCTTTGTTTCATAGCCTGCATGTGGAGAAGTCCAAACTGAGACAGGGGCCAGTCTCACTTGAGTCAACTAAATTGAAGGGACGTGGTGTTTCCAAGTAAAAACAGGAAATGCATTCTGAGCAAACCTAGATAGCTGACTTTACTGCAGGAATTTTGCCAACTTCATTGTTTTTATCCTACAGAGAATATTAGCATCAGTATCCTTCACTTCTAGCCCTGGCCATTCTCCTTACCATAGAAAACCCCTAGTAACTAGAGAGTCCAAGTTAGAGTGTGGAGTGGATTGAAGAAAGCCCATTCTTTCACCTCAAAAATCAAAAGACAAACACTTGCCTTCGTCTATTTGGGCTGCTATAACACAATGTTTTAGACTGGGTGACTTAGAAACAACGAAAATGTATTTCTCACAATTCTGGAAGCTGAGAAGTCCAATATCAAGTCAATGGCAACTTTGGTGTCTGATGAAGGATACCTCTCTGCTTCGTAGATGGCACCCTCTTGCTTGCATGGTTGAAGGGGTTAGCTAGCTAGCTCTCTGGAGTCCTTTATATAAGGGCACTAACTCCATTCATGAGGACAGAGACATCATGACACAATCACCTTCCAAAGACCCCACCTTCTAATACTATGACATTGGGGATTGGGCTTCAACATACATACTAATTTTGGTGGCGGGGGACACAGACATTCAAAACACAACAGTAGTCAAAATACAGTTTTAGTGGACAGTGGCTCAGTGGTGTCATTTCCCGATCCCTAAAGATCAACTTTACAATCAGGCAACTCTCTGTAGTTAATGGAAAATTTAACAAAGTATGAAAAAAAGTCACTTTGCAGACATATGGGATAGCTTATTTTGATGTCAATAGCAAGATTCAGACAATATGTTCTTGTTTCTTTCCTTTTATAAAATAGTCCTGAGAGATCTAGAACTCAATACTCAGAATACTATGTTGTTAACTACTAAGCATACTATGGCAGAGATGATATCCATTCCCACCTTCTTAATTACCAGAACCTTGTATTAATGGGAGAACAATGTGCCTGGCTAAAAACTACCCTCTCTTACAGAGAGGGGCAGCCAATAAGATGTAAATAGAATTGTGTGGCATTCCATGGAAAGCTCCTTAAAGGGTGCTGATTCAATTGGGAAATGTACTTTTTCTTCTCCTTCTCCATTTCCTCCTTTCTGATGCCTAGATTATTGGAACTCTAGAAGCCATCTTGGACAATTAGGCAGTTTGAAAATGGAAGCTGTTCTCCATGGAAGAGCAGAGAGTAAAGGGGCGTCAGTCTCTGACAACTGTAGACTTGCCATACCAGCTCTAAACAACTTATCACCACACTTCTATTATATGAAAAAGAAATTTGTATTGTGTTTAAGACATTGTTGCTTGGGTTTTATGTTGCATTCAGCCAAATCTGCCCCTAGCTGATACACACATACACGTAACATCAGAAAACAACAGTTGAAAACTTGCTCAAATTTATTGAGGGGGAAAGCAATGTATATGCTTGCACAATGCAAGTATACTTCCATGGTAAACATAATTACGGCCTGCATGAACACATCTGGAAACATAACCACAGTTTAATAATACTGTGTGTTTGAGAGTGTGGTAGAATTCAACAACAGAAAACTCAGAAAGGGAACTTTCATGAATTGAATGATTTTTTTCTTCCAAAACTCATATTTTGAAGCCCTAATCCCCAATGTGATGGTATTAAGAGGTGGGGCCCTTGGAAAGTAATTAGGCTTTGGTGAGGTCATGAAGGTGGGGTCCTCATGATAGGATTAGTGCTCTTATAAGAAGAGATCAGAGAGCTAGTTCTCTCTCTCTCTCTGCTATGTGAGGACATAACATTAAGGCAGTCATCTACAAGCCAGAAAGAGGGTACTCACTAGAACCTGACTATGTTGACACCCTGATCCTGATCAGACTTCCCAGCCTCTAGAACTGTGAGAAATAAATGCCTGCTGTTTAAGTCCCCCAGTCTATAGGGTATTTTGTTACAGTAGCCTGAGCTAAGACAGAAACATACCAGGTTTTAATTTTTTTCTCCCCCTTGAGTATCCTAGACTCATAGATATTATATAGTTTGAAGGAAACTTTTTAAGCATCTATTTTAATTTTCTCACTTTAGAAATGAGGCAACCCAAGTTGTTTTCTATGGTAACTGTTGTTTTCTATGGTAACTGTCATCAAGTCCCTCCACTCTCCTCCCCTCCCCTCCCCTCTCCTCTCCTTTCCTTTCCTTTCTTTTTCTGAGACAGAGTCTCACTCTGTCGCCCAGACTGGAGTGCAGTGGCATGATCTTGGCTCTCTGCAACCTCTGCCTCCTAGGTTCAAGCAATTCTCCTGCCTCAGCCTCCCAAATAGCTGGGATTACAGGCACCCGCCACTGGGCCTGACTAATTTTTGTATTTTTAGTAGAGACAGGGCTTCGCCATGTTGGCCAGGCTGGTCTCGAACTCCTGACCTCAAGTGATCTGCCCACCTCAGTCTCCCAAAGTGCTGGGATTATAGGCATGAGCCACCATGCCTGGCCACCGTCATCAAGTTCTGCAAATCTTTCTTGGCAATATGACAGATCTATCTCCTCTTCTTTATGTCCACTCCTGACACATCATAACAGCTTTCACCATGTCATTTGTGAACTCCAATTACTTCTCCACTTGATCTCACTGTGTAAAATCCTATACAGCTCTACTTTGAGAATAAACCCCACAAAATACTACTTTTTCCCATTGGCTTCCCTTTTAGGACACTTTCAGTGGGACCCAATGGTCTCATCAATCAATTGCAGTCAGTCACACTTTTCCTTAGCTCTACATTTTACCCTTCCATGTTTGACGGTGCCCAGAGAAAGCACTTACATCAATCTTTACTACCTTAATTGGCTCAATCATCTCAACAATGGATCCATCAGATTTAGCTGTCCTCTTGTACACTCAGGCAACATTTCAATTTGCTGATGCCAAAATGATATCTAGTTGTAAAAGATGATCACAACTGTTGGGAAGCCTTCTTAATGGAAGAGAACGTACTTGAGTTGTCTCTGGGTGACTGAGAACCAAGTGGTGGATGAACACAGCTGCCAGACAGGGTTTCAATGAGCCATGAAGGGGCAAATAAGCAGGAGAAGGTTGAGACAGGAAGAAAAGGGCATAAAACAGTGGAAGTGTATGTAAGAACTTCCATTTCCAGAGGGAAACAGGATTCACTACACTTGCCTTTGATTACGCTTTGTCTACCGGGTGCTTGTTTCTCTCCTCTGCCAATTCAAATTATGTGACATCTACCAAGAAGAAAGTCAAGTCCTACTCTCTTCTCTCCATTGCAGCTTCAGGTATTTAGCTCTTCTATTTTCTTCCATTCCATAGTATATTTTGACTATAGGAAACATTTGACTTGGGGTTTTATTCAATTTACTATTTTGTTATATAGACTTTTTTGGCAGCATTATTGTTTGAGATATGCAAAGCCCATTTATTTCAAACAACATTGAAGTTTATGAAGTCTGGTGGTGTGTCATATATTTTTTTGGTATCACAACATGGTTTGACTTATAGAAAGTGCCAAAGGGATAGGCTAAGATTATCTAAATGTACTTGAGATTATCTCAATATAGACAATATCTATTTAACATATATAAATATATACAGGTGTAAAAATTCCCTTCAGTGTAAAATTCTCTTCAATATAATAAATTTAATATGTGAAGTATTTTATTAATAAAATTTAGCATTGTATAGGTGTTAAAAATATAAACACCCAAATCCTTTTAAAAAGCAGAAATTATATTTAACATTATTTTCACTAATAGGTGGGCAAGGACTTAGGGACTCTGGTAACACAAGATTTCTCTTCCATGAAAACTTATTGTATATATATCATCAAAGCAGTTTCGAATTAGGTGGTCAGTCAAATCATGAAAGTAGCCTTGTTATGTAATTTTAACAGTTTGATGGTACTCCTTAAAATGAGATTCTGCCTGTAATATTACACTTTATAATGTCTTCTTTGCATTGTTAACTACAACATCTGTGGAAGCATATTCTATGAATTGATGTTAATGAGTCTTACATTTAAAAAGGAATTTCTTAGTCAAACATGTTTGGGAAAGTTAAATAGACATCTCAGTGCCTTTTATGTATTCATGTGCATTTTGATTCTCCAAGAAGAAACATGTTACGTTCCTCAAACTACTTCAAATAATGGCTTACTGTGACGGAGCCTAAGCTAGTCATGGGGACAGGCTGCATGCAGAGACAGAGATACCTAGAGAAATCCAGCTGTTCTAGCTATCCAAGCACTGACACCAGACATGTAAGTAATGAAATCATCTTAGACATTCTAACTCCAGCCGAAGTGATGTGAAGAAGAATCAATTAGTCCAACCAATAATTAGAGCTACATTCCCAGAATTATGGCCCCGGAACAGCCATGCCACCCTTCCTCAGCCATTCAAGCCACTTCAGCCGAGACCATGGACCAAGAATTTGTGGAAACCAGAGAAAATAATTTTCAAGATGATACTATTCACGTTTTTCTTTTTTGATTCTTATCCAGGATAACATGAACAAAAGCACTTTTAAAAAATCTGTCTCTGTGCCATCTACTTAGCCTACCCTGTATGGCCAGTGAAAAGGGAATATTTTGGAGTCCCCTGAATGAAAGGAATTTCAAGGGAGGGTAGATAGATACTTAAGGTCCATCAAATCTAGACTCTTGAATGCTTATCTCTTTAATTATGTTCTTTTCTTCTTCTTTTTAGTTATTCAGTTAAATATCTAAGTCTATATTTCTCTCAAGATTAATATATATAAAAATGTTTGGCAAGATTGGTGATCAAAAACCAAAGATACAAAAAAAGGATGATAAAGAATGCAGATATTAGGAAAATTATAAAATGATGTTTTGAAAAACTTGGCAATACATTTCAAAATTTAGGTAAAATATTGACATTCCTAGAAAGTTGTCTTAGTTCATTTTGTGCTGTGATAACAGGATACCCAAGACTGAGTAATTTATGATGAACAGAAATTTATTGTCTCACAGCTCTGAAGGCTAGGAAGTCCAAGACTGAGGGGCAGACATCTGGCAAGGGCCTTCTTGTCACATCATCCCAGGGAGGAAGGGCAGTGAGAAGTGAGAAAGAGCAAGAGGTGGAACTCGCAACCTCAAGCCCTCTTTATAGTGACATTAACCCATTCATGAGGGTGGAGCCCTCATGACCTAATCATCTCTTAAGTTCTTACCCCCCAACACTGTTGCATTGGTGAGTAAGTTTCTGACACATGCTTTTTGGGGGACACATTTAAACCACAGCAGAAGATATAATCACTAAAATTGACTCAAGACATAAAATGCCTAAATTTGTAGTTACAAAACTCTTCTCACAAAGAAGACACAAGGACAACACAGTTTTATGGGTAATTTCAATAAACTACAAATAACAAATACACTTATATAACCAGTTCCGAGGGAAATTTTCCAATTTTTTTATGAGACTAGTATAAGCTTGATATCAAAACCTTACCCTGATAAATGAGAAAGGAGAGTTATAGTGCTATCTCATTGATTAATACAGATACAAAATCATAAACAAAACATTATTAAATAGAACACTATAATATGTAATAAAGATTATACAGCATGAGCAAAGTTGGCTTATTCCAGCACTGTAAAGTTGGTTTAAATCTAACAAAATGTTCATATTAACAGATTAAATAAAAAGTTTTTTAATCCTCTGAATATATGTGAAAAATTGTTTAATGTAATTCAAAAACCATTCCTGATATAAAACATTATTAAAGTAGAAACATAAGATAAGGCCACTAATCCCATAAAGGGCATTAAAGAAAACTGAGAGCAAACTTTATGCTTAATGTAAAAATGTTGAAAGCATATTCTTAAACAGTAGGAACAAGATAAAGGCCTCTGTTATCACCACTTCTATATTTAGAATTATTCCAACCAGCACAGTAAAAAAAGGAATTAAATATGTAAAGACTCAAATAGAAAAAAAAGAAAACCATTATTTCTCTGAGACGAGATTATTGTCTTTATTGAAAACCTAATTTATTAGAATTTATAAATAATTTAGCAAGATGCCAAAATCTAAAATTAGTACTCAAGAATAAATTGCCGTTATACAAAATGTATTCAAGATGAATAATAGACTTAAATGTAAAGCATAAAACTATAACACATTTAGAAGAAAACATCAAAGAAAATATGCATGACATTAGGTTTGGCAATGAGTTTTTAGATATACTATCAAAAGCATGACCCATAAAATAAAAAATTGATAAATTAGACCTTTCCAAAATTAAAAACATTTGCTCTGTGAAAAACATAGTTAAGAGAATGAAAAGAAAAGCCACAGAAAGGAAAAATATTTGCAAATCACATATCTGATAAAGAAATTTTACCTGTAATATACTTAAAACACTTAAAATTTGACCATAAGCAAACAAACAACTGAATTTTTTAAAAATGGACAAAAGGGCCTGGCACGGTGGTTCATGCCTGTAATCTTAGCACTATGGGAGGCCAAGGAGGGTGGATCACCTGAGGTCAGGAGTTCAAGACCAGCCTGGCCAACACGGTGAAACCCATCTCTACTAAAAATACAAAAATTAGCCAGGCGTGGTGGCACATGCCTGTAATCCCAGCTACCCGGGAGGCTGAGGCAGGAGGATCACTGGAGCCTGGGAGGCAGAGGCCGCAGTGAGCCGAGATCATGACACTGCACTCCAGCCTGGGCGCCAGAGTGAGACTCCATCTCAAAAGAAAAAAAGAAGGGGCAAAAGATTTGATCAGACACTTCACTAAAGAAAATATGTGGATAGCAAATAAAAACATGGAAAGATGCTCAACAATATTAGTCATTAGGAAAATGAAAATTAAAATGACAATGGAATACCACTGTACACCTATAAGATTGTCTAAAGTAAATAAGTGGCAATACCAAATGCTGATGAGGATGCAGAGCCACCTTAAAACTCATTCATTGCTGGTGAGAATGCAAAATAGTGTAGCAATTTTGGAAAACAGTTTGGCACTTTGTTAAAACATTAAACATAAACTTACTGCTAGAAAGAGTAATTCCACTCTTAGGTATTTAGCCAAGTGAGTTGAAAACTATGTTCACACAAAAACCTGTACATGAATATTTATAGGAGCTTAATTCATAATAGCCAAAAACTGGAAACAACCCAGATATCCTTCAATAGATTCATGGATAAACAAATGGTGGTATGTCATACAATGAATACTACTCAGCAATAAAAAGGAATAACTACAAATTTATGCCACAATATGGATGAACCTCAAAGGCATTTTGCTAAATTAAAGAAACCAGATCCAAAAGGTTACATATGTAGGATTTCTTCTATATGACATTTTGGCAGGAGCAAAACTATAGACATGAAAGACAGTTCGGTGGTTTATAGGAATTAGGGGAGGGGACATGGACTGAATATAAAGGGGTGCAGAAGAGAATTTTATGGAGTGATGGAACTATTCTATACGGTACCATGTTGGTGAATCTATGACTGAATTTGTCAAAACTCACAGAACTGTACATCACTAAAAGTGAAGTTTACTGTATGAAAATTTTAAAAATCATTTGGAATGTCTGGAGAACATAGGATGGAATGAATGCAGACTGACAAATCTAACTGTATAAACTATTATTTTATTTATATTTTAATTCAATTTTTAACTTTAGATTCAGGGGTACATGTGCAAGCTTTTTACGTGGGTATATTGCATAATGCTGGGTTTGGAGTGTGATTGAACCCCTCACCCAGGAAGTAAGCATAGTACCCAACAGTTAGTTTTTTAACCCTTACCCCGTCCCGTCTTCACCCCTCTAGTAGTCCCTAGTGTCTATTATTCCCATCTCTATGTCCATGAGTACCCACCCACTTGTTAAGTGAGTACATGTAGAATCTGATTTTCCATTCCTGCATTAATTCACTTAGGATAATGGCATCCAGCTGCATCCATGTTGCTGCAAAGGATATAATTTTGTTCATTTCTATGGCTGTGTAGTATTCTATGGTGTACGTATACCACATTTTCTTTATCCAATCCACCATCGTTGGGCACCATGGTTGATTCCATGTCTTTGCTATTGTGAACAGTGCTGTGATGAACATATGAGTGCACGTATCTTTTTGAAATAATTATTTATTTTCCTTTAGGTATGTACCCAGTAATGAGATTCCTGGGTCGAATGGTGGTTGCATTTTTAGTTCTTTAGGAAACCTCCAAACTGCTTTCCACAGTGGCTGAACTAATTTACATTCCCACCAGCAGTGTACAAGTGTTCCCTTTTCTCCACAACAAAAAATCTGTTATTTTTTGACTTTTTAGTAATAGCCATTCTTGTTTGAGATGATAGTTCATTGTGGTTTTGATTTGCACTTCTCTAATGATTAGTAAATTTGGGCATTTTTTCATATTTCTTGGCTGCGTGTATGTCTACTTTTGAGAAATGTCCGTTCATGTCCTTTGTCCACTTTTTAAAAATTATTATACTTTAAGTTCTAGGGTACATGTGCACAACGTGCAGGTTTGTTACATAGGTGTACATGTGCCATGTTGGTTTGCTGCACCCATCAACTCGTCATTTACATTAGGTATTTCTTCTAATGCTATCCCTCCCCCAGCCCCCCACCCCATGACAGGCCCTAGTGTGTGATATTCCCCGCCCTGTGTCCAAGTGTTCTCATTGTTCAATTCCCATTTATGAGTGAAAATATGCAGTATTTGGTTTTCTGTCCTTGTGATAGTTTGCTGAGAATGATGGTTTCCAGCTGCATCCATGTCCCTGCAAAGGACACGGAACCCATCCTTTTTTATGGCTGCATAGTTTTCCATGGTGTATATGTGCCACATTTTCTTAATCCAGTCTATCATTGATGGACATTTGCATTGGGGTTGTCTTTTGCTTATTTGTTTGAGTTCCTTATATATTCTGGATGTTAGACCTTTGTCAGATGCATAGTTTGTGGATATTTCCCCCCATTCTGTAGGTTGTGTGTTTATTCTGTTGATAGTTTCTTTTGCTATGCAGAAGCTCTGCAGCTTAAATAGGTCCCACTTGTCAATTTTTGTTTTTGTTGCAATTGCTTTTGAGAATTTGGTCATAAACTATTTGTCAGAGCTTATGTCCAGAAGGGTATTTCCTAGGTTTTCTTCTAGGATTCTTACAATTAAGGTCTTACATTTAAGTTTTTAATCCATCTTGAGTTAATTTTTGTATATGGTGACAGGTGGGCGTCCAGTTTCATTCTTCTGCATATACTTAGTTATCTCAGCACCATTTACGGAATAGGGAGTTCTTTCATCACTGCTTATTTTTGTCCACTTTGTCAAAGATCAGTTGGTGGTAGGTGTGATTCTTTATTTCTGGGTCCTCTATTCTACTCCATTGGTCTATATGTATGTTTTTGTGCCCATACCACACTGCTTTGGTTACCATAGGCTTTGATATTGGGTAATGTGATGCCTCCAGATTTGTTCTTCTTGATTAGAATTGCTTTGGCTATTTGGGCTCTTTTTTGGTTGCAAGTGAGTTTTAAAATAGTTTTTTCTAATTTTGTGAAAAATGATGCTCGTAATTTGATAGGAATAGCATTGAATCTGTAGGTTGCTTTGGGCAGTATAGACATTTTAATGATATTGATTCTTCCTATTCATGAGCATGGGATGTTTTCCCATTTGTTTGTGTTATCTCTAATTTATTTGATCAGTGTTTTGTAATTCTCATTGTAGACAGCTTTCTCCTCTCTGGTTAGCTGTATTCCTAGATATTTTATTCTTTTTGTGGCTACTGTGAATGAGATTGCATTCTTGATTTGGTTCGCAACTTGGACATTGCTGGTGTATAGAAATGCTACTAGTTTTGTACATTGATTTTGTATCCTGAAACTACTGGAATTGTTTATCAAATCTAGGAGCTTTTTGGCAGAGACTATGGGGTTTTCTAGGTACAGAATCAGATTGTCTGCAAAGGGAGATAGTCTGACTTCTTCTCTTTCTATTTGGATGAACTTTATTTATTTCTCTTGCCTGATTGCTCTGGCTAGGACATCCAGTACTATGTTGAATAGCAGTGGTGAGAATGGGCATTCTTGTCTTGCTCTGGTTCTCAAGGGGAATGTTTCCAGCTTTTGCCCATTCAGTTTGATGTTGGCTGTGGGTTTGTCATAGATGGTTCTTATTATTTTGAAGTATGTTCCTTCGATGCCTAGTCTGTTGAAGGTTTTTATCACGAAGGGATGTTAAATTTTATCAAAAACTTTTTCTGCATCTATTGAGATGATTATGTGGTATTTGGTTTTTATTCTGCTTATGTGGTGAATCACATTTATTGATTTGCATATGCTGAACCAAACTTACATCTTAGAAATGAAGCCTACTTGATTGTGATGGATTAAAGTTTGATGTACTGCTGGATTTGGATTTCTAGTAATTTGCTGGGGAATTTTGTATCTATGTTCGTCAGGGATATTGGCCTGTAGTTTTCTTTTTTCATTGTGTTTTTGCCAGATTTTGGTATCAGGGTGATGATGGTTTCATAGAATTAGGGAATAATCCCTCCTCCCTGCTTTTTTGGAATAGTGGTGTAAGTTGTCACTAAGATTGGCACCAACTCTTCTTTATATAACTGGTAGAATTTGTCTGTGAATTCACCTGGTCCTGGGCTTCTTTTGGTTGGTAGGGGTTTTTTTTATTATTATTACTGACTCAATTTCAGAACTTGTTATTGGTCTGTTCAGGATTTTAATTTCTTCCAGATTCAGTCTTGGGAAGTTGTGTGTTTCCAGAAATTTATCCACTTTCTCTAGATTTTCTTGTGTGCACAGAAGTGTTCAGAGGTACTCACATCTCTGAGTAACTTCTGTGTTTCTACAGAATTGGTTTTAATGTTTCTTTGTCATTTATGATTGTGCTTATTTGGATCTTCTCCTTTGTTTCTTTGTTAATCTAGCTAGTGTTCTATTGATCTTGTTTATCCTTTCAAAGAACCAATTTTTGCTTTCGTTGATCATTTGCATGGATGTGGGGGTCTCAATTGCATTCAGTTCTGTTCTGGTTTCAGTTATTTCTTTTCTTCTGGTAACTTTGGGGTTAGTTTTTTTTTTTTTTTTTTTTGAGCTCCTCTAGGTATGATGTTGAATTGTTAGTGAGGTCTTTCTAACTTCTTGATGTAGGTGTTTAGCACTATAAACTTTCCTTTTAACACTACTTTTGCTGCATCCCAGAGATTTTTGTATGTTGTGTCCTGGAAAATAGTAAAATGATTTTTGACTGGAAATTTTATATCTAAAGACAAAAAGAACTATAAGTAAACATTGTATTCTGGTTGGGAAATTTTTTCCCATAAGGATAAGGGTTAGCATTTCTGAAACTACTTTATATGCCTACTAGGATTGATCAAATAAGTAACTATATTAAAGTTAATGAGCCCAGATTTCACACTGTCAAAGAAAGAAGTTACAAGTAAATGAAGGGGTGGGGGAGGACAGAATGAATCCTGTGATGCTACAGTAGAGTCAGAGATATCAGCATGAGCTCATGTTGATAGATAGATAGATATAAATAAAAGTAGAGAGAGATAAAAATAAATAAAGATGTATATTTGTATACATGGGTTTGAGTGTGTGTGGGTGTGTAACTTTTTAGCTTTGAGAGATCCAAGAAGCAGTAACATTTCAATAGTAACAGGTATACCCAGCACCAAGATCTGGGTTTTAAAATACCACCCTTCAATAAAAGGAACCACAGCTCCTTGGAGAATGGCTGATTTTAAAGCTAAAGGAAGGAAAATACCTTATCCATTTTGTAGTATTAGTAAGTAAGGAAGGGCTAAAAAAGGGAAGGGGGTTAGGAGTGGAGGCATGCCATAAGAACACAGGAGCCAAACTGAAAGAGGGTCAATAACCAATTGAGAAACATAAAAATAATGATAGTATTGGGTTATAACTCAAAGGACACAATTATCCATGAGTCCACCTGATATAAATAAATGATCAAAGATATAAATAATGGGGAAGAAAGGACAAATCTTCATTAAAGAATAATTCCAATTAATGAGTATAGAAGAAATGAAGAAAACAGTATATCAGCATTAGAACACCACAGTGATAACTGCTGTAGGTAGTATCTGTTGATGAATGCTAAACTGGTGGACAAAACTTTAAGGAGAAAAGTGTATTTGTGTAGTCTCCAAGTATTTCTCCCCAATTTAGTAATTACTCTGGTGGACCACAGAATTTTTTCATACTCCTTCCTCAAGGAGGTGGAGTTTAATTTCTTCCCCTTGAATGTGACTGAACTTAATGACTCACTTTTAACAAATTAAATATGGAAAGAAATAATAAATTCACTGTGGAGAAACCTGGCAGACACCACCTTAACCAAATAATCAAGTCTAATATCACCAATGATAAGTTAATGCCATGTACTCCTTGAAATGAGGCAATGAGAAGGGCACTTTCCCTTATGCTGTATTCTTCCTCCAAATCTATAACCCAAGTCTAATTATGAGAAAACATCTTACAAATCCAAATTGTGAAACATCCTATAAAATACCTGGCCAGTACTCTTTCAAAAGGGTCAAGGTCATGAAAGAGAAGCAAAACCAAGAAGCTGCTACGCATTGGAAGAGACTAGGGAGACAACGTGATTAAATACAAGGTGTTACCCTGCATGTGATCTTCAAACAGATAAAAAGATATTGGCAGAAAAACTGAGAAAATCTAAATAACACATATAATTTAGTTGACAGTATTGTACTAATGTTAATTTCTTAGTTTGATAATTGTGCCATGGTTATGTAAGATGTTGTATTAGTCTGTTTTCATGCTGCTGACATGAAAGCATTTCATGCTTTCTGACATACCCGAGACTGGGATGAAAAAGAGATTTAATTGGACTTACAGTTCCACATGGCTGGGAAGGCCTCAGAATCATGACTGGAGGCAAAAGGCACTTCTTATATGGCAGTGGCAAAAGAAAATGAGGAGGAAGCAAAAGCAGAAACTTCTGATGAACCCATCAGATCTCATATAACTTATTCACTATCACGAGAATAGCACGGGAAAAAGACCAGCCCCCATGATTCAATAACCTCCCCCAGGTCCCTCCCACAATACATGGGAATTCTGGGAGATACAATTCAAGTTGAGATTTGGGTAGGGACACAGACAAACCATATCAGATGTGAGCATTAGGGGAGGCGGGGTGAAGGGCATATGGGAATTCTATATACTATCGTTGTAACTCTTCTATAAATCTAAAATTATTTCAAAATAAAAAGTTAAAAATTTCAGTAACATTTCTATATTCCAGTGACAGAAAATGAACTTAGCCTTAAAACTGTGCAGTTCCTAGAAATAAAAGTAGTTAAAAGGATGTAATATATTTATTGTGAAAATAAAATACTATATTGAAAGTCATTTAAAAAGTTCTAAGTGGAAACTGTAGTCGTGGGTAGGAAGACTTAATATTGCCCTCCAGTTGATCAACAGATTCAATGGAATTGCAACACAAACCCAGCAGGCATGTGTGTGTGTGTGTGTGTGTGTGTGTGTGTGTGTGTGTGTGTAACTTGACAAAAAGATTTAAAACAAATATGAAGGAACAAAGTGTAAAAATAGCCAAGACACTCCTAAAGAGAAAATATCCTTACTAGATAGCAATAATTAGCTATAATACTTATGGCAGTGTATATAGTATTGATATAATGATAGACTAATAGAATAAGATGCCTAGAAACAAACCCTGCCCAACTTTATACTGCCTAAAAGGAAGATATCAATATAAGGACACAGAAAGATTTATAGCAAAAAGGATTAAAAAGTATATACCAAAAGAAAATAAGGTAGCCAAAATATTATCCAACATGTAATTCAAGGCATGAAGAATTGTTTGAGATAGAGATATTTCATACCAATAAATAGGAGAAACTAATAAAAACCATTATTGTATACACCCAATAATATACCTGAAAAGTATATAAAGCAGAAATGCACAGAAATAGAAAAATCTATAATTAACATTAACAAACTTTTCAGTGCCTGATAGTACAAGCAAATGAAAAATATAACAGTAAAGATATTGCAGTTGCCCACCAAGAAGCAGCTTCTCTGCTCCTTCTGGAATCTCCGCCTGGTTCAGCCTGCCTGCCTCCACCCCTGCCTCCACCATGTCCACCAGGGTGATCCAGAAGTCCTACAAGGTGCCCACCTCTGGCCCCCGGGCCTTCAGCAGCTGCTCCTACACACATGGGCCCAGTGCCCACATCAGCTCCTCAAGCTTCTCCCGAGTGGGCAGCAGCAGCTTCCGGGATGGCATGGGTGAAGGCTATGGTGGGGTCAGTGGCATGGGAGGCATCACCACCATCATGGTCAAGCAGAGCCTGCTGAGTCCCCTTCACCTGGAGGTGGACCCCAACATCCAGGCTGTGCACACCCAGGAGAAGAAGCAGATCAAGACCCTCAACAAGTTTGCTTCCTTCATCGACAAGGTACAGTTCCTGGAGCAGCAGACCAAGATGCTGGAGACCAAGTGGAGCCTCCTGCAGCAGCAGAAGATGGCTCAGAGCAACATGGACAACATGTTCGAGAGCTACATCAACAACCTTAGGCGGCAGCTGGAGACTCTGGGCCAGGAGAAGCTGAAGCCTGAGGCGGAGCTTGGCAACATGCAGGCATGCAGGGGCTGGTGGAGGACTTCAAGAACAAGTATGAGGATGAGATCAATAAGTGTACAGAGATGGAGAATGAATTTTTCCTCATCAAAGATGTGGATGAAGCTTACATGAACAAGGTAGAGCTTGAGTCTCGCCTGGAAGGGCTCACTGACCAGATCAACTTCCTCAGGCAGCTGTATGAAGAGGGGATCCGGGAGCTGCAGTCTCAGATCTCGAACACATCTGTGGTGCTGTCCATGGACAACAGCCGCTCCCTGGACATGGACAGCATCACCACTGAAATCAAGGAGCAGTACAAGGAGATTGCCAACCGCAGCTGGGCTGAGGCTGAGAGAATGTACCAGATCAAGTATGAGGAACTGCAAACTCTGGCTGGGAAGCCCGGGGATGACCTGGGGCATACAAAGACTGAGTTCTCTGAGATGAACATCAGCCGGAACATCAGCTGGCTCCAGGCTGAGATTGAGGGCGGGCTTCCCTGGAGGCCGCCATCGCAGATGCCAAGCAGCGTGGGGAGCTGGCCGTTGAGGATGCCAAGGCCAAGTTGTCCGAGCTGGAGGCCGTTCTGCAGCGGGCCAAGCAGGACATGGCGCGGCCTCTGCGTGAATACCAGGAGCTGATGAATGTCAAGCTGGCCCTGGACGTAGAGATCGCCACCTACAGGAAGCTGCTGGAGGGCGAGGAGAGCCGGCTGGAATCTGGGATGCAGAACATGAGCACCCATAGGAAGACCACCAGGGGCTATGCAGGTGGTCTGAGCTCCGCCTATGAGGGCCTCACAAACCCCAGCCTCAGCTACGGCCTGGGTTCTAGCTTTGGCTCTGGTGTGGGCTCCAGCTCCTTCAGCCGCACCAGCTTCACCAGGGCCATGGTTGTGAAGAAGATCGAGACCCGTGATGGGAAGCTGGTGTTCCAGTCCTCTGACATCCTGCCCAAGGGAACAGCTGCGGCAGCCCCTCCCAGCCTGCCCCTCCTGCGGCTGCCCCAGAGCCTGGGAGGGAGGCTGCTGTGCAGGGGAGCACAGGGAACGGGAGGGAGGCTCACCTGAGGCTCAGTGCTAGCCGTCAGCCCATTCGAGGGGGAGTTTACCGCCTGAGGACCTCTATTTGCTTTTTTTTTTTTTTGTCCAAAATAAAACCTCAGCTAGCTCTGCCAAAAAAAAAAAAAAGATATAGCAGTCAAGAATAACAAAATTAATACAATTGAGTTAATTGACATGTATACAAAACTGTGGCCAACAATAGAATACACATTTTTATCAGTGAACTTGGACTATACCAAAATTGACCATATTCTGGGTTTTAAAGTCCCAACAAATATTAAAGAATTGAAATAATTCAGAATGTGTTCTCTGACCCTAGTTAAGATAGAAATCAATAATAAAAGTTAACCATAAAAATCTTAAGTTTGGAAATAAAACAATATACTTATTTATGAATCATGATCCAAAAAATAACAAAAGAACTTAGAAAGTTTTAAAAAATTGACTTATAATGAAAACATGACAAATGAAAATTTGTGAGATGCAGCTATAGAGTTTAGAGGAAAAGTTATAGTTTTATTTACATATATTAGAAAAGAATAAAAGCCAAAAATTCATGATCTAAGCTTTTATCTCAAAAAGCTAGAAAAAGACCATCAAATAAAATCCAAGGGAAATAGAAGGAAGTAAAAATAAAGACACCAGGAAAATGTCGTGAAATAAAAAATAGAATAGAAAACATCAAAATAGCCAAAAGTGATATCTGAAAAGTTTAACAAAATTAATAACATGCCAGTAAAACTGTTTGAGAGGAAACACATTACTAATATTGAAAATAAAGAAGTAAACATTAACTATAGATCTTACTAATGCTAAAAGAAAACTTAATACTAATATATTTGACACTTCAGTGAATAGTAAATTCCTTAAAATACACAATGTACCCAAACTGACACTAAAAATGTAAGAAAATTTGAGTAGTCTTATATTTGTTAAAACAATTGAATCCACTAGTGAAAGACTTCCCATAAAGAAAACTCTAGACTCAAGTGGCTTCACTGGTGGATTGTGCCAAATATGTAAAGAATTAATAATACCAATTGTAACCAAACTCAAAGAACAGAAAAAGAAAAACTGCTTCCCAATTCATTCTGTTGTTGAAAGTCAGACATAATCTAAATAGCCCTTTAGTGTAAGCTTTTATATTAATCTGGCTGGGAGCTAGGATGTCTTTAATGTTTATGGTGGCTGTAGGTGCCAAAGGCTTCAAATTCCTTTAACGTCCTTGTTTCTGTCTCCTTTGTTGACTTTGGGTTTCCCTAAGTACTCCTGCTCAGAGAGAGTCTGTATCTTATAGCTCTTTCTGCTATAATGTATTTTTTCCCATTATATGTTTTTTATTTTGGTATAATTTAGGTAAAATAAAATGCACAGATTTAAGATGACAGTTCTATGTGTTTTGATGGATTTATACACCCAGAATATTGTCACCCTAATTAAGACATGAGACATTTCCATCACTTCAACAAATTTGTTTTGTGCTTCTCTATATTCAATTCTTGTCCATGTAATCTACTTTCATTATACGGGAGCATATTAGTATGCAGAATGAAAGTATTCTATAATCCTATGATGAAATCTCAGCCTTTTGGTGGGCCTGTGTTCCTGTGGCCACAGGTCTTGTTTGGTGTGCCTGTGTCTTCACTTTTTCCTCCCTGTTAGGTGAGACAGGAAGGCTAGAGGAAAGTAGAGGGGGATCAATGCCCTTTGCCCAGGTGGGATAAGGCTCTGGAAAAGCCTGTTTGTCCCTGGAGATGCCTTTGCTATGGAGCATACATTGGTTTTATTTCATAAAGATTTATTTTCTCCCCCTGCTCTACCCCACCAGAGCCAGTAGGGGAGAAACTAATGAGGTTTTTGGAAATAGAATCCATGAAAATATGAGGGCTCTACTAAGACGGTGGCCCTGGAAATTTCTCAGTCTCATGCTAGTTCACACTCAGCCTCTAGCAATTTATCAAAATTACCATCAAAATTACCATTTAAGTGTTCCTAACAGTTTATGGCTCCAAGTGGCTTCTGCTCCAGATATGCAAATATTAGCTGTACTTCTCTGGATTTGCCTGTCTCTCCCAATTTCAGAGTGGTGGTCTACCTTGCAACTTCAGCTCTCTGATGGGTACAAGAAAAATCATTGATTTTCAGTTTGTTCAGGCTTTTCTTATTATAAGGGTGGAAGTGACAACTTCTAAGCTCTTTACATGTTGGAGCTGAAACCAGAGGTTCCCAATTCATTTTATGATATGAATATAACCATGATACAAAAAACCTGCAAAAGACTTTACAAGAAATGAAAATTAATGTCAGTCCATCTCCATGAACATAAATGCCAACATTCTAAACAAAATATTAGCAAATAAAATCCAGATATATGTATAAAAGTTAATGCGCCGTGACCAAATAAGACTTATTCCAAGAAAACAAGAGTTTAACATTTAAAAACCAATGTAATTCAACATATTAACAAATAACTGAGAAAGTAAAATCACTAATCCTTAAAAACCTAAGTTCTTGAAGCCTTTCCCAGCTTCAGGTGTTGTTATTTCGTACCTTCTCAGAGGACGTTGGCTTCTCTTTTCTCCACAGAGATTGGTTGCTTTTGGCTGGGACGCCAATCCAGTTAGTGATGGTCAGGATGAAAGGTTTGGTTACCATTGGCACACATGGCATGGACCAGAGCTACATGATGTGGAAAGAACTGCTTGAGGAAGTTACAACCTAAATACCTGTAGGGGTTGGGGTGGAGAAGGCCCTAGTGAAAAGTGAGCTTATTTGCACCCCAGAGTCCCTGAGAAGCTCAGCACTTTCATTGTTGTGTGACATCCCATATAACAGTAAAATGTTTCCAACAAAATAACAGCCAAATGTTTATAACAGACTCTTGGAAAAATCCACATAGACTTCATGCCAGGGTCTCAAGCAAAACATGCTCAAAACTGTCTGCACCTCTCCTGAAATAGATCCTGCCATCTGACTTCTCTCTTCCTCCCACTCACCCAGGACTGCAGACTTGACCTCTTCTACATCATCTCCCTCCTACCCTACATACAATCATTTGCCCTCAAAACTTCTACATTCATCAGCTTTTTCAGCCTCAATGCTGGTATCTTCATTTAGTTTCCTACATGATTAAGTGGACTCATTCCTAAAGTTATATGTTTAGAATGTAACCAAATCAAGTGTACTCAGGTTAATTTGTTTCCATACATTTGTAATAGGTTAAGAATCATTGTGGAAAAATTATTGTGGCAGAAGCAATATAGCAAGTTAGCATCTGTCAAGTCAGTTGGGAATCACTGGTTGGACTGAAAAAAAAAAAAAAAAAAAAGGACAATCCTCACCGTGTAAAGAAATAGTAACCTCTTGTTCCTTAACAATTCCCTAGGTCATCCCCAGGCTATCCCCTGAAACAGTGACTCAATCCTAGTCCTAATCTCCACATCTCTTGCCACCAAATCCTAGATAAATCCGTATCAGAACCCACAACCACAAATCACATCTGAGGACACCCCATTCTGACGAACCTATGAGACAAAGCAGGGACGCCTCTTAGGGGCCTGCCATACACTCCCACCCCCACCCCCCAAGCATGGAAATAAAGGAAAATCTTGAGTTTCTTCAAGGGAAATTCTGGAAATTCTGCCTAGCTAGCCCTGAGATTAAATGAGGAACTTGATAAGCAAAAAGGTAATAGTAGCTTAAAACAATAGCCAAGGAAGTTAGAGTCATGAGATGTTTGTTTTCCTATAGAAACTAAAGGTAATATCTTAATATAAGTCCCTAAGTTGTTTTTCAGAAACCCAGACCCCCACAGACCCCCATCAAACAGATCTGTTGGCAGGCAGACCTCAGATAAGGGGGAACTAAGGACTGAACCCTGACCACCATTCTATGTTCTGAAGTCCTTCCTGAGGGTCTGAGTCCTCGTGGGTGAGGAAGTTACACCCACAAGTCAGAGCTAACATTCCTTTCTGGTGATCCCAAATTTTTAAACAAAGCTTCTCTTCCTTAACCAATTGCAAATCAGAAAATCTTTGAATCTGCCTATGACCTGTAAACCCCTGCTTAAGATATCCCCCCTTTAAGGCCAAACCAATGTATAGTTTCCATGTACCAATTTACAAATTTGCCTTTAACTTCTGATTTCCTGAAAATTTCCCCTGCCTTTAAAAACCCTTGCTTGCAAGCCACTGAGGAGGTTGGTTCTTAAGCATGAGCTGCCCAATTCTTGCTTGATGTCCTGCAAATAAACACCCTCCTTTTCCTGCTGCAAACCTCAGTGTGGATGTTCGGCCTTACTGTGCTGGACGAGCAGGCCCCAGTTCAATTCAGTTCAGTAACACCTGTAACTTTTACACCTTGGAATTATTGCAACCGACTACTCCCTTGATTAATAGTACCACTTTATCTCTATTAAAGGTCAAGCTTTTAAAAAGTTTCCACCTTGTACATTTTCCTCATTCAGGCACTTCTTTTAATCCTGACATTATTATATTTTAGCTAACTAATTATTGATACTCTCTTTTCCTGAAATTGTTCACCTCTGGTTTTCCTCTTATCTCTGTAGGCGGTGGATTCTCCTCTATAGGCCCATTGATAGAGTTTCTCAAAGCTTACTCTGTCTGAGGCCCTTTTCTCTTCTCTCTGTATAACTTTTCCTATGAGGCAAACTCACCCACTTCCTTGACTGAATATTAAAAGTGGTATAACTCCACCCCAAATCTCTCCTCTGAGATTCAGACCAGCATATCCAACATTCTACTTAACAAACATCTTCCAAGTTTCAAAAACACCTCAAATTCCACAGGTCCAAGTGTGATCTTTCTCTCCATATCTGACGCTCTTTTAGTGTTTTTTATTTTTTAGTTAGTAGTTCCACCAAATTGGACATGATAGAAACCGAGGAATAATCTCTGGCACCTCCATCTGTGTTATTCTCCACGGTCAATCCATCAACAATCCCTGTGAATTTTCCCTCCTATACTCATCCACTTCCATCTGTCTCCTCGGCTCCCACACTAGACCAAGCTATAATCATTTCTTGCCTGGACTAATAGAGTAGTCTCTTGAAAAGTCTCCTTGAAGAACTACAAACCACTGTTCAAAGAAATCGAGATGATACAAACAAATGGAAAAACATTCAATGTTCATGGATAGGAAGAATCAATATCATTAAAATGACCATACTCTCCAAGGCAATTTATAGATTCAATGTTATTTCCATTAAACTACCATGACATTTTTCACAGAACTAGAAAAAACTATTTTAAAATTCATATGAAACCAAAAAAGAGCCCCAATAGCCAAGACAATCCTAAGCAAAAAGCAAAGCTGGAGGCATCATGCTACCCAACTTCAAACTATTCTGCAGGGCAACAGCAACCAAAAAAGCATGGTACTGGTACAAGAACAGACACATAGACCAATGGAACAGAGAAGATAACCCAGAAATAAGACTGCACACCTACAACTATCTGGTCTGACAAAAACAAGCAATGGGGAAAGGATTTCCTATTCAATAAATGGTGCTGGGATAACTGGCTAGCCATATGCAGAAGACTGAAACTGGACCACTTCCTTAAACTGTATAGAAAAGTTAGTTCAAGATGGATTAAAGACTTAAATGTAAAACCCAAAACTATAAAAGAAAAAACAACAACAACCCTGGAAGACAACCTAGGCAATACCATTCAGGACATAAGCACAGGCAAAGATTTCATGACAAAGACGCCAAAAGCAATCACAACAAAAGCAGACATTGACAAATGGGATGTAATTAAACTAAAGAACTTCTGCACAGTGAAAGAAACTGTAAGCAGAGTAAAAAGACAACCTGGGAGAATGGGAGAAAATTTTTGCAAGCTATGTATCCAACAAAGATCTAATATCCAGCATCTATAAGGAACTTAAACAAATTTACAAGAAAAAAACAAACAACCCCATTAAAGAGTGATGAAAGGACATGAATAGACACTTCTCAAAAGAAGACATACATGTGGCCAACAATCATATGAAAAAAAAACCAACATCTATGTACCCAAAGGATTATAAATCATGCTACTATAAAGACACATGCACATGTATGTTTATTGTGGCACTATTCACAATAGGAAAGACTTGGAACCAACTCAAATATCCATCAATGATAGATAGACTGGATTAAGAAAATGTGGCACATATATGCCATGGAATACTATGCAGCCATAAAAAAGGATGAGTTCATGTCCTTTGCAGGGACATGGATGAAGCTGGAAACCATCATTCTCAGTAAACTATCACAAAGACAGAAAATCAAACACTGCATGTTCTCACTCATAGGTGGGAACTGAACAATGAGAACACTTGGACACAGGGCGGGGAACATCATATATCGGGGCCTGTTGTGGGGAGGGGGGCTGGGGGAGGGATAGCATTAGGAGAAATACCTAATGTAAGTGATGAGTTGATGGGTGCAGCAAACCAACATGGCACATGTATACCTATGTATCAAACCTGCACGTTGTGCACTTGTAGCCTATAACTTAAAGTATAATTAAAAAAAACCCAACATCACTGATCATCAGAGAAATGCAAATCAAAACCACAATGAGATACCATCTCACACCAGTCAGAAAGGCTATTTTTAAAGTCAAAAAATAACGGATGCTGGTGAGGTTGTGGAGAAAAAGGAACACTTATAGGCTGTTGGTGGAAGTGTAAATTAGTTCAGCCATTGTGGAAGATGGTGGCGATTCCTCTAAGACCTAAAGACAGAAATACCATTCCAGCCAGCAATCCCATTACTGGATATATATCCAAAAGAATATAAATCGTTCTATTATAAAGACACACGCATGTGTACGTTCATTGCAGCACTATTCACAATAGCAAAGACACGGGATCAATCTAAATGCCCGTTAATGATAGACTGGATAAAGAAAATGTGGTAGATATACACCATGGAATACTACATAGCCATAAAAGAGAATGAGATCATGTTCTTTGCAGGCACTTGGATGGAGCTGGAGGCCATTATCCTTAGCAAACTAATGCAGGACAGAAAACCAAATACTGCATGTTCTCACTTATAAGTGAGAGCTAAATGATGAGAACACATGGACACAAAGAAGGGAACAACGCACACTGGGGCTTTTCAGAGGGTGGAGAGTGGGAGGAGGGAGAGGATCAGGAAAAACAACTAATGGGTACTAGACTTAATACCTGGGTGATGAAATAATCAGTACAACAAACCCCCATGACACAAGTTTACCTATGTAACAAACCTGCAGTTGTAGCTCTGAAATTAAAAAGAAAAATAAAAAGAAAAAAAGAAAGGTCTCCTTGAATCTAGTCTCTCCACCTTTAATTTATTCACCACAATTCATAAAGACCAATCACTAAATGAGAATCTGGGCATGTAGTTTCTCCCCAGATAACCTTCACTGGCTACTCATTGTTCTGCATATAAGGCTATACAAATGAAAGTGACATGGTTTTCAAGGCCTTGATGATCTGACACTTTAGTTACCCTTCCAGCCACTTTCCCCTCACTTCTTGTAGTCTAGCCACACTAACCTTATTTCTGTGCCTTGAATGTGCCATAATATCTCTGCCACAGAGCCTTTGCACAGCCTGTTTGCTTTGTCTGATAGGTTGTTTCTTTCTTCCACATACTTCAGAGCTCAGGCCAAATTTTACTTCCTAAGGGAAACCAGGTAGAAATGCTTTTCACATCAGAATACAAGCCAGAAGAGGGCTACAGAGCAGGGAAGGGGGCATTTGTAGGCTCTTTGTTGTCTTCTTCTCTACGTATCTTTTATAAGTTGGCAGTGCCATAGCTCTACTTTCCAAAACCCTCTGTGTCTCCTCATATCCATATCTGAGAAACATAAGTCTGCAGTTCTGCATCATTGCCAAGCTCTGGTTGACAACCGACTTGAGTTTGAGATATAAAGAAAAACAATGAATTCCTTCATTGTTCCTATTGATCCTGAGATCAAGGAGTTTTTATTCTTTTTTTTTTTTTTTTTTGAGACGGAGTCTTGCTGTGTCACCCAGGCTGGAGTGCAGTGGGGCCATCTCGGCTCACTGCAAGCTCCGCCTCCCAGGTTCACACCATTCTTCTGCCTCAGCCTCCCGAGTAGCTGGGACTATAGGCGCCCGCCACCATGCCTGGCTAAGTTTTTTTGTATTTTTTTTAGTACAAACGGGGTTTCACCGTGTTAGCCAGGATGGTCTCGATCTCCTGACCTCATGATCCGCCCGCCTCGGCCTCCCAAAGTGCTGGGATTACAGGCGTGAGCCACCGCTCCCGGCCGAGTTTTTATTCTTACAGGCTCTGGGAGTGAAAACCAAGAAGTTTCCTTTTTCAGCCCTTGTGGACACAGAACTCCAATAGTTCAAAGTTTTATGGACACAGAACTCCAACAGTTCAACATTGGTTCTAAATTTAGAATGCTGAAGTTAGAGTGCTTTGTTAGTCTGACAAATACAATATTCTCCTGAGTCTAACATTTAGAGCTTACATATTTTTTCCCATTCACAAAGTGCTATAGGCAATGACTGCTATTTGGCTTGGGAATTTTAGTAGTGACTTTTTAAAAACTCTCAAGTCATTCTGACTTTGACCCTCTCCAGCCAAAGGCATGACCAATGCATTTTAGTTCACCAGAACTTACCATTTTCCCCATGCTGTTCTGTGTTAGATTTCATCTGGATTCTCTCCAGAGTTTAGTGTTTAAACTGCCATTTATGGGAACACATTTTGCTAATTGTGCTCTTATTTGGATAAGTCACATGAGCCACATTGCTAAGTTGTGACTACAACCTCAGCTGCTGCTGAACTGCCCAAGGCAGGAAAATAAATTGCACCAATCTGCTCCAGAAATGAGAGAATGGGGGAAAATCCTTAGATTTGATTAGATGTTAGCTTTCAACCATTTATGTGGGGTTTTTTCCTTCTTAATGAAAACATCCTGTTAGTAAAAATTTAACCATCTCAAGAGCTTTGACAGGGGATGAAAAAAGTGAAAGTTTTAGTGTCCTCCTAATGTAGGCTCCTAGAATATCCATCCATCATTCTACGCATGCCAGTAACACCCACATTTGTTGCTTGATTTACTGATTCAGTGGTTCCTTAAGCATTCTATCTATATCTATCTATCTATCTATCTATCTATCTATCTATCTCTATTATATCTCTTTGCTATATCCCTCTCCATTCTTTTTCTTTTGAAGTAATTGGTAGGTCAATATATACATCTGTGAGTACCTATAATATGAATTCATTGTGAGAAAGATGAAATGCAGTGGTTGCAAGAAATAAAACTTTTGGGGGGACAATTGATGAATGAGACTCATTCACAACACATGGACTTTATTAAAATAATGGTGCATGTGTCATCCTCTGATGGAAGAGCTGGACTGGGATGAACTGTGAGCTTGCTTGTTTGCAGATGCTGAAGCACATAGGCCAGATTCCTCATTTCTCACAAGCCCACATAGGTATGCCTGCAGCATGGCATCTACAAAACATGCTGCCCTAAGCACAAAAGTGGATTATCTGCTTCTTTTGGTTGATGGCAGTTATTTCAGGGAGGGACTATCAACAAGTTTCTACTTGCTACAATCTAGGGCTTGAATCCATAGGCCATACTCACTTGGCCTGAAAAGACATAACCAGACTGGAAGAAAGAACCTTGCCTTAATTCAAATGTTAAAATCTCAAGAGTCTGGCATAAGGGAGGAGGAAATAATGGACAGAGTATTCTCAAAACTGGCTTTCTGCTTGCTAAGTAAGCATACACACGTAAAGGTAATGTAAATATATTTTCTCTAAAGGTGAACTACTGTTACCGATGCCAGGGTGGAAAACAAGACTGAAGTTGTTGAAGAAAATAAAGAACTATAGGTAATAATAGTACCACTAAAACTAGAGATGATGCCAAGCTGCAGGTTATAAGTATGACTTCACATGAAGCTGGAAAGCATGTATCATTACTTCGCATTCAAGTTCTGAGCAGTTTTTAGAAAATGGAAATGACATCCTTTACAGATTTAAATTTCAACATTGCTTTTGTTTTTCATGCTGATTCACCCAGAACTTGCCAAAGAAAGTCCCAGTAAAAATGTTCATGAAGGTTTTAGTAAAGTAAAAGACAAAAAAGATTTGTTTCTGAGGCTTTCCTGAGTGATTTCTCTAAATTCTTCTTGAATCATCATTCTTCGGAAAATGAGTTTGTACTCCTGCAGGCTCTGAAGGTCAGGATAGACCAGCTATGACTTTTCTAGGAAGTGAGTAATAGTAAGACCACGGGACTAATTTCTGGAGGCCTGGAGGTACTTTTCATTTCAGAAGCTGTAGGTGTGGTTTTCCCCTCCAAATGGCTTTAGGGAGTTCCAGAGGCGTGTGTACACTTGAAATGGGAATAGCCAACCTAAAGTAAACTTGCCCTGGAGGTTCTGCCAACCTCTGTCAGCTCTTACCCTGGGTTTCCCCACCCATAGTGACTGGTCCTTTATATTCCTTCTCACTCCTTTCTTCTCTATCACCCATTCCTCCAACCATTCCTCCCCACCAACTCCAAATCTTCATACCCATGCAAAAACCTGAGAATTCTTTGAATATGTATCACTTAGAATTCCTTCTTCCCGGAAAATATGGAAGGACACTGCTGCCAAATGCTGTTTGTAAGACTCACACGCAAGCTATAGCCATGGAAAATTCGTAAGAATCATTGTTGGGAGGGGAACACGTTCATAATTCTTTAAAAATTCATATTCTTTTTGGAGAAAAATTTAGGGTTTTAGTGTTAAAATGCAGCTAAGTGGCTTCATTTTCTTCATTCATTCACTCAATAAAAATTTACTGTGCACCTACTATATGCCAGATGTGGTGTTAGAAGATACTGTGATAGAAGACACAGTCACTGCCCACAAAGATTTTAAGAGTTGGTGAAGAAGAGAAGAAAAATAATAATTACAATATAGTGCTATAAAGACTATGAGAGATGTTGTAGTCAGTATGCCATGGGCAGTTAAGAATTGTTAAAGTCCTCAATGATGAGTAGGACTTAATGAGGAAACTGTGTGTGTGTGTGTGTGTGTGTGTGTGTGTGTGTGTGTACTGGACTTGGGGAAATTGCTGGTGTTGTCCAGCTTCAGACGGGCTAAAGTTACCACCAAAACCCACTTTCTAAAGCTTATTACACACTAATAAGGCAGAAGAGAAAGTGGACCAAGCTTTCTTCAGTATTCTCTTTCCTCTCCATGGTGTTCCCAATTTCTCCTCCCCTTTTCCCCATATTTTTGCTTCCAACTTTCAGGAAATAATTAATAGACTTAATTCTTCATGGTTAAGTTTCATTGCTTGTTTCCCACAAGAGCTTATGCATTTCAGTAAATGTCAGTGCCTTCATTCAAAAATCTGAATCTGTAATGGAATGTGTTTGGAACTTACGGAGGAGATGGAAGACTCACGGCAAACACCTATTCTACTCATCCTACCCATTTCTGTAAGAAATGATCCTGGCATTTATGACACTAAGGAATAAAGCAGAAATCTACACCATCAACTATAGCTCAAATTCCATTAAGGTGAATTTCAAGAGCTGCCCATATTCTTTAGCTCTACTGGAATGTGGTTTTACTTACTGGCAGGTGAACTGAGCAAACTCAACACCAGTTTGGAAATAGTTAATGTAATACAACAGATGATCTTTAAAGTCCCCAATTCTAAACTGCTGTGAATTCTATGCATTAGATTCCTATCAAGTTCTGCCTGTGGCCAGGGGAAATGGTTAACAAAGTGGCAGAAGCTTAGCTTTACTTGCTGGCTTTCAACTATTCTTTTTTGTTAAAGTAATGCATTACATGTTATAAAATCCATTATATAATGAATATATAAAATATGAAGTAAGTCTCCCTGCCAACCCTGGATTCTCTTTCCAGAGTCAACACTGTTACTATTTTCTTATAGATCTTCCCAGATATTTTCTCTTCACATATAAAATCTTTGTCTTTTTAAGATAATACATTTTTCATAATGTTACTGCTAGAAACAGACACAATAAGCACTATATTTTATATTTTGATGTATTTAACTTATCTCTAGTATCTCTTGTTAAAAATTTGTTTTAAAAATGTTTTTCTCAAAATATACATATAAGCAACACAATATTATTGGGTTATTTAAATAAATGAGAATTTTTGAAATATTTGATTTTTATTGGTACTTAAGCTCTTTTTAAAACAGTTACATTAGTCAAAGATACATTTACACTAAATTAAAAGTGAACAAATTAATGACAAGAATGTATTTGTAACCTGTCCTCAGACGGGCACACATATCAGGTGGTTTGTATTTCATGCTGTTTCATTCATGGAGTTCATATTATTTTATACAATACATAGTTTCAAAAAATCCTTCAGTATGGTTGATGTACCTCCTTGAAGCTGTGACTATTTGAGATACTAGTAAGTTCCTGACACAATGCTTTCTGGAAGAACCACCTCCAGCTCTATTCTGTGTCTTGCAAATGACAAATTGGATAATAGTGGGAAGACATTACAGCATAGTTAATAGCAATGGTCAAATAAGAAGATATGTGAGATTTTAGCTTTGTTGATTTTTGAAGAGAAGAATCCCGGGGAAGTGACTATTTAACTTCCTGAAATGTCTCTTAACAAACTATTTTTAGCCTTGCAGAAAACCTAGACTCCAAGCTCTTCATTGTTGCTAAATGCTAAGCTCTGTAAGTCAGCCAGACCTCCTGCTGTCTAAATTGATCATGTTAACCAGATAGTTGCTAGGTTTCCACTTCAACCTGAAATAATTCTTCCAGAGACCAGATGGAACATGTTGAGACGAAAAATCCAACTCTTCCATAAAGTTATTATATCAGTAGTGGATTATGTCCCTGAAAACTGTGTAAAACAGCTTGTTCTGATGAATAGTGCTTCACCTTTGTTGCACATGGAACATTCTCCAGCACAGATCCATATGCTAGGCTGTAAAACAAGCCTTCATAAATTTAAAAGTATTAAAGTCATACAAAGTATGTTATCTGACCAAAATGGAGTGAAATTAGAATAGCAGAAAATGTGGAGATACTCACAAATGAAATTAGAAAATACTTTGAGATGAAGAAAAGTGAATACATAATATACAAAATTTTGTAGGATGCAGTTAAAGCAGTAATTAGAGATAAATTTGTAGCTTTAAACACCTATATTGAAAAGAAGATCTCAAATCAATAACCTAATTTTCTACCTCTAGAAACTAGAAAAAGAGAAATTAAATCCAAAGAAAGCAGATGAAAGAATAAAGATTACAGTAGAAACTAACAAAATAGAGAATAAAAAACCAATGGAGGAAATCAACAAAAGCAAAAGTTGGGTCTTAGAAAAGATTAACAAAATGGACAGACCTTTAGCTAGACTGACCAAGACAAAAAGAGAGAAGACTCAAATTACTAAACAGGATGAAAGAGGTGATATTACTGTCAACTTTATAGAAATAAAAAGGATTATAAGGAAATACTATGAGCAACTGTATGCCAACAAATCAGATAGCATGGATGAAATGGAAGAATTCCTAGAAAGACCCAAACTATCAACACTGATTCAAGAATAAACAGAAAATCTGAATAGATGTTTAAGAGATTGAATTAGTAATCTAAAAACTTCCCACAAAGAAAAGGTCATTCCCAGATAGCTTTACTAATTTATTCCACCAAACATGTAAAGACAATTTAATACTATTTTTTCACAGTCTTCCAAAATATAGAAGAGGAGGGCCACTGGCTAACTTATTCCATGAGGCCAGTATCACTCTGATACCAAAATGAGACAAAACATCATAATAAAAGAAAACTACAGGCCACTATTCCTTACAAATTACATTAATCTGTTCTCACGCTGCTATGAAGGACTACATTAGAGTGGGTCATTTATGAAGAAAAGAGGTTTAGTTGACTCACAGTTCCACAAGATTTACAAGCAGCATGACTGAGGAGGACTTAGGACTAACTTACAATCATGGCAGAAGATGAAGAGGAAGCAAGGACATCTTCACTTGACCAGCAGGAGAGAGGGTGAGTGAAAGGGGAGGTGCTATACACCTTCAAACAACCAGACCTCATGAGAACTCTATCATGAGACAGCACTAGGGGATGGTGCTAAACCATTAGAATCCACCCTCATGATTCAATCACCTCCCACCAGCTCCTACCTCCAACACTCAGGATCACAATTCAACATGAAATATGGGTGGGGACATAGAACCAAACCATATCATAAATATAGATTCTCAACAAAATTCTCACAACATATAAAAAGGATTATATCATGACCAAGTGGGACTTATCTCAGGAATTCAAGGTTAATTTAACATCAATCAACGTATTACCACATATTGACAGAATAATGGACAAAAACCAAATGATCATGTCAATAGATGCAGAAAAAGCATCTGATAAAATCCTACAACCCTTCATGATAAAAAAGAACCTCTCAACAAACTAGGAATATAAGGAAACTTCATCATTCTGATAATGGGCATCTACAAAACACTGACCACTAACATCATACTTAATAATGACAACTTCTCCCCAATATCAGAAACAAAAGGAAGATGCCCACACTAACTACTTTTATCCAATATTGTGCTGGAGTTTATAGCCAGGATAACTAAACAAGAAAAAGAAATAAAAGGCATCTAGATTAGAATGGTAGAAGTAAAACAACTTCTATTTTTAGATGATCTGATCTTGTGTATTGAAAATCCTAAATAATACACCAAAAAACCTATTGGAACTGATTTTAAGAATTTAGTAAGGTTTCAGGGTACAAGATCAATATATATAAATTGGATTTCTATACATTAACAATAAACCATCTGAAAATAAAATTAAGGAAATAATTCATTTTTAATAGCATCAAAAAACAAAATACTTAGGAATAAATTCAACAAAATAAGTACAAAATGTATACTCTGAAAACTATAAAAGATTGTTAAAATAAATTAAAGAAAACCTAGATAAATGGAATGTCATTCCATGCTCATGATTTCAAAGACTTACTGTTATTAACATGGCAATACTCCAATTGATCTACAGATTTAATACAATCCCTATGAAAATCCTAGCTAGCTTTGCGGAAATAGGCAAGTTAGTTTTGAAATTCATATGAAAATTTAAGGTTCTCAGAATGGTAAAACAATCTTGAAAAAGATCTGAATTAGAGAACCCACTAGTTCCAATCTCAAAACTTACTACAGAGATACAGTAATTACAACAGCATGGTACTGGCATAAAAGTAGATGTACAGATCAATAGAATAGAATTGAGAGTCTAAAGAAAACCTCACATTTATAGTCAATTGACTCTTGACAAGGGTGTCAATTCAATTCAACAGGGAAAGTACAGTCTTTTTAACAAACGGGACTGGGACAATTGGATATCCATATGCAAAAAAAATGAAGTTAGACCTCTCCCTCAAACCATATACAAAAATGAATTCAGAAGGGATCACAGACCTAAATGTAAAAGCTAAACCTATAAAACACTTAGAGGAAAATAAGGGGTAAATCTTCATTACCTTGGATTAGGGAAAGCCTTCTTAGATATGAAATCACAAGCATAAGCAACAAAAGAATAAATAAATTAGATTTCATCAAAATTAAATCTTTTGTGCTCCAAAGGACACTATAAAAAAAGTGAAAACATAACCCACTGAATGGTAGAAAGTATTTGCAAATCATATATCTGATAACGAACTTGTATCTAGAAAGTATGAATAACTCTTAAAACAACAAAAACACAAATAACTCAGTTAAAATATGGTAAACAGATTTGAATAAACATTTCTCCAAGATGATATACAAATGTCCAATAAGCACATGAAAAATGCTCAATATCATTAGCTTCCAGGGAAATGCAAATCAAAACCACAATAAGATACCACTTCACACCCACTAGCATGGCTACAATGGAAAAGATGAATAAGAATGAGTGTAGACGAAGATGTGGAAAAACTGGAACCCTAATACACTACTGGTGGAAATGTAAAATGGTACAACTGCTTTGAAAAAAAAGGTTTGGCAGTTTCTCAAAACGTTAAACATAGAATTACCACAGGTACTAGTGTGTCCAGAATTGGTGGGTTCTTGGTCTCTCTGATTTCAAGAATGAAGCCTCGGACCCTCCCAATGAGTGTTACAGTTCTTAAAGATGGTGTGTCCGGAGTTTGTTCCTTCTGATGTTGGGACGTGTCTGGAGTTTCTTCCTCCCAGTGGGTTCATGGTCTGGCTGGCTTCAGGAGTGAAGCTGCAGACCTCCGTGGTGAGTGTTACAGCTCATAAGGTCCGCACAGACCCAAACAGTGAGCAGCAGCAAGACTTTTCGCAAAGATCGAAAAAACAAAGCTACAGCAGTCTGGAAGGAGACCTGAGCGAGTTGCAGCTGCTCACTAGGGTGGCCAGCTTTTATTCCCTTACTTGGCCCCACCCACATCCTGCTGATGGGTCCATTTTACAGAGAGCTGATTGTTCCATTTTACAGAGAGCTGATTGGTCCGTTTTACAGAGTGCTGATTGGTCTGTTTTACAGAGTGCTGATTGGTCCGTTTTACAGAGAGCTGATTGGTCCGTTTTTACAGAGTGCTGATTGGTGTGCTTACAAACCTTTAGCTAGACACAGAGCACTGATTGGTGCATTTACAATCCTTTGGCTAGACAGAAAAGTTCTCCAAGTCCCCACCCGACTCAGAAGCCCAGCTGGCTTCACCTCTCACTAGTAACTCCACTTCACTTTTCTCATTTATTTTAAAATAAATATCCAGTAATAAGACAGATTAGTAGTTGTCTTTGTGAGGAAAGAGATAGTGTGATTGAAAAAGAGGCACAAAGAACCTTCTGGGAGAACTAAGCAGAGATAATATGGTATGTTCGCTTTTGTGATAATTTTCTTAGAATTTGTGCAGGCATCTTTCTGTATATATGATATACTTCAATTGAAAAAAAGAAAAGAATATGTATGGAACAGCAGACACTCTTCCATGTACCTCATAAATGTTGGCATTTTTCACAACCTTCTAAGTTAGGTACTATCATCATCCCTATATTACACATGAGAAAATAGAGACACAGGGGAGTTAAGGGACTTGCCACAACTGATGAATCATAAGGCGAGTTTTAAAACCTGGCACCTGACTCAAGAGACCATACTTTAAACCATGAACTACACTGCCTCCCATACGAAAATAAAATATTTGAAACATTTTAATAACAATTAGTCTTCCTTCAGGAACAATTAGTCTTTCTTCAGAAAGGATGTCCCTTTCAACACTGCTTTTCTTTCATTAGTATGTTTTATTAATTACTTAATTTTAAAAAACCTTTTTATTAAGTTTTTTCTCACTTTTAGTGAGGTACAATTTATAAATAAAATTGTATATATTTACAGTATACAATGTGATGTTTTCTTATACACCATGAAATGATTGCCTCAATAAAGCTAATTAACATGTCCATCACCTCATATATTTACAACATTTTTTAATGGTAAGAATACTAAAGAATGACTCTTTTAGCAAATTTCAAGTATATAACAAAATATTAATTATAGTCATCATGCTGTACATTAGGTTTACAGAACTTACTTATCCAGCACAACAAAAATTTTGTACCCTTTGACCAACATCTCTGCATTTCCCTTAACCCCTAACCCCTGGCAACAACCATTCTACCGTCTGCTTCTATGAGTTCAACTTTTCAGATTTCACATATAAATGAGATCATGTAGTATTGGTCTTTCTGTTCTTGGCTTATTTTACTTATCATAATGTCCTCTAAGTTCATCCATCTTGTTGCAAATGACAAGATTTCTTTCTTTATAAAGGCTGAAAAATATTCCAGTTTGTGTGTGTGTGTGTATCACATTTTCTGTATCCAGTCATGTGTTAATGAACATGTAGGTTGATTTTATATCTTGTATATTGTGAATAATGCTGCAAAGAATATGGGTGTACAAATATGTAACATAAGATACTGATTTTATTTCCTTTGGCTATACAGATAGTCCCCAGCTTATGGTTCAACTTAGGGTTTTTCAACTTCATGATGGTGTGAAAGTGATATCTATTAAGTACACTCTTCTATTTATGATGGGGTTACATTCCACAGGTGTAACTTCACAGATGTAACACCATCATAAGTCAAGGATCATCTGTGTACCCAGAAGTGAGATTACTGAATCACATGGTAGTTCTATTTTTAATTTTTTGAGAAACCTCCCTATTGTTTTCTAGGATGGCTGTAACAATTTACATTTCCACCAACGGTGTATAGGGGTTCTCTTTTCTCCACATCCTTGCCAAAACTTGTTATCATTTGTCTGTTTGATAATAGCCATTCTAACAGGTGTGAGGTAATATCTCATTGTGGCTTTGATTTGTATTTTTCTGATGATTAGTGTTGTTGAGCACTTTTTCGTATTACCTGTTGGCCATTCGTATGTCTTCTTTTAAGAAATAACTATTCAGGTCCTTTGCCCATTTTTAAATTGGGTTATTTGTTTTCTTTCTATTATTTGAGGTCCTTATATATTTTGGATATTAACTCTTTATCGGATGTATGGTTTGAAAATATTTTCTCCCATTCCATAGGTTGTATCTTAGCCCTGTTGGTTGTTTCCTTTGCTGTGCAGAAGCTTTATAGTTTGATGTAATCTCAATTGTCTGTTTTTGCTTTTGTTTCCTGTGCTTTCTGTGTCATATTCAAAACATCATGACCAATACCAATGTCAAGAAGCTTTTCCCTTATGTTTCCTTCTAGGAGTTTTATGGTTCAGGTCTTACGTTTAAGTCTTTAATGTATTGTAAGTTGATTTTTGTGTATGATGTGAGATAAGGGTCCAGTTTCATTCTCTTGTGTGTGAATATAGTTTTCCCACCACCACTTATTGAAGAGACAATTCTTTCCCATTGTATGTTCTTGGCAACTTTGATAAAGATCAACTGACTCTAAATGTGTGGACTTATTTCTGGCCTCTCTATTCTGTCCCATTGGTTTATATGTGTGTTTTTGTACCAGTATCATACTTCTTTGATGATTACAGCTTTGTAGTATATTTTGAGATTAGTGTGATGCCTTTAGCTTTGTTCTTCTTGCTCAAGATTGCTTTGGCTATTCAGATTATTTATGGTTCTATTAATATATGAATTCTAGGATAGCTTTTTCTATTTCTGTGAAAAACGTCATTGCAATTTTGACAGAAATTGCATGGGAGTCTGGGCATTTGGGGACTGGTCTGGCTTTGGGGTAAGCCTCGAACTTGGGTCTGTAGGCACCAGCTTGAGCCTGGAGTTGTGGAGACAGGCTGGCACTATGGTGGGCCTGAAGCCTGAGTCTGCAGGGGATGGCCTGGACCATGTGCTTGTAAGTACTGGTCTGGTGGCTGGGGCAGCAGGGGCTGGCCTGGTGCTGGTGTGGGCCTGGAGCTTGGGTTCATGGGGGCTGGCCTGGCGTTTGGATGGGCCTGGGGGTTGGGTCTGTGGAAGCCTGCCTAGAGCCTGAAGTGTCTCAAGATAGTGTCTTATTTCCCTTTGAGTTCTTTCTTGCTCCATTGGTTGTTCAGAAGTGTGTTGTTTAATTTGCATGTATTTGTAAATTTTCTAATTATTGATTTCTAGTTTAATGCCACTGTGGTCCAAAAAACATACTTGATAATGATTTCAATCTTCTTAAATGTGTTAAGATTTGTTTTATGGCCTTATATATTATCTACCCTAGAGAATGTTTCGTGTGCACTTGAAAGAATGTGTATGCTGCTGCCGTTGGAATTACCACTGCTTTTCAATATCATACTGGAAATCCTAGCTAATGCAATAAGACAAGAAAAAAATAAAAGGTGTACAGATTGGGAAGGAGGAAATCAGACTGTCTTTGTTCACTGATGAGATAATCCTCTGTGTAGAAAATCCAAAAGAATCAACAAAAATATCCTGTAACTAATGAGCAAATATAGCAAGATTTCAGGATATGAGGTTAATATATAAAAGTTAATCACTGTCTTATATACCAGCAATGAACAAGTGGAAGCTGAAATTAAAAAACACTTTGTCATTTATATTAACAGCTCCAAAAATGAAATACATAGGTATAAACCTTAAAAATGTATTATATCTATATGAGGCATACTATAAAGCTCTGATAAAAGAAATCAAAGAAGAAAATAGATATCCTGTGTCAATGGATAAGAATATTCAATATTGTCAAGATATCAGTTCTTCCCAACTTCATCTATCCATTAAATACAATCCCAATAAAAATACCAGAAAGTTAATTTGTGGATATCAACATAACTATTTTAAAATTTATACAGAGAGGCAAAAGACCTAAAATAGCCAACTCAATATTGAAAGAGAAGAATCAAGCAAGAGGACTGACATTACCCAATCTCAAGACTTAATATAAGCCTACAGTAATCCAGACAGTGTGGTATTGGTGAAAGAACAGAGAAATAGATAAATAGAACAGAATAGGGAACCTAGAAATAGATTCTTATAAATATAGTCAATGGATATTTGATAATATAGCAAAGGCAATACAACAGAACAGAGATAGCCTCTTCAAAAAATGGTGCTGGAACAACTGGACATTCACATGCAAGAAAATGAATTTACACACAGACTTTAACATCCTTCACAAAAGTTGATTCAAAAAGGATCAGAGACCTAAATGTAAAAAGAAAAACTACAAAATTCCAAAAGATAACATAGGAGAATTCCTAATCGAACTTGGGTATGGCAATAAGTTTTTGAATCGAACATCAAAAGCATGTTCCATGAAAGAAAGAATTGATAAGTTGGATTTCATTAAAATTAAAAATTTCTGCTCTGTGAAAGACAGTGTCAAGTGAATGAGAAGACAAACCACAGGCTGGAAGAAAATATTTGCAAAAGATACATCTGACAAAAGACTGCTATCCAAAGTACACAAAAAACTCTTAAAGCTTAACAATAAGAAAATAGGAGATGCTGGGCTGAAGAAGGAGGAGGCTAGGAGCACTGCATGGGGCAGCCGAGCACAGGGACTCATTCCTGGCCCCCAGAGACTCCTGGGGAAGAGGTGAGTGGAATAGGTGAGGAGCAGCCTGCTCCTGACACAAACCTCTGGAATCCAGGCAGCACGAAACCCCATGACCTCCATGGACACTTGAGCTAGCAAAGACAGCTGCTTAGAGAAGTGGTAGTAGCAGGACTCCAGCCTGTGTGGAGCCCAGAGGGCTTGGTACTGGAATGTCTGCAGTGGAGAACAACCAGGGACACCCATTCCCCCAGGCTTACCATGCTCCTTTAGGAGAATTTGGCCATAGGATGACTGTCAGAACTGAACAGAGCAAGGTGGTCTTGCCCCTGACACAGGACCAGTCCAATATCAGCTCCCCACTGTCTGCTGGCCGTTCCTAGAGTCACAGCCGGTTGTGCTCACTGGCAGGGCAGCATCAGATGCCCAACCAGGGTGCTTCCTAGGGACCCACATCATACCTCCTTCACCAGCAGACAGCACCTGACAATTGGAGAGATCCAGCAGAGCAGCTCCCACTGATGTGCACCAACCCACCCACACCCTCCTTCCCCTGTGCCACTTTGCCAGCATGCACTCTCTACCACTTTGATCGTGTGCACACATAAGCGGACCTAGCTTCCCCTCCCTGAGTGGTGTGCATGTGCCATGTACCCCACAACTGGTGCTGGCAAGAGGGCAACTTGTTGGTTACCCCCCACTAATGTGAAGGCACTCAGCTGAGCCACTGTAGCCAGCATGAACGTGCACACAGATGCTGGCAACTTCGTGCCCCCCAAGAGCCACTGTGTATGTGAACATATGCATGGATGCTGGCAACCCCACCCACTGCCATGCTGCCAGTGCTGATGGTGCAAATGGATGCACAGAGGCCAGCAGCCCTGTGCATCCCAGCACCACACCCCTGCCACTGCCAGTGCAAGTATGAACATGGACACTGGCAACCCCACTCCCACCTGTGCCCTATGGCCAGAACGAGCATACACAAAAATGACCCAACTTCACTTCCACTAGTAACCTACACAAGCTGGTGCATGTGCACCCTGCTGCACTGCTGCTGCTGCTACTGACACAAGTGAATGAGCATGGATCCCATTGCCACCACCCTGACAAAGTGCTTTGATTGGTACTACCCATCAGAGTGTCGCTGTCAGTGAACCTGGAACAGTTCAGTCCCTCCAATGCAGCAGGTTCCTGACCTCAAGGGGCCAGAGAATGAATCCGGGGGTCTGGTACCAGCCCCCCAGAGTTAAACCACACACGGAGTGCCAACCTGAGCCTTGACACCCTAAAATCTTCCAGAAATGAAGCCAGTCAACTGAAACCATCTTACACCATGATCAAACAAACCTCCAAGGGCAACAAAGCTTAGTTATAAGTGAAGGAGAAATAAGATCCTTTTCAGACAAGGAAATGTTAAAGGAATTTATTACCAACAGACTTGCCTTACAAGAGGTCCTGAATGGAGCGCTAAATATGGACAGGAAAGAGCATTTCTGGCAATTACAAAAACACACTTAAGTACATAGACCATTGACACTATAAAGCAATCACACAATCAAGCCTGCATAGTAACCAGTTAACAACATGATGACAGGATCAAATCTGCAAATATCAATATTAGCCTTGAAGGTAAATGGGCTAAATGCCCAAATTAAAAGGTACAGAGTGGCAAGTTAGATAAAGAAGCAAGACCCAACTGTATGCTGTCTTCAAGAGACTCATCTCACATGCAGTGACACCCAAAGTAAAGGGATGAAGAAAAATCTACCAAGCAAACAGAAAACAGAAAAAAAGCAGCAGTTCCTATTCTAATTTCATACAAAACACACTTTAAACCAACAATGATAGAGAAAGACAAGGAATAATGCATTAAATAATGGCAAAGGTTTCAGTCCAACAAGAAGGCCTAATTATTCTAAGTATATATACACCCAACACAGGAGCACCCACATTCATAAAGCAAGTTCTTAGAGACCTATGAAGAGACTTAGATAATTGCACAATAATAGTGGGAGACTTCAACACTCCACTTGACAGTATTAGATAGATCATCAAGGCAGAAAACTAAAAAATATTCGGTACCTGAACTTGACACTTGACCTGGGCTTAATAGACATCTACAGAGCTCTCCACCCCCACCAAAACAGAATATGTATTCTTCTCATCTGCATAAGGCACATACTCTAAAATTGACCATACAATTTTCCATAAAACAATCTTCAGCAAATTCAACAAAGCCAAAATCATACTAAACACACTCTCAGACCACAGCCCAATAAAAATAGAAATCAATAGTAAGAAAATCACTCAAAACCATACAATTATATGGAAATTGAAGAACCTGCTCCTGAATGACTTTTGGGTAAACAATGAAATTAAAGCAGAAGTCATAAAATTATTTGAAACTAATGAGAACAAAGATAGAGCATGCCAGATTATCTGGGACACAACTAAAGCAGTGTTAAGAGGAAAGTTTATAGGGCTAAACACCCACATCAAAAGTTGGAAATATCTCAAATTAACAACCTAACATCACACCTCAAAGAACTAGAGAAACAAGAGCAAACCAATCCCAAAGCTAGCAGAAGACAATAAACAACCAAAATCAGAGCTGAACTGAAGGAAACTGAGACACAAAAAACATACAAAAGATCAATGAATACACCAATTTATTCTTTGAAACAATATTTAAGATAGACCACTAGCTAGACTAATAATGAAAAAAGAGAGAAGATTCAAATAAACAGAATCAGAAATGACAAAAGGGACATTATTATCGACCCCACAGAAATACAAAACCCCTCAGAGACTACTACAACTACCTCCATGCACACAAACTAGAAAACCTATAAGAAATGGATAAATTCCTGGAAATTTGCAACCTCCCAAAATTGAACCAGAAAGAAACTGAATCTCTAAACATACCAATAATGAGTCCTAAAATTGAATCACTAATAAAAAGTCTACCAACCGGCAAAAGCTCAAGACCAGATGGATTCACAGCTGAGTTTTACCAGATGTATAAAGAGGAGCTGGTACCATTTCTCCTGAAACTATTCCCAAAAATTGAGGAGGAAAGACCCCTCCTTAACTCATTTATGATGCCAGCATCATCCTGATACCAAAACCTGGCAGAGGCAGAACAAAAAAAGAAAATTTCTGGCCAATATCATTGATGAACATAGATGCAAAAATTCTTAAAAATATACTAGGAATCCAAATCCAGCAGCACATCAAAAAGCTAATCCACCTCAATCAAAAAGGCATCTTCCATGGGATGCAAGGTTGGTTCAACATATTCAAATCAATAAACATAATCCACCATATAAAAAGAATTAAAAACAAAAACAACATGGTCATCCCAACAGATGCAGAAAAGGCTTTTGATAAAATTAAACATCCCTTCATGTTAGAAACCCTCAACAAACTAGGCATTGAAGGAATGTACCTCAAAATAATAAGAACTATCTATGACAAACCCACAGCCAATATCATCCTGAATGGGCAAAAGCTGGAAACATTCCCCTTGAGAACCAGAACAAGACGAGGATGTCCACTCTTGCCATTGCTATTCAACATAGTAATGGAAGTTCTAACCAGAGCAATCAAGCAAGAAAAAGAAATAAAAGAAATCCAAATTGGAAGAGAGGAAGTGAAACTATCTTTGTGTGCAGACGATATGATTTTATACCTAAAGAACCCCATAGTCTCTGCCCAAAAGCTCCTGTATCTGATAAACAACTTTGGCAAAGTTTCAGGATACAAAATTGGTGTACAAAATTAGTAGCATTTCTATACACCAACAACATCCAAGCTGAGAGCCAAATCAAGAATGGAATCCCATTCCCAGTAGCCACACATTGAATAAAATGCCTAGGAATATAGCTAACCAGGGAGATGAAAGATCTCTACAATGAGAATTACAAAACACTGCTGAAGGAAATCAGAGACGACACAAACAAATGAAAAAACATTCCATGCTTATAGATAGGAAGAATCAATATTATTAAAATGGCTATACTGCCCAAAGCAATCTACAGATTCAATGCTATTCCACAGAATTAGAAAAATCTGTTCTAAAATGTATATGAAAGCAAAAAAAGAGTCCAAATAGCCAAGGCAATCCTAAGCAAAAAGAACAAAGACGGAGACATCACATTACCCAACTTCAAATTATACTACAAGGTTATAGTAACCAAAACAGCATGGTACTGGTACAAAAACAGATACATAGACCAATGGAATAGAATGGAAAGCCTAGCAATAATGCCATACACTGACAACCATCTGATTTTCTACAAGGTCAACAAAACAAGAAATGGGAGAAGGACTTCCTATTTCATAAATGGTGCTGGGATAACTGGCTAGCCATATGCAGAATATTGAAACTGGACCGCTTCCTTACACCATATACAAAAATAAACTATAAAGATGGATTAAAGACATACATATAAAATGTAAAACTATAAAAACCCTGGAAGATAACCTAGGAAATACCATTCTGGGCATAGGACCTGGTAAAGATTTCATGATGAAGGTGCCAAAAGCAATTGCAACAGCAACAAAAAAATGACAAATGGGACCTAACTAAACTAAGGAGCTTCTGTACAGCAAAAGAAACTATCAGCAGAGTCACAGACAATCTACAGAATGAGAGAAAATATTTGTAAACTATCCATCTGACAAAGGTCTAATATCCAACATCCATAAGGAACGTAAACAAATCCACATGTGCAAAACAAACTTCCCAATTAAAAAGTGGGCCAAGGACATGAATAGACATTTTTCAAAAGAAGACATACAGCGAGCAAGCATATGAAAAATGCTCAACATCATTAATTATTAGAGAAATGTAAATAAAAACCACAATGAGATACCATCTCACACAGTCAGAATGTCTATTGTTAAAAAGTCAAAAAATAACATGTTGGCAAAGTTGCAGAGAAAAGAGAATGCTTATATGCTGCTGGTGGGAATATAAATTAGTTGAGCCATTGTGGACAGCACTATGGCAATTTCTCAAAGAGGTCAAAACAAAAATACCATTTGACCCAAGAATCCCATTATTGGGTGTATACGCAAAGGAATGTCAATCATTCTACCATAAGGACACGTATGCACGTATGTTCATCACAGCATTACTCACAGTAGTAAAGATATGGAATCAACCTAAGTGTCCATCAGTGGTGGACTGGAAAAAGAAAATGTGGTACATATACAAAGGAATATAAATAATTCTATTATAAAGATACATGCACGCATATGTTCATTGCAGCACTATTCACAATAGTAAAGACATGGAATCAGCCCAAATGCCCATAAATGATAGACTGGATAAAGAAAATGTGGTACATATACATGGAATACTATGCAGCCATAAAAGAGAATGAGATCATGTCCTTTGCAGGGACATGGATGAAGCTGGAAGCCATTATCCTCAGCAAACTAACACAAGAACAGCAAACCAAACACAACATGTTCTCACTTATAAGTGGGAGTTGAACAATGAGAACACATAGACACAGTGAGGGGAACAATACTTACCAAGGCCTGTTGGCGGAGGGCAGCGGGAAGAGCATTAGGGAAAAAAGCTGATGCATGCTAGGTTTAATATCTAGGTGATGGGTTGATAGGTGCAGCAAACCACGATGGCACATGCTTACCTATGTAACAAACCTGCACATCCTGTACATGTACCCCAAAATTTAAAAAAATTAATTAAAAAAGAAAATGTGGTACATATACACCATGGAATACTATGCAGCCATAAACAGAAACAAGATCATGTTTTTTCAGGAGCATGGATGGAGCTCACCTTCAGTCAAATGGACAGTTTACATGTAGACTAAAATGTTCTTAAAATTAGTAAGTTATGCGATTGAAAAGCTTTTTTTAGTTAGAATTGACATAATACAGTGACAAGAACTTTGGTTTAGGCATCAGGAGACATGGTGGTCCAACCCTACTCTGCCTGATCTGTGAATATGGACATTACATTTCATTCCTCTGAGCCAGTATTAATTGCTCCATCCACAATTCTGCCAATAAAATTTTTTTTTTCACAAGAAGAGCTTAAAAAATAACAAAAGCAACATCTCTCCTCTCCACTTATAAAAAAGTAAGAAAAATCTTTCTTAAGCTATTTTCTTCCCCTGGATTCATTTCTCTAACTTTCCCAACCTAAGCCATTGATTACCATTATTATATATTTTAAAAGAACTGGAAATACCATTTGACCCAGCCATCCCATTACTGGGTATATACCCAAAGACTATAAATCATGCTGCTATAAAGACACATGCACACGTATGTTTATTATGGCATTATTCACAATAGCAAAGACTTGGAACCAACCCAAATGTCCAACAATGATAGACTGGATTAAGAAAATGTGGCACATATACACCATGGAATACTATGCAGCCATAAAAAATGATGAGTTCATGTCCTTTGTAGGGACATGGATGAAATTGGAAATCATCATTCTCAGTAAACTATCGCAAGAACAAAAAACCAAACACCACATATTCTCACTCATAGGTGGGAATTGAACAATGAGATCACATGGACACAGGAAGGGGAATATCACACTCTGGGTACTGTTGTGGGGTGGGGGAAGGGGGGAGGGTTAGCATCGGGAGATATACCTAATGCTAGATGACGAGTTAGTGGGTGCAGCACACCAGCATGGCACATGTATACATATGTAACTAACCTGCACAATGTGCACATGTACCCTAAAACTTAAAGTATAATTAAAAAAAAAAAAAAGGTACTCATGAAGCTTTTGGTGTTTCTCCTTCCCTCTTATCCTCCCCTCTCTTAAATCCTGTTAGCATTCTTCTTTCCATGCTTTTTTTTTTTTTTTTTTTTTTGAGACAGAGTCTCGCTCTGTCACCCAGGCTGGAGTGCAGTGGCGCGATCTCGGCTCACTGCAACCTCCACCTCCTGGGTTCAAGCAATTTCCCTGCCTCGGTCTCCCGAATAGCTGCGATTACAGGCACCTGCCACTATGCCCGGCTAATTTTTTGTACGTTTAGTAGAAACGGGGTTTCATTGTATTAGCCAGGATGGTCTAGATCTCCTGACCTCATGATCTGCCCGCCTCAGCCTCCCAAAGTGCTGGAATTACAGGTGAGCCACCGCGCCCGGCCCTTTCCATGCTTTTTACTTGAGGAAACTTTTCATGTTGTCTCTTAGGTTTATCTCATATTTATATATGCCAACCTCCCTCAACATACACATTTTGCAATAAAACAAGAGGTGAGAGAGAGAGAGAGTGAGTTAGGGAGTGAGCGAGTGAGGGAGGAAAGAGGAAGGGGAAGAAAAAAGAAAGAAAACAAGAAAAAAGGAAATAAATTTCCCTAAGTACTATTCTGCAAGCTGTACAAGAAGCATGCCACCAGTATCTATTTTGATGAGAAACTCAGGAAGCTTCCACTAATGGTGGAAGGCAAAGGGAAGCGGAAATCACATGGTAAGAGAGGGGGGAAGAGGGAGAGAGAAAGGGAGAAAGAGAGAGAGGAGAGGGAGAGAGAGAGAGAGAGGGAGAGAGAGAGAGAGAGAGAGAGAGAGAGCAAGAAGGGGAGGAGGTGTGCCAGGCTCTCTTTAACAATCAGACCTGGAGGACGTTTTGCTGTTCCTGAGGGATCCGTCCCCATGTCCCTAACACCTTCCCCCACCTCCAACATTGGGGATCACATTTCCACATGAGGTTTGGGGAGTCAAACATCCAAACTAGAGCACCTGGCAAAGATGAAAAAGGTATGTCTTGTTGGTATCCAAGTTTCCTAAATCTTTGAGTTTATTCCTCTGGAGAATTCAGCATTTGTTATACTTGAGAAAATTACAAAAGACGATTAAGGGCAAAACCCTAGATATTGCCTCCTTTTTCTCTCCATTCATGTGTAAATGTCCCAAGAAGCTCTTGTATCAATTAAAGTTTGACACATATGTTTTGGCAATTAATAACAGGCAAGGAAACTTTCTTCTCCTAATTTTTGCTAGAGGCAAACAGTAGTTTCTAGACCTGTGGGAGTTCCCTAGACTGGCAGTTGCTATGTGCTAGGGTTTCCAGTCCTGGTAGTCTTTTCATATTTTTTAAATTCACGGGGCTGTTATTTCCTGCTCTTGCTGTTTAGGAGAGAAGTTAGGTCTTTAAAAAGGAAATATCCTTCCCCACCCACAACCCCAGGCAGATCCTTTTGCACAATTTCATCATTTGCCAGACCCCCTACATAATGCTGCAAACATTTGGACCATGCTGAGAAATCTTTAGTTAGAGCCACACTTCCACACTGTGAAGGCATTTCACATCAAACCAATGCATCTCCAAGACTTCTGTAGGCTTCAACAGGTACCTTTGCTAGTTTTACCAGAAGAGAGGAGAATAAGTGTGTGATGAGGTGATGACAGCGATAAAGACAAGAGGCAAAATGTGTGTGTGTGTGTGTGTGTGTGTGTGTGTATGCTTGTATAGTGGGGATAGTAGGTGCTCAGTGAGTGTCAGCTCTTTTTCTTCTATTATTACTATCTTTATTATTATTATTTTATTAGCCACATGTGAAACAATGGCTTCTTTCTGAAAAAAAATATAATAAAGCCGAAAGCCTTGGGTTACATCAAAGTTGATATTGGCCCCAAGCTACAGTGATTAATAGGTTACCTCCTTAATTCACCTCTTTCCTCTATGTTAACAACTAAAAGTGTCTGCCAGTATAATAGGGAAAATATGCAAGCAAATATGGTAAGTATTCTCCATGGCAGCTGAGGACATCTGGGTGTTCCATCAAATTCGACCTCAAACTCTTGGGAGTTTGACCTGCAAACAGAAAAATGCAAAGTTTAGATTAGATGAATAATTATATACTTGTTTTTAAAAAGTCCCAGGCTTAACAAACAACTGTTGCAAACACAGTCTGATCACTGGATTCTATTTTATTTGTTCCTCATACAAGAGAAAGATGTTTTAAGCAACAGCTTCTTGAAAGCTGTTGAAAATTGTTCTCTTTGAAAAATGTTCTCTCATCACAAAAGAACACTTAGAAACTACTTATTCATTATCTTTCAACCTTCAGTGAAGTAATAGCTGAGGGTGGAAAATAAAAGCTAACTTTCTCTCTTCTCTTTAATTAAAATGAGGTGAAAAATAGTTAAGTGATGAATACAAAACTGATTTATTTTTTAAATTTTTCCCCTTCATTTTTATATCTGATTCATGCTAATTAATCCCTATTTTAACCCCTAGTTAAATAACATAAATTTTTAGTCATAATATACATAGGTAAAATGAAACAAATAAGTAATTCACTTTTCCACAGTCAACTCCATTACCAGATTAGAGTGGGTTTTTAAAATATGTGTATTAATACTTGAATTATAATAATGACGATCATAATAATAATACTAGGAAGTGTAATCCCTCCTATAGTGTGAATCAAAAAGGGGCCAAAGCGGATTTCACTTGTTCTAGTCATCCACATCGCACACAGTTGCTGTGCTGGTTCTTTTAAAACGTATAATAATTAAATTCCATCCTCAAGTTAGCTGAGCTTTACCCTTGCATTCTGTGAATACTCTTGGGTATGAAAAGAAGTGAGGCCTGTTAAATATAGAAGTCTAGCATGGAGATAAAAATGATATTCTTAAACTCCCATTTATTTTAAGAGCTTGGATTGTGCTGGGCTGGGCTATATCAGATTACAAAAATTGTCTTTATTTCACTGTCTTCCTTTACTTACTTATTTAAAGGCATTATGCTTATCCTCTCAGTGACAGTGCAGTGTGGAGCTGCACCTACCTCCTGCATCTCCCTGAGCTGCCCACAAGCTCCCCCTCTTCCGCCAGCAAATCTTTTTGCACCGTTTCTTCCCTTGCTGGTCCTTCTTTTTGAAATGCAAATGACTCCTTGCACAATGCTGCAAGCATTTAAACCAAATTGAGGACTCTCAGTTACAGCTACATTTCCATACCCGTGAGGGCATTTCACTTCAAACTAATGCATTTCCACGACTTCCATAGGCTTCAATAGGCCCCACTGCCAGTTTTTCACCGAGAGTGGATATGACATAATAAGAAATATATATTTGGCCTCTGCTCCCAGTCCCAGACACAGAACTCCTAAAACTCTTGTAATTTCCTTGGTGATAGGAGCATTTTTTGTTATAATATTTGGTCTTAGTCCCTGGTTCCTGACACAAAAATTTCTAGAATCTCTGGAGTGATGAGTGTCTCTTGCATACTGAGATGACTGTTGACTGGGGACCCCTAGATAGCTTCAGGACGAGGTATAATTGGAGAGTTGGGACTTTCAGTGCCACCCTCTGACTCTAGTGAGGGGAATGGTGTTGAAGGTTGAGCTGGTCACCAATGGCCAATTATTTAAACAATCATGCCTACGTAATGAAGCCTCCATGAAAACCCTAAACAATAGGATTTGGAGAACTTCTGAGTTGGTGAGCACATCAAAGTGCTGAGAGGATGGTGCACCCAGAGAGGGCATGAAAGCTCTGCACCCCTTCCTATATATTTCACCCTATTCACCTTTCTGTCTGGCTGTTCATTTGTATCCGTTGTAAAATACTTCATAATAAGCCAGTAAATATTTCCCTGAGTTTTGGGAGGCATTATAGCAAATTATCAAAGATGAAGAAGCAGTTGTAGGAAACCCCAATTTATAGCCAGTTGGTCTGACATACAGGTGACAATCTGGGACTTAATGACTGGCATGTGAAGTCTTGTGGGACTAAACCCTTTGCCTGTGGGGTCAGATTTGAATTGTAGAACATCCTGCTAGTATCTGGAGAGTTAGATAATTGGTTGATTGGACGTTTGGTGTCCAAACCCCCAGAAGTCTGGTGTCAGAAGTGTTGTAAGTATTAAAAAAAGTTTTTCCTTTTAGGGAAGAATGGGTGTTTGATGAGTTGATGACAACTATAGTGGAGAAAAGAGGCAGAATTGTGTGTGTGTGTGTGTGTTTGCACGCGTGCTTGTGTAGTTAAGGTAGTAGATTTTTGGCTGTCAGAAACCCCTCTCCCTGTTGTTTCAGTACCTAGCACAGCCCTAAATACCCACCAGACCTCTTACAGGTGTTGCAGTGTCCTTGCCTGTCATGCCATGGAAAGAGGCAGCAGAAAGTGGAACTCAGTTTGAAGGACAAAGTTATTGCTAACTTACCCAGTGAGGTGTTCTCTAAAGTGCAATCCTTACTTATCTGCGGCAGAATCACCCTGGGCCTCTGGTTAAAAGGGCAGATTCCCACTCCAGACCTACCAGATCAGATGTGCCAACTCTGGAGCCCAGGCATCTGCATTTTAACCAAATCCTCAGGAGATTTTCAATGCACACAAACATTTGAGTATTGCTAGCTAAAAGGTTGGCGTGTTGCTCATATTCAATTACCAACAGCACATGTTGTCCTAAGGAGTATGTCTTCAGTATTTCAAACTTAATATGTAGTGACATTATTCCTTGAGAACTAACTATATACTCTAAAAAAGGATAATGAATTAATATGTTGAGTCTTTTAGACAAACAATGCAAAAGTATGTAAGTTAATATAAAGCTGATATATTTTAGTCTTTTAAACAAACAATACAAAATATGTTGCATCTTGCTACAGACTGAATAGTCTCCCCCATATTCACATGTTAAAACCTTAACCTCTAGTGCGATGAAATTAGGAGATGGGGCCTTTGAGAGGCAATTAGGTTTTGATGAAGTTGTGAGGGTGGACACCAGGGAGCTTGCTTTCTCTCTTTCTCTCTCTCTCTGCCATGTAAGCATACAGCAAGATGGCAGCCATCTACAAAAGGACCTTTTACCAGAACCCAATCATGTTGGCACTTCGATCTTAGATTTCCAGCTTCTAGAACTGTGAGAAAATAAGTTTGTATTATTTAAGTCACCCAGTCTACGGAATTTTGTTACAACAGCCTGAGCTCACTAAGACATATTTTCAAATACATGTTTGACATTCTCTGACTTCTGACTCTTTCACTGTGTTTTCCACTCCCTGAACCCCTTGCTTAAGGAGACTGCAGCATACAATACACCGTGAATCATTCCCTAAATGTCTATGACTATTTACCATTCAGTAGTCCCCTCTTATCCACGGTTTCATTCCCTGTGGTTTCAGTTACCCAAGGTCAATCACAGTCTGAAGATATTAAATGGAAAATTCCAGAAACAACCAGTTCATAAGTTTCAAATTGCACACCATTCTGAGCAGTGTTATGAAATCTTACACTGTTCATCTCTTTTACTACCACTTAGCCTGGGGCCCAGCCTGTGGGGAAGGATTAAAAATTCTTACTAAATTATCCAAAAATGAATAAATAACAGAATTAATGGATAAGTTGAAATATAATAAACCTAGATTTGTTGGACAAAACTTCAGAGTACAGTAGTATCCCCTTATTTGTGGAGGATACATTCTAAGACCCCCAGTGGATGCCCAAAACCAAGGACAGTACTGAACTTGATATCCATTCAGCCCTGGATATGAGTCTTCCCTTTGTCCAGCCCATCTACACTGTCTTCACTCTCTGCCCATCAGTCTCTTAGTAAGCCATCTCCGTTATCAGATGGACTGTCTCAGTATCACAGTGCTTGTGTTCAAGTAACCCTTATTTGACTTAATAATGGCCCCAAAGTGCAAGAGTAATGATGCTGGTAATTCAGATATGTCACAGAGAAGCTGTAAAATGCTTCCTTTAAGTGAAAAGGTGTAAGTTCCTAACTTAATATGAAAAGAAAAACAAATTGTATGCTGAAGTTGCTGAGATCTATGGTAAGAATGAAACTTCTATCCATAAAATTGTGAAGAAAGAGAAAAATTATTTTGATGTCGCACTTTAAAGTGCAAAAGTTGTGGCCGTGGTGTGTAATAAGTGCTTAGTTAAGATGAAAACGGCATTATATTTGAGGGTGGAAGACATGAGCAGAAGTGTATTCTGATTGATGACAATCAGGTTCAGTACTGTCCTTGGTTTTGGGCATCCACTGGGGGTCTTGGAACGTATCCTCCACAAATAAGGGGATACTACTGTACTCTGAAGTTTTGTCCAACAAATCTAGGTTTATTATATTTCAACTTATCCATTAATTCTGTTATTTATTCATTTTTGGATAATTTAGTAAGAATTTTTAATCCTTCCCCACAGGCTGGGCCCCAGGCTAAGTGGTGGTAAAAGAGATGAATCGATTTATATGCTTCCTGCCTTTATGGAACTCTCGGCTTCATAGGGAGCCAGCAAAACAATAACAGATATGTGATCATAAATCTTGAAGTAAAGAGAAAGAAATCAGGATGGTCTCACCATGGCGCTGATATTTTAGCTGATTTCTGAAGGATAAAGATGAGTTACCCATGCAAATGCCAAGGGAAAGTATACCAGATAGAAATACAAGTACATGAAATTTTCTAAAGAGAAAAAATCTTAAACTGAAAGTGTGTTGGAATACTGTGATGTGCTACCTAGATACACCTTTATTGAATGACTTATTGTCCCAGCTGCTGGGAGTGCTAAGGGCAGGCAGCCTTCAGTGTTACCACCTTCAGGGGCTCCCTCAGCTGCAGAGAGCCATATTACCAAGGTTACCTCTTTCTCAAGATAGACCACATCCAGTGATGGATTTACATGGGAGTATAAGGCTTGGCCATCTCATTTCAAAGGAAGATAACCCTGAAAGGCTATTTCTAGCCACACTGCTCCATATAGGATCAGTCTATTACTGGGCCAGTCCTGCAGCTCTGTTTCTCTCTGTGCCCACTCCCTTTTCTTCTCCTCCCTTCACATAGGTTGCTCCCAAGGGCACTTCCTAATAAACACCCTGCAAGTTAAATGCTATCTCAGAGTCTACTTCTTGGGAAATTCAAACTACAGCACCTGCTGTGGCCATAGCAGGGTGCATTAAGGTAAACTATGAGCTAAAATTAAGTATCAGATGATGCCAGACTTGGACATGATGTTTGATTTTATTCTTATTGAATTGGAAGCCATAGAAAGTTTTAAAATAAGGGCATATCACAATGCTTCATCCCAATCATGAGAAAATATTAGAAAAACCTAAACTGAGGGACATTTAACAAAATAACTAATATTCTTGAAATGTGTCAAGGTCATGAAAGATAAGGAAAGAATGAAGAACTTTTATAGATTGGAGGAGACTAAGTAGAAAAACAATCAAATGCAATATGAGATCCTGGATAGGATTCGGAACAGAAAAAGGATGGTGGAAAAAATAAGACTTGTAGTTTAGTTAATAGTGTTGTACCAATGTGAATTTCCCAGTTTTGATAAGTGTACTATGGTTATGTAAAATGCTAACATTAGAAAAATCTGAGTGAGGAGTATAAGAGAATTCTCTTGAACTATCTCTGCAACTTTTTTTAAGTCCAAAATTAGTTTGAAATAAAATAAACAAAGTTTATTCAGGTTGCTATATAGAGTAAAGGTTGTGGCGAGAGCAAAAGTGAAAGGAGATAGACCAGAGTAAAGTATTGCAATAGTACTGTGACAGCTGATGATGGTGGATTGGAGTATAGCAGCTAGTAGAGGGAGATTTGAGAAGGTAAAAAAAGAAGTCAACCATGTCAACCACACTTCATCTTTTCTATGGCAGTCTTTGCCTAAAGGAGGCATAAACTAGAAAAGAAATACAGTTTAATGCTAACTCAAGTTTGACGTTTTGACTATTAAGCAAGACTGGACAATCTAATTTCTGAATGGAGACTGCCACCTAAAGTATCTTGAGGACTGTCCAGTCATGGTTAAGAGGTTTGAACTGCTGAAACTATTTTTGCCTAGAAACTATGAATCAGGCCTTTAAGACAACTACATAAAATTTTACATGAAATACATATATATATGTACATTTAAAGCACATATATAGTTAGATAATAATTTCAAACAAATTTCTATTTAGAAACAACCCAGCTCAAGAACTAGAACAGTGGTTCTTAAAACTTGGTTTTGTCAGAATCAACTGAAGGGCTTATAGAGGCTTACATTCCTGGAAGTAGAACTCAGGTTGTTAAATTTTTATCAAATTTCCTACCTGATTCTGACACAGATGAGTTTGAGAACTGATAAACTAGAACATTTGTGGTACCTTTGAAGGCTTCTGTGTACCTCTCTCCAATCGTACTCAACTCTTTCTTCCAGAGTCAACTATTCAATTTTGTTAATAATTCCCTTATTATTCTTTATACTTTTTCATTTGCACCTGTTCAAGTATCCCTAAAAAATACTTTGCTTAGTTTTGCCTGTTTTCAAGCTTTATATGATTAGAAACACAATATGTGTTTTCTTCTGTGGCTTCCTTTTTATTTGCCACATTATGTTCTTGAGATTCATCCATGTTGATGCATTTAACAATTATTCATTCATGGTCATTCGTGCTTGGCATTCAATTGCATGACTATGCCACAATTAATTGTCCACTGTCTTATTGTTGAATATTTAAAGTGTCTCAAGTAACTACATATAAAGAACTTCACTGGTTGCTTGGGAAGCATTAGGGTCTAGTGAAGGGTAGCATCTCTGCCTTCAGTTGCTCCCCTGCTGGCCTCTCCTCACCTGCATTCCTGGCCCCCCACCCTAGCCCAGGAAGAACAAGAAGACCCTTCTACCCAGGGGTCAATGGGGAATGCATGGAGAATGTGTAATTCCACCCTCATCCAACTGTAGTGAGGTGGCACCCTTTTATCCATGGGAGTGTTATCAGAGAAAGCCTGCTAAAACACAAGATTTAAATAAGATCCAAAGTCTTGTAACATAATATCCAGAATGTTCAATTTTCAGTTAAAAATCACTTGTCATACCAGGAACCAGAAAAATCTCAAGCTAAATTTAAAAAAGCAATCAACGGATGCCAACACAGAAATGGCACAGATGTTAGAATTATCTGACAAAGATATTAGAGGGCCATCACAGCAATGTTTCAATGAGCAATCATGAAAAATTATGAACATGCTTGAAACAAATGAAAAAATAGTTTTAGCAAATAAATAGAAAGTCTCAACAAAGAGACATTCATATAGAAGATATTAAGAAGAACTAAATGGACAATTTAGAACTGAAAATACAATAACTGAAATAAAAATCTCAGTGGATGGACACAGTAGCAGAATGGGCAGGAGAACAAAAATAATTAGTAAACTTGAAGATAGAACAATATAAATTATCTAATCTGAGCAACAAATTGATTGAACAAAATGAAAACAGCTTCAGAGATATGTGGAACTATAACAAAGGATTTAATGTTTATGTCATTACAGTCCTTAAAAAAGAAGAGAAAGAGGATTGGGCTGAAAAAACATTAAAAGAAATAATGGCTGAAAATTTCCCAAAGTTGGCAAAAACACATAAACCTAAATGTTTAAGAAGCTGATCAAACCCCAAACAGGTGAAACTCAAAACCATCCATGCTCACACATATCATAGTCACATGTCTGAAAAAAAAAGACAAATTTAAAATCTCAAAAGCAGCCAGAGAGAAATGACACATTACCCATAAGAAAAAAAAATCAAGAACAACAAATTTGAATGACAGTAGATTTCTCATCAAAAGCCATGAAGACCAGAAGGAAATGACACAATATTTTTTAAGAAAATGCTGAAAGAAAAGTTCAACCCAGACTTTTATATTTAGTGAAAATATCCTTCAGAGATGATGGAAAAATGAAGACATTTTCAAATGATAGAAAACTAGGAAAATTTGCTGCCAGCAGACATACCCTAAAAGAATGGTAAAGAAGTTCTCTAAACAGAAGAATATGGTGAAAGAAGGAATACTGGAACATCAAGAAGGAAGGAAGAACGTGGAAAAAATAAAAATATTGGTAAATAAAATAGACTTCCCTTCTCTTCCTGAGTTTTCTAAATGATGTTTGACAGCTGAATAAAAGTTACAAGAATCTCTAATGTGGTTCTCTGTGTAGAGGAAATATCTAAGAAATATTATAAATGTGGGAAATATTATAAATGTGGGAGAGTAAAAGGATATAAAAAGAGGTAATATTTTTATACTTCTCTCAAGCTGGTAAAAAGTTGAAACCAGTAGACTGTAATACGTTATTTATATATAACATAAAGACTATAGCAACCACAAAAAGAAAAGCTATACAAAGAGATTAGCACAAAAATACTATTGATAAATAAAAATGGAATCCTAAAATATGTTCAAGTTAAGCACAGGAAGGCAGGAATGAAAAAGTAAAAATAGGAATATGACAGAAAACAAAATACAAAACGGCAGACTTAAGCCTTAATATACCAATAATTACATTAAATCACATTGTCTAAATACACCAATTCAAAGAAGGATATTTGCAAAGTGAATGAAAAAGACATGAACTAACTACAAGAAACACTTCAAATAAAATGATATGCGTAGGGTGAAAGTAAAATGATGGGAAAAGATACCATGCAAACAGTAGCCAAAAGAAAGCAGGGCTAGTGATAGTCACATCAGACCAAGTAAACTTCAGAGCAAAGAAAATTACCAGAGACAGAGAGGACATTACATAACGATAAAAGAGTCCATCCACCCCTTTATATGAACTGTGTATGCCCCAAAGAGCAGAGCTGCAAAATATAAAAAGCAAAAACTGAAAGAAGAAATAGGCAAATCCACAATTATAAACGTATTACAGTCTACTGGTTTCAATAAATCCACAATTTGTTTGGAGTCAGACTCCAAACAAACAAACAAAAAACCTAGAGCTAACATTATACTTAATGGTGAAAAGCTGAATGCTTTCTTCCTTAATATTGGGAATAAGGCAAGGATGACTTTTCTCACTGGTCTTCAACATAGTACCAGAAGATCTAGTCAGCAAAATAAGGCAAGAGAAGGAAATGGAAAAAACAAGCAGATCAGAGAGGAAGAAATAAAATTGTCCGTTCTTCTTTTCTTGCATATGACATGATGGTCTATATTGAAAAATCCAAGGAATCTACTGAAAACAAAAACAAACACAACACAAAACTCCTAGAAATAATATCTGAGTTCAGCAACTTTGCAGAATGCAGAATAATTTGTAAAAATCATTTTTATTACATATACTATCAATGAATTTGTGAAAACCAAAATTAAAAATACAATACTGTCCAGTAACAATGGCTCACACCTGTAATCCCAGCACTTTGGGCAGCAAGGCAGGAGGATCAGGAGTTTGAGGCCAGCCTGGGCAACATAGCAAGATCTCATATCTATTAAACATTCTAAAAACATAGCCAGGTGTGGTGGTGTGTTCCTGTAGTCCCAACTCCTTGGGAGGCTGAGGCAGAAGGAACACTTGAGCCCAGAAGGTTGAAGCTGCAGTGAGCCATCATCATGCCACTGTACTCTAGCCAGGTCAACAGAGTGATACTCTGTCTCAAAAAAAAAAGAGAAGGGTGCAGCAAGATGGCAGAATAGAAGACTCCACCAGTTGTTCTCCCTGCACAGACACCAATTTCACACCTATCTGCACATAAAGAAAAAAAGCACTTTAGTAAGAACCAAAAATTGGGTGAGCACTCACAGTAACTGGTTTTAACTTCATATTGCTGAAAGAGGCACTACAGAGGTAGGAAAAAGTCTTGAATTGCCAATGCCACTCCTCCTCCATCCACCAGTAGCCACCGTGCGGCACCAAGAGAATCTATGTGCTTGGGAGAGGGAGAATGCAGCAATTTTGAGACATTGCATTGAACTCAGTGCTGCTCTGTTATAGCAGAAAGCAAAACCAGAACAAACTCAGCTGACACCCGCCCACAGAGAGAATATGTAAGCCAGTTCTAGCCAGAGGAGCATTGCCTATCCTAGTGGTCAGAAATTGAGTTCTGGTAAGGCTCACTATCTCAGGCTGGAGTGCCCTGGGGCCCTGATTAAGCTTGAAAAGCAGTTTATGCCACAAGGACTGTAACTACTAGGCAAGTCCTAGTGCTGAACTGGGCTAAGAGCCAGTGGACTCAGGGGGATGGGTGGGGGGTGGGGAATGTAACATACTAAGACACCAACCAGGGTTGCTAGGGGAGTGTTGGTGCTACCCTTCCCTAACACCAGGCTGCATAGATATCAGCTCTAAAAGAGACTTCTTCCTTCCACTTGAGGAGAGGAGAGGGAAGAGTGGGGAGGACTTTTTCTCACATCTTGGATATCAGCTCAGCCACAGTAGGATAGGGCACTGGTCAGAGGTCTTCATTCCAGGCCCTAGCTCCCAGAAGACATATCTAGACACACCCTGTGACAGGAGAGAACCTGCTGCCTTGACAGGAAGGACACAGTCCTGGCAGGCTTCATCACCTGCTAACTGAAGAGTCCTTGAGCCCTGAATAACAAGCAGCAATACTCAGGTATTATGTCGAGGGCCTTGGGTGACACTGAGACTTGTTGGCTTCGGGTGAGACTCAGTACATTCCCAGCTATGGTGGCCATAGAAAGAGATCCCTCCTGCTTGAGAAAAGTGGAGGGAAAAGTAAAGGGGTCTTTGTCTTGCACTGTAAGTACTAGCTCTGCCACAGGGGGTAGAGCACAAAGCAGGCTTTGGGGTCCCTGATTCCATGCCTTGGCTCTTGGATGGCATTTCTGGACCTGCCTTGGGACAGAGGGGAGCCCACTGCCTTGAAGGGAGAGTCCCAGGCAGGAAACATTCACTAAAAGGTAACTGAAGAGTCTTTGGGGCTTAAAGGAACATCAGTGGTAGCCTGGCAGTAATCCCCATGGACCTGTGATGATGCTGGCCAGGGGATGAGGCTCCTCCACTTTTGTAAATACACTTCACCTATAAAGGCACACACAGAGTGTAAAAAAAAACAACTGGAAAAAGATATCCCATGCCAATGATAAAGGGGTCAATTCAGCAAGAGGATATAACAATTTGAAATATATATGCACCCAACACTGGAGCACCCAGATATATAAAGCAAATATTATTAGAGCTAAAGAGAGAGATAGACATCGGTACAGTAATAGCTGGAGACCTTAACATCCCACTTTCAGCACTGGACAAATAATCCAAACACAAAATCAACAAAGAAACATCAGACTTAACCTGCCCTATAGACCAAATGGGCCTAACAGATAATTTACAGAACATTTCATCCAACGCCAGCAGAATACACATTCTTTTCTTAAACACAAGGATCAATCTTAAAGATAGACTATATGTTAAGTCACAAAACAAGTCTTAAAACATTTAAAAAATTAAAATAATAGCAAGCTCCTTCTCTGACTACAATGGAATAAAATTACAAATCAATAACAAGAGTAATTTTAGAAACTATACAAAGACATGGAAATTAAACAATATGCTCCTGAATGACCAGTGGGTTCATGAAGAAATTAAGATGAAAATTGAAAAATTTCTTGAAACAAATGATAATGGAAACACAACATACCAAAACCTATGGGGTACAGCAAAAGCAGGATAAGAAAAGAAGTAATAAAGATGAGAGCAGAAATAAATGAAAGTGAAGTGAAGAAAACAATACAAAAGATCAATGAAACAAAAAAGTTGTTTTTTTGAAAAGTTAAACATAACTGACAAACCTATAGCCAGACTTATAAAAAAAGCGGGGAGGGGAGAGGACCCAGATAAATAAAATCAGAGATGAAAAAAAGAGATATTACAACTGACATTGCAGAAATTCACAGGATCATTAGTGGCTACTGTGAACAAGTATATGCTGATAAATTTAAAAATCTAGAAGAAATGGACACATTCCTAGATACATACAATCTACCAAGATTAAACCAGGAAGAAATCCAAAACCTGAACAAATCAATAACAAGTAATGAGATCAAAGCTGTAATAAAAACTCTCTCAGCAGAATAAAGCCTGTGACCCAATGGCTTCACTGCTGAATTCCACTAAACATTTAAAGAAAAACTAATACCAATCCTACTCGAACTATTCCAAAAAATAGAGGAGGGAATACTTTCTTTTTTTTTTTTTTTTTTTTTTATTATACTCTAAGTTTTAGGGTACATGTGCACATTGTGCAGGTTAGTTACATATGTATACATGTGCCATGCTGGTGCGCTGCACCCACTAATGTGTCATCTAGCATTAGGTATATCTCCCAATGCTATCCCTCCCCCCTCCCCCGACCCCACCACAGTCCCCAGAGTGTGATATTCCCCTTCCTGTGTCCATGTGATCTCATTGTTCAATTCCCACCTATGAGTGAGAATATGCGGTGTTTGGTTTTTTGTTCTTGCGATAGTTTACTGAGAATGATGGTTTCCAATTTCATCCATGTCCCTACAAAGGATATGAACTCATCATTTTTTATGGCTGCATAGTATTCCATGGTGTATATGTGCCACATTTTCTTAATCCAGTCTATCATTGTTGGACATTTGGGTTGGTTCCAAGTCTTTGCTATTGTGAATAGTGCCGCAATAAACATACGTGTGCATGTGTCTTTATAGCAGCATGATTTTTACTTTCAAACTCATTCTATGAGGTCAGTATTACCCTGATACCAAAGCCAGACAAAGCCACATCAAAAAAACAAAATACAACAAACAAACAAACAAACAAAAACAAAAAACAAAAACCCTACAGGCCAATATCTCTGATGAATACTGATCAAAAATCCTCAAGAAAATTCTAGCAAACCAAATTTAAAAATATATTAGAATGATCATTCATCATGACCAGGTGGGATTTATCCCTGGGATGCAAGGATGGTTCAACATGCACAAATCTATCACTGTGATACATCATATCAATATAATAAAGGATAAAAACCATATAATCATTTCAATTGGTGCTGAAAAAGCATTTCATAAAATTCAACACCCCATTCATGATGAAAACTATCAAAAAACTGGGTATTGAAGGAACATGCCTTAACATAATAAAAGCCATATACAACAGACTGAGAGCTAGTATTTTTTTTTTTTTTGAGACAGAGTCTCATTTCTTCACCCAGGCTGGAATGCAATGGTGCAATCTTGGCTCACCTCCACCTCCACCTCCTGGATTGAAGCAATTCTCCTGCCTCAGCCTCCCAAGTAGCTGGGATTACAGGCACGTGCCAGCACGCCTGGCTAATTTTTGTTTTTTTAGTAGAGATGGGGTTTCACCATGTTGGCCAGGCTAGTCTCAAACTCCTGACCTCAAGTGATCCTCCTGCCTCAGCGTGCCAAAGTGCTGGGATTACAGGCGTGAGCCACCGCACCCGGCCAAGAGCTAGTATTATACTGAATGGGAAAAAACTGAAAGCCTTTTCTCTAAGATCTGGAACATCATGAGGATACTTACTTTTACAACTGTTATTCAGCACAGTACTGGAAGTCCTAGCTAGAGCAATCAGACAGGAGAAATAAATAAAGGGCATCCCAATTGGAAAGGAAGAAGTCAAATTATCCTTGTTTGCAGATAATATGATCTTTTACTTGGAAAAACCTAAAGACTCCACAAAAAAAGTATTGGAACAGATAAACACATTCAGTAAAGTTGCAGGATATAAAATCGACATACAAAAATCAGTAGCATTTCTATATGTCAACAGTGAAGAATCTGGAAATCAAGAAAGTAATCACATTTATAATAGCTACAAATAAAATAAAACACCTAGGAATTGACCAAAAAAGCAAAAGATCTCTACAATGAAAATTCTAAAACATTGATGCAAGAAATTGAAGAGGACATACATACACACACACACACACACAAGCACACACACACACACACACAAATAGATTCCATGTTCATAGAAGAATCAGCACTGTTCAAATGTTCATACTGCCCAAAGAAATATACAGATTTAATGCAATTTCTATCAAAATACCAATTATGTTCTCCTCAGAAATAGAAAAAATTATTTTCAAATGTATATGGAACCACAAATGACCCAGAATAGCCAAAGCTACACTAAGCAGAAAGAAGAAAACTGGAGGGATTGCATTACCTGACTTTGAGTTATACTACAGAGCTATCATAATCAAAATGGCATGGTACTGGCATGAAAATGAACAAATAATTAATGGAACAGAATAGAGAACCCAGAAGTACATCCATACATCTACAGTGAACTCATTTTCGACAAGTTTCCAAGAACATACATTTGAGAAAGGACTGTCTCTTCAATAAATGGTGCTGGGAAAATTGGATATCCACATGTAGAAGAACGAAACTAGAACCCTACCTCTCAGCATATACAAAAATTGAATCAACATGGAAGACTTAAATCTAAGACCTCAAACTATGAAACTTCTACAAGAAAACATTGGGTAAAATCTCCAGATCATTGGATTGGGCAATGTCTTCTTGAGCAATACCCCACAAGCACAGGCAGCCTAAACAAAAATGAACAAATGGGATCACATCAAGTTAAAAAGCTTCTGCACAGCAAAGGACACAATCATCAAAGTGAAGAGAGAACCCACAGGCTGGGAGAAAATATTTGCAAACTACCCATCTGAAAAGGATTAATAATTAGAATATATTAGGAGCTCAAACAACTCTACAGAAAAAAATCTAATAATCTGATTTTAAAATGGGCAAAAGATTTGAATAGACATTTCTCAAAAGAAGACATACAAATGGCAAACAGTTATATAAAAACATGTTCAACCTCATTGATCATCAGAGAAATGCAAATCAAAACTACAATGAGATATCATCTCACCCCTGGGAAAATGGCTTATATCCTCAAAACAAGCAATAACAAATGCTGGCAAGGATGCGGAGAAAAGGGAACCCTCATTCACTCTTGGTAAGGGTGTATATTAGTAGTACCACCACGACGGAAAACAATTTGTATGTTCCTCAAAAAACTAAAAATAGAGCTACCATAAAATCCAGCAATTGCACTCTAAGTATACCTAAAAGAAAGGAAATCACTATATTGAAAAGATATCTGCACTGTCGTGTTTATTGCAGCACTATTCACAATAACCAAGATTTGGAAGCAATGTAAGTATTCATCAACAGACAAATGAATAAGGAAAATGTGGTACAGATACGCAATGGAGTTCTATTTAGCCATAAAAAAGAATGAGATCCTGTCATTTGCAACAACATGGGTGGAACTGGAGGTCACTATGTTAAGTAAAATAAGCCAGGCACAGAAAGACAAACATCATAAGTTCTCGCTTATCTGTAGGAGCTAAAAATTAAAACAATTAAATTCATTGCAATAGCAAGTAGAAGGATGGTTACCAGAGACTGGAAAGGGTAGCTGGGGAGGATGATGGGAAAAGGGAGGATGGTTCATGGGAGCAACAACAAAAAATAGAAATAATAAATAAGACAGTGTTTGCTAACCTAATAGGGTAACTATAGTAAAAATAATTTAGTTGTTCATTTAGAAATAACTAAAATGTTATAATTGGGTTGTTTGAAACTCAAAGGATGAATGCTTTAGGTGATGGATGTCCTATTTACCCTGATGTGATAATTATGCATTACATGCTCATATAAAAATAACACATGTAACCCATAAATATATACACCTACCATGTACCCACAAGAATTAACAATAAAAATTTTTAGAAAATACCATCTGCAGTAATTCAAAAAAGACCTTGAGGTACTTACATGTAAATCTAACAAAACATATACAGACTTGTATTCTGAAAACTACAAAATGCTGACAAAATAAATCAAAGGCTTAACTAAATGAAGAGATATACCATATTCATGACTTGGAAGACTCAGCATAGTAAAAGCTGTTTAGAGCAAAGGTTTGCTCTATGACTCTCTTCAAATTGATATACAGTTTAATGTAACTCCTATTAACATCCCAGCAAGATTTTGTGGACATAAACAAGATTATTCTAAAATTTTTATCAAAAGGCAAAATAACTAGAATAGCTGAAACAATTTTGGAAAAGAAGAATAAAGTGAAAAGAATCACTCTACTTGATACTAAAGTTTTCTATGTAGCTACAGTAATATAGTAAATACAGTAAAGGAATAGAAAACTCAGAAATAGTCCCACACAAGTAAGGCGAGTTGCAAAAGCAAATTAATGGAGAAAGGATAAACTTTTTAACAAATGATGCTGGAGCAATTGTATATCCATTGGCAAAAAAAAATGAACCTTATGCAAAAACTAACTCCACATTGATTATAGATATATATATAAAATGCAAAACTATAAACTTTTTAGATAATAAGAAAGGAGAGAATCTTCAGGGTGTGGGTCTAGGCAAAGAGTTCTTAGACTAGACACCAATAGCATGATGAAGACAAATCAAATTTGTAAATCTCATCCAAGATTAAAAACCTTTGCTCTATGACAGACTTCATTAAGAGGATGCAACAACAAGCTACAGATTGGAAGAAAATAGTTACCATATATATTTGACAATGGTTTGGTATCTAGAATATATAAAGAACCCTTTAAATTTAACACTAACAAAAAAAAACAGTTTAATTGGAAAATTGGTGAAAGATGTGAAGAGACATTTTACCAAATTGGATATATGGATAGCAAATAAACACATGAAAAGATGTTCAACATCACTGGAAATGTAATTAGGAACACAATGAGATATCAGTGCACATCTAATAGAAGAGCTAAAATTAAAAAACAGCGCAAAGTTCAAATGCTGAAAAAGATGTAGAGAAGCTAGATCTCTTAAACTGCTGGAGATAATGTAAAATGGTACAGCTATTCTGGAAAATAGTTTGGAAGTTTCTTAATGAGACATAAACTTACTATATAATCCAGCAAATGACACAAATTTATATGCACACATTGTACTAGTGTTTTATTCCTGGTTTTGATGTTGTACTAAAATTATGTCAGATAATCATGGGGAGAAACTAGTTGAAGGGTTCATGGGATCTTTCTGTGCTATCTTTGCAACTTCCTTTAAATCAACAATTACTTCAAAATAAAAATGTAAAAAAATTTCATGAATTGTCTTGCTTTAGAAAGTATAGAAAATCAAATAATCTTTCCCTAATTTTAAGTGTGTGTTATAGTGCCTTTCTGAAATTATTCCATATGTTGGCTTTTATTGCTCAAAATGATATAAATGAAAAATATATAGAAACAAAGGATTTGACAGAGTCAAGTACTAACCTAGGACTATAACCAGTGGTATGCTGGTAAATGTTATACAACCATCTTTCTTAGAGGAATAAGCCCTGATTTGTAGTGTTTGCCTATTTCTGTAGTGTAAATATTGCACCATGGCCAATTTCGAGTTACTAACATGAACTTCAACTAGCATATAACATTCCTAAAACTTTAATAATCAGCTCTGGTGAGTTGGGGTGAACTTGCTCCAGCATGCTACTGAAACTTTGTTGGAGTGTATTTGTATGTTTGTGTGTGTGTGTGTGTGTACGTGTGTTTAAATGACTAATTATTAGTTTTCTTAGCATTTATCCCTTTTCTTTAAAACCTAAGCATAGTCAAAGAATGAACCTGAGATATCAGTTCCTGGTAATTGCATTTGGATTAAGACAATGAAGTATTCATATAGCAGAGCCTCATAGAATCAGCAATTTTAGAAAATCTAAATAAAAAGTTTGCTTTTACCAGGTGCTCAAATAACTGTGTGAAATGAAGAGCATCAAAGTGAAGTTCATTACTGGAGCTGTTGGAACCTGCCCATGCATTGACTGGGCACCATTCAGTGCCAGAGATCTGTTATATTGAGGGATAATTTCAGAAGAGGGATTTTCTATACCCCTTTCATTATCATCAGGAGGCTTTCACTTAGACAAAAGGTTTTTGTAATGTTCCTGGCCAATTAGAGTCCATACTGTTATAATGAGTTAAAATCAGATTTATCTAAAATTCTAAAGATGAAACAATGTTGTCCCAGCATGGAACTTTATTTTTCAAAGGGATTATACAGGCCTATTCCCCTACCACTTAATTGGCAAGTTGGTGTTTCCCCTGGTTGTAATTGCATGGTCTTAGCCTTCCCTCGAGTGACCAAGGCAGATTATGTGTGTTGGTGCCTAAATCACAGATGAATGCCAGGTTAAAGTCTGGGCCTAGGGGACTAGGTATTAGGTCCTATCATCAACTTCTAACGATCATTACTTCAGTTTACAGAAGTTCCAAGGGGACCTTCTCCATTTTCATGGGCTTTAAACAGCAGTGGACTAGGAAAGCTTGCATGCCAATCCTAGCTTCACCATTTTCCACCAGGCAAGTTGCACTCAGACCTGCATTTTCTTCATTTGTAAATGAAGCAACTCTGAGGCCTGCACTCCTGCCCACCTCAAGGGGCTGTTGCAAGGGTCAAGTAAGAATATATGTGAAAACTTGTGTCACCTGAAATTTGCCATATAAATGTAATTATAAACATCTCACAATATAGGTCTCTATAAATGTCATCTCTAAAAAGAAATCTTGCCTGGCCACTCTATCTAAAATAGTCCTCCCACAATCAATCACTCTGCTTTATTATCTTAACTTAGCTGTTCCTGACACTAGAATGAAAGATCTATGAAAGCAGAGCTTTATATTATGCATCACTGAATTCTTAAATCCTACAACTTGCCTTGTAGAAAGTAACCTTCCATCCATATTTATTCAATGAATGAATAAATGAATGGATAAGGTAGTATTTAATTTTTGTTGAATGTTCATAAGCCACTCATTATGCATACAATAGTATCTCACAATTCTTTAAATGCAAGTGTAATCAATTTATGGAATTGGCTGGATTTGGTACAACACAAAATAAAGCAAGCAGCTTTATTCTATGCCCACTAGTGGCTCCTTTAAGGAAGGAATGCATAAAAGAGAGCTTAGAGTTGATATTGTTCATGTTTCTCTTGACTGTTGAACACCCTCTCTCTTGTTAGGCATTTGAATCTTAAGTCTGTCATGAGATGCATTGGTGAAAACTATCACACTATACCTTTATTCCGATGTGGGCAATAAACTTTCTGGCAGACCTCTTTTATAATATGCCCTCATCTCTTGCTTCCAGGGGACTGCTCACAGCCTCTTTTCCTATGGGGTCTCTTTGCCACAGCAGATAGCCTTTTTGGGTGTGGTTATTTCAAGAATATTTTCCATGGCAAAGACTTAACCTTGCTTCCCAAATGGTGGCAGTGTGGTTTGACCCAATGCTGATCCTTCCTTCCATGGTATGCCATCATGAGCTACTTTACTAATATTAATCCTCACATGCATCCCAAACTTCTGGGGCACATGTGAGGCATCAGTTATCTATTGCTGTGTACAAATTTTGTAGGTTTAAACACTCTAAAACTTACTAAGTTAAAACAACCACTATTTATTTGCTCAAAATTCTGTGGGTTAGCAATTTGGGATGCGCCCAGAAGCATAGACTTTTGCTGCTCTTACCTATGACTACATAGCTATCATCATCTGGTGGCTTGACTGGGGCTGGATGGTCTCACAAAACCTCACTCACATGTCTGGCAGTTCGTGTTGAATGTTGGCTGGGCCTCATACCTCCAAGTCATCTCTCATCTTCCAGCAGACTATCCTAGGTTTCTTCACATGATGTAACATTTCAAGATGGGAAGTTTTAAAGCACAAACCCTTTCTAAGCTTCTACTTGTGTCTTGCTTCTGATTTCTCATGTCTGAAAGCAAGTCACATAATTAAGCCCAGAGTCAGTGTGAGAGGAGTCTAGAAAAGGGCATAGATTCAGGGAAGTATGATTCATTGGGGGGGTGGGGGGTGGGGGTGTGCATTACTGTAACAACATGGGGTTTACCTAAAATTAGTGGTGTTCTAGAGCTGAGAGCTAATTGTACACATATCCTCCCAATTTTAAATCAGTGACTTCAGGCTTGTAGCTCGAAATTGGACATAATGGGAATAATAACAGCACAGAAATTAAAACATGCTACAAGTTATCCCCCCACAGAAACTTCTGGAAAGCAACTTGTTAAACACTTATTAGCAGACCATTGCTTAAACCACTCTGGAAACAGCATTAGGCATGTCTTTGAGAGTCTGTGGCTCCTCTTGTAGAAAGCAGTACCTCACCAAGTGCTTCTCTTGAGATTCCAAATTTAAACGGTCAGGAGGAAACCCCTATTTTTTCCCACAGGAGGGGGAAATGCTAGATTTCTCTTCTTTTCTGTAACTTCCCTTCAATGATCACACTAAAGACTTTCTAGTTTTTTTGGATGTATTCTGAAGATTGTAATAGGATAGCTAACTGAAAGACCACTTAGTCTATGTCTTAGCAAATCTTGAGAAGCTGTTCCTTGTGGAGGTCTTGTCCTCAGCTTTGAGGCATTAACGAAAACTCTGTGCCAATAGGATCTATCTTATTCCATATCCTCTCACCTATCCTGTTACACAAAATTTTCCTGAGCTACACACATATCCGATTTTTCTATATATTAATATAAACAATCCATACTGAAGGATATGTAGTCCATCCATCCTAGCAACACTAAATCTTATCCTTGAAACAAGCCAATGTTTCAGAGAGCAATAAATCTAAACTTTGGCATTATGCCATCACTCTATATGGATGCATACCTTATTTGAAAGAAAAACAGCTAAGAATTTACTACTCTATTTCTTCTCAGAGCATGGTGAAGGATATTGCTCACTGTTTCACCTGGTGCTTCCTGCATGGTCACCTGCAGGAAATGATGCCCCTGATGGCTCAGTGCCACTTGCTTCTGCTGAGAACTGAGTAGGTTTCATCTGAAGGACACCGTGAGAGTTGTAACAAATCAAGTTTTTCATTTAGTTCTGGTCATTGAAAAGCACGGAGAGAAGAAGGAGGAGTGGAGCAAGATGGCAGAATAGGTCTTTCCAGCAATCATCCCCACAAAGAAACATCAATTTAAATAACTATCCATGCATGAAAAGAGCTTTGCAAGGGCTCCAGAAACCAGGTGAGAGATCCCAGTACCTGGTTGTAGCATAATAACAGAAAAAATACTTTTTAGAGAGTAGGAAGGACAGTTTTTCATTACCCTCATTATCCCTCTCCCAAGCCCAGAAAGCACAGCACTGAGCTATTTTCCACTTGGGAGGAAGACAGGGGAGTGAGCATAGGACTTTGCCTTGGACCCCAGCACTGGTCTAGCCACTGTAAAACCCAGCACTAGGCAGACACTCACAGCCCCATTACTCCAGGCCATTACCCATAAACTATTTTCAGACCTGCCCTGATACCACACAGCCCCAGGCTTCAGGCTTCAAGCTTGTGTGGCAGAACTCTGTCTCTGGCCTACATGACTGCTGGGCGAACTTCAGTGGCCCTGAGCTCTGAAGAGCCTTCAGTGGGAGGCAGGTCTCAGTGGCTCTGGGCTCCAGGTGTGCTCCAGCACTGCACTAGCTACAGTGCTCTTGGGCTTTGGATATGCCTCAGTGCCATGCCAGATACAGGTGTCCTGGGCTTCAGACCTGCCATAGTGAACTGCTGCTGCAGGAACCTCAGGCTTCTGGTGCATTCCAGTGCTACAATGGCCACAGCTGCCACTTCTGGTGTGCCACAGGGCTGTTCCCCCTGCAATGATCTGGACTTTAGGATCGTGCCAGATAGCCTGTCCATAATCTCTAGATGGGATGAGTATTGAAGGGCTTTCCCAGCAAAGCCAGTCCTTGTAGACTGAAATAATTACCTACTTCTTAAAATACACAGATATCAACACATGACCACGTGATCAAGAACAGTCAGGAAACAGGATATTATCACTAAAGGGACAAAGTAAAGTGTTAGTGACTGACCCTAAAGAAATGGAGATATATGAACTTCCTGATGAAGAAATGCAACTAATTCTTTGAAAGATGTTTGGTGAACCTCAAGAAAATGTAGAGAAGCAATCCAACAAAATGAGAAAAAAAATAAGTGATGAGAAAGGAAAATTTAATAGGTATTGAAATAATAATAATAAAACAAATTCTGGAGCTGAAAACTACAATAAAAAATGAAAAATTCAACAGAGAGCATCAACAGTAGAACTGATCGAACAGAAGAAAGATTTCATGAACTCATTACAAGTTATTTGAAAATATACAGTCAGAGGAGATCAAAACAACTGAAAAGGAATTAAGAAAGTTTACAGGATTTATGAAAGAGCATCAGAAGAGCAAGTTTTGAGTGATAAAAATTTAAGCAGGATACAAGAAAGATAAAGGGGTAGGAAGCTTATTTAAAGAAGTAGTAGAAGAAAGTTTTGCAAACCTAGAAAAAGATGCAAATATCTAGGTTCAAGAAGGTCAGAGATCTTCAACCATATTCAATCCTAATAAGACTACATCAAGACATAATCATATCGCCAAAAATCAAAGACAAAGAAAGGATCTTGAAAGCAGCAAGAGAAGAGAAGCATTTGATATATATGGGAGTTCAATATGGCTAGCAGTAGACTTCTCAGCTTAAACCTTACAGGCCAGGAGATAGTGGGATTATATATTCAAAGTGCTGAAGGAAAGAAAATATCAACCAAGAATATTGTATCCAGAAAATTTGTCCTTCAGAAATGAAAAAGAGGTATAGACCTTGTCCTAGACAAACAGAAGCTGAGGAAGTTTATCAACACCATACCTGTCTTAGAAGAGATGCTAAAGGGAGTTCAAGCTGAAACAAAATGACATTAATGAGCAACACAAAAACATCTGAAAGTATACAACTTATTGGTAAAAGTATACAGACAAATTCAGATTACTCTAACACTATAAGAGTGGTGCGTAAATAACATATCTTTAATATGAAGGTTAAAAGGCAAAAGTATTTAAAATAATAATAGCTACCATAATTTGTTAAGGGATATGCAATATAAAAAGATGTAAATGGTGATATAAAAACTTCAAAATGTGGAGGGGGAAGTGGAATATAAAGATAGGAGTTTTTGTAATCAGAGGTTAAGTTGTTACCAGCTTAAAATAACCAGTTAATTACAAGATGCATTTTTGACCTTACAGACATATACAAAACATTCCATCCAACGGCAACAGAATACACATTCTTCTCAACACATGGAACGTTCTCCAGCATAGATCAATATGGTAGGCCACAAAACAAATCTTAACAAATTCGAGAAGATTTAAATAATACCAAGTATCTTTTCTGAACACAGTGATATAAAAGTAGAAGTCAATAGCAAGAGGAATGTCAAAAAATTCAACAAATTCACAGAAATTAAACAAAATGCTCTAGAACAATCAATGGGTCAATGAAGAAATTAAAAATTTTAAGACAAATGAAAATAAAAACACAACATACAAAAACTTATGGGATACACCAAAAGCAGTACTAAGAGGAAAGTTTATGGCAATAAATGCCTACATCAAAAAAGAAGAAAGATCTCAAGTAAACAATCTAATGTTGCACGTAAAGGAACTAGAACAACAAAAACAAATTAAGACCAAAGTTAGTAGAAGAAAGGAAATAATGAAGATCAGAGCAGAAATAAATGAAATAGAGAGGAGAAAAAGAGTAGAAAAATCAACAAAACTAAGAGGTGTTTTTAAAAAGATAAACAAGGCCGGGCATGGTGGCTCACAACTGTAATCCCAGCACTTTGGGAGGCTGAGGTGGGCGGATCACCTGAGGTCAGGAGTTTGAGACCAGCCTGGCCAACATGATGAAACCCCTTGTTTCTACTAAAAATACAAAATTAGCCAGGCATGGTAGCCTGTAATCCCAGCTACTCAGGAGGCTGAGGAAGGAGAATCGCTTGAAACTAGGAGGTGGAGGTTGCAATGAGCTGAGATCGCACCATTGCACTCTAGCCTGGGCAACAAAAGTGAAACTCCATCTAAAAAAAAAAAAAGATAAACAAAATTGACAATCCTTTAGCTAGAGTAAGGAAAAATGAAGGCTCAAATAAAGTTAGGTATTAAAAAGGAGACATTATAGTTGATACCACAGAACTACAAAGGATTGAGGAGGCTTCAAGATGGCTGACTAGAGGTACCCCACACTTATCTCCTCCTCAAAGAAAGGCCAAAACAGCAAGTAGAGGATCACACATCTAATTGAGTTTCTAAGAGAGAACGCTGGAATTCAGCAAGGAAATGATAGAGGACCTCTGAGGCACAAAAGAGAGTGAAGTGAAGTAGCCAGCCTGACCAGGATCAGATTTGAGCCAGGAGGAACTCCCCAGCATGGCGAAAAGATAAGTGAGAGACCCCGTGTGGTCCACATTCCCACCACAGACTTCTGCAGTCCTAGCCACGAGAGAGCTCCTCAGCCTTCTGGGCACTAAGACCCGTATAGGGAGCTGCCTAGAGTTCACATGACAGCAATGTTCCAGAGAAGGAGTTTTCTCTGTGTTCCACCCCCCCATCCCCCTGAGACCCAAGCAGCTGCAGCAAGGCTCCATTTTGAGAGCTCAGCCCCCACAAAACTACAATCTTCCCCGGAGTCCAGTGCCCCTGCATCTCTACATCCCTGTAGCCCTGTTAACATCCCCCATATCCACCCAGGGGCCTGTAGCATCATGATGCCAGCTGGATCCAGCAGGGTGGCCAATTCCCCAGCACTCTAGTACACACAGTGTCCTACACTCCAGGGAACAAGAGGTGCAGTGCACCAAAGAGTCTCCCCCAGGACAAAGGGAGCCAAAGCCTGTGCTCCCCAGAGCCTGAGAGTCACCTACTCAGAGCTTCTGCCACTGACAGCAGCTCTGCCACATCCAGTGACAAGGCTGCCATGCACCTACATGCACCTTCAGGAGTCCGGGGACTGGCCTGCTTATATACCATCCTGGGGCCTGAGGACAAGCCTGCCCTCCTTGCTACTGCTGGTGCCCACATGTGCCAGACTTGTATAGGGCAGCTCCCTATACAAGTCTCCCACCCAGGGGCATGAAGACAGGCCTGTCCCCCACACTGCCACTGCCTCCAGTGCCCAAACATGCTGTCTGGGGACCTGGTGATCCATCTGCCCCACCAACTTCAGCTGGTCCCTGCATGCACCATCAGTGGGCCTAAGGATAGGCTCACTCTGCCTGCTGCCACCACCAGTGCCTTCACACATAATCTAGAGGACTGAAGCCTGGCCTACTCCATCTACTACCGCCACTGCTGGCACCCACGTGCGTTGCCCAGATGGAGATTGTACCCATCCCACCCACCACTTCCAGCACCCATGCATGTTTTCCAGGGTCCTGAGGATGGGACTGTCCCACCTGCTGCCATCACCCATGTGCACTGTTTGGAGACCTGGGGATAAGACTTCCCTGCCTGCCGCCAATTGTGCACTTGTGCATCATCCAGGGGCATAAGGATGGACCAACCCAGCACATCACTGGCACCTATATGTGCCTCCTGGGGACCCAAAGACCAATCCACCAAACATGCCACTGCCATTGCTGGTGCCCACTTGCACCACCAAGAAGCCCAAGAGTTAGCCTATTGCTGGTATAGCCACTGCCAATGTCATGTGTGCTGCCCAGGAGAGCGAGAACACAACTGTCCAGCCCATCACTGACACCACCACCACCTGAGCATGCCACCTGGAGGCTCAAGGACTAGCCCACCCAGGCCTGCCATTGCCAATGCCTTCATATGCTACCTAGGGACCTAAGGATCTGCATGTGTGGCCCACCACTGGCACCACCAGTGCCTGAGGACTGGCTTGCCTGGTGGCCCTGTCCTCAATGAAGACTTGCCACAGCCTCCACTAACGACTGCAGCCTAAGCCACTGAGGAACTCACAGATACCACTGATGCTATTTACAGCTGAAGAAATCATATGGAAACTAGACTACTGTATCCACCCAAAATCAAAGACGAGGTCCTTTACCTAACCCACACTCTCAATACATCTGTAGGAAAATGTATTTCTCTATGTGTCAGTTTATTCTTGCATCTCTATAAAGAAATACCTGGGACTGGGTAATTTATAAAGAAAAGAAGTTTAATCGGCTCACAGTTCTGCAGGCTTTACAGAAATAGCGTCTTCTGCTTCTGGGGAGGCCTCAGGAAGCTTCCAATCATGGCAAAAGGCAAAGAGGGGAGATTACACGTCATATGGCAAAAGCAGGAGTAAGAGAGAGAGGGGAGGGGAGGTGCCACACACTTTAAATGACCAGGACTCACGAGAACTCACTCGGTATTGTGAGAACAGTACCAAGAGGATGGTACTAAAGAATTCATAAGAATTCCACCCGCATGATCCAATCACTTCCCACCAGGCCCCACCTCCAACATTGGGGATTACAATTCAACATGAGATTTGGTAGGGACACAGATTTAAACCATATCTCCCTATAAAATGGAAAGAAGTGACTGTTACACTAGTTGTGCAGATATCAACATAAGGATACAAGAAACATGGAAAAAGCAAGTAAACATGACACCCTCAGAGAAACACAGTAATTCTCCAGTAACAGATCGCAAAGAAAGGGAAATCTATGAAATGCCTGAAAAACAATAAAAAATAATGATATTAAAAATATCTCAGTGAAATATAAGAAAACAATCAAGAGCTCCAATCAATAAACTAGGTCAATCAGAAGAAAGAATTTCTGAACTTCAAGAAAGGTCTTGTAAAATATCTCAGTCAGATAAAGAAAAACAGGAAAAAGGAATAAAAAAGAATAAATAAACCCTACAAGACACATGGGATACCATAAAGCAACCACATATTTGAATGTTGGGAGTTCCAGAAGGAGAAGAGATGGGCAAGGGAGTAGAATATTTAACAAAACAATAGCTGAAAACTTCCCAAGTCTTGTAAGAGATATAGACATCTTGATACAGGAAGCTCAAAGATCTGCAAATAGATTCAAACCAAAAAGGTCTTCACCAAGGTACATTACAGTTAAATTGTCAAAAGTCAAAGACTTCAAACAGAAAAAGAAATAAAGTCTTTCACAGAGAAGGAAAAACTTAGGGAATTCATCACCACTAGACTGGCCCCAAAAGACATGCTTAAGGGAGCCTTACATCTGGATGCAAAAGGATAATATAAACAATCATAAAACCAGAGGACAGTGTAAAACTTACTGGTTAGAGCAGATATGCAAACGATAAAGAGAAAAGAGTCAAAGAGTATTACTAAAACATCCCACCAAATCATGAAGGTAAACAATAAAAGAGGAAGAAAGGAAAAAATGATATACAAAATAATCAGAAAACAATAAAAAATGATGGAAGCAAGTTCTCACCTAACAATAACAACCTTGAATGTAACTATTAGGTTGGTGCAAAAGTAATTTCAGTTTTTGCCATTACTTTTAATGACAAAAACAGCAATTCCTTTTGCAAAAATTCCCCAGTTACAAGATGTAGACTGGTTGAATGAATAAAAAAAATACAAGACCCAACTGTATGCTGCCTTAAGAAAATCAATTCACCTTAAAGACATACATAAACTGAAAGTGCAGGCATGGAAAGAAAAATATTCCACACTAACAAAAAACAAAAGCATGAAGGAGTAGCTATATTTGTATCAGATAAAATAGACTTTAAGTCAAAAAGTATAAAAAGAGAAAAAGACCAAATGGACCTAATAGACGTTTACAGAACATTTCATAGCTACAGAATACACATTCTTCTCCTCAGCATATGGAACATTCTCCAGGATAGACCATATGTTGGTACACAAAATAAATCTCAACAAATTTTTAAAAATCAAAATCATATCAAATATCTTCTTATCTTCTCAGACCACAATGAAATAAAACTAGAAATAAATAACAAGAAAGCAATCTCATTTAAAATAGCTACAAACAAAATAAAGTACCTAGGAGTAAATCTAACCAAGGAGGTGAAAAATCTCCACAGTGGAAACTATAAAACACTCATAAGGCTGGGGATAGCGGCTCACATCTGTAATCCTGGCACTTTGGGAGGCCAAAGCAGGAGGATTGCTTGAGGCCAGGAGTTTGAGATCAGCCTGGGCAACATAGAAAAACCCAGTCTCTACAAAAAAATTAAAAATTAGCTTGGTGTTGTGGCACATGCCTGTAGCCCCAGCTACTTGGGAGGCAGAATGATTGCTTGAGTCCAGCAGGTTGAGGCCACAGTGAGTCGTCATCATGCCACTGCACTCCAGCTTGGGTGACAAGAGTGAGACCTTGTCTATATTAAAAAAAAAAACACGAATGAAAGAAATTGAAGAGAATATAAGCAAATGGAAAGACATCTCATGCTCATAGATCAGAAGAATTAATATTGTTAATGACCATACTGTGCAAAGCAATCTACAGATTCAGTAAATCTGTATCAAAATAACAATGTCATTTTTCACAGAAACAGGAAAACTAATCTACAAAAGACCCCCAAAAATAGCCAAAGCAATCCTGAGCAAAATGAAAAAAGCTGGAAATATCACATTATCTGACTTCAAAAGGTACTATAAAGGCTGATTGTGGTGGCTCACGCCTGTAATCCAGCACTTTGGGAGGCGGAGGTGGGAGGATTGCTTGAGCCCAGGTGTTTGAGACCAGCCTGGGCAATACTGAGACTCCTGTCTCTATAAAAAAAAATTTTTAACTCCAAAATATACTACACAGCTATAGTAACCAAAACATCATGCTATTGGTATAAAAACAGATACACAGACCAATGGAACAGAATGGAGTACCCCAAAATAAATCCATGTATTTACAGCCAACTAATTTTCAATAAAGGTAGCAAGAACATACATTGGGGAAAAGGCATCCTCTTTAATAAATGGTGCTGAGAAAACTGTGTATCTATTTGCAGAATAATGAAACTAGGCCCCTATGTCTCACCATATACAAAAGTAAACTCAAAATGGATTAAAGATCTAAATGTAAGCCTCCAAATTATAAAACTACTATAAGAAAACATAGGGGAAATGCTTCAGGACATGGGTTTAGGCAAAGATTTTATGGCTAAGACTTCAAAAGTACAGGCAAAAAAAAAAAAAAACACGAAAATAGACAAATGGGACTGTATTAATCTAAACAACTTCTACATAGCAAAGGAAATAACAGAATGAAGAGACAACCTATAAAATGGGAGAAAATATTTGCCAACTATTCCCCTGATAAGGAGTTAATATCCAAAATATATAAGGAACTCAAACAACTCAATAGGAAGAAAACAAATAACCTGACTAAAAAATGAGCAAAGAACTTCCATAGGCATTTCTTAAAAGACATACAAATGATCAACAGGTATATGGAAAAACATGCTCAACATTAGTAATCATCAGGGAAATGCAAATTAAAACTACAATGAGATGTCATCTCATGCCCATTAGGATAGCTATTATCAAAAAGGCAAAAGATAACAAGTGTTGGTGAGAATGTGGAGAAAACGGAACCCTCTCACACTGCTGGTGGGAATATAAGTTAATACAGCCATTACGGAAAACATTACAGAGATTCCTCAGAAAATTAAAAATAAAACATCATATGATCCAGCAATCCCACTACTGGGTATATAGCCAAAGTAAGAAAAATCTGTAGGTTGAAGAGATAACTGCATTCCTATGTTTATTGCAACATTATTCACAATAGCCAAGATGTGGAATCAATCTGTGTCCATCAACAAATGAATGAATAAGGAAAATGTGGTATATAAACAAAATGGGATACTATTCAGCCATAAAAAGAAGGAATTCTTGTCATTTATGCAATATGGATGAACCTAGAGGATGTCATATTACGTGAAATAAGCAAGGCACAAAAAGACAAATACTGCATGATCTCACTTATATGTAAAAGCTAAAAAAGTTGATCTTATAGAAGTAGTGAATAGAATGTTGGTTACCAGGGGCTAGGGTGTTTGGGGAAGGGGCGGAGAGATGTTGGTCAATAGATACAAAGTTTCAGTTAGATAGAATAAGTTTAAGAGATCTATTGTGCAACATGGTGACTATAGTTAACAATATTCTTGAAGAATGCCAAGAGAGTGGATGTAAAGTGAGGTAATGTACATGCTAATAAGCTAGATTTAATCCTTCCAGAATGCATATATACTTCAAAACATCATATTGTATATGATAAATACAATTTTTTTCTGCAAATTTAAAATAAATAAATTTTTGAAAGCATAGAGAGAAACACTTTTCCTCCTACCACAATTGTTCAGGGCACAATAATTTACATGTCAACTGACTTTCCCAGCCTTATGCTGTTTTCCTTTCCTATTTTTGTCACTTAACCTCAATTTCTTCCTTTATTTAATTTTTTATCTTGTTTTCTTTTCCGTAACTTTATAAATGGCAACAAGTTTTTTTTTCTTGGAACAAAGAGTATGCAAACAAATACATCATTTAAAATAGCCTTCACTAGCCATTGTATTTACAAAGACTTTGCTACTGAAAGTGTGGTTCTATCAGCATCACCTGGGAGCTTGTTGGAAATGTAGAATCACCTTATACCTGCTGAATCAAAATCTGCATTTGACAAGATCCCCAGGTGATTCTTGTGCACATTAAAATTTGAGAGGCACTGTGCTAGTGCACCCCGTCTATTTAGTACCTTGGAATCCTCCTGAATAAACGGCAGCATCTTTATACATCTACAGGTGCATATCCCATACCCATGAAGTTTTGTTTGCCTCTTCTTTCTCAGGGCTCTGTCTCCTCTTAGGGTAAGGGCCCTGCCAAATCCTTAGGATCACATTCCTAGGAGTCCCGAACAAAGCACTGAGAATGTTCTACAATTTGTTGGGTAGCCAGCATGGGTTGCTTTGTTATGAAGAATGTGCTGCTTTAGCCATAAAACTTTTTTTAACACCTTTCAAATAGACGCCATCAAACCACACAGCTTTAAAATGGTAAATAGAATATAGGACAAGAGAAATTACAAAGTACAGACAGAGAGCAAAAGATTAATTTTAAAATGGGAAGCACTGAGGTAGAAAGACAAGAAGGTTTTTCCAGATGGGAGAGACTGTAAAATAGAAAGTTCTCACAGTAGAAAGTTGATGTGAATTGACACCAAATTCACTCCTGAAACTTTACTCATTGAATTACAATTTCTAAGTGATGTGTCTGAATAATGTGATGTTGCTTACAAAGAAAAGTGATGGGAATATTAATTCTATAACTTCATTAGGTTCTGATTTTGAAGGGATATGAGGCAAAAGTAAACGTATCACCAGTCACTATTGATTTTATGACTGCTAAAGCCATTCAGCCTTTAAAAGTGCAGGCCCAACATCAATACCAGTATCTTTCTTTGACTGTCCCTCCTAATATTTTAAATCTCAGCAACTCTACGTGGTTCTGGTTCTCTAATCCATTCTTAATTAGAGGCCCCTGTGACCTCACGTGAGAATCTTTACTGAATTGTCATCAGGCCAGTCCCCAGCTCCCTACAGATCTAGAATTTCTTCTCACAAGATAGGACACAATTCTCAGGATGGCTCACATGATGGCTTCACAGTTCACCTTCCAGTTGTATATTGACTTGAAAGATAGGGCTTTATAACAACTTTAACTCTACTAACCATAGTTTGGGTCAATGTAATGGGCCTGTAAGTCAGGCTTCTTAAATTAGAACCTCAGGATAGGGCTCCTCCCATATGTAAGGGATTGCTACAATTGATGGTATTTATATGTAATATTCTTTTGCTATGTGTCTCCAATACTGTTCTCTCACTTTGGATGCTCTTCCACATCCTTTCTGGGGAGGTCAGTGTTCTCACTGTTTGGCTTCTATCTGATTGGGCAGACATGGATAGCCTGCTAACTGAGCATGGCATCATGGTGACAAAGACTCTTGCCTTAAGTTTCAGACTCTTCCTCAAAGTTCTGGGAAAAAAGCAGAATCCTGTCTTGGAATGAAGGAATTTCTTCAGAAACACATTCACTTCCCCAAAATATACCTTAGTCTTTTGTTTTTCATTATAAGGGATATCCTAAAAGAGAAATTGCAAGTATGACTGTTTGGCAGGGACTGTCTTATTTGTCCCTCTATCCCCAGCACTTGATGCAGTGCCTATCACATAGTAGATGTTCAACAAATATTTATGGAAGGGAAGAAAGAGGAGGTGAATTTAAACCTGGGAGCTAAGTTCAGCTTTTAATTTTATATATTGGGACTGTTTGTTGGTTTTATGAATGTGGGACCCCTTTCACCTAAGATATACCAAGATGCTATTAATAGGGACATTATTCTGGGTCTCAGGGTGATTCCTCCAGTGGTTTGGCCAGAAGTGTGTTTCACAGTAGAAGGGTCTACTAGAGTTCTTTGCTTAAAACTTGGAAGAGAAAAGGAGACTTTTATTTATTCTTTCAGCCTACAGCTTTCAATGTAGTTCTAAAGATGGGAAGAAGCAATGTGCCTCCCGAAAGAGACAGAAGTAGGGGCTAGATATTTAAAGAAAGACACACTGGTATTGATGTTGGGCCTGCACTTTTAAATGTGGAATGGACTTAGCAGTTATAAAAACAATCAATAGGTAAATGGGGAAAAGAGAAAATTCACACAAAAATTTACTCCTTTAATAGATATACATAAGATGAAATGTTCAACCTTGACTGAAATTGAAGCTATGCAAATAAAAATCAAATAGGAGATATTATAGGTTACTAACTGATACCATGTTTTATCTATCAAATGAACCAAAGAGTAATATGATTGAAATAATTAAGTACTAGAAGAGAGCTGAGGAGATTGTGGCAGCTCTGGAACATATTCAATGCTGGTGAGATGTCATTTGAATACAGTACTTTTAAAGAGCAATTTGACAAGAGGAGTCACCTGCTGTAAAAGTACTAATGTCAAACATAAAAGTACTAATAGGAATAGTTTTGACTAATAGTTTTGACACAGTTTGCCCAATGTTGAAAAATAGGAAACAGTCTAGCTACTCAACAGTAGGGTTACCCTCAAAGAAATTATGGTATACCCACTTAATGGAATGCTATCAGCCTTTAAGAGTTATAATATTGAAAAATATATATATCTTTATGATAAAATATTTAGAAGGTAAGTAAAAGGCCCTCAACTGCACATATGCTTTTATTGCAATGATGTGAAAATGTATGACAAGGAACAAAGACTGAAAGGCACTACACAAAACTGAAAATAATTGCTGTTGGAAGACGGAGATTTTAAGTGTTTTCTTCCCAAATAATTTTGCCAAATTTTCTTCAGTGCTTTTCTTCTGTCTTTAAATGAAAAGGAGAAAATATGACACAATCAGCCTCACTGATATAATATTATAAGTATTCTATTCTGGAAAAAGAAGCAACCATGATGAAATGAAAGAAAGCGGAAATAGCTGCAGTAAGAAGTTCTTATTGACCAAAACAACCAAGGGCAGCATGAATACTTAGATGCCTGGGAAGATGCATGAAAACATATTTGAATATGTAAGTCCAGAATTTGTATTCACAGGAAAAAAAATGGCACCAAGATTATTCCTTTCTAATAAAAATCTTTTAGTGTTTTCTCTCTCTCTTTTCCCCAAGTTTGGAATGAGCTGAACCCTGGATTAAATGAAATGGCACAATACCTGGCACATAGTAGGCATCCAAGAAATATCAGTTTCCTTCCTTCCTATGAAATACAAGATACTCTGAAATAAAAGTAGCTTTATGGCCCTAAAGAAACAACAGTTCAAGAATCAAAGCCAACCTCATCTCATATTCCCTATTACAATAAACTCTCTTAGTTTTAATATTTTTAAAAGGAAAAAACCCCAAACTCTAATAATTGAAATGGTTTTCTTGCATTTTAGTTTTAAGAGAAAGAGACATATTACAATTTTTTTAAGAGTCTATCAGGTATTTTAGTAATGATCCTGAGAGATTGCAGATTCAATCCAATATTACACCTTCTCTCCACTGGGTACATCATCAAAGAAAGAACCAGTATAATTTAGTGTTACTATTTTATTTCTCTTAGTGGAAATAGTGGTGACTGGACATTGTTGCTGGAATAACTGGAATTTTTAATAGATATTACAGGAAACCTGGGGCTTTCTGGGCAGCATTCATGAATTTGAAGGGGACAGAAATAATCCATTTTTCCGGGAAACACTCACTTACGTAGAATATACTGCTCTTCTTAATGATGTGTTAATGAGGTGGCTCCAAAAGCCTGATGCTGCTGGCCCAAGTGAGTGGGCTATGTGGCCTCCTATGCCCTTACTCCGTTTTATTCAGGAGAAGGAATACCCCTGCCTGCTGCCTCACTGGTACTTTCTCTTTTCTTTCTCGTTCAGGGTCTGACCTCTCTATGGACAGGGGATCTGCCTCCACAGCCTGGCATAGGAACCAGTCTCCACCCCATTCCAGAGACCAGTAAACCCAAGCTAGGCTGTGGCTTCTTACCTGGTCTTAGTATTTATTCCACATCTAAAACACCATCCATTTGTTTTGTACACTTAAAGTACTTGTGATATTTAATGGAAAAAACTAGAAACATTTTGATTTTGTGAACAATATATTCTCAGGATTAATTTGGTTATTCGAGACCGAGCCCCTTTTTGTCTTCTAATTGTCTTGCACCCTCCACCCAGGATAATATTTGTGCACCTTCCATTTGGTTTGCTCCTCAAATGTTGCACAAGCTGAGAAGGTGGGATAATTTCAAAGTCTAAGAATAGTGTAAGGATCTTTCCTATACTCTTTACCCGGATTCACCAATTGTTCGCATTTTGCCCCATCTGTTTTATTTTCTTTCTGTCTCTCTTTCTCTCTGCATATATATATATATATATATATATATATATATATTTTCTGAACTAAATACTCTCAAATGAAAATAAGTTGACAATATCAAACCTCTTCACAACACACTTGAGTGTGTATTTTCTAAGAACAAGGACATTCTCTTAAATAATCACACCACAATAATCAAAATCGGGAAATTAACATTGCTACAATGCTGTTGTTTAATCCACACCACTTACCCAAATCTTATCATTGTTCCAGTACTGACCTTCATAGTTATTTTGTTTTTCCTAATCCTGAATTTGATTCAGGGTCATGCATTGCATTTGGTTGTCATGTTTGCCCAGTCTCCTTTAATCTGAAAAGCTCCTCAGCATTTCTTGTCTCTTTTCTTTTTTCTTTTTAAAGCTTCTCTTTCTTTTTTGTTTATTTTTTAATTTGTAATTTTTGTGGGTACACAGCAGGTGTATATGGGGTATATGAAATATTTTGATACAGGCATTCAATGTATAATAATCACATCAGAGGTAAATGGGGTATTCATTACCTCAAGCATTTGTCCTTTGTGTTACAACCAATTATACTCTTTTAGTTATTTTAAAATCTATAATTAAGTTATTATTGACTGTAGTCACCCTGTTGTGCTATCAAATAATAGATCTTATTCATTCTTTCTAATTATTTTTTGCACCCATTCCCCATTCCCCACCACTACCCTTCAAAGCCTGTGGTCATCATCCTTCTACCTTCTATTTCTATGGGCTCAATTGTTTTAATTCTCTGTTCTCATAAGTAAGTGAGAACATGTGATGTTTGTCATTCTGTGCCTGGTTTATTTCAAGTAACATAGTGACCTCCAGTTGCATCCATGTTGTTGCAAATGACGGAGTCTCATTCTTTTGTATGGCTGAATAGTACTCCATTGTGTATCTGTACCACATTTTCTTTATCCATTCATCTGTTGATGAACACTTAGGTTGTTTCAAAATCTTGGCTATTGTGATTAATGCTACAATAAACATGGGAGTGCAACATCTCTGCAATACAGTGATTTCCTTTCTTTGGGGTATATAGCTGCAGGGAGATTGCTGGATCATATGGTGGCTCTATTTTTAGGCTTTTTGAGGAACCTCTAAACAGCATTTCTTGTTGTTTATCACCGTGCCACATTGCAGTGTATAGGCCAGCTGTTTTGTAGATTGTCTTTCAACTTGTTTTGTAGATTGATGTTTCTTCATCAGACAAATTCAAGTTAGAATTTTTGGCAGGTTTGCTACTTAAGTAATGTCCCGTTTTTAGTGTATCATATATATTAGGAGGCTCATGATAATATTTGTCCCAAAAACTTAATACATTTTAGAAATTGCTCCATATCCACTCATAGAGATTGCCCTAATTCTTTCTTTATGGCTGCATAGTACTCCATTATGTGGATGGTTCATTCAACCAGTTCACATGAACAGATTTTGCATTGCTTTCAACTTTCTGCTATTATGAATAATGCATGACTAATAAATTTATACATATATTGTTTTACTTTTGTGTAGGTGTATTTTCAGTACTGCTTAGTAAAAGAATAAATACATGTTTAATTTCATCAGCTATTGCCAAATTCCCCTCCTAAGGGCCTGTGCCATTTTGCACTGCCCACTAGCAATACATGAGAGCATATGTTTCTGCACAGCCCTGCCAACAGCATGTTTTGTCAAGCATTTCATTTTTGCCAATCTGATAAGTATAAAATAGAATACTTTGTCAAGAAGCATGTTTTGTCAAGCATGTCATTTTTGTCAAGTTGATATGTATAAAATATCTTTGAGCAGTGATAATTTGTATTTGTATTATAAGTGCTTTTCAGCATATTTTCATATGTTTAAGATCCGTTTCACTTTCCTGTGTCTTTTTAAATCATTTTTTGATTAGGCCTTTGGTATTTTTCCTCTCAGTTTTTAAATTTTTTTGATAAATTATATTTGTACATGGGTCTTTATCAGGGAGATTAGCCCTATATGTTGCAAATACCTTTCATTTTACTTTGTCACTTTTTAAACTTTACTTATGGTGTTTTTTCAAGTATTTTTTCCCAGCTTTATTGAGGTGTAATTGACAAATAAAATAGTATATGTTAAAAGTGTACAACTTGATGTTTTGATCTACATATACATTGTGAAATGATCATGACTCTTAAGCCAATTAGTACATCTATCACCTCACATAGTTTCTTTTTTTTCTCTTTTGGTAAAAACACTTAGGATTTACCCTCTTAGCAAATTTCAAGTATGCAATACAATATTATTAACTGTAGTCACATTGCTATACGTTAGATTTCCATCATGCATAACTGAAACTTTGTACCCTTCGGCCAACATCTCCCCATTTCCCTATCCCCTCAGCCCCTGTAAATCACCATTCTACTTCAAGCAAACTTTATTTTCACTTTTATGTAGTTGAATTTATTAATCTTTTCTTGTCATTGCTTCTTGATTTTAAGTAATAGTAAGAAATGCTTTTCCCACTCCCATATTATGAAGTAATGCATCCATACTTTCTCTTAGTACCTAAATGGTTGGTCACATGTTTTTGTTTTAAAAAGTTACATTTTCAACTTTATCCTCAAAATTTTTATCTAGAAGAACTTCTCTTTAATAGTTACCTGATGGCCTGTTTTAGGCTGAATTCTCCAGAAGCATGCCCTAAGTTGAGTATTCATGTACCCGTGGTTTATTTAAAAAGTGCTTCCAGGAGAGACTAGGAAGAGAGTGGGGAAGCAGGACAGAGAAGAGGAAGAAGCCAAACCAGGGGACAGTTTCAGGCAAGGCCTCACAGAAGGTAGATTCATCCTAATCCCTTAGGGGAACTTTGGCATATAGGTTATGACTTCAAGTTGACCCAACATCAGGCAAGGAAGCTGAGCTTTCATATTGCCACACTCACCAGTCACTGGCTAAAGGCTGTCCCAGGCAAAGACAGCAGTCATCAGAAGAGTCTCACATGTGGCCATTGGAAGCAAAAGCACACCAAAATGTGCAGAAACAGTAAGAGCAATCCAAAGGAATCTGAATGAGTATCAGCAAATCTCTCACCACAGCTGGCAAAACCTAGAAAGCAGAAGGCTATGGGAGGGACACAACTAGTGGTAGGAGAAAGGGAGAGAAAATAACCCGAAGAATCACTCCTTGTCTCTTCAGTCCTGTTGTTGCTAATTCCAGAGCTTGGAGAGCAGATCCTTGATTATCTCTATTTACTTAGTACTGAATTCCTGGCTTTGTCAAAAGCCATGATAAAAAAGACACTTCTAACATCCCATTGATGACATGGAGCAGGGATTACCTTTGATAAGCAATTCCCAAGTATACTTCCCAATAGAGAGCCTTGGCCAACAAGAGCTTCTCTGGATATTCTTCTTGAGGAGTCTTTGTGAACTGAATGCTTAAATATAGGAAGGATTAGAGCCATTTGTGAGAAGCCTTGAATATGTTCCTCCAAACACATTCCATCTGGAACTCTCAGGATAGGCAGCTGATTCTGATCAGGGGCTTCTGCCATCCAGCAGATCCAATAAACACATGCCTAGGTTCTTACAGTTGGTTAGATCCATGATGTCTCCCATCCTGTCATCAGAGGCCCTTTCCCAAAATGGTAGCTCCATGGCACCTTCTCCTCTTGCATCCTCTCATTCCAATCTGGGTTAGTGGTTAAGAGACCAGGTCTTGAACTCAGTCACTTTTTAGATACACCACTTTAGAGGAGTTTCTAAATGCTCTCAGTGTCAGTTTATTAATATGCAAAAGACAGATAGCACCTACATTGCAGAATTAGTGTAATGATTAAATAAAATAAATATCTCACACCCTTGGCATGGTGCTGGACATGCATTATTATCATTCATTATTTTCATTCCACTCGGATGTTTCTCACACTGCTGACTTCCCTCCTCAGAGACCCCCATTCCACTGTAAATAACCTGACTTATATCCTCAACCATTTCACAAAACTCCATCTCCAGGCTCTCCCCAGAGCACAATAACTGCTGCAACCTCTATGGAAGAGGCTGATTCTTCTACACCCATGTATCACGAGCTGTGGACTGCATGGTCTCCTAGCTCGCCATTACAATTGGCAGATGATTACTCCTCTGTCCTGGGGCAAAAAACCTTCTTTTATTAAGACTCGTGCCAACAATATATACTTCCTTCCATACCTCTTAATTTTGTCTTTGAACCTCCCACCTTTCCCCCCTGTACTCGTTAATGGCTTGGATACAAACTCACTGTTTCTTCTCCTCATGTACTGCCTTCATGCTGGGCAGCAACTATATCCACATGAAGTCTTCCAGAACTCTGGCTCACAGCTTTTTTTTTTTTTTTTTTTTTACAGAGTCTCGCTCTGTCACCCAGGCTGGAGTGCAGTGGCGTGATCTCGGCTCGCTGCAAGCTCTGCCTCCCAGGTTCACGCCATTCTCCTGCCTTAGCCTCCTGAGTAGCTGGAACTACAGGTGCCCGCCACCAAGCCTGGCTAATTCTTTTTGTATTTTTAGTAGAGACAGGATTTCATCGTGTTAGCCAGGATGGTCTCATGGCTTTTTTTAAAAAAAACATCTTCAACACCAACAGTCTTCATTTGTAACTACCTCCTTGACCCACTGATTGTCATAACCTAGGCCTTGATATCACTTAGAATAACTCCACCTCTGAACTCACACAGTCATGCATTGCTTAACAAAGGGGATACATTCTGAAAAATACATTGTTAGGTGATTTTGTCATGTGAAAGCACCATAGAGTGCACTTACACAAATCTAGGTGGTAGAGCCTACTACATACCTAGGCTATATGGTATAGCCTATAGCTCCTGGGCTACAAACCTGTACAGCATGTTACTGTACTGAATTCTGTAGGCAATTGTAAGACAATAGTAAGCATCTGTATATCCAAACATAGAAAAGGTACAGTAAAAATACAGTATTATAATATTATGAGACCACCATTGTACATGTGGTCCATCATTGACTGAAATGTCATTATTCAGTGCATGGCTGTATTCTAATGTACCATTTGGATCTCATCCTTCTATCTTTCCAGGCTTTACTCTCTCTCTCTCTTTTTTTTTTTTTTGAGACGGAGTCTTGGTCTTGTTTCCCAGGTTGGAGTGCAATGGCACAATCTCAGCTCACTGCAACCTCCGCCTCCCAGATTCAAGCAATTTTCCTGTCTCAGCCTCTTGAGTAGCTGGTATTACAGGTGCCTGCCACCACGCCTAGCTAACCTTTGTATTTTTAGTAGAGATGGGGTTTCACCATGTTGGCAGGCTGGTCTCGAACTCCTGACCTCAGGTTATCTGCCCGCCTCGGCCTCCCAAAGTGCTGGGATTACAGGCGTGAGCCACCACACCCGGCCCTTTACTCTCTCTTACTTCAGCTCTTTAATCTTACACAGAGACCTCAAAGCCATTTTACTTCCAGTTCACCAGCCTTCTTTGGCTTCACTTCCTCCCCTATCCAAATTTGAACACCCACTGCACTCAACCACCAGACTCTTACATTCAAAACCAATCCCATTGTCTTTCCACCACATCTCACCTGCAGTTTGAAATTTTAGATTAATCCTACCATCTGCCTTTGTTGCTCAAACCTTGTGCTGCTGAATGCTGCTGCAGAAAATCAAATCTTTGAATGGATTAGTGCCACCACCCATTTATAATCTTCAGCATCTCTTGGCTCCTCAATAGCCCTCATTAATTTGGTATCTTTGACTTGCATCCCCTCTCATTTTTCTCAATGGCTGCTGCAAGTCTCCACTAACTTCAAGTCCTCCATCCCATCGATGTCATCCTCTCAGTGCACATGACCTTACTTCCTATTTCACCAAGAATACCATGGCTATCGGGTTTTGAACTTCCATAATTTTTCCTCATAGCTATGAGTCATTTTTATCTGCACTTACCTTCAAGTTTGGTCATTTATGCTAAAGAAGAAGAAAGTAGGCTCTGGAGGCTGTTCTTTCTCCTATTCAAGGAAACTCCTTCCACATCCTCCCTTATCTCCTGCATATCCAAGGCCTCATCCCACTCATTTATCACTCTTTTTTATATTTTCAACTTCTCTTCTCTTTGAGGTAATTTCCGTAGCCTCTAAATTATCCAATAACACTATATTTTATCTTCCTGCACTAGCCCTATCTTTTCCCTTCTTTTTGTTGCCAAGATACTAAAAAACAACATTCTAGATTTCTGTTGCCCTCTTCTTACTCCCAGTACATTCTTCAACCCACTCTAGCCAGGTTTTACCTTCCACAGTCTATGCAGACTATCCTGTCTGAGGTCACAAGTGGCCTCATGACTTCCAAGTCTATTGATTGCTTTTCATATTTATTTCATGAACTCTCTGCAACATAAAACACTGTATTAAATCTCTTCCCTCACTAAAAAAGCAAGAACAAACTAACCCCAAAGCTAGCAGAAGAAATAACCAAAACCAGAGCAGAACTGAATGAAATTGAGACCCAAAAATTCATACAAAGAATCAAGGAAATCAAAAGTTGTTTTTTTGAAAGGATACACAAGATCAATAGATAGCTAGATAGATTTAAAAAGAAAAGAGAGAGAAGATCCAAATAAGCATGATTAGAAACAACAAAGGTTATATTACAACTGAAATGGAAAAGATCCTCAAAGACTATTGTGAACACTTCTATACATACACAAACTAGAAAATCTAGAGGAAATGGATAAATTCCTAGCAACACATAGTCTCCAAAAATTGAAACAGGAAGAAACTGAAGTCATAAACAGACCCAATATTGAGTTTCAAAATTGAATCAGTAATAAAAAAAAGTGATACCAATCAAAAAAGTCATGGAATGGATGGATTCAAAGCCAAATTCTATCAGATATACAAATAAAATGTGGTACCAATTCTATTGAAATTATTCCAAAAAATTAAGGATGAGGGACTCCTCCCTAACTCACTTTATGAAACCAGCATCACTGTGACAACAAAGCTTGGCAAAAACACAATAAAAATAACTACAGGACAATATCCCTGACAGACAAAGACACAAAAGTTTTCAACAAAACACTAGCAAACTGAATCCAGCAGCACATCAAAAAGTTAATTCACTGTGATCGAGAAGGATTCATTCTTGGATGCAAGGTTGATTCAACATACACAAATCAATAAATCTGATTCACCACATTAAACAGAATTAAAAGTGAAAATGATCCGATTATCTCAATAGATGCAGAAAAAGCTTTCAATAAAATCCAACATCCCTTTATGGTAAAAACCTTCAAGAAACTAGGCATTGAAGGAACATACCTCAAAATAGTGAGAGCCATCTATGACAACACAGCCAGCATTAGAGTGAATGGGCAAAAGTTGGAACCATTTCCTTTGAGAACTGAAGCAAGACAAAAATGCCCACTCTCATTACTACTATTCAACATAGTACTGGAAGTGCTAGCCAGGGCAAACAGACAAGAGAAAGAAATAAAAGGAATTCAAGTAAGAAAACAAGAAGTCAAACTATCTCTCTTTACTGATGATATGACTCTATACCTAGAAAACCCTAAAGACTCCATCAAAAGGCTCCTGGCACTGATAAATGACTTCAGTAAAATTTCAGGATACAAAGTCAATGTATAAAAATTAGTTGCATTTCTATACACCAATAACATTCAAGCTGAGAGCCAAATCAAGAATGCAATCCCATTTACAATAGCCATAATAAAATAAAATACTGAGGAATACATCTAACCAAAGGGGTGAAAGATCTCTGCAAAGAGAACTACAAAACACTGCTGAAAGAAATCATAGATGAGACAAACAAATGGAAAAACATTTATGAAATGGAAGGATCAATATCATTAAAAAGGCCATCCTGTCCAAAGCAATCTGCAGATTCAACATTGTATTAGTCCATTCTCATGCTGTCATGAAGAAATACCCAAGACTGGGTAATTTATAAAGAAAGAGGTTTAATTGACTCACACTTCCGCATGACTGGGGAGGCCTCAGGAAACTTACAATCATGACGAAAGACACCTCTTCACAGGGCAGCAGGAGAGAGAATGAGTGCAAGCAGGGGAAATGCCAGACACTTATAAAACCATCAGATCTCGTGAGACTTGCTCACTACCACGAGAACAGCGTGGGGGAAACTGCCCCCATGGTTCAATTACCTCCACCTGGTCCTGCCCTTGACACATGGGGATATGGGGTTACAATTCAAGATGAGATTTTGGGTAGGAAAACAGTCAAACCATATCTAACAATATTCCTATCAAACTACCAATGTCATTTTCCACAGAATTGGAAAAAATTATTCTAAAATTATTTTGGAACCAAAAAAGAGCACAAGTAGCCAAAGCAATCCTATGCAAAGAGAATAAAGTTGGGGGCATTATATCACCTGACTTCGTACTATACTATAAGGCCAAAGTAACCAAAACAGCATGGTACTGGTACAAAAACAGACATATAGACCAATGGAACAGAATAGAGAACCCAGGAATAAATCTGCACACTTACATTCATCTGATCTTCAACAATGTCAACAAAAATAAGCAATTGGGAAAAGATTTCCTATTCAATAAATAGTGCTGGAATAGCTGGCTAGCCATATGCAGAAGATTGAAACTGTATCCCTTCCTTATACCATATACAAAAATTACTCACGATGAATTAAAGATTGAAATGTAAGACCTCAAACTATAAGAATCCTAGAAGATAAACTAGGAAATACCCTTCTGGACATAGGCCTTGGCAAATAATTTATGACTAAGTCCTCAAAAGCAATTGCAATAAAAACAATAATTGACAAGTGGCACATAATTAAACTTAAGAGCTTCTGCACAGCAAAAGAAACTATCAACAGAGTAAACAGAAAACCTACAGAATGGGAGAAAATATTTGCAAACTATGCATCCAACAAAGGTCTAATATCCAGAATCTATAGGGAACTTAAATAAACTATTTGACAAGCAAACACAAATAACCCCATTATTAAATGGGAAAAAGACATAAACAAACACTTCTCAAAAGAAGACATACGAGTGGCCAACAAACACATGAAAACATGCTCAACATCAGCAGTCATCAGAGAAATGCACATCAAAACCACAGTGGAGTAGAATAGAGAGTACAGAACTAAACACATACATCTATGGTCAATTGATTTGCAACAAGGGTACCATGACCATTCAATGGGAAAATAATAGACTCTTCAACAAATGATGCTGGGACAACTGTATATCCACACGCAAAAGAATGAAGTTGGACTCCTACCTTACACTATATATGAAAGTTAACTAAAAATGGATCAAAGACCTGAATAAATATAAGAGCTAAAACCATAAAACTATTAGAAGAAAACACAGGGGTAAATCATCATGTCCTTGGATTCAGAAAATGGATTTTTAGATGACACGAAAAGCATGAGCAACAAAAGAAAAAGTAGATAAATTGAACTTCTTCAAAATTAAAAACTTGTTTGTCAAAGGATACTATCAAGAAATCGAAAAAGACAACCCACAGAATGGGAGAAAATATTTGCAAATCACATATCTAATAAGGATCTAGTATTCAGAATACATAAGGAACCCTTACAGCTCAATAACAAAAGGGCCAAATAACTCAATTTTAAAATGGGTAAAGGACTTGAATAAACATTTCTCCAAAGAATATATACAAATGGCCAAGAAGTACATGAAAATATGCTCAACATCCTTGTCATTAAGGAAATGTAAATCAAAACCTCAATGAGATACCACTTCATACCCATAGGAGGGCTATAATGAAAAAAATTAATGGAAATTAACAAATATGGGAGAGGCTGTGGAGAAATTTGAATCCTTATACATTGCTGGTGGGAATGTAACATTATATAGCCACTGTGGAAAACAGTTTGGCAGTTCCTTAAAAAGTTAAACATATAATTACCATATGACCCCACAATTCTGCTCCTAGGTATATACACAAAGGAATTGAAAACAGGTTCTCAAATAGATGTAAATGCATGCTTATAGCAGCACTATTCACAATAGCCAGAAGGTGGAAACAGATGTCTATCAATGGACGAATGGATAAACAAATAGTGGTACATACATGCAAGGAATTATTATTCAGCCATTAAAAGGAATGAAGTACTTACTGATTTATGTTCCAATGTGGATAAACCTCAAAAACATGCTAAGTGAAAGAAGCCAGGCATGAACGATCACATATTACAAGATTCTATTTACATGAAATATACAGAATAGGTAAATCTATATAAACAGAATGCAAATTGGTGTTTGCCAGGATCTGGGGGAGGAGAGAATGGAGAAAAAATGCTGAATGAGCATGGGGTTTTATTTTGGAGTGTAGAAATATTTGTAACTGGATAGAGATGGTAGTCACACAACATGGTGAATATACTAAATGCCACTGAGTTGTTCACTTTAAAATAATTAATCTTATGTTATGTGAATTTCACCTAAATACATTTTTTAAAAATCTGCTTTTTTCCCTATACTTCCAAGGCTTAGTTAATGGCACCACTATTCACACATTCATCCAAATCAGAAATTTGGAAATAATTCTAGATATCTTATTTCCTTCATAGAGAACATCCTATTGATGGTGAAGTCTATTTGGCCCTCTATCCTTTGAATTTCTTGCATTTTTCCTTCCACTCCATCTACTTGATGTATCTTAGCTTAGGTTATATACTACTGCAATAGTGTCCAACTGGACTCCCTTTCTTTAAATTTCAACCCCTTGAATCCCTCCTTCACAGAGCAGCGTGAATTATCTAGGATATTGATTTGATTCTCAAATCTTAGAGTGCATCAGAATTACCTGGAGGGTTTGTTAAAACGTAGATTGCTAGGCCCTATACTCAGAGGTTCTGATTCAGCAGGTCTGAGGTGTGGCTCTAGAATTTGCATTTCTGACAAATTCTCATGTAATGCTGATCTTGTTGGTCTGGAGGACCACACTTTGAGAATGACTAATCCATAACTTTATTGATTGATTACTTTTCACTTTAAAATCCTCTTGTCCTTACCCTAAGATGCTCCAGGGCCCTGCACCTATCTGCAACTTCAAATTTCCCTATGGCCTATCTTAACCATATCTATGTTAATAGTCAACTCTTCCATGAAAATATATTATTTAGCGTTATCTGCTTGTAAGCAACAGAAAGTAACTTGAGCTTATTTAAAGAAAAAATGAAATGTATTAGAAGTTCATCACAGACATAATAGGAAGTTTGGAGGACCAGACTCAGAAATAGACAAGAATGAAGACAGATCAGGTATGCTGGCAGCAGGGATTAGAATATGACCATCTGGTCCAAGAAGTAGTTCTGGAATGAATGCACTAGATGCTCCTCTACTTGTGATGGAGTTATGTCTCAGTTAAACCCATTATAAGTTGAAAATACGTCAAATATGTATTTAATGCATTTTAGAGTATTGATTGTTTACTCTTGTGATCACAAAACTGACTTGGAGCTATGGCTCACTGCTGCTGCCCAATATCGTGAGAGAATATCATACTACATATTACAAGCCTAAGAAAAAATTAAAATTCAGATTTTGAAGTACAATTTTTACTGAATGCATATCACTTTTGCACTATTTGAAAGTTAAAATATTATAAGTTGAATCATCATAAGTTGGGGACCATTTGTATATCTATTTTTCCATCCTTGGGTCTCTCAAGACAGAAAATTCGTGGAAAAAACTCTCAAGCATCTCAGCTTGGGTTACATGCTTCCTGGTAAAGGAAGGCACAGTCACTTGTTGTTGCACTGAGACAGCACACAGTGGAGAAAAATAATTATCCACAAGAAAATCAGGCTGTGGTTATCAGATTAGGGTGGCTGAATACTCAGGGAACAGAAAACCAAATATTTTCAGCACCATTTCCTTCTTTGTGCTTTACTGTACATTGCACCAACTTCCATATTACTTAAGACTCCTAGCCATTTTTGTGTATATGTCTTACTAGACTATGAGTACCTTGGAAACAGAAACTATGTTTCTTTTTTATTTCTAAAATTTAGCATAGCATGTGGCATTAAGCAGGTGTTCAACAAATGTTTGTTGAACGAATAAATACACAAAGAAATAAAATCGAATGGATCCAAAACACAGCTGAATTACAGGATGAAAGGGGGAAGCCAAGCATTCAAGTGAGGGGAAGAGAGAAGAGTGTAGTGGTTTGGGCAGTTTGTCAGAAGCTGTGAGCACACAAAAAGCTGTTCCTGGACATGAGAAAGTGGAAAAGTCACCTTGAGCCAGAGGAAACTTGCTATTTTTCCCCAGGACCAGAGATGCTTAGGGAGAAAATGCAGAATAACTTTTTTAAACAGCTTAATTGAGTTATAACTAACATTCAAGAAACTTTCCATATTTAAGGTGTACAATTTGATACATTTTGACACATGTATGAGCCCATGAAACAATCACTGTAATGAAAATAATGAGAATGTCCATCACCCTGAAAAGTTTCCTCATGCTCCTTTATAATCGCTCCCTCTAATCCCTGCCAGCACACCCCATCCCCAGTGCTTTCTGTCACTATGAATTAGCTTACATTTTCTAGAAGTTTATATAGGAGTCATACAGTATGTGTCATTTTTTGTCTCACTTCTTTTACCCAGTGTAATTATTTTGAGATTCATCTATGCTGTTGTGTGTATCAGTTCATTCTATTTTATTGTTGTATAGTATTCTAATGCACAGATACATCACAGTTAATTCATCTATTGACCTGTTGATGGGCATTTGACTTATTTCCAGTTGGGGGCTATTAAAAATAAGGTTGTTGGGAATACTTGTGTACAAGCTTTTGTAGAGACATATATTTTCTTTTCTCTTGAATAGATAACTAAGTGTGGAATGACTAAGTCATATGGTGTATGTATATATAACTTTTTTAAAAAAACTGCTGGATTTCTACTTCTGGCATGGCAGCATGAGGGGCTCCATGGATTTGTTTCCAGTAAAACTGGTAAAAATTATTTTTAAAGCAACCATTTAAAGTCTCTGGAAATTGTTCTAAGGAAATATAGAAAATGAAGAATATTTATTCAAGAAAATCTACTAAACTTAGTAGAAACTGATAGAGTCTGTGGTTATTTGAATCAAGATCTGTGCCCTCCATTGCCCATCTCAACTCAGCAAGATGGAAACTGCATTCCAGCCTGGTACAGCCAAGAACACAGGGTTCCCTTTCTCTCCAGCTCCCAGTCAGAGGGCTAACTTCTTGGGAGAGGTGAGGTGTCAGTATTTCTCATCCTGCCTCCAGCTACCCCTTGCTGAAGTTAAGATCCAGGTGAATGTAACCAAGAGGTAGGTGTTCCGTTCTTCCATGCAGTCCCCAATCATGGCATCGAGGCTCTAACTAGGTTGCAACATTGCTGAGAATACTAGGGCCCAATTTCCTTTGCTCCAGCTCATGGGAAGGGGGATTTCCGGTTGACAGAGGCAAGGCAAGAAGACCTAGGGCTGTTGGCTTCTCTCCATCTATCAAATATCCAGCTCCTAAAGTGAGATGTCACTCAGAGATGCATGCCATTTTCCATGCCCCAAGCATAAGAGCTATGTCTCAGAGATTTTCTCCAGGGGAGAAGCCGGTTGTACAACAGAGAGCTCCAAATCCCTACCTCAAGAAACTGACTTAATTTGTCACAGAATGTGGAGAAGTTCAAGCCTAATAATACTCTCAAAAACAGTAAAAACTGTAATGAAAGGCAACTGGGAGGAGATTGGTAGATTAATTGGAAATAAAATCAAAACTATAGGCTGACTAGGTTGCTGGAGAAAAACAAGGGAAAGGGACAGCTAAGAAATATCCTATAGTCCAAACAAATTCTAAACACTGAGCTCAGTAATTATCTCTTCAAAGGAGCCTGAATTGGATTGGATTAGTCTATGAAGCAATTTATGCTTAGACATTGTTGAAAACAATGGAACAATCTGCTGGCAATTAGTGGAACTTAACATCAGGTGTGGTTAGGGAAAGAGAAGATCAAAGAGAACCCTACCCAAACCACTCTCATCCCAAGGTAACTACTGGCATAATCAAGGCTGTGCCCTCTGAGGAGCAACATCAGAGGCTTCACGTTGGAGGCATGGAGGAAACAGACTTTGCTAAAATAGTCTAGTCAGTCACTAAACAAGTAAACAAGCAAATAATAACAAGTCCTAGAAGGAGAATTCCAGAACCCAGAGTTAATAAAATATATTATCTAAAATGTCCAATTTTTAATAAAAAATTATGAAACATGCAAAGAAACAGGAAAGATCATATAAAAAAAAGGCAACAGAAACTGCCTGTGAGAACTACTACTTGTTGGATTTAGCAGCCAAGACTTCAAGGTTGCCATTAGAAATATGTTCAAAGAAGAAAAGAAAAACATGATTACAGAAGTGAAGGGAGGTGCAATGACACTGTCTCATCAAATAGAGAATGTCAATAAAGTGATAGAAAATATTTTTAATGGGAATTTGGGAATTTAAAAGTATAATAATGAAAATTTAAAATTCACTACTGGGGCTTAATAATGGATTAGAATTGGAAAAAGAAAAAAATGGTGAACTTGTATATTCATAGAAATTATCTAAGCTGAAGAACAGAGAAAAAAGAACCAAGAAAAATGAACAAAGGAGAAATGTGGGTCACTACTACCTTCATCGCATACACATAAATAACAGGAATACCAGAGGAAGAAGATGATGAGGAAGAAGCATATTTTAAAAATGAGTGGCTGAAAACTTCACAAATTTATTGTAAAACATGAATCTATACAACCAGGAGGCTCCATGAACTCCAACTAGGATAAAGGCAAAGAGGTCCACAAATAGACACATCATAATAAAAATGCTAAAAGGCAAAGACAGGGAGAAAACCTTGAAAGTAGCAAGAGAAAAATGACTATACTTTCAAGAGAACCCCTTGTAAGGTTAACAGTTGGCTTCTTATTAGAAACAGTAAAGGTCAGAAGGTGGTGGGATAACATATTGAGACAGCTCAAAGAAAGAAACTGTTAAAAAAAGATTCATATATTCAGCAAAGCTAGATTTCAAAAATGAAGGTGAAATTAAGACATTCCCAGATAAACAAAAACTGAATTTGTTGCTAGCAGATCCTCCTTACATATATACTAAGAAAAATGCTGCAGGCTGTAAGCATGTGACCTCAGATAGCAATTTGAATTCATGCACAAAAACCAAAAAGCACTGGTAAAAGTAATTATATAATTATAAAAGAAATATAAAACCATAATTTCTTCTTCTTTCTTCTCAACGGATTTTAAAAGCTACATGTAAGACAATATGTATCTCATAGAATGCTGGGCCTTGAACATATAGAAATGTGATATATTTGCCAATAACCACACAAAGTAGGTGAATGGGAGAAGGGCTACATTGAGCTAAGGAAATGACTCCAGATGGTAACTTCGATTACAGGAACAAAAGAAGAGAATCAGAAATGATAAACAAGAAGTTATGTGTATATACATATAATTTCTTCTCTTAGCTTTTTAAAAAGACATAAAACTATAAAATAATAACTATAACAATGCCTTGAGCTAAAAAGCTAAGAGAAGAAACTACTGGAACTTAGAAGAGGAAGAAACACTTCCCAATTCATTCTATTAGGGTATTAGTTGTTAATCTAATACCAAAACAAGATAACTACATCACAAGCAAACTACAGGCTAATATCTTTTATGAATATGCAAAAATACACAACAAAATAGTACTAAACAAAATCTAGCCAATACATAAAAAGGATTATACAACAAGACCAAATGGGATTTATGCCAGGAATGCTAAGTTGGTTTAAAATCCAAAAAAAGAAACACCAATTAATGTAATATATAAAGAGAATAACAGAAATATGTAATATATAAAGAGAATAACAGAAAACAATCTGATCATCTCAATAGAAGCAGAAAAATATATGATAAAATCTAACACTTATTCATGATGGAAAAAAACACTTAACAAACTAGGAATAGAAGAGAATTTCCTCAACCTCATAAAGGGCATCTATGAAAAACCCAATGAGATACCACCTCACATCCTCTAATATAGCTATCACAAAAAAGTCAGAAGATAACCAGGGTTGGTGAAGATGTAGAAAAACTGGATCCCTCATATACTGCTGATAAGCATGTAAAATGGTACAGTCACATTGAAAAATAGTTTGGTAGTTCCTCAAGCAGTTAAACATATTTATTATGCCCAGAAGTTCTGCTCCTCAGTATATACCCCAAAGAAATGAACACATATGTCCACATGAGAACTTGTAAACAAGCATTATTCATAGTATCCAAAAGGAGGAAACAACCCACATGTCCATCAACAGATAAATGAATGAACACAATGTCATATGTTATAGTAATACAATGGAATATAATTTGACAATGAAAAGGAATGAAGTACAGATACATCCTACAGGATGGATGAACATTGGAAACATTATGTTAAGTGAAAGAAGCCAATCACAAAAGACAGTGTACATGTGTCTATTTATATAGCATGCACAGAAAGGCAAATTTATAGAGCTAGAAAGATTAGTGGTTGCTTAAGGTTGGGGTAGTAGGGGAGTAGAGGATAATACCTAAAGGGAACAGCATTTTTTTTTTTGAAGTGATAAAAATGTTCTAAAATTGACTGTGGTGATGATTACATGTATCTGTGGATATACTAAAAAACATTGAATTGTATATACTTGAAATGGGTGAATCATGTAGCATGTGAGTTATATCTGAAGAAAGCTCTTTTAAAAGTACGTTTTTTAAAAGCTGCTCATTAAAAGAAGAAACTAACCATTTTTGAAAGTGGATGAACAATTTCACATTTCTACTAACAGTGTATGAAAGCCCCACTTACTCCACAACCTTAACAACCCTAGGCATGGTCAGTTGTTTGTTTTTTTTTTAATTATAGTGATCTCATTGTGGTTTAAATTTTCATTTTCCTAATGACTACAGGTACTGAGCATGTTTTCATGTTCTTATTTACCACCTGCCTATTTTTTGTTGAAGTTCGTTGCCCATTTTTAATTGGGAATTTAATTTTCTTATAACTGAGTTTTGAGAGTTCTTAATATATTCCATATAGAAGTTATTAAAATCAGATAAAAGTTGTGATTTTGTAACATTTTCTCCTAGTCTTTAGTTTGTCTTTTCATTCTCTTAGTATTGTCTTTGGAAGTAGAGTGGCAGCCTTTACTTATGAAGTCCAAATTTATTATTTAAAAAAATAGATGAAATTTATTAGATGGTGATTTTGGTGATTAAAGACATTTGTATCTAAAATGTCTTTGCCTAACCCAAGGTCATTAAGATGGATTATGATTTCTTTCCAGAAGTTTTATAGCTTTAGGTTGTATATTTAGGTCTATGGTCCACTTTGAGTTAATTGAGGTGTGGATTAAAGTTCTTCTTTTTCAAATGGATATGTACCATTTGTTGAAAAGGCTATCTTTGTCCACTGTACTGCCTTCACACTTTCATAGAAAATCAGTTGTATATATACATGGATCTATTTCTGAACTCTGTATTTTTTCCATTGATCTGTTTGTATAGTTTTATAGCAATATTATACTGTATTGATTACTGTACCTTTATAGTAAGTCTTGAAGTAAAGTAGCGTATATCTTTCAACTTTGTTTTTCTCTTTCAAATTTTTTTGGCTATTTTCATCCTTTATAAATTCATATTAATTTTAGAATCAGCTTTGCAATTTCTACAAAAATGCCTGATGAAATTTTTAATGGAATTTTCTTGAAACTATAGATCAATTGAGGAGATCTGAATTTTAACAAAATTGAGTCTTCTAAACTTTAAATATGGTATACCTTTCCATTTATTGTCTTCTTTACTTGTCCTCAGTAATGTTTTGTTCATTTCAGAGTACAAATCTTGCATATATTTTGTCAGATTTATCCCTAGGTATTTCCTACATTTTATTCTACTGTAAATAGTATTAAGTTTCAATTTCTTATTTTTGTTGTTAGTGTATAGAAATACAATTGATTTTTGTATATTGAATTTAAATTTTATAACTTTGCTTAAACTCACCTATTAGTTCTTCTGGTTTTTTTAATTTCATATGATTTTCTTGATAAATGATTATAGTATTTGCAAATATAGTTTACCTCTTTCTTTCCTATCTGGATGCTCTGTCTGAAGGTGAATAAATGTTTAGAATTGTTATGTTCTCTTGATAGATGAATTGACTTATCTATCATTATAAAATTACTGTCTTTATCCTTGGTAATATTATTTGCTCTGAAGTCTTATTTTGTGTGATATTAGTATATTCACTCCAGCTCTATTTTTATTAATGTTACCATAGTATATATTTTTTCGTCTTTTATTTTTAACCTATTAGTAGGCAGCATATAGTTGAGTTTTGCTTTTTAAAATCTAATCTGAAAAATCTATGATTTTAGGTACAGTATTTAGGTCATTTATATTTAACTTGATTACTGATATGATTGCATTTAAATCAACATCTTGCTATTTGTTTTATTCTATCTATTCTTTGTTCACTTCTCCTTTTTGCCTTCTTTTGGATTTGGTATCTTTATTATTCCATTTTATCTCATTTTTTGAATTATTGGCTGTAATGCTTTGTTGTGTTATTTAGTGGCTATTCTAAGGTTTAGAACAAACATCCTTATGTTATAGCCTATCTTCACATGATGTTATAACACTTCACATGCAGTATAACTGAACTGTCATATATTCCCATTTCTCCTCTCCAGTCCTTATGCTCCTCTTGGCATCTATTTTACTTTTACATATGTTATAAATCCTGTAATATATTGATATTACTTCTGCTTTGAAACAAGATTTGACAAATTATAGCCATGAGGCAAACTCAGATCACTACTTAGTTTTGTAAATAAATTTTTTTGACATTGAGTCTTGCTCTGTTGCCCAGGCTGGAATGCAGTGGCACGATCTCAGCTCACTGCAATCTCCGATTCCTGGATTCAAGCAATTCTCCTGCCTCAGCCACCCAAGTAGCTGGGATTACAGGCATGCACCACCACGCCTGGCTGATTTTTGTATTTGTAGTAGAGATGGGGTTTCACCATGTTGGCCAGGCAGGTCTCGAACTCCTGACCTCAAGTGATCCACCCACTTTGGCCTCCCAAAGTGCTGGTATTACAGGTGTGAGCCACCATGCCCAGCCAAAATAAAATTTTATTGGAAAACAGTTACACCTTTTTATTTATGTATTATTTATGGCTGCTTTCATGCAATAACAGCAGAATTGAGTAATGTGATTGATATAGTTTGGATATCTATTTCTGTCAAAGTCCCATGTTGAATTGTAATCCCCAATGCTAATTACAGCTGAGGTGGGGCCTGGTAGGAGGTGTTTAGATCATGGGGGCAGATCCCTCATAGCTTGGTGCTGTTCTTGTGATAGTGAGTGAGTTCTCACAAGATCTAGTCATTTAAAAGTGTGTGACACCTCGCCTGCCCCCACTCCTGATTTCGCCACATGAAGTACTTGCTCCCAATTCACTTTCTGCCATGAGTTAAAAGCTTCCTGGGGCCTCTCTGGAAGCTAAGCAGAAGCCAGTGTCATGCTTCCTGTACAGCCTGCAGAACTGTGAACCAACTAAACCTCTTTTCTTAATAAATTATCCAGTCTCAGGTATTTATTTCTAGCAATGCATGAATAGCCTAACACAGAAAATTTGTACCAGGAATGGGGCATTGCTGTAAATATACCTGAAAATATGGAAGCAACTTTGGAACTGGGTAACAGGCAGAGGTTGGAAGAATTTGGGGGGGGCTCAGAAGAAGACAGGAAGGTGAGGGAAAATTTGGAACTTTTTTTGTTTGTTTGTTTTTGAGATAGATTCTCGCTCTGTCGCCAGGCTGGAGTGCAGTGGTGCAATCTTGGCTCACTGCAACCTCCAGCTCCCCTGTTCAAGCAATTCTCCTGCCTCAGCCTCCTGAGTGGCTGGGACTACAAGTGCGTGCCACCATGCCCAGATAATTTTTGTATTTTTAGTAAAGACAGGGTTTCACCATGTTGGCCAGGATGCTCAATCTCTTGACCTCGTGATCTGCCCGCCTTGGCTTCCCAAAGTGCTGGGATTACAGGCATGAGCCACTGCACCCAGCCAGTTTGGAACTTCTTAGAGACTGGTTAAATGGTTGTGACCAAAATGCTGACAGTGATATACACAGTAAAGTCCAGGCTGCTGAGGTCTCAGATGGAAGTGAGAAACTTATTGGGAACTGGAGCAAAGGTGACGCATGTTATGTCCTAGCAAAGAACTTGGCTGCATTGTGTTTATGTTCTAGGGATCTGTGGAAGTTTGAACTAAAGAGTTAGAACCTAGGGTATCTGGCAGAGGAAATTTCTAAGCAGCAAACTGTTTGTTCAAGATATGGCCTGGCTGCTTCTAACAACCCATTCTCACATATGAGAGCAAAGAAATGATTTAATGTTAGAATTTATATTTATACAGGAAGTAAAGCATAAAAGTTTGGAAAATCTGCAGCCAAGGCATGTGGCAAACAAATAAAAAGCTTGTTTGGGAGAGGAATTCAAGCAGTCTGTGGAACATTCACTTGCTAGAGATATTTGCATAATCAAAAGGGAGGCAAGTGTTAATGTCCAAGATAATGAGAAAAAGGTCTTGAAGACATTTCAGAGACCATCACATCAACCCCTCCCATCACAGGCCCAGAGGCTCAGGAGGACTGAATGGTTTCATAGGCCCCTGGACCCTCCCAAATCCCATGGCCTTTTCACATTGCAAAATAAAACCATGCCTTCCCAATAGTCCCCCAAAGTCTTAACTCATTCCAGCATTAACTCAAAAGTCCAAAATCCAAAGTCTCATCTGAGACAAGGCAAGTCCCTTCCATCTATGAGCCTGTAAAATCAAAAACAAGTTAGTTACTTCCAAGACACAATGGAGGTATAGACATTGGGTAAACATTCCCATTCCAAAAGGGAGAAATCAGATAAATGAAAGGTGCTACAGGCCCCTTTAATGACTGCCCTGCTGAATTTCCTGCAAGTTTGGAACCCAGAAGTGCAGTCATTAAATCTGAAAGCTCCAAAATAACCTCCCTTGACTCTGTGTCCCACATCCAGGGCACACTGCTGCAACGAACTCTCAAGGCCTTGGGCAGCTGTGTCCCTGTGGTTTTGCAGGGTTCAGCCCTCGGGGGACTGCTCTCACAGGTTAGTATTGAGTGTCTGTGTCTTTTCCAGGTGCAGGGTGCAAGCTGCTGGTGGATCTGCCATTCTGGGGTCTGGAGGATGATGGCCACCTTCTCACAGCTCCACTAGGCAGTGCCTTGTTGGGTCTCTGTATAAGGGCTCCAACCCCACATTTCTCCCTTGGCACTGTCCTAGTAGAGATTCTCTTTGAGGGCCACACCTATGCAGCAGAGTTCTGCATGGGCACCCAGGCTTTCTCATACATCTTCTGAAGTCTAGGAAAAGACTTCCATGAATTCACTCTTGCATTTTGCACCCTTATAGGCTTAATGCCACATGTAAGCCACCAAAGCTTAGAGCTTGCACCCTCTGGAGTTGCAGCCCAAGCTGTACCTGGGCCCCTTTAAGCCATGGCTGGAGCTGGAGCAGCTGGGATATGGGGAGCTGTGTCCTGAGGCTACGCAGGGCAGCAAAGACTTGAAGGGATTTCAGAAAGGGGCCTGTAGCCCCTTTCATTTAGCTGATTTCTCCCTTTTCAAATGGGAATGTTTACCCAATGTCTATACCTCCGTTGTACTTTGGAAGGCATGGTTGTATTTTGCAATGTGAGAAAACCATGAGATTTGGGAGGGGCCAGAGGTGGAATGATATAGTTAGATATTTGTCCCTGCCCAAATCTCATGTTGAATTGTAATCCCCAATGGGTGGGGCCTGGTGGGAGGTGTTTAGATCCTGAGGGCTTATCCCTCATAGCTTGGAGCTGTTCTTACGATGGTGCATAAGTTCTTGTGAGATTTGGTCATTTAAAATTGTATGGCACCTCTCCGCTACTCTCTCTGTTGTTTGCTCATGCTTTCATCATGTGAAGTGCCTGCTCCTGCTCTGCCTTCCACCATGATTAAAGGCTCCATGAGGTTTCATGAGAAGCTGAGCAGATGCCAGAACCATGCTTCCTGTAAAGTCTACAGAAGCACGAGCCAATTAAACCTCTTTTGTTTATAAATTACCCAGTCTCAGGCATTTCTTTATAGAAGTGCAAGAACGGCCTAACACAATGACAGAGCCCATGTGACCTACAAATCATAATATTTTTAGTCTGGCCCTTAACAGAAAAGGTTTTCTAAGTCCAACTTTAGACAATTACCTCTTAAAGGGATTTAAATAATAAGAGTTTATTTTAAATAATTATCCAGGTAAGTTATCAGTTTAGGTGCTCTTTATTACTTTGTACAGATCCGGATTTTCATATTGCATCATTTTTATTCTTCTTGGATAAAGTTCTTTAACATTTTTTAGAGTGCAGGCCTGCTAGTGATTAATACTTTCAGCTTTTAAGTGTCTAGAAATGCCTTTATTTTGTATTCGTTTTTTAAAATATGTTTTCACTGGGAAAGAATTCTTTGTTGACCATTGTTTTATTTTAATACTGTAAATATGTTGTCCTACTGTCTTATTGTTTGCATTGTTTCTGAATAGCAAATTGCTGACATCCTTATTCGTGTTTCTTTTTACCTAATGTGTTTTTTCTCTACTTTTCAGATTTTTTAATCACTTATTTTGAGCAATTTGATTATGATGTTCTTTAATGTAGGCTTTGTTCTTATTACTTGTGATAAGAATTTGTTGATCTTTAATAAGTAGATTTATAATTTTAATCATATTTAGAAAGTTTTCTGCTATTATTTCTTCAATACTTTTTTCTCTTCCCTACCCATGAATCTTATCTTTTGAGGACTTCAGTTACACCTATGTTAGGCTGCTAGAAGTTGTTGTACAACTCACTAATCTCTACTCATTTTTCCTCATATTCTTGGATATTTTCTATTGCTATTTTTTCAAGTTCACAATATTTTCTTCTGCAATGTCTAATCTGCCATAATTCTATGCCATGCCTTTTTGTCTCATACATGATATTTTTTTATCTCTAGAAGTTTAATTTATGTCTTTATTATATCTTCCATTATCTACTTAACATGCTCAATTTGTCATCTAATTTCTTGAACATATGAAGTACAGTTATCATAACAAGTTAAAATGTCTTTGTTTATTAATCTGTATCATTTCTGGGCTTCTTTTGGTTGATTGATATTTCTTCTCATTATGAGTAGAATTTTTCTGTTCCTTTGCATGCCTGGTAATTTTTATTGGAGTAAGGACCTGTGGTAGGGGCCAATTTTTATGGTGACTGGAAAAAGGGTGGTGTATCTATCAGCTATGCCACAATAATGTTGTATAACAAACACTCCAAACTCAGTGTTCTAAAAGAGCCAGCTCTACCTGCTACCCAGTTCCAAAGTCACTTCCACATTTTCAGGTTAACTTTATAGCAGTGTCCCACTCCCAGTACCAATTCTTTGTATAAGTCTATTCTCACACTGCTATAAAGATACTACCCAAGACTGGGTAATTTATTAAGGAAAGAGGTTTAATTGACTCACAATTCTGCATGGCTGAAGAGACCTCAGGAAGTTACGGTCATGGTGGAAGGTGAAGGGGAAGCAGGTACCTTCTTCACAAGGCAGCGAAAGAGAGATAGAGTGTACTGGGGAAACTACCACCTTTAACACCATCAGATATCATGAGAACTTCCTCACTATACGAGAACAACATGGGGGAAACTGCCTCCATGACCCAATCACCTCCCACCAGGTCCCTCCCTTGACACATTTGGATTACAATTTGAGATGTGATTTGGGTGGGGACACAAAGCCAAACCATATCGGCTGTGAATTGCAATCTCTGAAGGAAGTTGTAGTCAAGGACTCAGACCCTCCAGCTTGCCATGCTTGTATGAATATCTGAATTCCTAGGCCAGGCACCTCCATTCAGAGACTTCTTTATTGGAGGTCCTTGGCCAAGGCTTCTCTCTAGCACTTCTGCTGACACCACCTGATCAGGGTGACTTGAAGACATTTTTCTCTACTTTGACTCAATATTCAGTACTTTCCCACTCTTAGCCTTTATTTCTCTTCCTATCGCCAACCCCAGGTCCATAAAATGGCAGGAGCCTTTTGTTTGGTAATCCCTCAAGGGTGGGACAATTCCTACTATCTGCACTGATACACCTGACCCTCACCTGGTGCTGTTTCACAGGCAAAAATGGAACATTGCAGGAACCAGCACTTACTCTTGTTTAGTTTCTTGCTTATACTATCACAATAAGTGATTAAGTGCTTGACTGTCACTTTCATTTTGTCTTATTGTCTTAATTAACTACCTGGCAGCTCAGCTTTTTCAAAAACAGCTCACCTCTTGACAGAAATATGCAAAGCCTCTGAAGTCCTAGGCTCAGAATTGACCCAGCATCACATCTAGCCACACTGGCTAAAGCAAGACATGACTAAAACTGAAAGGCCACAGAACGGGTGAAGATAGAAGGGTAAAGAACTGGACTCAGTGATTTAGTCCACCATGGGTGGGATGGGGCAAATTTCCTGACCAAAGCCAAGACAACCTCATGGCAGAGTCAGCATCCTGAATCCAGGTGGCTTTTGATGCTTCTGGGCCACATGTAGACATAAGTCGTTTTTCTGGAGAGCTACCCATGAACAGCAGAATCCTGATCTCCTAGCTCATACTAGGTTACCTACTTAATCAATCAACACGTATTTATGCGTTAACTCTGCCAGAAACATTTAGTTATTGGGAATGACACAAAAATCAGAAGAATCATAGTCACTGCCCTGACAGAGCTAAAATGAAACTTAAATACAAGAAAATAAACAAATACATACTATAATTTTAAGAGAAATAAGTCCTATGAAGGAAACAAATAATATATTAATATAAAGAATAAATGGAGTGCTTCATTAGATAAGATGGTTGAGAGCAGCACAGTATTAGGTAAATAATTTTAAGCATAGCCAGAACTCCTCCAGAGAGGCTGATGAGGGGGCAATCTGTATACAGCTGTTTGGTATAGCAAGTTCTAAGCTGTTGCTATAGTCTGAGTGTTTAGATCCCCCCAAGCTTATATGCTGATACCTAATCCCTAATAAATAGTATTAGAAGGTGGGGGCTGGGGAGGTGATTAGGTCATAAGGGCAGATCCCTTGTGAATAGGATTGGTGTTCTTATAAAAGAGGCCTAAAGGAGACTGCCCTTCTGCCATGCGAGGACACATACAGGGTGCCATCTGTGAGGAGCAGGCCAGTGCCAGACACTGGATCAGATTATGCCTTGATCTTAGATTTCCCAGTCTCTAGATCTGTGAGCATGAATCTCTGTTGCTTATAAATTCCCCGGTTTAAAGTATTTTGTTATAGCAGCCCAAGCAGACTAAGATAGATGTATACTAAGGACAGGTTACTCATCATGGGAAGTAAACCTTTTAATAGGATGCAGGGATTCACTCTATTTTAAGGAAAAATTTCTCTTTATTTTTCTTGAGTGCATTAGACAGAGCTATTGGTCCTAATATATACAGAAAGTTTATCTTCTCTAGGAGAAAAGTCTCTAGGGGAGACCTAACAATTAATTACGTTGCTGGAGAAGAATGCTCCTTGCCCTTGAGTAAGGGAGATCCAATTTCCACTGATGAAAATTTGGGTTCCATATTTACTGGTGAATCAAAGCTCCTCTCAATAGCCATCAAGGGCATCCATGATGAAAAGATGAAAAGAAGATAGTAGGGAGTTTTGGGTGAGGTAAAGGAGGTGTGGGTGGGAAACGAGAAAATCTGGGGCAAGAGTGAGAAGGAGATTCCGAGTTAGGAGAGAGGTTATTGAGTGGAACCACTGCCTGGAAGGTGCAGAGAGTGCAAGCTGAAAAGATGATATCCCAGGACTAATTTTGGGGCTGAGAATTTGCCATCTAACTGCCTAGTCTTTCGGGAGAGAAAATATACTGATAATTCACTGGGATTTCCAGATTTGTAGCTGAAACTATGGTACCATCTAAATAGTATGCCTGGCATGGGTCAGGCTAGGAAGTCCCAAATTCGGATTTATCCACTAATCTGTAAACATCCTTTGAAAATTTAAATCAATTGCTTCAATACTGTCAATTTCTTGATTCATTCTTTGCCATATATCAAGAAGCAGAGCACTTTCCATAGAAATCACATATGGAGATTTACTTGCCTGCCTCCCAAGGACCTAAGATTTTTAAAATGACTCTGTTTGCATACCTTCATTGAGCTTGCATTTCCTTATGTGTAAAATGAATGGGACAGGAAGGTTGTGTGTAGAAGGACTGCATTGTCCATACTTGAGCAGGATGGACAGAATAAACAGCAAACCCAATGATCCATATTCCAACAAGCTTGCTGCAGTACAAAGTTGCGTAGCTGAGTTGTGTAGCTTCTATTTCCATCAGGGTTAGTGTGGATAAAACTAGGTATTTTTATGAATGATATTATTGTGTTTTTCTCCCCTTTAAGCACAAGGTATAATTTTTAACCCCAAGTCAATGGTGAAGCATTCCCTGTTCTCTTGCTATCTATGCCCAGCTCCATTAGCCCAGGCTGCCCCAGTCTCCCAGCTTAGCTGAATGGTTCCCTCTTATTTTCTGTGCACTATCCCTTTTGTCTGTGATCAAAGCAGGGATCCTTACATCTTCCAGCCTGATCCTTTCTGCCATTCTTCATCTTACATGCTCATTATTTCAGCTGTATTTTCAATGCTCTCTCATTTCCCCTCCTATGTATCCACCCACATTTCCACCTACAGTGTCTATAATGTGCTTTCTATGTACTGTAGCTTAATAAAGGGAAATTATGCTAATTTTATTCAAACTTTAAAAAGTAAAACCTGTACCATTATTATTCTGCCCCTCTCTCCCTTTTATTTATTCATTTCAAAAGAAAAAGTGTCTAATCATCTGAGAAAATTGTACTTGCACAATGTTAACCACTTTCCAATTTTTTCCTTCTAATTAAGTAGATTTTTCCAATAGAGTTTGTATGGAATAAGAAAGCTGGCCTTCTGAGTAGATCGGTTTCTGATGAAATTAGAGGCCTGGGTCCAGCACAACTTTGGTATCATTTAATGATCTTGGTGCCTGGAAGGTAGCCTGAAAAGTCTGCTGCAAATGCTTTATGGGAAAAGAGGGGCACAATTCCAGGAGACAAGTGTCCAAGGATTTGTACATACATAATCAAGACTTAGAGCCAAGAAATCTGATTCCCACATCCCAGCCTCCAACAGGCAAGGGATCTTTCCTTGCAAATGCCTAAAAGTAGAAAAATTGATGTTAGTGTCTAGAAGAAAAATTTATTCGTAGGCAGAAACCAGCTTTGTTGAGAAGATACTTGGATAAGGACACAGAGAGGGAAGGCTGAGTCTCCAAGGCCCAGAGTCCTCAACAGAGAAAGAATCTACTCCATAAAAAAAGAGGACCAAGGATAAGAAGCTAACTGGGCACTGTTCGAAGCACAGTTTGTGTAAGGAGAGAGAGCCAGTGGCTGGAAGCTCAAAGAAGAGACTTAGAGGCGAGATGGTTCTATTGGAAGTATTCACATGAAATGCTGTAAAGAATCAGCTTTTCAACCTGATTTTTCTCTGTGGCCCATAAAATTATACATAAAACCTAGAATACATTTGGCATTATTGAGTTTCTTGCAGATGTTGGTTAAGAGGCCAAGAGTTCATCAAGTTCAGCTCAGAGAAAAAACATACTCAAAGCTCATGAATGAGACCTGCAGCTGGCACTTGAATTTATTTTTCTTTCTTAGAAGATGAGTGTTATCACTGTCAAGAAGGTCTTTTAAAGGTCTTGATGTATGGAGAATATTATGCTGGGGACTGCATGATTGAGTCAGATTCACATTCATTGGGTCCACATGATGCCAGAACAAACATGCAATTGTGTTCTTCTTTGAGAAAATGTTAATCACATCATACCTAACATCACAGAATTGAAAACACATATTTAACTGAATTTTTTACCTTTTCATAAAATCGTAATTTTATGTACTTCTTCGTCAATCACCTTTGTTCTTTATTCCAATTCTTTTTGTTATTTTTAATTTTCGTGGGTACACAGTGTATATATTTAACTGTATATACTTATGGGGTACATGAGGTATTTTGATACAGGCAGGAAATGCATAATAATCATATCAATGGAAATGGGGTATCCATCCCCTCAAGCATTTATCCTTTGTGCTACAAATAATCCAATTATACTTTTAGCTATTTTAAATGTACAATTAAATTATAATTGACTATAATGACCCTGTTGTGCTATCAAATAGTAGGTCTTACTCATTCTTTCTATTTTTTTTGGTACTCATGAACTATCCCCACTTCCCCCTCATTCCCCCCACCCAACTACCTTCCCCACCTCTAGTAACCATCCTTCTACTCTCTATGTCCATATCCTTATTCTCTATGCCTTTCTAACTATTTTTTTACCCATTAACCATCCCCACCTACCCTTTACCCTGACCCAACTACTCTTCCCAGCCTCTGGTAACCATCCTTATATTCTCTATCTCCATGAGTTCAATTGTTTTGATTTTTAGATCCCACAAATAAGTGAGAACATGTGATGTTTGTGTTTCTGTGCCTGGCTTATTTCACGTGCATGATGAACCCTCAGTTCCATTCATGTTGTTGCAAATGACAGGATCTCATTTTATTTATGGCTGGATAGTACTCCATTGATTATAGATATGACATTTCCTTTATCCATTCACCTGTTGATGGACACTTAGGTTGCTTCCAAATCTTGGCTATTGTGAACAGAGCTGCAACAAACATGGGAGTGCAGATATCTCTTCAATATACAGATTTCCTTTCTTTTGGGTATATACCCAGCAATGGGATTTCTGGATCATATGGTAGCTCTATTTCTACTTTTTGAGAAACCTGCAAACTCTTCTCCATACTGGTTGTACTAATTTATATTCCCACCAACAGTGTATGAGGGTTCCCTTTTCTCCACATTCTTTCTCACCAGCATTTGTTATTGCCTGTCTTTTGAATATAAGCCATTTTAACTGAGGCGAGATGATATCTCATTGTAGTTTTGATTTGCATTTCTCTGATGATCAGTGATGTTGAGCACGTTTTCATATGCCTGTTTGTCATTTGTGTGTCTTCCTTTGAGAAATGTCTATTCAAATCTTTTGCCCATTATTCAATTGAATTATTAGACTTTTTCCTGTAGAGCTGTTTGGACTCCTTATATTATTCTGGTTACTAATTCCTTGTCAGATGAGTAGTTGGCAAATATTTTCTCCCATTGTGTCAGTTTTCTCTTCATTTTGCTGATTGTTTCCTTTGCTATGCAGAAGCTTTTAAACTTGATGTGATCCTATTTGTCCATTTTTGTTTTGGTTGTCTGTGCTTGTCTGGTATTACTCAAGACATATTTTATCAGACTAATATCCTGGAGATTTTCCATAGTGTTTTCTTGCAGGAGTTTCACAATTTGAGGCGCCCAATTTATGTTCTTGGCATCTTTGTAAAAAATGAGTTCACTGTAGGTGTGTGGATTTTTTTTCTGGGATCTCTGTTCTGTTCCATATGTCTATGTGTCTGTTTTTATGTCAGTACCATGTTGTTTTGCTTGCTATAGCTCTGTAGTATAATTTGAAGTCAGGTAATGTGATTCTTCCAGTTTTGTTCTTTTTGCTCAAATAGCTTTGGCTATTGTGGGTATTTTGTAGTTCCATATACATTTTAGGATTTTTTTTTCTATTTCTGTGAAGAATGACATTGTTATTTTGATAGGGATTGCATTGAATCTGTAGATTGCTTTGGGTAGTATGGACATTTTAACAATATTGATTCTTCCAATCTATGAACATGGAATAATCTTTCCATTTTCTTGTGTCTTCTTCAATTTCTTTCATCAGTGTTTTATAGGTTTAATTATAGATACTTTCACTTCTTTGGTTAATTCCTAGGTATTTAATTTTATTTGTGGCTATTGTAAATGGAATTTTTTTTTGATTTCTTGTTCAGATTGTTCACTATTGGTATATAGAAATACTACTAATTTTTGTATGCTGATTTTGTAGCTTGCAACTTTACTGAATTTGTTTATCAGTTCTAATAGTTTATTTTGGTAGGGTCTTTAGGTTTTTCCAAATGTAAGATTGTGCCATCTGCAAACAAGGATAATTTGAGTGCTTCATTTCAAATTTGGATGCCAAGCAGGCATCCTTGTCATGTTCCATATCTTAGAGGAAAGGTTTTCAGTTTTCCCCCATTCAGTATGCTACTAGCTCTGAGTCTCCTGTATGTGGCTTTTATTATGTTGAGGTATGTTCCTTCTATACCCAGTTTTTTGAGAATTTTTATCATGAAGGGATGTTGAATTTTATCAAATGCCTTTTCAGCATCAATAAAAATGATCATATGGATTTTGCCCTTTATTATGTTGATATGATGTATCACATTGATTGATTTCCATTTGTTGAACTATCCTTGCATCCCTGGGATAAATCCTACTGGGTCTTATCAAATGATCTTTCTATTGTGGTGTTGAATTTGGTATTCCAGTATTTTCCTGAGGATTTTTGCATAAAAATTTATCAGAGATATTGGCATGCAGTTTTCTTTTTTTAGTGTGTCTTTGTCTGGTTTTGGTATCAGGGTAATACTGGCCTCATGGAATGAGTTTGAAATTATTCCCTCCTCCACTATTTTTTTGAATAGTTTGAGTAGGATTGGTATTAGTCTTTAAATGTTTGGTAGAATTCAGCAGTGAAGCCATCAAGCTCCATGCTTTTCTTTAGTGGGAGACTTTTTTATTATAGCTTCAATCTCATTGCTTGTTAGTCTGTTCAGGTTTTGGATTTCTTCATGGTTCAATCTTGGTAAGTTTTATGTATCTAAGAATGTATGCATTTCCTCTAGGTTTTTCAATTTATTAGCATATAATTTCTCATAGTAACCACTAAAGATCCTCTTAATTTCTGTCGTGCCAGTTGTAATGTCTCCTTTTTCAGCTCTGATTTTATTTATTTGGGTCTTCTCTCTTTTTTCTTCATTAGTATGTGTAAAGATTCATTGATTTTATCTTTTCAAAAAAACAAGTTTTTGTTTTGTTGACTTTTTGTATTGTATTCATTTCAAGTTCATTTATTTCTGCTGTGATATTCGTTATTTCTTCTACTAATTTTGGGATTGGTGCGCTCTTGCTTTTCAGTTTCTTTGGAATGCACCATTAGATTATTGATTTGAAGTTTTTCTTTCTTGATGTAAGCATGTATATCTATAAACTTCCATCTTAGTACTGGTTTTGCTGGTTTGTTGTTGTTGTTGTTGTATTGGTATGTTGTGTTTTCATTATCATTTGTCTCAATACATTTTTCAATTTTCTTCTTAATTTCTTCAGTGACCTACTGGTCATTTCATAGCATATTGTTTAATTTCCACATGTTTAAATAGTTTCCAAAATTCCTCTAGTTATTCATTTGTAGTTTTATTCCATTGTGGTTAGAGAAGATGCTTGTTATTATTTCCATTTTTTGAATGTTTTAAGACTCACTTTGTGTATAACATATGCTCTATCCTTGAGAAATGAGCCATGTGCTGACGAGAAGACTGTGTATTCTGCAACTGTTGGATAAAAGGTTCTTTAAATACATATTAGGTCTATTTGTTCTATAGTGCAGATTAAGTCTGATGTTTCTTTGTTGGTTTTCTGTCTGGGAGATCTGTCCAATGCTGAAAGTAGGGTGTTGAAATCTCCAGCTATTATCATATTGATATCTCTCTCTTTAGCTCTAATAATATTTGCTTTACATATCTGGGTGCTCCAGTGTTGTGTGCATATATATTTGCAACGATTATATCCTCCTGCTGAATTTTCCCCTTTATCATTATATAATGGTCTTCTTTGTCTCTTCTTATGGTTTCTAATCTTGAAATTTATTTTGCCTGATATAAGTATAGCTACTCCTGCTCTGTTTTGGTTCCCGTTCCCATGGAATATCATTCCATCCCTTTATTTTTAGTGTATGTGTGTCTTTATAGGTGAAGTGTGTTTCTGTAGGTAAAAGATCACTGGGTCATTTTTTCATCCATTCAGCTACTCTTTGTTTTTTGTTTGTTTTGTGTTGTTTTGTTTTTGTTTTTGTTTTTTTGAAACAGAGTCTTCCTCTGTTTCTTGGGCTATGGTGAAGTGGCACAATCATGACTCACTGCAGCCTCAATGTCCCAGGCTCAAGTGATCCTCCCATCTGAGCCTCATGAGTAGCTGTGACTAAAGGCATGTGCTACCATGACTGGCTAATTTTTTATTTTGTGTGGAGATGGAGGTCTCACTCTGTTGCTCAGGCTAGTCTTGAACTCCTGATCTCAAGTGATCCTCCCACCTCAGCCTCCCAAAGTCCTGGGATTACAAGCATAAGCCACCATGCCTGGCCAACTATGTGCCTTTTGATTGAAAAGTTTAGTCCATTTACATTAAGTGTTATTGATAAGTAGGGAATTACTCCTGCCATTTTGTTATTTATTTGTTAATTGTTCTGTGATCTTCTCTTTCTTTTTTTTCCTTCCTTCCTGTCTTCCTTTTAGTTAGGGTGATTTTCTCTGGTGGTATGGTTTAATTTCTTGCTTTTTGTTTTCTGTGTATCCATTGTATGATTTTTGATTTGATGTTACTATGAGGCTTGTAAATACTATCTTATAACTCATTATTTTAAACTAATGGCAACTTAACACTGATTGCAGTAAAAAAAAAAAAGATAAAGAAAACTAATAATGAAAACGCTATACCTTAACTTCATCCCTCCTGCTTTTTAACTTTTTGTTCTTTCTCTTTATGTCTTATATTGTCTATGTCTTGAAAAGTTGTTGTAGTTATTATTTTTGATTGGTTAATCACTTAGTCTTTCTACTTAAGGTAAGAGTATTTTACACACTACAATTACAGTGTTATAATATTCTGTGTTTTCCTGTGTGCTTACTGTTCCCAGTGAGTTTTGTTACCTTCAGATGATTTTTTCTTGCACATTAATATCCTTTATTTTCAAATTAAAGAACTCCCTTTAGCACTTCTTGTATGACACGTCTGGTGTTGATGAAATCCCTCAGCTTTTATTTGTCTGGGAAAGTATTTCTGCTTCATGTTTAAAGAATATTTTTACTGAATATGCTATTCTAGGTTAAAAGTTTTTTTCCTTCAGCACTTTAAATGTGCCATGCCACTCTCTCTTGGCCTGTAAGGTTTTCACTGAAAAGTCTGCTGCCATTGCAGCGCCATTGTATGTTATTTATTTCTTTTCTCTTGCTGCTTTTAGGATCCTTTCTTTATCCCTGACCTTTGGGAATTTGATTATTAAATGCCTTGAGGTAGTTTTCTTTGGGTTAAATCTGCTTGGTGTTCTATAAGCTTCTTCTTCTTATATATTGATATCTTTCTCTAGATTTGGGAAGTTCTCTGTTATTATCGCTTTGAATAAACTTTCTACCCCATCTCTTTCTCTACCTCCTAAGGCCAATAACTCTTAGATTTGCCCTTTTGAGGCTATTTTCTAGATCCTGTAGGTATGCTTCATTCTTTTTTATTCCTTTTCTTTTGTCTCTTCTGACTGTGTATTTTCAAATAACCTGTCTTCAAGCTCACTAATCCTTTCTTCTGCTTGATCAATTCTACTACTTGGCAACTGTGATGCATTCTTCAGTATGTCAATTGCATTTTTCAGCTCTAGATTTTCTGCTTGATTCTAATTATTTCTACCTCTTTGTTAATTGTATAGGATAGAATTCTGAATTCCTTCTCTATATTATCTTGAATTTCTTTGAGTTTCTTCAAAACAGCTATTTTGAATTCTGTCTGAAAGGTCACATATCTATGTTTCTCCACGAATCATTGGTCCCTCGTGCCTTATTTAGTTCATTTGGTGAAATTTTGTTTTCCTGGATGGTCTTGATGCTTGTAGATGCTCATCTGTGTCTGGCCATTGAAGAATTAGGTCTTTATTGTAGTCTTCACATTTTGGGCTTGTTTGTTCCTGTCATCATTCAGAAGGCTTTCCAGGTATTCCAAGGGACTTAGGCCCCAAGCCCAGTAATGCTGTAGTTTTTACAGACTCATACAAGTTACTGCCTTGGTGGTCTTGGATAAGATCCGGAAGAATTCTCTGGATTACCAGGCGGAGACTCTTGTTCTTTTCTCTCACTCTCAAACAAACAGTCTCTCTCCATGTGCTGAGCCACCTAGAATTGGGGTTGTGGTGATGCAAGCACCCCTGTGGCCAAGAAACTCAAGTTCCCCTCTGGCTAGGTCTAGTGCAAGTGCTCCCCCAACATGCAGGCACTGGCTGAGCCCAGCACGGCTTTGTTCTCCACTGTGACAGGGCAGCACTGAGTTCAATGTAAATTCCTCCAATTGCTGTACTCTCCCCACCCAAGTGCACAGGCTCTCTCTTGGTACTGCATGGCCTCTCTGGGCATGTTACTGTCACTTGTTTGTTTATTTGTTTAGTGACTGGCTGAATTATTTTGATGAAGTCTAATTCCCCTTAAAGAATGTTGGCTGGGCAAAAGAAGGGAGACACTTCTCTCTGCTGCTCCCATCCAGAACTTAGCCTGTGCAACAGGTAGCTGGGGTTCAAGATGAGAAATGCTGACATTCATCCCTCTTGGAAAGATATACCATAGCACTGGATTGGAAGCTGAGGGGAGAGGGAACCCCATTTTCCTAGCCACACCTGCCCAGAGTTTCTGCCACTCTGAGCAGAAGCAGGAAGGGTGAAAGTAGGCTTATAGATCAAATACCACAGACCCCTGCTGTTCTTACCAAGTTTTGGTATGTTTTCCCGAATAAATGTTTCCTCATTTGCTATATACACTTAGGACAATTTCCACTGCCTTTAAATGGTTATTTTAAAGTAATTTTCCTCAGTTTCACTGTTGAATGTGTCCATGGAACCTCTTATGTTGCCATTCCAGAAATAGAACTTCTTTATTTTTTGAATTCTGTGTAACTCCTTTGCTTTCTTATGGTCTCAAATGTCTATTTAAAGGGATGTTTGCCACATTTTATCTGGAATTTTAAGATTATCAGTCTGTTTTCTGTCTCCAATTTGTCCTTCAAAACACTTCAAATATCAGCTTCTGTGAAGTTCTTCTTCCCCCAGATAACCAAGGAGTCTCCTTCCTCTGCTTTCATGATTATTTTTTATTATCCATCTATAACATTACATTGTAATTAATTACTTGCATATGTAACTCTAATTCAAATGTAAGATTCTTGAAGGCAAGAAAAACATGTCTTATTCTAATAAAGTGCTTCAGTAACTAGTAAAGAGTTTGGCATATAGTAGAGAACTCAACTGATATTCGTAAAGCTAATCAATAACTGAATTAATTGTATTTTAGTTGTCTAAATAATATATGATGAAGGTCTGAAACAGATCAGCAATATATCTAGGAAGGTAATATCGTGGCAGTGTTAACCCTAGAATAATGTGGGAGTTAGGGGTACTGACAGCTTACCCAGTCAAAAATTCATGTATAACTTATTACTTCCCCCCAAAACATAACTACTAATAGCCTACTATTGACTGGAAGCCTTACTGATAACATAAACAGTTGACTAACACATATTTTCTATATCATATGCACTGTATACTCTACATTTACAATAAGGAAAGCTAGAGAAAAGAAAATGTTATTAAGAAAATTATAAGATAGGCAAATCTATTTGCTGGTCATTAAGTGGAAGTGGATCATTAGGAAGGTCTTCATCTTTGTTGTCTTCATGTTGAGTAGGCTGAGGAAGAGGAGGAAGATGAGGGGTTAGTCTTGCTGTTTCAGAGTGGCAAAGGTGGAAGAGGTGGAGGAGGAGAAAGGGAAGGCAAGAAAGGCAGACACAATTGGTGTAGCTTTATGGAAATACATTGCAATGTGACTTTTTTGCTTTTTCATTTCTATAAAAATGTTTCTATATGATACCAATCCTTCTCCCACTGTTTGCTTTCATTTCAGTGCCCATATTATAGAAGGGCCCATGTTGTAAAATAAGTCAAAATAAGTCTTGAAAAATTGGGATGCTTCCATCAGATTGTCCAATGTCAATTTGTTTTCTGGCACAGCTTCTTCAACATCTTCTTTTTCATCATCTGGCACTGGTTCAGAAGCACTCATCTCCATCAAGTTGTCTTCTGTTAATTCCTTTGGTGTGATGTCTATTAGCTCTTGAATTTCTACAAGATCTGTATCTTGAAATTCTTCATCCACCACCCTTTTTGTCATATTCACAATTTCTTTTATGATTTCCTTGATTGACTCTGTTATAAATTCTGTGAAGTCATGCACAACATCTGGAAACAGTTTCCTTCAGCAGGAATTTAGTTGGGCTTGATGGCTTCGACAGCTTTTTCTATAGCAACAATGTTATCTTCAATGATGTAATCCTTCCAGCTTTTCAAGATGCTACCTCTGTCGATGTTCTCTTCCATAGCATTGACAGTCCCTTCCATAGAGAACCATGTGTAATGAGACTTAAAGACCCTTATAACCTCTGATCTAGAGGCTGAATTAGAAACATTGTGTTTTCAGGCAAACAGACCACTTCGACACCTTAGGTGTTGAACTCACGTGGTTTTGAGTGGCCAGGAACATTGTCCAATATCAAAAGAACTTTAAAAGGCAATCGCTTAATGGCAAGATACTTGCTGACTTCAAAGATGAAGCATAGATGGAACCAGTCCAGAAAAAGTGTTCTCATTGTCCAGGCTTTCTTGTTGTACAGCCGAAATACTGGCAACTGGTGCTTACCTTTCTTTTCAAGGCTCAAAGGTTAGCAGCTTTATAGACAAGGGAAGTCCTGATCATAAACGCAACTGCATTTGCAAAATAAATGTCCTTTGTGGCACTTTAAAAAAATAGAATATGGCTCTTTTGTCTGCATTAAAAACCTGTTCAGGGAGATGTCCTTTCTCTTTAACAATTTTCTTAATGGTGTCTGGCAGCTTATCTGCTGCCTCTTGGTTGGCAGAAGCTGCTTCTCCTATTAGCTTGACATTTTTAAAGCCAAACCTCTTTCTAAAATTATCAAACCATCTTTTGCTGACATTAAATTCTCCAGTTTTAGATCTTTCACCTTCATTTTGCTTTAAACTGTCATATAATGACTTTGCTTTTCTCAAATCTTAAATTAAATTTAATCTCAAAGTCTATAGGTATGCCTTTCTTATAGCAATCCTGCACACACATAAAAGCTGCATTTTTCAATATGAGATAAAAAGGTATTTCGCAAAAAGTGCAAGGTTTTTGTGCCTGCTGGTATAGCTGCAGTGACAGCTTCACACATTTTCTTTTCTTTTTATATAATGGTCCTTACAGTGGATTCATTTGAAATGGTGGGCAACTGCAGCTGCAGATCTTAGTCTATGGTACATATCAAGCAAATCAACTTTTTCTCATAATGTCATGACTTTTCTATGCTTCTTGGGAGCATTTCCAGCATCATTAGTGGCACTTCATATAGGTCTCATGATGTTACTCAAAGTTTACAGTATTGCACTAAACATGATGAAAAATACACAAGAAATGTGAGAGATCACTTTTTACTGCCATATGCAATTTACTAGAGAGACGAACTGCTCCTGTGGAGATGATTAGCACCAAATGGTGTTTTCAGTGAATACACAACACTTGAGCTCACCACGGTAGCAACAATAGGTGGCTATGAAATGATTACAGTAGTAAAGTATGTACTACAGTTAATTTTATGCAATTATGATTTAATACTTCATCTTTACATTTGTTTACATTTCTCTCATGTGCAGTCTTTAAGTGTTTGTGTACATTTTAACAAACTTTAATAACAGATTCATGTACACTTTATGGTAGTAAATGATAAAACGGACTAGTGTCTACATATATTTTATGCATTCATGACATACCTAACTTTTAGAAAATATTAGATATTTCTAGGCTACAAGGTTCATCTTCAAGTTTTTTTCAAATTGTCATAAATCTCTAAAACATTTTCAAATATATTTACTGAGAAATATTCATGTACAAGTTGAGCCATATAGTTCAAACTCATGTTGTTTAAGAGTCAACTATAATACCCTACATTTACAAGGAATTGTCATTCTTTAAAGTTGTATCCATTATTTCATTTGTGCCTCAAAGATTATGGCTGGAAAAGCATTTATATTAAATACAAATTGTTATTCTTCCAACTCAGTATTAATTTAATACTGTTTTAGTTATATTACCTGGTGAGGCCAGATGCAGATCAACAGACAGAAACCAGAAAGAGTTTTACAGTTTCTTATACTGACAGTTCTCTGGGAAGAACACAATATGCCACACAGGGCCACTCAGGGGAAGCACCAAGGTTGGTCGTGAGGCAAAGGAAGAGGGAAGACAAGTGTCTTTATTGTGGTTTCTGCAGGAAGGAATGGATGAGGCAGGATACGCAGGCTTAGGATTGACTAATTTGAGCACTTTCAGTGGGCTCCAGGGTATAGGAGCTGCCTCTGGTTATCTGATACCTGCCCTTAGAGTAATTAGGAAAAGTGTATGGTGGCCAGGAGGGTGAGAGTCTCATAAGGGAGGTGGTTGGGGATATGGGCTTAACCGATTGCTCAGTGAAAATTGACTAACCCCTACATAGGGCCTCAAAACTGTGTCAAGACGCATTTTGTTGTTGTTGTTGATCCATATTTTCAGTTTACTGGCATACAGAAAACATTTTATAAAGTAATATGGTAGACTTCCATTTTAACATGTTCACGTAAAAACATCACAGTGCAAGAAAGTGATCACGATTAAGCATGAAGACATTAAAAGCCAGCCAGTATTTTAACTACAGGGCAGAATATTCTTGCTGTCCCTTCCTCGAAAACGTTGGCACATTCATTAACTGCCCAGGTTACAAAAATCACTTTGTGTCCACTTCTTGTCCTTCAATATATTTTCATAACTAGTGTCACATTAATGCTGGTGGACAAAATAGCTCCTACAAAATCAAAAAACCTTTCAGGTAGCACAATGATTTAAAACCAACTAGGAGAATGCTCTCCCAGAATATTTTGGTATGCAATTTTCTGTCCATTACCACAATAACAGAGTAAAAAAGCTGTTTTACCTTAAAAGAAGCTAAAAGAAAATAATTTCATTTTTCCTTTAAAACATCATTTCTTAGCTTTTAAATAGAAAGAAAAAGTTTTAATTATCTTGGGAGAGGAGGATATTTCATAAGTAAAACATCAAATGTTGTACTAATGTTTTATTTAGGAAATAAGTAAATACTTAGATTCAAAGGATTCTAAAACATTTCATCATTATAAGAAAACTGTAATTTAAAGCTAAAAAATTGTAATAAATTGAACTAATATAAATTACTCATTAACATGTTTTATTGTTTTCCACAAAATCCATAATTAAGGAATAGTAGGTTAGGTAAGATATATTTCCCAACATTTGGTCAGATTAGCTAAGAAGCTCTGGGCAAAGGACACCTCCTCTGAGTCAGGATTTTGGCCTCTTAAATGAGGGCACTGGACTAACTGCCCGTTCACATCTCTCTAAAACACACATTTATATGCAATTGTTCATCGTATATAATCCTTCCAAGGATGAAGTGTTTCAACTCAATATATTTTCCAGACAAACTCCCCCGTTTAAGTGGCAAAGCTCTTCTTTAAACTTTAACGTTTTTACTTTAAAATGTTATTTCCAGGGCCTCAAAACTGTGTCAAGACAGCATTTTTAAAACTACTATTATAAATAAATACTAAGTAACACCTAAGTTCTCATTTCTTGTCTTCTCATCCTCTCTGTGCTAGGTTGTAGTGTGTAGTATCACACATACAAGCTCAAGGAATGGATGATATCTGAACTTGAACTCAGACAACATGAGTCTCATCCACAAAAAGAGAGAAGTTTGATTAGACAATACCAAAGTCTCTCTTACTAACAGTGTTACTTTCTTTCAAAAACAAGACCAATCTGGCTTAATTTCAGTGTATGAGGCAAAGAAGATGAGTTGTCCCCAGTATCTGTTTTGTGCTTTGTGTGTGTGTGTGTGTGTGTGTGTGTGTGTGTGTGTGTGTGTGTGTGTGTGATAGCTCCCCTGATTTCCATCTGGACATATAACTACTCAAAATAATGACTACATTTCTCTTCTCTTGAAGCTAGGCATGGCCAAGTAGGTAAGTTGTGGCCAAAAGAATGCAAACAGAATTGGTATGTGCAACTTGCAGGAAGTGTTCTTAAAATAAAAGCAAGCGCTTCATCAGTCATTCCTTTTTTTTTTTTTTTTTTTTCTTCCTGACTGGATGGGGATAGGAAACTCAAGAAACCATTTTAGACCATAAGAAACTCAAGCAGTCATTATGGTTCATGTGATAAAGATGGCAAAGCCATAGATAAAAGAAACCTGGGACCCTGACACCATGGAGCCTCACATCAGCTACATATCAGGCAGACATTTTGTTTGAGGGAGTAAACATTGTATGTTTAAGCTACCACTCATTAGGGTTTTCTGTCACTCATAGTTGAACTGAATTTTAACTTATATAATGTGTGCCTTCCTACCTGTAAATTCATTCAGCCTCCCAAGTAGCTGAGATTGCAGGTGCCTGCCACCATGCCCGACTAATTTTTGTATTTGTAGTAGAGATGTGGTCTCACCATGTTGGCCAGGCTGGTCTTGAACTCCTGACCTCAGGTGATCCACCCACCTCGGCCTCCCAAAGTTCTGGGATTACAGGCGTGAGCCACTGTGCCTGGCCTAATTTCTTTTTAATAAATAGAGGTTTAATAATTAAAAGACAGTCTTTGCAAAGTCCATTTGTTGTTCTGCTAAAATCTAAACATTTGCAAAGTGGTGTGCAGTATCTGGATTCCCTAAAACACATTGATCCCACTCAATATTAATCTTTAGAAAGATTTATAGACCTTTTAGAAAGTGCTATATCTGGCCAGGTGCGGTGGCTTACACCGGTTATCCTAGCACTTTGGGAGGCCAAGGCGGGTGGATCACGAGGTCAGGAGATCGAGACCATCCTGGCCAACATGGTGAAACCCCTTCTCTACTAAAAATACAAAAATTAGCCGGGCTTGGTGGCGTGCACCTGTAGTCCCAGCTACTCAGGAAGCTGAAGCAGGAGAATAGCTTGAACCTGGGAGGCGGAGGTTGCAGTGAGCCAAGATGGCGCCACTGCACTCCAGCCTGGGTGACAGGGCGAGACTCTGTCTCAAAGAAAAAAAAAAGAAAGTGCTATATCTCTGTGCTTCCCCACCTCCTAAATGTGTAAAGAAAAAGCTACCAAACCACAAAAGTAAGTGAGGAAGTAAGTATATTTGATAAAGTGGTTTGAAATTCCCATTCCAAGGAAATTTCTTAATGATATATATTGTTAAGGCTATCAAGCACTTTCTACATAGCAGGTATCATGCTAAGCAATTCAAGTGGATATTTCAATTAATCCTTACAACATCCTTGGGTCTGGTGCCTTACACCACTCAGCCATCCTGACACTAATCTTTACAACATCCTTGGGAAACACATGCTATGATTACCTGCACTTTTAAAACTGAGAAATTAAGGCTTAGAGAGATTAGGTAAAAATGTAAAAGCCAGGTCTCTAACCCAGGTCAGTATAGCCTCAGGTCTTAACTAGAGCCTCTACTAAATGTGATTGTATTCATTTGATAAAGAAGTTGCTTTGTAACAGTTTTAATGCAGAAAGATCAAGTGAGACTAGCTCTCATCTGTATATGAAAATTCCCTTGATCATAGGCTGGTGTTCTTGATTAAAACATGTAGTTGGGGGCATTTGCCCCACATACCTCCATTTTTATATCCTTCCCAAGTTCTCTGAACCCTTCTCCACTCCCCACCATCCCTCATTAGCTACAACAAATCAATGAGTGAAAAATTTGTCAATTTACCAAATTACTTCAAAACTTGTTTTATTTAACCATTTATAAAATTTATAGCAAATAAGCTGTATAGTTTTAACAGCTTTGGGAGATTTTTGTGCACTTGGTTTTGGCACAAAGATTTAATTGAATCTAGTTTCAGCTTTTCTGCAGCTGTTTTGCCACTGCCTTTCACCATGGATAGCTAAAGTTTAATGTATTCTAGATTTTTCAATACTTTGGATATATGACCTTTTAAATAGAGAATTACTTGTGTATTTCAAATTACAAATGTTACACATATCTCAACTATCAAGAATTTCAGAACCAAGGTAGAGGGTTTTGTTCATCCAATATATTACAAATTCAGTCCTTAGAATTTTGTAATTATTTTAATTCATAGATTTTTTTTCAAACTGACTTGATAAAACGAATATGCATGTATTTTAGTCAGTGTCAAGAACTGGGAAGCGTCCAAGATTTTACCTCACTTGTAATCTAACAATTTAGCCTCATAATTTCATGGGTGCCAGCAGAAGACACAAGACTTCTAGGTCAGAAACAATTTATTACTCATAGAAATAGCAGTAGCTAGACTATCAGAATTTCTATGAAGGTTCCCTGAGCTCCAATTCCCACAGGGTAATGGGAAGAATGCCAGGTGATACCTGCACACACAATGGGTTGCATTACAGAAGAATTCCGAGCTTAGGGAACTTGAATCTTTTAAAATGGAAAGTAGCATTTATGCCCTTCGCTCAGGAAGAAGACACTGTTCACTATATGAGTATTCTTGAAAATAGAGTCCAGAAGATAAGAGAGTCTTGTCTTGCTTACAAGTTGTGCAGAAACATGAGAGAGCTGTGGAAATTGTCTCCCAATAGGCAGTTGAAGAGTACTTGATGTCTAAAATGTGAATCACACAGAAAATAAGGTTCAATTGAGTTGAACTGACAAATCTATTGCAAAAGGGCTATGGTAAAATGGCTGCAGTAAATTAAAAATGAAACCTAAGCTGATCTATACTAACTAAAATAAAACATTTGAAAAGCTTCAGTGGCTGGTGAACTGTCTCATTCAACATAAATTGCTACAGATTTTATACTGGTAAACAGAAACAATGTTTGGTGACTAAGTAATACTACAATTGGCAATTTATCATGCTGGCCATTCTCCAAGTTGAGTAGATTTTTTGGCAAATGGATCTTTGTTTGAATTGGCCTGCTTCCTAGGCTCATGTTCAGGGTCCTACTGCTTATTAGATTTCAGTTACAGCTAGCTATAAGCTAAGGTGCTAACTGAAAAGAACATAGTTTTTTTTCCCTTTTCAAGAATACGTATTTTAACAAGAAATCTGACAAATCGACAAGGTCTTCCCAAAGTAACTCATCTATATTATCACATTTTCTAGCTCTTGATGAATGCATATTTGAGCACATGCTACCTTCCCCAAATCTCACACATAGATTACCATTTTTCAACCTGATTGATTATTGACTTTTCCACTTTGATCCAATTGATTCTGACTTCACTTCTTGTCCAGCTTAGCTCCCTCCGTTCATTACTATATAAATTCATATACATTCTCTTGGAAATTCTGTTATCTCCTTTGCTTCTCTCTCCCTTACTCCAAATGGTAAGCACTGGAAATTTTCAAACATTTGCCCACTTTGTGCCATACCCATGCAGCTAAACTTTGCTAGGGAACTACACTACCAGACAAATTGGTATGCTTATAAGTTGATGCATATCAACCCCAAATGGGCATTTGATACTACCTGGCAGTCTTACAGAAAATCTTACATTTCTCTCCTCAAACTACTTTCCCACTGCCCACAAGGATATTTCACACTTTATCCACTCCAAATTTCCTGTTCCTCCTCTTCCTCCTTAAAAGGGCTGCATTATGATTTTTGTGGGCCCTGGATACTTCTGCCTTCATGGGTCCCTTCCTCTATTAAAAAATACTAAAAATTATGTTTCATCATCAAGTTGTTATAAAGACAAACACAATCCAAGTGTGATTTATTATTATGTATTCATTGTTACAATATTCATTTTTTCCTCCTGATTTCAAAAGAAATTAAAATTAAAACATTTTTCATGGGCCCTTGAAAATATTGTGGGTCCCAAGCAGGCACTTAGACTACTATGCTTAATGGAATAAGCCAGTCTTGCTCCCAACACCTTTTCATCTGATGACCTTGCTTTTTACTCTATTTAGAATATAGATTAAATATTCCTCATCTTGGCATGTGGAGCCTGGGAGTGAAACCTGGGCAGAGGATGTGAAATGGGAGTTGTCTCTATACAGCAGGATTTCTCAACCTTGGCACTATTGACATTATGGGCTGAATGAGTTCTTGGGAAGACTCATAAGAAAGAAGAGAAGAAGATATTAGTGAACCCCAACATGTGAGGGACTGGCAAAAAGAAAGTAGCCACCAGAGAATACTATCCTACTCTTAATCTGGAGTAGACGTGATTTAGTTAGGAAGACTCCAATGTCTACAACCTCTTAGTGAAACAGCTGAACAAAGGATTTTGTAAAACCAGTTACCTGGGCCATCGCAAAGGTGGAAATGTTCCCCACACTCAGGGTGATTTGATGCATCCCTGTCTAACAATGAAGGGTTGGCATAGACAACCTCTGAGAATTTGCCTAAGTCCCTGAGGTTCTGTGAGATAGTTCTAATCATTATAAACAAGAGCCAGATACTATAAAACCATAGAGCTTCTTGATTCTTTTAAAAAATTAAAGGCCAGATGTATGACTTTTGTGGGTCACGTAGAGTTGTGCAGACACAACATTCTTTGCCAAATCCTGCATCCTCTCAGGTGTTACTTCCCAATATACCTTTTGCCCTTCTAATTCAATTTCAGCATCTGCTTCTCAGAGAATCCAGCTAACACAGGAGTATAGTTTATTTCTTCTTTCCACAATATGAAAAAATATAAAATGTAGTTTATCCTCAATTCCTACATCATAACCCATAATCCTGTTTATACACATGAACACATGCAAAAGATGCTTCATACAGAATAATGCACAGTTGTTTTTTTTTTTTACTTCAGACAAGTAGCACAGGTATGCTTTCAAAAGGCAGAGAACTGTAGTCCTTTGTTTACATATCTTACTACCTACCACGTTATATTTTTTTCTGACATGAATAGTGTTTACCTTCACTTCTGTTCAAGTCTCCTAATGAGATGACTAAACTCATTGCTAACATTCAAGGAAGACTGTGTTTGTGGTGAATGAACCAGACCCTGTGGTCCCCTTAGGGTCTCAATGCCTGTTCACTTGAATAGGGGTAATTCATCAGTGGTGCCACAAACAGGATTGCTGTGCATGATGTAGTCAGGTGTGCCCGTATACACTGTGGACAGGGCTGGACTCAGCAGCCCTCTTTTGGCCAGAGCTGCAAACTGGCCAGGGCCACAGCAATGCTAGATGGCTAGATTTTGCATAGCAAAGAGTACCTTTTTACCATGTTCCCTTTAAATCCTTGAAATACTGGGGAATCTTGTGCTTACTAATCTTACAGTTGTAAAGTCCAACAGGTATGTTAATCAAAAGGTGCTAAAAGTTTATCCAAGATAAACTGTCTATCTTGGATTTCATTGGCATTTTAAAAAATACTGTTTCAACTGTAAAGTGGGCAGAATTCTAGGATGGCCCCCATGTTCACCCTGTATAATCTCCTCCCCTTGAGTGCAGGTGGAACTGGTGACTTGTTTGTAACCAACAGAATATGGCAAAGATGATGGTATGTCCCTCATGTGATTACCTTATGATTTGTATAGAAGTCTTTGAGTAGACTCGCTCTCCACTCTCCTGATGCCCTTGAAGAAGAAAGCTCCTGTGAGCTTAGCCACAAGAAAATGAATCCTTCCAACAACCTGAGGGAACTTGGAAGCAGATCCTCTCCTAGTCGAGCCTCTGATGAGAACTCAGTCTGGCTGACACCTTGATCGTAGCCTTCTGAGAGGATCCAGCTAAGCTGTGACTGGAATCCTGACTTATGGAAGCTGTAATATAATAAATAAGTATTGTTTTAAGCTGCTAAATTTGTGGCAATTTGTTCCACAACAATACAAAACTAATACAAACTGTATCTTTATTTTAAATTCTTCTTGCTTTTTTTTTTTCTTTTACCTCCCTCGCTGTCTATTGGAGATTGTAAATCTCATTTTTTGTTTGTTTCAGAATAAGCCTTTTCAGTGTAACATTTTGATGGAAAGGAATTATATTTTAATAATTTTTCTCAAACTAGCAATAAAAAATGTGAAATATTCAAATCCTTTACTATCACGAAACTGTTTTAGTAAAGTTCAAAAGCTTACTAGTCAGAATAAATTGGTCTTATTCATATTTCACATTGACATTCCGTTTGACCTCTGTCTCCTAAATGTTTCATTTGCATTCACTGATGAAAAACAAAGACCCCACCCCCTCCCCCCAAAAAATCTGAACAGTATAAAACAGACTTTAGCTCATGGCTGATTTTAGTCCAAACATTTCAATAGTATATTTTCACTGAATTGCCTATTAAATTATATTTCTTAAGGGAAGTAGAGGATAATTCAAACATTTAAAAATGACTGTTACACTGATTATTATGTAAGTAGCTGAGTTTGGTATTTTAGTGATACAGAGAAGAAAATCAACTGAGAGATAAATCTTTTCATGGTGGTTTCATGCTTTATATCTCTCAGGGGAAGCCTGCCATGTTATTTTATTCACAAAATCATTTTCCAGAGTGACCTTTTGGTATATTTATTTTATTGCTCCTGATAATGTGTAATAAACACATTTCGATATTTTTTCACATATGGTAAAGTGATCTTTGTCTATCATTTGAAATTAAAATTATTATCCAAATTTCATTTGAAAGAGTGAGCGTATTCATTCAGTAAGCAGCATAAAGGGACATAAGGCATAGTGTAGGGCAAACTAAAGAGGTTTGATATAAATTACAAATGTTCTGCAATATTTTCATAAGTCTACAAGAGCGAATGTCTTATCTCCTTAGTCTGTTTTTTTTCCTTCTTTTTTAATAGAAAGTAGATGGTTCACTATGCTAACTTAGTAAAAATATCTCAACATGCCCACAATTGTAAAACTACTGTAGAGTGAGTTAGCATATATCAGTTAACATCATCTTTTTGTAGCATCTGAGATGCATCCTTCTTTATCAAGGGAAGCATATATGCCTTAGAAAAATATACTTTAAATGAGAGAAAATTGTACAGCAAAGAAAATATTGCATCAAAGAATGGCTTAGAATAAAACTGTTTTAGAAAAACTTTAAGGTAGTATGCATGTTCTCACTCATAAGTGGGAGTTGAACAATGAGAACACATGGACACAGGTAGGGGAACATCACATGCTGGGGCCTGTCGGGGGCTGGGGGGGCAGGGCAAGGGGAGGGAGAGCATTAGGACAAATATCTAATGCATGCGGGGCTTAAAACCTAGATGACGGGTTGATAGGCGCAGCAAACCACCATGGCACATGCATACCTATGTAACAAACCTGCATGTTCTGCACATGTATCCCAGAACTTAAAGTAAAATACAAAAAAGAAAAAAGAAAAGGAAAAACTACAAGGTGGTAGACCAGGGGAGGCTGAGAAGAAGAGGGAATGCTATTACATGGGGAAGACTTCTAAGATGATTGAGAGGTTTGAAGGTTTTAGAGAGGATCTAGAAGATAAAAGATATTAAAGCAAGGTAAAATAGTATAGGTGAACAACAAAAAAACTAAAAGAATTGCAATTTTTGGCCAAGCATGGTGGCTCATGCCTGTAATTCCAGCACTTTGGGAGGCTGAGGCGGGCAGATCACAAGGTCAGGAGATCGAGAACATCTTGGCCAACATGGTGAAACCTGGTCTCTACTAAAAATACAAAAATTAGCTGGGTGGGGTGGCGTGCACCTGTAATCCCAGCTACTTGGGAGGCTGAGGTAGGAGAATCACTTGAACTGGGGAGGTGGAGGTTGCAGTGAGCCAAGATCGCGCCATTGTACTCCAGCCTGGGCGACGAGAGTGAAACTCCATCTTAAAAAAAAAAAAAAGAATTGCAATTTTTTTAACCTTAGAAGAAATGAACAAATTGTTCATAGTATGGAGGTAAAAATGTCAGCTGTGTTTTCCCTTTCATACAGTCTAAGAATTCCTTCAAAGATCATTTTAGATTTAAAGATATGTTAATAAACACATGTCATAATTTGCAGCCATCCAGACCTTTGGAACACCTGAGTTTGAGGAATGGCTCACCTTATGAGCTTTGCTTTCCCAACACAGGAGTCCCAAACTCACTTTCCCAGCCTTTCTTGAAGCTAAGGTGTAAATATTTGTATTAGACTCAGCCAATGAGGTGCACTCACATGAGTTTAAAAGAGACAAATATGAGGAAACAGACACTGTGGAGTCTCTAAACTCTGTGGAGTCTCACCAGTCTCTAAAGAAAATGATGGCAGAAGCAATGACTTTCAGGGGCAGTGATGGCAGCAGTTCAGCATCCATGTCCAGGATCAATGGGACAATTTGTGGTGTCTGTGCCCAGTGGTCACAATGGTGGCATCCTTTCTGGACCCATCCTGCAGCATCATTTTGGTGTTGTGCCTTCCCATATATCTTTGAGGCTGGTCTGTTCCTCCAAGAGGTTCTATTGAGACATCTAATAATATATGTTAGACATATTTTCTGCCTAACCAACCATAGTAAGTTCTGATGTTTGCAACCAAGAACCCTGACTGATGTGAATCCCTTTCTAAAGAGAAGAGCTATGAAACCCTAGATACAAAGGAATCATTAAGAGAGAGCCTTTCTAAAATTATTGCAATGTTACTTAATCCAGAGTCAGAAAAAATAGCACCCTGGGGATGTTCTTTGCAACTTTGTAATGTACTGAAAAATTGGGAAATTGAAACACCACGAATGAGTACACTAGGATAAGATAAGCAGAATACTAAACAGTTAATAGCTTCTGTTTTATTAGATGGGGGGAAATCTACTTTAAAACACAATCACATATAGTCCAGTGGGAGTAAGAAGTAGTGGAAGTATAAATGAAACTAAAGTTGTAGAATGTGGATAATTACGGAATCTGGGTAAGGGATATTCTATTTACTTTATGTGTTTGAATTTTTTCTTTAAAAACGTTTAAATAAAAAATCATAAGTTAAGGAATTAACATTAATCGGGAAAAATATATGCTTCCTTATTTATCTTTTAAAATGAGAAAGAGAAGCAAGACTAAGTATTGTTTAGAAATTTGGCTATCAGTGTCTGCCAAAGCAATAGAACTGAGAAAAACTTGTAAAAACAAAAGATAAGGACAGACATAGTGGATATGACTACTTTTTAGGTCACTTTTTCCCTAGGTTTTTCAGGAATTGCTTATTAATGTAGTCTACAAGTATTTTTATTAGTGCCTGCCACGTGTTGGCATTGTTCAAAATGCTTGGGATATATCAGGAAATAAAATAAAGATCCTTGCCCTTTCCTAAATTTTTTTCTATATGTATTACCTAATTTCAATAACAGATTTTATACATACTTCAGTTTACAAGCCTAGTTATCTAATTTTTAAAATTTAAAACTGTCTTCTGTTTTCATAGTTTAGGATCACAAGATTTTACAGCTGAAAGGAAGTTTAGATTTCATAAAGTACAACTCCTAATTTTCTTATAATTCACAATAATATTTTGCCTTTGTAAAATCCTTTATAATTTATGATATGTCTTCTTGAGACCTGGAGAGGATAAGTGACTTGCCAGGTTTATACTACCTGTTAGTAGCTGAACAAAGACCTTCCAATTTGTGTTTTGGTACCCTTTCTGCTACACCAAACTTTGCTTGTTTCAATGTAACGGTTGTGGTTGACTGGAAAGATTTTAACCTAAAAATGCTACCATTTATACATCCTAGGTCTGTTCCTCTTGACTCCCTTGCTCTCTGTGCCCCTTCTTCTCCCTCTCTCATTGGCTGTAACCCGATCCTACAAATGACTAATATGTGTCTTTCTCTTTGGCACTAACATTCTTGCATGCTGCCATTCCTTAACCATTGTTCAGCTAGGCTCTCCTAATACAGAACCTTTAATCTTTTTTGATAACATTCTCTCTTCATTACTCTAAATAACTTGTCAGGACCTTTTTTTTTCATCTTCCAGTTACCTACATGTTTCAGATGGCTAGGTACTCAACATAAACAAAGAATGGAGGCCCCACGGCTGACAAGTGTACTGCTGTATTTAATTACTTCCAGGTTCTCTGCTACTCCTTAGCTTCATAGAGTATGCCCCCATCTCATGCAGCACCAAAGAGCATTTTTTAAATTCACTGTGTTATATATACTCACGAGTTTCTGTTCATCATACCACTAGAGTCTAAGGTCTCCTAGAAAATATTTGAGGTTCAAGCCACAACAAAAGTGCTTCCAACTACTAAGTTTTAACATAATCTGCTAATCAGTTACTGTTTAGCCACTTGATCTCTCTCTCACTGTCTCTCTCTCTCTCGTGTGTGTGTGTGTGTGTGTGTGTGTGTGTGTGTGTAAAGTGTCACAGTGTTTAGGTTATCTATGTTTTGGGGAAAACGTCATAGTGGCTTAAAATAATTTACAGATGCTTCTTGACTTACCATGGGGCTACATCTGGATAAACCCATTATAAGTTGAAAATGTACTTTTGACTTGTAATATTTTAAACTTATGATGGGTTTATTCAGACTTAGCCCCAAGATAAGTCAAAGAGCATACTGAATGTGAATGATTGTGTCCCATCTTAAAGTTGAAAAATCATGAGTCAAACCACCATAAGTCAGGGACCGTCTGTATTATTATCTGTCATGGTTGTATGGGTTGACTGGGCTCAGCTAGGTAGTTCTTGGGTTCTCTCAGGTGGTTGCAGTAGATGGCGGCTGGAGTCATCAGAAGACTCAACTAGGCTGGATGTTGAAGATGGCTTCTTTAGTCACATCTTGTTCAACAGCCTGAAACACCTAGGGGCTTGCCAGGAATTTCTCTCTCCATGCAGTCTCTTCATGTGACATGTGGCTCCCTCAAAACATAGAGGTCTCAGGGTAGTCAGACTTCCTACATGGCAGTGGGTTTCCTCCAGAGCACGTGTTCCAAGAGACCCAGGTGAAAGCTCAAAGACTTCTTTTGACTTCAAAAGGAGGATACTACACAAAGGGGTAAATATTGGGAGGTGCAGTTCATTGGTGGGGGGTGGAGATGAGGGAGAAATCTTCGGTGACTAGCTATCAGATGAAGGAAAGTAGAATCTGCAGCTAAAAATCAAGTTATCTGTTAGTCCACCTGACTGGCAGGGCTCTATTTTTAAAACAAGTACAATTGCCTGTAATACAGCCTTTATTTTTTGGTGTAGCAGATCTGGAGTTTCTTTTAATTAAACAAAAGAGAAAAAGAAAAACTTTGAACGTAAATGACTTGTATCTCTTTAAACTGTATTTAATCTCTTATTTATTAGAGCATATGACAGCTCTGTTGATGGCTGGAGGCAGACCTGCAAACATTCTGGGGCTGACAAGCCAAAACAGGTGAGCCCATCTTCTGTGATTCACCTTGGTAGAAATGATTACTACCCAGCTCCGGGCCGGCAGACCACCTGCTCCCTTTCACCCACACAGGCTTCCCCACAGCCTGAAATATACCCTGTATCCTTTCAGAGATGGTGGATTGAACATGTGTGGAGAGACATCCAAACGCATTTTTTTTTTTCCAATGAGAGACATTTTGTGAAGTTTTGGCAGCATGCTGGCTGGCAAAGTAATCTGGCTGGCACACTCCTCCTGCATGGAGTTATGGCACTGCCACCTCTACTCTGGAGAGTTTCGAAATTTCATTTTGCACACCCTGTAAGATGTGAGTCACTCGGCTCGCAAAGGAGGATGAGGAGGAGGCGGCCATCTGCTAGTCATGAGCAGATGACAAATACCCTGCACTGCGAATTTCCATCCTCGTTTCACAATATTTAAGTAAACACATTTTGTAACCATTTTTCCCAGAGTTCCTTAGTGCTTAAGATGGATTTTTTTTTTTCAATAAACAATATATAAAAGCTGCTTTCTCTCCTCCAAACAACTGTATTAGCAAAGTGACATGAAGGCAACCATCACAAAGTGCTGTCTGTTGAATGACCAGAGCAAAAAGTATACTCATCTGAATTGAATGATTAAACCTCATGCAATTTCAGACCGATCCAGCTAAATTACCAGGTCCATGAGAGGCCGCTCCATCATGCACAGCTCCATGGTGACCTCTACTGTCTGCCTGCAAGAATCCCCAAACTATCTTCCATCAAAAACAAAGTTTCCAAATAATATCTATTTAACATTTCTTTGTGCTATGTTATGGGAAGGAAGGAAATTGAAGAAAGAAAAGATAGATGCTCTCCTCTTAAATTACGAGAGGCACGTTACATTCATAAAATAACTGGGAACTAATGCACGATCTAATTTTGTGTTCGCTTCAAGCTGTGCAACATGGCTTAATGCAGAATTTATTCATTCCTTCACCAATTTGATCTGAAGAAGCCAACAACAAAAAAATAGCCAAATAGAAATAGAAAATTAATATCAGGGAGAAAATTGACTGCATATGTGCAAACCAAAAAGGTCAAAGGAGCTTCAAATATGGCTCTGGGCATCCTAAAAGGCAGACGAAGAAGAAAAAAGTAGGATGTGTTGCCTAGACCTTGCTATCATGAAGAAGAAAGACTATCATTCCTTAAGTAGATATTTTTTCTTGGTATTAAATTTTGAATGAAATTCCTATGGGATATTTTGTGCCATATTCCAGGTGGCACAAGGGCTAGCATGCTCCTTAGAATTTGTACTGCTGCTGTAGAACTAGCAGGGCTGTTTCTTTTAACTTTGATGAGAAAAAAGTATATGCCATTGAGGAAGGAAATAAAATACATCCCTGCCGACAACCAGAGAGAGTGAGAAATGGTCCTGCTGGCAGCCAGACCATGATGTTCTCAACTAACATAAACAGTGCTGGGACAAGACCATTCCATGATCATATTTGGAACAAGATAAAGATAAAGCCACCCAGTAATCACAAAAATAACTAAACGTTCTCCTTCTCTGAATAACATGAGTGACTGCTGTTCCCTTACCTGTGACAGCTCCAGCCTTATTTGTTCTGTATAAAAACTATTGAGATGCCCAAACACAAAATTGCCCCTGCTTCTTGAGAGCGTCCAATCCATAATTGGTCCCTGCTTCCTAATTCCTCCTGAGAATCTTTTGGAGTAAGCCTAATCCCAATGAGGGGCCCCTGCCTGCTCCCTCTTTCCAAGGGCCTTAGGATTCCTCTGTATTCTCTCTTTTGTGGCAACTAGCTCAACAAACCTAATGTTTCTTAATACGATGTGTTTCTAGATGTCTTTCCTTGCTGGTCTTTCATAGTATGAAGCACCACACAGTGAAGGCGATTCTGAAAGGGATTAATATGGACCATTCAGTATGTCTATTCTCTGTCTCATTCCAGGACAGAGTACAGTGTGCTTAGTGGAAGAAAGAAATGGCTTTTCCCTTAGACACTGTAATTTTTAGTTTCTGGTCCAGATCCTTTTATTCCTTATATTTTTTTTCTATGAACTCCTCTCCCAGCTTCAGCGTCCTTTGGCTTCTAACAGCCCACACCAAACCTGGAGCCATCCCTCAGATACGGAGAACTGGAAATGCCTGGGAGTTTACATTCACCACCACCCCTTACCTTCAGGCTTTTGGCTGGTAACTGACTGGAATAGGAAAGCCAACACCCTCCAAGTTGAGTTAATTGAGTGTATAATGTACCCTGTTGAGCTCTCCTGCAGGATCAAGCTGAAGCTGAGACTTGCTTAGCTTCTTTCTCACCCCTGTCTTACTTCCCCCACTGCCTTACTGATCTCCCCTGGGGGCACGTTCTTAATAAATCATTGGCACAGAATTATTACTGCAAGCTCTACTTCTGCAGAACACAACCTATGATGCTCATCTAGCCATCACTGTATCCCTACAAAGTAGAAATCATATCATAATCTTTCAGATGAAGACAGAAAGGCTCAGAGAGATTGAAAGACCAGCCCAAGGTCACACAGTTGGTAAACAGTGGACTAGACCTAAAATCCTCACCTAGTGCCCCCATTTTTTACTATGCTTCATTGCCTGTCCTTTGGGGCCTGGCATCTGGCCTTATCTTCTGTCTGTGGGCCCTCAGAGGGAAGGTTCTGATGCCTGGGGAAGAAAGCAAGGACCCAAATGTCCTCTGCCAAGCATCTGATGCATAATGGAATGTTTATGCTGCCATCTGGGGCATGGTTTTCCTGTCCGCAGCATTCAGGCAAGGATTTATTGCCACTCCATTCTCCCTGATCGCTGAACAGATTGCCCCCTGTTGCTTGTGGCATGTAACTCCCCCTCTTCCAATCTACTGCCTCTCTCAGACTTCATGAGACAAACATAAAAGTCATGGCCTCAGGAGAATGCTTGATTTCTGTCCAGTCTGTCACACAGAAGCGTCATTGTTAAGTCCTGGGTGGCTCTTCCCACCTGTCATCCCAGAAAAATGGAGTCATCCCTGAGAACACTCCCATGCACAGTGACATTCATTATGAGGCTACCTTTTCAAATTAAGTTTGGCATTTGAAACGAATACTACTTACTACTCCCAAACCACTCACTGCTGAGGTGACTTTCCATCATGAACTTCCTCTCATCTCCACAGACAGTGCTTAAGAGAAGGGTGAGGGAACTTCAGCATCTGCCTCTCACATTCCATTGTCAGCCTCACTCAGGAGGGCCAGTCATTGGTGAAGGTGAGAGGTGGGAGGCAGGAAGGTTCACAGAATCTCAAGACTGGGGGGATCTTTAACCACAACTAAATTCTATCGTGATGCAGAAGCAGGCATCCTTTCAGCAGCAGACTAACCATGCAGAGTTGCTGCATGGGCTATGACTGAGCACCTTCACAGGCAATGAAGCCTGCTAGTAAGCTACACAGAGAGATTGTTCCCTACCTGTGCCAAGTCCCCGTCACTGACCATGGGGTCAAGCCTGAAGAAACTGGAAAGAAACAATGTATAATCAGGGAGACCAGGGAGAATGGAGTGGCGCACACTAGACAGAATGGGTTGAAAAACGTAAATGAAGGTGGGATGCATTTCACTTCCCTGATCCTTAATCTTAACCACCACATTTTTTTTTCTGAAAGTGTTTCCTTAAAATTTAAGTAGTACCTGGATTCACTTCACTTATTTAGCTTTATTACGTAAAGACAGCTTACATAAGAATAATTAATCTTTTTTTTTCCTAGTGAGTACCTGTGTTTTTTGGTTTTGTTTTGGTTTTTGGTTTTTTTTTTTTTTTTTTTTTTTACTTTAAGTTCTGGGATACATGTGCAGAACGTGCAGGTTTGTTACATAGGTATACATGTGCCATGGTGGTTTGCTGCACCTATCAACCCGTCATCTAGGTTTTAAGCCCCGCATGCATTAGGTATTTGTCCTAATGCTCTCCCTCCCCTTAGCCCCCACCCTCCGACAGGCCCCAGTGTGTGAAGTTCCCCTCCCTGTGTCCATGTGTTCTCATTGTTCAACTCCCACTTATGAGTGAGAACATCCAACCACCACATTGTACTACCTTTCTAGGGTTTTCATCAAAAAAGCTTATGTCTTTGATTACATAGGAATTCAGAGTTGGTTCTATGGGTGGGCAGAAGAGTAAGCATTCTGGGTAGAATCATTTGAAAGGCATTGGGGTCTATACCAGTGCCTGAAATTCCATCATTAGCTTCAATTTTTCAGGTAAGGTTTTGCTTCCAGAAAACTCTGACTAACATGAGGAAGGTGACATTAAAATCCATGATCATTGACGACCACAAAGCCCTGTGAGAATTTGCTTACCAGGTTAGAAAACACAAAGCTAGATCCAGAGAACAGTAGTTATTCAAGTTATACTGTTGTTATTCAATAACAGTAGTTATTCAACAGTAGTTATTCTTATATCAAGTGAGGATATAAGAAGATTTGTATTTTGAGGAGGACTCTGGTCAGAAAGCAGGGGATGGGGGCAGCATAAGGGGCCAAGGGCTAGTTGGAGAGCACAGGGTGACACCAATGCAGCAGACTTTCCATGTGCTGAGGCCCTTATAGCAAACACCTCCTCTCCAGGCAGCAACTACCCAGCCATGGAGCTTAAGAAAATGTCCTGTGGCCAAAGAGATGAAACTTGATCTGGAACCATATGCAAGGGAACCCCAGTTGCCCTCCTAGAAGCAACAGGCATATCCCCAAAACCCAAACCTCTCTTTCCTCCCAGAGTCCTTGGTTGGATCTCAAGGCAGATCTCCGTGCAGCACAAGGCCAAGTCCAGCCCCTCCAGTCACTCTCCAACTAGGCCTCTCCAATCCATCAGCCCTCATATCTCTTCTACTTAGTGCTGAAAGTAAAAGGCCAAGCTCTGGATTTAGTCCAAACTTACTGCCTAAAAAATTAAATGTGAGGTCCATGATTTGGGCTCAGCATTGACATAAAAAACAACATTCATGATAAAGCAGTCTCTAGTCCTGTTACCTTTATCATTCCCTGAAAATCCCACATAGGAAATGGTCTGGCTCTTAGCCCTGAAAGCAGGCTTTAGTGAGTCCCTAAAGCTGTAAATGTGAAATGGAGGGAAAAGGGGAGAAGGAGGGAGCAGAGTCTATAGAGGGTTACTTCTTCATCATCTTCCAAAGAAGCACATGGAGAAAATAGGTCTCTACTAATGTGGACAGCAAGAGATTTAAGAATTTAGGTCAGGCGACACCAGATTAGGGAGACCAAGGGTGTGTCTGTGTGTGGGTAGGGGGATAGGTATGGGTGTGCATATGTTGGAAAGAGCTCTGGAATATTAGTCAAAAACCTACCATGACTGGCTATATAGGCTTGATCTAGTCATTTCATCTCTCTGGCCTCAGTTTCCACATTCTTTACAAGGGGACAATACCTGCCCCAGCAACTTCAAAATTAAATGGAGTAACTCACCTGCAAGCTTAAAACATACTGGCATTTCCACAAATAAATGTGAGGCAACATCACCAGGAAATCTCTGGAAATAAGTGACTGACTAAATGAAAAGAAGCTCTGAAAAATGAAAATTAATTTAATTCAGTTGAAACAGTAGTAACATGAACAAGTATTTACTGAGCACTTACTGTGTATCAGGCATTTTTCTAAGTGCTGTACAAACATTACCTTATTTAATATGCACAACAAACCGACAAGGCAAAGACTATTATCATTTCCATGTTACATATTAAGAAACTGAGGCATAGAGAGATTAAGTAACTTGTCTAATATCTCACAGCTAATGAGTAGTAGAATCAATATCTGAACCGAGGCTTCCAGAGCTGGAACTGTGCTAAACTGTTTCTTCACAGGTGCTTAAGCCATCTGCAAGTATTATAGGAGTGGAGCACTAGCTAATAATAATAATAATGACAATTATTATTTTTACATGGTATATTTAGTGCTAGGCACTTCCTTCATTTTCTCATTGACATGCTAGCAAAAGACGTAATGTAGCAAAGTACATTATTCTTGGGGGTTTGTATCTGGCTCTGCCACTTACTAATCTGTAAAATGAAGATAATGTTAGTACTACTTCATATAGTTGTGATGAATTCGGTGAGTTATTATTTATAAAGCCCTTAGGATAACGCCTAGGATACAGTCAATCCTATGTGTGTTCATTAAATACATAAACAAATGCTAAATACATAATTGATAATTATATATATGATCAACTTACATTCATGCTTTGCTTTGTATGTTCTCTAAGAAGAAGCAGTGTGTATGGAGCTGATTACAGCCAGCTCTGTAGTTCATAGGTTGGCTAGAAGCTAGATGCTCAGCTTCACAATCCCCTCTCCTTTTCCCTCCCCACAGGCTGTGCTGTGGCTGCTGCTCCTTTGTCCCCTCCAGGGCTCTGTACCAGAGACTGCTGCCCTCCTCTCTCTCACCTGTTCTCCAAACTATGTAAAAGCAGCCACCATCAGCTCAACCTTCATCTAGGGGCTGCCTGTCCCTTGCCAGTATCCACCTCTGCTCTGAATCAGGAGAGCCCATGACAGGCTGAAGAGGCAGCAGAGTATGTTGGAAATGACTGGGGCAGTGTCTTCAATCAGCTAGGTTTTAGGAAAGGGTAAAAGAAAATAAATCACAAAAGATGCTACCTCCATCAATCTGGCATGGGGGCTAGGGAGACAGTGGTCAGGGAGATGGGGAGAAACAAAGGAAGACAGGAGGTACCACCAAAGCCATAAGGGACCAGAGGAAAATCACCCCCAAATGTTTCCCCAACCCCCTCCTGAACATACACATGCATCAGTCCTTCATGTAGAGGTCTGTGTTGTCTCCAAATCCCCCACCTGAAAATGAAGGGAACACCCAGGTTTCCCTGGAGAATCATCAGCTGAGGCCGTGTCTACACTCAGGGCTTGCCAAGAATATTCCCACAAAGCACAGCTCTCAAAAGCCTCTTCCAGTATATGTTCCCCAACGTATCCACTGAAGGGTAATAAAAGGGAAAGTGAAGGCTCTGACAAAATATTCATTAAAAGAAAATTTTACCTGCATGTGCGTGAACACACAATCCACACCCTATCACCACCAAAACTCAATTGACAGCCCAGATGTGAACCTTTAAAAGATGCTCCCCAACTGCTCACCCTCACTGTTGCCCCCACAGATGAGCTCTGGTGAATTTAACTTCCATCTTTCTACTTGAGACTCCCTTCTAGAGCTTTGTACCCCACCACTGAGAAGGAGCCTTCCTGCTTCCCAAGGACTGCCCTCCACCTGGAACTGCTTTCCCTAAATTGTTCCTGCCCCAGAACTTTCCATCATACCCAGTTTCAGTGAGGTGCGCCAGTCTATCCCACTGGGATTCATCCCACTGGGCCCTCAGCCAGGTTCTTCCTGCTCCATAAGATGATGACTAATTACCAAATGAAACAATTTAGGGAAAATCTGATACAGCCTATTGAGTTCCCCTTCCAGAGGCCCTGTATTTTCAATGGAGCCTCTGGAAGCTCCAGCATTTCATCTCAAGGAATATCTCAAGGGATAACTGGGATGGATTTCTGCTATGCATGTCATGTCACTGGAGTTCAAGTTTCCGGCCCTGTTCACTCACAGGCCCAACTTTGTGTATCTTTTGTGATTTGTTTCCTTTTGATTTCTCTTAAGGCTGGGCTCACAGAAGGCATCTTCCATCCTGATGTTCTACGGTATAGTGAATGGCAGGATTTGCTTTGTTCGTTGTTTGTCGTTCATATAAAGATAGAAGTTGCATTTCATATAGTCAGAGAATGAACTGCATACTCTTTTTTATTCCACTATTTTTGTTGGTGGTAGTAGAAAGGGTTCTTTTCTTCCTTCTCAGTATTGAATCTTATCTTGATCACTAACCAACTACGTGACTTCACTTCCACAAACTTCAGTTTCCTCATCTGCTAAGTGGAAATTTAGAATACCCATCTTATTCGATGGGAGAGGATTAAATAGATGCCTGCTACACAGTAGGTGCTTAATAAATAGTTGTCATATCCTGAGCCTTTAATGTCATGCCTGGCCCTTGTTGATATTCCATAATGCTTGATACATAAGGAATCCAGTGTTGGTGATGAAGATTTGTCTGACACTCATTAAAGTCATGGGCAGTATGCCAGCCTGCTTCTCACAAATAAAGTGTCTATACTGCCCTCAAGAACATGAATACTGGCCGGGCACAGTGGCTCACGCCTGTAATCTCAGCACTTTGGGAGGCCGAGGCAGGCGGATCATGAGGTCAGGAGATCAAGACCATCCTGGCTAACACAGTGAAACCCCGTCTCTACTAAAAATACAAAAAAAAAAAAAAATTAGCCGGGCGTGGTGGCGGGCTCCTGTAGTCCCAGCTACTCGGGAGGCTGAGGCAGGAGAATGGCGTGAACCTGGGAGGCGGAGCTTGCAGTGAGCCGAGATCGTGCCACTGCACTCCAGCCTGGGCGACAGAGCGAGACTCCATCTCAAAAAAAAAAAAAAAAAAAAAAGAACATGGATACTGTTCTATTCTCTAATGAGGGCATATTGTCCAGAGCCAGAGATAGGAACTAGAGTATTTCTCTGCCCTGATTTCCAGGAAAGGTGAACAACAACAGGGCTAATTATCTGGAGCTAAAGAAGAATTCTTTAGGATTTACAGGCAGAAGATTCATCTTGAAAAGACCTATTTCCATAATAGATTTTGCTTTATAAATGCCTTTTCAAAGGTTGCTATTTGACAGGAAAAGCTTTCAGCTTTCTTCTTCTTTTTTTTTCAGGCTTGTGACCTCTCACCTACTTTGAATGATTCACTCAGTCTATTCACTGCCCAGGAATGTTGGCTTTGGCAAAGAACCACAAGTCTCTTAAAATAAACACAACTGGGCTTTCATCTCATAGCGATCGCTGCTGGCTGCATATTTCACACACTGTATGGCAGGATATGTTAAATTAAAATCATAATCTCCCCAGTGAAATCTAGGGCCTGGTTAAGCCACTCGAGAATTACTCATGCATTAACTTCCAATGAAGAATATGAGTAATATCTTCAGCCATTAACTCTCCCAGGTAGTGGTCTCATCCTCTCCCAATTATCCTAACCCACAGTAAATTAAACCCATCCAGAAGAATGTCATTTGGAAAGGAAGAAGTCAATGCCAATGCTGTTTCAAATATGTAGGTCCTGGAGAGGTGAGCTTGAACTACCTTGTCAGTTCTCTCAATCATATCTCAAAGTTTAACTTAAATTTTGCTAAATCAATACACCCAATCCATATGGATTAACAATATGCTCAACATTGTGTTAAATGTTTTGAGTAGTTCAAAGAATATATGACACTGAGCCTTTAGCAGCTTAAGGTCTTCTAGGTGACGAACAAGATTAACACATCGAGAAAATAGTAACAGAGGCCAGGTACAAGACAGTGGTAAAGTGGAGAAAGCAAAGGCTTTTCTCAAGTGAGGTTCAGGGCCTGACTTCTCTCAACTGTGACTGCAGGGTAAATCTTTGGGCTTACATAGTATCTCAGTCCTAACTTTTAAAATGGAGGATGTTATACTAACTGGATTGACTTCACAGAGTAGTTGTAATGTTTAAATAAAATAAAGAAGATAAAATTGCAATGTACAATACCACTTTTTATAGCCTGTGATAAAACAAGTGGAACAACTTAAGAAATAAGTCCAAGAAGGTTATTTGTCTTCTGGGGTTGCCTTTAAATGGTAGTGAACAGATAAGACACAGGGCTATAAACTTCTTGAGGACCAAGGCCAAGGCCATTCCTTTTTGACTTTAAATGTTGTTCATACCCTGCTTAGTGTCAGGCACATAGTAAGTGCCTAATATATTTTTGTTAAGTGAATGAATAAATGAATTCTGAAGTGCAGTTAAATTAAATTTGTGTATATTACAGTAACACAAGAGGCCCTCCTTTGGGGCTTCCCAGAGTTTTCTCCTCATTTATATTACCTGAAGAATTTAAGAGAAGTAAAATCCTAATGCTTTACAAGAGCTTTTGCCCTGTGGGCTTTCTTGAGTGATTGCTAACAACGTATCCCTGGACACCACTGAAATGAGCTTTTCTGGGCCCATCCAAAACACAGCCACAGAAAAGTGTTTGTAAGGCCCCCCTGCCCCAAATCCATAATGGGAAGATATTATGAAGAGCCCTTTGTGCTTCAGTTTAGCCCAGTGGCTAAAACAAGACTGAAAATGCACTAAGCTACGAGTGGCTGAAGATATACACCCCACTGTATAAAAACAAAATGAAAGAACAATATCTGTCTGCAAAGAGGCTCATCACCCAGTTCATGGGCACATGCCCCAGGAAGTCACAGAGAGAGGAGCATTGGCCCATCATGCATGAGATTCACTACGTTGCTTCAGAAAACAACAACAACAAAATACTTACAGTATTAAAACTGCTATTTTTCCTTCTCATAAATGAAATCTTCATGAAATGTGGTATTTCCTCTAAACCATGACAAAGGGAAACAGATATACACCATGTAGGAAATGACAGACTTTGGAGAAACAGGAAAACATAAAGTACCTTAGAATGGAATGAATTTCTGATAAGGAAGCATTACCTTCATCAAATGAAACACAAAGCAGCAAGTCTTTTCCCCAGCAACAAGCAAGCTAAAATGTGGGCACTCCCTGGGGTGACATTGTGTTATGATGATCTTGCCCTATGGGAGAGCTCACAGCACAAGCAGGCACTTGTGAATCACACTGTGGTCGGAACAGAGGCTCAGAGAAACATGTTTATCTTCCCCACTTTCCTACTTGTGTGCATCTTGCACCTGTCTCTGTACATATGGGGTTGATTCTTCTCTTGTTTATTGGGTTTGGGGACTTAACATCCCTGTGTGTGTATTTATGTCTTTCCCATTTCTGCAATGAGGTTGTAAGATCAAGATTTTTGTTCTTCATTCTCTAAATTTCTATAGTACTGTTCTACATCTAGTACTATCAATGAAAGTACTGTAAGATAGAGGAATCATCCTATCAGTTTGGATCCCAATAGAAAACAGAATTCAACTCAGAAAGTTCAAATGAAGAAACTTAAAGAGACCACAACTGGGTTATAAGAACAAATAAGAGGCTCCCTCTCCCTCTCCCTCTCCCTTGTCTCCATCTCCCGCTTTCCACGGTCTTCCCCTCTCCCTCCTCTCCATCTCCCGCTTTCCACGGTCTCCCTCTGTTCCCGAGGCTAGACTGTGCTGCCGCGATCTCGGCTCACTGCAACCTCCCTGCCTGATTCTCCTGCCTCAGCCTGCCGAGTGCCTGGGATTGCAGGCACGCGCCACCACGCCTGACTGGTTTTTGTATTTTTTGGTGGAGACGGGGTTTCCCCGTGTTGGCCGGGCTGGTCTCCAGCTCCTGACCTCGAGTGATCTGCCCCCCTCGGCCTCCCCAGGTGCCGGGATTGCAGACGGAGTCTCGCTCACTCAGTGCTCAATGTTGCCCAGGCTGGAGTGCAGTGGCGTGATCTCGGCTGCTACAACCTCCACCTCCCAGCCGCCTGCCTTGGCCTCCCAAAGTGCTGAGATTGAAGCCTCTGACCGGCCGCCACCCCGTCTAGGAAGTGAGGAGTGTCTCTGCCTGGCGGCCCATCGTCTGGGATGTGAGGTGCCCCTCTGCCTGGCCACCCAGTCTGGGAAGTGAGGAGCGCCTCTTCCCAGCCGCCACCCCATCTAGGAAGTGAGGAGCGTCTCTGCCTGGCCGCCCATCTGGGATGTGAGGAGCCCCTCTGCCCGGCGGCCCAGTCTGGGAAGTGAGGAGCGCATCTTCCCGGCCGTCATCCTGTCTAGGAAGTGAGGAGCGTCTCTGCCTGGCCACCCATCATCTGGGATGTGGGGAGTGCCTCTGCCCGGCCGCCCCGTCTGGGATGTGAGGAGAGCCTCTGCCCGGCCGCCCCCTCTGGGAGGTGAGGAGCACCTCTACCCGGCCGCCACCCCGTCTGGGAGGTGAGGAGCACCTCTGCCCGGCCGCCACCCAGTCTGGGAAGTGAGGAGCGCCTCTGCCCAGCCACCTCGTCTGAGAAGTGAGGAGCCCCTCCACCCAGCAGCCGCCCAGTCTGGGAAGTGAGGAGCGTCTCCGCCCGGCCGCCCGGTCTGGGAGGTGGGGAGTGCCCCTGCCCAGCAGCCACCTGGTCTGGGAGGTGGGGGGCGCCCCCCCGGCCACCCCTTCTGGGAGGTGGGGGGCCCCTCTGCCAGGCTGCCACGTCTGGGAAGTGAGGGGCCCCTCTGCCCGGCCGCCACCCCATCTGGGAGGTGTACCCAACAGCTCATTGAGAACGGACCATGATGACGATGGCGGTTTTGTCGAAAAGAAAAGGGGGAAATGTGGGGAAAAGAAAGAGAGATCAGATTGTTACTGTGTCTGTGTAGAAAGAAGTTGACATAGGAGACACCATTTTGTTCTGTACTAAGAAAAATTCTTCTGCCTTGGGATGCTGTTAATCTATAACCTTACCCCCAACCCCGTGCTCTCTGAAACATGTGCTGTGTCCACTCAGGGTTAAATGGCTTAAGGGCGGTGCAAGATGTGCTTTGTTAAACAGATGCTTGAAGGCAGCATGCTCCTTAAGAGTCATCACCACTCCCTAATCTCAAGTACCCAGGGTCACAAACACTGCGGAAGGCCGCAGGGTCCTCTGCCTAGGAAAACCAGAGACCTTTGTTCACATGTTTATCTACTGACCTTCTCTCCACTATTGTCCTATGTCCCTGCCAAATCCCCCTCTCCGAGAAACACCCAAGAATGATCAATAAATACTAAAAAAATTAAAAAAAAAAAAGAACAAATAAGAGGGTTGAGGCACACAGAGACTAGCACAGCAGGAAGCCTTTACCATCTGAAAGCCTGAGGAGAACACAGGAAAAAACAGAGCCCCTTGTAAGCTGTCACATAGAGGAGGGAAGGGGGTGCACAATGGTGCTATAGTCATAGAAGATCTCAGCTGCTGTCTGAGAAGGAAGGGGTGGAAAGAAATACTTCTACCTGTTTTCCTTTTGTCCTATCTCATGCCTGTGCCTCTGTTGATTGAGCTCAACTAAAGGTGTGGTGGTAAGGAAGTCTGGTGATGCAGTCCATGGGGATCCTCCTCCAAGATCACAGAGCAGGACAGAGAAGGGCAAAGAATGGTATGGGACAGGAACGGAGGAGTGGTAACAGAGAATAACCCTCAGACCAGGGAAGACATCAGCACTTAGCCATGCCCACAACAGTGTCCTGAGTGTAGTAGGGCTCAAGAACTATTTATTCTATGGCAGTCCTCAAAGATAAGCAAGACAATATAGAGGGTTGATGGAACACTGCCATCTATGTGCTCTTTGTTGTTGCTTTTAATTTTCTGTGCTAGTAGTTTTCCTAACACTTGTTACCTTATCTAGAACTGTTCTTTGCTATTTATCCTGATTCTCCCCGTCACCTCCCCACCACCACTGAGAATAAACACAGGCAGTGAGACTGTAAACAGGTTGGTTAACCTTCTGGACCCAAGTTCTGTCTCTAACAATGTGGGGTGTGGACCAGATGCCTGCGGCTTTCTTCCAATCATAAAATGAAACATAAATAAATAAATATCAGTCTTTGCTCCTAACATTGTTAGTGGGGGAAAAAGGAAAAAAATAGGAAGGGAGAGATGAAAATAAATGATGCAGAAAGAGTAGGAAGAATAAGCAAGGATAGCTGAAGTAATTGTTGTTGTTTAGAAACTGTAGATTTTTATGGACTTTACGTAGATTTTTAAATCCATGATAATACTTAGTGAAACTCTTCAGCGTGTGTATATAAGTGGTGAGGATGAGGGAGTGCTCAATAAGCAAATTCAAGCCATTAAATTTCAAATCTGCTTTTCGCAGGAATCCAAAACTTTCCCCAAACAGTTAAACTTTCAAAATGGCAAAAGATCAGTTATGGTTTACTGAAGATTTTGTATTCATTACTAATCATATCAACCATTGGCCAAAGAAGCATGGTAGCCTTTACATTTCTGAGCATCTGGAGATGTTTATTTTACAGCTAATAAAGTGAAAGAGAACCACTCCAGCAATTCCTCTCTAGGAGTCAAAAATAGAACAATTGGAGAAAGGGGATTTAAGTATAATTATCTTAAATTCCTTTAAATCACTCCACTATTTGCAGAACATCTTGAAGACACATCTAAGCTTGTTTGTATAACACTGCTAGAATATTACTGTTCTCTTCTATGAGTCCCTGAGTTTTTTTTTTAACATCCTACTGCCAGGGAAATTTGCTGGGCATACATAAGGATTCATCTTGTATTTTCACTGTGCTTGTCTTCCCTAACTCCCAATAGATTATGTTAGGGGACACCTACTAAGAGCCTCCAGAGTATCTGATACTTACCCAATCAAACCATTCCTCTCACTGTATGACAATATTTTGCCCAACTAGTTGACATCTCTATCACACTGTGGGCTCCCTGAGGGTAGGACTGTAGCTGTCTTGCTCACCATTGTGCATAATGCCTGGAACATAGCATAAATGCTGAAATATTTTTTGAATAAGTGGAATACATGAATACTTTTGCCCTCTTTCCCAAAGTATAAGTCCTCCTGAGGTTAGGAATCCTGCTACTCAAAACAGGTTCCCTTTTCTCAAGTCACCAGTTCAAACCTATCAATAAAAAATGAATGTTTTTGTATGACTAACACAGAGGTGCTCACATATCTGCCTATTTGTCCTACTAATATTTATGGGACACTTACTACGTGCAAGGCTTACGCTAGGCACTGGAAATAAGAGTGAGCAAAACCAGATAAGATGTTCGCCCTCATGGAGTATGTATAGAATTTTATGGGAGACAGTTATTAACCAGATAATCACACAAAGAAGCAAAATATTATAATCAGAAATGCAAATTAAACTATTAAACTGGCAAAATTTAGACAGCTAGATAATGCCAAGTGTTGGTATGGATGTGAGGATCCAGGAATTCTTATGTTCTGCTGGTGGGAGTGTAAACTGGTACAGCTATTCTGGAGAAACCTAGAATTATATAGTCAAAGTTACTGTTACTGATGCCCTATAGTCCAGAAATTCCCAAATAACTTATTATATGGGGCCATAAGGATACGAGTAGATGATCAGATTCATATTCATTGCAAATAACTTGTGGTAGTGAAGAATTTGAAGCAAACTAACCTCTAACTAGAAGAGAGGATAGGTGAATGTAGTAGATGCACCCCATGGAGATGCCCCAGTAATTGGAAACAAATGACTACATCAGAGGTCAGCAAACTGTGACCCACCTCTTGGTTCTGTCTTTTTGTTTATAAATAATTTATAAATAAAGTTCTAGTAGAAAATGGCTATGTCTGTTTCTTTAGGTATTATCTATGGCTGTTTTCACACTACAACAGCAGAGCTGGGTTGCAACAGAGACCACATGACCTGCAAAGCCAAAAATGATTACTATGTGATATCCCTTACAAAAAAAAATGTTTGCTGATCTCTGGACTAGATACACAAGGAGAAACATGGACAGATCTTTAAAACAGTGCTGAGTTTTTAAAAAAGTAAAAAAATAGAATGATATATATATCACCGGTTCTCAAACTTGGCTGTGCATTGAGATCATCTGGAGTAATTTAAGAACTATAATGCCTGGGTCCCATCATAGAGTCTGATTTTTTGGTATGAGCTGCAAGTGAGACATTAGATTAAAGCTATACAGGTGATTCCAATGTGCAGCGATGTTTGAGAACCCCTCAGATGTGTGTGTGTTGTGGGTGTGTATGTGTGTAAACACATATGATACAATATTTTCTTGACCACACAGAAAACTTGAACACAAAACAATAACACAAATTTTGGGAGAACACTTAATGAGCCAAAAGATATATATTAAACATATTGGAATGATTGCATATGAAAGGGAAGAATGGAAATGTCATATGAGTAATTATACATACATACATACATACAAGAATAACTACCAGAGAGGGGCTTTGTGTAAACCAATGACATTAACATTCAATGAGCTGAGAAATATGTTAACTCATCTCTTCCTCTGAAGTCCTAAAAGAAATGTTAACCATTGCATCTGTTATATGACACATATTTAAATGTGTACTGGATATCTCCTCTTGGGTGTCTCAAAGACAAGTTTTATTTAATTAGTCCAAAATTGACCCAAGGTATTTCCCCTCAAGTCTGTACCTAAAGAAGCACTTCTGGAATGGTAAAGTAAAGACTTTAAAAACCTGCTCCTCCATAAAAGCAATGAGAAAACTGGCAAAAAATGTCAAAACCATTTCTTTCAGAACTCTGGAAATTAACCGAAGGCTTTCAACAATTTGAGAATTGTTGATTTAAGAAAAGTGGCTGGGAACAAGGTGGTGGAGTAGAAGGTTCCACTGATCATCGCCCCTGCAACGACATCAATTTAACAATTGTCTACAAAAACAAAACAAAACAAAAAGCTGGAGGCATCACACTACCCAACTTCAAACTATACTACAGGGCTACAGTTACCAAAACTGCATGGTACTGGTACAAGAACAGACACATAGATCAATGGAATGAAACAGAGAACCCAGAAATTAGACTGCAACCCTACAACTATATGATCTTTGACAATCCTGACAAAAACAAGCAATGGGGAAAGGATTCTCTATTTAATAAATGGTGCTGGGATAACTGGCTAGCCATATGCACAAGATTGAAACTGGACCCCTTTTTAATATAATATACAAAAATTAACTCAAGATGGATTAAACACTTAATGTAAAACCCAAAACTATTAAAACTCTGGAAGATAACCTAGGCAATACCATTCAGGACGTAGGCACAGGCAAAGATTTCATGATGAAGACACCAACAGCAATTGCAACAAAAGCTAAAATTGACAAATGGTATCTAATTAAACTAAAGAGCTTCTGCACAGCAAAAGAAACTACCAACAGAGTAAACAGACAACCTACAGAATGGGAGAGACTTTTTGCAAACTCTGCATCTGAACTAAGGTCTAATATCTAGCATCTATATGGGACTTAAACAAATTTACAAGAAAAAAAAACAACCCCATTAAAAAGTGGGCAAATGACATGAACAGAGACTTTTCAAAAGAAGACATACATGTGGCCAATAGTCACATGAAAAAAAGCTCAACATCACTGATCATTAGAGAAATGCAAATCAAAACCACAATAAGATACCATCTAACACCAGTCAGAATGGGTACTATAAAAAAGTCAAAAAATAACAGATGCCGGTGAGGTTGCAGAGAAAAAGGAATGCTTACACACTGTTGGTGGGAATGTAAATTAGTTCAACCATTGTGGAAGACAGTGTGGCAATTCCTCAAAGACCTAAAGATAGAAATACCAATCAACCCAGCAATCCCATTACTGGGTATATACCCAAAGGAATATAAATCAATCTGTTATAAAGACACATGCACACATATGTTCATTGCAGCACTATTCACAAAAACAAAGACATGGAATCAACCCAAATGGCCATCGATGATAGACTGGATAAAGAAAATGCGGTAGATATACACCATGGAATACTATCAGCCATATAAAAGAATGAGATGATGTCCTTTCCAGGGACATGGATAGAGCTGGAAGCAATCATCCTTAGCAAACTAACACGGGATCAGAAAACCAAATACTACATGTTCTCACTTTTAAGTGGGAGCTAAATGATGAGAACACATGGGAACGAAGAGAGGAACAACACACACTGGAGTTGATTGGAAGGTGGAGAGTGGGAGGAGGGAGAGGATCAGGAAAAATAACTAATGGATACTAGGTTTAATACCTGGGTGATGAAATAATCTGGACAACAAACCCCCATGACACACATTTACCTATGTAACAAACCTGCACGTGTACCCCTGAACTTAAAATAAAAGTTAAAAATATCACACAGTGTTCCATAAATGTGAACAATTAGTTCAATTAAAAACAAGCAAAAAGCAAAAACATTGTTAGCAAAAAAGAAAAAAAAAAAACTACACAAAGAAAACACCCTCATAAGATCAGGTGAGCCTTCATAGTACCTGGTTTTAACTATATGAATCGCCAGTGTCACCCCTCCCTCACCACCCCCCGTTTCTCCCTAGCAGCAGCAGTGTGGTACAGAGAGCACTTAGTACTCTCTAAGAACTAAGCAAAGGGGACTTTGTCTTTCAGGTTAGGTACCAGCTTGGCCACAGTTGGGCAGAGCACCAAGTGAGCTCTTGGAGTCTTTGATTCCAGGATTTGATGCTTAGATGGCATCTCTGGCTCTGCCATGGGCCAGAAGAGTGCCCACTGCCCTGAATGGTGAGTTCCAGGCCAGGCAGCATTTACCACAATCTGACTTGAGAGCCCTTGGGTCTTAAGGGAAAATCGGCAATAGTCTTGCAGAACTCCCCATGGTCTACAGTGGCCGTGGCTACAGGGTGAGGCTACTCTGCCTTTAGAAAGGGGAAAGAAGTGTGGCAAGGACTGTCTTATGTTTTGAGTGCCAGCTCAGCCCTAAGAAAGCATAAGAAGTAGCCAGGGAGTGGTTACAGCAAGCCTTGGGTGAGATCCAGTGCTCTACAGCACAGTCATAATGGTGGTGGCCACAGAGGTGCTTGTGTCACAACACCTCCAGCTCTAGGTGAGTCAGAACAGAGAGACTCCATTTTGGAGGGAGAAAGTAATGAAAGAGAGCAAGAACTTCTGCCTGGTAATCCAGAGAATTCTCCCAGATCCTGTCCAAGACCACCAAGGTGGTACCTCTACGAGTCTGCAAGAACCATAGCCTTATGGGGCTGGGGGAGACCCCTAAAGCAGATATGGCTTAGATAATAACACTTAAGTCCTTTCAAGTATCTAGAAAGCCTTCCCAACAAGGAAGGGTGCAAACAACCTCAGATAGTGAAGACTACAATAAATACCTAACTCACCAATACACAGGCACTGAAGATTGTTGACTAGCATCAACACCATCCAGGAAAACATGACCTCACCAAATAAACTAAATAAGCTACCAGGGACCAACCCTGGAGAAACAGAAATATGTGACCTTTTAGATAGAGAATTCAAAATAGCTGTGTTGAGGAAACTCAAAAAATATCAAGATGATACAGAGAAGAAGTTCAGAATTCTATCAGATAAATTTAACAAAGAGATTGAAATATTAAAAAATAATCAAGCAGAAATTCTGGAGCTGAAAAATTTGACTGGAATACTGAAGAATGTGCCAGGGTCTTTTAATAGCAGAATTGATGGAGCAAAAGGAAGAATTAGTAAGCCTGAAGACAGGTTATTTGAAAATACACAGAGGAGACAAAAGAAAAGGAATAAAAAAAAATGAAGCATGCCTACAAGACCTAGAAAATAGCCTCAAAAGGGCAAATCTAAGAGTTATTGGCCTTAAAGAGGAGGTAGAGAAAGAGATAGGGGTAGAAAGTTAATTCAAAGGGATAGTAACGGAGAATTTCCCAAACCTAGAGAAAGATATCAATAACCAAATACAAGAAAGTTATAAAACATCAAGCAGATTTAACTCAAAGAAAACCACCTCATGGCATTAAATAATCAATCCCAAAGGTCAAGAATAAAGAAAAGACCCTAAAAGCAGCAAGATAAAATAAACAAATAACATACAATGGAGCTCTGTAATACGTTTGGCAGGAGACTTTTCAGTGGAAACCTTACGAACCAGGAGAGAGTGGCATGACATATTTAAAGTGCTGAAGGAAAAAACCTTCTACCCTAAAACAGTATATCTGGTGAAAATATCTTTCAAACATGAAGAAGAAATAAAGACTTTCCCAGACAAAGAAAAGCTAAGGGATTTCCTAAACTCCAGACCACTCCTACAAGAAATGCAAAGGGAGTACTTCAGTCAGAAAGAAAAGGATGTTAATTAGCAATAAGTAATCACCTGAAGGTACAAAACTCACTGGTAGTAGTAAATACACAGAACACAGATTATTATAACATAGTAACTGTTGTTATAAACTACTCTTAGCCTAAGTAGAAAGACTAAGCAATGAACCAATCAAAAAAGATAACTATAATAACTTTTCAAGACATAGACTGTACAATAAGACATAAATAGAAAAACGAAAAAGTTAAAAAGCAGGGAGATGAAGTTAAGGCATACAGTTTTTATTATTTTCTTTTCGCTTCTTTGTTTAAGCAAACAGTGTTAAGTTTTTGTCAGGTTAAGTAATGGATTATAAGATAGTATTTGCAAGCCTTCTGGTAACCTCAAACCAAAAAACATACAATGGATACACAAAAAATAAAAAGCAAGAAAATAAATCATATCACCAGAGAAAATCATCTTAACTAAAAAAAGACAGGAAGGAAAGAAAGAAAGAAGACTGCAAAACAATCAGAAAACAAATAACAAAAGGGCAAGAGTAAGTCCTTACTTACCAATAATAATATTGAATGTAAATGAACTAAACTCTACAATCCAAAGACATAGAATGGCTGAATGGATGAAAAAACAAGATCCATTGATCTGTTGCCCACAAGAAACAGACTTCACCTATAAAGACTCATATAGACTTAAAATAAAGGGAGGAAAAAGATATGCCATACAAATGGAAACCAAACAAGAGCAGAAGTAGCTATACTTATATCAGACAAAATAGATTTCAAGATAAAAACTATAAGAAGAGACAAAGAAGGTCACTATATAATAAAGGGGTCAATTCAACAATAGGAGATAATGACTATAAATATATATGCACCCAACACATGAGCACCACAGATATATAAAGAAAATATCATTAGAACTAAAGAGAGAGATAGGCCCCAATACAATAACAGCTGGAGACTTCAACACCCCACTTTCAGCATTGGACAGATTTTTTAGACAGAAAATCAACAAAGAAACAGACTTAATATGCACTACAGATCAAATGGATCCAATAGATATTTAGAGAACATTTCATCCAGTGGTCACAGAATACACATTTTTTTCCTCAGCACATGTATCATTATCAAAGATGGACTATACATTAGCTCACAAAACAAGTCTTAAAACACTCAATAAAATAGAAATAATATCAAGTGTCTTCTCTGACCACAAAAGAATAAAACTAGAAATCAATAATAAGAGGAATTTTTGAAACTATACAAAGACATGGAAATTAAACAATCTGTTCCTGAATGATCAGTGGTCAATGAAGAAACTAAGAAGGAAATTTAAAAAATTCTTGAAGGGAATGATAATGGAAACACAACATACCAAACCTATGGGATGCAGCAAAAGCAGTACTATGAGGGAGGCGTCTAGCTCTAAGTGTCTACATCAAAAAAGAGGAAAAACTTCAAATAAACAATCTAATTATGCATCTTAAAGAAGTAAAAAAGCAAGAGCAAACTACTCACACAAAGTTAGTAGAAGAAAAGAAATAATAAAGATCAGAGAAGAAATAAGTGAATTTGAAATGAAGAAAATAATAAAAAAGATCAACGAAACAAAAGGTCAAAAAGTTATGTTTAACTTTTCAAAAAAGACAAACCTTTAGCCAGACTAGGGAAAAAGGTAGAAGATCTAAATATATAAAATGAAAAAGAGACATTACATCTGATACTGCAGAAATTCAAAAGATCACTAATGGCTACTATGAGCCATGATATGCCAATAAATTGGAAAATCTAGAGAAATAGACAAATTCCTGTATACATACAATCTACCAAGATTGAACCATGAAGAAATCCAACACCTTAACAGACCAATAACAAGTAATGAGATCAAAGCCATAACAAAAAGCCTCCCGGTAAAGAAAAGCCCAGGACCCCAATGGCTTTACTGCTCAATTCTACCAAACATTTACAGAAGAAGTAATATCAACCCTACTGAAAAATAGAGGAGGAGGGAATACTTCCAAACTTATTCTATGAGGCTAACATTATTCTGATGCCAAAACTGGACAAAGGCACATTAAAAAAAAAAAAAAAACTACAAGCCACTATCTCTCATGAATATTTATGCAAAAATTCTCAACAAAATACTAGCAAACAGAATTCAACAATACATTAGAAAGATCATCCATCATGACCAAGTGAAATTTATCCCTGGGATGCAAGGATGGTTCAATATATGCAAATCAATCAGCATGATACATTGTAATAGAATGAAGGGCAAAAACCATATGATCATTTCAACTGATACTGAAAAATAATTTGATAAAATTCAACACCCCTTCATGATAAAAACCATCAAAAAACTGCATATAGAAGGAGCATACCTCAACATAATAAAAGCCATATATGACAGACCCACAAGCTGCCATTTTCACATACCAACAGCAAGTAATCTGAAAAAGAAATTAAAAAGTAATCCCATTGACAATAGCCACAAATAAAATTAAACACCTAGGAATTAACCAAAGAAATGAAAGATCTCTATAATGAAAACTATGAAACATTGATGAAAGAAATTGAAGAGGACACCAAAAAATAAAAAGATAATCCATGTTCATGAATTGGAAGAATCAATATTGTTAAAATGTCCATATTACCCAAAGCAACCTGTAGATTCAATGCAATCCCTATCAAAATACCAATAACATTCTTCACAGAAATATAAAACAGAATCCTAAAATGTATATGGTACCACAAAATATCCAGAATAGCTCTAAGCAAAAAGAACAAAACTGGAGGAATTGCATTACCTGACTTCAAATTATACTACAGAGCCATAGTAATCAAAACAGCATGATACTGGCATAAAAAAAGACACATGGACCTATGGAGCAGAATAGAGAACCCAGAAACAGATCCGCACGCTTACAGTAAACTCATTTTTGACAAAGATGCCAAGAGCATACACTGGGGAAAAGGCAGTCTTTTCAATAAATGGTGCTGAGAAACCTGGATATCCATATGCAGAAGAATGTAACTAGACCCCTATCTCTCACCATATATAAAAATCAAATCAAAATGGATTAAAGACTTAAATCTAAGACCTCAAACTGAAACTCCTACAAGAAAATATTGGGAAAATCTCCAGGACATTGATCTGGGCTAAGATTACTTAAGCAATACCCCACAAGTACAGGCAAGCAAAGCAAAATGGACAAATGGGATTGCATCAAATTTAAAAGCTCTCCACAGCAAAGGACACAATCAACAAAGTGAAGAATGGGAGAAAATATTTGCAAACTACCCATCTGACTAGGGATTAATAACCAGAATATATAAGGAGCTCAAACAACTCTTCAGGAAAAAAAAAAGTCAAACAATCTGATCAAAAAATGGGCAAAAGATTTTTATAGACATTTATTGAAAGAAGACATACAAATGGCAAACAGGCATATATAAAAGTGCTCAACATCATTGATAATCAGAGAAATGCAAATAAAAACTACAGTGAGATATCATCTCACCTTAGTTGATATGGTTTGGCTGTGCCCCCACCCAAATCTCATCTTGAATTGTAGCTCCCATAATCCACATGTGTTGTGGGAGAGACCTGATGGGAGGTAACTGAATCATGGAGGCAGGTTTTCCTGTGCCGTTATCATGATAGTGAATAAGTCTCACAAGATCTGATGGTTTTTTATGAAGGGCAGTTCCCCCTGCACATGCTCTCTGGCCTGTTGCCATGTAAGATGTGCCTTTGCTCCTCCTTTGTCTTCTGCCATGATTGTGAGGCCTCCCCAGCCATGCTGAACCGTGAATCAATTAAATCTCTTTCCTTTATAAGTTACCTAGTCTTGGGTAAGTCTTTATTAGCAGCATGAGAACAGACTAATATAGCACATTGTTACCAAGAGTGAAGTGCTGCTGTAAAGATACCTGTGTCATGGGAAGGACCCAGTGGGAGGTAATTGAATCATGGGGCAGGTTTCTCCCATGTTGTTCTTGTGATAGTAAATAAGTCTCATGAGATCTGATGGTTTTATAAAGGGCAGTTCCCCTGCACATGCTCTCTTGCCTGCCACCATGTAAGATGTACCTTTGCTCCTCCTTTGCCTTCTGCCATGATTGTGAGGCCTCCCCAGCCATGCTGAACTGTAAGTCAATTAAACCTCTTTCCTTTATAAATTACTCAGTCTTGAGTATGTCTTTACTAGCAGGATCAGAACGGACTAATATAATACACCAGTTAAAATGGCTTATATTCAAAAGTCAGGCAATAATAAATGCTGGTGAGAATGTGGAGAAAAGGGAACCCTAGTACACTGTTGGTGGGAATGTAAATTAGTACAACCAGTATGGAGAACAGTTTGAAGTTCCTCAGAAACTAGAAATAGAGCTAACATATATGATCCAGATATCCCGCTGCTGGGAATATACCCAAAATAAAGGAAATCTGTATATTGAAGAAACATCTGCACTCTCATGTTTATTGCAGCACTGTTCACCATCCCAAGATTTGGAAGCAACCTAAGTGTCCATCAACAGATGAATGGATAGAAAAAATGTGATACATATACACAAAGGAGTACTATTCAGCCATAAAAAAGAATGAGATCTGGCCAGGCGTGTTGGCTCATGCTTGTAATCCCAGCATTTCGGGAGGCTGAGGTGGGTGGATCACCTGAGGTCAGGAGTTCCAGACCAGCCTGGCAAATATGGTGAAACCCCATCTCTACTAAAAACACAAAAATTAGCTGGGTGTGGTGGTGGGCACCTGTAATCCCTGCTACTCAGGAGGCTGAGGCAGGAGAATCGCTTGAATTCGGGAGGTGGAGGTTGCAGTGAGCCGAGATTGCGCCACTGCACTCCAGCCTGGGTGACAGAGCAAGACTCTGTCTCAAAAAAAAAAAAAAAAAAAAAAAAAAGAATGAGATCCTGTCATTTGCAACAACATGGATGGAACTGGAGATCACTATGTTAAGTGAAATAAGCCAGGCACAGAATGACAAACATCACACATTTTCACCTATTTCTGGGATCTAAAAATCAAAGCAATTGAACTTACGGACATAGAGAATAGAAGGATGGTTACCACAGGCTGGGAAGGACAGTGGAGCTGGTGGGGGGAAGGTGTGATGGTTAATGGCTACAACAAAAATAGAAAGAATGAATAAGACCTAGTATTTGATAGCACAACAGGGTGACTACAGTCAATAATAACTTAATTGTACATTTTAAAATAACTAAAAGAGTTTAATTGGATTGTTTGTAACACAAAGGATAAATGCTTGAGGGGAAGGATACCCCATTCTTCATGTTGTGATTATTTCACATTGCATGCCTGTATCAAAACATCTCATGTGCCCCATAAGTAGATATACCTAGTATGTATCGTCAAAAATTAAAAATTAAAAAAATTTTTAAAAAGAAAATTGGCTGAGTCCCAGTAAGAATGGTAAGCTCTGTGGTATTGTAACTTGCCTTATTTTCATCCCCACTGCTCCAGTTCTGCAGCAGTCTTTGAAAACCAGCACCCTCAAAATCACAGTAGCTGTGAAAACCAGCAATCTAGCAGCAACTGGAAGGGGCAAGCCCAGGAAATACTTCAAGGCCCTAATTTGTCACCTCTGGCTAAAACTAATGCTCTCTGAAAGCAGGAAATTAAGGATCAGGTAAAGTTTCAAACTGCTGAGGCATTGAAAGTGTTCCTCAACACTCACTCAGAGCCCTTTGGCAAAGTGTGGAAGATTTGTGATTCAAAGTATTTAAGGAAATCTCCATTCAAACATTAGCTGACTGCTAAGCTAAATGAGCAGAAACTTTAGTCACAGTACACAACAAAGAATACAGACTTTATAGAATTGATCCAGGAGAGTCATTAAACCAACAGTGAAAACAACAACACACTTTGAGGAGGGAAGGATCTGATTGCCAGAGATTCAACATTATATTATTTAAAATGTCCAGTTTTCAACAAAAAATTATGAGACATACAAAAAAGCAGGAATGCGTGAGAATGATATTTAATGAAATAGAGAATACGAATAAAAGGGATAGAAATTATAACAAAAGAACCAAACAGAAATTCTAAAGTATATATATACTAAATTGCTTCCATTATTATTTTATTTTTTTTAAAAAGCAAAAAAGTACTTCCTATTTTATCAGTAATTATATAAAATGTATACAGTTTAAACATTCCAAGCCAAAGGCACAAACTGGAAGTATAGTAAAGAATCATGATCCAACCACATGCTGTCCATAAAGGACACACTAGATTAAAAGCCACCAATAGAGGAAAGTAAGAGGATGGAAAAAGATACACTGTGAAAATGGTAGCTAAAAGAGACCTGAAGTGGTCGTATTAATATCCAACAAAATAGACTTGAAGACAAAAGTTTTTCTACCAACAAAGGAGGACAATTTTTGGAACACTCTCAGTAACTTTATTTGATTTAGTATTGTTCAGAGAAAATATACAAGTTTAAAATGACTTCAAATAATATCAGCATTGGCCACTCAAAAAAATCAATAAAATAGAAGACAAATTTAGTTATTATTTCTGTGATTCATTGCAAATGTAGGACATCTTTATAAACAAATCTATTTTTGCTTTTAGAACTATTGTTAATTAACACATAATAATTATACATATTTATGGGGTAAAGTATGATATTTTAATACATGTATATAATATGAAATGATCAAATCAGAGTAATTAGCATATCCATCACCTCAAACACCTATTATTTCTTTGTGTTGGGAACATTTCAAATCCACTCTTCTAGCTGTTTGAAAATATACAATAAATTGTTCATTATAGTCACTCTATATTGCTATAGAACCCTAGAACTTATTCCTCTTAACTAGATGAAATTCTGTATCGATTAACCAACCTTTGGCTATCCCCTCCCTGACCCGCCACATTTTCCTGCCTCTAGTAACCACTATAGTACTCTCTACTTCTATGAAATCAACATTTTTAGCTTCCACATGTGAGTGAGAACATGTGGTATTTATCTTTCTGTGCCAGGCTTATTTTACTTAACATAATGTCCTGTAAGCTCACGCATGTTGCCACAAATTGCAGAATTTTGTTCTGTTATATGGCTAAATATTTTTTTGTGTATATACACCACATTTTTCTTTATCCATTTATCAGTTGATGGACACTTAGGTTGTTTCATATCTTGGCTATTGTGAATAGTGTTACAATAAACATGGGAGTGTAGATATCTTTTTGACATACTAATTTCCTTTCCTTTGGATATACAACCAGAAGTGGCATTGCTGCATCATAAGGTAGTTTTATTTTCAGTTTCTTTAGGGATTTCCATACTGATTTCTATATTACTGCACTAATTTTCATTCTCATTAACAGTGTATAAGAGTTCCCCCTTCTCCACATCTTCACCAGCATTAGTTACTTTTTGCCTTTTTTATAATAGCCATTCTAACTGGGATGAGATGATGCCTCATTGAGGTTTTAATTTGTATTTCCCTGATGATTAGTGGTGTTGAGCATTTTTTCATATACCTGTTGGCCATTTGTATAAAGAAGGACATTTTATAAAGATAAAAGTGTGACTATATCAGGAAGACATAACAATCATAAACATGCATGCAACTAACAATAGAGCTCAAAATACACTAAGCAAAAATTAACATAATTGGAGGGAGAAATAGATAATTTGTTGTTGTTGTTGTTGAGATAGAGTCTCACTCCATCACTCAGGCTGGAGTGCAGTGGTGCAATCTTGACTCACTGAAACCTTTGCCTCCCAAGTTTAGTAGAGACAGGGTTTCACCATGTTAATCAGGCTGGTCTCTAACTCCTGAATTCAAGCGATCCACCTGCCTTGGCCTCCCAAAGTTCTGGGATTACAGGCATAAGCCACTGTGCCTGGCCAGAAATAGACAATTTAAAAGTAATAGTTGAGACTCCAATACCACACTTTCAATAATGGATAGAATAACTAGACAGAAGATCAACAAGGAAATAGAAAACTTGAATAACACTATAAACCAACCAGACCTGACAGACATTTATAGAATGTCCTTCTTGTCTTAGCTTGTTTGGGCTACTATAAGAAAATACTTTAATACTTTAGAATGGGTATTTTAGAAACAGTAAAAATTTATTGCTCACAAATTTGGAAGCTTAAAAGTCAAAGATCAAGGTGCTGGCAGATTTGGTGTTAGGTGAGGGCCTGTTACCCCTAGATGGTGCCTTCTAGATGCATCCTCACATAGCTGTAGGGGTAAAGGGGCTACCTCAAGCTTCTTTTATAAGGGCACTAATCCCATTCATAAGAGCTCTGCCTTCATGACCTAATCACATCCCAAAGGCCCCACATCTTAATACTATCACATTGGGTATTAGGTTTTAACATATGAATTTTGGGGGAACACAAAGCTTTAGACCATAGCATTCTGCTCCTGGCACCCCGCAATTTTTGTACTTCTCACATGCAAAATACATTCATTCTATTAGCCTCAAAGTCCACATCTTCACCAGCATTTCTTATTTTTTGTTTTTTTTGATAATTGTCATTCTAACTAGGATGAGATGACATATTTCCAGCATCAACTCAAAAGCCTGAAGTCCAAAGTCTCATCTAAATATGATCTAAATCTGAAATGAATGAGACTTAAGGTGGGACATATCCTGAGGCAAATTCCCTTCCAACTTTGAGCCTGTGAAATCAAACAAGTTAAGTGTTTCCAAAATATAGTGATGGGACAGGCATGGGGTAGATATTCCTATTCTAAAAGAGAGACATAGGAAAAAAGAAAAGAGTAATAGATCCCAAATAAGTCTAAAACACAACAGGAAAAATGCATTAAATCTTAAGGCTTGAGAATAATTTTCTTTGACTCCATGTCCTGCTTTCCAGACATAGTGAGGTGAGGGTTGGGCCTCCAAGGGTCCAGTCGGCCCCACCCCCATCACTTTGCTGGGCACAGCCCACACAGAAACTCTTATAGATTGAAGTTGGTTGCCTGCAGCTCTCCCAGGCTGGAGTTGCACACTGGTAGCTTTATAGTTCTGGAGTCTCAGGGGCAGCCCCTCCTGCATGAGTCCTGTGGACATTGCCCTAATGGGGGCTCTTTGTGGTGACTCTAACTCCACAGTTCTGCTGGGCATTGCCCTAGCAAAGATGCCCTGTGTGGCCCTGCTTCTGTGGCAGTTTTCTGCCTGGGCCCTGAGGCTCTCTGGGGCATCCTTTGAAATCTAGATGGAGGTAGTCATGCCTCCGTAGCTCATATACTCTGTGCATCCATGGAGATGGCACTGTGTAGGTGCTACCATGATTTTCTGCCTGTGCCTTCCAGAGGAGTGACTTGAGCTGCACCTGGTCTCACTTGCACCACAGCAGGGGTGGCCCAGGAGTACTACACCAGAATTGGGGGAGCAGAGCCTGGAAATCATTCGGCCCCCGAGACCCTAGCATTCTGGGTCTGTGGTGGGTAGAGCAGCCCTGAAGTTCTCTGAGATACCTTCAGAAGCATTCTTCCATTGTATTGATGAATAGCATATGGCTTTTTTCTATCCATACTAATCTCCCTATCAAATGGTTGCTTGGCCACACTCTTGGTGGTCTCTTCTGAACATGCTTTTTTATTCCTTACAACTTGGCCAGGCTGAGAATTTTCCAAATCTTTAAGTTCTGCTTCCTTTTTGATTATAAGTTCTGTCTTTAATCTCTCTTCTCATATTTTACTATAAGTAGTCAAGAGAAACCACGCTGCATCCTCAGCACTTTGCTTAGATATTTCTTCCACCAAATATCCTATTTCATCAACTCAGAAGTTCTTCCTTACACAAAACACTAGGACACAGACATAATTCAGCCAAGTTATTTGCTACTTTATAACAATAGTTGCCTTTCCTTCAGTTTCAGTAACATGTTCCTCATTTCTGTCTAAGCCTTCAGCAGGATAGCTTTTACTGCTCATATTTCTACTAACATTCTGTTCATGACCTCTTAGGTAATCCCTAAGAGGATTGAGGCTTTCTCTACAGCTCTCTATTTCTTTTGAGCCCCCACCAGAATAACCCTTTATGGTCCATTCATGGCAATAGAAGCTTTTTTTTTCAGCATGTACCACCAAACTTTTCCAGCCTCTACTCATTACCTAGTTTCAAAGCTACTACCACATTTTTAGATATTTGTCACAGCAGCACTCTATCTCAGTATCAATTTCTGTCTTAGTCCATTAAGGTTGCTAAAACAAAATACCTTAGATTGGGTAATTTAGAAACAATAAAAATTTATTACTCACAGTTCTGGAGGCTTGGAAGTCCAAGGTCAAGGTGCTGGCAGATATGGTATCCGTTAAGGGCTCATTACTCACAGATGGCACTTTCTAGCCTTGTCCTCACATGGAGCAAGAGACAAATAGGCTCTCTCAAGTATATTTTATAAGGCCACTAATCCCATTCATGAGGGCTCTGCTCTCATGACATAATTACCTCCCAAAGGCCCTACCTCTTAATACTATCGCATTGGGTATTAAGTTTCAACATATACATTTTGAGGGGACACAAAGCTTCAGACCATATAGCACTGCCTGACAACAGAAGAATATGTATTTTTTTTTTCAAATTCAATGGAACATTCTCCAGGAGAGACCACCGTTAAACCATCACACAAGCCTCAATAAATTTAGAAAGATTAAAATGATTCGAAGTATGTTCTTCAGCCTCAATGTTATGAAATTTAAAATGAATAACAGAAGGAAATTTGGGAAATTCACAAATATGTCAAAATTAAACAACACACTTCCAAATAACAAGTGGGTCAAAAAAGAAATTATGAGGAAAACTGAAAAATACTTTGAAATGAATGAAAAACAAAAATACAATATATAACAGTTTTGTTATGTTGTTAAGCCATGCTTTAGAAATAAATTTATGGTTGTAAACATCTATATTAAAAAAGAAGAAAGAGGCTGGGTGTGGTGGCTCATGCCCGTAATCCCAGCGCTTTGGGAGGCCGAGGTGGGTGGATCACTTGAGGCCAGGAGTTCGAGACCAGCCTGGCCAGCATGGCAAAACCCCGTCTCTCCTAAAAATACAAAAATTAGAAGGGCATGGTGGCATGCGCCTGTAATCCCAGCTACTCAGGAGGCTGAGACACAAGCATTGCTTGAACCTGGGAGACAGAGGTTGCAGTGAGCCAAGATCACGCCACTGCACTCCATCCTGGGTGACAGAGCAAGACTCTGTCTCAAAAAAAAAAAAAAAAGAAGAAGAAAAAGAAGAAAGACCTCAAGTGAGTAACCTAAACTTCCACTGTATTAAACTAGAAAAAGAGTTAACTAAACCCAAAGCAAGAAGAATAAAGGAAATGATAAAGATTAGACCAGAAATAAATGAAATAGAGAGTAGAAAAACAGTAAGAATATCAATAAAGCTAAAGTTGGTTCTTTTAAAAGTCAACAAAATTGACAAACTTCTAGCTAGAAAAGACTCAAATTACTAAAATCAGGAAATAAAGGGAATATTACACCAACCTTATACAAATGAAAAAAAAGAAAAGTTAATACTATGAAAAACTGTTTGTAAACAAATTAGATAGCACAGATGAAATGGACGCATTCCTAGAAATACACAAACCACTGATCCTGACTCAAGAAGAAATGTACAATCTTAATGGACTTATAAAAGGAAAAAAGATTAAACTGATAATTCTAAAAATTCTTGCAAAGCAAAGCTTAGGCCCAGATGGCTTCACTGCTGGATTCTACCAAACATTTAAAAAAGAATTAATATAAATTGTACACAAACTGTTTCAAAAAACAGAAGAGGAGAGAACATTTTCAAACTCATTATATAAGGCCAGTATTAATCTAATAGCAAAACCAAACAAAAAAAAAATAAGAACATAAAGCTACAGACCAATATCTTTTACGATCATGGATGCAAACATCCCTGACAAATTACTAGCAAGTTGAAACTGACAATATATTTAAAAGTTTATATATCACAACCAAGTGAGATTGATTTCAGGGGTGCAAGATTGGTGCTGGAACAACTGGATATCCACATGTAAAATCACAAGTTTGGACCTCTTTCTCATACTATACACAAACATTAACTCAAAATACATCATAGACCTAAACATAAGACTTAACACTATAAAACTCTTAGACCTTGGATTTGGCAATGGAGTCTTAGCTACAACATTAAAAGCAAAAGCAGTCATGGAAAAAAATAGGTAAATTGGACTTCATAAAAATTAAAAACAGTTGTTCTTCAAAGGAAACTATCAACAAAGTAAAAGGACCATTCACAGATACGTAAATTTGTTAAGTGACTTGTATCTACAATGAAGAACTTCTATAACCAAACAATAAAAAGACAAATAACCCAATTTTAAATAATGAGCAAAGTATTTGAATAGACATTTCTCCAAAGAAGATATATAAATGTCTAATAAACTCATGAAAAGATGCTCAGTATCAATGGTCATTAGGGAAATGCAAATTAAAACTACAATGAGATACCACTTCGCACCCACAATAATGGTTGTAATAAAAAAGTCAGGCAACACAAGTGTGGGAAAGGATGTAGAGAAACTGGAACACTCATTCATTGCTGATGGGACTGTAAAATGGTACAGCCAATTTGGAAAACAGTTATATAGCTTCTCAAAATGTTAAACACAGAGTTACCACCTAACTCAGTAATTCCACTCTTAGGTATATACCCAAGAGAAAAGAAAACATGTTTCCACACAAAAATTTGCACACGCATGTTCCCAGCAGGATTATTCATAATGGCCAAAACGTTGAAATAACTCAAATGTCCATCAGCTGATGGGCAAACAAAACATGGTATAGTCATTCTGTGGAATATTATTCAGCTATAAAAAAAGAATAGAGTATTGATACATGGTATAGCATGGGTGGATATTGAAAAAATTATGATAAGTAAAAGAAGCCAGTCACAAAAGATCACATATTGCAGGAGTCCCTAACCCCTGGGCCACAGACCAGTACCAGTTTGTGGCCTGTTAGGAACCGGGCCGCACAGCAGGAGGTGAGTGGCGGGCAAGCAAGCAAAGCTTCATCTGTATTTACAGCTGCTCCCCATCACTTACATAACCACCTGAGCTCCACTTCCTGTCAGATCAGCAGTGGCATTAGATTTTCATAGGAGCATGAACCCTACTGTGAACTGTGCATGCAAACAAGGCTGCACACTCTTTATGAGAATGTAATGCCTGACGATCTGTCATGGCCTTCCATCACCCTCAGATGGAACCGTTTAGTTGCAGGAAAACAAGCTAGGGCCCACTGATTCACATTATAGTGAGTTGTATAATTATTTCATTATATATTACAATGTAATAATAGTAGAAATAAAGTGCACAATAAATGTAATGCACTTGAATCATCCTGAAACCATACCTCCCTCATGGTCCATGGAAAAATTGTCTTTCATGAAGCTGGTCCCTGGTGCCAAAAACATTGGGGACCACTGACATATTGTATGATTCCATTCATATGAAATGCCAGAATAGGCAAATCATTAGACAGAAAGTAGATTAGTTTTTGTCAGAGGCTGAGGAGGAAAGCACAATGGTGAGGGACTGCTAATGGATATGGGGTTTCTTTTTCAGGTGATGAAAATGTTATCAAATAAGATAGTGGTAATGGTTTTCTATGTCTACAAATATGCTATGACAAGTGAAATATTGAACTGTACACTTTAAAGGGTAAATTTTATAGTATGCAAATTATATCTTAATAAAGATGCTATTAAAAAATCTATGCCGATATTCCCATATTCCTTATTTTAGTGAATGCCAAAATGTTTCATCCATTTATATAAGCCAGTAACCTTCTTCGACAGATTTTGTTCCTACTCCCTTTTTAGTCTACCACCAATTCCTACCAATCTCTTCTCCTACATATGGCTGTTCAGGCCTTTGTTTTTCTACCACCATCCAAGCCCAATTCACCATTATTTCTTGCCTGAAATATCCAATAGTCAATTAACTAGTCATCCTGCATCTGCTCCTACCTGTTCCCCTATTCATTCTTCACCTAACAGCCAGAGTAATCCTTTCAAAATGAAAAAAGAATTAATAAGCATTTTTATTAAAGCAAAACTTACATAAATAAAAGTGTACACATTCTTAGCATCTAGTTTTGTGAATTACCACAAAGTGAATATGCCCATGAAAACGCCATCCAGATTAGGAAATAAAACATTACCAACATCCCAGGAGCTCCCCCACTTTACGTTCCTTTTCATTTAGTACTACCTCTCCTCTCAATATCCTTTCTACCATTATATATTGGTTTCAACCTAGTTCTGAAGTGTATGCAAAGGGAGTCATAGAAAAAGTACGCTTTTGTATCTGGATTTTTCCATTTGATAGTATGTATGGGAGATTCATCCAGTTACTGTGTGTAGGAGATGATCCTTAATTTTTGTTGTTGTATTTCACTTTTTTATTTAATATAATTTATCCATTCTGTAGTTGATAGACTGCTCAACCCACTTCTGGGTTGAGGCTGTTATGAACATACTTGTACAAGTATTTTGGGATTCATAAGTATGCATCTCTGTTGAGTATATACATTGGAGTGGAATTGCTGGGTCATAGGGTATGTGCATGTTTGGTGTTAGTAGATACTTCCATGTAGTTTTCCAATGTGGTTGTACAAATTTACACTTCCACCAGCAGAGTATGAGAGTTCCAGTTGCTTCATATTCTCACCAGCACTTAGTATTGTCAGTCTTTTAAAATTTGGCCATTCTTACTGTCATCTTGCCATTTCCTCAATGAAAAATAAGGTTAATACCATTTTAGATAATTAATGGCCATTTGATTATACTCTTTTGTGGGATTCCTATTCAAATATTTTGCTCATTTTTCCATTGCGGTATCTGAATTTTCCTTATAATATTCTAGATCTGAGTTTTGTGGCTTGCCCATTCACTCTCTTATTGGTGTTCTTTAAGAATATAAATTCTTAAAATAGCCCAATTTATTGATCAATATGGTCCAATTTATTGATCTTCTCCTTTATGGTTGGCACTTTTTGTGTCCTATTTAGAAATCTTTTCCAAGGTAATGAAGCTCTTCTCCTCCACTATCTTCCAGAAGTTTTATTGTTTTCTCTTTTACATTGAGGTCCACAATTTATCTGGAATTAATTTTTGGTTATGGTATAAAGTAGAGGTTAAGATACATCTTTCTTTCCACGTGATTTTCCAATTGACCCAACACCATTTATTGATAAGAATATCTTTTGCCTACCAAAATGAAAATGTAATTATGCTGGATTGGAGAGGAGAATAAAACTCTGGGCTTGGGATTCAAAATTATTTCTTATGGTATATTTTAACCTGAAACCAAGGTGTTATGGCTAAACTCCAGCAGAAAGCCTCTGTTACCTAGAACTGTTAATGAGCCCTCCCATCTGGAAGGAGAACAGAGAAGTAATCTTGAAATTGTAATTATTACCACACTCAATGCCATGAACTACCTGAATAGTTATGAACGAACTTCTGTTGATGGTTATACCCCTAAATCTCCCCAAAACTGAAGACAATTATGTCTACCCCTAGACAAATGAGTATTTGCTGTGCAAATGACCCTCTGAGGAGAAAGGTACTGACAATCCTTTGGGTACAAAGTGCTCTGATCTCCTTGGGTTGTAGAGATGTAAGCCAATTGTTTTGTCTTTTTCTCATTTCAGTATTGCAAAGACAAAGAGAATCAACTTTTAATTTATGTATCACTTTGGATTTTTCCCACTGCCAATCAGATTTCTGGGCGAGAGCTCCTCATGAATTTTCTGACAGCTACATGGATCACATGGGTGAGTTGTTCCTGATGTCTGATCCCTGATCCTTATGGATGCCTGGAAGTCTGAAACAACACATAGCTGGCCTATTACTCATTCTCCCTACACTACTGAGCTCCAGTGTTGCCCCTTCCCTAGGCTTAACCTCTCCCCCTATATTTGCTGACAGTCTCTTTGAAAAATTCTCATAACATATAGATACTGTCTAAGCTTTTGAACAAGTCTACTCCCCTTGACGTCAACTGTTCTGTTGATTTCCCCCAGCCTAATCCCTTACCACTCCCTTCTTTGCTATTCATGCTTGGTATAGTTTCTAGCACTCATCATGCTGATTCATGCCTCTTTACTTTTAGTTGTAATGTTTTCCCTGCCTAGACTACCTTCATTTCCCCACCTTCATTTCCACGCTAGAGGTGAAATTTAGAAACCTTCAAAAATCTATTAGTCACCAGGAAGCTTTCCTATGACTCAGGTAGGCTAAATGCCCATACCTACGTCTGTAACCACATATACCACATGATATCAGAGAGTGTGTTTATGTGTCCATTTCTCTTATGTTGGTTCTACATCTTATCTTTAGTCTCCCAACATCGAACACAACGCCTGGCACATTATAGTTGTTTAATAAATTCATGTTGAATGCACCTGAACAGCAGTAGTACAAGGAAAAGATTAACTTGCTCAGAAACTCTTGCATTTGGAGCTGAGGACCAAGTGGGTTGAAGTATTAAACATACTGCTGAGGTTGCTTGCCTTGGTTGGGGTCAGCCTAGACAACCACTCAGTCTAGAGTCACAGAGGAGACTTAAAGCTCAAAAGTTTGCAATTTGTACACAGACTCTCAGCTTATAGAATCAAAACTCCTTTTGCTACACATTTATTTCTAAAATTAAATAAATAAGTTTAAAAAGGCAACTGAACGTCCCCCATCTCATAGTTTCTTAAGCCAGCAGCAGACTGTATGACACATCCTTCAAATAACTGCGGTGTTCTGAGTAAGTGTTTTAAAATACACAGCCCAGCCAACAAAAGCACTCAGGGATCTTGTTGTTTATTTTTGAGCATTAAAAAAAAGTTAAAAATGCAGTGGTTGCTGAGTGTAGACTCATACCACACTAGCTCATTAGCCCTTTTAAAATATCCTGCATTGGAAAAATCTTTAATGCTAGAGCCCATTAAAATTTTGAAAATTCTAACATAGTTTTTAAAACATTATCCCAAATAATTTAGTAGGTGCTTACATTTTAAAAATCTGTAAATAATAAAAAAAATTAGTATAATGATAGCTTAGCTCAATTATTATTCTTACTGTAGTTGGTAACTTATAATACTTAAGTAATTATCTAATATACCAGCTAGAATCCAGAAAGATGCAAAGACTTTTTACTGTATTTTTTCTCCATTTGCACCCCAATTATGTATATTTCATGTCCCTCTTTGCTCTGTTGTGTTCCAGGGGGCCCTGTGGACTGCATTACCCAAGGCTCCTTTTCCATTTGACTTCTGGTTGTGCTATGCTTATAGAGATATTCATGGGGGATTAAAGAGTGGTGGAAGAGAGGTTGGGGTATTTCTTTACCTGCTTTCTCTATACATCAGTGCCACATTTCTGGCATGGCTGTGTTCCTGTATGACTACAGCTCCTCTGCCTTCCTCCACAGCTCCAGGTTTTCTCCTATTGGGAGTGATGATGGTTTTCCACTGAGACCAGTCTCTGAGTGCCTCAACATCCTTTGTTGGTTTTCTTAATCAAGCCCACACCCCTGTAATTAGTCCTTTCATTAATGTATTGTATTTGATTAATCTTGTTGAATCCTGCTACTTGCCAGGATTCCAACTGACACAAACTAAATTTAATGTATTTGTAGAGAACACTTCATATCACAATTGAGGTAAAGTCCTCCTATCCCCCATGGCGAGCACTGAATTAAAAGAGAAAACAGCAGAACTCATTAACAGAGATTCATAATTCACCAAGGAATTACCAATGAAGCTTAAGAATAGGAAATACCATTTTGAAGGCATCTTAAGATCCCCACTGCACTATGAATCTAAAGGAGAAAAAGTGTCAAAGTTTTAAATCAAGGGATGCACTCACAGGAAGAAAATCCCCACATTAACAACGCAAAAGGCAAATAAATGATACCCAGTCTTTACATAAAGCACAGAGACTTGATACTATCACTTGGTTGGACTGCAATAACTATTTGTCTCTTCTCTCCCCATTATTGATGCAACAAAATTTTTGAAGCACTTCCTTTGAAGAGCCACAAATTTGCTATAAGACTAAGCATTGTAACTATCCCTATCCCATTAGGGCCTAAGGTGAGAGGATGTAAGAATGGATCAGGAGAGGTGACCTCAGGAGAGCTGAAACAAGACCAGAAACTAAAGATAGAAAAATGTTCAGATTACTGATAGATTCCAAGTAAATCTAAAGCTAGGTAGAAATGTGCCAGGAAGAATGATCAGAGATTAAAATAGGTCCAGACTGGAGAAAGGATCTGAATAATGGGTACCAGCATCCAGGCAAGAGATCCAGAAGGCAACTTTAAGAATACAATGGATACCAAACCTTACCTCATTCCATCAGGTTTTATATATTTCCATTACAAGGATAAAAGCAAAACCCAATGAGGCTGATCCAATGACCCTGGCTATAGTATAATCAAAAATGCAAGAAAAAAGCAGTTCCTGATGAGAAGACTGGAAGAAATCATTTGGACCCTAAAATACCATTGTAGATTGGCTCATTAAATAAAAGATAAAGTTGTATTTTCAGGTTTCCTGAGTTTATTTTTCCACCCAGTGCTACACTTAATCAGGGTTTAGAGGTTTAGGGGTGGACACAAACTCAACTTGTTTTCTAAGATCATAATTTCTTTTAAAAGATATATGTAAACTTCCTTGGAATTACAGAAAAAAAGTTTTTATTTATTTATTTATTTATTTTAAGTATTTAACACTTCTGCTTCCAGCCAAAATGTAGTAAAAGGTCTGGCTTAATTTCTCACCTAAAATAAGCAAATAGTGGACAAAATGTATGAATCTATTATTTTCAATACAATGAGCATCAGGGAATGAAAGATTGCATATTAATTAGGGTTCTCCAAATAAACAGCACCAACAGGGATATATAAAAAAATGAGAATTGGCTTACATGATTGTGGAGGTCAAGAAGTTCCATAATAGGCTGTCTATGAGCTGAAGAAACAAGAAAGAGTTGGAGGTGAAACTCAGTCTAAGTCCAAAGGCCTGAGGACTGGCATTGTGGCCAGTGGGGGAGAGTGGGAGGGTGGGGATGGTGTAAGTCACAGATGGAGTCTGAAGGCTTGAGAACACAGAGCACTGATGTCTGAGAACAGGAGAAGACAGATGTTCCAGCTCAAACAAGGCAGATCAAATTTGCCCTTCCTCTACCTTTTGTTCTACCCATACCCTCAAGGGATTGGACAATGCTTGCCTACATTAGTGAGTGTGATCTTCTTTACTCAGTCTACTGATTTGAATGCTAATTTCTTCCAGAAACACCTTCAGAGACACACCCAGAAATAATGTTTTACCAACTATCTGGGCATTCCTTAGCCCAGTCAAGTTGACACATAAAATTAACCATAACAGACAGTGATCCCTAAAAGAAGGAAAACAATCAAGGTGAGTCCCTTGATTGGGTCCAGCTTAGTGCCTTAAGCTATTCCAGGCCACAGGAACAGGAACCCAAGTACAGCCTGGCAGACTTAAGGAGACAGAGGTCAGAATCTGTCTCCTGGGAGATCAAAACACTCACGGTTCACAGGACAGAGTACCAGAGAGAAGAGTGCTACACACAAAGAGAACCTGGAGATTTGCAAAAGGGCCCATTCAAGTATTCAGCTAGGTATGCATTGATCACTGTACACATGTAAGGAAACCACCTAAGGCTGGGAAAAGAATTATCTAAAAGGATCACAGGTCTCACCACAAATAAATGATAAATGTGTGAAGTAATGCATATGTTAATTAGCTTGATGAAGTCATTCCAGAATGTATACATATTTCAAAAATTTCTGTGGTACACCATAAAAATATGTAATTTTAATTTGACAATAAAGTAAATAAGAAGAAGAGAAAAAGGAACAATACTTGGTTCTCTAAAGGGTTGGGAATTTTTCCTGCTCCCACCAGCCAGACTGGAAAACCTCACAATTCACAGGGCATTGAAAATAGTGCACAGAAGTGACTTGCCTCAACAGTGGGGAATAGTCAGCCTTAGACTGAATACAACTTTGGTCCTGCCTAAAAAGTCTTAAAAGCAAGACCTCAAAAGATCAAAGTATTTTCAATTAATTTAACTTGATACTAGAAAAAAAATCTCAGTAATATTTAAAGGAATAAAATATATTCAACATCCAAGGTAAAATTCACAATGTCTGGTATCTGATCAAAATTAGCAGTCTAAAAAAGCATTGTTAATGTGCACACTTTATACAAGTAAATCCAGTGGTATGTTAGTTATATTTCAATAAAGCTGTGAAAAATCTTACAAAGCAGACAAAGAAGAAGGAAAATACGACCTATAATAAAGGGTAAAATCAATGAACTGAAACCAATCCAGAGTTGACACAGAAGTTAGAATTACACATGGACATTTTAAAAGCTATAACAATATTTCATATGTTCAAAAAGTAAAGTAGAAACATAGAAAACCTACAATCCTCTAGATATGAAAGCTACATTTTCTGAGGTAAAAAAAATACACTTAATGAAAATAATAGCAAAGTATATCTCACAGGAGAAAAGATTGGTGAGGCTGAACTTGACATAGCAATAGAATCTATTCAAATAAAACAGACAAACAAGGGGAAAAATGAACTCAGAATCAACGATAAGTGAAGCAACTTAAAGCAGCTTAATATATTTTCAGTTGAAGTCCTTCAAAGGGGAAGAGATGCAGAAAAAAAATGTTTGAAGGAACAATAGCCAAAAATTTTTACAAATTTCATGAAAATTACAAACTTGCAAATCCAAGAATTTCAATGAACCTCAACATCATCAATGTGTGGAAAACTATACTGAGTTACATTAAAATAAGCTTTATCAAAACCAGTGATAAAAGGAAAATCTTTAAAGCTACCAGAGAAAAAAGATGCATTACATACAAGGGAACAAAGATAAAGATGACAACAAATTTCTTTTTGGAAGCAATAGAAGCAAGGAGACAGTAATGCAATATTGTTAAAGTACTGAAAGAAAACAAAACTTCCAACTTAGATTTCTATAACTATTGAAAATATCTTTCAAAAACAAATGTGAAATAAAGACATTTTTGGACATACAAAAGCTGAAATAATCCACCAGGAGACCTCCTTGACAAGAAATGTTGAAGGAAGTCCTTAAGGCAAAAAGAAAATGAAAATAATACTAGGTGGAAATATGGATCTACAAAATGGAATAAAGAGCACATGAAATGGTAACTACATGAGTACATACATAATGCTATTTAAATTTCTATCAAAGATAATGGACTATTTAAACAAAAATAATAATAAAGTGTCATGGAGCTTATGGGTAAAATGTATGAAAACAATAGCACAATGGTCAGGAGGAAAGACACGGAAGTATATTATTGTAAGACCCTTATAATATATATGAAGTGGTATATCACTTGAAGGCAGACTGTAATAAGTTAAAGATATATACTATAAACCCAAGAAACTACTAATAGTTAATAAGCCAACAATGGAAATAAAATGGAATCACTTTTTAAAAATCAAATAATTAAAAAGAAAATAAAAAACAAAGCACAGATGAGATAAATAGAAAACAAATAGTAAGATGGTAGATTAAAATCTAACCATATTAATAATTAGATGACATGTAAAAGATAAAAGATGTGAATACCCTAATAAAAGGCTGAGATTGTCAGATTGAATAAAAAAAAATCCAACTATATGCTTCCTATAAAGATGCAAGTAGGTTAAAAGTAAAACCATGAAAAAAGATATTCTATACTAACACTAAACAAAGAAAGCTGAAGTGGAAAATGAAAATTAAAATAACGATGAGATATCATCTTCCATGAGTCATAATGGCTGTTATTAAAAAGTCAAAAAATTACAGATGTTGGTGAAGATGTGGAAAAAAATGAATGCTTATACATTGTTGGTGGGAATGTAAATTAGTATGACCTCTATGGAAAACAGTATGGAGACTTTTCAAACAACTAATAATAGATCTACTATTTGATTCAGCAATCCCACTACTGGGTATATACCCAAAAGAAAGTAAATCATTATATCAAAAAGATACCTGCAACCGTATGTTTATTGCAGCACTATTCACAATAGCAAATATGGAATCAACCTGCGTCCATCAACAGGTGATTGGATAAACAAAATGTGCTATGTGCATATTATACCAGGGACTACTACTCAGCCATAAAAAAATGAAGTCATACTTTTTGCAGCAACATAGATGGAACTAGAGGTCATTATCTTAAGCGAAATAATTCATAAGCGGAAATTAAAATACTGTATGTTCTCACATGTAAGTAAGGAGCTAAATAATGTGTACATATGGACATAGGGCATGGACTAATAGACACTGGAGACTCAGAAGGGTGAGAAGATGGGAGAGGTGAGGGATTAGAAATAAATTAATGCATACAATGTAGACTATTTGGGTGATGGCTACACTAAGAGCTCAGACTTCACCACTATGCAATATATCCATGTAACAAATGGCACTTGTAACCCCTAAATCTATACAAATTTTTTAAAAAGCAAGATGAAGTAGCCATATTACTAGTAAACAAAGTAGATTTTTAAACAAAACATATTGCCAGACATAAAGAAGGCCATTTAATAATGATTAAGAAGTCAATTTATCAAGAGGACTTGATCATCTTAAACATTCATACACTAATAATGAGCTTTAAAATGCATGAAATGAAAACTATCAAAATTTTACTATAACATTGCATAATAGTATTGCAAAAAAGAGGCAAATTCACAATCATATTTGGAGATTTAAATACTCCACCCATAAATGCTAGAACAAGTAGGCAGAAAATTAGCAAGGATACAGATTTGAACATCACATTCAGTCATCTTGACATAATTGGCATTTATGGAACACTCCACCAAACAATAGCAAAATGAACACATGGAATATTTACAAAGAGAGATCATATCCTGGGCCATAAAACAAGCCTCAGTAAATTTTAAAGGATGAGAGTCATAAAAAGTATGTTTTCTGACCACAGTGGTATTTCCTTTAAAATCAATACTAAAAAGAACTCTGGAAAATCCCTAAAATTTTGGAAACTGAATAACAAACATCTGGATAAGGCATGGGTCAAAGAAGAAATCAAAAGAGAAAGTAAAAAGTATTTTGAACTGCCACAACATATCAAAATTTGCGGCAATAATTAGGTGGAAATTTATAGCACTACTACCAATATTAGGAAAGAAGAAAGGCTTTCTTCTTTAAATCAATGGCCTTAGCTTTCACCTTAAACAACTAAAAAGAAAGAGTAAATTAAACCTAAATTAAGCAGAATAAAGTAAATAATAAATATCAGAGATGAAATCAATGAGACAGAAAAATAATGCAGGAAAATCAATGAAGCCAAACCTAGTTCTTTGAGTGGATCAAAAAAATTGACAAAACTCTAGCCATACTGATCTGGGATCAGAGACACAAATTACCAATATGTGGAATAAAATAGTGGTATCACTAGTGGTTCTACAGATATTAAAAAGATAATAAGGACATTTATAAATAATTTTATTCCATTTATTAAACAACTTGAAATTGAAACATTAAAATATAAAAATTTTCAAAATTTCATTTAATGAAATTGAAAAATTTATTGAAAGACACAAAGTATGAAAGTTTACTCAAGAAGATATAGATAATGGTAATTGTCTTATCTATTTTAAAAATTGAATTTGTATTTATAAACCTTCCCGTAGAAGAGACTCTCGGCCCAGATAGCTTCACTGGTGAATTCTACCAAATATTTAATCAAGAAATAGTTCTGAAGGGTAGCCTCTTCTCCTTAACCAAGATATTGGCTTGTCCCTGTTTTGCCACAGTTCCTACCTTATGAGCTTGGTTTTCTTACACTAATAAGAGTGGAACAGAGCAGAGATACACCATTCCAGGGAACAGGATCGTCATGGCAGATGGGAGGCAGAACTAGATTGCAGCTCCGGACAGAGAAGCACGCAGGGGCTCACACTGTGAGTTTTAGCTCTAGATTGACTGCAAAAACAAACCAGCAATCCCAAGAGGACCCACAGACCCTCTGAAGGAAGCAGACTGCTCCTGCAGGACCTGGGAGACCCCCACAAAACTGTGAGTGCCCCAACTGCGGAAGTGGAAAAGGGAGACCCTCCTCTCCCAAACTCACCCCCAGTGGAAAAGTTGTAGGTCTGTTTGTGGGAGAAGCTTCTGACTTTACCTGAAGCTGAGTCAGTTTGGAGAGCCAAGTGAAATACAGGGCTAGAGGAAGCAGTAGAAAGGCCCTGGGAACTCGTTGGGTCCCCTAGCAGGCCATTCCTGCTTGGCACCACAGGGATCCAACAGGAGAGGAGTCGGGGGTAAAACTCCACGGGAGAAGGAAATCTCTAGCTGAACTTTGTAATAATTTGAATGGGGTGAGAAGCCTCCTGGCCAGAACTCACAGGAGGGCACAAATCTGGTGTGCAGACTGTACAAGTAGGGGAAGAACCAAGCCTTTCTCTTTCACAGCTGGGAAGCAGGTAGCCTGGGGCAGGTTTTCAAGTCCATGTAACTCTCCACCTGGAAATGGACTGGGGGCTGTTGGTGAGGCATGGTGAGAGTGAGACTGGCCCTTCAGTTTGTATGGGAGCTGGTTGAGGCCTGTGACTGCCAGCTTTCCCCCACTTCCCTGACAACCTGCATGACTCAGCAGAGGCAGCCATAATCCTCCTAGGTACACAAATCCAGTGACCTGGGAATCTCACCCACATCCCCCACAGCAGCCACAGAAAGACCTGTCAAAGGAGATTCTGAGCTCAGACATTCCTACCCCCACCCCCACCTGATGGTCCTTCCCTACCCACCCTGGAAGTGGAAGACAAAGGGCATATAATCTTGGGAGTTCTAGGGCCCCAGCCACTGCTGGTTCCTCTCATACTACCACAGCTGATGCTCTCTGGAAAGCACCACCTCCTGGCAGGCCAACCAGCACAAAAATAGAGCATTAAACCACCAAAGCTAAGAACCCTCACGAAGTCCATTGCACACTCCCCCACCCCCACCACCACCCCTCCACTGGAATAGGCACTGGTATCCACAGCTGAGAGACCCACAGACAATTCACATCACAGGACTCTGTGCAGACAACTCCCAGTACAAGCCCAGAGCTGACTAGATTCACTGGGTGGCTAAACCCAGAAGAGAGACAACAATCACTAGAGTTCAGCTCACAGGAAAAGGGGAGAGTGCTACATCATTGGAACACTCCATGGGACAAAAGAATCTGAACAATAGCTTTCAACCCTAGACCTTCCCTCTGACAGAGAGAATGAGAAAAAAACAGAAAACCAACTTCCCAAACAAGAAGGAACCAGAAAACCAACCCTGGTAATATGACAAAACAAGGCTCTTCAACACTCACAAAAAAATCACACTAGTTCACCAGCAATGGATCCAAACCAAGAATAAATCCCTGATTTACCTAATTTATTATATGCCCTTTGTCTTCCACTACCAGGGTGGCTAGGGAAGGACCATCAGGTGGGTATGGGGCTAGGCATGTCTGAGCTCAGACTCTCCTTGGGCAGGCCCTGTTGTGGCTGCTGAGGGAGATGTGGGTGAGATTCCCAGGTCACTGGAGTTGTGTACCTAGCAGGATTATGGCTGCCTCTGCTGAGTCATGCAGGAGGTTAGTTATTAAGCATCAGGGAGGGACCAGAGAAAGGTGAAGCCCAATGCAAAGAAATCTAAAAAATGATACAAAAAGCAAAGGGAGAAATATTCAAGGAAATAGATAGCTTAACAAACAAACAAACAAAAATTCAGGAAACTTTGGATACACTTTTAGAAATATGAAATGCTCTGGAGAGTCTCAGCAATAGAATTGAACAAGTAGGAGAAACAAATTCAGAGATCAAAAACAAGGTCTTCAAATTAGCCTGATCCAACAAAGACAAAGAAAAAAGAATAAGAAAATATGAACAAAGTCTCCAAGAAGTCTGAGATTATGTTAAATGACAAAACCTAAGAATAACTGGTGTTCTGGAGGAAGAAAAGAATTCCAAAAGCTTGGAAAACATATTTGAGGGAATAATCAGGGAAAACTTCCCTGGCCTTGCTAGAGACCTAGACATCCAAATACAAGAAGCACAAAGAACACCTGGGAAATTCATTGCAAAAAGATCTTCACCTAGGCACATTGTCATCAGGTTATTCAAAGTTAAGACAAAGGAAAGAATCTTAAAAGCTATGAGACAGAAGCACAAGGTAACCTATAAAGGAAAACTTATAAGATTAACAGCAGATTTCTCAGCAGAAACCCTACAAACCAGAAGGGATTGGAGCCTTATCTACAGCCTACTCAAACAAAACAATTATCAGCCAAGAATTTGGTATCCACCAAAACTAAGCATCATATATGAAGAAAAGACACAGTCTTTTTCAGACAAACAAATGCTGAGAGAATTCGCCATTACCAAGCCACAACTACAAGAACTGTGAAGAGGAGCTCTAAATCTTGAAACAAATCCTGGAAACACATCAAAACAGAACCTCTTTAAAGCGTAAATCACACAGGACCTATAAAACAAAAATACAAGTTAAAAAGCAAAAACAAAAAACAATAAAACAATAAAACCAAAGTACACAGGCAACAAAGAGCACGATGAATGCAACAGTACCTCACATTTTAATACTAACATTGAATGTAAATAGCCTAAATGCTCCACTGAAACGATACAGAACTGCAGAATGGGTAAGAACTCACCAAGCAAGTATCTGCTTCCTTCAGGAGACTCACCTAACATATAAGGACTCACATAAACTTAAAGTAAGGGGGTGGAAAAAGGCATTTCATGCAAATGAACACCAAAAGCGAGCAGGGATAGCTATTCTTATATCAGACCAAACAAACTTTAAAGCAATGGCAGTTAAAAGAGACAAAGAGGGACATTATATAATGGTAAAAGACCTTGTCAAACAGGAAAATATCACAATCCTAAACATATGTGCACCTAACACTGGATATCCCAAATTTACTAATTACTAATAGACCTGAGAAATGAGATAGACAGCAACACAGTAATAGTGGGGACTTCAATACTCCACTGACAGCACTAGACAGGACATCAAGACAGAAAGTCAACAGGGAAACAATGGATTTAAACTATACCTTGGAACAAATGGACTTAACAGATACATACAGAACATTTCAGCCAACAACCGCAGAATACACATTCTGTTCAACAGCACATGGAACATTCTCCAAGATAGACCATATGGTAGGCCATAAAACAAACCTCAATAAATTTAAGAAAATTGAAATTATATCAAGCACTCTCTCAGACCACAGTGGAATAAAACTGGAAATTAACTCCAAAAGGAACCTTCAAAACCATGCAAATACACAGAAATTAAATAACTTGCTCTTGAATGAGCATTGAGTCAAAAACAAAATGAAGATGGAAATTTAAAAATTCTGCAAACTGAATGACAATAATGACACAACCTCTTAAAACCTCTGGGATACAGCAAAGGTGGTTCTAAGAGGAAAGTTCATAGCCCTAAATGCCTATGTCAAAAAGACTGAAAGGGCACAAACTGACACTCTAAGGTCACACCTCAAGGAACTAGAGAAACAAGAACAAACCAAACCCAAATCCAGCAGAAGAAAGGAAATAACCAAGATCAGAGCAGAAGTAAATGAAATCAAAACAAACAAAAAAATACAAAAGATAAATGAAACAAAAAGCCGGTTCTTTGAAAAGATAAAATTGATAGACAATTGGCAAGATTAACTGAGAAAAGAGAGAAACCCAAATAACCTCACTAAGAAATGAAACAGGAGATATTACAACTGACAGCACTGATATACAAAAGTTCATTCAAGGCTACTATGAACATCTTTATGCACACAAACTAGAAAGTCTAGAAGAGATGGATAAATTCCTGGAAAAATACAACCCTCCTAGCTTAAATCAGGAACAATTAGATACCCTGAACAGTCCAATAACAAGCAGTGAGATTGAAATGGTAATTTAAAAATTAGCAACAAAGAAGCCCAGGACCAGACAGATTCACAGCAGAATTCTACCAGGCATTCAAAGAAGAATTGGTACCCATACTTTTGACACTATTCCACAAGATAGAGAAAGAAGGAACACACCCTAATTCATTCTGTGAAGCCAGTATCACCCTAATACCAAAACCGGGAAAAGACATAACCAAAAAAGAAAACTACGGACCGATATCCTTGATGAACATAGATGCTAAAACCCTTAACAAAATACTAGCTAACCAAATCCAACAACATATCAAAAAGATAATCCACCATGATCAAGTGGGCTTCATACCAGGGATGGAGGGATGGTTTAACATACGCAAGTCAATAAATGTGATACACCACATAAACAGAATTAAAAACAAAAATCACGTGATCATTAAATAGATGCAGAAAAAGCATTCGACAAAATCCAGCATTTCTTTATGATTAAAACTCTCAGCAAAATCAGCGTACAAGGGACATACCTTAATGTAATAAAAGCCATTAATGACAAACCCACAGCCAACATAATACTGAATGGGGAAAAGTTGAAAGCATTCCCTCTGAGAACTGGAACAAGACAAGGATGCCCACTCTCACCACTCCTCTTCAACATAGTACAGGAAGTCCTAGCCAGAGCAATCAGACAAGAGAAAGACATAAAGGGAATCCAAATAGGTAAAGAGGAAGTCAAATTGTCACTGTTTGCTGAGGATATGATTGTTTACCTTGAAAACCCTAAGGAGTCCTTCAAAAAGCTCCTAGAACTGATAAAAGAATTCAGCAAAGTCTCTGGATTAAGATTAATGTGCACAAATCAGTAGCTCTTCTATTCACCAACAGCAACCAAGCAGAGAATCCAATCAAGAACACAACCCCTTTTACAATAGCTGCAAAATAATAAAATACTTAGGAATATACTTAACCAAGGAGTCAAAAGACCTCAACAAGGAAAACTACAAAATACTGCTGAAAGAAATCATAGATGACAAGAACAAATGGAAACACATCCTATGCTCATGGATGGCTAGAATCAAGATAGTGAAAATGACCATACTGCCAAAAGCAATCTACAAATTCAATGCAATCCCCATCAAAATACCACCATCATTCTTCACAGAATTAGAAAAAACAATTCCAAAGTTCATGTGAAACCAAAAAAGAGCCTGCATAGCCAAAGCAAGACTAAGCAAAAAGAACAAATCTGGAGGTATCACACCACCTGATTTAAAACTATACCATAAGGCTATAGTCACCAAAACAATATGCTACTGGTACAAAAACAGGCACACAGACCAATGGAACTGAATAGAGGACCCAGATATAATACCAAATACTTACAGCCAATTGACCTTTGACAAAGCAAACAAAAAAAATAAAGTAGGGAAAGGACACCCTTTTCTTTTTGTTGTTGTTGTTTATTTATTTATTTTTATTATACTTTAAGTTCTAGGGTACGTGTGCACAATCTGCAGGTTTGTTACATAGGTATGCACGTGCCATGTTGCTTTGCTGCACCCATCAACTCATCATTTACATTAGGTATTTCTCCTAATGCTATCCCTCCCCCAGCCCCCCATCCCCCGACAGGCCCCAGTGTGTAACGTTCCCCGCCCTGTGTCCATGTGTTCTCATTGTTCAACTCCCACCTATGAGTGAGAACATGTGGTGTTTGGTTTTCTGAAGGACACTCTTTTCAACAAATGGTGCTGGGATAATTGGCTAGCCACATGTAGGAGAATGAAACTGGATCTTCATCTCTCACCTTATATAAAAATCAACTCAAGATGGGTTAAAGACTTAAACCTAAGACCTGAAACCATAAAAGCTCTAGAAGATAACATTGGGAAAAAACCCTTCTAGACATTGGCTTAGGCAAGGATTTCATGACCAAGAACCCAAAAGCAAATGCAATAAAAATGAAGATAAATAGCTGGGACCTAATTAAACTAAGGAGCTTTTGCATGGCAAAAGGAACAGTCAGCAGAGTAAACAGACAACCCACAGAGTGGGAGAAAATCTTCACAATCTATACATCTGACAAATGACTAATATCCAGAATCTACAATGAACTCAAACTAATCAGTAAGAAAAAAACACACAATCCCATCAAAAACTGGGCAAAGGACATGAATAGACAATTCTCAAAAGAAGATATACAAATGACCAACAAACATATGAAAAAATGCTCAACATCACTAATGATCAGGGAAATGCAAATCAAAACCACAATGCGATACCACATCACTCCTGCAAGAATGGCCATAATAAAAAAATCAAAAAACAGTAGATGTTGGCGTGGATGTGGTGAACAGGGAACACTTCTACACCGCTGGTGGGAATGTAAACTACTACAGCAGCTACGGAAAACAGTGTGGAGATTCCTTAAAGAACTAAAAGGAGAACGATAATTTGATCCAGCAATCCCACTACTGGGTATCTACCCAAAGGAAAAGAAGTCATTATTCAAAAAGTATACTTGTGCATGCATGTTTATAGCAGCACAATTCACAATTGCAAAATCGTGGAACCAACCCAAATGCCCATCAGTTAGTGAGTGGATAAAGAAACTGTGGTATATGTATGTGATGGAATACTATGCAGCCATAAAAAGGAATAAATTGACAGCATTTGCAGTGACCTGGATGAGATTGGAGACTATTATTCTAAGTGAAGTAACATCAGGAATGGAAAACCAAACATCATATGTTCTCACAGATGTGTGGGAGCTAAGCTATGAGGATGCAAAGGCATAAGAATGATACAATGGACTTGGAACTTGGGGAGAAGATGGGGAGGGGAGCAAGGGATAAAAGACTGCAAATATGGTGCAGTGTATACTGCTCGGGTGATGGGTGCACCAAAATCTCACAAATCACCACTAAAGAACTTACTCGTGTAACCAAATACCACCCATACCCCAATAACTTATGGAAAAGAAAAAATAAATAGTTCTAATTTTACAAACATTTCCGTAGAATTGAAAACAATGTAAGATTTCCCAACACTTTCTATGAGGCCACAAATGCCTGTATTACCAAAATCAGACAGACATTTCATGAAAAGAAAACTAAAAACCAATATTTCTCATACACATGGTTGCAAAAATTTGAAATTCAATTTTAACAAGCCAAATCCAACAAAATGGACAATGCATAATGACCATGTGGAATTTTTCAAAGAAATGCAAAGTTGGCTTAACATTTAAAAAAATCAAAGAATGTAATTCACCATATTAAAACTAAAAAGAAAATAAATGTGATCACCTATATGGTCCTAAAAAAAAGCAAAAATCCAATACCCATTTCTGATTTAAAAATTTTTTAAAATCTCTTAGTAAACTACGATCAGAAGAAAAATTTGTCAACCTGATAAAGGGCATCTACAAAAAACCCACAGCTAATATCATACTTAATGGTGAAAGATTGAATGCTTTGCCTCTAAGATTAGGAACAAGACAAGGATGTCCAGTCACACTGGAGGTTCTAGTCAGTGCCTAATAAGGCAAGACAAAGAAATAAAAGCAACCAGATTTGAATGGAAGAAGTAAAACTATTTTTATTTGCAACATGATCATATATGTAGAAAACCTGATGAAATCTACAAAAAGTCTAAGAACTAATAAGTGAATTTAACAAGGTTGTAGGAGAAAAGACAAATATACAAAAATCAATAGTTTTTTTATACAAAGTACTAGAAACAGTGAAAAATTGAAAAATACCATTTATAATAGCATCGAAATATTAAATACTTAAGAAAAAATGTGACAAAAGATATGAAAGATCTACACATGAAAAACTGCAAAATATTGCTAAGAGAAATTAAAGACCTAAATAAATAGATAGATATACCCTATTCATGAATTGAAAGATTGAATATTTTAAGATGTTATTTCTCCCCTAATTGAACTACAGATTCAATGCAAACTCACGGCAAATTTCTGTAGGCTTTTTGTAAAAATTGACGACTGAATTTTAAAATTCAAATGGATATGCAAAGAACTTAAAGTAGCCAAAACAAGTTTAAAAGACAACAAAAAACTTGGAGAATTTACATCATTTTACTGCAAGACTTATTATAAAGCTATAGTAATCAATACAGTGTGGTATTTGTGTAAAGATATACAAATATGAACAGGAGTCCAGAAATAGACCCACAAATATATGGTCAACTGAATTTGTTTTTTTTAAGTGTAGGGGCAATTCAGTGGAGAAAGAAAAATCTTGTCAACAAATGGTGCTGGAACAATTGGATATCCACATAGAAAAAAAGAGAACTGCAGCCTATATCTCACACCATAATCAAAAGTTAATTCAAAATGGATCATAGACCTAAATGTAAAACTTAAAACTATAAAATTTCTAGAACAAAAATTTAGAAGAAAGCCTCATGACCTTGGATTAAGCAAAGATGTCTACATCACTTAAAAATGATCCATAAAAGAAAAAAAAATCAAATGTCATCAAGGTTTAAATTTCTGCTCTTATAAAGACATTGCTAAAGAGAATGAAAAGACAAGATGCATACTGGGAGAAATACATATTATATCAAATGTATCATATGTATGCTATATATGTACACACACACACACACACACACACACACACACACGATAAAGAATTTGTATCCAGAATATGTAAAGAACTCTGAAAGCTCAGTAATTTTAAAAACCCAATTTAAAAGATTTGAACACATACTTCAAGAAGATATATAGGTAGCAAATAAGCACATAAAAAGGTACTCAACAAAATTAGTCACTAGGGAAATACAAATTAAAACCACCATGAGATAACCACTACACATCTATTTAAATGGATAGCATTAAAAAGACTGCCCATAGCAAGTGTTGGTGAGAATGTGGAGGAACTGGAACTCTCATACACTATTAGTGGAAATCTAAAACCACTTTGGGAAAGAGTGTGATAGTGTCTTAAAAAGATGAACATACACTTACCATATGATCCAACTATTAACCTTTAAGTATTTGCCCAAGCAAAATGAAAGTATATATTTCTACAAAGGATTCTTTTAAAAAATTATTTCAGTAGCTTTAGGTGTATTAGTGGTTTTTGGTTACATGGATGAATTGTGTAGTGGTGAAGTCTGAGATTTTACTGCACCCATCACCAAGTAGTGTACATTGTACCCAATGTGTAGTTTTTAAATCACTCATTCCCCTCCTACTTTCCTGCTTCTGAGTCTCCAATGTTCATTATACAATTCTGTATACCCTTGTGTACCCATAGCTTACCTCCCACTTATTAGTGAGAACATGCAGTATTTGGTTTTCAATTCCTGAATTACTTCACTTAGAATAAGGGTGTCCAGCTCCATCCAAGTTGCTGTGAAAGACATTATTTCATTCCTTTTTATGGCTGAGTAGTATTCTATGGTGTATACATACCACATTTTCTTTATCCTCTCTTCAGTTGATGGGCACTTAGGTTGGTTCCATATCTTTGCAACTGTGAATTATGCTGTGATAAACATATATGTGCAGGTGTCTTTTTGATATAATGACTTCTTTTCCTTTGGATAGATACCTAGTAGTAGGATTGCTGGATCACATGGTAGATCTACTTTTAGTTCTTTGAGAAATCTTATACCGTTTTCCATACAGGTTGAACTAATTTACATTCCCACCAGCAGTGTGTAAGTGTTCCCTTTTCACCATATCCATGCCAACATCTATTGTTTTTTTGATTTTTAATAATGGTCATTCTGGCTGGAGTAAGGTGGTATCTCATTGTCATTTTAGTTTGCATTTCCCTGATGATTGGTGATATTGAGCATTTTTTCATATGGCTGTTGGCTATTTTTACATCTTCTTTTGAGAAATGTCTATTCATGTCAATTGTCCACTTCTTGATGAGGTTTTTTTTTTCTTGCTGATTTGTTTGCGCTCCTTGTAGATTCTGGATTAGTCCTTTGTCAGATGCATAGTTTGCAAATATTTTCTCTCATTCTGTGGATTGCCTGTTTACTCTGATGATTATTTTGCTGTGCAGAAGCCTTTTCATTTAACTAGGTCCTATTTATTTATTTTTGTTTTTATTGCATTTGCTTTTGGGGTCTTAGTAATAAATTATTTGCATAGGCCAATGTTCAGAAAAGTTTTTCTGAAAACCTAGGTTTTTTTCTAGAATTTTAATGGTTTCTGGTCTTACATTTAGGTCATTAATCCATCTTGATTAAATTCAGAGAACACCTGTGAGACACTATATAAGATGACCATCCCCAAGACACATTATCCTCAGAATTGCCAAGATGGGCATGAAAGAAAAAAGCTTCAAAGTAGAGAAAAAGGTCCTATCACCTATAAAGAGAAGGCCATCAGGCTAACAGCAGACTTTGCAGCAGAAACACACAAGCCAGAGAAGATTGGGGGTCTATTGGTAGCATTCTTAAGGAAAAGAAATTCCAACCAAGAATTTCATATCTCGCCAAACTAAGCTTCATAAGCAAGGAGAAATAAAATCTTTCCCAGACAAGCAATTGTTAAGGGAATTTGTTACCACTCAATTGGTCTTACAAACGATGCTTAAGGGAGTTCTAAACATAGAAATGAAAGAACAACATCTGCTACCACAAAAACACACGTAATAGTACATAACCCACAGACCATATAAAGCAACTACACAATCGAGAATACAAAGCAACCGGTTATCAACACCATGACAGGATCAAAAGCCCACATATAAATATTAACCTTTATGTAAACAGTCTAAACACTCCACTTAAAAGACACAGAGTGGCAAATTGGATTAAAAAAAAAAAAAAAGAAAAGACCAACCTTCTGCTGTCTTCAAGAGACCTATCTTACATGTAACAAAACCCATAGGCTTAAGGTAAAGGGATGGGGAAAGATCTATCATGCAAATGGAAAACAAAAAAGATCAGGGGTTGCTATTCTTGTATCAGATAAAACAGACTTTAAACCAACAACAGTAAAAAAAGGACAAAGAAGGTCATTACATAATGATAAAAGTTTCATTGAAGAAGACTTAACTATTCTAAATATATATATGCATCGAACACTGGAGAACCCATATTCATAAAACAAGTACTTTTAAACTTAGGAAAAGACTTTGACTGCTATACAATAATAGTGGAGACTACAACACCCCCACTGACAGCATTAGACAGATCACTGAGGTAGAAAACTAACAGAAATTCCAGACTTAAATTCAACACTTGACCAATTGCACCTAATAAATATCTACAGAATACCCAACAACCACGGAATATACATTTTTCTCATCTGCATATAGAACATACTTTAAGAATGACCACATCCTCGGCCATAAAGCAAGTGTCAATAAATTTCAAAAAATCAAAATCCTATGAAGCATATTCTCAGACCACAGTGGAATAAAAATAAAAATCAATACCACCCTCAAAACCACCCAATTACATGTAAACTAAGCAATCTGCTCCCAAATGACTTTTGGGTAAACAAAGGAATTAAGGCAGAAACCAGAAAATTCTTTGAAATAAGTAAAAATGGAGACACAACATACTATAATCTCTGGGATGCAGCAAAAGCAATTAGTTAAGAGGAAAGTTTATAGTGCTAAATGCCTAAATCAAGAAGATAGAAAAATCTCAAATTAACAGTCTAACATTGCATCTAAAGGTACTAGAAAAACAAGAACTAACTATCTCAAAGCTAGCAGAAGAAAAGAAATAACTAAAATCAGGGCAGAACTCAATGAAATTGAGACCCCAAAAAAACCATACAAATGATCAATAAAATAAAAAGTTGATTATTTGAAAGAATAAACACAATAGATAGCTTAACAGCTAGATTAACAAAGAAAAAAAAGAGAGAAGATCCAAATAAGCACAATCAGAAGTGACAAAGGTGACATTACAATCAATCTCACAGAAATGCAAAAGATACTCAGAGACCAATATAAACACCTCTACATACACAAATAAGAAAATCTAGATAAAATGGATAAATTCCTGGAAATACACCACCATCCCAGATTGAACCAGGAAGAAATTAAAATCCTGAACAGACAAATAAGGAGTTCCAAAATTGAATCAGTAATAAAAAGATCTGCTAATCAAAGGAAGCCCTGAACTAGATGGATTTGCAGTAAAGCAGAATTCTACCAGGTGTTCAAAGAAAAGCTAGTACCAATACTCCTGAAAATATTCCAAAAAATGAAGGAGGAATTCCTCCCTAACTCATTCTATAAAACCAGTATCATCCTCATACCAAAATCTGTCAAAGACATAATGAAAAAAGAAAATGATAGGCCAATATTCCTGACGAACATAGACACAAAAATCCTTGATAAAATACTAGCAATCAAAATCCAGCAGCACATTCTAAAAGTTAATTCACCACAGTCAAGTAGGCTTCATTCCTGGCGATGCAAGGATGGTTCAACATATGAAATCAATAAACATGATTCACCATATAAACTGAATTTAAAAAAATAACATATGATCTTCTCAATAGATGCAGAAAAAGCTTTTGATAAAATCCAACATTACTTCATGATAAAAACCCTCAACAAACTAGCCATCAAAGGAACATACCTCAAAACAATAAGAGCCATCTATGACAAACCCACAGCCAACATCATACTGAAAGGACAAAACCTTGAAATATCTTCACTAAGAACTGAAACAAGACAAGGATGTCCAGTCTCACCACCGCTATTCAACATAGTACTGAAATTCCTAGCCAGAGCAATAAGGCAAGAGAAAGAAATAAAAGACATTCAAATAGGAAAAGAGAAAGTCAATTTACCCTTTTTGCTGATGAAATGATTCTATACTTAGAAAACCCTACAGACTCCATCGAAAGGGTCCTGGCACTGATAAATGACTTCAGTAAGGTTTCAGGGTACAAAATCAATGTACAAAAACCAGCAGCATTTCTATACACCAAAAACATTCAAGCTGAGAGCTAAATCAAGAATGCAATCCTATTTACAATAGCAACAAAAAATAAAATACCTAGGAATACATCTAAACAACAAGGTGAAAGATCTCTACGGGAAGAACTACGAAACACTGATGAAAGAAATCATAGATGACACAAATAAATGGAAAAGCATCCCATGCTCATGGCTTGAAAATAGCCATACTGTCCAAAGCAATCTACAGATTCAATGCTATTCCTATCAAACTACCAATGTCATTTTTCATAGAAGTAGAAAAAAAAATTTTTTAATTCATTTGGTACCAAAAAAGAGCCTGAATAGTCAAAGCAATCCTAAGCAATAAGAACAAATCCAGAGGCATCACAGTGCCTGACTTCAAACTATGCCAACATGCTGCAGTAACCAAAACAGCCTCATATTGGTACAAAAATAGATACATAGACCAATGAGACAACCACCAAATGATCTTTAACAAAGTCTACAAAAATAAGCAATGGAAAACGATTCCCTATTAAAAAAATAGTGCTGGGTAAACTGGCTAACCATATGCAGAAGAACGGAACTGGACACCTACCTATCACCATACACAAAAATCAACAAGATGGATTAAAGACTTAAATTTAAGACCTCAAACTATAAAAATTCTGTAAGAAAACCTAGGAAATAGCCTTCTGGACATCGTCTTTGGCAAATAATTTATGACTAAGTCATAATTCCTCAAAAGCAATTGTAACAAAAACAAAAATTGGCAAGTGGTCCTAATTAAATGAAAGAGTTTCTGCACAGTAAATGAAACTATCAAGAGAGTAAATAGACAACCTACAGAATGGGAGAAAATATTTGCAAACTATGCATCCAACAAAAAACTAATATCCAGAATCTATAAGGAACATAATTCAACAATCAGAAAACAAACAACCTGATTAAAAAGTGGGCAAAGAACATGAACAGACACCTCTCAAAAGAAGACATACAAGCACCCAACAAACATATGAAAAAATGCCCAACATCACGAATCATCAGAGAAATGCAAATCAAAACTACAATGAGATGCCATTGCACACCAGTCAGAATGGCTATAATTAAAAAATAAAAAAAAAACCAGACATTGGTGAGGCTGCAGAGAAAAGAGAACACTTATACACTATTGGTGGGAATTTAAATTAATTCAGCCAAGCAGTTTGGGGATTTCTCTAAGAACTAAAAATAGAACTACCATTCGACCCAGCAATTCCATGAATGGGTACACACTCAAAGGAAAATAAATTATTCTACCAAAAAGACACATGCACTCATATGTTTATCACAACACTATTAAGAACAATGACATGGAATCAACCTAGATGCCCACCAATGGTGGACTGGATAAAGGAAACATGGTATATATACACCATGGAATACTATACTGACATAAAAAAATAAAATCATGTCCTTTGCAGCAACATGGATACATCTGGAGGCCATCATACTAAGTAAATTAACAGAAAAAAAGAAAACAAATATCACGTTCTCACTTATAAGTGGAAGCTAAACTTCCAGCACACACAGACATATGGAGAGGAACAATAGACACTAGGGACTTCAAAAGGAGTGAGGGAGGTAGGGGCACAAGTTCCATAAAACTTTCTATTGGTTACTATTTCACTGTCTTGGTGACAGAATCAGTGGAAGCCGAAACCTCAGCATCATACAATATACCCATTTAATAAACCTGTACATGTACCCCTTGAATCTAAAATAAAAATTAAAATTGAAAAAAATTAAAAATTAAAAATTAAAATAAAAAAAACTTTTGAAAGTGATAGATATGTTCATTATCTTGATGTTTTTGATGGTGTCACTGGTAAATACATATGTCAGAACTTGTCAAATTGTACATTTTAAATTATACCTCAATAAAGCTGTCAAAAAAGAAAAAAGAAAGTAAAACCCAATGCTCTGTAGTATCTCTCTTCTGGTGTAGTGGGTGTCGTATGTGCTAATATTTATTCCTCCTGTGATCATTATACATCATGACCTTCTTCAATGAGCTCATAAGTTCCCTAAACGTGGGGACAATGTCTTTTACACTGTTGTTTTGTTTTGTTTTATTTAATTTCTCAGAGTATATTGGTTAGAGCTCTGGCAGAAATTGATGAAATACTGCAATTGAGGTAATTTAAGGAAATTTTAATAAAGGAACTTTTTTTCTTTGTTTTAACCAAGATGAGGTCATTGTTAAGGGATCTCCCACAAGGGTTACTACATGACCAAGGGCAGGTTACAGAGAGGTGTTATTATCACCCCTGGGCCTGAGGGAGTGAAGGGATAGTGTGCTTATCAGAACTTGGACTTAGAGAGAAAATTATGTGGTGAGGCCTGTGACCTTCAGTAGGGTAATACACCCAGCCTTAATAAGCCTGCAGTGGGAGAGCTGGGGGAATAGCTAACAGAAGTCACCATTCTAATCTCCTCTTGGTGCTTCCCATTGGACAAGTCTAACTGGAAGTCAGAGCATGAGGAAGACCATTGATATGGTATACCCAGGTCAATCTCTTGAGAGAGTGATCAGAGCACAGAAGGGTAGAGGGTGGGTCTGAAGGCACAAATGGGGATAGGCAGCACACAGAATATCTAGAACTATTTTGAACATGTGCTCACTTTGCAAATGCTTCTTGTCTGATTGATAAATTGTTGATTTAAAAATCTTGACAAAACTATCATATGAATGACTATTCATTGGCATTTGAAAGCACTTCTCTTTTAGGACCATCTGCAAATTCAATTGACAGTTATTTTCTCACTATTGCCTCGTCAGCCCTTCTCATTCCATCAAAATTGTGCCAAATAAAAAATTTCCAGGGTTATTCCTTGATTTTTCCTCTGAACTCTTCTCTACAATAGAGATATTTAGATAAACTCTAATCTTTGTTGGAAGCTACACTATTTTTAAGTGTCCCTCTAAAAAAAGTTTTCATATTTAAATAAATTTGGGAAACTAAATAAAGTGAATGAATATATGCTAAAATGTAGAAACTGCAGCAAAACTTCTACCTGGACATAAAGGTGTTTCCATATTCCTCTGAAATCGAGGTGGAGGTTTCCAACCCTCAGTTCTTGGCTTCTGTGCACCCACAGGCCCAACACCACACATAAGCTGCCAAGGCTTGGGGCTTGCACCCTCTGAAGCAATGGCCTAATCTGTACCTTCTCCCCTTTTAGCCATGGCTGGAGCTGAAGCAGCTGGGACGCAGGGCACCATGTCCTGAGGCTGCGTAGAGCAGGGGGACTCTGGGCCCAACCCACGAAACCATTTTTCCCTCCTAGGCCTCAGGTCTGTGATGGGAGGGGCTGCCATGAAGGTCTCTGACATTTTCTCCATTGTCTTGGTGATTAACATTTGGCTCCTCATTACTTATGCAAATTTCCGCAGTAAGCCTGAATTTCTCCCCAGAAAATGGGTTTTTCTTTTCTACTGCATCATCAGGCTGCAAATTTTCCAAACTTTTACGTTCTGCTTCCTCTTGAACACTTTGCCACTTAGAAATTTTTTCTGCCAGATACCCTAAATAATCTCTCTCAAGTTCAAAGTTCCACAGATCTCTACAGCAGGGGCAAAATGCTGCCAGTCTCTTTGCATAGCAAAAGTGACCTTTACTCCAGTTCCCAACAAGTTCTTCATCTCCATCTGAAATCATCTCAGCATGAACTTCATTGTCCATATCACTATCAGCATTTTGGTCAAAGGCATTCAACAAGTCTCTAGGACATTTCAAACTTTCCCAGATTTTCCTATCTTCCTCTGAACCCTCCAAACTGTTCCAAGCTCTGCCTGTTACCCAGTTCAGAAGTCGCTTCCACTTTTTCAGGTATCCTTACAGCAGCACCTCACTCTCTGTGGTACCAATTTACTGTATTAGTCTGTTCTCACGCTGCTATGAAGACATACCTGAGACTGGGTAATTTATTAAGGAAAGAGGTTTAATTGACTCACAGTTCTGGATGGCTAGGGAGGCCTCAGGAACCTTACAATCATGGCAGAAGGCACCTCTTCACAGGGCAGCAGGAGAGAGAATGAGTGCCAAGCAAAGCAGGGAAAAGCCCCTTATAAAACTGTCATATCTCATGAGAACTCACTACCATGAGAACAGCATGGGGGAACCACCCTCATAATCTAATTACTTGCCATGAGGTCCCTCCCACAACATGTGGGGATTATGGGGACTACAATTCAAGATGACATTTGGGTGGAAGCACAGCCAAACTGTATCACCAGGTCATCCTCCCATTTTTACAACCACAGAAGAGCATCCCAGTAGACCCATTCTAATGCTACCCATAAACTGGTTCTTGGCATTTCCAGAAAAAAGTTATCCATCAAAGAAAACTTTTACTGTTATCATTTATAATTGGGGAAGAAATAGAGACTCTGGTCCCCACTGATGTGGCATGTTCACAGAATGAGTTGGAAAGGGGGTTATGAGAAAAATCATGCCTGCTAAGCCTTGATAGAGCAATAAACAGAAAACCCAAGCTGTGCTCTACAGTCTCTCTGTGGGATATGACCTGCAATCTTCATTATCAAAAGAGCGAACATTGTTTTTTCTGCTTTTCAATAGGTAATTCACTCTTATTCAAAGAGATTGTAGATAAAAATGCTCTGTGCTTTTGAAATTTACAATCTGCTGGACAATAGTTTCTGAGTGTTATGAGCACCATAGTGAGAACAGATGTCCTTGGGCTCCCTCCCCTGCCTTCTCCTCCGCTTCCCTCCTCTCCCCAGTACCTCCCTGCTTCTTCTATCTGTCCTTTCCACTGCTCCCCAGCCTCCAAGGCTGCTTTTGTGTTAACTCCTGCTGCCTTCACATACAATGTCCCACTGTCATTCACAAACAATGGCCAGTGTCACAGATGAGACCTCAGACATCCTGGCCTGCTGAGCTCCAACTTGAAAAACTAGCAATTAAAAAAAATCCTCCTATCTGCTAATCTTCCTTCAAAAGAATCAGATGCAAAATCATGTTCTTTTTCATGAAAATGTTCCTAGCCTGTGGGTGTCAACAGAGGAAGTCTGCCACATCCCAAGGTGACTAGCAAGAAAGCCTCCCACCTCATCAGTAAAGAACAAACTGCTAGGCAACTCTTCACCCACCAGAACTACATAATCGCCTCCTCTGTCTGTTTTGGTGGGCAGTAAAATCTGGGGGCATTTGTTCTGGAGCTGTGAGTAAAAGGGAATGAGTTGGGTTTACTGCCATCTTTCACAATAAGGTGAACTGGACTCAAATATAATTGCAATGTTTAAAGCGGTCTCAACCCTTCTAACACAAATGCCAGCCTTCTTCAGCATTCAGTTACTTGGCGCCAATAAACAGCCCCTCCTCCCTTCTTTCTCTTGTAGAATAAACAGCATGTGCTGTCATACACTGTCTGTTCCCACCTCGACAGGAAAACCAAATGTCCCGATGTTTTGGTTCCCTCATGTCAGCTCAATACTGGCTGGAAGTACTCAACACAAAGAATGTCCCAAAGAAAGAATTTCATTTTACTTGATGAAACCAGTATTTTCAAGCCACAATCCAAACTCTGTGATCAAAGAATGTGATTATTTTCTTCCTAAATTAAGTAGTGGTGTGCAAGGCAAAAGTCCATGAGGCAAATTATACCTCCCTGTAGCCATCCAGGTAACACCACCAGATAAAGTTTTTCTTTGTCTAGTACAAGGCACCATTTCTCAAAATGTCTTCCCATATGCTCAGAAACACGTAGAATAGAGGGCCCCACTGCAGATATTCTGAATCATAACCTCTGCATTTGAACAAATGTTCCTGGTAATTCTCATGTTCGCTCACGTTTGAAAATTACCGGTCTAAACTAGGGAAAGGTAGGTATGGGTCCAGAGACTCTACCTATACCTGCTTAAGCTATTTTTTATGCATCGCAGAGAAGAGAAGGGTTTTGAAGGCATACCCAACTCTCTATGCTTTCTCCATAAAATTATTTTATTTAAAACATCACCTGTTATATCAACATGAATTTCTGCTTAAACACAAGTGATACACAAGACAAGGACAAATGCTCGGGTATGATTTATAAATATTTGCTATCAAATAGAATTACTTTAAATTTCTGCCTATACTTTCATACAATCTTATATTACCCACAGGCTGCCTTTGGGCTTATTCCTAGATGTGATTTCTATGCTTTGCCTGCTTTTGGAACACATATCCATTCTTTTTACTTTCCACCCTTCTTCCAAGGATTATTTCTTCCATCAGTTTTTGTCTTTATAGAGCAGGAATTCACAGAGGGTAATCTGGGAATCCCAGGGGTCCCTGAGACCCTTTCAGGGGACTGATGAGGTAAAAACTATTTTCAAAACTAAGATGTTATGTTCCTTTTTCCCTCTTATTTTCTCATGTGTGTACAATGGCATTTTCTGGAGGCTACATGATGAGCGATGACATAATCACTCTGATGGCTAATGGAATGCATTTCTGTGTATTCTTGTGCTTTAAGATTTTCTCGATTTTAATTTCTAATATGAAAAATATCAATAGATATAGTCCACATAAACAAAAGCTCTTTGAAGTCCAATTTTTATCAATATAAAGGGGTCCTAATACCAAATAGCTTGAGAACTGCTGTTATAGAAAATGGAGTCACATTTCTATCAAGATGGGCCACATTTTAGTAAATTCAGAATTCTTGATCCATCTACTCAGCTGCCATCTCCCTGATGATCAATCAGTGAGCAGCCAGTTTCTGAGTGCCTGTTACATGTCAGGCACTGTACATATAGCAGTTGAAGATAGGAAAGAAGAAAAGAAGGAAGAGAAGGAAGGAAAGAAGGAAGGAAGGAAGGGAGGCAGGCAAATGAATAAAGGACAAAGAATGAGCTCCTAAAGGCGTTTATAGCCTTCTATAATTCTATCTATAGGTAATATGAGAATTATCTCAAAAAACATTTAAACTTAAGCATGGGTTAAGGCCAGTTTATTTGTGTTTCCAAAAGCTCCCCAGATGATTCTAATGCATAACTTTAGTTAAGAATAACATCTAAAATAATTGCCTCCAAAAACTGAGGTACAGATTCCTCTTTCTCATATAACTTACTGGTGCTTAGAGTACCTATAAATACTCAGAAGCAGGCAGCAGAAAGACATTTGGCTAAACGAGTACAGGAAACATCGTGGGACTCTTGTCAGTTAATAGGAAGACAAGGTAGGCAAGAAGCATTCAGTGTCTAGGTCCAACAACAAGGTAAGATTAAGGGATCAGGTTTCAACAGGACTATAGAAAGCAAGGAGGGTCTTGAGTTCTGACTACAAGAGGAGTTGAGCAAGATTCCTTTGCAAGAACCAACACAGGGACCTTAGCTTCACAACTTGAGCTAAAGGAGATGGCAATTAGGCAAGAGGCCAGGTATCAAAGCCAAGTACATAGGGAAAGCAGAATTTGCACACTGGGCTTTCTAAATGTACTCTAGATGCAAGATTGGTTCTAGGAGGTGCAAAATGGAGCTGGGAATGGTGTGGCAGGGAAGAAGGCTTTCAGGGACCCTGGAGATGAGTGTGAAAGACACAAAAAGAGGAAACAGACAAATCACCAAGCTTTTAAAAGTAAGTGTTGATCACTCAAAACACTTTTAAAAAACTGTGGCATGGGTGAGAAACCATAGTAGTATGTTTTTAGTTCACTGTAAAGAACCATGATTACCTGAAAATTAGATCTTGATTTGCTTTTGTTGTCTTAATTTTAAATATTACAAAGCACTTTCTAGTCTAATCTGACTTCCTGCAAGAAATAAATTTTTAAAAATTATTTTCTTAAATAAATCCCCTGATCTTAGTTTTTTCTTCTCATTTGTCTTTTTTACCTAAATTTAATTTGTTGTTATAGTTAAACAGGATCCACTTTATTAAGATTTTACTACATATACATTTATTCTCAATTGAAAATCATACACCAGGCTCTACAAAAGTTTCAAACAGGATGCTGCATAACATTTACTTGAAAAATAGTATAAATTTAGTTAATTAGTAAAAAAATTTTCAGAATGTTATGACTTCGTACAGAAGGGTATGGAGTAGCATACTTTCAGGGATATTTCATGTTTACTTCACAGAGCACCTGGATACACCAGAGCTACTTTCTGACAAATTGATCGATTGATCCAATAAAATCAGGATGGCAGAGCAACTTTGTGGATGTAATGTTCAAACTCTGAGCATTTCCTTAACAGCAATTCTTTCTGAAGGAAATAATCAACTCAATTTTTCTAGTTCTGTGCCCAATGGTGTCATGGATAAAACTTCTATAGCAGCTAATCCTGCATAAATAGCAGCCAACTGTGTGTATTGGAGACACATTACCTTATTTGTATAGTAATAGATGTCTAAACCACTTTAGACTAGACTTTCATTTGAAAGGTGCACAAAAGGTATTTTTTTCATTTAATAAACATTTACTGAGCACCTCTTATGGGCCAAGCCCTATGCAAGCTACTGAGGAAACAAAGACAAGTTAGACCCAAATTCTGCTCTTGAGAAGTACTCAAACTAGTGAATCATACGCATAAATCATTGACTGCAATATATCAGAATGAATATAATGTTAGAGGAACAAACTATTGTTTGTGTGCAACTATGAGCAAACTATTATTTATCCTTGTAGTGGAAATAGAGGATGAGGGTAGAGAGTCAAGGACACAACAGAGAGAAAGTGATATTTGAATTGGTACTTGAAAAGTGAGCAGGAATTTTCCAGAGGTAAAAAAGAGTGAGAGGGAAAATGTTTCCTTTTTTAAAGGCTTGTAAAACTGCCTTTAAGATGGCTTCTTGTATTCAGGGAGTAGGAGAACTGAGGAGGTGGATTACTTGATGAGGTCAAGAATGGACTCAATGGCATTTCCACAAAGAAAAACCTTAGCTGCCTCTTCCCTCCTAGGTGTCTTTGTTTTGTTTACCACTCTATTTCAATGAATCACCAGCTGGATGAAACCCAAGCAACCTTGGCAGATGAGGACTTGTTTTACCTATACTGGACTTCAAGGACTCTCTTTAGCTGACTCTTTGCAATATACGATTCTCATTGTCAGAGAATCTACATGCTCTGAACTTTTGAGCCTATCCTGTCCCATGTTTCTGGAATGAACTCTTGAAAGGCATGCTTATTAAATTCAAAGAATGTGGTAGGTTGGGTTTAGCAAATGTATGGAATGACAGATTCTGGGCACAAGAGTAATTCAGGCTAAAATTATGGCACAGATCCAGTGGGAGAAAAGGTAATAAAAACTGTGTAGAGTTCTTGAATTTGGGTTCATAAGACTAACTTCTAGAATGAGGATAGAGGATGAATAGGATCAAGTGTGGAATGACATAGGTTTCCATGATCTCTAAGCTCAGTGTACACAGATAGGGAGAATCTTCTAAAATTAGCTGACAAACCCTAAGTTATCACAATTCCATCCCATTTCAGGACAATCAGACCATCCCTGAAGTGTTGTGCTCCCTTCTGGAAAGCGTCCCTTAAAGATGTGGACGAAATGGAGTATGCCCAGAAGAAGAAATGGGATGATAAGAGATTTGAGAAACCACATCACAAGATAAAAAATTGAAGACCAGAGAAATCAAGGTAAAGAGGATAGGCCATTAATTATCTTCAACTAAGAAAAGTATGTACATATATAATGTATTTAATCTCCCTATGATACCATTTCAGAAGATTGATTTTGAAAAGACATTTGAGTGTATGTTGAGATCTCTTTCTGTATTCTTTAGGCTGTCTACAAATTCATTGGTTTAGCCCTGTGCAATTACCACACTATTTTATTATTATTTAAATATTGCATTATTTCACATTATCGCCTCTATTGGTTTTGTGCTTATACCAATTAGTATCAATATTTTAGTGGTTATCTTAGAAATTACAAACTTTTTTTTTTTTTTTTGAGATGGTGTCTCACTCTGTCTCCCAGGCTGGAGTGCAGTGGCGTGATCTCGGCTCACTGCAACCTGCGTCCCCTGGGTTCAAGCAATTCTCCTGCCTCAGCTTCCTGAGTAGCTGGGATTACAGACATGCACCACCACGCCTGACTAATTTTTGTATTTTTAGTAGAGACGGGGTTTCACCATGTTGGCCTAGCTGGTTTCAAACTCCTGACCTCAAGTGATCCCCCCGCCTCGGCCTCCCAAAGCGCTGGGATTTACAGGCATGAGCTACAGCCTGTAGTTCTCCTTGAAGAGATCCTTCACATCCCTTGTTAGCTGTATTCCTAGGTATTTTATTCTCTTTGTAGCAATTGTGAATGGGAGTTCATTCATGATTTAGCTCACTGCTTGCCTATTGGTGGTGTGAAGAAATGTTTGTGATTTTTGCACATTGATTTTGTATCCTGAGAATTTGCTGAAGTTACTTATCAGTTCCAGAAGTTTTTGGGCTGAGACGATGGGGTTTTCTAAATACAGAATCTTGTATTCTGCAAACAGAGATATCTGGACTTCCTCTCTTCTAAAACTGTATACATTCACACCTACCTTCCCAACCATGATCTTAGACATCTGTTACATCTGGACAGGTAAAGCATAGAACTATACACCCCCAGTGGCTTCTCTCTTTGCTCCATTGGGGGAGGGGTGGTTGAAATGGCCCTAGAGTTAAGCAGTAGGTTGGTCCTGAGCCTGGCCAAAATTGTAAAGTGGATAGTGTTCATCTTCTGTGCCTTTCTCCCCTCTATGTCCCCCTCTATCTCTGTCAATCTTCACTCAAGGAAGGAGCTCTCCTTGATTCTTCACTACCATCTCTCTACATCTAAGCCTGCACTGGCTCTTCCTATGCAGGTGCAAACCATCACGCATAGTATTAGATAAGTGTTCATAAGACCAGAAGCATCAGCATCACCTGGGAACTAGTTAAATCTGTGAAGTCACATTCAGAACTACCAAATCAGAAACTCTAAGGTTGGGGACCTTGTCATTTGTATTCTATTAAGCCTTTTAGGTGATTTTAGTGGAGGATGAAGTTTGAGAATCACTGCTTTAGAATCATTAGTCATCCTGAACTATAGATGATATCAGATTTTAGCATCTCCCCATCTGACTTATTATAGGTCTATTTGTGTTTTCCAGCTACCAGTACTGCCTGCATAATTTGCTAGCTCAGTGCAAAATGAAAATGTGGGGCCTCTTGTTTTAAAAGAAGGAAAATAGTGTCAGTAAAAGTATACAGAGGCCTTTTCCTTTCTTACCCATCTCTCTTGACTTGTCACAGTGTTTTTTTATTTGTAATTTACTATCATTCTGATTAAAGAAAAATGAAAGGTTTTAAGTTACTAGCATAAATTTTACCATTCCTCTTTATATTGTGTAATATCAGTTTGAATTGCAAATATTAGAGTATTTAACCCATATGCAGAATCACAAAACTTCACAGTTTGTATTTTGTGGAAGGTGCTTTGAGTTGGCCCGAAGAGACAGACACAAACCAGGTTCAGGAAGTTGCAAGGAGAAAAAGAGGATCCCTCAAGACAGAGCAAGTTGACAGCAGTCTCAACATGGGACACTCATAGGAAAAGTGCAGACTCTCCCAGACACCTGGGGCCTCTGCCTGCTACATGGGGTATACTCACTTGGGCCTGATAGTCAACAGGTTCCTCCTCCCCCAAGCTGCTTAACCAACACTCCAACAGAGAAGTGGAGCCTGGGGAATTCCAGCAAGTATTCTTCCCATGGTCTGCTGCCCCAATCCACAACAGATGGATGACCTCTACAGATCTTTAAACCTCCATGCCAGGACACAGTCAGTACATAGATCAGGGGTGGGCAAGGGGATTGCCCTCACTAAGACACACAATTGCCTACCAGATATGACATGGTACTACCAGTCTAAGGGCAGGGACAGCCATTGCCATGCCCATCCAGGGATTCCACAGAGTGAAAGCACACAACCCTGCCTTCCCCACACTCATACCCATGCCCTTGTCAGGGACAAAGAGTATCAGCTGTTGGGGCTGAGGGCAGGGACAGCCACTGCCATGCCCATCCAGGGATTCCACAGAGTGAAAGCACACAACCCTGCTTTCCCCACACTCATACCCATGCCCTTGACAGGGACAAAGAGTATCAGCTGTTGGGGCTCAGGTAAGGTGCGACATGGGGTATCAGGGGCAGGGGAGCATATGGCTGAGAAGCTGTCTCAGGTTGGGGGCAGGAGGCAAGACCTTCCTTGAGTTGAGGCTCCAAGCTTCTTGCATATTCCCCGTTGTCCATTCAGACATCATTTACAAAACACAAATTCCAAAATACAATTATTAAGAATTTGAAGATGGTGACCAGGTAGCATTAAGCTCCCAGATCAGGGCTCTTCTAAGCATAGGGTCCTGTGTAACTATACTGCTCACATGCCCATGAAGCCAGTCCTGCCAGCTACTCCTGAAATGGGTAGGATAAAACCTGACCAGATCAATGGCATACCTATCCAGACTCCACACTGCCTTAGGAATAGAGTGGATCTCCTCAACTAGTTTTAAAAAAACCTTCAGAATCTAACCCCTGATCATTTCTTCAATCTCATCTTTACCTAGTACCCCCTCTGCAACTATAGATTTTAGCCAAACTGAACTTACTAGCAGTTGCTTTAATCCACAAAGCTCTTTCTCAACTGCCTGTTGCTTCTGCTTCTGCCTGGAATGCTTTTCGCTTTCACTACCACCACCTGCACCTCCACCTTCCCCTACTTTTTCTCCTACTCTATCTTTCAGGTGAATACTCTAGATGCATCTGGCATCCTGTGTGGTACTGTACCATAATGCATTCAACCCAAGTGTGGGAATTAAAGTTGCCTGTTTACCTGCCTGTCCCCACAATAGCTATAAACTCCAAGAAGGAAGAGCTGGTGTCTTGTTCACTATATCTTCAGTGCTTGACAGAGTATTGGCAAGAGTAGGAAACAGTGACACTAATTAAATGGATGACTGGTCCAAGCTGTAAGACTCAGTGTGCTTTCACTGAAACAACCGCCTGTCAAAGTATCTTATGACTAAATGCTGTAATCTTTTATTCTCTGAGTCACACACAGAACTACTTCCTTTTTTGAGATTGTTTTTGTATCTGTCATATAGTTTTAAGTGGTTGAAGTTTATAGGACTTTCTTCAGATGAGATGCAATCTCTTCTTGCTTCAGTAGAATTTATACCTTAAAGATTTTTTAATCTTTCCTATTCTTCACTTGCTTCAAAAGTATTTATGATAACCGCAAGTGGTGGTGACCCCAGAATTATGATCTGAAATGCCTTTGGATCATCAGCACAGGATTTTGCAAGTAAGGCTGTGCATAGGTCAGGGCTCTCCAGGCAGGTCAGCATGCTTAAAGTCTTTAGGCTTAGAAGCCCTTAAAATATAAAAATAAATAAAATGAACATCAGTTACATTTTCTCTCACTGTGTACTCAGACATAAAAACCTCTCATTTTCTAAGAACCCTAAAGAGACAACTTGGGATTCACCTGAATCATTTGTCGTTGGCTCCTAAGAGATAGATAAAAATTAGGCGATAGCACAGCACGTGGAGGGAAGGAAATTCAGATGTCTTTGCTGCCCATTCCCTTCAGAGTGGGGCTCCACTTTGTCACAGTGTTCAGAGGTCAGAATCCAGAGCCCCAGCAAGAGCTCAAACATGCAGCGGCCCTCTGAGCTTTCTACCACCCAGCATTCATATTGACTTGGCTTTGAGGCTAACAATGGAAAGCTAGAGTTAGATTTGTCAAACTGTGCCTTGTATAAATTTGCTTGGTGTCTGAAGGCTGTTTTGAAAGTATATTTAGGCTTCTGGTACTCTTGTGAAATTAATTGTTTAAAAATAGCTTGTTTGGTGGGTATAACTTCTGAAATAATTCACTTTTTTAAAGTAACACTGTAATTTTTACTCAGTGGCAATGTGTTTGTTCTAAAGTACACATAGTTTATAATGGAAAGTAAGCCATGATCATGTGACTCTTCTGGAGAAAGAAGAGGTATTATATTTGCTTCACTTGACCCAGAGGTGCACAACCACAAGGACAGAAAAACATTTTGTAACTTCTATAGCTACTTTTTACTTCACTTGTCTAACATTTATTTAATTATTCATATTTTTCAATTTCTCTTCCTACCTATAACAGTAACTATGGATCACAAACTGTGTGCACATTTATTCTGTAACAGTATAACAAAATGGTTAAAAACACACCCAGCATCGGGAGCCAGAGTGCCTGGATTCAAATCTGAACCCCAGCTGGCTCACTTGCTATGAGACCTTGGGCTTCTCTGAGCCTCAGTTTCCTCATCTATAAAAAGGGGATAATAATACTGCCCACCCCACAGAGTTTTTGTGTGGTGCTATTACATGGGTCAATATGTTTCTTTATATTTAGCACTATAGATGTATTAGATAGGAATCACATTAGCAAGATGGCAGACTAGACGTTTTTATTATTATCTTTCCACAGAAGCATAGACAAGGGTTGATAACCACTCATGGATGACAGCACCTTTATGAGAGTCCAGTTGTATACTGGAGAAGTTCCGGCACAACATTGGAGCAAAAAATTTGAAAGTACATGCATTGAAGATGGTTAAAAAGAAGAGTTTCACTTTACTTCCATCACCTCTCCCTCAAGGCAGCATACCTCAGTGCCCAGACAGATCCCCCAGGTCCACAATTCCTTTGGACTGTGAGAACATAGTGAGTGCTCAGCTTCCACAGGCATTCAGGATGCTGCCCAAGAGGGCAACATTTTTTCTTGTCTGACATAGAATACTGACGTGATCGGCATAGCTGAGTGGTTGGGAGAGGCTGAGAACAGGGAATAGAGGCAGAGACTCACAGAAATTAGGGCCTGATGTCACCTGATGTCAACAAAGGGCCACAGATCCTACCAACCACTTCACAGACTTCATCAGGAAGCCTGCCCATGAGGTGCTGAAGACTCCCTGCCTGATGACCTCCCCACCAATTGACCCATAGGCACCTCCAGTGCTCTATATTTCTCACCTCCTGCAACCCATGACTGGCTCCCTATGCACACTCCCACAGAAGGCAAATGTCAGCCTCTGTGGATAGCTCAAGAGCATGAATGGTTAGCTGGCCTGACTCCGTGGGACTGGAGGAAGGCGCATGAACTTGAGCATTTCAGGGCACCACTCTAAGGAAAAAAAAAAACAGGAGGCTGTCAGCACCTGACCTTTGTGGGATCAAGAGAAAGCACACAAACTTAAGAATTTTCTCCTAAGAGGGAGCAAGAAGGTAGTTCTGTTTTAAGTTCTTTGAGAAATCTCCAAACTGCTTTCCGCAGTGGCTGAACTAATTTACATTCCCACCTGCAGTGTATAAGTGTTCCCTTTTCTCCACAACATTGCCAGCATCTGTTATTGTTTGATTTTTTGGTAATAACTATTTGGACTGGTGTGAGATGGCATCTCATTGTGGTTTCCATTTGCATTTCTTAAATGATTAGTGATGTTGAGCATTTTTTCATATGCTTGTTGGCCATATGTATGTCTTCTTATGAAAAGTGTCTGTTTGTGTCCTTTGCCCACTTTTTAATGGGGTTGTTTTTTTGCTTGTTAATTGTTTAAGTTCCTTATAGATTCTGGATATTAGATCTTTGTCATATGCATAGTTTGCAAATATTTTTTCCCATCCTGTGGGTTGTCTACTCTGTTGATAGTTTCTTTTGCTGTGCAGAAGCTTTGCAGTTTAATTCATTCTACTGTAAAGACATCTGCATTTGTATGTTTATTGAAGCAATATTCACACTAGCAAAGACATGGAATCAACCTAAATGCCCACCAATAGTAGACTTGATTATGAAAATTGGATACATATACACCATGGAAGACCATGCAGGCACAAAAAAGAACAAGATCATGTCCTTTGCAGCAACATGAATGGAGCTGGAGGCCATTTTCCTAAGCAAACTAACACAAGAACAGAAAACCAAATACCACATGTTCTCACTTATAAGTGGAAGCTAAACATTGAGTACATATGGACACAAAGAAGAGAATAGATACTGGGGCCTGCTTGAGAGTGGACGGTGGGAGGAGGGTGAGGATTGAAAAGCTACCTACTGAATACTACGCTTATTATCTGAGTGATGAAATAATCTATACACCTAACCCCCGTAACGTGCAATTTACCTGTATAACAAGCCTGCACATACTCCTGAACCTAAAATAAAAGTTAACAAAAACTGAATTATTATATAATCTGGCAATCTCATTGCTGGATATATTTTTACTCTGCATAATTCAATGGAAATGCCATCAGTATACTGAAGAGATATTTTCACCCCTATGTTAATTGCAGCCTTATTCACAATAGCCAAGATAATGGAATCAACCTCAATGTCCATCAACAGATGAAAGGATAAAGAAAATGTGGTATATTTACACAGTGGAATACTATTCAGCCATAATAAGGAATAAAATCTTGTCATTTGTGGCAACATTTATAAACCTGGTGGACATTAAGTGAAATAAACCAGGCATAGAAAGACAAATACCACATAAGATCACTCATATGTGAAATTTAAAAAGTTGTTCACATAGAAGTAGAAAGTACAGTAGTGGTTACCGGATGATGGGGAGGGTAGGGGCCTGGGGTAGATAAGGAGAGTTTGGTGAATGGGTACAAAGCTACAATTATATAGGTGGAATATGTTTTGGTGTTCTATTGCATAGTAGGCTGACTATAGTTAACAATAATGTATTGTATATTTCAAGATAGCTAGAAAAGAAGTATTTGAATGTTCTCATCACAAAGAAATGACAAATATTTAAGGTGATGGATGTGCTAATTACCCTGATTTGATCATTAAACAATGTATACATGTATCAAAATATCACATTGTATCCCACAAATATGTACAATTATTATGTGCCAATCATAAATAAAAATAATGTTGAAATCATAGTATAAAAAATAAAATACATATGTATATGAGGAATATATATATAATTTTTTTTTTTTTTTTAGATGGAGTCTTGCTCTGTCGCCCAGGCTGGAGGGCAGTGGCGCGATCTTGGCTCACTGCAAATTCCGCCTCCCAACTTCCCGCCATTCTCCTGCCTCAGCCTCCCGAGTAGCTGGGACTACAGGCGCCCGCCACCACACCCGGCTAATTTTTTTGTATTTTTTAGTAGAGATGGGCTTTCACCGTGTTAGCCAGGATGGTCTCGATCTCCTGACCTCGTGATCCGCCCACCTCAGCCTCCCCAAGTGCTGGGATTACAGGCATGAGCCACTGCGCCTGGCCCAGGAATATATATGTATAATTGTGAAAGGTAGTTCTGTTGATGGCTGCCAACAAGTCCCTTTCCCTGTATGTACATGTTGCTCCTTCCATCAAGAGATGGAGTCCATTTCCTCTCCCCTTGAACCTGGGCTGGTCCTGTTACTTGCTTTGACATGAAAAGTGGCAGGAGTAATACCATGTCAGTATTACTGTGTCAGGCCTCTCAAGCCTTAAACTTTTACTTCCTTTCTCATGGAACCAAGGTGCCATATTATAAGGAAGTCCAGGCTATCTTGCTAAAGAGAAAAAGATCATGTGGAGAGGCCCTGGAGGATAAGACACCACAAGGAGAGGGAGGCCATATGGAGAAAAGAGGTGCTTCAGCCAAGGTCTCACTGCAATGTAATCACATGAGTTACCCTAACTGAAAACATGTGGAGCAATGCTTGTTATTTTAAGCTACTAAGTTTGGGGGTGATTAATTAGGCAGCAATAAATAACTGATTTTATTATGTAGATAGATGTAGATGAGTGGTTTTTAAATAGAGGTCTCCTCCAAGGGGACATTTGACAATATCTGGGGATATTTTTGGTTGTCCTAACTGTTGGTCAGGGGTGAGAGGCGTGATGCTACTGGTATCTAGTAGGTAGAAGCTAAGGATGATGCTCATAAACATCTTACAATACACAGGACAGTCCCTTGCAACAAAGAATGACTGGGCCCGGGCTGGGCGCGGTGGCTCACGCCTGTAATCCCAGCACTTTGGGAGGCTGAGGCAGCTGGATCACCTGAGGTCAGCAGTTCAAGACCAGCCTGACCAACATGGCAAAACCCCATCTCTGCTAAAAATACAAAATTAGCCGGGTTTGGTGGCGCATGCCTGTAATCCCAGCTACTTGGGAGGCTGAGGCAGGAGAATTGCTTGAACCTGGGAGATGGAGGTTGCAGTGAGCCAAGATGGTGCCACTGCACTCCAGCCTGGGTGACAGAGCAAGACTCTGTCAAAAAAAAAAAAAAAAAAAAAAAGAATTACTGAGCCCAAATGTCAATAGTGCCAAGTTTGAGAAACCCTGATCTGGATAGCTAGATGATAGCTAGCTAGCTAGCTAGCTAGATAGATAGATAGATAGAAAGAAATTAGGGCTATTGAAGTTGATATACACCCTGGCCTCCAATGATTTAGTTTTTCAAAGTTAAAAATTAAAAAAAAAAATGAACATCTCTACTGCTTCTTGCAGGGGAGGCCAGGTTTCTGGTTAAGGTGGTAAATATGGTTAAGAATAACTGCCCCTCTTGGAGTAACATGGATCATCTAGCAATCATTTCTCTGCTTGGTCAGTCTCTGGCTCTAATCTGCAGAGCCACACAGTGGTGGGAGTCTGCTCTTCCACTCTCCTGAAGTCTCCTTAGTCCTGATCACATCCCATAGGTTCCTCACACACCAGCACTGCAGGATAAAAGTCGATTTTGACTCCCCAGTGCAAGTCTTCCACTAGTTTCACACTCAGCATGGGAACACACCATTGGACAAGTCATCTGCCCTGTTCCTGAAAGGAATCGCCACTGAGGGCTCAACCTTTTTATGAGGGGGCACAACTGCAGTGTGGAAGGAAGAGGTGTTAATGCACCAATGTTAGAGGCAGAAAGGGTACATGACAAAAATGCTCTGGAAGACACAGGGCAGTAGTCAGAAAAGGGTGATGGTGGATTGAAAGCCAGAGACCCAGCTTTTTGGCAGACACCTAATGCTGGAGCGCCCTGCCTTTGCATGTCAATGACTGAGAAGCATGCAGGTCAGCCTCCTGACAACTTCCAAGCATGGCCAGTGCATAAGTATCTGCTTATGGATTAAAGCTGGAAACCCTCTGACCAAGAATAGCAGAGAAGGAAATGGAGGACCCCATAACTCCTCATGCAAAATTTTCTACCACCTCCCAGGACTCTACCTGAACTAGGTAATAAGAAGTAGAAGTTTGCTTTGCTGAGTTAAATGAGTCCTCACAATATCTTTTTCCTAGGCTTGCCTTCCATTGGCTTAATGAAAAGGAACCCTTCCAAAACCCCTTCTATGAGGATCTAGCTGTCTGTGTGTGGCAGACAGCTGATTGCTTCTTCCACTGGAGAAGAAATACATAAGCTCTGATAGGGTGCCACACTCTAGTAAAAATAATAGCTTTTCTCAAATGTAAGTAAAATCGATACTCAGGAAGAAGACCACCTTTTTTGAGCTTTACTTGCTCACTGGTACATAGTGCACCCCCTCACCTCACCCTCAAGGTAAAATCATTTCTGTCTGATGGCATCTAAGACTCACTAAAGGAGTTTTGTAGATTTATGCTAGTAATATTACATAAATGTCTACCACTCATCTAGGCAAATAAAAATTATTGTAATTATCTATACCTTTTTCTTTTTTATTTATGCTATTCCTTCAGACCTAGGAGATCCTTGTTGCTTGCATGTATCAAATGGCAGATAACCCCATAAAATTCAAGGCAGGCTTCACCATCATCATTCAATCATGCAACAGACCCTTTCAAAAAGCTCTTTATCATCAAGAATATTCCTACTTCTGATATTAGATGTGTTGTTGAAGCATTATCTTTCAGAGTCAACCTCCAGCCCAACTTCAAGCATGCCATATTTTACAGACAGCCTATGGCAGATTGGAATCCAAAGAATGGCTTTACATTGGGTCTGTTCTAGAATGGGGGACCTTCTCCATGACTGACTAGACCACAAGACAAGCTGTAGAAGTTGTACAATCATGGCACCGGGTTCTACTCTCACACTGAACTTTACTCAGTGAGGCTCTTGCCACATGAAATGTTTTGCTACTAAGGAAATATTTTGTTCCTTAAAGTTCTCAGAGAGAATTATTCTGAGGCAAAGACTCATATAATCATAAGATATAAGTACACTGATAATTTTCTTATGTCCGTGTTGATCCAAACAATAAAACTTAAAAATGTGTTTGAATATTTTTTTCCAGCAAGATTTAAGTAATTAGTATTTTGGAAACTATTCTTTGGCTAGTCTTTCAGAAAATAACTGACTGTTGTTAATTCTTTCTCTGACTTTTAACCACTGAGCCATTTGTTCAAGGTTGTTAGCTGAATGAATGTGAAATATTCCATTTGGAAAGGTCAAGGTTAAAACAGAATTCAGTCTCAGGTCTATTTGGCTCTAGTGTATAATTATCTGTTCCTATTTTTTCCTAATTCCTGCCAAAAGAAGCAAGAAAAAAGTGACATTCTGTTTATCTTAGTTATATTCAGAGAATGGTGAGTTAAGAATGTATCCAGTGTAGCTGACACCAAGCAGAGAATCACTCAGAACAAGGCCTGCCACACAGTAGGTGCTCTCACTATTTGATATTGAAATGACTTAGTGAAACCAAATTTGGTGACACACATGGCATCAGGGCCCCCAGCCCCAGAGTGTGCCGTCTGCTGCTTAGCCACTCTGTTCTCACACATGAGCTTATTTTTACATGCACACATTTTTAAAAAAATGTTTTCATCTATAATTTTAATATCCAGCCAAGTGTGCATAATGTTTAATGACATCCTATTAACAAAGAAACACTTTTAGATGATCCACAGGGAAGTAACAACTGCTGCTTTCCTCCCCAGCACCTGATACAAGGTTTCTTGGCAGGGGGTGAATTGGATGACAGCCCTTACTTACTTTCAATGTCCACAGACTGAGTTCCATGAGGCAAATGTCTTTTTCTGCAGCCTAATCCTCAAAACGATGGATGTGCTAGCTTTAAGTGTGGTTGAAACAAGGCATCACCATGGATGATGTGAACTGACAGGCCCTGTTCTGCCTAAAACCATCTCTACCTCTGATCTGTTGCTCGTGATCTGAAGACTCCTTATCAGAGGTTTTGCCTTTGTGTTAAACACTGCCCTCTCCCCTAGAACCAGTTTAATTTGCCGTGAGATAGAAGAACTCAGAGTCTGTAAGAGGAATGGATGTCTTGAGATAGGGAGAGGTCCCTGGAGGAAGGGTTAGAGGAGTGAGAAGTGTGGAGGTTATGATGCTGTTTTTAACTTGTTATCAATGAAATTTTAAAAGGTTAAGGTTGAAAAATAAAAGCTTTGCAGTAGATAGTCTCCAGCTTAATTCCCAGCTCCACTTCTTACTAGCTGTGTAACTTATGCCAGTCACTTAACATTCCTGATCCTGTTTCCTCATTTGTAAAATGGAGATTTATAATACTACCTGTACTCGTGACCTAGCTCTGCCATAACAAATTATTACAAACTTACTGGCTTAAAACTGTAGAAATTTATTCTCTCACATTTTTGAAGGACAGAAGTCCAAAATCAAGAAGTTGGCAGGATTGGTTTCTTCTGAAAGCTCTGAGGGAAAATCCATTCCACGCTTCACTCCTGGCTTCTGGTGGTTAATGGCAACCCTTGACTTTTCTTGGCTTGCAACAACATACTTTCAATCTCTGCTTCCATCTTCACATGACCTTATTTCTCTGTGTCTCAAATCTCTCTCCTTCCTCTTATTAAGACACCAGTCATTGGATTTAGAGCCCACCATAGTCCAGGATGATCTCATCTTGAAATCCTTTACTTAATTACATCTGCAAAGACCCTTTTTCCAAATAAAGTCATGTTCACTGGTACTGGGGGTTAGGAATTGGACTATCATTTTGGAGGGACACTATTCAACTCACTACACTACCATATATGGTTATTGTCAAGAGTCCGTGATGTAATATATTAAAGACCTTAGCATTATCTGAGTACACTAAGAACTAAATAAAAGATCACTATAATTGCAAATATGTAAATCTTCCTTACTTACAAGCTTATACGGGAATAAAGACTTATTCCAACAAAAGTACTGTGTTTTAAGTGTTTACATACCAACATTTTAGTATCTGTTCTCACAGTATTTGTTATATGGATGCATATTTGTTGATTTTGTACTGGATTCTAAGGTGTTTTACAAATATTATTAACTCTTTAATATCTGTTGAGTACAAAAGCTGAAAAAGTTAAAAGTGATAGTAAAGAGAATTGTAAGATTACTAAAGATCACTAAAACAGAGATTAAAAAGAAAGATGAGATTTATGGTCTGAACAAGATGGTAGAGACCTACCTCTATTCCTTTCTCCCTGCTAAGTATAACTATAAATCCTGAAACTAACTCAAGAGACAACCAGAGAAATGCTCTGAAAGGTGGAAGAGGGACTACAGGACTGGAGGAACATCATCGTGGCAGGGCATCTTATGAACTATCACCCAACAGAAGAAAGCCAAGAAGGACACACAGAGGTGGCACTTCCCCAATCTCTAACCTATTAAGAGAAAGGGCAGCTAATGTAAGCTCATTTGTCCCCCAGATGGAAGAGGAGTCCCAACAACAACATTATGCATACCTAGCAGGACCAGCAAGGGGAATCAATCAGAAGCCACACTGAAAATAAGCGACCATCCTGACCAGAAGTGACCATAAGCACTCTACAACCTCACTCACCCAGTGACACCACACCACTACTGGCATTGGCAAAGGGGATTATGACATAGCAAGTGCTAGCTGGGAAAGCATTCTCGTTTCCCACTGGCCTTGAGGCTCCTCTCTGCCCCTTAGAGATACCACGTATGTTGAGGGTTGTGTGGGGAAGTGGAGGGATTGACAAGTGAGATTATGCCACAATAAGTGTGTGGCCTGGGAGGCGCTCTCCATTTCCCACAGACAGTGAGGAAGACTGCCACGAGATGCACCCAGTCTGGGAAGCCTATTTGTTCTTGCTGGCTTAAGACTCATTGCTCCCACTCAGAGACACTCAGAGGAGCCCTACCACAATAAGCACCCAACTACAGAGGCACTCTTCATCCTCCACAGACAGGAGGAGGCTTCTATAACAAGCATCAGGAAATGCCATTCATCTCTGAAGCAAAGAGGCTCCCTTTCTTTACCTTCAAGCTCCAGGCAGCTTGGCCTGAGCAAGCTTCTTCAGCACTCTCAAACAACATAAGCAGGGATCAGTGGGACCCCAGTGGGAAGAGATGAACCAAACGGACAAAAATAGTGCCATAAAGGCTCTGAAATGATATTGTCATTGGAATCACAGCCCAAAAAGTAGGCCAGGACTTGCATGTTAAATCTAAACAGGGTGAGTGCCTGCTAAAATTAAAAAGTTAGGTGGAACCCAAAGTCTTCTAATGTAATAGCCAAAATGTCTGAGACACAATTGAAAGTCATTCTACATTAGGAAGCAGGAAAATCACAACTTGAATGAATGAAAAAAAAAAGACATTTAAATGATGTCAACAGTGAGATGAATCATATGTTCAAAATATGTGACAAGAGTCTTAAAGCAATAATCATACAAATGATTAAACAAGCAATTACAAGTTATTTGAAACAAATGAAAAATAAAGTCTCAGCAAAGAAACAAGTTATAAAAATAACTAAATGGAAATTAAGAGCTGAAAATTATTATAATAAGAGAAATAATTCACTGAATGGGCTCAATAGTACAGTGGAAATGACAAAAGATAACATCAATGAGATTGAGGGCATATTAATAGAATTTGCCCAATCTTAACAAGAGGGAAATTAACTGAAAAAATTTAACAAACCTTCAAGGACCTGTGGGACAATAACAATATATCCAGTTTTCATGTCATCAGAGCTCCAAAAGGAGAAGATAAAAGAGTGGAGCCAAAAGAGTATTTGAAGAAATAATGATTGAAAATTAACCAAATTAAGCAAAAGATAAACGCACAAATTCAAGAAACTGAGTAAATCCCAAGCACAACAAACAACAACAATCAAAGCTAAGAAATATCAGAATTAAACTTATGAATTAAAAACAAAGAAAAACTCTGGAAATCAATCAGAAAGAAGCAATACATTTCCTATAGAGAAACACCAATTCAAATGACAGCAGATTTCTGACAACATGGAGGGAAAAATGAAATGACACCTTTTTCAAGTACTGAAAAAGAAATTGTCAATCACAAAATCTATGTCTGGCAAAACTATCCTTCAGGAATGAAGGGGAAAAAAGATATTCTCAGACAAAGGAAGATTAAAGGGATCTGTCACTAGCAGACTTACCGTTAAAAAAGATATTCTCAGACAAAGGAAGATTAAAGGGATCTGTCACTAGCAGACTTACCGTTAAAAAAAAGGTAAAGAGGGGGAGGTGGGGCAAGGTGGCCAAATAGAAGCCGCCAGCCATAATCCCCCCAACAAGAATGCCAAATGAAACAACTATCTACACAATAAAAAGCACCTTCATAAGAACCAAAAATCAGGTGAATGATCACAGTACCTGGTTTTACCATTATATTAAGGAGAGAGGCACTAAAAAGGGTAGGAAAGACAATCTTGAATTGCCAATGCCACTCCTTCCCGATCCCCTAGCAGGAGCTCTGTAGCACAGAGAAAGAATCTGTGTACTTGGGGGAGGGAGAGCACAGTGATTGTGAGAATTTGCATTGCAATTCAATGCTGCCCTGTAACAGCAGAAAGCAAGAAGGGGCAGAACTCAACTTGCACACACAAAGAGAGCATATAGACCAGTCCTGGCCAGAGGCAAATTGCCCATTCCAGTGGTTGGAGCACAAGTTCTAGCAAGCCTCACCACCACAGGCTAAAGTGGTCTATAATCCCAAATACACTTGAAAGGCAGGTTAGGCCACAAGGACTGCAATTCTTAGGCAAGTTTTGATTCTGTCCTGTGCTGAGAGCCAGTGGACTTGGGGTGCATGTGACCTAGTGAGACACCAGCTAGGGTGGCCAAGGGAGTGCTTGTGCCACCCCTTCCCTAGCCCCAGGCAGTATGGCTCACAGCTCCAGGAGAGACTCCTTCCTGCCATTTGAGGAGAGGGGAGAGTAAAGAGGACTTTGCCTTGCGTCTGGGACACCAGCTCAGCACAGTAGTATAGGGCATCAGTCAGAGTTGTGAGGACCCCATTCCAGGCCCTAGGTCTCTAGACACACCTTGGGCCAGAAAGGAGTCTATTGACTTGAAGGGAAGGCTGTGAATAATCAGCAGTGTTAGCCAGGCACTACTTGCTGTGGGCCTTGGGTGAGACTCAGAGCCACGCTGGCATCAGGTGTGATCAAGCACATTCACAGCTGTGGTGGCTATGAGGGGAGACCCCTCCTGCTTGAGGAAAGGAGAGCGAAGAGTAAAGTAAACTTTGTCTTGCAGGTTGGGTAACAGCTCAGCTGCAGTGGGGTAGAGCACCAAGTGGGTTCGTGGAGTCCCTAGTTCCAGGTCTTGGCCCTGGACAGCATTTCTTCACCTGTCCTGGGCCATAGGGGAGACAACTGCTCTGAAGGGAGAGACCCAGGCTTGGCAGCACTCACCACAAGCTGACTGAAGAAGCCTTGGGCCTTGAGTGAACATTGGTGCTAATCAGGCAATACTTAACCATGGGTCTGGGGTGGTGGTGGCCATGGGGAGAGACCCCTCTGCTTGAGGAAAAGGGAGGAGAGAGTGGGACAAACTTTGTCTTGCAGGTTGGGTGCCAGCTCAACCACAGTAGAATAGAGCTCCAGGTAGATTCCTAAGGTTCCTGACTCTAGGCCCTGGTTCACAGATGGTGTCTCTGGACCCACCCAGAGCTGGAGAGAACTGGCAGCCCTGAAGGGAAGGACACAAGCCTGGCTGGATTTGCCACCTGCTGATTGTAAAGCCCTTGAGCCTTGCGTAAAATAGGAAGTAGCCAAACAATGGTCACTCTGGGACTTGGGTGAAACCCAGTGCTGTGCTGCCTTTGGGTCTAACCCAGCCCAGTCCCTGCTATCGTATCCACAAGAGTGCTTGTGTCACACCTCCCCCAGCTCCAGGCAGCTCAGTACAGAGAGGCTCCATTTGTTTGAAGGAAAGTAAGGGAAGAGAACAAGAGTCTCTGCCTGGTAATACAGGCACTACTCCCAGATCTTACCCAAGACCACCAAGGTTATACCTCTATGAGTCTGTGACAGCCACAGCATTACTGAACTTGAGGTGCCCCCTAATGCAGATGTGGCTGCAGTGACCAAAGACTTAGATCTCCAACACCCAAGTCCCTTCAAATACCTGGAAAGCCTTCCCAAGAGGGATGGGTAAAAACAAGCCCAGACTGCAAAGACAGGAATAAATACCCAACTCTTCAATACCCAGTCACTGATGGACACCCAAAAGCATGAAGACCCTCCAGGAAAACATGGCTTCATCAGCTCATCTAAATAAGGCACTAGTCACCAATCATGGAGAAACAAAGATATGTGACCTTTCAGAGAGAGAATTTAAAATAGCTGCTTTGAAGAAGCTAAATGAAATCAAAGATAACACAGAGAAGGTATTCAGAATCTTGTGAGATAAATTTAACAAAGAGATTGAAATTATTAAAAAGACTGAAGTAGAAATTCTGGAGCTGAAATTGGCAATTGACATCCTGAAGAATGCATCAGAGTCTCTCAACAGCAGAATTCATCGAGCAGAAGAAAGAATTAGCGAACCTGAAGACAGGCTATTTGAAAATACAGTCAGAGGAGACAAAAGAAAAAGGAATAAAAAAGAATGCAGCATGCCTATGAGATCTAGAAAATAGTCTCAAAAGGGCAAATCTAAGAGTTATTGGCCTTAAAGAGGAGGTAGAGAGAGAGAGATGGGGCAGAAAGTTTATTCAAAAAGATAATAATGGAGAACTTCCCAAACCTAGAGAATAATATCAATATCCAAGTAGAAGAAGGTTGTAGAGCAGATTTAACTCAAAAAAGACTACCTTAAGACATTGACTGAAAGGTCAGGATAAAGAATCGATTTTAAAAGGATCAAGAGAAAAGAAACAAATAACATATAATGGAGCTTCAATACATCTGGCAGCAGATTTCTCAGTGGAAACCTTACAGGCCAAAAGAGAGTGGCATGACATACTTAAAGTGCTGGAGGAAAAAACTTTTATTCTAGAAAAGTATATCTGGGAAAATATCCTTCAAACATGAAGGAGAAATAAAGACTTTCTCAGACAAATGAAAGATAGGGGATTTCATCAATACCAGACTTGTCCTACAAGAAATGCTCGAGGGAGCTATTCAATCTAAAAGAAGAGGACATTAATGTGCAATAAGAAATCATCTGAAGGCTCACACCTGTAATCCCAGCACTTTGGGAGGCTGAGGTGGGTGGATCATGAGGTCAGGAGTTCAAGACCAGCCTGGCCAACATGGTGAAACCCCGTCTTTACTAAAAATACAAAAATTAGCCAGGCGTGGTGGCAGGCGCCTGTAATCCCAGCTACTCAGGAGGCTGAGGCAGACAATTGCTTGAACCCGGGAGGCGGAGGTTGCAGTGAGCCGAGATCTCACCACTGCACTCCAACCTGGGTGACAGAGCAGGACTCCGTCTCAGAAAAAAAAAAGAAATAACACCACACATTTACAACCATCTGATCTTTGACAAACCTGAAAAAAACAAGAAATGGGGAAAGGATTCCCTATTTAATAAATGGTGCTGGGAAAACTGGCTAGCCATATGTAGAAAGCTGAAACTGGATCCCTTCCTTACACCTTATACAAAAATTAATTCAAGAAGGATTAAAGACCTAAATGTTAGACCTAAAACCATAAAAACTCTAGAGAAAAACCTAGGCAATACCATTCAGTACCTAGGCATGGGCAAGGACTTCATGACTAAAACACCAAAAGCAACGGCAACAAAAGCCAAAATAGACAAATGGGATCTAATTAAACTAAAGAGCTTCTGCACAGCAAAAGAAACTACCATCAGAGTGAACAAGCAACCTACAGAATGGGAGACAATTTTTGCAATCTAGCCACCTGACAAAGGGGTAATATCCAGAATCTACAAAGAACTTATACAAATTTACAAGAAAACAACAACCCCATCAAAAAATGGGCAAAGGATATGAACAGACACTTCTCAAAAGAAGACATGCATGCAGCCAACAGACACATGAAAAAATGCTCATCATCACTGGTCATCAGAGAAATGCAAATCAAAACCACAATGAGATACCATCTCATGCAAGTTAGAATGGTGATCATTAAAAAGTCAGGAAACAACAGATGTTGGAGAGGATGTGGAGAAATAGGAACGCTTTTACACTGTTGGTGAGAGTGTAAATTAGTTCAACCATTGTAGAAGACAGTGTGGCGATTCCTCAAGGATCTAGAACTAGAAATACCATTTGACCCAGTGATCCCATTACTGGGTATATACCCAACAGATTATAAATGCTACTGTAAGGACATGCACACATATGTTTATTGAGGCACAATTTACAATAGTGAAGACTTGGAACCAGCTCAAATGTCCATCAATGATAGACTAAGATTAAGAAAATTTGGCACATATACACCATGGAATACTATGCAACCATAAAAAAGGATGAGTTCATGTCCTTTGCAGGGAAATGGATGAAGCTGGAAACCATCTTTCTCAGCAAACTATCACAAGGACAGAAAACCAAACACCACATGTTCTCACTGTTAGGTGGTAATGGAACAATGAGAATACTTGGACACAGGGCGGGGAACATCACACACTGGGGCCTGTTGGGGGCTGGGGGGCTGGGGGAGGGATAGCATTAGGAGAAATACCTAATGTAAATGATGAGTTGATGGGTACAGCAAACCAACATGGCACATGTATACCCATGTAACAAACCTGTACATTGTGCACGTGTGCCCTAGAACTTAAAGTATAATAATAAAAAAAGAAAATGCTCAAAAAAATGGACTATACATGTAGCGACTTTGATTAATCTCTAGAGAATTAATACTAACTTGGAAAAAAGCAAATCCTAAGTGGTTACATACTGTATGATTCTAGTTATATAACATTTTGAAAAGACAAACTTTTAGAAAAAGAGAACAAATTAGTTGTCGCCAGGGTTCAGGAATTGGTGATGGGACATAAGGTGGTAGATGTGTCTATATAATGGCAACAGGATAGAGCTGTGTGCTGATGGAACTGTTCTGTATCTGGACTGTATCAATATCAATATCTTGCTTGTAATATTTCATTATGGTTTTGCAAAATGTTAGCATTAGAGGAAACTGGGTAAAGAATACATGGGATCTCTCTGTATTATTTCTTATAACTGCATGTACATCTACAAGTATCTCAAAATAAAAAGTTAAAATTTAAAAAGATGTAAGACAGTGACCATCGCACATGCAAATGGAATGAATTGCAAGAACATTTCTCCAAGCCAAAGAGTGAATCTTGTTACATACTGTGAAAAGTGCCTTGCTTGTGCAGTCAACAGTAAGCTAAAAAGAGGAAGAAATGATTGATGAAATATAGGAATGTTTGCCCACTTGGAGTTATCTACATCACTGTGAGTATGGGGTAGTTTGATGGTAGTTAGGAAAAAAGCCAGGGTTCAGTTTTGAATCTTGGAGACCTACCTGAGGGAATCATATAGCAAGGACTTGTTCCAGTCTGCATTACGTCAAAGGAACTGGTGGGCAGTGATGTGAGTGTGAACTCTGGATGCTAAGATCCCCATACATTTCTGCGGAGCCCACTAACAATAAGGTTACCAACCTTAATAGTTTTCCACATTGATGAAATCTGGGGAAAAGCTGCCTGAGAGAATATATTCTAGCAGGTAGAGAAGAGGTGATTAAATTAAAGGTTAGAAGGACCACCTCACACTCCTGTTTGGTGGAAATGTTTCTGGGGACTTCAAATACAAACCTACATGGTTTATTCACTTTGGACTAATACACAATTATCCATAGGAACAGTCTTCCGGGTCCTTGCCCACTTAAGAACAGTTTCTCTGCTTCATAGATTTAGAGACATGATTCCCTACGAGGTTTTCTTCTAAGCCAACCACAAAATGACAATCTTTACAATCCTCAAATTCTCCAACTTTAGTTAGCACTCAAGAGAGTCAGTTGGCTGTAGAGAGAGAAAGTGAGAGCCTTCCTGGGAAAAAAAAAAAGCCCCAAATGACAAGAGAGCTTTCCAGAATGAGAAACCATAGTTGGAACATGGGTTTGGGCTCAATCCAGGCCTCTGATGATGTAGGGTTACTGATATAGAACCAAGATTTCCTGACACAGCTACTTTTTCTCCCAAACCACTGGTGAGTGTTCTCCAACTCTGTGGGATAGTTATCCTAGACATCAATGAAAAAGGAAAAATATACGAACATTTTGCTGGGTGAAAAAGAAAGGTTTTTGGCAATGAGAAATTTGGCTTGGGCAAGAAAAACAATGTACTGGACACTTCTCTGTCATCTCTTAGGACTTCTGATGGGGTGTTGGGCATCTTGCTTGGTATTATGAAATAAAAAGGGGACAAAAACCTTTCCTCACCGTGAATAGAGGCCTCCTTAGTGCCAAATGACACGAAAGCTCTCTTCCCTCATCTTTAAAAATATGCTTCTCCCACTGAGATGAGATTCAGTTAGGTAACTTATATTTCTTTTAAAGACTGTGGTAGTGACTGTGATATCAGTGATGCTCACTATGTAGGGCAGTATTTTCTAAAGATATTTTGAGCAAAAAAAGTGTCCAGTGTCAAATAAGTTTGTGAAATGTTGCATTATCTACTTTTCAAACAGCAAATTAAAGGCTGGGAGATGTGTGTAGTTATGAATCTTGTGTAACTATGTATCAATTTTAAAAACTATTATTAAAAAAGAATTCTATGTAAATTTGTTCAACTTGGCTTTTCAGGAACTTATTTGATCACGCAAACCTGTCAAGGCATAATTCTCAAAAAGTTAAAAATCATGACAACCATAAAAATATGTCAAAAATTTATTTCACACAAATATTTATTTAACTTATTAATGAGGATATTAAAGGGGTGGTAGAGCTGTTTAAAGAAGGATCTGAGAGCCTGTAATCCCAGCACTTTGGGAGGCTGAGGTGGGTGGATTGCCTGCAGTCAGGAGATCGAGACCAGCCTGGCCAACATAGTGAAACCCCGTCTCTACTAAAAATATGAAAAATTAGCTGGAAGTGGTGGCGAGCACCTGTAATCCCAGCTACTCGGGAAGCTGAGGCAGGAGAATCACTTGAACCTGGGAGGCAGAAGTTGCAATGAGCCGAGATGGTGCCATTGCACTCCAGCTTGGGCAACAAGAGTGAAACTCCATCTCAAAAAAAAAAAAAAAGAAGGATGTGAGAGACTAGTATATACAGACACTGAAAGAAAGAATGCTGAAATAAGATTGCTAAATTGCTGAAATAGAAAACAGGTTAATGCCCTATGTGGGGGCATTATCTTTTTCAATGTACAGAAATTATTTGCATTTCTACAGAACAAAAATCATCAGCAACTTCTATAAGTTAATGTGTAACATGTAACCTTACAGAATCTTTTCGCTAATCAACAGAAAATAGTAAGCTAAACAATGGTATGTTCCTCCAGAACAATGGTTCTCAAGGTATGCTCCCCAGACCAGCAGCACCAGAATCACTTGGGATCTTGTAGAAATGCAATTTCTTAAGCCCTACTCAAGATCTACTGAATCAGAAACTCTGGGATAGGGCACAGTACTCTGTTTTAACAAGTCATCCACAGGATTCTGAGAGTTTGAGAACCACTGATCTAGAGAATCAATCTTCAGGCAGTATAAGTATATTGCCAATACTCCAGTATGACTTTGCAAAGATATTCAGTCACCTTTTTGCCTATTTCCAAGTTTTGGATGAATTTTCTCACTCAGTTTTGACTATCACACTTTGGAAATGGTAATGTACAATGAATAAAAAACATCTAGAGGTTTAGGGAAAAAAGGATGACATTTGTTTTTCTATTTCATTTCATCCTACTTCAAGTAACAGTTCAAGTTACATCTTATCCAAGAAAACATTCTAACCCTTTTAGTCTTCTCCAATATATCTCCTCCTTGAACATCTATAGACTTTTACACAGTCGTGTACACATCATTACCCTACCTCTGTATGGAGCATGAGGATAAGCTATATTGTGCTAGAGAAAGTGCCCACAAACTTTTCCTGTTTTGAGGGTCATACAGTCTCTGTCAGAACTTCCCTGCCATTGTAGTATGAAAGCAACCATAGAAAATACGTAAACGAATAGGGACATTTGCGTTCTGACACAATGTTATTTATAAAACAGGCTACAGCTGGTTTGGCCCACAGACTGTAGTTGGCCACATCTGCTCTAGAGGATTTCACACCAACAATTAAATGCACAACCTAGAAGTAACATATATCTCTTTAACTTACAACTCATTGGCCAGAATTAAACATGTGGCCCCACTCAACTACAGGGATCAAGGAAGTATAATCTTACTATGGTGGCAAGAGGAAGAGAGTTGTAAATATGTAGTCAACTATAGGAATGACTACCACAAAGGGCATGTAGTAAAGATACATTTTTGCATGCCTGTCTTCTCCACCATCAACTATTATTATCAACACCATCAACTCATCCCCTCAAGGGCAAGAGCCTTATCTTGTGTACAGAGCCAAACAAACGTAGTAGGGGTGTATAAATATGTCTGGTTAATTGATAAGAGAAAAGAGAGAAGCAGAGGAAAGAGAAAAGGAATTACAAATAGGCCAATGGACAGGATAGTAATTGAGGCAGTAATGGGGGAAAGGATTATCACAATTGATAGTAGTGATATTTATGACAATTACATTGTTAATATTAGTCCTGGTGATGCTTCTAAAAGGGAAATCTATGCCCTTCACTCCTCAGCTCATTTCAATCTGGCTTCTTCCTCCAACCCTCACTTGCCTGAAACCATTCTTGCTAACAAGTAACCTCCTATTTGCAAAACTCAGTAAACATGTTTCTTAATCCTTATTTTACTGAATGTCTTTGCTGTACATAAAGCCACCAAATGTTACCTCCCAGAAATTTTTAACTTTATAGACCTCTGTGAAACAGCACTTTCATGGCTCTCCTCTGTATCTCTCCAACCCCAACTACCCTTTGAACTTCCCCTACTCTTCCAACCCTCTAAATGTTAATGTTTTTTAGGACTTCAGCCTCCTTTCTCTGCTCGTCATTTCACTCTGCTATCACTTACATGGGCTCACACAGTTTACACCACCATCTATAATTCTATTGATTCCCATACTCATGTAGTCCATCCATACTTCTTCACAAGTTTCAGAATCATGTATTCAAATTTCAGTCTCATGCCTTCACCAGGAGGTCCCATAGATACTTCAAATGCAACATGGCAGAAAATATATTCCTGTCTTGTATTTAAACTGGCTTTCCTTGGGTAACCTGTATCTCAGCGATTGCAACACCATGTACACAGTAATAAGAGTAGAAACCTCTAAGGTATTATGGACTCTTCCTCCCTACTCACATGCCCTGATCCAATCAATCTCTCTGTTTAGCCTACATATTTATTTCTCCTCCTTCCTTTCCAGACTACTGCTCTGAACCATACTCTTATCAACTTTCACCTAAATTACCAAACAGCTTTCTAATTTACCTTTCTAACTCTTTTGATTTGGTTGTGAAATATTACACACAGAAAACTATCGCCATAAATATAAGGTACATCCATGCAATTACCACTTAGCTTGATCAAATTTTAATATGTTATAGTATTTGCATCTGATTTTTAAAGGAAGATGATGATATATCTAGGTAAAGCCCCATGTGATACCACCCCCAATCTCATTTCCTTCCCTCTCTCCCTAGAGCTAATCAACATTATACATTTAGAATTCATCATTATAATGCAAACTTTAGTTAAATTGCTACATTTTTATTCATCCCTTCACCATCTATAGTATTATTTTTCAGATTTTAAACTTTATGGCAATATTTATGGAATTGAGATCCCTGAATGAAACATGAGCTTTTAAAACTCTCTACTCTATTTGAAAGTATAGACAGACCATAAATACTTAAGCAAAGGTAACATGAGAACAATGAGAACAAACCACATGAACCTTTTCGAAAGTTGCTTTTGTCACTCAGTATTATGTGTTATAAAACAAAATTTGAAGGTATCTTAAGGACTTTAGGATTTTATTTATTTATTTTCATTTTTTATTTCCATAGGTTTTTGGGGAACAGGTAGTGTTTGGTTACATGAATAAGTTGTTTAGTGGTGATTTCTGAGATTTTGGTGTACCCATCACCTGAGCAGTATACACTGTACCCAATTTGTAGTCTTTTATCCTTCACCCTACCTCCCTCCCTTTCCCCCCAAAATCCACTGTATCATTCTCATGCCTTTGTATCTTCATAGCTTTGCTCCCACTTATGAGTGAGAAGATATGATGTTTGTTTTTCCATTCCTTAGTTACTTCACTTAGAATCTGGGGACCTTCAGTTTAAGATTAGCTAGTTTAAATAACCTCAGCAGGCTCTAAGCTCTAGGTGTGGTCCCTAATTGTCCAATGCCTGGACCTAGGATGATTCAGGGCAGGGAAAATATTGGCTTGGTATTTAAGAGCTAGATAAAAGATGTAGTTGAAGCTATGGGCTTTGGATTGGTTGGTTTGCTTATGAAAGGCTTACTGGCAGGCAAGTTATTTACTATCTCTAGGAATTAGCTATCCCTGGGAGAGGCAGTCTTTCCAGGATTAGCAAGAAACCAAGATGTCAGAGCATTATAAAACAGAGAAAGTGTTTAAAAACATGATTCACAAAGTTAAGATGCTTTTATTCTGTTTTGAATTATTTCTAGTACTGCTGGATTTGATATAACATTTTCTTCATGAGATAGTTCTAGGATTTTCTTCTCTTACATTTTCCTTAGTAAATTGTGTGTGTGTGTGTGTGTGTGTGTGTGTGTGTGTATGTGTGTGTGTGAGAGAGATCAAGCACATATGAGTAAAATGTAAAAAAGTTAGTGGATCTGGATAAGTGATATATAGGAGTTCTTGTAATTTTCCTTTCAGTTAGAAGCTACATAAAAATTAAAAGTGCAAGGAATGAAGGAATTCCTAGGAGTCAAAACTGGGGTAGGGGGAAACCTCTACTGTATAAGGCATTAATGCCTTGGCTGCCCTAAAAGTATTACCTACATCAGTAAATAAAAGACTTAGATATTAACAGCCACTTAGGGAAGCATACATCTTGGGTTCTTGTGAGGCATAGAGATGGAATTGAGATCCCTGAATGAAACATGAGCTCTTAAAACTCTCTACTTTATTTGAAAGTATAGACAGACCATAAATGCTTCAGCAAAGGTAACATCTGGGTCAGGGATTTGGGTGGGAAGAAAAGTCTCCCTTGAAAATTTAAAACTGCAGATCTGCCTTCATAAGGTTCAAATTTACACTACCTGAGTGGTAGACATTACTTGTGCTCTCCAACATACAGTTCTCCTTTCCTTTCTGAGAATTTAAAAGACTATGTTTCTTAGCCCCTTTGGAGCTGGGTGGAGCCATGTGACTAGTTTTTGTCCATGGTCCCTTCGGGACTGAGGAAGTCAAAAGCCCCTTCACCATCCTTGAGATCATCCCCTACTGAAGAGATCTAGAATCGATGACAACATCGTAAGATGAAAATAGCCTGGATCCCCTTGAGGAGATCTGCTCTGAAGAGATGCCCCACCTGAAGCAGATTTTTTTTAACTTTTTTTTTCATCTTTTATCTTAGATTCAGGGGTTACATTTGCAGGTTTGTTACCTGGGTATTTTGTGTGATGCTGAGGTTTAGGGTACGAATGATCCCATCACCTAGGTACTGAGCGTAGTACCCAACAATTAGTTTCTCAACCCTAACACCCTTCCTCCCTCCTCCCTCTAGTAGACCCCAGTGTCAATTGTTTCCATCTTTATTGCCATGACTACCCAATGTCTAGCTTCCCTTTATAAACAAAACATATAGTATTTGGTTTCCCATCCCTGCATTAATTCGCTTAGAATAATGGCCTCCAGCTGCATCCATGTTGTTGCAAAGGACATGATTTCATACTTCTTTATGGCTCCATTGTATTCCATGTTGTATATGTACCTCATTTTCTTTATCCAAATCACCACCACTGATGAGCATCTAGGTTGATTCCATGTCTTTTGCTATTGTGAATAGTGCTGCAATGAACATGCAAGTGATTTTGTCTTTTTGGTAGAATGATTTGTTTTCTTTTGGATATGTACCCAGTAATGCAATTTCTGGGTCAAATGGTAGTTCTAAGTTATTTGAGAAATCTCCAAACTGCTTTTTACAGTGGCTAAACTAATTTACAACCTCACCAACAGTGTATAAGTACTCCGTTTTCTCCACAGTCTCACCAGAGTCTATTTTTAAAAATTGTTTTAATAATAGCCATTCTGACTGGTGTGAGATGGTATCTCATTGTGGTTTTTGCTTGCATTTCACTGATGATTAATGATGTTGAGCATTTTTAATATGTTTGTTGTCCACTTAAATGTCTTCTTCTCAGAAATGTCTGTTCATGTCCTTTGCCCATTTTTTAATGGGGTTATATGTCTTTTGCTTGTTGAATTGCTTAAGTTCCTTATACATTCTGGATATCAGACCTTTGTCAGATCCATAGTTTGTGAATATTTTCTCCCATTATGTAGGTTGTCTATTTACTATGCTGGTAGTTTGTTTTGCTGTGCAGAGGCTCTTTAGATCAATTAGGTCCCACTTGTCAATTTTTGTTTTCATTGCAAATGCTTTTGAGGACAGTCATAAATTCTTTCCCAACCCAATGTCCAAAATGGTGTTTCCTAGGTTTTCTTCTGGGATTCTTATAGTTTATGGTCTTGCATTTAAATCTTTAATCCATCCTGAGTTAATTTTTGTATGTGGTAAAATGTAGGTGTATTAGTCTGTTCTCATGCTGCTAATAAAGACATACCTGAGACTGGGTAATTTATAAAGAAAAAGAAGTTTAATGGATTCAGTTCCACATGGCTGGGGAAGCCTCAAAATCATGATGGAAAGGCGAAGCAAAGGCACGTCTTACATGGTGGCAAACAAAAGAGCATGTGCAGGGGAACTCCCATTTATAAAACCATCAGATGTTGTGAGACTTACTCACTATCACAAGAACAGCATGGGAAAAACCTGGCCCATGACTCAATCACCTCCCATGATATGTGGGAATTATGGGAGCTAGAATTCAAGATGAGATTTGGGTGGGGAAACAGCCAAACTATACCAGGTCTCAATTTCATTCAGTTCTGTAAAGCACATTTGTTATGAGCAAGAAGCAAATATTTGTTGTCTTAAGCCTCTGAGATTTCAGCATTGTTAAATTAACTTGCTCTCTCTCATTCTCTCTCCCTACACACACACACACACACACACACAGTTTATGGAGGAAAATATAAAAGAAGAAAATCCTAGACCTATCTCATGAAGTAAAACCCAGCTTTGTACTGAAGGCAAAACAAAAACCCATCTCAACCAAGTAGCATTTATCCCAGAAATGAAATAATAAGTCACTATCAGAAAATCTATTAATGTTATATACCATACCAATAAATAAGATATACTCTATTTTCTTCTAATACACTGATTGATTCAAGAAATTCCTAGGTGATAAATCAGCATAAATTTTCTCACCACAGGAAATATAATTACATCAGGAGCACAACAAGATGGTGGAAAAGAAGGCTACACCATTCATCCCTTCCCCCAGCCAGGAATATCAAATTTTAACATCTGCACACAGAAAAGCACCACAAGAAGAAGCAAAAATGAGGTGAGCAATCACTGTACGTGGTTTTAACTTCATATCACTGAAGGAGGCATTGAAGAGGGCAGGCAAGACAGTCCTGAATTGCCAACACAACCCCTACACCATATCCCAGCAGTGGCTGCACAGTGTGGAGTCTGTGCACTTGAGAAAGTAAAGCAAAGTGGCTGGGAAACTTTGCATTGAATTCAGGGATGCCCTGTCACAGTGGAGAGCAAAGCTGTGCTGGACTTAGTCAGCACCCATGCAAGGAGGGATCATTTGGACCATCCCCAACCAGGGGGAAATCACACATCCCAGGGGCCAGAACTTGTGTTTCTTGGCAAGCATCACCACCAAGCACCAAAGTGCTCTCAGGTCATAAGTAAATTTGAAAGGTATTCTAGGACATGAGGACTGCAACTCCTGGGTGACTCCTAGTGCTGGATTGGGCTTAGAGCCAGTGGACTAGGGTGGCACATGACCTAGGGAGATATGAGCAGGGGCTGCTAAGGGAATATTTGCACCACCCCTGCCCCTACCCCAGGCAGCTTAACTTGCAGCAACAAAAGTGACTCCTTCCTTGTGCTTAAGGAGAGGAGAGCAAAGAGTAAGGAGGACTTTGTCTTGCATCTTGGATGCCAGCTCAGCCACAGTAAGATAGGGTACCAGGTGCAGTCATGAGGCACCCTTTTCAGGCCCTAGCTCATGGACTACATTACTGGACACACCCTGGACTAAAAGGGACCCCACTGGCTTGAAAGGATAAACCCAGTCCTGGCAGCATTCATCACCTGGTGACTAAACGACCCTTGGGCCCCAAATAACCAGCAGTGATGCCTAGGTAGGATGCCATGGGCCTGGGGTGAGACTCTGAGACTTTCTGGCTTCAGGTGTGAGACAGCACATTTCTAGCTGTGGTTGCTATCCCTAACTGTGGAAGACTTCTTTTGCTTGAGAAAAGCAGAGAGAAAAGTAAAGGGAACTTTGTCTTGCACTTAGGTACAAACTTAGCCAGAGTGGGGTAGAACAATAAGCAGGTACTTCAGGTACCCAAGTTCAGGCCAAAGCTCTTAGATAGCATTTCTGAATCTGGCCTGGGCCAGAGGGCAGCCCACTGTCCAGAAGGGTGATTCCCAGGTCTGGTAACGTTCACCACAAGCTGACTGAAGAGCCCTTGACCTTTAAGTGAATATCAGTAGTGGCCTGGCAGAAAGCTCCATGGGTTGGTGGTGGTGACGGCCACAGGAAGAGACTCCTCTGCTTGTGGAAAGAGGAGGAAAGTGCATAACCTATTTTATATTGTGGTTTCAGTGCCAGCTGAGCTGCAGTCAACTCAAATACCAGGTACATTTCTAAGGTTTTTTACCCCAATTGCTGGCTCCCAGATAGCACCTCCAGGCCCAACCAGGGCCTAGAGAACTCACCGCCCTGAAGGGAAGGACACAAACCTAGCTGGCATTCCCACCCACAGATTATAGAGCCCTAGGGCCTTGAGGGAACATAAATGGTAGTCAGGTAATTGCTTACAATGGGCCTTGGGTAAGATGCAAAACTGTGCTGGCTTCAGGACTAATCCAGCACAGTACCAGTGGTGGTAGCCACAAGGGTGCTTGCATCACCACACCCCTAGTTCCAGGCAGCTCAGCATACAGAGAGAGAATTCATTTGTTTGGGAGAACATAGAGAAAGAAACAAGAGTCACTGCCTCATAATCCAGATAATTCTTCTGGATCTTATCAAAGACCACCGAGACAGTGCCTCTGTAAGTCTCCAAAAAACACAGCATTATGAGGCTTGGGGTCCAAGTCCCTTCAAATATGTCAAAAGCTTTCCAAAGAAGGATGAGAACAAACAAGGCCAGACTGCAGAGACACAATAAGTATCTAATTCTTCAATGCCAAGACAACAATGAACATCTTCAAGAATCTAAAACATACAGAAAACCATGCCATCACCAAATGAACCAAATAAGGCACCAAGGACAAATACTAAAGAGATAGAGATATGTGACTTCTTAGACACAGTATTTACAAGAGCTGCTTTGAGGAAACCCAGTGAAATTCAAGATAACACAGAAAAGGAATTCAGAATTCTATCAGATAAATTTAACAAAAAGATTAAAATAATTGAAAAGAATTAAGCAGAAATTCTAGAGTTAAAAAATCCAACTGATATACTGAAGAAGGGATCAGAGTCTCTTAAGAGCAGAATTGGTCAAGCAGAAGAAAGAATAAGTGAGCTTGAAGACAAGCTATTTGAAAATATACTGTCAGAGGAGACAAAAAAGAATAAAAAAGAATGAAGCATGCTTACAAGATCTATAAAATAGCCTCAAAAGAGCAAATCTAACAGTCGTTGGCCTTAAAGAGGAGGTAGAGGGAGAGATCATGGTAGAAAGTTTATTCAAAAGGATAATTTCCCAAACCTAGAGAAAAATATCAACATTCAAGTATGAGAAGGTTATAGAACACCAAGCAGATTTAATCCAAAGATGACTACTTCAAGGCAGTTAATAATCAAACTCCGAAAGGTCAAGGATAAAGAATGAATCCTAAAAGCAGAAAGAGAAAAGAAGCAAATAACATATAACAGAGCTCCAGTACATCTGGCAGCAGACTTTTCAGTGCAAACATAGGCCAGGAAAGAACAGCATGACATATGCACTAATATAGGAAATCTTTTTACCCCAGAATAATACATATGCCAAAAGTGTGCTTAAAACATGAAGGAAAAATAAATACCTTTCCAGAAAAACAAAAATGTTGGGATTTGATCAACACCAGACCTGTCCTACAAAAAATGCTAAAGGAATTTCTTCGGTCTGAAAGAAAAGGATGTTAATGAGCAATAAGAAATCATATGAAAGTAAGAAAAATTCACTGGTAATAGTAAGGACGAAAAAATCATAACACTGTAATTGTCAGGAAAAATATCTCATGTTCATGGATATGAAGAATCAAAATTATTAAAATGGCCATATTGCCCAAAGCAATTTACAGATTCAATGCTATTTCTGACTACCAATGATATTCTTCACAGAACTAGGAAAAAACTACTTTAAAATTTATATGCAATTAAAAAAGAGCTCAAATAGCCAAGGCAATTATAAGCAAAAAGAACAAAGCTGGAGGCATTACATTATGTGTCTTCACACTATACTAAATGGCTACAGTAACCCAAACAGCATGGTACTGGTACAAAAACAGGCACATAGACCAATGGAACAGAATACAGAGCCCAGAAACAAGCCCACACCCCTATAACCATCTGATCTTTGGCAAAGCTGACAAAAGCAAGTGATGGGGAAAAGACTCCCTATTCAACAAATGATGCTGAGATAAATGAGAAGCCATATGCAGAAGATGGAAGCTGGACCCCTTTCATGCACCATATACAAAAATCAACACAAAGTGGTTTAATGACTTAAATGTAAAACTCAAAATTATAAAAATCCTGGAAGACAACCTAGGCAATACCATTCTGGACATAGAAACAGGAAAAGATTTCATGACAAAGACACCAAAAGCAATCACAACAAAAGCAAAAATTGGGAAATTTGATCTAATTAAACTTAAGAGCTTCTGCAAAGCAAGAAACTATCAACAGAGTAATCAGACAACCTACAGAATGGAAGAAAATATTTGCAAGCTATGCATCTGACAAAGGTCTAATATCCAGCATATATAAGAAACTTAAAAAATTTACAAAAAAACCCCCACCAAACTACCCCCATTAGAAAAGCATATGAGAAAAAGCTCAACATCACTGACCATTAGAGAAATGCAAATCAAAACTGCAATGAGATACCATCTCACATCAGTTAAAATGGTGATTATTAAAAAGTCAAAAAATGACAGATGCTGGTGAGGTTGCAGAGAAAACAGAACACTTATATACTGTTAGTAGGAGTGTATATTAGTTCAACTATTGGGAAAGCAGAATGGCAATTCCTCAAAGAGCTAAAAGCAGAACTACCATTTGATCCAGCAATCCCATTACTGGGTATATAACACAAATGTTCATTTCAGCACTATTCACAATAGCAAAGACATGAAATCAACCTAAATGCCCATAATGACAAATTAGACAAAGGAAATGTGGTACATATAAACCATGGAATACTATGCAACCATAAAATAAGAAGATCATGTCTTTTGTGTGAGCATGGATGGACCTGAAGGCTATCATCCTTAGCAAACTAATGCAGAAACAGAAAAGCAAATACTGCATGTTCTCACTTATAAGTGGGAGCTAAATGATGAGAATTCACGAACACAAAGAAAGGAACAACAGACACTGGGGTCTACTTGAGGGAGGAGTACAGGATGAAAGAGAAGAGCAGAAAAAATAACAATTGGGTACTAGGCTTAGTACATAAGTGATGAAATAATCTGTGCAACAAACCCTCATGACAGTAGCTTACCTAAACAATAAACTTTCACATGTACTCTGAACCTAAAATAAAAGTTAATAACATAAAATAAAATAGAGGAAAAAACAAAAAAAACCCCACACATATATCAAGTAGAAACACAAAATTATGAACCGATGAAAAATAATAACTTTTACAACAACTTTTCAAGACATAGTACAATGTGACATAAGAAGAAACAACAAAAGGTTAAAAAAAGACATAAATTGAGGGGATAAGGTTAAAGTGTAGAGTTTTTATTAGTTTTCTAATAAAAATTGCACATTTCCAAATATAAAACAAAAATTAAAAAGGAAAAAAATTCTACCACAAATAATAAATGATATGTATATGATGTGATTGCTATATTAATTAGCCTAATTTGCTGATTCTAGATGTATATATATGTACTGAAGCATCATTTTACACCCATAAATATATACAGTCATTATTTGTTAATAAAACATTTTTTAAAGTGGAAAAGTGGTTTCAGGTTCATTTTACTTCAGGAGGACTGGAAGGGAAAAACATAAGAATTCTCTGACAAGTCCTTTCCTCAATATGGGTCATGCATAATTTCCACACAGAAAGATCCCCTTCCTTTTTACAAAGCAAAAGCTCACAATAAAAACTGCAATGAATATAAGAACACAAGCCACCATGAATGAGAATCAGAATGAAAAATAGATAAGAATACTATTCTTTTGAAATTTATGTGGTAGAATTACATATAAACTCTCTAAGAATATTAAAATTATTAAAAAGCTCCAATACATCACACCAGACTTTTCAGTGAAAACCTTACAAGCCAGGAGAGAGTGGCATGACATATTTAAAGTGCTGAAGGAAAAAAAAACTTATACCCTAGCATAGTATATCTGGTGAAAATATCCTTCAAACATGAAGGAGAAATAAAGACTTTTCAGACAAACAAAAGCTGAAGGATTTCATTAACACCAGATCTGTCCTAAGAAACGTTAAAAGGAGTACTTTAATCAGAAAGGAAAAGACATTAATGAGCAATAAATAAGCACTTGAAGGTACAAAACTCACTGGTAATAGTAAGTACAGAGAAAAACACAGAATATTATAATGCTGTAACTGTGGTGTATAAACTACTCTTACTCTAAATGGAAAGACTAAAGGATGAACCAATCAAAAATAATAACTACAACGAGTTTTCAAGACATAGTACAATAAGATACATATAGAAACAACAAAATGTAAAAATGTAGGGGAATAAAGTGAAGGTGTAGAGGTTTTGTTCATTTTCTTTTTGCTTGTTTGTTTATGCAAATAGTGTTAAGTTTTTATGAGGTTAAAATAAGGGGTTATAAGATACTATTTGCAAGCCTCATGGAAACCTCAAATGAAAATCATACAATGGATACACAAAAATAAAAAGCAAGAAACTAAATCATATCACCAGAGAAAAACCACCTTCAGAGGAAGACAGGAAGGATAGAATGTAGGAAGAAACACCACAAAATAACCATAAAACAAATAACAAAATAGCAGGAGTAAGTCCTTACTTATCAATAATAACACTGAAAGTAAATGGACTAAACTCTCCAATCAAAAGACATAGAGTGGCTGAATGGATGAAAAAGCAAGTTCCATTGATCTGTTGCCTACAAGAAACATACTTAACCTATAAAGACACACAGAAACTGAAAATAAAGGGATGGGAAGGATATTCCATGCCAATGGAAACCAAAAAGAGTAGGAGTCACTACACTTACATCAGACAAAATAGATATCAAGACAAAAACTATAAAAAGAGACAAAGAAGGTCACTGCATAATGATAAAGGGGTCAATTCAGCTAGAGGATATAACAACTGTAAATATATATGCATGCAACCCTGGATCACCCAGATACATAAAGGAAATATTATTAGAGCTAAAGAGAGAAATAGATCCAAATACAATAATAGCTGGAGACTTCAACACCACACTTACAGCATTGGACAGATCTTCCAGACACAAAATTAACAAAGCAACATTAGACTTAATCTGCACTACAGATCAAATGGATCTAATAGGTATTTACAGAACATTTCATTCAACAGCTATAGAACACACATTCTTTACCTCCGCACATGGAACATTCTCAAGAATAGATGATATGTTAGTTCACAAAACAAGTATTAAAACACTCCAAAAAACTGAAATGCTATCAAGCATCTTCTCTGACCACAATGGAATAAAACTAGAAATCAATAACAAGAAGAATTTTGGGAACTATACAAATACATGGAAATTAAACAATATGCTCCTGAATGACTGATGGGTCAATGAAGAAATTAAAAAGGGAATTGAAAAATTTCTTGAAACAAATGATAATGGAAACACAACATACCAAAACCTATGGGACACAGCAAAAGCAATACTAAGAGGGAAGTTTATAGCTATAAGCGCCTACATCAAAGGGGGGAAAAACTTCAAATGAACAATCTAATGATGCATCTTAAAAAAATAGAAAAGCAAGAGCAAACCAATCTTAAAAATCAGTAGAGGAAAAGAAATAATAATAATCAGAGCAGAAATAAATGAAATTGAAATGAAAAAAGAATCTAAAGAATCAATGAAAAAGAAGTTGTTTTTTTAAAAGTTAAATGTAATTGCCAAAACTTTTGCCTGACTAATTAAGAAAAAAAGAGAAAAGATCCAAATAAAATCAGAAATTCAAAAGGAGACATTATAACTGATACTGCAGAAATTCAAAGGATCTTTAGTGGCCACAGTGAGCAATGATATGCCAATAAATTGGAAAATCTGGAAGAAATGGAAAAATGCCTAGAGGCATACAAACTACCAAGATTGAACCATGAAGAAATCCTAAACCTGAACACACCAAGTAATAAGATCAAAGCCAGAATAAAGTCTCCCAGTAAAGAAAATCCCAGGACCCACTGGCTTTAGTGCTGAATTCTATGAAGTATTTAAAGGACTAATACCAATCTTATTCAAACTATTCCAAAAAATAAAGGAAAAGGGAGTACATCCAAACTGATTCTATGAGAACAGTTACCCTTATACCAAAATCAGACAAAGATACATCAAGAAAAGAAAATGACAGGCCAATATCATTGATGAATATTGATGCAATTATCCTCAGCAAAATACCAGCAAGCCAATTTCAACAACACATTTAAAAGATCATTCATCATGACCAAGTGAGATTTATCCCAAGGATGTGAGGATGGATCAAAATACACAAATCCATCAATGTGATACTCATATCAACACAATGAAGGATCAAAGTCACATGATCATTTCAAGTGATGCTGAAAAAGCATTTGACAAAATTCAACATCCTTTCATGATAAAAACACTCAAGAGACTGGGGATAGAAGGAACATACATCAACATAATAAAAGTCAAATATGACAGACCAACAGCCAGCATCATACTGAATGGGGAAAAACTGAAAGCCTTTCCTCTAAAATCTGGAACATGACAAGGATGCCCACTGTCACCACTGTTATTCAACATAGTACTGGAAGTCCTAGCTAGAGCAATCAGACAAGAAAAGACATAAAGGCCATCCAAATTGGAAAAGATGAAGTTAAATTATCCTTGTTTACAGATGACGTGATCTTATATTTGAACAGTGAACAATACGAAAATGAAATTTAAAAAGGATTTCTATTTACAATAGATAATTCATAGAAATAGAAAAAAAATCATAAAATTTATGTGGAACCACAAAAGTCCCAGAATATCTAAAGCTGTCTTAAGCAAAAAGAACAAAACATTACCTGGCTTCAAATTACACTACAGAGCTATAGTAACCAAAACAGCATGGTACTGGCATAAAAACAGAAACATATACCAATGAAATAGAATAGAGAACCCTGAAACAAACCCAGACACCTACAGTGAATTCATTATCAAGAAAGATGCCAAGAACATACACTAGGGAAAAAACAATATCATCGAATAAATGGTGCTAGGAACTGGATATCCATATGCAGAAGAAAGAAACTAGACCTATATCTCTTGACATATACAAAAATCAAATCAAAATGAATTAAACGCTTAAATTTAAGACCTCCAACTATGAAACTACTACAGGAAAACATTGGGGAAAATCTTCAGGACATTGGTCTGGGCAAAGATTTCTTGAGCAATACCCCACAAGCACAGGAAACCAACGAAAAATGGACAAATTGGATCATATCAAGTTAAAAGGCTTCTACACAAAAAAGGATATGATCAACAAAGTGAAGAAACAACCCACAGAATGGGAGAAAATATTTACCAACTACCCACCTGACAAGAGATTAATAACCAGGACATATAAGGAGCTCAAACAACTCTGTAGGAAAAAAATCTAATAATCCAATTGAAAAATGGGCAAGAGATTTGAATAGACATTTCTCAGAAGACATACAATTGGCAAACAGGCATACAAAATAGTGTTCAACATCACTGATCATCAGAGAAATGCCTATCAAAACTACATGAAATATCATCTTACCCCAATTAAAATGGCTTATATCCAAAAGACAGGCAATAACAAAGGCTGGCAAGGATGCGGAGAAAAGAGAACACTTGTGTACTGTTGATGAGATGTAAATTATTACAACCACTATGGAGAACAGTTTGGAAGTTCCTCAAAAACCTTAAAATTTAGCTACCAGCAATTCCACTGGTGAGTATAAAATTCCTAAAAAAATTTAGGATCCAGCAATTCCACTGCTGAGTATAGACCCCAAAGAAAGGAAATCAGTATATCGAAGAGATACCTGCACTCCCACGTTTGTTGCAGCATCGTTCACAATAGCCAAGATTTGGAAGCAACGTAAGCATACATTAACAGATGAATGGATAGAGAAAATGTGGTACATATACACAATGGAGTACTATTCAGCCATAAAATAGAATGAGATCCAGTCATTTGCAACAACATGGATGGAACTGGAGATCATTGTGTGAAGTGAAATAAGCCAGGCACAGAAAGATAAACATTGTATATTCTCACTTATTTGTGGGATCTATAAATCAAAACAATTGAACTCATAGTCATAGAGAGTAGAAAGATGGTTACCAGAGGCTGGGAAGGGTAGTGGGGGTGTTGGACGAGGTGGAGATGGTTAATGGGTACAAAAAAAAAAAAAACAGAAAAAATAAAGAAGATCTACTATTTGATAGCACAACAGGGTGACTACAGTCAATAATAACTTAATGGTACATTTTAAAATAACTTAAAGAATGTTATTGTATTCTTGTAACTCAAAGGATAAATGCTTTAGAAGATGGATACCCCATTTGCCATGATGTGTTTATTTCACATTACATGCCAGTATCAAAGCATCTCATGTATACCATAAATATATATACATACTATGCATCCACAAAATTAAAAAAAAAAATGTTAGCCAGGCATGGTGGTGTGTGACTGTATTCCCAACTACTCAGGAGGCTGAGGCAGGAGTATCACTTGATCCTCAGAGTTTGAAACTGCAGTGAGCTGTCATCACACCACTGCACTCCAGCCTGGGCCACAGGGTGAGACCCTTTCTCAAATAAAACTGAAAATCACGAAAAGGGATATACAATTATCAAGAAAAAACATAGAAAGATTTGAAAACCAGTGAAATAAAACTTTCAGAAGTAAAAGAATACGGTTTTTGAAGTTAAAAATCAATGGATACGGTAAACAACACACTATACATAGCAGAAGAGAGTATTGCTGATTTGGAAGAGTGGTATGAAAAAATAACTTAAAGTAGAGTAAAAACAAAAAACAAATAAAATATGTAAATGCAGAGTGATAAGACACATAGAATAGAATAAGAATGTTCACCATCTCTCTAATATAATTTCCAAAAGAAGGGAATACAGAGCATGAAAGAGAGACAGTGTTTTAAAAGATAATGACATTAAGAACCATACAAAATCCCAAGCTGGATAAATAAAAAGAAATCCAGAAAATACAGCCAGACACACTATAATGAAACTGTGGTACACCAAAGACCAAAAGAATATCTTAAAAGCTATCTGGGAAAAAACAGACAGATTAAAGATATACTGATATCACATTCATTATCCAAAAGAGGTTAACCCAGAAGGTAATGGGGAGCTGAAAGAAAATAGTTGTATCCAGCTAAACTATCTTTCAAGATCAAGCTCAAAAGAAATAGGTTTGTGAACAACACTCAATTTAGTACCAACATAACATCATGAAGTAATTTATCCCTCACAGACACTAAAATCCTGAATGGCTGTTTCTGTTTCTCAACCTGGAGCTCAGCACCTCAGGACTTCAACTTCACTCACTGCTTCACATTTCTATTCCATTTTCTTATTTTCAGAGCTGACTGTATCATTTTTGCTTTCTATTTTTACATTTTATCACTCTCTGCTATGTGTTCAGGCCAGAGGGGTATATCAAATATGAAATCACTATGTTGTCCTAGCTAGACATTTCCCTATTTCTTTATATCTTCATTTTATTTTTTGTTAATTTTTTATTTAACTAGCTTTAGGGGTACTGGTGGTTTTTGGTTACATGAATGAATTGTATAATGGTAAAGTCTGGGCTTTTAGTGTACTCATCATCCAAACAGTACACACTGTACCAAATAAGTGATTTTTCACCCCTCAACCCTTCCAACTTTCCCCCTTCTGAGTCTCCAGTGTCTATTATACCACCCTGTTTGCCTCTGCACACCCATAGCTTAGCTTCCACTTATAAGTAAGAACATGTGTATACCTTCACTTTAACTTTCACATAACCTCCAGAATAATCTAGCTTGGTGCTTCTCAAACCACCTGCGGTGAAGGAGCAGTATCATGTTATTCTTTTTATAAAATTTCCAATAAATAACAGACTAACACTTTGTCCAATTCAACTGGTTACAAACTTGGAAGTAGCAGCAATGTCAAATTGCTATAAAAATTTTTAGATACTTAATCTCAATTTCTATATTTATTGTAGATCTATTGCAAACAGCTTTTGGTCCAGCACTGATGTGTGGATCATGCTTTGAGTAGTATTGGTCTAGCTAAAATTTAAATCTTAAAATGTCACTTAAAATGGATTCTCTTATAAGCAATGGATCCCCATTACTTGTAAGAGAAATTCTAAATTTTGTATGACAAGCCATATGAAGTCCTTTATGACCTGACTGTCTCTCCAATTGTTTCATCCCTTACATTTGTCTGTCTCTAACTTTAGAATCAGAGACAATTAAGCACTTACAGTTTTTTAATCATTAAGAATCAGTGGAAAAGCTGAAGAAGCTATTTCTAAGCTGAGCTTCCTGGAGTAAATTTCAAAGCTGGATTGCAAAACTGGGCCACCAAAGAAGCTGCTATTTCCTCTACATCAAGAAGCTTCTAAATCCAGGAGCATATAACCACTGCCATAATTTAAAAGCTACCATGATGAGTATGCAATCAATACTGGTGCCCCTGCATAATCACACCGTAACTGCTATAATCTACACCAGAAAAAATAATACCCCACATCTTTTTTTTTTCTTTTTTTTTTCTTTTTTTGAGACAGAGTCTCGCTCTGTCACCCAGGCTGGAGTGCAGTGGTGCGATCTCAGCTCACTCCAAGTTCCACCTCCCAGGTTCACGCCATTCTCCTGCCTCAGCCTCCTGAGTAGCTGGGACTACGGCGCCCGCCACCACGCCCGGCTAATTTTTCTGTATTTTTAGTAGAGATGGGGTTTCACCGTGTTAGCCAGGATGGTCTCGATCTCCTGACCTCGTGATCCGCCCGCCTCCGCCTCCCGAAGTGCTGGGATTACAGGGGTGAGCCACCACGCCCGGCCAATACCCCACATCTTGCCTCTCCACACTGATGAAGCTAGTTACTTGACATTGACACCGTTGCTAATGCTGCCTCAGAAAAACTCTGCCTTCCATATCTTACAGAAGTGCATCTGGTTAATTTAACCTTATATACATTCAGAATGTTAGCTACAAGGGAGTATGTGGAATGTACATTTTAATTTTTCAGCCTCTGCAGCACAAGAGCATTTGATTAGAGATAGATGTTTAAGGGTCGTATGTGTTTGAATATTATCCTAGAATTTGGACAGTATGCTGTGCAGTAGAAATTTTTAAACAAGAAACGAATACGAATCATTTACGTCATTTTCAAATAACTCTAGTGACCAAGTTTCTCTAGTGAGGAATAGAAAGGTAGCCTAAAAAGCAGTTGTGAGGCTATCATACAAAAGCAGGTAACAGAGGATGGGAATTTGAAATGGGGCAGTGAAAAAGGTGAGCAAAAGGGGAATGCTACTTCAAGACATCTCTTAGTAGAATAAACAAGACTTAGAGGAACCAATTAATAGTGAAGAAAATTCACCCAGGTTATGTTCACATGTGATATCAAAATATTCAGAATTTTTTGATGAAAATGTCATTCACAAGCTAGACATACATAGTTATCACATTATTTGGTTAGACATTCAAATAAAGTGCTATTTTGGTATTGTTTTAGATTTATTTTAGATTAATTTAGGAAAAACGAATTCATACTCCAATCTGGTCAGAATTTGATCAGCTGCATAATGCAATTTCACTTATTTCACAAACATAAAATAAAGCTGCTCTTTATTTATGATAAAGAAAGACATACTGGTGACTTGATACTAACAAGATGTTACAAACACAGAAGGAGCCAAATGTGACATTTTTCCCACAAGTCTGACCACCATGAGGCACACAGGGTGATCACAAAATAAAGCTAACAAAGCTCTTCCAAGAACTGAAACTTGGACAACATTGTATATTGTAGCCCGTCTTGGAGGGTCACCACATATACTAGCATATCAAAGGCTCCAAAAAGTCATGCAGCAAAAAAATGTTCAGTTTTGCTTAATCTAGTATTTTGCATCCTTTCAAGGTGATTAAACCCTTCATTATTAATTTATTAATAATATATCTATTTACATTCTGTGAAAACAGTGTAAGTTATAGTACAGTTTGAGGAATGAAAGTTTAGAAAAATGGCCTCCAAACTTTTAAATAATATGCCCGCAAGCACTATTATACATATATATTATATTTTACATATATTATACAACCACTATTGTACTTAAGTATTACATACATGGTATAACATACACAAAACACAAATTTAAGATTATGTAATATAGAATAATATTTTTTAAAATTTCTTTTTATCTATTCATGGCACAAAAATTCTATATTCATATCAAAGTAAACTTAGGAACAAGAAAAATTACAAAGGATAAAAATTGACATTACATAATGATAAAAGGATCAATTCACTAAGAAGACATAAGACTTCCAAACGTGTAAACCTCAAACAACAGATTTTCAAGATACATGATGCAAAATCTGACAGAACTGAAGGGAGGAACAAATAAATTCAAAATTGCAAATGGAAATTTCCAATAATCTTTTTTTAAACTTTTATTTTACGTTTGGGGTACACGTGCAGGCTTGTTATAGAGGTAAATTTTGTGTCATGGAGGTTTGGTGTACAAATTATTTCATCACCTAGGGAATAGGCATAATACTGATAGGGATCTTAGCTCACTGCAACCTCCGACTCCCAGGTTCAAGCGATTCTCCTGCCTCAGCCTCCCAAGTAGCTGGGACTACAGGCACACGCCATCATGTCCAGCTAATTTTTTTTTTTTTTTTGTATTTTTAGTAGAGACAGGGTTTCGCTATGTTGGCCAGGATGGTCTTGATCTCTTGACCTTGTGATCCACATGCCTTGGCCTCCCAAAGTGCTGGGATTACAGGCATGAGCCACCACACCCAGCCACCAGCAATTCTTTATACAACTGGTAAAATTTGGCTGTGAATTCATCTGGTCCTGGGCTTTTTTTTTGGGGGGGGAGGCGTTGATAGACTTTTTATTACTAATTCAACTTTGGAACTCATTACTGGTCTGTTCAGCAATTCAGTTTCTTCCTGGTTCCATCTTGGGAGGTGGAATGTTTCAAGGAATTTATTCATTTATTCTAGGTTTTCTAGTTTTTGTGTATAGAGGTGTCCATAGTAGTCTCTAGTGGTCTACAAATAGTATTATTCTTCCAAGGAACCAAGTGCTGGATTCCTTGATCTTTTGTATGGTTCTTTTGTGTCTCCATTTCCTTCAGTTCATCTCGGATTTTTGTTATTTCTTGTCTTTTGCTAGCTTTGGGGTTGATTTGTTCTTGTTTCTCTAGTTCCTCTAGGTTTGATGTTAGGTTGTTAATTTGAGATCTTTCTAACTTTTTGATGTGGGTGTTTAGCACTATAAATTTCCCTCTTAGCACTGCTTTAGCTGTCTCCCAGAGATTCTGGTATGTTATATCTTTGTTCTTACTACTTTCAAAGAATTTCTTTATTTCTTGCTTAATTTTATTGTTTACCCAAAAGTCATTCAGGAGCATGTTCTTTAATTTCCATGTAATTATATGGCTTTAAGTGATGTTATTAGTAATGATTTCTATTTTATTGCACTGTGGTCCTAGGGTGAGGTTGGTATGATTTTTTTTAATGTTCTTAGGATTTTTTTGGCTGATTATGTGGTCAATTTTAGAGTATCTGCCATGTGCAGATGACATGAATGCATACCCTGTTGATTTTGGGTGGACAGTTCTGTTAGGCCCACTTGGTCAACTGTCAAGTTCAGGTCCCTAATATCTTTGTTGATTTTCTGCCTCAGTGGTCTGTCTAATAATGTCAATGTGATGTTAAACTCTCCCACTGTTATTATGTGATTATCTACGTCTCTTCATAGGTCTCCAAGAACTTGCTTTATGAGTCTGCGTGCTCCTGTGTTGGGTACATATATATTTAGAATAATTAAGTCTTCTTGTTGAATTGAAATCTTTACCATTATGTAATGCCCTTCTTTGTCTTTTTTGATTGTTGTTGGTTTAAAGTCTGTTTTGCCTAAAATTAGAATAGCAACTCCTGCTTTTTTCTGTTTTCCATTTGCTTAGTAGATTTTTCTCCATCCCTTTACTTTGAGCCTGTGGGTATCATTGCATGTGACATGGGTCTCTTGAAGACTGCATACAGTTGGATCTTTCTTCTTTATCCATTATGCCAATCTGTGCCTTTTAATTGTACCATTTGGCCATTTATATTCAAGGTTAATATTGATATGGGTCAGTTTGATTCTCTCGCCATGTTGTTAGCTGGTTATTATGCAGACTTGATTGTGTGATTGCTTTATAGTGTCAATGGTCTATTATTTAAGTGTGTTTTTGTGGTGACCAATAATGGTTTTTCCTTTCCATATTTAGCACTCCCTCAAAGACCTCTTCCAAGGTAAGTCTGGTGGTAACAAATTCCCTTAGCATTTACTTGTCTGAAAAGGTTGGAATTTCTTTTTTTTTAATGAAAGCTGAATATAGACCCCCAGTCTCTTTTGCCTTGTCGGGTTTTTGCTGAAAGTTCCACTGTTAGCCTAATGGGGTTCTCTTTGTAGGTGACCTGCCCCTTTCCTCTAGCTGCATTTAACATTTTTCTTTCATTTCAATCTTGGAGAATTTGATGAATATGTGTCTTGGGGATGGTCATCTTGTATAATATGCCACAGGGGTTCTCTGCATTTCCTGGATTTGAATCATGGCCTCTCTAGGAAAGTTGGGGAAGGTTTTGTGAACAATATCTTGAAATATGTTTTCCAAGTTGCTTGCTTTATCTCACTTTTTGTCAGTAACACCAATGGGTCATAGATTTGGTCTCTATGCAAAATCCCATATTTCTTGGAAGTTTTATTCCTTCTTCTTCATTGTTTATTCCTTATTTTTGTCTGACTGAGTTATTTTGGAGAACTGGTCTTCAAGGTCTGAGATGTTTTGCTCAGCTTGGTCAATTCTGCTGTTAATATTTGGCCCTGTGGAGGGAGGCATGCCCCACTCCTCCACTGGCCTGTGAACCCAGGTGTCTCATCTCCTTCAGTGATCTGGGAGTGAAGGCTCCTCCCTGCATAGGCACTGCCCAAGCCAGCAAGTTCTGTTTGGCCAGGAGCTGTGGGGTGGGGGTGGTCACCTAATCTGCTATCCAAGTGCTTCCCTGGGGAACATGAGGTTGTGCCTGCTGACAGAGTTCAGGCAGAAGCAGGATTGCTGGCCCAGAAGTTCTAGTGGGATGGCCCATCTGGCTATGAGAGGTGGGAGTGGGTGGAATCACCTACTCTGCTGTCTGGTTGTTTCCTGACACAATAGGAGGTTGCACCCACTGTCTGAGTTTGGACAGAAGTGGGACTGCTGAGCTGAAAGCTCTAGCAGGCATTGCCCACCTGGCTATCAGTGGCAGGGGTGCTTGGGGTTGCCTGCCCTGCTGTCTAAGTGCTTCCTGGGACAAAGGCTGCTGCACCCCACTGTCTAAACACTGGCTGAGTTTAGACAGAACCAGAATCACTGGGCCAGAAGCCCTATCAGGTGTTACCTGCCTGGCTACCAATGGTGAAAATGGGTGTGGTCACCTGCCCTGCCATCTGGGTGCTTCCCAGGACAAGAGGAGGTTGTGCCCACTGTCTGAGTTCACGCAAAAGTGGAACCAGTGAGCTGGAAGATCTGGCAGGCATTGCCTGCCTGGCTACCAGTGACGGGGGTGGGTGGAGTCACCCTCCCTGCCATCCAGGTGCTTCTTGGGACAACAGGAGGCTTTGCCTACTGGCTAAGTTCAGACAGAAGCAGGACCACTGGTCTGTAAGCTCCAGCAGGCGTTGCCTGCCTGGCTACCAGTGGCAGAGAGGAACCCACCCTCCCCTTCAAGTTCCTCCCAGGACAACAGGAGGCTACAGCTGTTGGCCAATTTCTGGGAGAAGCAGGACCACTGGGCTGGAAGCTGATGCTGAGCCTTATCTGGTGAGGGGTGGTGGAGCAATCTTACTGCTCCTAGGCACTGCATCTGCAGCCTCTACAAGGGCTATGGTGCTGGTGCCAGTTTGTTCCAGGGTCTAAGGCTTGTAGAGGTCCCCTTGGATTTGAGAATTGCCTCCGCAAGATGTCCAGATGACTCTCTGCCTCAGTATAGAACCACAGTGGGGACATTTTGGGTGAGCCAGGGGGATTCTCCCATTCCCAGTCTTGCACAGGTCTCTGAAAAAATTTCCTTCCATTCTGTTGGTTGTCTGTTCACTCTTATGATAGTTTCTTTTGTTGCGCAGAAGTTCTTTAGTTTAATTAGATCCAATTTGTCAATTTTTGGTTTTGTTGCAATTGCTTTTGGCGTTTTTATCATGAAATCTTTGCCTGTACCTATGTCCTGAATGGTACTGCCTAGATTTTCTTCTAGGATTTTTATAGTTTTGGGTTTTACATTTAAGTCTTTAATCCATCCTAAGTTAATTTTCTTATAAGGTTTAAGGAAAGGGTCCAGTTTCAATCTTCTGCATATGGCTAGCCAGTTCTCCCAGCACCATTTAATAAATGGGGAATTTTTTCCCCATTGCTTGTTTTTGTCGGGTTTGTCAAAGATCAGAAGATTTTAGGTGTGCAGTTTTTCAATCCATCTGACAAAGATCTAATAATATCCAGACTCTACAAGGAATGTAAACAAATTTACAAGAAAAAAACAAACAACTACATTAAAAAGTGGGCAAAGGACATGAACAGACACTTTTCAAAAGAAGACACACTTGAGTAAGAAAGCTCTACATCCTGTACATGTACCCTGGAACGTAAAATAAACGTTGAAGGAAACAAAATAGAAACTGTCAACAGAGCAAAGTCTTGAGAACACAATTCACTGCTTTGTATTTAAAAGCCTATGTATGTGTTCTTTTAAAACTCTTTCCATTTGAACAGTGAAAAAAAAGAACCTACGAAGCAATGAAGTATTGATATAAGATGGGTGGATGTGTTAGTATAATGACACTGCCCATATTCAGGCTTCAACCTTTATCTAAGAAACTTTTGCCAACCTTTAGAGATATGTGTCAAAACTTCATCATTTGACTTCTCAAATAAAAAGTTACCAAAAATAAAAATAAAATAAGTTTTAAAATATTAAAATAAAAATAAGCAACCCCATTAAAAAGTGGGTAAAGGACATGAACAGACACTTCTCAAAAGAAGACATACATGTGGCCAACAATCATATGAAAAGAAGCTCAACATCACTGACCATTAAAGAAATGCAAATCAAAACCTCAGTGAGACACCATCTCATGCCAGTCAGCATGGCGATTATTAAAAAGTCAGAAAACAACAGAGGCTGGTGAGGTTGTGGAGAAAAAGGAAAACTTTTACACTATTGTTGGGAGTATAAATTAGTTCAACCATTGTGGAAGACAGTGTGGTGATTCCTCAAAGATTTAGAGGCAGAAATAGCATTTGACTCAGCAATCCCATTACTGGGTATATACTCAAAGGAATATAAATCATTCTATTATAAAGATACATGCACACGTATGTTCATTGCAGCACTATTCACAATATTAATGACATGGAATCAACCCAAATGCCCAACAATGATAGACTGGATAAAGTAAATGTGATACATAAGTAGCCATGGAATACTATATAGCCATAAAACAAACAAACAAACAAGCAAAACACTAGATCATGTCCTTTGCAGTGACATGGGTGGAACCGGAAGCCGTTACCTTCAGCAAACTAATGTAGGAACAGAAAATCAAACATGGCATGTTCTCACTTATAAGTGGGAGCTGAACGATGAGAACACATGGACACATGGGGGAGATCAACACACACTTTGGCCTGTCAGAGGATGAGGGTGAGGGGAATGAGAGCATCAGGAAGAATAGCTAATTGATGCTGGGCTTAATACCTAGATGATGGGCTCATCTGTGTAGCAAGCCACCGTGGCACACGTCTACCTGTGTGACAGACCTGCACAGCCTGCACATATACCCTGGAACTTAAAATAAAACTTGAAGGAAGACAAAACTGAAACTGTCAACAGAAACCTCAGCTTCCTTAGAAGAACAAAGCCTTGAGAAGAACACAATTCACTGCTTTGTATTTAAAAGCTCATATATGTGTTCTTCTAAAACTCTTTGCATTTGTACAATGAAAAAAAAAAGAATCTCAGAAGCAATGAGGTATTGATATAAGATGGAGGGATTCGTCTTCCAATGTGTTAGGATAATGACACTGCCCATACTCAGGCTTCAAACTTTATCTAAGAAATTTTTGTCAACCTTTAGAGATATGTGTCAAAACTTAATCATTTGACTTCTCAAATAAAAAGTTACCAACAAATAAACTAAGTTTAAAAATATGAAAAACAAAAATAAAAATATGCCAAATAAATATATTTTGGGGTAAAATACTTCAATTTCTTTCAGGGCCTGCTATCTGTCATGTGATACTATACTAGAGTCAGGTTGGAATTTGGTGTCTTATTGCTACAAAGTTTCTTTTGTCACTTTTAAGATCTCTGTTTTAATGTTAATGCTGGTCAGTTACGCTTGAATTCCAGAAGGAGGAGAGTATAATGAGTCTTGCCTGACCCCTCCTTCCCATCATGATCTGAACTCGTTTTTTCTAGTTAAATGGTTAAAAGGAGGGATTAATTCAGTCAGTTGGGGAGCTTAGAATTTTATTTTTGCTTAATGTCAGGCCTCTGAGCCCAAGCTAAGCCATCATATCCCCTGTGACCTGCACTTATATATCCAGATGGCCTGAAGCAAGAGAAAAATCACAAAAGAAGTGAAAATGGCCAGTTCCTGCCTTAACTGATGACATTCCACCATTGTGATTTGTCTCTGCCCCACCTTAACTGAGCGATTAACCTTGTGACATTCCTTCTCCTGGCTCAGAAGCTCCCCCACTGAGCACCTTGTGACCCCCGCCCCTGCCCACAAGAGAACAACCTCCTTCTTTGACTGCAATTTTCCACTACCCACCCAAATCCTATAAAACTGCCCCACCTCTATCTTCCTTGTTGACTCTCTTTTCGGACTCAGCCCGCCTGCATCCAGGTGAAATAAACAGCCTTGTTGCTCACACAAAGCCTGTTTGGTGCTCTCTTCACACGGACACCCGTGACACTTACAGCACACAACAATCTTCTATGCAGATGGACTGAGTGAAGCCACTAGTGTCAGTCTGTATATTAACTGCGGATTATGCTTCATTTATTTCTTATATGCTAAAGAAAACTCCTAATATTTTCTTCCCACAACACAGTGGATCATTCCACATACTCCAACTCAGAAACTTCTAAGCTAAAAATTTAAGTGTCAAAAGGACCTGGTTATAAAGGAATTTCACCTCTCAGATGCTCCCATGGAGTTCACCCACAACAGACAAAACACACTGAGCCTGAAGTGAAACTTTGTAAAAAGTAGGTATGTATAAGGTTAAAATAATCCTTTGGAGAACACACTGCATTTTTGTTAAGTTGTCAAGCAGTAGGTCTCTATGCCTCCTTGTGTGTTGTGCTGTGACTATCTTCTAAATACCACATTCCACTGTCAGCTTGATATTTAAAACCAGCTGGCCTCACTCCACCACCATCCATTATGTAGCATTGTTTTACAAGAAATGTAACTTCTCTGGCAGCAGACATGTTGATCCCAAAGAAACTGTTTTTCACATTTTACTGTATGTATTTTTGAAATATATTTATACTAGACACAGAAGAAGTAACCTTGAAACAACTGAACTTATTCAAACAGTTCATAGATTTATACATACTGCTCCATTCTCTCAGGATAATTTTATTTTAAATTTTTTTAAAATAAAGCTTAAAACCCCATCTTTGTTGGCTCAGATGCTTACATGGGAGTTGGCTCATAATGCTTTCTCATTTGGAATAATCTTCTGTTGCTAAGAGATTTGCATATGCTTACGGATGACTTAAGACCATTGGTAGAAAATGTACTCAGAAACTAATCTATGAGAAGCCATTTTTATACAAAGAATTTTGGTCGGGTAGACTTTCAAAGAGAAAGTATTTTCCTTTTCTTTTAACAACAGTGGGAGCTCGAATCTGAAATATAAGCATAATGCATCCCTATCAAGGTCAATTTGATTCAGTATTCAAGGTGGCAGTGACCCTGTTAAAGTCAAATTTTCCTTCTAAATCCCAAATATTTGTTCTAAACAGAATGAATAGGAAAGTGGAAATACTTAATTGCACACATTTATTGTCTCATATTTTCTGTGGACCAGGAATCCAAGCATAGCTTAACTGTGTCTTCTGCTTCAGGGTGTTCTCCAAGGCTTCAAGCAAGGTGTCAGCCAGAACTGAGTCTCATCTAAAAACTCAACCAGTGTAAGATCCACTTATAAGCTCACTACATGATTGCAGAGAGGATTCTGTTCTTTTTCTTTTCTTTTCTTTTCTTTTAAAGACAGGGTCTCACTCTGAAGGGTAAAGTGCAGTGGCTTGACCACAGCTCATTGCAGCCTCGACATCAGGGTTCAAGTGATCCTACCACCCCAGCTTCTGAGTAACTTGCACTGCAGGCATGGACCACTATGCCTGGCTAATTTTTAAAATTGTTTATAGATACAAGGTCTTGCTATGCTGCCCAGGTTGTTCTTGAACTCCTGGCCTCAAGTGATTTTTCCTGCCTCGGCCTCCTGAAATGCTGGGATTACAGGCATGAGCCACTGCACCCAGCCAGGATTCAGTTCTTTTTGGATTACTGGACTGAGGATCTCAGTTAACTACTGGCTATTAGCCAGAGGTCCACCTCAGTTCTGTGCCACGTGTGTCTCCTAAATAAGACACTTTGCCTCACAAAGCTAGCAAAGGAGAAAGTCTGATAGCAAGACAAAGGCTACAATCTCTTATAAGCTAATGACAAAATTACATCTCTACAAAGTTGAGATAGTCTATTGTCTAGAAGCATGTTACTCAAGGTCATACGTATTAAGAGATAGGAGTATTTGAGGGCCATCTTAGAAGCTACCTATCACACTGAAACACAATATCCCTCTCCCTTTCCTTATGGCTACTTTTAGCTTTCTCATTTTTAATGACATATACAGGGAATGCAACAATTAAAAAATCTATTTTACTTACTAGCAATAATGTACCAGTGAATTTAGCCAGATTCAAGTTAAAAGAAAAAAGGCAGATGGAAATTTAGATCATGTGTTTTTCTTTTTTGACTCCTAATGTCAGTATACATTTTTCTTTCTGGATTTGTAATCTCTACCACTAGTAGGGTCTGAATATATTTTTTCTTAAAGTTAAAGAAATTGCCTGGCACAATGGCTTATGCCTATAATCCAACACTTTGGGAGGCTGAGGCAGGCGGATTATTTGAGGTCGGGAGTTCTAGACCAGCCTGGCTAACATGGTGAAACCCCGTCTCTACTAAAAATAGAAAAATTAGCTGGGCGTGGTGGCACATGCCTGTAGTCCCAGCTACTTGGGAGGCTGAGGCAGGAGAATCGCTTGAACCTGAAAGGTGAAGGTTGCAATGAGCCGAGATCTTGCCACTGTACTCCAGCCTGGGCAACAGAGCAGGACTTCGTCTCAAAAAAAAAAAAAAAAAACAACAGTTAAAGAAATTAAAAATGGAACAAAACATTTTGCAGCATGATAGTTGCAAGTCAAGAAAATGTCACTAGCTCCCATTCAGCAAACTTAATGACCAAATGTATTAGAATCACTGGCTTGATTTTGGGTTTCTCTGATAAGCAGCCCAAGTATTTGAGTGTAGGTTTTGGTTTCCTAAAATGGTTTTGTTTGATTGTTTGTTTTACTGAGAGGCAATACCAGGAAACACTGATAAGGTGTAAGGAAATGAGAATGAAAGTGAATGCAAAGAGTGTTTTTTTGTTTGTTTGCTTGTGTTTTTTTGTTTTTGTTTTTGTTTTTCTTTTTGTTTTTTGCTCACTGCAAGCTCCACCTCCCGGGTTCATGCCATTCTCCTGCCTCAGCCTCCCGAGTAGCTGGGACTACAGGTGCCTGCCACCATGCCCAGCTAATTTTTCGTATTTTTTTAGTAGAGATGGGGTTTCACTGTGTTAACCAGGATGATCTCGATCTCTTGACCTTGTGATCCGCCTGCCTCGGCCTCCCAAAGTGCTAGGATTACAGGTGTGAGCCACCGCGCCCGGCCAAGAGTGTGTTTTTAAGTTAGTTGTCGTTGTGGTTAACTGAAGTTCAGTTCCAGAGGGGAACAGTGAAAGACAATAAAGAACATACCTCAGCAATCTGGCAGAATAGGAGATCTCAGGCTTCACTAACCTCCACAAAAGTTCAACTGACAAATATCCACAACTAAGAACACCTTTGTGAAAACCTCAAAACTTGGAAATAAGCCTGATATACCTGTGTGGACCACAGAACCAAATAAAAACCACAAGAGAGGGTAAAAGAAATGATCTCACTGGTTGTGTCACCCCTCTTCCTTCCACAGTGTCACACAGAGAGAATTCTTCAGGAGTCATAGTTTCTACAGTGGGGAAAGAAAACCAGAGGTGGACATCCAGCTTCCCTAGCATTTTGAGATGCTTCCCAGGAAGCCCACTTTACTCTCACCTCACAGGGAACACAAGAGGTATTGGCATGACTAGACTACCTAGGGTCAGGTAGAAACAAAGCAAGAACACAGTGACCAGTATACAGATATTTGTGTTAGTTCTTTGTAATTGCCAGTAATGGCACATGATCAGAGACAACAGTCAACAGCATAGCTCATCTTCAAAGCTGAGCTGGCTGTTCCCAGAATTGGTGGGAAGTTCTGCCTGGCTTGAATCTCCAAACAGCCAGCCTCCAGGCCCAGCCTTAGACCCTACCCCAGGGCCCCATCAAGGGACAGCACAATTTGGCAAAAAGCAGGGGCTAGTTCTGCCACACACAGGAGTTTAAACAGTGTTTGGCATGGCTTCAAAGCCCACTTGAAGACCTTGTCCTGGAAAGGTATGATGGACTGCCACAGTGAATGTTGGCAAACAGCAGTGGCTAGTTCTGCCACAACCAAGAGTTTAAACAGCACCCAACTCAGCCTCAAACTCAGCCTGCCTAGGCACTGCCCAGGGAGAGAGATGCCCACCACAGTGCATTTTGGCAAAGTGCAGAGGCTACTTCTGCCACACCTAGGAGTTTAAACAGTGCTTGGCCCATCCTCAAAGCCCACCACAAGGCCCCATCTAGGCAGGGAGGCAAACCTCAACAGTGCATTTCTACTTAGCATAGCAGCTGGTCCCATCCATCCCAAGCAGTGATTCTGCCTAACCTGAAGACCCAGCCTACAGCCCTGTCCAAATACAAACTTCAAACAGTGGTGCTACCTGGCCATGGAATACACCTTGTGGTCAAGCCCAATAAAAGGCAATTGCAGTAACCTGCCAGCAGCTCTGACTTATTAAAGAGCTCAGCCAGTGGTCTTACCTGACAGTGGAGCTGAGTCAGCAGCCCCATCCCAAATCAGAGCTAAGGCAGTAGCCCAGCTATCTAGAGAATCCAAAAGCAAGCTCTTCCTGCCCAGGGTCATTATGAGTTGGCCCACAAAGAATCATAGGCCAGGCTAAATAGTGAAGGTTTATCCCTGACAAAGAACACTTGTAAAAGTCAGAAGAGGTGGCTGTCTCTCCAAATGCACAGACACAAATGCAAGGACACAAGGTTTACAAAGAATCACGAAATCATGACACCTCTAAAAGAAACTAACAAAGTTTCAACAGTGAACCCTTAAAAATGGAAGTCTATAAAATGACAAAGAATTCAGAATAATCATCTTGAGGAAGTTTAGTGAGCTACAAGAATGTATGAAGTAAAAAATTAAATGCAGTTTGGAAAACAGTGCATGAACAAAATGAAAAAGAGTAACAAAGAAATAGAAAAAATAAAAAGTAAAACTCCTAGAGATGAAAAATACAATGACTGAAATGGAAATGCAATAAAAAGCTTTAATAGTAGGCTCAATCAAGCAGAAGAAAGTATAAGAGAGCTTGAAGATGATTCTATACATAGAAATCCCTAATGACTCTGAAAAAGGATCCTAGAACTGATAAACAAATTCAGTAAAGTTTCAGGATACAAAATCAATGTACAAAAATCAGTAGCATTTTTACACACTAATAATGTCTAGCTAAGAACCAAATCAAGAACACAAACTCATTTATAATAGCAACAAAAAAAAATGAAATACATAAGAATTTATCTAACCAAGGAGGTGAAAGATCTCTACAAGGAGAACTACAAAACACTACTGAAAAAAATTAGATATGATACAAATAAATGGAAAAATATTCTATGCTCATGGACTAGAAGAAAATACATAGTTGAAATGGCCATATTGCCCAAAGCAATTTACAGGTTCAATGCTACTCCTATCAAAATACCAATATCATTTTTCACAGATTTAGAAAAATCTATTATAAAATTTATTTGGAACCAAAAAATAACCCGAATGGCCAAAGCAATCCCAAGCAAAAAGAACAAAGCCAGAGGCATCGCATTGCCCTGCTTCAAACATCTGAAATTGTCCAACGAACAAAGCAAAAATAAGAAGCAAACTAAAAAGAATGAAGAAAGCCTATGAGAACTCTGGGACACTATCAAGAGACCTAATTACCACATAACAGTAATTCCAGAAGGAAAAGTGAGAACAAAGGGACCAGAAGCATATTTTAAAAAATAATGGCTGAAAACCTCTCAAATCTTAGGAAAGATGCCAACATCCAGGTAGAGGTAGCAGAGAGGTCACCAACAATATTCAACCCAGAGTTCACCAATGCACAAAATAATGAAACTATCAAAAATTAAAGACAAAGAAAAAATTCTGAAAGCATCAAGAAATAAGAAATACATTATCTACAAGGGAGTTCCAATATGACTATCAGCATATTTCTCAGCAGAAACACTGCAGGACAGTGATATGGTTGGATATTTGTACCTGCCCAAATCTCATGTTGAAATGTAATCTCCAATCTTGGAGGTGGGGCCTGCTGGGAGTTGTTTGGATCATTGGGGCAGATCCCTCATGAGTGGCTTCAGTCATCCCTTTGGTGATAAGCGAACTCTTTGTTGAGTTCACATGAGATCAGATTGTTTAAAAGTGTGTGGCATCTCCCCCTGACTCTCTCTCTCACCTCTGCTTTCACCATATGACAAGCCTGCTCTCCCTTTACCTTCTGCCATGACTGTAAGCTTCCTGAGTCTTCTCCAGAAGCCAAGCAGATGTGGTCACATGCATCCTATAAAGCTTGCAAAACTATAAGCCAATTAAACATCTTTTCCTTATAAATTATGCAGGCTCAGGTATTTCTTTATAGCAATGCAAGAATAGACTAATGCAGAAAATTGGTAAAGAGTAGAGGATTGCTATAAAGATACCTTAAAATGTGGGAGCAGCTTTGTAACTGGGTAGCAGACAGAGGCTGGAAGAGTTTGGAGGACCCAGAAGAAGACAGGAAGATGAATGAGTGATTGGAACTTCTTAGAGACTGACTAAGTGGTTGTGACCAAAATGCCAATAGTGATATGGACAGTGAAGTCCAGGCTGCTGAGGTCTCAGAGGGAAATGAGGAACTTATTGGGAACTGGAGCAAAGGTCATGCATGTTATGCCTTAGCAAAGAGACTGGATGCATTCTGTTCATTTTCTAGGGAATCTGTGGATGTTTGAACTTAAGAGTCATGACCTATGGTATTGGCAGAAGAAATTTCTAAGGAGCAAAGCATTGAAGATTTGACCTGGCTGCTTCTAACAACCTATGCTCAGATGCAGGAGCAAAGAAATGATTTAAAGTGGGAACTTATATTTAGAAAGAAAGCAGAGCATAAAAGCTTGAAAAAATTGCAGGTGATGTGGCAGAGAAAGAAGAAACTTTTTCAGGAGAGGAATTCAAGTGGGCTGTGGAGCAATCATTTATTAGAGATATTTGCATAACGAAAAGGGAGCCATGTGCTAATAGCCACAATAGGGAGAACACCTTGAAGGCATTTCGGAGACTTTTGTGGCAGCTCCTCCCATCACAGGCCGAGGCCTAGGAATGAAGAATGGCTTTGTGGGCCAGGCCCAGGGCCCTGCTGCCCTGTGCAGCCTCAGAACACTTCTCCCCACATCCCAGTTGCTCTGTCTCCAGCCTTGGCTGAAAGGGCCCCAGATACAGTTCAGGCTACTGCTTCAGAAGATGCAAGCCATAAGCCTTGGTGGCTTCCATATGGTGTTAAGCCTGCAGGCATACAGGGCACAAGAGTGGAGAGTGGTGGATTCTTAGCAGCCTCTCCCTAGGTTTCAGAGGATGTATGGAGAAGCCTCAGTGTCCAGGCAGAAGCCTGCTGCAGAGGTGGAGGCCTCACAGAGAACCTCTACTAGGACAGTGCAGAGGGGAAATGTGGGGTTGGAGGCTCCATACAGAGTCCCCACTGGAGCACTGCCTAGTGGAGCTGTGGGAAGAGACCCATCATCCTCCAGACCCCAGAATGGTAGAACAAATGGCAGCTTGCATCCTTAGCTTGGAAAAGCCACAAATATTCAATGCCAACCTGTGAGATCAGCCCTGAGGCCTTAACCCTGCAAAGCCACAGAGGAAGAGCTTCCCAAGACCTTGGGAACCCACTTTTGCACCAGTGTGCTCTGGATGTGGAACATGGAATCAAAGAAGATTATTTTAGAGCTTTAAGATTTAATGACTGCCCTGCTGGGTTTTGAGCCTGTGTGGGGCCCATTGCCCCTTTCTTTTGGCCAATTTCTCCCTTTTGGAGTGGGAATGTTTATCCAATGGCTATACCCCTATTGTATCTGGGAAGTAACTAACTTGTTTTTTATTTTACAGGCTTCTAGGTGGAAGGGACTTGCCTTTTCTCAGATGAGACTTTGGACTTGGACCTGGGACTTTTGAGTTAATGGCGGAATTAGTTAAGAATTTGGGGGATGATTGGGAAGCATGACTGTATTTTGCAATGTGAGAAGGACAAGAGGTTTGGGGAGGAGTAGGGGGAGAATAATATAGTTGGATATTTGTTTCTGCCCAAATCTCATGTTGAAATGTAATCCCCAATCTTGGAGGTGGTACCTGGTGGGAGGCATTTGGATCATGGTGGTGAATCCCTCATGAATGGCTTCAGCCATCCCCTTGATGATAAGTGAGCACCATGCTTCCTATAAAACTTGCAGAACTATGAGCCAGTCAAAGCTCTTTTCTTTATAAATTTTCTTTATAAATACCCAGTCTCAGATATTCTTTATAGCAATGCAAGAACAAACTAATAGAGACAGGAAGGAGTAGAATGATATATTCAAAGTGCTCATAGAAAATAATTGCCAACAAAGAACACTTTACCTGACAAACCTGACTTTCAGAAGTGAGAAAGAAATGAAAACCTTCCCAAACGAACAAAAGCTGAGGGAGTTCATCCCCACTAGGCCTGCCTTACAGAAATTACTAAAGAGAGTTCTTTAAGCTTTACCTAAAGGCCAAGGCCTCTAATTAATAACATAAAACATACAAAAGTACAAAACTCAATAGTATAACTAATACAAAATCACATTCAGAATACTCTGGATTGGTGGTTTGTAAAGCAATTTTATCTCTAGTATAATAATTAATAGACAACTCTACTACAATAACTATAGCAAAAATTAATTGTCTTGGGATACCAATTACAAAATTGTGTATTTTTTGACATCAAAAACTTAAAATGTTGGGGGGAAGTAAAAGTATACAGCTATTTTGTGCTCTCAAAGTTAAGTTGTTATTAGCTTGGAATAACCTGTTATAAGTATAAGATATTTCATGTAAGCCTCTTGATAACCACAAAACAAGAATCTACAGTAGATGTACAAAACATAAATAGAAAGGATTCAAAGCATAACATTACAGAAAATTATCAAATCAGAAAGCAAGACAGCAAAAGAGAAAGAAACAAAGTATATACAAAACAACCAGAAAACAAATTACAAAATGGTAGTAGTAAATCCTTACCAACAAAGAATTACTTTTAATGTAAATGAATTAAATTTTTCAATAAGAAGACATGGAATGGCCAGAAAACCCAACTATATACTACCTATAAGAGACTCACCTTGCCTTGAAGAGCACATATAGACTAAAAGTAAGGGGATAGGAAATGATATTCCATGTAAATGAAAAACCAAAGGATAACAGGTGTAGTTATACTCGTATCAGACAAAATATACTTTAAGTGAAAAAGAGACAAAGATGGTCATTATATAATGATTAAGGGATCAATTCATCAAGAGGATATAACAATTGTAAATATATGCACACCCAACATTGGAGCACCTTAACATAGAAAAGAAATGTTAAAGGATCTGAAAGGAGAGATAATTGCAATACAGTAATAGTAGGGGGCTTCAGTACCCCACTGTCAACAATGGACAGATCATCTAGACAAAAGTTAATAAGGAGCCTGGGCGCAGTGGCTCACACACCTGTAATCCCAGCACTTTGGGAGGCCAAGGAGGGTGGATGACTTGAATTCAGGAGTTTGAGACCAGCCTGGCCAACATGGTGAAACCCCATCTCTACTAAAAATACAAAAAGTTAGCCAGGCGTGGTGGCATGCACCTGTAATACCAGCTACTTGGGAGGCTGAGGCAGGAGAATCACTTGAAGCCAGGAGGCAGAGGTTGCAGTTAGCCAAGATCACGCCATGGCACTCCAGCCTGGCTAATGAAAAAAAACTCTGTTTCAAGAAAAATTCATAAGGAAACATTTGACTTGAACTACACTTTAGACCAAATGAACCTAACAGATATATACAGAACATTCCATACAAAAGTAATAGAATGCCCATTTTTCTCAAGCACACACAGAACATTCTCCAGGATGGGTCATATGTTAGGCCACAAAACATGTCTGAACAAATTTAAGAGGATCAAAATCATATTAACTACCTTTTCTGACCACAACGGTATTAACCTAGAAACCAATAAGAGGAGAAATTTTGAAAATCCATAAGTATGTGGAAATTGAACAACATGCTCTTGAATAACCAATGGGTCAAAGAAGAAATCAAAATGCTTATACACTTCTGGTGGGAATATAAATTAGTTCAGCCATTGTGGAAAGCAGTTTCACAATTTCTGAAAGAAGTTAAAACAGTATTGCCATTTGTCCCAGAAATCCCATAATTGGGTATTTACCCTAAGGAACATAAACCATTGTACCATAAATGCACATGCACCCATATATTTATCACAGCACTATTCACAATAGCAAAGACATGGAATCAACCTGAATGCCCACCAGTGGTAGACTGGATTTTTTTTTTAAATTTGGTACATAGACACCATGGAATACTACACAGCCACAAAACAGAAGGAGATCATGTCCTTTGCAACAACATGGATAAAATTGGAAGCCATTACTCTAAGTGAACTAACACTAGAACAGAAAACCAAATACCACATGCTCTCACTTATAAGTGGGAGCTAAACACTGAGTACATATGGACACTAAGAAGGGAACAACAGACATCAGGGCCTACTTGAGGGTGGAAAATGGGAGGAGGGTGAGGATTGAAAACTACTTATTGGGTGCTATGCTTATTACCTGGTTGATGAAATAATCTGTACACCAAACTCCCATGACATGCAATTTACCTATATAACACACCTGCACATATATCCCTGAACCTAAAATAAAAGTTTACAAATAAAAATTAAAATTAAGAAAGGGAAATAAAAAAAATATCCTGAGACAAAAACAATAATGGAAACACAACATACAAAAACTTGTGGGATGCATCAAAAGCAGTTCTAAGAGGAAAATTTATAGCAATAAATGCCTAACAACATAATATTACACCTCAAGAAACTAAAAAAAGAACAAAAAACTAAGCCCAAAGTTAGCAGAAGGAAGGAAATAACAAAGATCAGAGTAGAAATAAATAAAATAGAGACTAGAAAAACAGCAGAGAATATCAATAAAGCTGAGTTGGTTTTTAGGAAAGATAAACAAAGTTGATAAACCTTTAGCTTAACTAAGAAAAAAAGAGAGAAGACACAATAAAATCAGAAGTAAAAGAAGGGAAATTACAACTGATACCACAAAAATATGAATGCCCATAAGAGATTACTATGAATACTTATGTGTCAACAAATTGAATAATGTAGAAATAATGGATAAATTCCTAGATACATACAATTTGCCAAGACTGAATTATACAGACATAAAAAATATGAAGAGACCAACATAAGTAAAGGATTGAATCAGTAATCAAATGCCTCCCATCAAAGAAAAGCCCAGGACCTCATAACTTCACTGCTGAATTCTACCAAACATTTAGGAAAGCTAATACCAATCATTCTCAAACTCTTCCAAAAAATACTAGAGGAGGGAATACTTCAAAACTCTTTTTATGAGGCCAAATTCAGACAAGGACATTATAAGAGAAGAAAATTACAGGACAATATCCCTGATGAACATAGATGCAAAAATCCTCAAAAATACTAGCAAACAAAATTCTACAGCATATAAAAAGAATTATTCACTATAATCAAATGGGATTTATTTCAGGGGTGCAATGATGTTTCAACATACCAAATCAATAAATGTGATACAACATATTAACAGAACAAAGAACAAAACCATACAATCATCTCATCAAATAAAAAAAAATCATTTGGCAAAATTCAACATTCTTTCATAGTAACAACTCTAAACAGATTAAGTATAGAAGGAATATTTTTCCACATAATAAAAGCTAACATGACAATCTGATAGCTGACATTATACTCAATAGTGAAAAGTTGAAAGCTTTTCCTCTAAGATCAAGAACAAAGATATCCATTCACATCACTTCTATTCAACATAGTACTGAAAATTCTTGCCAGAGCAATTAGGCAAGAGAAAGAAATAAAAGGCATACGAACAGGAAACGAAGAAGTGAAATTGTTGCTGATTGCTAATGACATGATCTCATGTATAGAAAGTCCTAAAGACTATAAAAAAAAACTGTTAGAACTAATAAACAAATACAGTAAAGCTGTAGGATATAACATCGAAAGTCAATAGCATTTCTATACTCCAACAGCACACTAGCTGAAAAAGAAATTAAGAAAGCAATCCCATTTATACTTGCTACAAAAATATAAAATATTTAGGAATAAATTTAAACAAGGAAGTGAAAGATCTGTACACTGAAAATTACTAAACTGAAATTGAAGAAGACATAAATAAATGAAAAGATATTCGATGCTCATGAATTGAAATAATTAATATTGTTAACATTTCCTTACCACCCATAGCTATCTACAGAGTCAATGCAATCTATTAAAATTCCAATGTAATTTTTCACAAAAATAGAAAAACAATTCTAAAATTCATATAGTACCACAAAAAAACACAAATAGTAAAGCTAATCTTGCACAGGAAAAAGCTAGAGGCATCCCACTGCCTGACTTCTAAGTATATTACAAAACAATAGTAATTAAAACAGCATGGTACTGGCATAAAAGTAGACACATCAATAAAGGGAACAGAATAAAAAGCCCAAAAGTGAACCCAGGCATTTACAGCAAATTGATTTTTCAACAAAAATGGCAAAAATACACAATGGCAGATGGACAGTCTCTTCAATGAAGGGTATTGGAAAAACTGGATATCTGCATGCAGAAGAATGAGATTGGACTCTTACCTCACACTATATGCAAAAATCAACAAAAAATGGATTAAATACTTAAACATATACCTGAAACTATAAAACTACTAAGAGAAAGCAGTGTGGGGGGGAGGAATTATATGATATTGGTCTGGACAATGATTTTTTGGATTTGACCCCCGAAGCTCAAACAACAAAAACAAAAATAGACAAATGGTATTACATCAAACCAAAAAGCTTCTGCACAGCAAAGGAAACAGTTAACAGACTGAGGAGACAACCTATGGAATGAGAGAATATATTTACAAGCCACTCATCTGATAAGACATTAATATCCAAAGTATATTTTTAAAAAGTTTAAAAAACTCAAACAACTCAATAGTAAGAAAACAAACAACCTGCTTAAAAGATGGGCAAAGGGTCCAAATATAAATTTCTCAAAAGAAGACATACAAATGGCCAACAGGTATTATGGAAAAAAAAAATGCTCAACATCACTAGGCATTAGGGAAATGCAAATTAAAATCACAATGAAATATCATTTGACACTTGTCAGAATGGCTACCATTAAAAAGACAAAAGATGACAACTGTTGGAAATATTGTGGAGAAAAGGGACTTCTAGTACACTGTTGGTGGGAATGTATATTAATACAGCCATTATGCAAAACAATGAAGTTTCCTCAAAAAACTAAAAAATGGAGTTACCATGTGAACCAACAATACCACTTCTAGGTACATATGCAAAGGATTTGAAATCAGTATGTCAGAGAGATATCTGCACTCACGTGTTTATTACAACATTATTCACAATGGCCAAGTCATGAAATCAACCTAAGTGTTCATCAACTGATGAATGAATAAAGAAAATGTGGTATATATAGACAATGGAATACTATTCAGCCTTAAAAACAGGGAAATTAGGTCATTTGTGATGACATGGATGAACCTGAAGCACCTTATGCTAAGTTAAATAACCCAGTCACAGAAAAACAAATACTGCATATTCTCACTTATATGTGGAAGCTAAAAAAAATTGAACACATAGAAGCAGAGAGGAGAATTGTAATTTCCATAGGCTGGGGCATGGGAGCAAAGGTCCAAGGGGACAATGTTTTAGTTAGGCAGGAGGAAAAAATAAGTATTTTAGGTAATTGCTATTTTATTTAGCTTGATTCAATTAATCCACAATATGTACATATATCACAGCATCACTGTACCCCATAAATATGTATAATTATAATTCATCAATATCCAATAAAAATAGATAAGTATATAAATAAAAGAACATTCTTTATAGTTATCCTAAGAATGAGAACTCACTGTCATTGGTTGAAGGCTGCTTCCAGAAGCATTAACTCTCTGGCATTTTATGCTTACTGTGTGTAAGGGCTGAGTATACCCTGTTAGCCAAAGGGGTAAGAAAGCCCTCTGACAGTGTCACAGGTGTTCCCTGTAACAACTTTCAGCAGGTAGAGATGAATGTGGAGAAAATACAGATGGAGTACCAATAGCATCTGCTAGTCATTGTAACTGAAGAGATGCCAAGAGGCCACTCAGTCATCTCTCTGCTTTTTAAAATGGCTGTACCTAAAACCACCCCTATGGAGACAAGCAACTCTTATTTCATGCCAACTTACCTCACACATTCCTGATTGCGGTAAACAAGTGGTGAGATACAACTAGAATGTGAAATGTACAGTGAGCTCTGAAACCCTCCCAAAAGAGCTTGTGCTTCAAAACAAAAGCAATGGTTCCAAGTAGCAACAACTCTAATGCTTCATCAATCCTTACATTGTACAGGCCCTGGAAGATAAATGACAGGCTACAAAGTAACCTGAGAAGTAATGATAGGCCACAGCAGCCCTAAGGTACCTTGGGAAGTTGGGACAAATCACAATAGCCCCCAAATATTCTGGGAAGTAGTAATGGGCCACATTAGCACCCCCAACACACCCTGGGAGGGAGTACTGGATTACATCAGCCCCAAGGTACCCTGGGTGTTTGGGATGGCCCACATCAGACCCAAGATAAAAGGAATCTCTGATTTTCTAATCCAAAGGTGTATTTCACATACAAAGCACACTGGAAAATATAATCAGCAATAGGCACTCTCTGACAGGCAAGCATTTCTCCAGGCATCTAAATAGCAGCTGACCTCAAGTTATAACTGAACTAAGATTCCTAAACAAAACTAAGCTTTTCCCTAACTTAAATGGAATAAACATACGAAGACACTGGTAAAATGATTAACAGCTCCCCAAAGCAGAGTCTTATTTTGTTTACCTTCGTATTTCTAGTCCAGTCACTGGTATAATAAATAGGTATCAAATGAATGGATGAAAGCCTTAGTCTAATTTTTTAAGACAGAAACTACCAATAATTATTTCTTTGGCATAAAAGGTGTGGAGTCTATTTTCAAATACATGCAGGAATCAATGAGTTAAGTAAAGTGAAACAGATTTCTTTACTTCACAAATTCTCAGAGCCTTTAATATGTTAAGCTATATTTTAAGTCACCAGGCCAGGGAGATGACACATGCATAATTCCCTGAACTTATTTAACCACTAAACTCATTTTTCCCTTATGAAGCATTTCAAAATCCCAAAGAATTTTGAGACTTTTTAACTCCAAAGACTGATTAAAAATTGCAAAGCATAAATAATAGCAAAATCGAATTGCTATGGGAGATTCCGGCAGTAGGGTGGGTGTAGGTAATATAAGAGAGGAGAAATGGGAGCATAATGATTTGGGATTCCACATTAACTGATTGTGGCTACTGGTAAAAATTAGACGTCTAAACACAAGACAAAGAGTACTGTAAGGGATCTGGTGTAGTTCCCACAATCATGACACGCCCTTGCTGACAAAATAATCTTCTCCATCTTTGGATTCCATAACCAGTATTACCCTTAGACCTGGGCAACCAGGGTCCTCACCTAGGCCCCTCATCTATGGAGAAGTCTACACTTATTTCATGCCATGTTACATCACACATTCCTGATCGTGGCAAACAAGTCAGACTCTAAAGTTTAGAAGGCCCTGCACTATATCTCCTCCAGTGTGCCCTTCACATGAGGCAAGAAATCCATAGGACCAAGGGCCACATCCACTCAAAGCCCACACCTCCCCTTCGAGGTCCAGCTCTGGATCTCAGGATCCTGCGATTCCCTGCCCAATGTTTCCAAGTCACTTCCAGTACCTATGCAGTTCTGTCTTTTGGGTCCATTATTCTGAGAGCAAACTGTGTGCTACGGGGTGACTGGTGGGTGAGGTGATAGGGGTGATGGAATTTAGTCACATGGTCTAGAATAGCCACCAAAGGCTCCTAGTGGTTCAGGATAGAGCCAGAGGTGGAAAGAAAAGGAGATAGGGGCTGCATGGCTTGGGGAGTGGGGCTCCACTGATCTTCTTGCCTCAGGCTCTGCAAATATTAAGGGCAGGCCTGCCCTTAGGAGTACAATCTTCCTGTTCAATGAGCACATGTGGGAAGTAAATGGCAATGCTGCAAAAACTGCTACTTATTCCAGTACAGTTACTTGTGAGTTCCTCATCCTTTGCACAATTATGAATTGTCAGATAACAGTGGCATTTCCAAGATTTATCTCTAGCATCTCATTGCACTTCTGAACTTCATACTTTGCAAGTATGTACAATAGATGCACCCATGTTCATGGCTATTTTAATTATATGTAACATAACCAAGAAGAAATTTTCAAAGGCTTCTAAATAGTCAATCTGTCACAGCCATGCACTTGCATTAATTCACAAAAAAATCATTAAAAAATTAAGCAGACTGCCTCATCCAATAGGCTACATTGTGATAATAGGAAATGCCATGGGTCTACCCAATGGATGACCTTCTTCTAGCTCATATTCAATCTGAAAACTGAAAAATGATGGTGTTGAGAGGACATGAAGCCAGGAAGTATTGGCAGCATTGAGAAGCAGTAGACAGAGATTCCTCAGAAAGGGAGACAGCTACTAAGCCAGGCAAACAGAGAAGCCATTCCTAAGCAATAGCTGGCTCAAATCGGCAAAGAACATTAGAGGAAATATCTTAATATAAGTCGGAGCTGGGAGCCTTAACTGCAGATTCAGTAATAGCAGCTCAGTGCTGGGTAAGGACTACAAAGAATGCAAAAAAGGATCAACAAATCCTAAATAGAGAGATTTGGACAGAATCTGAACAGAAGCAAGGTTTTCAGACATATCTGGCCAAGACAAACCACTTTTTGTTAAAAAAAATATATATAGACAGATTAATTTCAGAACTCTGCTGAATATCATTTAAACTTGATATGTGTAAGTTAACTGTAAAGTAAACTATATGTAATTCTTATTCCATGCCATGGGCTCAATTATTTTCAACAATTTGCTGTTTTTGTAGATTCCTCCACTAAAGACTTGCCCTAAGATGCCTTTAGCAATAAACTGTCGCATTCTGTGAACTTCAACTGACCATTTCAATAAGGAGGTTGAGCCCTGAATTTTCTGTCACCTGCAGTAGTGTTTGAAAAACTCATCCAATCATAAGACTCAGCTGAATCATCTGTTAAACTGGTGGTTCTCAAATTGTAGTGAGCATCAAAGTCAACTAGAGGGCTTGTTCAAACAGATTCTTAGAGAATCTTACACAGTGGGAATTAGGAGATTCCAATAATTTGCATTTCTAGTAAGTTTCCAGGTGATGCTGATGCTGCTGGTCCATGGACCACCCTTTGAGAACCACTGTATTAAACACTCTGGATTCCCAGAATTCCACCTCCAATCCACAGAATCAGAATCACAGACTCAGGATCCTATTTTTAACAAACATTCATGATGATTTTTCCGGTCTAAATATACCACATCTTTTATACGCACTAAATTTCATGTTCTTTCTCTGTTTAGGAGTTCCTCAAACTGTGATCAGAGTCCATTACCCTTATTCTACATAGTATTCTCAAACTCTTGATTATCTAATTCCCCAACTCAGAGCAGGTTCAAAGCTATCTACTATGTGGTGTGGAACTGGCTCTTTTTTGTTTGTTTGTTTGGTTGGTTGGTTTTTTATCTATAACATGAGATTTTTTGTTTGTTTGCAGAAAATGTTTTGCTCTCAGGTGAGGGGGTTTATAATAAGTGACTTATTTATTACAGATACAAATTCCAAACATAGTTTATTCTAAGCTTTTAAGTTCAACCTACAAATCGTATTATTCTATTTATAAATCTAGTAAAGTTTAATAATCACACAAATATTTTTTACTGATATTTGGTCCCATTTAATTAAGTACCCTTCTGCATTTTCAACTGCCCATAAGGGGATAGAATAATTCAATTTACTTTTTTTAGTTTACTTTTTTGAGATGGGATTTTGTTATGTTGCCCAGGCTGGTCTCAAACTCCCAGACTCAAGCAATCCTCCTACCTCAGCCTTCTTAATAGCTGGGATTACAGGCATAAACTCTCAATGTGCTTTTTAAGCCCCTTATATATCTGACTAACAAATAAAACCTCCCAAGCACTTAATTCCTACGCACATAACAAATTAAAAGTACAGTGAATCTTAAAGTTTTCTTACATGTCCAAGCATATTAATGGCCTTAAAATTATGGGCAAGCAGTCAGACAGGTTATGAGAAATTTATCCAGATATCATTTTAAAATTTGTAAGAATTGTGTTAAAAAGGATGGAAGATGGAAAATTGTGTCAAGTTTAAAGTATTTGAACCAAAACATGAAGACTTTCAAGAGTCTCAAGATATAAAAATTAAAACTTCCATTCTGGTAAAGGAACCAAGAACCTACATTGGGTAAAGGACGCCCTCTTCACTAAATAGTATTGGAAAAATTGGATATCCACATACAGAAGAATGAAACTCAATCCCCATCTCTCACCATATACAAAAATCAACTCAAGAGAAATTAAAGGCTTAAATATAAGACTGAAACTTTAAAAAATACTAGAAGAAAACAGGGAAAATACTTTAGGACATAGATCTAGGCAAAGATTTCACAGTTAAGACCTCAAAAGCACAGACAACAAAAATAATAACAGACAAATGTAACTATATTAAACTAAAAAGCTTCTGCACAGCAAAGGAAACAACAGAATGAAGAGACAACCTGTTAATGGGAGAAAATATTTGCGAACTATTCATCTGACAAGGGACCAATATCCAGAATATACAAGGAACTCAAACAACAGTTTACACAGACACACACACACACACACACACACACACACACACACACACACAATCCCATTAAAAAGTGGGCAAAGAACATAAATAGACATTTCTCAAAAGAAGACATACGGCCTCCTGGAGTGCTCTGGGCCGCAGCGGGATAGGGAGCCTCGGGGAAGAGCGGCGCGGGAGCTGGCACCCACCACTGGAGGGGCGGCGACGGCGGCCCGAGCGACCTAGGGAGGCGAGCGGATCCGCCATGGCCGAGTTCCCGTCAAAAGTGAGCACGCGGACCAGCAGTCCCGCGCAGGACGCTGGAGCCTTGGTGTAGGCGCTGCGCACGGACCTGGGCTTCGTGCGCTCCCGCCTCGGGCGTTCATGCTGCTGCAGCTGGTGCTGGGGCTGCTGGTGTGGGCCCTGATTGCAGACACCCCGTACCACCTGTACCCGGCCTATGGCTGGGTGATGTTCGTATCTGTCTTCCTCTGGCTGGTGACAATCGTCTTCTTCACCCTCTACCTGTTTCAGCTGCACATGAAGTTGTACATGGTGCCCTGGCCACTAGTGTTAATGATGTTTAACGTCAGTGCCACCGTTCTTTACGTCACCGCCTTCATCGCCCGCTCTGCGGCAGTTGACCTGACGTCCCTGAAGGGCACGCAGCCGTATAACCAGCGTGCGGCTACCTCGTTCTTTGCGTGTTTGGTGATGATCGCCTACGGAGTGAGCGACTTCTTCAGCTACCATGCCTGGCGAGGAGTAGGCAGCAATGCGCCACCAGTCAGATGGCTGGCGGCTATGCCTAAACCACCTGTGCCACGGCTCCCCCTGGGGCTGAAGCCGCCACTGGGTAGCAGAGCAGGGTCACCCCGCAAGCCCAAAGCTGGGGAGCCTTGAGCAGACTCAGCCCTGCAGGGACTACACTTGGTCCTCTCTGCCCACCAGACACAAGCTCTCACAGCGCTAAGGAAGCAGGCCCAGGCTGGCAGGCATCTGGGCTTGCAGGAGGCCAACCGCTGAGACCTCCTCCCCATCTCCCTTATTCAGTGGAAGTTGACGGGGATCTGAGGCTGTGTCTCTGCCTTCTCTTTAGAGGACTTCAGCGTCCAAGGCTGGGGCCCACCCTTCTCACCAGCACTAAATGCATTAACAAGGACTTCAGACCTGCAGCCCCAAACCCACTCTAGTATCAGCCTAACAAACAACATGTAGCACCTTCGTCTTTGTTCCAGGAGAGCTGAGCAAGCTCATGAAACCATTCTCCTTCCTTAAGACACAATTCCGACCCAACCCTCCCTGGAGCCAACCTGTAAAAAGCGGGTTATGATTGTTGACAGCATGGTCTTCCATCCCTGCATTTCAGACATACCAGTTATTGAAAGCAAATCCGTTTTAAGTGACTTCTCAATGCTGAAAAGCCTGTCCAGGTTTCCTTCCGTTTCCCAAGCCTCTCTTGTAATACTCCCTTTGGGCAAAGCTAACATCACTGCCGACTGCCTCCCTGACCCTGCTGACTAGGCACAGGGGACGCAAAGGAGGGAGGGAAGCAAGGCCTTTTCTGGCCAGTTGTCATGTGGTTGGTGGTGACTTTGTTTTTGTTTGTTTGTTTTTTAATAAAAATAAAGATGAGAGAAATTAAAAAAAGAAGACATACAAATGGCCAAGCCATATATGAAAAAATGCTCAACATCACTAATCAGCAGGAAAGTGCAAATCAAAACTACAGTGAGATATCACCTTACTCCAACTATAATGGCTATTACTAAAAAGACAAAAAAAAACATGCTGGTGAGGATGTGGAGAAAAGGGGAATTCTTATACATTATGCAGGAACGTAAATTAGTACAGTCACTGTGGAAAACAGTATGGAGATTTCTCAAAAAACTTAAAATAGAACTACCATATGATCCAGCAATCCCACTCCTGGGTATTTATCCAAAGGGAAAAAGATCAGTATATCAAAGGGATATCTGCACCCCAGTGTTTATTGCAGCACTATTCACAATCACAAAGATATGGAATCAACTTAAGTATCCATCAACAGCCAAATGGATAAAGAAAATGTGGAATACTATACAGCCATAAGAAAGAATGAAATCATGTTATTCACAGCAACATGAATGGAACTGGAGGTCACTACGTTAAGTGAAATAAGCCAGGCACAGAAAGACCAATGTTCTCACTCATATGTGGGAGCTAAAAAAGTTGATCTCATGGAGACAGAGAGTAGAATGATAGATACCAGAAGCTGGGAAGGGTGGTGTGGGGATAGGAGGGATGAAGAGAGGCTGGTTAATGGGTACAAATGTACAGTTAAATAGAAGGAATAAGTTCCAATGTTTGATAGCAAATTAGGGTTACTATACTTAGCAACAATGTATCGTGTATTTCAAAATAGCTAAAAGACTTGAAATATTACCAGCACATAGAAATGATAAATATTTGAGGTGATAGATACCCCAAATACTGATTTGATCATTACACATTCTATGTATGTAACAGAATATCACATGTGCCCCATAAATGTGTACACAAAAATTTAGAAAACAACTTTTGTCCCAGGAAGGAGCAGCCTGAAGTTGCAGGATTCCATGAGTAGATAGAAGAATTTGGTAATAATTAGGCTGATTTGGTAATTAGACACAAATCGGGGACATGGTCTACATGGTCATCCCGTCCTTAAGTTATGTAGTACAAGACATTATGAGTGTAAAAAGAGAGCTGGCTGGGCAGTCAAGATCAAGAGAAAAATTGCCATGTCTGTCTGAAGGTCTAGACTTCACATCCCAGCTGATATCTCTGGACACTATGTAGTATCAGCAGTCAAAACTTATTTGGGATGAGGTAATGGGGTGATTCAAAAACCTCCAAATCTCAGTGGCTTAGCACAATATGAATTTATTTCTCTCTCATAAGAAGTCCAATGCAGATTTTCCTGGCCTGTGGTTTTCCTCTGAGCAAAGACTTGGAGATCCAAGCTCATTTAGTCTTTTGGGGCTGTCATCATCAACACATGGCCTCTGAGGTTGCTATGGAATGAGAAGAGACAGAGGCTAGACAAAGCACACCAGCTTTTAATTACCAGATTTTGCTTTTTTACTGTTTTACTAATATTATTTTTATTTAATATTTTATAACTATTATATTTATGGGATACAATATGATGGTTTGATATATGTATGTAATGTGGAATGATTAAATCAACCTAATATATCCATCATTTCACTTATTTAACATTTTTTGTGGTGATACATTTGACATTTATTCTCAGTTATTTTGAAACATACATCATTATTGACTATAGTCACCCTGCTGTGCAATAGATATCAAAACTTATTCCTCCTGTCTAACTGAAACATTGTATCCTTTGACCCTCAACTGCCCATTCTCTCTGTCCCCCTTCCTCAGCCTCTGGTAGTCATCATTCTATCATCTACTTCTATGAATTTAACTATTTTTAGATTCCACACATGAATGAGATAATGCAGTATTTATCTTTCTAGACATCTAGGTTGATTCTATAACTTGGTTATTATGAATAATGCTGAAATGAACATGAAAGTGCAGATATCCCTTTGACATATTGATTTCAATTCCTTTGAATACATTCTCAGAAGTGGAATTGCTGGATCATATGGTAGTTGTGTTTTAAGTTTTTTGAGGAACCTCCACGTCATTTTCTATAACTGCTGTATTAATCTACATTCCCACCAAGAGTGTGTTAGGGTTCCCTTAACTTCACATTGTTGTCAACACTTATCTTTCATCTTTTTGATAAAAGCCATTATAAAAGGTGTGAGATGATATCTTATTGTGGTATTAATTTGAAAATGATTAGTGACATTGAACATTTTTTCATGAACCCGTTGGTCATTTATATGTCTTCTTTTGATAAATGTATATTCAGGTCCATGCCCATTTAAAAAATTGGTTACTTGTTTTCTTGCTATTGAGGTGTTATATACTTTGTTTGTTTTGTTTTTAATTTTAATGCTTAATTTTTGCGGGTACATAGTAGTTGTATATATTTATGGGTTACATGAGATATTTTAATACAGGCATGCAATGTGTAATAATCACATCAGGGTAAATGGAGTATCCATCACCTCAAGCATTTATCCTTTGTGTTACAAACAATCCAATTATACTCTTTTAGTTATTTCAAGATGTATAATTAAATTATTTTTGACTATAGTAACTCTGTTGAGCTAGAAAATACTAGGTCTTGTTCATTCTTTCTATTTTTTGTACCCATTAACTCTCCCCAATCCCTGTCCCTCAAACCCACAACTCTTGCTAACATCTGGTAACCATGTTTCTACTCTGTATCTCCATGAATTCAATTGTTTTAATTTTTAGCTAGCAAAAATAAGTAAGAACGGGTGAAGTTTGTCTTTCTGTGCCTGGCTTATTTTCACTTTACATAATGACCTCCAGTTTCATCCACGTTGTTGCAAATGACAGGATCTTGTTCTTTTTATGGATGAGTAGTATTCTGTTGTGTATGTGTACCAAATTTTCTGTACCCATTCATCTATTGATGGATGCTTAGATTGCTTCCAACTCTTGGTTATTGTGAATAGTGCTGCAATAAACATGGGAGTGCGGAAATCTCTTCAATATACTGATTTCCTTTCTTTCGGGTATATACCTAGGATTGGGATTGTATGGTATCTCTATTTTTAGATTTTTGAGGAACTTCCAAACAGGTTTCCATGCTAGTTATACTAATTAACATTCCCACTAACAATATATGAGGGCTCTCTTTTCTCCACATCCTTGCCAGCATTCGTTATTGCCTAACTTTTGGATTAAGGCCATTTTAACTGAGGTGAGATGATACCTCATAGTAGTTTTTGATATACAATTCTGTGATGTTCAATAATGTCGAGCACCTTTTCATATACCTGTTTGCCATTTCTATGTTTTCTTTTGAAAAACATCTATTCAGATCTGTTCCCCATTGTTAAATTGTATTATTAGCTTTTTCCTATAAAGTTGTTTGAGCTCCTTATGTATTCTGGTTATTAATCTCTTCTCAGATGGGTAGTTTGAAAATATTTTGTCTCATTCTGTGCGTTGTCTCTTAACTTTGTTGATTGTGTCTTTTCCCTTTGCCATGCAGAAACTTTTTAACTTAATGTGATCTCATTTCTCCATTTTTACTTTGGCTGCCTGTGCTTGTGGTGTATTACTGAAGAAATTTTCACACTGACCAATGTCCTGGAGATTTTCCTCAATGTTTTCTTGCAAGAGTTTCACAGTTTGAGATCTTGGATTTAAGTCTTTAATCTATTTTGATTTGATTTTTGTATATGGAGAGAGAGAGAGAGGTCTAGTTTCATTCTTTTGCATATGGATATCCAGTTTTCTCAGCACCATTTATTGAAGAGACTATCCTTTCCCCAGTGTATGTTCTTCGCGCCTTTATCAAAAATGAGTTCATTTTGAACTGTAGATTAATGGATTTCTGTCTGGGTTCTCTACTCTGTCCCACAGATTTATGTGTCTGTTTTTATACCCACGTCATGACATTTTAGTTCTATAGTTCTGTAGTGTAAATTAAAGTCAGATAATGTGATTTCTCCAATTTTTTCTTTGTGCTTAGGATACTTTTGACTATTCTGCATCTTTTGTGGTTCCGTATAAATTTTAGGACTGCTTTTTATATTTCTGGGAAGAATGTCATGGGTGTTTTGATAGGTATTGCATTAAATCTGTAGATTGCCTTGGATAGTATAGACATTTTTACAGTATTGATTTTTCCAATCCATGAAAGTAGAATATATTTCCATTTTATTGTGTCCTCTTCAATTTCTTGCATCAATTTTTTATAGTTTTTATTATAGAGATCTTTCACTTCTTTAGTTAATTCCTAGGTATTTTATTTGTAGATACTAAAAATGGGATTACTTTTTTATTACTATTTCAGATTGTTTAGTGTTGGCATATACGTATGCTACTGATTTTTGTATGTTGATTTTGTACCCTGCAACTGTCCTTATTTGTTTTTCAGTTCCAATAGGTTTGTTTTTTTTTTTTTTTTTTTTTTGGTAGAGTCTTCAGTTTTTCTCCACATCTAAGATTATACTGTCTGCAAACAAGGATAATTTGACCTCTTCCTTTCCGATTTGGATGCCCTTTCTTTCTTTCTCTTGTCTGCTCTAACTTGGACTTCCAATACTATGTTGAATAACAGTGGTGACAGTGGGGATCCTTCTCATGTTCCAGATTTCAGAGGAAAGGCTTTCAGTTTTTTTCCCATTCAGTATGATACTGGCTGTTGGTCTGTCATATTTGGCTTTTATTATGTTGACATATGTTCCTTCTATCCTCAGTGTTTTTTTAACGTTTTTATCTCATAAAGGGATGTTTAATTTTATCAAATACTTTTTTCAGCATCAACTGAAATGATCATGCGACTTTGATCATTCATTCCATTCATATGAGGTACCACATTGATGGATTTGTATATTTTGAACCATCCTTGCATAGGTGGGATAAATCTCACTTGGTCGTGATGAGTGATCTTTTTAATGTGTTCAACAACATTAAAGTACTCCATTTGCTAGTACTTTGCTAAGGATTCTTGCATCAATATTTATACATGATATTGGCCTGTAGTTTTCTTTCTTTCTTTTTTTTTTTTTTTTTTCTGATGTGTCTTTGTCTGGTTTTGATATCAGGCTAACAATGATCTCATAGAATCAGTTTGGAAGTATTCCCTCTTCTTTTATTTTTTTGGTTAGTCAGACTAGGATTGCTTTTTATTTTTCTTTAAATGTTTGGCAGAATTTAGCACTGAAGCCATTGGGTCCCAGACATTTCTTTGCTGGGAGACTTTTTATTACAGCTTTGATCTTGTTACTTATTATTGGTCTGTTTGGGTTTTGGATTTCTTCATGGTTCAATCTTGGTAGGTTGCATGTGTCTAGGAGTTTATCCATTTCCTCTAGATTTTCCAACTTATTGGCTTATAGTTGCTCATAGTATCCACTAGTGATCCTTTCTATTTCTGTGGTATCAGTTGTAATATCTCCTTTTTCACCTCTGATTTTATTTATTTGGATTTTTTCTCTTTTTTTCTTATTTGGTCTCATGAAGGGTGTGTCAATTTTGTTTTCTTTTCAAAAAAACCCAACTTTTTGTTTCCTTGACCTTTCGCATTATTTTCTTCATTTCAAATTCATTTATTTCTGCTCTGGTCTTTATTGTTTCTTTTCCTCTACTAATTTGGGGTTTGATTTACTCTCCTTTCCTAGTTTGTTATGATAGATTGTTACATTATTTGAGTTTTTCTTCTTTTTTTGATGTAGGTGCTTATAGCTATTAACTTCTCACTTAGTACTGTTTTTGCTATATCCCATAGATTTTGGTATGTTGTGTTTTCATAATAATTTGTTTCAAGAAATTTTTTTAGTTTTTTCTTAACTTTTTTATTGACCCACTGGTCATTCAGCAGCATATTGGTTGATTTCCATGTATTTGTATAGTTTCCAAAATTCCTCTTGTTATTGATTTCTAGTTTTATTCCATTGTAGTCAGAGAAGATGCTTGATAGTGTTTCAATTTTTTGGAATGTTTTTATACTTGTTTTGAGAGCTAACATATGGTCTCCCCATGAGAATGTTCCATGTGCTGAGGAAAAGAATGTGTATTCTGCAGCTCTTGGATGAAATGTTATGTAAATACCATTAGATTAATTTGGCCTATAGTGCAGATTAAGCCCATTGTTTCTTTGTTCATTTTGTGTCTGGAAGATATGTCCAATGCTGAAAGTGGGGTGTTGACATCTCCAGCTGTTATTGTATAGAGGCCTCTCTCTTTAACTCTGATAATATTTTCTTTGTATATCTGGGTGCTCCAGTGTTGAGTGCATGTATATTTACAATGTTATATCTCTTGCTGAATTTACCCCTTTATCATTAGTGACCTCCTCTGTCTCTTCTTATAGTTTTTGTCTTGAAATCTCTTTTGTCTAATATAAGTATAGGTACTCATGCTCTGTTTTTATTACCATTGGCATGAAATATTTTTTGAATCCCTTTATTTTCAATCTATGTGAGTCTTCAGAGTTGAAGTGTGTTTCTTGTAGGCAATAGATCATTGGGTTCCCTTTTTTTTTTATCACCCATTCAGCCATGGTATGTCTTGATTAGAAATTTTAGTCCATTTACATTTAATGTTATTATTGATAAGTAAGGACTTACTCCTGCCATTTTGTTATTTGTTTTCTGGTTGCTTTGTGATCTTCTTCTCCTTTCATTCTTTCCTGCCTTCCCTTTAGTGAAGGTGATTTCATCTGGTGGTATGCCATAATTTCTTGATTTCTTTGGTTCCTGTATCTGTTGTATATATTTTTTTTCATTTAAGGTTACCATGCGGCTTGCAAATACTATCTTATAACTCATTATTTTAAGCTGATAACAACTTAATACTGTTTCCATAAACAAACAAGCAAAAAGAAAACAAATAAATACTCTATGCCTTAACTTCATCCCCCTACTTTTTAACTTATGTTGTGACTATTTACATCTTATTGTACTATTTATGTCTTGAAAAGTTGTTGTAGTTATTATTTTTGATTGGTTCATCATTTAGTCTTTCTACTTAAGAGTACTTTACACAGCATAGTTACAGAGTTATAATACTGTGTTTTTCTGTGTACTTAATATTAGCAGAGTGTTCTCTACTTTCATATGATTTCTTATGCCCGTTAATGTGTTTTTCTTTCTGACTAAAGTATTCCCTTTAGCATTTCTTATAGGACAAGTCTGGTATTGATGATATCCCTCAGCTTTTGGTTCTCTGGGAAAGACTATTTCTCCTTCATGTTTGAAGGATATTTTCACTGGATATACTATTCTAGGGTAAAAGGTTTTTTTTTTTCCTTCAGCACTTTAAATATGTCATGTCACCCTCTCTTGGCCTGTAAGATTTCCACTGAACAGGCTGCTGCCAGACATGTTGGAAGTCCTCCATTGTATGTGATTTGTTTCTTTTGTCTTGCTGCTTTTAGGATCCTTTCTTTATCCTTGACCTTTGGCAGCTTAATAATTAAATGCCTTGAGGTAGTCTTCTTTGGGTTAATATGCTTAGTGTTCTGTAACCTCCTTGTACACAGATATTGATATATTTCTCTAGGTTTGGGAAATTATCTGTTATCATCCCTTTGAATAAACATTCTACCCCTATCTCTTTCTCTACCTCCTCTTTAAGGTCAATAACTCTTAGATTTGTCCTTTTGAGGCTATTTTCTAGATCCTGTAGGAATGCTTCATTATTTTTATTCTTTTTTCTTTTATCATCTCTGATTGTATATTTTCAAATAGGCTATCTTCAAGCACATTATTTTTTTCCTCTGCTTGATCAGTTCTGCTATTAAAAGAGTCTAATGCATTCTTCAGTATGTCATTTGCATTTTTCAGCCCCAGAATTGCTGCTTGATTCATTTTAATTATTTCCATCTCTTTGTTAAAGTCATCTCATGGAATTCTGAATTCTTTCTCTGTGTTGTCTTGAATATCTTTGAGTTTCCTTAAAACAGCCATCTTGAATTCTGTCTGAAAGGTCACATATCTGTTTCTTCATGACTGGTCCCTTCTACCTTGTTTAGTTGATTTGGTGATGTCATGGTTTCCAAGATAGTCTTGGTGCTGAGGGATATTTGTCTGTGTAAAGGCATTGAAGAGTTAGGTATTTATTGTAGTCTTCACAGGCTAAGCTTGTTTTACCTGCCCTTCTCAGGAAGACTTTCAAGGATTTGAAAGGACTTTGGTATTGTGTTCTAAGCCATATCTGCATTAGGGACACCCCAAGCCCAGTAACACTGTGGTTCTTGCAGACTCATAGAGGTACCATCTTGGTGGTCTTGGATAAGATCCAGAGGCATTCTCTGGATTACTAGGCAGGCACTTGTTCTCTGCCCTTACTTCCTCCCAAAAAAACAGTTTCTGTTTCTGTTCTGAGCCATCCAGAGCTGGTAATGTGGTTATACAAGCACCCCTGTGGCCACCATCACTGGGACTGTGCTGGGTGAGACCTAAGGCCAGCACAGCACTGGGTCTCACCCAAGTTCCACTGTAAACACTACCTGACTACCACCTATTTTCATTCAAGGCACAGGTACTCTATAATCAGAAGGTGTTGAAGCTTATCAGGCTTGTGTCCTTCCACTCAGGAAGGCAAGTTCCCTCAGGCCCCAGGGAGGTCCAGAGATGCCATCCAGGAGCCAGGAACTGGAGTCAACACCTTAGAAGTCTACCTGGTGTTCTATTATACTATAACTAAGCTGGCACTCATATCATGTGATGCAGTTCTTCCCAATCTTTTCTCCCCTTTTCATAGGCAGAGGAGCCTCATGCCATGGCTAGTACCACCACAAGCCTTCAGAGAGTACTGTCAGGCTACTGCCAATGTTCCCTTAAGACCCAAAGGCCCTTCAGTCAGCTTGTGGCATATGTTGCCTGGCCTGGAACTCATCCTTCATGACAAAGGGCTCCCCTCTGGCCCAGGGCAGTTCCAGAAATGCTGTCCAAGAGCCAAGTCCTGGAATTGGGGTTCCCAAGAACCCACTTTTTGCTCTAAACCCCTGAGGTTGAGCTGGCATGTAAAGTGCAAGAAAAAGTCTCCTTTACTTTTTCCTCTCCTTTTCTCAAGCAGAAGGAGTCTTGCCCCATAGACACCACAGCTGGGAATATGCTAAGTCTCACCTGAATCCAAGAAGTCTCAGAGTCTCACCCACGACACATGACATACTATCTGGGTATTACTCCTTGTTATTCAGGGCCCAAGGGCTCTTTAGTCAGCAGGTGAAGGGTCCTGCCAGGACTGGGTCTCTTCCTTCAAGGTAGTGGATTCCCTTTTGGCCCAGTATGTGTCTACAAATGTTGTCTGGGAGTTAGGTCCTGGAAAGGAAGCCTTACATCTTTGACTGGCTCTCTATCCTACTGTGGCTGAGCTGGTATCCCAGATGCAAGACAAAATCTTCTTTACTCTTCCCTCTCCTCTCCTCAAACAGAAGGAAGGGGTCCCTTTTGAATCCATAAGCTGTGCAGCTTGTGGCTGGGGGAAGGTTGTCACAAGCACTCCCTTAGCTGCCCCACCTGGTGTCTCAGTAGGTCTTGTGCCCCACCAGTCCACTGGCACTGAGTTGAGTTCAGCACTAGGACTTGCCTACAAATTTCAGTCCTTGTGGCCTAGACTGCTGTTCATTTAGGGACCCAGAGAACTTTAGCCTAGTGTGGCAAGGCTTGCCAGAACTCAAGTTCCAACTGCTGAGTTGGGTGATTTCCCTCTGGCTAGGGCTGGTCTAAATGCTCCCTCTGTGGGCAGCCGTTAGCTGAGTTAAGCCCAGTTTGCTTTCTGCTACCACATGGCAATTCTGAGTTCAATGCAATGTCTCACAATTGCTGTGCTGTCCCTCTCCCACCTTCACAGATTCTCTCTCTGTGCCACACGGCTACTGCCAGGGGATGGAGGATGGGTAGTGTCTGTGACTCAAGACTTTTTTTCTCCTCTTCATTGCCTCTTTCAGTGATATGAAGTTAAAGCCAGGTACTGTGAGTGCTCACCTAATTTTTGATTCTTATGAAGGTGCTTTTTTTTGTGTAGATAGCTGTTAAATTGGTGTCCTTCTTGGGGGGACAATTGGTGGAGACTTCTATTGAGACATCTTGCTCCCTTTACATATTTTGGATATTAACCAGCTATCAGATGTATGGTTTTCAAATAACTTTTCCCAATCTGTGGGTTGTCTCTTTACTTTGTTAATTGGAGTTTTTGTTGTTGTTCTTTTTTTTCTTTCTGTGCAGACACTGTTTAGTTTGATACTATCCCCATTTGTCTATTTTGGCTTTCATTGCCTGAGCTTTTGGGGTCATATCCAAAAAGTCCTTGTCCTGACCTATGTCATGAACCTCTCCCTCTCTGTTTTCTTCTGGTTCTTTTACAGTTTTAGGTCTTATGTTTAAGTCTTTAATCTTTTTTGAGTTGATTTCAGTATGTGATGCAAGGTTAGGGTCCAATTTCATTCTTCTGTATGTGGATAACCAGTTTTCCCCACACTATTTATTAATTAGGCTGTCCTCCCCGCATTGTATGCCTTTGGCATCTTTGTCAAAAAATCAATTTATCATAAATGCATGATGTATTATTTTGTTCTCACACTGCTATAAACAATGACAAGAGACTGGGTAATTTATGAAGAAAAGAGGTTTAATTTACTCACAGTTCTACAGGCTTAACAGGAAGCATGACTGGGAGGGCTCAGAAAACTTACAATCATGGCAGAAGGTGAAGGGGAAGCAGGCACATATTATCATGGCAAAGCAGGAGAGAGAGAGTAAGTAGGGAAGTGCCACACACTTTTAAAGAATCATATCTCATGAGAACTCACTCACTATCATGAGAAGAGCATGCAGGAAATCTGCTCCATGATCCAGTGACCTCCCACCAGGTACCTCCCCCAACATTGGGAATTACAATTTAACATGAGATTTGGGTGGGGACGCAGAGCTAAAACATATCATTCTGCCCCAGCCCCTCCCAAATCTCATGTCCTTCCCACATTCAAAACATAATTATGCCTTCCCTACATTCCCCCAAAGTCTTAATTCTTTCCAGCATTAACCCAATAATCCAAGTCTAAAGTCTCATCTGAGACTAGGAAAGTACCTTTCACCTAAGAGCCTGCAAAATCAAAAACAAGTAGTTACTTCCAAGATACAATGGGGGTACAGACATTGGGTGAATGCTCCCACCCTAAATGGGAGAAATCAGCCAAAACAAAGGGGCGACGGGTCCCATGCAAGTCCCAAACCCCCAGGGCAGTCATTAAATCTTAAAGCTCCAGAATAATATTCTTTGACTCTATTTCTCACATCCAGGCCACACTAATGCAAGGAGTGGGCTCCCAAGGCCTTGGGCAGCTCTGCCTCTGTGGATCTGCAGGGTACGGCCCCAACAGCTGGTTTCATGGGCTGGCATTGAGTACCTGCACTTTTCCAGGTGCATTGTGCAAGATGTCTGCAAGAATCTACCATTCTGGGGTCTGGAGGATGTTGGCCCTCTTCTCACAGCTCCACTAGGCAGTGCCCCATTGGGGACTCTGTATGGAGGCTCCAACCCCATATTTCCCCTCCACACTGCTCTAGTAGAAGTTCTCCATAAGGATTCTGCCCTTGCAACAAACTTCTGCCTGGACATCTAGGCATTTCCATACATCCTCTGAAATCTAGGCAGAAGTTCCCCAAATTCAAGTCTTGTCTTTTGTGCACCCACAGGCCCAAAACCACATGTAAGCCACCAAGGCTTGGGGCTTGTACCCTCTAAAGCCAAAGCCCAAGCTGTACCTGGGCCCCTTTTAGTCATAGCTGGAGCTGGAGCAGCCCGTATGCAGGGCACCATCTCCTGAGGCTGCACAGAGTAGCTGGGCAATGGGTATGGCCCATGGAACCATTTTTTCCTCCTAGGCCTCTGGGCCTGTGATGGGAGGGGCTGATGTGAAGATCTCTGAAATGCCCTGGAAACATTTTCCCCATTGTCTTGGCTATTAACATTCATCTCCTCTTTACTTATGCAAATTTTTGCAGCAGGCTTGAATTTCTCCCCGAAAATGGGCTTTCTTTTCTACTACATGGTCAGGCTACAAATTTTCCAAACTTTAACACTCTGCTTCCCTTTTAAATATAAGTTCCAATTTCAGACCATCTCTTTGTGAATGCATATGATCATATGCTTTTAGAAACAGCCAGTTCACATCTTGAATGCTTTGCTGCTTAGAAATTTCTTCTGCCGGATACCCTAAATTATCTCTCTCAAGTTAAATTTCCACAGATCTCTAGAGCAGGGGCAAAATGCTGCCAGTTTCTTTGCTAAAGCATAGAAAAAATGACCTTTACTCTAGTTCTGACTCTAGTTCTCAGCCTAGACTTCATTGTCCATATCACTATCAGCATTTTGGTCAAAACCATTTAACAAGTCTCTAGGAAGTTCCAAACTTTCCCACATCTTCCTCTCTTCTTCTGAGCCCTCCAAACTGTTCTAACCTCTGCCTGTTACCCAGTTCCAAAGTCACTTCCACATTTTCAGGTATCTTTATAGCAATGCCCCACTCCCAGTACCAATTTTCTGTTTTAGTCCATTCTCACACTGCTATAAAGAACTATCTGAGACTGGTTAATTTATGAAGAAAAGAGGTTTAATTGACTCACAGATCCACAGGCTTAACAGGAGGCTTGACTGGGAGGTCTCAGGAAACTTACAATCATAGTGGAAGGTGAAGGGGAAGCAGGTATGACTTACAATGGCAGAGCAGGAGAGAGAGAGAGAGCAAGTGTTGAAGTGCCATGCACATTTAAACCATCAGATCTTGTGGGAACTCACTCACTATCATGAGAACAGCATGGGGGAAATCTGTCCCCATGATCCAATGACCTCCCACCAGGTACCTCCCCAAAAATTGGAAATTACAATTCAACAGGAGATTTGGCTGGGGAAACAGAGTGAAATCATATCACATGGCTTTACTTCCAGGCTTTCTATCCTATTTCATTGGTTGATGAGTCTCTTTTTATGCCAGTACCATGTTGTTTTTATTACAATCTTTATATCTTGGAGTTGAGTAGGGTGATATCTCCAGTTTGTTATTTTACCTCAAGATTATTTTGGCTATTTGGGGTGTTTTGTTGTTCCATTGGAATTTAATGATTATTTTTGCCTATTTCCATGAAAAATGACATTGTAATTTTGATAGGGATTGCTTTGAATCTGTAAATTTCTTTTAATTCAGCCATTGAAGTGTTACAGCCCCTCTGTTTACAATCTATCAGCAGGAACTAGTCACATGGTCCTGCCACATAAAAGGTGGCTGGGAAATGTAGTCTAGCCATGTGCCTGGGAAGAGGATATGGGTTTGGTGAGAATCTAGCCAGTCTGTCAGGAGTACCATAGCATCTCTTCAGGGGGTGTATTAGTTTCCTAAAGCTTCTGTAACTGCAACTGGTTGGTGATAGGGTTTGGATCTCTGTCTCACCCAAACTTCATGTTGAAATGTAATCCACCATGCTGAAAGTAGGAGACAGTGGTGGGAGGTTATTGGATCATGGGGACAGTTTCTCATGGTTTAACACCATCCCCCCTTGGTGTTGCTGTCATTATAGTGAGTTCTTGTGAGATCTGATTGTTTAAAAGTGTGTGGCACATACCCCCTCTCTCCCACTCTCTCTCTTTCTTCTGCTCTGGCCATGTAAAGTGTTGGCTCTCCCTTTGCCTTCCACCATGATTGTAAGTTCCCTGAGGCCTCCCCAGAAGAAGATGCCACTATGCTTCCAGTACAGCCTGTACAGGAATTTATAACCTCTTTTCATTATAAATTATGCAGTTTCAGGTATTTCTTTATAGCAGTATGACAATAAACTAATACAGTTGTTTTACGACAGGAATTAATTCTCAAAGTTTTGGAGGGCAAAAGTCTGAAATCAAGGTGTTGCCAGGGCCATGCTTTCTATGAAGTCTCTAGAGGAGAAGAATCCTTCCTTGCCTCTTCCAGCTTTTGGTGGTTACTAGCAGCAATTCTTGTCATTTCTTGACTTGTAGCTACATCACTCCCATTTCTGCCTTCATCTTCACATGGCCATCTTGCTTCTATGTATATTTTGTGCCTTCAAATCTTCCTCACCTTATAAGGGCACCAGTAATTGGATTTAGGGTCCTTTCTAATCCAGTATAATTTTATGTTAACAGGATCACATCTGTAAGGTCTCTACTTCCAAATAATATCACATTCACAGGTACAAGGGGTTAGAACTTCAACATATATTTTGGGGAGACACAATTCAACCCACTATAAGGAGAATATTGGTTTCCTATTACACAGTACCTGTGGATCAGGAGTGTAGGCACAAGTTAACTGGTCCTCTGTTCAGGCTCTCCCAGGCTGAAATGAAGGTATCTGCCAGGGCTATGGTTCTCATGTGAACATCAAGCCCCTCTTCCAAGCTCACATAATTTAATTCTTTTAGGTTATAGAACTGAAGTCCCTGGTTTTTGCTGTTTGTTGATCAAGGGTCAGCTGCATCTTCAAAGTCAGCAGGAGCACATCTCTCTGACGCTTTGCCTTCTTTTAAAGGCTCACCTGATTAAGTCAGGCCCACCCAGGATAATATCTGTTTTGATTAGCTCAAAGTCAAGGGATGAGTCATATAATCCAGGAGTAATATCTCATCATAATCCCAGGTTCTAACCACACTGAAGAGGAAGGTATTATACAAGAGTGTGGGTCACTGTGGGTCATCTTAGAATTCTGCCTACCACAGGGGGTATATTTATTATAAACTCAAGTAGATTTAGAATTAAAATAATAAATCTGTAAAAGAATCCATTTTGTGGCCAGGTGTGGTGGCTTACACCTGTAATCCCAGCACTTTGGGAGGCCAAGGTAGGTGGATCACCTGAGGTCAGGAATTCGAGACCAGCCTGGCCAACATGGTGAAACCCTGTCTCTCCTAAAAATACAAAAATTAGCCATGCGTGGTGGCATATGCCTGTAATCCCAGCTACTCTGGAGGTTGAAGCAGGAGAATCTCTTGAACCCAGGAGGCAGAGGTTGCAGTGAGCTGAGATCATGCCATTGTGCTCCAGCCCAGGCAAAAAGAGAGAAACTCCATCTCAAAAAAACAAAAAGAAGAATCCATTTTGTGTTTAGATATATTTGCAGTAAGGAATCTTTGCATATTTGGTATTTATGTATTTATAATGTTTCAGAACATTTGTTTAATTAAACTAAGAAGTCAGCCTTATAACAGCATCTAAAATTATACTTGTACAATGAGTACAAGCAGGTTCACTATGTTGAAATCATTCTAGTATCTTCAAGTTTATGAGAGCTTAAGGCTGAGCCCTTTTCACAGTTACTATTATAGAATCCCGTGTCTGAGCTCTTCATACAGGTTGATCTTTTCTGAGTTCAAGGGGTGCCATTTTTTATTTCTTTCATCTGCTTGCAGTAATCTGTAATCCTCACTGATGTTCAAGCTAACTTCCTCAGTCTTGATTAAGTTCTGAATTTTTTAAGCTGTCTTCTTCCTAATGTCTGGTATCTATTTCCTGGCTCTATAAGATAAATGAGTCTCTATAGAGGTAATTTAATAAGACTATAACAAAAAGCCAAGCTGTATAACTGTAAAGTATTTTATTCTATCTTTCCTTGACCAACCCCACAAAGTTCCAACAAACACTTAAAGATGCCAACTGTATTAGTGTGTTTTCACACTGCGATAAAGAACTACCTGAGACTGGGTAATTTATAAAGAAAAAAGTTTTAATTGACTCACAATTCTGCATGGCTGAGGAGGCCTCAGGAAACTTACAATCATGGCGGAAGGTGAAGGGGAAGCAAAGCACATCTTACATGTCAGCAGGAGAGAGAGAGAATAAAAGGGGAAGTGCCACACATTTCCAAACAACCAGATCTCATGAGAACTCACTCACTGTCATGAGAACAGCAAAGGAGAAGTCCACCCCCGTGATTCAATCACCTCCCACCAGGCCCCTCCCCTGACATATGGTGATTACAATTCAAGAGATGAGATTTGGATGGGGACACAGAGCCAAACCATATCACCAACTATTATATAAAAACAAATGAAAAATAATTCTATACTATTGGTAATGAAGTTTAGATTTCCAAAAAGTAGAGAGAAGGATCCACCTCCCCGAGATCCATCCAACTATTGATTGTGGTGACCCGACTTGGCTCATTTCCGTGGGGTCAGTCAGTTAGGAGTTTCTTCTTGGCACCAGGACAGACTAGAGTGAGGCAAGTGAGGTCTCCAGGGTGCAAAGTGTAAGGCAGCACTCACTCTCAGGCATGTGCTGGAAAAGATGCCTGAACTTCTTCATAGGGTCAGTACCTGAGAATGACACCTCCATGCATTTTTCTCTCCAGGCACCTGGCTTGCCTAAGCCTATTCCCAGTCCTATTGAGCACCTGAAAATTCTTTTTAGAGTGATTCTGTTTACAAAGACTTTTCAAAAAATCAAGAAAAGGCTACTCCCATCCCTCATCTTTTGGTGAGAGTTCCTGCTGGAGCTGGCTTTTTTTCCAGGTGAGGCCATACCTGGAGGGTTCACCTTTTAACCTAGTAATTGTCCCATCTTTCAGAGCAGCTCCACCCGTTCAAACTCTCTTAGAAGTCTCACGTCTCCCATATTGAATCCATTACAAAGTCACTTAAGAATAACCTTTGCAGCATATTTACTTTTTAAGAAATCAGAAAATTCAGATCTGCAAAAAATAATAACACAAAACATCACTGTTAGTCCCTCCACCCACAAATAACTACCCTTCACATTTTGAAGGATGATTGTTTAGCTTTTTTATGCATAGACACACTTTAGTTTTAAATTTTTAGCTGCAAATTGTGTGTTATGATTGGCAGATTAAAAAGCTAGAATACCAATCTATTTCAGGAAATGAGGCTCCAGCTTTCGGTTTCACGCAAGAGGTGCTGACTGCCGCTTTTGGGATTCAAACTGCAGCTCAACTCTGCATCCATTCAACTCTGTGATGTGGGTGCTCATCTGGCAGGATGATCTGGGACTCATACACAAGGGCGAATATGTAAGACTCCATATGGAAAGGAAAGTCACCAAAACTGCTTCAACTTGAGCTTTCCCTATGTGAAGGTGATGCAACTGTACACAACCTAAAGATTCAAATGTCCCCACACAGCCCAAGACCTGAAAAGATGACCCCTTCAGATTCAAGAAACCTTTCATTGTTCTATTGAATGGGAGTCCCCATAACTCTGGCATGCCCTTAATTCTGCCTCCATCAAATAGACAGACTTAGTTTGCTTAAAGAGAAAATGAACACAGAACAGAAATTCCAACCACAGAAATAATAACAGCCAACGTTAACTAAGAGCTTACTATAAGTAGTCTACTAAGTGTTTTTTGTTTATAATTAACATTTCTCAAAAACTCAATGAGTAGCTGTGATTCTTGTCCCTATCTTACAAATGAGAAAACATGTTTAGAAAGGTCTGTGACTTGCTCAGGGTCTTGCTAGTAAGTGAAGAATAAAGAACCCTATGCCTTCTCTCTTAATACCTGCATTAAACTGCCACTCACATTTGCTTGTAGCAATTATAACTCACATCATTATTTACAACAAGAACATATAAAATACAACAAAAATTATACATAACAACCATAAAAGGTAATGTTGTATCTTTTAAAACCAAATCACATGCAGAAAGTACTAGAAGTTATACAAATGAAAAAAAAAATTGTGAAATACGATTCGGAAAGTTTCTAAGAACTCAAAGGGAAAATTCAAATATTCGATTCAAATCTGCTGAGGTGAGGTTTTTGCTTCCTTGAGTTGCCCATTGAGAAAACTGCATAATTCTTATTTTGGCAAGGTTTATGGGTTAAGGGACTGGTATTGTAACAAATTCTTACTGAGAGCCTCTTGCATGCCAGGAAGTTTACATGCACTCACTCTATATTTGCAGACTTTATAAATATGAGACAAAGTATTATTGTTTCAGTTTTACAGAAGAAGTCACTGAGGCTCAGAGAGGCTGATCTTGGATCTGGCACCAGTACTAGAAAAGAAGGCAGGCTTCAGACCACTTCTGTTTACTTCCAAAGTCTATAGAAGCTGTGCTCTACTCCCTTGGCCAAGGAAAGCAATTTTGAGGGTCATGACCTAGAAGCATTGGTGATGCCTATGTCTGTAGTTTTTTTTTTTCCTCCATGAGAAAAAGCTTCATTTATGGATGTATTTGCCATCAACTTCCTACCCTTTCTCCTATATTTCAAGGATTTTCACAGTCTTCTTCTTGTCCTCTCTCATTTTGTGTATTCCATATATCCATATTCTTTTTCTGAAGTATAAACCATACATCAGCTCTCTCTGAGATAAGGACCTCTGTTTTATTGTTAAATGTGGAAGCATGATATAAAAGCAAAGCAGAGAATCTCAGTAATCAAGATTTGGGAAATTGTGGAGGGAAGGATAGTGTTTCCTGATGAGTACTTTAAGGCTGAGACAGGCTTTAAGAAAGGACATAGAGACTCAAAGTATCAACTCAAAGACCACTTATTTATTACAAAGTGAAAGAGGAACTTTTACAATGGAAAGATCCAGAAAGTACCACTTTATCCAATGATCAAACCTTGGCCCTACCCATGATGGGGGAAACTGACATAAATTGCTTCCCAAGTGGAAGAAGCACTGATGTCACATATGTGGAAATCTTGCCCAGAATATTTTATCTAAATCAAATTAAGCAGAAACAATCATACAAATCTAGATTGTAGGACATTCTATAAGACAATTGTCCTGTAATATTTTAAAAAATTAATATTGGAGAAGAACTCTTCTATATTAAAGGAAGATAAAGAGACATGACAACTATATGCAAGGTGAGATTCTTAATTAGACCCTCCATCCAAAAAATAGCTATGCAAATATTAAATAAAGGTCATTATCTAAAATAGAAATTTGAACATTGTGTTAGTACATTTTGTGTTGCTATAAAGGAACACCTAAGGCTAGGTAATTTATAAGGAAAAAAGATTTATTTGGCTCATGACGCTGGATAGCTGGAAAGCTCAAGATTGAGCATCTGCATCTGGTGAGGGTCTCATACTGCTTCCACTCATAGAGAAAGTTGAAGGGAAGCCAACATGTGCCAAGATCACATGCCAAGAAAGGAAGCAGGAGACAGAGCAAGATGATGGCGTTGAAGGCTTTACCAATTATACCCCTGCAAAGACACCAATTTAACAACTATGTACATGATAAAAGCACCTTCATAAGAATGAAAAATCAGGAGAGCACGCATTGTACCTTGTTTTAACTTCATAGCACTGACAGAGGCGCTGAAGAGATCACAAAAAGAGTCTGGAATCACCACCAACACCCCTTCCCCATTCCTGAGCAGTGGTGGCATAGAGAAGAGAGTGATTCCATGTGCTGGGGAGAGGGAGAGTGCAGCAATTGTGTGGCAATGAGCTCAGTGCTGTTCTGTTATTGCAGAAAGTAAAACCAGCAGAAACTCAGCTGACACCTGTCCATGGAGGGAGCATTTAAACCAGTCCTAGCCAGAGGAAAATCACTGATGCCAGCTGTCAGAACTTGAGGTCCTACAGGTCTTGCCACCATGGGCTAAAGTGCTCTGGGGACCTAAACTTGAAAAGCTGTCTAGGCCACAAGGACTGCAAATCTTAGATGAGTCCTAGTACTGACCTGGGCCCAGAGCCAGTGGACTGAGGGGGCATGTGACCTCCTAAGACACAAATTGGAGCAGCTAAAGGAGTGCTGGACTCAACCCTCCCCTAACCCCGGGCTTCAAAGCTTGTGACTCCAAAAGAGACCCCTTCCTTCTGTGTGAGGATAGGAGAGGGAAGAGTTGGGAGGCCTTTGTCTTGTACCTTGAATACCAGTTCAGCCACAATAGGATAGGGCACCAATTGAGATCCATGTCATCTTTCTAGGCCCTAGTTCCTGGATGACACATCTAGACACACCCTTTGCCTTAAGGGAACCCACTAACTTGAAGGGAAGGACTCAGTCTTGAAGAATTCACCACCTGCTAACTGAAGAGCCCTTGGACCCTGAACAATCAGCAGTGATACCCAGGTAGTACAACACGGGCCTTGAGTGACACTCTGAGACTTGCTGGCATCAGGTGAAACTCAGCATATTCCCAGTTCTGGTGGCTATGGGGTAAGACTCCCTCTGCTTGAGAAAAGAGGAGGGAAAGATAAAGGGGACATTGTCTTGCACCTTAAGTACCAACTCAGCCACAGTGGGTAGACCATCAAGCAGGTACTTGGGGTCTCTGATTCTAGGACTTGGCTCTTGGATGGCATTTCTGAACCTGACCTGGGCCTGAGCAGAGCCCAATGCACTGAAGGGTGATTCCTAGGCCAGGCAGTATTCATCATGAGCTGGCTGAAGAGCCCTTGAGCCTTAAGAGAACATTAAAGGTAGTCTGGCAGTACTCTTCACAGGCCTGTGGTGGCATTGGCTGATGGGTGCAGCTCCTCTGCCTTTGGAAATGGGAAGGAAGAGTGGGAAAGACTGCATCTTGTAGTTTAAGCATCAGCTCAGCTGCCGTACAATAGAACACCAGATAGACGTTTTAGATTTTTGACTCTGGTCCCTGGTTACCAGATGGCACCTCTGGACCCATCCAGGATCTGATGAAACTTGCTTCCCTGAAAGGAAAAACACATGCCTGGCTGGCTTTAACACCAGCTAATTATAGAGCACCAAGGCCTTGAGAAAACATAGACAGTAGCCAGGGAGTGGTTACAGTGGGCCATGGGTGAGACCCAGTGCTATGCTGGCATCAGGTCTGACCCAGCACAGTACTAGTGATGGCGGCCACAAGTTTACCTGTGTCACTCCACCTCAGCTCCCAGTGGCTCAGAACAGAGAGACAGAATCCATTTGTTTTGTTTGGGAAAATGTAAAGGAAGAGAACAAGAGTCTTTGCCTGGTAATTCAGAGAATTGTTTTGAAATATTTTCAAGACTATCAAGGCAGTACCTCTACAAGTCTGCAAGAACCACAATGTTATTGGGCTTGGGGTGTGCCCTAAAGCAGGTAAGGCTTAGATCACAACACTGAAGTCCTTTAGAATATCTAGAAAGCTTTCCCAGGAATACTGGGGACAAAGAAGCCCAGAGGGCAAAGACTACAATAAATGCCTAACTCTTCAATGCAAAGACACAGATAAACATCTACAAATATCAAGACCATCCAGGAAAACATGACCTCAATAAATGAACTAAATAAGGTACCAGGGACCAATCCTGGAGAAACAGAGATATGTGGCATTTGAGACAGAGAATTTAAAATAGCTATTTTGAGGAAACTAAAAAAAAAAAAAATCAAGAAATCACACAGAAGGAATTCAGAATTCTGTTAGATAAATTCAACAAAGAGATCGAAACAAAAAGTATCAAGTAGAAATTATGGGGCTGAAAAATGCAATTGACAGAAAGGAGATGCATTGGAGTCTTTTAATAGCAAAATTGACCAAGTAGAAGAAAGAATTAGTGAGCTTGAAGTCAAGCTATTTGAAAATACAGAGAAGGAAGAGAAAAAAGAAGAAAAAAGAATGAAGTATGCCTATAAGATCTAGAAAACAGCCTCAAAAGAACAAATCTAAGAGTTATTTGCCTTAAAGAGGAGGTAGAGAAAGAGATAAGTGTAGAAAGTTTATTCAAAGGGATAATAACAGAATGTCAGAAACCTAGAGAAAGATATCAATATCCAAGTAAAAGAAGGTTATAGAATACCAAGCATATTTAACCCAAACAAGACTACTTCCAGGAATTTAATAATCAAACTGTCAAAAGTCAAGCATAAAGGAAGGATCCTAAAAGGAGGAAGAGAAAAGAAATAAATCACATACAATGGAGCTCCAATACATCTGGCAGCAGGCTTTTCAGTGGAAACCTTACAGGGCAGGAGAGAGTAGCAAGACACATTTAAAGTGCTGCAAGGGGGAAAAAAATTATCCTACTATTGTCCTACAATTGTATGTCCAGCAAAAATATCCTTCAAACATGAAGGAGAAATTAAAACTTTCCCAGACCAGAAAAAAAAATAGCTGAAGGATTTTAACACACCCAGTCCTGCAAGAAATGCTAAAAGGAGTACTTCAGTCAGGCAGATAAGAACGTTAATGAGCAATAAGAAATTATCTGAAGGTACAGAGTTCACTGGTAATAGTAAGTGCATGGAAAAACATAGAATATTATAATACTGTAACTGTCATGTGTAAACTATTCTTAAATAGAAAGACTAAATGATGACCCAACCAAACATATGACTATAACAACTTTTCAAGACATAAAGAGTACAACAAGATATAAATAGAAACAACAAAAAGTTGAAAAAAATCAGGGGGACAAAGCTAAGGTATAGAGTTTATATTAGTTTTCTTTTTCCTTTCTCATCTGTTGGTTTATGGAGACAGTGTTAAGCTGTTAAAACAATGGGTTATAAAATAGTATTTGCAAGCCTCATGTTAACCTCAAACCAAAAAACATACAGCAGGCACACAAAAAATAAAAAGGAAGAAACTAAATTAATCACCAGAGAAAATCACCTTCACTAAAAGTAAGACAGGGAGAAACAAAAGAGGAAGAAAAAGATCGCAAAGCAAACACAAAACAAATAACAAAATGGCAGGAATAAGTCTTTACTTATCAATTATAACAGTGAATGTAAATGGACTAAACTCTCCAATCAAAAGACATACTGTGGGTGAATGGGTGAAAAAAAAGGTATCCAGTGATCTGATCAGTTGCCTAAAAGGAACACTTATAAAGATACACAAAGACTGAAAATAAAGAGATGGAAAAAGATATGTCACGCCAATGAAAATCGAAACAGAGCATGAATACCTATACTTACATCAGACAAAATAGATTTCAAGGCAAAAACTGTAAGAAGAGGTAAAAAAGGTCACTATATGATGATAAAGGTGTCAATTCAGCAAAAAGATATAACAATTGTAAATATATATGCATCCAGACCTGGAGCACCCAGATATATAAAGCACATATTATTAGAGTGAAAAAGACAGATAGATACCAATATTATAACAGCTGGAGACCTCAACACCGGACTTTTTGAATTGGGCAGATCTTCCAGAGAGAAAATCAACAAATAAATATTAGATGTAATCTGCACTATAGGCCAAATGAATCTAATAGATATTTACAGACCATTTCATCCAACAGCTGCAGAATACATATTCTTTTCCTCATTCTTAAGGACATATCTATGTTAGCTCACAAAACAAGTCTTAACACATTCAACAAAATTGAAATAATATCAAGCATCTTCTCTGACTACAATGGAATAAAACTAGAACTCAGTAACAAGAGGAATTTTGCAAATTATACAAACACATGGAAATTAAGCAATATGCTCCTGAATGACAAGTGGGTCAATGAAGAAATTAAGAAGAAAACTGAAAAATTTCTTGAAGGAAATTATAATGGAAACACAATATACCCTATGGGACACAGGCAAAAGCAATACTATCAAGGAAGCCTATTGCTATAACTGTCTCCATCAAAAAAGGAGAAAAACATCAAATAAACAACCTAATAATGCATCTTAATGAACTAGATAAGCAATAGTAAACCAAATCCAACATTAATAGAAGAAAATAAGTAATAAAGATTGGAGCAGAAATAAGTAAAATTGAAATGAAGAAAACAACATAAAAAAATCAACGAAACAAAAAATTGGTTTTTTGAAAAATTAAACAAAATTCACAAACCTTTACCAGACTAAGAAAAAAAAAACAAGAAAATTCAAGTAAATAAAATCAGAGATGAAAAAGGAGATATTACAACCAATACTGCAGAAATTCAAAGGATTGTTAGTGGCTACCATGAACAACTATATGCCAATAAATTGGAAAATCTAGAGGAAATAGAAAAATTCCTAGACACATTCAACCTACCATGATTGAACCATGAGGAAATCCAAGGCCTGAATAGATCATAATCAAAAGACATAATCAAAAGGCTTCCAGCAAAGAAAAGCCTAGGTCCTGATGACTTTTCACTGAAAATATTTAAAGAACTAATAACAATTCTACTCAAACTATTCCAAAAAATAGAAGAGAAGGGAATGCTTTCAAACTCATTCTGTGAGGCCAGTGTTACCATGATACCCAAACCAGACAAAGATGCATAAAAAAATAAAATTACAGGCCAATATTACTTATGAGTATTGATGTGAAAATCCTCAGCAAAATACTAGCAAGCTGAATTCAACAACACATTAAAAAGGTTATTCATCGTGACCGAGTGGGATTTATCTCAGGAGTGCAAGGATGGTTCAACATACACAAATCAATCAGTGTGATATATCAACAGAATGAAAGACAAAGATCATATGATCATTTCAATTTATGCTGAAAAACACTTGATAAAGTTCAATATCCCTTCATGATAAAAACCCTCAAAAAAACTGGATATAGAAGGAACATATCTCAACATAATAAAAGCTATATATGAAAGACCCAAAGCTATTATCATACTGAATGGGGAAAAACTGAAAGCCTTTCCTGTAAGATCAGGAACATGACAAGGATGTCCACTTTCACCACTGTTGTGCAACATAGTACTGGAAGTCCTAGCTAGAGTGATCAAACAAGAGAAGGAAATAAAGGGCATTCAAATTGGAAAGGAGAAAGTCAAATTATCCTTGTTTGTAGAAGATATGATCTTATATTTGGAAAAACCTAGACTCCACAAGAAAACTATTAGAAATGATAAATTTGGTAAAGTTTCAGGATACAAAATCAACATACAAAAATCAGTGGCATTTTTACATGCCAACAGCAAACAATTTGAAAAAGATATTTTAAAAAGTGATCCTTTTTACTATAACTATAAATAACATAAAATACCTAGAAATTAAATTAATCAAAGAAGTGAAAGATTCCTACATTAAAAAGTATAAAACATTGATGCAAAAAATCAAAGAGGACACAAGAAAACTGGAATGATATTCCATGCTCATGTATTGGAAGACTCAATATTGTTAGACTGTCCATACTACCCAAAGGAATCTTGATTTAATGCAGTCCCTATCAAAATACCAATGACTTTCTTCACAAACAGAAAAAAAGTCCTAAAATTTATGTGGAACTACAAAAGACCTAGAATAGTCAAAGTTATCCTAAGCACAAAGAAAAAACTGGAAGAATCACGTTACCTGATTTCAAATTATAGTACAGAGCTATGGTAACCAAAGACAATCTCTTCAATAAATGGTGCTGGAAAAATTGGATATCCTTATGCAGATTAATGAAACTAGACCACTGTCTCTAACCATATACAAAAATCAAGTCAAGATAGATTAAAGACTTAAATCTAAGATGTCAAACTATGAAACTACTACAAGAAAACATTGGGGAAACCCTCCAGGACTTTGGACTGGGCAAAGATATGTTGAGCAATAACCCACAGGCATAGAAAACCAAAGCAAAAATGGACAAATTGGGATCACATCAAGCCAAAAGCCTTCTGCACAGCAAAGGATATAATCAACAAAGTGAAGGAACAACCCACAGAATGGTAGAAAATATTTGCAAACTACCCATCTGACAAGGGATTGATAATCAGAATATTTATGGAGTTCAAACAACTCTATAGGTAAAAAACTAATAATACAATTTAAAGGTGGGCCAAAGATTTGAATAGACATTTCTCAAAGGAAGACATACAGATGGCAATCAGGCATATGAAAAGGCACTCAACATCACTGATCATCAGAGAAATGCAGATTAAAACTACAATGAGATACCGTCTCACCCCAGTTAAAATGGCTTTTATCCAAAACACAGGCAAAAAAAATGGTGAGAACGCAGCAAAAAGGGAACCCTTGTACACTGTTGGTGGGAATGTAAATTAGTTCAACCACTATGGAGAGCAGTTTGGAGGTTCCTTAAAAAGCTAAGTATAGAGCTACCATATAATCCAGCACTCCTAGATATATATCCAAAAGAAAGGAAACCAGTATGTTGGAGAAATATCCGCACTGCCATGCTTATTGCAGCACTCTTCACAATAGACAAGATTTGGGAGCAAACTTAATGCCCATCAATAGATGAATGGATAATGCAAATGTGGCGGATATACACAATGTAGATTATTGAGCCATAAAAAGAATGAGATCCTGTCATTGGCAACAATATGGGTGGGACTGGAGTTCATTACGTTAAGTGAAATGAGCCAGGCACAGAAAGACAATCATTGCAGTTTCTCACTAATCTGTGGGAGCCAAAAATTAAAGCAATTGAACCCCTGGAGATAGAGAGTAGAAGGATGGCTACCAGAGGCTGAGAAGGATAGATGGGGGATGGGGGAGGGATGAAGGGTAGTTAATGGGTACAGAAAAATAGAAAAATAAATAAATCTAGTATTTGCTAAGACAATAGGGTGACTATAGTAAAAAATAATTTAATTGTATGTTTTAAAATATCTGAAAGTATATAATGGGATTGTTTCAAACACAAAAGATAAATGCTTCAGGTGATGGGTATCTTATTTGCCCTGATTTGATTATTATGCTTCGCATGCCTGTATCTAAATATCTCATATAACCCATAAATATATACACCTACTATGTACCCACAAAAATTTAAAAAAGTTTTAAAAAGGAGGGAGGGAGGAAGCAAGAGAGAGTGAGAGGATGTGTCAGGTTCTTGTTAACAACCAGCTCTCATTAGAACTAATAAAAGTGAGAACTCTCATTCCTCCAACCAAGTGCATTAATCCGTTCATGAGGATCCACCTCCATGACTCAAACAACTCCCATTAGGCCCCACTGCCAATATTGGTCATCAAATTTTACTCTGAGGTTTGCAGGGACAAACATACAAACTATGGCAATCATGGACTGTATTAGTTTCCTAGGACTGCTGTAAAAAAAAAAAATACTGTACCACAAACTGAGTGACTTAAAATGGCAAAAATTTCTCGTCTCCCAGTTCTGGTTGGAAGAAGTCCAAAATCAAGATGTTGGCAGGGCCATGTTCTCTTCTTTGAATTCTTCCTTACCTCTTCCTAGCCTCTGGTAGTTGGCCAGCAATCCTTGACATTCCTTGGCTTGCAGCTACATCACTCCAGTCTCTGCCTCCTTGGTCAGATGGCGTTCTCCCTGTGTGTCTCTGTCTTTATGTGGCTGTCTTCTTATAAGAAAACTAGTCATATTGGATTAGGGGCCCAGTATGACCTCATCCTAACTAATTCCATCTGCAGTGATCCCGTTTCCAAATAAGGTCTCATTCTGAGGGTTAGAACTCCAACATATCTTCTTTTGGGTGGGAGTAGGAGATGCAATTCAACCCATAGCATCAACTATGTATCTATATATATAACAGAATTGTATTAATGCTAATTTTTTTGAGTCTGATAATTGTGTACAGAGCATGTACGAAAATGTCCTTGTTCTTAGGTAATGCCATCTGAAGTATTTGCAAGAAAAGTGATACAATATCTCCAACTAACTTTCAGCAAATGTCACAAAATACTAACAATTGGTAAATCTAATTGAAGATGCCTATCTAATTGTTCATTATACTGCTTTTGTAACTTTTCTATTGATTTGTCGATCTTCCAGACAAAGTCTTGGGGATAAAGAGATACTTAAAAACCAAAGGAGGAGAAGGAGAAGACATTTGGGAAGGCTGTGGGTTCTCTCCCGTAGAAACTGTAACCCCAACTATAGCATGAGGGCCTTTGGAAAAGTGACTTTCCTCTGCACTCAGCTGCACCAGCTGCAGGAACTACTCATGTAGAATCTCCTCTATGCATTCTTCTCACAGGGCCCTTTCTGTATGTCTCTCTTATGATTTCATTTTCTGCAAGAAATCAACACCACACAGCCCCTCATCCTCTCTCCCTCACCAACATTGTCTGAGGCTTTTGGAATGTTAGCAAAGTGTCTTCTACTCCTCCCAAGCTCAAGTGCAAATGACAGAAACTATTGCTGCAACTGGGACTTTGCTCAGTGAAAACAAGAAAAGGGTTTCGAAAATTCTGTCCTCAGCCAACTCTATTCCTGCTGAATTTTCTCAAGTGAATTCCTTGATGTAACAATAAAGATCACACAGTTACTGTTTATCTTCCCTGAGTGCTTTTGAAACACGAGGACCCCCATAGCCAGGCCTTTCACATAGGCCCCAAGGCACACACTACCCACCCCAAGAGCGCAGCCTTAGGTGCTACCCTGCAAACTGTGGCAATCATCCAGATGCTACATTCCCTGGGCATCTGACCGGGGAATCCTTTTCAAGAATGTCGCTTGAGATCTTTGACTCTTAAACTACAGAGGAGCAAAAGAAACTTGTTTTTCACTGCATTCTGTGCAGGTCCATGCTGAGACCTAAACGACTGTCTCTAGATATAGGAGAGGGACAGACCAAGAGTCCCTGAGCCTCGAGGTCTGAACCGGGAAAATCCTACCTCCTGTTTCTACTCCAGCTATGTAAGGCCATATACAGTCTAAATCAGTGTCAAAGAGCAGTGACAAATTCAGCAGATCCATCTCTCTGGACCAAGCTTGAAGGGAGGAGAGAGGAAAAAAAGGAAGGTTTCTTTAAAATGGTGAGGACTACCTTGTGCAAAATCTTTAACAGCAAGGGAGGCCAGCACCTGAACACAAGCCAGCAGAGCTATCCACCAAGCAATGGAAAAGTCTTATCTCATGACAAGCTGGTAAGGGGACCTGTTGGAATGTGCTTTGAGGAAATGTTGCCACCAGCCTAGCACCAAGGAACCATGCTGACTGAGCAGCTGTCAAGCCTGCCCCACTGGTACCTGGGAGCCCAGTAACCAAACCGTGGGGCACACCATGGAACCAGAGTGACGTCCCCTCAGTGCAGAGGATTACCCTGCATTTATGGTGAAGTAGTGGCCCTGTTGCCAATTTGCATCACATTGATGCAGCCTAGGTCTTTGGAGACACTTAGGAGCAAAAAGCTAGTTTTTCAGCTGTTTCAGGGTGGCTATAGGCCCCTCTCCATCTGCTCATTTTAAAAGAGATATGCAGAGTGTTTTCCAAGCGCCTGGCATAGATGAGGCACTGCTCCTTTGAAACCACTTGGACAAATGCCTAATAGTTTACATTCCATCTGAGTGAGAGCCTTAGTATGCTGAAATTGGTCTATTTCCCCATGATAATTCTAATCATGTCCCCGTACTCAACATCAGTGATACTGGCTTTGGAGGCCAAGCAATAAAAAAAGAGAAGATGGTGGAATGAGGAGATAGGCAATGTTCTGAGAAGGAATGCTCAGCAACAATAACCATGAAGAGTAGAAACAGCAGGGACAGATAGAGGCAGACAACCTAAAATGGGAAAGAAGAATGTCCACAACTTCTTCATCTGGAGAAAATCAGCCACCTATAACCTCTAGCCCTTCAAATCATAGGCATTAAACCCCTCCATTATGTGCTTGATGGTGGAGGGAATAACTAACAACCAGCAGTAACTGAAAAAACTCTAAAGGAATACACATACAATTTAAAGAATATGTTAACTGATCATAGTCTATATGTAAATTAATTTATTTAAATAGCTTAAAGCTCCCATCTTAGGAAGCAGAGCCAGAAAGAAGAAGGAGTTGTTGTGTAAATGATTTGTTGGGGGAGTGCTCCTGGAAGAAGGGGAAGGAGGAAAGTAGAATTGAGCAGGAAGTCAGAGGAGTTAAACAAGGATGTGGTCTCAGCTAGAGACTAGTTTTGATCTGGTCACAAGGGGAAGCTCTGGAACAAGGTGGTACCACAGAATTAGTCCCACCTTGACTTATGGGGGCTGCCTTTTGTATCCCCTTGTTGGTCATTCATTGGCAGAGGTTTTCAGGGACAAATCTCCAGAGAAGGTGGCACCAGTGATTTGTCAACAGCTAAGGGGATAAGTTTGGAAGGAGTTCAAAGGAGATTTAGGTAGGGTACCAACTGCATCCACTACAGTTCTCCTCTACTTAATGTGATTAAAAAGGCAAAAGATAACATGGCATAGCCACCAAGAGGGCTATAAGTTTTTTAAAATAAAATGAAATAAAATAAAAATGGCAAATATTGTTAAGGATATGGGGAAATTGAAACCCTCATTCATGCTGATGGGAATGTAAAGTGGTGCACTCCCTTTGGAAAACAGTTTGGCAGTTATTCAAAAGGTTAAACACAGAGATAACATTTGATCCAGTAATTCCACTCCCAAGTATATACCTGAGAGAAATAAAAACATAAGTCCACACAGAAACACATACACAATTGTTCATAGCAGCATTATTCACAATAGCCAAAAGATGGAAACAATCTAAATGTCCATCCAGTGACGTATGGATAAACAAAATGTGGTATATCCATTCAATGAAATATTATTCAGCCATAAAAAGGAATGAAGTATTGATACATATTGATACATGCTACAACATTGGATGAACCATGAAAACATCATGGTAACTTAAAGAAACCAGACATAACAGGCACACATTGTAGGATTTCATTTATATAAAATGTCCACAGCAAGTTAATCCATAGACAGAAAGTAGATTAGTGGTTGCCAGGGCGTGGGGAAAGGGAGAATGGGGAGTGACTGCTAGTGGATACCAAGTTCTTTTGGGGGGTTGATGAAAATGCTCTAAAATTAGACAGTGGTGATGATTACACAACCCTGTGAACATAATAAAAACCACTGAATTATACAATTCAAAAGTGTGAATTTCATGGTATAGGAATTATGCCTAAGTAAATTACTTGTTTTTAAAAGATGGCACTGCCAATTTCCTGAGCTCTGCATTCCTCAGGTATATGGTGTTGATGTTTCACATATAGATGTCCTTAGAAAGCTATTTCAGCCTGTAGAAAGGTCTTCAAATTATTATTACAGAATATTTTTTGTGAATGCTACAGAATATCTGTTTCTGAGCATATTTTATCTTCTGGAGAGTTTTATAATGATGCTCAAAGTGGTTCTTTTTGGTTGTATCGGTCTACTTCTACCCTAGCTGGGTCCAGTGAATCCATGGTGCCAAGCTGTCAAAGACGAAAAGATATGTAGATTTAATGCTTCTGGTAAAACTGAAAGTTCTCATAAAATTGGAAGATTTTAATACCCTGGAACCCCAGTCATTGCACACTTACTTTGAGCCCTCAAAGTTTTTTAAGAGATAGGTAGGCTGCTTTTACAGCTATTTTGATCATTTTGGGGCACCTCAAAAACGTTTTCAGAAGTAGATTATTTCAGAATTATACATTTAAATGAGGTGCAAAGCTGCTTTGTTATCAGATGACAAGCTGTCTCACTGAGCTAACAAAACATGGGATACCAAGAACATGGGACTACAGGAAAAAGCTACCAAAAGAACTCTGAGATTTTGACAGATGAAATTAATACATCATGCTTTTTCAAAGGTTAATTTCCAAACAGGAAAAAAAATCTCAGTTATACTAGGGTTGGCAATAGCCAAAGGGGGTTGATTATGGAAACACAGAATCAAAAAGGAGGGTCAGGATCAAAATTGGCAGTGTCTACTCAGCATTGTCAAGGGAGAAAAGGGACCCTTGCACATGAACATAGCTTACCAGACCTTGCAGCAGGTAGTCTCTGGGCTGGAGGTTGCTGCATTTAGCTATAGAAACTGAAGCTAGTTGATATTAAAATCATTCAGCCACCTCCTCTCTGTTTCCTTGCCCATGAGCAGCCTTCTGGTCACACCAGGGCTTCTGCTGGAACTTCTCACCCAGATAGAATTTATTAACTAGTGAAAAAAGCAAAACCTAAGTTTCTCATTATAGATTTACATATTAGTGTTCTAGTTTGTGTACCAGCCTCCTGCAACTTGGGTTAATGGTAGTCAGTCTCATGGGGTTTGTTCAACTCTAGATCCAGCCATATACTCCTCTTCTCTAAGGATATCAAGTTAGAGACATGCTAAATAGGGGATTTCAGGAACATAAGCCAATTTATACATCCCTGGGCCTAAAGGCACAGAGTCTTGACTTGGAATGAGTTGACTCAACTGAGCCCAGCTCCCATCATATTCCCTCCAAAAGCCATTCAGTTGGCCCACCCAAGGTGACCCTTTAACCACAAAGAAAAAAAGAAAAGTCTCTTTAGCCTTGTGAGAATACTTTGAGAAAAGTTGCTTCAGTCTTTGGTATATTTCTTTAATTTGTAGACAAACTGTCATGTCACATTGCCTAGATGGTCATATAACTGGACATATTTTATTGAGTCATTCATTATGTGTAGAGAGCAAATGATCAAAACAAAAGCTGACTTCATTGACTTTCTTATGCAAGGCCATTGTGAGCCAAGTTAGAATCAACTCCCTCTTAGTCTCACCCAACAGTATATCTATCTACAGCCATATCTACTATGTTCAAAGTGCAGGAGAAGACAGGGGCTACATCTTCTGTATCTTTATATCCCCAGGGCTGAGCACAGTGCTTGGCATACAGGAGATGCCAAATTAATATTTGCTGGATAGATGAAAAAATGAATGAATGAATAAGTTTCATGGGTAAGAGAAAGTTTGGAAATGAGTATCATTGGCCCAAGAAAGTAGAGACAGGCATGTCATGTTTTGGAAAGATTTCCATTTCTCAAGTGATTCAAATACCAAAGTGCTTATGTTTAAAGGTTAAATATTTACTTATTCACCTCTCCACCCAAAATATGATTGATGAATCAGTTCTCTCTCTCTTTCTCTCTCATACACCATACACTCTCTCTTTCACTCTCAATCTCTTTCCCCTGGGATCTAAAATTTGCAGTTACACTTCAGTTATGCAGCACATTTCTTAGATTGTTCATGTATTAGTTTGCCTGGAAAAGAGGTAGTATTGAAGAAGCCAGAGAGAAATTGAGAATCAAGAGGCCATAATCTCAGAAGCAGAAATTTCTCACTGTTTATACCCTAGAGTGGTGATGGCATATTAACCGAATGGGAGTACCCAGCCCAATTCAATACCAGCATCTTTTCCTTCTTTTTAGAAATAGATAAGTCACTCAAAAAAGGGGTTGCTCCCTTTTTCTCTTCTACTTAGATATCCAGCTCCCTATTGAATAATAGATCAATGTAAAGTAAAAGATAAATTCAATCCCTATTCTAGGAGAATTTACAGTTCAAACACAAGCTAGAAAAGATTAATCTTTTCAGGAAGGGCCACATTTTTATTCACTCTTTCTAGAATATCCTGGATAAAGCTGTAATCATGAGTTGAAGCTTCATCTAAGATTAATATGGATGTAGATATTCTTGCCTCCTTCTATTTGCCTTTTGTCTTTTAATTCATGATCTATATTATAGACTCATAAGTTCTTTTAATAATATGTTCATTTATCTAAAGTTATAGACTCTTTGAAGAAATTTTTCTGTGCTAAGCAGACTTTGAAGGATTTCGAATGATTGAATAAACCGATGGACTTATAAAGGCTCTGGAAGTCCCAAGATTCAAATGGCTTCCCAGGACAGTGAAAATACATTTCTATTACTAAAAATATGGCAATGTAAAGATTAGCCCATCTCTCTTTATGCTTCTTTGTGCAGTGGAATCCATGTAGGTAAATTACTTCAAACCATCTAAGCCTCTAAAAGTGGCCTCCAATATGACTAGCCCTAGAAAAGATACACTTTAGCTCACAAACTTGAGGTAACCTATCAGCATTCTCAATCAACAGGTCCTTCTAGGCCAGTGCATCCCACTCTTGGCTGCACATGAGATTCACTCAGAGCTCTGGTGGATGTCCATTCAACAAATCAGAATGCAGAGGATGGGACCAAGGCATCAGTAATTTTTACCATTGTTTGGAGCAATGTAATATGCAGGCGAAGGTGAGAATCACTGCTTCAATATAATATTTCTCAAATTGTTCCCATGGACTACCAAAATAAAACTATCCGGGAGAACTGGTTAAAAGTGCATGTCTCTGGCTTCTACCATAGACCTAGTCAATGGGTGTTTTGGAAAATCTGTTAGTGTAACAAACCCTACACCGGTGATTCTTATGCATGTTTTAACATACTTTGCAGATTAGCTTTCTCAAATCTATTCCAAGTCCCTTAGATCAGTGGTTCTCAAAGTATGGTCTCTGACTAGCAACATCATCGTCACCTGGGAACTTGATAGAAATGCAAATTCTCTGGGGGCCCCCATCCAAGACCTACTGAATCACAAACTCTAAATGTGGGGCCCCAAAATTTATGTCTTAACATACCCCCAGGTGCTTCTGATGCAGGTTCAAGTTTGAGAACCAATGCCTTATAACATGACTTACTCAGAGCTAGAGGGTAGAAAGCTAAAGACTACCTTTCCTATTCTGTCTTAGAGCTCATGTTCTTCTTGTGACCTGCCTTCTGCCAACTAGATGAACCTCTGTGGGGTATGGAAGGTAGAAATAAAAGGGTGATTACACTTCTCTTGGAAAGTACAGCAGTAGAGGAAGTTGATCTTTCTGTGGTAGTGGTAGCAGAGGTTCCAGTGACTGACTCCTATTCTGGGGGTAGAGGCAGGGTACAGACCCTCCTTTTGTTGGCATGAATCACATATGAGGCACTGTGCCCTAAAGCCAAGAGTTATGGCAGTGGCTTTCTCATCCCCAGGAGGCAGCTGAGGTGGTGTGGTCCTGCAGTCAAGAGATAGGCCAATAGCGTCCTGATTCCCCAGCTTCTGATCATTCTCCAGTAAAGGCAGCACCTCCCTTGGTGGGCCAGTTATGTGGTATGCTGAGCATCATTCCTGGAAGTTCAGCTTAGAGTCTGCTCCTCCAACCCTTGCAAGTATTTTTTAAATTTCCTAAGTCCTTTTATTCTTAAACTAACTAGAATACTTTTCATGATCTGTAACTGGACCCAGACCAATGCTGCACTTTTATTTGAGGTCTGTTATTGTAATTGTTGATGCCAATATCTTTCCCAGAAGGCAGCAAGATCCTGGAAGGCATGTTTGTAGAATAGCTCCAAAGTGGTATTACTGAAATAGAGACCATCTCAATTATTTGCTTATTTTACTGGCTCCACTAAGGGGTAGTTTTGGCCAGGTGATGGGATCTGCCCTATCATTTCTATCAGTACCCACCAAAATCATCCCAAATTAACATAAAGCTTAAGTAAAATCTGTTACTAAGCAAACACAAATTCAAGGCAAGTTTCCTAACCTCCTCTCACCCCACTTCAGCTGCAACTAAACCTCCCTTCTATGCAAAAATTCTGAAATTGCCTTTAGCCAACTATGTATCTCATTCTTGCTTAGCTCTTAAAATTCGCAGATGATTAAGAAGAGAATTCTACCCTCCAACATTTTACACACCAGTGTAGGGAGTAGAAAAGGTTACTTAAATATATTTGCATTTATAGAAATACAAGCAAATGCCCACCAAATACTCCACTTCATTCAATTCAAGACATAAAGAAATGACTTCAATTGCCATTACTAAACTTTGATGCTTTCTTTAATTCAATAACTTTTCTTCTGGCCCAGAAATATTTTTACTTCTTTGCAGCTCAACAATGATACACACACGCGCGCACACACACACACACACACACACACACACACACAAACAGGTGTGGAGCACCTAGAATAGAGCAGATGTTTAAGAAGCAAAGAGCTAATGGATAAATCAGGTGGCTTGACCCCTTTGGACTGGGCTACTAAAACCTTCCCACACCACTTTCTTGGCGTTTGTATCCAAAAGTGATCATGATTCTGTCACAGCTCTTCATTGCATGAAGGACTAGCATGGCTTAAACTGGAAGAGAGTTGATATCAATAAGTCAGACCAATTACATCTATCAGAGACCAGCATGTGTGCAATAAACAGGCAAATCTGATCCCAGGAGAGTGGAGATGGTCATCAGTCAACTCTGTAATACGGTTTAAGAGTGAAGACCAGAAATGAGTCTTGACATCTCTGGCGCAGTCTGTAGCATTCCTAATTCCAACATTAAAGCTTTATCCCTTAGGATCAAGGTTTTGCTTCCCAGCCAGAATATGTGGAGCCCTGGAAGTAAGCCACAGCTGATGCAAAACCACAGAATAAGGTGACACATCTCCCTTGAGAATCTGTTTTACTTGAAGATTTGAGGAGAAACATATTCTCTGCATACTTAAACAAATCTGCATACATTTCAGAGTGGAATTCAACCTTGACATTCATTTTTAAGTCTCTACTGAGATATAGCATGCACACAGAAATGTACAGATATAAGAATACAGTTTGATGGATTTTTAAAAATACTTCGTACATCCATGTGTTACTGGCAAAAATCTGCAGTTGCTTCTGTGTTTAGGCGCTGCCCACCAAGGATCCCGAGTTGAAAAGGAAAAGAGAGAGAGAGTCCCCTGTATGGAGCAGAAAGGAAAAGGAGAAAGATGAAAAATAAATCCCAAGCTTTGGGCCTATCTTCTCCTAGAATTTCTCCTGGCTGGCTCTCCAAAATATGTTACTGATGGAGGGTGTCCAGGTTCTTGGCATCTTGAACAAAGAATTGGACAAAATGCACAAACAAAGCAAGGAAGGAATGAAGGGATTTATTGAAAATGAAAGTACACTCCACAGTGTGGGAGTGGGCCCAAGCATAGGGGCTCAAGGGCCCCATTACAGAATTTTGGGGAGTTTAAATACCCTCTAGAGAATTCCATTGTTTACTTGGTGTACACCCTATGTAAATAGAGAGCATTAAGTAAAGTTACAAAGTCATTTACTCAATGTACACCCTATATAGAGGATATTTCATGTCATAGCTGAAGTGTGAATTGGCCTTAGGTTCCCTGTCTCCAAAACCTATTTTCCTGCTTCACATGGAACCAACTCCCAGATCAAAAAGTACAGCATCACCAACATCCCAGAACCCACTCTTGTGCCTCTTCCAGATGCTACTCCTCTAGGGGTAACCATTCTCTCTTCATTTAACTTTATGTAAATGGAGCTATACAATGTGTTTAGTATTTGGCTTTTTCAGCTCAGTATTATCCTTGTAAAATCCACTTATTTGTTTATCCATTTATTGCTGTGTTCAGTTGAAGGTCATTCATTTTTGCTGCTGTCTAGTATTCCATTGTGAAAATATACCACAATTTATTCTGCTGTTGATAGCCATTTAAGCAGTTTCCAGTTTAAAGTTATTAATAATAGTGCTGTTGTAAATATTCTTTTACGTGCCTTTTGATAGAAGTAAGCAGTCATTTTTTTCAGAATGTATAACCAAGAATGGAATTGTAAGATCATAGGGTAGGCATATGTTCAGCTTCAGTAGACATCAAAACAACCTTCTTGGGCACTTATACCAAGTTCCATTTCTTTTTCATTTTAAATTTTTTTACTTTTTAAATATGTTTAGAGATGGGGGGGGAGTCTCAGTATGTTGGTAAGGCTGGTCTCGAACTCCTGGCCTCAAGCGATTTTCTTGCCTCAGTCTCCCAAAATGCTGGGATTACAGGTGTGAGCCACTGCACCCAACCATCAAGTTCCATGTATTTTTTAAAAAATTTTAAGTGGAGACTCCAGATAAATTTCATCATTGGGTTGATGTTTTCACTATGTCTTTGAAAGGTATCCATACTCTGACTTTTTTTCAAGATTTTGTACTGGGTGGCTGGGAAGGTGGTATTTATTTTTAGTCAAGTACCCTATAGTTACTAGGGCTAATATTCACAATTATTTCTTTAAGAAATTGTAATAAAAATTGTTGCAACCAGTATTAGTTCTCTATTGCTGCATAACAAATTACCACAAACTTAACAGCTTAAAGAACACACATTCTTTACCTCAAGTTTTCATAGATAAAAAGTCTAGGCACAGTTTAGCTGAGCACACTGCTTCATGTCTCTCACTGGCTGCATAAAGGTCTTGGCCAGGTATGAGTTCTCATCAGAGGCTCCACTGGAGAAAAATCCACTTCCAAAGTCCCTCAGATTTTGGGCAGAATTTATTTCCTTCTGGCTATAGGATTGAGGGCCTCTGCTTTTTAATGACTACTGGCTAGAGGCTGCCCTTGGGTCCTAGAGGCACACCCCTCTCCAAATTCCTGGCTACCTGTACTTCTCGTATGACCATTTACGTTATCAAACCAGCAAGGAAAATCCTACATAACATAATGTACTCATGGGAGTGACATTCCACCATCTTTGCCATAATCTATAGATTAGAAGCAAGTAATAGGTTCTGTTGGCACTCAAAAAAAGGTGACTACAAAAAGGCATGAATCCCAGGAGGTGGAAATCATTGGGGGTCACCATGAGGTCTGCCCACCACATTACTTAATGAGCTACTATTGAGATCTAGGCTTTATATAAGTACTTTATTCCCATTAGCTCACATAATCCTATTGGAAATCTTGCAGATAAGTATTTGGGCTTGTCAGGGCTCTTGGCCACAGATTATCAACAACAGTTGTGAGTAATCTTAGTAGAAACATTTTAAACTTTTAAAAAATTATACATATTTATGGGGTGCAATGTTATGTTTTGACATATGTATACACTGTGTAATGATCAAATCAGGGTAATTAACATATCCATCACCTAAAGCATTTATCACTTCTTTGTAATAAGAACATTCAAAAACTTCCTTCTAGCTATTTTGAAATATACATTTTTGTTAACTCTAACCATCCTGCTCTACAATAGAACACCAGAACTTATTCCTCCCCATTGACCAGCCTCACACCCTCCCCTTATTTTCCCCACCCTCTCCATTTTCTTGTAACTACTATTCTATTCTCTATTTCTATGAGAACAACTTTCTGGCTCCATATATGAGTGAGATTATTTTATCATTTTCTATGGCTGATTAGTATTCCATTCTATACATATACCACATTTTCTTTATCCATTTATTTACTGATGGACATTTAGTTTGATTCTACATCTTGGCTACTGACAATACTGCTACAATAAACATAGGAGCGAAGATATTTTTTGACATATTGATTTCATTTCCTTTGTATATATACACAGCAGTGGGATTACTAGATTATATGATAGTTGTATTTTTTAAAATTTTATTTTAAGTTCAAGGTTATAGGTGCACGTTTGTTATATAGGTAAACTTCTACCATGGAAGTTTGTTGTACAGATTATTTCATCACCTAAGTATTAAGCATATGAGGATTTTTCCTGATCCTCTCCCTCTTCCCATCCTCCACTTTCTGATAGGTTCCAATGTCTATTGTTCCTCTCTAGGTTTCTATGTGTTTTCATCATTCAGCTCCCACTTATAAGCAAGAGCATGCAATATTTGATTTTCTGTTTCTGTGTTAGTTTGCTGAGGATAGTGGTCTCCAGCTCCATTCATGTTCGTGTGAAGAACATGATCTCATTCTTTATGGCTGCATAGTATTCCATGGTGCATATGTGCCACATTTTCTTTACTCAGTCTACCATGGATGGGTGTTTAGGTTGATTCCATGTCTCTGCTATTGTGAATAGTGCTGCAATAAACATGTGAGCCTGTGTCTTTATGAGAGAGCAATTTGTATGCCTTTGGGTGCATACCCAGTAATGGGATTGCTGAGTTGAATGGTAGTTCTGTTTTTAGGCCTTCAAGGAATCACTACACTGTTTTCCACAATGGTTGAACTAATTTACACTTCCACCAACAGTGTTTAAGCACTCCCTTTTCTCCAAGATCTTGCCAGCATCTGTTATTTTTTGACTATTTAATAATAGCCATTCTGACTGGTGTGAGATGCTGTCTCATTGTGGTCTTGATTTGCATTTCTCTAATGATCAGTAATGTTGAGCTTTTTTCCATATGCTTGTTTTGGCCACATGTATGTCTTTTCAAAATTGTCTGTTCATCTCCTTTGCCCACTTTTTAATGGGGTTGTTTGTTTTCTTCTTGTAAATTTAAGTTCCTTATAGATGCTGGATATCAGACCTTTGTCAGATGCATAGCTTGCAAAAATTTTCTCCCATTCTGTAGGTTGTCTGTTTACTCTGTTAATTGTTTCTTTTGCTGTGCAGAAGCTCTTAAGTTTAATTAGATCCTATTTCTCAATTTTTCCTTTTGTTGCAATTGCTTTTGGCATCTTTGTCATGAAATCTTTGCCTGTTCCTATGTCCACAATGGTATTGCCTAGGTTGTCTTCTGGGGTTTTTATACTTTTGGGTGTTACGTGTAAGTTGTTAATCCATCTTGAGTTGATTTTTGCATATGGTGTAAGGAAGGGGTCCAGTTTCAATCTTTTGCATATGGCTAGGCACTTACACCAGCACCATTTATTGAATAGGGAATCCTTTCCCCATTACTTGTTTTTGTCCACTTTGTCAAAGGTCAGATGGTTGTAGATGTTGCGCAGCCTTATTTCTGGGCTCTCTATTCTGTTTCACTGCTCTGTCTGTTTTTGTACCAGTACCATACTCTTTCAGTTACTGTAACCCTGTGGTATTTGATGTTGGGTAGCGTAACACCTCCAGCTTTGTGTTTTTTTTTTCTTTTGCTTAGGATTGCCTTGGCTATTTGGGCTCTTTTTTGTTGTCATTCCATATATTTTTTCTAGTTCAGTGAAGAATGTTATTGGTAGTTTGATAGAAATAGCATTGAATCTATAAATTGCTTTGGGCAGTATGGCCATTTTAACAACATTGATTTTTGTGTGTTTTTTTGTTGTTGTTTGTTTGTTTTGTTTTGAGATGGAGTCTCACTCTCTCCCAGGTTGGAGTTCAATGGCGCAATCTCAGCTCACTGCAACCTCCGCCTCCCAGGTTCAAGCAATTCTCGTGCCTCAGCCTCCCAAGTAGCTGAGATTACAGACGTGTGCTACCATGCCCGGCTAATTTTTGTATTTTTAGTAGTGACGGGGTTTCACCATGTTGGCCAGGCTGGTATCGAACTCCCGACCTCAGGTGATCCACCCACCTTGGCCTCCCAAAGTGCTGGGATTACAGGCATGAGCCACTATGCCCAGCCCAATGTTGATGTTTCCTATCCATGAGCATGGAATGTTTTTTCATTTGTTTGTGTCATCTCTGATTTATTTCAGCAGTATTTTATTGTTCTCCTTGTAGAGATCTTTCGCTTCCCTGGTTAGCTGTATTCTTAGGCATTTTATTCTGTTTTCGGCAATTGAGAATTTTGTGAATGAGATTTCATTCCTGATTTGGCTCTCAGCTTGACTGCTGTTGGTGTATAGAAATGCTAGTGATTTTTGCACATTGATTTTGTATCCTAAGACTTTGCTGAAGTTATCAGTTTAAGGAACTTTGGAGCCAAAACAATGGGATTTCTTAGATACAGGATCATGTTGTCTGGAAACAGGGATAGTTTGACTTCCTCTCTTCCTATTTGGATGCCCTTTATTTCTTTCTCTTGGCTGATTGCTCTGGCCAGGACTTCCAATACTGTGTTGAATAGAGGTGGTGAGAGAGGGCATCCTTGTCTTGTGCAGGTTTCCAAAAGGAATGCTTCCAGCCTTCGCCCATTCAGTATGATGTTGGCTGTGGGTTTGTCATATGTGGGCTCTTATTATGTTGAGGTATGTTTCTTCAATACCTTGTTTATTGAGAGTTTTTCACATGAGGGGGCGTTGAACTTTTTCAAAAGCATTTTCTGTATCTATTGAGATAATCATGTGGTTTTTGTCTTTAATTGTGTTTATGTGATGAATTACATTTATTGATTTGTGTACATTAAACTAACCTTGCATCCCAAGGATAAAGCCTAATTGTTCATGGTGGATAAGCTTTTTGATGTGCTGCTGAATTCAGTTTGCCAGTATTTTGTTGAGGATTTTTGCATTGATGTTCATCAAGGAAATTGGCCTGATGTTTTCTTTTTCCATTGTGTCTCTGCCAGATTTTTGTAGTCAAATGATCCTGGCCTCAAAGAATGAATTAGAAAGGAGTCCCTCCTTCTCAGTCTTTTGGAATAGTTTCAGTAGAAATGGTACCAACTCTTCTTTGTACCTCTGGTAAAATTCAGCTGTCCTGGGCTGAATTGTCTGGCCCTGGGCTTTGATAGGCTATTTATTACTGATTCAATTTTGCAGCTTGTTATTGGTCTGTTCAGGGATTCAATTTCTTCCTGATTCAATCTTGGGAGGGTATATGTATTCAGGAATTTATTTATTTTTATTTATTTTTTATGTCTCATGGTTTTTGATGTGAGCCTTTAGTGCTATAAATTTCCCTCTTAACACTGACTTGGCTGTGTCCCAGAGATTCTGGTATGTTGTATCTTAGTTTTCATTAGTTTCAAATGACTTCTTGATTTCCACCTTGATTTCATTATTTACCCCAAAGTCATTCAGGAGCAGGTTATTCAATTTCCATGCAATTGTCTGGTTTTGAGCAATTCTTTATATTTAATTTCTAATTTTATTGTGTCGTGGTCCAAGTGGTTGGTATGATTTCAGTTCTTCTGCATGTGCTAAGGGTTGTTTTATGCCCAATTGTGTGGTCAATTTTAGAGTTACATGCCATGTGGATTGAGCAGAATGTATATTCTGTTGTTTCGGGGTGGAGGGTTCTGTAGATGTGTATCAGGTCCATTTGATCCAGTGCTGAGTTCAGGTCCTGAATACCTTTGTTAATTTTCTGCCTCAATGATCTGTCTTTCAGTGGGGTGTTGAAGACTCCCACTATTATTGTGTAGGAGTCTAAGTCTCTTTGAAGGTCTTTGAGAACTTGCTTTATGTATCTGGGTGCCCCTGTGTTGAGTGCATATATATTTATGATAGTTATATCTCCATGTTGCATTGAACCCTTTACCTTTATGTAATAACTTTCTTTGTCTTTTTTTAAAATCTTTGTTGATTTAAAGTCTTTTTTTGTCTGAAATTAGGATTGCAACCCCTGCTTCTGTTTTCCACTTGCTTGGTAGATTATTCTCCATCCCTTTATTTGGAGCCCATGGGTGTCATTGTATGTGAGATGGGTGTCTTGAAGGCAGCATACCAGTGGGTATTGGTTCTTTATCCAGCTTTCCACTCTGCCTTTTTATTGGGGCATTTAGCCCATTTACATTCAAGGTTAGTATTATTGATATGTGTGGATTTGACCCTGTCATCATGATGTTTGCTGGTTATTATGCAGACTTGTTTGTGTGGTTGATTTATAGTGTCACTGGTCTGGGTACTTCAGTGTGTTTTTTTAGTGGCTGGTAATGATCTTTCCTTTCCATATTTAGTGCTCCATCCAAATAGGAAAGAAAGAAGTCAAATTGTTCCTGATTGCAAATGACTTGATTTTGTATATAGAAAACCACCAAAAAACTGTTAGAACTAATAACTGAGTTCAGTAAAGTTAAAGGATGCAAAGTCAAAGTATAAAATTCAGTAGCATTTTTATACACCAATAACAAAGTATCTAAAAATGATATCAAGAAAGTAATTCCATTTATAATAGTTACAAAAAATAAAATATCTAGAAATAAATTTAACCAAGGAAGTGAAAGATCTCTACAATGAAAACTGTAAAACATTGATGGAAGGAACTGAAGAAGACACACACAAAATGGAAAGATATCTTGCTCATAGATTGGAAGAATTAATATTGTTAAAATGTGCATAGTAGTAAAGATATTTTTATTGGAAAGATATTGAGTAGTTCACAGAATCCACAAAAAAAGGCTGGAGAGCCCAGTTTGAAGAGTGAACAAAATCAAGTGGGGTGAGGGATTCAGCAGCCAGAAAGTGCCAAGTGAATGGCAGGAAAGATCTGGTTAATATGCCTCTCCTACTGCTCTGCTGCTGAGCATCATATTCCTACCACTATCTTCCTCCAAGAATGAAGTATAAACAACTGCCACTCACAGGTGGTATCTGAAATGTTACTATGTAACCAGCACAGAAATTGAAAATAAACATTTAGAAATTTTATAGTACTTTGACAGAGTAATTTTCTCTCTTGAGAACCCAATTGTATAAAATTGGGGTTTTTAGTTTTAGGACATTTTAATGTGTTATTTTTCTAATGATTTGTTTTTTATTGCCTATTATAAAAGTATATGTCTTCAGAAGATTGGAAATTTTTTAATCCTAGTCCTTCAGCACAGACAGTTTGTGAAACCCTGTCTAAGCTGTCATGGCTTCCACTTGTTACTGACTTCAGAGGTGAAGTCCCAGTTAGGAACACTTGAGTCTTGGGCCTGTATGGTATCTGCCACATAGAGTTTGAAAATCTATTGTTTTCTATGTCTGTGCATCTATGCTGGAGCAGATATCTACCTCTCTCAGAAGCTTCTCAAAGGTGGGCTCCCCAGATGTAGAAAGGGGTGTAGATGTGAACCAGCCAAAATTGTGACAGAGACCAAGATGAGGATTTCAAATTGTCCATAGTTTTTAGGAATATGATGGTTACTGGCAACTTTAACAAGAGAAGTTTCACTGGAATAGTTTTAAATGTGGATAGGAAGTATTCAGGAATGAATTTGAACATAAAGGACTGTACAATCGGCCCTCCATATCCATGGTTTCCACATCCATGGATTTAGCCAACTGTGGGTCAGAAAATACTTGAAAAAAAAGGATGGTTGCATCTGTAATGAACATGTACAATCTTTTCTTCTTGTCATTACTCTCTAAACAATACAGTATAACAATTATTATATAGAATTTATATTGTATTAGGTATAATATATAATCTAGAGATGATTTGGGGTATACTGGAGGATGTGCATAGATTATATGCAAATAGTATATCATTTTATATAAGGGACTTGAGCCTCCATGAATTTTAGCATTCTCCCATAGATACTGAGGGACAAGTGTTTTCAAGATGGTGACACATCTTGAACTGTGTTCAAGATGGTGTCATGAAACATATGGCACACTTAAATTAGGTAAATGAGAAGAGTTTAATAAACAGAATATTTACAAAGTTGTCGGCAAGGGATAGGAAAATCAACAAAGGATGTTGATGCAGCCCATGCTTAGCAACAACAAGAGAAACATTACTACCATTAGGCTCTAGGGGGTAAGGGGGGAACAGTTATCATTAATTACAGAGACTAGCTATAGGAAAGGGCTGCCTAATAGGTGATGTCAACTTCAGTTGAGAAAGTCAGCCAAAACACGAAAGACCATAAGATCCCCCTTAATATCTTGTTAGGGCCTCCCCTTGGTCTAATCCAACTCAAAGGCAGAGGGCCAGAAGGACCATTGACATAGTCTATTAAGATCAGCCCTTCCTGGGTATGGAGCACAGTGGAGAAGGATAGAGAATTGCTTTGGGACAAAGAGAAGATATCCAGCATGGAGAGAGATATCTTTGGATCATATTAAGTTTCTGGGAAAGTGAGAAGGGAGCTGATGCAGAAAGAAGTGGAGAGATTGTCCTTTCATTGAAAGAGAACTACCCTTCCCGCAACCATGGTAATAAGTGAGAAGGGGGAGGATTTAATGTGTTGCCGGTGAGCTTGTAAATATGACAGGAAGTTGATGGGATGGCTTCTATTTTCTCTGCAAAGTGCAAACTGTCATCTGTTAAAATAAAGGAGGTGAAGAACAGCAGAGATCTGAGAAGAGAGTTGAGAATGCATGAATTATTGAAAAGAACTGGAGGACAAATTGACCAGAGAAATAAAGTCAGTTGGCCAGTCACCCTCAAAGCCCAGATGAGCTTAGTCAACTTTAATTTAAAGTGAACACACATCCAATTAGTTGTATGATTTTAATGTATAAAAATATTATATTTTCCTAAAATATAATATTTTAAGAAATATTATATTTTAAAATTTAATATATTTATATTATATTTTGAAATATTATATTTTAAAACATAATATATTTATATTTTATTATATTTTGAAATATAATATATTTATATTTTATTATATTTTGAAATATATATTAAAATATAATATATTTATATTATATTATATTTTAAAATATTATATTTTAAAATATAATATATTTATATTATCTTATATTTTAAAATATATTTATATTATATTATATTTTGAAATATATTTTAAAATATAATATATTTATATTATATTATATTTTAAAATATAATATATTTATATTATATTATATTTTAAAATATAATATATTTATATTATATTTTAAAATATAATATATTTATATTATATTTATATATTAATATATATAAATATATATATTATAATATAATATAATTATATTATATTATATATAATATATAATATATATAATATAATATAATTATATATAATATAATATAAATATATTATATTATAAATATAAATATATTTATAATATATTTATATTATATTTTAAAATATAATATATTTATATTAATTATATTATATTTTAAAATATAATATTTTTAAATGCTTACAAATATCATTTTTAAAATACTTGCAACAATGTACATGGCAGATATTATCATCCATGTCTCACAAATAAGAACATCGCATTTAGAGACATTAAGTGATTTACCAAAGTTTACCCAGTTAATCAATGGTATGGTAGGATTTGATTCAACTGTTTCTACATGATGTTAGAATCACCTCACTCAGTAAATACTAGTATGAATGACTGCAAATTAGTTTTCTGACAAAGTACAAGCAAGAAAAGAAAACAGATAGAACCTTATAGTCAGAGAAGTTCAGAAAAACAGAAAGCAAGTATGCAAGAAGGAATGACAGACAAGGTAGATTCTGATCAAATAGCATACCCAGGGCAATGCTATTTCTTGCTCAATAGTACTCTGGGTCATCAAGTCAAATATAAAGCCATTCACGTGAATTTTTGATATCACACACACTTAAGTACACACAGAAGGAAACCTAGTTAGAAGATAGCACAGTGTCGCTGAGGGCATACGTATTTTTATGTGATTTGTGTTGCCTGGTTATGTAGGATGATTGTATAATTTCCAAACTGAAACATTTTGAAATGAAAACAATAAAGTTACATACTTTTAAAAGATATTTATTGATCAGAAAATTGGACTAATTGCATTGAAAATACTTAAAAATTATATATTCAAACTATTTTCAAATATGAAATTCTTTTAAAAATAACATTTCATGTAACAAACTTTTCAAAATGGTTTTCCAAAATTAAAATTACATAAGCAGAATAATTATTCTTGGTATATATTCATAAACTTTAATCTGTTTATCAGCTATATTTATTTCTAATACCATGTTACTGACATTTCTCTGTAGAACTTAATAAAATTGCCTGCAATATTTTTCAAAGTTGCAGTTTGTAGTTAATATATTTGAAATTTCTCATCACTTTAATTGATTCTTTTCTGAAGACTATAGTATTTTTAATTGAGAAAATATTCTCTTTAGGCTGGGTGCAGTGGCTCACACCTGTAATCCCAGCACTTCGGGAGGCCGAGGTGGGCAGATCACCTGAGGTCAGGAGTTTGAGACGAGCCTGGCCAACATGGAGAAACCCCGTCTCTATTAAAAATACAAAAATTAGCCAGGCATGATGGTGCGCACTTGTAATCCCAGCTGCTCAGGAGAAGGCTGAAGCAGAAGAATCGCTTGAACCCGGGAGGTGGAGGTTGTAGTGAGCCGAGATCACGCCGCTGCACTCCAGCCTGGGCAACAAAAAAAAAAAAAAAAAAAAAAAAGAAAATATTCTTTTTAGGTGGGCACAAACATTACAATAAGATAGAAAAGATAAATTCCATTCCATGTTTGATAGCAGAGTAGGATGACTATATTCAAAAAAAATGTATTGTGCTCAGGCAATGGATACCCTAAATATCCTGACTTGATCACTACACATTATATACTTGTAAAAAATTTTCATGTACCCCGTAAATGTGTACAAATACCAAAAAAGATTTAATTTGGGAACAAAAAGAAAAATATTCTCTTTACAGATGCTAAGGTATCTGGTCAATTTCAAGCAAATTCTGCTAATTAGAGAATATTCTCAATTCTAATTATTTAAATATTTTGGAATAAACATTTTGAAGGGTACTGTCTTTTTGCTTCCATTTTGGGTCCTTCAACAAATATTTTTACATGATAAAACTCATTAGCTGGGCATGGTGGTGCATGCCTGTAGTTTCAGCTACTAGGGAAGCTGGAGTTGGAGGATCATTAGAGGTTAGGAGTTCGAGGTTGTAGTGTGCTACTTGTGCACCGGTGAATAGCCACTGCACTCCAGCCTGGGCAACATAGCAAGACCCTGTCTCTAAAAGTAATTCCCTGTGTTTATGTTTTTTCTGAATGGTTCACCATATTTAAATGCTACAAAATCAAAGCCTTCTTAAGCTTATTCCATTCCAGTACAAACTATAAACTCTCTAGTTAAAAATAAGATGCATCGAGTTAAGATATCACAAAGTGCAGTTATAAAATGTCAAAATTAAACCTTGTACACAGTTTGGGCTCTCATCATGTAATCTGTTAAATGATACATTTCAATGTCTTCTTATATACAAGCTTTGTTTCCATAATTACAATTTGCTAAGAGCTTCAAAAGCTGAAAATTTTGGTACTTCATTCCTTGAGTACTTTAATTAAAGATTTCCAAATGATTTTAAACAAAATGCAACCTAAATTTAAAGGACCTGTTTACAATAATATTCAATACTCTCTAGAACACTTGAGTTAATTAACAAAGTACTTCTGTAAAGGCTCAAACATTTTAAAAATCTGAGTGATGACTGGAAACAAAAAGAGGATCACGTACTGCCATGCTAAAATTTTCTGTTCTATGCTCCACATCACATTTATCATAAAACTTTGCAATTCAATTATTCTAAATGTATATATGTATATACATTTGTAAATGTTGAAAACTATTGCTTCTATTTCAATTCATAGATTGTCACAGTGTAGATGAAATGATGAATTATATGTGCCCCACAACCAATTCCAAATACAGTTTTGCCTTATAGGTTTCTTAATTTAGTAAGAACATTGCTTTTACTAAGATAATTATATTCCATCTCAATTTGTATTTGGATTATCACAAAAAAATTATCTTCAATATTAGATTTTTAACTGAATTTACAAATCAGTATTACCATTAAATCCATATGTTTCACCTCTAACAAAATGAACTTCCCAAAATCATACTTTGCATAAATTGGATGAAAAAATTAAGTCATTACTGAAATTAACCAATTTTCTGTTTGAAGCATCTGATGTCGCTAATATCAGACTGGCATCATTTAACTGTTTGCAAAGATCTTTTTCTGCTAATGGAGTCAACCCTTTACCACCTATCACTTCACTCTTTGTGTATGCACAGGAAAACATGGAATTGAAAATGAATAGAATTAATTTGGAGGACCCATCATTTGATCTAATTGAAAAGCCATGCTTCACAGAATGCTATGTAAATCACCTTCTGCAGCTAACTTTTGAAATAGATGCTCCTGTTTTGTAAGCAGGTTTGAGTCTTCTGGTTTTCACATGGTCAGTGATATTACTAAGGCTTCCAGTTGGATGGTAAATGTTAACAAACATTTTGTTCAGTTTACACAATCACCATCTTTACTTTTGAGAAATAGAAATTTAGTACTTAATTATTTACAGAACATGTGTTCTTTTACCCATTGCTATTGAAATTCATTGCTATGGAGAGGGTACATTTGCAAAACACCGAGGTATAACCAAACAAAACAAGTAGATAGTTGTAGACTTATGCCTTAACATAAATAATAAAACAAATGCAGCAGGAGTGTTTACTTGGTTTTCTCTGTGCTCTGCAGTAGGACTATTAAGCTTCCATTTGTCACGTGCATCTCTCTTATAGCTAACCCAAAGTTTCTCACATTTCCTGATTCTTTAAACTATTAACCTGGCAGCTTTATGCATCTTGCTGGCTATGGCATGTGCCACAGCAGAAGTAACTGGTACACTAACTGACCAGCAGATGCAAAAGCGTCAAATATACCACGCAAGGCCAGGAGTTAGCAATCTCTAACTAATGGAGTCCAAGAGAACTTTGTTCTTCAAACAAGATCCTTGCAGGCTGTCCTTGTAACAGAAATGTTCATTACATTGCATCTGGATAGCGTTGTCATATTTCACATTTAACCATGTGTTATAGAGAGAACTCTGTACCCTGCCCATACATCTTACACACTACTACATGAAAATTACATTCTTTGAAATCTACTTTACCTGATATTAATATAGCCACTCCTGCTTTTGTTGTTTTTGTCATTTTTGTTAATATTTGCATGGTACATCTTCTTCCATCCTTTTACTTTCAACCTATGCTATTGTATTTAAAATGAGGTTCTTGTAGAGAGCATATAGCTGGATCATGGCTTTTTAAAATCCATTCTGCCAGTCTCTGTTTTTAATTGGGGTATTTAGACTATTTTCATGTAAGGTTAACTATTGATATGTTAGGGCTTTTACTGACATTTTATTATTTCTTTTTTAATTCTTTCTTATATATCTTATTCTTCCGTTTCTCTTTTCTAGCCTTCCAGTGGGTTGCTTGAACATTTTTTAGGTTTTTATCTTGATTTATTTATAGTCTTTTTGAATATTTCACTGTTTATAGCTTAGCAACAGCCAAGGACGTCCACTCTCACCACTCTTATTCAACATAGTGCTAGAAGGTCCAAGTTCTGTCCAATAAGGCAGGAAAAAGAAATGAAATGCACACAGATTGAAAAGGAAAAAATAAAACTGTCCCTATTTGCAGATGACATGTTTTCTATGTAGAAAATTCCAAAGAATCAACAAAATACAAAAGCTTAGAGATAGTAAGTGCACTTTTCAAAGCCCCAGGATTCAAAATCAACACACAAAAATTAATCTCAATTCTATATACTAGCAACAGACATGTGGAAACTGAAATTAAAAATTGAATACAATGTACAATTACTCCAAAGAAAATTAAATATGTAGATATAAATCTAACAGAACATGAACAGTATTTGTGTCCCGAAAATTACAAAATGCTAATAAAAGCAGTCAAAGGAAAACTAAATAAAAGAAGCACCATACCGTGTTCATGGACCAGAAGACTCAAAAAAGTAAAAATGTAAACTCTCCCTCAATTGACTTACAGACTAATGCAATATTTATCAAAGTCCCAGCAGGGATTTCTGTAGACATAAAGAAGTGTATTCAAAAATTGACATGGAACTACACAGAACCTAGAATAATTAAAATAACCTTTAAAGGGAAAATAAAGTGGATAGAACCACTCTACCATGTGCTAAGACTGACTACATGGCTATAGTGGTCAAGATAGTATAGTATTGGCAGAGGAATAGACACATGGATCAATGGAACAAAATAGAGAACCCAGGAATAGAACTACCCAAATATGCTTAACTGATCTTTGGCAAAGGTGCAAAAGCAACTTGTAATAAAGTGTCTATTTTTGATGTTTGACCACTAACAGCTTTCAGCCCCTACCTCTCTCCCTTCCGTTTTTCTTTGATATCTAGGTGAGCTGATAAGAAAGCCTGAGCACTCCTTCCCTTGGCACCACCAGGAAATGCCAAACCACAAAAATTTCTGCTCACACACAGGAATCCTCATCCCAGCCCCATCCCTGGACCATAATAAAATCCAAAGTTACTGGCCCTTTCCCTTACTCAAGCCATTTCAGACTGGTTTGGGTGTCTGCCCTGCTCTCCCCCAAAAGTCCAATTATGTGAATAATAAAACTTTTTAGACCCTCTTAATGTGTGTGTGTGTGAGATAGAGAGAGATCAGTCTCAATCAACATCTGAACCAATTTTGAGTAGGGGGTTGGTCCTGCTCTCCATGGGGCAACCACTAAACAATTGGTACTGGAAGTAGGATTGTGCATCATATCACTACGCACTTATCAGAATGTCTAAAATAAAAAAAAAAATAGTGATAACACCAAATGCTGGCAATGATGCCAAGAAATTAGAGCACTCATACATTGCCAGTGGGAATGTAAAATGGTACAACCAATGGAAAACAGTATGGTAGTTTCTTCTAAAAAAATAAACATGTGCTTACTGTGCAACCTAGCTATTGCATTCTTGGGCATTTAACCCAGAAAAAAGAAAACTTATATCCACACAAAGACTTGTAATAAAATAGCCATAGCACCTTTATTGATAATAGCCTCAAACTCGAAACAACCCAAATGTCCATCAACTGATGAATGGATAAACAAAATATGGTGTATCTATACCATGGAATGGTGTAAAAAGAACGAACTATCAATACCATGCAACAAGTTAAATGGATCTCAAGAAAATTATGCTGAGCTAAAATAAATAAATAAGGTAAACAAAAAGGTTACATCCTGTATGATTTTATTTATATAACATTTTTGAAATGACTCAATTATAGAGATGGAGAACAGATTACTGGTTGCCAAGGTTTGGGGTTGGGGTGGAGATGGGGCATGGAAGGGAGGTGAGTGTGGTTATAAAAGAGCAGTACAAGGGATCCTTGTTACAGAACTCTTCTGTATCTTGACTGTGGTGGTGGTCACACTATTCTACACATAATGATAAAATTGCAAAGAACAAAATACACACACACAACGACTGCCTGTAAAACTGGAGAAATATGAATAAGGTTAAATGGATTGTATAAATGTCAATTCGCTGGCTGTGATATTCTACTATAGTTATGCAAGATGTTACCACTGAGGGAAACTGGGTGATGGGTGTAAGGAATTTATCTGTATTATTTCTTAAAACTGCATGTGAATATACAGTTATCTCAAAATAAAAAGTAAAAACAAAATCTCTCCCAATGTCTAGGTTAAAGAGGAAAGAATGTGCTCCAGTTTCGAAAATAAATTACCCTATCATTTCCAGTACAAAACAGTTGTTAAAACTGCTGTTGCCAGGATCTACACACTGCTGTCAATGGGAGGAAGGAAGGATGGCACACTGCTCATGAGGAAAAATTTTGAAAGTTAGCACCAATCTTGAGTGACTGGTAAAGTGACTTGCTGAGAGCTGTCATCTGGTGCCTCTGGTAGGTTTTCTTGTTTCCTGGGGCAGAGTAGCAGAGAGAAACTGACTGGGGAAGAGAGCTTTCTATTTCATTGTTGTTTCTAGTTAACTTGAATTGTCTTGATATTCAGAAGAAGTGGAGACACTTGGTCTTTTGGTATGCTTCCCATTCAGTAGATAGAATGACGCATTTATATGAGAAAACGTAGTAGAATTTGAAGAAGAGAATAGGCAGGAAGGCTCAGACACCCTGGTAGAATTTCAGCCAGAATCCTTCACTGCAATCTGACCCTATGTTCCTAGGGGAGGAAGGTCCTGGAAAAGATATTTACACTGGGATGTCTGATCACTTTAGGCAGATCTAAGCGATTTTGAGTCCTGCTTTCCCATTTCTCCTTCCTTGTCAATTGTCTTTGGTTCCCACAAAAGAATGTTGCCCTGATACTGACAATAAGCAAATGATCCACTTCAAGCACAGACAATGGATGTGGAGCACGGATTTGAGCAAGATATCCTGGAACCTAGAGCTGTACCCACTCCAGGTCCTGCTAGTCATCATTCAAAGGTCAGTCCATACCAGCAGCCACATACCAGAGAGTTATGGAACCAACATGATGATCAAACTAATATATGCAAGTAATACTAACTCACACCTGTCCTTACATAAGATTGTAAAATCTTTGTGATCCAATAAAACCATTTGCTCAAAGAAAAAAAAGTATGGGAAACATGTCCATTTTTCTTGAGAGTATTTAACATTGTACAGATATTTGGGTAGGTACTCTTCTTATATACCTTACCACAGGCCTAATAGCATCTTTGTTTTACAGGAGTGACTGCTAAGTGGCAGAAGGCTGGGGAAGTATTTGCTACATAGAATTTCTTATGCAAACAAAATTGAAGATATCCACATTGATTCTTCAACACACATACAGGTTACTTACCCAGGTGTAGACATGGGATTCCACCCCACCCTGCCACTGTTCTTCCAAACTGAAATCTGAAAAATGGCAAGTCTAAAAGGGATAAAAGAGGTTCTTGCACTTCCATGAAAAAGTTCTATTGGAGGAGGTATTTATGAAGGTGAGTAAGATTCTCAACAATAGTTTACTCTAAAGTCTTTTAGAAATAACTTTCTCCAAAAGTCTCAGACCCTAAAGTTCCACTGTTAGCTGAGGAAGGGTTTCTCCATGCTGCTTTTTCTTTTCTTTTTTTAATTTATTTTTTATTTTTTTTTTAGACGGAGTTTCTCTCTGTCGCTGGGCTGGAGTGCAGTGGCGTGATCTCAGCTCACTGCAATCTCCACCTCCCGGGTTCAAGCGATTCTCCTGCCTCAGCCTCCCAAGTAACTGGGACTATAGGTGCACACCACCACGCCTGGCTAATTTTTTTCTATTTTAGTAGAGACGGGGTTTCACCATGTTGGCCAGGATGGTCTCGATCTCCTGACCTTGTGATCCGCCCGCCTCGGCCTCCCAAAGTGCTGGGATTACAGGCATGAGCCACCGTGCCCAGCCCACACTGCTATCTATACTCAGAAGGATTCACATGACACTGGCGTTTGCAATCATGATTAAACATACCTGATTCACTTAGACAACATGCCATGTTAGTAGACAGTTAAAAGGAGAAAACTGTAATTGTGTTGATAACAATAACTGAAGACAATTGTGAAAAGTCCTAAGATACAGCATTCTTCTTGGTGAAGCATGAATAATTCATCACTTGTAAATTTTAAGAAAATGTGCTCTATGGAACTTATAATTTTCCCTCATACCTGCTCCTCCCACTCCACTGTTCTCCAAGTCTCTTAACATCATTAGCCAGTCATCTTCTGCCTTCCTCAGCACTGTACAGTGTGAGCCCAGGATACCTTCACCCAGTCCTGACACACTGTCAGCTAGAGAGAAATGGGAATCTCTGCCACCAACAAGTGAGTCGAGAGTTACTGATGCAGCCATCAACCTAACATTCTGGGTGTCTCCAGCTGTAAAATTGAGCTCTCCCAGCACCTTCTGTTTTCACCCAACCCTTTTGGACTGGGTACATCAGATTTTTAACTGCCAGCCTAGGGACTAGTCTCTCAACCTGGTGAATTTCCACCTGCCCTTGCCTCTCCTACTCCTTGCTTTCTTCTCTTCTCAATAATTCCCCATCCCCATACACACACATGACTCACATGACACATATGCATCATCTGCATCACACACATACACACACACACACACACACACACACACACACACACCCTGGGTACAGCAAGGGTCGTGTGTTGTTCTCTTCAGCTCCTGTTTCCTTGGAACAGGATGTTACACAGAAATGCTCATAATACCTGTTAATTGAATTCATCGAAGAAAAGCCATTCCAAATAATGCCTAACAGAATGAAGAAAGGGGTAAATTGCTCTTGGAAATCTGATTCTTCTTATAAACTTGGAAGACCTAATTAGCAGAGAGAAGAAGAAAACAAATTAATTAGAAAACACTAAATTTGCACCAAGGGTACAAACAAAGCATAAGCACCATGACTAAAATTAAACCATAATATACTTCACAGGGCCATACTGATTCAATAAAATGGGCCCAGAGTTCAGACTTCTCAAATAAATTATTCCCCAAAATGGATAAATGGGATTATTTCCTCCCACGTTTATTTTTCACATGGAAAAAACCACCTTGAATCAAAAAGTTTGGACAAAGAAAATGACCTCCTTACCCTACTCTTCACAATAATAGATGTTAAGCTGAAGCTGACGAAAGCAGGAAGCTGTGGAAATCTACGGCTGTCCTGATAGACATTCCATTCTGCTCACTGCTCAGGCCCCAGCTGTAAGTTTGTACAGTCAAAACAGTCAGGTTTCCAAATGGCCAGAAAAGGACAAACTATGAAATGTGAAGGCTCCTGTCTTCACTTTGAGCAGGAAATTCATAGAGCAGGCAAAACCTGACCAATATCTATCTCCTCAATCTAGAAAACTCTTACCAGAGTCTTTAGCTCTAGTATTGAAACGCAACATTTTGCCTCAGTTCTCCACCTTACAATTTATCACACCAATTGCCGGCCCAAGCAGACAAGTCATCCTTTGGAGTTTGAATTTATATGGTCCAACCTCCAGCCAAAGGGCTTCTGGAGAACCCATGAATGGACTTCAGGATGTCTGTGGACTCCTTAACTTTGTAAGCAAAATCTTAAGCTCATGTGCATTCTTCTGAGAAGAGGATTCAAAAGTTTCAGCACACTCTCAAAGGAGACCCTGACATTCAAAAAAGGTCAAGACCATCAGGCTAGTCCTAAAGAGACTCTATGACTTCTCTGTAATTTCAAGCGGAAAAGAGCCATGAACTTTGATTTGAACCTGGGCTAGGTCTAAATTCTCAGCTCCAGTGCTACAGGGAATTTACACATTTTCTATAGACTAGATCCATGATGGCCACTTCTCTGGATTCCATTAGTCTTTGTTTTAAGGATTTGAAGTGAAATGGACATTTGCAGGACCTGGCTTGGACCAAATGGGCACCTAGCGCCCCCACCTTTGTGACTTTCCATCTACCAGAACTCTTTAACGCCAGTATCCCTGGGAGAAACTAAGCTATTGAATAAGGGAGGGAAAAATCGAGAAGGTGCTTGTGAGGGTGGAGGAGGAAATAAAACTGAATGAAAGAAAAAACTGAGTGGGAAGGAAAGCATAGAGAGAGGGGAAGGAATTGAACAAGAAAGAAGAAGAAACATGGAGAAGAGAAGAGCTATGGACTGAGAAGAGAAAACTGACATGAGGAATGAAGAGAAGATGGGGAAGGACAAAGTTATAAGAAAGACATAACCTCAGTAAGAAAGAAAAAAGGCAAAGAGGATTATTAGGGGAAAAAAGGAAAAAATGAAAGAAGATGAGAAGTAGAAAGAACACAAGGATAACAATATCTAAAAATTGTACAAAGCACTACTAAGTGTAATTAATTAATAGGATATCAGCAAACAAAAGTCTGTGCTATCGATAATGTGATAGACCCTGATGTCACTTAGCAGTAGCTAAGGTGGACAAGCTTACACAGCTGGGCCAGAAAAAGTGTGGCATATGGCCCTTTATGTGGCCGATGGTCCACTTGTAGAAGAGTGGGAAGGGTGGGGATGGGGTTAATGCTGGGAAGATTGCTACCATCCAGCTGAAAACTCCCCAAAGGCAGTTCCATGGATCATTCCTAAGCCATTGGCTAGAGCATGAAAGGCTTGTGAGGAACCAGGCAAAGACGCTGCACAGCCTGAGCTGTTATCCAAGAACCCCTGCTTACCTGCTTGCTTGAGTCATGCAGGCTCCTGGTAATAACAGCCTATTTACTGAACCTTCCCTGCCAAAGTGGGAGGGGTGACTGTATCAGATTTCTATTTGGGTCTGCAGGTGGGAGGGGCGAAAGAATAGGTATAGTCAGGGCAGGTAACAGCTTTGCAAACATGTGCAATAGTTCATGCCTGTCCACATGCTTGCCCCATAAGCACATGGCTGCATGGACCAGTGTGGGTCGATGTAAAGGGTGTTGCTCTGGGGCTCACCTGCATTGATATACATCATATGTCTAAAGTGTGAATGGCACCTCCATACATGTGATGTCTTGTTCAGTGCACAGCTTGAACATGTAGACATGGCTGCTCCAACAGTAACCAGTAGTAGGCACTTTATTCATAGGCACAAGCCTCAGGCACTTTAATGCATTATCTTCAATCCTTAAGATCTGGAAGTGTTATCATTAGGTTGAGAAGCCAGCCTGAGAGTACATAGCTAGGAAAGGACAGAGACAGACTCTAGCCTAGACATGGCAGATGCTGAGGCCCTAGCTCTTCTTCCTGCATTGAGCCACCTTCCTCTCTAGGCAGCAGGGAAACTGCCCTGCTGTGAGGAGCATCCCATTTACTTGGGTATTGCAGTAGCCTCCTACTTGATGCTTCCTTTGTGTGTCATTCCCTCATGTCTAAGGAAAGTACTTATATACCAGTAAGAACCTACTAGGGATCACAGAGGATTATTAAAATTTCAAGTAGTGATTTTACCATTTGAGATGGGCTTAAGAAGAGGGAAATATGTACTTTGTTAGAGAAATAAGTATATTTATTAATACAAGTAAAATTATTTATCCTGTTGATTTAACTTTATAACCCTGTGAGCTGTTGGAGCCCAAGTCTGAAAACTGCCATACCAGCCTGCCCCTCAGGTTTGCCTGGCCCTCGTGAAAGCTTTAGGGGATAGGGGATACCGCTTTCCCACACCTTCTGATTTCTACATGAGAAATGCCACCAGCTTTGACCAGCAGCTGCAACTTTGCCTGTGCCTGGCAAGTTTACAAAGTCACTGAATTTGCTTCTAAACTTTGTGGTTCAAGGGCTCCATCTTGAGGCACATTCTGTTTCTCTCAGTGCCTCTGAGTTGGGGAAGAGATGCAAAGCATTATTAGAATTTTTGCTGCATTGCATGGTTGACTTCAATTTGCTAAATGTTTTCTTTAGTGTTCACAGCAAAAATTCAGACTATAGGACAGTGACATGGGTTTGAGCAGATACAATGAACTCCTTTTTACATATGATGGTTCCTCCTAACAAAAAAATATTAAAAATCTTTTAACCATAACCACAGCATGGAAGTCATTGATTTGTTCGTGTTTACCATAAGCTATTTTCTCCCATTTTGGGAACAATTCTCAGAAGCCACATTATCTGAATTACTGGGTTCCACCAGAAAGCGCAGAGATCTGAGACCCTGCTTAAAGTCCTCTGAGTGTCCCTTAGCAATATTCTACTTCCAGTGGATCAACCAGAAATGTAAGCCATGATTCAGCTCCCCAGATGGATGTGGGCAAGCTTCGTGGCATCAAACCCCTGGACCAACTAAGCACTCTACTGCACCCCAGACCCCCCAACCCCACTAACAAAGCCCTTGTCCTACCAGCCAAATGCTCTGCCTGTCTGACTCATGAAAAAGAAAGTGGAAATTCAATACCAGAAACCTTCTCACCCAAGAAATATCCCAAGTCTTTCCAGTTGTGCCAGGGTTTTAGGAGACCCCGGTTTTACTCTCCTCTGAACAGACCCTGCATCTTCACATTTCCATACCTTTATCCATGATGTTTCTTCTGTGAGAATCCCACAACCCTACCCGTCCCACTTCCATCAACATTACAATTGGTTGATTAATCTGACTAATTTTGCAAGGCATATAGTTTAAGAAACCTTCTACCCACCCACCCAGCCACTCAGCAGGAATAACTACAAGCTTCTCCCTGTGTCTTTTCATAGAATTATGGTCAAACCTCCATTGTTACCTCCTTCACATGACATCATGGGACAATTTTTAATGTAGTTTTTCCCACACTAGAGTGTGGGCACTCTTGGGTACCACCATATCCATCTGTGTATCTCCAGGTACTGTGTCAGTGTTCAGCAGACTGTGGACACATAATATATGTCAGAAGACAATGCTGTCTTACCAACAAGAGAAAATAATAGTATTAGCACAATAACTAAATGATGTACATATGAAGCATCTGGTATAAGAATAGAAGGAGAAACAAAAAGGCAGGAAAAAAAAGTCAAAATATAAGGTACTGGGTTTTCTTAAGAGTCAACCTTCTTCTCCTCCCTGCCCCTGTCCCCCCACCCCCAAAAAAACTTCTAATAGCTATCCCACAGGAAGATAACCATTTTGTAATGAAGTTTGGTTTTGAGCTTTTGTAGCTACTTTTTTTAACAGGGTGGAAGATGAGGCCAAGAGAGGAGTAGGAGGACTCCCTCCCATGCCTAGAGTCTACTCAACATCTCTACCTGGATGTCTTCTATCCCCTTAAATGCAAGGAAACTCACTTCTTAACCAGGAAACTCACTTAAAATACAATAGGAAACTCACTTCTTAACCAGGGGTAGGCAAACTATGGCGCCTGGCCCACCAACTGTTTTTGAAAAGTTTTATTTGGACACAGCCATACCCACTTGTTTACATATTGTCTACATCTGTTTTCACACTAAAATGGCAGAGCTGAGTAGTTGCAACAGAGGCTCTTTGGCCCACCATGCTCAAAATATTTGCTATCTGACCCTTTACAGAAAATGTTTGCCCAGCCCTTGATTCGTAACCATCCAGATTGCCTCACTGACTGTGTTCTTCATTTTAACAGCCAGCACTGTTATCTATCCGGGACCCAAACGTAATCCTTCTCTCCTATTAACCCTACCCATATAGCCAATCAATCACCAATTAAAGCATTGCTGTTTCAACCTTCCAAGTATCTCTAGAACTTTTCTTCACCCTCATTCACTATACTGGTCCAGGGTAGCATCCTCTTTCACCTAGATAATGTCCTACCTGCTCTCCCAACCACCAGTCTGGAACGACCTTTCTAAACCATAAATCTGATTGTTATTTCCCTAGTTCAAACCTTTCAGCAACATCCTATCTCCTTTAGCATAAGGTCTAAACTCCAACACAGCCCACAAAGCCCTTTGTGACATCATCTAGCCTTCCTCCCCAGTTCCAATTCCAGCAACATCCCCTGCTTCTCCCCACAGCCATTGTTCTGTCTCAGCATTTCCTCTCTTCCCACTTCAAGCCACAATGTGCATGCTGTTCCTTGGTCTGAATTCATCTCCTCCCTTTCTTGTACTTTTCATTTTCTGCTTCCATCTCCCACTCATTCTTAATTATTTCCTCCAGGAAACCTTCTGATTGTCCCAGGAGATTAGGTCTCCCAACTATATGTTCCCATAGTGCCTTATCTATTATAAATACATAATAAATATTTTATATTATACATTACTATACCTATATAGTAGTCTAATATAAGTAATATATAATATACATTATTTTGTGTATATATATATAAGTTTATTATAGATTTTAATGGCCTGACTCTCCTGCTAGGCTATTAGCTTTCTAAGTGCAAGGGTTGTTCATTCTGTTTCCTGTCCCATCCATAGTGAACAGCATGTAAGTACTTGATTCTACAAAGAATGCAGCTCTCCTACCCAAGACATCTCTTATCTGTCAAACACCCACTTCTTCACCTTTGCTAATAACCTCTATGGCTGGAGTAGGCTCAACAAAGTGATTACCATTACTGTGTATTTGTTTTTCCAATCCACTCCCCATTTTTCCCTTGCTTTGCTCTGTATCATGGTGGTTTGAAGGGTGCAAATTATACTGCCCAGGCTTCTGGTTAGATTCAATTAGTGGGAGGCCCTGGTAAAAGACTAGAGATAAAAGAGGGGGAAACCAATGTATTTCTCCCATGCTCATTCATGCTTGCCAGCTCAATCTCCCGCCTATCCCCCAATCCTTCTTTAGGTGGTATCCCTCGCAATAATTGGTGATTGTGTCCCTCCATGGCCCCAGCTTTTGCTGGGAGGCTCCTGTCATGATTCTGTCCCCTCGAGGTGGCCTTGGCTCCTGTGTTCTGTTAACATTATCTTTTTCATAGTGCCTTCAGCCCTAGGGGTGCTTCTTTAATTTGCTCTTCAGGCTCTTCTAACACTTTTGCCATTTAATCACCACTATTAAATGCCTTCAATTAAACTACTTGGTGGAATTTCTTTTTCTTGACTAGATTTTGACTGATATAGTTACTGAAGCTATATTTTCTTACATTTAGGATTTTACCTGACATTCATATTATATTGATGAACAGCTATATTAAGCACATAACTTTGGTATAATCTCATTTAACAAAGACTAAAATAAAAGGGTATTCCCGAGAGGGAGTGTAAAATCCTAGCTTTATGGAAAGGCAGAAGAACCTTAAACATGTAATCAAAAGAACACCAAATTGTGATACAAAGTTTAAACTCCAAAGTCTGTTGTAACTGTCAGGCTCTAATCCACAAAGTAGAAATGCAGAAAGGGGACCTGGGTGAAAAGAGGAAGGAGAGAGTGGGTATTGGGAATGGTTTTTCTGGAAATATCAAATTCTTAAACCGATGACTTTAAGTTGAGAGGTAATTTTCAGCTTGGTACTGTGAAGCAAGACCCAGGCAGAAGTGAAAATGTCATCAACTAAACAGCAATTCTCAGCAAACTGCAGGAAACTGTTCCCACAGAGAATAATGCAGGAGAAATAACCTGTTCTTAGAACAGTGAGGAAACCATTTATAAGAGCCTGTAATAAAATAGAGCCTGACAGTCAAATGAACCTTTAAAAGCTAAAATTTAAGAAAAAGCAGATGTATAATAAAGAGGAAGAAAAAAATGCATGCACTTGGATCTAGGAAATTAGCCTATTTGCATTTTGATTTGAAAATACTATTTTGAAAATTTCATTCATTTGGGCCCCGGTAATGTGACTGTTATTTATTTTTATTTTTTAAAAAACCTCTTATTTTTAATGTTTCTGGGTACATAGTAGGTATATTTATTTAAGGGGTACATGAGCTGTTTTGATACAGGCATGCAATGCGTAATAATCATATCACGGGAAATATGATATCCATCCCTCAATATTTATCCTTTGTATTACAAACAATCCAATTATACTCTTTTAGTTATTTTAAAATGTACAGCTAAATTATTATTGACTATATTTACCCTGTTGTGATACCAAATACTAGATCTTATTCATTCTTTTGAACTAATTTTTTTGTTACCTATTAACCATCCCCACCTCCCCAACTCACCCACTATCCTTCCCAGCCTCTGGTAACCATCATTCTACTCTCTGTCTCCATTAGTTCAATTGCTTTGATTTATAGCTCCCACAAATAAGTGAGAACATGTGATGTTTGTCTTTCTGTGCCTGGCTCAATTCACTTAGCATAGTGACCTCCAGTCCCATCCATGTTGTCGCAAATTACAGGATCTCATTCTTTTTATGGCTGAATAGTACTCCATTCTGTGTAAGTATCATATTTTCTTTATTTATTCATCTCTTGATGAACACTTAGGTTGCTTCCAAATCTTGGCTATTGTGAATAGGGCTGCAATAAACATGGAGGTGCAGATACCTCTTCAATATCCTGATTTCCTTTCTTTGGGTATATACTAGGAATGGGATTGCTAAACTGTATGGTAGCTCAATTTACAGTTTTTCGAGAAACCTCCAAACTGTTTTCCACAGTGGTTGTACTAATTTACATTCCTACCAACGGTGTATGAGGGTTTCCTTTTTTCCACGTCCTTGCCAGCATTTGCTGTTGCCTATCTTTTGGATATAAGCTATTTTAACTGGGGTGAGATGACATCTCATTGCAGTTTTGATTTGCATTTCTGTGATGATCAATGATGTTGAGCACTGTTTCATATGCCTGTTTGTCATTTGTGTATCTTCTTTTGAGAAATGTCTGTTCAAATCTTCTGCCCATTTTTAACTGGATTATTAGTTTTTTCTTATAGAGTTGTTTGAGTTCCTTAAATATTCTGGTTATTAATACCTTGTCAGATGAGTAGTTTGCAAATATTTTCTCCTATTCTGTGGGTTATCTTTTCACTTTGTTGTTTCCTTTGCTGCACAGAAGCTTTTTAAATTTATGTGATTCCATTTGTCCATTTTTGCTTTGGTTGCCTGTTCTTATGTGATATTACTCGATAAATTGTTGCCCAGACAAATGTCCTAGAGAGTTTCTCCAATGTTTTCTTACAGTTGTTTCATAGTATGAGGTCTTATATTTAAATCTTTAATTCATTTTGATTTGATTTTTGTATATGGAAAGAGATAAGGGTCTAGTTACATTCTTCCACATATGTATATTCAGGTTTCCCAGTACCATTTATTGACGAGACTGTATTTCCCCAGTGTAGGTTCTTGGCACATTCGTTGAAAATGAGTTCACTCTAGATGTCTTGGTTTGTTTCTGGGTTCTCTATTCTGTTCCATTGGTCTATGTGTTTGTTATGCCAGTACCATGTTGTTTAGGTTACTATAGTTCTGTAGTATAATTTGAAGTCAGGTAATGTGATACCTCCAGTTTTGTTCCTTTTGCTTAGGACAGCTTTAGCTATTCTGGTTCTTTTGTGGTTCTACATAAATTTTAGGATTGTTTTTTCCATTTCTGTGAAGAATGACATTGGTATTTTGATAGGGATTACATTGAATCTGTAGATTGCTTTGGGTAGTACGAACATTTTAACAATATTGAATCTTCTAATCCATGAACATGGAATATTTTTCCATGTTTGGTGTCCTCCTCAATTTCTTTCATCAGTTTTTTATAGATTTCATTATAGAAAGATCTTTCACTTCTTTGGTTAAGTTTATTTCCAAGGTATTTAGTTTTATTCATGGTTATTATAAATGGGATTACCCTTTTATTTTTTTTTCAGATTATTCACTGTTGGCATATAGAAATGCTACTGATTTTTGGTATGATCCAAATAAGACTACCTCAAAAGATATAATCAAACTCTCAAAGGACAACGATAAAGAGAAGATCCTAAAAGCAGCAAGAGAAAATTAGCAAATAACCTAAAGGAGCTCCAATTCATTTGGTATTCTCAATGGAAACCATACAGGTCAGGAGGGAGTAGGTTGACATTTTCAAAGTCCTGAAAGAAAAAAAAAAGAACATCCAATAATACTGCATCCAGCAAAGCTAATCTGCAAATATTAAGGAAAGATAAATTATTTCCCAAACAAACAAAAACTGAAAAAATTTATCGCCACCAGACCCATCTTAGAAAAAATGCTAAAGGGAGTTCTTCAATTTGAAAGAAAAAAACACTAACATGCAAAAAAAAAAAAAAAAAAAAAAGGAAAGAAAATTTAAGGTATAAGAACCACTAACCACTAGTAAAATTTGGTACATGGACATACGCATAATTCTCTAACTCTGTAATTGTGATGTGCAATCCACAAATAACTCTAATATGGGCCCCAAATGATAAATCTATAGAAACCTGTTAAGAGATAGGCAAACTAAAAATATGAAAATTGAGAAAACATAAAGCCAAACTGTGTGTGGGTGGAGTTAAAGAGTAGAGCTAGTTTTTGCATTTTTTTTGTTCTATTCTTTGTGATCTAAGATAAGGTTTCATCTCTTTAAAATAACGTGTTATATCTATAAGATGTTTTCGTAAGCTTTTAAATATGAGTCAAATAGGAAGTCACAATGGAAATAAGGAAATATTTTGAATTAACACATCAAACTTGTAGGGTACAGCTAAAGCAATTCTTAGATGAAAATTTAGAATATTAAATGTTTATCTTTAAAAAGAAGAAAGGTCTCATATCAATAATCTACTCAAATCAAATAGCTAGGACATGTGGAGTCATTTTAAGAAGAGGAGAGAAAGAAGTGGATGTTAAAGAGGCACCCAATGAAAGTTAATTCCCTACATTTACAGGTATAGAGAGCTCACTACATCTCTAGAAATATCAATCTTGGTCATTCTGTTTTTCATTGTAAGGGGAAAGGAAATTGTACAAACACCCAGACATGAAAAACAAATTACAAAAGAAAAAAGAACAAAAACGAAGCTGGGTTTAGAATCCTTTTCTGCAATGTAAAATACTAGAAGACATATTTGAAGGAAAAAGAATATGATCTTTATTTTATATGATGCATAGTTGTTATATATGGATGCATAGGCAACAGAAAGTCAGCTCACATATGCAAAGGTTCAAAAGCTATATTCACTATATATGCACTTCTGAAAAATTTGGTTGAAAATAAACTCTATCCAATTGAGAAGTAAAGAAAATGAGTATGACAAGAATAGGCAAGTTGTATAACAAAAGGACTATTAGGAAACATCAAACCTATTAAACCAAAAACTAATGTAAATGATTCTTATGAATTTGGTTGCAAAACTATATGCAATAGTCAAAAGTCATTCTTAAAAGACAAAATATATAATATAAAATAATACTTCCATAGCAACCATTGAGGTATAAAGACTTCAGACTAAGAAGTAATTGGATCAAAGAAGAAGGTGGTAAATGCCTTTTGAAAAGTTTCTTATTTTTAAATGGAGGGAAACATTTAAAATGTCATCTTAGTCCCACCTGTTTGTTTTTGCCTTTGCTGCCTGTGCTTTCAATGTCATGTCCAAAAAAATTATTGTCAAGACTAATGTCTTGGAGCATTTCCCCTGTTTTCTTCTAGGAGTTTTACAATTTCAGGCCTTACATTTAAGGCTTTCACTCATTTTGAGTTGATTTTTGTGTATGGTTTGATGATACAATTTCATTTTTTTTAACATGTGGATATCTAGTTTGCCCAAAACCACTTATTGAAGAGACTATCTTTTCTCCACTGTGTATTCCTGGTGCCTTTGTGAAACATTAGTTGACCGTATGTGCATGGGTTTATTTCTGGGCTTTCTATGTTCCACTGTTCTCTGTGTCCGTTTTTATGCCAGTACCATGCTGTTTTGATTACTCTAGCTTTGTAATATAATTTTAATTTAGGAAGTGTGATTCCTCCATCTTTGTTCTTTTTGCTTAAAATTGGTTTAGCTACTTGGGGTCTTTTGCGATTTCATACAAATTTTAGATTTTTTTTCTATTTTTGTGAAAAATGTAATTACAGTTTTTATATGGATCACATTGAACTACTCGAAACTAAAATGTTTCTGCACAACAAAAGAAAAAAAATCAACAAAATTAAAAGGCAACACATGGAATGGGAAAAATATTTGCAAACCATATATTCAATAAGGGGTCAGTTAAAAATATGTAAGGAACTCATACAACTCAATAGTGAAAATAACAAATAACCTGATTACAAATGGGCAAAGGACCTGAGTAAACATTTTTTCAAAGAAGACATAAAATGGCCAAGAATTATATGACAAGATGCTCAATATCACTAATCATCAGAGAAATGAAAATTAAAACCACAATGAGATATAATCTCATACCCATTAGGGTGGCAATTATCCAAAAAGTTAAAAGGTAACAAGTGTCTAGTCTAACATATAGTTCAAGTCCAATATTTTCTTATTGATTTGCTGTCTAGATGATCTGTCCAGTGTAGAAAGGTGATTACTAGGGGCTTAGCGAGGAGGAGAAGGGATGGGGATAGGAAAGATGTTGATAAAAGGGTATAAAGTTTCAGTTAGACTTAAGGAAAAGGTTTTAGTGATCTAGTGCACTGCATGATGACAATACAATTAATGTATTGTATATTTCAAAATTGCTAACATAGATTTTTTAACATTCTCACCACAAAAAGATGATAAATCAGTGAGGTGATGGATATATTAATTAGGTTGACTGAATCTTTCCATAACATACATATAGATTAAAATATCACATTGTATCCCATAAATATACACAATTATTGTCAATTAAAAAGTAATTATAAAAAATAAAAATCAATAATAAAAATGTCAAATAAAAAAAGAAATGATGGTCGGGGGCGGAAAAAGGGAAATTTGTTCTCACTATTGTTGGGAATATAATTGGTACAGCCATAATGGAAAATAGTGTAGAACTTTCTCAAAAAATTTAAAATAGAACTACCATATGATTCAGCAATCTCTCTTCTGGGTGTATGTCCGAAGGATATAAAATCAGCATCTCGGAGAAATATCTGCACTCAAGTGTTCACTGCAGCATTATTCACAATAGCCAAGATATGGTAACAACCTAAATGTTTGCCAACATATGAATGAATAAAGAAAATGTGCTATGTATGTATGTATATACACACACAATGGAATATTATTTGCTTATTATAAAGAAGGAAATCCTATCATTTGTGACAACATGGATGAACCTGGAGGACATTATGTTAATGAAATAAGCCATTAAAATGAATAAATTGTGGAGAATGAATGCACAGTGTGGTAACTATAGTTAATAATATTGTATACCTGAAATTTGCTAATAGAGTAGATCTTAAATGTTCTCACCACACACATAAAAAGAAAGGTAACCATATGAGGTGAAGAATATATTAATTAGCTTGATAGTCATAATCATTTCACAATATATACATATATAAAAACATCATATTGTACACTTTGAATGTATACAATTTTTATTTGTCAATTATACCTTAAGAAAGCTAGAAAAATTAATTAAATAAAATGTCATTTTGTTTTTGACTCAATTAGAAAAATATGTTTTCCAAATCCTTTGAAAAAAATAAGGTAAAGACAAATAAAAATGGGACATACTGTATGTCATCTAACCTAAGGGTGACACCATTTTTGAGAAACATCTTTTTTCTGTACCGTTAAGAAAGAAAAACTGTTGCAAATTAAACTATGGCATATCCTAAATTATAAGATGTATTTTAATTCTAGAAATATTGAAATGTGAAAAATAAGAAGAATTTATAAAATATTCTGTGTTCCAAATTCCTGGAAAGGAAAAAGCAAAGAAACAAGTCTATGTAACAAAAGAAAAGTAAATTAAATAAAACAAAGGAACCATAAGAAAAAAATAGCAAAGGTAAGAGCAAACCCAGCAGACATAACAACAAATATTTACGAGTTAAGCACCTATATTTTAAAAGTAAAGATTCTTTCTAAAATTGGCCAGTAAGTATTGTATATATTTATGGTGTACAACATGTTTTGAAATATGCATACACTGTCAAATGGCCAAATTGAGCTAATTAACATATGAATTACCTCACATAGTCATTATTTAAACAAAAACAAAGATTCTTATATTGAAATAATATACGCCAAAAATCATACACTGTTGGCCGGGCGCAGTGGCTTACACCTGTAATCCCAGCACTTTGGGAGGCCAAGGTGGGCGGATCACCTGAGGTCAGGCTGGGAGATCAGCCTGACCAACATGATGAAACCCCATCTCCACTAAAAATACAAAATTAGCCGGGCTTGGTGGCACATGCCTGTAGTCCCAGCTACCCGAGAGGCTGAGGCAGGAGACTCGCTTGAACCTGGTAGACAGAGGTTGCAGTGAGCCGAGATTGCGCCATTGCACTCCAGCCCGGGCAACAAGAGTGAAACTCCGTCTCAGAAAACAACAACAACAACAACAAAACATACGCTATTTAAAAGAGATAAGCCTAAAACAAAATGATTAAAGCTATCAAAGTTTAAAAAAAAAGAACAGGCCCGGTGCAGTGGCTCATGCCTGTAATCCCAGTACTTTGGGAGGCCGAGGCGGGTGGATCACCTGAGGTCAGGAGATCGAGACCAGCCTGACCAACATGACGAAACCCCGTCTCTACTAAAAATACAAAAATTAGCTGGGCGTGGTGGTGGGTGTCTATAATCCCAACTACTCAGGAGGCTGAGGCAGGAGACTCACTTGAACCCAGGAGGCAGAGGTTGCAGTGAGCAGACATCGTGCCATTGCACTCCAGCCTAGGTGACAGAGTGGGACTCCATCTCAAAAGAAAAGAATAAACAAACAAACAAAAAAAACAAATGAAGGTAGAAAAATAGAAGATAAACAGGGTATTTTACAATAAATATGCAACTTCAAATGAAGATACAGTAGTTATAAAATATTTGTGCTAAATAACATTACATTAAAAAGCTGTACTTTTGAATGTAATGCATTTAAAATAGTTGTGCTATTTAATGTAATGTATTGTAAGCAAAAACTGTTTAAATATATAAGGATACAGTTACAAAACCAAATAACAGCAGGAGACTAACTGACCTATCTTGTATTTAGGAAAAAAAAATCTGATAATGTAAAGGTTCTGCATTTATAAGAAATATGATTGATTTGGTAGATGTGTACTACATAATTCACAAAAGAAAATACACCTTCTATCAATATCCATGGAAATATTTTTTAATTGATTATACATTAGACCACGAAGTAAACCTCAATAAATTCCAAAAAGTAGTTACTATACAGGTTACATTTCTAACCTCAGTGCAATAAAATTGAAAAGAAATAGCAACATTTCAAACAAAAAAATATCCCCAACTGCTTGGAAATATAGAACCACTCTCCTCAATAATTCTTGGGTCAAGTGGGATATCAAATGTTATTTATCAACCACTCAGAAAATAATGAGAGCTAGTCAAACAAAACAGAAAAAGATAAACAACCTAACAGAAAATTGAGCAAAGGCCAGGCGTGGTGGCTCACGCCTGTAATCCCAGCAGTTTGGGAGGCCAAGGTGGGTGGATCACGAGGTCAGCAGTTTGAGACCAGCCTGACCAACATGGTGAAACCCTGTCTTTACTAAAAATACAAAAAAATTAGCTGGGCGTGGTGGCAGGCGCCTGTAATCCCAGTGGCTTGGGAGGCTGAGGCAGGAGAATAGTTTGAAACTGGAAGGCGGAGGTTGCAGTGAGCCGAGATTTTGCCACTGCACTCCAGCCTGGGGAATAAGAGCAAAACTCTGTCTCAAAAAAAAAAGAAAAGAAAACTGAGCAAAGACTATGGAAAGCAATTTATAGAAGATATATTAGTGGCTAATAGGCAAATTAAATTACGTTAATCTCACTGGTAATCAAAGAAGTGTACATTAATATAAAAATAATAATATACCTTGTTACCTATCAATTTTGCCAAAATTAGAAAAGACCAATTCCCTGCAGTATTGGATAGCATATTGGAAAGCAAACCTCTTACAGCTAGTGTAAACTGGTAAAATATTATTAGAGGGCAACTGGAAATTAATATATATCTATGACATATTAAAAGAAATCAATTTATAGAATTACCTGTATAATGTGAACAATACTTATAATATGTAAGCTATATATGTGTATATACATGTGTAATGTATATAAATGTAAATGAACACATACACATACATTGATAAATGCATAAAAATGGATCTGGGAGGATAGACAAAGCAATAACAGTATCTCTGGATAAGGAAAGAAGTATTACGGAGAAGGAATGCAAAAAGAGATTAGAATATCACTTTTATCCTCCATATATGTGTGTGTGTGTTTACATTTTTATAGTGAACATGTTTTCACTTAAGGGAAAAATAATTACAATAAGTACACTACTTTAAAAATTAATGGCTGATTCCAATGTTCAGAGACAAATTTATAGCTTTAAATACCTTACTAAGCAAAAACAGGATAAAAATGAATTAAGCTAAGATTTAACACAAGTAGTCATGAAAATCACAAATAAATAACATATGAAAGGGAAAGGAATTAAGATTAAACAAAAACAGAAATCAGTGCATTGAATGAAGAAAACATAATTACTAAGTCAATCAAAGAACTGCTAAGTCAATTTAAAAAATGCTAATAAGGTAGACAAACTTCTGACCGGTTTTATCAGGGAAAAGACTTGAGAACACAAAAACATACAATTAAATATGGATGAAAATATAAAAACTGGCATAACATAAAATGGCAGATCTTAGAGTAGTTGATAAAAATACTAATGCATTTTTACTAATATTTTAAACCTACATATAGCATTTCATCTACAGTTTCTTAAGATTCTTGTACTCAATTTGCCATTTTTAGCCTCCTTAATACTTTAAAAGCTTTGATTGCAATATAGACTTTTTTAAAGCATAAAGTTATTTTATTAAATAAATGCTCAGAAATGCCTGTTATTCTTATCAACACTACTTTGCACAAATGGATATATTAATTACTCATTGTAGACACTGTAAGCTTAATTTCAGAGATGAAGTAAATAAATGTTCAAGAATACAGGCTTCTTAGAAGAGTCTAAGCAGTTTCTACCTTCCTGCCACTTACAAAGTTATGTTTATAAACTAGCAAGCCTGCTCATGAGTCACTAAAGCCATCATGGAAAAACCAAAGCCAGCTGTTTGTTGGGTAAAACACTTTACACAAAAAACTTATAAAATGATACACATTTTGATGCTAATGAGTTTGAAAACCACGATGACAGAGGTAATTTTCTATTTATATATATCGACTTAATGATCATACAGCACGCTGTTTAGGGAGCAAGTGACGTTCTCCCCATTTCTGGACCACATAGGGCTGCAGCATGGTTAGGACTGAAGAGCATCTACCTTCACTCCAGGGTGTGAGTCCCTAAGAACATCAGGAGGCAGTACCAGAGTAAGGTACGCAGCAGAGGTCATGCCTGGTGAAGTGGCACCCTCAGAAGTTTGAGAGATACAAATACCCTTCTCAACAAGGAGGCTGCGGAGCACAGGGAGTCCCAAAAATAACTTGGGGGACATGGGAGTGTGCAAAAACAAGGTAGAGACTGAGGTCCTCCAATTCAGTAGGTGGGAGCTACAAATAAAAAAACTGGAAGTGTTACGGTGATTGTGTTTGTACTCACAAACTAAAGAGGTCTGAGGACATTTGAGTTACTTAAGCATAAGCGAAAACTAAGAAATTATGAAGGAAATGATTGATAGAATTGATTACATAAAAATAAATTAAGCACTTTTCTATGCCAGGAAAATGACAAATGAAAAGATATTTGCAACATAAATGACAAAAAGTTAATATTCTTGGCTTTTATGTCAAAGATAAAAAGGCAAATATCCTCATATAAAAATTAGTAAAAACATAAATAAATAATGTGAAAAAGAAAACAGTGCAAAGTGCCAATAAACATATGAAAAAATGTTCCATCTCTGTAAAAATCAAAGAAATGCAAATGGAAGCAATGATAGCATATGACTTGTGGTCTATCACATACATTTAAAAATAGCCTTTTATTGAAGTATATACTATACATACAGAAAAGAGTACATATCAAAAGTATATAGCTAGATGGATTTTCACAAGCTAAAGCTATCCTTATAACTACTTAATAGTACTCAGATCAAGAAACAAAACATTACCTGCATCTGTGTGCTATGCAATGGACTGTAAGAATTTGAAGTTTGAGGAAAAAAGACTGACAATGTCAATTTGGAAATCATTCGCATATAAGCAGTTAAAACCATGAGAATGTATGAGCTCACTCAGTGAGTATCTAGAAAAGAGCACAGAACTGAGCACTGAAGTGGAGTAAATAACTACATTTGAGTAGTTCAGGGAGAAAGAAAAGTCTATAAATTTAACCAATAAATATCGGATTTGCCTTAGATGACAACACAATATTTGCACATATATAATTCTCTACCACCCTCTAAATTCTATAACCCACTGTAATCTGGCTTCGCTACTCAATAAACTGTTTTCTGTTTAAAAAAAAAAAAATTTACCTACATCCCAGAAGTCCCCTCATTTTCCCTGCCAGTCACAGCTTTCCACTCCTGACCAAGGGTAACCACTACTCTTAACTTCTAACAGCATGTTTTGCCCCTTTTAATCCTACATAAAAATGGAATCATATACTACGTACTCTTTTTCCTAGCTTCTTTCACCCAGATTACTTTTGTGAGATTCACTTATGTTATAGAGTGTAGTCAAGGATCATTTATTCTCATTGCTGTGTTAAATAATCCATTGTGGATATAATAAAATTTATTCATTTTACTGTTTATGATTATTGGATAGTTTCCACTTTGAGACTATTATGAAGAGTCTACCTTTGAATATTTAGTACATGTTGTAAACCAAAAAATACCTGAGATGGGTCTCAATCAATTTGGAAGTTTATTTTGCCAAGGTTAAGGACATGTCTGGGATGGAGGTCTGTGTCTTTCTCCAAAGATAATTTTGAGGGCTTCAGTATTTAAAGGGGAAGAGCAGGCTGGAGGGGAAAGAAGGAAGGTATGGTGGCATTACTGAATCCACAGGTTGCAAGACAAAAGGAGCAAATAGAGGAATAGTCAATTACGTATTAATCTCATACTCAGTAAATCGGCACTTTCCATAAGATAAGGTGAACATAGAGTAGCTACCTGTGGAGGTATTTAACCTTTTATTTGTAGCTATTGGCTTAGGAACAAAAGGAAAGGCCATTTCTTGCACGACTCAGCTTTCAGCTTAACTTTTTCCTTTTGGCATAGTGAATTGGAGATTTTATTTTCCTTTCTTGTTTCTCTCCCCTTATCTTTTAAAACATCTTTGGAGAAAACATTTTAGAAGGAAATTAGTCTCCGGTCTTGAGTTTTGTTTGATCTCACTTGGCTAGGATGGTTTATCCTAGACAGATATAGCCCACATTGTTAGGAGTAATCATTTTTAACAGGTTGTGAAGTCTCACATCCCACAAAGAAAAAATAAGGGGAGGAAGAGAGAATGAAAACAACACACAAAAAAAATGTGAAAACATTCCTGGAAAACCACACAGGCCATATTACTCTGAAGTCCATACATGGGTAGGCAGGTATGAAAGTGGTTTCTATATATAAATAGGTTGCTGTTATTTCTTCCAAAGTTTCAGTTGTCTAGCTTCAGTTTGCAGGGCTTTAAGAAAAGCACAGCTTAATTTTTAGTGATTTCAAATTAGGAAAAATGAATTAAAAAAGGAAAAGAAGGAAAAAATTTGAAAACATTATTTTGGAGACTTGTAGCCAAGAAAAATTTTAGAATTCAGCCCAAATTGTAGAAAATAACACAAATTGAAAAACATTAGGCAAGTCTAGAATCTAATAACAGATGTACGATAGTTTATTTTGAAACATAATTTTTCTCTCTCCAGTTCCTCAATTGTATTCAAGACAAAATAGTAGGACCAATTTATTTGTAAAACAAGTTTTAGTCCTATTATTCTCGGCTTGATTATTTGCATAATCAAATAATAAGTGAGAATAATCATTTGCTATTATAGGCTCTCTTTAAAAAAATTGGCTTTGCTAGAATCTTTTCCATAAGGAATCTAAGATTAGACCTTTTAAAAGCCTCAAACCTAGCCAAGAATTTATCTGTGTCTGCAGATACCTTTATGAATTGGGTGAATTCCCCTCTTTCAAGGTCCCAAGAAAACTTGGGGTCCCTGGGCCTGTCAGAAAGTGGCATTCTATACTTACCACAGGTCAGGACCCTGTAAAGGACAAAGTATGAGGCCAGTTTTTCCAAGGGGCTTTTATCGGCTCTATAGGTCACACTCATTTTTTTCAAGGAAATCTGAAAATGTTATTCCAGTCAAAGCCTTAGTAAAATAACTAGTGTCTCCAATTATGCCCTGTTATAAAAGGAAACAGGTTCTTATTGAACTTATGCAAATAACCATATTGCCACACATTAAGAATACTCACAAATAGCTTCCAAATTTTGGAGAAATTAGGTAGAGAGAAAGGAATTATGTCTTAAATTTTTCTCTCTAGAGTACACTTTACTCAATTATTAAAAGCTGTAAATAGCTTAAAAGAACAGAAAGTTGACCAGGCGTGGTGGCTTATGCCTATAATCTCAGCACTTTGAGAGGCCAAGGCAGGCAGATCACCTGAAGTCAGGAGTTCAAGACCAGCCTGGCCAACATGGTGAAATCTCATCTCTACTAAAAATACAAAAAATTAGCCAGGCATGGTAGTGGGTGCCTGTAGTCCCAGCTACTTGGGAGGCTGAGGTACCAGAATTGCTTGAACCCAGGAGGTAGAGGTTGCAGTGAACCAAGATCATGCCACTGCACTCCAGCCTGGGTGACAGAGTGACTCTGTCTCAAAAAAAAGAAAAAGAACAGAAAGTTTTCTTGACCCTGAAAAGCAAAACAAAAAGAATCAGCAAATGTTTTAAACAAAAGGTCATAAAAGATTATTTCAGTCTTCTGTCAGTTTTGTCCTTGCAACTAACTCCTGTTCTGTTTGATATTGGATCAACAATCCTCATTAATACATCACCTCTTCATGAGAGTCCTGGAAGTTATTATCTCTCTTCCAATGGCACAATTTCTAAAGTTATCAGAAACCTATATTTAAGAGTACTCCTCAGAGTTCTATAGCTGATTATATATCACCATATAAAAAGATCAAAGTAAAGCAACAATTGTGGATGACAAAGTTCTTAAAAGAGCCATGGTTAAAGACATGATTGACAAGGAAATTTTGTTATTTCTGTGGCGTACAACAATTCTACATAATAATCACAATAACTACTAATAACATATACTAAGACATATCAGAATCATAGAACTCTCGTATAATTTTGGAATACATACTAATAACACATTTATATAAATAAAATCCAAAGAAGGTTAAATATCATTTCACATTTGACAATGTTTACTGTCTGATTTTATTATACCAAATAAGTTAAATATGTCTCTTTTGGACTTCAGAGGACCTAATACCAAAACACAATTAATGAGGTCAAAAGGACTGGGAATTTGATTTTGGAAAGTTTGTCAAATATCAAAAGTTTCAAATATTTGATATCACAAAATAGAATCATAGATCATTATAAAATAAGTCATTCATTTAGCCAAAGTGATAACTCAAATATTTTTTAAAAGCAAAACCTTTATTCTTTGAGGGGGGAGACTTAATTTCTCAAATAATAAACTCTAATAAAGACAGCATGAAGCCAATTAAATTTGTCTCTCAAATTTTATAAATGAATCTATTAAATTTTAATCATCTTGACCATAAGATATAATTTCATAAAACTTTTTTAAACTTTTTTATTAAAGAATGGCTTAATGCTCCATGAAAATCTTGTTATTCTGACACAGGGGCCCACATGCTGGTCTCGCATCAGTGTGCCTTTGATATTGACGTCTAATTTATAGAAACTCTGAACTAATTTTCTGTCTCAAAGTCAGCCCTCACAATCTCATGTACCCATCTGTTCTGCAATAGTCCCTGGGCCGAGAGGGGTTGAATGATTTAATTTCTGGCCCTCTGTTTCATGAACACAGTTTCTTTTGCTTGTTATCCTCTCCTGTGTCTGAAAATGAGGTTTTAACTGCTGTTAGTGTTGAAGATTTAGCAGGACTTGGTGTCCTTTTTAGACCCAGGAGTCAAAGCCCTATAACTTAACGGTGCAAAAACATTAAAGGCAATACAGAAAGTTACACAAATGTAATAATCTTAGTCTTAAAAAAAATTTAATCTGTTTTCCTAAGTAAATCAAAACTTAATAACAATGACATAGGAATTATTTTGATAAAACATAAAATCTGTTTGCTAGGCCAGTTACCAAAAGGCAACAAAAAAAGACCTTCTGCAGTGTGATTGTTGTTCCCTGTGGGGAGTCCACTTAGATAAACTGCAAGTCAAAATTAATGAAAAGGGTATTTGAATTAATTAGACATAGGAAGGGTGTATCCTGGATCATAAGAGAAGGTTTTCCATTTCATAAAACAATCTAGACATATTAAGGAAAGCCAAGAGAACAGAATGTCATATTGGAAGAAAAACATTTCCTTTAGACCTTTAAGATAAAACATTTTTAGCATCAGGCCACGACAGCAGTTAGAATCTGAGGAAAAAAAACCTTAGAGGAGCTGATGAAAAAGTTGGAGTGAGTTATTATCTCAGGCTTTCTCAAAGGGGAGAGAAAGCTGAAAACAGTAAGATGCAATAAAAGATAAACTTCTAGGTTAAGAAAAATCAAAATCTCTTGCAATTTTATTAAGAGTAAATCAATACCATAAGAACATTTTGTCGTTCTAACCAATTCTTTAGTGTATTAGTGTATTTTTAATATCAAAGACCAATGTCTGGGAAGACTATTATAAATAATTTCCTTTTAATTATAGCCAACTTTATCACATAAAGTTTTTTTATAAATTCTCTTTTTACAAAGCTTATTATGATTTACACAAAACATTTATATAATTTCCTTTTAATTATAGCCAACTGGATCACATAAAGTTTTATTCATAAGTTTTCTTTTTACAAAGCTTATTATGATTTATGCAAAACATTTATGATATGCTTGGATTTCCTGCTTTATCTTAAACATCCTTGTTTCTTAAATAACCAGTCATTTTATCTTAGGATGGAAAACTTACCATATAAGATTCTATCGCATATAAAATTACTTTCTTTTAAACCTTTCTTACCAAAAATACATCTTTATTTCTATAACTTCCTTTACATCTCTCTTATTTACTGGTGCTTTTTATCTTGTTTCATAAATAACCTTTGAATTAGACAAAAATTATTTCCTTTTAATAAGAACACATTTTTTAGAAAAATGTTTTCCTGTAATATAATTAAAAAAAATGGAAGTGATCCAGACATTTAATGAATATCTATTTTTAATTTAATATAGCCTTAGATTCTAAATTATATGATGAATTTATATATAAGCATTTATTTCATTACATTTACTTAATTATTTTTTAAGAGTTTACCTAGATTACTTATGAAAACTGATAGTCATCATTTAAAGTTACTTTCCTGTTAACCATTTTTATAGCCTGTGAATTCCAAGTGTTCAACTAAGTAAGAATATAAGGTTAAATAAATGGTTCTTTTTGTTGGCTGATAATTCAGGATTTAGCTGTTTTTATTAAACCAACAATATTAAGTGCCTTATTTATGAAAAATTACACAAACAAAAATAATTCTCTTTTGGACTGCATTTATAGCTTTATAACCCTCATGCCAAATTTTGACACCTTATAATCTCCAGCAGAGATAAATATAAAACTGCTTGACCAGTAAATCCAAAAAGAGATATCATGGGACCAGGCCATGTAATGCTTTTACAGTGCACTTTGTTACAAAAACATTTCTCTCCCTTTAAACTGTGCCCATTCTTATCTTAAACACAGAATGGCCCCTGTAGTAACTATTTTAGTAAAAAAAAAATCAAGTAATACAATACAAAAAGCAAGCAGTTTCAGATATGAGAGGACCTTGTCTGTTTACACTCTTGGGGGTCCATAATGAAAAACAGAGGTTTCTCCCAAAAAGGAGTTTGGCACCTTCTCTGTTTTCTTTAAGCAATCCCAGGCTGTTAGAAATTGTCTTAGATTCCCTCATGCAGGAGAGGGTGGTAAGAGGAAGGAAAGACAGGCAGAAGTACATTGAGAAAACAGAATTCGGTCAACTGAGTAGAAAAAGAAACTTTTTATCAAAACACAAGATCCTAGGAAAGAAAAAAAAAAGCATAAAGACTCTCTCTCTCTCCCTCTCTCTCTCTCTCTCTCTCTATATATATATATACACATACCATTGAGCTCTTTACAAAAAATCCTTTTAAATCTCTTATTACCATATTTTAGCTGGGACAACCTGCTGATATTTCAAAAGTAACACAAATATCAAATCAGAAAGGACTTGATTTAGGATCAAAATCCATGCTGTCATGGTGAAAAAAATGGCAGAATCTTAGCTAATGAACAATAGCATAGGGAGGCTGCCATTGCTCTTTCAGTTTGTGCTTGGCTAGCAAATGGGGGTCTTGTTGTGTAAATAAAGCCCCTCAGGTAATCAGGATCTTTTTTTTCTTTTGCTTGCCAGGTTTTCCCCCCTTTTACTTTTTAGCTGCAGGAAATTTAGCCAATTCAGAGGCCTTCTTCCCCATAATTTGGAACTTTCCTTCGAATTTGACCAAGTCAGGTAGAGTTGGGAAAAAGACTGAAACCACAAAACAACAAAAACAGAAGAAAATAAAACTAAAGAAAAAAGTTAAGCAAAACAAACAAATGATCACACAATGTATATGATTACTTAGCGTCCTAATGGTAAGGAGGAATTAAGATCAGCTGGTTGTTTATCTTAACTTTTAGTCATTAAAGATAATTTCCCAGACAAAACTCCAATTCAACTACTTACCTAGGAATGGGGCCCAGGCAGAAAACTGCTCTCTATTATCTCAGAAGCTGGAAAAACTCAGACTTGCCTTCCATGTTGGAAGCAAGCTGAAAGTGAGCTGAAGCTCCAGATGGAGCAGCTCTCAATCGTCAGGGAAGCAGGAAAACTCACCTTCCTTGTTGGAAGTGAATAAAACTCCAGAAAGGGAGTTACACAGCAAAATAAGCCTTAGATCTCAACCAAATTTTGGGACATCAAGGATTCTCTGGAGAGGGGCACTCCCAGGCCTCAGCAAATTGTCTTGTTGGTTTGAACAACAGAGATAGCTCAAGCTGGTGATATAGGAGCTAAGAAGAAATTATTTAGGCAGATAGTGAGGGTAAGGAAGTCCTCAGTAATGCTTTCCTTTTAATGAAAAGAAGCCCCCAAATCATACTTTTCTAACAAAGTCCAGCCTGTAAAATCAAGCTGCAGACATAGACAAGCAAGCTGGAAGCTTGTACTGGTGAATGCCAGCAGCTGTGCCAATAGAAAAAGGCTACCTGGGACTAGGCATGTTCAAAATGGTGGTTCCATCTTCCCTTTTCCTTTTCAATCACATGCGCAGTCAGGAGCAGACAACATGGTATCAGCCAAGCAAAGACTCCTTTTGCATAATCAGATTAGGGTGGGGCAGCCAGCTTCCCTGCAGGCTATGTAAATGTCACACATGGTCCAACCAATCTTTGGGCCCTACATAAATCAGACACCACTTCCTCAAGCCTGTCTATAAAACCCTGTGCACTCCACCATGGGCCAGAAGTCCCATTTGGGTGCCCCTCTCTCTCGCAGGAGAGCTGTTCTCCTTTCTCTTTCTTTTGCCTATTAAACCACTGCTCCCAAACTCACTTACTGTGTGTGTCCATGTCCTCAATTCCCTTGGTGTGAGACAACAAACCTTGGGTATTTACCCCAGACAATGACACCACTTCACTGGTATCAAGCACTGATAAAAGATTCATCAGAGATCATGGCCACCTCCACTCAGAATCCCTTCTGTTGGTCACCAATTTGTAAACCAAAAATATCTGAGACAGGTCTTAATCAATTTAGAATTTTAGTTTGCCAAGTTTAAGAACATGCTTGGGAGGGAGATCTGTCCATTTCTCCAAAGGTGATTTTGAGGGCTTCAATATTTAAAGGGGAAGAGCAGACTGGAGGGGAAAGAGCGACAGTATGGTCATATTACTGAATTCACATGTTGGAAGAGAAAAGAAGCGGATAGGGGAATAGTCAATTATGTATTCATCTGGCACTCAGTAAATCCACACTTTACCTAGGATAAAGTGAACCAACCTCTGGAGATAGATAGACTTTTACCTGCAGCTATCTGCTTAGAAACAAAAGGAAAGGCAGTTTCTTGCATGACTCAGTTCTCAGCTTAACTTTTTCCTTTTGGCATAGTGATTTGGGGCCCTGACTTTTTATTTTCTTTTCACAATGTCTTTTGGTGCTCCAGCATACACCTAGAAATAATATTGCTCGGTCATAGGTGTGTACTTTTTCAGGGTTGTAGACACTGTCAAATAGTTGACCAAAATATTTGTTTCAACTTACACCACCAACAAAAATGTATGAGAGTTTCAAGTGCTCTAAATAGCCATTCTAGTGGGTTTGTAGTGCTGTTTCAGTTTGGATTTTATTTGCATTTCCTTGAAGATAATGAAAATAAGCACTTTTTCTTATGTTTATTGGCCATGGGTATACTTATTTATACAGCATCCATCCAAGTCTTTTGTCCATTTTCCTCTTAGGTTGTATGCCTTTTTCTTACTGATTAGTCAGAGTTCTTTATATATTCTGGATATGGGTCTATTGTCAGATATGTGTATTATAAGTATCGTCTCCTACTCTTTGGATTGCCTTTTCCCTTTTGCTAATGAACAGAAGTCTTTAATTTTAATATACAGCACTTTTAAAATATTTATTTTATGGTCAGCCCTTTATTAGCCTTGTTTAAACAATACAAGGTAATAAACATATTTGCCAATGTTTTTCTCTAAAAGTTTTATGGTCATATTATTGACAAAGATTTTTTAAATACAATTCAGTGTTGGCAACTGCCTAGACTAATGGACATATATAATGCTAATGGTCATATAAACTATTAGAAATTTTCTGAAGGTTAATTTAGCAAACAACAAATTTTTTAAAGTTCATATATTCAATCAAATAATTCAACAGCCAAGAATTCATCCAAGGAAGCAGTGAGGGTGACAAAAAAGGATTTATATAAAAATATGTTAAGTATTACATTTTTTAAGAACAGCAAAAAGTAAATAAAACTAAAAACAATCTAAATGACCTTCAATGAAGAAATGATTAAATTAACTGTGGAATAGTCACAATTTAGAACACTATACACTAGTTCAGAATGATACATAATTTTATATGTATTAACAAGAATGGATAACATATTGATGAGTTAAAAAATCAAATTGCAAAATGATAGAAATATGATATGATGTATAAGTAAAAGCACATGACCAAGTAATAAAAAACACTAATCATAAAGAAAAACATTCATAAATTTGATTATATTAAAATTAAAAAGTTATGTTTCTCAAAAGACACCACAGAGTGAAAATTTTAAGGTATATATACTTGCAACTCATATAAACTGATAAAGGACTGTATTCAAAATATGTAAAGAACTCCTACAAATCAGTAGGAAAAAGATGGGCAATCTAATAGAAAAAAATGATGTAAACAAGTACCTCTATAAAGTAGTAAATCCAAATGGCCAATACACATATTAAAAAACACTCAGCCTCATTAGTAATCAGAAAAATGTAAATTAAAATTACAAAAACTACTGCTACACACCCACCATATTGGCAAAACTCAAAAAATATGACAACGCCAAATGTTGGAGAGGATGTGGAACAACGGAACCTCTCACACGTTAGTGATGGGAGAGTAGATTGGCACAAACCTTTTGAAAAACACTTCAGCATTTTCTAATAGAGCTGGAGATATGCATACCCAATGATCCGGGAATTCTACTCCTATATTTATAACCTACAGAAACTTATTCACATATGTACCAAGCCACATGTAAAAAAAATAAAAATAAAGAAAAAGTTTATACCAGCATCATTTGTAATTGTCCAAAGCTGGAAACAATCCAAATACCCATCAATGGTAGAAGGGATAAACAAATGGTGCTGTATTCATGTAATGGAATACTACACTGTGAGGAAAATGAGCAAAGAATGCCTACAGGCAAAAATATAGATTAATCTCACAAAGAAGAAAGTGAAAGAATCATGGCGCAAAAAAAATATATATTATGCACAGCATAATTCTACCCGCATAAGGTTTAAAAACAGAAAAAAAAAACCTATAATGTTTAGGGATGTAAACCTAAATAATAAAATTACTTTTTAAAAAAGGCCAGACAGTGAGTATCATAACATTCAGGAAGAATTAGAAGAATGGTGTGATTGGTGAGGGACCCCAAGGAGGTTGGAGTGCTGGAAATATTCTATTCTTTGACCTGGGTGTGGTAATGTAGGTTCTCACTTCATAATAATTCATCATGTTGAACATTTACATTCCACAACTTTTCTTTGAGCTTATATAACAATAAAAATTGTAAAAGGATACACACATATAGACTTACACACAAAATTCCAATTGTGACATAAATGTACGCCATCTGTTTGAAAGGATGCCAGTCAAATTGACAATAGTGGTGACTTTGGTGGCTCCTGGGGAGGGAAGGCAGAGGACAGGGGCCAGGATTCGGAGAGGGAGTGGTCAAAGGGGATTTTGATCTTATCTATAATGTTTTTAATTTTAAAAGTATATTATTCCTGTATCCATGAGTAATCAATAGCAAATTTTGATGGAAGTATGAAAACAAAGAAAGATAAAAACAAAATGTATATTATATTCTAAAGTTGTAAAATTATTTATATATATAATATTAAAAAGTGCATATACATCTAAAAGGAAAACAAATCAAAATATTGACTTTTTTATCTCTGGTCATGGGATTGGGGATGGCTCAGTTTCTGAGCCTCCAAAGTATGGTGTTTTGATATGCTGAGCTAAAGAAACCTCAAGGGCTCTCTGATGTTCCTTCCCCTCCTGTCTTTCAATCCTTTGTCTTTCCCAAAACATAGGATGAAATTGTTCTCTGAAGTTTCCTTATCTGCTTAAAGAACAAACTCATCAAAGGAAAAACAATTACCTCTGCTCCCTTCCTGGAGTTTTCATTAACTAAGCTCATATCACAGGAAGAAAGACTGATGTCTGTCAATGCACCTGGAGAGACTTTTGTCACAAATCATTATCTGCTCTGCAGGCCAAACAAACTTTGTCGTGGGCCACTGTATGTTTTTCAAGCCCATTGAATTCCCCTAAAAATCATTTACTATCCCGCTAAAATCATCCACACTTTCCCATCTCCCTTTCCTCTAAGAAGGATATATAAGCATCTGTACCCCATTGTGTGGTGGAGTAATCACTCTGTGATTCTCCCGTGTTCACATTAATAAATTTGTGTGCCTTTTCTCCTATTAAATTACCTTTTGTCAGTTGATTTTCAGTAAGCCTTCAGAGAATGAAGAAGTTTTCCCTTATCCCCTACAGTATTTTTCTTTGTGTTTGTCCTGTAGTTTCTGAATATTTTATAATAAATACATATATACTTAAGTTAGGAAAAACTTACAAGAATCTATAAGAAAAATATATATTCCTCCAAAGAAAATGGCGAAAGGACAAAAACAGACATTGTACAGAAGAATAAATTCAAACGACCCATCAAAATGTGAAAAAAAAATCCACTCTGTAAGTGGAAATTTAAATTAGAATAAAAATGTCATTTTTTAACCCAGACAGGCAAAGATACAAATACTGAGAATTTCCAGTGTTATCTATGGTATTGAAACAATTTGATACACTTTTTAGTGGAAGTACAAATGGAAGCAGCCATTCAGGGGGTCGTATGACAATGGGCATAAACAGCCTTTTAAGTACCTACATTCTTTAACCCAGTAATTCCACTTCTAGAGAATCATCCTTAAAAAATATTCAAAGATGTACAAAATGGTGTACATACAAGAATGATCATAGCAATATTATTTAATACCAAATATTTGAGAACAGCATAAATGTATAAATAGAGGACTCGTAAAAAGGAATACACAGGTGCGCACATGCTACCCCTTTTCATGCTATTTGAATTAGAAATCATGTTCACAGACATTTAATAATATGGGAATATGCTAAAGAGAAAATGTTAAAAGTAAATAAGGCAGGACATGCAGTAGTATCCACAGTTTGATTGCAGCTTTAGGGAAAACGAAAAGACATATTTGTATAAGTATTAAAGTCCAAGTGAATGGGTACGTAGAAAAAAATCTAGAAGGAAATATAGTAGAATATTAACAGGAGTTTTCAATGGGTGATTTTTATTTTCCTCTATGATTTTCTATATCTCTAGATTTTCTTCAATGAACCCATCAGCAATATTTGAACACATATTTCTAAATGTTTAAAAAACTTCATAATAAAATAAAAAACTTCATAATAAAACTGACAGTGATGCAGTGGTCTGATGATTCCCTTTATAAAAATTACCTCTGACATGCTAACCACTTTCATGCCTCTCTCCAGCTGACCCTATAATTCACACTGGTCTCCCCTGGAGCCTCTTTCTTGCTCTGTAAATCTTGCACTGGCCTTTAGCCAAGAGCAATAAAACCTGACCTGACATGACCTGCAAGTGCAGTCAGTGGTAACAAAAGGAATTTATATCTTTGCTCTGCTAAACGCTCTCTTTCCTTCCTATCACAATCCCTGCTATTGTTGAACTGCTGTCTACATTACCAAATTATGTTGACCATCAGGGGTTAATGGGCCAATCGTTAAGATATCTATTGATCTTAATATGCCATTCCTGTTAGCATTAGCATACTATGAAAAAATATATATGTTGTACATAATAACTTCATATAAACAAAATGCCAGTCTTCATACATATTAGACACACACTCGGTATGGGTCAGCAGACTTCTACATGTCATTACTCATCTTTCCCTTGGGGTCCCAAAGCTGAGTTAATCAAGTATAGGTCAGAAACAGGTCACCAAATACCAGAGGCTTGTGAATAGCTGTAGAAAATAGAAATAATTATTAGAAATAATCAACACCTCTTGGTATCTCTCTTCTTTGGGATAGCAGTGAACATCAGAAACTAAAGACAAAGTTCATCTATTTTCAGCACTGACTTCTGACCATGTTTCATACTGCATTGATTATTAGCTAGAATTCACCAAACATCATTCATTTGCAAATATCAATTAACTGTCCACTAGTGCCAGGCACAGTTCTAGGCAGTCGTTATATGCTCATGAACAAATGATAGAAATATCTGCCCTCATGGACCCTACATTATCATCAAGAGAGATGGACTATAAACACAAAAGAGAGTAAATAAATGACATGGTTTGTTAAATCATGTTTAGTACTATCGAAAAACAGAATGAGGTAAGAGAGATCTAGAGGTGCAGGAAGTAGGATGCAGCTTGCAAGCAGACATAGAGTGGTCAAGATAAGACTTATTGAGAAGTTGACAATGATGGACACATTATGTCCAGATTCTCTTTTAAGGAGGAGTTGTGGCCCAGCTTCTGGAAATGCTGACTACCCTTCAGGGCTTGCCACAGCAGCAGAAAGCCACCTCACCTAGGGTCAGTCCCGATAGAAGGTTACATAAAGGGGTGGCACTTTTCAGCCCAATGGGGGACAACTCTGACAGGCAATTTTAGCTCTAGAGCTCCGTGTAGGATTGGGCAAGGCTGTTATTAAGCCTTGGTCACAGCTTGACTTCTCCTTCTGCCCACTCCTGCTTCCTTCTCTTCCCTTCCATACATGTTGATTCCAAGAGCTTTCTTAATAATATCTTGCATGCCAAACATCATCTCAGAGTCTGATTTCCATAGAACTCAACCCATAACAGTGACATTTGAGCAATGCTTGAAACAAAGGAGGGAATGGAGTGAGCCGCACATCTATCTGAAGGAAAAGTATCCCAGACAGGCACAGCCAATGCAAATGCCAAGTATGCCTGAAGTGGTGAAAGAATAGGAAGAAGGCCAGTGAGGCTGGGGTGGAGTGAGTTCAAAAGAATTAGTACGAAACAAGGTCTTTGGCTTTTACTCAACATGAGATGAAAAATCACAGGAGGGTTTTGACCAGAAGTATGACATGATCTGTCACACTTCTGAAAAATCACCACAGCTGTGTGGAGAATACAGTGTAGAGGGCAATATGGAAGCAAGAGTCTAGGTAAGAGACTATTATAATCCCGGGGGGAGTGATGATGGTGGCTTGGTCCAGGGAAGTAGCAATGGAGTTAGAGAGAAATGATCAGATTTTAGAGACATTCCAAGGGTAAAGCAAGCTTTCTAGGATTTCCTGGCGGATTAGATGAAGAATCTGTGGAAAAGAGAAGATTCGTGTTTGAGCATGTTAAAATTGGGATGTCTCTATTTATTTAAGTGGAGATATCTAATATATGGTTGATAATAGAGCCTAGCATTTAGGAAAGAAATTAGGAGACAACATGGTATTTAAACCTTTCAGACTGAATGAAATCACCAATGGAGTGAGTAAAGACACATAAGAGAAGATGCCCAAGGACCAGCCCATTCCAATGTTGAGACTTCTCACAGAAGGGGAAAAACTATCAAAGAACACTGAGAAGGAGCAACCATTAAGGATGGAGGAAAGTGAAGAGAGTGCCATGTATTGGAAACCAAGTGAAAAACATGTAATCAAATATGCTGCTGGTAGGTCAAGGAAGATTAAGACTGAGACCAGCAATGGAAACAGCCATGTAGAGAGCTTGGGTGGCATTGACAGGAGCAGTTGGAGAGGAGAATGAAAATCATTGAAATAAAAGAGAAGAAATATTAAAATTTCATGTTTTGCTTCCTATCTCTTCATCAGAAATACATCTATCAGACAAAAAAAAGAAAAAATATATATATACATCTATCAAAATAAGGATCCTTTCTTGAAAACTTACTCCCCCAGAAAATTTTTCAAACCCAGAAGACAACACAACTTAAGCAAAAAAAAAAAATTCACTATAGAAATAATAGCATTTACTTCCTTATCCTTGAGGAGCTGATGATAAATTAGCATTCCATTCAGCTCATTTTTCAGACACTTCCATTCCAAGGATATCTTTCAGTGCTGGCAGACTGGGGAGACATCAATGAAGTACTTAAACGTATGCTGTAAAGAACTAAGCTCTGTAAAGTAGACCCAGTTCCTTCCAATCTACAGCCATAAACACAGACCAACCATGGAATCAGCCTCAAGTAACCCATGAAATAAATAATTCGCATTTTCTGCTACTTATTCTCAGTCATTGAGCTACATGTGTTGGAGGAAATTGCTATATCCAATTGATGATCCTCCAGCATTTTAGATTCCAATGGCCTCACCCACCACTCTCCCACTCTTCACCTTCCTCTGTTGTCCCATCCCACACACTGATGACCTGCATACCCTCCAGCTACACCAGGCAATCATCACTCTCCTCCCATACTCTGAATTTTTAACTTCATTGCCATTGTGCACAGAAAACACATATATGCACATGTGCTTACTCAAACACTATACCAATTGAAATTTTATCCAAACTTAAAAGCCCAACTCAAATGCCCCCTCTTCTGAAAAGCCTGTCCTGACCCTTGCCTCCTTCATGTTTTCATAACATTGTGTATGTCTGTTATATACAAATGCTTTGTACAGACACTCTCTTCATTCAACTAGGAATGATGTATTTTTCAGCATTTCCTATTCATCTGTAAGCAGGTAACCATGCATCCTGGTTTGCTGAGTACAATCCTAGTTTACATCTATTGTCCCAGGGCATATATTATCAACGCTTCCTTTGGCTTTCAAAAGGTGTCCTGGTTTGGATGATAAATGAAATGGTCACCCTAGTAATAAACATTTTTATGATACAATCTGAGCCTCATTCATCCATGTAACTCCCAAAGCACCTAGCACAGTGCCAGGCACATTTAGCAGGTGATCAATAAATGTGTAATGACAAGTTGTAGAAATAAGTACTTTAGTGTGTATGATTTCTCTTTGCTGAGGAGGGGGAACTTGTTATAAAAGCAAGGGAAAGCTCAGAACATAAGCATGGCAAAACCACGCTTTTCCCATCCTCCCCCTCCATCAGCCCATGGATGTGCCACAAACAATGTGGAATGAAGAAGATACTTGAAATTTCTAAAACACCTATATTTATCAACTGGAAGATGGGTTCCCTCTAATGGGGAAGGGAGGCCTTGGACCAGGAGTCAAGAGACAAGGATTTCCATTGTAACTCAGCCCTAATAAGACTTTTCTGCACTGGTACCAGGATACATCCTTTTACACTCACAGGTGACCACAGGCAAAAACACTTTGCTTCTCTGAATTCTCATCTGAAGGTGGGGAGGCTGGAACAAGGTCATCTCCAGGCCCCTTCCAGCTCTCACATTCAGGGCTGATCCAGACACGAGTTTAAACGAATACAGATCACATCAGCATCTATTCCTGTTTTCAGCTTTCTGGGCCACGACCCCATGGACAGGGCTGGAATAACTAAAGCACTATTTCAAGGGGCCTGAAATTCTTTGAAACTGTTCTAATATAAATGTTCAGTCGGGGGGAAACAGCTGCCCCCAGAAAAGACCTACTTCTTTAGTGCCTGGCATGAGTTCTTATTACAGAGATTCTGCAACTTGAGATCACCTGTTGGGCTTGTTAAAACAGTTAAAATGCAGTTTCTAATTTGCTAGGTCTGGGTTGGACTCGAGAATATACATTTCAAACAATTCCCCAGGTGATGCTGATGCTGCTGGTCCAGGGATCATTCTTGGAGAACCACTACCTTATTATATTGTAGCCTACTAAAAGATAATTTTTAAGGAAAAATAAAGAAATTTTTTTTACAAAAACTAACAGAGATATTCAAGATGAAAGATCCCTAGAAGCAGGCTTTTATTCATTCCAGACTTTGTCGAATACCATGGTTCCTGGTTCCTTTCTGGCACTGTCCTCTTAGTGAGGATCTGTATTCACTGGGTACAATGCTTCCAGCTGGGAAAGGATGCTTTCTTCAAAGGAATCTTGTTTTCTTCCTCCCTCAGCTCTTGTGTGTTACTCCAAGGTCTCATTAGCCCTTGAAATGTATTCCAATTTAAAATCAGCTGCAAACTTAATTAATGTCCTATAACCCTTCTTCACAGCACTAAAGAAGATGCTAATTAAAGGCAGAGGCAAACCTAATCTCCCTATCCCTCCTGCTCCTACCTGCTATTAGGATCCTAGCAGTTCTTAGTTGACTCTCAGCTCCAATCGAAATTGAATTTCATTTGTAGAGGATACAATTTTTCATTCTTTACATCAGCTGGACATCCGTGATTCGAGAGACTCTGATTTGAAATGGGAGGTTCCACCCTGGTTTACTCCCAAGGTATACAAGCTGATTATTCTCCACTGTTTACTTAGGCTACACAAGAAGCCCCTGATGTAAACATCTGACTATCAAACAAGCCAGCCACAGAAACATCTGTGGCTTTGCCTGCCACTGCAATGTGCCTCCCACCTCCATACACCCACACATACTCACGCTATCCATCAAAACTCCAGAGCCCCAGAATCTCCTAAAAGCTGATCTAGGGAATTAGTGGGTTCAGAAATAGAGGTGGAGGGAAAGTCATGCAATGTAGGGATATATTAAGAGCACTGCTCCAAGGATAAGTGGCCCCAAAGGCCCATTAACTCACCCATGTGGAATTCTCATTGACAAAAAGTACCCTGTCTACCCCGTCCCCAAGGCACTTTCCATCTCAAGACTACCAATATCATGTTTACTTTGTCACACAGTTTAACTTTTCAGCCTGTTCAGATCCCTCAGGGCTAATGATAACTGATATGGTTTGTCTCTGTGTCCCCACTCAAATTTCATCTTAAATTTTACTCCCATAATTCCCACGTGTTGTAGGATGGACCCAGTGGGAGATCATTGAATCATAGGGGCGGTATTCCCCATACTGTTTTCGTGGTAGTGAATAAATCTCACCCCTGATGGTTTTATCAGGGGTTTCCACTTTTACATCTTCCTCATTTTCTCTTTGCCTGCTGCCATTCATGTAAGACGGGACTTGCTCCTCCATGCCTTCTGCCATGGTTGTGAGGCTTCCCCAGCAACGTGGAACTGTAAGTCCAGTTACACCTCTTTCTTTTATAAATTGCCCAGTCTCGGGTTTGTCTTTATCAACAGTGTGAAAACGGACTAATACAATAACTTTCATTTGAGGCTTTCACATTAGAGCAATGATTGCAACTCTGGCCGCTCCTTATAATCACTTGAGGAGCTTTACAAATCGTGAAGCCCAAGCCACACTTCACACCAATTAAATTAAAATCTCTTTAAGTGAAACCGAAGCATCAGTAATTTTTAAATGTAGAGCCAAGGTTGAGAATACTACATTCAAGTGGATTTGCCCAACTTTATTGATCCAAATCCCCATCTGAAGAGTTGCTTTTTACTGAGGATTTGGAAAATTTAATTGGGGAGGATGGCAATTTCCATTTAAGGAACAATCTTAGAAGAAGGGCAAGACCAGTGGGAACACATGCTAAGCTGAAGAAAAAGGGAGGGGGACTAGGAGATAGTAGGGGGTGCAGAGAAGATGTTAAAGATATTATTTTTAATGTTATTTTTAATGAAAAGGCCACTATTTTTAATGTCTGGGCCATCTCCATACCCAGCCAAATAACAGAAACCTTGTACTCTGCCTTTAGCTCCTATTCCTCATAGTTTACTGCTCAGAATCAGATTTACTGTATTTACTTTGGTGCCATTATTTGGTTAACAGGTGAACTAACAGTGCAAGTGGGATGTTATGATTTGAATATTTACGTCCACTCCAAAACTTATGTTGAAACTTAATCCCCAATGCAGCAGTATTAAGAGGTGGAGTCTTTAGGAGGGTTGATGGATCAACCCTCATGGATGGGATTAGTGCTCTCATAAACAGGCTGCAATTGGACTTACAGTTCCACGTTGCCCCTTCTGTCCCTTCTGTCCTGTGAGGACACAACATTCATTTCCTCCAGAGGATGCTGCAACAAAGCACCATCTTGAAAGCAGAGAGCAGCTCTCACCAGACACCAGTCCTGCTGGCACCTTGATCTTGGACTTCCCAGCCTCCAGAACAGTGAGGAATAAATTTCTATTGTTTACAAATTACCTAGTCTTGGTTATTTTGTTATAACAGCACCAATGGACTAAGACAAAGGGCTGACAGTGGTCTCACAATCATGTGAGACACTGTTTTTTGTGGAAAATTTCAGTGTTCCAACCACAGCCTTACCCACAAACTTCTAGGTTTAGACTGCTTTCTTCCATTCCATCTGCCTAAGCTGATGGAGCCAGAGGCTCATGAGCACCAAGCTAAGTGTTTGATCCCTGGGGGTCAGTCACCCCTCAGCCTACCCCTTAAGCCCTGGTCACTACTCTCATGAGTGCTGACTGTTCCTTACAAAGAGAACTAAGGAAGGAAATGTGACTGAGGCTTCACATTTAAAGGCCAACTGAAACAACATCCCAAGTGCAGGCCCCTGGTAAGTCCATCATGTCAACTTCTAACACAAAGGTAATTTGCTTATTCCTTCATTCAGCGGTGGACTTTCTCTTCAAAGATAACTCTGCCTTTCAGCTTATTTCCCTTAGGAGATCCTACCAGCAGCAAGACTTTTAAAATAACTATCTCTAAGGCACCATCAGGGTACCATTTTCTGTGGGTTCCTACTATGGACTGAATTATGTACCTCAAAAATTCATATCTCGAAGTCCTAACCCCCCAGAATGTGACTTTATTTGGAAATAAATTTGTTGCAGATGTAATTAGCTGAGGTCATACTGGAGAAGGGTGGCCCTTAATCCAGTATGACTGGTGTCCTTGTAAAATGGGGGAATTTAGTGACAGACACACACAGGGAGAACATGTGAAGATGAAGGCATAGATGGGAGTGATGCTTCTACAAGCCAAGGAATGCCAAAGATTGCCAGCAAACCACCAGAAGCTAGGGCAGAGGCATGGAACGGTATCTCAAAAGGAACCAACCCTAGCAATACCTTGATCTCAGACTTCTCATCTCCAGAACTCTGAGGCAATAAACATGTTTGTGATACTTTGCTATGGCAGCACTAACAAACTGCTTTAGTTCCTTTTATTCTAAAATATACCCCCAAGACATTTGCTTAAATAATTACCACTGGTCAAAACATACTGGTTATTCTTTTGAAGAACACTTCCTTTTTTCTATTTTCTTCAGAGTACTTCCATGTATCTTTAGTCATCTTACTATTTCCCTGTTTATGTGTTTATGATCTGTCTTCCCCTACATCTCAAGGATAAGCTCCCTGAGAAGTGGTGCGGTCTGGCAATTGGAAGACCAACCTTGGGAGCCACACTGGGTTTAGTACCAGCCCAACACTAGCTCTGTGACCTTGGAATAAAGTTATCTAATCTCTCTGTGCCTCAGTTTTCTCACCTATAAAGTGGGGATTATAATAGCACCTCTCCCACAGGGTTTTCATGAGGATTAAGTGACTTAATATGTGTAAAGCATTTATAAAACTAGCACATTATAAACACTATGCAAATGTTACCTATCATTATTGACAGCAGGGGCATTGTCAACTTTATTCAATCCTGAATGTCTAATGCCATTAACAGTGCCTGCCATATGTTAGGGGACTTCATGTATGACTCCAATGGATTAGTACTTTCTTCTAGTGAAGTCCTTAACTAGAAAGTCCACCATGACTTTGTCATCATCCAGAGACTTAGAAAACACTAATACCTTAATCCACAGGCATCAAGAATCATTCAAAGACACATACTCAGAAGTTCTACTTCTCAGAACATTCGATCTGCAGTATGTGCCATCCAGCCTTGCAAAGGATTTCTTACTCACATGCCCATGAAGACTCACAATTTAGGTTGAGCAAGTAACAAAGACCACAAATACATATTTGCAGGTTCTCTTAGAAGGGCTAGAAAAATGTTAGGGTTTTTCTGACTGCTTCATTTTTTCATATATTTATAAAGTTTTTATGGCTGTCTTTTTGAGATTTCCATTGCTACTCAAATATTCATTCAAACCAGCCTAAATATGATTGAATATCTTTTCTCCAAAATTCCTATTTATTCGATTGATTATTTCACATGACAGTGGTTGCCAGCATATGTAACTTGATTGGTGAATAAAAACATACATATTATTTGCTAAGAGAAAAAATTAAAAAGATAAAGAAAAATGTCTAGTTTCATCAAAGCTCCCAATTTCCTTTCTTGTAGAACGGGCTGTGCAGAATCATGCTGGAGCATCCCAGCTGGTGCACTTATGAAGAGAGAAGCCTTTTTCAGATACATAACCTAAAAATCCTGCTTTAGAGCAAACTGCTGATTGATTCATTAATTGAAGTTAAATTAAAAATGTTCATCAGACCTTCCCTCCTTCCCAAACACAGTCATACACAATCACAGATTGATGAAGAAAGCATTTGCTAACATGCACACACACACACACACACACACACACAAAGGCATATCAGCCCCTTTGAATTATCTTAACAAAAAGAGATGGTTGACTGCAAAAAAAATAGGTTTTTTGAAAGATACATATATTAAAATGGAAGTCTCAACTGATGTCTATTGAATTTTCCAAATCCTGGATGTTCAGGATGTTCTTTGTAATACTGCTACCCATGCTGGCCATTAATTCCTCCTCAGACCTCATCTTCGATCTCAGCAGCCCTTTCTCATGCTAATAATCCACCAGGACCCTGAACTGCTGAAGCAAGTCCCTTGACAGATTCAGAGCATTATCCAGCTGACTGCACAATTTGTTCGGCACCTGGGGCAAAGAACTGGGAGATGCAGAGAGCAGGAACACAGTGGTAAATTGAAGAATGACACATGTCAGGAATGTTAGGGAGACTTGTTGAACCCACTACCTGCTTCAGAATAAAGGAATTAAATGAAGAGGGATGGGGAAATAACCAGGGAGGTTAGGATAGGACCATGGAGTTATGGAAACTAACTGAAACCCTGAAAACAGGGTTTGGTTTGGACTTACTTGCAGGGCTGCAAAGCAGGTCCACCATTATTATCCTATAAGTCCAGCATTTCTGAGGGGTGTCACACAGTTGTGTACATGATGTTACCTTTGACTGCATTTTGGTCTCTTGGGTCATAGAACCACTACATGACAAACCCACACAAATGCCCCTGAAAGAGCTTCCCAGATGCTGGGGATAAGGAGATTACAGGGAAAGTTATGGTAACATTCTGTGTGAGTAAAGCCACTGGGATAGGGGCTCAGGGTATGAGAATGGAACTAATATTTATGGAGCATCTAAGAAATGTCAAACAGTCTCCTAAGCATGCCACCTAATCACTTGATTCCATATCTACAAAACAGTATAAGGTATCATTGTATCCCATCTTACAGAGAAGAGAATTGAGATCCTTCCAGAACAGAACAGGCTCAGGCTCAAATATTAGGAAAGAACTAGAAACATCTTGCTGTCTTGTGCAGTTCCAAGAATGTGGTGCATACATGTGGAAAACTGTATAGACAAAATCAAAAACATATGAATGGACCCTTTAAAATGATATCTGGCCATTGATCTGAGCAGTAATTTCTACAAATGTTTTTCTATTATATTTTAATACTATACCTTCTCATATTTTGTGTGTTTATTTAAAACCTAATTTGTCAACAAGGGTGCCAAGACAATTCAATTGGGCAAAAAATATCTTTTCTACAAATGGCACTGGGACAAATGAATATCCACATGCAAAAGAATGAAGTTGAATCCCTACCTCACACCATATACAAAAATTAACTCAAATCATAGATCTAAATGTAATAGTTAAAACTCTAAAACTTTTATAAGAAAACAGGGGTAAATCTTCATTACCTTGGGTTAGGTAATGTTTTCTTAGATATGACAACAAAAGCATATGTGAGAAAAGAAAAATAGATAAATTGGACTTCGTCAAAATTAAAAACTTTTGCACTCCAAAGAACACCATCAAAAAGATGAAAAGAAAATCCACAGAATTGGAGAATATTTATAAATCATATGTCTGTTAAGAGACTGGTATTCAGAATATATAAAGAACTCTTACAATGAAACAGTTCAGGAACAAATAACTCAATTAATAAAATAGGCAAAGGATTTCAGGTGAATAGACATTTCACCAAAGAAGATACACAAATCACTAAAGATCACATGAAAAGATGCTCACATTAGGGAAATCAAAACTCCAATGACATACCACTTCACAACAACTAGGATGGCTAAAATAAAAAAGACCGACTATAGCAAGTGTCAGACAAGATACACAGAAATTGGATCCTCATTTATTGTTAGTAAGATTGTGAAGCAGTGCAACCACTTTGGAAAACAGTGTGGTACTTCCTCAAATTATTAGACATAGAGTTACCATATGACCCAGCAATTCCACTTGGCTATATACCCAAGAGAAATGAAAACATACATTCCCACCAAAACTTGTATACAAATGTTCATAGCATCATTATTCATAATAGCCAACAAGTAGAAAGAACTCAAATGTCTATCAACTGATGACTGGATAAACAAAATGTGGTCTATTCCTGCAAACATGTATATTTTGATATTCCTTTTATTCAACCATAAAAAGAAATGAGGTACCGATACATGGTACAAAATGAATGAACCTTGAAAACATTATGCTAAATGAAATATGTCAGTCATAAAAAAACACATATTGTATGATTCCAGTTATATGAAATATATATATATATCAGAATAGACAAATTCATACAGACAGAAAGTAAATTAGAGGTTTCCAGGGGCTGGGGGGAAGAGGCAATAGGAAATGACAATAGATATAGGTTTCTTTTTGGGGTGTTGAAAATGTTCTGGAATTAGATACTGGTGATGGTTGCACAACTCTAAATATGCTGCAGAGAAATTGGACACTTTAAAAGGGTAACATTTAAGATATGTAAAGTATAACTCAAAGAAATTATGATTTTTAAAAAATCTAACTTGTTCCAAAAAGAATTTAAGGCCAAAAAAAGAGATTCACAATTATTAATGGACCAAAGTTTTCTTTCTCTAATATTTGCATGCACAATTAGTCCAAGGCTTTTATACTTCATTGACCCCAGATGAAGACTTAAGACCTACTATAAATATCTGAAAATAAACAAAAATGGTAAAAATTTAGGAAGCTGAGGCTGTGACCAAAACACAACTTAGATTTTTCAGTACATGAATTCTAACAACTTTATTTTTAGAATTATCTGTCTCTTTCTTTCTGTGTCTTTGTCTCTCTCTCTCCTTCCCTCTTCATACAGTTTTTAAAGTTTTATTTTGTTTTTAATTGACACATAATAATTATACATATCTATGGGCTACACTGTAATATTTTAATACATGAATACATTGTGTAACGATCAATCAGGATAATTAGTATAACCATCACCTCAAACATTTATTATTTCTTTGTAGTTAGAACATTCAAAATCCTCTCTTCTAGCTATTTTGAAATATACTGTGAAAGGAAAATAAATCTCAGAACTCCAAAATCACTAAGTCAAAGGGAAAAGTCAAGCTGGGAACGGCATCAGGCAAACCTGCCTCCATTTTATTCCTAAATAAGATAGCTACAAAGATTTTTCTTTTGAAGCTACATACCTCCCTCACAATTTGCACACAAGGAAATTCCTTGTGGGTTTCAAGACCTTTACCCTAAAATCTGTTGAATTTCAACCTGGCAATGTAAATTGATAGCTTATTCACAGGTGTGGGACAAAGGACAGACAAAACTCAAAATCGTCCTTCTGTGCTCACCTGAGAAAATGCTACCTGATTACTTCCTCTGCCCTATTGTTAATGTAAAAATACAGATTCACTGAGTCAGACTAAGGCATAAGTAATGATTCCTCTACCCCCTACCCTGCCTCACATGTAAATTGTGTATCCAGCGAAAGGCTCATCAGAGACCCAAAATAATTCAACCTTTGGTCTCTTATCTACTGATGAACCTGGAAGACCCCACTTTGAGTTGTCCTGCCTTTCTGGACTGAACCAATGTACATTTTACACATATTGATTGATGTCTCATGTATCCCTAAAATGTATAAAACCAAGCTGTGCCCCAACCACCTTGGGCACATATCATCAAAACCTCCTGAGGCTGCGTCATGGGTACATCCTTAACCTTGGCAAAGCAAATTTTCTAAATTGATTGAGACTTGTCTTAGATACTTTTGGTTTCACAAATAATACATTATTGTTAACTATAGTCTCCTTACTGTGAAACAGAACAACAGAACTTATTTTTCCTATCTAACTATAGTTTTGTACCCATTAACCAACCTCTCCCTATTCTCTGCTCCTACATACCATTCCCAGCCTCTGGTAACCACTATTCTAGTTTTCACTTCATGAGTTTTTAAAAAACAAATAGCAATTAATAGATTTATTGCCAAGAAATAAATATAAACTAAAAAGTATCTGAGACAGGCCTCAATGAATTTAGAAGTTTATTTTGCCAAGGTTGAGAACATGCCAGAGAAGGAGGTCTGTGCCTTTCTCCAAAGATGATTTTGAGGCTTCAATACTTAAAGGGGAAAAGTGGGTTAGAAGAGAAACAGGGAAGTTATGGCCTAATATCCAGAATTTACAAGGAACTTAAACAAATTTACAAGAAAACAAACAAACAAACAACCCCATCAAAAAGTGGGCAAAGCATATGAACAGACACTTCTCAAAATAAGACACTTACATGGCCAACAAACATGAAAAAAAGCTCAACATCACTGATCATTAGAGAAATGCAAATCAAAACCACAATGAGATACCATCTCAGGCCAGTCAGAATGGCAATTATTAAAAAGTCAAAAAACAATAGATGCTGGTAAGGCTGTGGAGAAATAGAAATGCTTTTACACTGTTGGTGGGAATGTAAATTAGTTCAACCATTGTGGAACACAGTATGGCAATTCCTCAAGGATCTGGAACCAAAAATACCATTTGACCCAGCAATCCCATTACTGGGTGTATACCCAAAGGAATATAAGTCATTCTACTATAAAGGCACATGCACAATGTATGCTTATTGCAGCACTATTTACAATAGCAAAGTCACGGAATCAACCCAAATGCCCATCAATGATAGACTGGATAAAGAAAATGTGGTACACAATGGAATACTATGCAGCCATAAAAGGGAATGAGATCAAGTCCTTTGCAGAGACATGGATGAAGCTGGAAGCCATTATCCTCAGTAAACTAACACAGGAACAGAAAACCAAACACCACATGTTCTCACTTATAAGTGGGAGTTGAACAATGAGAACACATGGACACAGGGAGGGGAACAACACACACCAGGGCCTGTTGGGGGTGAGGGGTGAGGGGAGGGAACTTAGAGGAAGGGTCAATAGGTGTAGCAAACCACCATGGCACATGTATACCTATGTAACAAACATGCATGTTCTGCACATGTATCCCAGAACTTAAAGTAAAAAATTTTTTTAAGTGGGCAAAAGACATCAATAGTCAATTTTCAAGAGAAACATCAACAGTCAATTTTCAAGAGAAAACATATATAGGCCAAGAAGCATATGAAAAAAAAATCAATATCACCAATCATTGGAGAAGTGCAAATCAAAACCACAATGAAATACCATCTCACACCAGTCAGAATGGCTACTATTAAAAAGTAAAAAAAAAAGTAATAACAGATGTTTACAAGGTTGTGGAGAAAAGGGAATGTTTATACACTGCTGGTGGAAATGCAAATTAGTTCGACCGCTGTGAAAAGCAGTGTGGCAATTTTTCAAAGAATGCAAAACATAATTACCATTAGACTCAGCAATCCCATTATTAGGCATATACCCAAAGGAATATAAATCATTCTACTACCATGAAGACATATGCATTTATATGTTCATCACAACACTATTCACAATAGCAAAGACCTGGAATCAACTTAAATGCCCATCAACAGTAGGTTGGATAAAGAAAATGTGGTACATATATACCACAGAATACTACACAGCCATAAAAAGAATGAGATCATGTCCTTTACACAACGTGGATGTGACTGGAGGCCATTATCCTAAGCAAACCAATGCAAGAACAGAAAACCAAATACCATATGTTCTCACTTATAAGAGGGAGCTAAACATTAAGTACACACGGACACATGAGTCCTTGAGGGTGGAGGGTGGGAAGAAGAAGAGAATGAAAAAACTATCTATCAGGTACTATGCTTATTACCTGGGTGATGAAATAATCTGTACAGCAAACCCCCATGACATGCAATTTACCTACATAACAAACCTGCACATGTAACCCTGAACCTAAAATAAAATTTTTTTAAAAGAGTGAATAAAACTTCCAAGAAATGTGTGATTATGTAAGGAGACCAAATCTACATCTCATTGGCATCCCTGAAAAAGAGGGAGGGGAAGCAATCAACTTGAAAAACATATTTCAGGATATCATCCCTTCTGGTTTGTAGGGTAAATTTTCCCAATTTCACTAGAGGGGCCAACATTCAACTTCAGAAAATACACAGGATTCCTGCAAGGTACTATACAAGACAACCATCCCCAAGACACATAGCCATCAGATTCTTCAATGTCAGTGTGAAAGAAAAAATATTAAAGGCAGCTAGAGAGAAGAGGCAGGTTACCTACAAAGGGAACCCCATCAGGCTAACAGCAGACCTGTTAGGAGAAACCCTACAAACCAGAAGAGACTAGGGGCCTATATTCAGCATTCTCAAAGAAAAGAAATTCTGACAGAGAATTTCATATCCAGCCAAAATAAGCTTCATAAGCAAAGAAAAAATATGAGATCCTTTTCAAACAAGAAAATGCTAAGGGAAATTATTACCACCAGATCAGCCTTACAGGAGGTATTTAAGGGAGTGCTAAATAAGGAAATGAAAAGCCATTACTGGCCACCACAAAAACACACTTAAGTACATAGACCACTGATGCTCTAAAGCAACTACACAATGAAGTCTACCTAACAACCAGCTAACAACACAATGACAAGATGAAATCCACACATATTAATATTAAGCTTGAATGTAAATGGGCTAAATGCCCCAATTAAAAGACAGAGTGGAAAGTTAAGTAAAGAAACAAGACCCAATGGTATGCTGTTTTCTTCAAGAGACCCAACTCACATGGAATGACACCTATTGGTTCAAAGTAAAGGGATGGAGAAAGATGAATCCAGTAAGCAGAAAACAAACAAGTAAAAAAGAGCATGGGTTGTTATTCTTATTTCAGACAAAACAGACTTTAAACCAACAATGATCAAAAGGACAAAGAAGGACATTACATAATGATAAAGAGTTAAATTCAATAAAAAGACTTAAGTATCCTAAATGTATTTGCACCCAACACTGGAGCACCAAGATTTATAAAACAAGTTCTTAGAGACCTATGAAGAGACTAAGATAACCACAAAATAATAGTGGGAGACTTCAACACCACACTGGCATCAATGCAGAAAACTAACAAAGATATTTGGGACCTACGCTCAACACTTGATCAAATTGACCTAAAAGACATCTACAGAACATTCCACCCAATAACAACAGAATATACATTCTTCTCATCTGCACATGGCACATATTCTAAAGGTGACCAAATACTTGGCCATAAAGCAATTCTCAACAAACTTAAAAAAAACAGAAATCATAACAACCACACTAGCAGACCACAGCACAATAAAAATAGATATCAATACCAAGAAAATTGCTCAAAATCATACAATTGCATGGAAGTTAAACAATCTTTTCCTAAATGACTTTTGGGTAAACAATAAATTAAGACAGAAATCAAGAAATTGTTTGACTCTATTGAAAATTTAAAAAAAGTACCAGAATTTCTGGGAAACGGCTAAAGCAGTGTTAAGAGGAAAGTTTATAGCGCTAAAGGCCCACACCAAAAAGTTAGAACGATCTCAAATTAACAGCCAGGCATGGTGGCTCATGCCTGTAATCCCAGCACTTTGGGAGGCTGAGGTGGGTGGATCACGAGGTCAGGAGATCGAGACCATCCTGTCCAACATGGTGAAACCCCATCTCTACTAAAAATCCAAAATTAGCTGGGCATGGTGGTGCGTGCCTGTAATCCCAGCTACTAGGGAGGCTGAGGCAGGAGAATCGCTTGAAACAGGGAGTCGGAAGTTGTAGTGAGCCGAGATCATGCCACTGCACTCCAGCCTGGCAACAGAGCAAGACTCTGTCTCAAAAAAAAAAAAAAAAAAAAGAAAGATCTCAAATGAACAACCTAACATCACACCTAGAGGAACTAGAAGAGCAAGAACAAACCAATCTCAAAGCTAGCAGAATGAAAGAAATAATCGAAATCTGAACTGAACAAAATTGAGACACATAAAACTATACAAAAGTTCAACAAAACCAAAAGTTGTTTCTTTGAAAGAATAAATAAGATTGATAGACCATTACCTAGATTAATAAATAAAAAAGAGAAAATTGAAATAAACACAATCAGAAATGACAAAGGGAACATTACCACTGACCCCACAGAAATAAAAAAAAAAAAAACCTGAGAGATTACTACAAATACTTCTATGCACAAAACTAGAAATTTTAGAAGGGATAAATTCCTATAAATGTACAATCTCCCAAGACTGAACCAGGAAGAAATTGAATCTCTGAATAGACCAATAATGAGCTCCAAAATTGAATCAGCAATAAATAGCCTAAAACCAGTAAAAGTCCTAGACCAGGTTCACAGCCAAATTTTACCAGACATAAAGAATACCTGGAACTAATCCTATCAAAATTATTCCAAAAAATTGAAGAGGAGGGAATTCTTCCTAACTCATTTTATGGGCCAACATCATTCTGATACCAAAACCTGGCAGAGATATAATGAAAACAGAAAACTTCCTGATGGACATAGATGCAAAGTCCTCAACAACATACTAGCAAACTGAATCCAGCAGTACATCAAGAAGTGAATCCACCACAATCAAGTAGGCTTTGTCCCTGGGATGCAAGGTTGGTTTAACATATGCAAATCAATAAATGTCATTCATCACATTAACAGAACTAAAACCAAAAACAATATGATCATCTCAATAAACATAGAAAAGGCTTCTGATAAAAGTCAACATCCCTTCATGTTAAAAACCCTCAAGAAACTATGTGTCAGAGGAACATACTTCATAATAATAAGAGCCACCTATGACAAACCCACAGCCAACATCATACTGAACAGGCAAAAGCTGAAAGCATTCCCCTTGAGAAACAAAACAAGACAAGGATGCTCACTCTTACCACTCCTTCAACAGTACTGGAAGTCTCTGCCAGAGCAATCAGGCAAAAGAAAGAAATAAAAGGGATCCAAATAGAAAGAGAGAAAGTAAAAGTATCTCTCTTTGCAGATGATATGATTCTGCATCTAGAACACACCCAGAGTCTCTGCCCACAGGCTCCTATATCTGATAAACAACTCAGCAAAGTTTCAGGATACAAAATCATTGTACAAAAATTAGTAGCATTTATATTCACCAACAATGTCCAAGCTGAGGGCCAAATCAAGAACACAATCCCATTCACAACAGCCCCCAAAAGAATAAAATACCTAGAAATATAACTAACCAGGGAGGTGAGAGATCTCTACAATGAGAATTATAAAACACTACTCAGAGACATCAGAGATGACACAAATAGAAAAACATTCCATATTCATGGATAGGAAGACTCAATGGTGTTAAATTGGCCAAACTACCTAAAGCAATTTACAGAATCAATGTTATTCCTATCAAATTACCAATGACATTTTCCACAGAATTAGAAAGAACTATTCTAAAATTCATATGGGACCAAAAAAGAGCCTGAATAACCAAAGCAATCCTAAGTAAAAAGAACAAAGCCAGAGGCATCACACTACCTGATTTCAAACTATACTACAAGGCTACAATAACCAAAACAGCATGGTACTGGTACAAAAACTGATGCATAGACCAATAGAACAAGTCAGAAAACCCAGAAACAAAGGTGCACACCTACCACCAACTAATCTTTGAAAAAGTTGAAAACAACAAGCACTGGGGAAAGGACTCCCTATTCAATAAATCGTGCTGGGATAACTGGCTAGCCACAAGTAGAATATTGAGACTGGATCCCTACCTTTCACCATATACACAAATCAACTCGACATGGATTAAAGACTTAAATGTAAAATCTAAAAGTATAAAAACCCTAGATGAAAATCTAGGAAATACTATTCTGGACATAGGCCTTGGCAAAGGTTTGATGATAAAGACACCAAAAGCAATTACAACAAAAACAAAAATTCACAAGTGGGATCTAATTAAACTTAAGAGCTTCTGCACAGCAAAAGAAACTATTGATCAATCCAAGATGGCCGATTAGAAGCAGCTGCAGTCCACAGCACTCAGAGAGAGGAATGAAAAGGGGCAAGTGAATTCAGCACCTTCAACTGAAAAATCCTTGTTCTTACATTGGGACTGACTAAGCAAACAACCTGACCCACTGAGAATGAAGCAGTGGGGAGTGACAGCCCACCTGGGAGTGGCACAAAGCCAAAGGAACTCCCACCCTCAGCCAAGGGAAGTGGCAAGTGATTGTACAACCCCGCCCAGGAAACCACACTTCTTCCATGGATCAGGAGATCTCCTCATGAGCCCATGCCACCAGGGTCTTGGGTCTGATATACACAGCTGTGTGGAGTCCAGGCAGAGCAGCCACTCAGGCACACATACTCAGCGGTTTCACATACTCTGGCCCCAGGATCCCTGGCAAGGCAGGAAATCCATCTGTACATATCCCTAGGAAGGGGTTTGAATCCAGGGAGCCAAGCAGTGTTATTCTGTGGGCCCCACTTCCATGGCACCTCACAAGTTAAGACCCGCTGGCTTGGAATCCCAGCCAGCCAAAGCAGCAGGTTGGAATCCACCTGAAATGGGTCCGAGTTTCCAGTGGGAGAAGTGGCTGCCATCTCTTTGGTTTGGTCAACTCAGCCACTCCAGCCTGCCAACTGTGGAGAATACAGACAGTCCAGAAGAGGAAGAATCCCCCACAATACAGCACAGCTGCCTTGACAAATCATGGCCAGACTGCTTCTTTAAGCGAGACCCCGATCCATTCCTTCTCACTGGGTGGGACCTCCCTGCAGGGGCTTCAGCCACTCCAGCGAGGGTTCTAGAGATAGAGCTCTGATCTCTCCCTGGGAAGGAGCTCTGGATGGGAGGTGTGGCTGCCATCTCTGTAGTTCAGTTGACTCAGCCGCTCCAGCCTACTGGCTGTGGAAAACACAGGCAGTTCAGAGAAGGAAGAGTCTCCCCAGCCCCAGTGCAGCACACCTGGCCTACCAAAAAGCAGCCAGACTGCTAATTTGGGTGGGTCCCTGATCCCATTCCTCTTGACTAGGTGAGATATCCCAAAAGGTGCATGCCGGCCAGCAACAGGTCAGCACTCCCCTGGGATGGAGCTTCCAGAGGAAGGAGCTGGCTGCCAACTTTGCTGTTTCATGCCCTTCACTGGTGCTACCTCCGGGTACAGGAAAAACTGAGGCAACTGAGGTCTGGAGTGGGACCCCAGCAAACCGCAGCAGCCCTAGGTAGAGTGGCCTGACTGTTAAAAACAAACAAACAAAAAAACAAAACAGAAAACAACAACAGCATCAACAAAAAAGGCCCCACAAAAATCCCATTCAAAGGTCAGCAACCTCAAAGATCAAAGGTAGATAAGCCCACAAAGATTAGAAAAAATCAACACAAAAATGCTGAAAACTCAAAAAACTAGAGTGCCTCTTCTCCTCCAAATGACCACAATACCTCTCCAGCAAGGGCACAGAATTGGGCTGAGACTGACATGGCTGAATTGAGAGAAGTAGGCTTCAGAAGGTGGGTAATAATGAACTTCACTGAGCTAAAGGAGCCTGTTGTAACCCAATTCAAAGAAGCTAAGAATCATGATAAAACAATACAGGAGCTGATAACCAGAATAGCCAGGTTAGAGAGGAGCATAACTGACCTGATGGAGCTGAAAAACACAACACAAGAAATTCACAATGCAATCACAAGTATCAATAGCAGAATAAATCAAGCCGAGCAAAGAATCTCAGAGCTTGAAGACTGTCTTCCTGAAATAAGACAGGCAGACAAGAATAGAGGAAAAAAGAATAAAAAGGAATGAACAAAACCCCCAAGAAATATGGGACTATGTAAAAAGACCAAACCCACGACTGATTGGGGTACCTGAAAGAGACAGGGAGAATGGAACCAAGTTGGAAAACACACTTCAGGATATTATCCAGGAGAACTTCCCCAACCTAGCAAGACAGGCCAACATTCAAATTCAGGAAATGCAGGGAACCCCAGTAAGATACTCCATTAGAAGATCAACCCCAAAACACATAATCATCAGATTCTCCAAGGTTGAAATGAAAGAAAAAAATGTTAAGGGCATCCAGAGAAAAGCCAGGTCACCTACAAAGGGAAAGCCATCAGACTAACAGCAGACAAATATTGCAATAGAGGAAAAGAGATATCAGTGTAGAAGTGGGCTCTATTCCAAATACAGCATGAGCAAGTGGGAATTTACAGCCATGGAGCAGTGTAGTGAGTCAACGAATGAAAAATTACTGAGAAGAAACATCAGAGGTAAGGGGTATTCTGGCTAAACCACTTGACAGAATTCTTGCTGAAGCCAGGCCATGGTGATCAAATATCACCTGGAAGATAGTGAGGAGTGAAGAATTTGATCAGAAATCAAGGGGGATCTGATATTGAAGGTAGAAGATTCTCACTAAACTGACTTAATGGATCCCTGCTAAAATTGTGCTACACAAAGATGAAAAAGGAAGTCCAAAGGTCAAGACCTGGTTGGGAAGAGAATTCAGAAGAGCCTGACTAAAATTTAGTCAAAGAGAAATTCTGTGTCAACCCAATCCTATCCTTTGAAATACCTGGGACAGCCCTTGTCCATGGGGCTGTGAGACATTCCTTCTTTGTTGAGGACAAGAGCTTTGGCCCTGTGCTAATTGGAAAGCCTTCAGTGGAGTATCAGAATAAAATAACAACAACAATAAAACTATCTGTAGGTGACAGAGACTTAAAATAGCTGTGTTTAATTGGCTGCTAATAACTTTTAAAAGTGAAAGATCTGACAAGAATTCATAACAAGAATGACACAAACGACAAATAAATTTGTTTATTTCTGTGGCATGAAAAACAAGATAATAAAGCCAATCCAAAAAGTTTTAGATAAAGTGTCTGTAAGCATAATAATTAAAACTACTTTCAAAGAAAAGAAGAAACATCACATCTGATTTATAAAAATAGATAAACATATTTTTGCAGAGAAAAAAATCTTCAGCCATAATATAACACTGGGGCTTAGAACACAATACCCCAAAATACGGCACCTTAGTATGCTGAGTAGTTCGAACTGACAGATTAGAAGTCCTCAGAAGTAATGTCTCTCTCTGACCTCCTCCTGCCCTCCTGTCTCATCCTTCTTTCTCTCCCAAAGCAAGTCATAGAAACCAGAATTCCTCTTCCTCATGGCGAGTCATAGAAACTAAGACTCCACTTCCGCAAAGCAAGCTATAAAACTTGGAAAGATCACTCTCTAGTCTTCTCCCTTCTCCCTTGAAGACCCTCATTCCAGAAAGATCCTGCCCCATACCTAGGAGGAAGGAATGCTACACAGAGATGCCAAGGAGAATCTGAACAGACAGCACTTGTTGGGTTTCTCCCTCAGTTTATTACCAACAGATCACACCCTTTTGTCCAATCCCATTTCCATATACCTGCCCATTCTTCATCAAACCTAAGCACAAAAATAATCATTTGACCTGGGCCTTTGGGTCTTCATTTCTGAAGGCTCCCGTGTCACATAAAACTTTGATCAAATAAATTTGTTATGCTTTTCTCTTGCTAACCTTTCCCTTGTTATAGGGGTGTCGGCCATGACCCTAATGCTGGGTAAGGAAAGGCACCACACCTTTCTATCCATAGAATAATATAATACAATATTAATATAATACAATGATAATATAATGTAATATAATAAAACACAATATATCATTAATATACCAAGCATATATTAAGAATATACCGAGAATAACAAGTAAAGAGACTTCATGGAGTAGGTCCTAGACATCTGTATTTTTATTAAATTCCATAAGTAAATCAATTGAAAATCACTGGACTAGATTCAAAAGGGCTGTGGCAAAGTAAGCATTTTTAAATTACAAGCTAAATTGTATCTGACAATACTATGCTGTTTTTGTTGTTATTGTTGCCTAATATCATCACACAAAGCAACATCAGGGCTCTGGTAAATAGAATCATATTCTAAAGAGCAAGGGCATTGAAAAATTTCTAGGAACTTCCCAAGCAGCAATCAATTTCTGAAATATTTTTATTGAACACATTTTACCTATGAAAATTTAATCTAGGCAAAGCTAAGCATCTTTTCTGATTTGACAGCTCTTCCAATCCAACTCATCAGTTGTAACTTATCAAATAAACCTAATTACTTTGAACATATCTTTTTTGTAGGGTGAAAGAGCAAATCTTTGTAATTTTCCTAGAGCTCTCTAGGAAATCTCAAAGATCATTTTATGTGTAGAAAGATATTCTGAAAGTTTTATTTTATTTTATTAGATTTGGTTTAGAGAAGGCAAAAATCAAAAAAGTTTTTTTAGAGATTTGGACACGATTCGGATGGGATAATGGGTAACTGAGAAACCATACCTCATTACCCATTTAACCAAAGTGAGAACAAAACATTTTCTAAATATATAGATTTTAGCAAGGCTGTAAAAAATTTTGGCTCTTTAATACGTGAGGAAGATTTTGTTCATTTTCTTAAGTGCTCAAAAGCACAAAATGTCAACATCCAACATAGAAAACTGTCATTTAGGCAAATTACAGAGGAAAGGAACAGTTCACACTATAGGCAAACAGTAAACTAAAGCCATAAGCCCATCATAACTGAGCAAACTTTGCTAAGATTTTAACAAATATCATAGCTTTTCAGACTCAAGTACTATAAATTAAACCAAAGTAATTAAAATTCACTTTCCAAGTTTTGTCCTTTGTTAGGATTGCTTATATTCTGGAATAAGCTGACACTTCAGGGCAAATCTCTTGCAAGGTTAGAACTAATTTAAAAACAATACTGGCCAGGCACGGTGGCTCATGCCTGTAATCCCAGCACTTTGGGAGGCCGAGGCGGGCGGATCACGAGGTCAGGAGATCGAGACCTTCCTGGCTAACACGGTGAAACCCCATCTCTACTAAGAACACAAAAAATTAGCTGGTCGTGGTGGCGCGCGCCTGTAGTCTCAGCTACTCAGGAGGCTGAGGCAGGAGAATGGCGTGAACCCGGGAGGCAGAGGTTGCAGTGAGCCAAGATCGCGCCACTGCACTCCAGCCTGGGTGACAGAGCAAGACTCCATCTCAAAAAAAAAAAACAAAAACAAACAAAAAAAAAAAAACTAAGATATCGTTAACATGCAACATGTTCATCAATGCTGTCTTCAAATGAATCTGTAAGTATTTACATATTTAAACAATTTCAAACTTTCGATTTCCAACATGATAAGTATCAATAGTTATGACACTCAGGAAAATAACAGCAAACAACCTCTTTGGGGTCCTCAATAATCACATGAACCAATTCCTTATTTTATATATATATATATATATATATATATATATATATCTTTCTCTCTCTCTCCTTTTCCCTTTCCCTCTCTGTCTGTCACTTTCTTTATATATCCTATTGGTTCTGTTTCTCTGGAGAACCCTGACTAATATAAGGTCTTAATCCATCACAGTCAAAATATCTTACTTTTTCAAATTTTACAAAAATGTAAAGCCATATGAGTACATTACTAGGACCTTAGAAAGTGTCCATGCATATGAGGGTCCCTGGAGCTTAAGATTCATTAGCTTCATAGTAAATCTACCTCTACTTCTATTCATCTTTCAAACTCTGACCTTCAAAGAAGCTTTCCTGACTCCCCGACGTCCCTTTCCTACTCCCAGATAAAAATGATTATTCACTCCTGTGTTACTTCTATACATGTACATTTGTAATATTGTGTTTGCTACCCTGGTTTACCTTAATAGTTTGTAAGCTTCTTAAGAGGAGGTGCAGTGTCTTGTCTATTTCTATATTCCCAGTGCCTTACAAAGTAGGGCCTCAATAAACATGAATGAATGAAGAATGAATGATGAATGAATACCAAACATGGCTTATTTTGCTAGCCATTCAGAGCTCTCCAGCTGCAAAATCTCTCAGCGCACTACATCCCATCACACCTCCACTACCCGAACATAGTCCATTCATTTTCCTTCCTTTTCCACTGCCCCAGTCACCACAAAAATACACTCATCTGTTGCAGTTATCTATTGCTGCATAACAAACTATCTCAAATTTAATGGTGCAGAACAGTAACAATCATTTGTTTTGATCTCTCCCTGTCTGGTGGTTAGCTTAGCTTAGTTTGGTGGTTCCTCAGTTAGGGTCTTCAACATAGTTGCAGTCAGCAGCTGGAGGTGAGGCCATTCCCAAAGCCTCCTGACTAACAGATCTGTACCTGGACTGGAAAGACTCAAACAGCTGGAGCCCAGAACAGTTGGGGTTCCTCAAATATCTCTGTCTCTAAGTGGCAAATCCAACATGGTGGCTTCAGGGTAGCTGAACTTCTTACATGATGGCTCAGAGATCCAAAGGTGTATGCCCTAAAGGAGAAAGAATCAAACAGGAACTGTATACAATTTTGTGACTTAGACTGAAAAGTAATACTGCAACCTATTCCTTAGAAGCAAGTCATTAACACCAACCTAAATTCTAGGGGAAGGCAGTTAGACTTTACCTCTTGATGGGAGGAAGATTAAAGAATTTGTAGGTATATTTTCTAACTACCACATTATCCCGTTGCACAGTCTTATGCAGACCTCACTCCCTCATAGGTGGCAGCAAGCTAATCAAATCTGACTGCTGAGAACATCTTGGAATTTCTTTTCTTTGAAAATGCTGAATATAGGACCCCAGTCTCTTCTGGTTTGTAGGGTTTCTCCTAACAGATCTGCTGCTAGTCTGATGGACAATAATTTTTTGGATATGACCCGGAAAGCACGGGCAACAAAAGCAAAAATAGATAAATGGGATTGCCTCAAACTAAAAAACTTCTACACAGCCAATGAAACCATTAACAGAGTAAAGAGGCAACCTATGGTATGGGAGAATATATTTGCAAACCATACATCTGATAAGGGGTAATATCCAAAATTATAAGGAACTCAAAAAACTCGATAGCAAGAAACAAATAACCCATTAACAAGTGGGCAAAAGACCTGAACAGATATTTCCCAAAAGAAGACATAGGAATGGCCAACAAATGTACAAAAAAAAAAAAAAAAAGCTCAACATCACTAGTCATCAGGGAAATACAAATTAAAATCACAATGAGATATCACTTCATACCTGTGTGAATGGCTATTATCAAAAACATGAAACATAAATGTTTGTGAGGATGTGAAGAAAATGAAACCCTGGTCCACTGTGGGTTGCAATATAGATTAGTACAGCCAATTGGAAAACACTATAGAGGTTTCTTAAAAATCAAAAAAGACAATTACCATATGATCCAGCAATCCCATTTCTAGGCATATATCAAGAGGAAAAAAAATTAGTATGTCAAAGAGATATCTGCGCTCTCACGTTTATTGCAACATTATTCACAATAGCCATGATATGGAATCAACCTAGGTGTTGATCAATGGATCAATGAATAGAGAAAATGTGGCATACACAATGGAATACTATACAGCTTTTAAAAAGAAGGCAATTCTCTAATTTGCATCAACGTGAATGAAACCAGAGCACATTATGCTAAGTTAAATAAGCCAGGCACAGAAACAAATTACTGTATGATCTCACTTATATGTGGACTGCAAAAAAGTTAAACTCATAGAAGCAGAGAGTAAAATGATGGTTACCAGGGTGGGAGTTAGGTGCTTGGGAAGATGATGGTCAAAAGCTACAAAATTCTAGCTTACACAGGAGGAATAAGTTCAAGAGATCTTTTGTACAACATGGGGAATATAATTGACAATGTATTGCATTCTTAAAAATTGCTAAGAGAGTATACACACACCTAGACAATGAAAAATTATTCAGCTTTTCAACAAGAAGAAAATTCTGCCATTAACAAAAACATGAATGAACTTAGAAGACATTATGCTAAGTGAAATAAACCAGGCCTGGAATGTCAAATTACTGCATGATCTCATTTATATGTAGAATCTAAAAATGTCAAACTTGTGAAAGCAGAGAGTAAAATGGTGGTTGCCAAGGGCTGGAGAGTCAGGGAAAAGGGATGTTGGTCAAAGGGTATAATTTTTAGTTCTGCAGGATGAATAAGTTCTGGAGATCTAATGTAGCCTGGGGACTATAGTTCATAACACTGTAATGTACACCTGAAATTTGCTTAGACAGTAGATCTTAAATGTTCTCACCACACACAAAAAATGGTAACTATGTGAGGTGATGGATATGTTAATTAGCTTAAGAGTGGTAATCATTTCACAATGTCCATGTATGTCAAAACATTACATTAAAAAACAATCCTAAAATTTATATGGAGCAACAAGAGACCCAGTATACCCAAAGCTATCCGAAGAAAAAAGAACAACACTGAGGGAATCACATTACCTAACTTCAAATTATACTACACAGCTATTGTAACCAAAATAGCATGGTACTTACATAAAAATACACACACAGACCAATAAAACAGAAGAGACAATCCAGAAGCAAATCCAGACACCTACAGAAAATCCATTTTCTACAAAGGTGCCAAGAACATACAATGGGGAAAAGACAATCTCTGATAAATGCTGGGAAACCTGGATATCCATATGCAGAGGAATGAAACTAGATCCCCATCTCTCACCATATACAAAAATCAAATCAAAATGGATTAAAGACTTCCCACATTATAAAGCTACTACAAGAAAACTTTTGGGAAACTCTCCAGCACAGCACAGGCAACCAAAGCACAACTGGATACATGGGATCACATCAAGTTAAAAAGCTTCTGCACAGCAAGGGAAACAATCAACAAAGTGAAGAGCCAACCCACAGAATGGGAGAGAAAATGTTTGCAAACTACCCCTCTGACAAAAGGTTAATAACCAGAGTTTTAAGGAGCTCAAACAACTCTACAGAAAAAAAAATCTAATAATCCAATCAAAAACTGGGCAAAAGATATGAACAGACATTTTTCAAAAGGAGACATACAAATGGCAAACAGGCATATGAAAAGGTGCTCAACATCATTGATCATCAGAGAAATGCAGGTCAAAGCTACAATGAGATGTCATCTCACCTCAATTAGAATGCCTTATTGGCTTGTATCCAAAAGACAGGCAATTGCAAATACTGGTGAGGATGTGGCGAAAAGGGATCCTTTGTTCACTGTCAGTGGAAATATAAATTAGTACAACCACTATAGAAAACAATCTGGAGGTTCCTGAAAAAAACTAAAAGTAGAAGTAACGTATGGTCCAGCAATCCCACTGCTCAGTATACACCCAAAAGAAAGGAAATCAGTATATTGAAGAGATATCTGCACTCACATGTTTGTTGCAGCACTGCTCAAAACAGCCAAGATTTAGAAGCAACATAAGTGTCCATGAACAGATGTATGAATAAAGAAAATGTGGTACTTTTACACAATGGAGTACTATTCAGCCACACAAAAAGAATGAGATCCTGTCATTTGCAACAACATAGATGGGACTGGAGGTCACTATGCTAAGTGAAATGAGCCAGGCACAGAAAGACAAACATCACATGTTCTCACTTATTTGTGGGAGCTATAAATCAAAGCAATTGAACTCATGGAGACAGAGGGTAGAATGATGGTTACCAGAGGCTAGAAAAAGTAGTGGGGTGGTGGGGAGAGGTGGTTATGGTTAATGGGTGTGAAATACAGAAAGAATGAATAAGACCTAGTATTTGATAGCATAGCAGGGTGACTATTGTCAATAATAATTTAATTGTAGATTTAAAAAAAACTGAAAGAGTATAATTGGATTGTTTGTAACACAAAGGATAAATGCATGACGTAATGGATACTCCAATTACTCTCATGTGATGATTATACATTGTATGTCTGTATCAAAATATCTCATATACCCCATAAATATATACACCTACTATGTACCCACAAAAATAGAATTAAAACTTTTTTTAAAAAGGGCATTACATTGGACACCTTAAATATATATATATTTTTTTATCCATCAATTATATCTCAATATAGCTGGAAAATAATCAAAATTTTGTAAAAGATGGCAGGATTCATTCAGAGAATTATCAAGGAAGGATTATAATTATTTTATTGTACTTTGTATCCTCCCATTCCTAATCCACAGAACCCCAAATTTAACAAATATAAACCCAAAAGTAACCATAATATTCCTCTCCATCACTGACCACCTTTTAAGCAAAACTTTTAAAAGAAGGGTCTCTCTCTGTAGCCAGCTGTCTTAGACCAGTTTATCCTAAAAGCAGACACTGAGAAGAGAATTTGTGTGCAAGTGACTCACCAAGGAAGTGCTCCCAGAAGAAACCATTAAGGGAATAGAGGAAACAGGGTGAGAAAAGGGAGGAAATCAGTCAAGGGTATAATTTCATGTGATATTCCAGACTCAGCCTGAGGTCTGGTGGGTAAATTACATGTCAGAATTTGTTTTGCCTGGAGACAGGGAAGCTGGGTCTTGTATTCCCACCCCAGTCTGTCATCGGCTACTGAGCAAGGGGCAGGAGTGGGGATGTAAGTTCCAGGCATTTCCAAACAATAGTGTGCTAGAGCCAGTTTGTACTGGCTTTCCAGAGGTAATTATTCCCAATTCTGAATTCAATAAAGTCTCATTGGTAGGTTGAAATCAGTCATAGTACGCATATTTATGCCATAAAAAATTATTAATACTACAAACCAGGATGTCAGGGGTTTTTTTAGAGAGAGAGAAATAGTTGTTAAACATTTACCAACACACCACTGCTTCCAATTCTGTACAGCTGAGGTGATATTTGTGCCTAGGGACAATCCTTTGAAGGTCACAGGTGCCAGCCATTAGCTGCAAAGCCTGCAGAAGCTGGAAGATGGACACACAGCATTAGTAAAAGGAATAGAGGTGGTCTGGGTGGGGTGCCAGTAGTGTCTACTACACCAGCACAAATCTACTCTGCTTAAATATGGACCCACCATAAAGAACTCAAAGATGAGTTCTTTCATCTTTGAGGAAAAAAACAGCTGAACATGCAAGACTTGATGTGAACCTGGGGAGTACCTCCATCACTTACTTGGAAGATAGGAGAACTGGATAAATTATACCTGCCACTCAGGTCTGTGCCCGCAGATGCATTTACTCACAGGCTGGGTGGCAATGAGGAAGAAGAAGGTCCTTCTTCTGAAAGCCAGTGCATTCTTCCCTACTTGGCCCCATTCATAACTCAGTGTCTGACCAGGGAGTCTTCACAATGACAGCACCTTGTTATTAACAAAGGGGACAAATAGGAATCAAGGTGTTTCTTCCATGGAGAAGAGAACAAAGAACAATATCCAGCCATTACAGCCATTGACCTACTGGCTGGTGACTAGCTCCATTTCCATGGAAACAGAAAGCAGAACAGGAAAAAGAAAGGCCTTTCAGAATTATTTTTTGTGTTTTGAGTTGCTTTTTATAAAATAAAGCCAGCAAGGCGCCTCCGTTTTCTCAGCCCTGACCCCTACATTGCTCTCCAGAGCAACCAGTAGGCAGTAGAACAGAATGGCAAGAGGGTACCTGCCCACCCACTAAGCCTCCCCACCAGCCAAGGCAGCCTGACCTGGCGGGGCACCACACAATGGCAGCCACCCTGAAGAGGGGGTGACTTCGGAAGAAAACAAGAACAGTTACTTCCAAGGAGAACAAAGCCTTATGCAAAGAGCTAGCTGCTTTTTACATGTCTTTTTGACTTAAAAAAAAAAAAAAGTATGTATGTGCCTTAGAGAAAAAACTGCATCCTTCAGTGAAGCAACATTTTGAAATTATGGTAAAGCTTCACAGGTTGAAGTGCCGCAAATGTACTAGCCTTCCATCACCCCCTATCCTGGGCACTTTGGGAGAGATGGTCAGAGCAAACTGACCCTTGGGGCACTGAGTTCTGTTTTACATCTTGGCCGCACTCCGGAAATCAAAAGCGTCTGTGGGCGCTCTGCCCCTTGGCATCTAGCCTGGGAACACGGAGCTCAGCCTCTTGACCAAGCCAAGGGGAAGCCGAGAAACAGTATCTCTGACAACATGCCTGATTTGCCTTGTGCAAGCTTCATGGAAAGCAACCATTTTAAGAGAAGCAAAGAACCCTATAGCCCACACACAACTGCCATAGAGAGAAAAAGTAGAATTGAGGGGAAAAAAAGACACCAAAAGAAGCGACCAGTGCCAATCTCTCTTTTCAGAAAGTCGAGTTTGCCTTGGTAACCATAACTCATAGTTGCCATAGTGATGAGTACGGTTGCATAGGAAATCTGATTTTATAGACAGAGACTAAAAAACAAAAAAAGTTCTGCGGGGCTCTTAAGTTTGGGGCCTTAAGTTCTACTGAGTAGTGGGTTTTTTCCAGGAGCAGCCTCTGGAATGAAGATTTGGGTACAAGTGATTTATGAAGGAAGTGCTCCCAGAGAAAGTGGTAAGGGAATGGGGAAAAAAACCACGCAGGTTTAGGTGATATCCCAGCATCAGCTGATCCTGCAGGGAGCTCTAAGGAAAAAAATTGCTCTTCAGAGTTTGGTAGGTCTGAAGGCAAGCGAACTCGAATTGTATAATTCTGTAGCTGTTGGCTAAGGGTCACCCCAGGAATGTAAACCTTCAGCCACTTCTGGCACCAGTAGTCCCAGGGGAAACCGCTGCAGAGGAACTACAGGTGCAGGCCATTAGCAACAAAGCCCACAGGAGGTGGGAAGAGACATAATGCACTAATAAAGGAGGTCCAAGGGAATTCAAGGGGGCATCACAGTGTCCTCTTTAAATATGGCCAAGCTACTTGCTAAACAACATGAAAACTACCATTTGACCATCCACCCTCTCAAAGACATCAATTTCCTTAAGGTCTTTCTCAGGTAGCAGGGCCAGGACCAGAGTGAGACAAGGAAGACACTCACCTCTTGCACAAAATTTAAGGGAGCACCAAAAATCTCAAGAATTAAGACAAATAATATTTTAATTAATTACTTTTTAAAATAAAATTACAGAAAAAATTCATGATGAAAAAATATCAATATTTTAAATAAAGAATCGGCCCTCCCCTGCCCCATTCAGCTCACCCTAATCCTAGCCCAGCCTGGTCCTTTAGTGACAAAAACAGGAGGCTGGCCTGTGGGCTGTAGTTTGCCACTTTGATTTTTTTAATAGTGCTTTAAAATATTATGTGTCTTAATTGCTAAGAATTTTGGTGCTCCCATAAATTTTTCACTAGAGGCAAGTTCCTCACTCACTTCACCTTAGTCCCAGCCCTGCTCAGGGGAGTAACAACTTCCTGAGAAGTGGGCAGCATGCAAGGATTTCTTTCCTGTGACAACTACCCCCTCAACATACACACAGATACATCCTTAAATCCCTTTCCTTTCCCAATCTCCAACCCCAATTGTCAATCATTAGAGATTAAGATTTTTTTTTTTTTTTTTGAGACGGAGTCTTGCTCTGTCGCCCAGGCTGGAGTGCAGTGGCAAGATCCTGGCTCACTACAACCTCAGCTTCCCGGGTTCCAGCAATTCTCTTGCCTCAGCCTCCCGAGTAGCTTGGATTACAGGTGCACGCCATCATGCCTGGCTAATTTTTGTATTTTTTAGTAGTGATGGGGTTTCACCATGTTGGCCAGGCTGGTCTTGAACTACTGACCTCAGGTGATCCACCCGCCTCAGCCTCCCAAAGTGCTGGGATTACAGGCATGAGCCACCACGCCCAGCCAAGATGTTTTTAAAAGTTGTTTTCCATTAACCAAATAAATACATTTTTGTACATCTTAAAATCTTCCAGCTCCCAGGAAGACCCGCCTGCTACGCTGATCATGCCTTCAATTAAAGTGACCAAATCATCTCTGCTTGCCTCAAACTTTCCTGATTTTAGCACTGAAAGCCACACATCCCCGGAAACCTCTCAGTTCCAGCCAACCAGGATAGTTGGTCAACCTACTTGTAATGCTGCTTCTCTAGAAGAGGACTGTGCCATTTCTTTGGATTCTGGACCCCAGGGCAGTGTCCCTATTCCAGTTACTATGGCTACATAGCAAACCTCTCCAAAATGGTGACGTAAAACAACCACCATTTAATATGTCTTTGGAATTCATGGGTCAGGAATTTATGCAGAAGATATCTGGACTCTCAGCTGGGAAGACTCAAAGGCTAGGGTGACTTGGCTGTTGGTTGGAACCTCAGCTGGGCTGTCAGCCAGAATACCTCTCCATGGTCTTTCTATGTGATCTGTCTGCATGAGCTAGTTAGGGTTTCCTAAGAGCATGACAGCTGGTTCCAAAAGCGAGCATCTCAAGAGACTAAGATGGAAGTGTGGAGCATCTATGATCTAGCCTCAGAAGTCACTGATATGGTTTGGATGCTTTGTCCCCTTCAAATCTCATGTTGAAATGTGACCTCCAGTGTTGGAGATGGAGTCTAGTGGGAGGTGTTTGGGTCACAGGGGCAGATCCCTCATGAATAGCTTGATGCTGTCCTCAAGGTAACGAATGAGTTCTCACTCTATGAGTTCACATGAGAGCTGATTGTTTAAAAGATCTTGGTACCTCCTCCCCTCTCTCTTGCTCTCTTCTCTCTCTTGCTCCCTCTTGCCATGTGACCTGCTGGCTCCCACTTTGCCTTCCACTATGATTGTAAGCTTCCTGAGGCCTAATCAAAAGCCGAGCAGATGCTGGTGCCATGCTTGTACAGCCTGCAGAACTGTGAGCCAAATAAATCTCTTTTCTTTAAAAATTGTCCAGCCTCAGGTATTCCATTATAGCAATGCAAACAGACTAATACAAGCATACGCCATCACTTTGACCATATTCTGTTGGTTGAGGCAGTCAGAAAGGCCCACCAGGTTCAAGGCAAAGGGACTGAGACTCCACCTCTTAATGGTGACTAACACAGGTGTAGAAGAGCATGTAGAATGAAGACCTTGTTTCAGGCATCTTTGGAAAATATGGTCTGCCACAGTCACACAAGCAACAGGATGTCTCCAGAGGAGGTGAGAAGAAATTTGGAGAACCTCCCACGCCTCAGCATGATCTCCAGCCCCCTCAAGATTCCTAGGTGCTTGCCCTGTGATGCTGTGAAGAGGCACGGGGATAGAAATTCTGGGCAAGAAGAGAGACCCAAAGTCCTGAGGGCCCTTAGGATGATCTTGGGCACCCGAACAACGACTGGACAATGGGGACCAGAAACAAGCTGTTTTTCTATGGAGTGAGGATTTTCATCCCCCAGGAGCTCTGATTCCTCCCTACCTCCTTCCCCTGATCAACACTTCTGTTATAGACTGAATGTTTATGTCCTCCCAAAATTTACATATTGAAGCCCTAACCCCAGTGGGATGGTATTTAGAGGCGGGGCCTTTGGGAGATGACTAGATTTAGATGAGGTCATGAGGGTGGGGCCCTCATGATGGGAATAGCCTCCTTTTAAGAAAAGGAAGAGGTTTGCCCTCCTCTCACCATGTGAAGACACAGTGAGAAGGTGGTCACCTACAAGCCAGGAAGAGGGCCCTCACCAGAATCCAACTACACTGGCACTTTGATCTTGAACCTCCAGCCTCCAGAAGTATGAGAAAATAAGTGTCTGTTATTTAAAGCCATCCAGTCTGTGTAGTATTTTGTTATGGCAGCCTGAACAGACTAAGACAACTTCTCCCATAGAGATCATGCCCAAAGGAAAGAAGTAAAAGTATTTGTGAATCCCCTCACGTGCCCACAGTAGTGCATGCACTGGGAGGGGGTGCCTTCCCTCTGATCACTATCTAAGGTGGCCACCAATCCCTGGGAAGGACTCCAGAGCCTCCAGTTACTGGCCACAGAAACTTCAGGCTTGTTTGCTCAGATCCCTGGTGAAGCATTCCCTCCTAGGGTGCTTTTGTCTTGGAAGGGGCAGAGGCCAAGAGCTCTTTAGGTCAAGGCCCTAAATGCACCTGACTTCCAAATGTGTGTGAGAGCTAGCCCACATGCCATTGTACAAACATAATTTGCAAGAAGAAAAGCAATCAGAGGCTTTAAATACAAAATTGGAAGATATATTTTTAAAGTTCAGTGACAGTAAAAGCATCAAAATCCCTTTGTGTGGGGGTTTTCAAGGCCAAATTAAGATCCCTGAGGGAAATTTAGAGATATGAAGCTCTGTCTCTTTTAAAACTTAAATACTCAGGGGACAGCACACACCTGTGTGACTTTGATTCTTTTGTTAAAGCTGTGGAAAAAAAAAAAAAAAAAAGAAGAAAGCCACCTTTTAGCTCTGTATTTCAAGCCTGAGTAGTGAGCGGAGAGAACAACCCACAATATAGTATAAGAATAGCAACTAAAAGAGAAGGATACGAAACTGACAAATAGGCCTTATTAATGGTTTCCACAAAGTAGGCAAGTCAGAAAAAGTTAAAAGAGTTCCAGGGTGGTTTGCGGGTACATCTGCCGGTCAATTTTCAAGCAAAATTTTTATTTTCATGTTTTTTCCTATATTCAAAACTAAATCAATGGTGGTGTGCATGCATTTTGTTATTGTTGTTGTCATCATCAGGCTATCTGTTTAGGCCTCCTGATAATGAGCTGTTTGCTCTTCTTATATTTGATTCAGACTTCCTTAAAATGACTAAGTTTTCATAAAGAAATAAATGAACACCCAACCCTACAATGGATTAGAATCTAATTTAAAGGTTACACCAGTTGCTATTGATTTTTGTTTCCTATAATGGGGTCCAGTGAGTCAATAACATATTGTGCAGATTAGAAAGAGGACTACAAATTTTTCCCCTCTCAGTATCCATGCCACTGAAAGGTGCATTGCAGATTTTGTATCCAGAAGTGGGGTTTATTTTTTCATCTGTTGAGTCTGAGTTAGCCATGTAACTTCTTTTGGCCAATGAGATGTTAGTATTATGACACAAGGAGAGATTTCCAAAATATTTGCACACTGGAGCTTCTCTTAAAAACTTACTTGCAATTGTGTTGAACAATCCCAGGCCTGAGAGACATGTGACTCAATCACGCCTGTCACCACAGCCACCAACAGCACCAGCCAACCCTTGGAAGCAGAGCCACTAACTGATGGGAAGCCAACTGCAGATGAGTGAGTGACCCAAGCTGAGACCAACAGAAGAACTATTCAACTGAGCCCAGCCAAAGTTCCCAACCCACAGGCTGGTGAACTAAGTAAATGGTCGATATGTTAAGCCATTATATTTTGGAGTGGTTTGTTATGCAGCAGTGGTTAACTAACACACGTGGACTCACAGGTGTTTATTTCCCTGATGAATTTCTTAATAAAAGAGGTAACAAAGGGCACATGTATCAAATAATATCAGTGTCCATTTAATCTCATGATACTTGGAATTGTTATCATTTTTGATTTTTTTTCTTTATTTTTTTCCCTCTGGAAAGAGAATTTTTGATTTTTAAAACATATTTCCTCTTGCATCTCCCCATGGCAACAGTGTCAGTTGGTAGGGTTTAGGTTAAATCAAGGGTGTGGCCAGCAGTTGAAGGGCAGAACGTGAAGCTGGGTACTTTCAGCCTCTGTTTTTGACCCAACACTGGAGGGCACAGCAGCCAAGTGGCCAAAGCTCCCTGCCCTCAGCCATTGACCTTGAAGACTTCAAGGCTCCTTTCTGTGTCCTCAGTCCTCGGGGTGCAATTTGCACTCCCTGCCCCCATGGGCCTCTTTCCATAAGGGTTTGTTACAGGAACAGAAGTACAACAGCCAATTGCCATGCAATCAGTGCAGTTGTACAGGGCCTCACATTTAGACAGAAAGGCCCCTGTGGTGGAAAGAGTTAACAAAGCAGGCCTGACTGCTTAGCCTTGAAAAGATCTGCTTACAAGGTTGGCCGTTGGCTGATGTCTGGGAAGTTGGATTTTAGGAGGGTTCCCACCCTTCCCTAACTGATAAGATGGTTCATTGCCCCTATATTGTTCATACAAATAATGAGGTTTATGCTGAACAGCAGCTTTTCTCCTGGGAATCTGGAATTTGGGTACATGCCAAGCAAGGGGTGCCTATGTGACCAGCCCCCAATCAAAACCCCAGGCACTGAATCTGTAATGAGTATTCCACAGTTGGCAACATTTCACGTGTTGTCACAACTTGATTGTGACTTCACGGGGAGAGGACTCTTAGAAAACTGCACCTGGCCTGCCCCGGACTTTGTCCCATGAGCCTTTTGCCTCTGCTGACTTTGTTTTGTATCCTTTCGTTGTAATAGCCATGAGTGTGACTATATGCTGAGTCCTGTGAGCCCTCGTAGTGAATCATTGAACCCACAGATGGTCTTGGGGATCCCAGACCCAGACCCAGACCCAGACCCACATTTGGAGTTTAATGCTCTGCAGTCACCATTTTTACATTCTTCATTTTTATCTTTGAATTTGTGCTTACTAAGTGAAGTCATCTGTTGAATCTGGGTTGGCCATGTAACTTCCTTTGGCCAATGGTACATTAGTATTATGAACAACAGAGCTTGCTCCAGAGACTTTAAATCTTTCACCCTCACCTCTCCCCATCTCCCAGGAATGATTCCCACCTCCATACCACCTCACCACCCAGGATTGCTGCTGCATTCTGCCACCAGCATGTCCCTAGGCAAAAAAATGGGGTTGAGCACGTTTGCCCTGAGGGTCTCTGGGTGGGGCATGGTGGCCACGGCCCTTGCCAAGGCTAGCAACTCCATTGTGCGTTCTTATATTCAATTCAGTCTTCCTTAAAATGACGAAGTTGGGTTGGCCGCGGTGGCTCACGCCTGTAATCCCAGCACTTTGGGAAGCCGTGGCGGGCCGATTGCCTGAGCTCAGGAGTTTGCGACCAGCCTGGGCAACACGGTGAAAACCTGTCTCTACTAAAATACAAAAAATTAGCTGGCCGTGGCAGCGTGTGCCTGTAGTCCCAGCTACTCAGGAGGCTGAGGCAGGAGAATTGCTTGAACCTGGGAGGCGAAGGTTGCAATGAGCCAAGATCATGCCACTGCACTCCAGCCTGGGCGACAGAGCGAGACTCCGTCTCAAAAAAAAAAAAAAATGACTAAGTTTTCCTAAAGGAATAAATGAACACCCAACCCTACAATGGATTAGAATCCAATTTAAAAGTTATACCAGTTGCTATTGATTTTTGTTTCTTATAACGGAGTCCAGTGAGTCAATAGCATATTGTGGAGATTAGAAAGATTAGACACTGGGGTGACTTGGCAGAGGCCAAGGCTCTTGTCCACCTCCATCCATGTACTCAGCAGGTCCAGGTACAGAGGTTGCAGTGCCTTTTGCAGGTGGGGGCCCTTTTTCATGGTTTGAGGCAGTGGGCCCACTGGAAGGAGAGATGCCTGAAGGCTTCCCTGTTCCTGTCACATTGCATATCAGTCTGGCAGCTGGTAGCATCCCAGTGTCAGGACAGAGCCCCCCGGTGCCTGTGAGAGTCTGCGTTTAACACACAGGATATATGCCCAACGAAGCACAGCATTAAACAGCAGGTAAAAATAACATGACAGACAGGTGGAGAGAGAGATTATCTGTGAAAGAAAAGAACAAGCTTTATATTTTGGTACCTTTAATGGCACATTTTTCCTGCTTTTTGAACAAGGGGCTCCCACATTTTCTGTTTGAACTGAGCCTCGAAAATTCTGTAGCCAACCCTGACAACAGCTGAATATGTTGAGCTCTTGGCATGTTCCCTGCATCATCTCATTTCATCCTCACAACTATTTCCCATGCTTTTGGACTGATATCCTTGAATTGCGTTTTTCAACTTTTTCAACCATGACTTTGAGTAACAAATCTATTTTACGTCATGGCTCCTACATATAAATTAAACAACTGTTTCACTAAATAATACCGCTGTAACATATGATAAAGTAAAGACATAAAGTTAATAGCACGTGTGATTTTATGAAAACTTAAATACAATATTAAAAACTCCCCAATAAATAGTATAAAAAACAAAACTTGGAAGAAAATGTTTTTGATGAAGCTCGACAGCCTAGATCATAAAGGAGCAAGGATACATGTATAACTAGAACACTGTTGAGCCTGTTTTTAGACTAGTTTTTTCTTTTAAGCTGATCACAGCCTAAACTGATTTCACAATACTCAATTAATGGGTCACTTTCTATTATTTGAAATACAGTCTTCTGGAGTAATGCTCCCCTACCTCTGCCCCTAATATCATGCAAAATGTGATTAAGTGTTCCACAGAGAAAGGGTTCCACAGGGAATAAATATAGCAAATGCTGCATATGCATTACCGTCGTAGATATTCACAATGCACATTACCATATTACTATCTCTGAGAAACCCTATAGTGGAAAGAAATAGATTATCCAATCTTTATCAACCATTAGCATATAATCCTTCCTAGGTATTTATTGGGTCAAGAGAAAATACACCCCTGATATGTGGATATTTTAAAAGAGTAAAAACAACAAAACTGTATCTTTGATTTTACAAAATGGGGTCAAAATTACTCTCAGATAAAAAGCCATAACTTTAATAGATTTTATTGTTTTAAAACATAAATTTTAAAATATTAATTAAAGAGTCTATTCAAGACACGTATCAGAAGATAATAAAACAACTCAAGGAAAATCAGGATGATAGAAATAATTGAAAATCATAAATTTAAAAAAGGAAAATAAAATTTTTCTTTAAAAATTGAATTTTGTCAAATACAATTTTAAAGAGAGAAAAAAACACAAATAAATAGACACAATGGGTAAAAGAGAGCAAACAGATGTGTGGGTTTGACCATCTTGATAACATAAAGAATTTTCTGGAAAATATAATGAAGAAGGAGAAAACTCAAACAGATCAATAACAATAAAAAAAGAAAAGCATTTGCAAGGAAGTACCTTCAAAGGAAGGCTGGGGGACCAAATAATCTTACCAGTGAGTCTTTTCAAACTTTCAGTAAGCTAATTTGTAATGTTCCATAAATTGCTCCAGAAAAAAAAAAAACCCAGAAACCTACTAAGTTTGTCATATTTAACTAAAATAAGTTTGACACTAAATCTGAAAAGTACAGCTAAAATTCTACAGACATAGACCATTAGTGCTTATAAAATAAAATAGCTAGAATGCATTAAAAACACATAAAATCAAATGCAACAGAATAGTACAATAATAACCTACCACATCCACACCTAATCGGAGTTGATTCCAAGTCTTGCAAGACTTAATTTATAGTAGGAAATCTATAAATAGCATATGTCACGTCAATAGATTAAATAAAAAACTCATCACCACTAAGAATGCTTTAAGAGCATTTTAATTAAATTCAAACCTAACTCATGATTTAAAATATCAAAACTCTTTTAAATTAAGAATAAAAGGATATTTCCTTGATATTAAAAGTTATTAACTAAGGGTTTTAGGAGTCCATGGATAATAGTTAGGGGGGCTGTGATCCCATGAAATTGTATGAAAAATTGAGTATGTGTGTCAGCAAGTGTTTTCTAGAAATAAAATGAATAAAACTATCATCAGATTCTCAAAGGAGTCTATCATCCAAAAAATCTAATAGCCTTTACTCTATAGGATAAATGCTTTTTACCTTAACCTAATTAACTTTATACTCAACTGAAAAAATAGGAAGCATTCCTATAAATAGGAGAAATAAGACAATGATAGTCCCTGTCTATTGTTAACTTTAACATGACTCTAGAAGTTCTGACCAAGGCAATAATATGTAAAACAGAAATAAGAGCTATAGCCAGGTGTGGTGGCTCATGCCTATAATCCTGGCAACTTGAAGGCTGAGGCAGGAGGATTGCTTGAGGCCAGGAGTTCAAGACCAGCCTGGGCAACATAGCAAGATCTTGTCTCTACAAAAATAAATAAGTAAATAATTTTTAAAAAGAAAAAAGCTTTTGTAGTCCCAGCTACTTGAGAGGCTAAGGCAGGAGCATCACTTGAGCCCAGGGGTTCAAGGTTATGGTGAGCTAGGATTGCACCACTGCACTCCAGCCTGGGCAACAGAGTGAGACCCTGTCTCAATTAAAAAAAAAAAAGAGCTATAACTACTAGAAAGCAGTAGATCAATTTATCACAATATGGTGGTATAGCTGGAAATTCTAAGAAATCAATAAAATATACTGTTCAAACTAATCAACAAATTATGCAGCATAGCCCATTACAAAAAAATATATATACAGTTATAAATTTCATAGTACAATGGGAAATCCAAAAATAATCATTAAAACTTAAAATAATTAGGAATAAACAACATAAATCCATAAAATTCTATGAAAAATTTCAAAACATTGCTGAAATAGTATTTTCATGGCCAGAAAAACATACCATTTTCTTTTTTTTTTAGAAAAAAATTTGATTGGATATTTTGAAACATAATACAAATTTATTACTCCATTTTACTCCTTCAATATGTTCCTATCTCCAAAATTCTTTTTTTTTTAATTTTACTTTAAATTCTGGGATACATGTGCAGAATGTGCAGGTTCATTACATGGGTATACATGTGCCATGGTGGTTTGCTGCACCTATTAACCCATCATCTAGGTTTTAAGCCCCACATGCATTAGGTATTTGTCCTAATGCTCTCCCTCCCCTTGCCCCCCACCCCACAACAGGCCCCGGTGTTTGATGTTCCCCTCCCTGTGTCCATGTGTTCTCATTGTTCAACTCCCACTTATGAGTGAGAACATGTGGTGTTTGAAAACATACTATTTTCTTATACAACAATACTTTTGTAGAATATACATAACAATTTTATCCCAATTATTTCAAAGGTCAAAAAATATTCCAGTTAAAGTCCCAATGGGATTTACTTTCAAATTTTTCCAAAAGATTATTAAAGAATATCTAAGAGAATAAACACCAAGAAAAATATATAAAAACCATTGGGGAAAATGTAAAAAAGACTTTAAAAAGCTAATAAAAAACATAGAGAAAAGTAATGATGGGTTACTTACACTTCCAGATATTAAAACATATTATAAAACTCTAATAATTAGAACAGTGTTATAGTGATGCAAGTATAGACATGCTTATCACCAAAAATATATAGCTGATCCAAAAACTTCCTAGTATAAAATCCATGATGCAGCTGGGCACAGTGGTTCACGCCTGTAATCCTAGCACTTTGCAGGGGGCAAGGCAGGTGGATCACTTGAGATCAGGAGTTCGAGACCAGCCTGGGCAACATGGTGAAACCTCATCTCTACTAAAAATACAAAAATTAGCCAGGCATGGTAGTGAGTGACTGTCATCCCAGCTACTCAGGAGGCTGAGGCAGGAGAATCGCTTGAACCATGGAGGCATAGGTTGCATGAGCTGAGATTGTGCCACTGCACTCCAGCCTAAATAACAGGGCCAGATTCTGTCTCAAGAAAAAAAAAAAAAGATCCATGACGAGGGTAGGATCACATATCAGTGAGGAAGGGACTATTTATTGAAGAACGCAACAAATTATCTAGTTATTTTGAAATAATCACAATTTTGTTACCACTTATGGGATGCTTACACTGTGCTAGGCCCTGTGATAAGTATTTTACATACATTTATGACTTAACCCTTACAAAATTCTTATCAAGTAGATACTGTTATTCTCATTTTATTGTTTATGAAATTGAGGCACATAGAGGTTAAGATATTAGACTAAGTTACACCTCTAGTCAATGGTCAAGTGAAGTTTCAAATCCATGTTGGTCTAACTCCAATGCAAGTCCAAATACATTTTATATACATTAAAGACTTTTATTATTACCTTTAAAACCAGAGGCACTTCCATGTTCAGGACAATGAAGTGGACACCCTTTTCCCTATTTTCCTGCTATGTAAACTGAAAACCCCTGGACATGACATACATTTTAGAAAGAAGTTCAAGATGGCTGAATAGATGCATTTCATACTCACCTCCTCCACTAAGAAGAACCAAAATAGTGACTAGATCATCACACTTTGAATAGATCACCCAAGAAAGAACATGAGAATGCAACAGAAAAGTGACAGGAAACACCTAAAGCAAAGGAGAGGGAAGTGAAGCAGCCTGCTCAGCCAGGATTGGCTGAGATCCAAGAGAGACTTCCCAATGTGGAGAAAATGGAAGTGAGAGACCCCCAATGGTCCACATTTCCACTGTGGCCTCTTGTAATCCTAATGACAGGAGAGCTTCTCGACCCTTGCAGGGCCAGAGACTAACAAACGGAGGTGCCACAAGAGACTGGGTACCAGCACTACTCTGTCACACAAGGAGGGAGCTCATGCTTGGTCCCACATGCTCCCTGAGAACTAAACAGGTTCAGAAAGGTACCATTTTAGAGACCCACCCCCAAAAGAAAATGCACTGTCCTGGGGCCCAGCAGCACTGAGGCTGAAGCACAAGAGAAGCACTGGCTGCTGCTTATGGGGCCAAGGCCTGAGAAATGCACACCTCTGGGGCTGAGGTGTAAGTAGTTCATGCAGTCTCCACCCACTGGCACTGCCCTCCCCCTTGGTATCCCATGGCAAAGAACTTGGCTGCATAGTGTCCATGCCCTAGGGTTTTGTGGAAGGCCAAACTTAACAACCTATGGTATCTGGCAGAAGAAATTTCTAGACAACAAAGCATTTGATAAGAGAAGTTTGATCATCTTGGCTGTTTTTAACAGCTTACAATCAGATACAGTGGCAAAGGAATGATATAAAGCTGGAATTTATAATCAAAAGGGAAGCAGAGCATAAAAATTCAGAAAATTTGCAGGCTGACCATGTGGCAGAGGAGGAAAGGGCATTTTCAGGAGAGGAATCTAGGAGTGCTATAGAGAAACCACTTGCTAAAGAGATTAGCAAGACTAAAAGGAAGCCAGGTGCTAATAGCCAAGCCAATGGGAAAATGTCCCCAAAGGCATTTTAGATATCTTTGAGGGCATCCCTCCCATCACGGGCTCAGAGGCCTAGGATTACAGAATGACTTGAGGGACTGGCCCAGGGCACCACTATCTTGAGACTCCTGGAGATGCTGCTCCTCACATTCTGGTTGTTCAGTCTCCATTCATGGCTCAAACAGCCTCAGGTACTGGTCAGGCCCCCACTCCAGAGACTTCAAGAAATAAGCCTTGGTGACTTCCATGTGGTGTTAAGTCTGTAGGCATTGAGAACTCAAAAATAGTGGAAGTTTGGCAGCTTCCATTTAAATTTCAGAGAGTATGGGAAAGTTTGCATGCCCAGGCAGAAGCTTGCTACAAGAGTTGAGTACCACAGACAACCTCTACTAGGGAAGTATCCAGTGGAGCTGTGGGAGCAGGACCACTTCCCTCCAGATCCCAGAATCATAGAGCCACTGGCAGCATGCATCTCATAAAAGAAAAAAAGTTGATGTTAGATTTCATTAAAATTAAAAATGTTTGCTCTTTGAAAGACCTTGTTAAGAAGATTAAAAGACAAGATACAGCCTCTAAGTCTGGAAAAGCTGCAGGCATCAGATTCCAACTCGTGAGAGCAGTCACATGGGCTTCACCCAGCCACACCTGAGGGCAGGGTTGCCTGAGACCTCAAGAGCCTATCCCTTGCACCACTGTGCCCAGGATGTTGGACATGGAGTCAAGGGAAATTACTTTGGAGCTTTAAGATTTAATGTCATTCCTGCTGTGTTTTAGGCTTGCATGGGGCCTCTTACCCCTTTCTTTGGGCCAATTTCTCCCTTTTGGAATGGAAATGTTTACCAAATGCCCATACAACCATTGTGTCTTGAAAGTAAATAACTTGTTTTTTATTTTACAGAATCATTGCTGCAAGGAACTTGCTTTGAGTCTCAGATGAGACTTTGGACTTTGGACATTTGAATTGATGCTAGAACAAGTTAAGACTTTTAGGGACTATTGAGAAGGGATGATTGTATTTTGCAATGTGGGAAAAACACAAGATTCAGGGGCCATGGACAGAACGTTATAGCTTGGATGCTTGTCCACTCCAAATTTCATGTTGTAATTTTATCCCCAATGTTGGAGGTGGAGCCTAATGGGAGGTGTTTGGGACATCAGGGGCAGATCCCTCATAAATAGATTAATGCTTGGGTGGGGAGGGAGTGAGTGAATTATCACTTTATCAGTTCCCATGAAACCTGGTTGTTAAAAACAGCCTGGCACCTCTCCCCTCTCTCTGGATTTCTCTCTTTCTCTCTCTGTCTTTCTTTTGCTTCCTCTCTCTCTCTCGCTTCCTCTATCACCATGTTATCTCTGCAGACAAGCTCCCTTTCACCTTCTACCATGAGTGGAAGCAGCCTGAAGCCCTCATCAGAAGCAGATGCTGGCAGCATACTTCTTGTACAGCCTGCAGAACCATGAACCAAATAAACCTCTTTTTTTTTTATAAACTACTCAGCTTCAGGTATTCCTTTATAGCAGCATTAAACACACTAAGACAGTATAAATCTAACAGAACATGTACAGGACTTGGTTGCTGAAAACTACAAAATGCTTTTGAAATAAATCAAAGATAAAATAAATGGAAAGACATACTGTGTTTATGGATTGGAAGACATTACATAATAAAAAGGTCAATTCTCCCCCAAATTAATATGCAGATCTAATGTAATTTCTGTCAAAATCCCAACAAGGTTTTATAGATATAGATAATAGTCTAAAATTTATATGGAAATACAAAGGATATAGAATAGCTTAAGACAACTTAGAAAAAGAAGAATAAAATGGAAGGAATTACTCTACCTAATTGTCATACATATTATAGAGCTACAATAAAGGCTTGTGTGGTATTGGCAGAGGGATCGACATATAGATCAATGGAACAAAAGAGAGAACTCAGCCAAATACAAGTACAGACAACTGATTTTTGACAGAGATGCAAAAGCAATTCAATGAAGGAAGGATAGTCCTGTCAACAAATAATGCTGGAGCAATTGGATATTCACAGGCAAAAACACATACATTTCCTAAACCTCACGTTTTATACAAAAGTAAACTCATTAAATGTAAACCATAAATTATAAAATTTTTAAAAGACAACATAAGAGAAAATCTTCAGAACCTGAAACTTGATGAAGAATTTTTAGACATAACACCAAGAGTATGATTCATAAAAGAAAAAAAATTGATGTTAGATTTCATTAAAATTAAAAATGTTTGCTCTTTGAAAGACCTCGTTAAGAAGATTAAAAGACAAGATACAGCCTCTAAGGAAATATTTGCAAACCACATATCTGACAAAGAACTCACGTCTAGAATATATAAAGAATTCTCAAAGCTCTCAAAAAGAAAAACAAATCTTATTTAAAATGGGCAGAAGGCATGAAGGGAAAGTTCACTGAAGAGCATATACAGATGGCAAATAGGCACGTGAAAAGATGTTCAACATTACTATCCATTTGCTAAATGCAAATTTATACCAAAATGAGATGTTACTACATACCAATTAGAACATCTAAAATAAAAAATAATGAAAATACCAAATAATGGCAAGAATATAGAGAAACTGAATCTCTCACACATTACTAATGGGAATGCAAAATGGTACAGCCTCTCTGGAAAACAGTTTCGCAATTTCTTAAAACAAACAAAAATCCTGATATGCAATTACAGTATAACCCAGGAACTGCACTCGAGGGCATTTATCCTAGAGATGAATGAAATGAAAATTGTATTCACACGAAAACCTGTACACAAAGGTTTACAGCCATTTTATTCACAAAGCCAAAAACTGTAAATAACCCAAATATCCTTCAACAGGGAGTGGTTAAACAAACTGTAGTACATCTACACCATGGAACACTACTCAGCAATAAAAAGGAACAAACTATTGATACACACAACAACTTGGCTAGATATCAGAGCTTTGTGCTGAGTGTGAAAAAAGTCAGTCTCAAAAAGTCCCATACTGTATGATTTCATTTATGTTACATTCTCAAAATGAAAGACTTCTAGAGAAACAAATAAGTAGTTACTAGGGTTTAAGGATGGTGGTGTAACTATAAAAGGGTAGGAAGAGGGAGATCTTTTTGGTGATGGGATAGTTCTGTATCTTGATTATGATGGTAGTAACAAATCTACGCATATAATGAAATCACATAGATTTCTACACATAGCTTGTGCCATGCCAATTTCCTGGTTTTGATATTGTACTGTAGTTATGTAAAATGTAATTATTGTGGGAAACTGGGTGAAGGGTACACAGGACCTCTCTATACCCCCTTTGTAACTTCTTGTGAACCTATAATTAATTTAAAATGTGTAAAAATGTTCTAAATAGAGCAGGTAGAGCAAGATGGTGGGGAAAAAAAAGCTCCACCAATCATCCCCTCGCCCCAATAAAGACACCAAGTTAACAACTTCCTATAAACACACACACACAAAAATACTTCCATAAGAACCAAAAATCGGATGAGCCCTCATAGTACCTGTTTTAACTTCATATTGCTGAAAGAGGCACTGAAGAGATAGAAAAAACAGTCATGAATCACTGATGCCATCCCTTTCCCGTCCCTGGCAGTGGTGGCGTGGTGGAGAGAGTATCTCTGGGTGCTAGGGGAGGCAGAACACAGCAATTGTGAGGCACTGAACTCAGTGCTGTCCTGTTAGAGCAGAAAGGAAAAACAGACCAAACTCAGCTGATGCCTGTCCGCAGAGGGAGAATTTAAAGCAGCCCTAGCCAGAGGGGAATCTCCAATCCCAGTAGTCCAAACTCGAGTGTCTAAAAAACTCGTCACTGAGGGCCAAAGTGCCCTGGGTCTTTAAGTAAGCTTGAAAGGCAGTCTAGGCCACAAGGACTGCAACTCTTAGGAGAGTCTTAGGGCTGAACTAGGCCCAGAGATAGTGGACTGGGTTGGGGGGGGCGCCACATGACATACTGAGACACCAGCTGGGGAAACCAGGGGATTGCTGGCATCTCCCCTCCTGTAACCCCAGGCTGCACAGCTCATGGCTCCAAAAGAGACCCTTTTTTTCTGCTTGAGGAAAGGAGAGGGAAGAGTGGGGAGGACGTTGTCTTGGATCTTGGACACCAGCTCAGCCACAGCAGGATAGGGCACCAGTCAGAATAGTGAGGCTGCCATTCCAGGCCCTAGCTCCTAGATGACATTTCTAGACACAACCTGGGCCAGGAGGGAACCTGCTGCCTTGAAGGAAAGGACCCAGGCCTGCCAGCATTCATCACCTGTTAATTGAAGAGTCCTACCAGCAGCAATACCCAGGTACTATGTCAAGGGCCTTGGTGAGCCTCTGAGACTTGCTGGCTTCAGGTGAGACTCAGCACATTACCAGCTGAGGTGGCTATGGGGCAACACTCCTTCTATAATAATTGAGAAAAGCAGAGGGAAAAGTAAAGGGGACGTTGTCTTGCACCTTAGGTACCAACACTGTCACAAAAGGGTAGAGCACCCAGTGGGCTCTTAGGGTCCTGATCCCAGGACTTGACTCTTGAATGGCATTTCTGGACCTGCCCTAGGCCAAAGAGGAGCCCACTGCCCTGAAGGGTTAGTCCCAGGCCAGAGAGCATTCACCATAAGTTGACTTAAGAGACCTTGTCCCTTAAGGGAACATCAGTGGTACTCTGGCAGTACTACTCATGGCCAGGGGTGGTGGTGGCTATGAGATGAGGCTTCTCTGCCTTTGGAAAGGGGAAGGAAGAGTGGGAAGGAATGCATCTTGTGGTTTGAGTGCCAGCTCAGTCACAATACAATAGAATACAAGGTAGACTTTCTAAGGTTTTTGACTCTAGTTCCTGATTCCCAGATGGCACTTCTGGAACCACTCAGGACCTAGAGAACCTCACTGCCCTGATAGGAAGGACATTGGCCTGGCTAACTTTGCCACCTTCTGATTGCAGAGCCCCAGAAGGTTGAGCGAACACAGCAGTAGCCAGGGAGTGGTTACATCAAGCCTTAGGCGAGACTCACTACTGTGCTGGCTCCAGGTCGGACACAGTGCAGTCATAATGGTGGTGGCCACAGGAGTGCTTTTGTCACTCCAGCCTCAGCTTTAGGTGGCTCAGAATAGAGAGAGAGTCTCTGTATGTTTGAAAGAAAGTAAGGGAAGAGAACAACAGTCTCTGCCTGGTAATCCAAAGAATTCTTCTGTATCTTCTCCAAGACCATCAAGGTGGTACCTCTAAGAGTCTACAAGAGCCACAGCATTACTGGGCTTGGAGTGCCCTCTAAAGCAGAAATAGCTTAGAATACAACACCCGAATCCTTTAAAATATCTGAAAAGTCTTCCCAAGAAGGATGGCTACAAATAAGCCCGGACAGTGAAGACTACAATAAATACCCGACTCTTCAATGCCCAGACACTGAAGAACATCTACTAATATCAGCACCATCTGGGAAAACATGACTTCACCAAATGATCTAAATAAGGCAGCAAAGGTAGTACTAATAGGGAAGTTTATAGCTATAAGTGCCTACAACAAAAAAGAAGAACAATTTCAAATGAACAATCTAATGATGCATCTTAAAGAACTAGGAAAGCAAGAGCAAACCAAATCCAATATTAGTAAAATAAAATAAATAATAAAGATCAGAGCAGAAATAAATGAAATTTAAATACAAAATTACAAAATATCAATGAAACAAAAAGTTGGTTTTTTGAAAAGTTAAATGAAACAAACAAACCTTCAGCCAGACTAAGACAAAAGGAAAGAAGATCCAAATTTTAAAAATCAGAAATAAAGGAGACATTACAACTGATACTGCAGAAATTAAAAGGATCAGTAGTGGCTACTATGAGCAACAATATGCCAATAAATTGGAAAATCTAGAAGAAATGGACAAATTCCTAGATACATCCAACCTACCAAGATTGAACCAAGAAGGGATCCAAAACCTGAACAGACCAATAATAAGTAACAAGATCAAAGCTGTAATAAAAAGTCTCCCAGTAAAGAAAAGCCCAGGACTTGACGGCTTCACTGCTGAATTCTACCAAATGGTTAAAACGAACTAACACCAATTTTACTCAAACTATTCCAAAAAATAGAGGAAAAGGAAATACTTCCAAATTCTTTCTACGAGGCCAGTATTACCCTGATACCAAAACCAGAAAAAGGCACATCAAAAAAAGAAAACTACAGACCAACGTCTCTAATGAATACTGATGCAAAAACCCTTAACAAAATACTAGCAAACCGCATTCAATAATACATTAGAAAGACCATTCATCGTGGCCAAGTCAGATTTATCCCTGGGATGCAAGGATGGTTCAAGATATTCAAATCAATCAGTGTGATTCATCATGTCAACAGGCCAGAAACCATATGGTCATTTCAATTGGTGCTGAAAAAGCATTTGATAAAATTCAACATCACTTCATGATAAAAACCCCCAAAAAACTGGATATTGAAGGAACATACCTCAACATAATAAAAGCCGTATATGACAGACCCATGGCTAGTATCATACTGAGTGGGGAAAAACTGAAAGATTTCTCTCTAAGATCTGGAAGATGACAAGGATGCCCACTGTCACCACAGTTATTCCACATAGTAATGGAAGTTCTAGCTAAAGCAATCAGATAAGAGAAAGATATAAAGGGCATCCAAATGAAAAGAAATAAGTCAAATTATCCTTGTTTGTAGATTATATGATCTTATATTTGGAAAAACCTAAAGTATTCACCAGAAAACTATCAGAACTGATCAACAAATTCAGTAATGTCATAGGACAAAATCAACATACAAAATCAGTAGCATTTCTATATGCCAATAGTGAAAAATGTGAAAAAATAATAAAAAAGTAAGCCCATTTACAACAGCCACACATAAAATTAAATACCTAGGAATTAACCAGAGAAGCGAAAGAGCTCTGTAGTGAAAACTATAAAACACTGATGAACAAAATTGAAGAGGATATCAGAAAATGGAAGAATATTCTGTGTTCGTGCATTGGAAGAATCAATATTGTGAAAATGTCCATACTGCTCAAAGCAATCTACAGATTCATTATAATCCCTACCAAAATACCAATGACATTCTTCACAGAAATAAAAAAAATCATAAGATTTATATGGAACCAGAAAAGACCCAGAATAGCGAAAGCTATCCCAAGCAAAAGGAACAAAACTAGAGGAATCACATTACCTGACTGAAAATAATGCCACACAGCTATCGTAACCAAAACAGCATGGTACTGGCATAAAAACAGACACATAGACCAATGGAACAAAATAGACAATCCAGAAACAAATCCACACATCTACAGTGAACTCATTTTAGACAAAGGTGCCAAGAACATACACTGGGGAAAAGACAGTCTCTTCAGTAGATGCTGGGAAAACTGGATATCCATATGCAGAAGAATGGAACTAGACCTCTATCTCTCATCACATACAAAAACCAAATCAAAATGGATTAAATACTTAAATCTAAGACCTCAAACCATGAAACTATGACAAGAAAACGTTGGAGAAAATCTCCAGGACATTGGTCTGAGAGAAAATTTCTTGAGTAATACCCTACAAGCACAGGCAAAGCAGAAATGGATAAAGGGGATCACATCAGGTTAAAAAGCTTCTGCACAGCAAAGGATACAATCAACAAAGTAAAATGACAACCCACAGAATGGGATAAATATTTGCAAGCTACTTATCTGACAAGGGATTAATAACCAGAATATATAAGGAGCTCAAACAACTCTATAGGAAAAAATCTAATAATCCAATAAAAAGATGGGCAAAAGATTTGAATAGACATTTCTCAAAAGAAGACACACAAATTGCAAACAAGCATATGAAAAGGTGCTCAACATCATTGATCATCAGAGAACTGCAGAAATGCAAAAACTACAATGAGATATCATCTGACCCCAGTTAAAATGGCTTATATCCAAAAGACAGACAATAAATCCTGGCGAGGATGTGGAGAAAAGGGAACACTTGTACACTGTTGGTAGGAAAGTAAATTAGTACGATCACTACGGAGAACAGTTTGAAGATTCCTCAAAAATTAAAAATAGAGCTACCTATTATCCAGCAATCCCATTGCAGGGTATATACCCAATAGAAAGGAAATCAGTATATGAAATAGATATCTGCACTCCTTTGTTTGTTGCAGCACTGTTTACAATAGCTAAGATTTGGAAGCAAACTACGTGTCTAACAACACATGAATGGATAAAGAAAATGTGGTACATGCACACAATGGAGTACTATTCAGCCATTAAAAAGAAAGAGATCCAGTCATTTGCAGCAACATGAATGGAAATGGAGATCATTATGTTAAGTGAAATAAGCCAGGCACACAAAGACAAACATTGCATTTTCTCACTTATTTGTGGGATCTAAAAATTAAAACAATTGAACTCATGGAGATAGAAAGTAGAATGATGTTTACCAGAAGCTGGGAAGGGTGGTGGGGGGCTGGGAGGAAGTGGGGATGGTTAATGGGTACAAAAATAATAGAAAGAATAAATAAGACCTACTATTTGATATCACAATAGGGAGACTATAGTCAATAGTAATTTAACTGTACATTTTAAAATAACTTAACGAAGGTAATTGGATTGTTCACAACTCAAAGGATAAATGCTTGATGGAATGGATACTCCATTTTCATGATGTGATTATTATTCGTTGCATGCCTGTATCAAAACATTACATGTACCCCATAAATATATACATCTACTATGTACCCACAAAATTTTTTTTAAAAAACGGTTCTAACATGGACACAGGGAGGAGAACAACACACACCAGGGACTGTTGGGGGTGGTGTGGGGCAAGGGGTGGAAGAGCATTAGGACAAATACCTAATGCATGCGGGGCTTAAAATCTACATGATGGGTTGATAGGTGCAGCAAACCACCATGGCACATATATACCTATGTAACAAACCTGCACGTTCTGTACATGTATACCAGAACTTAAAGTAAAATTAAATTAAATTAAAACATTAAAAGGTTCTAAAAAACACTTGGAAATCATTTAAAAAAACCGTGGTATATCCATATAATGGAATACTACTCAGTAATAAAACAGAATGAACTGATGCACACAATGATATGGATGAATCTCAAAAACATCATGCTAGCCATAAAAAATAGAGCATATCCTTTACAGGAGCATGGATGGAACTGGAGGCTATTATCCTTAGCAAGATAATACAGGAACAGAAAACCAAATACCGCCTCTTCACACACGTGGCAGCTAAATAATGAGAACTCATGGACACATAGAGGGAAACAACACACACTGAGGCCTACTGGAGGATGGAGGATGGGAGGAAGGAGAGGATCAGAAAAAATAACTGATGGGTACGAGGCTTAATATAAGGGTGATGAAATAAGTTGTACAACAAACCCCCATGACACGAGTTTACCTATAAAACAAACCTGCACAAGTCCCCCTGAACTTAAAATAAAAGTTAAGTTTAATAAAGAATATGTATTAACAATTAAACTAAACAAATAACAATATGCAAAACCCGAAGTGTATATCTTAATTTCATTAATCTTGGCCCAGAAATTTTTGTTAATAATTTTATATCTCTCCTCTTGCTATCTTCTTATGCTTTTTTAATTTACAAAAGATGATAAACAGTTAAAGTAATTGTATTAAAAACATCATGCTAAATAAAATTAATTTTACACGAAAGAATATATACTGCTTGATTCCATGTAAATGAAGTCTAAAATAGAAAAAACTAATTCATAAAGAAAACAATCAGAAGAGGTTTTGGAGAGTGGGGATTAACTGGGAAGAGACATGAGAAAGCTTTCTGGAGTTATAATATTCTGTATTTTGATAGGGGTTAGGGTGATATAGGTGTATGGAGTAAGGATTCAATAAATGATACTGGGATAATCTGTTATTCTTATAAAAGACAGAAATAGATGCCAATACAAACATTAATTCCTAATAGATTAAATACCTAAATATGAAAAATGAATCTTTTAACTTTTAGAAGAGAATATATTTATAACTTTGGAGCAAGGAAGGCATTCTTAATAATAATGTAAAAAGGAGAAACCAGAAAGAAAAAAAATTATAAAAGTCACCATAAATACAGCGAAAATATAAGCCCCAGTTTGGTAGAAGATATTTGCAGCTCACATATCTAACAAAGGATTGGTACCCAGAATATATATAAAGAACTCCTAAACCAACCAACCAGTCAAATAGAAAAATGGGCGCAGGCTATAAATACAGAACTCTAAGAAGAGGAAGGTCAAATGGCCAAAAAACATTTTAAAAGATTCCCAAGACAATAGTCTTGAAGACAATGAAAGTTAAAAAGAATAAGGAGACAGCGTTTTGCACTCATCAGATTGGAAAAATCAGTCCCTGATAACTCCAAGGGTTGTGAGGATTTCAAGGAAGGGAGAACACAGTACTGGTGGTAGGGTAAATTGGACCAATCACTTTGGAAAACAGTCTGGCATTGCCTATTAAAACTGAAGATGCTCCTACCCCATCACCAATAATTTCTCTTCCAGATATCTACACTAGAGAAACTGTCACACATGTGCATGAAAACAGAGAAATGAGAATGTTCACTGCACCAATGTTTGAAATAGTGAAAAATGAAAACCATCTGTTGCAGCATTTGACACAACCAATCACTCCCTCTTTCTGGAAACATTTTCCCCATTTAACTCTAGATAGCCCACCTCCTGTCCTTCCTCTTACCTCACTAGCTGCTCCTCTTAATTGCTGGATTCTCCTCCTCTTCCTGGTCTTTACATTTTGGAGTGTCCTAGCAGTCATTCTACATCTGTTCCCTAGTTGATCTCATAAATAATTAAATAATCTTGGCTTTAAATACTATCACCAGTCACCATCCTGGACTCCCTTCCTGACCTTGACTAGGATATCCAACTGCTTATTTGACATAACCAATTGGATATCAAATTGATAGTGCAATGTGTTAACACGTCCAGAGCCAAAGCCTTAATTTCCCTCCAAAGCCCAGTCCTCCCCAGGGCTTTCCCTTCTTAGTACATGGCATCGCCATTCACCCAGCTGCTCAGGATAACCTGAGTCCTCTCTTTTGCACACATTCTTGCTATATTTCTCTCCTTTGAATTCTCCATTGCATCCTGATCCAGGCCATGATCACTTCTTATCTGGACTGCTATGATTGTCTTCTTTCTATCTCCCAATTTCTACTCTAGCCCTCCTACAGTCTTCCCTCCTCCAGCAAACAGAGTGATCTCAGAAACATGTATGTACTCTGAGGCCAGAGTAGACCTATGACTTCCTACATTTCTTACAAAACCCAAACTCCTCTGACCCCTGATAACTCTCTGAGTTCATCTTCTATATAACTCCCTACCCAGGGTCACTATGCTCCAACCACACTGGCTTTCTTGCTGTTTCTTGAATGCATCAAGATTATTGCTCCCTCAGGGTCTTTGCATTGGATATTCCTTTTGCCACAGGTATGTGTAAATGTGACTGACTCCATAGTATCCTTCCGGATGACCTGGAAGAATCCTTACTGTGTGTCTCATACAAACTGGGAGGTCCCAATGGAAATAGGATTTGGAGCACCCCGCAATGTTCCAAATTGTTGTGTCGAGAATACTTCTTGACTTAAAGAAACGTACCATTGCATACTACCATGTCCTAGAGAGCACATGATGGCGCCAGAGGATGAATCTAAAGACCAGATCAACTTCTGGCAGGGCCTCTGTGAAGGAGATGAAGATTCATAGTGTACTTCTGAAAAAAAGCTTTCCTTTCAGAAGGGCAGATCTAAGAATAGGGAAGCATGGTCAGGAAGTGGAATATGCCCCTGAGGGTACAAGGCCAGGAATCAGGGTATCTCCCTACTTGAAAGGTATATTAATCTGCTAAAGCTGCCATAACAAAATACCACAGACTGAGCAGCTTCAACACAGAAATATAATTTCTCACAGTTCTGAAGGCCAGAAATTTGAGATCCAGGTGTCAACAGGGTTTTGTCTGAGGCCTCTCTCCTTGGTTTGCAGATGGCCATATTCTCCCTGTGTGCTCATGTGGTCTTCCCTCTGTGCCTGTCTGTGTCCTCACCTCTTCTTCTTCTATGGACACTAGTCATACTGAATTAGGACTCCTCAATAATGACCTCATTTTACCTTAATAGCCTCTGTAAAGGCCCTATCTCCAAATACAGTCACATTCTCAGATACTGAGGGTTACGGCTTCAATATATGAATTTTGAAGGGACAAAATTCAGCCCGTAACGAAAGAGTTAATGTATTTTTCTTTGAAGCACAAGGACAGATACTTGAAATATTTATGTTCTTATTTTTCTTCTTTACCCCTGAGCCTTCAGAAAAGTGTAATTAACATTGGTATTGTTGAAAAAGAACTGTGGCCTGGGAGCGGTGGTTCACGCCTGTAATCCCAGCATCTTGGAAGGCTGAGGTGGGCGGATCACCTGAGGTCAGGAGTTCGAGACCAGCCTGACTAACATGATGAAACCTCATCTCTACTAAAAATACAATTAATTAGCCAGGTGTAGTGGTGCACGCCTGTAATCCCAGCCATGCAGGAGGCTGAGGCAGGAGAATCGCTTGAACTCAGGAGGCAGAGGTTGCAGTGAGCCAAGATCATGTCACTGCACTTCAGACTCAGTGACAGAGTGAGATTCTGTCTCAAAAAAAAAAGAAGGAAAGAAAAGCAAAAAAAGTGTGATTTTTACCACATTCACCCTTTTGCTGACTCTGAGTAGCGGAAAAGTAGCAGATTATAAAGGAGACCATGTTGAAGAGCCAGTGCTTGGACCAGCGCAGTTGGACAAAGAGATCCTCTCTTGGAAGAGCTGACAGCCATAGTAGGCAGAGGCAGGACTGCCAGAGCAGCACACTCAACCACATAACCCAAGCCCCCTCCCCACTATGTGCCACAGCAAGGAAATGAGAAAGGAAGGGGTTCAAGTGATCCAGATTCATGTATTTGTTTTGTCAAAAATATTTATTGAACACCTGTCATGTGTAACACAGTGTACTCGGTTATCGGGTTATTTAAGAAACAAAATAGACAAGGTCCCTGCCCTACATTGCAGTAGAAGGGAGAGACAATGATGAAATTAATATATAGTATAATTGTAAGTCATCAAATGCCAATGTAAAAAAAAAACAAATAAAGGGGAAATAGAGTAAGGAAGGGGTAATATTTAAAACAGAATGGTGAGAGGAAGCTTCTCTGAGGAGATGACTTTGAGAGAAATCTGAATGAAGTGAGGGAGGGAGCCATGTAAGGGTCATAGGAAAGCATCCTAGCACATGGAGAGAGAGAGAGAGAGAAAGCCAAAAGATCACTATTCATTCTTAGAGTAAATATATTGGGTTATGTGTCAGATACAGGAATGTGACTCTCAGACCCTCCCTCTAGAAAGAACTTGCTATCCAACTATGAGGAGTATGGTTAAGTGGCAGCTTCCACCTATTAGCTTTGTCAGGGTTCACTCAGCTTTCAAGCTGAGGTCATATCTTTCTCAAGGTATGACAGTCATTGTGCCTGGCCAATGACTGAGTAAGGAGGTGATAGCTGAGGACACACTCTTCTTGGGGCAGCTTTCAGAAACAGACTGAGCAAAGCAGTGCTAAAAGGGCTTGGCCATCTCCACACAATGCAGGACTCCTTGAGTGTGCAATCTCTGCCCCAGAGTTCCCCCCTGAACTGGTAGAGGTCTCGTCACAATCTGATGGCTCCCCCTGCCCCGTTCTGTTTCCTCTCTTTTCCTGGCACAGCTGCTACTCCTCAATGGAACCTCTTGACTCCTACCTCTGTCTCAGCATCTGCTTCCTGGAGAAAGCAAATTGCAACAGTTTTAGAGAAGAAAATATTTCCCCCAAGTTCAAAATAATCTACCAGAGCAGGATGTTAAATGGAAATGTCTTCCAAGACCATAAGGTGATAGATATCACACTCAAAGTGAATTGTGAGATTTCAAGATAGATTCTGAAAACCAATTAGATGACTCACCTTCATTGAGTGAGTGCATAAAACAGTTGGGTTGTTGAAGACTAAGAGAAGAAGTAATTTATACAGAATTATTCTAGAGATAACTGTGTTCTGCATAGCCCCTCCCCGAACCTTGCCCCCAAAAGAGATGGTAAGGTTTCCTGTTTCTCACGTCAAGCCTATGAAAGGCTTGTAATATGTCCACTTGGAGTATGTTCCCTGGAACCTGGGGGAGAAAACAATGGTCCAGTGTCCAATTCATTCCAAAGAATTTTCATAGAGAGAAATTTGCTAGCTGGAAGAGCTTGCTGTGTTGGGGTAGTCCACACTCCCAGAGTTTGTGGGAAGAGAGGATGGTGTTGGAGATACAATTGACCTGGAATCATTTAAATCCTGTCCAAGAGGATCCCCAAGAGAGGGAATAAAACCTCCTCAGGGAGAATCTGAGCTGACTGGATTGGGAGTGGAGGAGAACACAAGAACTTAGGAAAATGTATTGCCCGCTTATTAAATGTTCTCATAGGGCCTCTGAAGACCCCTATTCCCCCACCCCTCTGCACCCAGAAGGAGTCTGCTTAAAACTCACCAGCTGAGTTTGGAGAATTTTGGTTAAAAGTTCCAATAATTTCCAGAGGGACAAGACAGAAGGGATTTTTACTTGCTTTTCTCATTTGCTGCCAATCCCACACTCTGTTTTAGTTGGTATGCTTTTCATTAGGTTCTCACCAGCATAAAACATTTGCATTTAATCCACTTATTAGAAAAAAACACACTTTCAAAGGACTATTGGAGGTTGTCTGGGACTCATCCTGTTTTATAAACGCCTTTAAAAGGTAGGTAGAGGAGTCAGAGAGACAAAAAACACAGACCATCTCCAGGTGCCATTGAAATCACTGCTGTTTATCCTCCAAAGCCTCATCGGTCAAGTCAATGAGTCTCTAGACAATTCTAAATCTGAAAAATTACTACTCCTTGATGAAATCTACCTGCATTTTAATTCTGCAGGTGTGTGAAGTGTATCTTATTTCTTCCTAAAGACACACATATTCCCCTCTCATTGACCACAGTTGCTTTGGGGAAAACTTTAAGAGCCTGTTCATTCCTGGCCCCCAAAGTATTTCCTTTTCAAAAAACCATTTGGTTCTCCTTCTTCATCCTGCATTGATTTAATGTGAGCCAAGGATGTCTGAACTTGGGCTTGTTACCAATGGGATCTGATGTTTTACGTCAAAAAGTAATGGCTGCCTTGTGAAATGCTGCATTTCTTTCTCTCACACAGTAGAATCTTTGCCAAGTTCATGGACCATGACTAATGGAAATGCCATAAGGTGTAAAAGTTTTTCCAATTACAATATTGGTCAAATTTACAGGTGATAATAGGCCATATTGGGAATGTGTACTTGTGACCATTTGCCAGGAGACCCTCACGTTGTTTGTGTATCTCATAGTTTGGGCCTGTGAGGAGCTGGCTGAGACAGCCTAATTCACTCAACTCTTCCTCTTCCAACAAAGGGTCAAGGCACAGAAGCCAGCTTTGCTCCTCCACAATAAAAAGGTGCCTCCCTTGATACTTCACAAGCAAGGAAAGGAAACTGCAGTTTAAAAAATGCTTTGGGAATGAGAAGACTTCTAAAGAAAGCACTGAGGGTGTTCATCTGAGTCTGACAACCTGCCACGAAGGACCACATTTCAACCATCCTTGGCAACTCTGCAGGGAGTGTGCCTGTTGGCTCTCATCTATGGCCAGCAAAGAGCCTTGCAAATAGAAGGGATTAATTGATCGATCTCACGTAGACCACAGAAGCCTTTTCTAAGGGAAGACACTTAGGAAACATAACTAAGAAGAAGCCAGAAGAGTCGTCCCCAGTATTCAGATCTCAGGGGCTATTGACATTTATTTTACTGGTTCAAACACAACCTCTGTAGCTCATCTGATTGCACATTTTGCCTGGTTCAAGTCAACTGGTTTTGATCACAAGGTAAGAAGAATAAGTGAGTATAACTGGATTGACACATACCCTCAACCATTCCTGGAAAACTAAGCAAAAACATTCTCTATGATAGCATCAATAATATTATGCCCCTATGGGAAAGATGGCATAACCCAAGCCTCAATTCCTTATTCAGGGCTTTTTCTATTACAAGATGAAATCAGGCAACCTAAAATGTTCACAGGAAGACTGTTGTCTTAGTCCATTGTGCTGCTATAACAAAATACTCAAGACTGGGTAATTTATAAACAACAGAAATGTATTATAGTTCTTGAGGGTGAGAAGTCCACTATGAAGGGGCTGGCAGGTACAGTGTCTGGTGAGGGCTGCTGTCTGCTTCAAGATGGTACCCTACTGCTGCATCCTATGGAGGGGATGAATGCTGTGTCCTCACATGACCGAAGTACAGAAGAGAGAAAATCCAATCCCTTGAGCCCTTTTATAAGAGTCCTAATCCCATCCATGAGGGCAAAGCCCTCCTGATAACATAATCACCTCTTAAAGTCCCTGCCTCTTAATACTGTCATACTGGGCATTAAGTTTTGGCATATGAGTTTTGGAGGACATATTCAGACCGTGAGAACTGGTCAGGTAAAGACCACATTAACATTTGTAACGGGTGAGGTGGTATGAGGAATACTAGCCTGTGGGAGTTTCTGCTAGAAAGTGTTCCTTGTTCAAAAAATTGTGGAAAATACTGCATACTACTCCCCTTCTTGGAATTTGGTAGAACATTTTGACATTCCAAGGATTCTAAAAAGCTCATCAGTTACACACAATAACAAAAACCGTACTTATGCAACCATGAAAGGCTTTATTGTAAGACCTATGCACATTCTTACAGATTTGTTTTTCCATAGAACACACTTTAAGAAATACTGAAACTCCTCTACATGTATCTTCCCACTAAATAGCGCAGATCTAGATGCTGAGTCAATCTGGAGGGCAATACTCCCAAAAGAGCAAGGTCGCTCCAGGCCCACTCATACGAGCCTAGTGTTGACACCAGCCATGAGGAGAGTAATGGAAGTTCTTCCCTGGGAAGAGTCAGCCTGATGTCATGCAGTGCTCACTAGGTCCAGATCAGGAATTTCACAAGAAGCCCAAAGCCCTAAAAACATTAAAAGTTCCACCATATATACACACACACACACACACACACACACATATACATATACATATATATACTCATATACTCACATATATACACATATACATATATATATAAAATAATTCCAAATAAATTCAACTCTAATTTGTAAGATAAATATAAGCAAGCTTAACAGAATTCTGAATGGTTCCATAATGACAGCTTCAACATTTAAATATCAAATTATTTTCAAAACATTAATACACCTGCTTTGCTGGTGCCCTAAGCACATGTTTAGTCTGTGTTGGGTTACTAATATTGCCATTATTTCTATCCCAGCATCTGCTATTCATTGACCCCAAGCTTATCAATTCACTTTTTTTGGCCTCAGTTAAAATGGCATAGATTAAACTAGGCTAGATAATTATTGATATGATTTCCAGCTCTAAAGTTCTGTGATTCCTCCTGTTGCATTAACTAGTCCTTGGTATTCAACATGACATTGGAGGACTTCCCAGGAGCCGACTGTAGTACACACTGTCGGCTTCTCACCTAAGTAGGCACTGTGGATGCCCACCCACATACCCCTGGCACTTCCTTCATTCCCATACTTTCCACCTAACAGATGGCTTCCAACTTCAGACACTGCAACACTTTGTCTGAAGTCTTCTTCTGACCATCAGAGTTCACTCAGCCTAGGTGGAGCAGCCTGGAACTGCCCCAGAGTTCATATTCTTTAGTACTGCCCTCAACCAATGACTGGTGAGAGTTGGTCTTTAAATACCCCAGCTCTTTACCCCTCAATCAGGATAACTCTGAGGTGTGTGCTCCACACTGTCTCCAAAAATCCCCAGAAGGATAGAACCCTAGTTGTCTGCAGTGGTAGTTGGCTGGATAATCATCTTTATTGGTTTATTTTACTACCCTATCTCAGCTGTCCTCTCCCCTACCAGTATTTCTGGGATCATTGCCCAAATAATCTACTTGCACTCAAATTCTTGTTTCAGATTTTGTTTCTAGGGAACCCAAACCAACATCCTAGCCAGTATTCATTCCTCCACCTGACCCTCCTCACTTTCTTCCTCTGCATCCACACCTTGTTCTGGTTTAGCTACCCACCCTGCAAAAAATATATAATTATATCCCTAACTCTAAGGACAGAGCCAAACCAACCACACTAATCTTAGTCCTCTTCCCAGTGATTGGGTAGGATTTGATCCAATTCTAGCCAATGAAACCTGAAGGGAGAATTCTGGGAAATAGTTCCTTGCTCCAAAATAAGAAACAGAAAGACAGAGACACCCCCTATTCTTCCACTGGAAGTTGACATGTCTCAATATAATGCCCAGAACTGCAGCTACTAACTTGTGCCTAGGGAAGCCGTCTTAGAGGAAAAAGTGACTCATTGTGTTAGGCCATTCTTGCATTGCCATAAAGAAATAACTGAGAGTGGGTAGTTTATAAGAAACGTGGTTTAAATGGCTCATGGTTCTGCAGGCTGTACAGGAAGTGTAACACCTGCATCTGCTTCTGGGGAGGCCTCAGAAAGCTTACAATCATGGTGGAAGGCAAAGGAGGGGCAAGTGTCCCACATGGTAGAAACAGGAACAAAAGGTGGTCAGCGGGTAGGGGTATCACACCACTTTTAAATGACCAGATCTTGTGAGAACTCACTCACTATCAGGAAGACAGCACCAAGTGATGACAGATCCACTCCCATGACCCAGTCACCTCCCAGCAGTTCCCACCTCTAACACTGGGGATTACAATTCAACATGAGATTTGAGTGGGACAAATATTCAGGGCAGAATTATTAAGATAGCCATTTATCTTGCTACTCAAGAGTTATGGACAATGTGAGAAGGTTTCCAACAACCTAACGTACATATCTATGTTTGTCTTCCTGCCCAAGACACTCACCATTGGGGATGCTGTAGATACAAGCTGGTCTCCTGGCATCAGGAGAGGTGGCAGGGGTTGAGGAATCTTGCGTGAGCTAACTTACTGGAAAGAAAGTAGGGATTTTTTTGTAGGATGGAAGAAAAATATCCAAAAGTAAAGCCAGAATCAGGGAGTAGAGAGCAATTAAAACCAAGGTCGTGAGGGTTGAATGGAAAAAAAAAAATCCACAGTTAAAAAGAAGAAGGAGAAATAGTACCAAGAAGCCAGATCTCTGGCTGCCTCTGAAGGGTGAGACTGGACATTTGAAGTTTCTGACACACGGCAATATGGAACTCTTTGTAGGCACCAGTAGCTCATACAGTGATCTCTGCTAGGTAGAGTAGAGAGGCCACAGGTCAGCCTTATGTGGCCAATTCAGAAGTATGCTGTCTTCTTGGATGTGTTGCCAGAATATGTGGAAAGCCTTCTGAGAGCCCAATGTCACTTCTGCACATCTGGGAATTCAAATTCCACCAGAACCCCTTGGAGTAGATGGTGCTGGCAGGGAGAAAGTTGAATCCTATTGGATTGCCATCTTTTACATCAAGGAGAATAATTTTCAAATATTAAAGAGTAGGACCAATATTGTTGGGAAAGAATTAAAGCCCAAGCAATCTGAGAGAGCTATATGAGACCTCTGCCTTGGGATTCCATGCTTAACAAATTATTTTTGAGTCCCTGAAAAAACTTAGACATTTGATCCCGAGACCAATGTCAGGAGAGCATAAAAGAATAATGCTTGTGTTTGTTGGGTCTTCCAGGAAGCAGACACTGTGATGCAGTTAAAAGTGCAAGAGGTTTATTGGTAGGAGATGCTTATGAAAGATAAAGGGGAAGGAAGCAGTCTGGGGCAGGGACAGCGTCAAACCACATGCAGATCTGACAAAGCCTCAGCCAACCCAGGCAGCTCAGAAGCAAAGATTACCCATTAAAGGAATCTCATGTTGGGGAGAGATGGCCAAACCTTAACACCGCCATCATGCTCAGTCATTGGCTGGGAAATGCCCAGGAAGAGTGTGTTCTCAGCTCAAAAGCCAAGATGGATTCTGAAGTGCTAACAGTTGGAGACCATCAGCTAACCGTACTTCTCATGGTTGACCTGCGGTTCTTTCTTGACCTGCATAGAGTGCACCTCCATGACTGCCACAATGTGGAATAAGGGAGGTGCCAAGAGTCTGAAGATGTTCAGACATACTGTGGATTTTTTCAAGTGGCCTCTAGAAAGTCTAGACTGGATTATTGAATGGACTGCTTGTGAGCTCTTATAACAGGCACTGAAGATCACCAGGGACCAGGAAGGGTTCACCAAGAAAATGCCATGATGGCTCATCTCACTTCCTGTTTTTAGCATTACCAATTGGCACACCAAAAAAAGGCAGATGATACAGTATAATTGGATTTCAGTAAGATATTTATCAAAATCGTTATCATCAAGATGAAAACATTGGAGCCGGGTAACAGTTAATTGGGAAAAGTTTTATATTCTTGGGCAATCATATTTATGAAGACTAATTAATAAGATCTATATTAGTAGCTAAAGTCTTCTCCCCCTACAAGCTCCTCTTCCTCATTTTAGCTTCAGGCAATGGTACTATATTTTCCTAGACATCTAGATTTGAAAGCTCTAAGGTTCATGGATTCTTGTTTCTCCTTTATTCCCTTTGTTGACTTGAGTCAGGCATAGTAGGCTTCTTATTAACTTCTCATGTTCATTCCTTCACTTTTATTCCCACTGCCATGTCTCTGGCCCTAGGCACCATTCTTCCAAACTGACCCCATGCATGGTCTGTCAAATGCTCTTAATACATTAGTCTATCCCACACTCTGTTCACATTGGTCTTCTCTGCCTCTCCAAATAATCAGCATGCTAGCCAATGGTCCCACAATGGGGCCCTCCATTTATGCACCCCGACCACCACTTGCCCAGATGCTCCACCCCTGGGATCAGACAAATCAAACTGCTGCCCTCACTGTGCCTCTTCCTGGCTGTTGGCTGCACTGCAGATTTCCTCCATGCTGAGACACATATTTTTAGAATCTTCCAATGTTTCTGAAATTAGGAAGTACTTTATGATCAAGGTCAGAAGAAAACTGTTAGTCTCAGGACTGAAGAAGAAGTTATAAAAGGGTCCTTGCTATCTGTGACTATAAAAATTTTGTAATGTTTGGAAGGAATCAGTTCATCTAATTGCCGTTAAAGCTGTATATTAACTTTGGATCCTTAATTTTTACTTAAAATGAGGCAGCATATGCTAGAAACTGCTCTGGATGCTTGAAGCAAAGCAGACATAAATCCTTGCCCTGGTGGAGTATATATCATGAAGAACCGTTGCCAGGTTCTGAAAAATCTATCTGTCACAGGATCTGGTTGACTGTTAAGAGAAACTCTTTAACTTCTAGTGACAAGTAATTCAATAAGGGGGAAAAAATGAAACTCTGGTTCCAACCATATAGACATGCAGATAAAACCTGTTATACTTTGTGTGGCAGAAAAACATTTGGAGACAATAACCTGTGCATTAGTTACTTCTGTACTTCTTCTTTCTGCCACCCCATACCCCACCACCAATTCAAGCAAAGAGTTGTTCCCTTTCTCACTTCCTCCAGGGAAGAATGTGGCAAGTCAGAAAACAGCTATAACCTTAGAGAGAGGGGATCTAGGCCCTATGTCTTGGCCATAAGAGGAACACAGGGGGAAGGAAGTGGCAGGACCCCCCCAGAAAAGAAAAGGTACTTAGGTACATCTAAAGACATGGAAAGCCAAAGCCCGTGTCCCAAGTGGAGCTCAAAGGGATTTAGGAGTAACTTGAAACTGGACATGACAGGGCACTTGGAAGGGGCACAGTAGGGTTTCCTCCCTGAGCACCTTTATGCAGCAAGGACTCAGATATCAAACAGCCCTACCCAGTGGCTGCACCTTGAGTAAATCCCCCCAGAACCTCAATAAAATTCCTTCAGAGAAGGAACTCAAGAAAAAGCCATGCTAGTATTGCAGACCAATCCAAAATAGGAGGCTTAAAATGGAAATTAAGTTATAAACTGTAAAGTTATATGTCTTACACATCTGAACTTGTACACTGAAAATCTGCTATATTTGCCATGTCATGAAATTAAAGTCGTCAAAGAGGTCAAGAATCATGATTATGGCAGCAGCAGGCCATCTGGAGTGGCTTCTGCCATCACACCGGCTGCAGCAGGAAGGCCCTTCCAGGGCCGCATGCTCCATGGAGCTGGTGGGAGCTAGGGACAACCTGCCCCTTCCAAGTTGAGGTGGGAGCTCCCAGAGTGCCACTGCAGCCACCCAAACCACAGCTGTGGACCTGGGCATCCCTGTGCTCGTGGGCTGGGAGTGGGTGGGAGCCTGGCCCTCCCAGGCACAGCTGCAGCCACCCAAGTCACAGCTGAGAACCTGGGCCCCTGCTCCACTAAGGATCCTTGCCCTCCTGCACAGAGTTGCAGCCACCCAAGTCGTGGCTGCAGATCTGTGCCTCCCACTCCACAGAGCAGGCAGGAGCCCTGCCCTACCAGGTGCAGTTACAGCTGCCCAAAGTCATGGCTGGGACCCAGGCCTCCCTGTGCTTTTGGGGTAGTGGGAGCAGGCAGGATCCCCACACTCCTGAGTGCAGCTGCAACCACCCAAGTCACGGCTGCAGACGTGGGCCTCCTGCTCCATGGAGCAGGCAGGAGCCCAGCCCTCCTGTGTGCAGCTACAGCCACCCAAGCCACAGCTGCAGAGCCAGGCATCTCTGCACTCTCGGGGACCCGGGGTGGCTCTCTCTGACCCCACAAGCTCAGAGGTGTCCACTCCCACTGCCTGGCCCCTTCCCGCTCCTGGCAGCCACTCTAATCTTGGTTGGAGTGATCCCAGGTGCTGCCACAGCCTGGCCAGGTGTGTGCAGGCTCAAGGCAGTGCTGACATGCCAGGTCCCTGCCACCTTGGCCCCTTCTGGACTTTGGGCACCAATGAGCATGGGAGGGAAGCCAAGAGGGTGTTGAGGGCAGCTTGGTGCTGACCTGAAGGCACCCCTTGGCACAAACATCCTGGGTGCCATGAATGGCAGTGGAAGGCAGACAGGCTTCTGGGTGGAAGTGGGTGGGTCCCCAGTGAGGCCCCACCCTCAAGTCAGAGACGGCCTGAAGGCTGCGGGTTGGAGCTGCTAGTCCCATGGACAAAGTGGGAACTTGTGGAGCCTTTTTCAGGTCCCCCAGTGGCTGCCCATGAGCCAATTGGCACACATGCTTCCTCTCCTTTAAGGCCCCATAAAAGCCCCGGGCTCAGCCGGAGCTGAACAGATGATGGGGCAACCAGCTGCAGAGAGGAGCTACCCTCTGGCTGAGAGCTGGAACAGATGATGGGGTGACAAGCTGTAGAGAGGAGCTACCCTCTCTGCTAGGAGCTGAACACTCAGTGGGACACCCTGGTTGCAGAAATGAGCTGCCCCCTGTGGGAGACTGAGCTGTTCTATCACTCAATAAAGCTCCACTTCATCTGGCTCATCCTTCACTTCTCTGCATACCTCATTCTTCACGGTCACAGGACAAGAACTCAGGACCTGCCAAATGATGAAGCTAGAAGAACTGTAACACAAACAGGGCTGAAACATGCCCCTTGCTTGACATGTTGCAGGTAAAGAGAAGGAGAGAAGAGCTGTGGCCCTTCGGGGAGCCCAGACCTGGGAGCTCCCCGAGCCAGGGCTGTGACTTCCTCTTTGGGGCCCTGCAGTTTCCAGTGTCTCCAAGCTTCCAGGCACCACTGCATTCCCTGGTGCCAGCCAGAGAAGCTGCTTGCAGTGCGCCTGGTCCACCCACACAGCCTTGCAGAGAGCTGGCACCCATGCCGGTATTTGGAGCTGCCCACCCTGCTGCAACAGCTGTTGTGTCTGACTGCACAGTGGCCAGACCCCATGCTCACTCACACACCCCTTGCCACTCCACGCCTGAATCACAGTCTCTTGTGGAGGCATGGGATCTATGCCAATAGCATGAGCTGAGTGCAAGCTGCCAGGCTGAGTGGGCAGAACAAGCCCAGTGGGCCCAAGCAAAACTTGGGCAAAGGTGCCACTGCCACAGGTTTCCAGCCAGAAAAGTGACACCCCAAAGATCCTGTAACAATGAGAACATTATGGAAAGCAGCAAGTCACTTGGAATGTTTGAGGAGAAAAGCAATTCAGGAAAATATTAAGAGTCTATGAAAAAAATTCAAAATTTGGTCATGATTCTAAAAGGGAAAGCAGTCTATTTAAAATCATATGAATAAATTTATGCTGTCACTTTTAAATGTATATTTGATACAGAGTTTCTTATACTTTCTCCTTAAAAGCTTTTATTTAAATTAATGGTGCATCTTACAATTGGTAACATTTTAGAACTGAGTAAAAATGCTGGTTTTCATCATTTTCAGGACTTTCAGCTGTCAAAATCTTACCCATCAGCAACCAAAATGTTCAGCAATAAGGGATCTATTAAATAAATTGTGCTACATCTATATAATGGAGTATAGTACTTATAAATGGACCTATAGAACAATGTTTAATGACATAAGAAAATGCTAAAGTTAACTTAATTTAAAAGAAAACGTGTGTGTGTTGTGTGTGTGTGTATGTGTAAACGTGCATGTGTGTAATCTACAGATCTGCCTCCAAGGTGTCTCCCAAGCTGTCTAACCTCAAAGATTGTTCGTTCATCTAATCGCCAAATGGCACACCTGAGGTCCCATCTCATACACTTCATACAGAAGGTCCACCAATGCTAGAGTGATCAACCATTCAGGTTTTTCTGGGATGCAAGATCTTCAAGGCTAAAACATGAATAGTCCTGGGCAAATTGGGACGGTTATTCATCCTAGCTGGTGCCCTGTCCAATGTATCATATACTGAGTCAGTCCTTGCTGCTTTCCCTGAGCCCTTGGCTCCTCTGCTGCAGAGTCGAACTTCAGGGCCTAAAACAAAGCCTTAAAGTCATAGTAAGTACCAATACATATTTTATTACACCACATTGAACCTGGAGCACCATTTCCAGCACTTTGCCTGGGGCTCTGAACTTGGGCCTGTACCTTTTCAGTACTTTTGTTCTTTTTATCAATGACTCAAAAAAAAGACATGCCTGTAAGAGTCACAGATGCCAGAAATTAGAATTAACAGACTCAAAAGTCCAAAATATCTCCAACAGTTGAAACTAAAGCCAAACACAAGATATTATTAAACAGGGGAAAATATCAAGATCACAAGTTAAGGCTTTCTTAAAAAAATCAATAGTACATGTATAGGCTAAGGACACCTGATGAAGCCATTCATATGGAAAATAACCTGGGATTTTAATTGCTGAAAGCTCATATGAAACAAGATGATCTGCAGCTGTCCAGAAAAGGAAATACAATCTTTCAATACATCAATAGAAATATAGTGCCTGAATTAGGAGTAAAATCCACATTTACTCCCTAAGATAGGAATCAATGAGTTATGTCTTTGGTTCTCATTATGCATCATAATCATCCAGAAGACTTGTTAAATCGCAGATTGCTGGGCCCCACCAGTTTCTGATTCAGTAGATCGGGGTGAGGCCCAGGAATGTGTATTTCTAACAAGTTCTCAGATGAAAATAGCCCGGGGACCACACTTTGAGAACTACTAAGAATGTTGTCAGAAAAAACACCATACAATGGTGAATGTTCTAGAAGCTGTGACAGGAGGAAATTTTAAAAGATCTGTATATATTTATCTTGAATAGGAATTACATGGTAACTTCACACTCATATTTGAAGACTTTTGTGGCAAAACAAATGGGTTTTGTAGTGCTAGAGGCAAAATTAAAGCCAATGATTGGAAATTACAAAGAGGCAAAATTGAACTCAGTATAAGGACACACTTTCTGTTAAAACCACTCAAAAACAGAATAGGTTATGTAAAAAAATCAATTATAAACTTGTATTTATGGTGCAATCCCTTTTTTAAAAGGATATGTTGGCCGGGTATGGTGGTTCACACCTGTAATCTCAGCACTTTGGGAGGCTGAGGCAGGAGGATTGCTTGAAGCCAGGAGTCTGAAACCAGCCTGAGCAACATAAGGAGATCCCATCCCTACAAAAAAAAAATTATTTTAATTAACCAGGTGTGATGGTGTGTGCCTGTAGTCCTAGATACTCAGGAGGTTGAAGCAGAAGGATCACTTGAGCCTAGGAGTTTGAGGCTGCAGTGAGCCATGATCACACCACTACACTCCAGCCTGGGTGACAGAGAGAGACTCAACTCTTAAAAAAAAAAAAAAGAAAAGGCTATATTTTTTAAAAATCTAGAATCATAATATATACCAGAAGTTCAGTGGTGGTTATCTTTTGGTGGTAATGGTAAGGCAGATTTTTTCTATACTATCTGATTTTACTAAAATAAATATAGATTATTTATACAATAAAATACTGAGAGCAAAAAAATGAAACGGGCTGCCTTGCAGGATAGGTGGGTTTTTCCTGTCACCTGAAGTAATCAAACACAAGCTAGAAAAAAAGGCTTAGTAAATTGCTTAGAGGTGTGATTCTCAAACTTTAGTGTGCATTTGAATTCCCTGGAGGGCTTGTTAAAAATACATAGTGTCGGTCCTAGCCCCAGAGTTTCTGATTCCGTGGGTCTCAAGTGAGACCCAAGAATTTGCATTTCTAACAAGTTTCAAGTGATGCTGATGCTGCTGAACCAGGGGTCACAATTTGAGTAGCTCTGGTGTGGTAGGTATATTTCTAAAATGGCTCCTAGTGATTCTCACCTCCTGGTATTCATGCCCTTATATAACCCTGTTCTCTTGTGTGTGAGTTGGACCTATTGACTTGCTTCTAGCAAATAAAATGCAACAAAAGTGATGGGATGTTGCTACTAAGATTGGGCTGTAAAAGACTGTGAGGGACTTCTGCTTGCAGAAAGATGAAGTAGAAGTACTTTAAAGATGAAGTAGAAGTACTTTTTCCGATTCTTTCTGCTAAGTACAACTAAAAATCCTGGACATTACAGTCAACCCTCAGTATCTACTAGGACCCCCACAGGTAGCAAAATATGCAGATGCTAAAGTTCCCTAAATAAAATGTCATAGTATTTGCATGAAACCTACAGACATCCTGCAGTATGTCTTAAATTATCTCTAGATTATTTATAATACCTAATATAATGTAAATGCTATGTAAATGGTTATTATACTGTATTTTTTATTTGTATTATTTATTTTGTATTGTTCTTAGTTTATTTCCTTTGTTTAATTTTTTAATTTTTTTATTCCTCTTACTCATCCCTAATTTTTTTTCCAAATGTTTTTTATCTGAGGTTGGTTGAATCCAAGGATACAGAACTCATGGATATGGAGGGATGACTGTATATGTAAACCAAACATAAGAAGATACTGGAGGTTGATTAGTGGGTACAAATATACAGTTAAATAGAAGGAATGAGTTCTAACGTTCAATAGTAGAGTGGGGTGACTACAGTTAACAATATATTGCATATGTCAAAATAGTTAGAAGAAAGGACTTGAAGGCTAGGCATGGTGGCTCATGCCTATAATCCCATCCCTTTAGGAGGCTGAGGCAGGCAGATTGCTTGAGTCCAGGAGTTCAAGACCAGCCTGGGCAACATGGTGAGACCCCCATCTCTACAAAAATTAAAAAATTAGCCAGAAGTGGTGGAGCATGCCTATAGTCCCAGTTACTCAGGAGGCTGAGGTGAGAGGATCACATAAGCCCAGGAATTCGAGGCTGCAGTGAGCTATAATCACGCCATTGCACTTTAGCCTGGGCAATAGAGTGACACTCTGTCTCAAATTTTAAAAAGGGGGGACTTAAAATGGTCCCAACACATAAAAATGATAAATACTCAAGGCAATGGACACCCTGAATACCCTGATTTGATCATTGTAATAAAATATCACATGTTCCCCATAAATATGTACAAATATGTATCAATAATTTTTTTTAAAAAAAGGAAGACACTGAAAAGTGAAAATAGGACAGATGGGCTAGGGACCTTGGGATCCAAGGAATGACATGATTGTGAGTTCCTTGTTTTCTTTTTGTTTCATATATCCAAGACTTGGAGAGTCTTGAATAAGTGCTGGAGAAGCTGGCAATTTGGAAATGCCAATGGATGGAGATTTTTTTTAAACCACAACAAAGGCCATATCTCTCTTGCCAAAGGACTAGGAAAGGGGATAGCCTAGAAGGACAGAAAAAACTGTGGCCTTACTCACACCAGCAAGGCCAAGAGGAGGGCCCAGATTTCCATTTTTGCCAGGCCATAACGAGGCACCCCAACCTCCCCGCAACCCCCCACCCACCGGGGTGGTGTCAGAGAGGTTACTGGGAAGCTAAGATCTTCTTTGCCCCAAAGGCAGTAGCAAGGAATACCATTCTTCCCGCATCATTAGTGGAGTCCATGTAGGGAGCCTGGACTTTAGCCTCCACCCAGTGGTAATGGAGTGCTCACTCTATCTCCCTGCTAGGGTTGTATCAGAGTAGGCTTAGTGAAGAGTCAGAACTTACATTACTGCCCAGTAGTAACAAGATCACCATCCCCTTGCAGTGTCGGTGACCTCCACTGATACTGCAGGGGAATGGGAGAAAAGGATACCCTTCACCTGGAAAAAAGGAGAGGGAAGTGAGCACTGGACTTTGCCTTGGACCCCAACACTGGGTCTGCCTCAATAAACCCCAGGGCTGGGCAGGCCCCAATAGTCCCACACTCTATGCCAGTACCCACAGACTGAGCCACCAGCTCACTCCACCACCAAGCTAACACCAATGGCCCTGACACTTCAGGCCAACCCCAGAACTAGGCTGGTCCCCACAGCTCTAGTCATTAGGCCACCACTCATGGACTCAGCCTCCAAACTGGCCCTTGTTATACAGACTTCAGCCCTCCTGGCATAAAAACAGATACATAGATCAGTGGGACTCAATAGAGAGTCCTGAAATAAATTAACACATTTATGGTCAATTGATTTTTGACAAAGGTGCTAAGAGCACACAATCAAGAAAGGACAGTGTCTTCAATAAATGGTATTGAGGCAACAATGGTGTTGATATCCACATGCAGAAGAATGAGACTTAAATGTAAGACCCGAAACTATAAAACTACTGGAGGAAAACATTGGGAAAAACTCTATGACATTGGTCTGGTCAATATTTTTTTTAATATGACCCCAAAAGCACAGGCAACGAGCACAAAAATAGACAAATGGGATTGCATCAAACTAAAAAGCCTCTGCACAGCAAAGTAAAGAGACAATCTATGGTATGGGAGAATATATTTGCAACCATACGTCTGATAAGGGGTAATATCCAAAATACATAAGGAACTCAAACAACAAGAGCAAGAAATCAAATAACTCAATTAACAAGTGGGCAAAGGACCTGAAAAAACATTTCTTAAAAGAAGGCATATGAGTAGCCAACAGGTATATGTTAAAATGTTCAACATCTCTAATCATTGGGGGAAATGTAAATTAAACTATGATGAAGATTTGGGGCAGAGCAAGATGGAGCAATAGAAGACTCCTCTAATCATCCCCCTCAAAAGGACTCCAATTTAACAAGTATCTACACAAAAAAGCACCTTTATAAGAACCAAAAATCAGATGAACACTCATAATACATGGTAGTAACTTCAAGCAAACACACCTTAGATCACAACATCCAAGTCCTTTTGGATATCTGGAAAGCCTTCACAAGAAGAACAGGTACAGACAAGCCCAGACTGAGAAGACTACAATAAATACTTAAATTTTCACTGCCCAGACACCGAAGAACATCTACAAGCACCAACGCCATCCAGGAAAACACGACTTCAACAAACTAAATAAATAAAGCACCAGAGACCCATCCTGGAGAAAGAGAGATATGTGACCTTTCAGGCAGCGATTTCAAAATAGCTGTGTTGAGGAAACTCAAAGAAGTTCAAGAGAACACAGAAAAGGAAGTCAGAATTCTATCAGATAAATTCAACAAAAAGACTGAAATAATTTTTTAAAATCAAGCAGAAATTCTGGAGCTGAAAAATGCAATTGGCATTTTGAAGAATGCATCAGAGTCTCTCAACAGCATAAGTGATCTAGCAGAACAAAGAACTAGTGATCTTGAAGACAGGTTATTTGAAAATACACAGTCAGAGGAGACAACAGAAAAAAAAGATTTTTTTAAGCCTACAAATCTAGAAAATAGCCTCCAAAGGGCAAATCTAAGAGATATTGTCCTTAAAGAGAAAGTACAGAGAGAGATGGGGATAGAAAAATTATTCAAAGAGATAATAACGGAGAACTTCCCAAGCCTAGAGAAATATATCAATATTAAAATACCAAAAAAATTACAGAATACCAAGCAGATTTAGCACTAAAAAGACTACCTCAAGGCATTCAATAATCAATCTCCCAAAAGTCATGGATAAAGAAAGGATCCTAAAAGCAGTAAGAAAAAAAACAAATAACATTTAGTGCAACTCCAATACATCTTATGTAAACCATAAATATATACACCTACTATGTACCCAGAAAAAGTAAAAATTAAAATTAAAAAAAAACCTATGATGAGATAATAGCTTGCACCTGTTAGAATGGCTATTATCAAAAAAACTAAAGACAACAAGTATTGGTGAGAATGTAGACAAAATGGAACCCTGGTACACTGCTGGTGGGAATGTAGATTGGAATGGCCATTTCAAAAACCATATAGTGGTTCTTCAAAAATCTAAAAGGAGAATTACTGTTTGAGGCAGTAATCCCACTTCTGGGTATATGTGCAAAGGAAATGAAATCAATATGTCAAAAAGATATCTGCCCTCCCATGTGGCAATCTAATTGTCCATCAACGGATGCATGGATAAAGAAAAGTTAGTATATATACACAAGGAAATACTACATAGCCTTTAAAAAGAAGGAAATTCTGTCATTTGCATCAACATGGATGAAACTTGATGTCACTGCTAACTTAAACCAGGCACAGAAAGACAAATACTACATTATCTCACTTATATGTGGAATCTAAAAAAGTTGAACTCATAAAAGCAGAGTAAAATGGTAGTTACCAGGGGTTGTGGGTGGTGGTGAAGGTATTGGAGAGATAAAGAATAAAAAATTTCAGTTAAATAAAAGGAATAAGTTCAAGGAATCTATTGCACAACACAGTAACTATTGTTAATAACAACGTATTCTTGAAAATTGCTAAGAGATTTTAAGTGTTCTCACCACAAAAATGATAAGTATATGAGATAATGCATATAACAATTAGCTTTATTTAGCCATTTCACAATGTATACATATTTCAAAACATCATGTTTTAAGTGATAAATATGTATAATTTTGTCAATTTAAATAGTTAAATAGTTTTTTTAACTTTTATTTTAAGTTTAGGGGTACAAGTGCAGGTTTGTTACACAGGTAAGCTTGTGTCATGGAGCTTTGTTGTACAGATCATTTCGTCACTCAGGTATTAAGCCTAGTACCCATTAGATGTTTTTCCTGATCCTCTCCCTCCTCCCACACTCCACCCTCTGAAAGGCACCAGTGTGTCTTGTTCCCCTCTTTGCATCCGTGTGTTCTCATCATCTAGCTCCCACATATAAGTGAGAACATGTGGTATTTGGTTTTCTGTTCTTCTGTTAGTTTGCTAAGGAAAATGGCCTCTAGCTCCATCCATGTTCCTGCAAAGGACATGATCTCATTCTTTCTTATGGTTGCATAGTATTCTGTGGTGTACATATATATCACATTTTCTTTATCCGATCTATCATTGATGGACATTTAGGTTAATTCTATGTCTTTGCTATTGTGAATAGTGCTGCAACGAACATACACGTGCATGTGTCTTTATAACAGAATGATTTCTATTCCTCCCAGTAATGGAATTGCTGGGTCAAATCATATTTCTGTCTTTAGGTCTTTGAGGAATCATCACACTGTCCTCCCACAATGGCTGAACTAATTTACACTCCCACCAACAGTGTATAAAACATTTCTTTTTTTCCACAATCTTGCCAGCATCTGTTTTTTTTTTTTTTTTTTTTTACTTCTTAATAGTAGCCATTCCTGACTGGTGTTAGATGGTATCTCATTGTGGTTTTGATTTGCATTTCTCTAGTAATCAATGATGTTAAGCTTTTTTTTCATATGCTTGTTGGCCACATGTGTCTGCTTTTGAAAAGTGTTCATGTCTTTTGCCTACTTTTTAATGGGGATCTTTTTTCTTGTAAATTTGTTTAAGTTCCTTATAGATGCTGAATATTAGACCTTTGTTGGATGCATAATTTGTAAAAATGTTCTCACATTCTATAGGTTGTCTGTTTATTCTGTTGATAGTTTCTTTTGTTGTGCAGAAGCTCTTAAGTTTAATTAGATCCCATTTGTCAATTTTTGCTTTTGTTGCAATTGCTTTCAGCATCTTCATCATGAAATCTTTGCCTGTGCCAGAATCCTGAATGGTATTGCCTAGGTTGTCTTCCAGAGTTTTATACTTTTGGGTTTCACATTTAAGTCTTTAATCCATCGTAAGTTAATTTTTGTATATGGTATAAGGAAAGGGTCCAGTTTCAATCATATGGCTAGCCAGTTATCCCAGCACCATTTATTGAATAGGGGATCCTTTCCCCATTACTTGTTTTTATCAGGTTTGTTGAAGATCAGATTGTTGTAGGTGTGCAGTCTTATTTCTGGGTTCCCTATTCTATTCCATTAGTCTATATGTCTGTTCTTGTACCAATACCATGCTTTGGTTACTGCAGCCTTGTAGTACAGCTTGAAGTCGAATAGGGTGATGCCTCCAGCTTTGTTCTTTTTGCTTAGGATTGCCTTGGCTATTCAGGCTCTTTTTGCTTCCATATGAATTTTAAAATAATTTTTTCTAATTCTGTGAAGAATGTCAATGGTAGTTTAGTGAGAATAGCATTGAATCTATAAATTGCTTTGGGCTGTATGGCCATTTTAATGATGTTGATTCTTCGTGTCCATGAGCATGGAATGTTTTTCCATTTACTCGTGTCCTCTCTGATTTCTTTAAGCAGTGTTTTGCAGTTCTCCTTGTAGAAATCTTTCACCTCCCTAGTTAGTTGTATTTCTAGGTATTTTATTCTTTTTGTGACAATTGTGAATGGGAGTTCATTCACGATTTGGCTCTTGGCTTGACTGTTATTGATGTATAGGAATGCTAGTGATTTTTGCACATTGATTTCGTATCCTGAGACTTTGCTGAAGGTGCTTATCAGCTTAAAAAGTTTTTGGGCTGAGACTATGGGTTTTCCTAGATACAGTATTATGTCATGTGCATAGTTTGACTTCCTCTCTTCCTATTTGAATGCACTTTGTTTCTTTCTCTTGCCTGATTGTCCTGGCCAGAACTTCCAATACTATGTTGAATAGCAGTGGTGAGACAGAACACACTTCTCTTGTGCCAGTATTTCAAGGAAAATGCTTCCAGCTTTTGCCCATTCAGTATGATGTTGGCTGTGGGTTTGTCATATTTGGTTTCTATTATTTTGGGGTATGTTCCTTTAATACCTAGTTTATTGAAAGTTTTTAACATAAAACGGTGTTGAATTTTATTGAAAGCCTTTTCTGCATCTATTGAGATAATCATGTGATTTTTGTCTTTAGTTCTGTTTATGTGATGAATCACATTTATTGATTTGCATATGTTGAACCAAACTTGCATCCTGAGGATGAAGCCTACTTGATGGTAGTGGATAAGCTTTTGGATGTGCTACTGGATTCGGTTTGCCCCTATTTCCTTGAGGATTTTTGTATCCATGTTCATCAAGGTTATTGGTCTGAAGTTTTCTTTATTTGTTGTATCTCTACCAGGTTTTGGTATCAGGATGATGCTGGCCTCATAGAATGAGTTAGGGAGGAGTCTCTCCCTTTCAATTTTTTGGAGTAGTTTCGGTAGGAATGGTACCAACTCTTCTTTGTCCATCTGGTAGAATTCAGCTGTGAATCTGTCTGGTCCTGAACTTTTTTTGCTTTGTAGGCTATTTGTTACTGCCTCAATTTCAGGACTCATTATTGGTCTGTTCAGGGATTTAATTTCTTCCTGGTTCAGTCTTGGGAGGGCGTATGTGTCCAGGAATCTTTCCATTTCTTCTAGATTTTCTAGTTTATGTGCATAGAGATGTTTATAGTATTCTCTGATGGTTGTTTATATTTCTGTGGGGTCCGTGGTAAACTCTCCCATATTGTTTCTGATTGCGTTTACTTGAATCTTCTCTTTTTTCTTCCTTATTAGTCTAGCTCGTGGTCTATTTTATTGGTTTTATTTTTCAAAAAAAAAAAACTGCTTCTGGATTTGTTGATCTTTTGAATGTTTTTTTGTGTCTCTATCTCCTTCATTTCAGCTCTGATTTTGGTTATTTTTTGTCTTCTGCTAGCTTTGGGATTTGTTTGTTCTTGGTTCTCTAGTTCTTTTAGTTGTGATGTTAAGTTGTAAACTTGAGGTCTTTCTAAGTTTTTGATGTGGGCATTTAGTGCTATAAATTTCCCTCTTAACAATACCTTAGCTGTGTTCCAGAGATTCTGGTATATTGTATGTTTGTTCTCATTAGTTTCAAAGAACTTCTTGATTTCTGCCTTAATTTCATTATTTACCCAAAAGTCATTCAGGAGAAGGTTATTCAATTTTCATGTAATTGTATGGTTTTGAGTGAATTTTTTAGTCTTGATTTCTAATTTGATCGTGCTGTGGTCCAAGAGACTATTTGTTATGATTTCAGTTCTTTTGCATTTTCTGAGGAGTGTTTTACTTCCAATTATGTGATCAATTTTAGAATAAGTGCCATGTGGTGATGAGAAGAATGTATATTCTGATGTTTTGGAGTGGAGAGTTTTGTAGCTATCAATCAGATCCATTTGATACAGTGCTGAGTTCAAATCCTGAATATCTTTGTTAATTTTCTGTCTCAATGATCTGTCTAATATTATCAGTGGGGTTTTAAAGTCTCCAGCTACTATTGTGTGGGGTCTAAGTCTTTTTGAAGGTCTCTAAGAACTTGCTTTAAGAATCTGGGTGCTCCTGTGTTGAGTGCATATATATTTAGGATAGTTAGATCTTCTTGTTGAATTGAACCCCTTTACCATTATGTAAAAATGTCCTTGTCTTTTTTGACCTTTGTTGATTTAAAGTCTATTTTTTCAGAGCCTATAATTGCAACCCCTGTTTTTTTTTTTTTTTTTTCTGTTTTCTAGTGCTTGGTAGATTTTCCTCCACCCCTTTATTTCTAGCTTATATGTGTCATTGCGTGTGAGATGGGTCTCTTAAGACAGCATACCAATAGGTCTTGGTTCTTTTTTTTTTTTTTTTTTTTTTTTTTGAGACGGAGTCTCGCTGTCGCCCAGGTTGGAGTGCAGTGGCGCGATCTCGGCTCACTGCAGGCTCCGCCTCCCGGGTTCACGCCATTCTCCTGCCTCAGCCTTTTGAGTAGCTGGGACTACAGGTGCCCGCCACCTCGCCCGGCTAATTTTTTGTATTTTTAGTAGAGATGGGGTTTCACCGTGTTAGCCAGGATGGTCTCGATCTCCTGACCTCGTGATCCGCCCACCTCGGCCTCCCAAAGTGCTGGGATTACAGGCGTGAGCCACCGCGCCCAGCCAGGTCTTGGTTCTTTATCCAGCTTTCCACTCTGTGTCTTTTAATTGGGGCCTTTAGCCCATTTACATTTAAGGTTAGTATTGATATGTGTGGATTTGATCCTGTCATCATGATGTTAGCTGGCTATTTTGCAGACTTCTACATGTGGTTGCTTTATAGTGTCACTTATCTGTGTACTTCAGTGTGTTTTTGTAGTGGCTGGTAACAGTCTTTCCTTTCCATATTTAGTGCTTCTTTCAGGAGCTATTGCAAGGCAGGTCTGATGGTAATGAATTCCCTCAGCATTTGCTTGTCTAAAAAGGATCTTATTTCTCCTTCACTTATGAAGCTTAGTTTGGCCAGATATGAAATTCTGGGTTGGAATTTCTTCTCTTTAAGAATGTTGAATATTGGCCCTCAATCTCTTCTGGCTTTTAGGGTTTCCACTGAGAGGTCTACTGTTAGTCTAATGGGTTTCCCTTTGTAGGTGACCTGGCCTTTCTCTCTAGCTACCCTTAAAATTTTTTCTTTCATTTCAACCTTGGTGAAACTGATGATTATGTGTCTTGGGAATGATATTCTCATGGAGTATCTTACTGAGGTTCTCTGCATTTCCTGAATATGAATGTTGGCCTGTCTAGCTATGTTGGGGAAGTTCTCATGGATGATATCCTGAAATATGTTTTTAAAATTGGTTCCATTCTCCCCATCTCTTTCAGGTACACCAATCAGTCATAGACAGTCTCTTTACCTAATCGCACATTTCTCAGAGGTTTTGTTCATTCCTTTTCAATATTTCTTCTCTATTCTTGTCTGCTTGTCTTCAAGATCTCAGATTCTTTCCTCCACTTGGTCTATTCTGCTATTAATACTTGTGATTGCATTATGTAATACTTGTAGTGTGTTTTTCAGCTCTATCAGGTTGGTTACATTCTTCTCTATACTGGCTATTTTGTCTGTCAGCTCTTGTAATGTTTTATCAAGATTTTTAGCTTCCTTGCATTGGGTTATAATGTACTCCTTTAGCTCAGTGAAGTTTGTTTTTATCTATATGCTAAACTCTACTTCTGTCATTTCAGCCATCTCAGCTTCAGCCCAGTTCCAAATCCTTGCTGGAGAGGTGATGTGGTCATTTGGAGGAAAGAGTCCACTCTAGCTTTTTGAGTTTTCAGTGTTCTTATGCTGATTCTTTCTCATCTTTGTGGTCTTATCTACCTTCAATCTTCAAGGTTGCTTTGGATGGTTTTTTTTTTTTAAGTCTCATCACTTTTCCACAGGGCTGCTGTAGTTTGCTGGGGGTCCACTCCAGTCCCTAGTCACCTCAGATTTTCCAGTACCTGGAGGTACCACCAGTAAAGACTTCAAAACAGCAAAGATGGTAGCCTACCCCTTCCTCTGGGAGCTCTGTCCCAGGAAGGTAAGGAACTGTTGCTGGCCTGAATGCACCTGTAGGAGGTGGCTGGAGACTCCAATTGAGAGTTCTCATCCAGCAGGAGGAACAGGATCAGGCATCTGCTTAAAGAACCAATCTGGGCTGGGTGCGGTGGCTCATGCCCACACTTTGGGAGGCCAGGGCAGGTGGATCACCTGAGGTCAGGAGTTTGAGACCAGCCCGGCCAATATGGTGAAACCCCATTTCTACTAACACAAAAATTAGCCAGGCATGGTGGGACATGCCTCTAATCCCAGCTACTTGGGAGGCTGAGGCAGGAGAATCACTTGAACCCGGGAGGTGGAGTTTGCAGTAAGCCAAGATCACACCATTGCACTCCAGCCTGGGTGACAAGAGTGAAACTCTGCCTCCAAAATAAATAAATGAATAAGCAATCTGGCCACACTTTTGTTGAGCAGCTCTGCTGTGCTGGGGCACCACTTCCACCCCAAGTTGGCTTGGGCTTTCTAAAGCCTGGAGGTTGAAACAGCTAAGTCACTCAAATAGCAAAGATGGTGGGCTGCCCCTTCCTCTGGGAGCTCTGTCCCAGGAAGTTTTCAAATCTCTGTCAGCCAAAAAACACCAGTGGGGGTGACTGGAGGCCACAGATGGGAGGAACAGATTGGGCACCCACTTACCAAAGCAGTCTGGCCATATTTTGGTAGAGCAACCGTGCTATGCTGGGAGACCCCTTCTGCCTTCCGTCTGTTTGGACTCTCCAAAGCCCACAGGCTGGAATGGCTGAGTCATCCAAGCAGCAAAGATGGTGGCCTGCCCCTCCCCTCTGGAAACTCCATCCCAGGTAGGCACAACACTGTTGCTGGTAGCTGGCTGGAATTGCAAGCCAGTGGGTCTTATCCTGTGAGGTGCCATGGAAGTGAGGCCCATAGACCATCGCTGCTCAGCCCTTTGGATTCACCTTATTTCCTAGGGGGTATGTGTGGAGGTCTAACCTTCTGCTCCATTAGAGTTGCAGTTACTTTTGCTGGGAAGCCCAGAGCTGGAGTATGAAAAGCTCCTGGGTCTCTGTGTGTGCCTGAGTGGCTGCTCTGCCAAGACTCTATGTAGCTCTGTGTGTCAGACTGACGGCCCTGGTGGAGTGGGTTTACAAGGGGATCTCTTGACCTAAGGATTACAAAGATCCATGGGAAAAGTGTGGTTTCCCAAGGTTGCACATTCACTCACTGCTTCCCTGGGTGGGAGGGGTTCCCTTGGCTCCATGTTGCTCCTGAGTGGGTTGTTGTATTGCGTGACTTTCCTCCATTCTCTATGGGTCAAGTTTTTCCTTTATTAGTCCCAGTGTGAGTACCTGGACGTTTCAGTCAAAGGTGTTGTATTTACTCACCCCTTTCACTCCTCTCCATGACAGCCAGGCACCCTAGCTATTTCTAGTCAGCCATCTCGGCCAGTCCCACCAAATAATTTTTTTCAGTACAATTATTTATAGGATTTGGATGCTGAAAGCTACAAATAACTGATGGAAAAAAAATAAAAGAAGATATAAGATGAGAGACAAAAGGTGTTCATGGATTTGAAGACTCAACATAATAAAGATGTCAATTCTCTCCAAACTGATACACAGATTTATCTAAATTCCTGTAAAAATTCCAGAAGATTTTCTACAGATATATACAAGATTAGTCTAAAATGTATATATGGAAAGTCAAATAAACTAGAAGAGCTAATATAATCTTGAAAAAGAAGAATAAAGTGAAAGAAATCACTCTACCCAATTTTAAGATTTCATATAGCTACTGTAATCAAGATTGTGTGGTATTGACAGAGGAGTAGACACATAGATCAATGGAATAGAGTAGAGAACCTAGAGAACCCAGACATAGCAACATACAAGTACAGATAAGTAATTTTTGACAAAGATGCAAAAGCATTTCAATGGATGAATACCCTTTTCAAAAAATGGTGCTGGAACAATTAGACATCTATCAGCAAATATATAAACCTTGACTTAACCTTATACCTGATACAAAAATTGACTCAAAATGGATCATAGATTTAAATATAAAACTTTAAACTATAAAAATTTCATAAGAAATCATAGGAGAAAATCTTTGGGATCTAGGGTTAGGTGAAGAGTTCTTACACTTGTTAAATATTTCTAATTGGGAGACCATTAGACTGGGTCTAATTAGGAGACCATTAGACTACGGCTTTGACACTTTAAATTTTTACATGAACAAACCAAGGCCCAAGGTACACAGTAAATTAAAACTAGAAATTGTACCAATCAGAAATCACCAACTAACCTCTAACTAGGGATTTTCACTCTAACCAATCAAAATTGTTTATTAGTCTTGCTTCTGCAAACAAGCAGGTAAAAAAGTCAGAGAATCAGAGTATACAGAGGGGAATAGAAAGATCTATCTTTCTGTTCTCAAACTGTATAACCTATGTGCCAATAGAGGCTTCTAAGGTATCTATCTTCCTCTCTATTCTCAAACTTTATAGACGTTTCCCCTCTTGCCCCTCCTGGCAGAGTGCTAGCTGTTTGCAGTCTGATGCTGCTCCAATTCATGAATCACTGAATGCTCAAATAAACTCTTTAAAATGGAAATGTACCAAAGTTTTTCTTTTATTAGATCTGGTGTCAGAAGTTGGATCCCAGGGAGACTGCCTGATGATGATCTCTAGGAGGAACAAGCAAACAGATATAGGTACCCCACTGAACTCCTGGTGCTCATTGCCTCTTGCTTTGTAGTTGGAGGTCATCACCAGTAAGACCTCTCAGATGCACTAGCTCTACAACTTGTGTCAAGTTCACAGAGTTTATTTGAGCATTTTTTTAATCCAGATTGGTTTCAGAAGTCATGATAGAAACTAGACTGTGTCCTGTAGAGAGGCTTCAGGTGTCTGATTGGGTCAAACAGAAACTGAATTGGGTTTAGTAAAGGACTCTGGTAGGAAAGGTTCCAAGAAGACAGAAAATAATGAATTTATTTAAATACGGAGAGTCTGAGACTTCATGTCAGAACCTGTGCCTTTCTAGAGAAATGGGTGACTATTATCAAAAATAATTTAGAATTTTGATGGCTGCAGTGTGGAAGTTTTAACCTAAACAAAATTGCTTATCTACTGGGCACAAAAAAAGGGGGAGAGATCCTGAATACTTCAGAAACAACTGGATGTATTTTGAATTGGCACATAGAGGCTTCTAAGGTGTCTTTCTCTCTGTTCTCCTCTGTGTACTCTGAATCCTCTGACTTTTTTACTTGGTTACCTACACATCCTTCATAAAAAAAAAAAAAAGAAACCTAGATAAGCACTTACAAAAGTTAGAACAACCAGATACGCTTTTTAACCACTCTTATGCCTTGGACAGAATCTTAAGCTCAGAACAATAATGAAACGTATCCCTGTTCAACATAGAAAATGCTTTGCCTAAAAAAACAACAACGACAAATAATAGAGAAGGAAGCTACAGGTTTAGCTAAATTAGCTGAACATTTCAAAGGAAAAGATATTAAACAAAAGGCTTTCAAATTAATTGCCTTGCAATAACAATAACAACTCCAGGTCAACCAGCAGCCTAGAATGACCTTTGGACTTCTCCTAATAAGCGACTTTTAAATTGGCTGCTTATCTGCTTCTGTTCATATGTTTATATATGTCTTTGTATGAATGTATGTACGTCTGAACATTACATATATGTTCTATTTTATGGTATTACTAAACCATTTTATAAAATCTTTTAAGGGTGTTCCATTCAAATTGGCTGGGGCATAAATGAGGGCTCATGTAAGTTAACTATTTCAAAAATCTCAGAAATATAAAACTAACCCAAAAGTATTTTTTCTAAGTTCACATGATTTAGGTAGATCATTGGTAAATAAAGCTTGTTTTAAAATTGTTGATAAAATAAAAATAGGAATGTTTTCAAAATTGTTTGTTTTTCCTGGGTTGCTGGTCAGACAGGTTTGTGTCTGCTAGATGTTTAAGACCGCAAAACCATAAATCCAAACTAAGAGCAAAACATGCAGTAAAAATGAATGCACATCAATCACAGACATAAAAAATTTTAAAAAGGGAACAGTGATGTTTAACTTTTTAAGTTTCTTCACTTCTGTGATATTTTTCATACTTGCCTGATTTGTCGACAAAAATATAATAAATAAGATGATAGTGTAGAGGAGAGAAGACTTTTTCCTCTGAGGCTTTGATAACTGACAGCAGGCAAATTAACAGAAGAAAAGGTATACAGATTTATTGGGATGGGGGTGGCAGTTATCACAGGAAAGAAAACAAATTCACCCACCCCGCACCAAAAAGCAGTGAGATTTAGGAGCTTGTATGTCCTCTTCATAGGGAAGAGAGGAGGGAGAATGTAGACAATTTAGGGGAGATTAAATGATTTGAGGGAAAGATAAATAGGCCCCAAGAGGAATAGATGACAGTTTGTGATAGTTTGTCTGGATATAGTGTCAACTTCTAGTTTTCTCTCCTTTGATAGGAGTTGATCTTCTCTGGGTGTTGGATCTCTATTTAGGCAGATAAGGGGAATCCAGAGAAAAGCTCTCCCTGCATTTGCTATTTTTTAAGTACCTTCAGCCTGAAGTGATTATATACCAAAGTGGCATATTTCGCGGTGGCCTTCCTTGAAGTCCTTCAGTGGCTAGCTTTGTTTAATGTCTCATGAAATTTTTCATGACCAATTCAAGCATAATTGTTAAGAACAAGTGATAAGGAGGAGGTGGAGCAAGGTGGCCAAATAGAAGCCTCCATCAATCATCCTCCCCACAGTAACACCAAATCTGACAACTATGTACACAAAAAAGTACCTTCATAAGAGCAAAAAATCAGGTGTATGATCAAAGTACTTGGTTTTAACTTCATATTGCTGAAAGAGGCACTGAAGGGGGTAGGAAAACCCGTCTTGAATTGCTGACACCACCATCCCCATCCCCATGGCAGCAGCCACATGATGTGGAGAGAGAATCTGTGTGCTTAGGGGAGGGAAAATCAGTGACTGTGGGACTTTGCATTGGAACTCAGTCCTGCCAACATCAGGCAGAACTCAGCCAATGCCCACAGAGGAAACATTTAGATCAGCTCTATGCAGAGGGGAACCACCCATCCTAGTGCTCAAAATATGAATTTTGGCAAGCCTCACCACCGTGGGCTAAAGTGCTATGGGATCCTAAATAAACCTGAAATGCTATCTAGGCCACAAGAACTGCGACTCCTAGGCGAATCCTAGTGCTGTGCTGGGCTCGAAGCCAGTGAATGTGGGGGGCATGCAACCTGATGAGACACAGGTTGAGGTGGCTAAGGGAGTGCTTTCGTCACCCCTCCTCCACCTCAAGGCAGTGCAGCTTGTAGTTCCAAAAGAGACCCCTTCCTTCCACTTGAGGAGAGAATAGGGAAGAGTAAATGAGACTTTGCTTTGCAACTTGGATACCACCTCAGCCACAGTAGAATAGAGCACCAAGCAGAGCTGTGAGATTCATTCCAGACCCTAGCTCCCAGATATTTCTGTACACACCCTGGGCCAGAAAGGAACCCACTGCCTTGAAAGGAAGAACCCAGTCCAGGCAAGATTCATCACCATATGACTAAAGAGCCCTTGGGTTCGGAATAACCGAGTGGTAGTGGTAGTAGTGGTAACCAGGTAGTATACGCCGTGGCCCTTGGGTGAGACTCAGACGTGCTGGCTTCAGGTGAGACTTAGCACATTCTCATCTGAGGTGGTTAAGGGGCAAAACTCCTTCTATTTGAGAGAAGTGGAGAGAAGAGTAAGGAGACTTTGTCTTGCATCTTAGGAACCAGCTCAGCCACAGAGAAGTAGAGCACCAAGCAGGCTTTTTAGGGTCACTAATCCAGGTCTTGGCTCTTAGATGGTATGTCTGGACTGACCCTGGACAAGAGAGAAGCCCACTGCCCTGAAGAGTGAGTCCCAGGCCAGGCAGCATTCAGCACAAGCTGATTGAAGAGCCCTTGGCCTTAACTGAATATCAGTGGTACCCTGGCAGTACTTTCTGTGGGCCTGTGATAGTGGTGGACATAGGGATAGACTCCTCTACCTTAGGAAAGGGGAAGAAAGAGTAGGAAGGACTTCATCTTGTGGTTTTTGGTGCCAGTTTAGCTGCAGTATAGTAGAGCACCAGGTAGATTTTTAAGGTTTCTGACTCTGACTCCAGCATCTCTAGATCTTCCTAGGGCCCTGGGAAACTTGCCACCATGAAGGAAAGGACACAAGACTGAATGGCTTCACAAACTGCTGATTGTAGAGACCTAGGACCTTGAGCAAATATAGATGGTAACCAGGTAGTGGTTATAGCGGGCCTTGGGCAAGACCCAGTGCTGAGCTGGCTTCAGGTCTGACCCGGCACAGTCCCAGTGGTATAGTCACAGGAGTGCTTGTGTTACACATCCCTCAGCTCCAGGCAGCTCAGCACAGAGAGAGAAACTCTGTTTGGGAGAAAGTAAGGAAAAAGGACAAGAGTCTCTGGTAATCTAGAGAATTCATCCAGATCTTATCCAAGACCACCAAGGCAGTAACTCTATGAGTCCACAAGAACTACAGCATTACTGGGCTTGGGGTGCCCCCTAATGCAGATATGGCTGCAGTGACCAAAAACTTAGATCACAACACCCAAGTCCCTTCAAAAACCTGGAAAACCTTCCCAAGAACTTCAGGTAAAAATAAGCCCAGACTGTGAAGACTACAATAAATACCTAACTCTTCAATTCCCAGATGCCAAAGAACATCTATAAGCACCAGTACCATTCAGGAAAACATTACTTCATCAAGTGAACTAAATTAGGTGCCAGGGGCCAATTTGGCAGAGACAGAGATATGTGACCTTTTAGACAAAGAATTCAAAATAGCTGTGTTGAGGAAACTCAAAGAAATTCAAGATAACATTCTTGAACATTTCTTTTCAAAGTACCTGGTTTTAACTTCACATTGCTGAAAGAGGCACTGAAGGGGGTAGGAAAATCAGCCTTGAATGGCTTACACCACCACCCCTATCCCCATGGCAGCAGCCACATCATGTGGAGAGAGAATCTGTGTCCTTGGGGGAGGGAACATTTATTTTTAGGGAAGGAAATCAGAATCCTATCAGATAAACTCAACAAAAAAACTGAAATAATTAAAAAAGAATCACGCAGATATTCTAGAGTTGAAAAGTGAAATTGACATGCTGAAGAATGCATCAGAGTCTCTCAACAGCAGACTTGATCAAGCAGAACAAAGAATTAGTGAGCCTGAAGTCAGGCTATTTGAAGATACGCAGTCAGAGGAGACAACAGAAAAAAAGAATTTAAAAAAAGCATGACTACAAATATAGAAATTAGCCTTAAAAGAGCACATCCAAGAGATACTGCCCTTAAAGAGGAAGTAGAGAGAAAGATGGAAATAGAAAGTTTATTCAAACAGATAATAACAGAGAACTTCCCAAACCTAGAGAAATACATCAATATTCAAATACAAGAAGCTTATAGAACACCAAGAAATTTTAATACAAAGAAGACTACCTCAAGTCATTCAATAATTAAACTCTCAAAGGTCAAGGATAAAGAAAGGATCCTAAAAGCAGCAAGGGAAAAGCAACAAATGACATACAATGGAACTCCAATACATCTGGAAGCAGACTTTTCAGTGGAAACCTTGCAGGCCAGAAGGGAGTGGCATGACATATTTAAAGTGCTGAAGGAAAAAACTTTTATCCTAGAATAGTAATATCCGGTGAAAATGTCCTTCAAACATAAAGGAGAAATAAAGATTTTCCCAGACAAACAAAAGCTAAAAGATTTCATCAACACCAAGCCTGTCCTACAAGAAATGCTAAAGGGAGCTCTTCAAGCAAAAGAAAAGAACATTAATGAGCAATAAGAAATCATCTGAAGGTATGAAACTCACTGGTAATAATAAGTACATAGAAAAACACAGAATATTATAACACTGTAATTGTGGTGTGTAAACTCATATTTTAAGTAGAAAGGCAAAAACATAAACTGATCAAAAATAATAACTACAACAATTTTTCAAGATGTAGTACAATAAGATATAAATTGAAACAACAAAAAGTTAAAAAGCAGGGAGACAGAGTTGTGTAGAGTTTTTATTAGTTTTGTTTTTGTTTGTTTGTTTATGCTATCAGTGTTAAGTTGTCATTGGTTTAAAATAACGGGTTATAAGATGTTCTTTGCAACCCTCATGGTAACCCCAAACCAAAAAACATACAACAAATACACAAAAAATAAAAAGCAAGAAATTAAAACATACCACCAGAGAAAATTACCTTCACTAAAAGGAAGACAGGGAGGAAAGAAAGAAGAGAAGACCACAAAACAATCAGAAAAAAATTAATAAAATGACAGGAGTAAGTCCTTACTTATCAATAATAACACTGAATGTAAATAGTGTAAATTCTCCAATCAAAAGTTATAGAGCAGGTGAATGAATAGAAAAACAAGACCCAATGATCTATTGCCCACAAGAAACACACTTCACCTATAAAGACACACATAGACTGAAAATAAAGGGATGGAAACAGATATTCCATGCAAATGGAAAACAAACAAGAGCAAGAGTACCTATACTTATATCAGACAAAATAGATTTCAGGTCAAACACAATAAGAAAAGACAAAGAAGGTCATTATATAATGATAAAGGGGTCAATTTAGCAATTTTAAATATATGTGCACCCAACACTAGAGCACCCAGATATAGAAAGCAAATAATAGCCAAAACTATCCTGGGCAAAAAGAATAAAACCGGAGGAATCATATTACCTGACTTCAAATTATACTACAGAGCTATAGTAACCAAAACAGCATGGTACCGGCAGAAAAACAGACACATAGAACAATGGAACACAACAGAGAATGCAGAAACAAATCCACACATCTACAGTAAACTCACTTTAGACAAAGGTGCCAAAAACATACATTGGAGAAAGGACAATCTCTTCAATAAATGGTGCTGTGAAAATTGGATATCCATATGCAGAAGAATGAAACTAGACCCCTATCTCTCGTTGTATGTCAAAATCAAATCAAAATGGATTAAAGACTTAAATCTAAGACCTCAAACCATGAAGCTACTACAAGAAAACATTGGGGAAAATCTCCAGGACATTGGACTGGGCAAAGATTTCTTGTATAATACCCCACAAGCACAGGCAACCAAAGCAAAAAATGGGCAAATGGGATCACATCAAGTTAAAAAACTTTTGCACAGCAAAGGAAACTATTAACAAAGTGAAGAGACAACCCACAGAATGGGAGAAAATATTTGCAAACTATTTATCTGACAAAGAATTAATAATCAGAATATATAAGGAGTTCAAACAACTCTATAGAAAAAAATTCTAATAATCTGATTATTTAAATGGGCAAAAGATTTGAGCAGACATTTCTCAAAAAAAAAAATGTAGAGATGGAAAACAGGTTTATGAAAAGGTGCTCAACTACAGTGAGATATTTTCTCACCCCAGTTAAAATGGCTTTTATCCAAAAGTCAGGCAATAACAAATGCTAGAGAAAATGTGGAGAAAAGGGAACCCACATACACTGTTAGTGGGAAGGTAAATTAGTACAACCACTATGGAGAACAGTTTGGAGGTTCCTCAAAAAACTAAAAATTGAGTTACCATGTGGTTCAGCAATTGCACTATATACCCTAACAGGGTATATACTCAAAAGAAAGGAAATCAGTATATCAGAGCGGTATCTGTACTCTCAGGTTTACTGTAGCACTATTCACAATAGCCAAGATTTGGAAGCAACCTAAGTGTCCATCAACAGACAAATGGATAAAGAAAATGTGGTACATGCACACAGTGGAATACTATTCAGCCATTAAAAATAATGAGATCCTGTCATTTGCATCAACACAGATGGAACTGGAGATCATTATGTTAAGTGAAATAAGCCAGGCATAGAAAGACAAAATTCACTTGTTCTCACTTATTTGTGGGAATCTAAAAATAAAATCAGTTGAATTCATGGAGATAGAGAGTAGAAGGATGGTTACCAGATAGAAAGGGTAGAAGTATGGAAAGGAAGGATGGAAAGTAGAAGGACGGAAAGTAGAAGGACGGAAAGGGTAGTGAGGGTGTCGGGGGAGGGGAAGTGGGGATGGTTAATGGGTACAAAAAATAGTTACAAAGAATGAATAAGATCTAGTATTTGGTAGCACAACAGGGTGACTACAGTCAATAATAATGTAATTGAACATTTTTAAATAACTGAAAAAGTATAATTAGATTGTAACACAAAGAATACATGCTTGAAGGGATGGATACCCCATTCACCCTTATATGATTATTACACATTATATGCCTGTATCAAAATATCCCATATACCCCATAAATATATATACCTACTATGTGCCCACAAAAATTAAAAATTAAAAAAAACAATGAATTGGGTAAATGTAAATGAAATAAAAGTCTATAAACTTCAAAAATAATTATGTTTTATGAAATATGTCTACTAAAAATTGTTCCAAAAATCTTTTTTTGTAACTTGAAATCTTTTTTTCTAATTTTTTTTTTTTTATTTTGAGATGGAGTCTTGCTCTGTCTCCCAGGCTGGAGTGCAGTGGCGTGACCTCAGCTCACTGCAACCTCCACCGCCTCTGGGGTTCAAGCAATTCTCCCGTCTCAGCCTCCTAAGTAGATGGGACTACAGGTGCATGCCACCATGCCTGGCTACTTTTTGTATTTTTAGTAGAGACGGGGTTTCACCATAATGGGCTGGTCTCAAACTCCTGACCTCAGGTGATCCACCTGCCTCCGCTTCCCAAAGTGCTGAGATTACAGGCATGAGCCACCACACCCGGCCGGTAACTTGAAATCTTAAAGTTATGCTATGTTCAATTAAGTAATAAATATTCAATAAATATTGAAGCCATTTCTGAGTAAGTTAAAACATTAAAACATTAACTGCTGAACATAAGATTAAAGTATATATACTTTGGCGTCTTGTTTTTATACAGTATAGAGAAGCTAAATATATTTGGGTCTGCTAATAAACATGAAAGATTATATATGACATGATGTTTATTTACAAAATGCTGATATGAAACTGTTTATAATGCTTACTAGTTTTCACTAGAAATTAAGGTTACTAAGAATTTAAAATTCTAATTAATATATGTAATTAAAACTTCTAGAAATAATAAGGGCAACAACTGTATATGTGAAGGAAGTAAGGCATGTTTTGTCAAGGAAGTTTAAGTATAAGGGTGTATTTTTGTTAAGAGAAAAAAAAGAATAATTTTTGTCCTAAATTAGAGTGATTAATTGTTCTACAATGGGAGAGAGGAAGAGTATAGGACAAACTAAATTGATATAAGAAAGTATAGACAGTTTAAAATTTGAAAAAGGAACTTCATGTGTTGTCAAGCTCGCTAAAACTGAATGAAATTTATTAGAAGGGTTTTTAAAAATTAGCTTTAATATCAAAAGTACATTGATACAAAGCTAGACACTGGCTTTTTTTCTGTTGAAAGAACAAAGTTTTCTTGGTGAAAGGTTTTTCTTATCTTTTAAGTGATCTACCTTACAAAGATTTGTGTTTTATCAGGATAATTTCTTGTGCTTCGTGTTGTCTTTTACTAGGTCTTTGTTTATATACATATATATAAAAATGAGTATTCTCAACATTAAAAGAGCTAAGTTTTTTTACAGCTATATAACCTTTCTGTATTTGCCTCTCATTGTTTCATAATGACTAATGATCCTATTTAATCAAGTGTTTTAGACTTTTTGATATTTTTTACAAACTTCCCAAAATAAGCTTCTAAATTAAGTCTTTTTGACCTAGAACTAACTTTGGGACATTCCAGAGGACCCCTGTAATGTCTGAAAAGATCTGTGCATAATTTTTGATAGTAGATTGTAGCCATATTTGTTGTTTTTGAGTTTTATTGTCTATTTGTAGACTGGACTGAATTCTGAATTCATCTTTATTCCTCCAATCCAATTTTTTCCCATTTTTCAGACTTGAAATCACTCAGAACAAGATGTGCTCTGTTCCTGAAACCCTGCCAGGCAGTTATAGACAACTTGATGTGACTTCTGAGGACAACCCTTATGCCTGATATGTGGACCACTCAGGAAGATCATTGAAACCCTCAGTACCATAACCAGAGACATTCAAACTGCAAACCAGAAAAATATGTTTCAAGCTCAAATCTAGCAATCTTGTTAACTAAATTTCCTCTGGACTCAGACTGAATTTATAGTTTGCTCTAGTCATTGACCTTTGGTTTTCTTTTGTTTCTCTAGAAATGTTAGTTGAGTTGGTTTGTGAGGACCTTGGCTAAGGAACATACTGCAGTCTTTCAGTATTATCCTCCTGGTAGTCATCATAATCTCCCTGGTGAACTACATTCACTTGAGGGTCTTAAATGTGTGTTCACAGTCATCAACGGTATGCCAGATGATCTCACTGTAATTAGAGCAACAAAAATGAGATGAACAACAAAAGGAATCTTTCCTCAATGAGCTTGATGTTGTGACTTATGAGTTTCACACTGAGACAAGGACAACTTAGCCATGATGGTCACAGAGAGTGGAGCTTATGCCCAAGTTTTAGTCAATATCTCTTAAATGAGAGGCTGATCAAAAAGGATGAATTATGTTTTAAAATTCTAATTGGAAGGCCATTAGACTGAGGTGGCTCTGGCACTTTAAATTCCTGTGTGAACAAACCAAAGCCTAATGTAAATAGTAAATTTAAACTAGAAATTGTACCAATCAAAAAAATCACCAATTAATCTCTAACTAGGGACTTTCCACTCTAACCAATAAAAATTGTTTTCTTTGTCCTGCTTCTGCAAACACTATAAAAGTTTCCTTTCTTGCCCCTCCCAGCAGAATGTTTGCAGTCTGATACTGCCCTGATTCATGAATCGCTGAATATTCAAATAAACTCTTTAAAATTTAAATGTGCTTAAGTTTTTCTTTTATCACACCTGACACCAAAAGCATGATTCAAAAAGAAAAAATTAACAAATTGGACTTCAAAATCAAAACTTTCACTCTGCAGAAGACTCTGTTAAAAGAATAAAAGACAAGTTAGCCCTGGGGAGAAAATATTTGCAAGCCACATATCCAACAGAGGACTCGGATCTAGAATATATAAACAAGCGTCAAAACTCACCAATAAAAAGCAAACATGACCAGACATTTTACTGAGGAAGCTATACAAATGCTAATAAGCACGTGCTTCATCATCAGAAAATTGCCTTTACCTGCTCTTCCCACCAATCTTTAGCAAAACTTGTCAATTGTCCAGAGGCAATCCCCACTCCCTCTTACCTCCCTTTTCCTCACCCCCAGCCCCATCTTCCTATGCACTTTCTCATATTTTCAAACCGTGCCCCGCTCCCCACCTCCACCCTCTCACAGAATGTGAGGCAGCCTGACTTCCCTGATTTGGTTCTCAGAGGTTCTCTCTACTCCCAAATTAGCACTTCCATCTACTCCATGCTGCGGACCTTATCTTGGTATCCTGAGGAAGGCAATCCTGGGGCAGTTAAATCCTACCAAATCCGGCCAAGCCACCCCGAGAAGTGAAGCAAGTTGGTAAAGGAAGAGAAGCTTTCAGGTCTGTGGGAGAGGGATAGACACAGCTGTGTGCTGTCAGAGGGCTCTTTCTGGTGCTCCCCTCATCATGCCACAGAGGCCACCGGGTTCTTTCTGGTCTCTTGTTCTCAGACCAGCAAGAGAAGATGGACTAACCTGAGGTTTTCTCTTCCCTAAGCAGCAAAAAGCTTTCAAATCAGTGCTAAATGTGCCAGTTAATGGCAAGCAAGCTAACCTCTAGTTATTTCACAGGCAAATATGGTAAAAGTGGGGGAAGGAGGGCTGATTAAGGGGCAGGACAAATGACCTAGCACAGAGGGGTCAAAAATTGGGGTGCACGTGTAATCCATAGGGACAGATAAACCTGGAATTAAAACAGTGGAGGGTGGAGGCTTTCAGGATCCTTTGAAACTCCCAGGTGGAACGCAGGTTGGACACACATCCTGCATGGACCTTTCCTGCCCTGCCGGGATATCCTGTGTTTGTCAAAAGGACCACACAGGGAAGCCCTGACAATTGTCCTTCCCGAAATCTGCCAGCGAGCCCCTCCCCAGCCTGAAGCAGCCACCCCCGGCAAAGGAAGAGTAACTCTGGAAACAGCGTTATCAGCATCCTCCACTGACTTCCTCACCTCCTCCCCAGCCTCATTAGCCCCAAGCTCCTCAGCATCCTCAAAGAGAAACCTGGGAGGCTGGGATGGGGTCAGCACCCAGAAGCCAGCCCCCTCTGACAGCTTCCTCTTTGGCCAAGCCCTGCCTCTGTACAGCCTCGAGTGGACAGCCAGAGGCTGCAGCTGGAGCCCAGAGCCCAAGATGGAGCCCCAGCTGGGGCCTGAGGCTGCCGCCCTCCGCCCTGGCTGGCTGGCCCTGCTGCTGTGGGTCTCAGCCCTGAGCTGTTCTTTCTCCTTGCCAGCTTCTTCCCTTTCTTCTCTGGTGCCCCAAGTCAGAACCAGCTACAATTTTGGAAGGACTTTCCTCGGTCTTGATAAATGCAATGCCTGCATCGGGACATCTATTTGCAAGAAGTTCTTTAAAGAAGAAATAAGGTCAGAATATCAATCAAATAACTCTGAATCACAAAATTCTGTTCCCTTCTTGTGAAGATGTCCAGGAATTTGTTGAAAAGGAATCAGGATGTAATATGGGTGGGAGCTGAAACAAATCCATTTAATCAGAGTGGTAATGGTCTGAAGTTGGGGTGGGTAAGAGGGCAAGATGTGAAGCCAAATTCCAGCCCTAAATGCTAAATCCAACATTTCCTTTTGAACTGAAAGCTTGAAGTTTTCTTTCCTATGAATGGAGTAGCCTGGGACTGTTGAGTTTATCAAGTTCATTTCTCACAGTGGGCGGGAAATAAAATTTATAGAAAGCCTACAATGTGACACCTATTTTAAATCATTGTGAGAGTTAATGGTGTTCCCCCATTATTGAGGTGGTAAGCTGAGACATAGCCAGATAAAGTGACTTCAGTGGGGGGAAATGGGTAACTCTGTGAGATGATGGGACCCATTTCACTATATATATGTATCTTACAACATCGTGTTGTATACTTTAAATATACACAATAAAATTTATTTTTTAAAAAAGATTAAGTAACTTGCACAAGGTCACCACCGAATAAGTAGCAGCTGTGGAATTCAAACCAGGACGGTTTGCTCCAAAGTTTCTGAGCCAGCTTTCTGTTGTGAGAGATTGCCTTGATCAGAGGAAAACTGGAGCTTAGTAAATTGCAATGCACATGGCTCTCAGCAAAGAATGGCATCACACTTGGAATTTAAGCCTATCAACACACAGTCCATGAGCCTTTACCACAGCCAAACTCTAGCAGGTACTGGGGTGACAGCAACTATAACTCTGGTCATTGCCTTCCTGGAGGTCAGGACAAGGGGGTCATGTTATAAATAATAATAATAAGGCTTTGTCTGATGCAGGGCAGTGTAAAGGACCTCCAGGAGCTCCATTAATTCCAAATGGGAACTGGGGAAGGGCTTCCCCAGGAGAAGGTATTCTGAGCAAAGCCTTTTAAAGGATGAGCTGAAAAGTAACGGGAAGTGAAGGGCTTAAGGTGGAAGTAACATCTTAAGCAAAGGTGTGGGAAGAAGTGAGAGGTGCTTAGCTAGAGCATGGGGTGTATGTGGAGGCATGACAGAGGAGGAGGTTGAAGGGATATATGGGGCAGGGGGTCTTTAATTGCCATGCCAAGGAATTGGGGCCTTAATCTTGTGGACCAGTGGTTTCCAGTCTTTTTAGTACCAAAGACCCTTTGTCATATATATGCCCTTTCTCCTCCATCTTCCTCAAAGGACCTAACTTACGCTTTTAAGATTTGGTGACCAAACAAAAGGCATTAATTAACAATGATTTTATTTGCAATCTGTATTAATCAAAGACATCTTTGCTTACTCAACCAAATTACTAAATAGAAATAATAGATAGAAATACCAATCAAAAATGTTAAACTTCTTTTGTGAGGTATTTTATGGAGTTGGTGTGGACTTTTCCTATTAAGCCTTTTTAAAGGCATATTAAGCGTTTTTAAAGGCATTTTTGAAAGACCACTGATTGAGGAATCTCTACTGCAGGCCATGCTGAGAGTGTTAGGCTGGGGAGGGGCAACATGAGACCTGTGATTTGGGAAGAGCTCGTGCAAAGTGGACAGGACGGACTGGTGGTGTTGGCAGGGGCTGTGAGACCAGTTGCCATAGTCCAGGACACAAGTCACTGGGAACAAAGTAGAACAGGAAGGATACAGGTCAGTTCAGCTATAGAGTCATCCTGTTGACCAACACTATGCGAGAGGAAATAAATATGCAGATGTTGGATGTGAACTCAAGGTTTTCCGCCTAGGAAAAGAGATAAAGAGGACCAAGAACACAGGTGAAGCAATGCTGATTCCTTGGAGAGAGGCAATAAGAAGGCAGACATATTTTTTAAAAGGAGGGAGAGAAATTTAAGGATTCAACTGAGGAAGAGCTCTAGGATGACTGCATATTCACCAAAGGGCAATAAATGAAGTTTTTCTTACTAGCATTTGGCAGATGCTAGCCAAAATCAGAAAGCATTTCCCTAAATAGGTTTGCATTCCGTTAGAGTCCAGGATATTACTTCATCTCCCTTAGAATTCATGTTCCATGTGCCCGTGAAAGGGAAGTGTGCAGATACAAGCAGGAAAACACCAGGCAGGGCAGATTGGGGTTTATAGCTCTGCACATTGAGAATGGTCATCCTCAGCACAAAGAGGCAGAGAGAGGCAGTCAGTGGGTCTGGGGAGGTGGTCCTGTTTAGAGTCCTTTTCTCTACAATATAAATACCTTTTTTCTTATTATCAAAGTCGTGCCTGTTTATTTTAGTATTTTCAGGAAAGGTTGATTAAAGAAAGCACAAAATAAAATCACATATAATTCTTCCACCAAGAGATCACCCCTTAGTCAACATTTTGTTGCATTTCCTTGCCACCCTTTTTCTAAGTGTGAATTAAGAAATTTTTTAACAAAAATGTGAACATGCTGTGTATACTTTTTGGAAACTACTATTTAACAGTATATCAGGAACATCTTTCCACATTATTAAATGATCTTCCACACACTTTGATTTTTAACAGGTTCATGGTATTCAATTGCATCAATCAACCATAATTTATTTAACTATTTAAGCATAACTTATTTAATTATTTAACTATAATTTATTAAAACCACCACTGTGAAACTAGAGTTTTTTTATTTCATTTTTTGGTATTATAAACAGTTCTATGTCAAACATCCCTGTAGCTATGTTTTGTGCACATGAGTGACGAATTCCTTATGACAAACTCCTAAAAGTGAAATTTCTGGGTCAAAAAGACAAAATTGAAGGAGATATATATATCTAAATGGAGGCTTCTACTTATAAAGCTCACTTCTTGCACACTTACAAATATTTAGTACTTTTTTTTAGTTTGAATTTCTTCTGAGTTGAACCCTTTTTCAGATTTATTGACCATTTGTATTTCTTCTTTGCTAAACTGTCTACAGGTTCACATCCTTTGCCTCTCTTTCTAATGGTGTATTTGTTCGTTGTCTTCTTTTGGATCTCCAAACATTTTCCCACTTTAAAAAAGTGATTACCAGCCAGGCGAGGTGGCTCACACCTGTAATCCCAGCACTTTGGGAGGCCGAGGCGGGCAAATCACGAGGTCAGGAGATCAAGACCATCCTGGCCAACAATGTGAAAACCCGTCTCTACTAAAAATACAAAAATTAGCCGGACATGGCGGCGCACGCCTATAGTCCCAGCTACTCGGGAAGCTGAGGCAGGAGAATTGCTTGAACCCGGGAGGCGGAGGCTGCAGTGAGTTGAGATCACACCACTGTACTCCAGCCTGGGTGAAAGAGCAAGATTCTGTCTCAAAAAAAAAAAAAGTGATTACCATGACACCTTAGGAGAAAGACTCTCTCTCAAAAAAAAAAAAAGGTGATTACTATGACATCTTAGGGGAAAGCCCATCCAAAACTCTCAGTTGTTTGGTTGAAATGCTACAGCCAGGTCCTAGTCCTCACTAAGGACTGGACAATGCTTGCATCTGTTCAGCAACAAATCGTAGATGGGTATCCCAGGCTGGCTGGATATGCTGAACACACATGATTAGCAGATGGACATCACCTCTCCTTTTTTCCTTTATCTTTCCTTTGGCAAGAATGCTAAGGATGAATCACATACTGCCCATACTCAACCATTGACCTTTAAAATTATGAATGTTTTCATTACTAATTTTCCCATGCATTCCATGTTGACTTTTAAATCCTGAATGAAAAGTTAAGGGAAGCTAGGGAAATGAGTAAGTCTGATTGCCATACTCTTCTTACTGACAATATACCTATATATGAAACCCTGAGAAGTCACATCAATTGGTAAGATTCTCCCATGATCTGGTTGGTCAGTATTGTGCGTGCAGGGTGTGGGGGTGGAGAGTAAATAGTGGCAGTACCTCTAATCACAATAATTCCTAGGAGTTCCTAGGCTCTTACCAGGGCTAATGCTTTAATCTCACCTTCCTTACTAGACACACTTGGTCTTATGTACCACCTCCACTATCAAAGTCTAAAAAAAATGTTTAAACACTTCCAACTGAGCAGTGGAGGGCTCACAGTAAAATAACTAAATCGTCAGGCCTGATTTTGCCTTCCCTTCTCCCTTGTCTCTTGTCTGTCTCCTTGCCCTCAGAAGTTGACAATAATTACTGTCTTAACTCACTTCTTCACATCAACTCAGGGGCCTTGGGAAATACAGGGCTCAAGAGCTTATGACAAAAGCATCCATCTACACGTTCAGTCAGCCTTATATGAATCCATGCACCCATCCATCCACCATCCATCCACCCATTCATTCAGGTGACCCTCCATGCATTCTTCTACCCAACCATCACACTGTGCATCCCACCATCCAGCCCTCCATGCATCTCTCTACTCCCTTATCTATCTATACATCTAAATACCCATCCATCCATCCACCTGTAAAGTGTTGAGCACTAACTTGGTACTCTGCTGAACACTGAGTTACAAAGTTAAAAGAGGTCAAATCTTTGCTCTGAAGGAGTTTACTTTCTATTAGGAAGACAAAGAAGTAAATCAGTGGTTAAAATAGAGTATAGGAAATATTTTTAAATGTCTTACACAGGGTATCATGGGAGTGTGTGGGAAGGTCCCAACTGGGGGATGAGGGAGTGAGTTCCAAAGAGGTGCTATCCATCTGGATTTTAAAGGGCTACATTGGGATTTTCCAGACAAGAAAGAGGAAGAAACTGTCTCAGACAAAGGTGTCAGCATATGACAGGTGATTGGAACCTCAGAGGCCTGAAAGAATGTGGTTTATCCAAGGATAGTCAGTGGTTTGGTGAGACCAAAGCAAACTTGTAAGAAGAGCAGCAGGCAATGCAGCAGGCAATGCAGCAGGCAATGCAGCAGGCAGAGCATTGTGAACCAAGCTCTAAGCTTAACTAAGGAGCTCTAAGCTTAACTAAGTTTAAGCTCTAAGTTAAATTAAGGAGCATGAACTGTAGCCTGAGAGCTTTGGAAAGGTACTAAATGGGTTAAAGGTTCAGTGCAGAGCTATGGGATGAAGAAGAGGGAAGGGAGGAAAAACTATTTAGAAAGGCATATCTACAGGCTTTATGTTTGACCAGATGCAAGCATGAGAAGAATGCACGAGAAGAGGGCATTTTATTCTAATTCCAAAGCTGTTGCTCTCCTCTACACCCCCACCCTATGTTGAGGGACTTGGGGGGATTGGACCACATGGCCTTGTTGCTTTTTTCCAGCTCTGAGAAACTGTAATTCTGCTTGTCCATCTTTCAACACAATCAGGAACTTGGCCAGCCTCACTTCAGTCAGGCCCATGATCTCAATTTAGAAGGAAGATGAGAATGCTGTCTCTGTTTTGTGGTTGTCCAAATTCCAGGATAGTAACATTTTAGTGAATAAAAAGCACTGACATTTTCTCACTGACATTCTTCTATTTAATAAAGTAGGTAGTCAACACTGTAAGAGTATACATTTTTCCCATTCAATGCAATAAATTTATTACCATTTTGAATAAGGGGAGAAGTGCATCCTGCAATCTTGTTTGTCTCAATTAGTCCTTATGGAATGCCTCAAGCCATCACTGAACCTGCCCAGGCACTCATTACAAGTCATCTGCCAAGGCAGTGCTGTCGTCTCAGCGGAGCCTCCTTAGGAGGTGGGGACAGAAAAAAAGGACAATGAACTTGTCTCACAGGGCAAGAAATCTCTTCCCACACCACCCCCACCAACTGGGAGAACAGGAGCCCTGAGACCTGCCCTCCTCTACCACTAATTGTCTGTGAGTCTTCAGAAAGGTCACATATATATTCTGCTTTCAATTTTATCTTTTCAATTTTCTCATCCTTTTCAATTCTCTTTTCAATTTTCTCATCCTCAAAACAAGATGGGGAAGGGACAAAATAATCTTCAAGGATCCTGCCACCTATAACCCCTAATAATGTTACCAATCTGTTTCTATGAGCTAATTCATAAAATGGGTGATAAAGGAATAAGCAACCACAAAGTGGTGAAGGAAACAAAATGAAGATTAATGGGACCAAGTGCGGTGGCTCACTCCTGTAATCCCAGCACTTTGGGAGGCTGAGGCGGGTGGATCACTTGAAGACAGGAGTTTGAGTCCAGCCTGGCCAACATGGTGAAACCCCGTCTCTACTAAAAATACAAAAATTAGCCATCCATGGTGGCGTGTGCCTGTAATCCCAGCTACTCAGGAGGCTGAGGCAGAAGAATCGCTTAAACCCAGGAGGTGGAGGTTGCAGTGAACCAAGACTGCGCCACTGCACTCTAGTCTGGGTGACAGAGCAAGACTCTCTCTCAAAAAAAAAAAATTAATGGGTTCCTTGGGGTTGGGTATGGAGGTCCAGTGGTGTCCCCACTGCAAGCCCTGGAGCCTTGAATGCCACTTCCTCCAATTCTTGGTCATGTGACCTTGGGCAAATGACATAATCACTCTGTGCCTCAGTTTCCTCATCTGTATGTTAACAATAGTATCAGCCTCATAGGTTTATTGAAACAATTAAATGAATCTGTACATATAAAGTGTTTAGTAAAGTGACTGGCACACTTAAGTGTTTCACAAATGCGTGTTACTCTTATCGTTATCTAAAAGAGCCACCTAGTGATAACTTTCCAGCTCCAGTCCCTTTAGTGGCCGGGGAGTGGGGGTGGGGAGTAGGGGTGGGTTTGAAACTCCATGAGCAGGAGCAGCTGCAGGATACAGGCAGACAGGCCAGTCTCTGGGTCCTGGGCCCTTCCTTATCCACCTAGAGGGGAGGATCTTTTCCCATAGTTGTCCTGAAACTTCCAGTAAAATGGACTCATTACAATGTTACACTGTTTCATCTTTTTAAATACATTGATGCCAGTGTTCTTGTACAGAATCCTTTGTGCCTACTTCCATTGCAATTTGCATTGTCCTGCATTGCAGAAGTTGCTCTCTGACAGTTTCCACTGGCGCACCTTCCCAGATGTGAGAGGCTGGAGCTCTAGTGCATAACTCAAGGATTCAGAGGCCTGGGCTGTCCAGTTTCCTGGACAGGTCCCTTGACCTCTTTGCCCTTGTAATTTTTTTGTGTGACTTTCTTTGCCATCAAAACAGTAGGAAAAGCTTGCAGTCTCTTAGGGTAAAGTTGTGTCAGGTAAGAGAAAAAAACAACACAGTCTAGGGTTTGGGTCTAATCAAAATGCTAATTCTTCCAAAACGCATTATCCAAAACTCATTATCATGGGGTGGCCCAATAATGCCCAATAATAAGAATTTAAATATTCTTATTTAAATTAAATATATAACATGTCACATGCTGCCTGATTTTCATTTGCAGTATGACCTTCAATTGTTAATAATAATGAAGGTAAACTTTTTCTGAGTAGTTTTTCATACACAAATCAAAAAGAGATTTAACATTCTTCCCTAACGGAAATATCAGCACACAGCTGGATAAATGACTATGGAGAAAACATAACTGTGGGGCCTAGGAAATTGGCAGGTGATAATAGGCCAATGCCTGCCAGGCACAGTGGCTCACGCCTGTAATCCCAACACTTTGGGAGGTAGAGGCGGGCGGATCACCTGAGGCCAGCAGTTCAAGACCAGCCTGGCCAACATGGTAAAACGTTGTCTCTACTAAAAATACAAAAATTAGCTGGGCGTGGTGGCGCACTCCTCTAATCCCAGCTACTGGGGAGGCTGAGGCAGGAGAATCGCTTGAATCCAGGAGACAGAGATTCCAGTGAGCTGAGATTGAGCCATAGCACTCCAGCCTGGGCAACAGAGTGAGTCTCCATCTCAAAAATAAATAAATAAATAAGCCAATGCCTCTCCCCCAGGAGGATTAAGGACTGGCCAGGCCATCATGTAGAATCACACACCTCCTGGAGCCCAGGTAGCTTCCAAGTTGATGACCATTTAGTAGTCACTCTTGCCTGAGACTTTGTTGGTGCTGAAGACTTAAATTTTTAGACTAATGGGGCTGCTTGGGGTTGGGTATGGAGGTAGAGTGGTCTCCCTAGTGCAGGCCCAAGAGCCTCTTCAAGAACCTCTGTGGTTCCAAGACCCAGCCATTGGTCAGAGGGTAAGCAGTTTGGGGAATCAGTGTAGGGAAAGGGAGAGATACTGGGGTTTGCTGACTGACAGCCCGGGGTCCGCACCTCTGATTGGCAACATATTGTCTGACCTTGGCCAAGGTACTTAAGCTCTATAAGCCTGAGTTTCCACCCTTGTAAAGTGGAAATTGGGGATTAGGGGAATCAAAAATGTCAGTGTATGTAAAGCTGCTATCTTTACAGGGAGTAAAAGTTCAGAGAGCTATGGCTAGTCTTTCTGTGCCAGTTGTATGAAGAGGATAATGTTTGTGCGTGACTCACACCTCCCTCACCTTTTCTGATATGACATATACACTACCGTAAGTTTGAAGAAGCAAAAATAGTCCTCTCACAGAAAGAATTTCGAACACCTCAGTCTAAGTAGGAGAAATGGATCAGTTGGGCTATTGTCCCCTGTCTTCCTGTCCCTGGGCTCTGTGAGCCTCCAGCTCACAGGCCAATCCTCAAAGGGCTATTCTTCCAACAGATCTGACAACTGGCTGGCTTCCCACCTTGGACTGCCTCCCGATTCCTTGCTTTCTTATCCTGCAAATTACTCAGATGATTCCAAAATCTGGCGCCCTGTGGAGATCTTTAGACTGGTCAGCAAATATCAAAACGAGATCTCAGACAGGAGAATCTGTGCCTCTGCATCAGCCCCAAAGACCTGCAGCATTGAGCGTGTCCTGCGGAAAACAGAGAGGTTCCAGAAATGGCTGCAGGCCAAGCGCCTCACGCCGGACCTGGTGCAGGTGAGTGTGAAGGCCATGGGAAGGGGGTGTGAAGGGGATGATGAGAAAGAGAGAGAGAGATTCATTCCCATCTCATATCTCAGTTTGAGAAAAAGGAGAAGCTGTGGTCTGTCTGAAGTGTGACAAAACACTGTCATAAAACAGTGGCTTACGGTAAGACAGGAACTAAACAAGGTTTACTTATAAGGTTCCATCCCACTGTCATTTCTCATTCTCTCTGATGTGATCCTCAGTGACGATTCGAGAAAGTTCCTAGCTGCGACCTCTGGCCTGAAGATCTGACAGGATGACCCTTGCCAGTCCACCCCTCTGCCAGGGCTCAACTCACCTGCATCATTCTCTGACAGCTCTTTGCCAGCCGCCAGGCTAGCTGAGTATTCTCTCTTAGAAGCTCCCATATATATCCTGTTTCAAAATACAGAGAGACAACTTTGAAAGCCAAGTTCCTCTTCTATCTCCCACTGTAAAGAATAACCAAACCTCAGCCATTACAGAAGCCAACTTTGACAATACAGCATCCTCTTCCCACCTGACAGCCTCCCACCCACTCCCATGGGCATGCTGTGCTGGGAACTTCAGCACCTTGCTGGTGCCATCATCATATTCTGCATTGGTTCCCTCCTGTACTATCATCTCAAGTACAATCCTTCTTCATTCCAACCAGCACAGCCATGGCCCTCCACACATATCTAGCTGAGCCCCTTTGCGCAGAAGATGCCACCTCAGAGGACTGAGGCGTGAGCCACCACGCCCGGCCAGGAAGGAATTTTCTGGTGTGCAAGATACACTTGAGATTCTACCTAAGGTAGCTAGATTGGCATTGGGCTTTGAACTAAGGAAAATGTCCTCTTTCTCTCACCTTCTAGATACTTCCGTAATAACAGTACAGTAGAGATTATCCCAGGGGGCCTAACAAGTCCAAAGCAACCTGCCAGGTACATCTTTTGCAGTCTGCACTCTATGAGTACATCTTGTGTCACCTACTTTGATGAATGTAGACACTAGGGTATAGGGAAAAGATTCCTGGAGCCTGGAAATTATGGTTGAGTTTTGTATCTGCCACTAAAAGCTATGGCAAAGTGAGAAGAAGGAGCAGAGACACAGTAATAACACAGAGCTTCCATTCCTGTTCATCCATACAAGTTTCATCAACTGTGCTGCAACATCCTGGGTATTCGAAGATGAATCAGACACAAGCTCTGGCCCCAGAAGCGTGTGGCTCAGTGGTAGAGACAGACAAGAGCACAAATCACCACCCGGCATTATAGTTGATATGCTGACACTCTGTACTGAGACAAAGGACACACTACTGACTTGTGTCCTTCACTCCCTGACCAATTGACCTTGGATTTAAGCCCAAAATTTCCCCAATCTGCTCTGACATTCCTTCTCCAAAACTGAGGTGGGAAGAGGGCTTCTGGATGATCTCAAAGACCCTCCAAGCTCTGATATTCTTTAACTTGATATGACTCTGCTTCATTTATTTAGCAAATACTGACTGAATACCTACTACTCATCAGGAGCGGTGCTGGGTGCCTTCATTTTCTTATTTCTCAAATGACAGAAAATAATACCTGCTCTATCTGATTCATTTATCCTAATGAGCTTATAGACAAGAATATGCTTTAGAAGTCCATCACTATAGAAATGCACAGCAGTATTCTCATAATAAGTGAATCCCTTTCTTTAATTTGTTATGCTAAAATTTTCTCTAGCAATTTTGTCATCTTGCATTACATGCAGCTAAACAAGCTTTTCTTCTTTCTGCCAAAACAGCATCTATTAACAACATGCTGGTAAGACACAGCCAAAACCAGAAAAATTTTTACTTTACTTTGGCCCTCCCCTAACCCACCTTTTCATCTCCACCATAGATTTTTCCCTTCCTTATAAAAAAGGAAATATTAGCAGCCATTTTGTAAATTCTGCACCAACCCATTCTCCTAGCCATTAAGCTCAAGGTCATTACTATCTTATTTTGGCACCATCTTCTCTATCTCTCCTCACCTCCTTTCCAGAGACCCTTTGCCCTTAGGATTCCACAGCGGGCCCAGGGTGTTCTGCCACACTCTTTCTCACTTTCATGCCTCATCCAGGCTGCACCCAAGCACCTGCTTTGTTTGTTTGTTTGTTTGTTGAGACAGAGTTTCACTCTTGTCACCCCGGCTGGAGTGCAGTGGCGCCATCTCGGCTCAGTGCAACCTCTGCCTCCCAGGTTCAAGTGACTCTTCTGTCTCAGCCTCCTGAGTAGCTGGGATTACAGGTGCCGCCACCACACCCGGGTAATTTTTGTATTTTTAGTAGAGACAGAGTTTCACCATATTGGCCAGGCTGGTCTCAAACTCCTGACCTCAGGTGATCCGCCCACCTCGGCCTCCCAAAGTGCTGGGATTACAGGCATGAGCCACCATGCCCAGCCACACCTGCTCTTTTCTTTGTAGCAAAACTCACCTATCAGTTTCAAATGGATCTGTCTTCACCAAAGGTGGCCAAAAAATACCCTCGCCTATTCACCCAAGAGAATTGAAAACAAGTGTTCAAACAAAAACTTCTATGTGGGATGGACATAGTGGCTCACGCCCATAATCCAAGCACTTTGGGAGGCTGAGGCAGGAGGATTGCTTGAGGCCAGGGGTTCAAGATGAGCCTGGGGACCATGGTGAGACAAAATCTATTTTTTTAAAAAAACTTGTATATGAATGCTCATAGCAGCACTATTCATAATAGCCAAAAGGTAGAAACAACCCAAATGTTGTTCGTCAACCAATGAATGGATAAACAAAATATATTCTATCCATACAGTGGAATATTATTCAGCCATAAAAAGGAATTAAGTGCTGATACATACTACAACATAGGTAAACCTTGAAAACATTGTGCTCAGTGAAAAAAAAAGCCAAACACAAAAAGACACATATGATTCAATTTATAGGCAATGTCCAGAATAGGCAAATCCATAGAGACAGAGAGGAAATCAGTGGTTGCCAAGGGCTGAGGGGAGGGGAGAATTGGGAGTGACTGTTTAATGGGTACAGGATTTCTTTCTGGAGTGATGAAATGATTCTGGAATTAGATAGTGGTGATGGTTGCACAGTCTTCTGAATGTATGAAAAGCCACTGAATTGTATAATTTAAAATGGTTTAAATGGTTAATTTTATGTTATATGAATTTTACTTCAATTTTAAAAAGAATAAGCCATAGAAACAACTTCCCCTATTCTGTGACCCATTCACTTAGAGCCTTGTGATGGGCAGCTAATGTCATAATTTAATTTGTGCCGGGAAGTTAACAGCTAATGGCATTTCACTGTTAGCCCTCTAAGAAGCCATTTGCATGTAAAGCCAATATTGCGATGCTTTCACTAGTTCATGCATGACTATCTCAGCTCTTCCTAATATATTCTTGCATTCTTCCCCTACTAAACCCAGATGTGGCCCCAGAATTCTTCTCAATAGTGTTCTAAGTTAGCAGCCTCTGTCTTTGATCTCAGCTGGAATAAGAGATGAAACCTCTGAGTGATCATTCATCCCAGATTTGGCCAAACAGCTCCACCCCGTTTTTCTGATAACCCATCAGACATGAGTCCTAATTTCTTGTTTGGAAATCATGATCTTTCTGTATTTATATGGGAGTTTCAAGAGCCAACTGGGGAGCTATTATAGGATGCGTGGTTGGGAGATTTGCCTCATTCTTCAACTCACACCAAATGGCCCAGTGTCGGCTCAGCCTACCTGTCAGGCCAGTATCCTGGGATTCTCTCTGTGTGTGACTGAAGTGGCTTTTCTCTGATTTCCTCAAGAGCCGTTTTCCAACTGGGATCTAAGCCAGAGCCTTCAATTGTGCATATCTGCTTGTGTGTGTTGCTGTGTGTTTAGGGGAAGAAAAAGATGCCACAAGGAGCTCACGGGCTCTTTTCAGAGAACTGACAAGGCAGAGATGAGAGGAGAAAAAAAATCAAAGAAATAAAAGTAAACGAAAGGGAGGAGGGATCTGGCCGGTTCAGGGGCCTCAGAACTTTGACTGTCAGCCCTGCTTATGAATAAATAAAGTCAAGTTGGATGAAAAGCCCCAGCAGTCATCATCAGAGGCTGAGCCAGGGAGTCCCGGGCTCCCCTCCTGCAGGGCCAAATGCAGCTTTGTATTTAAGGACACTGCATCTTGAGCCACAGTGCAGTACAGCTACGGCAGGGCTGCTAAGGAAGACGACAGGACCAAGAATTAGGAAGAAAGTGAAACGATGCAGTGTGTGTGTGTGTGTGTGTGTGTGTGTGTGTGTGTGTGCGCGCGCGCGCCCTCGAGCATGTGTAGCACTTATGCTAATAACATCGTGACTTTTCTCCTCTAAAAGCTGCATTGTTCTGATGGGAATATCCCACAGCCTAAATTACTAGCCCACAAACAGAAACACAGCCAAGAACACTGCTCAGAGTTTATGATAAGGTGCTTGTTCACAAAACCACAAAGAAGGCTTCCTCTGCTTTTATGCCAAGGGCAAAGAGGCAACCACCCTAGGCAGCTGGAGGCTAATCAGGGGAAAACACATATCCTCCACTGTGTCCCGCTCCCATCCCCTCAACTACGATCCGATCTGACATTGTTCTAAGCAGTGTGTTCCTCCAAACGGGAATACACTAGATGGCCGCAGAGCCTTTCCCCCCACTAGATGGCAGTACAGAGTGTTCAGTCAGCTTTGTTTAAACGAGGATGATTGGCTATTTTACTTCCTATGTTTCCATTATTTTTTAAAATGCATAGAATAAGGGAAATCAGCAAATTAACCAAAATGCATGTTCATTATATAATCTAAATGTGGGTTCCGATGAACTAGTAAACAAGTGAAATTCACTTTTGTTTAAATGTAACTCAAAAATATGTAAGGGATGGTTATAGGACCTGTGCTAGGCGCTAGGAGGGCATAAGGGTATCAAGACAAGGTCTTTGCACTCTGGGAGATGACACCCCAGTGAGGGAGATAGACCATATTCGATTCGTTCTGATACAAGACACCCTGTGATAAAGTGTTTTAATGAAAATGAAAATTTTATGTTGGATTCACAGCTGGTTTTCAGACTGTAAATATTTTAATGCCTCACAGGCTACTAGGTCAAGGATGCTTCAAAAAATTTCCATTTGCTTGTTTGTTTGTTTGTTTTAACAAAGAACATGACTATATTGGTGCTGAAAAAGAAAAAATAGGCTGACTGGTGGCTGTATTATTTTCACACACATCTAACATTGGAGTCAAAGATGAAATGACTATTAGTGGAAAAGGAAATTTAAGCAGCTAAGAATGCCTCCACAGTATCACACAAGGCAATATTCCCTGGATATCAGCGCACATCCTCTGGCTGAATGGTCTTGGAGGAACAGAGCCCCTTCAGAGGTACATCAACACTGAAATCATGAGACCCCGTTCCTGTGACCCTTGGGAGGTATTCAGAGTGCTGTGTTTGTTGCCCGTGGGAGTTTGGGGAACCAACTGGACAGACATTATGGAATAGATAAGTCCCCTCTCAGCCCATTTTCTCCTTCCAGTCATGGAATTGGAAATGTTCAGAGTTGAAACAACTAAGATTTTGAATCATCTAATTTATTTAAGATTACAACCATGAAAACTTTGCTATCTCAACATTTGTGGCAAAGAGGTTACTTGGAATGGGTCAGAGACTAACCTGCTCATTTCCAAATTCCATTGTGTCACAGTCTCATAGAAAAGGGACTAATAATCACCCACTGTGCCCACTCAAATTACCCCTAAATTATTCTTGATGGAGCTCACGAATGAAAATGAGACAGTCGGCCGGGCGCGGTGGCTCACGCCTGTAATCCCAGCACTTTGGGAGGCCGAGGCGGGCGGATCACGAGGTCAGGAGATCGAGACCATCCTGGCTAACATGGTGAAACTCTGTCTCTACTAAAAATACAAAAAATTAGCCAGGCGTGGTGGCAGGCACCTGTAGTCTCAGCTACTCGGGAGGCTGAGGCAGGAGAATGGTGTGAACCCAGGAGGCGGAGGTTGCAGTGAGCCGAGACTGCGCCACTGCACTCCAGCCTGGGCAACAGAGCGAGACTCCATCTCAAAAAAAAAAAAAAAAAGAAAAGAAAAGAAAGAAAATGAGACAGTGAAAGGCTTCCCCAGTCCTGACACAGACAAGTTGAGAAAGAAAAAGGAGGCAAGAGAAGACTAGGGGAAAGATAGACATGAGACAAGTCACCAGTGGCTCCTTCCAGATGATGCTCAAATACAGAATACAGGCCGCCCCCAGCCAAAACGTAACCGAAGCCTGAATAATCATCAGAACAAACAATACAAAGCAAGCTTTGCTTTTACAGGGCTTTAAGCTTTCCCTAAACTTAGATGTTACCAATCAAGCCCCTTTTTTAAAAAATCAAGGCATCCTTTGTTCTATACAATTCTTCCTTTGATATCTCATTACCTCTATCCTGATGTACTCAGAAAAAAATGCTTTTGCCGTTAAGTGTGACTTGGCCCAGAGGCCTCTGGATTGGCTGTCCCTCTATGCATGTCCACATGCTATGAAGGAATCAAAGGTTAAACTATATAATATATAGTATTTATCTATAAAGAAAGTCACTTGGAAGACATCAGTTAATATAGTGATTGTGTTCTAACACAATATTTGTGGCCTAATAAGCAGAACTTAACCACTATATCAATTGATTGTGCTACCGTGATTGTGTTCTGTGTATTAAGCCACAAAACCCCTCAATACATTTTTTAAAGTAGAAATATTAAAGATCATTTTATCTAATCAAAAGAGAATCACATCAGACATTAACTATAATAGGAAAAAAAAATACCAAAGCAGAAATGTAAAAACATTATCTTTTGAGCCACAGAGCAAATAATTGAAATTGTAATAATATCAGGATAATAACAATGATGAAAACTCTATATTTCCCCAAACTATGATTTAGCCTTTGCCAAATCACTGCTCAGAGGAAAATTGAAAATCAATCCAGGGTTCTGTTAGGCTGCTGTTGACACAAGTTCGGTCATTAATGTGGAGAAATAATACAAAAAGATATTAAAAACGCATATTAATTTGTTCCTAACTCAAGGCCACTTATGGCAGTAATAATTTTTACAATTGTGTTAGCGCTTCTCTCTTAGGATTATCAAGAGGTCTGTGGAAGGCATAATTTATAAACCTTTTGTGTGGGTTAAGCAGGGAATAAATATATTTATTCCTGGTTTATATATGAGAGCAAACCACAGAGCAATATATCAATTTGTTAAAGATCAAAATCTATTTCTACTTACTGAATTACACATATGTCATAGATTCTTGGGGTTGAAATAAATTTGAAAGCTCAGCAATTTGAACTCTAACATATTTGCATCCTTTCTGTAAGGCAAAGGGTCATCTACCGTATCATACAGTGACAGGAAACTCACTACCTTCAGCTTATGCCTTCTTTGGACAGAACAGATACTTGGAAAGTTCATCCCAAATCTGTCTTCTTGTAGCTCTCACTTATGTAAAGTATTTCTACGCCCTGGAATCATACAGATTATACATGACATATGCCCTCCCATACACGCAGCTCCTAAATCCTGGCTTCCCCATTGTAAACATCCCCAGTTCTCTTTTTCATCTCGGCATTCCTCTCATATTGAAGCTTCTTAAATGTTATGTCAACTGAAACCCCTTCTGTAGCTAGATTTTAGTTCACAAGGACAGAACCTTTTGTTTATCCTGTTATATATGATCTTCTTATATTAAATCCATTATTCTAGCCTGTCAACTTGTTTCTGATACTTATCATACCCCGTATCACCCCAAGTACATATTATTCTCAGTTTTGATGAACACAATTTTTATCTATGTCTTAGTCCTCTATAAAAATGTTAACCAGAACAGGGCCAAATAAAAAGCTTTCTTTCTCTATAGGGGTTAATCCGTTAGTTGTTAGGTAAACTCAGTTAACCAATTACTAATCATCTTAATTTTTCTATGCAGCCCAAATCTTGTTTCCCCTTTTGTTTTATAGGGGTCTCATGAGAATCACTGTTGAATGCTTCACTAAAGTTCATATATTCTGTCTATTGAATTTCTCTGATTAAAAATCAAACTACCAGGTCAAAGAAAAAAAAGTTGTTAGTCTGGAATGATTTGATTAAAAGAATCCTCAGTGACTCCTTAAGATCATCATTTCCCCATCTGGAGGCTCACAAATTATCCTATGAATAACCTGTTTTAGAATATTTCCTGTGATCCAGGATCAGCCCACTAATCACTAATTTGTGAAATCTACCCTCTTGCTCTTTTTAAATATCAGAAATGGATTTTCATGCCTTTTCTGTTCTCTGCATTCACTGCCCATGGTTCAGCAATATCATTTGCCAGGTCTCTGTGAATCTCTCAGGCTGGGGAACTCACTCAGAACAATGAAGGCTTCCTTTATTCATTCTGGCTTTTCATTCCTGTTTACCACATTTTGCTTCACCTTTTTCCCATCAAAGTCCCAACACCTGAAAGAGAAAACAAGCAAACATTAGAAATGAAAATCGGGCCTTCATTTTGTTATCCACCAAAATTCTAATGGCCCTATTGTCTTTGCTTTCTTCATACTCTGTGCTTTGTAACATATAGCTATTTTTAAAGATTTTCAATTAAAGTATAAACTGCATACATAAACACATATATCTTAAGTGCATAGCTGGATAAATTTTCACTCGTGTATTTACTCGTGGCCACCATCCATATCAAGATACTGAACATTTCTGGCCCCTCAAAAGGCTCCTTCATGTGCCTTCCCAAAAAAGACCACATTCTAGGGTGACCAACCATCCCAGTTTGCTTAGGACTCTCCCAGCTTTCACACTGAAACCTCTCAGCTGCAGGACAACCTGAACAGTTGGTTACCCTGACCCTTCCCAAAGGTAGCTGCTATTCTGACTTAACTCACCATGGATTAGTTTTACCTGTTTTTGAACTTCATTTAAATGGAATCGTACAATATGTACACAACACATCATGCTATTTATCCATGTTGTTGCGTGAATCCGTGGTTGGTGTTCTTTTTCACTGCAGTGTGTGAAACAACACCGCTCTGTGATGGTTTCACACTGTATGCATTCTGCTGTTGATGAACATTTGGGCTGTATTTAGTTTGCACTATTGTGAATTAAAGTTGCTACAGACATTATTGTACATATCTATTGGTGAACATAAGCACACAAAAGTGGAATTGTTGAGTCATAGCATGTACATATGGAAAGATTTAGTTGATTCTGCTAAGTAGTTTTCCAAAGTAGTTGTGCTGATTTCCTCCTATTAGCAATGGGAGAAAGAGTTCCATTGTTTCATATCTTCATCAACACTTACTATTGTTAGTTTTTAATTTTAGTCATTTTGGTGGGAGTTTGGCAGTATATCATTGTATGGTTTGAATTTGCATTTTTCTAATAACTAATGATATAGAATTCTTTTTCATATATTTACTGGCTTTTTTGATCTCATCTTTGGTAAAGTACTGGGTTTAGTTTGTCCATTTTTACTGGATTGTCTTTCTTATTAATTAGTACAAGTTATACAAGTTATATTTATATTCTGGATACAAGCTCTTTGTGAGCTGTGTATTACAAATATCTTCATCCAGGCTGGGGCTTGCCTTTTCACCCTCTTAATGGTATTTTTTTTTTTTTTTGAGACAGGGTGTCTCTGTCACCAAGCTGGAGTGCAGTGGCATGATCATAGCTCACTATAACCTCAGACTCCTGGGGTCAAGCAGTCCTCCTGCCTTCAGCCTCCCAAGTAGCTGGGACTACAGGTGTACACCGTGCTCAGCTACTTTTATTTTTTTGTAGAGACAGGGTCTCACTGTATTGTCCAGGCTGCCATAATTGTTTCTTTTGATGAATTGGAATTCTTTATTTTAATGAAGCCCAGTTTTTAAATATTTTATTTTATGGTTAGCACTTTTAATGTTCTGTTTATCGTGTGGTCAAGAAGATATTCTCTCGTTTACTTCTAGAAGCTTTAATATTTTATCTCTCATATAGAGATCTATAATACATCCCAAATTATTTTTTATGAGTGATGTACAGTAGGTGTTAAGGGTTTTTTCCCCATATGAATATCCAATTGACCAAGCATATTTTAGAAAAACCATTCTTTCCTCACTGAATTTCAGTAGAGTGTTTGTGAGAAATCAGATGACTATACATGAGTGAATCTGTTTCTGGAATCTCTGTTGTATTCCATTGGTGTATTATCTAGCTTTGTGCCAATATGAAACTGTATTAATTACTGTAGGTGTATAGTGAGCCTTGATGTCCTGTAGTGTACGCCTCTCAGATTTATCCTTCTTCAATATTGCATTAGAATTCTAGCATTTCCAAATAAATTTTAGTGCCATTTAGTCAGTTTCCACAAAACCTGCTGTAATTTTGATTCATTAAATATATAGAGCAATTTGAAGAAAAGTGACACCTTAACATTATTGAGACTCCCAATCCATGAACATGGACTAGGTCTTTATTTCCTTAGGTCTTCTTTAATTTATCTCACTGTTTCATGGTTTTCAGCATAGCTATTTTGCACACGTTTTGCTAGCTATCTTGGATATTTGATGTTTTTTGATGTTACTGTAAATGATATTGTTAGGTACACTGGATATTTGATATTTTTGCTGTTACTATAATTTGCATGGCTTCAAATTTTATTCTCCTAGTCTCTGTTGCTAACATATAGAAATATAGTAGTCCCTCTATCCCTGGTTTTGCTTTCCACAGTTTCAGTCACCCATGGTCAACTGTAGTCTGAAAACAGGTGAGTATAATACAATAAGACATTTTGAGAGAAAGAGACCACATTCACATAACTTTTATTACAGTATATTGTTATAATTGTTTTGTTTCATTATTAGTTACTATTGTTAATCACCTACTGTGCTTAATTTTTAAATTAAACTTTATCATAAGTATGTATGAATAGGAAAAAAACATAGTATATATAGGGCCTGGTACTTATCTGTGGCTTCAGGCATCCACTGGAGGTCTTGCAACGTATGCCCCATGGATAAGAGGGAACTACTGTACAAATGATTTTTGTGTATTTATCCTATATCCAACAATCTTGTTAAATTTACCTATTATTTCTAATAGCTTGCTATAGATTTTTTTTGAATTTTTCCATGTATACCATTATATCATTCCATCTTCAAATAATTGTAGTTTTCTTTTTTTCTCACGTTAAGATATGTTCTATTTCTTGCCTTATTGTACTGGCTAGGGCTTCCAATACATTGACAAATAAGAGTGGTGATAGTAGCATAATCATTTTGTTCCAAACTTTAGAGAAAAAGAATTCTGTATGTGAGACTCATCAAGAAAGAATCCACTGGTGACCTATCTCATGTCTAGTATTCCCCTAGTCCTCTTTTGCCTTCATCTTTTATTCTCAACTTATCTGCTTCAAGGCTGGGTGAGCCTTTTCTGGAATCCTTTTCATTAATGAGATCTATGAATTATAATTAGGTATCTATTTTAGCAGACAAACCAAATGATTTGTTGTTCCCCCCTTTTTAAATAATCTTATAATATGATGAAGACCTGGAAATTGATAGGTTATTCTTTGTCCCATTCAAACAACCCCCTTAACACAAATGCTGATGAGGTGATGTTCCAGTGGTTCCAACACTGAGTTATTCCATCATTTAAAGGAAAAAGATGAGCTGTGGGGGGACTTGCTCACACACTCTTTCTGGGCAATGAACAAGCATTGTGATTAAATTCACAGGTATCACAGGAATGTTAGCTATAAGTTTTTTAATATACCCTCAGTATGATTAAAGATGTTTCCTTCTACTCTAGTTTATTGAGAATTTTTTTCGTAAATTTTATAAAATGCTTTTTCTGCATGTATTAAGATGATCATGTATTTTCTCTCCTTTATTCTATTAATGTGGTAAATTGCATTGATTTATTTCCAAATATTAAACCAACCTTGAATTCTAGTATTTTTTTCAATTATTTTTTTCTCTATGTTCTTAGTTTGGACATTCTCTGTTGTTAGATTTATTTTGTTTTGCCTTGTTTTAGCTCACTAATAAGTTCTGCTGCGCCCAGTTTTCTGTTAAACCCAGTAAAGAAGTTCTTAATTTCAGATATTGCATTTTGCATTTCTAGAATGTCTATTTAATGTTTTATAGATTCCAACTTTCTTGAAATTCTCCCTTTTTCATTCATTTTGTCTCTTTTCCTCTATTTTCTTAAAATCTTAACCAGACTTACTTTTAATTCCTTGTTTCTACTATAATATCTGGATTATCTCTGCTTCCACTTCTGTTTGTGTTGATAGTTTTCCGTTTTTTTGCTTCTTCACACTTTAGGGGTAATTTTTAATTGGGTAATTTTTTATTGTATGCCAAATTTTAACTGTAATGCCTTATAAAGTTTCTGAATTATGTCATCTTCCTTTAAAAATTGTTGAGTTTTGTTCTAGTAGCCAACTAAATTGCTCTCAAATCACTTAAAGCCTGGATTTTGCAATCTCAAGACTATTGACATTTTGAGCTGGATCATTCTTTGTTGGGGGAAGGAGGCTGGCTTATACCTTGTAGAATGTTTAGCAGCCTCCCTGGCCTCTACCCACAACCCCCCAGTTGTGACAACTAAAAATGTTTCCAGGTGTTGTCAAAAATATCCCCTGGGGAGAAAAATTTCTTCCAGTTGAGAGCCACTGCCTTAATTCTGTTGAGAATGGATTTTAGGCTTTGTTTGTGTAGTTTTCTTGGTCTCACCCTTACTCCTAAGACATGGTCCCTGCTGATAAGGCATGATCCTTACTACTAGAATGTGGACTTTCTGAGGTCCGATTGAAAGCCCAGGATATTCACTAAGATGTCTAGCCAAACTTCAGCTTTCATCTCTCCAGCACCATGCAGCCTCTGAAATATCTGCTTGGCAATACATTCTTTTAATGTGGTTCTCTGATAGGTCTCTAGAGGCCTACCCTACTCACATGCTGCTTAGGAGCTGGTCAAGGACCTGAGGGAAATTTTTACAAAGTTATGGGGGCTCCTTCTTTGTGAATTTCCCTTTTACAGGACTATGTCTCCCAAATCCCAGCCATTTTGGCAGCCCCAAATGCTGATCTGTGTTTCCTTTACCTAGCACAAACCTGCACTGCAGCTTGGAAAATGCTCTCAGGGAAAAAGATAGTGTGAATATGGGGCTTACCTCGTGTGTATCCTTTCTCACAAGGATAATTGTGCTATGTTGGTTATGGTTCAATACCTGCAAAGAGTTGTTTTGTATTTTGCCCAGATTTTAGAGCTATTTACAGCAGAAGGGTAAGTCTGATACCAGGTATATTCTGTCATGGCCAGAACCAAAAATCCCAGAATTATCTACTCTCCAGGAAAGAAAGAAAAAAAAATGCTACTGCATGCACATATCAAAATCCTAAATATAGCTATTAAAGCCATCTTTCTTAATTTTGAGAATCCGGCTTTATTCTAAAATGCTTTGGCATTTTGGATACTATTTCAAGGCTGAAGAATGTGTGAGGAACTCCTGTGGTTTTTCAGCCCAGCATATACCAAGGGAACTGAGGCCTTCCTTGCTTTGGCCAGGACCCAGCTGGGCATGGGATCCAGAGGAGAGTCTGACTTAAATAACACACTTACAGCAGATAAGAAAAGCACTTTATATAGAGTACATGATGGCTTTCTTTCTGTTTTTGCCTTTCCAATCATATAGGCAGCTCCTTGAGGGTAGGGATTGGATCTTTTATCAGTGTCTTTTCTCACACATGTCTGACATAAAGTAAACACTTCATAAATGTTTGGGAAATAAAGAAAAGAATAAATGAATGGATATGACATCATTCACTATTCACTATTCATAACTTAAAGGTGACCCTTGATCCATACCTGTTCTAACTCCTGATAGAGCCAACTCTATACAGTTTCACTGGAGACCTTCTGATTTTAGAGTCCCTGAAATTTTTGTCTTTCCCCAAGTGAGAATTTTTACTGGCTTATCTTAGGCATTAACAAGCAGAAAACCCCTGTATTAGTCCATCTTGCATTGCTACGAAGGAATGCCTGAGGCTGGGTACTTTATAAAGAAAAGAGGTTTATTTTGGATCACAGTTCTGCAAGCTGTAGAAGCATGGTGCCAGCATCTGCTTCTGGTGGGGCCTCAGGAAGCTTCCACTCATGGTGGAAGGGGAGGCAGTAGCAGGGATCACATGGAGAGAGAGGGAGCAAGAGAGAGGGAGGGAGGAGGTGGCAGGCTCTTTTTAATAACCAGCTCTCGTGGGAACTAATAGAGTGAGAATTCACTCACTGCTGAGGGAGAGCATTAATCTATTCATGAAGGATCCACCTCCATGACCCAAACACCTCCCATGAGGCCCCACCTCCAACAGGGGAAACTGCATTTCTTTTCCTTTTTTCTTTTTTTTTTGAGACAGAGTTTTGCTCTGTCACCCAAGATGAAGTGCAGTGGCATAATCACAGCTCACTGCAGCCTCGACCTCCTAGACTCAAGAGATACTCCCACCTCAGCACCTCAGCCTCCCAAGTAGCTGGGACTACAGGTGTGCATCACCATGCCTGGCAAATTTTTGTACTTTTTTGTAGAGACAGGGTCTTGCCATGTTGCCCAGGCTCATCTCGAACTCCTGAGATCAAGCAATCCTCCCACCTCGGCCTCCCAAAATGCTGGAATTACTGCACCTGGCAGGGATCACATTTCAACATGAGATTTGGAGGGACAGATATCCAAACCATATCAGTCCCACAGTTCATACTCCGTGGAATATGACTCTTGATACCAGAAATGTCTACCCAATTTGGGCAAGAAGGGTTGGTGGCACAATGATCCATTAGCATTCTTCAGAGATTGATCTCTCCATAGTTATCTTGGAGAAGAGACAACTGAGGTATTTTGACCAAGGGCAGGAGATGAAGTTGATGGGGAGCCTCTTGCTCAGGAGAACAAAGGGTGATTTCTCCAGGGGGTTGCCTAGTAAGCTGGCCCAAGTGCTTCTAAGGATTGTGCTTCAAACGCAAGGTAAGACACCAAAAAGAAAGGCAAGGGGCAAATACTGATTTCCCTTCCAACATTGTTTCTCTAGGATCAAAACTGTCTCCCCACCAATAACCTTCTCGGAAGGCTTACCCTGCATCTAGAGCCCCAACATGTGCTAACTGTGGTGGAGACTTTCTTCATACCATCATGTTTTTAGATCCAGCAGGTAGTCATTTACCTGTGGCACTTGCCAATTCTAGGGACAAGACAGTGGACACTATGTATGCCAGGGTTGGGGAAGGGACTGTAGAATATAAATGACTCTCTAATTAACCAACAAATATAACTACCTTATAGCATATTGAGATTGATGCTTTCTTTTCATCCTAAAACTATAGTCCTTTCCTCAGGGTTCTGGATCTAAAGAATTCTCTATATGGCCAGGAGGGCTGCAGTAATGTGTGGAAACTCATGAGGCTCACTTCATTCTTGACGTTCATTGTTCTTTGATCCATCTGATCTCTCTGGCTTCCTGAGGTCCTGTCCATAGCCCAGTGGTGAAAAAATTATGCCCCCTACCTTTTTGTTGTCTGTTTTACCTTAATACTTCAACCTCTCACAGCTCAGGGGGCCGTCAGATTATCTAAGCATATTTTCCTGCAAGAGGTCCCCATTACAGACCCCCTTCCTTCTGCATAGACCTCCTGGCTACGTACAGAGAATTCTTCCAACAAAGTGCTCCTCCCCTACAGCACCCTCAGAATCACCCCATTCATTGTGAGGTGGAAAAGCACCACTTCAGGCCTGCTTCAAAGAGCAATGTGACCCATTTCCTTGCTTCTCACCTTTCATTTCTCAAATGCATGCTTAACCTGGCCACCTGCTACCCTCCCAAAAAATGGATCGTTTCCCTTTCCAGTTCAAAAACTTTCTTTTCTTCAATTTTTTTTACTTTTATTTGTTATTATTAAAGTGATATGGACTCATTGTAAAAATGTATAAAGTATACATACATATATGTACATATACACACATATATGTATGTATACTTTATACATTTTTACAATGAGTCCATATCACTTTAAGTATATATGTGTATATATACACACATATATATATATACACATATATGTGTGTATATATATATTTAAACATATACGTATATATATTTAAACACAAAAAATAGGTGGGAAAAATCACATATAACTCACCACTGGGTTGCCACAGAGGCAACCACTGTTAACACATTGGTGTTTTTTCTTCTAGTCTTTTTTCTAGTCATATTTAACATGGTTAAAAGTAAATTGTATATGTAATATTACATATTCTTCTATGGCTTAATATTATATCTCATAATAGCCTCCATATCATTAAAACTCTTCACATACATCATTTCCTCACATGTATGGACCATAGTTTTATTCACTGTTGTTGACTGTTTACATTTTTTATTTTTATTATCATAAATAATGCTTTGATGAACATCTTTTTGCAGAGTCTTTGTCTGAATTTCATGTTAGGTCTTTGAGACAAATTTCCTTTAAAAAACTACCACATACCTGCTACTTTCTATGGACCCGGCATGCTTCACATACATTTGTCACAGTTAATCTTCAAACCCTCTAAGATATTCTTGTTCCCATTTTACAGATGGGGAATCTGAGGCTTAGAGAGATTTATATACGTTGCCCAAGGTTACCCAGCTAGTAAATTTTGGAATTGAGATTTGAACACAGGCCTGTCTCCTGAATGCAGAAGTCACGCCCTTAAATACTATGCTTTGTGGCTTCTCTACTTCCCTGTAGTGAAACCACTGGGTCAAGGGGTATAAATGTTTTTACACTTTTGAATACATATTGCCATATTGAATTTAACTCCCTCCAAAGAGATTTTTGGGGGGATACACATGGCATCTTCATGAACAATCATCTTTGCCTACAACATTATGCGTATTATCTATAGAATAAAATCTAAATTCCTACATGTGATGTTCAAGAGCCCCACAGTTTTCTCCCAACCTACTTTTCCAATCTTCTCCCCTGAGGAACCCATGTCTGTATCCCATAGACCAGACATGGCCTTTAACTCTGCTCCTTGCCTTTGCTCAATTCTGATCCTTCAGTTAAAATGCATTGATACTAGATCTCCACCTGCCAAAATCCTACTCATTCTTCAAGGCCATGCTCATACCACCTCTTCTGTGAAGCCTACCTGGATTTCCCTACTGCTTTCTCTTCTGTATTCCCATAGCACCTTGTTTACATCTCTTATAGCATTTGTCATATTCTGCCCCGCATTGAACTTTGTGGTATATATGTCACTGTGCCCCACAAGGGTACCAGTTTCTTTGGTGTAGGGGCCTTCTCTTATTTATCTCTCTGACCTCAGAAGGTCCTACTTTATATAAGGTCCAACACCTTATACAAAGTAGAGCACTAATAAACTTTTGTTGAATAAATCACTTACAACAACCTCAGACAGGAGCTGTTACAAGTTTCCTAACACACACGCATGGTTACAGCAGTATATTTGGTTTGACGGAAGAGTCCCCAAATTCTTTTTGTGTCTCCCTGCAATGGTCCCGAAGGACCATTGAGCCTAGTGACAGACCTGGGTTGGAACTGCCAGCACCTCCTTCTCAGCTCAGGCCTTTCCGGGCTTTGCGGCCTCTCTCTCTAGGGCCTCTGTGGCTACTTTCTCACACCCAGCCTCTAGGAAGTTGCCTGCTTTTCTTTCTCCCCAGACCCTTCCTTCTACCGCAGAAAGGACCTGGTAGACAGTACCTCATGAAGGCACCCAGGGTGCAGAGGAATGAGGGCAGTGAAGAGGGGGAAATAGGGGTTGGGATGGGAGATAGAAAGGAGGTTCAGGCCCAGCACAGTGGCTCACACCTGTTATCCCAGCACTTTGGGAGGCCAAGGCGGGAGGATCGCTTGAGCTCAGGAGTTCGAGACCAGCCTGGGCAACATAGCAAGACCCTGTCTCTACAAAAATTCAAAAATTTAGCTGGGTGTGGTAGTGTATGCCTGTAGTCCCAGCTACTTAGAGAAGGCTGAGGGAGAGGATCATTTGAGCCCACACCACTGCACTCCAGCCCACGTGACAAGATGATGAGACCCTGTCTCCCCTCCACCAAAAAAAAAAAGAAAGAAAGAGAAAAAGAAAGAAAGAATGAAAGAAGAAAGAAAAAAGAAAGAAGAAAGAAAGGAAGAAAGAAAGAAAGAAAAAGAAAGAAAGAAAGAAGGAAAGAAAGAAAAAGGATGTTCAGTGTACCAGGAGCTTCTCTCAGGTACCCAGAGAATGCATCACCGGCTCCTCCATGAACTCTGTCTGCACTATGTCCATCTGCTGGAGAGCTCCTCACCCAATACCTGGCCCAGAAGCTGCCTACCCAAGCCTGCTCCTCTATCCAGCCTTTTCTCAGGACAGTAAACCTCCATACCCCAAATATAGACTCAGGGCAGTTAGGCTCCAGTGAGCTAGCTCAGTCTAGTTGAAGAAAAAGTCACCAAGGGATATGCAAAGAAAGCCAAAGGTGATGTGACAGCTTTGTAATGTGTCAAGCAGCCCTACAGAGACTGCTTAGCTAGCTCCCATGACTGTATAAAGTCAAAACCCTATAAAACAGAAACAATCTCCTGATGCTTCTGCCTCTGATTGAACCCTGACTCATACAGGTGATGCAATCTCAACAGAAGGGCTAGGGGGAACTAGAAGCCTGGCAGCGCCTGCTCTCAGGCAAGTGTGAGGGTTTTCCTGACAATCAGAATTCTGCCTGAGCCTCCTGGGCCAACAGGAGCTTTGCACAGCAGAAGCCACTGACCTCCTATGGATATTTCTGCAAGCTTGGATGCACGAATGAGTTGTCAGAAGCACTTGGTTTCCTGTCTTTTGATTTAAGAAAGAAGAAGAAAAAAGAAAACCAACAGCCCATATAAAAAGAAATGACCCAGTGGAGAATTATGACAAGCTTTAGCACACCTGAATCGAAATGACAGACCATGAAATAATGTGTTTTACTCTGCGTCAGCTTCCCTGCTAGCCCCAACTATTAGCTGAATCGCCTGCCAGAATGATTATTTCATCTGCCACAGTGAAAATCTTTGAGCAACCCACAAATGCTTCAGTGACAAGGTTCCAGGGGCCCTGGAATGGAGGAAGATGGTGGACAAAGTGGGAGGCGAGAGGAAAGAAAGAGTCTTTAATAGGAAGGGAAAGTTAGCTACCACCTCCACCAGAGGGGTCATCCAAGGTGTGGGCTACCCAATGGAAGAGGAGGCCATAATCACTACTAAGTGAGCCTCTGGCTGCCAAACGTTTGACAGCAAGGGGCACAGGTAGGCAAGGGAAGTAGCCTTGACCTGGGCTACTGCTACGTAGATACCATGCATGACACTGTGTGGTATTCAGCTAAGATGGTCACTTACTTAACCAAGACAACACAAGTCCCCCAAAGCAACCATTTGCTTGTATCTTAATCAGGGAGCAGTAGTTGCAAGGATCAGAAACCTCCTCAGAAATTAAAGTGAAAAAGGGGTTTATTGTGCCAGAAGTACATCCATCCAGCCCTCCTGGTAAGAAAGAAATTGTAAGTTCCTATCTGGCTCCAGTCCTGCCTTGCTTCTCATCTCTGCTCCCTTTTGGGTGTCTGCTCCATTATCTCTCAGCAGACTGGATCTCTCTGTTAGTCATGGTCCCTGCTCCTCCAACATTACCTCATGTACTGTTCCTGGACTGACCACCAGCTGCCTAAGTCAGCCTCTCAGGAATTGTGGGTTGGGGTACACACCCCAAGTAAGTCCACTGCAGCACACCAATCAGTGTGTGGACAAGATTTGCTTATTAAAGATCTCTTAGGTACCCACCCACTATTATTTGCCGAGGCAGAGGTATGATTACCAAGGCATGATTATTCAAAGTTCCTGTGCACCGAACAGCTAAGGAGAGACCCGATGTGCATAGCACAAGGCCTATATAGCACAGAATGCAAAAGAAGGAAGAAAATGGGAGCTGGAAGGGCCAGGAAAGCTGCCTGGAGGGGGTGTGGCCTAAACTGGGAGAGGAAGGATGGGACAGGGAAATGTCAATGACAGATTTTCCACAGGCAGGGCAAAGACGTGGAAGTGAGAATAAGGCATGACTGTGGGAAGTAGAGCAAGTGTCACGGCCCTCCATTAGAGTGTCAGAGAGCAGTGGGTAGGGTGAGGGCTGGGGGTGGGGAGCTAAACTTCATTCTGTAGGACAGTGGTTCTCACACTTGAGCAGGCACCAGAATCCCCAGTAAGGCTTATTGGCACACCTGCCCTAGAGGTTCTAATTCAGCAGGTCTGGGGCAGAGTCTGAGAATTTGCATTTCTAAAGAAAAATGACTCGAAGACAGTGGATCTTTTCAGAAATGGGTCTAAACATGGTTTGCAGGGACCGGCAAGGGTTCAGAGTGGGGTCAGGGAAATGGTGTTGAATCTTCATGGCAAAAGTAGGGCAGGGTCACGCTCACACAGGCTACCGGAGAAAGAGGGAAAGGGAGGGCACATCCAAGACTCGTTACACCTGCCATAAGCCCGATGATGTCCAGGGTTCCTGGAAAGGTGACAGCACGTGAGATCTGCTTCCTGCACTTGAGGCACAGACCACCTGACAGTGCCAGAGAGAGAAGACCCAACAAGGAGGCTGCAGGTTCAACGCCCCAGAAGACAGTATGGCCTGGGCTGGGACTCAAGCAGACCTGGGTTCAAATCCTGGCTCCACCCCTATGTACAAAGACCTGGATGTGTTGCTCAACTTCCAGGCACAGAGAATTCTCATTGCAGGCGAGCACAGCACCTGCTCTCATGGAAGTGTGAGAACTAAGCAAGGTACCACATGCAAGGCACAGAGCACTGGGCCTGAAACAGAGCAGGCAAGCATGCAATAATGTTAGCAACTGGTTTTCAATTGCCATCATTTCAAAGGTTGTACTATGCAATAACACATGGGTGTGTCACTAGAAAAGCCATCCTTTCTTTTGGCTCCCAAAGGGTGTCTCAGGCTGGCATTTACCCTGGTAAATTCACCACAGTCCAGAGTTGGGGTTTCAATAGTTCCTCCTCTGATTTAACAACACTGTATTGAGTATGAACTTTCTACAAGGTGCTAGGGACACAGAGGTGAGCAAGACAGACAAAGTTCCTGCTCTCTTGGAGTTCACATTTGGTGGTCTTAACAGCACACTCTAAAAGAAGCCAATTCACACTGGCCAAGTCACAGAACCAGCAATTGAAATGGTATTTACAAAGCATCACCCTCCCATAGAGTGGAATGCACCTCTCTCTGCACGAAGGCAAGCTTCTGAGTAGTCAGAAGGCTGGTGAGTGGGTGCTGATCTAAGACAGGAGTCGGTGGGTGAGTGCCAGTGGCCTGGCCACCTGTCCCTGGGCCACAGTGCTGGAGGCCATGGGCTGGGGCATCCTCTTTCCGGATCCCAAGGCCAACTTCCTTTTTTTTTTTTTTTTTTTTTGAGACGGAGTCTTGCTCTGTTGCCCAGGCTGGAGTGCAGTGGTGCAATCTTGGCTCACTGCAACCTCTGCCTCCAAGGTTCAAGTGATTCTCCTGCCTCAGCCTCCTGAGTAGCTAGGATTACAGGCGCCTGCCACCACGCCTGGCTGATTTTTGTATTTTTAGTAGAGACAGGGTTTCGCCATGTTGACCAGGCTGGTTTCAAACTCCTGACCTCAAGTGATCTGCCCGCCTCAGCCTCCCAAAATTCTGGGATTACAGACGTGAGCCACCGCGCCGGCCTCCCAAGGCCAACTTCTGACCCTTGGGTTTTCCTGTCTGAATGTCCAGTCTGATTAATGCTTTGTGTTCATTAAGCCTCTTCAAATGGCTGAAAAGTTGATAACACTCACTCCCCAACCCTTCTGCCTGAAATGATTTCCTGACTAGGGTTTCCCAAATATTTTTCACACATTTCAAGACTGTCCTGTGTCAGTTATAGTCATGGTGTGGATGTTGTTTGTTTGGCCCTCCACACTACCTTTTGTGTTTACAAAGCACGCCACAGCCTGTAAAGCACAGTGACATGTTTATCATGCATTCAGAAAGGAAGTAACAGTGTCTATGATGTCCAGAGACCATGCCAGAGCCTGGCAATTGGGGTGTCCTTGGTGGCAAATACCATCGTCCCCACCTGAGAGATGAGGGAACAGGGGCTCAGGAAGGGAAGGAACCAGCCTGGGCCAGCTGGAGGAGAGGTGACTAAGGTCACAAGTGAACATGACACAATGCATATGTTACAGGTCACAATGATGACACTGCAAACTGATACGGGGGACCAAAGATCCAAGAGATCAGCCAATAAGATAAGGAAGTCAAAAATAGCTTCAGATATTCTAACCTGGAAGACTGGGAGAATGGTGGGGTCACTTACAGAAATGGAAAAATTAGAAAAAGGTGTTGCGTTTGGGACAAATGATAATAGAAAATGCTTCTAGAGCCTTCCCATGTACCAGACACTGTTCTCACAACCTTGACCCTCTCAACGCCCTCATGAGGTGGGTACCGTAATTATGAGGATAACCATCTTTTTAGGTTTGCCTGAGACAGTCCCACAGGATGCCTGTTGTCCTGATTTAATTCTTAAAACCAGCCCCATTCACTCTCAAAAATATCCTGGCTCAGAACATGAGTCCTATGGGTCCCCTTAATGGGTCCCCTGGCTCAGAACATGAATCCTATCCATCAGTTATAGGTGAGGAAACTGAGGCATAGCTAAATTAAAGAACTTGCCTCAGGTCATGCCATCGTTAAGTGACAGAACTGGGATTTGAACCCAGGCAGCTTGACTTTCAGTGACATGGTTGTTAACTACTTGATTGGACTGCCTCCCAAAGGGGATGTTGAATCTCATTTTTCACCTTTGAAGTTTGGGGTGAAGGCTGTCCATCCATCCAGCAGAGACCGCTCCGCAGGCCGATGGGAATACAAGATAGAATGAAGGGACGCAGGCAGTTGGCCTGAAGAGGGGAGACACGGAGAAGACATGCGGGAGGCGCTGGGAAACAGGAGAGTGGATAAAGCCACATATGGGACTCCTCTCCTGAAAACCCTCCCCAGGGAATGAAACAGAACTTCTCTCAAGCCTTCTGCTCCTGAGAGAACATTCCATCAGGGCTCAACCCAGAACCTCTGCAGAATACCAAGAATCTAAGCAAAAAGAAGCTCCGCCCAAGGAAAGGATGTCACCCGGAGTTAGGAGACCTGTCTTCCATAGAAACTGTAGGCCTACGAGACAGGCTTTCTGTTGCAAGGAAAACATTTCATATCCCTGACCCCACCCCACCAACTCTGTTTTATGTGGTTTTAACATCTGTTCAACCCTCCTGGATATGTTATTCACTCTTTGATGATCCAAGGAAAACTCCAAATTCTATGCCCACTCTTAGCTCATTCCTGTCTCTGCTTCTACCCTTTGCACCTGACTTTCTTCCTTTAGTGATTGAGTTTCAGGGAACCTGAACTGATCAGCCTAAGCCAACGGTAACAGAGAGAAACTTCCCAAAAAGGAGGAAGTGACCTATCATAAACCTGCCATATCTTAGGGATTTCAAAGCAACATTGAAACGATTTGGGAGCTATCTACTTAGATTTTCCTCCCTCCTTCAGTACCTGGGACAGTGAGCTAAGAGGGTAAGCTTTGCCTTATAAACATGACTGAGAGTTATGAGGTGTCAACTTTTTAAATCATCCAAGTGGTTTCTCAAAAATAATCACTCTGGGCCGGGCACAGTGGCTCACGCCTATAATCCCAGCAGTTTGGGAGGCCAAGGCAGGCGGATCACCTGAGGTCAGGAGTTCAAGACCAGCCTGGCCAAAGTGGCAAAACCCTGACTCTACTAAAAATACAAAACTTAGCCAGGCGTGGTGGCACACGCCTGTAATCCTAGCTAGTCGGGAGGCTGAGGCAGGAGAATCACTTGAACCCAGGAGGCGGAGGTTGCAGTGAACTGGGATCACACCACTGCACTCCAGCCTGGGTGACTGAGTGAGACTCCATCTCAAAAACAAGAAAAAAAAAAGAATCACTCTGGCGGCCAGACACTTGTAGAATCCAAAGTTAACACACCAAAAAGCTTTGTGCTGTGTCTGGGTTTCAGTGGAAAAAATAATCAGAAAGACCTTTAGTAAAAGAAAAAAAATTCATGTACTGTAGTAGGAAAACAATTGTGAGATGTTTCTCCTCTTTTTTTTTTTTTTTTTTTTTTTTGAGACAGTCTTGTTTTGTTGCCCAGGCTGGAGTGCCATGCATATGGCATAATCACAGCTCAGCGCAGCCTCAACCTCCCAGGCTCAAGCGATCCTCTCACCTCAGCCTCCCAAGTAGCTGGGACTACAGGTGTGGCACCACGATGCCCAGCTAATTTTTCATTTTTTTGTAGACACATGGTCTCCCTATGTTGCCCAGACTTGTCTGGAACTCCTAGGCTCATGCAATCCTCCCACCTCGGCCTCCCAAAGTGCTGGGAATATAGGCATGAGCCACTGCACCCAGCCAAGATGTTTCTCTTAATGACACAAACCAAAAAAGAGTTTTCATTATTTTGAATACAATACAGCTTGGAGAAATGTTCAGTAACTTTTGGTTTAATTATCCACAGCTGAGACAGTTATTGAATCAACATTGTTTTAATTATAAAGCATTGATTAACTTATGATGCATGATTAACCTAAGTCCCATTTCACATGCATATTTAACAACTAAATCATGTGAAAGTTGTTCAGGTGTGTAACCAGAAAGGAAACTCATAGGTTTATTAGCATTAGCACGTTCTCTTCTTCTCCCTGGGTGAGCTTGAGAACAATAAGTCCACTCAAAGTAAAAATTCATTTGTTCAAGATTTCCCTCAGCCTTCCAAATGTAGCTGGCAAGGAAAACCTTCTTACTGAGACGGGCTGACTTTTAATCTTGGAAAAGCCACATTTCTGGTCTTAGATTTTCTTTCTAAGAGGAGTTCATGTTCTTTTTTTCACACACTTGTTTCCATCTGAGCAAATATTCGAATATGTTCAGTAGTGGCAAATCTTTGTCTTTTGAGAAACATTTGCTTTTGGAAACTGCCAGAAGTCAGGCAGAAGCAAGTTGGACAATTAAGATGGAAGATGGGCTTGAGGATAATGTGGTTATACCGGGGCACAGGATGGTGAATGCTATGACAAGGTTCGCGCACATTATCTTCCATGCCATTCCCATGAGGTTTCAGAAAAGACACTGTCATCCCCCCTCTTACAGAGGCGGAAATTGAGTCTCAGTAGGCCCAGGACATCCAATCCTAACCCGCTGCCCTTCCCTCATGCCTCAATAAAACCCCATTTCTCTGGGTTGGTGGGCTGCCTGGCTCTCCTGGAGACAAAGAACAAAGACTCCATGAGCCCACTCTCTGGAAAAGGTGTTTGTGGTAAGGCCATCCCTGGCCCAGTACTTGGCACGGAAGCTTTTAAGACCCGAAGCAGCCCTGGCATCCAGCGACCATGCATCTGGTGCTTCGGTCACTGTTTCATGGGCCCCCAATCACCCTCACTCATGGCATCTCTGCTTCTTTCCATAGCATTGCCCCATCCTCTCTTTCTCAGATAGATCCCAAATCAAAATCCCAAAAGGGAATCAGAATAATTGGCTTAACTCTTTACCAACAGCTCATTAGGTAGAGCCTTTCACACCAGGTACCCCCTATCCATCAAAGATGGCCTTGCCCTGCTGCCCTAAGCAAGTGGCCATGGAAGGGGAAGCTTCAGCTATAAGGGGACATAGGGCATGGAGAGTACCATGGCTCTTTATGGAAGGCACGTCTAGCACATGGCAGTGACAATGATACGTACTAATGTACTGAATGCAGAGGACGTGCCTCTCACCAGGCCAAGGCTTTTGCATGCGTGTTCTGTGAGGCTTGTAAACCGAGTTTGTGCCGAAATTCCAAAGAGAGAGCTGGAGAAGCAGCAGTAGAGAACTCCAGCAGTGTCTCTGGTTCTTTTTACCATGCTAAAACGGACTATTTTAGCATGGTAAATAGCTATGTATTGTCACACAATGGATAGCTTGACAGTATCTTCACTGACCCAATATAGGACGTCTAAAAATGGAGGTGTCTAGGATGCCAGCTCTCCTTTGGTTCTTGTCACCCCATGTTGCAGCATGGGGCTAGTGGCCAGTGGGAGTCAGTACATGGCCCTTGGACAGTCAATTACTTTCCAACTGCCACCTGCCACTCCTGATTCTTCTTTCTGCTCAATCCCTCCTTGGAGTGGGCTCCGAGATGTGATGTGATGTGAGGAGTCAGCAACTCCATCTCTCCTTCAAGCAGCTATGATTTCCTCCTGAGAGATTCATTAGAGTGGTTTTGAAGATTGTCTGGTTTTCTGGAGCACCCCTATTACAGTGTGCACATCCCCTTTTTAAAGGTTAACTTTGGGCTTTTACCAGCCAAACCTTCTGGGGAAAGATGATAGCCATCTGAGGAGTGATGGGGAAGCCATTACCAACTGTCTTTACCATCAAGAATGCACAATCAGTCCCTTGCTCCCCTTCTGTTCCCTAGGCTTGGCTGATAACAAGAACAGCCCATGTTATCTGTCTAAATCCAGAGTTCTAAGCCTCCATCAGACCTACCTTTCCAGAATTTCTAGGTGGGGACCTAGGAATCTGTATGTTTATAGCATTCTGAAGGCCAGGACTGTCAGCCAAGTTTGGGACACACTGTGCGATTCTGAAATCACAGGCTTGTCCCCCCATCTTTCTCCTGATTAAATCAATATAATACCCTACTGGAATCTGGGTATGAAAGCAAGCTTGGACACCAATAAGGAGCATTGGAATGACCGTGGCTCACTGCAGTCTTGAACTCCTGGGCTCAAGTGACCCTTCTGCCCCAGTCTCCTGAGTAGCTGGGACTACAGGCATGTGCCACTACACCCAGCTAACTTTTAATTTTTTTTTCTGTTATTATTATACTTTAAGTTCTGGGGTACATGTGCAGAAAGTGCAGTTTTGTTACATAGGTATACGCGTGCCATGTTGGTTTGCTGCACCCATCAACCTGTCACCTACATTAGGTATTTCTCCTAATGCTATCTCTCCCCTAGCCTCCCAACCCCCAACAGGCCCCTGGCCCATGTGTGTGATGTTCCCCTCCCTGTGTCCATGTATTCTCATTGTTCAACTCCCACTTATGAGTGAGAACATGTGTTGTTTGGTTTTTTTGTTCTTGTGTTAGTTTGCTGAGAATTATGGTTTCCAGCTTCATCCATGTGAGCCACCACACCTGGCCAGGAGCATGATCTTTAATAAGCCACTTCCTTCCTGGTCCTTATTCCCAACTGGAACATGGGAGTATTTTACTAGATCACTGGATAATGCTATCTGCCATTTGCATTTAACAGCCAGAGCTGCGAAAATTAATGTCACATTTTCCACAAATCTTTTGAAGCCTTTTTTTAATCAATCATTTTAAATTTTCAGGACTGTCACCAGGGCCAGAGAGAACTAAAGTTCCTGTGTATGCTGAGATAACACCAGTGAAAAAGCCTGGCATGGAGCCCAGCACTGAGAACTTCCAGAAAGTGTTAGCCTTCTCCCAACTGTGTTATACCAACCACATTTTCAAATAGTAATCATTAAAGAGGCTTCTGCATCAAACCTTCACATGCAGCTCCCATGCCACCCTCCAGAATTCACCAACACACAGGCCCACCAGCAACAGGCTACCTTTGCACAATATTCTCTGATGACAACTCCAAAGCCCCGGCTCTTTCCACCACACTGTGGTCCCCTAGATGGGGCTGTTGCTGAGCCCACCCCAATCCAGATGTGATCCCCCTGTGATCTACTTCTGGCAAGATTCTCAGTCTGGACAGGTCTTCCCTATGAGATAGAACCTGATAAGGAGCTAGGGCAATTCTGACAACATTACCAAAGGCCCACATAACTTCTAAATTTTGGTCTGGTCTGAAGGAAAACCTGTTCTTGCCCTAGTGATGGATGAACTCTCTTATCTCTGGCTTCTAGAGGGAAAAAAAAGCATACCTCTTTTACTTTTTAAGTACCTCCATCAGAGTCATGAAATCACCTGTCAAGACTATCTATCTTTTATGTTTCCATTCTGGTAAGAACTCTTTAAATGAGGACACTGCTGATTGCTGGTGATGTTTTTTGAGCAAACACTCGGGGGTATGGATGAAAGCCAATCGCAGGTCAAATGACTCCTTGGGGAAGCTACTTCTCCTCTATTCAGATTTCACTAAAATCTTCCAAGATGAAAGCAAATCTAGATTTCGGTCTTCATTGCTGTCCATTTTTGTAATGAACGAGTGTTTTTCCTTTAGCTAGTGTATCAGGCAGGGTTCTACCAGAGAAACAGAACCAGTAGGAGATACATATACATGTCCAGATTTATTTCAAAGAATTGATTTACATGATTGTGGGGATTGGCAAGTCCAAAATCCATATGGTAGGCCTGCAATCTGTAAACCTTTGGGCAGGAGCTGATGCTGTAGTTTGCAGATAGAATTCCTTGTTCCTTAAAAAAATCTGTTTTTGTTCTTAAGGGCTTTGAATGATTGGATCAGGCCCACCCAGATTACCTAGATAATCTCTTTTACTTAAAGTAAACTGATTGTAGGTGCTAATCACATCTATGAAATGCCTTCACAGCAACACCTAGATTAGCATTCAATTGAATAACTGGGGAATACAGCCTAGCCAAGTTGACACATAAAATTAACCATCACAGCAACATGCCTGCTAAATTTTATCGACCGTCTTCAGACTGTTAAGGATTGTGGTAGAGAACTGTGACAGCCACTCTCAGCATCACCCTGAACCAAAGGCCCCTATCAAGTAACAATATAGCCAAGCAAAATTCCAGTCAATAGAGACATTGACTGGTTGGCTGGCTTCCCAAGGGATAGCACCAGACAAGAAATGCAAGGATGAGGAAACCAGGCACGGGAGAGAGAGGGGCAACAGAGGTCCAGGGTTTGGTTATCTTTTTATTTTTCACTGGGAGGTGGTAAGTTAGCCCTGTTGCCCATGTATGCAGATGGGAGAAGTGATTTAGAAACTCCAAAGCAATTGGTAATCCCCAAAATGGGTGTATCTGGTTTGAAATGAAACCTTATTTTATTGGAAATGGTTGGTTTCCCAATTCTGTTTGCCATTGGCCAATATAATTGTGGGTTTGCACATGGCCAGCACATGCCAAACAGAAGTAGACAAAGGTCTCACTCTGTAAGTGGGACCTTGGGGAGGAGCTGCCTCCATCATAAAGGGAGGGGTTAGTAAAAATGGTCTCTTAAGCCTGTTCCTGCTACAGTTATAGAGGTTGCTCAGAACCTTCTCAGCAAATATAGCAGTTATCTATTGTTGTGTATTAAACCATTTCAACACATAGTGGCTTAAAACAACAATCATTTATTTTGCTTATGAATATGCAACTTGAGCAGGGCTTGGTGGGAAAGGCTCACCAAGCTCCACATGGCATCAGCTGGGGTGGTTCTATAGGGCATAGAGGTTCCACTTCCGAGATGGCTCAATCACATGGCTGGCAAATTGGGGCTGGCTGTCAGGAACCCAGCTGTGGTGAGTGGGGGATCTTGGTTTTTTTCTCCACATATGGCTCTCCATGTGGCCTGGGCTTCCTTACAGCATGGTGGTTAGGTACAAAAGCAAGCATCCAAAGACAGAATTAAGTAGAAGCTGTATCACCTTTTAAGACCTAGGCTTAATGTTTTTGCATCTTCACTCCTGTACCGTCCTATCCACCAAAAGTGAGTCACCAAAGCCAGTCTATATTCCACAGGAGGGAAATGAGACTCTATCCCTTGATGGGAGAAGTGACAAAAAGTTTACAAACGTGTTTTAAAATCACCTCAGCAAACAATATTCCTGTTGTCCACTCTCACATTGAGTACTATCTCTGACACCTCCTTTCTTCTCACCAACAGCCCCCAACCATTCAGCTTATCACCAAGACTTGTATATTCTGCTACCAACAAATATCTTCAAATCTTTGCATTCTCTCATCTCACAGTCAATCACTGCGTCTTCCTAACTGGCCTTCCTGCCTCCACTCTTTCTTCCTGTGATATTTAGGATTAAGTTCAGTTGCATGTGACAACAAATCCAAGTAACAGTGGCTTAAACAAGATCAAAATACACTTTTATTCTTTGCAACAGGTTCTCACTCTGTTGCCCAGGCCGCAGTACAGTATCACGATCATGGCTCACTGCAACCTCCACCTCCTGTTCTCAAGTGATCCTCCTACCTCAGCCTCCTAAGTAGCTGGGACTACAGGCATGCACTGCCATGTCTGGCTAGTTTTTGTATTTTCTGTAGAGGTGGGCTTTTGCCATGTCACCCAGGCTGGTCTCGAACTCCTGTACTCAAGGGATCTGCCTACCTCGACCTCCTGAAGTGCTGGGATAACAGGCATGGGCAACCGTGCCTGGCCAAAATACACTTTTTAAAAAACATAAAAGAAACTGATACATAGCTGTCGAAGGCCAATATAGTGGCTCCATGATTGTCAGGGATCCAGGCTACTTTTATTCTGCTGCTTCACAGCCCTTAGTGTGCCCTGGTCCAAGATGGCTGCCTGAGCACCACCCATCACATCCATATTCCAGCCAGGAAGAAAAGAGTGAAGAAAGCTACATCCTCTCCCTTTAAGGACTCTTCCCAGAAATTTTTACTTATATCTCATTGACTGGTACCTAGTCGCATTATCACACCTAGCTGCAAAGGAAGCTGGGAATGAAATCTTTATTTGGGGTGGCCATATGCCTACCTAAAATGCAGGGGCTAATAACTAGCAGTATTGGCCACACTCCTCTGAATCTATTGTCCACATAACAACCCAGAATCACTTTCCTAAAATGTATAGCTGAGCATAAAATGCGTATCTGCTTAAAGCCTTCAGTTGTCCCCTATCCCTTCTAGATAAAATCAAAATTCCTTAAAATGACTTCATCTGTCTTCCATTCTGGGATTCCTCCTGTTTACTCTCACTTCTAGCTTCAAAAAGCCCTAACCCCCTGTAGTTTCTAGCACATTCTCTCTCCTCTCAAGATTTTTGCATATACTGTTCCCTCTGCATAAAATACTCTTCCACCCTCTTTGCAGGTTCAGGCTTCAGCTTAAACCTCACTATCTTTCAAGAAATCTTTTAGGGTCTGTATTAGTCTATTCTCACACTGCTGTAAAGAACTACCTGAGGCTCATGCCTGTAATCCCAGCACTTTGGGAGGCTGAGGTGGGTGGTTCACCTGAGGTCAGGAGTTCAAAACCAGTCTGGCCAAGATGGTGAAATCCAGTCTCTACTAAAAATATAAAAAAATTAGCCAGGCATGGCAGTGCATGCCTGTAATCCCAGCTACTTGGGAGGCTGAACCAAGAGAATGGCTTGAACCTGGGAGCCGGAGGTTGCAGTGAGCTGATATTGCACCATTACATTCCAGCCTGGGGGACAAGAGTGAAACTTTGTCTCATTAAAAAAAAAAAAAGATCTACCTGAGACTGGGTAATTTATGAAGAAAAGAGGTTTAATTGGCTCACAGTTCTTCAGGTTGTACAGGAAGCATGGCTGGGGAGGCCTCAAGAAACTTACAATCATGGCAGAAGGCGAAGAGGAAGGATGAAAACTCACTCCTTATCACAAGAACAATAAGGGGGAAATCTGCTCCCATGATCCAATCACCTCCCACCAGGCCCCACCTCCAACACTGGGGATTATAATTCCACATGAGATTTGGGCAGGGACACAGATCCAAACCATATCAGGGTCCCACAAAAATGTTTTGATTTCTTTCAAAATCAGAAGAAAAAAGCAAACTTTTAATTCCAAGAAAATGTTTGAATGTATAATTTTAATATATTTGTCTTCATATCAATGCAGTTGTAAAATATAATTTGTAATATTTTTCATGGAGGAAGGGGCCTGTGAAAGCAAGGGTACTAAGGGCCCATGAAAGTTGTAATGTGGCCCTCCTCCTGTTGGCTCCAATAGCTCATTGCAGTCATAGCCCTTCCTGTGCCACATCTTAACTGCTGGGCACCTGATGGTCTCTCCCAGCTGAGAGACACCCCGGAGGGCAGGTCCTGTTTTGTTCCCTTTGTGTCCACAAATACAGTCTGAATACAGTCTGGTGCTAACTGCAGGGTTATATGATGTGATCCTCTCATTCCCAGTAAAGATAAGGGTGCAGGTCCTGCCTGGCTCCCTTATCTTTATTTACCTTTATCTATCCTTACCTACCTCTCACCCGGTGTACTGTCTTGGTTCTAATGCTAGGTATATGTGACTTGGAGCAACTGACTTAATCTCTCTACATCTCAGTATTACCATCTGAAAAGTGGAGCAATAATAAGTTCTTGTGAAGTAAATGAAAGAATACACTACCTATGAAGGGCTTAGAGCAGCTCCTGTTGTGTAGTAAGCACTCAATAATTATTACGTATTATTGTTGTTGTTGCTCTGGTCAATTAGTGTCCTATCTCTCCCAGAGATACCTTCATTTAAGAACTGGCTCTTGGAGAAGAGAAAAAATTACTTATCCCCACCCCCGCCCCCTGCTCCCCAATGATCATCTCTAATGGTGGAATTTCAGGCTGTGTAGGAGAAGATGATCAGAAGCAGAGGCCTTCTCATAGCCTCAAATCATTTTCTATGGCCTCCACCTGGGTAGTTTATGGAGAGGGGGGCAGGGCAGGGCCTATTACGGGGAAAAGGCACAGATATTAGAGTCTAACCCATTGGGTTCAAATCCTGAATCCAATTTTTCCAACCATTACCTACACTCTGCATTCCAATTCCTTGGCTGCACAATGAGGTTCATAATAGCACCTACTTCGTGGAGGGCCTGAGAGGATTCAATGAGGTACCAAATGTGAATTAACATCTATTAATTTACTTGATCCTCATGATCTCTTAGTGTCCTCCTCACTTCAAACTGGAACCGGAGGTACAGAGAGACTAAGTAACTTGTCCAAGGTCACACAGTTGGTAGTTGTGGAAGCGGGTAAAATTCTGGCAGGCTGGCCTCAGGGCCTTGTTCTTAACTCTATTTTTTTTTATCAGGAGGTTCATGCTCTTCTTTGTTCAGCATGGGGAAAAAGGTGTAGGGGCTGGCTAGAAAGTCATGAGAGAAAAAAAAAAGCCTAGGTTCGTATCTCCAAGTCTTATCCCAAGAACACAGTGGTGCATATAAAAACGCTCAAGTGTAGCCTCATAGTTGTGATATCCAAGTCAGATGGCAGAAGGAATCGAAAGAGCCCATGGCAGGGAATGAATTCAGCCTGGGATCAGCCTTCTTTCCAAGGGCAGGGTGGGGGTGCAATGGTGGGTAGAGACACAGGTAATGCAAAACTCAGATGGCCAGCTGAGGGGTGGAGAAAGGTGGAGTCCGCCTTCTCTCCCCTTCTTCCTCTCCCCTGCCCTGCCCTCAGCCTGCCCAGTGCCCTCCTGCCGTGCTGCCCAAGAGAGCTCATTCCCTTCTCTGTTCCCGGGGTCTCTGTGGCCCCGCCCCGAGTGTAGCCTGTGGTGGGGGAGGGGGCCTCCCACCCCACCCCCGAAAAGTGCTCTGGCCCCTCTTCCCAGCCACAGGGGTCTGCCCCCTGCTCCGCCTGGGCAGAGCTACCCAACCCCTCCCACCCCACAATCCCCACTCCTGCAGGTCTTTTCCCCACGCCCCACCTGGCCCCCCAGCCTCAAGATCTCCCTCACCCCCAACAGCAGGATCTGCCCATTCCCCCTCCTGCTAACCCCCCACAAGAGCTTAGCGCCCCGCCCCCTTCTTCTCCCGCCTCTCTCCCACCTGCGCGTAGGGCCTGGCCAGCCCGCTCCTGCGCTGCCCTTCGCAGCGACTCCTGGATCGCGTGGTCAGGCGCTATGCAGAGGTGGCCGACGCCGGCAGCATCTTCATGGACCACTTCACCGACCGTGACAAGCTGCGCCTGCTCTACACGCTGGCTGTCAACTCGCACCCCATCCTCCTACAGGTATGCAGCGACCTGGCAAGCCCTCTAGGTTGGGGGTCAATCTTGGACTCCCAGAAGCCTCCCTGGATTGAGCTCTCTCCCTCCTTTTACTGCATGTCTTGGGCCACTAGCCCGTGTTAGGACCTTTCTGGCATGTGTTGGCTTCTGCAGTGTGAAAGTGCTGTGGCTGCTGTAGAGGAAACAGGTGTGGGAGCCCAGAGCTGGGAGCGGGATGGGGATAGGAGGGAACAGTAGCCACCTTCACTGCCTGAGTGGCCCTGAAGGGCTTTGTGAAGGAGGCCGACTTTGACCTGTGCCTCAAAGATTAGTCAGATGGGGCCGAGCTCAGGAAGTGGAGAAATAGCCAAAGAATGACCCACCCAGAGAGGTACCTTGCATCTATGCTTGGAAGGAGAGGAAAACAAAGGAAGTAACTCCTAAATGTCCATACACAGGGGAATGGTCAAATAAATGAAGATGCATTAAGGGCCTGGAGATACACTGGTCAACAAGACAAGTATGGTGTCTCCTGCCTTCATGCAGCTTCCAGTCCAGTGGTAGAGACAGACACTTATCATGGAAACAAACACCCATAAAATATGTGGAGCCCAATCACTCCGACTGACCCCTGACCTCAAGGGTAAGGACACAGGGGTCACATAAAGGACACAAAGGGAACTAGAAATTGGGAGAGAGGAGCTGGAAAAGGAGGGGGAGTAGAGTGAGAAAGAGGGAAGAAGAGAAAGGTGAGGAGGAGAAGGAGGAAGAAGAGGACTAAGAAAAGGAAGAGGAAGGAAGGCGGGAGAGGAGGAGAGGGAAAGGAAGGAGGAGAAGAGAAGGAATAGGAGGGGGAAAAGGTGCAGGTAGAGGAGGAAGAAGCCACAGCAAAGACAGTTAATAAACACCGGCCAAAGGCATGATGATTGAATACATAATAACAGCTCTCATTCACTGAGCACCTGCTATGTGCCAGGCATTTGGCTGAAGGTTTGACATTATCTCATTTAATGCTCACAGCCACCCCCTGAGAATATTATTATTGTCCCCTTTTCCAGATGAGATTCAGTGGAGTTCTGAGATGTGAAGTGACTTGGCCCAAGTCACTTTTAGCCAACGTCAGCAATAGAACCCAAATGCAGAGCCATCTGCCTGCCCTCAAAGGCCACACTCTTCCCACTAAAACCTGCCTGGCGACATTGGCCTTTGAAATACTAGAAGAGGAAAAGGAATTGCGGGTTGTCCTGCACTCTCACAGATCTTTTCTCCCAGAAAAGACCTTGGCTACTTTTAGGCCTGGCTCTTGAGAGGCGTGGGATGAGAGCATGGGGCTGGGACTCAGCCCTGGGCTCTGCCCAGGAAGGGCAAGTCATGGAACCCGGGAATGGCTGTGTGGCCGCACCTGTAGACAACGACAGTAGGCCCAGGACTTCCCTCCGCGGTACACAGTAAGAAAGGTCCCCTCTGGGCCGGGTGCTGTGGCTCACACCTGTAATCCCAACACTTTGGGAGGCTGAGGTGGGCGGGTCACCTGAGGTCAGGAGTTCGAGACCAGCCTGGCCAACATGATGAAGCCCAGTCTCTACTAAAAAATACAAAAAAAAAATAGCCAGGCACAGTGGGATGCACCTGCAATCTCAGCTACTCAGGAGGCTGAGGCAGGAGAATCGCTTGAACCCGGGAGGTGGAGGTTGCAGTGAGCCAAGATCACACCACTGCACTCCAGCCTGGGCAAGAGAGCAAGACTCTGTCTAAAAAAAAAAAAAAAAAAAAAAAAGAGGTCCCCTTTAGGCAGGGGAAACTCAAATGGGCACGGGTTCTTCACAATGCAGTATGTGCGTTAAAATGGGCAGAGGACTGCAAAAAACCATCAGAGATGGGGATGACTTTATTTTTTAAAGAAGGAAAACAAGCAATAAAGTGCTGATATAGCCATTCTAGATATAGCTGCTTTAAGAAATAGTCAAGAAAAGGTTAGCCAGGATTCCTCCCCACTTTTCATCTACAAATCCACAGGTTTGGACCTCTTACAAGGAGGCAGAGGAGACAGGTCGGGGCTTCATGCTTCCCTAGGCCAGTTTTAGGCTGTCTGGAAGGTTCCAGTTAGTTGGGGAACATCTGTACGATGTATATAGCTACCCCAGCCAGACAGATTCACCCACGGCTGGCAGAAGAGGGGCTTAAGGCCAGTACAGTAGTTCCCAAAACTTCAGTCACCCACAGACCACCCTTATGATTTTTGCCCTGTCCGAGAACAAGGTACCTGTACTGTTTTATTTTTATATAAATATATATATATATATATATTTTTTTTTTGAGACAGAGTCACGCTCTGTCGCCCAGGCTGGAATGCAGTGGCACGATCTCGGCTCACTGCAGCCTCCACCACCTGGGTTCAAGTGATTCTCCTGCCTCAGCCTCCAGAGTAGCTGGGATTACAGACATGCGCCATCACTCCTGGCTGATCTTTGCACTTTTAGTAGAGACAAGGCTATGCCATGTTGGCCAGGCTGGCTTCAAACTGCTGTCCTCAAGTGATCCACCTGCGTCGGCCTCCCAAAGTGCTGGGATTACAGACATGTGCCATCACTCCTGGCCGATCTTTGCACTTTTAGTAGAGACAAGGTTATGCCATGTTGGCCAGGCTGGCTTCAAACTGCTGTCCTCAAGTGATCCACCTGCGTCGGCCTCCCAAAGTGCTGGGATTACAGGCGTGAGCCACTGTACCCAGCCACTGTTATTTTTTAAAATATTTTTCTTTAGTAGCCAGGCATGGTGGCACGTGCCTGAAGTCCTAGCTACTCAGGAGACTGAGGTGAGAGAATTGCTTGAGCATAGGAGTTTGAGGCTGCAGTGAACTCTGATCATGCCACTGCACTCCAGCTTGGGCAGCAGAGCAAAACCTTGTCTCTTAAAAAAAAAAAAAAGTTTTGCTTTAAATCAGACTTAAGTTGATCCTCTATTATTTTTCCCATAGCCTCTTCCTAAGCAGTGATATCTGTGAAATCTCAAATAATCCTATTTGTTTCAACTATGCAACTCTTAAACATATTTCCCTGAATCCCTGATGCTATCTAAAATTGTGGCAAGTCCATTAACATTCTCATACCCTGCTTGGAGGAACTCTGTTGAAATGCACTCTACTACAAAGAAATGAGAGCAGCCTCCTTTTCTGAATCTTCCCATCAGTAATATAATTAAAAAATGGGGAAGGGGAGGGATGGGGCATTGCCATGTTCCAAGAGGTATAAAAAAGGTTGAGAGACACTTCACTGATGTGTTTTGAGATGCTGATCTTTCTGTACTTGCAGTGAGGGACAGAGATAGAGAGATGATAGATGATAGATAGATATAGGTAGATAGAGATAGATAGATGATAGAGATAGATGATAGATATAGATGATTGATATAGATAGACAGATAGATAGATAGATAGATAGATAGATAGATAGATAGATAGGGAGATAGATAGAGATAATAGACAGATAGAGAGCTGTCACCAGATTTTTCTCTCTAATCCTCCTCCTTCTGGCTTGGCAGATCTTCCCTGGGGCTGAGGGATGGCCGCTGCCCAAGTACCTGGGCTCCTGTGGCAGATTCCTCGTCAGCACCAGCACCAGACCGCTGCAGGAATTCTATGATGCACCCCCAGATCAGGCAGCCGACCTTGCCTACCAGCTCCTGGGTGTCCTGGAGTCTTTGAGGAGCAACGATTTGAACTATTTCTTCTACTTCACCCACATTGATGCAGGCATGTTCGGCGTCTTTAACAACGGGCATCTGTTCATCCGGGATGCCAGTGCAGTGGGCGTCATCGACAAGCAGGAAGGTACTCAGCATGGGCCTGGCTGAGCAGCTGTCAGAGGGAAAGTCAGGGTGACAGGAGCTAGGGAGGGGTGGCCAGGGGTCATGCTATTGGGCCTTTCCCATCTCTGCATGTCATAGTGAGAGCCACTCAAGTTCGGAGAATATTAGATTTCATGTAAAATGTCCCTCACTCCTATTTGAATTTCTACTCTAACTCCATCTCCAAAGGGGAAGTGGATTTGGCCTTGTCCATGAGAAGCATTGTGCATAGTGGCACAGCCCCAGCTGCACCCTCCCAGGGCAGTGCTGTTGTGCAATTGGGTCTATGTGGCCCAGGGACCTGCCTTGACCCTCCTTTCTCTCTCTCTCTCTCTCTTTCTCACTCTCTCTCTCTCTCCTCTCTCTCTGTCACACACACACACACACACACACACACACACACACACACACACACACAAAACTTTTGGGTCCATCTCCCACTCAGAGTCTTTCTCATCAGATGCTTTTACCCTTTATCTAAAACTTAAATATCAGGCTGATTCACTGGTATATTTTGCAATCCATTTTGGCACAATTGCTCTTTATAAAGTTTTCAAAGTAAAAAAGCATGGAACCAAATGAGGTGGATGACTGAATCGTGTTTCTCACTATGTGTAAAGTTTCATTCAGTGATCTAGAACCCTTCGAACACCCTAATCTCTAATGCTAACCAAATTTTCTGAGCCCAATAAGAGGACAAAGGATTTTATTTTCTAATTTCTGATTTTGTTTGTATGCAAAAGCCTACAAAAATAGACAAATTAAACCACACATTTATTTCCTGATTTGCCTTTATTAAAAAGAATCAAATTAGAAGAAATGAGGCTGATTCCAGAATATTCCGGATATGTAAATCATGAAACGTCAGTCACACTACAACTCATTGAATACATATTTGGGATTACTTGTTTTTTCTCCTAACTTTGCATTTTATTTTGTTTTTCATTTTTATTTTTGTTTTTGAGACAGAGTCTCACTCTGTCGCCCAGGCTGGAGTGCAGTGGTACATTCTTGGCTCACTGCAACCTCTGCCTCCCGGGTTCAAGCGATTCTCCTGCCTCAGCCCCCTGAGTAGCTGGAATTACAGACGACTGTCACCACACCCAGCTAATTTTTGTATTTTTAGTAGAGACGGGGTTTCGCCATGTTGGCCAGGCTGGTCTCGAACTCCTGACCTCAGGTGATCCACCCATCTCAGCCTCCCAAAGGGCTGGGATTACAGGTGTGAGCTGCCATGTCCGGCCCTCACTTTGCATTTTAAAGGCGCAAATGAAACCAGTCCCAATAATTTCCTGAGTTCACTAATTTAGTAATAATGAGAGTCTAACAATATGAATGTGATCTCTACAATTATCAGCCTAACTTCTGGTAGGGGTAAGTGGGTTTTCCATGCCCAGGCCTCACTCTATTGTAGCAGAGTGGATTCTTTCCACGTGGTTCTCAAAAGGAGCCACTGTGTCCCTGAGTCCTAAATCTCCTGGTGACAGGGAAATGCTAGGAGACTATACTAGTTCACCCAGTAATTTTTTTTTTTTGAGATGGCTTTTCGCTCTGTCACCCAGGCTGGAGTGCAGTGGTGCAATCTTGGCTCCCTGCAACCTCCGCCTCCCAGGTTCAAGCGATTCTCCAGCCTCAGCCTCCTGAGTAGCTGGGACTACAGATGCATGCCACCACACCCAGCTAATTTTTGTATTTTTAGTAGAGACGGGGTTTCACCATATTGGCCAGGCTGGCCTCGGACTCCTGACCTCAAGTGATCTGCCCGCCTCAGCCTCCCAAAGTGCTGGGATTACAGGCATGAGCCACCGCGCCCGGCCCCACCCAGGAATTCTAATTAGTGGTGCCCTCCCTCAAGGAGCACTGGTGGCAGGGTGTGTAATACTTCCCATTTCTTTTCTAGGCAGCCAAGAAGCCAACAGGGCAGGAGAGAATAAAGACATTTTTAGCTGCCTGGTTTCCGGCTGCCAGGCCCAGCTGCCCTCCTGCGAAAGCATCTCTGAGAAGCAGAGCCTGGTGCTGGTGTGTCAGAAGTTGCTGCCTCGACTTCTCCAGGGGAGGTTCCCCTCCCCAGTGCAAGACGACATAGACTCCATCCTTGTTCAGTGTGGGGACAGCATCCGCCCAGACCCAGAAGTCCTTGGGGCCGCCAGCCAGCTGAAAGACATCTTGAGGCCCCTGAGAACGTGTGACTCCAGATTTGCCTATCGTTACCCAGATTGCAAATATAACGATAAGTTCTGAAGGGCTGGTGTCTAGCTGGCCTTGGGGACAACACGCTTGGCTCTCCATTCTCCCAGTCGGGTTGCTGCAAGGTAGAAAGAAGCAGCTCTTTTTTAAAGATGAGAAGAAAGGCACACTCATTTCTTAGGGACTGAGAGGGGAGTTGTGAGATACCACGTGGCTGTCTCTGCTGGCTGGGACGTCCTGGCAAAGCCCGCGGTGGGCATCAGAAGACCTGGGTGTGGACGCTCACTCAATGTCTTTGAGCCTCAGTTTCCTCTGTTCTCCACCAGACTCTCCTGAGGGTGAAAGAAGACACAGATGGAGCCACCACTGAGCATATATCCCAAGCATGGGTCTTGGGACACATGCTCACCACCTCCATCCCAGGTGGTTACAAAGTGTGTTCTGGAAAAGCACAGAGGCGGGGAGCATGAGAAAGAGCTGCTCAGGTCAGGAGGCTGGAGTGGAGGGAAGGCAGGGGAAGGACAGGCTCCCTGCCACTACCACTTTAGACTCGGACAAGAGGGGCCCCCTTCCTGCTCCCTATGGCCCTGCGTCACTCCCCACACCATCGCGGGATGAGGAGACTGCAGGCCAAGGGGACATGCCTGCCACCACCTAGAGCCTGGTACCTGAGGCTCCATACACCTGCGCATGGGGCTTCTCGTGGTGTGGGAAGAAGCCAGGGGTAAGAAGATAAAGGGGGGCCGGCGGGGGACCAATGTGTTAGCCCAAGTCTTCCAAGAATATGTGTCAAGATAGAGTGAATGGAACAAAGATTTGTTAGGGGAAATGATTGTGTGTAAGGAAAGAAGGAGGGAGCCGGAGAAGATTGGGAGGACCAGTAAGTCGAGCTGCAAGCTGAGCCCCGGTGAAGGAGAGAATGTCTGGCAGGAGCTTGCTAAGCTCAAAATCAAAGAAAGGTTCAGCAAGGCTGTCAGGGTGTCCTCAAGACAAAGGCAGCCATCAGAAGAGCCCCGTGTCTCCCACAAATAGACCCCGTTAGCATCCCTGCTGCACTCAGTGGTTGGCGGAAACAGCAAAGATAGATTTCAGAGCACAGCAGCAGGGGTCCCTGGTCAGCCCCGCTCCCTAGAGCAGGAGATCTTGAGTGGGAGAACATTCTTGTTGTAGCCACAGCTGAGGCCCTGGACCAGCTCTCTCCACACCGCATGCTCCGAGTTGGGACTCTAAGGAGTCTAGGAATTTTCATTCAAACTTGGCCTTACAGGTCACTCATCAGAAAAATACTTTTTTCAAGGTCAACCAATAGAACATACTTTATTCAACAGTTTGTTAGTTTGCTTTTTAAATATTTAGCCACATGGTATGTAGGCTTCCATGTACACTCTTGCCCTGGCCCCTGAAACATAAGCAGGGGGCTCTTCTGTACATTTGCCCAGCTTCCCTGCCAGCCTTTAACCCCAGGAACCTCTCAGTCTACCTCCTCTTTTCTGCCTCTGAATCCCTACCTTTAAAGTCAGAACAGGCCAGGCCCGGTGGCTCACGCCTGTAATCCCAGCACTTTGGGAGGCTGAGGTGGGTGGATCACTTGACATCAGTAGTTCAAGACCAGCCTGGCCAACATGGTGAAACCCCATCCTTACTAAAAATACAAAAATTAGCCAGGTGTGGTGGCGGGCACCTGTAATCCCAGCTACTCAGGAGGCTGAGGCAGGAGAATCACTTGAACCCAGGAGGCAGAGTTTGCAGTCAGCCAAGATCACGCCACTGTACTCCAGCCTGGATGACACAGCGAGACTCCGTCTCAAAATAAATAAATAAAAATAAAGTCAGAACACCTGGCTTAATAGGCCTCACTGTGCAGATGAGGAAACTGAGGCCCAGGGAGGAAGAGCGATCTGTGGAGATATTTCTAGAACCCCTGCAAGCTGAGCCCCAGTGAAGGAGAGAAGGTCCAGTAGGAGCTTGCTAAGCTCAAAATCGAAGAAAGGTTCAGCAAGACTGTCAGGGTGACCTCAAAGCAATGGCAGCCATCAGAGGAGCCCCATTGCTATTAGGAGGCTCCTATTGCCCTCCCCTTCAGCCTCTGACTTTCACCTGTGCTACCCAATTCTGGTTCCTTCACTCCCATTCAAAAATGGACCCCAGAAAAGCCTTATTTTGTGGAGTACCTAGTTCCCTTTTGGGTTTGTCTCTTGACTGCTACGGGCATTGCCCCAGGGCAACCATGACAGTGAAGATGACTGGCCAAGCTTGTGGACTGGCCAGCAAGCTTGGGCTGCCTGAGACGCTTTGAAATGGCTGCCTTCTGAGTTGGTCTTGAGGGTGAAGACTGACCACCCTTCTCACCTGCACAGTCACAGTCCCTCTCCTGCTGGCCTGACTGCAGCTGTCCTCCCAGCTGGCCACCTGACCAGAGACCAGGAGAGAGGCCACAGCCTCCAGACCCTCCAGAGTCCCACGGAGGAAGAAGGCTTACCAGAGAGACCCTCTGATGCATGAGCCAGGCCCCAGCCCTTCTCCCTGCATCCAGGTGTGTTTCCACCGCAAAATGCCTCCACACAATGAGCGACTTTGGCCCTGCGTGGGTCAGCATGTGGTCTGAGGTAACCCTCAAATGCCTCCACCACACATCTGTCCACCTGCACGGGTTCAAGGTAAGCACTTGCCCCCTTCTCTCCTCCAGACCAGTCGCCTGAAATTCTGAGCAACATTCCTTCAAGACTATCATGTAACCCTTGGTGATGCTGAGTCCAGACAGGAAATGCAGACTTGGGACCCACCTGTATCAGCAGAAAGAGGCCTTGTGCCCCGTTTGTCCGAGTCCCAGAACGGAGCAAATGAGAAAACCGGCGAGCTGTCCCCCGAGGAGCTGTAGGGAGATTGGTTTTTAGTATAAATTACAATAAAATTTTGTGTATGTGTACAGCTGTGTTCACATCCACAGTGTAAGCTGTGATATGGTTTGGATGTTTGTCCCCTCCAAATCTCATGTTGAAATGTGATCCCCAGCATTGGAGGTGGGGCCTGATGGGAGGTGATTGGGTGATGGGGGAAGTTGCCTCATGAATGACTTGGTGCCCTCCTGGAAGTGATGAGTGAGTTCTCGCTGAGCTCACTCAAGATGTGGTTGTTTAAAAGAGTGTGGCACGTCCCTCCCCCAACTCTCCCTCTCACTCCCGCTCTCACCATGTGACACACCTGCTCCCCCTTCGCCTTCCACCATGATTGGAAGCTTCCTGAAGCCCTTACCAGAAGCAGATGCCAGCCCCACACTTCCTGTACCACCTGCAGAACCATAAACCAAAATAAAGCTCTTTTCTTTATCAATTACCCAGCCTCAAGTATTTCTTTATAATAATACAAAATGGGCTAATACAAGCTGAGTGCTAAGGAGCAGGGCAGATGTCAGGCAGGCCCTACATATGCTTAGGAGTGGCCTAGAAATAGTTCCCCAGCTAGTGGCTTTTCCTAGGTTCAGGAGATCACAGAGTCCTTTTCTCATACACCTTCACGACAGAGCAGATGTTCTTGTCAACATGCCTGAAGACCACAGGCCCCACTCAGCTGCCTTCAGGGAACATTTTCCTGCCTCCCGCCAGCCACCTGCTAACCCTCCCCCACCCACCCTGTGGTGGACACAGAGCTGAGCCACCCAGCTCTCCCTTCAAGAAACAATGCTCTTCCCAGCATGGCATGGTTGGCACACAGCATTAAGCCATCAGGTCCTTCGGGTTCTGCCTCAGCCACCTTCACTCGAGGTCACACCCTTCCTAGGGCATATCTAGACCCAGTGACTAGGCATGCAGAGGTGTGAAGGCCCCGCAATTTTGGCCCATTGAGCAACAACTCTAATAGGCAATCCTCCTTCCAGAACTCCCCACCCAGCTGATCAAGACTCATGAGCCTGCCTCACAGTTTAATGTCCCTCTGCCCATCCTGCTTCCTCTGCATTCTTTTTTTCTTTCTTTCTTTCTTTTCTCTTTTTCTTTCTTCTTCTTTTTTTTTTTTTTTTTTGTGAGACAGGGTCTCACTCTGTTGCTAAGGCTGGAGTGCAGTGGCACGATCTCGGCTCATAGTAGCCTCTGCCTCCTAGGTTCAAGCGATTCTCATGCCTCAGCCTCCTGAGTAGCTGGGGTTACAGGTATGTGCCACCACTCCCGGCTAATTTTTGTTTTTGTGTTTTTTGTTTTAAGTAGAGATGGGGTTTCAACATGTTGGCCAGGCTGGTCTCAAACTCCTGGCCTCAAGTGTTCCCCATAGCAACCAGAGCAGATGCTGGGAAATTTCTTGCTGAGGATAATGATTGAGTTCTTTAGCCGTTTTCACTTGGAGTACTTCATACACCGTACTGGCCTTACATGGGATAGAACCACTTCCTCAGGAACTGTGCCTTCCCTTCAATAGCCAGGAGACAGGAGAATCAACACTCCAGTGACTTCAGGTAGAACGAAATTATGTGTTGTGTATTCTCAGTCCCCTGGAATTTGATTCGAGGCGTTAGGGTATTTTTCTGAATTATGTCAGCCATTGTCTTTAAGCCTGCAGGACAGGCTACGTAATTTGTGGCACCTGGTGCAAAATGAAAGCGTGAGGTCCCTTGTCCAACAATTATTAAGAATCGCAAGACAAGACAGCAGAACATTAAACCAAGCTCAAGCCGCCTGTGATTGCATTGGTTGCAGGTCCACAAAGCTGACCCTGGGTGCCTGTAAATACTAATTCTCCCTACTCTTGGCATAGAGTGTTCTCAGCATTTGCTGGGGTCTCATTTGACCTCCACATCCCAGGGGAGTAGGTGTGGGACTAGCAGCAATATATAAAATATTTAGGCCGGGCATGGTGGCTCACGCCTGTAATCCCAGCATTTTGGGAGGCTGAGGCAGGAGGATCACCTGAGGTCCGGAGTTCATGACCAGGCTGGCCAACATGGTGAAGCCCTGCCTCTACTAAAAATACAAAAATTAGCCAGGCGTGGTGGCACCTGCCTGTAATCCCAGCTACTCAGGAGGCTGAGACATGAGAATCGCTTGAACCCGGGAGGCAGAGGCTACGGTGAGATTGCGCCACTGCACTCCAGCCTGGGCGACAGAGTGAGACTTCATCTCAAAAAAAAAAAAATTAAAATTAAATAAAAATAACAACCACCATGGGGCAAAGGAACTGACCTTTGAAAACAGACTTCACCAGCTGCAGCCATCAGGAGAGCCAAACCACAGCCCTGCAGGCAAGATCTTTTCAAACAAGGAAAGTGATTTCAGTGATTTGCACGAAATGACAATTTTTAGGTCTCCTGCTTTCCCAGTCCTCCCCTGTAGCATCTGACTTCTGCCTATAAGTGATTCCATGAGCCTGAACATTTCTTCTGGAGTTAAAATAAATACTTTGTTAGATGTGTGGTCTTTTTTGGAAAGATCTAGAGCTCTGGAATCAGACAGACCTAGTATCAAATCATGACTTTGCTGGTTACTGTGTAATTTTGGGCAGGTTACTTAGTCTTTCTGAGCCTCCATTTACCCATCCATAAAACGTGGAGAAAAAGATTTATCCTTTCTGAGTCATTATCCTGTGTAAATAACATAATGTCCCTCAAGAGCCCGGCACACACGGGAGGTCGATATTTGAAGGCAAATGTAGGGAAAGAGCAGAGGGTCTCCCGCGGCAGAAAGGGTTCCTGGCCCAGCCAAGGCAAGCGCAGCAGCATCTTGGGAGGGACTCTTGTCCCCACCCCAAGCCTCTACTTCCGCTCAGAGGAGCCACCAGGAAGCCTCAGGCTGCTAGACAGTCTGACTGGGGCCATTTTTCTTCCCTCCCTCAGCTAAATTCTGGGTGGATCATGAATGGCAGCAGAGCAGCCACTAACCTTAGCTCCCCAGCCCAGCCCTCAGCCAGGCTCAGAAGGGGATCCTCTTTAAGCAGGTAATGTTGGGGGCCTGAAGAAGTCCATCCATGCTCAGTACGTGAAGAGAAACGAGGAATGCAGTTTGGCCTGTTGAAAACCACAGCCTCACTGCCAGTTCATGATGATGTGACTTTTCTGCCCACCTTGGGGCCTGTTGCTCACATATATTGGCACAGATGAGCTCACATGCTCACATGCACACAAGTATACTCTCTGCCCTGTCCACACTCTTTTTTTTTTTTTTTTTTTTTGAGACAGGGCTTTGTCCAGGCTGGAGTGCAGTGGTAGCACCACGCCTGGCTAATTTTTTAAAATTTTTTTGTAGAGGCAACAGGGTCTCACTCTATTGCCCAGACTGGTCTCAAATTCTTTGGCTGAAGCAATCTTCTTGCCTTGGCCTCCCTAAGTATTGGAATTACAGATGTGAGCCATAGCACCCGCCCATGTCTGCCTCTCTTTATGACATTGTTGAAAGACGGTCGTGGGCTGTGTGGAAGGGTCAACACACAGGAAGGGGCCATGGCATTTACAGATATAATGACCCTTCAAAAAGGCAACTTAGGTGCAGCAAACCACCACGGCACATGTATACCTATGTAACAAACCTGCACATTCTGCACATGTATCCCAGAACTTAAAGTATAATTTGAAAAAAAAAAAAAAGGCAGCTTAGGCCAGGCATGGTGGCTCACACCCATAATCCTAGCACTTTGGGAGGCCACGGCGGGGGAATCACTTGAGCCCAGAGTTCGAGACCAGCCTGGGTACTATAGTGAGACCCTATCTCTACCAAAAAAAAAAAAAAAAAAAATTAGCAAGGTGTGGTGGTGCATGTGCCTGAAATTCCAGCTCCTCGGGAGGCTGAAGTAGGAGGATCCCTTGAGCCTGGGAGGCTGACACTGCAATGAGCTGTGACTGCACCACTGCACTCTAGCCTGGAGCCTGGGTGACAGAACAAGACCTTGTCTCTAAAAATAAAAAATGAAAAAAAGGTAACAAAGTAATCGACCAGCAAAGGTAGGCTAGGCAGCCTGTGCAAGTGGCCCACCCATTACAGCTCTTTTAGAATCAAATAAGGAGACAGGAACACTCCTGTCCCAGTCAAGGGACCAGGGAATAGTGTCAGTCCTGGACAATGACTCTAGAGGGAGTGTGCCATTGCAGAGGGAGCATTGGCTCTGGAAGCAGACACGTGTGCCTTCAGATCCCGCACCAGTCCCTCTTCAAAAGTCAGTGCTTCAAAGTTGTTTATTGCCATGGTGTTCATTGCAATTGAGTAATGAATTAGCAAATATTTGCAATGAATAAGCAAAGTTATTCATTGTAACTGCAAAATATTGGGACCAACCTATATGGCTGTACATAGGAGAGTGGTTGAAAAAACTACAGTTCATCTACACAATGGAGGGCTGTGCAGCCGTACAAATGAATGAGGAAAAGCTCTATGACCTGATAGGGAATGAATTGCAGGATACAGTGCTAAGTGAGGGGGAGAAAAGCAAAACGCGAAAGCATATTTACAGGATGTTACCTCTCATATAAAAAAGAAGGGGATATAATAAATCATTTAGGCCAGGTACAGTGGCTCACACCTGTAATCCCAGCACTTTGGGAGGCCGAGGCAGGTGGATCACTTGAGGTTAGGAGTTCAAGACCAGGCTGCCCAATAAGACGAAACCCCATCTCTACTAAAAATGCAAAAAGTACCCGGGCATGGTGGCGCCAGCCTGTAATCCCAGCTACTCAGGAGGCTAAGGCAGGAGAATTGTTTGAACCCAGGAGGCAGAGGTTGCAGTGAGCCAAGATCATGCCACTGCACTCCAGCCTGGGTGACAGTGAGACCCCGTCTCAAAAAATAAATAAATAAATAAATAATTTATATATCTGCTCATTTGTAATGCTCTGGATTGGATGCTGTCAGGGAGTGTGGGTAATTCTATGCTTGAATATATCAATAAATCTTATCTATAGGACAGGGGAAATGAAGCATGGCTAAAGCTCTAATTAGTAAAGTCACAGCAGTCACTCCTATTCTCATACTAACCAGGATAAGGGGATGTTTCGGTAATTTCTGTTTGAACAATGTTCACATTGTTGTTTGTGTTCAGACAAGAGTACAGAGTGGCCTTGTTTTGTCTTGATCTATCTTGGTCACAGAACAGCTTTGTTTGATGGCGTTCTGAGAAATTGTTTATGTTCAAAGAGACCACAAAGGCCAAGCTACAAGGGCCAAGCCAGCTCTGAGTGACACCGAGGGTAAGGCCTAACTGATAATGCCAAGTCAGTTCCCAGCTGGCATGAGCTGCTTTTCTCTTTCTCAGTGGGACAACTGGTGAAATTTGAATAAAGTCTATAGATTAGTAAATAGCATTTTATCAGTGTTAATTTCTTAGTTTCAATCATTGTACTATGATTATGTAAGGTGTTAAGATGAAGGGAAGTTGGCCGGGAGCAGTGGCTCATGCCTGTAATCCCAACATTTTGAGAGGCCGAGGCAGGAGGATCCCCTGAGCCCAGAAATTCAAGACCAGCCTGGACAGCATAACAAAACCCCATCTCTATTTGAATCAAAAAAAAAAAAAAAAAAAAGAGAAGAAGTTGGGTGAAGGGTATAAAGGAACTCTGTATACTATTCTGGAACTTTTTTGTAAGTCTAAAATTATTCCAAAATAAAAATTAAAAAAAAATCAGTGTATGAAGTGGAAGAGGTTGACTTGTATATCTGGGCCATGCTGTATAAAAGCAAATGCATATCTCAAAACACTAAAGCATTACCTGTGTGACAAGATGGTCCCGACAACACATAGAAATTGAGTAGGATTAAACGGAAGATTCCAGGCTCCCATTTAGGTCTTATTCTAGGGTAATGCTCCTTGAGTAGATTCATCACTGCCTCATTTTCACTGTTATTGCTCTTTCTCTCCCTTTCTTTTATTTAATTTGCCCAAGTGAATATGCCCATGCTAGAACCAGGACTACCCCTACCACCCTGGAAAGCAACAGAGACCTGGGCCTTCCACATGCTCATTTCCAATTCCTTCCCTTCTACACACAGACCACAGTGCCTCTTGTAGACAGGACACCGAGAATGAGTTGAAACTCACCCCACACCCCACCTCGGCCCATTTAGCAGAATCCGACTTTCTGCCTCCTGCCCATACCTGGAGCTTCTCTCTTAAAAAGTCATCCTTTAAAGAGGCTTGTGCCAAGCTGAGTTCATATTCCTCTTGTCAAAATAACAAATATTTTAATATTTCATTTGTGTAAGGGATCCTATGCAAGGCAGGCAAAAATTCAGGAAAAGAGGCAAGTCATGGAAACTTGGTGAGAATATAATCCTATTGAAAAGCAATTTGGCAAAGTTCATCAAGAGCCTCAAAAAGGATGGCACACTCTACCCAGTAATTCCACTTCTGGGATGCTATCCAAAGGAAGTCATCAAGAATGCAGAGAGATTTATGCACAGACTGGCTGTTAAAAATCATGGATTGAACACTTGTAACCCCTACTAAAATGAAAGTAAGTGGAATTTTTAATAGGCATAAACTACAAGACAGGAGAAAATGAGAGAGGAGAAAAATAGAAACACAATTTTGAAAGCTGGAAAGCAAATAACTTAGCAGGACCAAAAAAACTAAATCCTAAACTGGCAGCAAAGAATGCTGAGAACCAACCTGATTTATACCACAAAATCCCTCAAAAGGTTAAGGAATTAATGGCACTAGATCCCTCAGGAAATGAGGGGGAAGAGGTAGCTGAAATATGGATGAAATTCAAAAGGCTGTTCTAAGCAGTTGGATCCGGTTCGGTCTCCCTACTCCTCCTAGCCAGGTAATGGTCCTCCAAGACCAACAAAAGATTGGAGTCTCCTTTCCTAGAGAGAGTCAATCAAAGGTCTTCAGGGATAATAAGGAGATATCGGGGTGGCAAGTCACACTGAAAACTAGGGGATCAAGGACTTGTGTGCACATTGGCTGTGGGCTCCCCATCTTCACCTGCACTGGCAGCCGGGCCTTCACCTCCAGGCAGGAGAACGGAAGAGAGAGCCCCCAGGGTAAAGAGCAAAAGACCTGTCATCAGAAGCCCCTCAACCACCCCTCCTACCCAGCCAGGTCCTCACGGGGAAGGTCACAGCTAGCAAACCCCACTGGCTGTCCAGAGCACCCAGTCATCTTTTTAATTTCCCACTCCTTTTATTTTCTGGGGTTTTCCCCCCCTCTAACATTATTTCGAAATAATTTCAGGCCTTTAGAAAAGTTGAAGGAAAAATACAAATCCATATTCCCAATTGTTTGCTTCTTTCTTGTGTTTGCTTTATCATTCCCTCCCCTCCTCCATCTCGCTCTCCCTCCATGTATGTTCCTCCTCATGCTCTCCCCCGACCACCCTGCCCAACTCCCACCCATTTTTTTCTGAGCCATTTTAGAGAAGTGACAGATGTGCGCCTAAATACTTCAGAGTATATATCCTAAAAACCAAATATAGTCTTACCTAACCAGTATGATTGTCAGAATCAGGAGATGAATATCGATACAATGCTATTATCTAACTACAGCCTGTTGAAAGATAAATTTTAGACAAATTAAATTTCATAGAGTTTAACTGAGCAAACAACAATTTGAGAATCAGGCAGCACCAGAACCAGAATAGGTTCAGAGCAGCTCCAGGGTTGCCATATGGTTGGATAACATTTATGGACAGAAAAAGGAAAGTGTGGTAGAGAAAACGGAAGTGAGATACAGAAACAACTGGATTGGTTACAGCTCAGTGTTTCCCTTATTTGCATAGGCTTAAACAGTTGGCCACCTGTGATTGGCTGAAACTCAGCTGCTGTGACTGGTTGAAACGCGGGCTACTTGTTACAAGAGTACTTTACAGTCTGTTTACACATCCAGTTAGGTTACAGTTCACTGTGTAGAGAGAAACCTTTAGGCAAAACCTAAATTGCTGGGTGTGGTGGCTCGTGCCTGTAATCCCAGTACTTTGGGAGGCCGAGGCAGGCAGATCACTTGAGGCCAGGAGTTCGAGACCAGCTTGGCCAGCAGGGCAAAACCCCATCTCTACTAAAAATACAAAAATTAGCCGGGTGTGGTGGCACATGCCTGTAGTCCCAGCTACTTGGGAGGCTGAGGCAGGAGGATGGCTTCATCCCTAGAGGTGGAAGTTGCAGTGAGCCGAGATTGTGCCACTGCACTCCAGCCTGGGCGACAGAGCGAACATAAACTATGTAAGGAGGCAGCTTTAGACTAAACTTAATTTAACAAGCCCTTATTTAAATTTTGGCAATTTCACCAATAATGTCCTTCATAGAAATTGTTTTTTCCTGGCCCAGGATCCAATCCAGGATCACATATTGCATTTAATTATTGTGTCTCTCTAGTCTCTCTCTCTTTAATCTAGAATAGTTTCTCAGTCCTAACAGAAGATATTTGAGGTCAGTTTGTCCCATTTTTGGTGATGTTCACTTGGTTAAGCTGAGGTCTGCTAGGTTTCTCCACTTAAAGTTAATACATAACTGAAGAGAAAATACTTTGAGACTCTGTAAATATCCTGTATTCATCAAACTTCTACCCATTCATTTTAACATCATTGATGATTCTTGCCTGAATCAATTATTACTATGATGTTGCAAAATGGTGTTTTTCTAATTCTATTACTCCTTCTACATTTATTAGTCGACATTCTTTTTTAAAAAAAAAAACTTTTCCTTTCCCCTACTTAGTTATTTATTAATACATTTATATAAGTATGGAGTAGCAGATTCTTATTTTACTTGATGGATTATAATATATTCTTACCATTTATTTCGATGCTCCAAATTTTCCCATGTTTGACCAGTGGGAAAACTCCCAGAAAGTAGAGCAAAAAGTCAGTCTAAAAGCAAGAGGAAAAAAAAAATTACAGAATTAGTCCAAATAGTAGGAGCTCCAAACACACTCGCACAGTGACAAACACAAACACAGTGACGCACACAGACACAGATGTGTACATGAACACAGACACCACAAAGTGACAGAGGCACACACACAAAGACACATAAACATCAAAGACATGCACAGACACACATAAACACAGAGATACAAACGTACAGACACACACACAGAAGGAAATAATCAACAAGAAAATTTGATTTCCCATAATTAAAGGCCATTAGTGTTTCCATTGGAAGGACTTTTGGAATGCCCATCACAATAGATATGGCAGGGACTGGAGGGGTGTCAAAAACACCAGAAGCCAGAAGACAATGACTTCAAAATTCTGAAGGAAAATTATTTTCAACCTTGAATTTACTTTTCCAAGCAAACTATCAATCAATTTTATATCTATGCTAACTATCAATTTCAGACATCTAAGTTCACAAATATTTTTGTTTTCAAGCCTCCTGTCTTAGGAAGGATTGCTAAGGATATTGGAAGATATGCTTTATCAAAAGAGTGCAGTAGGCCAGGTGCGGTGACTCATGCCTGTAATCCCAACACTTTGGGAGGCCGAGGCAGGCGGATCACTTGAGGTTGGGAGTTCGACACCAACCTGACCAACATGGAGAAAACCCCATCTCTACGAAAAATACAAAATTAGCTGGGCGTGGTGGTTCATGCCTGTAATCCCACCTACTCAGGAGGCTGAGGCAAGGCAATCACTTGAACTTGGGATGGGGAGGTTGCAGTGAGCCGAGATCACGCCATTAGACCCCAGCATAGGCAACAAGAGTGAAACTCTGTCTCAAAATAAAAAAAAATTTTTTTAAAAAGTGTGCAGTAGACCAAGATAAAGGAGACCTGAGTTGTAGGAAACAAGGGCTCCAACACAGGAGAGAGGGGAATGGGATCCTAGGAGACAGCTGTGTACCAGGCATGGGACCACCCCATCCACAGGGGAGCAGGTCAGAAGGCTTCAAGAGCCATTCCTTCAGAAAGATGAAACCGTTAAAAACCCAATATATCTGAAGGCTTTGTTTATTTGTTTCTTTGTTTGCTATAGAGACAGGGTCTAGTCTAGCTCTACCTCCCATGCTAAAGTACAGTGGTGTGATCATAGCTCACTGTAACCTCAAACTCTTAGGCTCAAAGGATCCTCCCGCCTCAGCCTCCTGAGTAGCTGGGACCACAGGTACACACCATCAGGCCCAACTAATTTTTTAATTTTTCGTAGAGATGCGGTCTTGCTCTGTTGCCCAGGCTGGCCCCAAGCAATCCTCCCACATCAGCCTTCCAAAGAGCTGTGATTATAGGCATGAACTATGCCTGACCTATGTCTGACTTTTTTGAGAGAAGATTTAGACAACTAGTGAAGAATTTGGATTTGAACTCATGATAAATACATAGAAAACCAAGTAAGGCACTAACAACACAATTAAGAACTTCTGAGAAACAAAAATATATGCAGGAAAGAAAAAGTGGGCCTTGTAGACCTCATGGCCCAGCTTTGGATGGTGTTGACATAACCGTAGTTATTTAAACACAAAATACTGATTTAACCAAATAATGATATATTGATATTGGGAGTATGGGAAGGATGTGCATGGGAAGAGGGGGCCAGGAAGAAGAAAAATAAAGCAAAACAAATCATCTTCCATGGGGAGATTCAATAGACAATGCCTACAATGGAAAAAAATTGAGAAGTTTCCGTTCAAACCCGTTATTTAGAAAAGTGGCAAGTAAGTATGCAACGTAATTAGCTAAAAGATGCCGTGTGGCAAGGCAAATGGTGAAGGAGAGATGAGAGATTGCTGGGTTTTGTAACAAACACTGCAGATCTGTATGTCTCTCCAGACTATATACTATCTATAACTTTGCTAAAAAAGTTTGTAAATGCAACACTAAAAATTTTTCAAATAAAATAAACAGGAGATCTATGCATTGAAACTATAATTACATCATTATTTTAGATAACAAAGAGTTGTATATAATTTACATACCCAAGAGTGGAGAAATGGCTAAGTAATTATAGTGGTATCCACACAATTACATATACAACTAAATTAAAATACTTCTTATACAGAAGTTATAATGCAATAAGAAAATGCTTATGACCAAATGCTAAATGAAACCCACAAGTCACAAAATGTTCTACAGATGTCAAGCTCTTTTTGTTTTTGTTTCTTGTGTTTGGCTTCTTTTTTTTCAATAAATATTTTTGCACAGAAATAAGACTGGAAGTAAAGATATCAAAATATTAACAGTGGTTGGATTTAGATCATGTGGCTTTTGATTCTTTAAAAATTATTTTTACTCTTCTGTCTTTAACAAGTATTCTTTTGGAGCATATTATGTGTGTGTGTGTGTGTGTGTGTGTGTGCATGTATATATATATAAAAATATATATATAAATATATATAAAAATATAAATATACATAAATATATATAAATATATATAAACATATATAAATATATATAAATATACATAAATATATAAACATATATAAATATATATAAATATACGTAAATATATAAATATATATAAATATATATAAATATATGTAAATATATAAATATATATATAAATATATATAAATATATGTAAATATATAAATATATATAAATATATACAAATATATAAATATATATAAATATATATAAATATATATATAAATATATAAATATATATAAATATATATAAATATATATAAATATATATAAATAAATATATATATAAATATATATAAATATATAAATAAATATATATAAATATATATTAATAAATATATATAAATATGTACATATATGTAAATATATATAAATATATATAAATATATATATAAATATATAAATATATATAAATATATATAAATATATAAATATATATAAATATATATATAAATATATATAAATATATATAAATATATACATATATATAAATATATATATAAATATATAAATATATATAAATATATACATATATATAAATAAATATATATATACATATATATAAATAAATATATTAATAAATATATAAATATATATATTAATAAATATATATATAAATATGTACATATATGTAAATATATATAAATATATATAAATATATAAATATATAAATATATATAAATATATATAAATATATAAATATATATAAATATATATAAATATATATAAATATATATAAATATATAAATAAATATATAAATATATAAATATATATAAAAATATATAAATATATATATAAATATATATAAATATATAAATATATATAAATATATATATCAATATATATATAAATATATATAAATATATATAAAAATATATATATAAATATATGTAAATATATATATAAATATATATAAAATATATATATAAATATATATAAATATATATAAAAATATATATATATAAATATATGTAAATATATATAAATATATATAAAAATATATATATAAATATATATATATATAGAGAGAGAGAGAGAAAGAGAACAGACAAGGTATTGCTTTGTTGACTGGTCTGGTCTCGTACTTCTGGACTCACATGATCCTCCCGCTGCAACCTCCCAAAGTTCTGGGATTACAGACATGAGCCACCGCACCCAGCCAAAAAATATTTTTTGTTTATTATATATTAATAATATTAATGTGTTTATTATATAAAAATGTCAACATGGTCTAAGAAAACAATGAAAATCATCCAGGTGTATTGCTTTTATTACGAAAAAAATAAAGACATTTTTGAAGCATGGGAATTTCTCCATGGTGAGAAAAAAGCAGCCATACCCGCGACAGTTTGGCCAATGAAGACTTGACCAAGGCCTTAGCCTTGACATTGAGACAGACTTCATCTAAGGCAGCAACATTACTATTTTTTCAAACTGAGATAAAACCTGATAGAATTGTTGTGCATGCCTTCATAATGGCCAAATATGAAAAAAAAAGTCTGAACCAGTTTTGACATTTATTTTCAAGTCCCAGGAACTAAAAAAAAACTCAACAACACAAAGTTTCAGAAAAATTTCAGAAACTGGGTAACTAACAATGAAAGCTGGAAAAAATGATTTTCACATTGATCATTCGTTTTGTTTTACTTGCTTCAGTCTTAAATCTGCAGCTTGCTTTTCCTGGATTTCCATTTGATAGTATGCTGCTTCTTAGAGTCATGACTTATGTATTATTAGTCCATTTTCACTCTGCTGATAAAGACATACCTGAGACTGGGTAATTTATAAAGAAAAAGAGGTTTAATGGACTTACAGTTCCACGTGGCTGGAGAGGCCTCACAATCACGGCTGAAGGCAAAAGGCATGTCTTACATGGTGGCAGACAAGAGAATGAGAGCCAAATGAAAGGGGAAACGCCTTATAAAATCATCAGATCTCATGAGATTTATTCACTACCATGAGAACAGTATGGGGGAAACTGCCCCCATGATTCAATTATCTCCCACCAGGTCCCTCCCACAACACTTGGAAATTATGGGAGCTACAATTCAAGATGAAATTTGAGTGGAGACACAGCCTAACCATATCAACTTGTATGGGGAACTAGAGTTTATATCACCTTCGCGTATTCATAGAAAGGGAGGAGGGGGCAAGACTGATATATATAAAGTAATTTTTGTTTAGGTTGCATATGGACAATTTTTGCTTACTGTTCTATTAAGAGTAATTGTCCACACAGATGTCCACAATAGAGCTTTTCATGGATAGATGCATGAAAAATACATGTTGAATGCATGAAATGGGAGAGAAGGAGGAAAAAACAGAGGGAGAGAGAAATCCGACTTGCCATCACACCATCAGGACCAACAGGAGGAATCAAACAGAAGCAGGGACAACTCTAGGCTGAATGAAAGGGAACAAATGATGTCTGCTCATTGAACATGTAGCTCACTGTAGACGGAGCAACCAAGCAACATAACAGTGTTAGTGGGAGCTAGGAATGTGGCAGGATAGAGGAAAGGGGAGGGGAGAAAAATCGAGAGCTGTGTTCACAATAATTTCTTCCTCATCTATGGTTTAGAAAATCAGAAGAGCCAAGTCCTCTGAGAATAGGACACTGCACCCAATACAGAACTCAGCTGTGGTTTTGGGAGATATTCTGGCCCTTCATTAAAGCAATCTCAGCCTCCGACTAATTTCTTTGTCTTTTTTTAAGTTGCCATTTTTCCTCCCTGTTTGGCAGCAAATCTGTGGGATTAATGCCCACTCTGTTGTGCTCTGGAAACTGTTTCAGCCAGCTCTGTGATGCTCCTGAAGCAGCTGCCAGAAAGTTAAGAGGCCGAAATGCGGTTGGCAAAAGCTCCTGTAATTTTTACAAAATTATCTGTCTTCCCAGAAAGACTGTCTGATAACCGTTTCTGGTGGCTGAGGAGCCTGTGGCCTGTTAGAGCCAATCCTGCCACAAGATCAAGTCAAGCCGACCTCCCACCAACCTTGGGTGAACTCTGCAACAGGCCCCAGCAGGAAGCGGCCAAGCAAGGCCTCTGAGCCCAGAACACTGGCTCCATTCACAGGAGCGCCACGCTACAGCTGCCTGTCTCCCCACTGCAGAGGATAAGCCTGCATGGCAGATCCTGCTAGCCTTGTTTTGTGCTTTGTTGGGTTTATTGATGGCTTAATTTCCCACTTCCTACTCCTGTTCTTTCTTTTCTTCTCCTTTTAATTGAGGTATAAATTAGACACCATAACAGGTGTACTTCTTCAGTATATAGTCTGATGAATTTTTCATACACACACACGTACATATACATATATATACACACACACATATATACACACATGCACACACACATAATTAAGATATAGAACATTTCCATTCCTCAAGAAATGTCTTCCATGCAACTTCCCAATCAATACTGTGTCCCCTCTCATCTCCAACAGAGGTAACAGTAATTCTGGATTCTCGTGCTACGGATTAGTTTTGCCTGTTCTTGAACTTCACATAAATGGAATCATACAGTATGTACTCGTTTGGATCTAGCTTCTTTCACTTAGCATGTTTTTGAGGTTTATCCTCAAAACAAAGTATCTGTACTTTGTTCCTTTTTCTTGCTGAGTAGAATTCTGTCGTATGGAGATATCAGATATTGCTTATCTATTCAGCCATTCCAGAACATTTGGGTTGTTCCCAGTTTAGACCTATTATTGATCAATCAACAGACAAATGGATAAAGAAAATGTGGTACATATATACACAACAGAGTACTATTCAGCCATCAAAAAGAATGAGATCCTGTCATCTGCAACAACATGGGAGGAACTGGAGGTCATTATGCTAGGTCAAATAAGCCAGGCACAGAAAGACAAACATCGCATGTTCTCACTTAGTTGTGGGATCTAAAAATTAAAACAATTGAACTCGTGGAGACAGAGAGTAGAAGGATGGTTACCAGAGGTGGAGAAGGGTAGTGGTTTGGGGAGGGGAAGTGAGGATGTTTAATGGGTACAAAATACAGTTAGAATGAGAAAGACCTACTATTGATAACACAGCAGGGTAGCTATAGTCAACAATAATTTACTGTACATTTTAAAATAACTAAAAGCAAACTTGGATTGTTTGTAACACAAAGAAAAGATAAATGCTTGAGGTGATGGGTACCCCATTTACCCTGATGTGATTATTATGCATTGTATGCCTGTATCAAAATATCTCATGAACTCCACAAATATATACATCTACCCACGAAAATTAAAAATAAAAAAATGTTTAAAGAATTTAAAAAATGAGCTGTTACAAATGTTCTTGTAAAGGTCTTTGTGTGACTTATGCACACCGCTGTTTTACTGACGAATCCATTTCTCCAGGGGGAAAACCATGGCAGTTAAGTCTGAGTCCATCAAGAGCAACAGAACACTGGGGGCATGGTCTCATGTCCAGAGGTCCAGCTCATAGATAAATTTAGAGTGTCAAAGAAGCTGTCCTGATTTGTCCCAATCAAGTAAGCTGTCCAGTTCTTCTAACAGTCGAAAGGCATCTGGGTCTTGTGGCGGTAAAACGCGATGGCAATGGGAGCTGTGATTGGGCTCAAATTTTTAATTTTTAATTAAAATTTTGTGCTTGGCTGAGTTTCTTCAGCCTGTAGCCTGACAAGTCTAGTGTCAATGACTTGGACACCATGGGTGGAGTTTCAACCAACCTAATATAGTTTGGATATTTGTCCCCTCCAAATCTCGAAATTTGATGACTAGTGTTAGGGGTAGGGCCTGGTGGGAGGTGTTTGGGTCATAGGGGTGGATCCCTCAGGAAAGCCTTGGTACCATCCTTGTGGTAATGAATGAATTCTCACTCTATTAGTTCTCATAAGAGCTGGTTGTTAAAAAGAGCCTGGCACCTCCTCCCTTCTTCTCTCACTTCTTCCTCCCTCTCTTTTGCCATGTGATTCTCGTTCCCCTTAACCTTCCACCATGAGTGGAAGCTTCCTGAGGCCCTCACCAGATACAGATGCTGGTGCCATGCTTCTTGTACAGCCTACGGAACTGTGAGCCAAATAGACCTCTTTCCTTTCTAAATTACCCAGCCTCAGGCATTCCTTTATAACAACACAAAGGGACTAAGACAGAACGTCTTCATGGATGACCCTGTCTTATCCATTTGTCTCTTAGCTGTCCTATGGCACTCAAGAAGGGATCATTAATGATGGGTATGGAATAAAAACTACCGATTACTCCCCATGCCATGGAGACCAAGGAGATTGATTTAGTCTCCTTTGCAGAATTTCTGATGCTAAAGAGGGTACCCTGCATTCACTATAATTCCTGGATATTCAGCCTGCCCCCTATTTCTAGTCCCTAACAGTAATTTCACCTAACCTCTCATAGCAGATTTGTTGAGTATTTACTGTGTGCCAGGAACCATTCTGACTTTTGTTTATTTGCTTGTTTGTTTTTTGCCTGTATTTACTCCCCACATAAGCCCTTGAAGGTAAATATTATATTTTTTTCATGGGTGAGGAAACTGAGGCTTAGAGAAGGTATATATCTTAGTCTGCTCAGGCTGCTATAACAAAATATCATAGACTGGCTGACTTACACAACAGAAATTTATTTTCTCATAGACCTGGAGACTGGAAGTCCAAGATCAGGATACCAACATGGTTGGGTTCTGGTGAGGGCCATCTCCCTGGGTTGCAGAGGGCTGCCTTCTCACTGTGTCCTTACATGGAAAAGACAGAGAGAAAGGAAGCAAGATCTCTGGTGTCTCTTCATATATGCGCACTAATCTCAATTATGAGGGCCCCACACTTGTGACTTCATCCAAACTTAATTGTCTCCCAAAGGCCCCATCTCCAAATATCATCACATTAGGGGATAGGGCCTCATCATATGAATTTTGGGGTGACACAATTTAGTCCATAGCAGTAAGTAACTTGCCTGTGGACACAGCTAGGCAGCAGTAGACCTGGAATTTGAGCTTAGGTCTGACTCTAGAGTCCATGTGCCTAACCACCATGCTATACTGCTTTAATGATATCAGGACCTTTGTTCATGCTCATGTCACACCATCAACTCCCAGGATGGGCTCCATCCTAGAACAGTCCAGAAAATCTTCATGTGCCAAGCCACAAGGTCAGATTGCAGGGGCCATGGCCACTAACCTGAATGTCCCACCAGATCCCATGCCAAAGCCCACTCCTACATTTGCTCTTTTCCCTGTTCAGGATTCCTTAGGCCTCATCATCCTTCAAAATTCAGCTGAAACCTACCTCCTTTTGGAGGCCTTTTCTATAGCCACTGCCTCTCAGTACTCTCTCTTTTTAAGCACTTCTTATATTTACTATTCATATTATACAATCAGCCCCATGTTTGCTATCTTGCTTGCTGTCTCTACAAAACATTTTGCTGTGTTATCTATGACTGTCGGTAACTTATTGTTTCATTGCCCCAAGGACTTGATCTCACAAATACATATGTAAATTATAGGAAAGGACACTTTATTTTGGTATGTTAGTAAGCAAAATAAGTGATATAGATACTAAGTGCAGAGATGGTCTTTCATTCATTCAACAAGCAAACATTTATTAAGCATTTATGATGTGCCACTAACCAGAACATATGCTTTGTGTAGGTTGGACTCAATTGTTATTTTAACAGAAATATATTGAATGCCTACTCAATGCTAAGCACCAATACTTCAAAAATAAATATGAGAGAAGAAAGGTCAAAGCCATTGGATAAAATAGAAAGGCCAGAGCACTGTGTTTATAAAGGGACAGAGGAGGATATAAGGCAAGAAATGTGGAAAGACCACAGCCTTCCTAGAAGTTGATGACAAACTAGTATGCTAAAATTCTATCCTTAAGGCCATGGGAAACATAGGTAAGGTTGGCAAGAGGGATAATACAATGAATTCTGAATTTTAGAAAGTGATGAATATTATATTATGTGTAGGTATTATGTATGATGGGTGTTTGAGTGAGGCAGAGAAATCTCCATCCCAAGTGAGAAAAAGATAAGATCTGAACTATGTTGATTTAATGAGAATATAGAAGTGGGGAGAAGTGCAAGAGAGTGCGCAGTTGAGGTCCTTGATTAGATGTAAGGGGAAATAATAAAAGATCACTGCTTATGTGAGATTTGTCTGCTTGAAAGAGGCTAACAACCTGATCCCTACCTCACACCTTACATAAACACTCTGGTGGGTTATAAAACTAAATGTGGGCAACACATTAAAGCTTTTTAGAATACAATAGAGAAAAGTATCTTCATGATGTGGGACCAGGAAGAGTTTACTCATGACACAAAAAGTAGTAACTATAAAGCAAAAGATTGATCCATTTGACTACATTAAAATTAAGAAATTTTATTCATCAAAAGACTCATTCATCAAGAGACACACCACACTGTAGTGAGCCATGATCACACTACTGCAATCCAGCCTGAGCATCAGAGTGAGACTGCATCTCAACAAAATTTTTTTAATTTAAAAATTTAAAAATAAAATAAAAATTAAGAAAAAGACAGACATGTCACAGAGAGAATATATTTGCCACACACTTATTGACCAAGTACTCATATCCAGAATATATAAAGAATTACCCTCACATTGATATGTAGGTAAAGATAACTCAATAGAAAAACAGGCAAAACACTAAAATATGCATTTCAAAAAAACAAGGAAATCTAAGTAGATGATAAACATATGAAAAACTGTTCAACCTCATTGTTAAAGAAGGAATACAAATTAATACCATGGTATACCACTAGACACGTATCATATTGGCAAATACTTAAAAGACTGATAATGCCCAATGTTGGAGATGTTGTGTAGCAAAGGTAACTCTTGTACACTGCTGATGGGTGTGCAAACTGGCACCATCTCTCTGGAGAATGGTTTAGGATATTAGGCAAAGTTGAAGACACACACACCCTAAGACCCAGTAGTTCTACTCTTGGGTATCCACTACAGAAACTCATACATACATTTACCCCAATACTATGTACATGCTCCTCATGGTTTTCATCTTTGTCTTTTTGCTCTTTTAAATACTTTAAAGCTTATGCTTTAAAGTATTTCTTTCATATGAGTTTGCAGGCCACCAAGTTGTGTCCTAGTAATGACCACATTTTTCTTCTAACCAGCTACTGCATTGGATAGTTGGAAGGTTATGCTGACTCAGAAAATACTTTGTACCCTAGTACATATTTCTAAGTGTTCATATCTTTTTACTCAAGTGCTTATCTTGAACAAGCTTTATTGGACATGTGTTATACTTGTTTCGATTGACCTTCTTTCTCTAGCTTCTGGGACCCATTAGATGAGTCAGTTCTACTTGGGACTACTGAGGTCCAGTTATTAAAGAACGGGGGAAGTGGGCCCCAAAGTGGTGGAAGACATGGTGGCCTCACCCGTCATGAGCTCACCATAGCAGCAGGCAGGATACCAGTACCCCACTAAGGCCTCAGGAGAAAATGTCCTGCCGTCAGCTCTCCTCACAGTTCCTTATACCCAGAGGTATAAGGTATATACAGAGAGGACACAGTCCACCCTTTCAGCTCCCTTTTGCCTCTTGGAAGCCCAGACAATCAAACCCACCTGAAGGGATCTAATGTCATTCACCTCTCTCTCACTTAAGATTCATGTCTTGGTAGCCTGAGCTTTTTTCAGTATCTATCTCATTCTAATTCTCTCCCTGGGGTTCTGCAACTCTGGTTTCCAAGGTTTGTCCAGTCTATCCATGAGAAAGCTCCACCCAAGTTCTCCCTGCTAGGATTCCCATGAAAGTCAAAGCCTCATTTGCCCCCAACTATCAGTCCCAGAAGTGGATCAGATTTTAATTGCTACTCATATCCAGTTTGTCATCTTTACAGAATTCTAACTAATACATTTTTTTTCCTTCTTCTTCTGATATGGAGTTTCATTCTTGTTGCCCAGGCTGGAGTGCAATGGTGCAATCTCTGCTCACGGCAACTTCTGCCTCCCAGGTTCAAGCAATTCTCCTACCTCAGCCTCCCGAGCAGCTGGGATTTCAGGCACGTGCCACCACGCCCAGCTAATTTTTGTATTTTTAGTAGAGACAGGGCTTTGCCATGTTGGCCAGGCAGGTCTCAAACTCCTGACCTCGGGTGATCCACCCGCCTCGGCCTCCCAAAGTGCTGAAATTTCAGACGTGAGCCACCACGCCTGGTTAATGCATTTTTCAAAAGGAGCAAGATCCTTATACCAAAGTCTGCCAATAATAGCAAAAAAAGAAAGAAACCTATAAACCAATCTCACTAATAGCTTAGAGATGCAAAAATACCAAATGAAATGTTTTCGGTTGAATTTAGTGTCATATAAGAAAAAATGCTTCACGTACTTCATTAATTGCCAATTGCAAGGTCTCTATTCATAGGCATAGGTCTCCTCACTGGTCTCCCACAGGGCTGCTTCAAGATTAGGTCATGAGGTCATGTTCTTAATATTGAGAGATTTCTTCCCCACCAGACTATATGAATAGCCTTTTCATCTTTATGGTTTCCCAGAAGGAAGACGTACAATCCCAACCATTTGCCACTTAAACAAGTGAAATACAGTATATAACAAAGATAAGCATCCAGCTGAAGATTTGAGAGACTACCCAGGTCTCCTAGATTCACTGTCTCTTCTGCTTCTTCAGGGAATCATTGCAGGTTTCTCATTCAGCCTCTAGAAAGCAGCCAGAAAGAAGAAATTACATTCTTCTATTGTGTTGTTTCCCAGCTGTCTCTGATCTCAGCAGTTTCAGTAGGTCAGGGTTATGGTTTCTACATACTTGTAAACCAGTCTTTCAAAATGGCCCTTGGGGCCAAGCCTGGTGGCTCATGCCTGTAATCCCAGTACTTTGGGAGGCCGAGGCAGGCAGATCACCTGAGGTCAGGAGTTCAAGTTCAGCCTGGCCAATGTGGTGAAACCCTATCTCAACTAAAAATACAAAAAAAATTAGCCAGGCGTGGTGTCACATGCCTGTAATCCCAGCTACTCGGGAGGCTGAGGCAGGAGAATCGCTTGAACCCAGGAGGCAGAGGTTGCAGTGAGTCAAGATCGCACCACTGCATTCCAGCCTGGCAACAAGAGTGAAACTCCATCTTGAAAAAAAAAAATAGCCCTTGGGGTGGGACAAAGGGAAATTTTTAGGGTGATTGAACTGTCCTATATGGTACTAGGATGGTGGATACATGACTCTACCCATACAGAGTACACTTTGTGTACATTTTAAAAAATCAATAAAGGTGTCAGGAGATCCCAGAATGGAATGCAGACTGTGACAAATGAATCTAACTGTATTACAAATGTATGACATAACTTCATTCAAGAGGGTGAGGAAAAAAGGAGCTGACCAAAGTAATTTGGAAAAACAGTGCTTTAATTAGCTATTCCAAGATGAAAGACAAAAAGAATCATGAATTAATACTATAATTTGTGAAGTTTTTCTTTCTCACGGAGCTACAGGATAGCAATTCTGAAATTATTTTACATGTATTCTAGGATTGAACAAATAAGTAAATAAATTGTAGATTATAAGAGTCATGGTACCAGAGTAAGTAGTTACAAATAAACAAAGTGGTGAGGCAGAAGGCTAGAATAAATTCTACAGTTCTGGATTCAAGTTAGAAATATTAGTATGAACTTATATTTATTTTATTCGTTTTTTAATAATGACATTTGTTTTTGTTATAAATAAAACAATTATAGAAGATTGGGAAGATAAGGCATGATTTTAATTTTTTACATCAATATCCTCATACATTTTTAATGTCAGTGAACTAATGTTTAGTTTAATATATATGCATATAGGAACATAATTATGGATATGTATATACATGTGGTAGTACACATACATATATTTCCTAGTTCTGTTCATTTAGAATGTGTAGAAGCAGTGTCATCACAGTAGCAATGAGCACACCCATCACCAAGATCTTGGTTTCTAAGGCCATTCATCAAAAAAAAAAAAAAAAAAAAAAGAACCAGGGCTCCTAGGAGAAATGACTAAGTCTAGGGCCAATGCAGAGAAGAAAACACAAGATGAGCCTGGAGCATCCTGTGGTGCCAGAAAGAGGAAGTGCTCCAAACAAAGTGGATGAGGGCATGCCAAAAGTACACAAGAGCCAATGTGAAAGAGCTCCCAATGGCCAAAGCTTGAACAGTTTGAGCAACAACAATAGATAACAAAATAAATAGCTAAGCACCATATATGAGGTTTAGTTTTGCTGGATACAAAATTCTTGGCTGATAATTGTTTTGTTTACGGAGGCTGAAGATAGGGCTCCAATCCCTTCTGGCATGTAGGGTTTCTGCTGAGAAATCTGCTGTTAATATGATAGGTTTTCCTTTATAGGTTACGTGGTGCTTCTGTCTCACAGCTCTTAAGATTCTTTCCTTCATCTTAACTTTGGATAACCTGACGACGATGTGCCTAGGTGATGATCTTTTTGCGATGAATTTCCCAGGTGTTCTTTCAAAAAACTTGAAGTAATATCAAGCATCTTCTCTTATCACAGTGAAGTAAAACTAGAAAACAATAATGAGTAGAAATTTGGAAATTATACAAACACATAGAAATTAAACAATATGCTACTGAATGACCAGTGAGTCAACGAAGAAATTAAAAAGGAAATTGCAAAATTTTTTGAGACAAATAATAATACAAACACAACATACTAAAGTCTAAGGGATACAGCAAAAGCAATATTAGTAGAGCTATAAGTGCCTACATCAAAAAGAAAAAAAACTTCAAATAAGCAACCTAATACTGAATCTTAAAAAACTAGAAAGGCAAGAGCAAAGCAAACCCAAAATGAGTAGAAGGTAAGAAATAATAAAGATCAGAGCAGAAATAAATTAAAATGAACAAGACAATACAAAAGATCAATGAAACAAAAAGTTGTTTTTTTGAAAAAAATAAAAGTGACAAAATTTAGCCAGGCTAACTAAGACAACAAAAAGAGATGACCCAAATAAATAAAATTAAAGATGGAAAAGGAGACATTACAACTGATACCATAGAAATTTAAAGGATCATTAGTGGATACTATGAGCAACTATATGACAATAAATTGAAAAATCTAGAATAATTGGATAAATTTCATAGACCATACAACCTACGAAAATTGAACCATGAAGAAATCCAAAACTTGAAGAGACCAATAGCAAGTAATAAGATTGAAGCCATAATGAAAAGCCTTCCAGCAAGGAAAAGCTCAGACCCAATGGCCTAACTGCTGAATTCTACCAAATATCTAAAAAGGAACTAATACCAATCCTACTCAGACTGTTCTGACAAATAGAGGAGGAGGGAATATTTCCAAATTCATTGTACAAGGCCGGTGTCACCCTGATACCAAAACCAGACAAAGACACATCAAACAAAAGAAAACTACAGGCCAATATCACTGATGAATATTGATACAAAAATCCTGAAGAAAATACCAGCAAACCAAATTCAACAACACATTAGAAAGATCATTCATCATGGCCAAGTGGGATTTAGCCCATTTGGTTCAAAGATGCAAAGATGGTTCAAGATAAGCAAATTCGTCAATGAGATACATCATATCAACAGAATGAAAGTCAAAAACCACATGATCATTTCAATTGAGGCTGAAAAAGCATTTGATAAAATTCAACATCTGTTCATCATAAAAACTCTCAAAAACTGGGTATAGAAAGAACATACCTCAACATAATAAAAGCCACATATGACAGACCCACAGCCAGTATCATATTGAATGGAGAAAAACTGAAAGCTTTTCCTCTAAGATCTGAAACACAACAAGGTTGCCCACTTTCACCACTGTAATTCAACACATTACTGGAAGTCCTAACTAGAACAATCAGACAAGAGAAAGAAGTAAAGGGCATCCAAATTGGAAAGGAAAGAGTCGAATTATCTTTGTTTACAGATGATATGATATTATATTTATGAAAACCTAAAGACTCCACCAAAAAACTATTAGAACTGATAAATTCAGTAAAGTTGCAGAATACAAAAATCAACATACAAAAATCAGTAGCATTTTTTTTATTACACTTTAAGTTCTGGGGTACATGTGCACAACATGCAGCTTTGTTACACAGGTATACATGTGCCATGTTGGTTTACTGCACCCATCAACTCATCATTTACATTAGGTATTTCTCCTAATGCTATCTCTCCCCCAGCCCCCCACCCCCCGACAGGCCCCAGTGTGTGATGTTCCCCTCCCTGTGTCCATGTGTTCTCATTGTTCAACTCCCACTTTTGAGTGAGAACATGTGGTGTTTGGTTTTCTCTTCTTGTGTTACTTTGCTGAGAATGATGGTTTCCAGTTTCATCCATGTCTCTGCAAAGGACATGAACTCATCCTGTTTTATGGCTGCATAGTATTCCATGGTGTATATGTGCCACATTTTCTTTATCCAGTCTATCATTGATGGACATTTGGGTTGGTTCCAAGACTTCGCTATTGTGAGCAGTGCTGCAATAAACCTACGTGTGCATGTGTCTTTATAGAATGAAAAATCTGTAGCATTTTTATATGCTGACAGCAGACAATCTGAAAAAGTAATCCCATTTACAATAGCTACAAATAAAACAAAATACCCAGAAATTAATCAAAGAAGTCGAAGATCTCTAAAATGAAAACTATAAAACACTGATGAAAGAAATTGAAGAGGACACCAAAAAATGAAAAGATATTCCATATTCATGGATTAGAAGAATCAATATTGTTAAAATGTTCATACTACCTAAACCAATCTACAGATTCATTGTAATCCCTATCAAAATACCAGTAGTATTCTTCACAGAAGTAGAAAAAAAATCCTTAAATTTATATAGAACCACAAAAGACCCAGAACAGCCAAAGCTATTCTAAAGAAAAAGAACAAAACTGAAGGAATCACATTATCTGACTTCAAATTTTACTACAGAGCTATAGCAACCAAAACAGCATGATATTGGCATAAAAACAGTCACACAGACTAATGAAACAGAATAGAGAACACATAAATCAATCATACATCTACAGTGAACTCATTTTTTGACAAAGGTTCCAAGAATATATATTGGGAAAAGGATTTAATAAATGGTGGTGGGAAAACAGGATATCCATATGCAGAAGAATGAAACTAGACCCCTGCCTCTTGCTATATGCAAAAATCAAATCAAAATGGATTAAAGTCTGAAATCTAAGACCTCAAACTCTGGAACTATTACAAGAAAACATTGGAGAAACTCTCCACGACATTAGACTGAGCAAAGATTTCTTGCATAATACCCCGCAAGCACAGACAATCAAAGCAAAAATGGACAAATGGGATCACATGAAATTAAAAAGCTTCTGCATACTGGGGCTAGGCGTGGTGGCTCACGCCTGTAATTCCAGCAATTTGGGAGGCTGAGATGGAAGGATCGCTCGAGGCCAGGATTTCAAGACAAGCCTGGGCAACATAGAAAGACCCTATCTGTATAAAAAAAACTTCTGCATAGCAAAGGGTATAATCAACGAGGTGAAGAGACAACTCACAGAATGGGAGAAAATGTTTGCAAACTATCCATCTGACAAGGGATTAATAACTGGAATACATAAGGAGCTCAAACAACTCTATACAAAAAAAGTATAATAATCAGATTAAAAAGCGGGCAAAAGATCTGAACAGACATTTCTCAAAAGAAGACATACAAATGGAAAACAGGTATGTAAAAAGGTGCTCAACATCATTGATCATCAGAGAAAAGCAAATCAAAAGTAGAAAGAGGTATCATCTCACCTCAGTTAAAATGGCTTATATCCAAAAGACAAGCAATAACAAATGCTGGTGAGGATGTGCAGAAAGATGAACCCTTGTACACTGTAGGTGGTAATGTAAACTTGTACAACCACTATGGAGAACAGTTTGGAGGTTCCTCAAAAAGCTAAAAATAGAGCTACCACACGATCCAGCAATTCCACTGCTTGGTATATACTCAAAAGAAAGGAAATCAGTATATCAAAGAGATATCTGCATTCCCATGTTTATTGCAGCACTGTTTACAATAGCTAAGATTTGGAAGCAACCTAAGTATCTGTCAACAGATGAATGGATAAAGAAAATTTGGAACATATACACCCTGAAGTACTATTCAGCCATAAAAAGAATCAGATCCTGTCATTTGCAACAACATGGATGGAACTGGAGGTTATTATGTTAAGTGAAATAAGCCAGGCACAGAAAGACAAACATTGCATGTTCTCACTTATTTGTGGGATATAAAAATCAAAACAATTGAACTCTTGGAGATAGAGAATAGAAGGCTGATTCCAAATCTTGGCTATTGTGAAGATGTTTTGATATATGTGTACATCGTGAAATGATTATCACTATCAAGCTAATTAACATATCTACAACCTCACATTGTGTGTGTGTGAGTGAAAGGGAGATGAGAACATTTAAGATCTACTATTAGCAAATTTCAAATATACAATATAGTTACCATGCTGTACACTAGACCTGCAGAACTTATTCATCCTACCTAACTGAAACTTTGTACCTTTTGTGCAACATCTCCCCATGACTGCCCTCTAAGGAAACATCAGTCTGAAGTCTAAAAAATAAACCTAGCTGATGCAAGTTGAGGTTAGTTGTTAACAGTATGTTTGAAATATAAGAGTGTGAATATTTAGCATTGTATGGAGCTCTGACTACAATGGAATTAAATTAGAAACCAGTAAGAAAAATATCTTGAAAGTCCTTAAACATTTGTAAGCTAAAAAACACACTTTTAAATAATTTACGTGTAAAAAAAGAAATCAAAGAAGAAATTACAAAGTATTATGAAATAAATGAAGATGAAAAGATATCATATCCAAATTTGTGGCAGGCGGCATGTGCAAGAAAAGGTTAACTCAATAGGCACACATCATCATAGATGATGAATTTCAAAAACATTATGCTTGGTGAAAGAAGTCAAACACAAAAAAGTACATTTTCCATGCTGCCATTTTAATGCTTTAAGAATAGCAAAATTAATCCATAGGTATAGAAATCAAAAAGCGATTTCCTCCAGGGGCAGGGGAGGAAGGAGATAGAATAAAAAAGACACAAGGGAACTTTCTAGGGTGATGGCAATGCATTGTTTTTGATTGGGATATAGATTACACAAATGTATTCATTTGTCAAAACTCATCAAACTGTACACTTAAGATCTGTTCAGTTGCCGGGCACAGTGGCTCACGCCTGTAATCCCAGCACTTTGGGAGGCCGAGGCGGGCAGATCACGAGGTCAGGAGATCCAGATCAGCCAGACCAACATGGTGAAACCCCGTATCTACTAAAAAATACCACAAAAATTAGCCAGGCGTGGTGTCGGGCGCCTGTAGTCTACACCAGCTACTCGGGAAGCTGAGGCAGGAGAATGGCGTGAACCAGGGAGGCGGAGCTTGCAGTGAGCCGAGATCGCGCCACTGCACTCCAGCCAGGGCGACAGAGCGAGACTCCGTCTCAAAAATAAAAATAAATAAAAATAAAAATAAAAATAAAAAAGATCTGTTCAGTTTACTGTATGTAACCACCACACCTCATTAAAAAAAGATGAAGTTTAAAAAACAGATCTTTAAATATATGGAAAGATGTTCAACCTTAGTAATAAGAGAAATGCAAATTAAAACTATCCTAAGATTCCATTTTCACCTATCACATTTGCAAAAATCCAAATGTTTCATAATACAGTCTGTTGTCAAGGCTGTGGGAAAAATAGTCATGTTCACACATTGCTGCAGTGAGTGCAACATCATACATCTACGAAGGGCAATATTGAGCTAAACTATATCTGCACTTACCTTTTGGCCTACCAATCAAACTTCTAGGACTCTACCTGGAAGATATAGCTCCACAAATACAAAACAATGTAGGTATACGGTCACTGCAACATTATTTGAAATAGCAAAAGATTGCAAACACCTCAAATGTCCATCATTAGGAAATGGTACATGCACACAACAAAGAAGCACCAATGAATTGTCATGTGGCTTTTTAGGATAAAGTCAATGAAAAAAATCAAGGTGTCAACATATATAGCATGCTACGTCTTATGTAAAAAAAGGAGAAATAAGATTATATGTACAAATTTACTTTTGGAAAAGAAAATGGAAAGGAATTTTCCTAATGAGTTGGAAATGGTTACCTCTAGATGGGAGGTGGAGGCAATTTGAAGGTGAAAGGGCAAGTCTTCTCTAAAAGTACTTTTAAATATAATTTTGCATTTTGAACCATGCAAATGTTACACATTTTGAAAATAAAGTTAAAAGAAAAAAACAAAACATAAGGTAGAAAAAAATTTAAAACTTAATTGTATATCAAATTGGTAACATAACCATAGACGAAAGAAAATTATAAGTAACTTTTGAACACAGTGTTTCATCCTTAGTGGTATATATTCTAACAACCAAACAGTTGCAGAGAAATCTCAAGTATCAGTAGGTTTATGGTTGGTAATAATATTAGGCATTGTAATTTCAAAATTTATATTATAGAATGTTTGCACATAAGAGGGAAAAATACAAAAGAAAAATCCTGTAATATTAAATGTGAATTTAAAATACCAACATAAACTCGATTAATTTTATTTTTTATTTTTTTGAGATAGGGTCTCACTCTGTCACCCAGGCTGGAGTGCAGTGACACCATTTCGGCTCACTGCAACCTCTGCCTCCTGGGCTCAAGCAATCCCCCTGCCTCAGCCTCCTGAGTAGCTGGGACTACAGGCACATACCACCACGCCCAGCTAATTTTCTATTTTTTAAATTTTTTGTAAAGATGAGGTTTCACCATGTTTCTCAGGCTGGTCTTGAACTCCTGGGCTCAAGCGATCCGTCTGCCTAGGCTTCCCAAAGTGCTGGGATTACAGGCATGAGCCACTGTGCCCAGCCTCAATTTTTAAAAATAAAAGCTGTCTAGAAAAAAAAAAGGATTAGAAACAATGATGAACCCAGACCTTGGTTTCTAAATATCTTTTACACTGAAAAAAAAAAAAAAGAAAAAAAAAGAGAAGCCAAATCAAGATTCTTTGAAAAATGATCCCAGGGCTGAGGCAGGGAAAATAAAAGGTGAGAAAGCCTGGGACACCTTGTTTTGCTTTCCAGCAAAACTAGCTGATAGACTTATGAGGGGTATGTCAGAATTGTTGACACAGAAACCAGCTTGAGACAATTTGAGCATCAAAAAAAGTGTAATGACTGTAACTGATGGTAAAACTTTGAAAAATCAATGAGTTTATGGTAATAGAGAATAAGTCAGGGAAGAAAAATAATACTCTTCTTTAGAGAAGAGTACTAGCTAACATAGCTAGAACAATGTAATTAGAAAATAAGCATTTTCAATCCCCAATTCAGCCAAAAATGATCAATGGGTTAAAATACTAAGTAAAATCTTGTTGAGGACAGGATATTTGCCTGGTGCCAAAGTATCACCCTCATAATTACCTATTCAGAAAATGAAAAATGTACCTGTATGGTGGAAATACCTGATAGTCAGTACCTTAACCAAATGATCAAACAGCATCACAAAGAGTAAGACAATCTGACATAATGTGCCTCCTGATGGGACATAAATATCAGGTATACAACATCATCTATATGAAACCTCACCTAAGTTAAATGATACCATGAGGAAACAATAAGACAAATACAGAATGCAGGACAGTCTCTAAAAGACAACGTCCTGGACTTTTAAGTCAATGTCTTAAAAAAAAAAAAAAAAAGGGTCAGTGGATTAAGAGAGACTAAACAGAAATAAAAACAAAATACAATGCATCTATCTTGATTGGATCTTAGCTCTAAATAAACAAAAAAGCCAAACAGAAAGACATTTTTGGGGACAATTGAGATTTTTTTCATTTGAACTGAATATTTGACACTGGAATTACTCTTATATATGTAATTACATTTTTAGCTTCTGCGTTTTTACAAAATGCATGTTGAATATTTAGGGGCAAGCAACATGAAGTCTGCAACCAATTTTTAAATTGTTAAGCAAAAATAATAATAAAAATGTGTTTATCTATAAAATGTGAAGATAAAGCAAATATAAAAGAAGCCAGAAACAAATGAATACGTATCGTATGTAAAGTTCAAAAACAGTGAAAATAATTTATGGTGTTAGAAGCCAGGCTGGCATTACCTTTGTAGAAGGCATAGTAATAGGAAGGTTAAATAAGGGGGCCCGTGGGGCACTGGTAATGTTCTATTTCTTTATATGGCTGGTTACATGGGTGTTGGCTTTGCAATAACTCAAGCTGTGCTCTTATGATTTGTGCACTTTATGCATGTCATATTTCAATACAGTTTATAAAAATTAAGATAAAAAGCTCAAATAAAAATTTAAATATTGTCATGATTATTTAATAGGAATAACTGGAGAGTTGAATTGGGAGGGAAGAGGGGATAAAAAGGTAAGATGAAAGTAGTGAGAAGAAGGGAGCCAGAGAGAAGTGGAAGTAAGCCTAAAAGGCAAGTTTCAGAATGCTAGCATCTTGTGGCCTTTCCAGGTTAGCTAGATTACCTACTGTTAGACACACAGCTCTTCGATCGGCTCTTATTCATGAGACTTTCAGCAGACTGATCTTTTCTGAAGGAGATGGAGACAGTTTTAGAGAAATTCTAACGCATGGACTACAAACTCCATCTGATCTAGAATGTTATATAACTTGCAGGTTGACCAATATTTTTACACTATACAGGTTTTGTACACAGCAGTTGTATTTATAAATCTTTGGTAGTTTTTTTTTTTCCTGAAACATTTGATGCAACAGTATCTCATGTAGTTTTGAAATTGCCCTCCCCCACCCAAATGTTTTAAGTACCTTAGCACAGAAAATCTTGCTGATCATAGATTTGGGTACTGATTCCCATTTATTAAACAGATTCCTCTCTACGTGCAGTCATCTCAAAAGTTGCATCCAACGACCACATTTCATAGGATAATGGCATTTGAATCACTTGTATCTAGTTTTCTAAAGATAACATTCTTATCTAGTTTCACCCTGCCAAATGTATTATTCTACCACAAAGTAGTGAGCTGAAGTTAATGCTTAACTACAATAAACTATACAAGCCTCCAAAAATCAGCGTATTCACTTATTCCTCTTTTCTCCATTCTTTAGTTGATGTTGTATCTGTGCATTTTTGAAAGAGGGTGTGGTTCAGAGTACTGCTTTGTGTTAATCATACCTTGAATCTATTTGAAGTCATCTTTCTCTCACACACAGTTATAATTTAAATCCATTAGCATAGTCCTTATGTTCATTAGAAATCTTTGTTCTTTCATATTAAAACACGTTTAATCACTTGGAAGTAAACTACATGGCACTGAAAGGTTTTAAAATCCTGAGAAAACAGTGACTACATTTTTTTCAAATTGACACATTTAAAAATCTTATTTTGCATATGTTAAATCAGATTCCCATCTTAGATTGGTAAATTGCCGTTGGACCAAGAGTTTAGAAAAATGCATATTAATAAAATCTTTACACTGAGAATATCCTATTCTTGCTCACTTTTTTGTTACATTTTTTTTCACCTGCCATTACTTGTTTTAGGGTGGGAAAAACTCAACAAACATCGCTAAGACTTAAAAACAGAAATTTCCCCTTCTCTATCATTTCCATTTTCTAATTCATTGTATACAGCTTTACCTTGATAATTCACCACCTGTTTCAACCACTATTGTGGGTCCTAATGCACGTCAACTCATCTGTCCTTTCCATTCAAAGAGTGTAAAAATCTAGGATAATGATGTTGGGAGGAGGTAAATGTGACTCCCAAAATACTGCTTCTGAAGATAACTTAAACACTATGCTACACATATGATGTGCCCAGGACAGCCCCGTTTTATAGCTGTTGCCCAGGCCAATTATTAATAATGCCTCCTTTCAATCTCAAAGGGGTCCTGGTTTGGACTCTAAAAGATATGGTCAGCTTAATTATACAAGTTTAAAGATTATCTTAATTTTGCTAAAGAAAGACTCAAAATGAAAAGGTTCTTCCAAACATGACTGTGGAGTAAGCACTCAGAAATTCCTATTTCTCTACAGAGGTAGAATAGTACTTGCTCTGGAGTTGGATTGCTGGAGTTAGAATCCTGGCTTCACCACTTAATAACCATGAAACCTTGAGCAATTTACACAATCTCTCTTTGCCTCAATTTACTTAATCTGTAATGATGGGAATAAAACAGTACTTAAGACATTGTAAGGATTAAACAGAATGTAATAAAATACTTAGCACTGTGCTTTGCACAAATTCTCAGTAAATGGTAGGTATCTTTAGGCCACACTAAAAAATGCCATTCTCATTTTCCTGTTCAACCGTAAGTAAAACATCACATGGGTTGCTTCAAGGTGTATTTAGAAAGCTATTACTCTGTAAAGCATTTTAGGATAATGCTACACAATGTTTAAAATGGGTGAGATCACCAAAGGCCAACATAATTTCATATCTTGGGCTCCTGGGAAGACCAAATTGACCCATCACTCTCAAATTCAATACCTTTTCCCATCCATGACAATCAGGTTGTCGCTCCACTGAAGGAACTCTGGCAAATGTCACCAACTGTTGGAAACTCAATGGAATCCCTTTAATCCTCATTGCAGCATGCTGTGGTTATTTTTTCAAAAGATCTAGATTGTCTACCACCACCATGGCTTGTTTAAGCTTCCTTCTTTGCAGTCTGTCTGCCCTCTATGTGCTGTTTCTTAGCAGGTATTTGGTTCACTTTTCTCTTCACTTGATCCTGTATGATCTTACTGGCTTTAAGCACAACCTCAACGAACAGCCAGATACATACTTCTGGTCCAGGCCAATCCCAATTCCAGGCTAGCATATCCAACTGCTAATCTCTAAGCAAATTAGATGTCCTACAGGAAGTTCATTATCTTCTGCCTCCAGAACTCCACTTCTCTATTTCCTATTCCAGTTAGAAGCACCCTCACACATGTGAAAAACATCTAATGAGTTTGTGGACTTTACTTCTTTCAAATTTGTGCTCTTAATCTTCACCATATCCGAAGTTCAAGCCTAAATCATCTGTTCCCCTGAATTTCTATGCTTTAGAACTATCCTGGCAGCAATGTAGAGGATAGATGGAATCTGTTAAAACAGGTAGGAAGACTACTGCAAATTCAATGGTCTTCTTTGGCTTAAATCCAGTGGCTGGTTCCATATTAACTACAGGGTGAAGTCTAAACATCTCTCAGCCAAGGAAACTTAGAAATTTTGGGTCCTTCCTACCTTTCCAGTTTCTTTTAACACACCACCCTTTGGGCCAAACTACTAGAAGTTCCCAGATCTTGCTCTGTAAGGTGTGATGATGTAACCCCTGCTGCAATGCAAACCCCCAAAATACCCATCTTTTACCTCTTCCAGGTTCTGCATAACATACTTACACAAATCTTCCATCTTAGATGTGTGTACGGAGAGAAGGCAGGGATAATATCTTATTCATATTTGGTTTCCAGGGGATGCTAAATTAATATTGGCTAAATAAAAATCCATACGGCCAGGCACGGTGGTTCACGCCTGTAATCCTAGGACTTTGGGAGGCCAAGGCGGGCGGATCAGGAGGTCAAGAGATTGAGACCATCCTGGGCAACATGGTGAAACCCCATCTCTACTAAAAACACAAAAATTAGCTGAGCATGGTGGCATCCGCCTGTAGCCCCAGCTACTCAGGAGGCTGGGGCAGGATAATTACTTAAACCTGGGTGGTGGAGGTTGCAGTGAGCCGAGATTGCGCCACTGCACTCCAGCCTGGTGACAGAGTGAGACTATTTATATATATATAAATCCATACAACAACTTAAAATTCATAACCAGGTTCTCTTTGAGAAGCAGACACTTCATTTGAGTTAAACTCGTAATATTATATGACCTTAAATTTCACTTGACCAATTACTAGTATTTTGAAGAACCTGTCAATTTACTACTTTGGGAAAGTTACTTAGACCTTATTTCAAAATACAAAAGCCTCTGTAATCCCAGCGCTTTGGGAGGTCGAGAGGAACACTTGAGCTCAGGAGTTCAAGACCAGGATTGGGCAACGTAACGAAACCCCATCACTACGAAAAATACAAAAATTAGCCAGGTGTGGCGGCGTGTATCTGTGGTCCCAGCTACTCTGGAGGCTGAGGTAGGAGAATGGCTTGAGCCAAGGAGGTCGAGGCTGCAGTGAGTTGTGTTTGTGCCAGTGCACTCCAGCCTGGGGGAGACCCTGCCCAACCCTCTCCCCTCTCCCCTCCCCCCACAAAAGACAAAATACAAAAGCCAAACGTTTTAAACTGGTTTAACATATTAAGTTCAATTGCTACACTGATTATTAAGTTCAATTGCTATACTGATGGTAAGTTCTTGAGTTCCTATTTAACTGGTGGCAATGGGAAAAGAGTATGATTTAGCTCCCACTTTCTGGATCACATCTACTTTTTCTATGCACTGTGTGATTAGCTTTTTTCTCTAAAAATGTGTGTGTTAGGATGTAAACTTGTTTCATTATTAAGGCACCTAGATAGAGTGCGCCTTAATGGGACTTGCCTATACAAATAGTAAAAAGAAAAAAAAATTATTCTATGTCTTCTAAAACCTTAAAAATGCAATTATAAAGGATGTTCAACTGAAGATAAAAAAAGCAGTTTACATAGGATTTCAATTATCTAATTATATTTCAGAGTAATGTTGATGTCTTTGATTTCTACTCCCTATCCTCTACCCATTCAAAGACTAGGTTCCTGAATAATTATTATTCTTGACATAGAATCCAAATATGAATTATACTAAATTTCTCTTAAATGTCAGATAATTTATCTAAATGCCAGATAACTTATTCTCTTAAATGTCAGATAAATTAATCTTGGCAATAAACTATCTTAAAATCATAGAAAATAAGACATTGTGTCAGTAAGATAAACTAGAACAGGTTAAGAAACATTTAGGTGGTGCTTCAGCATTCTTATAATCTTTGCTTCTTGATGGTTGGCTTGCAATTTTTGTTTGCAAAAATGTTTGTCTTGAGTTCTCAATAACCTTTGGATAGGAGATTTTACAAGAAAACCACTTAAAAATATTAGTGATTAAATGTCCTGAATAGCATTTAGACAAGCATTCTTGCTCCATAATTAAAATAGATTTGGCATTTTTCCCTTAAATTATAAATAAGAGATGATTACTTCTAGTAGATAGCCAATATTTACCAAATTATTAACTAATCGAAAAAAGTATCTCCATGCTTTCAACCTTCAAACTGTTTCTAAGAGGATAACATACTCTAAATCTGAAAGAGTATGTGATTAATGCAATCAGCAGGGCATTTCACTAGATAGAATAAGCTCTCTTTAGCCATATATATATATAATCTTGATTTACAGCATTCTCTATGCTTCTTCACTAATGCTTCCTGGAAAATTCATACAAAGAACAATATGATTAAATGAGAGTATGTGTCAAATGCGTCAGAAAATGGAGGTACAAATGCAAGGTGCTGTTATTACAAAATGAAATACTATCATTAATTAGCAGTGACTTGTGAATGCTAATATAGATTGCTATATTTTACTAGTGATAGGGAATTTGCAGCACTCCTCCCCCAAATCATGTCATGCAAGCAAAAAAGCATGAGATTTCAAAACTGCCTAACATTAAAAAATAAGTCTCTTAATTTATTTGCATTCTAAAATAGAGCCCTTCATCCTGAATCCCCTTTTCCATATAAAATGGTACTAAGTATTGTACAGGATTTGTCAAGCCCATATAACAGTCCCTTTAAAATCTTAAGTTCAATCACTATTTGTTTTCTACTATTATACTACATTTTGGCAGCAATTGTTTATTGGTCTGTCATTGCAGTAATTGCAACTTAACAATAAACCAGTCTGACATTTTAGGTCTTGAGGATACATACCATATATATTTCTTTAAAAATAATCATACTTTTTGTAAGCAATACTTTACAGTAGACACCTCAAAAATCTACCATAGATGTGAAACTTAAAACGAGAAAAATTTAAGTTCTAAAGATTTATACATATATATCCAGATTTCTATATATATTATATATACATACATAAGTATATATAAAATATATATAATCAGATTTCAAAAATGAACAAAAACTGGGCACTGTACATAAAGTCTTTTTTAAAACTCAAACAATAGAAAACTCTTTAAACATTAAACAATTTTAATAAAAGTTTCTGTACAATGCTAAGCAGTTTTATTTACACATAGAAAATGTAATAGGAGTAGTGTTTGAAATTACAGAACTCCTTAAAATTTCAATGGCAGGTAAATCTGGAAAAAATAACAGCATTCCATTCACAAATATTTTCAAGCAATAAATATGTATTTATAAATAGTGTAAATTTACATCAAGATTAGAAACAAAAATCACAAATCTGAAGTTTATTCCTTAGTCTATGTGCAATCCATTACCTTTGTGACTTGGCTGTTAATTTTTTAAATTTTATTTAGGAACCAAAAGTGTAACCATCATGGTCTCAAAACAAGACAGAAAAACATAAAAGCAGTAAAAAAGTGTCTTACCTAACTTTTCACATTAAAAAAAAGTTGACCAAAGAAAGACTTAAAATTGCTAACTACCTTACAAAGAAATGACCAGCTAGGCTAGTATTTTTTTTCCAAGGAAAATTCTGAAGGGGGAAAAGACAGATGAAAACAAATTCATCAGCCCAGAAATAGAGAAATATAAAAGAGGTTGTCTTCAAGTCAGTAGTCTGTAAGATGTTGCCAGTTTTGTCAGATATATACAAAACATGGAAATTATTATTTTTTTCTGAAGTACAGCTCATCAGCTTTGTGAGAGTCCTGGAGTAGGAGCAGTACTCTCTCCCGTCCAGTTGGTTGACACTCCGCACTTGGAAGGTTGCATAGACACAGTTTTCAGCCAGCAGCCTTACGAGATAGCTACAAAAACCAGTGGTGCAGAACTGGGTTATTTCCTGAATAGCAGAAAAGGTCTCATTTAATGTCCATGGAACAATATCAAGATGAGGCGGATGGTAATGGAGGAGCCTGAAAATAAAAGTAAGGTAGGTTATTTTGATATACAAATTGTTAATAGCTCATGGCTACAAACATATAGTCTGCTTGTGAAGTTAGGGGAAATAACTCTCAAAAAGTTCAACAGCCTGCTATGCAACATAAAAGTACAGCCTACCTTACTATCTCCCATTCAGCCAATCTTCCTAAGAATCTAAGACCATTATCCTACTCAGTGTACTTGCAATTTTCTATACTTCTTCACCAATTAGTCAAAAACTCTTGGAATGTTATTACGTTTACCATTTTTTAAGATTGCTTAAAAAAAGGGGGCTTCTTGCAAAATAATTTAACAAATTACAATTTCACTAGTGACTGCCTTCAGAATCTATCTCAGCTAGGTAATATATTTTCTTCAACATATTTCAGATAATTTTCTTCTTCAAGCAATCTTGAAGACCATTCAAGTGAAAATATCAGAAAGTAAATTTCAAAAAGTTAGTTTCTGATCACATATGTGTGGGAGACAAGTACTGGAGAAAATCAACAATTCATAAATTATCTCTGTGTTTCTATTCATAAAGCTATTGATCTGCGAAAGTAAAATGCTTCCCCCAAGCATCTGCTGTCTGAAATTAAAAACTGTGCAATTTATAAGTATACTTGAATTTCATAAGGTTACATAATATACCAGGAAGTTAAGCTCCATTAAATACTCCCATGAGGTTAATACTTCTGGCAAGGACAAAATTTTAAACAAATACAATTAGCTCTAAAAGCAGAAGTATATTTAAAAGCACACTTACTGATTCATTTTGTGGGCTCTAATAACCTACGTACACAAACATTTTATCAACTGAGATAAAATGACATAAAGGATATGATAGTGTTCTATCTAAAGCACGCAAAGATTTTTAAATGTAATTGTTGTAAAATTATTTAGGCTGGTCTCACCCAGGAAAACTGAAAATGATATATGCCAATTTTATAGGAATAAATACTTGGAAATGGAGGGGGGAATGATATGAATATACCCTCATGCAATATATAATGAGCCAAAGGAAAATTTAAAATATTTCATTACCTCCTACTTATCAGGTGGCAGAGCAAACACTGCTGCTTCATAACCCAGCTAACTATGTACTCACATGTTGATTTGACTTACTAATGTAAATTGGTCATAGACTTGCATCAGGTCCTCCATTTTGTACTGTTCTAGCACCACAAAGTTTTCCAAGTTTCCGCTTGTTTTTCGTGCACAATCTTGGCAATGTACTATGTAGGTCTTTCGTGAATTACTCTCATTAGTGACAAAAAGCAGATCAAAAACCTCCACCTGTTTTATACAAGAGAAAAACGTATTCAATAGAGATAGTGGTATTTACTGTACTGCTTTAGTATAATCATGGAATTCTACTTGAATGAAATTGTGGACAGTGATCTCTGGTTAAGAGTAGGTGGTAAGAAAAACATGGCTGTGTTTGAGAATCTTTAACAGACCAGGTTTATTTTGCACCAAATCCAAAGACATGGGTAGTAATGCATATTTAGGGGAATAATCAAAGGGAATGACATACTCATGACAACCACTGGCAAAGCCCAGTTCAAAAGTTTGATAAAGGTCAACCTATTTTTAAATCTAAAACATTAGTATACAATCAGACATAAGTGATCATTTTTATGTATTCATGAGTACAGCATGATTTTAGAAATAATACCTCTATCTTATACAGAAAGATTGATGAGTTGCTAGGGTTCAGGTAGGATAAGGAACAACACACCTAACTGGAATCTATCTGATCTCCTAATGACTCACTTTGGTCAGGCCATATGACATTTAAAAAAAAAATCAATGGATTCTATCATTTCAAATAAAGGTTGATGCTAGAATTACAGAATTTCAAGGTTTGAAATGGACCATCAACATCCTGTCTTTGGCTTATCCTTAAATTTCTTCAATGACAGAAAACTCTTATGATCCCATGTCTTCTTTTAACAGTTAACTACAATCCTAGAGTTCACCATGTTATCCATTACTGTCAACAAGCAGCAATACAAACCTAGTGACCTGAGCTAGAAAATTGGTGAGCATTCTTCAACTTGTCCTTCCACTTCTGCCATTTAATGAGGTGTCTCGCTGATTTTACCCTCTAAATATTTTTGAATTCTTTCCCTTCTTTAATATTCCCATTGCCAGGTTCTAGTCTAGGCCTTAAAATAACTTTTTTTTTTTTACAGGTACTTTATTTATTTATTTATTTATTTATTTATTTATTATTATTATTATTTTTTTAAATTATACTTTAAGTTTTAGGGTACATGTGCACATTGTGCAGGTTAGTTACATATGTATACATGTGCCATGGTGGTGCGCTGCACCCACTAACTCATCATCTAGCATTAGGTATATCTCCCAGTGCTATCCCTCCCCCCTCCCCCCATCCCACAACAGTCCCCAGAGTGTGATGTTCCCCTTCCTGTGTCCATGTGATCTCACTGTTCAATTCCCACCTATGAGTGAGAATGTGCGGTGTTTGGTTTTTTGTTCTTGCGATAGTTTACTGAGAATGATGGTTTCCAATTTCATCCATGTCCCTACAAAGGACATGAACTCATCATTTTTTATGGCTGCATAGTATTCCATGGTGTATATGTGCCACATTTTCTTAATCCAGTCTATCATTGTTGGACATTTGGGTTGGTTCCAAGTCTTTGCTATTGTGAATAATGCTGCAATAAACATACGTGTGCATGTGTCTTTATAGCAGCATGATTTATAGTCATTTGGGTATATACCCAGTAATGGGATGGCTGGGTCAAATGGTATTTCTAGTTCTAGATCCCTGAGGAATCGCCACACTGACTTCCACAATGGTTGAACTAGTTTACAGTCCCATAACTCTTAAGACCACTGCAATAGCTTATATATCGCTGTCCTTTCCAACCACTTTTCTCCCTGAAACACATATCTTACTTACCCTTAGTTGCCTGCTCAAAACCTTTTAATGGCTTCAATAACCTTGGAATATCAAATTCCTTAAAACCATTCAAGATGTGCTATAAATTAAATGCCACCTAGACTTATGAGCGGAATTTGCACAGTCTGTGTTCCAGCCAAATCGGAACACATTCAACCTTTTCTAAAACCATTTCATTTCCCTGTTCTCTTCTTGTGCCTATAGCCCATGACAGTCTACCTCCGATTCTCATCACTTTTTTAGTCTACTTGATATCATACTCTTTTTTCCAAGGATGGACTCAAATGCTAATACGTTTGTGAGTTCTTATGCCAATACTAGAAGAAAAAATTAGGTCATTTTCCCCCTCAGTGTTATCATTAACAGGAAGTCCAACTTCACATTCATCATAGTCTCATGTACATTACAATTAGTTGTTTATAATCTGTCTGCTCCAAGTAGAATTTAAGCTCCTTCATAGGAGGCACCACATCTTTGTTCCTGCACCTCTTGCAAGCCTTGGCCACACAAGATTGACAAATGTATTGTTAATTGCACCAGAGAGGACTGATAATCGATCTGCCTAGAGTTACACCAAACATCCAGTTTATTGGCATCTGTGTACATCTAGATTGTTCTTAGTTTAAAATCTCAGACTAAATTTGCTGATTATTGTCTGTTGAAGATCTACCACAAAAATGACTCTGCAGTAGATACTTTTAAGGTTAATTCACAGTGAAATATCATTATTATCACACTGAATTTTAATATAATGGCTAAGCAACAAAATTGAATCCAATGTTAATTACTATAAACTGGATTACATAAAAGTATAAAAAAGTTTTTTAAAAATAAAGAGAAACCAACAGTGGAGAGGGAAGAGGCTTTATAAAACAACTGTGGATAAAAACAATTACTTACTTCACAAATGCTACAGTAATGAGCTGGTTCTTCTTTTGTCCGCCCATGCCATATAATCTCTTTTCCTGCAGCAATGAGAGCTTCCCTCAATGTCTGACATTGCTTCAGAGTTCTTAGAAGACAATACCTATTGTGGGGGAGAAATTATTTGTGACCAGCAACTGAATATTGAATATTTTTAGCATAAAAGATATACCAACTAGAAATAATGCCAAGAGACTTGATTCTAATGTCTATGACTTCATAATTTTTCTTTCATCAATTTATCAAATATTCTCAGATTTTAAAATGACAATGCTCAGCAGGCCTGATGAAGACAATATTAAAACATTTAAAGTTGAGAAAAGTAATATCTGGATATCAAAATATAATGGTCTTAGTACATAAAAACTGACTCCCTGCTTAAATGTGAGTTGCTAATTTTGGCTCTTAATTTGGGCAAGTCAGTTAACCTCTCTGGGAGTCAATTTCCTCATCCGTGAAATAAGGGGTATGAATTCCAGATATGAACTTCTATGATTCTAGTAAGGCAGGAAGGCACATTATTTTTTTTTTAATCAACACTACCTAAACACTCATTAACAGCATCATCTGTACAGCTGCTTTTGAAACTCAAGTCTATAAGCAGAAAAAATATTTATGAATTTAGTCACTACAGGATACAATATTCGTTTAACTATAATACTAAAGAAAAAAGTATGTCTTCATTTTATCTTGAAGGTAACAGTGGAATCCATTCATATTAAAACAATTTAACTTTTCTTATAACTTCTACCTTTTCTAAACTCATACTTAGGATGCTAACAACATAGTAAATTCTCACAATTTGTACTGATTCTCCTATAATTTTCTGTCATTACTTGGAGTTGTTTGCTCAATTATCTTACTCTCCTGTGAATCTTAGTGGCTCAGGTTCTCCATTTGAACGGAGAGGTTGAACTAGATGATCTCTAAGGCACTTTTCAGCTCTAAAATTCGGAGACAATGAAAATATCCTAAAGAAAAGGAAATGGGTTTAGCAACTGAGTGTTGTCTTGAAAGCAAAGGTCTTATCTATTTTATTCCTGCTATCTACTTATCTACTCACCACCTAGGGCAGTGCCTAGCATATAGTAGCTTAATCAATACACAACTAAAATTCAAATAAGTACTAAAATATTTAATATACCTTATTTTATATTTCTTTGCTATTTTATACGTTACTATGTTAAAGTATTGTTATGTATCAGAACCCGTGTATATTAACCTGGTGGTGGGTGGGGAGGTGGGGAATGACTAAAAACATTTGTAAAACCTGTTAGCTTACTTAACAAATATAAAACAATATCAATTTTATAGTTGTAGGTCAATTCCTTAAGTGCAATATTCAAAGATTGCACTCTCAGCTTGGCTTCAACAATTCTTGCATATTTAACTTATTTAGAAACAAAAACATTGCTTTAGACCAGCGGTCCCCAACCTTTTTAGCACCAGAGATCAGTTTCGTGGAAGATGAGTTTTTCCACAGACCTAGGGGAAGGGGCGGGGGGGAATGGTTTTGGGATGAAATTGTTCCACCTCAGATCATCAGGCATTAGCTTCGCATAAGGAGCAAGGAACCCAGATGCCTTGCATGTGCAGTTCACAGTAGTGTTCCTGCTCCTATGAGAATCTAATAACACTACTGATCTGAAAGGAGCTGGAGCTCAAGCAGTAATGCCAGCTTGCCTGCTGCTCACCTCCTGCTGTGCAGCTCGGTTCCTAACAGGCGAAGGACTGATACTGGTCTGCAGCCCAGGGGTTGGGGACCCCTGCTTTAGCCTGTGGCTGTGTGTCAAGGTTAGGACAGCTATTGATGTGTGCATGCGTGCCTGTATAGGGCACCAGGGAAGGTAGCAAGTAAAAATTTAGATCATAGCAAAGAGAGAATATAATTCAGACTCTGTCTCTAGCTCTTGAATAGCACCTGCTCCTCTTTGTCCCTCCTCATGTCCCATACAATTCACTTCTAAAGATACAGATCTTACTGAACAAGTTTTCCAAGTAGGGCTTCAAAATAAGGTCTCTTACAGGAAAATAATGCCTAAAACTCTGTAGATACCATTGGAAGACTTCAAACTCAACTGTCCTTCCACATGGCCAAACAAAAATAATATAATAAAAGCAAATAAAAAATAAGAACCAGACAGGGGCCATGTATTTGCTATTTCATATACATTATGCCAAGTAAGCCTCCTAACAACCCTGGGAGAAAGGTTATCTCTATCTTGCAAATGGGGAAAAAGGAGCGCAGAGAAGTTAAGTTTGTCTAATGTCATAAAGCTATTTAAGTGGTTGAGCTATGAGTTTTTAAAAGAAAATCTCAAGCTTCCCCCTTACTATCTCACACTGTAACCCTTCTTTTTGGTCTCCTCACATCTTATTATCACCCACTCCCCCTCGAAGATGAGATTCTTGGGCTCAGGAAGCACAGTTTTTCCAAACACAGAGCCTTGGTTCTATGGAGTATCAGGCTACTTGTTACTCAGCAGATAAATTTTCATCTTCAATGCCACTGACTACACTGGCACTTAGACTGTAAATTTACAATGTATTGTTAGTTTGGTAGTTTCATCTTAAAAAAGGCAGTATACTGATTTCCTGCAAATAACAAGGGGTCTGAGATAAGGTTGCTAAGAATAAATATTAAGCCATAAGTAGTCAGTCTGCTTCTGGAATAAATTCTGCTCCAGAATTTATATTTTATATTTTGTGTGATACCAAAATCTTAGAAAACTGACAGTTCTATTAATCTTATCTGATGATGAATAACAAAACTGTGATTTCTGCTTGCCTTTACTTTTTTAACATTGGAAATTTTTGTTCCTTCGCCTTTTCAAAAGGCAGCACTTGGAACAGAAGAATTTAGAGAGAGAGAGGCTCTTATGGAGTCCACAGTAATGAGCAAGTCCTAAAAAAGAAAGAATGTGATTCAATTGAAGGATAGGGAAAAATAGAAAGCAAAGTGATTTAGGGAAAGGATCGTAGTAAAGAAACATATAATATTTAAGACTTAAATGATAACCTGTTCTGCTTTGATTAGCCCCAGACTGATTTTATACAAAGACAACATTTAAGTACATTAAAGAGCTAAAAAATAAAAGCTAAACAAAATCAGGATTCTCATTTCCTCTTAATTTTAGTTTTGCTGAATTTCTGTAAGTTTACCTTATGGTAATTAAGAATTCAATTTGAGGGCTGGGCGCGGTGGCTCGCGCCTGTAATCCCAGCACTTTGGCAGGCCGAGACGGGTGATCACCTGAGGTTGGGAGTTTGAGACCAGCCTGACCAACATGGAGAAACCCCGTCTCTACTAAACATACAAAATTAGCCAGGTGTGGTGGCATATGCCTGTAATCCCAGCTACTGGGGAGGCTGAGGCAGAAGAATTGCTTGAATCCGGGAGGTGGAGGTTGTGGTGAGACGAGATCGCACCATTGCACTCCAGCCTGGGCAACAAGAGCGAAACTCCGTCTCAAAAAAAAAAAAAAAAAGAATTCAATTTGCTAAAAACAGAAGAATAAATCATTTGCAAAAGGTGTAAACACATAGAAGATGGAAAATGCTATTTTGCATACGTGTACTTTAGAAACAAGGTCAAAAATGATTTCAACAGCTAGAAAAGCAGGAAATTCTTTGACGTTTAAGGATCAGTATTGGTTTCAGGACCCAATCCCTGTTTTTAGTTGTTTCGATGAAAGACTACACAAAAAGGCAGGGGACAAAGGAAGTTCCAGAATGGAAGAAAACCATGAGGAAGAAGCTGATTGAGAGCTTGGCATATTTGAGGTTATATACTAGAATCTAATCCAACCAAAAAGTGATCTGCAAAGATGAAGCTTAAAGAGCGATAGAATTTTAGAGAACAACTTCACACAGGGAATAGAATGAAAATACACTTGCAATATTAGAACAAGAGAACTGAATAAAATAATATGTAGACAAATTATCAAAAGCCTTATATTTATGGGCAATTAATGCACAATATATTCATAAATCAATACATGAGGACATTAGGCAAAAAATAAACATAGTATGCTATGGATACTAAAAGGAGAGCGAGAGATCATCTTCAGGTGAGGGGAGGTAGAGAATCACATAAGTTTTCAAACAGAAGTTGAAATTTCTGAATCAATTTACTTAATTGATTATGAACAGGAAAAAGAGTTGGGGGAAGGCACACTCGGTACAGAAAGAATGCCACAAGAAGGTAGTATGGGGGCTTCTTTGGGGAACAAACAACTGTTCTTACAAGATTTTAATCTTCGCATGACGTTTCTGGGGCAGGAAGTAACAGGAATGAAGCCATAATAATATTATATTACATCAAAGTTAAGACAACACTGGGGGTTACTCTGACATTCTAATGGCAATGTGACTCAGTTTCCAAAGTAAGTTACCAAATATCAATGTGAAGATAGATGAAATATGGGTTAACTTGGTACTGCACTTTTAAATGCTTTATGGTAACAGTCTCAGCCACTGAGAAGTAGATAACTTAACGAACACCAAGAGGTGCCTTGCTCTGCCTAGTCTCCCTTACTGAAAGAGCCATGCAGGAAAAGCAAGCCAACATATGAGCTCTGAAAACTCTCTTGCCACCTGTCACTCCAGGGTTGTGTTCTCCTAGGACAATAGTGGGTATATGAATGTCAATAAGGCATCTAACAGTTTTATTTACACCAACCACATGGCTGAAAATCAAGGTCTCAGTCAATGAAAAAACGCATATCTTAAGAACTTTAAGCTCCTAGATGGGGGGAAAAAAGCATGAAAGCAAATACATATATATTAACCATGAGAATGCAGTTTTAGAATTTTTAGATTTTGTTTGGTCATTGTTATCAAAAAGCATTATATATCAAACCCAACAGAGTATTAGAAGACCACCAGGACTACAGCACTACATCACTAGGATCAATGCTAACTATGGACTGGTCTTTATGGCTATACCATTATCTACGCATAGTGTTGGAAAAATCTTGGTCCATTATTAGGTCAAATGGGTGTGGACTAAAGAGTTGTATAACACCATATTTATCCATTTAAATAAGGGAATCAAAGAGAAAAGGGAGTTAATACTTATGAGTTCGCTTTAATTTACATTTTGAAATTCTGTGTTTGTGATAAAGTATATTTTATGTAGGTAGGTAAGGTAATAACCTATAATGTATGTGAAAGAAAAGGGAGCAAAGAAATTCTTAGTTCTAAAAAAGACCTAATTTGTCTGATAAGATTCACTAGGCCACCATGAAAAAGGTTCCCAGAGTTCTTTGCATAGAGCTCTGAAAACCTATTTTAATAAGAGTTCCAGGTGATTCTTGTGATCAGCAAGTGAGAGAACCAGTGCAAACCTCTTACTTCGTAAGTGTCAAAATTAAAACCAATGTCTCAGATTTGTAGTGTATTTTTCAATAGACTGGTAAAATATCAACTTCACGAATCACTGTGTTTTTAGGATTAGAGCCTTTAAGAGACCATAGAAAGAGCTGTAGAGTGGGCAAGAGCAGATTCTATACCTAGACTGTCTGGGTTCAAATTCCAGCTGCACACCTCTGTGCCTCAGTTTCCTCAGCTGAAAAAAGGGGATATTTAACTTACAGTGCTGTTATGAGGATTACATATGTTATATAAAATGCTTAGACTTGTGCCTGGCAGTTAATGCTCAATAAATGTTAATTATTTGAACTTGACATGTCAAATTCCTAAACTGTATTAAAATAATCATATAATTACTAAATTAAAGTTATTTAATTTGAAAAAATTGTATGATGAATGCCAACTCAAAGTATAATAGTTAACACACCAAAAAGAAAATGAAATAAAGTTATTCAAAAGGTGTTTAGTCTGGATTCCATTAGATTAGATAAGGGTTTTTCAATCTCAGCACTATTGGTATGGTAATTCTTTGTTATGGGGAGCTGTCTTGTGCCCTGCAGGATATTTAATAGCAGCATTCCTAATCTCTACTCAAAAAAGCTAGTAGCATCTCTCCCACTCAAGTCATGATATTGGCATATGTCCCCTGGGAAAGGAAAGTGGGGGGAGGAAAAATTGTCCACATTTGAGAAGCACTACACTAGGTCCAAGAATATTAATTAAAAAAATAGAAGGTAATTGGGGTTTCTATAAAATAATAATAATTACAACAACTACCATTTACTGAATGCTTATCGTATGCTAAGACTCACATAACAGTCATAAAAGTTATTTTAGAAAGACAGTATTATCCCCATTTTTCAGAAGAGGAAATAAAGACTAATAGGTTTAGCAATCTGTCCGCAGTTCCCCAGCCAATAAATGAAGAAGCTAAGATATGAAGGCAGATTGGATTCCAGAAACTACACAATGCTGCCCTTCCTGTAATATCTTACTGGGATATTAAATAGCATAGACTCTAAGACTTAGGAAAATAAAAATGGATGGGCAAACATCGAACACATAGTGATCACATATACACAAAAGGCACAGAGAAAGCACATAAAACATTAACATTGTGCATATAAGATGGCACATTTAAAAACTGAAATATTGGCCAGGCATGGTGGCTCATGCCTGTTAATCCTAGCACTTTGGGAGGCCGAGGCAGGGGGATCCCTTGAGCCCAGGAGTTTGAGACCAGCCTGGGCAACATGGGGAGATCCTGTCTTTATTTTTTTAATTAAAAAAAAAAAGAAGAAAGAAAAAGAAAAAATATAAAACAGTGCTTTATAAGATGGTCAAAAGAATAACAAAATAATATGACAAGAAATTAAGTTTGTGCAAGAGTGGTTTTCAATGAGCTTGGCACTGTTGAAATTGAAGAGAATTTATTTTCAAACATTGGCTTATATGTTATTAGCATTTTTAGAATGTGTTAGTGTCTGGCAGATTACAGGGGCGTAAGACAAATGAATGTGTATCCTCAAAATTAACTTTCTACTCCTCAGCATACTATTTGATATGCTCCTCCTAAATCTGAGACTTCCTAACATTAAACTTTTCAGAGGAAAATGCACTCCTTGGCATTCTGTTTTTGACATATTTTAAAATTTACTAAATTACTTATCGTGGTGATTTAAGTGAACTCACAAAGTTGCTGGTGAATAAACCAAAGTTTCCAATGTATTGAAAACATACTACCATTGCACTAACTTGACAACAGTCCAACATGACTGTAACAACTTATGGCATATTTGCTGGGGGTCGGCTTTATCAACTGCACCTGTAAGTCTATTTATTCTGAAAGCCTGTTATCTACAGGGAACTCTCATCAGTACCAACAGTCTGCAGAGCTCATCTCCTGCACTAACACTTGATTCCTTTCAAATGTCCTGTTAAAAAAAATACTTCAGAGGCAAAACAAGGAATGTATGAGTCTTATGAAAATGACGTAAAGCGTCTTAGTATTGTACAAAGAGAAAAATAAAATATAACCCAAAGTACTGTATCTCAAATACCTTAAAATGGGAATCATGAATTTGCAGAGGGGTTTTTTTTTTTTTTGAGACAGAGTCTTGCTCCGTCGCCCAGACTAGAGTGCAGTGGCACAATCTCGGCTCACTGCAACCTCCACTTCCCGAGTTCAAGTGATTCTCCTGCCTAAGCCTCCCAAGTAGCTGGGACTACAGGCGTGTGCCACCACACCCAGCTAATTTTTTGTAGTTTTAGTAGAGACGGGGTTTCACCATGTCAGCCAGGATGGTCTCGATCTCCTGACCTTGTGATCTGCCCGACTTGGCCTCCCAAAGTGTTGGGATTATAGGCGTGAGCCACCGCACCCAGTGAGGGTTTCTTTTAAATCTTAATCTACCAGTCGTAAAATTAAAGCCACAGGATAAAAACCATATACTATGAAAAAGATGGACTAGAAAGTAACAATAATCTCCTCACCCCTAATTTTAAGTTTTAAAATTGCCTTTTTAAAGTAAAACTTAATTTACTCAGGACCCACTAAGGAAGATATCTCTGACATAGTTTATACTGGAGTGAGGCAGGAGTTTAACAAAAGTAAACATCATTAGTAGTTTTTGTCAAAAATTTACCCTAAATACAATTATGAGAAAACAAATCCAGAATGTAGAACTCTGCACAACACAAAGGTCTGCTGTCTTCAAGAAGAAAATGTCATTAAAAAAAGACTTTCGTAGGTTTAAGAGACTAAAGAAGACACAATGACTACATATTCAATTAAATGTGAACCTTAATTCAATAGGGAGAGGCAAGTGCTTAAAAAAAAAAAAAGACATTTTTGGATAGTTGGGGAAATCTAAATGTGGACTGTGTATTAACTCATACTATGGAATTTCTTATTTCCTAGATATGGTAAATCGTATTACAGGTATGTAGGAGAATAACCTTATTCTTAAGATGCAGGATGAAGTATCTGAAGTGATATGTCATGATGTCTGCAAATTACTTTTTCATAGAGCTCATATGAAAAAGCACGTGCAAGCATGTATGTGTATACAGAGACCGCTAAATAAATGTGGCAAAAACTTAACTGATGAATCCAGATGAGGTTACACAGGTATTCGCTGTACTACTCTTTCAACTTTTTTTGTAGGTTTAAGAAATTTCAAAGTAAAAGTTGGAGGAAAAAGTATAAACAAGTTGGGGAGGAGGGCAGTGATGTGTTATACATGTAAATTTTATATATTTTAAAGGAGACTAGATATATTAACCTAGAAAAACCATCATAGTTGAATGAATTAAAGGAGATCAGTACCCTTGATCTTAAAGTTTTCCTTTATTCATTTCTTTGTATGGGCACTGCTCTACCTTAAAAATAACTAATGGTTCGGAAAACTCAACAGCTAATACCTTAGCAGTGATTGCCTATCAGCCAGCTGAGGGCTACAAATGTATTATCTCAGACTCCTTTTCTAAGCAATAGAACCATACATCCATCTAGCTGTTATTTAATAGAAATTTCAACTTAAATCTTGTAGGAGCAATTCAAGTTCTGCATGTCTAAAGCTAGTCAAGTTGATAACCATCATTCTCTACACCCAACTCATTTCTTCTTTATCTCCAGTTTCAACAACAAGCACAAATGTTCCACTGTCTGGCCCAAGCCAAAGTCCAGCGATACAGATTTCTCGCTCAACTCTACCACCAATCAATTACCAAGTGTAGTCTATTTTACCCTCTAATCTTTGTCTCTCCTTTTGTCTGAACTGGAGCAATTACCTTCTAATTTATGTCTCTAAATCTTCTGCCTTCCATTTAATGCTTCATCTTGCTACCAAGTGATCCAACATGCAAATTTGACCATTATTTAAAATATTAAAAATGATAAAGACTTCTCATTGGCAGTCATTGCCAATGTGAAGTCTACCTGAAATTTTTAGCAACAAAAGTTTAAATCTATCTTCAGCTAATATGAACACACAAGTATGGCATAAACCAGGGAAAGACACTTAAAGTTTGGTCTAAAGGAGAAATTAAGTTCATTTGCAGAGAAAAGTTATTTCATTTAAATAGTTAAATGAAGTCAAAAGAGAAAGTTATCCACTGAGCTGCCACTTAAATTTTCCTAAGTAGTTAGGTTGTGAACTTTTAAGTCAAGTTCACTGCATTATCAAATGAAAGAAGTAATCAAGATAATATATATTCTTTTGACTTATGCCAACATAGGAAATATCTGGAAGAATGTGAAGCAGAATATGATTAATGTATTTTAGCAAAATGGCTAGGTTGTAGAAATTTGAAGAGATTTACTAAATGACTTACTCAGATAAACAGAACTTTATGGAATCACAGGGTCCTTAAAGACCAGACTTGAACTTGAAAGTGCAGAGAAAAAGCAAGAGTGATACTGATTTGCTTAAGGAAGTACAGGCGATTTATTCTCAAAATGATAATGAGGAATCAGGAGGTGACAACAGAAGAAAACACCATTTCCCATTATTAAATAACCCAGTGCAAATACAGGTTCATAATCCCTTATTATAATCCCACAAATTTTTCATAAATCTTGCATAAACTCATGTGGTGCTGAAATTTGACCTGGGGCTACTTACGGTATTCACTTAGCTCATTAGAGTGACTATTTCTATGTTTTAGTGCTGAAATACTAATATGTTCGTTCCCAGGATACTGCAACAGACCCTGCTGGGAAGGTACGATATATTATAAATGTACTCAATTACCTTTCTAAATCTAAAAAACATTATCTTTTTTTTAACTTTTAAGTTCAGGGGTACATGTGGTCTGTTATAGGTAAGCTTGTGTCATGGGGGTTTGTTGTACAGATTATTTTGTCACCCAGGTATTAAGTCTAGTATCCATTAGTTATTTTTCCTCTCTCTCCTCCCACCCTCCATACTCCAATCGGTCCCAGTGTCTGTTGTTCCCCTCTATGCGTCCATGTGGTCTCATAATTTAGCTCCCACTTATAAGTGAGAACATGTGGCACTTGGTTTTCTGTTTCTGCATTCATTTGCTGAGGATATGGCCTCCAGCTCCATCCATGTTCCTGGAAAAAAGATGATCTCATTCTTATTTTATAGCTGTATAGTAATCCATGGTGTATATATACATTTTCTTTATGCAGTCTACCACTGATGAGCATTTAGGTTGATTCCATGTCTTTGCTATTGTGAATAGTGCTGCAATTAATATATGTGTGCATGTGTCTTTATGATAGAATAATTTATATTCCTTTGGTTATATACTCAGTAATGGGATTGCTGAGTTGAATGGTAGTTCTGCTTTTGGCTCTTTGAGGAATCACTGCACTGCTTTCCACAATGGTTGGACTAATTTACAGTCCCGCCAACAGTGTGTAACTGTTCCTTTTTCTCCACATCCTTGCCAGCACCTGTTATTTTTTAACTTTTTAATAATAGTAATTCTGACTGGTGTGAGATGGTATCTCACTGTGGTTTTTGCTAAATCTAAAAATTCTTAGCTCCAAAACACATTTAGTCTAAAGGGTTTACAATAAGAGACTGCGAAGCTGTAGTACTTCTGGTGAAGCCTTTACTGAACCTTCCACTCTTTCGGAAGAACCTTCCTCTATGCTGCCCCACCATGGTTTCTTACCAATATCTCTATCATTAAAGATCACATGTTTTAATGGTTTGACGGTTTCTCAATTCACTTTGAGCAGTCTGAGAAGTGATCAAATCCTTTTCACCTAGCACAAACCTGGGTACCAATGCAGTACACAATAAACATTCACTGAATAAAAAGAACTGGGTAGAGCTGAGGGAGGGAGGGAGCGGATGAGAAGGCACAAGGTAAATTTTGCTTACATTCTTTTTGGTTGAGCGGGCTTACCACTTAACTATGAAAGCCTAAAAATTACACACTGTAGATTCACAGTATTTAAGAATTAAAAATAACAATTCAGGGGAGAATTAAGGAAGAAGACTATGTTTGTATATCTTCTCTATTTCATTTCATTTAGCTGTTATTTTTTCTTTTAATATAGCCTATAATTCGTATGCTCAACATATACAGAATTAATGCTTTATTAAAAGATGATTCAAAGGAAAAAAAGGGGGAGATGTAAAAACTGCAGTTCATATTAAAGATGGTTTAAAATAGCAAATGGAGTGGTAAAAATATTAATAAATAGAAAACAATTCAAGCACACATTTAAAAGCAGCAGTGGGAGAAATGGCTGACAAGGCAAGTGGGAATCAGATTTGAGGCATTCACATGCTAGGCTTAAAAAAGGTAGATTTCTGAAGAAAGTGTACATTAGTGCCTTTGCAGATGTACAACAGTTGGTCACTGGTGACCTCAACAAGAGAAGTGTTGGGCTTACCAAGGGTAGAAAGCCAAACTGCTGTGGGTGGCAGAGTGAACAGGAGATGAAGAAAATAACTCAAAGCAGAGGGAAGGAATGGCAAGGGAAAACCATTTATTAAGAACTGGCACAGCTCACAAACCAGAAAAAACCAACAGCACTTCATTTTTTGGCAGGAACTACTAGACTTGAAGACCAGAGCAATGATATGGATATAACAATTATACGGCAAAACTGTGCTTGTGGAAAAAGACCTCCTTCTCTATTTCTGCAACAATACAGTCTCCATGCTCTCCTGTTATATAGCTCACGTATTTCTTTTTCTTAAACAGGCATATCCCCCACAAAGTGCTATCCCCAACTTTTTCTTCCCTTTTCCTCTCAAGACAGTCAGCAACTCCTAGGTAGAAGACTCCCTAGTCAGCTTCTTCTAAATAGCTCTATCTAACTCTTTTAATGGCTCCCCAAACTTGCCCCCAAATGAAGTCATGTGCCATAGATTCACTCAAGCACTTTCACAGACAGATATGGGTTTAAATCTTGGCTCTACCTCTAGTCAATTGAATGACCTTGGGATGCTGTGAGAAATAATACAGTCTGGGAAGCACTTTGCTCAGTGCTTGGCTAAGTACTGAGCCCGATTTATTAACTAGCATTATTATTAAACCATCTAAGTATCCAGACTTAAAAGCCAAAGAATCTTTCATTCACTCCTTCCTCTTACTATCCAAAAGTTTGCTCTATTTAATAGCTAGAAACACCTTTACGAAACCTAAATTAGATCATATTAATTAAAAACCCACCAAGAGCTCTCTGACAGAAGAAAGTCTTAAGTTTGGTACACAAAGCATAATTGGCTTCTAACCAACTTTTACAACTGTATCTTATTTTACTACTCATCACACATTGCACTCAAGCCAAAACATACCACCAATTATGGACAATAAACATATAGCAGTTGTATCGTATATACATTTAAGCTCACGCAAATGCACAGCAGGGAGGGTAATCAGGAGGGAGGGCAAAAAAGAGAGGTATAGTGGAGAGAATGACAGCAGGAGGAAGAGAACATTACTTGGAGTATACATTTGCTATTCCTCTACAGAGTTCCTCCGAGCCTTTCAAAATTACCATGTTGAGTATGACTTTAGCGGTTGAAGACTGAAGTTATTCATACAACATGGCCTCTCTACACAAGCCAACTATTTTGCCTGGTGCTCAAGTGAAGAAAAGGGATTTATTCTTTCACTGGATGAAAACGTAACTGTGCTGGACTTAAGGAGATATGGTATGTATGCTATTTTATGGATGAACTGGGGCATCTTTCTCATGGTGCAAGAGTTTGGTTTTAAGCTGGCTTAAGTGCTATTCCTTTCTCTTCTCCCTGCCTCCTCATTTTCACCCATCACACAAAATACATTCTTCCCCAGAATGCACAGTTTTTTAAAAAGACCTGACTCCTTGGGCTGGAAACATCAGTGGATCTATCACCGAATTTCTTTCAATCTATTTTATTTATATGCACTAACTGTTACTTGAAGAAAGGACCTATACCATGTATTTATAAACCCTCAGGGCCTAGCCTAGAGCCTTGCATACAATAAGCAAAGACTCATTAAATCAAAGAAAGGGAGCCATGTTGGCTGCTGAAAAGTACATTTTTAGCAATGGCTCAATGACAATTATTTCAAAAAGGGAGGCTTATAAAGCAAGGCCTAGGGGTCTAGACTTGTGGTTAACATTTTCAATTGGTGTGTCAATAGGTACTCAAGCTGGGAGAAGAATTGTTAATATCACAGGAATGCAATCAAGATTTAAATGATGAGACATTTTGTAGCGTAGGGCAAAATGGAGTATAGATAAGAATGTAAGTGCATCTAGGTTAAAAAAAAGAAATGTATAAGAAACAACAGTATCACTATAAATTATAAGTAGAAAAACACACAAATTTTGTGTGTCCAACCTCAACACAAGACAACTTTATAACAACATAAATGTCGATACCTCAACATTTTAATGATAAACTGGAAGGAGTCTCAAAGGGTATCAAGAATATTGAGGGTGGGGTAGGGAATGGAAAAGATGATAGAGGTGATTAATGTTTACATTAATGACAATCAGGCAACAAGAAGAAAAGACTATAAGTTTTCCTTGGTTCCTTTTTCCCTCTCACTCAACCACCTAATCTATGAGCAAGTTCTACAAGCTTTAGTTCCATAAGACTCCCTAGTTTGACCCCCTCTCTCTATTTTTACAGGGAAATCTCTGTCCAGGTTGGTCTGTACTGTTACAATTGCCTCCTAATTTGTCCTCCCTACTTCTAAGCTTACCCCTTGGAACTCATTCCACACACAGCAATTAGATCCGTTTTTTTTTTGTTTGTTTGTTTGTTTGTTTTTTTTTTGAGAGAGAGTCTCACTCTTTCACCCAGGCTGGAGTGAAGTGGCACCATCTTGGCTCACTGCAACCCCCCGCCCCACCACCCCTGCCGCCTCAGCCTCCAGAGTAGCTGGGATTACAGGTGCCCATCACCATGCCCGGCTAATTTTTGTATTTTTAGTAGAGATGGGGTTTCGCCATGTTGGCCAGCCTGGTCTCAAACTCCTGACCTCAAGTGATCCGGCTCGCCTCGGCCTCCCAAAGTGCAAGGATTATAGGGATGAGCCACTGCACCCACTAGATCCATTTTCTAAATTTAAAGTGAAACCTATTCCTTTCCTGCTTAAAATCCTCTATGGCAAGCTGTAACACCTAGAATTAATATATAAACTTCTTACCATGTCCAGAAAGCCCATGTATGATCTCATTCCTGCTTGCTTAAGTTTATCACCATCACTCTTCCTTTCTCTCATTCAGCTATAGTCACCCTGGCCTTTTTGTCCCATAAACATGCCAAAGTTATTCCCAATTTAGCCTTCATCTGTTCTCTGTATATGAAAGGTTCTACCCATAGATCTTTGTGTAGTTGATTTCATCTCATTATTCAGGGCTAAGCAGAAAACTCACACTCTCAGACCAGTTAAGCAAAAGGAGCACTCCGACCTTCCCTCCTCCCAAATATTATTGTATTTTATCTTATTCATATAAATAAATTATACTGGGGGTTTCTGTCTTGTTCTACTAGAATTGAAGTCTCCAGAGGACAGGAATTTCATCTTAAACATTGGTATGTCCATCATCAGTGCCTAGAACAGTGTCTGGCATAGAGTGAGTTTTCAAACATTTGTTGAATGGGATTTATTCTGCAGAAATCCTAAATATATTTAGGAAATTGGGACCAAATGACAGGTAGACTTTAGGCCATTTTGTAAAGAACTTGCAAGAATTATAGTGAGGTGAAAAGAATGTTTAAGAAGTCACTGGATGACCACAAATTATGAATACAGATGAGATTACTATATTAAGTAGGAGCTGATTAAGTGACCTTAAAATCCTTTCCAATTATAAAATCCTAATCTACTCATAATGTAATGAGTTACTTTCAGTCTATATAGCTGTTAGATAAATGGCTTGTACCTTGAACTACCTTTAAGTGATCTACTAAACACCTTCAGTGACTTTAGGTCATTTTTGTTTCAAAAAATAACACTGAACTTGCTATTCAGGGTAAAGTACCATTCTGACATATAACAGGATAAATGGACAGACAATTCCCCACCCCACTATAAATTATATTTATCGAGAGTATGGTACCTAAGATCCAATGTTCTAAAGAATTTGTAGTACATTACTCGCTATAATTTGGCTTTTGGTCCTTTTTGTCTCCCCTACCCTTCTACCTATAACTAGGTAAAATGGTGCAACTGAGAAAAGACTGTCATAAAATAATTTATAGGCATGTTACCTTGGCCACACAACTTTTGTTTAAATAAAAGTTTCGATCTAGATTTGAAATCATTTTAACAAACCAGGATTACTTTCAAAATACAGTATTTTGAAAACAACACATGCTGACCAAATTAATATATCTGCAGGAGAAATACTTAATGTAAACTCTATTTTAACAAAGACTAAGACAAACTTATTTTTATCAATTAATATAAAGCAGTGTATCCCAAAATGAGCTTTTGAGAAAACTAATTCTTCAAAAGATACTGGTCAAATAAGTTTGGGAAATACCATACACTATAACTCTTCTCCCTCATTCACAAATTACATTAACATATACAGTATCTGAAATATTTTACAAAAAATAAAGGACTTGTCCACTTGCTGAACTTTAATCTATCATTTCCCATATTTCCATAGCCAGAATTCCCCATCTTTTGGGGACAGAGCTAGTAGTGGAAAACACAGTTTAGGGAAACACTGCTATATAGCACTATTTGAAAATAGTACCTCTAAATAGATTTACAAAATGGCTAAGATAGAAACTGTGAAAACAAATGTGAAGCTTACTGGTATATATGTATTCAAACTAGGTCCCTAGGTAAGAATTTATATAACTTATACTAAATTTTTTTAAGTAGCTCAGAAAAGAGATACTTAAAAAATAGATGATTTAATTAAAAATTAAAAAATCAGCATTTTAGTCAAATCCCTATATTAACTGCTAATTTGTCTGTGACAACAAATATTCTGTGATGCCATTTTCCCCTCAAGTTATTAATGGTAGATTTTCATATTAAAACTAAAGTTATCCTGGGATATCAGGTGGTTCAGAGGGAAATGGGAAAGAAGCACAGGTCTGTGACTCTACTGGTTTATAATCATAGGTCTTTTTTTCCTTTCTGTACCATAGTGGGCTATTTGAAAGGGAAAAATATTTTTAACATGTGGATTCTCATAATACATTCTGCTAGACTTTTGCACCATTTTGCTTTGATGTCAACGTAATTCTAAGGGAGAAAAAAAACTTAATAGTTAACACTCCCCAAAAAGAGAGGGACTACAGCAGTTTTAGAAAAGACTTACTTAATCATTTCAAAAAGCTTTGGATCTGAGACCTTGATATTTCGTGCCATATTCCAGGAAAGATGAACCATGGGTACTATTGACTTCACACTTTGCAATTTGTTCCATTCGTACCGTTCCACTGCCAATTTATACTGGCAGGCTAGGAAAAAAAAAAACAGTTATAAAGCAACCCAAAGTACCAAAAGATATGAAGATAACCATTATCACCTGCTCAGGTGATATCTTCAACATCAATTCTGAAAACCTCAAAACACTATAAAAATAATTTTTATGCTTTATGATAATTACAGTAGTAATAATATTAGCAATCATATAAAGAGCACTTCCTATGACTATGTGCCAAGCACTGTGTTTTTATTTTTACCCATTATCTCATTTACTCTTCACCATCACCTTATTAATTTCATTACTTCCATTATACAGATGAAAAAATCGAGGACCAGAGAGGTTAAATAACTTGCCCAAAGTTACAAGAGCCAGATCCTGGTCCTAATCCAGGTCTTTCTGGCTCTAAACTCCACATTCTTAACCTTAAGTGAGTACTGCCTGAAGGCAGGCATAATTCAAACAGATTTTGACATTACAGAGCTATTCATATGAAACACTAGATTTTTTTAAATGTGAAAGAATAATTTTTCTACTTTGTTTTCTCTCATAAGGGTTTTTTTAAAATAAAACCAAGCACTCTAAAATTTATTATTATAACCTTCATGTATATTAAAGCCATAAACTTGTTATTTGCTAACATCTATGCTCTTAGATTTCTATTTGTTAACTTGAATTTAATTTGTTGTACTACGAATTACAATTCTATGCAAGGAGTCATTCTTCTTACAACTTTTAGTGAGTTATATTTCAAGAAAAAAGGAACAGTCCTATTGGATATAATCCTTTATAAATTAACTTTTTTAAAGCATATTCTTTATAATACCTGTAAGTGGACCAACATTCCAAGCAATGTTGTTGCACCAGCCAATAGCCTGAACCCAATGAACAGTGCCTGCATTTATCCAGACCAAATCTCCAGGTCGCTGAATAAACCTATACACTGGAACATTTGCTTCATAAAGATCTTCAAGATTGGGCCACCAAGAACCCATTAGGAAATTCAAATTATTTCTGAAATAAGAAAAAAATAATGCAAATGGATCAACTACATTAAGAAGCTCCTAGTAAGACTGGAAGAAAATGTCACAAATTTTTTAAATAAACACTTGTTCATTTTATTGAAACATAATTGCTTGTGCAAAAAGATCTGCTGTATGTATATAGAGTGTGTAATTATGGTTGAGTACTAAATTACTAAAGATCAGTGTTACTTTTTTTTTTTTTTTTTGAGACAAAGTCTTGCTCTGTTGCCTGGGCGGGAGTGCAGTGGCTCCATCTAGGCTCACTGCAACCTCCGCCTCCTGGGCTCAAGCAATTCTCCTGCCTCAGCCTCTGGAGTAACTGGGATTACAGGCACCTGCCACCACGCCTGGCTAATTTTGTATTTTCAGTACAGACGGGGTTTCACCAGGTTGGCCAAGCTGGTCTCGAACTCCTGACCTCAGGAGATCCGCCTGCTTCGGCCTCCCAAAGTGCTGGGATTACAGGAATTATAATACCTGTAGTAAGTGGACCGGCCCAGCATTACCATCTTAAATTGATTTTTCAAAGATCCAAATGAAATCCAAAGCTACTTTCAAGTAACACATAAATTCACTTTCAATTTCATTTCAACAAAGACTATTTTTGACTGAAGCCTTCTCCCTGGAGCACCTAGAAATCCCTAAAAGGTAAATGGAAGGTGGAGTTGACATCAAGTCATTTAAATCCATAAACAGGAACACTGTGGCAATACAAGTACCAGGAACTTCCCTTAATTTCTGAGGAAAAGGAGACTGGATGTCAGACTCCATATAGTTTGATGATTAGCTGATTAAAACTATGCAGTTCAAAACAACTTCAGCAAAAACAAACAATCACGCACATGCACAAATAATCATGACCACTACTACCAATATACTTTGGAAACATTCCTTAGATATTATTAAGCTTTTATTTTAATATCTGGCTTCTTATTCTCCATCATGATATGAAGTACTTTTTAAACAACATAGCAACCTTTCCCATAAAAGAACTTTATAAAATTGAATTAACCACTTCAAATTTCATATTTTGGGGAAGGAAGAACTTACACAGTAAAAATGTTCCTTTCCTTAAGATCTAAGAAATAATCTTACTTTATTTGTCTTGTGCTATAGCACATGATAAAGTATACTTTACAATTGTTTTTACTGGTTTAAATTTAATTTTTTATCTAGATCAAGGGTTGGCAAACTATGGCCCACGGGCCAAATTCAGCCCACTGCCTGTTTCTGTAAAAAAAACTCATTAGAATACAGCTATGTCCATTCACTTACGTACTATCTCTGTGTCTGTGCTATAATGACACAGTTGTGACAGACAGCGCATGACCAGGAAAGGTGAAAATATTTATTATCTGGCCCTTCATGGAAAAGAAATCGCCAAACTATGATCTAGAAAGAACCTTAGTCTCTCTTTTTCTCTCTTGAAAAATGCAAGGCTACTCTTGAAAGTTTAGACTAGAGTGCAAATGGTAGCCTAACTGCAAAGGGATAAGGATTGGCTTATTGTGTGTGACAAGGCCAAGTAGATACAGTCCAGAAAAAGTTGCCTATAAAGCAAAAAATGGCTATAGACACAAATCCTAGCCTTATTTCACCCATGTATTGCCATTACAAAATTAGAGAAAACTTTTTATCCAAAAGCAAGCAAGTAATCCCAAACAGACACCCCCCGCCCCAAAAATCAAACTTACCAAAAAGCATGCATCATTTTAATCATATATTCAAAAGAATGGTTATTTCAAGACAGGTATTATTTAAAGCCATAAAATAAACTACAGATACAGTATACAGTCACTATCAAAAGCAACAATCTTTATGTGAAACAAAATTACAGTGAAATGCTGAAGAAGCAAGTACTACTTTCACAACTGAGTTATTAGATTTACCTAACCCTTCCTTCTAACTTGATATTTTTATTATCCCTACGCTCAAGCTTTTTGGACATCATCTGCTTATTCTAATTATCTTTTTTCCCAAGACACCTCTCCATTTAGATAGGAAACAAAACTACACCCTAAAAATAGCCAGTCCCTACTCAGAAACAATGAACAAGGATTCCTGTACTATAGCTGCAACAATATAGTATTAACTCAAAGTTTAAGAAATAAAAATCTTTCTATAGCACAATGGAGATTTCCCATATAACAATGTTCTTTCTCTGCTGCTACTGGTCCATAAAAAAAGTACAGATTAAAGTAATCAGGTTATTTCATCAGTACATTAGAAGCTTTAAAACTCTGTATCTTTGGCTTTCTTACATTGAAGGAAACCAATATATGAATAGAGAAGACAACATAAGGTAATTATCTCTTGCTTTTATATAAGGAAACTGTGGATTAATATATTTTTTTGTTTTTCAACTACGATGCACTTCTTACTAAATCCAAATATTTACAGCAAAGATTCTTAAACCAAAGTAAGAAATTAGAAGTTAGTATGGGGCTGGGCGTGGTGGCTCACGCCTGTAATCCCAGCACTTTGGGAAGCCAAGGTGGGTGGATCACGAGGTCAGGAGTTCGAGACCAGCCTGGCCAACATGGTGAAACCCTGTCTCTACTAAAAATACACAAATTAGCAGGGCATGGTGGCACACCCCTGTAATCCCAGCTACTCAGGAGGCTGAGGCAGGAGAATTGCTTGAACCTGGGAGGCGGAGGCTGCAGTAAGCTGAGATTGTGCCACTGCACTACAGCCTGGGCAACAGAGCAAGACTCCGTCTTAAAAAAGGAAAAAATAAAAATAAAGTAGTATGTGGAATATGTGTATAATTAGTTTTCAAAGTAATCTCATGTAAATGTTTTCTGTGGGTGTTTTCCCCCTTTAATTGGGGTGGGGGCATAACACCAAATGTGTATATAATGTATATTTTCATCCTATACTAATTTGCTAATGTTATTACTAAATGAAAATACCAGGTCCTTATATAATGAAGTACTTTCTAGAAAAGAAGAGAATAAGGTTCTAGAAAAGAAGAGAGTAAGGTTCTATCTAGACAAATGATCAAATTGAAACCAACTAAAAAAAAATTCCAAAGTACTTTTTAACACAAGACACAGAAGTAAATAAAAGCTATTTCTGGGATCTTAAGGAAAGGAACTATCCAAGTTCTTTCAACTAGAGAAAACAAAATCTGGGCTGGATGTGGTGGATCATGCCTGTAATCCAGCACTGTAGGAGGCCCAGGCAGGTGGATCGCCTGAGCTCAGGAGTTCAAGAGCAGCCTAGGCAACATGGTGAAACCCCATCTCTATTTAAAAATAAAAAATAAATAATACATTTTATAAAATTTCTTCATAGAAAAAGTTGTCAGTTTAAAAAGAATTTATATCATGATATGGCAAAAGGTATTATGGTCAAGCTTGAGTTATTCACAGCCTATACGGGTGCTCAATAAAGAATTCCTTCTACTTCCTAAAACCATTTATAACAAAACAATTTTTCTTGGAATACACACATTTCAAATGAATAAGTATGCATCATTTTAAAAATTAAACTAATAACTCAACTTTTCTATCTTCTTAATTCATGGGTACTACTACTGCATGAAGTTGTTTCATGGCATCTTTCTTAAAGTATTTCCAATAACACAAAATATGAGGTTTGGAATCAAATAATTTAAAATGAATTCTTCGCTGAATGGTAAGTGAATACTGGCAATGTATCCATTAGGAGATCCAGCTTGGTAAGTTGTCGTTTACAATTACTGCTTTCTAATATATGTTTTAAGAAAATTTACTTTGGAAACCTACTTTTCACAGAAGTCATTCAGAACACCCCAGTAACCTTCAGGAACAACAAACCATTCACAGTCACCTGGGCCAATATTTATGTTAACTGAACAGAAGTTGTTATTTTCCTGATGACCTGAAATGTGAAAAGAAAAAAAATTGGAGCTCCAGTGGTGCAATTGGTTAGCACACGGTACTTATACAGAAAAAAATTAATCATCACACTATAATTCTATAGAAAAATGGGTCTTTGGAAACAAAACCTTACAAATGCTCAACAGAGAACACTCTAGTAGTATTTAGTTCTTCATCACTGTAGCATTTTTGTGTCAACTCCTAACATACTCAGTAAGAGCTTCTATGATAGGCAGTATAATCATGGTTAAGAGATTAGGCTCTGGAGCCAGACTCCTTGGCTTAGTCATTAATTGAACCTGGGCAAGTTGGTAAACCATTCTGACTCAGTTTCCCTATATGTAAGAACAGATAATAATAATCTCTATAAATTGTTGGGTTGTTTTGAAGATGGATAAACTAATGAATGCATATAACAGTGCTTAATACAGATGCTCCTTAACTTACAGATGGGACTACATCCTGATAAACCCATAGTAAGTTGAAAAATACCTTAAGTTGAAAATGCATTTAATACTCTGATAAACCCACCATAAAGTCCAAAAGTGGTAAGTTGAACCATTTCAACTCAGGGACCATCTGTACACAGTAAGCAATAAATATTAGCTATTATAGATATCATTACCATTTTTTTCCTTATGAACTAATCTCCAGGAACAGTGTTTACCCCATAACAAGGTACTCAAAATAATGTTTTTTGCCCAACATTTATATCAGTGTCCAATGACAGAGTACAGAGCAGAACATAGTTCTTCTATCATTTATTCCAGAACTCTTTGCACTTTACCTGACTATGGATAAAATATCACAGAATTGGGCTTCTAATGGTCTGAGGATAACAATTATAACCAATAGTTCTAATCCTGGCTGTATATTAGAATCCTCTGGGGACCTCAGTTAAAAACCAACCAACCCACCCACCTACCCTCATGCCTGGATCTGAATCCTAGAGATTAATTAATTACATACTTTTAAAAAGCTACCAGGTGTGGTGGCTCAAGCCTATAATCCCAGCACTTTGGGAGGTCCAGAGGGAAGAATAACTTGAAGTCATTATGTGAACCTCAAAACAATTAGCCAGGCATGGTGGCATGTACTTGTAGTCCTAGCTACTTGGGAGGTTGAGGCAGGAGAATTGCTTGAGCCCAGGAGTTAAACAAGGTTACAGAGAGCTATGATCACATCACTGCACTCCAGCCTGAGTGACATAGCAAGACCCTGTCTCTTAAAAAAGAAAAAAGAAAAAAGGACAAGAGAATCAAATCAGCAGCCAGGATGGGGAACCACTGACCCATTTTACCCAGAAGCAAGCATAGCCCTATTCTGAAAAAATTCTTAAGCACGACTCAGTAAGAATGTGAACAAAGAAGGAAGCAGTCTGGTTTTCAAACCATGGCTGCATCAAGTAGCAAAGAGAAGCACCTGAGGGAGACCTGCAGCCCCAAGTACATTGGTACAGCTGAACTGGTCATCAACAGTATCTCTTCTAATTGATCAGTGCTGCGATTGTGGCAATTGTTAAATATTTTGAATATCACCCTGTGAAATTTCATGTCAATGCAAAAGAGCACAAAGAAGATGGTACTTCAGTACTGGATGGAAAATTTAAGTCTAAAAACAATGTAATTCACTTTATAAATGAAGAAAAAGACCTAAAGAAGAAATGTAACTTGCCAAAAGTGACAAGCCTAATTAGTGGCAAAGTCTAGACTAGTTATTAGAATGAGTCTAGTAATGTCTCCACATGATGAAGTTTTTTTAAAACCGTGAGTTGTGATCCACTTAGAAAACTGCAACCTACACTTTATTTTTTAAATGAAACAGAATAGAATAGATTGGAAAACGTATTGTTCAATAAAACTGCTGCTGTATACATACATGTGCATTCGGTTACATATAAAACATACTTTTTATTGTTACTTGGGTTAAAAGAAAAATTCAAAAACACTGCACCCCATCACTCTCTGCAACAGATGGGATTGACAACAGAGTCTTCAGGCCAAAAGAACTTATTTCCCAGTGGTGCTCCAATGACCCCTTTCCAGATTAAATTGTTATAATGTTTCTGGGCTATTACACTAAAAAAAGATAATGAAAAGGGGAAAAATCTTAATCTGAGCCCAGTTAAAAAGTCTTATAACAGGAACAACTCTCAGTTTTATTCATTATAAATGACAAGATTCTGGCTGTCTTTGCATGTTTCATATTTTGATTTTGTTTTCCATTTTAACAAGATATGTTAGTTCATACAAATTACCTGGTGTTCTGCTCCCTGGAACTTTCATGTATAGTTGAACTGTGTTCATGCCCAATATGGTATGACCAACATGGCTTAGAAGATTTCCTGCTGATACGACACGCACAAAAGCAGGAAGTTTAGTCAGCTCATGTAGCTGCAACTTCCACCTGCAATAAAATAACACATCAAAAGTGAAACTCTGCTACAAATACCTGTGGAAGTTTACCATTTCTTCAAAACCCTTGTGTTCCAATCAGAAAAAACAATTAAGTCTATAAATATTTTACTTTTCCATAAGAAAATGCTTAAATTTTTAATTTTTTCCAAAGAAAACTTCCCAACAAAAAATAGGCATAAAAATTATTCACCAATAAAAGAAAAAAACTATTTTAATAGTTGTACAATTATATTTTATAAATACATTTTCACGTAACTATTTCATATAATTAAAAATATAATTTGTGATTATGTAATTAGCATATAGTCAGAGTCTTGATGAAAAACTGCAGAAAAGTTTTAAGTAAAAAAAAAAATTTGGCAGGGTGCAGTGGCTCACAACTGTAACCCCAACACTTTGGAAGGCTGAGGTGGGAGGATCCCTTGAGCCCAGGAGTTCAAGACAAGCCTGGGCAACACAGTGAGACCCCATCTCTATTTTTAAAAAAAAATTTTAAAATTTTAATTGTAAAATGTAGCAAAAAAAGTTTAGCTTAAATTCATGTCAACTTAAAAAAAATGACAATAAATGAAACAGAAGAGGAAATTGTAGAGAATTCCCAATCTAGCACAGGATAACTCTTTGCATCAGTTCACAGAAATATTACTACAAGGACTTACTTTTTGTCATCAGATAGGTCAATATTGGTCCCAAACTTTATGGTTTTAAAGGGTCCTTTCCTCCTCCTCCCAGAACTTAAAAAAGAGACACAGTATTAGAAACATGCCTTTTAAAAAGAAATACTAAGTGGACATTAAAAATGACTTACTTATCTGACGATGTAGATTCACTATCTGAGTGGTCTTTATGATGACTTCTTTTTTCATTTTCTTCCTATAGATTAAGCAAAAAGCAGTCTAGTTTAGTGTTCTACAACTGGCAATCCTTTCCACCATACAACTGAAAAAAAGTTCATATCTAGATTGAATAGTATTATTTGTGTTTTGAAACTAAGTTTCATGTTTTTAATTTTTTGAGACAAGGTTTGACTCCTGTTGACCAGGCTGGAGTGCAGTGGTGCGACCCCGGCTCACTGCAACCTCTGCCTCCTGGGCTCAAACGATTCTCCTGCCTCAGCCTCCTCAGTAGCTGGGACTATTAGGTGCGCATGACCACGCCCAGCTAATTTTTGTATTTTTGGTAGAGATGGGGTTTTGCCATGTTGCCCAGGCTAGTCTCCTGTGCTCAAGCTGTCTACCGGCCTCAGCCTCCCAAAGTGCTGGGATTACAGGCGTGAATCACCATGCCTGGCCTTGAAACTAAGTTTCTATAGGCCTCTTACACATGAAAATTTCTTCAAACACCACATTAAATAAATAAATACCCAAGAAAGCCAGGCACAGTGGCTCATGCCTGTAATCCCAGCACTTTGGGAGGCCGAGGCAGAGGGATCACGAGGTCAGGAGATCAAGACCATCCTGGCTGACACAGTGAAACCGTGTCTCTACTAAAAATACAAAAAAATTAGCCGGGCATGGGGGCAGGCGCCTGTGGTCCCAGCTTCTTGGGAGGCTGAGGCAGGAGAATGGCGTGAACCCGGGAGGTGGAGGTTGCAGTGAGCTGAGATCACGCCACTGCACTCCAGCCTGGGCGACAGAGTGAGACTCGTCTAAAAAAAATAAAAAATAAAAAATAAATAAATACCCAAGAAAAGTTGAATCTCACCGGCATGGTATCCAACTTCCTCCACTAGCCACAAAGTTATAATACAGATTCTCATACCTGCCCCATTTTCAAGAGGAGAGAAAACTTGAGGAAAGCTGAAAGGCCTAGGGCATCCCAATCTTGATTATAAATGATATAAGCTAGCAGAGGTGTATGTATGTGTACATAGCTATATATGTGTAATAGTGGAAGATAAGATACTTTTTATTCTTGATTATGAACAAAGGAAAAGTTCTTCCAGGGGATATTTATTCCACAATGAATTACACACAAATGACAAAATGTTTAGAACATTGCTGGATACATATAGGTATTTTTCAATGCAAATATTACTTTTATTTACAACTCTTGAGTCACAGACATGATATCTGTTAACACTGTTTTATGATTTCTGAGTTAGCAATACTTCTGACCTTTGGCTTCCATTCCTTTAAATGTATAGTGTCTGAACATTTGTCAAACTTTTCACATGTAATGGTCCATGTCTTAAAGCATACTAAAAGACCCCATGCTGGCAGGGCACGGTAGCTCATGCCTATAATCTCAGCACTTTGGGAAGCCGAGATGGGCAGATCACCTGAGGTTGGGAGTTCGAGACCACCCTGACCAACATGGAGAAACCCCGTCTCTACTACAAATACAAAATTAGCTGGGTGTGGTGGCACATGCCTGTAATCCCGGCTACTCGGGAGGCTGAGGCAGGAGAACTGCTTGAACCTGGGAGGCGGAGGTTGCAGTGAGCCGAGATCATGCCGTTGCACTCCAGCCTGGGCAACAAGAGCGAAACTCCGTCTCAAAAAAACAACAACAAAACCCCAAGCTTTCTTTGGCTATGGAACCCTCCCCATTTAAATAGACTGCCTCTTACTATCTTTGCTTTTCAACTCTTCCTCCAAATTTTTCTTTGATGATCTTTGACTCCTTCTTACTATTTATTCTCTTCTGACTATAATATTACCAGGTACTTGAAGTATCTTGAAAGTCTGAACTACAGAGTTATATGGACAATGAATTCACTGCAACTCAGTAAAGTCACAGGATAGTTTTTATTAGAAGAATTTCTTTGTAATATATAGGGAGCGGCAGGGGGAAAGGAAGACAAATATACAATTTACAGGCAGAAATGCTATCTTGATTGAAAATATGAGTTGGCAGAATTTTAAACAAAGACAACAAGCAAATCTAATGAATCACAAATTAAAGACTTTCAGCCACATACTGTCAGTGGTAGGACATTTGAAGAAAAAACAACTTAGTGCAGACAAGTATTTGAGTAATACGTTTAATAAACTCATTTGTTTGGATGTATTATGTTCACTTTGTAAGAGAATTCACAAAGTTCTCATTATAGTGCTAGAGGATTTTTGTAATGCTTCAGTGCTGAAAGGGCTATATGGGTCTTTTAATAATAATAATCCTGATTATTTTTACATTTTTGTTTTTTAATTTCCTCCTTCAGATTTCTCTTACAGCCTAAGATTGGTAAGAAGAACACTAATGTTTCCTGCAGGAGTTGTCTATGAGATAGCACTAAAGAAAAAAATGAGAAGACCAAACCGGATTTTACAAGCATAAAATAAACTTGAGACTTAGTTTATCCTCTAAATCAGTAGTTCTCAACCAGGAGTGAATGTGCCCTTCAGGGGGTATATGACATGTCTGGAGATATTTTTGAGAAGCCAGAGATGCTAATAAATACCCTGCAAGGTGCAGGACAGTCCCCCCACAACAAAGAATTATCCAGTCCAAAATGTCAATAGTATCGAAGTTAAGAAACCCTGCTCTAAAAAAAGTATCCCAGAAATGAGACATTTCACTAGACAGTAATTCTATTTCCCCATGATGCTATTTACTTCATGAATCCATCAATTTGTTTAGATTTTACTAAAAGCAAACTGAGGGTGGGTGCGGTGGCTCACGCCTGTAATCCCAGCACTTTGGGAGGCCGAGGTAGGCGGATCACTTGAGGTCAGGAGTTCGAGACCAGCCTGGCCAACATGGTGAAACCCAGTTTCTACTAAAAATGCAAAAAAGTTAGCTGGGCGTGGTAGCACATGCCTGTAATCCCAGCTACTCAGGAGTCTGAGACAGGAGAATCGCTTGAACCTGGGAGGCAGAGGGTGCAGTGAGCCAAGATCGTGCCACTGCGCTCTAGCCTAGGCGACAGATGGAGACTCCGTCTCAAAATACACATACGTACGTACATACATACATACATACATACATACATACATACATACATATATACATACGAGACAACTGGAGAACACTTACAAAGTATTTTATGTAACATAAAATGATGAGATGCATATAAAAGTAATGTGTCCTTTCAAAACTCCAAAGTAAAATCATCTTTAAAATCCTAAAATAATCTTTAGGATACAAATACTTACTCTCAATGATTCCTGGAATGAGGAGGCCTGGTACTGTGCATATTTAGCAATTGTAGTATGAGATCTATTACTTTCACAATGCCAGATTTTCTTTGTTCCAGTGGGATCCCAGTTTTCATCTGCTGGCTGCAACAACTGTGTCCTCACTTCTACCATATGTTCATTGTTAGCTTCCACCAAAGTTTTAGTAGAGAAAAGTCCCAGGTCTTCATGAATACATAAATGTAGTTAAAAAATGAAAATTATATTTGGGATAATATTTTAAGTGCTTTTTTTTTTTAAAGGAAGAAGGTAAAGCATTTTACGGCACTGTATCCAGTTCCCATAAAAAACTAGGGCCTCTGCACAACCTGAGCTATGTGCCAAGTTTGCAGAACCATACGCTGAAGCCCTGAATCTAACTGCTATGTCATCCCATCCGAGAAAGAATTAAGTGTGAAAGGACTGAAATTTCACTTATTTATTTAATTTCTGCAGATGCCAGGAAATACTTATGGGGCTATAGTATTTATTAGTAGCATCAAATTTCACCTACATTTTATAATCAAATTTTTTCTATTAACCTAAATCACAATTATGTAAACGGACCAAAGTAATAGCTAAATTTAAAAACCTCCACCAAATTGTCAGTAACCAGTATCACCAACAATATATTCACATCATGGATTAAAGAAGTGATACACACACTCTCTCTCATTCTTAGTACTAAAAAAAAGTAAAATTAAAATACAAAAAAAGAAAAAAAAAGAAAAAAGAAAAAAAAGAAAAGTATCTGCCAGTGCTGGAAAAGTTAAAAGATAGCAAAACAAAGAGACAAACGTTTTCCTTTTTTAATTTAAGGCTTACCTAACTTAAGAGCTCCAGCAAGGCCACGTATTACTGTAACAGGGTTGTTCGGATTTGTACAAAATTGATGTAATGGAGGAAAGAAAGCATCACGTTTATTTTCCAACTGTAAAATTAAAATATGTGGTTAGATCTCAGGAAAACAGAGCTTTTATTTAAATATTATGCTCCAAATTAATATTCATTATTTTTCACAATTTAAATAACGCATTTTATGGGGTGATATTTCTATTTGACAGTATCTTATCACTGTGACTTTTGATTCTAGTTTTAATCAGATAGTAACCACATACATTTCTCCTTTCCATTTTATCATGACAAAAATATGTAGGAGAAATGAAACTGAAATTAAACTTCAAAATCAAAGTGTTTTAAATATTATTCAGTCTTAAAATGAAAAGACAATCTTGACACATGCTGCAACATGGATGAATCTTGAGGACATTATGTTAAGTGAAATAAGCCAGTCACAAAAAGACAAATATTGTATGGTTCCACTTACATGAGGTATCTAGAATAGTCAAATTTATAGAAACAGAAAGTAGAATGGTAGTTGCCAGGGGCTGGCAGGAGGGAGAAATGGGTAGTTGTTCAGTGTGTAGTTTCAGTTTGTCAAGATGAGAAAGTTCTGGAGATTGGTTGGACACCAATGTGAATATGCTTAACAGTACTGAACTGCACACTCAGAAATGGGTAAGATGGTAAATTTTATGCTATGTGTTTTTAAAAAATCACAATATAAGAGAGGAAAAGAAAAAAAATTATGCCTAAACAAATATTATCAAAGAAAGCAGACTGAAGAGGACCCATAAAAGATAAAAACTTAATTTTGCATTTTTTTTTCTCCTCAGAGCTCACTTTACAAGTTTTTTTACATGTCTATCCCAGTGCTTCCCTTACATAGTAAGGGATAAACAACAACTGGTTGGAGGAAGAATTAATATGATAATATTTGGCCTCTAGAGGGCAAGGGGGTTAAATCTATAAAACAAACTCTAGTACCATTTTATAGATGCAAGATCATTATACATATACTACCCTAACTTTATACTTACAAAATTTTAATTTGGGATAGAAGCAGGAAAATGAAAGGAAATAGGATAGGAAGATCTATTTGGAAGAAACAGAAATAGGAATTGTTTTGATTGAACTGCTAATGACTTCCTATATCAGATTCCTATATTTCTATAAAGTAAAACTAGTATCTAGTTTTAAATGTTTTAAATAACCTATTAAGTTTTTTTAGTCACATATATCTACTATCACACTTATGTTCTCAAACACTTATTTTGAAGGTAGTATCTTTTTTGGGGGGGTAGATGTATAAAACAGAATGAATGTTAAGGTCCACATAACTAAGTAGAATGTGGATTTAAAACCCAGTTTACTAAAAAAAGTTACACTTTTAGGTAGCTTTTTCCTAACGCTGCTCAAAATTAGGGCAATAAAAAATGTTTCTCATGATTCTAATATCATCACAGTTAATAGCTGAGAAGGTCCTTTAAAAATGCTATTACAAAATCTTCTTGAATATATCTTCCCCCCCGCCCCCAAACTATTTAATCTGCTGCCAATAATTGTAATGTTTCCTAAAGGGCATCCATGTAAATTTAAAGATTTTATGAAAGACAGGTAGTTGCAAACACTGTTTTATTTCTAGTCAGTCAATTCAGACTCACGTAAATACTAGGTGTAGGTGGATTCAACTTGTCCTTTGGCAAGGGAGGGTATGGTGAAGATGGTGGTCTTGGAGGTGGACATTTATCCAACAAAATGCTACTGTTAGATAAGCCATTTTTACCTAGATTCCTGGAAAAAAAAAAAAAGGGATAATCAGTTGTACATTTATTTGGAAAACAGAAAAAAAAAAAAAGAATCCTGAATTAAGTCCTAATTAAATTACTAGGCATTTGCACAAGTCCATGAGATGTGGGATGTGGATCCATCAGGAAAAACACTAAGAATGATTATTAATTTCAGCAAAGACTTGATTCCTATATATCCTCCACTGAAGGAAAATAAAAGATATCACAACATATAAATTATTGATGACATTCCTTATTTTGCTCGTAATTTTCCAATTTATTTTCACCTAAACAACAAACATGAGCTTACAATTTCCTCTCTACCATCACATTCTTTTCCATCAATGTTAAAATATTAACTTGACCAAAAAAAGTTCTAGGTAATAGTAAAAAACAGAATGTCTCTTTTCCTGTGTCTCATCTTAGCAATTATAATCAGAATATCTTTGTAACAACTCTCAAACCTGAGATTTTTTCCTTTTTCTCAAATCAGAAAAAAATTTCCTATGCAACTCCTTGACTATACAGCAAATTATGCTACTTCTTTTTAAACAATGCATATAACTGCTATCTACTCTCTGACACTGTATATAATTATTACTTACTGGTATTTAGGTTGATGAAGGTATCACTCTGTTAAAATTATAAATTCTTAAGATAGTGTAGAATTATTCCCTAACAATAATTCTTTCAGTACAAGCAAGATATTTCCAATGTTTCTACTAAACTTAGAAAATCAACAAGAAATAATTTTGAGCTTTCAAACCACTCCAGTTTAACTAACTTACCCCACCGAATTATTACAAGTTCAAAAGCAATCAATGCATTAAAATATTAAGTACTCTTAATATATTAAATTTCAAGTAATAATTTGAAATTTTCAATTATTCTGGGAACTCAAAAACTCAGTAACTTAAGAAGGAATTAGCTATTTTCATCACAAAGAATAAAACAGGTTGAAACAAAATTAATTTTCCTTATCTTGCTACACTGAACAAAGTGTTACAAATTAGCCTGTTTTGGTTGATACTAATGAAAACTAGGGCTTAAACCTTCACTGCCATAGACTTTTAAGATGTTATACTAAATAGCATCATGGGTGTTACTTTCTTAATTTTTTCAACTACAACTCCAAGTAAAAACAACAAAGTTCATGGCAGGTCTCAAAGGAATGATTTACATTTAAAATAATTGACTTTTAAATAAAAATACATGAAAATATTATTAAACTGAAATTTTACATTCAGCTAACAAGTAAGGTTAAAGGTTGAATAAATTTTCTGTCCAAAACTAGTTTTCAATCTCTTTCCACAAAGCACATGTGCCTTGTACATTTAAAGACAGATATACACTTAAGCTTTTAGATTTGGGTATAAAGTTGGTACCAATTTATAAACTCCATCAAATTTTTGCTTTTAACATGTAGAAAATTTTTGGCGAGACTGGGAAAGAAACAACTCAAGTATTATCATTAAACCAATGCAAGATAAAACAGTTACAATATCTACATAAATAATAGTTTTCATGCTGAATTGTGTATCTGCCACTCTATCGAATATAAGCAAAATATGACTCAGAATACAGAAACTGTCTTTTAGGAAAGGAGATGGATATACTACTGTAGAGTAAATGGTTACTATTTTGAAGAAATTGAAGTATATGAACCATGTATTAAAACTGTGCTATACAAGAGCATCTCAAACTAATTAAATGTGGCACCTAAATTTAAGCTTCTACAACATACTGGACATTGAGAGATGAGACTAGAAAACAAGGTTTGACAGATTAGTAGAATTCTGTCTCTGTCATTTACACAGATCTGTAACAATTAAAAAAGAGACAAATGACAAAGTAAAACAATGGAAAATGTTGTTGCCAATATTTTAAAATAGAAAAGAAAAAGGTGGGGCATGACTAAGGGAGCTGACAACAATTCAATCACTTGAATGTTGCAATTACAATTTTAGACATGAAAGAAGCAAAAGTATTATAACTGCCTTTTAATGTATACCACTGACCACTGCAACAATAAGATAAACTAAACAAGAATCAGATTTAAAAATAACCAGCACTTTAACTACATATATGGAAATAAAGGGGTATCCAATAGTGCATTCAAGTCATACCTAGCAGTTTCTTATTGTGTTTGAAATGCTGACTACCTGCCTATTAAGGTCAATTTTCAAACACATAGGAATTTCCCTGAAGGAACTGATGGTATCTATAGTGCTCTGCATAGCAAATATAAGCTATTTCCACTTAAAATATATTGACCAATCCTAATGCAAAGGGCAGGGCTGTGATAACAGGAATAGACTTTATCTTCTATGTAAATGCCCAACACTGTTTAGAACACCTCAAGCCAAATAATAAAACTTTCATATAAAAATCCAAAGTGGAGAAAGGAGTTGAAGAAAGAAGCAGATTTTGGACCAAAACAGCATGGTACTGGTACCAAAAGAGAGATATAGACCAATGGAACAGAACAGAGGCCTCAGAAATAACACCACACATCTACAATCATCTGATCTTTGACAAACCTGACAAAAACAAGAAATGAGGAAAGGATTCCCTATTTAATAAATGGTGCTGGGAAAACTGGCTGGTCATATGTAGAAAGCTGAAACGGGATCCCTTCCTTACATCTTTTACAAAAATTAATTCAAGATGGATTAAAGACTTAAACGTTAGACCTAAAACCATAAAAACCCTAGAAGAAAACCTAGGCAATACCATTCACGACATAGGCATGGGCAAGGACTTCATGACTAAAACACCAAAAGCAATGGCAACAAAAGCCAAAATAGACAAATGGGATCTAATTAAACTAAAGAGCTTCTGCACAGCAAAAGAAACTACCATCAGAGTGAACAGGCAACCTACAGAACGGGAGAAAACTTTTGCAATCTATCCATTCTGACAAAGGGCTAATATCCAGAATCTACAAAGAACTTAAACAAATTTACAAGAAAAAAACAAACAACCCCATCCAAAAGTGGGCAAAGGATATAACAGACACTTCTCAAAAGAAGACATTTATGCAGCCAAAAGACGCATGAAAAAATGCTCATCATCACAGGTGATCAGAGAAATGCAAATCAAAACCACAATGAGATAACCATCTCACACCAGTTAGAATGGCAATCATTAAAAAGTCAGGAAACAACAGATGCTGGAGAGGATGTGGAGAAATAGGAACACTTTTACACTGCTGGGAGTGTAAACTAGCTCAACCATTGTGGAAGACAGTGTGGAGATTCCTCAAGGATCAAGAGCTAGAATACCATTTGACCCAGCAATCCCATTCATTACTGGGTATATACCCAGAGGATTATAAATCATGCTACTATAAAGACACACGCACACGTATGTTTATTGTGGCACTATTCACAATAGCAAAGACTTGGAACCAACCCAAATGTCCATCAATGATAGACTGGATTAAGAAAATGCAGCACACATACACCATGGAATACTATGCAGCCATAAAAAAGGATGAGTTCATGTCCTTTGCAGGGACATGGATGAAGCTGGAAACCATCATTCTGAGCAAATTATCACAAGGACGGAAAACCAAATACTGCATGTTCTCACTCATAGCTAGGAACTGAACAATGAGAACACATGGACACAGGGTGAGGAACATCACACACCGGGGCCTGCTGTGGGGTGGAAGGCAGGGGGAGGGATAGCATTGGGAGAAATATCTAATGTAAATGACAGGTTGATGGGTGCAGCTGGCCAGCATGGCACATGTATACCTATGAAACGAGCCTGCACATTGTGCACATGTACCCTAGAACTTAAAGTATATATATGTATATATATATATATTATTATATTTTTTTAAATAATATACAATTTATTAATACAAACTTATGAAAACTGCTACTATACACAGTTTGTAACTTGGGGAACAGAACATAGCTCCATGGAACTCTTTCTGACAATATTCCTCCTTAGGTCCCATGCAGTTCATGATGTTAGTTTTGAACCTCCAAATCTTCCCCATTTTCTAGCAACTGTCCTGAGTCTACAGAGAGTGGATGAGAGAGAAAGCCCCTGCTCCAGCAGTTAGAGCAGCAGTACCTAGGAAACAGGACAGAGGCCCCAGCAGATGAGTGAGGAGCAGGTAGAAGACAGTCAAACTGGCAGTGAATCAAGGCACTGTCTAAGGAGAGCCAAGTGTAGCATTTAATCTGAACACTCCCTATTTTCTGTAGGCCCAGAGTTGAACTGAATGATAGCCTAACTTCAAAAAAAAAACTAATATAAAAACCTATAATATAAAAATTTCTAAAGAAACAAATTTTAGGAACTCAAGAACCTCACTATATGCTTTAGAAGAATTTCATTTAGAGATCATCCAATGTCCTCTTAAGTTACTGACCTTAAAAAATCTTGTAAGACAGTTAAGATTAATTACAGCAATCACCATGTTGTAGGTCACTAAGGAAAATGCTGCCAACAACGTGGACCCAATAAAGAAAAAAATAAAATATAAAAAAGGATGTAATTTCTGCCCTAGTCTATGTCAGAATAACAACTAAATAGTTAAAATTTGACAGGAAATAATGAAATAGAAACTAACAGAAATAGAAACTAATAGAAAATGAAACAAAGACCAGCTGGGCACAGTGGCTCACGCCTGTAATCCCAGCACTTTGGGAGGCAGAGGCAGGTGGAACACTTGAGGTTGGGAGTTCAAGACCAGCCTGACCAACATGGAGAAACCCCGTCTCTACTAAAAAATACAAAATTAGCCAGGTGTGGTGCTGCATGCCTGTAATCCCACCCAGCTACTTGGGAGGCTTGAGGCAGGAGAATCGCTTGAACCTGGGAGGCAGAGCGTGCGGTAAGTTGAAATCGCGCCATTGCACTCCAGCCTGGGCAACAAGAGCGAAACTGTCTTAAAAAAAGACAAGAAAAGACAAGAAAAGACAAGAAAAGACAAGAAAAGAAAAGAAAACACAGACCAAAAGGTATTTTTAACACTCAAACTCTTTAAAGAAAAATGACTATAGTGTAATTTATAGTAAAGTTCTAGTGTCACAATTAAAGCGATAAATTTAAATTAATTGAAATTTCTTCTCCATACTCCATTGCTCCTACCCCACATCCCTCCCAAGCAGCAAACTTATATATAAATAAAATTTAATTTCACCTCAATCATTCGTCAGTGACAAACATTTAACGGTAGACCCAGGATACCTTCTAATAAAATAATCTGAACAACAGAAAAGATAATCACACTTTTACATAACAATAAATAAGACATATAAGTACTAGCAACTGCAGGAAGAGGTTTATATGGCTATAAATAAGAATTGTTTTGAACTTTAAAATGTAAAAGCTATATTAAATGGTCAATGTAGCCAAACTAGAACTAATGTTTATAATTTCTATTTATAGAATGGTTATTTTCTATATATCATGACAATCTACAACCAAAAAAAGATCTTTTTAAAATCTACTATATGTCTGCTCAAACTTAACATTTAATGTATCAGAAAATATTACAGAATTATTTGTTTGTTCCAGTTATGTTAACTAAATTTCATTCAAGATTTAGTCACTTATAGAGGACAACAACTACAAGTAAATGAGAAAAATTATATATGTGTCATATACAATGAAAAGGCCAGTAAGAATCTATATGTCCTCCAAATATCAGAGAAAGATGATGCTGCCTGATCCTTTGATTCTTCTTTTGTGGGACAGAGGAGGTTCATTTCTTCATAAATTTCTGAGGCCCTGCCCTTCCTAGACTAGCAGAATATGTCTGGCTCCTTCCAGAATGGCTGACAGTCTGTCATGTCTCTCCACTGCCCATTGCCCCTGACCTCTTCCTTCCTCTTCTGCCTGCTTTATAACCTCTTCTAGATTCAAACAGTCCAGTTTTCTCAATTGTAAGCAAAGACTAGCCTTGATAAGTGATGGGGTCCATTCCTAGCCTAACATTTAATAGGCTCTGATAAAAAAAAAAAAAAAACCCATAGGGTTTTCCAGCCTTGCTGTATTTGGCCAAATATGATTTAACCCATTCTCTTGTTTAAATCCCCAGAGCGAAGTCAATCACACTGAAGCTGACAACCTAGTAACCAGTAGAGGGCAGTAACAGCACAATCAGACACACCCACTCAAAATAAGCAATTTACAGGAATACTTCTCACATCTGATTTGACTACAACATCTAAGCAAAATAAAGCTTCTGTCAAACTCTTAGATGAATGACTACACCATCTTTTGCTTACTTCCCATATCTTAAACGGTCCAAATTTCAGCATTCTGATCATGCCAGTAAGTCAAACATTTTCACTTTGATGAACTTTCCCACACTAACCTGCATGCCTTCAGAACTTCTGCTGAGCTGGGGTATATGGACACAGACATTGATGGTATGATCTGTGGACTAGGTTTGTGGTTAACCAGAAGCAGATCTGTTTTCATGGGGCTCTGAGATTCTTCCATCCCTTCTCCATTAATTGTGTGTAGCCCACTGTGAGGGCTGTTAAGGCTGGTAACACTGTTTGTGGTTGTCTGCTCAGTGGATTTTGGAGAAGGTGTTGCTGTTGAAATGGCTGAAGATGGTGAAGAGGCAACAGAGTTATCAGTCTTTGTATGAACAGCTGGGTGGATGTTATTGACTTTGTCACAGGTTCCAGTACCCACATTGTTATTGGCTTTTCCCATCAACAAGGCAGAGAGCTGAGGATTGTCTGAACTTAGTAAACCTGGTGACTTAGAATCTCCATGGCTAGGACTGCAAACAGCATCTGCCGTCATCTGATGGACATGATTAGGAAGTCCCTCGACACTGGCAGTGCTGTTAGGTGTCTCTCCAGTGTGCCTGCTTGTTTCAGGCACCGTCAATATGTTTCCTGAAGGCTTGCTCTCTTTGGTTAAGGTAATGCCTTGTTGTCCACCTGAGGTAGCAGTGTGAGAGGAGAGGTGATTGAGAGCAGCCCCCTGTGTTACTGAATTGCTAGGCAGGGTGGGATGTCCGTTCTGATTCTGAATACCAGAGCCAGCTGCCTGGAGATGCTGGGAAGGCCCAGTGGAAGAGAGAGGTCGTTCACCATTAGGACCTGCCGAATGTGAACTCTGACCTTTGTGAAGCCCCTAAAAAGAAAGAAAAATAGTTTAAATCTAATATTAAGCAAACTCAGAATATACAGAATTTAAAATATTAAAGAGAAAAGCCACTAAAAATAAATATCTAACTGTATAAGATAATTTGACCCAAGTCCTAAAGTTATCAAAAAGTACCTGCAACTTAGCTAATCAGTATTTAACATCTTTAGAGAAATTTTTCTTCCTTGCTATCTAAAATGACTCCATTATTAGTGTAGAATAAACTACTTCAGATGAAGCATTACAAATTTTAAGTTCCAATATACATATTTTCATCTCTAAAATCAGACATGGATAGACATATATCATCATTAATAATTAAAAGCTATGACCATGGATCAACATAAACCAACTCTCACTGGTCTGTGATCTGTTAAAAGATTAATATAGAAAGTGAGTTCATTAAGCCTTTAAAATTATCATTAAAATATAATCTTCTGTAATTCAAATCCTATTGTTAAAGTAGCTATCCTCAAAATTAAGGGCAGAACTATTAAATCTATGAAAATATTTCAAAAAATACCTAAAGTTTCCCCATCTATCCATCCACACATATTTAGAAGACTAGATAGGCTTGGTGCAGTGGCTTATGTCTGTAATCCCAGCACTCTGGAAGGCCGAGGCAGGAGGATCGTTTGAGGCCAGGAGTTCGAGACCAGGCTGGGCAACACAATGAGACTCCGTCTCCACAAAAGAAAAAGAGAGAGAGAAAGGGAAAGGGAAAGGGAAAGGGAAAGGGAAAGAGAAAGAGAAAGAGAAAGAGAAAGAGAAAGAGAAAGAAGAGAGAGGAGAGAGGAGGGAGAGAGGGGAGAGAGGGAAGGAAAGCAGGCAGACAAGCTAGGTGTGTTGACAAGTGTGCCTGTAGTCCAGCTACACAGGAGGCCAAGGTGGGAGGATCTCTTGAGCCCAGGAGTTTGAGCCAGCAGTGAGCTAAGATGGTGCCACTGTACTCCAGCCTGGGTGACAGAGCAGAACCTTGTGTCTCTCTTTTTTTTTTTTTTTTTTAAAAAAAAAGGGGAGAAAAAGACATTTTAAGTCTCCACTAATGACTTTGAGATAAACTTTATTTTTCATCACCTGAATTTGAAAACTTAGAAAAATACACTGCTACTGTTAAAGCAATCTGAGGGGGCAGTATACTAACAGTTAATAGAAGTTTTAAGACTAGAGGAAGATCACTTAGGGCATTTAATAGAATGAAAATATGATAACTGGAACTAATTTTTACCTGAAATTTGCCTCTGGTGTCACAGAGAAACTTCTTTAAGAAGAATATTTTCATTTCATTTTACTTACAAAATAATTAAATAGGACAGCCAATTTTTCAGCAACACTGATTAAAGTAACATTGGAATCATAAAACGAGTTTACATTTGGAGTTGAGATTACTTCAGCAACAAGGTTAGAGCATTTTGTCAGTAATAAGCTATAAAAGAATAAAACTATAGCTGATAACAAGATATTTATATACTAAAAGGTGCATTTAATCATCTAGTTAAAGTCAGCTAGCATGCCCCTAAAATCAGTTTCTGAAGCTGAAAATTTTAAACTAATGTTTTTACTCAATAGGCTTATCTACCTAAAACACTAGATATATTAAAAGTTGATACACATTGGCCAGGCGCAGTGGCTCACACCTGGAATCCCAGCACATTGGGAGGCCAAGGCAGGCAGATCACCTAAGGTCAGAAGTTCAAGACCAGCCTGGTCAACATGGTGAAGCCCTGTCTCTATTAAAATACAAAAATTAGCCGGGCATGGTGGTGGGCACCTGTAATCCCAGCTACTCGGGAGGCTGAGGCAGGAGAATCACTTGAACCTAGGAGGCGGAGGTTGCAGTGAGCCAAGATCGCACCACTGCACTCCAGGCTTGGCGACAGAGCCAGGCTCCATCTCAAAAAAAAAAAAAAAAACAAAAAAAAGATACACACCAGTGAGTGTGTAAAGGAGTGCAATTAGTTGTAAATGATTTAATAAGTAACAAAGTTCAATCATAATAAAGGAAGGTTGAAATTTGTAAGTTACATGAAAATTTCTCATAAAGCAAAAACACTGCATATTATAATCATATCAATATTTAAAATATTATCCAAGAAAGTCTGGGTAGGTGAGTTAAAATTTCATCAAATGTAAAATATTTAATTCAGAGGCCAATTATTTAACAAATACACTGATTACAATATGCAGAAATGTGACAAAGTAACTATTTTATTACATCTTCTCTATCTGCAAATCAAGGTATTTTAAGCTACAAATTCTTTAGAGTACTTGCTGAATAATCACCTACAATTAATATAATTTTACTTTCATATCTTAAATTATACCCTTGCTACCAAAAGCAATCTGAATAAACCCATTCCACACTGTAATGTAAATTCCTCCCTTGATCAAAAACTAAAAGGTAGATATACCATATAGGTCTACCAGTTGTCTAGTTTTCATTACAATTTCAAAAATTATTCAAATAGGTTTGTATAAGACAAGTTACCAAAAAGGCCTCTTTAGAGTCTATGATATTAATACCATATATCAACAGCAGAGACAGAGGCTTCCCAGCTGTAGTGATATGCAGAAACTTCATTTGGGAAACTTTTGACCTGGAATCAGTTCAACATCATTTTCTAAACAACTCTCTCAACCTCATTACTTAAATTGTAAAGTTCCTACAGATAATGGCTTTGAAGGGCGTGTGAAGCAAAGGCTGGGGGCTCCCTGCTACTTAGTATGGTAAATTACAGAAGCCTCGTGGCCTGCCAACTGAGGAGTTCCTTTTTATTAGAATTACGAATTACGTTTTTAAAGAATCCCACATTTCCAAAACAGGGTTAAGAGAGTATTGAAAACTTCAGCAACTAAGTGAGCCAAAGAAGTAGATGTGAGAGAAAAGAAAATAGAACTATGCTTTACAATCATAACAAAGGCTTTCACTTATTAACTGCCAGTTATACCTTAGAACTATGATAGGCATTTTAACAAAAATCTCGTGTTATCCTTTTAACAACTGTTTAATGCTTAAAGACAATGAACCCCCAAAATCCCATCCTCTCACCCATTCTAACAATTCCCCTTTCTCCTTTGCCATTTTCTCCCTCTCTACTGAATCTTTCCCATTGACTTTTACTGTTATTTCTCTCATTTTAAATTTAAAACAACAACAAGACAACAACTCCTAATCCCATTTTCCCTGTCAGCTACACCCGGTTGTTGTTCTCTTTTATGCCACGGTATATGGAAATGGAAGCCTTGGCACTGTGCAGTGTGTAGCCCAAACAACTGTAAGCATGTGTGCTGGAACTGTCTATACTTGCTACTTCAGTTTTTCTCTGCCGATTTTATATTATCTTGAAGCGAACTACAATTAGGCTTTTGCACCCCAACAATCCACTGAAATTGCCCTTATCCAATGGTCAGCATATCTTTTCTGTAAAGGATCAGATAGCAAATATTTTAGGCTTTGTGGGTCACCCAGTATCATATATTATTCTTTTTTTACAACCCTTCAAAAATATAAAAATCATTCTTAGCTCACGGGTTATAAAAAACACAGGTCGTGGGGTAAATTTTGCCTGTAACCTGTAGTTTCCTTACTCCAATAATGTCAGCAAATATCTCAGATGGTCAGTTTTCAGTCCTCACTTTATATGACCTATGAGCATTATTTGATCATGTCCTCCTCCTTGAAACTTTCTTCATTTGGCTTCCAGGGCATCACTCACATTGTCTTTGATCTCCTACTATGTCACAGGTCAATCTCTTCTATTCTTCTCTGCTAGTTCTTCAATTTCCTAGCCTAATACACTGGAATGCCCTAAGGCTCAATCTTGAGTTCTTTTCTCAATCTGTTCTCACTGATTGGTGATACCATCCAGTTTCATCCATCCTTCTAGTTGGTCAGGCCAGCTGGGACTCCTTTCTCACACATCACTCTATATCAACTAATCCTGTTGGCTGTACCTTCCAAATATACCCAGAAGCTGACCACCATCTACTACTACCACTCTGGGAGCCATCATCAACTTTTAACCTGGATTACAGGTATAATCTCTAAAATGGTCATACCATTTCTACTTTTGCCTCTTTCAGTCTATCCACAGAGTACCAAAGAGGACCTAGTCAAAAACAAAGTTAGATCACATCACTCCTCTGTTCAAAATCCCCCTACGGTTTCCTGGATACTCAGAATAAAATCCAGTATCCTTATAAGGCTGATCATGATTTAGCCATCCTGTTTCCAGCTGGAGCACATTTCTCTCTCTTCTCACTCCTTGCCTGTCCTGTTCTGCCATGCTTGCCACCTTGATTCTCCTCAAATGTGCACAGCACAATCCTACCTTAGGGTCCATTGCTCCGTGCTGCTCCCTAGACCTGGAACAATCTTATCACAAATAGCTTCAAGGCTCACTCCTGTAACTCTCATCCAAATGCTATCTTTCAGAGAAGCCTTCCCTGCCCTTCTGATTTATAACTGCAACTCTCCTACCACCAATCTCTAGTATTCTGCTGTTCCCTTTCTATTAGTGCTTTTTTCCATAGCACTAATCACAACCATCATCTAATGTTATATATGTATTGCTTATTTGTTTACTATCTATTTACCTACACCAAGTAGAGACATCTCAGTATATTTTCTTTATTGATGTATTCCCAGAGCCTTGAGTAGGAAATGAACCTAGTAGGTACTCAGTATTTCTCTAAGAATGAATAAAGTACTAATCACTTTAGATCAGGGTCCCACCAAGGATATTAATTCAAGAATAAACTTAAAAATCTTAGAAAAAGAACTTATTTCAGTTTTATCAATAATATAAGACTAACCGACAATCAGCCAAATATTTCTCTTTTTAAGTCAAATATTTCTCATAGTAAATTAATAAAAGTACAAGCAATTTGGCTATACATATTGAGAGCATTTTCTTAAAACTTACTCTTTGGCCCTTCAGTTTCACCTCAGCGAGTACCCATATCATGGAAACAATCCAAAATATGGGAAATACTATGCACATAAACATTCAGAAGTAAAAACTTAGAAATTAAATGTCTAACGAATGTGCTAACGTTGAATACATTATGACCCATTTCCTTGACAAAAATAATGTGCATGCAATTCATTACTCTGTTTCAAAAACTTTAGTGGATCAACTTTGCCTTCAAGATAAATTTGGCCTCTCCCTCAGCCTCTTATTTCACCCTCCCCTCTTCATAACCTATCTTCTAGGCACACTTCACCAGCCCTCTCCTCCCCTAAACTCTAGCTTCTGGAAGACTCTGACATCTTGGTTATGTGCTCTCGTAGGTACTCTGATAGAACTTTCCCACCAAAGTCACACTTCACAGTCATTATGGTAAATACTTATTCACTGGTCTTTTTCTCCCACTAAAGCAAATACCTAACACCTAGTTTAGTGCCTGATCTTAAGTAGGCAGTTTATGCAGAAATGAACTAAGTAATATTACATAAATGTGCTTATGATGCCACTGTAAATTAATGGTGCATTTTGGGTGATTTATATGATCTATTTTCTTCCTTTGTAAATTTGCTAAGTTATCTATGTCGGTAGAGACTGTACAAAGGGAACAAAGATATACTCATGTATGTACATAATGAATCACAATGTAGTAACATTGTAGTGCCACAAAATTCTTATAAAACCAGTTCCCCAAACACTTCTCTCTTCTTCTCTCAAAGTGTATAAAACCCAGTAAAAACATTTATGTGAAAAGCCAACAAGGAAGCTAGTCCTCCTATTACCTGAGTGGAGTTAGATAGTTGGTTTTTCCACGGCTCCTCTGCGCTGCTGGTCAGGTTTGTGCGGTTATGAGGTAGAGTGAGTGCGTTTCGCTGCAGGTAAGGCACGTTTCCATTACTTCCACTTCCTGTTATATGATTATTGCCTATCAAAATAGTGTCTGTACTTCCCAGCGTTCTTGATGTGCTACAGGGAACATGGCCTGCAGAAAAGGGTCCATTGGCCAAAGGCTGCCCAGGGCAGGCAGGACGGACTCCAGGCTGAGAGACGCTAGGCACTCTGGTCAGAGCAAGCTGTGGCTGCTGGCCAGAGACTGAGTTTGTAGGCAGTGATGAGTCAGCTGTTGGCCCATTAGGAATTCCAGTAGATCGTACCTGTGCAACTCCTGTTGGTCTCATCTGTCAAAAAAACAAAGGAAAAGTAAATGCTGGTTGTGTAATCTATAGGGAAGAGAATCTATAGGGGATTCTCTATGAATCCCCAGATGAATATGAAGATGTATAATTAGGGAATGTGTGATTTTACCCAAATGCTTAATTTCTCTAAGTTGAGAAATACATACTTTAAAAACAAGAAATTGTATTTGTTCATTTTAAAATAAACTTCCTTGAAAAAGCAAAAGTCGGTTTCAAAAAAAAAAAATCCCATTAGTAATGACAAAAGGAAGCAGCTGAAAATTATAGAAAACGACCCCGAACTTATAGGTCCTTCTCTCAATCACAAAAGAGGGGACATCTCAAAATTTCATTCTGTTACATATATGCCAGATCCTGTAAACTAAATAAGCCCTAAAAACCTTGCCTCAGTACTAAATAATGTAAACAAACCCTTAGAATACATGTGAAATATCATGTAAATAAATAAAATACAAAGTATCTTCTTCAAAATTATAGTTGCTTTTGTCTAAAAATCTCCGTCAATTACCAGTATTTTAAAATACAGAGATTACTAAATTCTGTCAAATACCAGTAGAAAGTAAAAATGAACATAAACATGCTCTAAAATGACATTAGAGTCAATAAAAATACTCAAAATGCTAACAAATTTCAGGGAAAAATATGCTATACACACTTGGTGTTGTTGCATTAAGACAAACTGACTTTCCAGCTGTTCCAGCATCAGTTTCTGTGCTGGATTTAAATTATTTCTATTTGCGCGGAGCTGTTCCAAATGCTAGAAGAAGAACAAAAAGAGAATATAGTCAAAGATATATTTAGGAAATAAGATCATTATTCTAAGCAACCTTTCCCTGAAATGACTAAACTCAGAACCACTATCTGGTCAAACACACTGTCTTCTGACCAACAGTCACACACTCCAAGATGAAGTCCTTTAATAAGCTTGAGAAATATAAGAATGAACTAAGCATTCATCTGAACAAGATTTACTATGAGTTCTTTGTAATAGATGGGCATGAAATTTTACTCATCCATACAGTATTCTTAGGTATTCACAGAGAAAACTCTTGAAGCTTAAAAATATATTGACAAGTATGCTAAAAGCAGCACTGTCTGGAATAAGCAAAGTCTGAAGACAACCTGAATGTCCAAAATTACTGATCTGCTTAAATAAAGGTGTTACATCTATATAAAGAAATATGATGTAACCATAAAAGAACAAGGAAGCTCTTCACATATTGACATGCAGAAGTCTGTAAAATATGTTGTTAACAGCAAATAAGAATCCTATCATTTGTGTAAAAAAGAAGAAAAATAATAATACATGTGAGAAAGGGGGGGATGTATATTTGCTTGTACATACATAACATACCTCTGGAATGATAGATAGGAAATTAGTAATACCAGCCACATTTTGAGTGGGTAGGGGCCAGAGTTAGAAGAAAACTTTACCCTATATACCCTATATTTATACTTTATGTAGTGTAAACCATGTCCTGTTTAAAAAAAAAAAAAGAAATTAAAAACAAGAATGAATGCTCTTCATTATTCTGGTAAATGCAGGCTCATTTTACTTTTGTGCATTTTAATTGAATGTACTGCCATTTAACTTATAAGAATTAATACTTAGGGCTGGGTGCAGTGGCTCACACCTGTAATCTCAGCACTTTGGGAGGCTGAGGTAGGTGGATCACTTGAGGTCAGGAGTGCAAGACCAGTCTGGCCAACATGGCGAAACCCAGTCTCTACCAAAAATATAAAAATTAGCGGGGTGTGATGGTGCGTGCCTGTAATCCCAGCTACTCTGGAGGCTGAGGCACAAGAATAACTTTAACACAGGACGCGGAGGTTGCAGTGAGCCAAGAGCGTGCCACTATACTCCAGCCTGGGTGACAGAGCAAGACTCTATCTCAAAAAAAAAAAAAAAAAAAAAAAAAATTAATACTTGTTTGCTACCTCTACTCCTTTTTAATAAACAATTTGTCAAAAACATCTTACATACCTGTAATTTCTGTGGTGTCAAACACCATGAATGAGCTTGTTGCTGTACTGGAGGATGTGACACAGCATGTCCACCACTCCAATTGTCAGAAGTATTCTGAGGAAAATCGATTTAAAAAAAAAATTAAAGAATATTTGGTTAAATCCACAGTTAATAATAATGGTTAGAGGAGGCCAAATGACTATGAATTGGAATATTTACATGTTAAAAAGATGTTATAACATTAAATTCTTTAAAAAATAATTTTACATGCATATTAAACTTAGAAATCATACATTTAAAAATTACTGACTATTTAATAAGCCACCCAAAAAGGCCCACCCTCAAACTATGGCCCAAACGGCTAGCCTAAACACCACACTGTCCACTAGATCCAACATTAAATTTATTTCAATGTCAGTAAAAAGTGATGATGAAAAGTGTGCTGGGATCTTAACGGCAGGGAGATGAATAAAATGATTTGATGAATGCAAATTTATCCCTACTTTCTATATTTAATATGATACTAAGGGTTTGGGATGGAAAAACTCAAACCTTTCACTCTTTGATGTCCACAAATTTAAAATAAAGGACAGGAAATGTTCAAACTGCACAATTTCAGGGCAGCTGAAACTTCTTTTTTGACTGGGATTTTCTATTTCTCTAAAACATATACCTTTGTTGGACTAGATGTTCTTTTCCTCTTGGCAGGACTGGACAGGTCATCTACTTGGCTAGAAGGAATCATGTGTAGTGGCAAGGATTGCTGTGAAATTGGTGTTTGACTGAGGCCTAATACAGGTTCAGTATTTGGATGATGAGGTTTACATGCCTAAGAATCACAGAAGGAAGACAAAAATAGGGTTCTATATATTCTTAATTCATTCCTTCAAATTATAAAACTTTACAAGCTGCATACTTTTCAAAGCTATGTGGACATCGCTGATTGCAATGATTGAAAATCAAAATTAAATGATTCATCAATGGAATAATGTGTACCTTCCTTTGAAAAACTTGCCTTAAAAATTAAACAAACCACTGTAGCATTATTTTAAGAAATCTCCTTCAAAATCATGAAAATGCACAAAGGTTCTAAGTTGGTACCCCAAAATCTCTTCCCATATTAGAGGGAATTTTATTTTGATCTAGATTCCCTTTGCAATTAAATCAAAAGGCTTTTCATTACTAAAAGCCTCCTGTGCTTAGTAAATTAAGCTTGACCACTAGAGAATTGAAAAGAACCCTTAAAGCTGGGCACCTGCAGAACATAACCCAACTTCTCACCTGCTGTGCTGTGTTCATGGCACCCTGCCTGGAGGTAAGCTCTGCGGGAATTGGTAGGCTCCACGCCTCCTCAATACTAGGAAGTAATTTAGTTTTATTCTGTAGACTACCTTGTGGAAGGTTACACAACTGAGCCTAGGAAAAATTATGTAAAAAGCAAATTTAACACAAGCCTACTTGAGTAAGAGCAAGTCCACTAAATCTTCCTAAATGCTATAGCTAATTGTTTTTAAAAGAAAATAGATTCTAAATTTGGGGCTTTAGAAGACACTAAGTATAAACAGGGTAACCGGAATATAAACCTTTGTGAGAATCAAAACAAAGCTGAGCTCTGTTTTCAGAGTTCTCATAGCTGTCTTCTCAAGAAACTCCAAGCAAGAGTGAAAGACTGTTTGTGTTTTCTATAAAATGCTATGACAACTTAAAAATGTAGACAGTACATAGAAAAAAATTATGTAAATTAATATGCATCAACAGAGTAAATGTGCAAAAGAGCATCTTTAAAAATACTGCATATCTTACTTAAAATGAAAAGTAAAATAATATTACAAGCTATGGTATGTTTACAAAATATGGAAACAGATTATAGACATCAAAACACAACTAGACAAACTTTCCAGCCACCCTCCTTCTGCCTGAGTGTTCTGGGGAAATATGTGGCTTTAAAAAACTGCCATTTAAAAATTTTACCTGTAAATACTTAATTCGTGCTGCAAGTGCAGAGGTATTACTACAACTTTTGCTTCTAGTTGCATTTAAGTAGCATTTAATGGCATCCTGAGGCTGGTTGCAGGATTCATAGAGAGTGCCTAGGTCCATCCAGGCTGCAGCATGGCCATGGTCCAATTGTACAGCACAAATATAGGCCTGTAAAGCATCCATGGGCTGATTTTGCTGCTGATATAGCACACTGGAAAGAGAAATTAAGAAAAAATAAGTCAACTCAGAAGAACTGCTTGGTTTTATAATGATTTAAACTATGAAGTACTATATGTGATGCAACCATCTTTGTATATCAATTAAATTACTACTATTTTTATACAAAGGCTTACCCTATTGAACACCATGTATCTGCACTTGCTTCTGATTTATCAATAGACTGCCTGTAAGATATAAAGGCATCCTGAACTTTCCCAATACTTGAATAGCACCTGAGAAGGGAAGGGAAAAAAAAAAAAAATCAAGAGAATTCCATTAATACTGAAACAAATTAATCGGCTGAAAGGATGGACTATATATCACAGCAAATTTTTTTAAAACCCTAATAAGTTAATATATTTATGTGTATGTATGTATATACTTGTTAACTATAATGAATATTATAATTTGCCCTCCAACAAACCATATTATAGTCTGTCTTATAGGTGCTAAAAAGCATGCTGCATTAATGAACTCTATTAAAATGATTAGGGGACATATCACTTCAATATTATAATACTGAGAGCTGCATGCACATGTGCACACACACACACACGGCACTCTTCCACTCTTCTTATACAGCTTGACCTCTAGTTTCCTATATGGTCAAAATACAGAGTTAAAAACAAAAACACTATATACGTTGGTAAGATTTGCTGTATCAGATTTCAATTTTCCTTTCCCAAGTAACAACACTGAGGGCAATAATTCTTTAATTCATAAAAAAAATGCACATGTAAGACATAGTTAATCTCAAACTAAGTATCAAAAATAGTATAAAGTAAAAAGTAAAAATAATATAAAGTATAATATTTTATGACTAGTAAAGTTAGCAAGGTAAGATTAACGATTCAAGGACTGTAATTTTCTTAATGTGAATATACACGATGGACATGATGGATACACAGATAACAGTTGAAATTATAAATACTGAAATTATCTTCTTATTCTTGGCACTAAAGGAAAAAGAAAAAAAACAAAAACCCAGTCCCTATTTTCATGAAGCTTACAATTTAGTTGAGGACTGAAGATACATTAAAAATGTCATGATGTCATATCAAATGGCCAGTATAGACAATAATTGGCCTGAGAATTTAGGATAAGAAGAGACCATCATATTCTGCAAGATTTAGGAAAGGCAAAAAAAAAAAGGGGGGGGGGGGAGAGTAAGAGTAAGGGATTTGAATATGTAAAGATGCATATTATTTAGTGATTCCTAATTGCCAGCCAGTATATGGCACGTTTGCCAAGCAAACAAATTGGAAAGACAACACACACATATACATACATAAAGTTTTTCCAATAAATGAATTAATATTTATGCTGTAATTCTCTTATTTTGGATATTATTGGCTGACAGTAAATTGCAAAAAAAGTTAATGTTTTTACTTGCCCAAACACCATATTTCTATCCTCATAATTATTCTTTGAAATTTTACTGATTTATGTAACCTAAAATTCTAGGAACCACTGATTCGGGCAGAGAAGATGAGAAAAGGCGTTTTAAATGGGTTTGAACAGCATGAGCAAAACCTAATGTATATACAAGAAAGCACAGACACAAAACAGTAGAGAATTTTAAATCCAGCCAAAGATTACCCTAAAGTTTGCTTTTCTAACAAGCAGAATAGCACACTGAAAGCACTTTATAGGAATATTAATTTTCTAACAATATGTAGGGCAGACTGAAAGGAAAATAGTTATGGACAGTGAAAAAAGAGGGTGGCTACATTCACTGGTTTAGAACAGGCCAAAATTGGAGTGAAAGTACTGGAAGCGGCAAGAAAAAAAAGATAAGAGAAACAAGAAACCAAAAGATTGATAAAGGCTTTGTGATTAATTGATTAGATGTTCACAGGGTGGGGGCTGTAACTTAGTATTTAACCTTGATAAAAAGAAAATGGTGATCTTTTGGCAAAAGTAAAAGGAGAAAAGAGCTGGTCTGGGGAAGAATATGGTGAACATGGTTTGAAATATGCTGACTTTGACATGATGTGAGGACATTAAAATGGGAAATGTTAAGTAAAGAATAGGAGATGTTGTCCTGGTGTTTAAGATACCTTTAAATGTTGAAATCTAGATTTGGAATTCATCCATATGGAAGAGAGGCTGTAAAAACACAGGACATCTAAAGGGAGAAGTAAAAGCCTAAGGAATCACTAATCCTGTGGTTTGAAAGATGTAAGAAATGTCCGTGATTGAGACAGAGAAGGCAGTTTCAGAGAGCATCTACAAACTGTTTTATGAAGGAAAAATTCATAAGAAGAGATCAGCTACAATGCCAAACAGAAACAGACACCAGCGTGAAAGGGAATGCTTAACAGATAGTAGAAAACATGCTCTTCTGTAGTTGTTGTGAAATCAAAGCCATTTCAGATTTATAGACAAATTTGCCTAACTGCTGGGAGAAATAAGCAGTTCTTCCCAAAACCAATGTTTTAACATTCCATTCCTACAAAGTCAAAGTAGGAAACCAATGTGCCCAGATACAGATGTCCCACTCCAACCATCAACCACTTTTCCTCTAATGAAAGTAGGTTCCTCTGAGACAGTCTCATGTAACTAAAAAAGTCCTGGGTGAATCTAGGGTCTAATCCCTGCTCTCATACTAATTATCTGTGATTATGAACCCACTTTCTAAATCTTTGAAGTGACAGGATTTACAAGGTTAACTAGATGACCTCCCTGGTCCCTCCCAGTTGTAATATTCTATAGTTCTGTGATAACACAGTCAATGATTGGTGCTAGCAAAACAGAATATCACATTACAATTTTACTTTGAAATACAAGTGCCAAATGACAAGCAAAGTCCATCTTCAACACAGACCTGAATGCAGAGGTTAATAGAAATCCTAACAAATATGAGGGTCATCAAACCCCAAAATTTCTTACTGACAATTGAGGTCTTCATTTGGAGCTTTAAAAACTTCTAAAACATAATTCATTCATAAAATGTTTCTTACAAGAAACAGATTAGAAGCAACACATTAGAAGGCAGTGAAAGAGAATATGAAAAGTCTAAAAGATTTAGAATTTTATTATTACAGATGGAAAATAATATGTCTAAAATGATAACCTTGAACCCGAAACCAAGTTAAATTGTGATAAGTATCCTTTATTTAGTCAGGAAAAGTATATTGTATATTTGGAAAAATTTACCCAAAAAGATTAAATTAAAAGCATCATAATGTTTTACAATGTAAAATTAGTTAACTGGAAAAAAATGATAAAATACTGCTCACTGAAATACTGATGATTAAATACTGCTCATCGAAGCTGAAAATTACAGCATGACTATGATAGTTAATTCTACACATGGTTCATTATAATTTTACGTAACTAGAATTTAAATTTAAAAACCTATACTAAAAAGACATCTACACACTACTGTATTAAACTATCTTAGGTCAGAAGGAACATACTTTCTAGTATACATTCGTTTTAATCTATGCTAAAAGAAATTTTCATATATAAACCTGAAAACAAGAGACAGGCACCTACTGTTTCCCAGTTCCAGACCTCCTTTACAGTCACTATATAAAGCCTCACACTCCACAACACTAACAGTAATAGTGCTAGCTCCAAAAGCAAATGGAGTTTAGTTAGTTCATGTCATCCATTTATCGAATAGCCACTTTGTCAGGCAAAAAGATACAAAAATAATAAAATCCAGTTTCTGCTACTGTAGAAGAGAAACACAAAAGTTTGGACCCTCCAGCTTTATTTAGAAGCAATCCAAATTAGGCTCTTTTATAAGCCTGGGGAGGGATTAGGAAATCCTCACCAAAAATTAGATACCTTTTCAGTCAACTCTTATTGTATGTTAATAATGAGTTAATCAAATGTTTTTAAAAATTTTTTTCCTTAACCTTCTAAGCATACTATGAGTAATCAAATATTTTTAGGGAAGGAACCATATTAATATTACTTTAATTAAAGTAATATTACATTAATTAAAATTACATTAATTAAAATTAATGTCTCATACAAACATACTTTCCTTAAAGGAAAAATGAAGCCATATAATTAAAATTTAATGTGATTATATGGCAAATTTACTTACAATCAAGTATTCTATGTAAACAATAATAGAACAAAACTTAAAATTAAAACAGGATAATTTCTAAAGAAGTCATAAAATTGGAACCTTTAGAGCAGGAAGATACGTAACAGATCATCTAACTCAGGGTTTCTCAACTACAGCATAATTGACATTTGGAGCCAGCCAGTTCTTTGCTATAGAGGACTGTCCTGCGCATTGTAGGATGTTTAGCAGCATCCCTAGTCTCTACCCACTATATGAAAGTAGCACACTTTACAGCTGTGATGAAAGAAATAAATGTCTCTAAACATTGTGAATTGTCCTTGGCCGGGGCAAGAGTGGCAAAATAGCCTGCCCCTGAGGACCACTGATCTAATACAATTCTCTAAATACGTTAAACAAAATTTGAGGCTTTAAAAGGTTTAACTAAACCATCCACAATTCCACAAACAGTAGCTGAATCAGGACTTGAATCTAAGTGTCCTGGCTCCTAGTACATTGATCTTTTCACCATATCATGAAAGCGAAAAGTGATTAGGAATCAAAATACAACCTGATGATAGTCTAAAACTATAATCTATCAGATACTTATGCATGAGGTATAGTTCAGATCATCACTAAGCATAATTCAGACATTCAATGGATAAATAGTATGGAGAAATGGTTACAGACTTGCAGAAAATGATTTTTGTTACATGACACTTCTCCATTCCAACAAATCTAATAATGTATTCACTTTCTCACTGTAAGATTTCAAGTATAACTGTGATTTGAGATTTACTATTATGTCAATTCTAAGGTAAATATCATGAATCAAAATTATAAATTATAAAGGTTCCATTGACTACCAGTAGTCATCAGGCAGATGAGAAATTAATCCTCTGTTTTATAAAACAGACATATAGAAAAAAATACTGGAAGTCTGAAGGAAAGGCATTTAAATACTTCATTAAAAGTTACTATTGGATAAGACTTTTTTAAAACTAGCAGTAACTCAAATCAAATAAAAATCCAATAACCAAAATAAGAAACGTCCTGCTAGACCAGATTATGCTATAAAAAAACCACCATATTTGGAAACTTTATCTTGTTGTTTAACTTTCAGGAATCTTGGTTAATAATGTATTTAGAAGAGAAAATACACTGATCAGGTTACATATGTAAACTAACATTTTAAATTGTAATTCAAATCTCTTAGCTGGAATAGACAAAATCAAACATAAATGTCTGGTAAGTCTCACCTTCCGAGGAAATACCAGGACTGGCCAGAATTAGGATCTGCTTCCAAGGACTTTTGGAGATACTGAATAGCATAGCTTTCCTTGGTGGCTTTATCTCCCAGGAGATCTACAGTGTGATGCATCCAACCTACAGTAAATGATTTAAAAAAATTTACATAAATGACTTAATTGTTCTTCTATGTTTAAGAATACGAAGCAGAAAACAAACCAAAAAAGTACTCTTTTCTGTCAATTTATTAATTTAGTTTGGAGTACATATTTCCAAAATTTAGAACTGCCAATTCTGGCCATTAAGAAAGTCAGTTTCTCACAGTAAGGTACTGTAAAAGCTACAAAGGGCTTTCATTCAAGAGAAATTAAAACAATTTTTAGTACTGATATAACAGATTATAAATCAGACTTTTCTAATTTTGATATCTGAAAAAATTCCAAGTTACGAAACAAAAAATATAAAGATGTTACGTCTTATTTACTATTCCATGTAAAACTAAATTAATGTGTGTTTTTTGTTTTTTGTTTTTTCCTGAGACAGAGTCTCGCTCTTTTGCCAGGCTGGAGTACAGTGGCATGATCTCAGCTCACTGCAACCTCCGCCTCCCAGATTCAAGCAATTCTCCTGCCTCAGCCTCCTGAGTAGCTGGGACTACAGGCGCGCACCACCACACCCAGCTAATTTTTGTATTTTTAGTAGAGACAGGGTTTCACCATGTTGGCCCAGATGGTCTTGATCTTCTGATCATGTGATTCACCCACCACGACCTCCCAAAGTGCTGGGATTACAGGCGTGAGCCACCACACCGAGCCAATTAAGAATCTCCAAGATATCCCATTAACAAAATGTTTATTTCCAAGGAATAAATATAAGGCTATAGAATCAACGATAATTCAGATTAAAAAATATACACACAATCCTACCTCACTGGCCCTGACTACATATATTCGCACCCTATATAAAACTATAGGCCAGGCACAGTGGCTCACACCTGTAATCCTAGAATTTGGGGAGGCTGAGGCAGAAGGATCGCTTGATGCCAGGAGTTTGAGACCACCCTGGGCAACACAGAGAGAGACCTTGTCTCTACAAAAGAAATTTTTTAAATCAGCCAGGCGTGGTGGCATGCGCCTGCAGCCCTAGCTACTCGGGGGGCTGAGGTGGGATCACCTGACCCGAGGAGTTTGAGGCTGCAGTTATGATCACGACACTGTATTCCAGCCTAGGGGACAGAGCGAGACTCTGTCTAAAATAAATAAGCAAACAAACTATAAAGTATTTGATGACTGAAAAAACAAACATTGCCTTCATAATAAAGCCTTAGTTTTGTTTATAATTTTTTCCATTAGGATTTTACTCAAGTTGTCTATACTTTTAAGAGTTATAAAAGTGTCAAAATATTTGTTTTTATTCAGTGATTTATAATTATTAAATTTGTATGTATATTATCTAAAGATAATGATAAAATCTAAGCTTAAGTGACTTTAAAACTATGTAAAAATAGTTACATTATGAAAACATTCATACTGCTACAATGCTGGCTAAAAATTAAGAATAAATGATTTGCCCAGACCAAAAACAAAACTGAAAAAACAACCCAAATATCAAATACAAACAAGAAACATGACTCAATAATTAAGCAACAAAATTAAAGGCTGGGGAGTTCTTTCACTATCTTTTTGGTGATAGTTACACATGACATCCAAATGAATAGATTCCCTCATGTCCCACATTAGAATAGAACTGCATGCTCACAGTGTTAGACGTTCTACAGTTTTTAGATAAATTGTTTTGTAGTCATTATAACTAATAAAGCTATGAAAGCAAGCTCCCCAACCATTAAGTGACATTAGGTAAATCACAACTTCATTAAGTGCTTAAGCATATATCTGGCACAAACGAAGTATTCAATCCTCCTTGGGTTAAATACTAGGGAGTAATTTTGATAATTTAAAAGGACCAGCTGTACTAAAGAATTACACTGAGACAGACTGTGGGAAGGACAATGCTGGGCAGAGGATACAAATATGCTGGGTTCAGAATAATTTTATCAACTCTGAGCAAAGGAATAGAATATATGAGCCACATATTTGCCACACTCGACATGGAAAAAACATAAAGAGAAGCACTTATAATACACTAAATGTATACTATTACATACCTAACTGTTGTAAGACAGTTGCTTTTACTTGTGCAGAAAGATTCTCTGTCTGCAAAAGTTGTTCATAAGCTTCTTTTGCAGAATGATATTTCCTCTAAAGAACAGAAAAAGAGATTTGGAGAAAAATTAACATAATCTTTAAGGAACTACTTCATATATTAAGAATTATACAATACTGATGTTTTAGCATATTTTTTAAAACTAAAAGAAAAAAGTGCTGATTCCATTATTGAATGTTTCTTTAACATCAGACAGTTGAGTAATAAGCCTTGTTCCAGAGTACCTAACACCAGTAAAACTGACATTCACTATAACGAAGTATCATTAAAGTATGACTTTTAAGAATTTTCCAAATGCCAATATCATCTGAAATTTAATAACATAAGTGGTCTCAATTTTATTTAATAACATTAGACGTATTCTACCTCCAAGTGCATATCTGTCTGCCTAGAAACACTGAGCTCCCAAGCAACTCAATAAATAGAGCACATGTCAGGCTGGGTGTGGTGGCTCACACCTGTAATCCCAACTCTTTGGGAGGCCGAGGCAGGCAAATCACCAGGTCAAGAGTTCGAGACCAGCCTGGCCAACATAGTGAAACCACGTCTCTACTAAAAATACAAAAATTAGCCAGGCATGGTGGCGCGCACATGTAGTCCCAGCTACTCGGGAGGCTGAGGCAGGAGAATCGCTTGAAACCGGGAGGCGGAGGTTGCGGTGAGCCGAGATTGCACCACTGCACTCCAGCCTGGGCAACAGAGCAACACTCTGTCTCTAAATAAATAAATAAAGCACATGTCAAAAATGCTGTAGACAAAATCTAAATAAGTACAAAAGTAGTTAAAAATCTAAATTTTAAAGATACAGTTTCTAGTATATATAAAATATCTTATAAAAATATTTATAATACATATGATTTTAAAGACATCAAAACTCTGTTACAGCCTAACAATGTCTGTAAGACTTAGGATTTCACAGGCAAATGTCTAAATGAAACCATTTAGCCACAGTTCTCAAGAGTACTAATATAACTGAAACTCTTTATTGCTATGGTTACAAACCTTAAGACAACTCCCCCAAAACAAAAGGAAAAAACTAACAAAAGAAAGGCTCATAAATATTACCTGTAAAACATACTTGGCAGAACAATGGATTGAAGTGGCTTTTATTCATATCATTACCAGTATATAACTGCCTGAGCAAACAAATATTTTCAAAAAAAAGTAGGTAGAAATACAAAACTAGGCTGTATGAACCTCAGGCAATTCACTTAAACTAGGATTCAACATCAATAAAAAACTGATGCAATAAAACAAGAGCTAATATCCAATCTTGCTACCTACAGGGTTGTCCTAATGATGGAAACAATTAAGGAGCTACACACACACACACCGCTAACATAAGGAAGATTTGAAAGAACTGTCTATTGAGATGATCAGTTTTTTCGTTTGTTTGTTTTTTTGAGACGGAGTGTCGCCCTTGTTGCCCAGGCTGGAGTGCAATGGCACGATCTCAGTTCACTGCAACCTCCGCCTCCCGGGTTCAAGTGAATTCTCCTGCCTCAGCCTCCCGAGTAGCTGGGATTATAGGCATGTGCCACCACGCCCGCCTACTTTTGTATTTTTAGTAGAAATGGGGTTTCTCCATGTTGGTCAGGCTGGTCTCGAATTCCCAACCTCAGGTGATCCGCCCGCCTTGGCTTCCCAAAGTGTTGGGATTACAGGCGTGAGCCACCGCGTCCAGCGATCCAGAGTTATTAAATCAACTTTTACTTATCAGCTAAACTAGTTCCCCCAAAACACTCATCTGGTCTAAAAAAAGTTAATTAGATAGTTAGGCCAAGGATAAGGGCCAAGTTATTCAATTCCTTCAATTGATAAATATTTGTTAAACACCTAATACATAACAGGAACTGCTAAGACTACACAGTAGTGAAAAATATATACAAGAAAAACAAATTAAGCATATTGTGCTGTGTATGATAACATTATAATACTTCTCAGAGGAAGAACGAGCGCATATTAAGTTTAGAGTACTAGCAGGCTGGACAGAAAATGCAAAGACTACTTCACAAAGACCTCCCTAATCCATTTAAAGACTACTGACTGTATCCTAAAACAATGGAGAACCACTGAATGATTTCAAGTAATGTAATCAGATTTAAATTTTAGGAAAACCACCTTCATGAATTATCTTAACAAATGTTAAAATATACCTCCCAACACTGTAATAAAAACAATGATCTACTTGAAAAAATGGTAGCATCATATTTGGAAATATGAAATTAGATTTCTACCTCATACCATATACAACAAAACCAGCAACTGCATTAAAGACCTGAATATGAAAGGTAAAAGTATAAAGTTAAGAGAAGAAAATGTAGAAGAATGTTTCCTTGAGATGGGAGAGAATTTATTGGACATGACCAAAAAAACACAAATCATAAGGAAGAGTAAAGATCTGACTCAAAAAGCATAGGCAGAGAAACAGGCAATGGACATAAGTAATCCAACACATAAAAGGTGAAAAACAATGTGAGTAACTATACTCCTCTAGAAATCAGAACATACAAGTTTAAATGACACAACAGCTTCTACCTTTAAGACTGGCAAACATAAATTTGAGTAATTCCAAGTATTGTAGAGATGTGAGTAAAGGAGAACACTCACGTCCTGGTGGAAGGGGATTTACTCAAAAAATTAGGAATACAAATATGCTACAATCTAGCAATCTTACTCTTGGAATATGTATGCCAAGGAAACCTTTCCACAGGTAATGTTCTGAACAGTACTGCTTGTAGTATGGAGAAGTTGGGGGGCAACCTAAGTGTCTGTCACTAGACAAGTAGAAGCAAAATACAATGGATGCTTATAGTAGTACATTAATTAGCAATTATAAACGATGTGTAAAAAAGTAACTTGAGTTTATCTTTAATAGTGTTGAGTAGAAGTTTTGCCTCTGACAATATTTGGAGTGACATTCCACACACAGCTTCACATTCTGGATAAAATATAAAAGTCAACTACCAGATGGCACTGGAGAGAGACCAAAATCAGGCAAAACCAAAGGAAAAGTTCACACTTAAAGGAAGGAAACGGCACTAGATGAGTAACTCCCTTTTTCTTGGATTTTCACCTGAAGGCAGGCTTCAACTGGTACTTTGGCTGGCTAGAACTCAAATAGAAATGGCAGTCTTACTAGGCTGAAGAATCATAGGACAGCTTTTGAGGCTACCATAAAGAGTTGGAAGTGAGGGGAGAAATCCCAGTCAGGAGACAGAGAGTGGAAACACCAAATTCCACACATAAACTCTGCCCAAAGCTCTGACTGCCGAATTATGCATGAACAGAACAGATAATGAGCAGCCTAAAAGAACTAGAGAGAGATTTCAGTTGCTGCCATTACAAGGGTGACAAAGTTTAGAGTGTGAGTTAACTGGCTAATAAAGCAAAAATATATCAATCTTCAGAAAAATATAGTCAATCTCCACAATGTATTACTCATGATATGCAGGATAAAAATTATTAAACTTATGAAGATCAGGAAAATTTCACCTATATTCAAAAGAAAAGAAAATTAATGAAAACCAGCTGTGAAATTACTCAGATGTTGAAATTTGTAGTTTTTTTTTTTTTTTTTTTTTGAGACGCACTTTCACTGTGTCGCCCAGGCTGGAGTGCAGTGGCACAATCTTGGCTCACCGCAACCTCTGCCTCCTGAGTTCAAGCGATTCTCCTGCCTCAGTCTCCCGAACAGCTAGGATTACAGGCACGCCATCACACTTGGCTAATCTTTTGTATTTTTAGTAGAGATGGGGGTCTCGCCATTTTGGCCAGGCTGGTCTTGAACTCCTGACCTTAGGTGATCTGCCCACCTTGGTCTCTCACAAGTGCTGGGATTACAGGCATGAGCTACTGCGCCTAGCCCTGTAGATAATTTTAAAGCAGATATTCAGGCTGAGTGTGATGGCACGCGCCTGTAGTCTCAGCTACTTGGAAGGCTGAGGCACGAGAATCGCTTGAACCTGGGAGGCAGGGGTTGTGGTGAGCCAAAATTATGCCATTGCACTCCAGCCTGGGCAAGAGAGCCAGATCCTGTCAAAAAAAAAAAAAAAAAAAAAAAAAAAAAGAAAAAAAAAGCAAGCAGATATTTGAAGAATGTGGACAAAAGAAAAACATAATCCTAATGAATTAATGTATAAAAAATCATACTCCAGAAAGAGAAACAAAAGGAAATTCCAGAATTGAAAAAATGTTAATCTGAAATTTAAAAAAGAAAATCACTATATGGATTGAATAGCAGATTGGAAAGTATATTTAAAAAAAAAAAGAAATCAATGCATTTGAAAACAAGTCACTAGAAAGCATACAGATTGAAGCAGAAACACACACATACAAACACACAAAAGTTAAAAGTTAAAAAAAAAAAAAGAAAGCATCTAAGATGTTTGAGGCAATAGCATATAGTCTACCATACATGTAATTGGAGTCCGAGAAGAAGAGAAAAACGGTGGAGCAGAAAAAATATTTGACAAATCAATGGCTGAGAATTTTCCAAAACTGATAAAAAAAAAATCAAACCCCAGACTTAAAATACTATTAGTATAATTATAAAGAAAAAAAATATCTGAGCACATTGAAGTCAAATTTTTGAAAACCAAATATAAAGAGAAAAACCTTTTAAAAGCAACCAGAGAAAAACAATACAATACAAAGAATACAACAGGAATGACAGCTAACTTTATCCAACCATATCAATAATCAAATTAAGTATAAATGAACTAGACACTCCAAACCACCACCACCACCACCACCACCACCATCATCACCACCAATAAAAGAGACTGCCAGAATAGAGCTACAAAAGTAAGAGCCAAGAACATTATACTTATGGGATGGACATTACAGGCCCCAAGAATTTAAGAACAATACCTTTATGATATACTCAGCTTCTACATGTACTTGGGTCTATTCCTGGGCTTTCTAGGATATTTCACTAATTTGTCTATTCACATGCCAGTACCACATTTTTAATTATACAAGTTTTATTGGGTTAGTATATCCTACACAATCCTCCCACCCGTTTTATCATGTTTTACCATATCAACTTAGCTAACTCCTAACAAAAGTTTGTTGGTATTTTTGTATTACATTTCTGTTACACTAAGGAGAATCAACATCTTTATACTGCTGAGTCACAGTATCTCTCTAAAGTTTATTCCTAAGTATTTAATATACTTTGCTGAACACTCTAAATAGAATTTTTTCCTGTTATGTTCTGACTATTGTTGTTGAAGCTTATTAATTCTGTATGTTAATTTGTGCCTGTAACTGACTTCTCTCTCTTATCTAACTACACTGGCTAATACCTATAGTATAATACCAAGGACTAATGGAAATAGTAGGCATCTTCACCTTGCTCCTGATTCTAGTGAAAAGGTCTCTAGAATTTGGCCTTAAGTAAAATTCTGACTTTGAAACTAAAGCATATGCATTTTATCACGATAAGAAAGTAACCTGCAATTCCTATGTATAAGAGTGTTTTTATTAGAAATGGGTATTGAATTTAAAGATTTTTTCAGAATCTATGGTGATAATAATTTGACTTTACCTTTAGCTCTATTATTACAATATTAATAGATTTCCGAAGATTCAGTCAACCTTGCATTCCTGAAATGAATAACACTTGGTCATAGTATATTGCTGTGTTTAATGAGATAAGGTATTCTGTTTGTTAATATTTTATTAGCATTTTTACACCAATATTCATCATGATATCAGTCTGTATATTGACTCTCTTATTATACTGTCTTTTATTAGGTTCGGATGTAATACTTGCTTCAAAACAAAAAGGAAAAACAGTATGACTGTTTCTCAAAAAATTAAACATAGAATTACCATATGATCCAGCAATTCCACTTCTGGATATATTGCAAAAAGAACTGAAAGCAGGAACTCTAACAACTTATATACACATCCATGGTCAAGCAGCACTATTCACAACAGACAAAAACTGGAAGCAAACCAAGTGTCCATCAACAGATGAAATGGATAAACAAAATGTGGTGTATCCATACAATGGAATATTATTCGGTCTTAAAAAGGAATGGAATTCTGACACATGCTAAACCATATAGACATTATGCTAAGTGAAATAAGTCAGATGCAAAAGCACAAATATTGTATGATTTCACTTTTTTTTTTTTTTTTTTTTTCTTGAGACAGAGTCTTGCTCTGTCACCCAGGCTGGAGTACAGTGGTGGGATCTTGGCTCACTGCAACCTCCACCTCCTGGATTCAAGCGATTCTCCTGCCTCAGTCTCCCGAGTAGCTGGGACTACAGGCACCTGCCACCATGCCTGGCTGATTTTTGTATTTTTAGTAAAAGCGGGGTTTCACCATGTTGGCCAGGCTGGTCTCGAACTCGTGACCTCAAATGATCCATCCCTCAGCCTCACAAAGTGTTGGGATTACAGGCATGAGCCACCACGCCTGGCAGATTCCACTTTTATGAGATACCTAGAGTGGTCAACTCACAGAGACAGAAAGTAGAATAGTGGCTGCTAGGAGCCCAGTGAAGGGAGTAATGGGGAATTATTACCTAATGGATACTTTGAGATGATGAAATAGTTTTAGTGATGAATGGTGGTGACAGATTCACAACAATACAAATTTACTTAATGTCAGTGAGTTGTACACTTAAAACTGGTCAAAATGGTAAAATCCTATGTATTCATGAAATAAACCCTACATATTTATCACAAACTTATGTATCAGCTGGAATTTTTTTCTTTATTTAGAGTTCTTGGATTCGTGTAAAATACTTATATTATAGATGTCTAATATAGATAAGTATTATAGCACTTATCTATATTATTTTGCTATAGTATAATAACATACACAAGTCTATAGTGTTTTGGTAATATATTAATGCTTGACAGAAAAGTGTTAAAAATGAAACAATTCTTATAAACAGTGTTATTCAAAATATTATTATTTGTAATTATTCCTCAAAGGGGAGTAGTTAAATTAGTTAACTGTACATCTATATGTAAAGGGATATGATGCAGCTCTACACGTACTGATACAGAATGATTTCCAAGATACAAGATTAAGTTAAAATTTAAAGCAAGGTCAGAAGAGAACATACATTATTGGCTATCATTTGAATAAAATTAAATACTAGAAATAAACATGCAAACATATGTGGACTTGCTTATATATACACTGAGTTTCTCTGGAAGGATTTAAAAACCACTGGTAACATTGATGGCTTTAGGGAGGGGAGTAGATGCCTGAGGAAGTGGAAGGAAGAGGATACTTCACTGTGTATTCTTTCAAAACTTTTCATTTTGGATTATCTATTCAAAAATAACTAACATTTCAGTAACAGAATGAAAAGGGAGAAATCCTCTATCTTGAAACCTTAAAGGCTATAAGAATCAAGATAGTGAACTGCTCAAATTATTTCACTAAATTCAAGAAAAAGAAAAGAAGCCCCGTTAATACTATTATTACTGTAGAAAAAATGAGCTGGAGGTCCCAGCTAATAAAACAGGGAAGGTAAATTAATTCATCAATATAAATGTTCAAGAATAATTGACAATATATTTGGAGATATGACATTATACAGTCATGTGTCACTTAACAATTTCATCGTTGTGCAAACATCAGAGTATACTTACACAAACCTAGATGGTATTGCCTACTACACATCTAAGCTATATGGTATAGCCTCTTGCTTCTGACTACAAACCTGTACAGCATGTTACTATACAGAATACTACAATTACAATACAATGGTAAATATCTAAACATAGAAAAGGTTCAGTTAAAACAAAAAACACACACCGAAAAAGTACAGTAAAAATATGCTATTATAATCCTATGGGACCACCATCATATATGTGATCCTTTGTTAATCAAAACATCATTGTGCGGCACATGTACAGAGAAGCAAAGTTATCTTTATTTATAGATGGTATGACAATATACATAGAAACCTATGAGAATCATTTTTTTTTTCTTTAAACAGTCTCACTCTGTCATCCAGGCTGGCGTGCAGTGGCGCCATCTTGGCTCACTGCAACCTCCGCCTCCCCGGGTTCAAGCGATTCTCCTGCCTCAGCCACCCAAGTAGCTGGGATTACAGACACATGCTACCACACTCAGCTAATTTTTTAATTTTTAGTAGAAACAGGGTTTCATCATGTTCCCCAGGCTAGTCTTGAACTCTGGGCTTCAAGTGATCCACCTGCCTCGGCCTCCCAAAGTGCTGGGATTACAGGTGTGAGTCACCACACCCGGCCAATCTACTAAAATATTTTTTAATCTACTAAAGTATTAACAGCTTTGTCTATAAGATCATAAAAGATAAAAATACAGGGTTAGGGGATGAGCTCTCATTAAAATTAAACAAACCCAAATGCCTATTATTAAATTCAACAAAAAAATTTTTTTAATCCTTTACTCATATCTCTACAAAAGACCTTTTTTTTCGTTTCCTTTTTGTTTGAGACGGGGTCTCGCTTTGTCACCCAGGCTGGAGCGCAGTGGCGAGATCTCAGATCCCTGCAACTTCCACCTCCCAGGCTCAAGAGATCCTTCCACCTCAGCCTCCCAAGCAGCTGGGACTACAGGCATGCACCACCATATCCCGCTAATTTTTGTATTTTTGGTAGAGATGGGGTTTCACCATGTTGCCCAGGCTGGTCTGGAACTCTTGAGCTCAAGTGATCCACCCACCTTGGCCTCCCAAAGTGCTGGGATTACAGGCATGAACCACTGCGCTCGGCCACGACCTTTTTGCCTTTCAAACATTATAAGCTCAATACCACAAAGCCATTGTACTTGCTAACATTTCTTTAACACCATTCTAGGTAAAGTGGTATTCCATAACTTTAGTTTTAATTATGATCTTAGTATTTAAACCTGTGAAGGTAATGTCGGGACAGGGCCCTCGGGGATTATGAAATGATCCTTCTTCATTTATTAGTGGGGAAGACTTCTTCCCATGTAGAGAAGTGGGGAAACTTCTTCCTATGTAGAGAAGTGGGGAAACTTCTTCCTATGTAGAGAAGTGGGGAAACTTCTTCCTATGTAGAGAAGTGGGGAAACTTCTTCCTATGTAGAGAAGTGGGGAAACTTCTTCCTATGTAGAGAAGTAGAGAAACTTCCCTTGAACTATTGTTTACCTAGCAGTAGCCATTAAATACATCTCACTTAAATTTCCTAAATCCATATTCATAAATAGGGTCCATTGGTAAAAATTGGTGGAACTATAAAAACTAACTTTTAATAGGTAGGTAAGCAGGCCATCTTGCTTCTCTTAATTTTTCACTTGAAAATGAAAATCCATATTATAATCACTGGTGTAGAGTTTTTTTTTAATCCTTTCATATACTTACAGTGTCACCTAATAATTATATACTGTTTGCCATGAGTTTATTCTGTTTTGTTTAATCTGAATCAGTATTAAAATTTATCAAATGACTCTCCCTCTCCCCTCTCCCCTCTCCCCTCTCCCCTCTCCCCTCTCCCCTCTCCCTCCACGGTCTCCTTCCACGGTCTCCCTCTGATGCCGAGCCGAAGCTGGACGGTACTGCTGCCATCTCGGCTCACTGCAACCTCCCTGCCTGATTCTCCTGCCTCAGCCTGCCGAGTGCCTGCGATTGCAGGCGCATGCCGCCACGCCTGACTGGTTTTCGTTTTTTTTTGGTGGAGAGGGGGTTTTGCTGTGTTGACCGGGCTGGTCTCCAGCTCCTAACCGCGAGTGATCCGCCAGCCTCGGCCTCCCGAGGTGCCGGGATTGCAGACGGAGTCTCGTTCACTCAGTGCTCAATGGTGCCCAGGCTGGAGTGCAGTGGCGTGATCTCGGCTCGCTACAACCTCCACCTCCCAGCCGCCTGCCTTGGCCCCCCAAAGTGCCGAGATTGCAGCCTCTGCCCAGCCGCCACCCCGTCTGGGAAGTGAGGAGCGTCTCTGCCTGGCCCCCCATCGTCTGGGATATGAGGAGCCTCTCTGCCTGGCTGCCCAGTCTGGAAAGTGAGGAGCGTCTCTGCCCGGCCGCCATCCCATCTAGGAAGCGAGGAGCGCCTCTTCCCCGCCGCCATCCCATCTAGGAAGTGAGGAGCGTCTCTGCCCGGCCGCCCATCGTCTGAGAGGTGGGGAGCACCTCTGCCCCGCCGCCCTGTCTGGGAGGTGAGGAGCGTCTCTGCCCAGCCGCCCCGTCTGAGAAGTGAGGAAACCCTCTGCCTGGCAACCGCCCTGTCTGAGAAGTGAGGAGCCCCTCCGTCCGGCAGCCACCCCGTCTGGGAAGTGAGGAGCGTCTCCGCCCGGCAGCCACCCCGTCCGGGAGGGAGGTGGGGGGGGGTCAGTCCCCGCCCGGCCAGCTGCCCCGTCCGGGAGGTGAGGGGCTCCTCTGCCCGGCCGCCCCTACTGGGAAGTGAGGAGCCCCTCTGCCCGGCCAGTCGCCCCGTCCAGGAGGGAGGTGGGGGGGTCAGCCCCCCGCCCGGCCAGCTGCCCAGTCCGGGAGGTGAGGGGCGCCTCTGCCCGGCCGCCCCTACTGGGAAGTGAGGAGCCCCTCTGCCCGGCCAGCCGCCCCGTCCGGGAGGGGGGAGGGGGGGGTCAGCCCCCTGCCCGGCCAGCCGCCCCGTCCGGGAGGGAGGTGGTGGGGGTCAGCCCCCCGCCCGGCCAGCCACCCCGTCCGGGAGGTGAGGGGTGCCTCTGCCCGGCCGCCCCTACTGGGAAGTGAGGAGCCCCTCTGCCCGGCCAGCCGCCCCGTCCGGGAGGGAGGTGGGGGGGTCAGCCCCCCGCCCGGCCGGCCGCCCCGTCCGGGAGGTGAGGGGCGCCTCTGCCCGGCCGCCCCTACTGGGAAGTGAGGACCCCTCTGCCCGGCCAGCCGCCCCGTCCGGGAGGGAGGTGGGGGGGTCAGCCCCCCGCCCGGCCAGCCGCCCAGTCCGGGAGGGAGGTGGGGGGATCAGCCCCCCGCCCGGCCAGCCGCCCCGTCCGGGAGGGAGGTTGGGGGGGTCAGCCCCCCGCCCGGCCAGCCGCCCCATCCAGGAGGGAGGTGGGGGGGTCAGCCCCCCGCCCGTCCAGCCGCCCCGTCCGGGAGGGAGGTGGGGGGGGTCAGCCCCCCGCCCGGCCAGCCGCCCCGTCCGGGAGGGAAGTGGTGTGATCAGCCCCCCGCCTGGCCAGCCGCCCCGTCCGGGAGGTGAGGGGCGCCTCTGCCCGGCCGCCCCTACTGGGAAGTGAGGAGCCCCTCTGCCCGGCCAGCCGCCCCGTCCGGGAGGGAGGTGGGGGGGTCAGCCCCCCGCCTGGCCAGCCGCCCCATCCGGGAGGGAGGTGGGGGGGGTCAGCCCCCCGCCCGGCCAGCCGCCCCGTCTGGGAGGGAGGTGGGGGGATCAGCCCCCCGCCTGGCCAGCCGCCCTGTCCGGGAGGTGAGGGGGGCCTCTGCCCGGCCGCCCCTACTGGGAAGTGAGGACCCCTCTGCCCGGCCAGCCGCCCCGTCCGGGAGGGAGGTGGGGGGGTCAGCACCCCCACCCCCCGGGCCAGCCGCCCTATCCAGGAGGTGAGGGGCGCCTCTGCCCGGCCGCCCCTACTGGGAAGTAAGGAGCCCCTCTGCCTGGCCAGCCGCCCCGTCCGGGAGGATGGTGGGGGGGTCAGCCCCCCGCCCGGCCAGCCGCCCCATCCGGGAGGTGAGGGGCGCTTCTGCCCGGCCGCCCCTACTGGGAAGTGAGGAGCCCCTCTGCCCGGCCACGACCCCGTCTGGGAGGTGTGCCCAGCGGCTCATTGGGGATGGGCCATGATGACAATGGCGGTTTTGTGGAATAGAAAGGCGGGAAGGGTGGGGAAAAAATTGAGAAATCAGATGGTTGCCGGGTCTGTGTGGATAGAAGTAGACATGGGAGACTTTTCATTTTGTTCTGTACTAAGAAAAATTCTTCTGCCTTGGGATCCTGTTGATCTGTGACCTTATCCCCAACCCTGTGCTCTCTGAAACATGTGCTGTGTCCACTCAGGGTTAAATGGATTAAGGGCGGTGCAAGATGTGCTTTGTTAAACAGATGCTTGAAGGCAGCATGCTCCTTAAGAGTCATCACCACTCCCTAATCTTAAGTACCCAGGGACACAAACACTGCGGAAGGCCGCAGGGTCCTCTGCCTAGGAAAACCAGAGACCTTTGTTCACTTGTTTATCTGCTGACCTTCCCTCCACTATTGTCCTATGACCCTGCCAAATCCCCCTCTGCGAGAAACACCCAAGAATGATCAATAAAAAAAAAAAAAAAAAAAAAAAAAATTATCAAATGAATCAATGGGAGGAGGGCCCTGTGCCCACATTACCTTCACAGGATTAAACAGTAAGACCAACAGACAACTCCACATCAGAAACAATGAAAGCCAAAAGACAATGTATTGTGAATTTCAAAGCAGTCAGATAAACAGAATTCCATCTCCGGCAAAAATACTCATTAAAAATAAAGGTTAAAAAAACTTCTGCTTCTTTAGCTAATGACAGACCAGTGATCTCATAGAGAACTAGAAAAACTAGAGTATGGGGTAGAGGAGGGATGGGGAGGCAGAGGGGGGATGGGGAGGCAAAGTGCAGATGGGGAGGGTTGAGGTACCCAGAAATCTGATGTTAATTTTTTAAAACTCCCCATGACAGCTGATTTATAAAGCTTCCCAAATAATTCTGCCATAGAGCTGGGTTTGGGAACCACCAGCATAAATGATCTCAAACTGTCTGATTACATCCTATAACAATATAAATAACGGGATGTAGCAGGATCTTGTATCTGGTGGGTATGAACTCTGCATGGCACATATATGCCTTATTGTAACACTTGGGCCAAAACATCAAAACAGACCTTATAAATTATGTAGGCATAAAAAAAAAACCAACAGTATTTGTTTCCTAAAAAGCTGTTAAAAATTTATGTAAACTATGATGACCTAATTTTGAGTCTCATACAAATTTATTCCTGATTTTCCATACCACTGCCTAAAATGAACGTGTTATACTTTTTTTTCATTTTACTTTAAGTTCTGGGATACATGTGCAGAATGTGCAGGTTTGTTACATAGGTATACATGTGCCATGGTGGTTTGCTGCACCTATCAACCCCATCATCTAGGTTTTAAGCCCCACGTGCATTAGGTGTTTGTCCTAATGCTCTCCCTCCCCTTGCCTCCAACCACCCCCCCCCAAATGTGTTATACTTTTATCATACAACTAAGCAAAATCAAGATGTATCAATCTTGACCGTGTATTAATCAACACACACAAAACCAAGATGTTCTAAAATTTAAAAGTTTTTTAAAGTGAAGGAGCCATGAAATTAATGGCAAGGACATCAAGAGGTGACTCTTGATGCCTTTCCAATAATGACACATAGAAGAGTTATTTCAGTCTTAAGAAAAAGCAAAAGAATTCTTTAAAAAACGCATTACAACAACCATCTATAAACATTCTGAAAAGAAAGGAAGGCATCTGGCATCAAGAATAAGATAAATCTTAAATATAGCCATTTGAGCTTGCAAATGATCTACATCAAGTTCAGTTGTTTCTTTTTTTCTTGAGACAGAGTCTCACTCTGTTGCCCAGGCTAGAGTGCAGTGGCGAGATCTCAGCTCACTGCAACCTCCACCTCCCAGGTTCAAGCAATTCTTGTGCCTCAGCCTCCCGAGTAGCTGGGATTACAGGTGCTTGCCACCATGCCCAGCTAATTTTTTGTATTTTTAGTAAAGATGGGGTTTCGTCATGTTGGCCAGGCTGGTCTTGAACTCCTGGCCTCAAGTGATCTACCCGCCTTGGCCTCCCAAACCAGTGGGATTACAGGTGTGAGCTACCGCGCCCAGCCGCAAATGGATCAAGTTTAAAGGAAAATATTAAATGGAATTAATTTGTACACAGCAAGCACTCCTTGGAATAATTGTTTTACTAAGCAGCATCTTGATCACATTTAATGAGTATAAAATACAAAATTTACCTAAGAAGTAACGCCCAGAACTCCATTAAATTATCTGTACACTTCTGATTTCAGTAAAGCATGATAGGAGTAATGATTTTTGTTTGCTTTTGTTTTAAATAGAATAAGTTAAAATACTTACCTGGGTTTCATATAAGTGGGCAATGTGAAATTGAACTGCAAAGGATGAGGAAAGACAAAAAAATCAGTAACAATACAGCAGAATTTGGGGCAAATTAAGTAAGAATAACAAAGCATCAAACATTATCACAGTCTACACTATATAGATTTAAGTAATAGAAAAACATAACTTTTATTTGCTTTTACTAAAATAGAATATACAAACAAACACACTAAAGAACACAATCATGATAAGAAACCACATGTATTCATTGTTGGTCATTATCAAATGAAATTTCTGTCAATGCAATTATTAAAATTAGCATTAAATCTATAGCAAGTGAATATATGTTTTACAAAGTTCAAAATGGCAACATTAAGCAAAGAGAGAAAACCTTTATAATCTATACATTTCAAAACACAGTATTTAAAAACTGAATCCCAAGTCAAAAAAGAGTAAAATCAATATTTAATTAAAAAATATTAAAACCAAAGTACAAATCAGTGATGATGTAAAAATTCAAAGAAAAATAAGTTTTACAAAGACAATAAGGAGCCTGGTGTTGAAAAGAGTAATACTGGCTCAAAGTAGGTACTCTACATTTGTTGTGACATCAGGCATTATTATAGCTATCAAGTAATCAAGTAGACTGTCTAAAGTAAACTATCCAAATCTACTAAACTGTAATAGCCTAAAGTCTCTAAATAGAAAATATGCTCTCCCGTTTGAGTGACCAACCACCTTGTAGCACTCATGATGGTTCAAACTGTTTCAAATTCAACAGTTTTATGCCATGTGGCACTCATCCTACCTATGCAGACATTTTTCTCTCAAGAGTAATGATCTACAACTGAGATTTAAACAGAGTAGAATAAAATGAGGATTTACCAAAATATTTAGTTTGATATTTATGAGACATCCATAAAAGTTATCATTCAACTGACTTACCAAAGTTACCTTTTAGGTACTAGACCATAATGAATTAAAAGATAATCGGTTGTTTTCTTATTCTCGTAAACTAATTTGAAAAGAATTTTAAGCATCTATATATTCTAGATGGTTTATAACCTGGATATATAATTAAGAAAAAGGTATAAATTAAAACTTTATAAATTACTAAACCAATGAGTCAATTTTTTCAAATCTAACCTTATATTAGAAACTATAAAATACTGCTGCATTTGTTATTATTCTACCGTTTATTCTACAAACACCCTAATCAGTACTGGATCCTGAATTTCATTTAAGAAAGTAAAAATCCTTTAGATTTTCACAGGAAATTACCTTTAGTAAAAGTATGACATAATTCATCTGGCTTAAATGATGATTTAATCCATACTATTTCTTAATCCACGTTATACTGAAAATTCTACAGAGTTTTCGCTGATTCAACAATTTCCTAGGGCATTTCTAAAGACTAAGACTACTTTTCACTAATATCTCTCTATACTCTTTCAAGTGATTTACAGGAGGCTAAGGCAGGAAGATCGCTTGAGTGCAGGAGTTGGAGGCTGTAGCTGAGCTACTCTGACACCACTGCACTCCAGCCTAAGTGGCAGAGAAAGACCCCATCTCAAAATGAAACAAAAAACAAAAACAAAAAAGTAACTTACAGCAAAACACTGACTTTCTAAAACCCGGAATCCTTTGTATGACTGAAACTGTCATTAATTGCTCGATTTTTCTTATACCAATTAAAAATTTCATTTTTCGGACGGGCGCGGTGGCTCCCGCCTATAATCCCAGAACTTTGGGAGGCCGAGGTGGGAGGATCACGAGGTCAGGAGATCGAGACCATCCTGGCTAACACGGTGAAACCCCATGTCTACTAAAAATACAAAAAATTAGCTGGGCATGGTGGCAGGCACCTGTAGTCCCAGCTACTTGGGAGGCTGAGGCAGGAGAATGGCGTCAACCCGGTAGGCGGAGCTTGCAGTGAGCCAAAATCGCGCCACTGCACTCCAGCCTGGGCAACAGAGTGAGACTCCATCTCAAAAAAAAGAAAATAATAATAATAATAATAATTTATTTTTCAAGTAAGAAGGTTTTTAAGAAATTTAGCATCAACGAATATTCTTAAACCTTTTTACTGGATACTTTAGTGTATATTAAATAAATATACCTAAATACATATCGATAAACATATAATCAACCCAATCTGCTTTTGAAAAGACACCTACATAGAAGCAGAAAATAATTGTTTGGAAAAAAATACTTTGTTAGAACATGCTTCGTAAATGTATTCCTTTCTAATTAATTGAAAAATGTCAACTCAAGCTTTCTAAATGATATATAAAACTATCATAAAAGTCACAAATGTCTTCATAATTACCAATAATTTTTATCCCACGCAGTAGGAATCAGTAAGCTATCAGATAAGAATCTTTATATACTCATGTTTCCTAAAAGACCAGCAAAACCTGTTTTTAATCCTACCAAGTCATCTACAATATAATACACGACAGAGAAAAATCAATCTTGTTTATTAGTGAAGATACTTTTAATTCAACAACTCACTTCACTGGCCTATCTATTTTAGACACAGGCTGTTCACAATATCTGGTCTTGCAGGTTCCATTTATGTAAGTAGCCATGGCAACCAATACAGTTACATTAAACAATTCTAAAAGAAAAAATTGCACAGAATTTATCACTAACATTATTGTTATTTGCCATGAAGTGATCGGAATACATGTAGAAAACTACAGTACTTAATAATACTTACTTTCAGCATTGGACAAAGTGCAGGGATTACAGTCAACCAAAGCTAACTGAAAATGCTGCAAGACGAGAGTGAGAAAATTAATGCAGTCAATTTAGAGTCACACAAAAGCATCTTAAGATACTTTTCAGGTATGTAAGGTCTAAAATAATAATAAATACATGCTATGCAAATAAAATACACTAGCCTACCAACTAGAAATACTTTGAACATTTACTGCTGACAACTGACATGCTGTGGGGGTTATTTTCTTGAGACAGCTGAGAATGGAGAATTTGAAAAAGAATTAATTTTATCAAGTTATCCTATGTATATTTTTATTTATGTGAAAAAGGTGAAGATTTTTAAGTCAAGTAAACAGGAAGTGTTATACAACAGTTTAAATATTTAGAGAACATATCATTATTTTTGAAAATCCAAGTAGAAGTCTAATGGTATTGTCAGAACACCACTGCTTATCTCAAAATGAGACATGGACTTCTGAAACAAAAAAAATCACTATGAGTATTGTCATAGAGGGTAAAACTTTCTGTCTTTATTGATCTTTCAATAATCACTGTACTTAAGTGCCTTTTAAAATAGCCTGTGTCCAAGTTCATCTACCAAATATAACTGTCCTTTTACAATGTGACATTATATGCATAGAATTTGTATAATTTTCCAGTCAACAATAAACCACTAATACAGAATCCACTTGTAATAATATCATATAAGCACGTTAACATCAATGCATAACACTAATTTTTAGGAGCGCATATTATCATCAAGAACACTGGGTGACATTTAATATCTAGTTTATCAACATTAAACAAGGTATATAAATTAAGATAAGTAATAGAGTTGGTATAAAATCTAAGTTAAAAAAGATGAGTAAATCTCTTTAAACTCTTCTAAATAATATTCCTACAAATATATATTCAAATTTTCTGAGCCTCCACAAATTTTTAGCATTAAAAGTAATTAAAGTGGAAAGCATTAAAAAAAATGACCATAATAAATTCATTCCTATCCACAATCCAAAAATCTAAAGAGTTATTGATGTTGGCTACCCAAAAGTCACAAAGAAGGAAAATTAGAAAACATCACTTGGTATGAACACTGGCTATTATTAATGTATTCACTCAAGAATGTCTCTTGGCAAGGTGCGGTGGCTCACGACTGTAATCCCAGCACTTTGGGAGTTCTAGGTGGGTGGATCACCTGAGGTCAGGAGTTTAAGACCAGCCTGACCAATATACTGAAACCCCATCTCTACTAAAAATAAAAAATTAGCCGTTCATAGTGGTGAGAGCCTGTAGTCTCAGCTACTCCGGAGGCTGAGACGGGAGAATTCCTTGAACCCGGGAGGCAGAGATTGCAGTGAGCCAAGAGTGTGCCACTCCACTCCAACCTAGGCGACAGAGACTCCACCTCAAAAAAAATAAAATAAAATAAAAGTCTCTGATGTGCATGCATAATTAGGCTGACCAACACTTGTAATATTCTTAAACTTAAAGCTGATTACATCTTCTCAATGGGTCAAGAGTCTATAATGCCCTAAGGACAATGCAGACACTAGGGATGCAATGGTCAACAAAATAAAACTGAAAAATCATTTGCCATAGTTGACTGAATGAAAAAAATCTAACATTTGAACACTTTGAAAACTGCTTTTATTTTCCCTTGGCCTACTAAGCAGACTGTGTCTTCAAACATCCCTTTAGTGTGCTACCATAGCAATAGAGAACAGACTATTTTAAAACGTTTGAGTACTATGAAAGCAAAGCATGCTTTATAATCAATTGCTTTCCTCTAGACAAAAAGAGCACAAGAGTAGTCACACATTCAGACTGTACTATATTTCTAAGTCTAATTTGTCCTGTAAGCATAAATATTTAGATAGAAGAACACAGACCACCATTCCTAACTGAGCCATCAAAGGGTACAAACTGAAATGAGAAGAAACGGCCTTCAATATGGCAATATTTTAGTTTTACTATTTCACTGAAACCCCACAAGGAAGAATAGAGATGTAGAATTCAAACAGCCTAGCCTACATTTCATCTATCAGTAATTTAAGATTCTGCAGTGAAACCTGGCAGGAGTATTTCTTGACCATGTTTTGTGTAATTATAAAACAATCTTAAACGCAGCAATCAAGTTACTGATGCACCATTTCAAACCCACAACACTATGAAATACCAAACATTTCCAAACAGTGAAGACATAGGAAAATTACTCAGCAAAAGAATACACATTGGTTGGGTACAGTAGCTCACGCCTATAATCCCAGTACTTTGGGAGGCCGAGGCGGGCAGATCACCTAAGGTTAGGAGTTCGAGACCAGCCTGGCCAACATCATGAAACCCCATCTCTACTAAAAATACAAAAATTAGCCGGCATGGTGGCGGGTGCCTGTGGCAGAAAAAATGAGAATGCGTTTCAAAAAACAAAAACAAAAAAAACACGAATACACATTCAAAAACATCCACTATGACAATGAAAGAACTTACAGAATAATTACTAAGTGTTTATAAGAAACTAACAACACCGTTCCACATAAAGAAAAACACTGATATGCCGTTCAGCACTCTCAAGAGAGATGAAGAACCGGGGTAGGGATAACATGACCACAAAGCCTCATTTCCAGGACCTAAACCAGATGCAAAATAGATATACCTATTAACATATACACCAGTAGAAAGGACTATCAATTATGATAACCAGCCCACAAACCTGAAAATACCATGGTAAAATATCCAGCACCTTTCCCTGCAACCAACAGAGGCAGCTAGGAAACATCTGTGCCTCACACTGAAATACTGCAGTGCTGAAACTGGCTACTGCTGTGTGAAATAATTATTATGCAGAAGAGGCCTCTGCAGTTCAAAGACTATATACAAACCTGAAGGCGGAAAGCAGTCTACAGAAAATTAGTTTCCAAGCAAGAAGATTTACTTATGACTTTTTTTTTTTAATGTTATAGAGATTTTCTTTTTATGGAGCACTTCTGGCCCAATTTAACGCAAAGTTTGATTCATTACTATTTCTGTTGACATCTTTATCACCAAAGTCACCTTTTGTTTTAAAAGCCTTCAACGTGTTCAATATTTCAAAATAATGTTATAGTATTTTGCCTAATACAGCCAATGGAACTTGATTTCTATGGGGAGGGGGGAGAAATCTATATTCATGTAATTAACACATAAAACTTGAGTTTCAAGACTTTATTTCCCTTTAAATTGTTTTATTTCTAGCTGTATATAGTCTGATTACCTCATGAATCTTTTTACTTGTAGAACCCTTCAACTATATTCCCAATCCCGAAAACAAGCAATGGGATAACTTTTTGCAATTGACAAATTATGTATTTGGTTATAAGTTATTAATTTGGAGCAATGTTTAGATTCCAGTACCAATCTAGAATGTTCTGATTCAGTGGGTTGTAGGCAACAACCTGCAAACCAGAAAAAAAACTTATGCAAGCTATTCTAATATACAGAGTTAAACCACACTATTCTATTTTGAAGTTTTTAAATTATGTGCTTGCCCCAGAAACCTTTATTTCAGACTATATAAACAAGGTATGTATAGTTGATACTGCTGTCTATATCCAATTAAGGTAGAAACATGGCATTTTAGGACTGACATGCTGGCAACCAGCTTTTATCTATGCCAGGCACGCTTCTATGGCTATACATCTACAGAATACAATGTTCACTGAAATTAATGCCTTAATAGGATTTTTAAAATTTTAACCTGCTCTGAGAATACACAGGAAAGACAACTCCATAACAGAATCCAAAAAGATATAGATGAGGAAAGTAAGAAAAGAGTTACTTCAGGCTGAGGAAACCACTGAAGTTATTTTTACAGAGCCTTATAAAACAGGGTTATAATGACCATTTAAGTGAGAAAAGGAAAGGTGTGCCAGGTACTGTTGCATGTCAAAGATAAATCATTTTTTTCTTATTCATTGTTACAGACTGCCACATTTCTAAAATTATGAATTTAGGGCAGGGCATGGTGGCTCACACCTATAATCTCAGCACTTCGGGAGGCCAAGGCGGGCAGATCACTTGAGGCCAAAAGTTTGAGACAAGCCAGGCCAACATGGCAAAACCCAGTCTCCTCTAAAAATACAAAAATTAGCAGGGTATGGTGGCACATGCCTCAGGTGGCTGAGGCATGAGAATCGCTTGAACCCAGGAAGCGAAGGTTGCAGTGACCCAAGATCGCACCACTGCACTCCAGCATGGGCGACAGAGTGAGATTTTGTCTCAAAAAAATAAAATTAATATTAAAAAATAAAATAAAAGTATAAATTAAAACCAACAAACTTGATTCCTAAAATGAATAGTCTATGGGTAAGAATAGGGAAATGCCCTAGGATGCCATGGTACTTACTTTAAAAATGTGGTCTCTAAAATAAGATACAGAACTGAAAACGGCTAAGTTTTGGTAGGGCTTGTGAGCCACGTTCCTGGTCAAGATGATCTGACTGAGGTTCTCCCAAAGCCCTCAAAACTCAGTTCTGATACTCTTTGTAATACAAGGTTATTACAACTGTTTCCAGGAGGGAATCTACTGCATACCAATGACATGCTAATAGCTAACAAATCCTGACAATCTTCGCTCAAAAAAGAGGCTTCTTTTTTGAAGTTTACCAGCCGGTCTTTTCTAAAAATTTCTTTAACAAAAAAAAGGGGTGGGGGGTGGGGGACAAAACGCACTGTATACTGAAGATGTTCAAAATCTTAGTTCTAGCTCTTCTTTTTGGCTCCAGATTTATGTCTGTGTGCATGAATATCTGATATCCCTCAGGTACCTCCAAATCAATTTACTCCCAAATGACTTATCGCCATTCAGAGCCTTTTCACCTCCTAAACCCAAAACCGGCTGCTACTTTCTTTATCCCCTACTTTATTTAACATAGTAAAGTGGTCTGAGCCCGTAAATGGGAATCTCTTCCCACATCAAGTCAGTTAATAAATCTCTTTAAGATCTCTAGGATACATTCATTACCTTGCCCCCATCCATCCTATGAGCAACCATTTATCTTACAGCTCTTGCTCATCTTTCTTCCTGTAGCTGTATCCTACCTAGTCTTCCAACTCTTCATTTCTATCATACTTTACAAAAGTATAGGTATGCAACTGACTAGAAATTTTTAAAAACTGGTCCTAGTTTGCATCTAACCTATGTACACAAAATGATCAGAATATGAGCCAACTTAATTTCCAAGGTATTTCTATCTAGTGAGCAATTTGTATTCATATTTGAGACTGATATGTACACAAATAACTAATACAAGGTGAATATGATGTTTTATAAAGGGGGATACTGCAAAAATTTGCACTGTAGAATATCCTTTTAAAATATAACTTTTTTTTTTTTTTTGAGACAATCTCACTCTGTCACCCAGGCTGGAGTGCAGTGGTGCAATCTCGGCTCACTGCAACCTCCACCTCCCCAGTTCAAGCGATTCTTGGGCCTCCGCCTCTGGAGTAGCTGGGATTACTGGCACACACCAGCACCCTCGACTAAATTTTGTATGTATGTATGTATTTATTTATTAGATGGGGTTTCGCTCTTGTTGCCCAGGCTGAGGGCAATGGCTTGATCTCTGCTCACTTCAACCTCCGCCTCCCAGGTCAAGCGATTCTCCTGCCTCAGCCTCCCGAGTAGCTGGGATTACAGACACCTGCCACCATGCCGGCTTATTTTTTGTATTTTTAGTAGGGATAGGGTTTCATCATGTTGGCCAAGCAACTCTCAAACTCCTGACCTCAGGCAATCCACCCGCCTCAGCCTCCCAAAGTGCTGGGATTACAGGTGTGAGCCACTGCGCCCAGCCACACAACCTTTTTCTAAATGTGACAATACAGTGACTGCTTTATAAAGCTGCCTTTGAAGACCAAATATCTATAACGCCCTTAAGTTGTTGTAAGTTAGCACCAGAAATCACTTTAGAAATGACTTCTGTAGTTAAAATATACTAGAAGAGAGAAACTGTAACACAGGGAACCTAGAATCACCCTAACTCCTCAGTTTCAAAGAGAAAGAATGGTGTTACTGCACATATATGAGCAGCCATGTACTTTTCAAACATGCATTTTGCAGGTATTGAAGTATTTCGGCCACTTTTACTAATTCACACTTGAAGGCACGTTATAGAACTCAGGGCAGAAATAATATCAAACAGAAAACCAAAGTTGGGCAGGCAGAGTGAAATAGAGAAAGCATTATTAAGTGGCCAGATAAATTAATTAGGAGGTTGCCTCGTATCAGAAACTATTATCTAGGAAATTGGTAAAGTACAAGCTGACGAGTAGTACAAAGAGAAAAGAACAGAGAAAGGATGATTATTTTCTACAAGTGAGAAAAAGTAGAAAACAAAATAAACAGCAATGACCATCCTCTGCCAAAAGGAACAGTGATGTTACACTCAGGTGAAACTGAGTTCTACTGTCAATGACTGAAAGGAAAAGGAAGATTTAAATCAAAGAAAATAAACTGGGTTGCAGTTTCCTCAATCATAATCCAATCTACTGCTAACCATAAAAAGCCAAGCAAAATCTGACTATATGAATTTTATGTATAAAGAACCAACAGTTATACCAAAGGAAGAAATACACAGTGTAACTAATACTAAAAAAGAATGTTCTTCTTTTCTTAAGATGACCAGAATAGTGTGCTAATATTTTTTGGTATCTGCCTGGTGGTTTATCCAAAAATAGTATGTATTAAGAACTGCCTCAGTGAAGCATTTTAAATGTTAAACATGGTAGCAATGAAAAATGATGTTAATTTGTGGTTCTGGCCCCAAACTTAGTTTGCTGTTGCTGTGTGGTGTTGCTGTTACTCCAGGAGGAAATCCATTAAATAAAAAGTACAGGCCGGGCGTGGTGGCTCACGCCTGTAATCCCAGCACTTTGAGGGACCAACCAGCACTTTGGGAGGCCAAGGCAGGCGGATCGCCTAAGATCAGGAGTTTGAGAGCAGCCTGACCATACGATGAAACCCCATCTCTACTAAAAATACAAAAATTAGCCGGGCGTGGTGGCATGCACCTGTAATCCCAGCTACTCGGGAGGCTGAGACAGGAGAATCACCTGAACCTGGCAGGCAGAGGTTGCAGTGAGCCGAGATCGCGCCATTGCACTCTAGCCTGGGCAACAAGAGTGAAACTCCGTCTCAAAAAAAAAAAAAAGTACCAAAAAACAACGATTAGGCCTCACCATTTTTACATCCCAACCAATTCCTATGAAGATTCTACAAATGCAGCTTCCATGATATGCCAATACTCTGTAGATCCTTTCTTGAAGAATTTCTTTCCCTTCCCGGTCCCATGTTCTAAGCCAAATCTCAGGATAAACACCAAATCTTATAGTTTTATAACTACCACCAATTATTCCAAGCTGTTGGGGGTGGCAAGGGGATAGGACTTTTCTAATCCCCTAAGAAAATTGAGTCATATGAGTGAGATGCCTTCCTCCATTCTTTCTCTCAAATCAAACCACTCAAGATTAAAATTTTCAAAATGCCAGCTGAAAGAGGTGAGAGCTATTGAGCATCATAAAGGAAATAGGGCAGAGCAAGTATGGAGAAATAATAACTTTTTCTTTAAGAGACGGGCGGGTGTGTGTGTGTGTGTGTGTGTGTGTGTGTGTTTCACACTATGTTGCGTGTGTGTGTGTGTATGTGTGTCTCACTATGTTGCCCAGGTTGCTCTCAAACTTCTAACTTCAGGTGATCCACCTGCCTCAGCTTCCCAAAGTGCTGGGATTACAGGCATAAGCTACTGAGCCCAGCCCTAAACTTTCATTATCTTCAGACTACTGAACTAACAAACGTGTGTGTGTGTGTGTCTCTCTCTCACTATGTTGCCCAAGATGCTCTCAAACTTCTGACCTCAGGTGATCCACCCGCCTCAGCCTCCGAAAGTGCTGGGTGCTGGGTTTACAGGCATGAGCCATGGTGCCCAGCCCTAAACTTTCATTATCTTCAGACTACTGAACTAACAAAAATATACTATTAAAATGTCAATAAAGAAACATTACAAATATTCTAGAAACATAAGGCATGGATAAAATTAATTTAATAGCTAGCATTCAAACTCAGCAAGTTATTTCTAAAATACAGAAAGTTCACAGTATCTTTTTTTTTTTTTTTTTTGAGATGGAGTTTCGCTATTGTTGCCCAGGCTGGAGTGCAATGGTGCGATCTCAGCTCACTGCAATCTCCACCTCCCAGGTTCAAGCAGTTCTCCTGTCTCAGCCTCCGGAGTAGCTGGGACTACAGGCGCGCCACCATGCCCAGCTAAATTTTTTTTTTTTTTTTTTAGTAGAGACGGGATTTCTCCATATTGGCCAGGCTGTTCACGAACTCCTGACCTCAGGGGACCCACCCGCTTGGCCTCCCAAAGTGCTGGGATTACAGGCGTGAGCCACTGCGCCCGGCCCACAATATTTTAATTATATGAAACAAATGATCTGTGCATTCTACATGAATAAAATAATAAAAGACAGGAGGCATTTCAGATTTCAAAAGCGGTTTCTAAAAGGAGGTACACATACATGATCATGTCTTCATGTATTCCTTCTGCCTAAATATCTTGGCATCAAAAATATTACAATAAAATTCCTGAGTTTATACAGGGTAGAAGATCAAATGAGACACCTCGTAATGAAGTAGTTCCTAAAGAAGAGTATGGTACAAAGACAGTGGAGCTGCCACTTCACTCAGAAGTTTCATGTCGAGTATAATAAGATGGCAAGCATACTGCATGAATTGGTGAACTGAGCCATCTGGAAAAAACAACTGCAGTGTCAGTTTGTATAGAAAAAAATTCTGTTAAGTGATGATGAATAAAACCAGCTTTTTTTCTTTTCTTCAAATTTTCCAGCCTGTTCTATAAGTAGGCATTTTCTCATTTTATAGCCTCTTCCATTTTATTTATCTACCCATTCAAGAAACACCAACACCCAGTAAAATGGCAAGCTAACACACAAGTCTCATTTGAGTTCAATCCATTTCCTTTGAAACATTTACTGTCTCCATAATTCTCATCTTCCTATCCCTTTCACATTAACCCCTTCAATCAGCACTTATCATATTCAAATACCAAATTATAAAAGGGGACTTAAATTGGCATCTCAGCCAATGATCTACAGGTTTCCATAAAAAAGGCACCCTTTTTGGTTACCTAACTTTAAAATCCCAAAAGAGTTCTAAGTTGACATAGTTTAGGAATATTTAAATATGTAAACATTAGGGAAAATTCCTATATAAGCTTCCTCTAAATAGATGCACAGGCATTAACTGACTGAAGAATAAGGGTGTCATTGTATCTTATTCTTCACATGAAGGAAATAATTTTAATAGTCTGCCAGGATGTGAAAATTAGGGACATTATATAAAACTATCTGTCAACAGTAATATCCTTTTATTAAAGTAATGGTAGCACACTGCTTCAAATATATACTGAAAATAAGTAACTGTCATTAATATCATTAAAGGATAATGAAATAAAAGTCCTGAATTAGGCTGGGCATGGTGGCTTGCACCTGTAATTCCAGCACTTTGGGAGGCTGAGGCAGGTGGATCACCTGAGGTCAGAAGTTCGAGACCAGCCTGACCAATATGGTGAAACCCCGTCTCTACTAAAAATACAAAAATTAGCCAGGTGTGGTGGCACATGCCGGTAGTCCCAGCTACTCGGGAGGCTGAGACAGGAGAATTGTTCGAAACTGGGAGGCGGAGGTTGCAGTGAGCCGAGTTCACACCACAGTATTCCAGCCTGGGCAACAGAGTGAGACTCCGTCTCAAAAAAAAAAAAATCCTGAATTAACTGTATGGCATTAACTAGGCAACCAAACCCACCTTAGGGGATATTAGCTGAAGCAGAGAAGAAAAACAACAAAATACCTGTCACCCTGAAATGGACTCTGGTTCAGATAATATTAAACTAGTTCACGAATTAAGAATTGGTATCTCCACTGCTCACTAAACACATACAATCTTTATTGGTCAATTTAATGTAAAAATAACACCATAGGATCATAAAGTTTGCTGAGCATTAGCTTCACATTTCTGAGGATGGGCAGAGGGACAAAAATACAAGGATTAAGTTCTAAGACAGGAACATTTATTTCTCCAACAGTATCTATGCTGGCCCCCAATTATGGTTGTTTTACATGATAGATAACTGAGACTAAAGAAGGGCTGAAACTATTTATTTGTAAGATATAAATTCTAGAAGATAACATCAGAAAAACTCTTCTAGACATTAGGCAAAGAGTTCATGACCAAGAATCCAAAAGCAAATGCAACAAAAACAAAGATAAGTAGATGGGACCTAATTAAACCAAAGAGCTTCTGCACAGCAAAATAAATAATCAGCAGAGTAATCAGATAACCAATAGAGTGGGAGAAAATGTTCGCAAACTAGGCATCCAACAAAGGACTAATATCCAGAATCTACAAGGAACTCAAACAAATCAGCAAGAAAAAAAAACAAATAATCCCATCAAAAAGTGGGCAAAGGACATGAATTGAAAATTCTCAAAAGAAGATATACAAATGGCCAACGAACATAGGGAAAAAATGCTCAACAGCCCTAATGATCAGGGAAATGCAAATCAAATCCACAATGCGATACCACCTTACTCCTGCAAGAATGGCCATGATTTAAAAATCAAAAAATAACAGATGTTGGCATGGATGTGGTGAAAAGGGAACACTTTTACACTGCTGGTGGGAATGTAAACTAGTACAGCCACTATGGAAAACAGTGTGGCGGTTCCTTAAAGAACTAAAAGCAGAACTACCATTTGACCCAGCAATCCCACTACTGGATATCTATCCAGAGGAAAAGAAGTCATTATATAAAGAAGACACTTGCACACACATGTTTATAGCAGCACAATTTGCAATTGCAAAAATATGGAACCAGCCTGAATACCCATCAACCAATGAGTGGATAAAGAAAATGTGGTATATACATCATGGAATACTACTTAGCCAAAAAGGAAGGAAAGAATGGCATTTGCAGCAACCTGAATGGAGTTGGAGACCATTATTCTAAGTGAAGTAACTCAGGAATGGAAAACCAAACATCACATGTTCTCACTTAGAAGTGGGAGCTAAACTATGAGGATGCAAAGGTATAAGAATGAGATAATGGACTTTGGGGACTCGGGGAAGAGAGGCAAGGGGGTGCGGGATAAAAGACTACACATTGGGTACAGTATACACTGCTCAGGTGATGGGTGCACCAAAATCACAGAAATCACCACTAAAGAACTTTTCCATGCAACCAAACACCACCTGTTCCCCCAAAACTAGTGATATAAAACTACACACATATAAAAACAAACACACACATATATTCACCTTTATATCAATCATGTGGGTGGCTATAATTATTCTAGTTCTTCAGACACAGAGAAAATCAAGAGTCAGAAATCTTACTCAAGGTCACGAAGATATGCGGCAGGGTCAAAGTTTTGAAAACCAAGTTGGTTTGCTCTGAGAGCTGTTTACACAGCACCAACACAGAATTTCAGAGACACATTTTGTGAGAAAGTTATCACCAGTGACAGAAACACAACAGGAGGCCCTACAATTCATTTCATATTGGGAGGAAAAAAAAGGAATCTATTATGAAAATACGCTGTATTTTATTTAAATAGTTTACCATCCAAAAAGTATTATACACACTTGGGCAGAGGGAAAGGAAATGGGATAGAGAAGATCTGATCTGTAACGGACAGACTGTTCACACCACTCCCCATACCAAAATATCCTTTTTACCCACCCTATCCCTCCACTGGATAACAACTACTTACAGATTTGAACAATTCTCAAAGACTGGGCATAACTAGTCTAAGAGCAACCACATTTCCTTTGATAAGAAATCAATTAGGAATGGCCATGTGGCCTATTTCTGGCCAATAAGATGCAAGGTGAAGTATTTTTGAAGAGATCAACAGGCAACCAGGATCTTTCTCCTACATGAAATGATCATCATCATTTACTATGCACTTATATGCCAGCATTACACTAAGCAGAGCAACCAGCCTTTAGAAAAAGCCAATACAGAACTGAGAAGAAAATGAATCCTTGATGAAACCTTAGATCAGCTGAATCAACCAATCCTGAAGGCTAGACTTCACATAGGAGCATATTTTTTATTATTTTAACCAATTTGAGTTGGAGTCCCTGAGGTTACAGCCTAAAAAGCATCTATACCAACACACTGTGCTACAAAACAGCTTAATGTTGTGGAAAAGCCATCAGAGGTTCCACATTTATCCAGATGAAGGTGAAGTATTAGAAAAATGGAAAACCACCTAAAGGGGGATATCATTCCTTCTATTCCTACCTTCACTCATTCTGAATGCTAAGCACTTTAGTAATAAACTAAAATACCTCCTCCTCTTTGACTAAAAATGTTCATGCCCAAATTCTTCTTAAAATAGATAAGGAATACTAGAGAGAGGGCTGAAAAAGCCAAAGTCAGGATGAGATAAAAATCAAATGAAACCTTCACACTCTAGGGACGAGAAATATCATGGACTCGTTAAAGGTAAAAGTCCCCCAAAAGAAGGCTGCCCTCACTTAAGGCAATTTTGCTAAGATCACCATGACTTGACTTTTTAGACTTTCTACCTGAACAAATAAAAGTGGTATGCAGGAATGTTCCCACCAAGCTTAAGTTAAGTAGAACACTTTCAATCGGCCATGAAACACTGTTTCCCTTGATTAAAGGAGATTTTAAATATCGCCACTTTCATTTAAATGGAATTTTGCATCTTTAGAATTACTTAAGGTATCACTGTACTGATACACGCATAGTCACATTCCATAATGTGGGACACATCTGATTGCTTTTCCCTTCAAATGTATTTCCTAAGCAACATTTACCAAACTGCTACCAAAAACACTTCTGCAACATAATAAGCATGTGAAATGCTTAAATGTTTATTCTGTATTATAAGACATTTTAAAGAGTCTTTGATAGCTAATAGAAACTGCAAAAAAAATGTGAGGCAGCTTTATAAACTTATTTTCCAGTTCATATCCGCTGACGTCCCACAGTATGGTGTCAGAAATGCTACTACTCTAAGCTTGAGGAAAAGTGGTAACTTCCAGGCATCCCTCATTCTCCACACTACCTGCACCCTGCACTTACCCTGGAACTTATTCCTCGACTGCACTTACCTTCAACCACTGTGTGATCTAAATTCTTCGCAATCTACTGTTTTTAGTGTTTTTGGTTGTACCTCCCTCTCTCTTTAACATCATCAGTATTGTTCTTTTAACTCATGTAAGGTAGAAACAGTACTTGCATAGTTTTCTACTTTAAAAATCTAGAACAATTAGACACTCTTGAGTACAGTTTTTTTTATTTTTAACCTTCAGTAGTTCCTTATTAGTGAGCTCAAATTACAATCTACTTGAATGTCATTCTTTATCTCCCCAACCACCCTTCCTTTAGAATCAAGATAGTCTGCAATGGAGATTCAGAATACAACAACCATTATAAACAATAAACATAAATTCACAAAAACTTAAACTTTTTCCTACAACTGCTACTCCTTTCAAAACATAATTCCTCTGTTGGGCAGGAAAGCACTATTTTCAGAAAAAGCCCAGCAAGACCTAAATTGATGGTTCAGATAGCATAAAAAACTCAATGAAAAATTAAAAACTGGAGAAATATCACATTTCCATGGATACGAAGTTAATCAACAACATATCATCTTTTCCCACAACGTTTATGCTCACAAACCAACAGTCCAAATGCCTTGCAGAGAACACTCTTTTTTCTAATTTAAATATAAGATGTGCTTCTGCTGGTAGAAGTACTGAGACCCATGGAAACAGGGTCAATGATTGGGTCACAGAAAAACATCCTTTCAGAACCATTCAGCTGGTTCTGAACTCTACAGTGGCAAATCATTTCTAGAGGAGTTATTTACATATCCAAACAGACTGAAACCTTCACCCTTTCCTGATGACAGATCTTAGTTAAAACTATTTTTTTAAAGTGTAATTGTATAATGTTACCATGGAAGTCTTAGCATAACTACTTTGTACCTTGAAACTCTACTTCACAGTTGATAAACAGTTCTGTCACCTGAATTTTCAAATTTTCTTTTAAAGTGCCAATATAAATTCCAACATTTCTCAATGCTCTAATATTTAAGAAAAACAAAAACAAAAAAACCACAAAATTAAACATTGTATCTTGAAAAAACCCAACAACCTACCTTTAAACTAGACTCATAGTCTGTGTTCACTTTGAACATAAGCCCAAGTCGTAAATGAATTTCCTTGGCTCGACAAAAGCTGGGATCAACATAAAGCACCTCCTGAAATGCTTTAATTGCCCTGAAAGAATATAGACATAAGATATCTTAACTTTTTAACACGTGCATGAATTCTTGCTTGGTAGTACATTGAAACTTCTGTTTTATGCAATATTGTTTTAAAGGAAATGTTGGTTTTATAAAAATGATGTTAATAAATACTAAAAAAGTAAAATTGAAAAGGGGCATATGGACCTTTTATATAATTAAACGTATATAATCTAATTTGATATAAAGGGGAAGGAAGATAGGTTGAATTTATTCTAAATTATTCAAACAGACAGTATTTCATGGTTTAATCAAATTATCAGTAGAAATAACTGATTTCATTGTTTCTGAAATTTCCTAGAGGAAAACAGGGTGGGGCAAACAGGAAAGTTTTTAAGGATATGGGATTAATCTTGTTTCTGGTCTACTCTATAAAAATAAGTCTTCTTTCTAAAAGTTTACATTTTTGTCTTTCATATTTAGGCTTACAAACCATCTGTACCTTATCTTTTATACTATGTGCGGTTAAGAGACGGTCTTCATATTTTCCAAACTGATATCCAATAGTACCTGCACCATTTGTAGAAATGACCATCCTTACTCCAAAACTCTATGTTGCTACTGTGTCCTAAATCAAATACCCATATTTGTGTAGGTCTACTTCTCTATTCCATTCCGCTTTTCTTCGTCTATCAGTTCATCTTTGCCCCAAATTCACATTGTATCTTTTATAAAAGGTTTTGATCACCAATAGAACAAGTTCAGGGGTTGGGGAAAGAAACACTTTTCATTGAATACATTATTATATTGTTTAATTTGATCATATGACTGTATTGCCTACTCAAAAATAAATATTAAAATAATGACAAAGAAAAATGTCTACTTTGAATTTTGAAGGTTATATCAGATATAACAGTATATTCAGTATCATTTTAGGTTCCTCTACATGATTTAAAGCTTCTTCCAAGCACAAGCTAATATATTATTTGCAAAACTTTTAATCAATTATCTCTACCCCTACAGACCTTAAAGTGGCTATTTAGAATCTTAGATGCTTTCAAAACAAAAACAATCTTTTGTATAAAATAGTTCGAAACATCATAGCCACAAAATAGAGCAAAATAATACTTCATGTATTTAGTAACTTTACTTTCATCAATTCATACATTATTTACTTCCCAAAAAAGTGTGAATGGTTATGTACACTTTTGCTATAAAATTAAGAGTCCTAAAAGGTAGTGTTTATTGCAGATGGCAGTGAGGGGTGGAACACAGGTCTGGCATCAGACACCTTTACCCTGATTATGACAGTACTTTCTTCTGAAGGGGAGCTGGGTATCCATCTGTTAGGTGGATTTTTAAGTAGGTGGGGTATGTGTGTTATTATCTGATGTATATAGGCTTTGAGGCAGGAGAGGAGAGTTAAAGCACTGACAGGCAAAAACTGTGGTAAATTACCATTCTCATTTAAAGGCAGCTTCCTACTTAATCAATGTACACTTAGGGGTTGGGGCAAGTCACATGTTTGGAAAAGGCATCAAAAGGGTTAGGACGAGGACAACTGCAGCAATAAATGCTGCCAATTAAAACATATGGTGTGACTGGGAAAGGGTATACAAAGACTTTTAGAAGCTTCTGGGGTGATAGCAGTATTTTATTTCTTGATGGAGGTGGTGATTACATGAATGTTTATTTTATAACAACATGTTAAGATATACAATGACGATTTATGCATTTTTCTGTAGGTATGTTATATTTTATAATAATAAAATTATGGATAATGCTTCTTAACCTTACCTTATAGGACCAGAAAACTCTCTAATGGAATGGGTCAGAACTAAGCAATGTCCACACATGCCAATAAAAAACCCAGGCAGGCCTGAGTCAAAGATATGAAAGAAAAAGAATGAAAGTGGAAAAGAATAAAGAAATAACAAAGAATTCAGGAAAGGAAAAAGGTATAACAAAGGGTATGTCAGGAAGAGAAGGAGAAGGAACACAGTACAATAACAGCCCCTCAGGTGCAATATTTCCTACTCTCAGTTTCTATTTCTAGCCTTTTCCCTAAACACAGTATTTGTGGATATGTTTTACTCCATGGGTGCCTTTAGCACAGACATCTTTTCCACTTAGTTCACAATGTCACACGGGCGCAAAGAAACATGGGTTTAACATGTTCTCTATGTCTGTTAACAAACTGAGGTTAAAAAAACACACTGTTAATCTATAAGCAAAAAACACATGTTCCAAATAACAGCAGTTGTCTACGTTTACTCTTTAGGGACTATTAAGTGCCCAGGACAAGGTGCAACCTATATATATATAATCAAAGTTCTCCTCGTTGTTCTTTCTAAGTTTATCTCTAATCGAAAACCTTATAGACCCAATCTTCTGCTTCTGTATCTCATTACTAGATTACTGAAATAGTCTCCTTAAGGACTTTCCTTGCTCTGCTCTGGCTTGTACATATTCCCTCAAACGTGTGGCTCCTGTGATTGCCTAACAATTATGATACTATAAATAAAATCTCCATGTTGCACTTAAGATGGGTGAGCAGTACTTATTCAACTCCATTTCTTCTTCTACCCCTATTATTGCTCCTCCTCAGCTATAAACTGGCTTATCTCAGGAATTCTTAAATACTGGTTCTCCTGACTTCACTGCTTTTCCTTACTAATTCTCCTGATCTCTAATATTTTGATTCATCTGCTGCCCTCTAAATCCACTATTATCGTCAAGACACACCACCCAAACTGGTCAACGACAATTTTTGCTTAGTGTAAACCAGCAGTTAGGTCTACTTTACGATCAAATCATTTCATTCACTACCTATCAGTGTGCTGTCTCCAGTTTTTCCAAGTGTATTCCTTGAGGCCTATATTTCTCTTCTATGTTTAATATCCTAAAATAATACAGCAAAGGGTTTAAATTTAATAGATGTTTACTGGTGCCATCACATTTACAGTTAATTGATGGGACTTCTTTACTGATCAGTTCTTCTAACACAAAACACATTATTCGAACATGTAAGTTCATTTCCTTTTCTAAACTTTTCCATGTTCTTCTCCTGTGTGCGTCTTCAGGTTTATCCATCCCAAGAAAAACAAGTAAATAAATAAGAAATAAAAACACTGGGGGAGGGGGAGAAGGAAGTACAAGGGAAGGTGGATTTGGAGTTAAGAGTTTAGAGTTAAGAGTTGAGGGAGTGGGAGGGTAGAGAAAATAGGTAACACTCAGACTACATTCTAATTTTGGTCATCAGCTTACTGCATTCATATTTCACCAAAATGCAGGTGGCCACAACATGATCTCTATGGCACAAACTAGACTAAATCATTAACACATTCAATTTCTGTAACCTCAGAATTCTGACTGATGGAATTTTAGAACATGAGAAATAGCTACCAGAAACCATAAATACTTTTATGATACAATTCCCTGGAAAGGTTTACAGTTTTCAAATACTTAAAGCATATTCTCTAACGAAACAAAAGAAATGCACATTGCTCTGCATGGTATCATTGGCATTTTTCTTAAAATCTGAAAAATATAGTTTTTATATCATCAAAATAGTTTCTATAGATTTTCAGTTTAAAGGATTTTTCATTTAATGTTTGCCACTGTTAACCATTTTAAAAAGAAAATGATATAAAGCTAAAACCTCAATAACACTACCTACAAAAAACATATACATGTGCTGAATATATTTCACAATGGTCATTTTTAATAAGACTTCCACAAAGTCATTTTTAAAGCCTCCTCTAAAACTATAGTAAAAATAATAGTATTAATATTCTTAGCACAGTTCCAGTACATTTGGAAAGACACATAATAAAACTTTAAGTTGGCTGGGCATGGTGGCTCATACCTGTAATCCCAGCACTTTGAGAGGCCAAGGTGGGTGGATCATGAGGTCAAGAAATAGAGACCATCCTGGCCAACATGGTAAAACCCCATCTCTACTAAAAATACAAAAATTAGCTGGGCGTGGTGGCACGCGCCTGTAGTCCCAGCTACTCAGGAGGCTGAGGCGGAAGAATAGCTTGAATCCAGGAGGCAGAGGTTGCAGTGAGCCTTGATTGTGCCACTGCACTCCAGCCTGGCGACAGAGTGAGACTCTGTCTCAAATAAATAAATAAACAAATACATACATACATACATACATACATACATACATACATACATACATAAAATAAAATCAATAAAACTTTAAGTTCTCTGAGGCTAACAGGCTGAACAAGAGATTTCTCACAGAGATATATGAAGGGATAAATCAACTAATTCCACAAATTTTCATACTAATAAAAGAATATTTTAGCTCTAATTTAGTTATAACACATACATACACAACACAGATATACATATATATTAGGAAATTTAGAAGTTGTTTCTAAATAATTAGAAACATTTGATGAAGTAAGGGACAGGTAGGTAAGATTTTAAAAGGTTGAGATGGAAGAAGGCAAAAGTCACATAGGTTAAAAAAAATGCTTAAGATGTTTTCAGGGAAATGTTAATACACTGTGACTGGCACAAAGAATATATTAATATTTAGGGGAGCAGTAGGCTAGAAGGATCATTTGAGGTTGAATCAGAAATGACCTTAAATGTGAGGCTAAATTAGAAATGTCATACCCTGGATTATTCACACTGACAGTTGCTAATATATCACCTGTCCTGGTTCTTTTCTCCTCTCTAGCCACTCTTCATTTCATCACTTCAGGAGTGGGATTATTTTCTTTCCCCTACCCTATTGCAAGATTTATGTTTTTATTCACAATTTCCCTGAAGCCTAATTAATCAAAGCCCTTCCAAAATTTATCTGGCAATCTATGTATCACTGTTTAAGTGTAACTTTATCAGAACTGCCTTAAATCTGCTATTTTCCAAAATAAAAGTATATATAATAAACTCAAAACATGTTAACATTAACTGCTTAATTTCAATGGAAATGTAAGAGTATGTTTGTATCATGATAGCTCAAAAATACAACGTTTGCCAGGCTCCATGCTAGACAAGCCTCAGAATCAATGGTACCACCATGCATTAGGTCTATGTTGCATTATTCTTTCGTTCCATCAAAAAGCTGTAAGAACATCATTAAAACCACTATTCTTTTTCTTTACTGAACCCAAAGCAGTGACTATACAGGAGAGTAGAAATTCCTACACCCCTAAGAACACTTGTGACTAGTACAGTGCTATGAAAATGAATCCTACAGAAACTTTACACCAGGCTCCGTGGCTCACATCTATAATCCCAGCACTTTGGAAGGCCAAGGCAGGAGGACTGCTTGAGCCCAGGGGTTCAAGACCAGCCTGGGCAACACAGTGAGACCTCATCTCTACAAAAAAAAATACAAAAAATTAGCCAGGCATAGTGGTTCAAGCCTTCAAGCCTGTAGTCCAAGCTATTCGGGAGGCTGAGGTAGAAGGATCACTAGAGCCCCGGGAGGTTGAGACTTCAGTGGGCCGTGATTGTGCCACTACACTCCAGCCTGGGTGACAGACTGAGATCCTGTCTCAGAAAAAAAAGAAAAGAAAAGAAAAGAAAGAAAAAAGAAGAGAAAAGAAAAAAGAAAACTTTAGTAGTAATTTGTTAATATTTCTGTCTTTCTGAATTCATTTCTACCTCATTCTCCTAATCCTTTTTTATGTCAAAGTAATAATTATCACATTTCCTTATTAAGCCTGTCAATTATATTTGGGGGCTTAATTTCCAAAATCCTATGCTTCTAGCACAGTATCTCTTACATTTGCTGCCATAAGACCATTCTGATATTGATCAATGGAATGGAAAGAAGGAAAAAGGTTACAGGACAGAGATAGTTAATAAGGATTCTTAGGAAGATATATTTAGAGAGATGGCTATAAGCTATACAAGGAAGAATGATTTCTATTGTACTGACTTTATCTTTTCCCCCAACTATCTTTTTTTAGTCTAACTTTTCCTTGCTTTGTATTTCACTTACTCTCACCCTAGGATATAGGTTTCCTTCCAAAGGCAAGGAGCTCAGTTCAAGGTATCCCCTAGCAAAGAGCCACCTTAATGAATAAGAACAAGTGAATGCAGGGGCTTGCATGCATGCACATGTAAAGCAATGGCTTTTTAGAGACTGGTTTCTAGCACTCTGCTGCATATATTTTACACTCTGCTTCTATGTCTTCCTTTATCCTTCTGGGCATCTTTTAAGTTTGGTCCCAGATTACTGAGTAAAATAACAGCATAGCTGTTACCGTAAGTCCAATGAGGATGGAACAGTTGACTGGGCTCCTCTGTCTAAGAAGAGGCTGCAACTGATACTGGAAAAACTGACCAAATAATTGAACTATCTAGAGGCTGACCAATAAAATCAACTCTGAAATAAAAAATAGGTAGCATAAGATGACAATAGGTTAAGAGTAACACTATAACTAATAAAATTGCTCTCAATATTTTAAGTCACCAACTCAGACACACGTTGGTCACACACATTATCATAAAATGCTTAACCTCAACAAATGCCAACAGACACAATTAGCAAATACCAAATTTTACTTAAATTATAAATGTACCAGAGATACAACACTCTGAAACATCATAGGCAGATTCTTCATGCTGACAATACAAAACAAGAACCCATACTCATCCCCAGAAACATTTCTCAATAGATCCCAAAGAACCTGACATGTAACTAAAACATTCCTGATCCCAGTAATCAGCAAGTATCTACAAATAAAACACAAAAGTAGTTTTAACCTAAATAAGCTCCAATCAATTAAGGCTGTACTCTAAAACTATCACCAAGCACCTACCCCATACTTTCTAATTTTATAGCTGTTAAAGAAATATCAAGTTAAAGCAAAAATGTGAGGCAAATTTGTGAAAGAACATTTGATTAGCAAGAGAAAAACACAGCCAGAGTGAATTCATAAGATAGGGTGTGAGATGTATCATTTTAGGAAGCAGCTATAAGAATTGAAACTCAAGACATGAGAAAATGATGGTAACCAGAACAGGATCAACAGAGCAGGGGGCACTTATTAATGTAGACATTGCATTGTCCTTATATCATTCAGTTTCATTTCTTAGGTCAACTGAAAAATATAGAAATCATATGTAGATAAGGAATCACAGCTACAAGCCTGCTAACTTAACATGGCCACATGCTTATTAAAGCAATCAACATTTGAACTATTGACAGGTTCACCTCATTACTAATTTTATGTTCTTAACCCCAGTACACAGAGAGGCTTACAAATTGCCATAGGTATGCGAAAACTGGCTGGTATGAGGTAGAACAGAAGAGTTCCTCCCCTCAGGTGTCACCTAAATTATTTCTAGTTGGCCATAAAGATTATATCAATGTGCTCAAGTGAACAATGACAAATACTGATTAAATAATAACCACCTCTCAATCTTAAAACCTGGGGACAGAGTACAATAAAATATTTGATTGGAGACTATGAGCATAAGCTTGCTTCTGCCACTCAACAGTTATGTAATACTGACTAACACACACACACACCCCCTTGCTTTCTCCATCTACAAAATTAAGGGGGAAAAACTAAATTATCTCTAAGACTACTTCTAATTCTAGAAGTTTAGAATTTGAATTCTATAAGTAGGCTATTAAAGAAACTGAAAGATTTTAAAACAGTCCTAATCTATCTTTGGTTTTAAATACAATACACTGAACATGAAGTTAGGAGGCTTTATTTAGGATAATTTAATAGAGAATAAAATTACAAAGCTTCTTCATAAAAATCAATTATACCTTCCTAAGATTTACAAAGAAAACCAGTGATCTGAATCATTATAATACACTATATACACACAGGTATTCTCTAACAAAGCAGTGCTTCCACACATGATCAAAAGCCAACAAGACCAAAAGCTAAGAGGGAAGAAAAAGGATACTAGGAAAAACCATCCATGTATAAAGCCTCCTCTTTAGGGAAACCATATAAAATCACTGTCAATGCATATGTAAATGCTCTGTAATAAGTATTCAGGGTGCCCAATAGGTATATGACAGAGTTGTAACATTTTGCCACTCAATCACCTTCCTTTGGACTCCCACAGAACTCACCCGTGAGCTTAAAATTCTGGAGCACAGAAGGGACTCTGAAAAGGTCAGATACACTAAAAATAAAAAATGTCACCAGGTGTGGTGGCTCACACCTGTAATCCTAGCATTTTGGGAGGCTGAGGTGGGCGGATCACTTGAGGTCAGGAGTTCGACACCAGCCTGGCCAACATGGTAAAACTCCGTCTCTACTAAAAATACAAAAACATTAGCCAGGCATGGTGGCGGGCGCCTGTAATCCCAGCTACTTGGGAGGCTGAGGCAGGAGAATCGCTTGAACCCGGGAGGCGGAGGTTGCAGTGAGCCAAGATCGTGCCACTGCTCTCCAGCCTGGGCGACAGAGTGAGACTCTGACCAAAAAAAAAAAAAAAAAAAAAATCTACATTGGGTTGACATTTTATAAAATGTACTGTATCTCACTTGATCATCAAAACTCTATAGGAAAGGCAAGTGACTGCTATGTAGTTTTGTTTTTTAAACAAATGATGATGCCAGCGTGGGGGCTCATGCCTGTAAATCTCAGCACTTTGGGAGGCTGAGGTGGGAGCATGCCCTGAGGCCAGGAGTTCAAGACCAGACTGGGCAACATAGGGGGAGGCCCCATCTCTACAAATAAAAACAAACTCTCTGGGCATGGTGGCATGTGCCTGTGGTCCCAGCTACTTGGGAGGCTAAGGTGGAAGGACTGCTTGAACACAATAGATTGAGACTGCAGTAAGCTGCAATCTCGCCACTGCACTCCAGCCTGGGCAACAGAGTGAGACCCTGTCTCAAAAAATAAATAAATAAATAAAATAAATAAATAAATAAATAAACAAACTAAAGAGGAAACAGACCTAGAGAAGTTATTTAATTCAAGATCAAACTAAGTGGCAATGCTGTGACAACAATACCAATCTTTCAACTAAAACTATATGCCTTTTTACCCCATTAGTGCATACTATTGTCTGGTAAACAGAAAAACAACAATGGGGCAAAGGCCATAATATTACAGGGTACTTCACTTTACAGTTTAGAAAATCTTATATATTACTATTATTATATTTAATCTCCAACTCTGAAGTGGTACTATTCTACAGAGAACTGAGAGTTTATGAGTTGGTGCCTAGTTACTGGATATTGGAAAGTGCTAGCTGGTATGTGGAAGGGAGAAGTGGTCAATCTTGTCTAGAAGTCTGAAAACTAGCCATCATAGACCATTTACCCACATATCTTGACTTCTGAGATCACAGTGATTCACCAGTTCAAATAACTTGGGGAACACCAGTCCATAATGAATGACTAAGAAATTCCAAAAAGCTTTCTAATCTAAGCCTTCTTCAACAGAATCTTATACTAGATTCTTTCAGGAAAACATACAACTCTAAAAATCTAAGGTGAGCCAACACCCTTCAAGGAACAATCTAATCATTTCAAAAGATTACTGAAAAGTGTAGGTTTAATGACACTAAATTTTCTATTTATTACACACACACACAAAAAATCAAGCACAAACAAAACAAGCAAACAAGCCATTTACTGAAAATGACTGAATTACTGGTTTTATGTCAACTTACCACTGAAATGCATTATAATGGAAGTAGACCAAACCAAGACCATATAAAAAGGCAGCATTCTGTAAAGGAAGGGAAAAAGATTTTTAGGAAAAATACTTGTATCTAACATATATGATGTTATTATTGTAAAATACGGTATCCAAGATGTTTTAAGTCCTAAAATTCTATCATGCATTACAATATATTTTTAAAACACCAAAATAACAGTGATCAGATGGCACAGATTCCAATCAACTTAGAGAGGTATTCCAGCCCTGAAATAAAAATATTTACTAGCAGAAATTCTATGGTCAAATCTAAAATTAAAAATCTATTCTTCAGGAATAAGAGAATGCTCAGCCTATGTTATCCTATTCTCTCTTGCTTGTATCTACATTCTTCCTCTGGTTCTTTTTGTTTCTTGAATTGGATTTAATTTTATATTTAGTACTGCCAGGAAGGTAGTTAGAATTCAAAGGAAATGCACAGTATAAACCTAAAACAAATTTTAGTATTTAAGAAAAATAGCATCATGCCAATCATCACCTAGGCATTAACATCTTGTGCTTTAAATATCATTGACTCCTTTTGCAGTATGAAACAAGACATGTGTCAACACTTATCCTGACTAACTTTGACCTCTGGACTCCTAATAGGATCCAGCTATTTATATAATTTATATTTATATAACTCCATGATTTTTTTTCTTTTTTTTTTAAAGAGACAAGGTCTCGCTCTGTCACCCCAACGCGATCACAGCTCACTGCAGCCTCAAACTCCTGGGCTCAAGCAATCCTCCCACCTCAGTCTCCCAAGTAGCTGGGACTAAAGGCATGTGACACCATGCCCAGATCCTACTCCTTATTTTCAAAAACAGCAAATGTTTGAGTACCCAGTATATGTTTTATCAATAACCAAGCAAATCTATTTTAGTAAATCTTCCCTATTAAAAAAGAAGGTAAAGCTTTCATACTGATCTGTGTGAACAAATTTCTTCTTCGAAATTATAAGCTTCAAATTACAAATGTCTCTGATTTCTAAAACTTCAAAATTTTAACTATTATTACAATGCTTGTCATGCTGCCTGCGTTGCATCTCCCAAGAAAGACTGTGAGATAAAGGTTTTTGTACAAGTAGTTTATTTGAGAAGTATCTGAGGAAATACCTTTAATGAAGTAAAGAAGTGAGTCAGGAAAGGAAAGTATGCCAATAAAGGATGCATTATGGAGCTGATTATGACTCTAGGCAACTGGGACTCAAGCCTGCTGGAGATCTCTGGGAGACAGTATGGAACATTTCTCAGAGTCATCTTGCCCTAAGTATGAAGGAACTAGGGTAATTATACTACAACTTCTGTAATTCATTAGTTGAGAAAAAGAACCAATGATGTTTAAAGCCCAAAATGTAAACAGCTTGTCAGAGGCATTTGAACCAGAAGAACTCCATCTTGAATAGGGGCTGGGTAACGTAAGACTGTGACCTACTGAGCTGCATTCCCAGGAGGTTAGGCATTCTTAGTCACAGGATGAGACTGGAGGTTGGCACAAGATACAGGTCACAAAGACCTTGCTGATAAAAACAGGTTGCAGTAAAGAAGCCAGCCAAAAGCCACCAAAACCAAGATGGCAACAAAAGTGACCTCTGGTCGTCCTCACTGCTCATTATACACTAATTATAATGCATTAGTATGCTAAAAGACACTCCTAGCAGCACTATCACAACGTCAGAACTCTGTAAGGTCTAAAAAGGTGAGGAACCCTCAGTTCTGGGAATTGCCCACTGCTTTCCTGGAAAACTAATGAATAATTCACCCCTTGTTTAGCATATAATCAAGAAATAACTGTAAGTATTGTCAGATGAGCAGATATTCCTTTACTTTCTTAATAAACTTGCTTTCACTTTACTCTGGATTATCCTCGAATTCTTTCTTGCGTGAGATCCAACCTGGGGTTTGGATCAGGACCCCTTTCCAGTAACAAGCTGAGTGACTTTTCTTGCTTTTTAAAAATGCTAAAGTTTGTCCTAAAATTATATTGTGCATTTCCTTTGAATTCTAAGTATCTTTCTAGAAACACTAAGTTTCTTAAATACATTGTCAAATGTAAAAATATGGTAATTTCATTTTATTAAGTCCTCATTACCCCCAATTTTCCGAATGAGGAAATTATATTACAGAAGTATTCACAAATTCCAGGAGTCACAAAGGTCTCAGACAACATCCATTTTTAAATTTCCTGTTTAAATTTTTTTTAATTTTAAATTTAGTTGAAACTGTTTTTAATCAGGATCATTCATCTACTATCCCATCCCCTGAAATAATCTGAGCATTTACTTGGTGCCAGGGACAATTCTCAAGGGTTAAACAAACCAATCTGAATAAAATATACTTCCCCTGCTCTCAAGAAGTATGCAATCTAGAGGGTGGGGGAGAGGAGGCATGGATATTCAGAATGTGGTAAAAGTGGTAATAGTTAATCCAGAGTCATTTAGTGTTCTACCTAAAAAGTCAAGATTTGAAAGACAATGGGGGTGTGGGGGTGAGGGTGGTTGTGAAAGGAAAGGGAGCAACATCTTAACATCTATTTAGGCAACTGCCTGGACAGGGTGGAGTGAGCGTACTATAGAAATATGAGTTTATTTTTATTTTTTTTATTTTTTATTTTCTTTGAGATGGAGTTTCGCTCTGTCGCCCAGGCTGGAGTGCAGTGGTGCGATCTCGGCTCACTGCAAGCTCCACCTCCCGGGTTCACGCCATTCTCCTGCCTCAGCCTCCTGAACAGCTGGGACTACAGGCGCCCGCCACCACGCCCAGCTAATTTTTTGTATTTTTAGTAGAGACGGGCATTTCTGATTTCAGGACACACTGTACATTCTCCCAACTTCATTCTTCTCCCTCTAGGAAATCTTATTCAATCCCCACCACCCTATAAATTCTATTAATCATTCAAGATCCATTTAAATGCCACCTTCCCCATGAAAGCTTTGCTTCTTGTCCCACCTCAAACTAGAGGTGATTTTTCCAACCTCTAAATTTGGTCTTACTGCAACGTCTCTATCATCTGACATTATTATGTAACAGTAAAAACTTAGTTTTATGCAATATCTAACATCAACTCTTTCAAAAGGTTCTAAAAAACCTTATGTGGTGGTAGAGGGCTTCATTTATAGAATGAAGAAACTGCATCAGAGAATAAGCAATTTACTCAAGGAAACAGGTACTAACTAGCAGACATAGGAACTGAAACTAGGTCAGTCTCCAGAGCTCACTCTTAACTATTACACCATATATTTGTTACTTGTGTGTTGACTAAACTCCATCCGATCAAATAAAAATGCCATAAAGGCAGGAGTGATCACTGCCTGTATTCCTTGTTATCACCTAGCACAGGGCGCACTTCCATAGAGTAGATGCCCAAAGATTTACTAATCCAATCACCCAGTACAAGGGGACTTCAAAAAGTTCATGGAAAAAAACAGAATTAAAAGATAAAAATATAAACATTATTTCTCAACATAAGCTCCATCAAGTTCAAGACACGTTTGTAAGCAATGACACCAGCCATTTAGTCCAGCCCTAAACAACTGAGGGGTCCTGGGGGATGTAGCCATGTCAATGCAGTCTTTTTTACATTATTTACTGAAGAAAAAAGTGGGTGCCCTTTAAAGATTTTACTTTAAAGATTTTTTAAAATAGGAAATAAAAAGAAGCTGGAAGGAGCCAAATCAAGACTGTATCATTTCCCATGAAAACTCTCAAAACATTGCCCTTGTTTGATGAGAGGACTGAGTAGAGGCACTGCCATGGTGAGGCTTTTCTGGGCATTTTTCTGCTAAAGCTTTGGCGTTCTTAAAACATACTCGTAATAAGCAGAGGTTATTGTCATTCTTTGGCTCTCCGGAAAGTCAACAAGCAAAATGCCTTGAGAATCCCAAAAAACTGTTGTCTTGATCTGTGCTCTTGACCGGTCCACTTTCACTATGACTGGATCAATTTCTACCTCTTGGTAGCCATTGCTTTGATTGTGCTTTGTCATTAAGATCATACTGGTAAAGCCAAGTTTCACCTCCTGTTACAATCCTTTGAAGAAATGCTCAGGATCTTTTTTTTTTTGAGATAGAGTCTTGCTTTGTCCCCAGGCTGGAGTGCAATGGTGTGATCTCGGCTCACTGTAACCTCCACCTCCGGGGTTCAAGCAATTCTCCTGACTCAGCCTCCCAAGTAGCTGGGACCACAGGTGTGTGCCACCATGCTGTTAGATATGAGTTCTAAATTTCTTTTCAAAGAATCAATATGTCAGTATGTTCAATCCTTTACCTTCTACTTTTAAACTTCCTCACAAAGCAACCTTTTTCGATTACCTGCTCCACCCTGACTCATTCTGATTACTGATTGCACCCTGACTCATTACCTGCTCTGTCATAACCATTTTTCCCACCAAACCACTCACCCCGTCACTCTCTTTAAATCAGCCAATTGGAATTAGTTTAGCCTGGGCGGTCTAACCCTAGCCAAGAGGGGAATGACACAGCAGTAGGGGCTACGTGTGTCAGGGATAAGAACCCCCTCCCCTCCCTTGTCCAAGTGTGCGCTCACCATTGCTTCTATAGAAGGCACACCCTTCTATAGAAGTATCTTGTCTTGCTGAGAATTAAAAAGAAAATTTTATATTCGAGTGCTATTTCTTTTGCAGCACTGAAACTTTATGTATAACAATTTGGGGGCTCACCCATGATTACATTCCCCTCCCGACAGTCTCTGGTTCTCCCTCATGAGGAGGCATGCCCTGCCCCTTGTGGTCACCTCAGGGGTGAGAAATCAGAACTCACCCAGTGCGAGGAATAACCCAAGCTCTTGGCAACATGGCGGCGGGGGGGGGCGCAGGGCTGGGGGGGACTGGCCAGTAACCTAGCTTAAAGGATTCTCACATACCACACTGATGACTGTACACAGACCAAGGAAGGAGAAGCCACAGGAGCCGGTAAAGTATTTCCTTGGTGGTAGGGACCAAGGTAAGAAAGCCGGGTGGTGGGTGGTGGGTGGTGGGTGGTGGGTGGTGGGGGGTGGGGGGGGTGGGGGGGTGGGGGGGTGAGGTGAAGTACTCCTTGGTTGGGGTGGCTTACAGGTTAAAAAGAGGTGAGACATGCCCATTGGAGGGGACTGAACTTCACACGAACCTCCAGTAGTAGAAAAGGTGAGAAATTTCCAGTGGGGGAAATTGAGCCTCCCCACAAAAGGTGACAAATTTTCAGTAAGGGAAATTGAACCTTGAAACTTACCCCAAAACCATCAAGATGGGAAATAACCCAAGCAAGACAGGGAGCAAGAGGGATAAAGATGGTAACAAAGATATCCCCCCAGATAGCCCCCTAGGTCTCAAGCTAAAACACTGGAAGGATAACGAAAGGACTAAACATAGGAAAAAGCAACAAATGATAAAATATTGCTGTTTAATTTAGACTCAAAGACCCATCCTCAAACCCTCAATCTTCTGGCCAAAGTTTAGATCGAATGAGGATGTAATGTGTCAGCTTCTAATCCGACATGTTAATGATAAAAGTCGAGTGTCTCAGAAGAACTAGGCTATGCCCTCTGTTGGAGGCATGGACCTGCCCTCCTTTTTCCCTTAAAAACAAATAGGGAAGAACCCAATCTGGCACCTCAAAATGAAAAGTCAGAGGAGCCAGCTCTCATGCCTAAAGACTCCAGCGCATGGGATCCCCTAGACTATCTTCCCCCACTCAGTGTCCCCAATCTTTCCCCTCAGACAGCCACTGCCTCCTCAGATCCCATTCCAAATTCCACCTCCACTCACGTTATCCCTCCTCCTTATAACTCTGACTCTTGGGAATTACCGTCCCACCAGCCCATTCCCTCCCAACCTAAAGACCCCTCTCTAAAAGGACTCCAGCGTGAGGTAGAACAATGTAAAAAAGATATTCAGAATTTCCCATTTCCCTCCATACCTAAGAGGCCCAACCCTCTTCCCTTTGAAAGAGGTACCATAAGGAGGGGGGGGCCACTGGCTTTGTAAATGCTCCCTTAACCAAAGTCTAGAATTTTAAAAAGGAGCTTAAACCACTACTAGATAACCCTTATGGAGTGGCAGACCAAATTGCCCAATTCTTAGGACCTCAGTTATACACTTGGGTCGAGTTAATGTCCATCTTGGGCATCCTCTTTTCAGGAGAAGAAAGGAGTATGATTTGTAGGGCTGCTATGGTAGTTTGGGAATGTGAGCATCCTCCTGGTGAAAACGTTCCTACCGCGGACCAGAAATTCCCCGCCTGAGACCCCTGGTGGGACAATAACAAAGCAGATCAACAGGAAAATATGCAGGATCTAAGAGAGACAATAATAAAAGGAATTCGGGAGTCAGTACCCCGAACCCGAAATCTTTCTAAAGCATTTGACATACAACAGGAAAAGGATGAAGGGCCTATGAGATTCCTAGACAGACTGAGGGAGCAAATGAGGCAATATGCAGGCCTCAATTTGGATGATCCCCTTGGGCTAGGAATGTTGAAACTCCAATTTGTCACTAAAAGTTGGCCAGACATTTCAAAAAAGTTACAAAACATAGACAGTTGAGAAGACCGTCCCCTAAGTGAGCTTCTCAGGGAAGCTCAGAAAGTATATGTGAAAAGGGATGAAGAAAAACAGAAACAAAAGACAAAACTTACGTTTTCTACCTTCCAACAGATGGCTCCAAACCCAGGTACTTCTAGACAGTTTCCAGGGAGCTAGAAACTATAAAGGGTCCAAACCCTCTTTTAAAGGACCCCAGTCTCCATCTGGAGGACCAAGGTCCTCATCTACCAGGCCCCCTAAAGAGTATGGTGGAGCAGGGTTAAAGAATCCCAGAACTAAGGAGGAAGGACAAGATAGGTGCTATTGATGTCGAAGAACAGGCCACTTCAAGAGAGGATGTCCTGAACTAAGAAAGGACAAAAGAAGCCCTTCCGCTCATGACTTTCAACGAAGAATAGGGAGGTCAGGGGCTCTGTCTCTTTTATCTTGAGTCCCTCTCCGGGGTAAAAGGGGAAAGAGAGGGGAGAACAGCAGCATAAGCGTCTGGCAGAGGCAGGGAAAAACCAGCAGAAAGGAAAGAGAGAGAGAGAAGCGGGGGTGGAAGAGGGGGTGGAAGGGGGAGAAGGGGGAGAAGAGAGAGAGAGGGGAGAGAGAGGAGAAGGCAGGGGAGAGAGGAAAAAAAGGCAGAGAGAGAGAGGAAGAGACAGAGAGACAAAGAGGGAGTCAAAGAGAGACAGAGAGAGGAAGAGACAGAGACAAAGAGGGAGTCAAAGAGAGAGACAGTCAAAGAGAGAAAGAAAGAGAGAGAGAGAGATAAGTAGTAAAGGAAAAAACAGTGTACCCTATTCCTTTAAAAGCCAGGGTAAATTTAAAACCTATAATTGATAATTGAAGGTCTTCTCCGTGACACTGTAACACTCCAATACCACCTTGTCAGTGTAAACAAGGGCATAGCCCAAAAGCACTGAGGCCACTGACAACTCGTAGCCTTCCTATCAAAAATCCTTAACCCAGTAACCCGCAGATGGCCCTAATACATTCAATCTGTAGCGACAACTGTTTTGCTAACACAAGAAAGTATGAGGCTATTCTGTTAAAAAAAAAAAAAAAAAAAAAAGAAGGATAATTCAACATTAACCACTAAAAATTCCCTTAACCCAGCAGGTTTCCTAACAGGATCTAAATCTTAATTACTGTACAAAGGTCCGACCAGACCTAGGAGGAACTCCCTTCAGGACAGGACGATAGACAGTTCCTCCCTCCTCCTGGGTGATTGACGGAAAAAGACACAATGGGTATTCAGTAATTGATAGGGCAACTCTTGTACAAGCAGAATTAGGAAAATTGCCTAATAATTAGTCTGCTCAAATATGGGAGCTGTTTGCACTCAGCCAAGCCTTAAAGTACTTACAGAACCAGGAAGGAACCATCTATACCAATTCTAAGTTAATTTGGACTAAACAAGGTCTTATTAATAGCAAAGGATAACTGAAATCCCAAACTTACAAGGTTTTCAACAAAAGTAAAGTTTGCTAAAAATTAACAGTGTAACATGTATTATCCTAACTTCTAATCTTGTGGCCTTAGGCAGTCTAGTCCACAGACATAAAGGAAGTTCACTTTGGAGAAGAATGAAAAGGGGGGGGGGGGCGGGGAGGGGAAGAATTTATATAAAAAGAATGTTATATGGTAAATTCTTGTCCTAAAATAAATTAACTGGTTGTTTAAAGAAAGGGATGTTTGCAACAAGTCAGAAAGTTGAGGTATGTCAAAGAATTGTCTGTGAAAGTCGTGAAAAAAAATGTTATAAAAGGGAATTTATGCAAGAAATGTTATATAATTTAAAAGTAATTAGGCCTCCTGAATGTAAAACTATTGAAGAAACAGTTTATGTGCAAGGTTTGTAAGGAAAGTAAAATATACCTTTGGTAAAAGGATTAAAAGGAGGCATAAGAATGTGCATTTTTACCTACATTAAAAGGTTAAAGAAATATATTTTGTTTTAAAGGTTTGAGCAATTTTTAAAATGTTAATTGTAAAGGAAATTCTGTGTGTAAACATACTGGCTAAAGTTAAAGAGGTATCATCCAGTCTTTCTGTGAACTGGACATTAAAATAAAAGCACAAAAGGTTTTTCTTAAAGCACTAACCTGCTCTTTAACAAAAATTATAAAAGGTTAAACAGAGTCTATAAAAATTTTACCTTATGGTCAGACATTAAAATTGGATAAATATGTCTACAAGGTTTTATTAAAACTGAGTTTAACATTAATAACACACTAATATAAAGGTGAAATTTAGCTTATCTAGTATAAAAATCATACAGGAAGCACTGTCAAATATAAAACGGTGTTTGGCTTTCTTCGGTCTAAAAACTAACAAAAATAGGTGCTAAGGGAAATTTCTCAGTAAGAAGGCACCAAGGGCTATAAAGACCACTGCTGATGTCCCCACATTTAAAACAAAAGATCAGTTTCTTAGAATTTATATACTTGGTTTATCTTCCACTTTCCTTTCCTTCAAAACTAAAAGTCTTTTAGCACAGGCACCACCCCTAGAATTTCCGGTAAACCAGCACCAGCCTGAGGATCACGTTCTCATCAAAGGGTGGAAAGAAGGAAAACTCAAGCAAGCCTGGGAAGGACCCTACCTTGTGCTGCTAACTACGGAGACTGCTGTTCCTACAGCGGAAGGGGGATAGACTCATCACACCCGAGGCAAGAAAGCACCGCTCCCTCAAGAGTCGTGGGCCATAGTCTCAGGGGAAAACACTATCAAACTAAAGTTAAGAAAAATTTAACTCTCTTTCATCTATTCTATTACTTTCTTCTTTCCCCGTTCTATTGCTGACCATCTAGTTATAACATAACCAAGTCAATTTTGCCTCAAACTATTGCATTTGATGCTTGCCTTGTTATACCCGTGGGTGCTTGCCAAGTCAAAGACAGCTCTCTACTTCAGAAAAGTACCTCTGTCCCTCCTGACTCTCCTCAGACTGGGCCTTAGTAAATTGGGACCACTTAATCCAGAAAGATTTCGATAAAGACCCCGGTGTCAACCAGGAGTCTTGCTCCCCAATGCAGAGCTTTTATGCTGTAGTTAGTCCAACATTCTGTGGAGCACTAAAGAACAAGAATGGACTGCCCCAACCGGTTTTTGTAATTTCCTAAAACCATACATTTTACTAGAAGGACAGCCCTCCCCACTGTCAGCTAAACCAGTGTAATTCTATACAGGTTATTATCTCAAACGCTCAAAGTTCTTCCCCTTTTCTAAGCCAGTTCCCTTCTTTAAGCCGGTTTTATGGTATGGGGGCTGAGGTTTCAGCAAACCCTATTAAATTCTTTAAAATGAGTTTCTTTGATCCCCTACTGCCTGCACCTTCCTCTAAGCCTCCTTCCAAAACCTCTCACAACAGAACAATTGCTCCTCCTCCATCTAACGACAAGACCAAGATAGCTATAGTAAAAGTTAAAGACTTAAAACAAACTTTGGCAATTAAGACAGGATATCAAGATGCAAATGCCTGGTTGGAATGGATCAAATATTCCGTCCACAGGTTGAACAAAAGCAATTGCTATGCTTGTGCGCATAGCAGGCCAGAGGCCCAGATTGTCCCCTTTCCACTAAGGTGGTCCTCCAGTTGACCTGGTGTGGGCTGCATGGTAGCTCTTTTCCAGGATTCTACAGCCTGGAGTAGTAAGTCATGCCAAGCTCTCTCTGCTATATCCCGAAGTCCGGCACCCTGCGGGTCAGCCCCCGAGGGCCATCCAGCTTCCATCTCCCAGCCCCCGAGGGCCATCCAACTTCCGTCTCCCAACACTAAGTTCACTTCGTGTCTCTCACGACAGGGAAGAAACGGCGTTCCTTGGAGACCTGAAGGGATGCAGTGAGCTTAAGAATTTTCAAGAGCTTATCAGTCAGTCAGCCCTTGTTCATCCCCGAGCAGATGTGTGGTGGTATTGTGGTGGACCTTTACTGGACACTCTGCCAAATAACTGGAGTGGCACTTATGCTTTAGTCCAACTGGCTATCCCTTTCACCCTGGCACTTCATCAACCCCTTTCACCCTGGCACTTCATCAACCAGAGGAAGGAAAAATAAGACATCGTACAGTGAGAGAAGCCCCTTATGGGTCTTTCGATTCTCATGTCTATTTAGACGCAACTGGAGTCCCACGGGGAATACCAGATCAATTTAAAACCTGAAATCAAATAGCTGCAGGATTTAAGTCAATATTTTGGTAGGTGACAATTAATAAAAATGTAGATTGGATAAACCACATCTACTACAACCAACAATAATTTATTAACTACACTAGAGATGCTGTTAAAGGAATAGCTGAACAACTAGGGGCAACTAGCCAGATGGCTGGGGAAAACAGGATAGCCTTAGACATGATATTAGCAGAAAGAGGAGGAGTTTGCGTCATGATGAAAACTCAATGTTGTACTTTCATCCCAAACACCACCACCACTGATGGAAGTATAACAAGGGCATTGCAAGGTCTGACTGCTCTGTCCAATGAGTTAGCCAACAACTCAGGGGTAAATGACCCCTTTACAGGATGGCTAGAAAAGTAGTTCAGTAAATGGAAAGGAATAATAGCCTCAATTCTTACTTCCCTCGCAGCCGTAATGGGTGTACTTATTCTTGTCAGGTGCTGTGTCATACCATGCCTCCAAAGGTTGATGCAGAGGCTCATAAAAATGGCACTTACTCAAACCTCCCTTAACTATCCTCCACCTTATCCAGAGAAGCATCTTCTTTTGGAAAATCAAGCCAAACAACTAAGCCAAGACATGTTTAAAAAAAGTTTGAAAAGAAAGCTGTGAGGAAATACAAGGGGAGGGGTTGTTAGATATGAGTTCTAAATTTCTTTTCAAAGAATCAATATGTCAGTATGTTCAATTCTTTACCTTCTACTTTTAAACTTAACTTCCTCATAAAGCAACCTTTTTCAATTACCTGCTCCACCCTTATTCAATCACCTACTCTACCCTGACTCATTTTGATTACCTACTCCACCCTGACTCATTGCCTGCTCTGTCATAACCATTTTTCCCGCCAAACCACTCACCCCATCACTCTCTTTAGCCAATCAGAATTAATTTAGCCTGTGCGGTCTAACCCTCGCCAATAGGGGAACTACACAGCAGCAGCGGCGGCCACGTGTGTCAAGGGTAAGAACCCCTTCCCCTCCCTTGTCCAAGTGTGCGCTCACCATTGCTCTATCTGTAAGGGCGCACCCTTCTATAGAAGTACTTTGCTTTGCTGAGAATTAAAAAGAAAATTTTATATTCAAGTGCTATTTCTTTTGCGGCACCGAAACTTTACATATAACAATGGCCGGCTAATTTTTGTATTTTTAGTAGAGATGGGGTTTCACCATGTTGGCCAGACTGGCTTCATGTGATCCACCCGCCTCGGCCTCCCAAAGTACTGGAATTAGAGGCATGAGCCACAACTCCCAGCTAAAATGTTTTACAGAGTTTGACTCTTTTTGTTGACAAAAACGTATATAATAAGGTTCAGTTCTACCTGAAGTTTCAGGCATCCACTGCGGGTCTTGGAACATATCCCTCATGGGTAAGGGGAACAACAGTAATTAGGTTCTAAATAATAAGATTCTATGTTGTTATAACGTTGCCAATTTGGGGTTGGAATAAGAATTTGACTGTAGCCACCACCAAGCACCCCATACCCCAGTAATCATCTTTGAAGACTATTATATTTTTATGCTAGGATATTAACAAATAAAACCATGCCAAAATATTACAAAAACATCAAATGTCTTAATTTTACTGTATCATGACTCTAATTCACAAACCTAGTGATACACAGTTGGGGAAAAAAATCTGCTATTAACCCTCTGAGTACCTTTGTCTACCAGATCTGGGAAAGAAAAACACAATATGATAAAATAAAATAAAACAAAACAAAACCTACTGGGGAATAAAAAAAGGGGGAAGGTGGGTATAGAAATGAAGGTTATAAAGGTATGAATTTCCAAATACTTTCTTTATAATTACCCCCATCTGTTACATATACCATGAATATCTGAAATTACATGAATCTTAACACTGAACAAGAAAGTCTAATGGTACTGCAGATTTTAGATAGTGGTAACAATCTTACCAGTTGACCAAGCCAAACAGTAGTCCTACTTTTCCTCTCTCACCTCTTCTCCACCAATAAACCATGTTCCTTCTATTCACAGAGTTCATTTTACAATCTAAAAGCCTTTGAATCCACCCCTTCTCCATTCCTACTATGTTTCTCCAGGTTAGTTAGGACCTCAACTTTACATACTTGGCCTATTTCAACAGTTTTCTAACTTGTCTCCCAAACTGTAGGCTCTCTCTCCATTTCCTCCTCTTTCAATCTGCCCTCCAAACCACTGCCAGTGAGCTTTCGAAAACTCAAACATGAAGTGCAAAACATGCACTTTCTATTTTAAACTCCTCTGAAAAGTCCCCACAATCTAGCTTGATTTATAAGGGCCTTCATTTTATGACTCTTGCTGAAATGTTCCCAATCTCATAACCACCACTTCAGTCAGGACAAATAACATGCAGATCTGTGAATAAAATACAACCTTATACATTTCTATGATTTTAACCATGTTTGCTTCCTCTGCCTTAAAAAAGCCATTGCCATCTTTCCCTCAACTCACTCCTTAATCGGGCAAATTCCTGTCTATCCTTTAAAAAGCAACATTCACCTCTTCCTTCCAGAAGTATTATTTGACATATTCCCAAAAACCCAGAGTGAGTTATAGTTTCTAATACATGCTTCTGATACGGGACTGCTGGGAAGGGAAGAGTGTGGTCCCTTTAAATGATACAGAATGGGAGAAGGGAAGTGCTGGGTAGAGGAGGGTGTGGTCCCTGGCTAGGGCTCTACCCCCTCAGACCTAAGTGAAGACAGGCACTTCTGCCTACCTGCCACGCCCCCAACCTGGGCCTATAAAAACCCAAGACCCTAGCAAGGCAGAGACAGAAACTGCTAGATGGCGAGAGGAACACATCGGTGGAAGAAGACAAGTGGCTGGACATCGAGAGGATGTTGAGGGGAGCATGCAGGCGGAAGAGCACACCCACAAACGCTGGCACACCGGCAGGCCACTGACCAGTGGGACTAGGCAGAGTTTGGCCAGCGCAGTCGGAGGAGAGCTGGGGCTGCCAAGCAGCCATCTCCCTCTGGCTACCCCATAGGCTGAAAGCTACTTTCCACTCAATAAAACTTTACACTAATTCTCCAAGCCCACATGTGATCCGATTCTTCCAGTACACCAAGGCAAGAACCCGGGATACAGGAAACCCTCTGTCCTTGCGACAAGGTATAGGGTCTAACTGAGCTGGTGAACACAAGCCGCCTACAGACAGCAAACTAAAAGAGCACCCTCTAACACATGCCCACTGGGGATTCAGCTGTAACATTCACCCCTAGACAGACATTGCCGTGGGGTGGGAGCCCCACAGCCTGCCAGTCTGTATGCTCCCCTAGAGGTTTGAGCAGTGGGGCACTGAAGAAGCGAGCCACACCCCCATCACATGCCCTGCGAGGGGGGCAAGGGAATCTCTCCCATTTCACTTCCAAATGAATACTCACATCTTTTGTAAGTATGTCATTTATCTCCTCCACTAGAATATGACCCTATAAATGGTAGAAAACGAACCCAAGTCATGCTTTGATCCCTATAGCAAAGTAACCAGCATATGTAAGTTAATTAGGAAAGTCTTGCCGCTGAGTAAATCAGTATCTTACAGTCTTTAATAACCTGTTACATATTTTTCATAGAAGAATGATACTTTGCTGATTCAATTTATACAGAATCATTTCCTTATTATAGTCTGAATTACCTTCTGGACAATTAAAAGAACATTTACAGTTAAGATAATCTAGCAGAAGAGGTTGGCAAAACTTTATTATATGCATCATGCCCAAATCACAACACTGAAGCAGAAGTTCTGCTTCCAAAGTGTATGTGTAGTATTGTACAGCAATAATGCAATCAGACTGTAGAAGTCATCTCATAACTAGTAAGTGACAAGGCTGTGATTCTGACCCAAGACTGTAGAGACCTGAGTCAGAATCAAAGCCTTGTCACTTACTAGTTATGAGAATCATGAAAGGCCAAGCACAGTGGCTCACACCTGTAATCCCACCGCTTTGGGAGGCCAATGTGAGAGGATTGTTTGAGACCAGGAGTTCGAGACCAGCCTGGGCAACATAGTGAGACTCTCATTCTCTACAAAAAACTTAAAACTTAGTTGAGCATGGTGGGGCAGGCCTGTAGTCCTAGCTACTTGAGAGGCTAAAAAGGACTGTTTGAGTCCAGGAGTTCAAGGCTGCAGTGCGCTACAATTGTACCACTGGATTCCTGCCTGGGCTACAGAGGAAGACCCTATCTCTTAAATTAAAACAAATAAACAAATATAAATAAATAAATAAATAATTTCAGAAAGACTCATGAAACAAGTTAGCTGATCTCAATGTCTTCATCTTTGTAAAATGGAGAAAGCAGTACCTATTTCAAAGGGTTGTCTGAGGAATTAAATGAGATGATACATGTAAAATACTTAAAAATACTACCTGGCATTTAGAATTTTTGTGACAACGGGGCAATGCATCTAATAACATCAACAACTTCCTTCCCCGTGCTGCTGAACCACAAACTGGTTCAAAAACAGAAATGATTATAATTAAAGCACAAAGGATTTTTTAAAAGTATCCCAACAGGCCAGGCCTGGTGGCTCACACCTGTAATCCCAACACTTTGGGAGACTGAGGCAGGTGGATCACCTGAGGTCAGGAGTTCAAGACCACCCTGGCAACATGGGGAAACTCAGTCGCTATTAAAAAATAAATACAAAATTAGCCTGGTGTGGTAGCCTTAGTCCCAGCTACTCGGGAGGCTGAGACAGGAGACTTGCTTGAACAGGGGAGGCAGAGGCTGCAGTGAGCCAAGATCGCACCACTGCACTCCAGCCTGGGGGAGACAGAGCAAGACTCCGTCTCAAATAAATAAATAAAAATAAATAAATAGTATCCCAACAATTTCATTTATATTTCCTTAAATTATAGTATAATTTCCAAAAATAAGGCCAATGGCAAGCAGTATACATACTGAAAAACCTTCCTAATACAAAATTATTTAAAATATTAGATGACATATTTTAAAAGGATCTTTATAAATGAATGGCTGAGCTGGCCGCAAAAGGAAAAAGGCTGAAAAAAAAGGAGAATACAGAAAGGTAAGCCAACACTGAAAGCCAATAAAATGCCCTGAGACTTAGGAAACAAATTAGGTACCACACAGAGTTGTACCCAAGATTTCCCACATAAATCTGAACCCCTGGGGATTCTTTCTTAGTAAAATGTTGGAATTTCCTCGAAAAACTAACAATAGAACCACCATTTGATCCAGCAGTCCCACTACTAGCTATAAATCATAGAAATTGAAATCAAAATTTCAAAGAGATATCTATGTTATATATGAGTTCTAAATTTCTTTCCAAGGAATCAGTATGTTCATTTCTTTGCCTTCTACTTTTAAACTTCACTTCCTCGTAAAGCAACGTTTTTCGACTACCTGCTCCACCCTGACTCATTCCAATTACCTGCCCTGTCATAACCATTTTTCCTGCCAAACCACTCACCCCGTCACTCTCTTTAAATTAGCCAATCAGAATTAGTTTAGCCTGTGCAGTCTAACCCTAGCCAATAGGGGAACGACACAGCAGCAGGGGCCAGGTGTGTCAGGGAAAGAACCCTTTCCCCTCCCTTGCCCAAGTGTGCGCTCACCATTGCTCCATCTGTAAGGGTGCACCCTTCTATAGAAGTACCTTGCCTTGTTGAGAATTAAAAAGGAAACTTTATATTCGAGTGCTATTTCTTTTGCGGCACTAAAACTTTATTTATAACATCTATACTCCCATATTCATTTCAGCCTTATTCACAATAGACAAGATACAGAATCAACCAAAGTATCCATTGAAGGATAAATGGATTAAGAAAACGTGGTATATATACACCTTGAAATACTATTCAGCCTTTAAAAGAAGGAAATTCTGTCATTTGTGACAACATGGATGAATCTGGAGGACCTTGTGTTAAGCAAAATAAGCCAGAGACAGAAAGACAAAACGGCATGATCTCACTTACATGTGGAATCTAAAAAAGTCAAACTCAAAGAATATCTATCTCATAGGAGTAAAGAGAACAGCAGTGGTTACCAGAGGCTCAGGGAGGGTGGGGAAAGGGAATTGGGGAGATGCTATTCAAAGGGTACGAAGTTTCACTTAGACAAGAATAAATTCTAGTGATCAATTGCAGAGCATGGTAACTATAGTTAATAATCATGTATATTTCAAATTGATGAGAGTATATTTCAAATATTCACCAAGAAAAACAAGTAAGTGAGGTTATGGGTATGTGGGAAAATCTATCATATCTCTAAAACCAAATGTAGATGGAGTCAAAAAATAAAATGGAACACAGGCAATATTTGAAGATGTAGTGGCTGAAAATTTTCTAGTGCTGAAGGCAATACTCCCCAGATGCAGAAAGATGAATAAAGGAAGACAAATCCTATGCACAAAGGGAAGGTGCAGAAGAAAAAGACGAGAGCTTTTTTTTCTTGAGACGGAGTCTCACTCTGTCTCCAGGCTGGAGTGCGGTGGCGTGATCTCAGCTCACTGAAACCTCTGCCTCCTGGGTTCAAGTTATTCTCCTGCCTCAGTCTCCTAAGTAGCTGAGACTACAGGCACGCGCCACCATGCCCAGCTAATTTTTGAATTTTTAGTAGAGACGGGGTTTCACCATGTTGGCCAGGATGGTCTCGATCTCTTGACCTCGTGATCCGCGAGGAGAGCTTTTAAAAGACATTAAAAGAGCTATAAAACAGCTTCAAAACAGCATCAAAAGAGCTAAAACAACACTAACAACTTTTTAAAACTATCCAGGAAAACTAGGAGTCAGTGAAAATTCAGTAAGAAGCTGGGTGCAGTGGCTCACACCTGTAATCCCAGCACTTTGGCAGGCAGAAGTGGGCAGACCACTTGAGCCCAGGAGTTTGAGACCAGCCTGGGCAATATAGTAAGACCTCATCTCAAATAAAAAAAAAGCAATTAAAATTATTTTCAGTTATTTTTAATGGTAAAGATAAATTTTTATCACATTCTTTTTTTCACACATAAAGGAAAATTTAAGTGAAAAAATTTCATTAAGATATCCTTAGTGTCCAATTCTGAATAATTTTTTAATCCTGTTAACCATACTCTCGTCCATGTTTTTCCACACAATATCAACTACTGGGACATCAAAAAAGGTGGTGATATAGCATTTCTTAGAAGATTCTTCCACTGTTGTCTACAAACCCCATTTCTGCAAGTTTTGACATCACTTTTTTGACCTTACCAGAAGCTGACAATGAAAAGTTTTTAGTCAGCAATCAAAACTCATATTCTTTCCTCAGATGCTCCATAAGTGACTTATCTACTGAAACAATAGGCTACAGCTATCTAATCATGACAGGAGGAAAAACAACAAAGATGAGTATGCATAGGCATTGACAACTATATATCATGACTACCACCCAGCCAATGAAGACTTAAAATATTATTAGATACCTTGCTCCAAAGATTTAAACAAAAAGGGTAGGCCGGGCATGGTGGCTCATGACTGTAATCCCAGCACTTTGGAAGGCCGAGGTGGGTGGATCACATGGTCAGGAGATTGAGACCATTCTGGCCAACATGGTGAAACCCCATCTCTACAAAAAAAAAAATGAGCCGGGCATGGTAGCATGCGCCTGTAGTCCCAGCTACTCAGGAGGTTGAAGCAGGAGAATCGCTTGAACCCAGGAGGTGGAGGTTACAGTGAGCCAAGATCAAGCCACTGCACTCCAGCCTGGGAAACAGAGTGAGATTCCATCTCAAAAAAAAAAAAGTGCATCTTTGAAGGAATAAAAAGCAGTATTGCTGGCCAGGCACGTTGGCTCACGCCTATAACCTCAGCACTTTGGGGGCCAAGGTGGGCAGATCACGTGAGGCTGGGAGTTCGGGACCAGCCTGACCAACATGGAGAAACCCCATCTCTACTAAAAATACAAAATTAGCCAGAAGTGGTGGCGCATGCCTGTAATCCCAGCTACTCGGGAGGCTGAGGCAGGAGAATTGCTTGAACCCGGGAGGCAGAGGTTGCAGTGAGCCGAGATCGCACCATTGCACTCCAGCCTGGGCAACAAGAGCAAAACTCCGTCTCAAAAAAAAAAAAAAAAAAAAAAAAAAAAAAAAAAAGAAGAAGACAGTATTGCTAAATTTCGTTAGGTGGTAAAGATCTGACAGTTATTTAAGGAATCATTCTTATTTTGTAGAAAGGTATTTAGAATATTAAGGATTGAAATGTCATGTTATCTGTAATTTACTCTAAAGTATACCCAGGAAGGAATATACATATATATGGAGGGAAAATATTTTTTTATAAGCCCTGATGGGGCATTAAAAACCACTAACCAGGCCAGGTGCAGTGGCTCACGCCTGTAATCCCAACACTCTGAGAGGCTGAGGCGGGCGGATCACCTGAGGTCAGGAGTTCAAGACCAGCCTGGCCATGGTGAAACCCCGTCTCTACTAAAAATACAAAAAAAAAATTAGTCAGGCGTAGTGGTGCACAGCTGTAATCCCAGCTACTCAGGAGGCTGAGGCAGGAGAATCGCTTGAACCCAGGAGGCAGAGATTGCAGTAAACTGAGATTGTGCCACTGCACTCCAGCCTGAGCAACAAGAGTGAAACTCTGTCTCAAAACAACAACAACAACAACAACAAAAACACCCACTAAGCAAACAGTTGTTGGTTAACTATCAACTTAATTAAAAGAAATACAGAAGATAGTGAAATGAGCTAAACAATACCAAAAGAAAGCAATAAAACAAAGTCAGAAAATGGCACACTATAAGACAACTGTGCTGGTCTCTTTAAGCCAGAGACCAAAACAAAAACACAAAAGGGATGAGAGTGGAGGGAAGACAATGCTTAAAAAGACACCTAAGGGACATACTCAGTTCTAACCTATGGTCCTGAACTAGATAGTGGTCTGGACAAAAAGACTGTAGGAGGCATTATGGAGTAAATTAGGTGAGAAAAAGAGAGAAAGAGAAAGAGAGAAAGAGAGAGAGAGAGAGAAGAGAAAAAGAAAAAAAGAGAATAAGTCCAAAGAAAGAAGGAAATAAACTAGAGATGATCAACAATGTCAAAACTGTATTATTTGAAATCAGTATTAAAATTTACAAACCTTTGATTGAAGCAAGGAAGAAAACAGAAGGCACAACTAAGAATCAGAAATTAATTAAGGACCTAACTATAGGTATATGTGACCATAAACAAATGTAGCAGAGATTTACAACCTAAAAAAGTAACTGGTAACTAATAAAACCAGTAGTATAAAATCTTCCCAAAAAGACATATTACCAATCCCAGAGAGTTTAACAGGTTGGTTTTATCAAACATGCAAGAAACCACTTTTACAAGATTATATCTTGGTCCACAAAACCTAAAATATTTACTATTTCAGAAAATACAAGATGAGAACATTCCAAACACTTTTAATGAAATGTTTACAATACTGATAACAGAAGAAACAAAATTGTCACTAATTACAAAGGTAGGATAGTCTACAGAGAAAATCCAAAGTTACATAGTCAAATAACCCAAATTAGTGAAAGTTAGTGAAGTTGCTTGATAAATTTAACACATAAAAGTCAACTGCAGTTCTATATACCAGCAGAGATAAAAAATAAAATTAAAATGGCATGTATAATAGCAATAGAAGTGTAAGATGTAAAATACATTATTTATAAGAAGCACGAGAACTTTGTGAGGAAGTTACAAAACTTTACTGACAAAAGATGACAGCTTTTATTTATTTATTTATTTATTTATTTATTTATTTATGTTTTGAGACACAGTTTCGCTCGTTGCCCAAGCTGGAGTGCAACGGCGCAATCTCGGCCCACTGCATCCTCCACCTCCAGGGTTCAAGCGATTCTCCTGCCTCAGCCTCCCTCAGCCTCCTGAGTAGCTGGGATTACAAGCGCGTGCCACCACATTGGGCTAATTTTTTGTATTGTTAGTAGAAACGGGGTTTCACCACGTTAACCAGGCTGGTCTTGAACTCCTGACTTCAGGTGATCCGCCCACCTTGGCATCCCAAAGTGCTGGGATTACAGGCATGAGACACTGTGCCCAGCGACAGTTTGTTTTTAAAATACAAAGTCAATGCAATCCCAATCCAACCCCTAAAAAATAACTGTGTTTTATTTAACTTTATCTGATCTCCAGCACTATCGTATTTCACAAGATATGGACAAATCTAAGATTGCAAAACAGTGCTAACTGTTGCAAACGCATTTATGATCTGGCCTTTGCCTTCCTTTTCCCCAGTTTGAGTCCTATAACGCCCAACAATCATGACAGGCTCTAAGACAGTGGTCTATAAACTATTGCCAGCCAAATCCTTTTTTTAAGGCCTGGGAGCTAAAAATGATTTTTATATAAAAGATTATCTAAGCACCTATATATTACCTGATCTTGCCTCTTGGTACACAAAACCTAAAATATTTACTATTTTGCCCTGTAAGAAAAAGTCTGTGGACCTCTGCTCTAGACCGAGAACGTGGGAGTTTCCAAAACACCTACTGTACTGCTATGCACTGCTCTCTCACTTCTCTTCTTGGAAAACTTGACCAGGTCTTGTATCTTGAAAACTCCCACTAATCCTTCCCTGAAGTTTCACCTTTTCTGTAAAGTCTTTCCTAATCCCCACTGAGACTTTCCCAAACCCCTCAAACAAAGCATGTGCACTTCTGCCTCCGGCACAGCCCTCAACACTTCCAATGTATTACTTACCAAAAACTAATTATGTTTACGTGTTTCCTCCTCATAGAAATATGGGAGAGCGGGTGGAGCCAAGATGGCTGAATAGGAACAGCTCCAGTCTGCAGCTCCCAGTGTGAGCGACACAGAAGACAGGTGATTTCTGCATTTCCAACTGAGGTACTGGGTTCATCTCACTGGGGAGTGTCAGAAAGTGGGTGCAGGACAGTGGGTGCAGCCCACTGAGCGTGAGCCGAAGCAGGGCGAGGCATCACCTCACCCGGGAAGTGCAAGGAGTCAGGGAATTCCCTTTCCTAGTCAAAGAAAGGGGTGACAGACGGCACCCGGAAAATCAGGTCACTCCCACCCTAATACTGCGCTTTTCCAACAGTCTTAGCAAACGGCATACCAGATTATATCCCGTGTCTGGCTCGGAGGGTCCTAAGCCCAGGGACCCTCACTTGATGCTAGCACAGCAGTCTGAGATCAAACTGCAAGGCAGCAGTGAGGCTGGGGAGGGGCGCCCCCATTGCCGAGGCTTGAGTAGGTAAACAAAGCCACCTGGAAGCTCAAACTGAGTGGAACCCACCACAGGTCAAGGAGGCCTGCCTGCCTCTGTAGACTCCACCTCTGGGGGCAGGGCATAGCCAAACAAAAGGCAGCAGAATCCTCTGCAGACTTAGATGTCCCTGTCTGACAGCTTTGAAGACAGCAGTGGTTCTCCCAGTGCAGTTGGAGATCTGAGAACGGACAGACTGCCTCCTCAAGTGGGTCCCTGACCCCCGAGTAGCCTAACTGGGAGGCACCACCCAGTAGGGGCAGACTGACACCTCACATGACCGGGTACTCCTGTGAGACAAAACTTCCAGAGGAACGATCAGGCAGCAACATTTGCTGTTCACCAATATCCGCTGTTCTGCAGCCACCACTGCTGATACCCAGGCAAACAGGGTCTGGAGTGGACCTCCAGCAAACTCCAACAGACCTGCAGCTGAGGGTCCTGACTGTTAGAAGGAAAACTAACAAACAGAAAGGACATCCACATCAAAACCCCATCTGTACGTCACCATCATCAAAAACAAAGGTAGATAAAACCACAAAGATGGGGAAAAAACAGAGCAGAAAAACCGGAAACTCTAAAAATCAGAGCGCCTCACCTCCTCCAAAGGAACGCAGCTCCTCACCAGCAACGGAACAAAGCTGGATGGAGAATGACTTCAACGAGTTGAGAGAAGAAGGCTTCAGATGATCAAACTACTCTGAGCTAAAGGAGGAAGTTCGAACCCCTGGCAAAGAAGTTAAAAACCTTCAAAAAAAAAATCAGATGAATGGCTAACTAGAATAACCAATGCAGAGCAGTCCTTAAAGGACCTGATGGAGCTGAAAACCAAGGCACGAGAACTATGTGACGAATGCACAAGCCTCAGTAGCCGATTTGATCAACTGGAAGAAAGGGTATCAACGATGGAAGATCAAACGAATGAAATGAAGTGAGAAGAGAAGTTTAGAGAAAAAAGAATAAAAAGAAACGAACAAAGCCTGCAAGAAATACGGGACTACGTGAAAAGACCAAATCTACGTCTGATTGGTGTACCTGAAAGTGACGGGGAGAATGGAACCAAGTTGGAAAACATTCTGCAGGATATTATCCAGGAGAATTTCCACAATCTAGCAAGGCAGGCCAACATTCAAATTCAGGAAATACAGAGAACACCACAAAGATACTCCTCGAGAAGAGCAACTCCAAGACACATAATGGTCAGATTCACCAAAGTTGAAATGAAGGAAAAAATGTTAAGGGCAGCCAGAGAGAAAGGTCGGGTTACCCACAAAGGGAAGCCCATCAGACTAACAGCTGATCTCTCAGCAGAAACTATACAAGCCAGAAGAGAGTGGAGGCCAATATTCAACATTCTTAAAGAAAAGAATTTTCAACCCAGAATTTCATATCCAGCCAAACTAAGCTTCATAAGTGAAGGAGAAATAAAATACTTTACAGACAAGCAAATGCTAAGAGATTTTATCACCACCAGGCCTGCCCTAAAAGAGCTCCTGAAGGAAGCACTGAACATGGAAAGGAACAACCAGTACCAGCCACTGCAAAAACATGACAAATTGTAAAGACCATCAAGGCTAGGAAGAAACTGCATCAACTAATGAGCAAAATAACCAGCTAACATCATAATGACAGGATCAGATTCACACATAATAATATTAACCTTAATTGGAAATGGGCTAAATGCTCCAATTAAAAGACACAGACTGGCAAACTGGATAAAGAGTCAAGACCCATCAGTGTGCTGTATTCAGGAAACCCATCTCATGTGCAGAGACACACATAGGCTCAAAATAAAGGAATAGAGGAAGATCTACCAAGCAAATGGAAAACAAAAAAAGGCAGGGGTTGCAATCCTAGTCTCTGATAAAACAGACTTTAAACCAACAAAGATCAAAAGAGACAAGGCCATTACATAATGGTAAAGCGATCAATTCAACAAGAAGAGCTAACTATCCTAAATATATATGCACCCAATACAGGAGCACCCAGATTCATAAAGCAAGTCCTTAGAGACCTACAAAGAGACTTAGACTCCCACACAATGATAATGGGAGACTTTAACACCCCACTGTCAATATTAGCCAGATCAACAAGACAGAAAGCTAACAAGGATATCCAGGAATTGAACTCAGCTCTGCACCAAGCAGACCTAATAGACATCTACAGGACTCTCCACCCCAAATCAACAGAATATACATTCTTCTCAGCACCACACCCCACTTCTTCCAAAACTGACCACATACTTGGAAGTAAAGCAATCCTCAGCAAATGTAAAAGAACAGAAATTATAACAAACTCTCTCTCAGACCACAGTGCAATCAAACTAGAACTCAGGATTAAGAAACTCAATCAAAACTGCTCAACTACATGGAAACTGAACAACCTGCTCCTGAATGACTACTGGGTACATAATGAAATGAAGGCAGAAATAAAGATGTTCTTTGAAACCAACAAGAACAAAGACACAACATACCAGAATCTCTGGGACACATTCAAAGCAGTGTGTAGAGGGAAATTTATAGCACTAAATGCCCACAAGAGAAAGCAGGAAAGATCTAAACTTGACACCCTAACATCACAATTAAAAGAACTAGAGAAGCAAGAGCAAACACATTCAAAAGCTAGCAGAAGGCAAGAAATAACTAAGATCAGAGCAGAACTGAAGGAAATAGAGACACCAAAAACCCTTCAAAAAAATCAATGAATCCAGGAGCTGGTTTTTTGAAAAAATCAACAAAATTGATAGACCTCTAGCAAGACTAATAAAGAAGAAAAGAGAGAAGAATCAAATAGACGCAATAAAAAATGATAAAGGGAATATCACCACCGATCCCACAGAAATACAAACTACCATCAGAGAATACTATAAACACCTCTACACAAATAAACTAGAAAATCTAGAAGAAATGGATAAATTCCTTGACACATACACCCTCCCAAGACTAAACCAGGAAGAAGTTGAATCTCTGAATAGACCAATAACAGGATCTGAAATTGAGGCAATAATTAATAGCTTACCAACCAAAAAAAGTCCAGGACCAGATGGATTCACAGCCGAATTCTACCAGAGGTACAAGGACGAGCTGGTACCATTCCTTCTGAAACTATTCCAATCAAGAGAAAAAGAGGGAATCCTCCCTAACTCGTTTTATGAGGCCAGCATCATCCTGATACCAAAGCCTGGCAGAGATACAACCAAAAAAGAGACTTTTAGACCAATATCCCTGATGAACATCGATGCAAAAATCCTCAATAAAATACGGACAAACCGAATCCAGCAGCACATCAAAAAGCTTATCCACCATGATCAAGTGGGCTTCATCCCTGGGATGCAAGGCTGGTTCAACATACGCAAATGAGTAAACGTAACCCAGCATATAACAGAACCAACGACAAAAACCATATGATTATCTCAATAGATGCAGAAAAGGCCTTTGACAAAATTCAACAACACTTCATGCTAAAAACTCTCAATAAATTAGGTATTGATGGGATGTATCTCAAAATAATAAGAGCAATCTATGACAAACCCACAGCCAATATCATACTGAATGGGCAAAAACTGGAAACACTCCCTTTGAATACTGGCACAAGACAGGGATGCCCTCTCTCATCACTCCTATTCAACATAGTGTTGGAAGTTCTGGCCATGGCAATCAGGCAGGAGAAGGAAATAAAGGGTATTCAAACTAGGAAAAGAGGAAGTAAAATTGTCCCTGTTTGCAGATGACATGATTGTATATCTAGAAAACCCCATCGTTTCAGCCCAAAATCTCCTTAAGCTGATAGGCAACTTCAGCAAAGTCTCAGGATACAAAATCCATGTGCAAAAATCATAAGCATTCTTATACACCAATAACAGACAGAGAGTCAAATCATGAGTGAACTCCCATTCACAATTGCTTCAAAGAGAATAAAATACCTAGGAATCCACCTTACAAGGGACGTGAAGGACCTCTTCAAGGAGAACTACAAACCACTGCTCAATGAAATAAAAGAGGATACAAACAAATGGAAGAACATTCCATGCTCATGGGTAGGAAGAATCAATATCGTGAAAATGGCCATACTGCCCAAGGTAATTTATAGATTCAATGCCATCCCCATCAAGCTACCAATGACTTTCTTCACAGAATTGGAAAAAACTACTTTAAACTTCATATGGAACCAAAAAAGAGCCCGCGTTGCCAAGTCAATCCTAAGCCAAAAGAACAAAGCTGGAGGCATCACACTATCTGGCTTCAAACTATACTACAAGGCTACAGTAACCAAAACAGCATGGTACTGGTACCAAAACAGAGATACAGACCAATGGAAAAGAACAGAGCCCTCAGAAATAATGCTGCATATCTACAACTATCTGATCTTTGACAAACCTGAGAAAAACAAGCAACGGGGAAAGGATTCCCTATTTAATAAATGGTGCTGGGAAAACTGGCTAGCCATATGTAGAAAGCTGAAACTGGATCCCTTCCTTACACCTTATACAAAAATTAATTCAAGATGGATTAAAGATCTAAATGTTAGACCTAAAACCATAAAAACCCTAGAAGAAAACCTAGGCAATACCATTCAGGACACAGGCCTGGGCAAGGACTTCATGTCTAAAACACCAAAAGCAATGGCAACAAAAGCCAAAATTGACAAATGGGATCTAATTAAACTAAAGAGCTTCTGCACAGCAAAAGAAACTACCATCAGAGTGAACAGGCAACCCACAAAATGGGAGAAAATTTTTACAATCTACTCATCTGACAAAGGGCTAATATCCAGAATCTACGATGAACTCAAACAAATTTACAAGAGAAAAACAAACAACCCCATCAACAAGTGGGTGAAGGATATGAACAGACCCTTCTCAAAAGAAGACATTTATGCAGCCAAAAGACACATGAAAAAATGCTCATCATCACTGGCCATCAGAGAAATGCAAATCAAAACCACAATGAGATACCATCTCACACCAGTTAGAATGGCAATCATTAAAAAGTCAGGAAACAACAGGTGCTGGAGAGGATGTAGAGAAATAGGAACACTTTTACACTGTTAGTGGGACTGTAAACTAGTTCAACCATTGTGGAAGTCAGTGTGGCGATTCCTCAGGGATCTAGAACTAGAAATACCATTTGACCCAGCCATCCCATTACTGGGTATATACCCAAAGGATTATAAATCATGCTGCTATAAAGACACATGCACATGTATGTTTATTGCGGCACTATTCACAATAGCAAAGACTTGGAACCAACCCAAATGTCCAACAATGATAGACTGGATTAAGAAAATGTGGCACATACACACCATGGAATACTATGCAGCCATAAAAAATGAGTTCATGTCCTTTGTAGGAACATGGATGATGCTGGAAACCATCATTCTCAGCAAACTATCTTAAGGACAAAAAACCAAACACCACATGTTCTCACTCATAGGTGGGAATTGAACAATGAGAATACATGGACACAGGAAGGGGAACATCACACACCGGGGCCTGTCGTGGGGTGGGGGGAGGGGGAAGGGATAGCATTAGGAGATATACCTAATGTTAAATGACGAGTTAATGGGTGCAGCACACCAACATGGCACATGTATACATATGTAACTAACCTGCACGTTGTGCACATGTACCCTAAAACTTAAAGTATAATAAATAAATAAATAAATAAGGGAGAGCAGGAACTATCTTATTCATTTCTGCATTGTCAAAAGAGACCCTGTCAACAAATGTGAAAGCCAGACTAGCCTAAACTGTATAACTGAAAAAGCCACCGGAAAGTCAGAAAATGAGCACAGATTCCACTAGTTTATCCACTACCTATTTGTGCTGACTTGGGGGGCTTCCTTAATCACCGGGATGCACCATGTCTAGTCCATAAAGTAAAGGAATTAGATAATAATTTCTAAGATGTGTTCTGCTTCTAAACTTGTAAAATTTCCAAAGAATCTAATCCTTATTCCAAAATATACTGCTTTTTAACTTTTCTTTAAAAGAGCTCACTCTCTTGGTCTCTTCTAAGCAAAAAAGTTAGGCTTTTAAAAAAAATTCAGGTTAAGCAATAAACTTGTTGAAATATTAATTATAGTTCTGTCTTCCTTACAGGTTCTAAATATTTTCATATTATGAAGCATTTCCAGACTGATACATTTAAATACTGAATATATTTCTGAATTCAAAAAACAAATCTGAATTAGAAGAACCTTGAGTTCTCCTGTTACAAAAATTCTCTCTTCAACATTTCTCTCCTACCTGACATTAACCCATAATCCCACACCAGTACAATACTGATGAAAAAATAAGACCATACAGAAGAAAACCTTACCAATCAGGCCCAATTAGGAAAATACGGCCAGCACAAATTCAGGGCTGGTAAGAAGTACAGTATAATTTTCAAGCATATGCTGAATCAGGCAGTAAAACAGTATTATTTAGAACTTTTTAGTGAAACTGTTTTAAGGATAAGAATTATCTATAATTAGCATACCCAAAAAATGTGAATTAATCTCTTCAACAAACTGAATCTTAGGTGCAAAAGTAACTGCAGTAATGGCAAAAACCATAATCACTTTTGCGCCAACCTAATACTATGTGATATTCTTCAGCAGTAATATTATAAAGCTGATATTTACATTCATATAGATAGTATGTATGTTAAATTTAATAATCAATTTTTTTCGGTGTCCCAAACTAAATTTTAGCACAACTCTATCAAACCCTTTATAAAATTAGGGTTATAAAAAAATAATGAATTGATCACTATTTTAAGAAACTGTACCCACAAATACTTTAATCAATCAATGTACAAAAAAATACATATCCTGCATATCTTGTAACAGACCAACTAGTTTTTCAAACTGAAACACTGTTCTCCATCCTTCCATGTTACCATAACGTTTAATCAATGGTTCTATTCAGATAGGCATTGCTTCCAGAATTCAAAACCTTTTCTTTCTTTTCTTAAAGTGGAAAAAAAAAATAAGAAAAAGGTCGGTTTTGTTTACTTTAGACTCTGTTGCCCAGGCTGGAGTGCAGTGGCATGATCTCGGCTCACTGCAACCTCTGCCTCCCGGGTTCAAGCGATTCTCTGCCTCAGCCTCCCCAGTAGCTGGGATTACAAGGAAGCACTACCACACCCAGCTAATTTTTGTATTTTTAGCGGAGATGAGGTTTCACCATGTTGGCCAGGCTGGTCTCAAACTCCTGACCTCAGGTGATGTGCCCACCTCGGCCTCCCAAAGTGCTGGGATTATTACTGGGTGAGCTACTGCGCCCAGCCCTGAGTGTCTCTTTTATGCTAACGAGATAACTCAGGGCAGGCAGCCACCTATGTAGCTTCAGGTTGGGGGCTGTAATGAGATAACTCAGGGCAGGCAGCCCCCTATGTAGCTTCAGGATGGGGGCTGGTCACAGCAAAGAGCAAAGCATGATTAGAACGTTGGGACTTTTCAGCCCCATTCTCCAACCTCTGGGTAGAGGAAAGGGACTGAAGGTTAAGCTGATCACCAGTGGCCAATCATTTAATCAGTCATGCCTACATAATAATGCCTCCATAAAAACCCAAAAGGACAGGGTTTGGAGAGCTTCTGGATAGCTGCACAAGCGGAAGTCCCTAGAGGGTGACATGCCCAGAGAGGGCATGGAGGCTCCATGCCACTTCCCACATGACCTCATCCTATGCATCTCTTCATCTGTACCCATTATAATAAAACAGTAAACCCTAACTGTTTGCTGAGGTCTGTGCCACTCTGGCAGATTAATGGAACCAAGGAGAGGGTCATGGGAACCCCGATTTATATAGCCAGTCATTCAAAAGTTCCGGAGGCCTGCAATGGCATCTGAAGTGGGGGTAGTCTTGTGGGACTTAGCTCTCACTCTGTGGGATCTGAAACTATCTCCAGGTAGATAATGTCAGAATTGAACTGAATTAGAGGACACCAGCAGCCACTGCAGAACTGATTGCTTGCCAGGTATGCAGGGGGAAAACCCACACACATTTTGTTACAGAAATGTTCTGTGTTGTGAGAGTATAGGAGGAACTGAGTTTTTTCCTATATCCTCACACTATTCATTATAAAAACATGAAGTAGGGGGAAGAGGGAAGAGCCCTCGAAGTAAACTAGCAACAGAAGGGAACATCTTCAATATTAGTCTACAAAAACCCTACAGGTAGTATCACATTCAACAGTAAAAATGTAATGTTTTCCCCAGAGAAACAAAACAAGGATGTCCCCTTCCATTCAACATTGTATGGGAGGTCCTAGCCAGTTGAACAAGGCAAGAAAAAAACTAACGGGCATCCACAAATAAGAAAACAAAAAATAAAATTTTCTTTATTTGCAGACCGCATAATGTATGTAGAAAATCCTATCTAGAGTAACATGACTAGAACAATATAATTTAGTAAGACAGTAGGATACTAGATCAGCATGCAATAATAAATGTTCCTATATAATAGCAATAAAACAATTGGAAATAAAATTTTACAACCACTCCAATCACAATAGCATAAAAAAAAACAAACGTAAAACATATGTGATAAGAACTATGAAGTATTGCTGTAGAGTCTTAAAGAAGGCTAAATACAGGGTGAAATACGCCATGTTCACGAACAAGCAAATGCAATATTACCGATGACAAATTCTTCCTAACTTAGCACATGTAGTTCCAATATAATCCTAGCAGAATTATACTGAATTATACCGTTTCTGCACTTTATATGCAAAGGCAAAAGACCTAGAAAAACCAAAGCAATTTTGAAAAAGAATACAGGGAACTTGGGGCCAGATGCGGGCGGTGGCTCATGCCTATAATCCCAGCACTTTGGGAGGCCGAGGCAGGCGGATCACGAGGCCAGGAGATCGAGACCATCCTGGCCAACATGGTGAAACCTGTCTCTACTAAAATACAAAATATTAGCCAGGCGTGGTGGCGTGGGCCTATAGTTCCAGCTACTGGGGAGGCTGAGGCAGGAGAATCACTTGAACCCGGGAGGCGAAGGTTGCAGTGAGCCAAGATCGTGCCACTGCACTCCAGCCTAGGCGACAGAGAGAGACTCCATCTCAAAAAAAAAAAAAAAAGGAAAGAAAGAAAGAAAAAAATAATACAGGGAACTTACATTGCTTGATTTCAAGAACATAGTAAACAAAACTATGATATTGGCTTAAAAACAGACACACAGATCACTGGAACGTAACAGAGAATCTAGAAACAGAAAACTAAATTGTACGTTGATATTTTTCAAAGAAGAAATGCTAGATTTTCAAAGTGTAGTCTTTTCAACAAATAATGCTGGAAAAACTAGGTAGCTATTGGGGTAGGGGGTGGGGGGACCACTGATGCTATCTCACATCATAAACAACTTGAAATGTATCACAGGCCAAAACAGAATTTAAAAGGTGAGGAAATATTTTATGATCTTGGGATACACAAAGATTTCCTAGCACAAAAAGCACAAACTGTAAAAGAAAAAAAAAGTAATTAAATGGACCTCATTGAAACAATAAACATTTGCTCTTCAAAAGACACTAGTAAGAAAATGAAAAGATGAACCAGAGACTAATAATTCCAAAACAAGTATCTGACAAAGGGCATTTATCCAGAGTATATAAAGAACCCATAAAACTCAATGAAGAAGAGGAAGAAGATAAGGAAGAACAACAGGAAGGAAAGGAAGAAGAGAAGGAAAGAAAAGAAAGAAGAAGGGAAGAGGGAGGGAGGGAGAGGAGGAAGGGAAGGAGAATAGGTAGACGGGCTAAAGTTAAAAAGACTGAGGAGGAAAGAAAGAAAGAAAACAAGAAAGAAGAAAAAACAAGAATGGGCAGATGGGCTAAAGTTAAAAAGACTGACAATACCAAGTGCTAACGAAGATATGGAACATCTGAAATCTCATTCACTGCTGGTTGGAATATAAAATGGTATAACCACCTTGAAAAAGTCTGACGGTTAAACCTAAAACTGCAAAGCAATTCAGCATTCCCAAATCATAGGTATATATACCAAGACAAATGAAAATCCATGTCCACACAAAGACAAATAATATTCACAGCACTTTATTCATAACCAAAAGCTGAAAACAACCCAAATACTTATCAACTGAGAAAAACTGTGGCATATCCATTCTATGAAATCCTACTTAACAATGAAAAAGAACATACTACTGATACACACAACATGGATGAATCTCAGTAAAAGCATGCCAAATGAAAGCTATCAAAAACAAAAGAATATATGCTGTTTAAACCCCATTACATGATATTCCAGAACAGACAAAACTAAAGGGATGAAAGCAGAGAAGTGGTTGCCTGGGACCAGAGATCAAGAGTAGGAAAATGGCACAAGGGAACACTTTGGGTGATGGAAAATGTTCTATATCTTCATTATGGTAATGGTTATACAACTATTTAAGTTGTCAAATCTCAAATAATGTAAATCATATCTCAAAAAATGCTTAAAATAATGCTAAATATATCTCAAAAAAGCTACAGAAAATAAATTATCAGGTATTTTTTGTGAAGCTAGACAAGTTAATTAGAAAGTTTATTTGGAAAAACAAGCCACCAACGACAGCCAGGAAAATCCTAGAAGCAAGAACAGTGGGGAAAGGGTGCCCTAGCACTACCATACATTAAAACATATTATAAAATCTCTGTTAGTAAAATACTTTTGTATTAGTTCATGAACAAAGCATGCCACAAAATGCACAGACAAAACTGCATATGAATATTTAGTATACAATTAAGGCAACATCTCAAATCAGCAGAGGAAAAAATGAATTTTTAAAAAATATATCTTTGGGATAACCAGTCATAAGAAAAAAGATAATCTTAAATATTGTTCACACTGTAAGTCAAGAATAAAACCCAAACGGATCAGAAATTTAAATGTAAAATATTAAACCATTCAAGTACTGAAAGAAAATGTGGGTGAATTTCTCTAACACCTGGGAATGAGGAAAAAACCCATCCTATGATTCAAAATACAAGGGCAATGTAGAAGACTGATCAATCTGACTACACAGAAATAGAAAACTTCTGCACAGGCAAACACAAACACACAAAAACAAAGCAAAACAACAAATCTCAAACTGGGCAACAGTAGCTTCAACTAATGTCACAGATAAAGGATAAATATGCCTAATACATGTTATATAGCTACATAAAACAGTAAAACAATGACCTAATAAAAAAAATGGGCAAGAGACATGAACAAATATTTCAAAGAAAAAGAAATTCAAATAGTCTTTACACTTCAATTTTTAAAAAGTTCAATCTCACTAACAACTAAGAAAATGTAAATTTAAATTATAATAAAATACCATTTCTCACCTATCAAACTGGCAAGTCTGCTGACAAAAAGGTTCTTGATTAAGACCAAGAAGAAACAAGCACTTGCATACATTGTTGAAATAAATGCAAATGGTTCAATCCCAAAGGAGCAAATACCCTTCAACACAATGATCCCACTTTTAAAGGAATCTATACTAAAGAATCACTAACAAAAGTATTAAAAGACAGGCCAAGTGCGGTGGCTCACACCTGTAATCCCAGCACTTTGGGAGGCCGAGGTGGGAGAATTACTTGAGGCCAGTGATTGAGTTTGAGACCAGCCTGAGTAATATAGTGAGATTCTATTTCTGCAAAAAAAAAACTTAAAAATTAGCCGAGCATGGTGGTGTGCATCTGCAGTCCCAGCTCCTCGAGAGGCTGAGGCAGGAGGATTCACTTGAGCCCAGGAATTCAAGGCTGCAGTGAGCTCTGATTGCACCACTGCACTCCACCCTGTGCAAGAGAGCAAGACCTTGTCTCTAAAAAACTATATATATAGAGAGAGAGACACTTTTACTAGACTATTTACTGCAGCACTCTGTAAAAGCAAAGCACTGAAGCACCTGATTAAATAAACTATGGAGTAAGTCTTCATGACCTTGAGTTAGGCAAAGATTTCTTAGGTACAACAACAAAAACACAAGCAATAAAAAGTTGTGTTACAAAGCTGATAAACTGGACTTTATCAAAGTTTAAAACTTTATTTTCTACCCCACTAGGCACACTAAAAAACTAGTACACTCAAAAATTAGATAATTAAAAGTGCTGAGTAGGATACAGAGAAACTGGAACCCTCACACATTACTGGCAGGGATGTAAAATGGTACAGACATAGGGAAAAAAAGTTTTGGCAGTTTCCCAAAATGCTAAACACAGATTTACCCTATAATCCAACAATTCCATTTCTCAGTACCTACCCAAGAAAACTGAAAATATTATGTCACACAAAAACCTGTACACAAATGTTCACAGCAGTATTATTCACAATAGCCAAAAAATGAAACAACCCAAATGCCCATCAACTGATGAAAGGATAAACAAACTGTGGTATATTGATCCAATGGAATACAGTGAGCCCTTTGTATCCATGGGTTCCGCATCTGCAGATCAAAAATATTCAGGAAAAAAATAACAATAATAAAAAATAATACAAACTAAAAAGCAATACAGTATAGCAATCAATTACATGGCATTCACATTTTATTAGGTATTATAAGTAATCTAGAAATGATTTAAAGTATATGGGAGGATGTGTAGAGGTGATATACAAATACTTTATCATTTAATATAAAGAACTTGAGTATCCATGGATTTTGGTATCCATGAGGGGTCCTGAAACCAATGCCCCACGGATACTGAGGGGTGACTATATTATCAGGAAATAAAGAATAAAATATTCATGCTATAACATATATGAACCTTGAAAACATATGCTAAGTTAAAGAAGCCAGCCACAAAAGACCATATATTATATGATTCCATTTATATGAAATATCCAGAAAAGACAAATATATAAAGGCAGAAAGTAGACTGGTGGTTGCCAGGGCTGGGGATATATGTGAGGTTTCATTCCAGGGAGATAAATAAGACTGTGATGATGGCTGTGATGCAGGATTTTTTGCCCCTTAGCTCAGCTAATCTGGATTTTTGTCTCACAACTAGGAAGAATTAGGCATGCAGCCACATTGAAGGGTGAGGAAGACAAAATTTATTAAGCAAAAGGAAAGCTATCAGCAAAGAAAGGGGGTCCTGCCAGCAGGTTTCCACCTCACAAACTGAATACCAGGGCCCCAGCACACAGTTGAAGAGGCCAGGATCCTCCCCTGTATAAGGCTCAAATTATTGGTGGCTCCACCCCATTCCCCCAGTGCATGTGTACCTCCAGTCCACTGCAGGCATGCCCAGGCAAGCCCCCTGTGCAGGTTCCCTTATCTGCACAAAACATCTGGTGTAAACACCTGTGGGCTGGGTGGATCAGTGATTCTCCAGGGACCCTTCCCTATCTGTCTAGACCTTTGTCTGCCTCCTGCCTCTATCAGCTGCACAGCTCTGAAAATTTACTAAAAATCACTGATTTGTATAGTTAAAACAGCTGAATTTTATAGCATGTGAATTACAGCATGTGAATAAAGCTATAATTTTATAGCATGTGAATTAAGCTATAATTTTATAGCATGTGATAAAGCTTTTAAAAAAAAGCCAGAGATTAGAGAAGATATTTTCAAAAGACTTAAAAAAGAAAAAATATATATACATATATGTCTAAAACCTCTACACGGTGTTCTCAAAATCTCTGCATAGGCTGACTGTTGAAGGGCTTTTCCAGACAAAGCCAGTCTATATAAGACTGGAATAAGTACCTACTTCAAAAAGAAAGACAAATTAACCAATAGAAAAATAAAATCCACAAAAAATCTGAAACAGCAATTCAGATTTAAAAAAAAAAACTCACTGCTCAATAAACTTAAAAGTAAACATGATGTAAAAGATCATGCTTAATCACTGCTTAAATTAAGATAAGAAAGTGGATGATTAATTGTTTCACTGCTATGCACAGTCTTTCATTTAGGTAGGTCTTCTAAAAAATAGGTTCAGCTCTCCTCAAAGCTCCAATTATAAACAGAGTACACCAAGAAAGAGTTTATCATAACTTTCCCATTACACCTTCCCATTTTAGCCTGATATACACGTCTTCAGCCTTCTTTTACTCCCAGGTACCAACTTTAGAAAAGAAAACCAAGGAATCATTTTGTTATTGTTATTTGTTTAGTTTTGCTTGATTTTTACTTATCACACTTCTATTACATTTGACCAGTAAAATGTGTCAGAGGACTCTAATTCTTAATAAAATACAAGGAGAGTCATACAAGACAGCACAAACATAAATACTCTCAACCCTTTTCCAATACCTTTCCCCTAGAAGCAATATTTTAAGTAATTAACAAAAAAAAGCAAGAGCTCAATTAATTTTGAGTATAATTGGCAATAATCTGCCCAAAACACAAACATGAAATCAGCATGCAAATGTACACTAACCTTCCAGTAGTCAGACTGTAAACTGTAGTACCTCTGGTATGCAGATAATGCTGAAAGGAAAATAATTATGAGTCATAATTATGTCTCACTTTAAAGTCAATAATACACTTAACAAACACGGTAACAAGATTCCCACCACACCCACCTCCCAGTAGATAGTGATATTTCAGACCAAACAACTTAAAATTCTGGGCCCCCCTCAGTTCAGAAACGTAAAACCATGGTCAAATCTCAGATCTGCACTTGAACAGCATCTAGGCTAACCCCTTAGATCAACTCGACCTTCCTCAAAGATCAAAACTCGTGGAGGATTAAGAGAGTTAGATATAAAAAGAAGCCCATAAGACTACTAGATGAAAACATGGGGGCATAATATTTTTCTGATCAGCTAGAAAAGGATTTTTTTAATTTGTGGTTTACAATTCACAAGCTAAGATATGGAAGACCAGGATAAAAACTATTTGAGAAGCAATTGGCTCCCTCAACTCTCTCACTCAACACTTGATGTTGTTCAGGCAATCTGACCAAAAAATGCAGAGATTCTCCAACAAAAGGCCATGGATATCATATTCAGAGATCCGCAATCCCATGTTCAGAGCCTCCAGTTCTCAATTATTCCAATTATGAAATATGGACAGCTAAGAATTATCAGACATCTAAAGAAAGCCTCTAACCAAGAAGAAACTAACACAAAAGAAAAAAAGACAACCTAAAAGAAAAAATAATGACTACTATGCAGGGGAAAATATACTTCAAAAAATTCTTACTAGTCTTAGGTAAGGGAAAATATTGTTTTCATTGAGGGGGATGAAAAGGGGGTGTGTGCAGGAGAACAAACAGGATGCTCTAAAAAAAATTAAATTCGGTAGATTAAAGTACGATAGCAGAAATAAATAATTCAATAAAAAGATTAAAATTAAATTTGAAGAAATCTCTCAAAAAATAAACAAAAAGGACAAAAACAGAAAATTAGAAAAACTGTGCCCCGGAGGTCTAACATATCAATAATAGAGCCCCAAAAAGAAAGAATAAAAGGAAAAAAGAAAATTCAGGAAATAATTCCAAAAATATTCCCAGAAAAGAAGGCTATGACTTGGTAGTTTGAAGGGTCCTACAACAGATATGTAATTCTAGAAATAAGGCAACAGAACAATGTTTTCAAAATTCTGAAGGAAAATTATTTCCAACCTAAAATTATATATCCAGTCAAGCGATCTATTAGGAGGCTAGAATAAAGGTATTTTCTGATACGCAAAGTCTCCAAAGAAAATTATCTCCCAAATAACTTTCCTGAAGAAAAATCTGACAAATATGCTCCCCTTAAAGGAGAGTATATACAAGAAAGAAGAAGATATGGTTTATTGAAAGCAGGAGACACAACAGAGACAAGAGGCCATGGGAATACCCAAGATGAAGAAAAAGGGTGATCCCAGGACAGCAGCTATGCCCCAGATCCAAGTCACTGAGGCTTATCATTAAAATTCTGCTGCTCTTGTAACCTCTTCTCAACCTGAGGACCAAATACCCAGATAAACCTGGCCCAGATTCTTAACTGGGCTTGGCTTTTTTTTGACCATGTTCTGATAAAGTTTCTATTCTCCCCTCTATATTCTACAAAATAGATGATGTGAAGGCTCCCAGAAGTGTTAAGTGTTCTGCTTTGATTTACTTTTTTTTTTTTGAGATGGGGTCTCACTCTGTTGCCCAGGCTGGAATGCAGTGGGGTGATCTTGGCTCACTGCAATCTCCGCCTCCCAGGTTCAAGTGATTCTCCTGCCTCAGCCTCCTGAGTAGCTGGGATTACAGGCGCGTGCCACCATGCCCAGCTAATTTTTGTATTTTTAGTAGAGGCGGGGTTTCACCATTTTGGCCAGGCTGGTCTCGAACTCCCGACCTCAAGTGATCCACCTGCCTTGGCATCCCAAAGTGTGGGATTACAGGTGTGAGCCACCATGACCGGCCTGATTTGATTTACTTCTGAATAACCCACTCTCTCTGTTCATATTCCTGACCAGATTTTCCTGGTTCATATTGGTCATGTCATATGTCCTAATTATGGGTATTATGTTTGCCAAGAGTCACACATGCCCCAGCACACTGCCTTCCCCAAAAGTGGCTCTTGTAAACTATTGAGGAACCAGAAGCCACATTATAACGCTAAAATCTCTTCTTTAGTTTTACTTCTCCCAAGAGCCTCCTCTAAATAGTGACAATATGGCCCCTTCCTTACATAGCTATGTTCGTGCCTGCTATTCAGCTTTCCAAAGATAAACGGTATCTTGTTCAGGGATACTTTTATCAGTGGATTAAAAAAAAAAGAAAGAAAGGCAAGAGAACACTGAACATCACAGCCAGGCATGGGTTACACCTACAGAGGAAGGGAGGAGGATGCAACTGGAGAGAACACAGGCTTGTGGTAGCAGTATCATTCTATTTCTTAACTTGTAGAGTAGGTAGACAGGTGTCAATTTTAATAGTCTTTAAACCATATATAGGTTTTTAGACATTCTACTTAAGTATAATATGCTGCTCAATTTAAGGATCAGAAACTAGCAAAAAACATTTTACAACACACTGCATGTTACCCTTCACTAGTGACCAAGTTGTTTCTTCAACAAAGCAGTAAATAAAACATTATCTTCTGACTATATGTTAGGGACAAACCGCCCCAAAAAAGCTTCTTGGTATTGCCAACACTCCCCCCAAACCCCTGCGTACTGCCCACCCCTTGCCTTAACGCCCTGCAACCCTTCTCTGTGCCGTTCACCCTTCCCCCAGCCTCTTTACTTTTCTAAGCTCTTATCCAGGCGCCCCAGTGGAGCCAGCAGACTTCACTTATCAGACCTTGCTGCGATAAGCAAACCCCAATTACAAACCATCCAGACTGCACAGGGGAGGTCGTGGGAAGCATAAACAAACTTTACCTAAACCCTCCTGTAAGTTCCTTCATCTGGCTGCTACCATAAATGTCACAAGGTTATATATGGCAAAGTTAACCAACAAACGACCCCAGGGTCTCTCTCCCCCATATAAACCCCTCATTTTGTAAGCTCAGGGCTGCCTCCTCTGTCTGTGGTGGAGCAGCCAGCAGGTTCAATAAACTTACTCGCCTGACTTTGGGTCTATTTTTCCTTTCTCTCGGCTGACCTTACAATATATGAGATGCTGAATAAAAGAAGATTTACCAAAAATGGAAGTTAATGTTTTCTGAAACTCTATATGAAATGTTTTCATTTTACTGTAAATTGCCAAAATATATATAAAATCATATAAAGAACATTCTGAATATGTTCAAATTACAGAAACATTACCCAAAAACATCATCACATATCTGAAAAAATAACTTTTACATATGAATAATGCTCATCTTTTTTGCATAAAGATGATGCCAACCAACCTATCACTGGAAGGACGTTAGACTATGAGAAATTTTTCCAGTTGTGGTGAAGAACTGGTTTTAAGCCATCTCCCATTTCCTAGTTCTTCATGCATGAGGGTAGCTAGTTTATAAAGGTCATTAATTAATGGTCTTCTAAAAAGAAAAGCAAACCAAATTTATCAAACCAGCTGTAGAAAAAAAATAGTCAAGCAAGAGTTTGTGTAGTCAATGGTGTGGCTGATTTTCTCACATTCATTTCTAACCACACTCTCAATCCCCGTTATTGATTTGAAAAGGTTATCAGTTTCCTGGCAATCTCGGTGATTGTTTTAGTCCAGAAATGGGCACATGAGCTCAGGTGGCCCAATCACCACTGATTTATAGATGACAGACATGAAAAAGGTTCTCTGTCTACTAATGGATGTGAACAAGGAAGCATATATTACCAACTGCCACCACGAGGGAACTATCTTGGGATGAAGCCCACAGCACAGAAGAAACAGACTGAAAAGTAACTGGATCCTTCTAGACTTCAAACCATGCCTGGAGAAAAATCCACCTATGAACTTCCTATTATGTGAGGTAATAAATGTCCTTATTGTTTAAGCTAGAATCAGGTATTTAATACTTGTACCTAAAAACATGCTGAAAACAGAAGACTTGGTCCCTGACAATTTTGTGCAGTCACCATATCAAACCTGGAGATTGCCCTTGTAATGATATTACAGAATTTCCACAAATTTGGAGGGCATACTTTCAATAATTTGATTAATTATATATATCATCTGGCTTCATAAAATTCTCTTTTAGGATTGGGGAACCTTTAAAAAGACAGTATGATGTCTTCTAAAGCAAATAAAACTGAAGTATAAGAAGTCCATGTGATGTGAAAAGATGTTACAAAAAAACCCCCAAAGAAATAAAAAATTAAAGAGAAAAAATAAAATATTTTAAAAAAGAAGTCCATGTAATTATCAGTTGGGAGAAACATGGCATCCATACAAAAATATGGTGAACTGAGAAATAAATATGAATGCTCAAATTCAAAGTCACAAAGTTAATACTCTAAATGGCAGGAACAGATTTGTAATTGAGCCATTTCTTCCATGAGCATTTGTTCCATTTCTTCCATAGTGATCTTTCTACTCGTTTACACATTTTATAAACAATTATACTCTACCCTCATTATGCTTAGCATCTTATTTTAAGAAGGATCTTAACGTGCTGTTTCTTAATCAGAAAAAAAATCATTAAAACTCTAAAGGTGCAGTATGCAAGTACCCATCACCTCACCAAAGTCTCTCTAGTAAAATCCTTTTGACCAAAGCACAGTCCTTATTTCTAATCTTTAAGGTAGTTATCCATAAAAAAATTCCTAGTCTACTGTAACTAGAATTTTCTAAAGTCCTTAATACAGAATGAGGGAAATCATTTATTTGGACATCCTCATACAATGCTTAAAACCTGTTTTAGAATGATTACAGAAAATGGATTAAAAAATTGACAATTTTGGAGAAGCCAAACAAAATCTATGATTGGAAAACACACATTTCATGTTCTTATACTATAAATATTCCAGGATAGAGTACTGTCATTCAACCCACAAAAGACAAAAAGAGAGGGCCGGGCGCAGTGGCTCACGCCTGTAATCCCAGCACTTTGGGAGGCCGAGGCAGGCGGATCACAAGGTCAGGAGATCGAGACCATCCTGGCTAACACGGTGAAACCCTGTCTCTACTAAAAATAGAAAAATTAGCCGGGCGTGGTGGCGGGCACCTGTAGTACCAGCTACTCAGGAGGCTGAGGCAGGAGAATGGCGTGAACCCGGGAGGCAGAGCTTGCAGTGAGCCGAGATCGCGCCACTGGACTCCAGCCTGGGCAACAGAGCAAGACTCCATCTCAAAAAAAAAAAAAAAAAAAAAAAAGATAAAAAGAGAAAGAAAACCCTCCAAGCTCTAACTTAAGGCTTCTCCACATTGGCAGCTCTTGGCATGTAACTTGCCCTGGCCATTTGTAACTGCTTAAGAATTGAAACAACCAAAGCATATTTTGCCCAAAAGTGACAGAAATGCAACAAACGACCAATTACTTGAGGGAAGGAAGAATGCAAGAAAAATCTATCACTGGCTAGAATTTCAGGGAACTTATAATTGGGAAAACTTCCAGCTCAAAAATATGAAGAAACAATTTTTAAGAGTTTCAAGGTTTTCATATTAATGTCAGGAATGATTATTACACTCCTCTAATTTTTTACTTCTGAAGTTCTTACTGTCTATCCTTTAAGTCTCCTGCCTCGTAATTTCTGTTTATAATTTTGCTATGTACTTTGAAATAATCTGCTACCTAATTTTTTTTTTTTTTTTTTTGAGATGGAGTTTCATTCTTACTGTCCAGGCTGGAGTGCAATGGCGTGATCTCAGCTCACCGCAACCTCCACCTCCTGGGTTCAAGCAATTCTCCTGCCTTAGCCGCTCAAGTAGCTGAGATTACAGGCATGCGCCACCACGCCCTGCTAATTTTTTATTTCTAGTAGAGACGGTGTTTCTCCATGTTGGTCAGGCTGGTCTAGAGTTCCTGACCTCAGGTGATCCGCCCGCCTCGGCCTCCCAAAGTGCTGGGATTAAAGGAGTGAGCCACTGTGCCCAGCTGCTACCTGATTTTCTAATCAACTAATTTAACCTCCGTGACTCTCTTTACCTATATTTTACCACATATTTATAGATATTTACACTTATTTTCTATTAACTGCTCCTAAGATCCATCACATATATTCATCTAAATACATATGCTTGGGCTTCAGCCCAGGGTTATGTATCTCTCAGGGTGTCCTCCAACCCAAAGAAGTGAAATCACTGCATAATCTCCATGGTTTAAGGCTTATAAGCTATCTGAGAGCCCCATCAGCAATTTGGCTTCGGAGGTTCATGGGTTAGCTTTAGAGTTAGGAGTAAAAAGGAGGTATAGTAGACACTGTAAAGAAGCACTCATATCCCACTTCAAGAAAGAACTGCTGGGAATCCTGCTTGCTGAAAGCCTCTATCTGTGAGATTCTACAGAAGCTGCCTCAGTTGCAGAGAGCCAACTTGTCCCTGGTCACAGTTCTTCTCAGGCTGGCCCATGTTCAATATGGAATAATTGGAGTATAAAGGCCTGGCTATCTTGGCCCAACTTGGTATAGCTCTCAAGGGCCATTCTGGCTCCAGAGCATCCCATGAAGTTAGTAAAGGCTGTCACAGCTTAACTTCTCCTTCTGTCCAATACTGGTTCTACCCTCCACCTTCCAAAGCTGTTGAACATAAAGGAAACTCCTTACTGAGGAACATAACCTACAACAATAGACTGACTGCAGTGAGCCTCCATTTTCCCACAATCCCCTATCCAATTACTATTTTAAGACTTAAAATAAATTCCTACAAGTAAAATGACCAAATAAAGTGACATGACATTTTTTTAAACTCTTCATTCATATCACCAGCCAGAAAAGCTAAGAAAATATTTTACAAAGCCTTTTTTCCTTCTGCATCAAATTCATCTGGAATCACAGAAAAGATAAATGATTACCAAATTATACCATCTTCAGACCAAAATTGTTTCTTGGAATTCTTGTAAGACAGAAAGTAGATGAGAGCAAAATGACAATTAAGGGTAAGAAAAACCACAGCCCAAAACACACACAAAACAGGTTCTACCATTTTCTACTATAGAAATAGAAGCCTTTTTTTGTTTGTTTTTTTTAAAGGAACTAAACTCAAGAGAAATGCCAAGCTCAGAAAACTTTACACAGAAAAGATGACTATGAATCAGGGCAAATAATTACAGGGCTGTCTTCAGAAGAACAAGGCCAGTAAGTCGCCTATGTACATATACCTGAGCAGTTCACTCACAGAATTACACATTTACTACATGGTTTACTCCCAGGAAGTTATGGTTTATAATGTGTTCTCTAAAAATAAATGTCTATTTGCCCAGGGTTAGTAGTTCTCTTATCCTGTACTAGATCCAAAGAGAGGAGAAGGAGGTAGCCAAAGGTAACAAATGTCTCTATAAACTGGTAATCTTGAGGGTATGAGTATGTGTTGGAGAGGAAGGGAGAGGGCTATTAGAGACAGATTCTAGTTTTGGACTTGGAGAAAGACAATGAAGAGAACAGATAGAGAATTTTATTTTAGCCAGGTGCGGTGGCTCACGCCTGTAATCCCAGCACTTTGGGAGGCCAAAGCAGGCGGATCACAAGGTCAGGAGATCAAGACCATCCTGGCTAACACAGTGAAACCCCGTCTCTACTAAAAAGTACAAAAAATTAGCCGGGCGTGGTGGCGGGCGCCTGTAGTCCCAGCTACTCGGGAGGCTAAGGCAGGAGAATGGCGTGAACCCGGGAGGCGGAGCTTGCAGTGAGCCGAGATTGCACCATTGCACTCCAGCCTGGGCGACAGAGCGAGACTCTGTCTCAAAAAAAAAAAAAAAAAAGAGAGAGAGAGAGAATTTATTTTAAGTGGCAACATGCCTTAAAAAGCCTCAAAGAGGATTTCAAAAAATAAATAACAAAACACATCTAGGAAATAGAAACCACCAGCTTGAAATATTAAAATATACTGAATACATTTGCATACCCCTGCATCCATTTTCTCCTTCCTCTTCCCCCTATTACACATTAATCAAGCTGCTAACTACCTATCAATGCCCAGGTCATCTACACAACACTAAATGAAGCACATGTTTTCAAGGACTTAAATCCTTAGATTATCCTTCTCTTCTCTCACCTTACTAGATTACTCTCACCAGCTAGTTTGCTAACACAGTCTAGTTGCCACATGCCCTCCCTTCCAAAAAAGAAAACACATATCCAAGATCAATCTCCTTGGATTCATTACCTTCATAACCAAAATTTTTAAGTGGCCAGGCATGGTGGCTCACACCTGTAATCTCAACACTTTGGGAGGCTGAGGCGGGAGGATCGCTGGAGCCCAGGGGTTCAAGACTAGCCTGGGAAACAAAGCAAGACCTCTGTCTCTAAAAAAAGTACAAAAAATAGTTAGGCGTGGTGGCGCGCACCTCTAGTTCCAGCTACTCAGGAGGCTGAGGTAGGAGAATCACTTGAGCCCAGGAGTTTGGGGCTGCAGTGAACCATGTTTCTGCCACTGCACTCCAGCCTGGGTGACAAAGCAAGACCCTGTCTCAAAAAATAAAATTAAAAAAAAAATATATATATATATGTGAAAAATAAAGCTATAGTCACAGTCTAACATAGTGTTAAAAGTTAAAAGATTTATTGTTTAACAACCACTAAGTAGCAAGTACACGTAGCCTCATATGTAAACCTAATTTTCAAGTCTAGGTCTCTCTTTACATGCTCTCAAAATAGCATGTCCTCCAACTACATAAAGGTGCAGCAATAAAAAAGTAGCAGATTGCATAGAATTCTACAGGCATACCCTGTTTTATTGCACTTTGCTTTATTGTGCTTCACAGATATTTGCGTTCTTTACAAATTGAAGGCTCACAGCAACCCTGTGTAGAGCAAGTCTATCGGTGTCATTTTTCCAACAGCCATGTGCTCACTTAATGGCTCTGTGTCACATTTTGGTAAACCAATATTCCATACATTTTCATTATTATTGTTATCTGTTATGATGACCTGTGATCACCGATCTTTGGTGTTACTACTGTAATTGTTTTGGGGAATCACTAACTGTGCCCACATAAGACAGTAAACAATCGATAACTGTTGCATGTGTTCTGACTACTCCACCAACAGGCCATTCCCTAGTCTCTCTCCCTCTCCTTGGGCTTCTGTATTCCCTAATACATGACAACATTGAAATTATGCATATTAATAACCCTACGATGACCTCTTAGTGTACAAGTGAAAGAAAGAGTTACGCATCTCTCACTTTAAATCCAAAGCTAGAAATCATTAAGCTTAGTGAGGAAGGCACTTTGAAAGCTGAGACAGACCAAAAGCTAGGCCTCTTGTGCCAAACAGCCAAGTTACGAATGCAAAGGAAACATTCTTGGAGGAAATTTGAAGTGCTATTCCAGTGAATGCACAAAAGACAAGGAAGCAAAAACAGCCTTACTGCTGATATGGACATGGTCTGAGTGGTCTGGATAAAACATCAAACCAGCCACAACATTCCCTTAAGCCAAAGCCTACTCCAGTGAAAGGCCCTAACTCTCTCCTTAGTTCTATGAAGGCCAAGAGAAGTGAAGAAGCTGCAGAAGAAAAGTGTAAAGCTAGCAGAGGTTGGTTCGTGAAGTTTAAGGAAAGAAGCCATCTCCATAACACAAAAGCGCAAGATGAGGCAGCAAGTGCTGATGGAGAAGTGTAGCAAATTATCCAGAAGATCTAGCTAAGATCACTGATAAAGGTAGCTACACTAAACAACAGATTTTCAATCTCCGTGAAACAGCCTTCTATTGAGGAAGATGCCATGTAGGACTTTCAGATGTAGGACTTTCATCAACATCTGGCTTCAAAGTTTCAAAGGACAGACTGACACTCTTGTTAGGAACTAATGCTGGTGGTGCCTTTAAGTGGAAGCAATTGCTCATTTACCATTCAGAAAATCCTAGGGACCTCAAGAAATATGCTAAATCTACTGTCTATGCTCTATAAATAGAACAACAAAGTCTGAATGACAGCACATCTGTTCACAGCACAGTCGACTGAATATTTTCAGCCCACTGTTGAGAACTATTGTTCAGAAAAAAAGACTCCTTTCAAAATATTATTGCTCACCGACAATGCACCTGGTTACCCAAGAGCTCTGATGGAGATGTACAAGCAGATTAATGTTGTTTTCATGCCTGCTAACACAACATCCATTCTGCAGCCTATGCATCAAGGAGTAATTTTGACTTCCAAGTCTTTTTTTTTTTTTTTTTTCTGAGACAGAGTCTCACTCTGTCACCCAGGCTGGAGTGCAATGGTGCGATCTCAGCTCACTGCAACCTCCCCCTTCTGGGTTCAAGTGATTCTCCTTCCTCAACCTCCTGAGTAGCTGGGAATACAGGCACACACCACCGCACCCAGCCAATTTTTGTATTTTTAGTAGAGACGGGGTTTCACCAGGTTAGCCAGGTGGGTCTCGACTCTTGACCTCAGGTAATCCACCTACCGAGGCCTCCCAAAGAGCTGGGATTACAGGCGTGAGCCACCGCACCCGGCCTCAAATCTTATTAAAGTAATACATTTTGTAAGACTATATAGCTGCCATAAATAGTGATTCCTCTCATGGATCTCGGGAAAGTAAATTGAAAGCCTTCTGGAAAAGATTCATCATTCTTGATGCCATTAAGAACATTTGAGGTCAAAAGGCCGGGCGCAGTGGCTCATGCCTGTGTAACCCCAGCACTTTGGGAGGCTGAAGTAGGCAGATCACCTGAGGTCAGGAGTTCGCGACCAGCCTGACCAACTTGGTGAAACCCTGTCTCTACTAAAAATATAAAATTACCCAGGCATGGTGTCGCATGCCTGTAATCCCAGCTACTCAGGAGGCTGAGGCAGGAGACTCGCTTGAACCCAGGAGGCGGAGGTTGCAGTGAGCTGAGATCACGCCACTGCACTCCAGCCTAGGCAACAAGAACATTTGAGGTCTAAATACCGACATTAGCAGGAGTCTGGAAGAAGTTGATTCCCATCCCTCCCCATAGATGACTTTGATGGGTTCAAGATTTCAATGGAGGAAGTAACTGTAGATGTGCTGGAAACAGCAAAAGAAACAGAATTAGAAGTGGAGCCTGAATGGATAAGGAACTGCTTCTTATAGATGAGCAAAGAAAGTAGTTTCTTTAAAAAAGAGACACAGAGAGAGACAGAGACAGACAGACAGACAGAGACAGACAGACAGACACACACACACACACACACACACACACACACACACACACACACACTCTGTCACCCTGGCTGGAGTGCAGTGATATGATCCCAGCTCACCATAGCCTCAACCTCCTCAACCTCCCAGGTTCAAGTGTTCCTCCCACTTCAGCCTCCAGGGTAGGTGCATGCCACCATACTCAGCTAAATTTTTTTTTTTAAGATAGGGGGTCTCGCTATGTTGTCCAGGCTGGTCTTGAACTCCTGGGCTCAAGTAATCCTCCTGCCTTGGCCTCCCAAAATGCTGGAATCACAGGCGTGAGCCACCGTGCCTGGCCAAAAGGAGTTTCTTGAAATAGAATCTACTCCTGATAAAGGTGCTGTGAACACTGTGGAAATGATAACAACAAATTTAGAATATTACGTAAACTTAGTTAACAGAGTAGTGGCAGGGTTGAGAGGACTGACTCCATTTCTGAAAGAAGCTCTACTGTGAGTAAAATGCTTTCAAACAGCATCATATGCTACAGAGAAACCTTTCATGAAAGGAAGAGTCCACTGATGCGACAAAGTTCAATGTTTTCTTATTTTAACAAACTGCCACAGCCACCCCAACCTGCAGCAACCACCACCCTGATCACTCAGCACATATCAACAACGATGCCAAGACCCTCCATCAGCAAAAAGATTAGAACTTGATGAAAGCTCAGTTGATTGTTAGCACTTTTTAGCAAGAAAGTTTTTTTTAACTAAAGTATGTACATTTTTTAGACATAATGCTACTGCACACTTACAGTGCAAACATAACTTTTATATGTAATAGGAAACAAAAAAATTTTGTTTGATTGGTTTTATTACAATATTCGCAATAAATTGCAGGGGTCTGAAATCAAACCTGCAATATCTCCCAGGTATGCCTCTATCTATTTTTTGGTACAATAGTTTCCTTTAAATAAGTTTCCAGTTTTAATTAAAAATAAAATATCTAACGGAGTATTAAGTAACTATTAACACCCATTACCCTGTTGGACTGAAACCATTTTGCTAAGTACTAACCAGTGTCACACAATCTGAAAATCCATGAGGCGTCATCCCTCACCTCCTCCCCTTTTACAGATCAGACAACAGATACTCAGCGATGTTTATATATAATCTGTTAAAGGTAGTGCAGCTGTATATAACAGAGCTAAGCTGAGAAATAAGCCTAATTTCAAACCTCACAGAATATGCCTGTCTCAGACTAAAATTGCATTTTCATTAGGAAAACATTCACTTGACCTAACATAAAAGTCGCATAATAAAACATCAATATGAAATACTAACAATCCTTCACTTTAGCCCTGAAACTATCTGCCAGGTGTTTTGCCCTCTAAACACACTTGTTGAAAACAAGCATAACACATCCATCCACTCCACATCAAAATGTTTACTATCATCAAAAGGTTAAAATGTTCTTGGTCATAATAATAATTTTCTTTTAATGTGGATTTTTTCTTTGGTATTGGAAGGGCGGGGTTTCCGGGTGCTTTTAACTTCCTGAGTAATGGTCTGAGTTGGCAGCTTGGTACCATAAAAAGGGCAAATCTTAGGGGGCTGACTACTTTCAGTTATTTAACTCACTTATTTCTTAAAGGAAAAACATTTCAAGTAAATTTTAAAAACTGGTTTTATCCAAGGCTCATCTGTGATCATCTCTCTGTATTACTTGTTTACAATAACATGGCTACTTAACGATCAGATTTTCATTCAAATATTTTTGAGCTAAAATGGAAACGTTTTAAATAGGATAAAGAAAAATGGTGAGTTTTTGTTACCTTTCCAAAGTATCCATCAATGTACAAATATCTATATCAAACTGGGTCACTTTCTACTATGGGAAGGCCTTTCAAGAGCAAGGATTTTCACAAGGCAGAACAAAACTGCACTGAACATGCAGGTGGTTTTCACTTTTACTGAATAGCCAACTTATTGATGATTTCCATTTCCATCTACTCTACTTTTCTTCCTCATTGTTTAGTTTGCTCATGCACTTACAATTTCTTAGGAAAATCCTCTTGATAAAGCACAAATAATTACAATCCAACACATGTATAAATCAAACAATAATGAACAAGAAAAAAATTACCTTTTGGATAATCTTCCAATAAGAGGTTGAAGTGACCTAATTGACAAAAGAAATCAGACTCCACTTTTCCTTCAGCTTTTAAGATTAGAGATTCATAGCAGCGAACAGCCTAGAAATAAAAAAATACAAATATGTAAGCAAAAAATAAAGCCCTAAAATACATTTCCTCCCCAAGATAATGCATATAGCCTCCATTCGATCACCTAAGAAGTCAATATTGAAAATTTCACTTCTATCTTAGACATATTCAATACAACATTCTATAGAAGGAACAGCTTCCCTATGTATTTATTAAAAGAGCCACTAGTTATGGCATAAGTGCTTTTCCCATCTATACATGGAAACAATACTTGCCAAATAAGATAATATAGGAGCACTTTGATAATTTTATTCATAAGTTGAAAGTCTAAATTATTACTGTGGTCCCTGTTGATATAAACAAAACTGCTCTCAAATATAAATAATATGCATCTTTCCCACAGGTGAGAAGAACTTTATTGAATTATGTGAGATCTCACAGAATCTCTAGAGTAATAAAAATACCTACAATTTACACTGAACTGCTTTTACTGACTTTTTGCCAGACCTCTACCAGTTTTAAACTACCATATACTGCCTTTCCATTGTCTTCTCCACATGATATACTTCACACACCAACTGCTTCTGATCTTACTTCCTAACTCCAATTCATGCACATGCTCTCACTCTCACATTTCCTCTCCCAAAGAAAAAAATAACACTATTTTAACAATATAAATTCGTTTTTATAACACAGGACAACTGCAGGAGAAAATGAACAACGGAAAGAACCCAGTTCTAGGGCTTGATGACAAATTCCAGTTGTCATTTGCTACAGGAGATCCTGGGGAATTTATCCTTTCTATTTTAGTAACACTCAAAGAGCTGATAAAAGGATTAAAACTAGAAAACTTCTCTAAGGCTTTATCTCAGTGTTCAGGACACAATAGGTACTTAATTGTTTCTTTATCTTCACGGGTAATAACAAAGCTCTAATTCTCTCAAGGTTCCCAATAATTTTGTCAAAATTTCTCCCATTAACAATTAAGTGCTCCGTAACATTGCTCTGTTAATAATGTGTCCCAGAGTCATTAAAGTAAGAAATGTGTGTGAATTCTCAAATCTCTGATATACTCCCAGGAACACTTGCAAGTTTGGTATCCACAAAGAAAGAAACTTGGTTAGTTTCTATCACAATAAAAAACTTTCACTACCATTTCAAGAACTTTGTTGAGATAAGAAAATGTGATGTGGGACAGAGTACTCACTTCGAATGCCTTCATTTTTCCTCTCCTGTGAAATACAGAGCCTTTAATATAGAGTTTAAAAATTTATATCCTAACATTTACCTATCCTAAGCACATAAATATTCAACAAGTTTGGATAATCCATTCTAAACAAGGCGAATTCTAGGCTGAGTCTATTATCCTTAAAGCCTAAGGGTTTACAAAAGAACTTGTCTTCAATTCCTGTTCTACTCTTAGCTATATGTACCAAATCACAATCACTGAAAATTAATCTTTCTGCTTCCCTATAATTAAAAAAGTCTGAATGCTACACTGAAGTCTCAGAAATTACTATAATCTGAAGGTATGAAATTTCAAAATCCTTTTTATTTAAGTCATATATAATTCTTATCTGGCAGATGGCTAGAGTATAAAAATACAATTTATTACAGTGCTTTATAATATCAGAGAAATTCATAACATTATTGGGATACATTACAATTCTTAATTTTACATTAATGAATAAGAATATTGTAAATAAAGTTCTCATAATAGTGAGCGTATTTTTTTTAAAACTCTTAGGTTATTTATAAACCTTTCCTACTCCTCTGAGAGCTTCATATGGCTGATTAACATTAAATTTATAAGCAACTATGTTTTCATGGTAAAAAGGATTCAAGACATAAACACAAATTTACTTTAATGATATAAACAAAAAAGATGCCAACATTCTCTACTTCCTCTTATCACCCTTCATGCCACTGCCTTGATCATCAATTGCCTATCTTCTACTTGTCATAAAACTAAGGAACACACCAAAATTAATATTATACATAATGCTGATCATCATGAAATATAAAATCAGGTAAAAACCAGAATGGTTGATTTTAAATTCAGGTACCCATACACTCAGGCCTGATTAACAAATTCTTAATAATTTCCCCATAAAGCTGCCATGCACCTACCAAACAACGTTGGTGGTCAATGATGCTGACAGAGCCAAACATCAAATGAGATGAAAATGAGCAAAAAGGCAGAAGAAAGTTGCCAAGCACTCTGTATTACTACTTCATAGTGAAACTTCATGAATTTATTTGAAGTATCTCAGGTAATTCTAATATCAGATACAGCCAAATATCTAACACACTTTTTAAAGAACATTTAAAGGAAAATAAATAACTTGAGATAATTTCCAATATTCCTAACTCATACAATAATCTACAATAAAACACAGAATTTTTATATTTTTACTCAAAAGGCTAATGATAACAGAAGATACATACTGTTTAGATTCAGAACAACATTCAGATAAACTTCCATAAAGCAAAAATATCTCCAGTCAATAGGATTATTTTTATTTCTTGCTTTTAAAATTTTAAATGTACACAAGTAAAATTATCCCTGTACAGTAGCTTTGTACACAACTGCAGAGAAGAAGGACTGGAATATAAAACAGGTACTAAAAAAAGAAAGTCTACGGGCACATGTTCTCAGGATCTCCTGAGGGCTGTGTCACAGCAAAAAAAAAAAAAAAAAAAAAAAAAGGTCTATATAGTTGTCCCACACAGAATCTTCCTTGTATTTTGTTCATTTTACTTTTCTATATTTTTTAGATTTTTTTCATAATTAACCTCTATCATTTCCATTCTTATAAAAATCATTAAAAGGGCCGGGCGTGGTGGCTCATGCCTGTAATCCCAGCACTTTGGGAGGCTGAGGCAGGCGGATCACAAGGTCAGGAGATGGAGACCATCCTGGCTATCACAGTGAAACTGTGTCTCTACTAAAAACACAAAAAATGAGCCAAGCGTAGTGGTGGGCGCCTGTAGTCCCAGCTACTCAGGAGGCTGGGGCAAGAGAATTGCTTGAACCCAGGAGGCGGAGGTTGCAGTGAGCCGAGATTGCGCCACTGCACTCCAGCCATGGGCGACAGAGCTAGACTCAGCCTCAAAAAAAAAAAAAAAAAATTCATTAAAGAATTATTATGCTTTCCCCTGAGGACTCATCCTATACCTTTAGTGTAAGGATTGTCAGAAATTTGAAAGAAAATCATTTGTGGTTGCATCAGCAATCAACAGAGCAATTTCTGCAATGATACAAATACCCTATGATCTGTGCTGTCCAATACAGTAGCCATTTAGACACATGTGGTTATTGAGCACTTTGAAACATGGTTAGTGCAAGTGGACAAGTGAATTTTTAAATTATTTCATTTTAATATTTAAACAAACATGTGGCTAATGGCTACCATACTGGACAGTACAGACCTAGATAATTCTTAAAGCCTAAAAACAACTTAATATTCAATCCGTATACTAAATATTAGGAAAGCAAAATTTCTTATGTTTATAAATGAAAAGCCTAATAAAATATCTTGCAGCAAGGAGGATAAAAGCAATACCCTCCACAAAAATTGTTACATCCTCTAATTGTTTATAGCTGGTGGATTGCACATCCATAATCCTTACTACCTACTAGGGAAAAAAACACTGAAAAGGGAAATAAATGAACTAAGATCCTCCCAGCTACGTAGAAAGCTTAGGTGTGTTTTTTATTTCCATCATAGTGCCATATTCCACAACATTCAATATAACTTGTGCTTGGTATCTGCTGCACTGTTATTATTTTAAAAATCAGCTATCCCAGAAAAGTAACGTTACCATTACCCCGTATTTCTAAACTCTGACAGGTGAAGTTTTGAGCTTGTGAACACAGACATGTAACTAATTTAATTTTTTTCATGTGCAGTATTAATCTTTTATGATGAACTTGGTCAGTGCCTTGCTAAAACAGGACGCTGTCAATATTTTAGAATTGTTAAATATATGCAACATTTAAACTTTTTTCTTTTCAACTTAAAAGATTAACTGCAGTAGCTGGGTGACTACAAATGGTAGAGAAAATACAGATTTTAATACCCCAATGGTTTTAAATGAGTGAAACTTTTAGGCTGAATATAATAAAAACAAATATGCAGTCCTGCCTATAATTTTTATTTTTATTTATTTATTTTTTTTTGAGATGGGGTTTCACTCTTGTTGCCCAGGCTGGAGTGCAACGGTGTGGTCTCAGCTCATTGCAACCTCGGCCTCCTGCGTGCAAGCGATTCTCCTGCCTCAGCCTCCCAGGTAGCTGGAATTATAGGCACCCACCACCATGCCCGGCTAATTTTTGTATTTTTAGTAGAGACTGGGTTTCACCATGTTGGCCAGGCTGGTCTCGAACTCCTGACCTCAAGTGATCCGCCCGCCTCAGCCTCCTAAAGTAGTGGGATTACAGGTGTGAGCCACCAATTATGAGCCCTACCCGTAATTTTTAAAAAGCCAACCATACGCATACACAATGGTTGAGCATCCAGCAACCAGCAGACTCCTTAAAATAGATTAAGGGATTTAAGCAGACAACAGGTCAATGTATCATCCATGAAATATGGCTATTTGGCCAGGCACGATGGCTCACGCCTATAATCCCAGCACGCCTATAATCCCAGCAAAAGGCAGGAGGATTCCTTGAGCCCAGGAGTTCGAGACCAGCCCAGGCAACATAGCGAGGCCTCGTCTCTACAAAAATTAAAAAAAATTACCCAGGCATGGTGTGGTGCATGCCTGTGATCCCAGCTACGTGGGAAGCTTGAAGCGGGAGGATGGCTTGGGTCTGGGAAGATGAGGCTACAATGAGCCATGATTGCACCACTGCACTCCAGCCTGGGCGACAGAGCAAGACCCTGTCAAAGGAAAAGGGAAAGGAAGAGGAAGAGGAAGAGGAAAAAGAAAAGGAAACGGAAGGAAATTTAAAAAATATTCATGGCCCAAATTAATAAATTATATTATACATATCAACAGCAATAATCAGCTCACCAAGGTCTAGTCTGATCAGATCTCTAGCATTATCAGTTCTGAATAGCACATTTCAACAGGTGATAACACAAAGAGGGCTACAAGTTTGGTAAAGGATGTGGAAACTGTCATATGAAAACTACCTTAACTAAGTTTAACTGAGGAAAATCAACAGGATTGAAGCTTTACTTAAATATTTAAAAAGCAGTCACTTAGATGAGAAGATTAATTGCACTTTGGATAGTGCCAATGAATGAGTATAACTTAATTCAGCTCATTCAGAAGGTAGGAAAAATTAAACACACCAAAAATTAAATGGGCCATCACTGGTTCATATAAATACAAAGAATTAAAGCATATATTACTAAGCTATTTTAGTGGGAGTTACAAAGGAGATACCTTATTTTGGATACAATTCTAATTTGCATTTTTAAAAAAATATCCTTGGACTCTATGATTCTAAGTACAACCCTGTAAAATTTATACAATAAAAAATAAGATAAAATTAAAAATTAAAAAAGAATTATGGTTTTTAGAAGCTTACAACTTTCTCAATAAAAGACTACTCAAGACAACGCAGTTTTAAAATAAGACTATTTTAGGGAAAAAGAAAAACCCCTATATTAACCTAATGGGGATAAATATTGCAAACATTTTTATTAAAATCACTGAAATATTAGCAGTTGTTTAATGGGTATAAAGTTTCAGTTTTACAAGATGAAAAGAGTTCTGGAGACTAACACTACTGAACAGTACATCTGAAAAGGTTACAATGGTAAATTGCATGTTATGTATATTTTGCACTAGTTTTTTTTTAAGGTACTAAACTAGATAATACCTGTGGATAATTAAAAATACTTAGTATTATACCAGTCACTCATCAATGAGCACCTACTCCATCCTGGTCACTTTTATTGGCTGCTAGGTATCCAAAGTGAAGACAAACTGGTTCCTGTCTCCTTTATTCTCCTGTATATCTTTTTTTTCTCCTGGATCCTCTTTTCTAACCCATCTGCCTTCCTCACTCCTCTTTCTTCCTTGGTTCTACCTTACTATCTTGATCCTTAACTAAAGATACTTTCCCAAGAGTCACTTTTGTGCACTATAAACTTCTGTTTACACAAGAGAAGCAGGGGTGGGGAGGGAATAAGAAGAAAGACAAAGAAGGAAGAAGAAATCTTTTAACTCTAAACAACTTATCAGACTTTTTCCACTTGGACATCCCAACATCATCTTAAATTCACCAAGTAAAAATTAAGTTTCTGGCACTGTTCAAAAATTCTCTCTTTAACTTTCCTTTTCATTAACAGCACCTAGTCAAATCATTTCTTTATGCCTACACATCTAATTGATTACTGCTAAGTCTTCCCTAACACTTCTCCCATAACCATTCCCCTTTTTCTTTTTACCTATTATTTCCGCAAATTCCAATGAATGCCCGTACTACACCGTTACTGCCACTTGTTGCTCCTTGACTGGTCTGTTTCTACAGCCCAACTCATACCCTAAACAAACAAAACCCACTCTTCCAGCAATGCTATTTATTGTCATGCTTCCCAGCTCTTAAACTTCCAATTATTTCCTACTGCCTATAACAGTGAGTACTTGGCTCCAGTCCCAGCCTACACATCCATATTTTTTCTTTCCCTGTTCCCCAACACAAAGCCCACTCTACTCCAACCCCACATCAAACTCTCATCCCACTAACTTCCTACATTTTTAACAGCTTGTTATTCAGACATCCTAAAGAGGTGGCAAACTATGTAACTATAGCAGATCACCCCTGGTACTTCTGACACAGATCAGTAAAAGAATTTGTTGCAGTAATCCAGACAATATCAAGAAAAGATGTTTCTCTACTGCACCACTACCATCACCACCACCGACTTAGTTATTAGAGTGTTTTCTTACTTTACATTATGTATAAAGAGACATAGTATCTAATGTATAATATTACTATTCTTCTGACCTGTTCCCAACAAATCCCTAAAAGTGTATGCATCATTAAACTTGATATCCTTTCCAGAAAGATGTGTCGTAAATCAGAAGGAAATTCTTCCTGTTTGCGGGTATTCGGCAATGCCTTTGCCTGGCTGCTTTTAAAACACCATAAATACACTTAAGAATTTAAAAGGATTGAAACTACCTGAATCTAAACCATTTTTGAAACGTCAACACATTATACTTTTTTTTTTTAATGAGGAAAGAGTTACAATTAAAATAATCTTAAGTATTATTATTATTTTTTTTTTTTTAAGGCAAGGTCTCACTCTGTCACCCAGGCTGGAGTGTAGTGGCACAATCACAGCTCACTGCAGCCTTGACCTCCCAGGCTTAGGTGCTCCTCCCACTTCAACCCCCTCAAGTGGCTGGGACTACAGGCACACGCCACCACGCCTGGCTAATTTTTGTACTCTTTGTAGAGACGGGGTTTCACCATGCTGGCCAGGCGGGTCTCAAACGATCCACCCGCCTTGGCCTCCCAAAGTGCTGGGATTACAGGCATAAAGTATTGCTGATTCTTAATGACATATCTACTCCTGAACTTATATATCAAACTTGCAGACTTTTTCCTTTTAATTTCATTTACTATTTTTGAAAGTCTATTTATCACCACTTCAAAAAGGCATATATACTAAAAAGTCTCTCTCCTAGTCCTGACCCCAGCCGCCCAGTTCCATTTCCCAGGAGCAACAAATATTTAAAATTTCTAACATATTCAAGATTATATTGTAAAGAAAAAGAAAAAAGAGATTATATCATGCAGATGTAAGCACATATACTTTTCCTACCTGATTAATATTTCTATAAATACTGTTTTGTGACTTGCTTCAGATTCTAGGTGTCTCAGATACCCTTTCTCCTCTTTGTTAATAGAACCCGTAAATTTAATTAGGCACATTTTTACACAGACTGAAGGCTGAGATTCCCAGCCATTCTTGTAGGTGTGGCTTGGTGATTAAATTCTGCCCAATGGAATATAAGGGAAAGACAGGCTCCACTTCATCCCCTCCTCTGCCTACTTGGGTAGAATCATCCAGATGGCAAGAACTTCAGTAACTCTCCTGGACTAAGAGGTAGATGCCATAGCTGAGATCCGCAGAGTAGGAAATGGAAGCCCATGTTCCTGGAACAGTAGAGTTCCAGTGCAGCCCAGAACTGACTGTTTTTGAGAATTCTTTAAGAGACAGATGTGTGTGTAACCCTCTTTCCTCGCTTAAGAACAAAAACAAAAAAAAAAACAAAGTTCGGTGCAATGGCTCATACCTGTAATCCCAGCACTTTGGGAGGCTGAGGTGGGGGGATTACTGGAGACCAGCCTGGGCAACATAGGGAGACTCCCATCTCTACAAAAACATTTTTAAAATTATGCTGGCATGATGGCACACACCTGTGGTCCCAGCTACTCAGGAGGCTGAGAGGTGGTAGGATCACTTAAGCCCAGGAGGTGGTGGCTGCGGTGAGCTGTGATCACGCCACTGCAGCCTGGGCAATGCAGTGAGACTCTGTCTCAAAACAAAACCAACAACAACAACAACAAAACAACTGCCTAATGAAATAATCATTAACACACACAAAAAGGATGGAGGGAAGAAAAAAGGAAACCCAGTTAATCGTCACCCATATCTAACATTTTCGAGATGATAAAGGAACTTAAACATTTGTCACTCTACCCTGTCTGTCTCTCTATTTCCTACTTTCAATTAATACACATCTTTTGTCAAAAGAGTCAGCAGAGGGGTTGAACGCGGTGGCTCGCGCCTATAATCACAGCACGGTGGGAGGCCGAGGCGGGTTGATCACCTGAGGTCAGGAGTTTGAGACCAACCAGGCCAACATGATGAAAACCTGCCTCTACTAAAAATACAAAAAATTAGCTGGGCGTGGTGGTGGGCGCCTGTAATTCCAGCTACTCAGGAGGCTGAGGCAGGAGAATCGCTCGAACCTAGGAAGCGGAGGTTCCAGTGAGCCGAGATCGCGCCACTGCATTCCAGCCTGGGCAATGACAGCAAAACTACGTCTCAAAAAAAAAAAAAAAAAGGTCAGTAGAATGAAAGTTAGATGCCAGTCTGAATCCCAGATTTTTCAGTCTCTTTGGGCCTACTACTCTGCATTCATGGGATGTGTTGAATGCTAATGAGTAAACAAGCATCATTCAACATTCAAGAAACCATCACTGGCACTTTAAGAACCATTCTTTTCAAATAAACTATTTAAAACACTTTGCTATTGCAAAATACTCTCAAAGAATTACACTATTGAAATCAAACTAGACAACTTAGTAAAGTGTTGATAGCTAATACTTGAGCTCTTGATATGTACCAAGCACTATTCTAAGCAACTTACATATACTTATTCTTTAATCCTCACAATTACTATGAAATGGGGTCTATTACAGTAATTAACCCTACTTCACTGACAGGAAAACTGAGGCCTAAATAAATCCTGTGCTCATGGTCACAAAGCTACAAACTAGCAAAGATTCAAACAGTATGGCTTCACAGCCTCTGAGCAGTAAGGTAGTTGACTCAGGTCATGCCCAGGGACCTAAAGTCATGTGCAAGAACGACCCTCTCCATAATCAGCTTTTTCTCCTACACACTAGCTCCTCCTCCCCAACTCCACACCAAGCAGAAAAGCAACACATAAAATTTCAACTCCCAGCTCTCACAAACCATTCCCAGACTTAGCCTCAGTTCTCTACCATATTTTTTCGCCCCTCTTTATTTTAAATCATTATAAAAAGCAATCATCACTATAACAAAAAATAAAAAATAAACAGACATAAACATATCCAAAACAAAAGTAACCCAACCAAAAAAAACTAAGTTCCCATATTCAAAAGACAACTGTGACAGAAAAATAAAACACTACTACATATATACATATGTATATGTATAAAATAATACACCAGTTCAGACTAAGTGTGGTATGTATCTGGAAAATGTTAAACAGCTTTATCCCACTTTTTGCAGCTTCAGAATGACAACTCCTTAGTTTACCTTGTGTTGCTGATTTTTCTCTCTTTAGTATTTTTGGCAAATGTTAGGAATAACGCTCAAAATCCTAAGGAAATTGAACACTCGAACAAAGGATTCTTAGCAAAGCAATTTTACCTCTGCACAGAGGGGTGCCTCCTTGGCCAGTCACCATGAGAGCACACCTGAACAAAGGGGCACGAGAGCCTTTATTCCTGATGCAAGTCCTGCCCCTGTACCCTTTCCTCATTGGCCGGGGTCGGGTCATACAATCTAAACTAATCCCGGTTGGCTGAACATTTGAATTTTTTTAGGTAAGATGGGCACGTAAAAGAAAGTGGAGAGGAAAGGGGAAGAGGTATCTGTAATGAGGTAGAAAGTTAGTCCTCTTTCCAAATAAGGAAAGGAATGTGAGCTGGTACTGATAACGCCTGATACTGTTGCGTGCCTGGGCATCTATAACAAAGGCAAAAAGGAAAAAAAAAAGGAGAAAAAGGAAAAAGGGGGAAGGGAGGGTACTATGAATTAAAGAATAAAAGATTGATCAGATTATTTGAAGAGAAACCTCATCATATCCCACAGCAAAGAAATGACAAATACAGCTGCAACAAAGCAAACTAAGCTGTACTGTCTCAATAGTCAACAAGTTGCTAGTTTACTACTAACTCCAAAACTTATCTCAGATGCATGCAACCACATGAATTAATGGATTCTATATTCACACACACAGACACACACACACACACACACTCACACCCAGGGTATACATTAAATAAAAAGAAGCTGTATTGACACAACAGCTGAGTTATTTTCCAAATTTTTTTGTAGCATCCTAAATGTAACATTGTAAAGATGGAATACATTCAAGTACATTATAAAGTCTCCTTACTCAAATTAAGCAACGAATTAAGCCTTAAATGATCTTTTAAAAACTGTATTTTGGGGCCAAGGACAGTATGAGAGATAATTTCACTTCAGAATGATCCTGTGATTTTCCATATGAAAAAGTTGGCAAGGCCGGGCGCAGGGGCTCACGCCTGTAAAGTAATCCCAGCACTTTGGGAGGCCGAGGCGGGTGGATCACGATGTCAGGAGTTCGAGACCAGGCTGGCCAATATGGTGAAACCCCATCTCTACTAAAAATACAAAAATCAGCCAGGCATGGTGGCACGCGCCTGTAGTCCCAGCTACTCGAAGGCAGAGGCAAAAGAATCGCTTGAACCCGGGAGGCGGAGCTTGCAGTGAGCAGAGATCGCGCCACTGCATTCCAGCCTAGGTGACAGAGCGAGACTCCATCTCAAAAAAAAAAAAAAGTTGGCATTATAACCCTTTATTTTTTAATTTAATTTGCTTGTGCTACTCCACAGGGTCTATTATTTACCTAGAGGTTGACAGAAACAGTCTTACAGCAATCATTATGCCTGTCATTTAAGCTGCACACATTTAACTCAGAATTCCAAAAAGATACATGTATAAAGAAAGCCCGCCTGCAGCAAAATTATGTAGACCATATCTTTATGAAGGTAAAAGACTACATTATTCTGCATGCTGTACCCTGGTTAAATATGTAGTTCAAATTAATATCTTTGGTAGCAAAGTATGCATTCCTTTGCCTTACACACATTTTTAAATAAATGCACATAAAAAGGAAAAAGCAAGCACTTCAGGTTGCATGAAAAGGTGGAAGAGATAGGGTTTATGAGCATGAGCTCCACTGAAAATATGCCTTGAATTCTACAACTTCTAAAATGTAGGCACTTAGATTTATTTCTTGAACATATGAAAAACCTTAAATCTAGAGAAACTGCAACATGATAAAGGACCCTCCCCCAAAATAAGTGCTTTAAAAAAAAAAAACTTTTTAATAGGCCCGAATATACCCTTTCAGACTTTTCTCTATGCATATATGCAAACAGTAAAAATCTTTTTGTTTTTTTCTTTTGAAAGGTCTCACTTTGTCACCGAGGCTAGGGTGCAGAGGCACACCATCATGTTCACTGCAGCCTGGACCTCCCAGGCTCAAGCGATCCACTGCCTCAGCCACCCAAGTAGCTGGAACTACAGGAACGCACCAACACGCCCAGCTAATTTTTGTATTTTTTTTGTAGAGACAAGGTTTCGCCACGTACACCAGGCTGGTCTCTCAAACTCCTGAACTCAAGTGATCTACCTGCCTCGGCCTCCCAAAGTGCTAGGATTACAGAACTGAGCCACCGCACCCGGCCTAGTACAAATCTTTATATGCAATTTTATAAAATTTTTATTTGATTTAATATATTATCATGTCAAAACATATAGATCTCAAAATTAACATCTGCATAGCATTTTATTGAACAGTTAAACTATAATTTGTTTCTACTGAAGAGTATCTGTTAACCAAGTTTTTGCTATTATTAGGATAAGTTCCTCACAGTCAAATTAAAAGCACAATTTAAGCTTCTGATAAGCCAACCAGCAAAGCTGAACCAATATAACCTTCCACCAGCGGTGCTGGTTTCAAGTTTTTTCATTACTTTTTCCCTAATATTTACTAGACCTGTCCATACATTGTGCACAGTTCTCAGTATACTACATCATAAATAGTTCTTTTCCTAAATGATGTCAGGTGCTATTTATACATAAAGGATTTCTATATATAATGTTACAGAATATTTTTTCCCAGATTACATTTATCTTTGACTTCTTTACAGAGTTTTTGATGTAAAAGTTTCCCTATTTTCTGAAAACCACCCACCATTTCCTTCACAGTACATAAGTTCGGCTCAGAATTAGAAAATCCCCAGAATCTGACCCGATGTAAAACACTTACCAATATTTTCTTCTACTGTAAAGCAAGCACCTAATTGCATTTTTCTTCCCTGTGCAATGTTGTACTGGCCAGGTATGAGTCAAGATCTTTAATTTCCCCCTTCTCTCATGAACTAAAAAACTTAACCATGCACACACAGCTCTGTTTCTGGGATTTATATTCTACAACCAAAGTTCTCCAACAAATGTACTGGTAATGGGTAATAGGAGTGGCAAGACAGAGAGAGCTTTTAACCGCTAGAGCTACCAGGCATAAAACAGCCAGGACGCCAGGGCAGCCAAAGTCTTTCAAACAGAGCCCTTGTATATGTACCAATCTTAAGAGCCCTCAAGAAATTCTCTCAGTAATTGCTACTATCAATCTTCCATGTAAGCCATAAAATGAAGAGTTGGGAAGGGCTTCCACTTCAGGACAACCACTGAAACCTTGTGCTGAAAACTAAAGATGTCAGATTAAACACAATGGCAGGCGACCAACACAAAGTTCTTAAGTTCTTAAGCTCTACAAAGAATGGACTTTGGGGGCGGTCAGGGGAACCAGAACTAAGAGAAGTGGAGACAGACAGAATATCAAAGTGACTTTTTGTATGACATTCTGAAAGCCTGTGTTGGGTTCTGGGGTCTTATTTGGGGGACAGAACACAAGGCCTGAAAGCCACCTAAGAAGAAGAGTCAAATAAGATAACCGCTCAGAACACTGAGCCTCAATGAGCGAACACCTTCAATCTAAGTAAAAACTAAAATGTAATAATAAACCAATTTTTTAAATGTTATTTTAAAACTGTTCTTGAAGGACAAAGAAAACTGCCAATCCATGATGGCAATGAGTGGAAAAGAAAATCTGAGTATTGGCTGGGCGCGGTAGCTCACACCTGTAATCCCAGCACTTTGGGAGGCCAAGGTGGGCAGATCATGAGGTCAGGAGATCGAGACCATCCTGGCTAACACGGTGAAACCCTGTCTCTACTAAAAATATAAAACAATTAGTCGGGCGTGGTGGCGGGCGCCTGTAGTCCCAGCTACTCTGGAGGCTGAGGCAGGAAAATGGCATGGACCCGGGAGGCGGAGCTTGCAGTGAGCCAAGATCACGCCACTGCACTCCAGCCTGGGAGACACTCAAAAAAAAAAAAAAAATTCTGATTATTTACACAACCATAAGCCTGAATTCATCTGACCTGGGTAGAACACAAACTTCAGACGAGAATTTAACTATAGATGGTCTTCAACTAATAACAATCCAAAGTACAGGCCAAAATCAAACACAGTACTATCACATTCCTGGCCTAAAAGAAATCCTACAGATCTCCCCCGCAAAAGTCTTTATATTCAAAAACTCAGTATATCTGGTGGGGAGATGGGGGGTAGGGCAGAGCAAAGAAGGTAATCAATATGTAGATATATTTAAATGAATATTTATTTAATGCAATATTTTAATCACAACAAATGTAAATGGAATAAATATGCTACGAAAATGGCTTTCAACAAAATTTTTAAATCCAGATTTATGCAATTTAGACACACGTAAAATATAACATAGAAAGACTTAAAAAAGACAGAAAAATACTACAAACATAATCAAAAGAAAGTTGGCATTGTGCCAGATACCATGAGTCACAATAAAGATACAGAAATCAAGAGAGCTGGTGCATGAATACATATATTTAGCAATAAAGAGCTCAGAAACAGAACTTGTACGTGTGGAAACCTGGTAACGCAACTGGCAAACAATAACCTAACAAAAAAGTGGTGGCAAGCCTGCAAGTTATTTCTAACGGGAGAAAAAAAATAAAGTGGACTCCTATATCTACATATAAAAAAACCTATTAAAGGCCCTAATGTGAAACTATATAAATCCTTAAGAAGAAAACACGGAAAAATGGCTTTGACATTAGGATAGCGTGGGATTTCTTTAAAATTAGACAAAAAGTACAAGTCATTAAAAAAGGCTGATACATTAATTCAACTACCTCAATGCTCAGAACTTATGTTTATAAAAAAAAAATTAGTATAAAGGCAAGCCACAACTGAGAAAATATACTTTCAACACATGTAGTGACAAAGGATTCATATTTAGAATATATAAGGAACTCCTAAAAATCAAATTTGTTTTTAAAAATACTAATGAGGAAAATCTGGGCCAGGTGCAGTGGTTCACACCTGTAATCCCAACACTCTAGGAGGCTGAGGCAGGCAGATCACTTGAGGTCAGCAGTTCGAGACCAGCCTGGCCAACATGGTGAAACCCTATCTCTACTAAAAATACAAAAATGAGCCAGGAATGGTGGTGTGCACCTGTAATCCCAGCTACTCAGGAGACTGAGGCAGGATAATCACTTGGGAGGCAGAGGTTGCAGTGAGCCAAGATCGTGCCACTGCACTCCAGTCTGGGCGACAAAGCAAGACTTCATCTCGAAAGAAAAGAAAATCTGATCTGCCACTGTGATCCACAAATGGCAAGAATGAATAACAAAGCAAAACACAAATTCTTCATAATAAAAGATCAAAGGACAAATAGTTGCATTACGCATTCAGATGCTCCATAAGGGCCCGTGTCTGTTTAAACCACTAGGTGGTAGCCCTGCTCCAGTCTATCACAGCTATAAATTTTTCCAATATGACTAGGAAGGTTGTTCATTTAGGAAGTGAAAGGGTAAAGGTAATACGGTATTGGGCAAATTTAAGTATCTCTCATTATTAGTGGCTGTTTTAACAATGTGCTCCACTAATTTGAAAAAGCTCATCTGAAAAACCAGTCCTAAAATCACATTTTGCCAAAAATCTGAATTTAAAGGAAAACTGTCATAACTACTCATAATTTATCACACTAAATACTCAAATACTTTCATATAAAATATGAAATTTGACCATCCAAAATACCATTTCAACTTAGCTTGAATGTCTAAGCTCGTATTCAAATTTTTTATTTTAAACCAGTGAAATAAATACCAACCCACTAGTGTCAGAAGAAACCTTAAACCCAACATTTTCCATACAAGGCATACATTTGAATTACTGAAGTGATATTCTTGGCATCTCAATCATCCACTCTATAAGGCATTACGAGATTAAAACTTCTTAAGTCTTCGGACTTCTGCTTCAGGCCAAGGTGCAGTAAAAGGGACCAAATTTACTCCTGAATATAACAATTAAATAACTAAAGAAACGTGAAACAAAGAATTTTAGACATTGAATATCAGAACACATGACAATAAACAGAAAATAATGAATGTGAGCTCTAATTACCCCAAGCTTACTGCCTAAAGAAACTTTTCAGGCTACAGCACATGTATGGGAAAACTTCTTGGAGGAATCAATACAAGCTGAAATACAATGGAACAATACCCTTATAGTTAATAAATGGGAGGGGAAGGCGACTCTGTCAACCTACAGTCCTATTTTTTTCTTTCTAAATGCCAACTGACACCATATAACCTACAATTCTATACCCAGCAAAAATATCTTCCATAAATGAAGATGAAAGTATACTTTTTCAGATATACAAAGGCTGAAAGAATTCATCACCAGAAGACCTACAGTCTAAGAAATGTTAAAGGAAATTCTCAGGCAGAAGGAAAATTATACCAAATGGAAATACTGATCTACACAACAAAATAAAGAGTACCTGAAATGGTAGCTCATGGGTAATTATAAGACATTTTTCTCAATTTTGAAAGTCTCCTTAAAACACAACTGACCCAAGAAATCTATCCCCAAATACCCTCCTGTAACTAGTAACTGAGTTTAGCAAGGACATATGCTACAAAGTCAGCATACAAAAATAAATTACATTTCTATAAACTAACAATGAACAATTGGAAGAAAATTTTTTTATCGCATACAACAGCTCCAAAAATATGAAATATATAACAAAATATGTGCAACAGAATCTGTATATGCTAGAAGACCTACAAAACCCTGGTGAAAAGAGTCAAAGAAGTCCTAAATAGTCCTAAATAAGCGCAGAGAAGATACTGTGTTCATGAAATTGGGAGACTCAATAGCATTAAGATGAGAAGTCTCCCAAGTGATGTACAGATTTAATGAAATTTCAATCAAAATTCCAGCAGGATTTTTTTGTAGCTACAGATGACTGTAAAATGTATATGGAAAGGCAAATAAACTAGAATAAGCAAAACAATTTTGAAAAATAGTAAGGCTAGAGAATTCACATGTCCTAACAGAGTTTCACTCTGTTGCCCAGGCTGGAGTGCAATGGGGCAACTTCGGCTCACTGCAACCTCCACCTCTGGGGTTCAACCAATTCTCCAGCCTCGGCCTCCCAAGTAGCTGGAATTACAGGCGCCCAACACCACGCCCGGCTAATTTTTGTACTTTTAGTAGAAATGGGGTTTTACCATGTTGTCCAGGCTGGTCTCGAACTCCTGACCTCAAGTGATCCACCAGTCTCTGCCTCTCAAAGCGCTGGGATTACAGGTGTGAGCCACCATGCCCGGCCCACATGTCCTAAATTTAAGACCTATTATAAAGCTACAGAAATCAATTAAAACCATAATGAGGTACCACTATATTATCTATATGAATAGTTAAAATTTTCAAAAAGTGACAATACCAAGTGTTAATGAGGATGCAGAACAAGTGGAACTCTCATACATTGCTGGTGAGAATGCAAAATATTACAGTCACTCCAGAACACAGATTGGCAGTTAAATATAAAGTTAAACATACATTTACCACATGACTCAGCAATCCCACTCCTAAATATATAACCCAGAGAAGTTTAAAGTTATGCTCATACCAAAACCTATACATGAATGTTTATAGCAGCTTTATTCATAATCAGTGAAAATTGGAAATAACCCAAATAATCCCTCAATGAATAAATGGATAAACAAACTGTGATACATCTATACAATGGAATACTATTTAGCAATAAAAAGGAATGAACTACTGACGTAACACATGGGTCAATCTCGAACACATGCTGAGTGAATGAAGCCAGTCTCAAAAGATCACATAGTATATGCATGTGTCTAAACATATCAAATACATAAAATGAGTGAAATTACAAACAGGCATCCCTCATTTTATTGCACTTCACTTTATTGCAAATTTTTGCAAATTGAAGGTTTGTGGCAAGTCTATCAGCACCAGTTTTCCAACAGCATGTGCTTAGCAATATTTTATTGCTAAAAAATGCTGACACTTTTTTTAGCAATAAAATATTGCTTTTCAATTAAGGTATACACTTCTTTTAGATGTAATGTTATTACACACTTAAGAGACAACAGTATAGTGTAAACAGAACTTTTATATGGACCAGGAGACCAAAAAAATTGTGTGACTCACTGTACTGCAATATTTGCTTTCTTACGGTGGTATGGAACCAAACCAAACTCCCAATATCTCCAAGGTATGCCGGTATATGTAAATTATACATCAAAAAGAGTTTATTTTTTAAAATGAGACTGTTTAAAGCAAAAAATAGTAACAATGTGCTGTGAGGTTTACAACATATACGGATATAAAATGTATGACAATACAAAAGACCACAATGAGAGAAATGAAGTATATACTCTTGTAAAGTCCATTCTACACATGACATAGTGTAAATATTATTTGAAGGTAGACTGTGGCAAGTTAAAAGTTGAAATTAAATACTAGAACCGATAAGTGTAATATTCAAGGTGAATATACAATAGTCAATTATATTCCAATATACTAGTAATGAACAATTGGAATTTGAAATTTTAAAAAAACATTTACAGTAACACCTGCCCCAACCCCCGGAAGAAAGGAGTACTTAGGTATAAATCTAGCAAAATATGTGCAGGATCTACATGTGGAAAACTCATTGTTAATATCAATCCCCCCTAATTTTTATTTATATATATTTATATAGAGATATAAAGGCCATCATAATCAAAATCTCAGTGAGCCTTTTTTGTATGTATCAGCAAGCAGAAAGGCAAAGGAACTAGAATAGCCGAAACAATTATGAAAAAGAACAAAGTCAGAGGATATATATTACCTAATTTCAAGACTTAATACAGTAAGCTACAACAATCAAGGCGGTATGGTATTCGTGAAAAGACAAACACACAGATCAACAGAAGATACAGATCAACAGAAGATACAGATCAACAGAAGACAGAGAACCCAGAAACTGACCCTCAGAAATATAGCCAACTGGTTCTTGACAATGTGCAAAGACAATTTCTTAAAAAAACAGAAAAGCCAGGCATGGTGGCTCATACCTGTAATCCCAGCACTTTGGGAAGCAAACACGGGTGCATCACGAGGTCAAGAGATCAAGACCATCCTGGCCAACATGGTGAAACCCCGTCTCTACTAAAAATACAAAAATTAGCTGGGCGTGGTGGCGCGCACCTGTAATCCCAGCTACTCAGGAGGCTGAGGCAGGAGAATCGCTTGAACCCAGGAGGCAGAGGTTGCAGTGAGCCGAGATTGCAGGCACTGCACTCCAGCCTGGGCGACAGAGTGAGACTCTGTCTCAAAAAAAAAAAAAGTCTTTCAACAAATGGTGGTAGAACTGGAAGTTCATATGCTCGAATTCCACCCCCTCAAAAAAAGAACCTCTCAATGCATACCTCATGAAGGTGTGATAATAATATTTTCAGATATATAAATATAGCAGACTCACATGCAGAAAAATATCTCAAAAGGAAGGTCAGTGATGCAGTAAGAAATGGCAAGCAAAAAAGGGGGGGTGTTAAATACATGGGTAACAACATTAAAGATAACTTGTGTTTAAAACTGGTACAGAATTGCCAGTCGCGGTGGCTCACGCCTGTAATCCCAGCACTTGAGGCCGAGGCAGGTGGATCACCAGGTCAGGAGATGGAGATCATCCTGGCTAACATGGTGAAACCCCATCTCTACTAAAAATACAAGAAAAATTAGCCGGGTGTGGCGGCGGGTACCTGTAGTCCCAGCTACTCGGGAGGCTGGGGCAGGAGAATGGTGTGAACCCGGGAGGCGGAGCTTGCAGTGAGCCGAGATCGTGCCACTGCACTCCAGCCTGGGCAACACAGCGAGACTCTATTTTAAAAAAAAAAAAAAAAACTGGTACAGAATTCATATATACAACGATGGAAGAGGGGAGGGGTAAAGGCTCTAAGAATCTTGCATTGCCTAAGAAAAGGGCAGAAGTACCAACTAGACTTTGATAAGCCAAAAATACATGCTGTAATCCCTAAGTCAGCTGTTCTCAAAGTATGATTCACAGACAACTGGAGTCTCTAAAACCCTTTCAAGAGGTCTGCTAGGTCAAAATTATTTTCATTAATATTAAGATGTTATTTGAACTGATACAAAAGCAATGGTGAGCAAAACTGCTGGCATCAGCAAAAATCAAACAGAGCTAAACACTACAGTAATCATACCACCTTGTTTTTTTTATTAAAAGAAAATGCCAGTTTCATTTAATAATATCCTCAATAAAACAGTTAAAAAGTTATGTTATTAAATGTCAACCCTTGAGTACATGTTGTTTTATTTTTTTTTTATTTGAGACAGAGTTTCGGTCTTATTGCCCAGGCTGGAGTGCAGTGGCATGATCTCAGCTCACCGCAACCTCCGCCTCCTGGATTCAAGCGATTCTCCTCCCTCGGCCTCCCGAGTAGCTGGGATTACAGGCATACGCCACCATGCCTGGCTAATTTTGCATTTTTAGTAGAGACGGGGTTTCTCCATGTTGGTCAGGCTGGTCTCCAACTCCCGACCGCAGGTGATCCGCCCACCTCGGCCTCCCAAAGTGCTGGAATTACAGGCGTGAGTCACCGTACCTTGCCGAGTACATGTTGTATTAATAAGCTGTGTAACAGAATGGGAACTTTAAAGCATTTTTGTACAATGATTAATTAAGTGAACTGGCCTCTTTTTTCATGGAGCATCACTTTGACTCGAAAGAATGAATGACAAAATATGTCTATCCAGATTTGGGTAGTTAGAAGACATCTTCTCAAAAATGGGAGTGATGAGCCCATCATTTAAAGAAAAGCAAATAACAATATTTACTGCCAATGATCAAATTTGAGATTTGAAGCAAAAATCAGAATTTTGGAAAACTTCAACCCACCACTACTGTGAGCTTGACAGCTTCGCAAAACTTAAAAGTTTTTTCTGATGAGATTGGTGGTGATATCAATGAATGTAACTTTTTGATAATGTATAATTAAGTGTGTTGACATCAGCCAGGCATGGTGGCTCATGGCTGTAATCCCAGCACTTTGGGAGGCTGAGGCGGACGGATCACTTGAGGTCAGGAGTTCAAGACCAGCCTGGCCAACATGGTGAAAACCTCGTCTCTACTAAAGATATAAAAATTGGCCGGGCATGGTAGTGCACACCTGTAATCCCAGCTACTAGAGAGGCTGAGGCACTAGAATTGCTTGAACCCAGGAAGCAGAGCTTGCAGTGAGCTGAGATCATGCCATTGCCCTCCAGCCTGGGCAACAGGGTGAGACTCCACCTCAAAAAAAAGTTTGTTGACATCAGTAATAACTGATAGTACAAGCATACTTTGGGGATAATTGGAGACCGCCACAATAGAATTATCACAACAAAGTGAGTCACATGAATTTTTTGGTTTCCCAGTGCATATAAAAATTATGTTAACAATATTCAATAGTCTATTACACATGCAGTAGCATTTAGTCAAAGAAAATGTACATACCTAATTTAAAAATCTGAGCCTTCAGCAAGTTGTAATCTTTTTGCTGGTGGAGGGTCCTGACTCAATGTTCATAGCTGCTGACTGATCAGGGTGGTGGTTGCTGAAGTTTAGGGTGGCTGTGGCAGTTTCTTAGGACAACAATGAAGTTTGCCACATGGATTGACTCTTCCTTTCATGAAAGGTTTCTCAGTAGCATGTGATGCTGTTTGAAAGCATTTTACTCATGGTAGAACTTCTTTCAAAACTAGAGTCAGTTCTCTCAAACCCTGCCACTACTCTGTTAACTAAGTTTACAAAATATCCTAAATCCTTTGTTGTCATTTCCACAATATTCACAGCATCTTCACCAGGAGTGAGTTCCATCTCAAGAAACCACCTTCTTTGCTCATCCATAAGAAGCAACTCCTCCATTCAAGTTTTATCACGAGATAGCAGCAATTCAATCACATCTTCAGGCTTCACTTCTAATTTTGATTCTTTTGCTATTTCTACCACATCTGCATTTACTACTTCTACTCAAGTCTAGAACCCTTCAGAGTCATCCATGAGGGTTGAAATCAACTTCTCCCAAACTCCTGCTAATGTGGATATTTTAACCTCATCCCATGAATCACAAGTGTTCTCAATGGCATCAAGAATGGTGAATCCTTCCCAGAAGGTTTTTTATTTACTTTGCCCAGATCCATGAGTGGAATCACTAACTACGGCAGCCATATAGCCTTACAAAATGTATCACTTAAATAATAAGACTTGAAAGTCAAAATTAGTTCTTGATCTATGGGCTGCACAATGGATGTTGTGTTAGCAGGCATGAACACATTTGTCTCCTTATGTATCTCCACCAGAGCTCTTGGGTAAACAAGTGCATCGTCAATAAGCAGTAATATTTTGAAAAGAAATTTTCTGAGCAGTAGGTATCAACAGTGGACTTACAATATTCAGTAGACTATGCTGTAAACAGATGTGCTGTAATCCAGGCTTTGTTGTTTCACTTATAAAGTATAGGTAGAGCAGATTCAGCATAATTCAAAAAGGTCCCTAGGATTTTCTGAATGGTAAATGAGCAATTGCTTCAACCTAAAATCACCAGCTGCATTAGCCCCTAACAAATGAGTCAGGCTGTCCCTTGAAGTTTTGAAGCTAAGCCTTGACTTTTCCTCTAGCTATCAAAGTCCTACATGGCATCTTCTTCCAACAGAAGGCTGTTTCATATAGATGGAAAATCTGTTTAGTGCAGTGCAGATCACTGATGAATGATCTTAGGTAGATCTTCTGGATAACTTGCTACACTTCTCCATTAGCACTTGCTACCTCACCTTGCACTTTTATGTTATGGAGATAGATTCTTTCGTTAAACCTCATGAACCAACCTCTGCTAGCTTCAATCTTTCCTTCTGCAGCTTCCTCACCTCTCTCAGACTTCACAGAATTAAAGAGAATCAAAGCCTTGCTCTGGGTTTGGCTTTGGCTTAAGGCAATGCTGTGGGGCTGGTTCGATTTTCCACCTAGACCACTCAAAGTTTGCTATGTCAGCAGTGAGGCTGTTCTGCTTCCTTATCTTTCATGTGTTCACTGGAGTAGCACTTTTAATTCCCTTCAAGAATGTTTTCGGTCAGGTGCGGTGGCTCATGCCTGTAATGCCAACACTTTGTGAGGCCAAGGCAAGGGGATGGCTTGAGGTCAGGAGTTCAAAACCAGCCTAGACAACATAGCAAGACCCCATCTCTACGAAAATGAAAATAGCTGGGTACCTGTCATCCCAGCTACTTGAGAGGCTGAGGTAGGAAGATGGCTTGAGCCCAGGAGCTTGAGGCTGCAGTAAGCTAAGATCATGCCCCTGCACTCCAGCCTGGGCAACAAAGTGAGACCCTGTGTCTTTAAAAACAAAGTTTCCTCTGCATTCACAACTTGGCTGTTTGGTGTAAGAGGCCTAGCTTACACCATATCATGCCGCTGCACTCCAGCCTGGGCAACAAAGTGAGACTCTGTCTCTTTAAAAACAAAGTTTCCTCTGTATTCACAACTTGGCTGTTTGGTCTAAGAGGCCTAGCTTTCAGTCTATCTTGGCTTCTATCTTGACCTTCCTCACTAAGCTTAATCATTTCTAGCTTTGATCTTAAAGTGAGAATGTCCAACTCTGTCTTTCACTTGAATACTCAGAGGTTACCACAGGGTTATTCATTGGCCTAATTTCAATACTGTGTCTCAGGGAATAGGAGAGGAGAGGGAGAGAGACCAGGGAATGGCCAGTCGGTAGAGCAGTCAGAACACATACATGTTTATTAATTAAGTTTACTATTGCACATGCGCACAGTTCATGGTGCCCCAAAACAATTACAACAGTAACATCAAAGGTCACTGATCAATGATAATCATAATAGATACAATAATAATGAAAAAGTTTGAAATAGTGTGAGAATTACCAAAATGTGACTCAGTCACTGAGTGAGCACATGCTGTTGGAAAAATGGTTCCAATAGATTTGTGATACACAGGACTGCCACAAACCTTCCGTTTGTTTACATATATACATATATGCAAAGCACAATAAAGCAAGGTGTGCCTATAACTCTCCTGTTCCTTCTTTCATGTTAATCCATTTGCCCCTAACCAAAAATATTACAATTTATGTTTCTCTAATCCATTGAAAACATCTCCTCCCTACTATTCAGGGTTATAGTATCATTTCAGTATCTACAAAATCTAAAACATAAATTTTATAATGCCACATCCTCACTTTAAAAAAAAAAAGGGTCAATGTATCATCAAACTCACTGCTACTCCCAGGGCCTAGGATAGTATCAGTAAATCATGAAAAGTTCTAATGCAATCTATAGTAATCATGGTGTATCCTAAATAATTTGCGAAGGGTCAACAAAACCTTTCTCTTCTATGAACAAATTTGACCTTGGCATCCTTTACTTCTAAAGCCTGATAAAGGTTGTATGTCAGTTGTATTACAGGCTAAGCATCCCTAATCCTAAATCCAAAATGCTGCTAAGTCCAAAATGTTTTGAGCAATGACATGATGCCACAAGTGGAAAATTCCACACCTGGCCTCTTGATGGGTCACTGCCAAAATTTCGTTTAACAAAATTATTTAAAATCTTATATAAAATTACCTGTAGGCTATGTATATAAAGTGCGTGTAAAACATAAATGAATTTCATGTTTAGACTTAACGTTCCATCCCCAAGATCTCTCTTTGTGCATATGCAAATACTCCAAAATCCGAAACACTTCTGGTCCCAAGCATTTCAGATAAGGGATACTCAACCTGTAGTAGTAACAATGATTATGGTGAAAATTATCCCTGATTAATGAAATAAATCTAGAGTCAGAGAACTGCAAATGAACTATAAATATCTGCTAGGATGCCACAGCTTTGGGATTTCCTCAGAATACTATTTAACTGAGCATATCTCTATAGAGAAAACATGGAAAGTATGACCACAAAACTGTTAAAAAAGATATTGGTTCCTATTTGGGGGTGATGGGGCAAGGGAGGGTGTTTCTAAATCAAGTATGGTAGGCTGAAAAAAAAAATATTACCTTATCTGGTAAAAAGATGGGATTAAGATAAGGATCCTGAAAGGAGGCGCTTGTCCTGCATTATCTGGGTGGGCCCCAAATACAATCGTATGTGTCCTTTTATAAGATAGCAGGAGTTTTCAGGCACACAAAGTAGGCAGTGATGTTAAGACCAGCCACTAGAAGGTGGAAAAAGGCAAGGAACTGATTCTCCACTGGAGCCTCCAGGAATATGGCCCTGCCAACACATTTATTTCAAACTTTTAGCCTTTACAACTGTGAAAGAATAAATTTCTGTGTTTTCAATCACCCAGTTTATAGTTATCTGTTACAGAAGCCACAGGAGGAAACTAATACACCAGAGTAGCTCTGCAACCACCTTTGTGATTCTCATTCTCACATACCTGAGCTGTCACTCATGGACCAAACATAAGCCCCAGGAATCCTGCAAGAGCAAGGCATTGCTCTGCTGGCATGCTGTTTCCTGCGCAATATCCTTCTATGTCAATATGATGCCAAGCGCGACCTGATCAGGTCTTACTTGTCTGAATGACTATTTAGCCTAGAGTTCCCTAGCGGACAACTGCAGTTACTAATGATATTTATAGTGCCAAAGTATCCAAATGCTTTGCCTTTTTTAATGCCATGAGAGCTAAGTGTAGTAGATAGACTCTGAAACCTGACGGGCTAGGTTTTGAATTTTAGCTTCGTACTGTTTGGCCTTGGGCAAGTCACTTAATCTCTTTGTGCTTTATAAAACAGGAAGATTTTATAGCAACTACCCCAAAGGATTATTGTAAGAATTAAAGGAATACATACCATAATTTAAGATTTTAAGGAAAAATCAGAATTTTTGAAAACTTGTACCCATCGCCACCGTGAACTTTATGAATCACAATTCACAATTTGTATTGTTGTCACCACCCACCTATTTCATCAAGACTCTGAAGTTAATTACAGTTTGGCTGTACATCATATTCTATTTATAACTGTGTATATATCCCTTTCTCATTCTTGATATTTTATATTTATGCTCCCCTTTTGCCCTCTCCCTAAGCCTTACTAGAAGTATGTGTATTTAGCTCTTTCCAAAACCAATTTTCGGATTTCTTTAAGAACACATTTTAAATGCTGTACCACAAATCACTTCGACTAAGGTGTACATATGTATGCATTCACTATAACATCACCCTCTTGAATGTTTCATTAAATGAAAGACCTGGCTTTCTAGGATTGTGCATAATCCCAGAAAAGGCCAAGTAAGTACTGCATGTATCCTAATAGAGGGGGGTAAAAACAATGGAGAACTACTGGCCTGCACCACAATAAGAGAAAATGCCAAGGACCTCCGTGATATAACACTACCGAACACCCTTACAAAATCCTTGCTTTCCCTTTAACAGTTCCCTAGACATATCATTTTTTTCTTAGCTCCATGCATTGGTTTATAAAGCCTAATATGCCAAAATGATTCTTTTTTCCTGACTCATCTATATAGGATCTACTCCTATCTAGAATTCTAACATTTACATAATCACTTGCTTCATATCATACCACCACCCCTAACATGTATGCCTCTATCACCTCCCCTTCTCTCTAATTCTCATTCATAGATCTATCCCCAAGTCACATGGAGGGTTGCCATTCTAAATCATCAGAAATTCCTCTAATGGGCGTAGGCTATCTACTGGTAATTTCACCAAACAGATATAGGTAATAAAGAGTAGAACCTAATTTTTTCCCATGAAGTTAACACCAAATAATGAAAAGCTTAATCCAACATACATTTCCCAGACCGGAGGAACGAAAGTTTCCAGACAGACCAAGGCACATTACCATGATTTTTCAGAATACCAGGTATAGATACAATCCTAAAACTGGAGGAGGAAGAAAGTTAAAATAAAAATCATATTACATACAAAATGGCCCACCCCAAACACAGAAGACAAAGAACAGTAATTTCAAAATTTTGAAGGAAAATTATTTCCAACTTAATACCAGACAAACTCTCAATCAAGAGGGTAGAAGAACACAGAAAAACAAAGCATCCAAGAAACAGAGCTCGACACTAGTCAATAGTGAAGCCCCATTCCCCTAAAGATGATGGCATGCCAAATATAAAGCAAAGAGGGAACCTGGAAGGATTATGAGGAAGTTCACCAGAACTGATAGATTATATATTTCAAAAGTAAGGAAAAATATCCAGAAGCACTCTTACAGTTGTTGGGCAAGAATTTGTGATAGGAACCTATAGAAAACAATAAAATGATAAAAGGCGATTAGCATTAGGGAAATTATTTAAAGTAAACAGACATCTTAATATTTCTTGGCTTATTAACTAGAAACATCAATAACATAGTAAACATTGTTTATTTAACTAAAGCTGTTATACTGAAAAGATACAGAAATGGGAAAATATGATTTTAAAATATCGACATTATCCTTTATAATAGAAAGCAAAGGCCAGGCACGGTGGCTCACGCCTGTAATCCCAGCACTTTGGAAGGCAGAGGTAGGCGGATCACTTGAAGCCAGGAGCTCAAGACCAGCCTGGCAAACATGGTGAAACCCCATCTCTACTAAAACTACCAGAATTAGCCAGGCATGGTGGTGGGCACCTATAGTCCCAACTACTTGGGAGGCTGAGGCACGAGAATCACTTGAATCCAGAAGGCAGAGGTTGCAGTGAGCCGAGATTGCATCACTAGACTCCAGCCTGGGCGACAGAGCAATACTTCGTCTCAAAAACAAACAAACAAAAACATCGGCCAGGCGCAGTAGCTCACGCCTGTAAATCCAGCACTTTGGGAGGCTGAGACTAGCGGATCATGAGGTCAGGAGTTCAAGACCAGCCTGGCCAACATAGCGTAACCCTGTCTTCACTAAAAACACACAAAAAATTAGCCGGGCGTGGTGGCAGGCGCCTGTAGTCAGTCCCAGCTACTTGCGAGGCTGAGGCAGGACAATCGCTTGAACCCAGGAGGCGGAGGTTGCAGTGAGCCGAGATCACGCCACTGCACTCCAGCCTGGGCGACAGAGTGAGACTCCGTCTCAAAAAAAAAAAAAAAAAAAAAAAAATCAACATAAACTGTGAGGGAAGAGAAGGACACAGAAACAGCATTATAAGCACATTATCTAGAAATATGGAGGGAAGGCAGGGAGCAATGGCTCACGCCTGTAATCCCAGCACTTTGGGAGGCAGAGGTGGGCAGATCACGAGGTCAGGATTTCGAGACCAGCCTGGCCAACATGGTGAAGCCCCGTCTCTACTAAAAATAAAAAAATTAGCCGGACGTGGTGGTGCATGTCTGTAATCCCAGCTACTCGGGAGGCTGAGACAGGAGAATCCCTTGAACCCGGGAGGCAGAGGTTGCAGTGAGCCGAGATCACACCATTACACTCCAGCCTGGGCAACAAGAGCGAAACTCCATCTCAAAAAAAAAAAAAGAAAGAAAAAAGAAATACAGAAGCAAATACCAAAGTAACAGCTATGCATTGAAGGTAGCACCTCTGAGACTACGAAAAACTGCTGTTTTTCACGATAAGTCTCATAGAACCACTCCAGGTTTGTTTTTTAAATTCTGTACCAGCATTTTCTTAATTTAAAAAAATTAGGAAAAACAATACATAGATAAGACATGTGAATAAGGGGCTTAATAAATATTTACAATTAAATGGGGAGAAAGCTGTGGGACTAAGTGAAATAAGTAGGTAGAAAAAGAAAGGGCAGTTAAGTGAAAAATCAAGAGACCTTGGTATGTCAAAGAAACTGAAAGGAGAAAAAAGTTTTTAAAGAATGCAAGCATAGTCTATCATGAATTATGTTGCTTTTTAAAAGTCAACTAAGATATAAGAAAAATATAAGCAACCTGCCACATGCCTAAATATCATTGGAACACAAATAATAATAGCAAAAGGCTACGTAGATGGCCAGGCGTGGTGGCTCAAACCTGTAATCCCAGCACTCTGGGAGGCCCAGGCAGGCGGACCACCTGAGGTCAGGAGTTGAAGACCGGCCTGGCCAACATGGTGAGACCACCCCCCACCCCACCACCATCTCTACTAAAAATACAAAAATTATCCAGGTGTGGTGGGACACTCCTGTAGTCTTAGCTACTTGGGAGGCTGAGGCAGGAGGATTGCTTAAACCTGGGAGGTGGAGGTTGCAGTAAGCCGAGATCACACCCCTGCACTCTAGCCTGGAAGACAGAGCGAGACTCCATCTTAAAAAAAAAAAAAAAAAAAAAAAAAAAAGGCTACCTAGAGCAATCAGGACCAGCAATCTAGCTAAAACAGCAATGATCTAAAAGATATCACAGGAATATTCAAGCAAGCTCTTCAGTTCAAGACAAATCAGCAGGTTCAAGCAGGCATCCATTTCTCGATTCCAAGGTTCCCCAACTAAAAGAACACCAAATAAGATGATATTTTTAAAATAGGATTCTCAGACACACTGTATCATTTAATTGTGATTTTTAAAAACCTGTTAATATTAAATTTACAATCTTAACCATTTTTAAGTGTGCAATTCAGCAGTGTAAGTATATTCATTGTTACGCAACAGATCTCTAGAACTTTAACTTGAAAAAGTAAAATTCTATACACATCAAACACTAATCCTCTCTTACAACTCCCCCCAGCCCTTGACACCTACCTTTCTACTTCCTGTTTCTATGATTTTGACTACTTTAGATGCTTCATATGAGTAGAACCATACAGTATTTGTCCTTTTATGACTGGCATATTTCATCTAGGATAACGTCCTCAAGGTTCATCCATGCTGTAGCATGTGACAGGATTTCCTTATAAGGGCTGCATAATATTTCACTGTATGTATATGCCACGTTTTCCTTATCCATTCACATCTGCTGATGCTCATTTGGGATGTTTCCATCTCTTGGCTGTTTTGAATAATGTCACAATGAACATAGGTACATTAATACCTCTTTGAGATCCTGCTTTGGAGGCCGGGTGTGTAGTTCACGCCGGTATTCCCAGCACTTCACTTTGGGAGGCCGAGGCAGGCAGATCACCTGAAGTCAGGAGTTCGAGACCAGCCTGGCCAACATGGTGAAACCCCGTCTCTACTAAAAAAAGATACAAAAAATTGGCCAGGCATGGTGGTGCGTGCCTGTAGTCCCACCTACTCAGGAGGCTGAGGCAGGAGAATCTCTTCAACCCGGGAGGCGGAGGTTGCAGTGAGCCTTGCACTCCAGCCTGGGTGACGGAGTGAATGAGACTCTGTCTCCAAAAAAAGAAAAAAAAAGTAGAATAGAGATCTTGCTTTGAACTCTTTTGAACATATACACAGAAGTGGGGTTGTTGGATAAGATCAATTTTTTAAATGTCTTCTGCTTATAAGGCAGAGGGTCAAAACATGAAGGAGGGGAGGGATGGTCCTCAGATAAGAAAATAAAGTATTAAAAATTCAAATGTAAAGGTGGCATATATTATTCAGACTGGAGGTATGGGGATAGAAACTTTTCTGTTTAGTATTACATTTGTTATACATGCTTGTGGCATTTGTTTTAATTCCAGGTACATAAGAGATTATCCATAATTTTTCAGATTGCTTCAAAAGATGAACACCTACAGTCATATGTATTTTTAAAAGTGCGTATCTTTCAACTTAACCAAAATACTTTAAAAATAGCTTTAATTAACACTATTTCATACCCCTGAAAATCATTTTGTATAATTCCAAATAAGAGTAAATTATAAGATACCATGTAGTAAACTGCACTGTGGCAAATACAGAACCAATACATTTTAATAAGAGTATATCTTGAATAGAACAACCCTTTTCAGACAATGAACCAAAATTTACAGAACATGTAAAAAGGTAGAGTTCCTATAGTGAAATCCTGAATATAGCTACTTAGAGAAGCCTATTACCTGTCTCACTTGTGAAATGGTACTTTTCATCTACAGGAGGTTTAGAACAAAATATCAAATTTATAAAAATAGAATTCTAAACAAAAACTAATATTCTGTTTCAACACAAAAGCACAATACATCAGAGAAAAAATGATAAATTAGACTTTATCAAAATTTAAAAATTATACTGTTAAGAGAATGACAGCAAAGCCACAAACTGAAGAAAATATTTGCAAAGCATCTATCTGATCAAGCACTTATATCTAGAATATATAAAGAACTCTCAAAATAGGGGGAAAAAGGAAAAAAAATAATTTTTATAAAGTAAGCAGAATATTTGAATAGGTACTCACCAAAGAAGATATACAAATGACAGATAAGCACATGAAAAACCACTCATCATCAAGGGGTAATGCAAATTAAAACCAAAATGAGGATGAGATACTACTACACCACACATTAGAATGTCTAAAATTGGAGGGACGGAAGCAGAAAAAATAACTAATCGATACTAGGTGTAACACCTGGGTAATGAAATAATCTGTACAACCAGCCCCAATGACACGTTTACCTATGTAACAAACCTACACATCCTGTACATGTACCCCTGAGCTTAAAAGGTTAAAAAAAAAAAGTGTCTAAAAAAGAGTAATCATACCAAATGTTGGCAAGAATGTAGAAGAATTGGAACTCTCATACACTGCTGGTAGAAATGCATTTAAAATGGTACAACCACTTTAGAAAGTAGTTTGGGAGTTTATTCAGTTAAACATATACCCACCATACAATCCAACCACTCCACTCCTAGGTATTTACCCAAAGAAAAACAAATACGTGTCCATACAAAGACTTATACAAGAATGTTCATAGCAGCTTTCTTTTAATAGCCAAAAACTGGAAACAACCTATCAATAACTGAATAATCTGTGGTATATCCATATGCTCAATTACTACTTAGCAATAAAGGGGAATAAATTATTGATGCACACAACATGCCTGAATCTCATAAATTATGCTGAAAGAAGCCAGACAAAAAGAATACATACTGTATGATTCCATTTAAATAAAACTTTAGAAAATGCAAACTAATCTAACGTGGTAGAAAGCCAATCAGTGGTTGCTTGAGAATGGCAGAGAGAAGCAAATTCCAAAACAGAGGAACTTAAAACAATGACAATATCTCCCCAACCCCTTTCAAAGAAAAAAAAAAAAAAAAAAGTCCCTTAGACATTTCTTTTTAAAACATAGTAAAATGACTTATCCCAGCACTTTGGGAGGCCAAGGCGGGTGGATCACAAGGTCAAGAGATTGAGACCATCCCGGCCAAGATGGTAAAACCCTGTCTCTACTAAAAATACAAAAAATTAGCTGGGTGTGGTGGCGCGCACCTGTAGTCTCAGCTACTCGGGAGGCTGAGGTAGGAGAATCACTCGAACCCAGGAGGCAGACGTTGTAGTGAGCCAAGTTCGCGCCACTGCACTCCAGCCTGGTGACAGAGCGACACTCCGTCTCAAAAAAATATATAGTAAAATGACTTTGAAGGTTATAGTACTGAAAGCATAGAACAAGTATTTGAAAGTATTCACTAAGAAGTGCATTTGAGGTTTGCTGAATTCCCTTTATCCACTCTTCCTTTTTCTTTTCTCTTTTATTCCCGTAAGTATAAAGTAAACAAAAAATGCCCCCCAACTACCACCCAGATAACTGCTGCTGACATAAAAAGGTAGGTAGCACATGTGTAGAAAATTCAAATAGTGAAGAAAGCTATAATGTGAAACAAAAAAACAAAAGCTTTTCCCCGTCTCCTTATTATTATCAATTTCTGTTAAAGTTTGTCCCAGTGCTTCTGCATGTGTTTGCGGTTGTATCTGCTTTTACAAAATGTAAACAATGTTCAATAGCTTGCCTTTTTAATACATTGCTTGAAGGTCTCTCCGATATCAAAAATATTACTATTTTATTATTTTCAGCCATTCTAGAATATTTTACATACTGGAATCTCATTAAACCCCCATCGTCGGATGTTTGTTTCTGATATTTTTAATTTTGAAAAATATCAAGCCATCAGAAAAGTTGAAAAGATAGTACAAGGAACTGTAATACACTAGATTCACCAATTGTTAACATTTTGCCACATGTGTGCACACACTCCCTCTCTATTTTACTAATTCACTTGAAAGTTACCTACGTACTCCAGCATGCATTTCCTAAGAACAAGGGCATTGTCCAAAATAACCACAATGTAGTTATCACTTTTCAGAAATTTAACATTGACTATACTGTTATCTACTATGTAGCCTATATTAAAATTTCTTCACTCTCCCATAGTGTTCTTTATAGCTGTTGTATTTTAAATACAGAATCATTTTAGGAATTATGTTTTGCATTGTATTGTCTTGTCATTTTAGTCTCCTTTATAGTCCCCTAGGCTTTTTTTCAGTCTGTTTCTTTGCATGGCTCGAAAACTTTTGTTGAAATTGTACATTTTCCATAATATAACAACTCGAGATTCTGACTCCTGACACCTCCCAGATTATTGTGGTTGCTGTTTGTTTACAGACTTGCCTGGACTATTTCTATAGTCTTCTCAATAGTGTATGACCACTGATGTCTCTGGTTAGTTGTCTTCTGTTTTTTACTTTTTCCTCAATTTTTATTTTTAAGCTTGGCTTTCTAGAAGTCACTCCTAGGTCAGTATAGTTTGGTGACCGGCTAATGATAAATAAGAGGTTATGTTTAAACATATTGTGCCAGTAAGGCTTCTGTCCTTTACCAAAGCATCTCCCTCTGTGTTGGTTTGGACCCCACTCAAAGTTCAGGTGGCTTATGAATCAGTTCTGACTTCTACTTTCTGCTTGAGCAAAGCTGCACATTGAGCCAGGTGAGTAGACAGCTGGAGGCCTCTCTGCTCTCTCCTGAGCATGTGCAGCTCTCCAGACACCCATGAATATGTGGGAGCTTATCAAGGTCTACTATGGCTGTTCCATTCCCCAGATTACCAAGTAAAATCTCCAGCTAGTCTTATGATTGCCCCTGCCAACACTGCAGCTTCAGGCAGCTATAATGTTATCCTTTAGTCATTTGATGTTCAGATTGCTATTGTTTTATATATAGTTTTCCCTCCGTATCAATGGGTTTTGCATCCATGGACTCAACCAACTGCATATTGAAAATATTCAGGAAATAAAAAAGGAAGGTTGCGTCTCTACTGAAGGGAGATAAGGGCTCCCTTTTTGTAAACTTTATAGGATTTTTTTGACTCTAAACTATATGCATGTACTACTTTGCTAACATTTAAAGAAAAGACTAACTGCAACTCACAGAAAAAGAAACATTACTGGCCAGTAAATATGACGGGGGTGGGAGGCAGCCCTGTAAGTGAAATTTTAAAATGCAATGATAATAGACAATACTTACATGGCATCTATTATAAGCTAGACACTAAGTGCTACATATGTATTAATTCATTTAATTACAACAGCCCTTGCGCAAGGTAACTATTTATTCTCTCATTTTACAGACTGGGAAACCGAGACACAATTACTGGCCAAGTAAGGATTGGAAAAAGACAACTCCAGAGTCCACATGTTTCATTACTATTCTAAACTGCCTCAAAACTTATTAGGTAGAAATGGAAATAAACAGTTTGGTAGGAACGGTAAGCAGACACTCAAACACAGGTGGTAGGAGAACAAATGAATAATACTAGAGGGCAACTAGAGAATATTTATCAAATGTCTCTAAACAGAGGCTTTCAAAGGGGTGTAACAACAAAATGACATAATTTCAATGGAGAAAAAGTGTCAATATCTATCAAAAATACAAATGCATGCATATATATGTATGGTCCTATTATACGTATCATCCTCCTTTAATCAAGCAATTCTAAGAATTCATCCTATATATAAATGTATGCATTTCATAAAATAACATGTAAGATTATACTAACAGAAGACTGAAAGGAGCCTGAACAGCCATCAAGAGGAATCAGTAGGCTTACTAAATATATGAACTCTTGAATCTGCTTAGGTAAGTAACCCATGATAATTAAATACATCTTATTTAAACAGTATTAAAACATCCTTGGCCGGGAGTGGTGGTTCACACCCGCAATCAACCCCAGCACTTCGGGAGGCCGAGGCGAACATATCACTTGAGGCCAGGAGTTCAAGACCAGCTTGGCGAACATGACCAAACCCTGTCTCTAGTAAAAATACAAAAATTAGCCAGGCATGGTAGCACGTGAGCCTGTAGTCCCAGCTACTTGGGAGACTGAGGCACGAGAATCGCTTGAACCCAGGAGATGGAGGCTGCAGTGAGCTGGGATCATGTCACTGCACTCCAGCCTGGGCAACAGAGTGAGACTCTGCTGCAAAACAAGGAAGGGAGGGAGGGAGGGAGGGAAAGATCCTTAAACACTTAATAACAACCTACCTCTAAAGAATTTCCAGAAAAGGATCACTGAAGTCCAGTGATTGGATAACTCTACACTGTTTCACTGGTGATTCACAGAATTCATTAGTGTATTACTAATTTTGAAAAGCACTGCAATCGAAATTTAATTTTCGTTACTCTGAAATGTCCTAAATACATGTGGTCCATGAAACCCTGTTTGTTGTAAAAACCAATTAAAATCTAGTGGGACAACAGTGTTCCATGGAATGTAGGTGGAAAGCCAGAATGGAAGCATGCATTAACCACAATTAAATCTATGGCCTCAAAACTAGAAATACGTGTGTTTGCATTAGGACACTTATTCTATGTGGCACTTGATCCTTTCACTCCTATACCATTCCTTACTCCCTTTCATGGTGTATTACACTTTATGTCACATACTATTCAAATTTAAGCAAATAGGACATTCTTACAGTAAAGATAAATTACGAATTGTTCTTTTGTAAAAAGTACTCTGCATAAGCAGATTTTAAATAAACACAAAATCAAAACTAAAAATTTATCAAGGCTTTCTGCTTCTGGCCAAAAGGGAACCAGATTTACCCAGCCACATTAACCAATAAACCAAGCAGAATATGTGAAACAACATTTTCAGACAGTAGACACAATACAAGGCATTGATCTCTGAGAGAGGAGAGACAAACGAGGTGACCCCTACTACTATTCCAGCTTACTCCATGGAGAGAGTTCCGACACAAAGGCAAAGGTAGGGGAATGCAGGCAGAAGTGCTGTTTCCCAGAGGCAAAAATGGACTGGGAATCTGGGTACGCCAAGGCAGTTTAGAGTTCACAAGGTAGGAAGTGAGAGAGAAGGGGGCTGCAGAGAGAGGACTCTGGAGATTCTACACAGGCTCCCTCTTGAATCATCAAATAAATGAGTACATGGAGGTAAAGAAATTACCCTAGAACCCGGATACGATTACACATTGTAGGCCTGTATCAAAATATCTAATGTATCTCATATATACACCTACTATGTACCCATAAAAATTTAAAAATTTTCTTAAAATAAACTATTGGCTGGACACAGTGGCTCACGCCTGTAATCCTAACACTTTGGGAGGCCAAGGCAGGAGGATCGCTTGAGGTCAAGAGTTCAAGATCAGCCTGGACAACATAGGGAGACTCCATAGCTACAAAAAATTTAAAAATTAGCCAGGCGTGGTGGTACACACCTGTGGTCCCAGCTATTTGGGAGGCCAAAGTGGGAGCACAGCTTGAGCTTGGAAGGTAAAGGCTATAATGAGACATGATCGTGCCACTGCACTCCAGCCAACAGGGCAAGACCCTGTTTCAATAAATAAATAAATACATAGACACACACACACACACACACACACACACACACACACACACACCCAGGACCACCTAAAACAAACACTGGAAATATCCACATGGCTCAAACAGTACCAAACACAGTTGTGCTCCCACAAGTCAAAGTGGAAAAACTTGTAATACAAGTGGCATCCCAAAGAATCCTAACAAGGATATTGCCTCCACACTGGGCAACATTAGCCCAAGACTAAAGGTTGCTCTATTCCCAGAGGCTTGTATAATTAAAAGCAAGCCTCAAAAGCATCAAACTATTTCCAAGTGATTTAACTGCATCCCAGAACAGAGTTCAAAAATACTTAAAATGAAATGATAGTATACAGAAAGCAATGAGATAAAATTCACTGTCTAGCATGCGGCCGGAATATTGAACGTAGATGCGAACAATAGGAGTGTGTACCAGGAATCAAAGACAAAAGTTACCAGGCATGAGAACAATCAAGAAACTATAACCCACAATGAGAAAAATCAACCAATAGAAAATTAATCACAAATGATACAAATAGCAGCATTAGTCAAACTGTATTTCATATGCTCAAGAAAATAAAGAAAAACATAAACATGTTAAAGACAGGGAAAATATAAAACAGCCTAAACAAAAATTACAATGTCTTGAGGTAAAAAACATACTGATGAAATAAAGAGGAGATTAGGCCGGGCACAGTGGCTCATGCCTGTAATCCCAGCACTTTGGGAGGCCGTGGCAGATGGATCACCTGAGGCCAGGAGTTTGAGACCAGCCTGTCCAACATGGCAAATCCCTGTCTCCACTAAAAATACAAAAATTAGCCAGGCGAGGTGGCAGATGCCTGTAATCCCAGCTACCTGGGAGGCTGAGGCATTAGAATTGCTTGAACCCAGGAGGCACAGGTTGCAGTGAGCCGAGATTGCATCACTGCACTCCAGCATGGGCCACAGAGGGAGACTGACTGTCTTAAATCAATCAATCAATCAATCAGCCAGGCATGATAGCATGATGGCGCATGCCTGTAATCCCAGCTACTCAGGAGGCTGAGGCAGGAGAATCGCTCAAACCCGGGAAGTGTAGGCTGCAGTAAGCCAAGATCACACCACTGCACTGTAGCCTGGACGACAGAGCGAGACTCTGTCTCAAAAAAAAAAAAAAAAAAAAAAAAGCAGAGAAGATTAGACACTGCAAAAGAAAAAAATTATTAGTGAACTTGAAGACATCGCAATACAAATAATCCACAACGAGATACAGCAAAGAAAAAGACTGAAAAAAAAATGAACAGAGCACAGTAAGTGATAGAATAATTTCAGATATCCTGATAAACATATAATTAGAATGGGGGTAGGAGTGGAAAGTATAGAGGACACAGAAAAATATCTAAAGATACAAGAGCAAAAAATTTTCCGAATTTGGTGAAAATTTAAAACCCACATGCCCAAGGAGCTCAACGGATCTCAAGCACAATAAACATCAAAAAGAAAAAGAAACTACAACACATAACACATAACGTAACCAAATCACTTAACACCAGCAATAAAGAGAAAACCTCAAAAGCAGTCAAAGGCAGGAGACGTCTTACAGAGGAACAAAAATAAGGATGACAGAAAACTTCACCTCAAAAACAATGCAAAGGAGAAAACAGTAGAGTGCCATCTTTATGAATACAGGAGAGAAAAAAGTCAGTCTAGAATTCTATATAACAAGCCAAAATATTTTTTTAAATAAAGAAGAAAATTAAACTTTTGCAGACAAAAGACAGAAAAATTAATTACTAGCTAATCTTCACTTAAGAACTTAAAGTCGTTCAGGCAAATTTAAATCTACATAAAGGCATAAAAAGCAATAGAAATAGTAAACATGTGAGCAAATATAAAATAGTATATAAAATACATTTTAAAACATTCAAAACTCAACATTTTAAGAATATTCAAATTAGGCCGGGCGCAGTGGCTCACGCCTGTAATCCCAGCACTTTGGGAGGCTGAGGCGGGAGGATCACCTGAGGTCAGGAATTCAAGACCAGCCTGGCCAACATGGCGAAACTCTGTCTCTACTAAAAACACAAAACTTAGCTGGGCCTGGTGGCAGGCACCTGTAATCCCAGCTACTCGGAAGGCTGAAGCATAAGAATCACTTGAACGCGGGATGCGGAGGTTGCAGTGAGCCGAGATCACGCCACTGCACTCCAGCCTGGATGACAGAGCAAGACTCTGTTTCAAACAAACAAAAAAAAATTCAAATTAGAAAATGGACAAAAGACATCAACAGACATTTTACTGAATAAAATATACAGATGGCGAATAAGCACAAGAATAAGCACAAGAAAAGGTGTCCAACTTCATCCACTATTAGAGAAGCACAATTAAAATCACAATGAGGCCCAGTACTTTGGGAGGCTGAGGCAAGTAGATCGCCTGAGGTCAGGAGTTCAAGACCAGCCTGGACCAGCCTGGGCAACACGGCGAAACCCCACCTCTACTAAAAACACAAAAATTAGCCGGGCATGGTGGTGCACACTTGTAATCCCAGCTACTAGGGGAGGCTGAGGCAGGAGAATTGCTTAAACCCGGGAGGCAGAGGCTGCAGTGAGCCAAGACTGTGCCACTGAACTCCAGCCTGGGCAACAGGCTCTGTCTCTTAAAAAAAAAAAAAAAAAAAAAAAAAAAAAAAAAAAAGGCACACACAATGAATTTTATCAGCATACACTTATCAGAATGACTAAAATTAAAAAAACGGTGATAATAACAAATGCTAGTAAGTATACAAGGAAACTGGGTCACTCATACATTGTTAGTAGGAATATAAAATGGGGAAGATCATTTTGTAGTTCCTTCTGAAACTGAAAACGGACTCACCATACAACCCAGCAATTACATTCTGGGTTAACCTTCATTCCAGGGAAATAAAAATTTTCAAGCAGAAACTTCCATGTGAATATTCAGAGCAGTTTATTTATAAGAGCCAAATATTGGCAGCTATCCAATGTCCTTCATTGGATGAGTAGTTAAACAAAATGTGGTATATCCATAACCATAGAATATAACTCAGCAATAAGAGCAGACTACTAATATACACAGTAATTTGGATGAACAACAAGGAGACTATGCCACCATCAGAAAATACATGCTACATGATTCCATCAGATTGGTGGTTCCCAGAGGTTAGGTATGGGGTGGGGAGATGATTGTGGGGATTGGTGTGGCTATAAAGGGACAGCACAAAGGAATCTTGTGATGGTACAGCTAAATATCTTGACTGTAGTTGTGGTTACACGAAACTACACCTAATAAAATTGCATAGAGCCATACAAACACGCACAAATAAGTACATACATACCTGGTGAAATCTAAATAAGCTTTACCAATGTCAATCTCCTTATCTTGATATTGTACGGTAGTTAAGCAAGATGCTAACATTGGGGAAAGTTGGGTAAAGAGTGCACAAGACCTCCCCGTCCATTTCTTCACAACTTCCTATGAAGCTACAACTATTTCAAAATAAAAGAGTTTTTGAAAAAATTAAAAAGCAGCTGGGCACAGTGGCTCACGCCTGTAAGTAATCCTAGCATTTTGGGAGGCCGAGGCAGGCAGATCACAAGGTTAGGAGTTTGAGAACAGCCTGGCCAACATGGTGAAACCCTGTCTCTACTAAAAATACAAAAATTAGCTGAGCATGGTGGTGCACGCCTGTAGTCCCAGCTACTGGGGAGGCTGAGGCAAGAGAATTGCTTGAACCCGAGAGGCGGAGGTTGCAGCGAGCCGAAATCACACCACTGCACTCCAGCCTGGCGACAGAGCGAGACTCTGTCTTAAAAAAAAAAAAAAAAGAAAAAGAAAAGAAAAAAAAGAAAAAATTAAAAAGCAAAAGACAGAGTTCATCAGTTTTGACATGAAAGCAAGACCTAACTATATGCTTGCTCCCTACAAGAAATTCTCTTTAAATATAAAGACACAAAAATGTTAAAAGTAGGCCAGGCACAGTGGCTCATGCCTCTAATCCCAGCACTTTAGGAGGCCGAGGTGGGCGGATCACAAGGTCAGGAGATCAAGACCATCCTCTAACATGGTGAAACCCTGTCTCTACCAAAACTACAAAAAATTAGCCAGGCGTGGTGACGGGCGCCTGTAGTCCCAGCTACTCGGGAGGCTGAGGCAGGAGAATGGCGTGAACCCGGGAGGCGGAGCTTGCAGTGAGCGGAGACTGCGCCACTGCACTCCAGCCTGGGCGACAGAGCGAGACTCCGTCTCAAAAAAAAAAAAATAAAATAAAAGTAAAAAGATATATTATGCTAACATTAATGAAAACTAGAGAAGCTGTATTAATATCACAGTGAATTTCAGAGCAAAAAATATAACCAGAGATAAAGAGGGCCATTTTTTTAACTATAAACGAATCAATCCATCAAGAGGCTATAATAAATCCTAAACACTCATCTACCTAATAAATGAGTTTGAAAATACATTAAGCAAAAACTGACAGCACAGAAAGACTAGAAGTAGATATACAATCAGTAGGATAGAGAAGACTTGAGAAATACAATCAACCAAAGTTGAACTAACTGCTATTTTTGCAGGAGAATATACATTCTTTTCAGGTGCACAGAAAATACTCACCAACATAGACCATATGCTAGACCATAAAGTAACTTTTAAAGTTTTTGAAAAGATTCAAATCATACAAAGTATGTTTCCTGAACAATAGTATTTTGGAAATCCCCCCAAATATCTGGATACTAATCCCCTAACGTACTGCTAAAAAACCCACCAGTCAAAACAGAAATCAAAAGGCAAATTGGGCCAGGCGTGGTGGCTCACGCCTGTAATCCCAGCACTTTGGGAGGCCCAGGCGGGTGGATCACTTGAGGTCAGGAGTTCAAGACCAGCCTGGTCAACATGGTAAAACCCCGTCTCTACTGAAAATACATAAATTAGCTGGGCATGGTGGTGCACACAGGAGAATTGCTTGAACCTGGGAAGTGGAGGTTGCAATGAGCCAAGATCGTGCCACTGCACTCCAGCCTGGGCAACAGAGCGGGACCCCATCTCAAAAAAAAAAAAAAAAAGATATATATTGAAATGAATGTAAATGAAAACACAATATAGCAAAATCTGTGAATGAAGCTAAAGGAGTGCTTTAATAAATGGAAAAAAGACAAATCTCCTGTTCAGAAAACTCCCAAATAATGTATGTATTATTCTAGCCCTGAAGGAGGGAGAGTATAATTTTTGATGACATGAAACTGTTACCTGACTTCTGTGATCTTCCTCCAAAAAACTCGCAACCCCAGTCTAATCATCATCAGAACATCAGACCTATACCAGTAGAGGAGCATCTAATACACCTGACCAGTATTCCTCAAAACTAAGGTCATCAAAAACAAGGAAAGTCTGAGAAAATGTCAGCCAAGAAGAGCCTAGAGACATGACAACTCAATGTAATGTAGTATCCTGGATGAGATCCTGGAACAGTAAAAACTAAGGAAACCTAAATAAACTATGGACTTTAAGCTAATAATAAAGTATCAATATTGGTTCATTAATAGTAACAAATAGATCATACTAAGATACTGATAACAAGGTAAACTGAGTGCAGGAATGCTCTGTCTTTAATTTTTCTATAAATCTGAAACTGTTGCAAAAGTAAAGTCTATTTTAAAAATTATACTACACCTAGGAAAACTTCAATCCTCCCTCCCTTTTTATGATCTGTCAGAATATTTATTTCTACTGTTTATGACGTACCTCTTTGACATTTTTAAGAGTTACATCATGGCAAAGATCATGAATCACACATGCAAACTGTAAACTTGTAAACATGTAAAACTTGTAAACATGAAAAATGTAAGCATGTAAACTGCCATTTCCTCTCCCACTTTCACCTAAATATACAGCCTGTTTCCTAATATGCAAATAACATTTAATGGCTAAATCAGGAATCTGAGATACCTTTCAACTGTATTTCCTTACAAATTATTCTAGTTTATTAGTTCAAACTGATAATTCTTCAACCACACAAAAACTGTATTGTTATACTAATAGAATCAAAATGAGATTTCACTTATATAAAGCAGTGTCTTTCAAACTGGAGTCCACATGTATTCTCCTAGAATTTTCACTATGGAAAAATTTTTAATTTTTAAATTTCTATCATTTAGAAATGCCTGATAAAGCATTCTTATTCTTCTCATATTTTGATAACCCTATATCAAAATACTGACAAGCAATGCTAACACCCATATTTACCTTCACAACCATACTGATGCCAAGCAAAGCCACTTTTAGTAGCAAATTGTTCATTCCCCAAAAGAGATAATATGCAAAATAGAAGAGTTTCATACAAGTTATAATGGAAAAAAATCTATAGGTGAATGAAGTAGCACACAGTAGTAAAGGCATGCCAAAAGAAACTTGAGCTGTCATAATTCTAACATTAATCAAGTGATTTATTATGACAAAATATCATCCCCATCATATTAATGTTACTTTCAATTTTTGTACTGGGTTTAGTTCAGTTTATATTTAATTTATAAATTACATTTATAAATCTGTTTTCTAGTAGTAGAAAAAATACACATAAGGAATTTATTCAGAGATGTTTGAACAAGCCAACACAGTTTCTGGAAGAAATCTTTTTACCATTACCTTTCCCTTGGTATAAGACACTGTAAAGTCACAAAGAAAAGCCATTACATTCACTCAAGAATATGTCCAGTTGTGCTTTAGGTTTCACACTTTAATATCTTTAACTTTAAATGTAACTTTACATGTAATTTTAAAGACAAACTTAATTTTAAGAATTGCAAGAATGCGATACTTTTGCTTAACTAGACATTATTAACTAAACTAAAAGCTTTAAAACTCAGATTAAAAATAAAACCCCAATAACAGCCTTAAAACTCAGATTAAAAATAAAACTTAACAAACCTTGGTTTAAGTTCCAGCTCCACCATCTGGTAACTGTGAGATCTTAGTAAAGCCACTTAAAACACTCTGAACCTTTGTTTCCTCATATGTAAAATAAGAATACTATACTATTTCTTCTGCCTATCTCATATAAGGAAGCGCAGGAGGAATAAAACCTACCCACATTGCCAGTATGTTTTCTATTCCTTCTGGACAGAAAAGGTCAACTCATATAAACAGCTCACATCAGAAAAAGACCAAAATGTAACAATCTTGTCATCATTTTTAAATGAAAAAGAATTTAACCTACGTTTGAACATTTACTACACAGATATAACACATCTGTTATTACAACAAACTGAGGAAATAAAGGGATAAAAGATTCATGCTCTCTCAAGGTATGTGTGTGTTGAGGGGTGGGGACACTTAAAGAGACAATTCTACTGTGCTATCACAAATATGATCAAGAAAATATGGCTGGGCTCCGTGGCTCACCCTTGTAATCCCAGCACTTTGGGAGGCCAAGGCAGGCAGATCACTTGAGGTCAAGAGTTCGAGACCAGCCTGGCAAACATGGTGAAACCCTATCTCTACTAAAAATACAAATATTAGCCGGGGATGGTGGCACGTGCCTGTTAATTCCAGCTACTAGGGAGGCTGAGGCAGGAGAATCGCTTGAACCTGGGAGGTGGAGGTTGCAGTGAGCCAAGATCGGGCCACAGCACTCTAGCCTGGCAACAGAGCGCAACTCTACTTAAATTAAAAAAAAAAAAAAAGTGAGTATATAGACAGACCGTGTCATCACAGAAATAGCAATCATGCAGGAAAGACAAAATTTTAAAATGGTAAGATGGGCTGGGCACCATAGCTCATGAGCCTGTAATCCCAACACTTTGGGGAGGCTGAGGCAGGAGGATCGCTTGTGCCCAAGAGTTCAAGATCAGCCTGGGCAACACAGTGGGACCCTGTCCCTACAAAAAATTTTAAAATTAGTCAGGTGTTGTAGTGTGCACCTGTAGTCTCAGCTACTAGGAAGGCTGAGGTGGGAGGATTGCTTGAGCCTAGGAGGTCGAGCCTGCAGTGAGCCATGATCACGCCACTGCACTCCAGCCTAGGTGACAGTGAGACCCGGTCTCTAAATAAAAAAAATAATTTTTTAAAAAATAGAAAAATGCATGACACTACAGAGAAAATATGGTATACTACTAAAGTATATAGCAGTGAGGGATGGGCAGTCTAAGGAAACACACATTAGCAAGAAAAAAGTTGCATTTTTCTTTAACTTTCTCATTCTTTCCTCTTTTAAACAGTAAAGGCAGCCAAAGCATAGGGGGAAAATTTAATTCAAAAAGTTCAGTGTTGATAAGTAAATTGCTACAGATCCTTCTTTCCTTCCTTCCTTTCTTTCTTCCCTCAAACATTACTATGAAATCTATCCTTTTGACAGAATATAGTCATAAGGGCACAAGTATTCCTCCCCACAGAAGACTACTTACTATTTCTAGCCTGCTTGGTCAACAATGAACATTAAGTATATGTTTATGAAAGATGCCCCAGTCCTTTATGGGAAAAAGGGCATCAAAAAATACAGTAGTCCCCCTTATTCACAGAGGAAATGTTCCAAGACCCCAGTGAATGCCTAAAGCCTTAGATAGTACAGAACCCTATATATATTATGTTTTTTCCTATACATACATGCCTATAACATTTAACTTATAAACTAGGCACAATAGATTAACAATAACTAATAAAATAGAACGATTATAACAATAAATTACGATAAAAGTTATGTCAATGTGGTCTTTCTCTCTAAATATTGTATTGCACTGTACTCACCGTTCTTCTTGTGATGAACTTCAGTATATGATTTTTTTCTTTCCTTATTAAGTACTTTCTCCTGTTCATTAAAAGGAAGCACTTCATGGCTTATCTTTGTCATATCCAAATTGACAGCATCACTTCTCTTGTGTTTTGGGGTCATTATCAAGTCAAATAAGGGTTACTTGAACACAAGCACTTTGATACCACCACGGTCAATCTGATAACTCAGACGGCTACTAAGTGGACTAACAGTGGGCAGTGTAAACAGTGTAGATAAGCTGGACAAAGGGATAATTCACCTCCTAGGCAGGACAGTGCGAGATTTCATCATGCTACTCGGAAAAGGGTGCAATCTAAAACTTAGGAGTTTCTGGAACTTTCCATTTAATATTTTCTGACTGCAGTTAACCACAGGTCAACTGAAACCACACAAAGTGAAACCGTGGATAAGAGCGTACACTACTCTATTACAAAGCAGATTAGCTATACCGCTCTTCTACGATAAAAGGTTTTTTCATGACAGCAGATATTTCTTATCTCCAACAGGGAGAATACAGATCCAAGGCCAGCCACTGGTGTACAATACCAGAGGGTGATGAACACAAGCAATAAATTGGGCTAGGTCTCAGAAAAGGAGAAATGTCACTTTTTCCAGCATTGGAACAGAGGGATGTCATTTTTAGCTACAATACCTACATTTTCCAAAACTAAAGTTTGTGCCCTTTCTGTTCTTGTTCATTTAAAAAGAAGTAGCAACATAAACTTATGACCAGCAACATTAAAAAAGGTTAAAATAAATAGCCATTTTTCTACATATTCACCGTATTATCACCGCTCACAGAATTTTCATACTAAGCAGATGACTAATGGCAAGAAAAAAACCTTGGAGCTAGGGTCAATGCTTAGGAAACATCCACAATGTACAACTGACTAAAGCAGTTGTCTAGATTCTAGAAAAGCCTAGCCAGCTCCAAATGTTTCTATCAACACAGAATGTAAATGTAGCAGGACAGACTCATAACTAGGTTTACCACTATGGGTCAAAAATTAACCCAAGAAAATAGTGTAAGACAGTGGCTGTATGACTTTTTGGCCACAGAATGCTCTCACTTCAGACATACTCTCACAAGAGTATCCAGTATTATGCTCAGTTCCAAGCTAGCTTTGCTAATGCCACCCACTTTGTCCAACCACTCAAGAAAGTATACTAGATGTAAATAAGAAGGGTGGTATTACAGAGAAAACTTTGAATTACATCTGGTTCTTTTCCAAAAGTAAATAACTTACAAAAACTGGTACTTTGATGAGTAGTTTAGCCTATCCACAGTCTCACAGCTGGTAAGTGGCAAAGTCTAGGGATAGGGTCAGGGAACATATGAAAAAGAAACATCCCAAAGAATACCTAGAATCCACAACCTAATAGTAACATCTTTCTTATGATTCACTCCTGACACAGTGCTCTTCCTGGAATCATTTCCTTCATTTCCTTTATCTACCTAAAAAACTTATCTGAGACATAAAAAACTTCTGCATTAACATATATGAGACATCATTCTAACATATCCTATTCTTGTTCACCAAGTAGATTATCAGAATTGTTAATTATTAACAACATTTACTCACTGCTAAGTACGGTGCACTTTACATGCCTTAGCTCATTTAATTCACAGAAACCTATGAGGTAAGTACAAATGACCCTTAAATAACGAGGCAGATAGGCGTGCTGACCCCCCCAGCACAGCTGAAAATTCACATGTAACTTTTGACTCCCCCAAAACATAACTAGTGTTGGGAATAAAGTTTTTGGTGTCACAAAAAAAGAATTAATGCGGGAACAAATGATCTCTCAGAAAGGCGAGCTTTACTTTCTGCAGAAAGGGTGCTACTAAATAAGCTGTCCAGCCAGGAGAGCACACCAAACAAAGGAGACAGGGTTATTTATAACCTGACACATCGATCCTACTGCTGTGTCCAGTTTCCATTGGCTGAAATAGGATCTCACATTTTACACTTTACCCAATTGGCTACTGGTTTAAAACTTTTTTAATTGGGTAAGGGGAACAGAAGAAAGAAAGAAAAGGAAGTTGTCCAGGGATAGTTAAGGACGCATCTTCAAATAAGGAATGGCATGCACTATGGGCTGGGACTTGTCTAGTTCTGCCCAGGCATGCTGGAGCAAGCTAGGACAGCTGATATGGAATATATGTGTGTGTGCGTATACATATATATATATATACGCACACACACAAATAGTGGATAGCAATCTTATAGTAAGAAATTGTGACTTTTTATAGTCTTTGAAGAACTTTCCCATTTCTCACACTACTAATAGCCTACTGTTGACCAGAAGTCTTACCAATAATATAAACAGTTAACACAGCCGGGCATGGTGGCTCATGTCTGTAATCCCAGCACTTTGGGAGGCCAAGACGGGCAGATCACCTGAGGTCAGGAGTTCGAGACCAGCCTGGCCAACATGGTGAAACCCAGTCTCTACAAAAAAAAATACAAAAAATTAGCCAGACGTGGTGGCGAGTGCCTGTAATCTCATTTACTCGGGAGGCTGAGACAGGAGAATCGCTCGAACCCAGGAGGCGGAGGTCGCAGTGAGCCAAGATCACACCACTGCACTCCAGCCTGGGCAACAAACAGCAAAACTCCGTCTCAAAAAAAAAAAAAAAACAGTTAACACATATTTGGTATATGTATTATATACTGTATTCTTACAATAAGCTAGAGAAAAGAAAATATTATTAAGAAAATCATAAGCAACATAAAATACATTTTCTATTCTTAAGTGGAAGTGGATCACCATAAAGGTCTTCATCATCGTCATCTCCATTTTGAAGAGGAGGAGGAGCAGAAAGAGAAGTTACTCTTCCTGTTTACAGGGGTAGCATGTGTGGAAGAAAATCCGTATGTAAGTGGGCCCACGCAGTTCAAACCCTTGTTATCCAAAGATCAACTGTACTATTATCCTTATTTTACAGATGAGGAAAGTAAGGCCTAGAGCATTAAAAGGCTTACTTAAAAGCAATGAGGGCAGATAACATTGCAAACTTTGAGTATAACACATGGTATATTTATTCTTAGCACAATCATGTATTAATTCACCTCCAGGTAGATGGTAAAAATGTTACAATATAATAATCAATATGCAGGAGTGCAGAGAGAGTGTGTGACAATCAGAAGTAGACGAAGCTATTAGGAAAGACAACTGCTCTGAAATTTTAGTACCTATTTTAAAAGGAAAATAAGCTGATTCTCTCTCAGGTTCACTGAGGGCCTTTGGACCTAATATAAATATTCTTCTCAACAGTCCTTTCCACAAATGTCTTGCTCAACCCTCTCTGTTCAGTAGGTCATTAATTTAGATTCCAATGATATGCAATTCATGATAATCCAAATGAACAGAGATTACCTTGGCACTCTGAAGCACTGTTTTTCCCAAGTAGTGTTTTATGGAAAAAGGATTTCCAACTATAAAACATACGTGTGTTGTGTAGTGGATCATGATGTAAAATGCATTTCTTCCCACTGTCATGATTGGAAAAGAAAATTCTAATAAACACTGTTTAAAAGTTTATGAAAAGGCCAGGAACAGTGGCTCATGCCTGTAGTTCCAGCACTTTGGGAGGCCGAGGTGGGCAGATCACCTGAGGTCGAGAGTTCGAGACCAGCCTGACCAACATGGAGAAACCCGTCTCTACTAAAAATACAAAAAAACTGACTGGGCATGGTGGCATGGCCTGTAGTCCCAGCTACTCGGGAGGCTGAGGCAGCAGAATCACTTCAACCTGGGAGGCGAAGGTTGCAGTGAGCCAAGATCTCGCCATTGCACTCCAGCCTGGGCAACGAGAGCAAGGCTTCGTCTCAAAAAACAAACAAACAAAAAAAAAGTTTATAACCTCTCCCTCTCCCTCCCCCTCTCCCCCTCTCCCCCTCTCTCCCTCTCCCTCCTTTCCACGATCTCCCTCTGATGCTGAGCCAAAGCTGGACTGTATTGCCACCATCTCTACTCACTGCAACCTCCCTGCCTGATTCTCCTGCCTCAACCTGCCAAGCGCCTGCGATTGCAGGCGCGCGCCGCCACGCCTGACTGGTTTTCATATTTTTTTGGTAGAGACGGGGTTTCGCTGTGTTGGCCGGGCTGGTCTCCAGCTCCTAACCCGGAGTGACCTGCCAGCCTCGGCCTCCCGAGGTGCCGGTATTGCAGACGGAGTCTCGTTCACTCAGTGCTCAATGTTGCCCAGGCTGGAGTGCAGTGGCGTGATCTCGGCTCGCTACAACCTCCACCTCCCAGCCGCCTGCCTTGGCCTCCCAAAGTGCCGAGATTGCAGCCTCTGCCCAGCCGCCACCCCATCTGGGAAGTGAGGAGCGTCTCTCCCTGGCCGCCCATCGTCTGGGATGTGAAGAGCCCCTCTGCCCGGCTGCCCAGTCTGGGAAGTCAGGAGCGCCTCTTCCCGGCCGCCATCCCGTCCAGGAAGTGAGGAGCGTCTCTGCCTGGCCGCCCATCGTCTGAGATGTGGGGAGCGTCTCTGCCCTGCCGCCCCGTCTGGGATGTGAGGAGCGCCTCTGCCCGGCCGCGACCCTGTCTGGGAGGTGAGGAGCGTCTCTGCCCGGCCACCCCGTCTGAGAAGTGAGGAGTCCCTCCGCCCGGCAGCCGCCCCGTCTGAGAAGTGAGGAGCCCCTCCGCCCAGCAGCCACCCCATCTGAGAAGTGAGGAGCCCCTCCGCCCGGCAGCCGCCCCGTCCGGGAAGTGAGGAGTGTCTCCGCCCGGCAGCCACCCCGTCCGGGAGGTGGGGGGCAGCCCCCGCCCGGCCAGCCGCCCCGTCCGGGAGGGAGGTGGGGGCCAGCCCCCGCCCGGCCAGCCGCCCCGTCCGGGAGGTGGGGGCGCCTCTGCCCAGCTGCCCCTTCTGGGAAGTGAGGAGCCCCTCTGCCCGGCCGCCACCCCGTCTGGGAGGTGTACCCAACAGCTCATTGAGAACGGGCCATGATGACGATGGCGGTTTTGTCGAATAGAAAAGGGGTAAATGTGGGGAAAGGATGGAAAAATCAGATTGTTGCTGTGTCTGTGTACAAAGAAGTAGACATAGGAGACTCCATTTTGTTCTGTACTAAGAAAAATTCTTCTGCCTTGGGATGCTGTTGATCTATGACCTTACCCCCAACCCGGTGCTCTCTGAAACATGTGCTGTGTCCACTCAGGGTTAAATGGATTAAGGTCGGTGCAAGATGTGCTTTGTTAAACAGATGCTTGAAGGCAGCATGCTCGTTAAGAGTCATCACCACTCCCTAATCTCAAATACCCAGGGACACAAACACTGTGGAAGGCCCCAGGGTCCTCTGCCTAGGAAAACCAGAGACCTTTGCTCACTTGTTTATCTGCTGACCTTCCCTCCACTACTGTCCTATGACCCTGCCAAATCCCCCTCTGCGAGAAACACCCAAGAATGAACAATTAAAAAAAAAAAAAATGAAGCTACTTGCAAAAATAAATAAGCTAAAGAAAAAAAAAAGTTTATTAAAAAAATGAGGCCAAATCGGGCAGATCATTTGAGGTCAGGAGTTCCAGACCAGCCTGGCCAACATGACAAAACTCCGCCTCTACTAAAAATACAAAAAAATTAGCCGGGCATGGTGTCATACGGCTGTGAGTCCCAGCTACTCGGAGGCTGAGGCAGGAGAATTGCTTGAACCCGGGAGGCGCAGGTTGCAGTGAACCAAGATCACGCCACTGCACTCCAGCCTGGGTAACAGGAGCGAGACTTCGTCTCAAAAAAAGTTTATGAAAAAAATAAGAGTAACCTTCATTCCTATATTAGAGAATGAGACATTCTAATTAGGAAGACAAAGATGACTGAAAGCTTCCATTATAGCTACTTCAAGCCATCACAAATATGACCTCCTGAAGATTTCCTCGTCTTCTTAAACAGAGTATAGAAAACACAACTGAACCATTTCTTCAGTTAAATTAAGTGTAATTTAACGAAATAATCATTAAGAAAAAAAGGTTATTATACTGTGTTATTTTAATAAAAACAAGACCATTAAGAATTGATCCTAAACAGCCACAAAGTGCTATGCTTTTATCTCCTTTATTCTTTTCACACAGTCACCTAATTTTTTTCACTACTACACTACTTGACATCAGTATACTAGCATGCAACAACTTCTCTCCTAATCCACATGTTCTAATCTTCTACGGGAAAGGAAACCAAATAAGCAGCCATCTTTATTAGACTAGCATCTGAAATAAAAATAAACTCAGTAACTGGACTGTGAGATACATTTTGACTTAAAGACCTTTCCTTTTTGTCCTACTTCTTATTTCACAGTACATTACAGAAATGTATAGATGACTAATACTCTACGGTATTAGTATTTTGAAATGTATAGTTATCTATAGGTGACTATACATTTCAAAACAGAGAATGGTAAATAAAGGTCCTCCATATAGTATAGAAGACATGATCAAAATATAATCATTTGGGTGGGGGGGTGAAGGGTGGCAGCAAAGTCAAAGATAAGCTATTAAATGAAAGTTATTAAAGTGCCCACCATGCAAGTAAACAATACAAATAAGAGTGAAGATCCAGAGACCTTTAACCACTATAGGAGACATCAACAGCAAAAGGGATAAATTCATGTATTTGAACGCCGGAATACTATTCAGCAATAAAAACAAATGATGTTTCTGTTTTTGCAAACTCAAGGATGAATAAGAAGGATGAATCTCAAATGTGTTGTTGAGCAAATGCAGCCAAACACAAGGGTACCTATTATACGGTTCCATTATATAAAATTCTAAAATAAACAAAATTAATCTATGATGATAGAAGTCGGTGTAATGGTTACCCTTGAGGAGGAAGATAAAGGTATTAACTATGAAGGGGCAAGAGATGCTTCAAATTGCTACTACTGTTCCACTTCCTGATTTGAGGTAGCATTTACCAAATGTGTTTACTATGTGATAATTCACTGAATGGCACACTTGTGATATGTGAACTCAAATGGGTTCATGTTACACTTCAACAAGTTTCCTTAAAAACAAAAATCATCACGCAAAGGACTTCTGGTTAAACATGACAATTTGAAAATGGAGTTATCTCTGTTCCCTTCCAACATCTCTGAAAAGAAAGTGAAGGAATTAAAAGACAGCAACCCTAGAAGTACAGCCAATACTTCCTAAAAATGGCCACAATATCCCCCATGTCACATCCTTATCTGCAGTGTGGCCTTGCCTCTTCCACATCAAGAGATGGGGTTTCTGTCCCCTCTCCTAAAATCTGGGTAGGCTTTGACCAACAGGTTAGGGCAAAAATGACACTGTGTGACTTCTGACGACAGGTCACTTAAAAGGACATGCAGCTTTCTACTTGGTCCTCTTACACACTCACTCTTGGATCCCTGAGCTTCTATATAACTACCTTAAACGAGCCACGCTGGGAAGGCCATATACAGGCCCTTGGGTTGACAACACAGCTGAGCCCACCCTTCTACACATCCTTGCCAAGGTGCCACACATGTGATGAAGCCATCCTTCAGTCTCTCTCTGCCATGAGTCATCACAACTGAGGCCCCAAACACGTACAGCAAAAAGAAGATATCCCTGCTGTACCCTTTCCAAATTCCTGACCCACAAATCCTGTGAACATCATAAAATGGTGGCATTGGTGGTGGTTTGTTATGCAACAAGATAACCAGACCAGAAAGGGAGAGAAGACAACAACAGACAAAGCAGGTCCATAAATTATGAAACACAAAAAGTACATGAAATGCCAAGTGTCTTAGATTTCAGCTACCAAGACAAAAGCCCTTTCAAGCAGCAGAATCCTGGAAAGAAATGATGGCAGGAACTGAAGACTAATGAAAAAAACTGAATAAGAACTAATTAGTCCTCTAGACCTACTCCTCCAGAAAACACTACCAGGGAACTGTCCCTCCTCTATTACTTTTTCCCCTACCCCAATAAAAAATTAAACATTTAACTCAACAGAGATGTTAAATTAAAACAGACACACTGAGCACAGGTCAGGGTGCAGAATGGCCCAAGTCCACTTCCACAGTTTGGCTATCAAAACACTAGCTGCCAGGCTTATGCTTCTTGCAGCCCCAGGATGAGTGAAAGTCCCAGAATGCCAGCTGTCCAACAGGCCCAGTGACCTATACAACAACAGTCACCTTTGAAGGATACAGGTAATTTAAAAAAAAAAAAAAAAAAAAAAATGGAGGCCAGAAGCAGTGGCTCACACCTGTAATCCCAGCACTTTGGGAGGCCAAGACGGGTGGATCACTTGAGGTCAGGAGTTCGAGACCAGCCTGATCAACATGGTGAAACCCCATCTCTACTAAAAAAAATACATGCTACTCTAGAAGCTGAGACAGGAGAATCACTTGAGAACACGGGAAGTGAAGGTTGCAGTGAGCCAGGATCGCGCCACTGCACTCCAGCCTGGGCGACAGAACAAGACGCTGTCTCAGAAAAAAAAAAAAAAAGAAAAAAAAAACCACACACACACACACACACACACAATTAGCCGGGCGTGGTGGCACACGCCTGTAATCCCAGCTACTTGAGAGGCTGAGGCAGGGGAACTACTTGAACCCGGGAGGCAGAGGTTGCAGTCAGCCGAGATGGCACCACTGCACTCCAGCCTGGGCAATAAGAGCGAAGCTCCATCTCAACAACAACAACAAAAAAAGGAACTGATAAATTACCTGATGTGTCTGACCATATTGGGGCTTACATACATATGAGAGAAAACACAGAAAATTAAAACAGTAACAAAAAGCCAACTAATGCCTCAAAAAAAGTACACGGAAAGGAAAAGTAACCATAGTGAACAGCACTTATTTATGTAGTTTTAATAATCTAAATGTTGACTTAACACAAAGATACAACACTATGGACAAGAAGGGAAATGCAGGGGCAAATGGAGAAGAGAGTGGGGGGGAAAGGTTACCTTCCATAGTAGGAAAATGTCTAAAATAGAAAAATGAAGAAATGTCAGCACTGGCAATGTGAAATGTGATGATAAATAAGAGAAGAAAGCGCTAAAGAATGGGAAGTGGAAAGAGAAGTTAAAAAGTAAAACTAGAACTGTACACTTTATGCAAATTATGTATCAATAATGCTGCTCCTAACAAGAAAAGATGGGCCCAGCACCACAGTGGCTCACGCCGATAATCCCAACACTGGGAGGCCGAGGTGGGCTCACTTGAGGACAGGAGTTGAAGACCAGCCTGAGCAACATGGCGAAACCCCATCTCTCTCTCTCTCGCTCTCTCTCTCTATATACACACACATACACACACATACACATACAGTCTCTCTCTCTACATATATATATACACACACAATATTTAAAAATAAAATTAAAAAAGAAAAGATGAATGAATTTTTTTTTTTATTCTGGAAGCACAAAGAGGAATTGGTTCTACCTCTAAACGATTAAGGGAAAGCTTCATAAAAAGAGAAAGGAAGCCATTTAAGGGTCTTGAAATAAAAATAAGAAGAAAAGATGGAGGGCCATACACGGTATCTCACACCTGTAATCTCAGCAATTTGGGAGGCTGAGGTGGGAGCATCACTTGAGCTCAGGAGTTCAAGACCACCTTGGGCAACACACTGAGACCTCATTTTTACTAAACATTTAAAAAAAATTAGCCAGGCGTGGTACATGCCTGTAGTCTCAGCTACTCAGGAGGCTGAGGCAGGAAGATAGCTTAATCCGGGGAGAGTGTGGCTGCAGTCAGCCATGACCGCACCACTGCACTCCAGCCTGAGCTACAGAGAAAGACTGTGTCCAAAAAGAAAAAGAAAAGATGGAGGAGAAGTATTGAGGATGGGGTTTAAAAGTTATATGGAGGCCCAAATGTTGAGGGACATCAAATTTTACTTTTCTTTGAGAAGATTTTTGAGTAAAAATCTATCACTGAGAGGAGTACAAAGAATGATTGTCTGTAGAGACCAAACCCAAGAAGCATTAGCTACTGTACTACCTGAGCAAAGTAAAAGAGAATGGAAAAAAAATTATAGCCACATATACAGGCACAAGTGTGCATATATATATTTGCCTTTAATTTTTAAAACAAAAAGTCATAAACTTGTTTTTAAATGGTTGAGGAGGGAATATGATGGTAGATTTGGTTCTGGAACAATGTAAATATTTCACAATCATATATGTATTTTAAATGTTACACTATAAATAAAGCAATCTTTATGAAGTTAAAAAAGCAATCTTTATAAAGCCAAAAGCAAAATGAAACAAACAAACCTTACTATGTAGCCAGCTGATAACGTAACCAGACATAGAACAATTATTTCAAAGAACTTTAAAACAGCAATTTAACCAAATACTCCCAGTGGAAAATACCTTAGGGACAAAAATAAAAGAACTACAAAAAAATCCTCAAGCTACAATTCGAAACCACGTACAGTCATGCATCCCTTAAGACCAGGATATATCCTGATAAATGCAACATTAGGCAATTTCATCCCTCTGCAAACACAATAGAGTATACTTACACAAACCTAGATGGTATATCCTACTACACACCTAGGCTACAAATCTGGCACAGCATGTTACTGTACTGAATACAACAGACCAATGTAACACAGTGGTAAATATTTGTGTCTAAACATATCTAAACATAGAAAAGGTACAGTAAAAATATGGTATTATAATCTTACGGAACCAACCTTACCATCATTGACCAAAATATTGTTACATGGCAGATGACTGTAGCTCATGGTAGTGCTGGTACTGTTATTCCAACACTGTTAATGTATGTAGTATGTGATAAAGAAACTGAGTCATTATGTTGTCTTTGAGAACCAAAATTTTCAACATAGAAGAAAAGACATATTTAAAATTGATAACAAAACATTGTAGTCCTGAATTTGAACTGAAAGATCTGTGTGAAATCATAATTTTAAAACCTTCAGAAAGAAATGAAGCGTGACATCAGCAAAAATGGTGGCTTAAGAACCTCTAACAATTCCTCTCCCATGAGAAAACGAGCAAATAGTTTCAGAATTAACTTTATAATAACTCTGGAAACGAATCAAAGGCTTGCAGGAATCTTGGAAGCGTTTAGTGAAGAAAAATGGCCAAATCTTAGTAAAAACAGAAAGCTTTGTGGCTTTTTAATTTGCCCTAGTCCCATTTTCTCCATACAGCTCTGCAGTAGACTTGAAAACAAACAGCATAATAGATTTCTGGTAAAATCCAGCAGCCTGAAAAGCCAGCAGAGGGAGTACAATGAGGCTGAAGCTCCATCAAAGCCTCATTCCCAGAAAATTCACCTGTATAAATGTTCCCTGGAAGATCCCTCTTGCAAAGCTAGGTATTTCACATAAATAGAGTTCACCAGTGTGAAATCCCTTTACTTGAAGGCCATTTGTTGAAAAGAATTCCAGGGAATTGTTTAGCTTAGAGGCTGGCTAAAGCAGTGGATAACAACAGAGACAAACAAAAGACCAACCAAAAACTTCAGAAGGAAAAGCAGGAGACTGAGATGTCTGTAAGAGTTTTAAAAGCTCCAACAAAAATATGAAAAACCTAATAATCAAGAAAGCCAAGCACAGATAAGGGGCTGTGTGCACGCCCAGAAAAATCTGAGAAGTCCCCAGGTGCTCACCTCCGCTTTACCATGAGGCTCTGCACAATCAAAATAATGGCTATGGCAATGTTGTCAACTGACTGCACAGAACACCCTTCAGCAAAGACTGGGAGACTTAGTGGTCCCAGACAGTTGAGGAAGTCACTCACTAAAATAAACAAGGAGAGAATTCAGTGGTAATACATAACAAAGAACACAGACTTTTAAAAATTAATTCAGAGAAGTCACTAAACAAAGAAACAACTACAAGAAACAAAAGCCAATACTGCAAAGGGGGAACCTTCTGCTTTCAGTTTCTACATTACAATAAAACGTCCAGTTTTCAACCAAAAATTGTGAGACATAAAACGATCCAGCCATAGAACAAAAAGCAATCAACAGAAACCATCCCAGGGAAAGCCCAGATGAGCTTACTAGACAAAACTTTAAAAGTCAGCTATTATAAACATGACCTCAAGTAAACAAAAATATGAAAAACATCTTTTACATAAAGTAAAATATGTCTCAAGAACTAAAGTATAAGGTCAATATATCAAAGAATAAAGAATATCAACAAAGAGAAATTATATTTTAATAGGACAAAATAGAAAATATAACTGAAATAAAGAATTCACTAAAGAGGCTCGACAGCCTCAAATATTCTAGTGAATATTTGAACAGGCAGGAAGTATCCAGGAACTTGAAGAGAGGTAACTGGGATTATCTAGTCCAGTAACAGAAAGAAAATAAGAAAGAAAAATTAACAGAGTCTCAGAAACCTGAGCAACACCATGAAGTTTACCAAAACATGCAAAATTGAAGTCACAGAAGAAGGAGAGGGGAAAAACATTTAAAGAAATAATGGCTGAAAGTTTTCCAAATGTAATAAAAAAAATTAATCTCACGTCCAAAAAGCTCAATGAATTCCAAACAGATTAAACTCACAGTTCTACACTGAGACACATTATAGTCAAACTGTCAAAAGACAATGACAGAATCTTGAAAACACGAAAGAAGTGACTCATCACATACAAGCGATCCTCATCAAACACTGTGGAGGCCAGAAGGCAATGGGATGACGTGGTAAAAGTGTTGAAAGGAAAAAACAGTCAACCAAGAATTCTAGATTCAGCAAAACTATCCTTAATTACAAAGGGGAAATTAAGACATTACTATATAAACAAAAACTGAATTTGTCACTAGGAAAATACAAAAGGCAGTCATCCAGGTTGAAAGGGTGCTAGACAATAACTAAAATTCACAAGAAAAAACAAGAGTACCAGTAAAAGTAATTCTCAGGTGCAATGATCTTAATGTGTCCCTACAAGATTAATATATTGAAACTTAATCGCCAATGTGATAGCATTAAGAGGTAAGGCCTTTATGAGGTGATTAACTTATGAAAGCAAAGCCCTCATGAATGGGATTAATAACCTAAAAGAGGTCTGAGAAAGCTATTCATCCCTTTGCCCTACTGCTTTTTGTCACATAAAGATGCAGCAATCTTGGAGACAGAAAGCTAGCCTTCACTAGATGCTAAATCTGGGAGTGCCTTGATCTTGGACTTCCCAATCCCCAGAACTGTGAGAAATAAAGTTCTATTATTTATAAATTATCCAGTCTGTAGTATTCTGTCATAGCAGAACAAATTGATACACCAGGTAAATATAAAAGATAATGTAAATAGGCCGGGCACTGTGGCTCACGCCTATAATCCCAGCACTTTGGGAGGCCGACAGGTGGATCACCTGAGGTCAGGAGTTCAAGACCAGCCTGGCCAACATGGTGAAATCCCATCTGCATTAAAAATACAAAAATTAACCAGGTGTGGTGGCATACGCCTGTAATCCCAGCTACTCCGGAGGCTGAGGCAGGAGAATCGCTTGAACCCAGGAGGCGGAGGTTGCAGTGAGCTGAGATCATGCCACTGCACTCCAGCCTGGGCGACAGAGCAAGACTTCATCTCAAAAAAAAAAAGGTAGAAATGGAAGAATACAGAACAAAAACAACAGATGATGATATGATGAAAACAAACAGTAAAATGGCAGATGTAAATCCTACTTTATCAATCATCACATAAAATGCAAATAAACACTTACAATTAAAAGACAAAGATCGACAGAATGAAATCATTTTTGTTTTTTTGAGATGGAGTCTCACTCCACTGCCCAGGCTGGAGTGCAGTGGCACAATTTTGGCCACTGCAACCTCCGCCTCCCAGGTTCAAGTGATTCTCCTGCCTCAGCCTCCCAAGTAGTAGCTGGGACTACAGGCGTGCGCCACCATACCCAACTAATTTTTGTATTTTTAGCAGAGAAGGGGTATTGCCATGTTGGCCAGGCTGGTCTCAAACTCCTGACCTCAGGTGATCCGCCTGCCTCGGCCTCCCAAAGTGCTGGGATTACAGGCATGAGCCACCACACCCAGTCTGAATTTTTTTAAAGGCATAACACAACTATATGCTTTCTAAAAAGGACATACTTTAGATTCAAGGACAAAAATAGGTTGAAACTAAAAGGATGTAAAACATATGTACCATGCAAACAATAACCAAAATAGAGCTGGGTGGCTATACTAATATCATACAAAATGAACTTTGAATATACACATACTATGTAGTCACAAAAATTATTAATTTTTAAAATACACTTTGAGACAAAAATTGTTACTAGGGACACAGAATATTCTATAATGATGAAAGGATCAATTTATCAAGAATATATAACAGGTAAAAACAAACAACTCAAAATACAAGCAAAAGCTGAATTGAGGAAAAACAGACAATTCAACATTAGTTGGAGGCTTCAATACTTAACTTTCAATAATCAGACAGCAGATCACAAGAAAATAGAAGACTCCAAGAGCTCTACAAAACAAGACTTAATAGCCACCTATAGAATACTCCCTGCAACAACAGCAGAATACACATTCTACTCAAGTGTATATGGAACACTATCCGTGACAAACCACGTTAGGCCACTAAAACAAGTCCCCGTATATATATATATATATTTTTTTGAGATGGAGTCTCACTCTGTCACCTCGGCTCACTGCAACCTCTGCCTCTCAGGTTCAAGCAATTCTCCTGCCTCAGCCTCCCGAGCAGCTGAGATTACAGGTGCCTGCCACTACGCCTGGCTAATTTTTGTATTTTAGTAGAAATGGGGTTTCACCATGTTGGCCAAGCTGGTCTCAAACTCCTGACCCTCAAGTGATCTGCCCGCCATGGCCTCCCAAAGTGCTGGGATAACAGGCGTGAGCCACTGCACCTGGCCGTCCTCATAATTTTAAAAGAATTAAAATTTTAAAAGCTATGCTCTCTGACCAAAATGTAGTGAAATTAGAAATCAGTAACAGGAACAAATTGGAGAAATTCACAAATATATGAAAAACTTTAAACACTCCAAAATAACTAATGGATCAAAGAAAAATGCAGAATATTATTATTAAACATATTACACAGAAAATAAACAAACCATTTCTTTCTTTTTTTGAGACGAAGTCTAGCTCTGTCACCCAGGCTGGAGTGCAGTGACACGATCTCCACCTCCCAGGTTCCGGTGATTCTCCTGCCTCAGCCGCCCGAGTAGCTGGGATTACCGGCTCCTGCCACCACGCCCAGCTAATTTTTGTATTTTTAGTAGAGATGGGGTTTCACTGTGTTGGCCAGGCTGGTCTCAAACTCCTGACCTCATGATCCGCCCGCCTCGGATTCCCAAAGTGCTGCAATTACAAGCGTGAGCCACCACGCCCGGCCAAATCATTTCTTAAATAACAAAACGGCTAAACTTATTTTAAGAGAAACTCCCTATTATTGAAGGGCCTAACAATCTTTTCTCCAGGAAGATTTTTCTCAGAAAAAAAGTCTATAAATTGTACAGGAACAAGTTTAAAAGAACAGAAAAAAGGATAAAATCATAGAATTTTTAGAGCTAGAATGAATTAAAATTGTAGAACTTTACTACATGTACATTGCTGAAATAATAATTATTCCCTGCCTAAGGAAGACTAATGCCTCCTACCTATTAAGTTTTCCCTTGCTTATTCATTTGAAATTCATACAGAAACATATCTGTACGTACCGCCTCTCCTTCCTACTCCTAAAAACTTCTGAATCACTTTGCCTATTTTAAGCATTTTAAGAATTTTGGGGAAAAAATTTTGTTTGGCTGGCCTTAATATGTTGAAAGGAGCAGAATGTTATGTTATACTGGTATATTTGGCATAGGAAACTAAAGAGTAACTGCTGTTTGATGGCAAACCATAACAGTGACATTCTGCTATAATCCAGTTTATCTTTCAGTTTCTTTCTTTGCATGTAAATATCTACTTCCTTTAAAGAATATGACAGAAAGCATTTGATATTCAAAAGTAAGCCTTCTAGTTATTTAAACCATATCCCCGAAATAACAGTTATGGGTCACGCCCTAATAGAAACAGCTTTAAAATGAGGATATGTTGTGATTTTGTCACAAGATTCTCCTAAATTTGACTTATTTTGTTCACGACATAATATCTTTAGACAAAACTTTCATAATTCAAAATTGAATTACTATAAGCCTTCCAGTTCCACCAAAATGGAGTACCATAGCTTCATTCTTCCCAGGTCCTCCCTCTTAACAACTAAAAAACCCTGAACATAATACAACAAACAAGCATAGAAAGTATCTGAAAAGTGGAAAGAAAGCAGCAGATTTCCTAAAGACTTCATAATTTGAGGAGTAATAAGGCAATGAGATCCCTGGGTTTTCGTATTGCCACCCATATTTCCAAGACAGGATGCTGCTTCAGAAGACCCCAATACAGTATCACCAACTGTCACAGAGAAAAAAAAAATTCCAAGAAAAGCCTGTTCCTCCTAGTCAAAAGGCTGGGAAAAGGGTAAGCTTAACAAAGGAAACCCTTCTGGCAAAACCCATCCTACTCCAGCTAAGTACCAAAAGAAAACATATACACACACACCCTCCTCCAGTTTCAGTGGAGCCGGGCATATAGCTAATCTAACACATACACCCCCCACCACAAAGCAGAAGCAGGTAAAAGAGTAAGCTTACCAAAAGAAACCTTTCTGGCAAAACCCATCTTACTTGAGCTAAATACCAATGGAAAACACACACACACACACACACACACACACACACACACACACGCATACACACACACCCTCCCTTCCTCCCCCTCCCTCCACAGTTTCAGTGGAGCCAAGCATACAACTAATCTAAACACACACACACCCCACCACAAAGCAGAAGCAGATAAAAGGGTAAGCTTACCAAAGAAACCTTTCTGGCAAAACCCATCTTACTCAAGCTAAATACCAATGGAAAACAAACAAACACACACACACACACACACACACACACACACACCCTCCCTCTCCCTCCCTCCGCAGTTTCAGTGGAGCCAAGCATACAGCTAATCTAACACCCCCCCACCACCACCACCAAGCAGAAGAAGCAGGTGGTGCTTTGCACCAGGTGGTACTGGAAGGGCAGAGTGGATAAGTGCTCCTACACCCTCCACCCAGCAAAAGCAGGCTGTGGGACTGGAGCCCCTACCAGGGTTGTGTTGGCAAGACAAAACAGGGAATTGATCTTCCATCCCCCACACAGGGGTGCTCCAGTTCCCCTGTTGGGTTAGTGGCAAGCCTAAAAGAGGAGCTGATCTTCCATACTCCACCCAGTAAGAGCAAGCGGTGTTCAGACTCACCCATTTAAGATAGTGTCAGTGGGGTCTAGGGGCAAGCTAGGCTTCCACCACCACCCATTAGCAAGGAGGCTTAATAAAGCTGCGTGAAGCAGTTAGTCACCACTACCTTTCACCACCACTCCACTCCCACCTCCCTCCTGCACACACAGGCCTGGTGTCAACAGGACCCAGCAAGAACCTGAACCTGCACCCCTACCCAGCCATCAACAAGACTGAACAAGGAGATGTGAGTTAGAGTCAGTCAGCTTTCTACTCCCTGCCCCAACCCCTGGTATCAGTGGTAACCAGTGAAGAGCTGAACCTCCACATTCACCCAGTATCAAGGCTAAATGAAGCAGTGTAAGACAGAGTAGCTGACAACCATTTCAGCCATTCTCAAATGCCAGTGGTACCCAGAGGGGGCTGAGCTTCCATTCCCCACCTGGCATCAACTCAGGGGAAGTGGTATGAGGTAAGGAGCTTTTTCTTCACCCTGCAGCATCAGTGCAGTGTGAGATAGCCTCCCTACTTCTCTCTTGCTGAGGCAGCATGGCCCGTCAGAAAGTTCATCTTATACCCCTACTCAGAGGCAACAAGGTGGCATAAAATGGTGCCCAACTTTTGTTAGGAAGATGTGAGGGTAAGGGAGGAATTGAACTTCCATCCCACCAGTCTGCATTAAGGCCATATGACTTAGTGCCCCACTTTTTCCACAGTAATTATCAGCAGGACCCAGCAAGAAGCTGAATGAACACACCCACCTAACCCTTGCACTACACTTCAACAAGGGAACTGCCTAGTATAAAAAAGAATAGGCCAGGTGCTGTGGTGCACACCTGTGACTCCTGCTACTCAAGAGGCTGAAGCAGCGGATTACTTAAGTCCTAGAGTTCAAGACCAACCTGGGCAACAGAGCAAGACCCTATCTCAAAAAAAACAAAAAAACAAAATTAGCCAGGCATGGTGGCACACACCTGTTGTCCTAGTTACTCAGCAGGCCAAGGTAGGAGAATCACTTGAGCCCAGGAGTTTGAGGTTACAGCAAGCTATGATCACATCACTGCACTCCAGTCTGGATGACTGATCACGACCCTGTCTCTTAAAAGAAAAAAGGAACAAGATGCACAGTTCTCAAAATATGTATGATATCCAAAATGTCCAGAGTACAAATGAAAATCTCATGCCATACCAGAAACCAGGAAAGTATATTATGAATGAGGAGAAACAATCAACAGACACAATACTGAGGTAAATCAGATTTTTTAATTACCTGACAAAAATAAAGATTTTAAAGCAGTCAACAAAACGCTTCAACAAGCAATTGCAACTGCTCTTAAAACAAATAAACAGAAATCTCAGCAAATGTTATTTTAGAAGAACCAAATGGAAATTATAAAACCAAAAAAAAAAAAAAAACCTAAAATAAAAACTCTTTGAATGAGCTCAATAAAAGAGTGGAAATGATAGACGACAGAGTCAGTGAACCAATCAGTAGAATTATGTCAATCTAAACAAGAGAGAAAACAGACTAAAAAAAAAAAAAAAAAGAACAAAGCCTCAGGGACCTATGGACAAAAATCGAAAAAGCTAAGACTCTTCTCAGAGTCCCAGAAGATGAGAGAGAATAGGACTGAAAAAGTATTCAAAGATATAATGGCTGAAAACTTCCCAAATTTGGTGAAATACGCTAAAGATACAAAAAGGTGAGTAAACCCCAAATAAAAAAGACACCCACACCAATACATCACAATTAAACTTCTGAAAACTAAAGACAAAAAAATCTTGAAAACAGCCAGAGAGAAATGATACATTACTTTATAGGGGAACACCAATTCAAATGACAGCAAATTTCTCATCTAAACCAGACAGGAAAAAAAAAAATAGCACAACACTTGTCAAGTACTTAAAGAAAATAACTGTCCACTGTGAATTCTATACACAGCAAAATATTCTTCAGAAATGAAGGCAAATAAGACAGTCTCAGAAAAACTAAGAATTTCTTGCTAGCAAACCTACCCTGAAAGAACAGCTAAAGAAGCTGTCTGAAAAAAAAAAAAAAAAAGGAAATGATAATGGAAGAATGCTGAAACTTCAGGGAAAAAAAAAAGAACTTTGGAATAGGTAAAATAGAGGTAAATATAACAGACTATCATACTACGCATGAGTTTCTTTTTATCTTTTTTTAGTTCTGCTTACTAAGGAAGAGTTCTTAAATCATATTTGCTGGTTGAAGCAAAATTTATCACACCATCTGATGTGTTGTTCAATGTATGTAGAGAATGTAAGTACACTTAAGAAAATTTATTTTTGGCCGGGCGCGGTGACTCACGCCTGTAATCCCAGCACTTTGGGAGGCCGAGGCGGGCGGATCACGAGGTCAGGAGATCGTGACCATCCTGGTTAACACAGTGAAACCCCGTCTCTACTAAAAAAAATACAAAAAAATTAGCTGGGCGTGGTGGCAGGTGCCAGTAGTCCCAGCTACTCGGGAGGCTGAAGCAGGAGAATGGCATGAACCCAGGAGGCGGAGCTTGCAGTGAGCGGAAATCCAGCCACTGCACTCTAGCCTGGGTGACTGAGCCAGACTCTGTCTCAAAAAAAAAAAAAAAATTTATTTTTAAAGTAAAGAGGGCAAAAGGACCTAAGTGGAAGAAAAGTTTCTGTGCTTAACTGAAAGTGGTAAAACACCAATACCAGTAGACAGTGGTAAGTTACATATGAATACTGCAATATCCAGAGCAACCACTAAGAAATCTATACAAAGAAATATATTCAAAAACATTAAAAATCAAGATGGAATCCTAAAATATATTAAGATAACCCATAAGAAGGTAAAAAAAAAAAGCAGATGAATGAGAAACACACAAAAAATGCAAGTAATAATAGAAAGAAAACAGAAAACCCTCCAAATACTTAGAAACTTAACACACTACTAAATACTCCATGGATCAAAGAAATTTTAAAATGCACAGAACTGAATCAAAATGAAAATACAAATACAAAAGTATGTGAGACACAGCTAAAGTAGTGCTGAAATGTAAATTTATAGCACCAAATTGTTACATCAGAGAAAAGGAAATGATTCAAATTAATAATCCAACTTCCAAGCTCAAGAACCTAGAAAATATAAAGAGCAAATAAACCCAAAGCAAGCAGAAAGAAGGAAATAGAGAAGAAATCAATAAAATTGAAGCCAGGAGAACAGCAGAATAAAAAAAAAAAAAAAAAGCAATCAATAAAAAGTTGGTTCTTAAAAAAATAAAAGTTGGCCCAGAGCGGTGGCTCATGGTCTGTAATCCCAGCACTTTGGGAGGCCGAGGCGGGCAGATCACGAGGTCAGGAGATTGAGATGAGACCATCCCGGCTAACGCGGTGAAACCCCATCTCTACTAAAAATGCAAAAATAAAAAAAATTAGCCAGGCGTGGTGGCAGGCACCTGTAGTCCCAGCTACTTGGGAGGTTGAGGCAGGAGAATGGCGCAAACCCAGGAGGCGGAGTTTGCAATGAGCCGAGATCGTGCCACTGCACTCCAGCCTGGGCGACAGAGCGAGACTCTGTCTCTAAAATAAATAAATAAATAAATAAATAAATAAATAAATAAATAAATAAAATAAAAGTTGCTGGGCGTGGTGGCTCACACCTGTAATCCCAGCACTTCGGGAAGCCAAGGTGGGTGGATCACCAGAGGTCAGGAGTTCGAGACCAGCTTGGCCAACATGGTGAAACCCCGTCTAAACTAAAAATACAAAAACTAGCCAGGCATGATGGCGGGTGCCTGTAATCCCAGCTACTCGGGGGCTGAGGCGGGAGAATCACTTGAACCCGGGAGCCGGAGGTTGCAGTGAGCCGAGATCGCGCCACTGCACTCCAGCCTGAGCCCCGTCTCAACTAAAAATACAAAAACTAGCCGGGCATGAAGACGGGTGCCTGTAATCCCAGCTACTCGGGGGCTGAGGCAGGAGAATCACTTGAACCCAGGAGCCGGAGGTTGCAGTGAGCCGAGATCACGCCACTGCACTCCAGCCTGGGGGACAAAACAAGACTGTCTCAAAAAAAAAAAAAATTAATTAATTAATTAATTAAGTTGACAAACCTAAGACTCACAGACATGAAAACACAAATCATCGTGTCAGGAATGAAAACAAAGAGAACACTACAGATTTTGCTAACATTAAAAGAATAACATGGGAATAATACTATGAACAATTCTGAGTTCATAAATTCAACTTAAAAGAAACAGATCAACTCCTCAAAACTACAAACTACCAAAACTCAGTCAAAAAGACAATCTGAAGAGTCCTATAACTACTACCAAAATTGATTTTCTAATCAAAAGCTCCAAAAAGATAAAGCTCAAATGGTTTTACCAAACAATTCTAATGAACATTTAAAGATGAATTTAAACCTATTTTACACATTCTCATCCAGAAATAGAAGGGAACTCATTTTATGGAGGCTGGTATTATCCTGACACCAAAACCAGATACTGTACAAAAAATGTTACCTACAAACCAGTATCTCTCATGATACTTAGAGGCAGAAATCCTCAACAAAATACTAGCATACTCATACTCTATTATTACATATGAGATACACTCATCCATATTCTTGTCATGATCTTATACACAAAAATTCTCAACAAAATATTAGCAAATGTAATCCAACAATGTACACAAAGAAGTATATGCCATGACCAATTGGGTTTTACTCTAGGTATGCAAAGCTGGTTTAGCATTCAGAAATCAATGTTATATTAACAGGCTGAAGCAAAAAAATCATATAATCACATCAGTTGATCCAGAAAAAAGCATTTAACAAAACCCAACCTCTATTCAAGATTAAAAATCTCAGCATCTTAGGAAGGAGTGGGGTGGAGATGGACTTCCTCAACTGAATAAATAGCATCTACAAAAAAATCTACAACTTTAGGACAAAATATTGAATGCTTTCCCAGGAGACCATACTGGCTAATGCAGTGAAACCCCGTCTCTACTAAAAATACAAAAAATTAGCCAGGCATGGTGGCGGGCACCTGTAGTCCCAGCTACTCAGGAGGCTGAGGCAGGAGAATGGCGTGAACCCAGGAGGCGGAGGTTGTGGTGAGCCCAGATTGCACCACTGCACTCCAGCCTGGGCAACAGAGCAAGACTTCATATCAAAAAAAAAAAAAAAAAACCTCCCACAACAAATGAATTCACTAAGGTTGCAGGATACAAAAATCAACACACAAAAATTTACATACTAACAATAAAGACCTGGAAATTTACATTTAAAATGCATCATCATTTGCAATTGCTCAAAAGAAAATGAGATTCATAGGTATAAACTTAACAAATGTTCATGGAACAAATCAAAGAAGACCTAAGTAAACAAAGAGACAACTCATGTTCATGAATTGGAAAGCTCAGTATAGCAAAAAATATATATGTATCAATTATGCCCAGGTTGATTTGATGCAATTCCTATCAAAATCCCAGCAAGGTTTTTTTTGTTTTTGTTTTTGATTTTTGAGACAGTCTCGCTCTGTCGCCCAGGCTGAAGGAGTGTAGTGGTGCGATCTCGGCTCTCTGCAACCTCTGCTTCCCAGGTTCAACCAATTCTCCTGCCTCAGCCTACCAAGTAGCTGGGACTTACAGGCGTGTACCACAACATCTGGCTATTTTTTTTTTTTTTTTTTTTTTTTAGATGGAGTCTCACTCTGTCACCCAGGCTGGAGTGCTGTGGCACGATCTCAGCTCACTGCAACCTCTGCCTCCCAGATCCAAGCGATTCTCCTGCCTCAGCCTCCCAAGTAGCTGCGACTACAGGTGTGTGCCACCACGCCTGGCTAACTTTTGTATTTTTAGTAGAGACGGGGTTTCACCATATTGTCCAGGCTGCTCTCAAACTCCTGACCTCAGCTGATCCACCCACTCGGCCTCCCAAAGTGCTGGGATTACAGGCATGAGCCACCATGCCCAGACAACTTTTGTTTTTTGTTTTTGTTTTTGTTTGAGACAGAGTCTCGCTCAGTCGCCCAGGCTAGAGTGCAGTGGCACGATCTCGGCTCACTGCAAGCTCCACCTCCCGGGTTCACGCCATTCTCCTGCCTCAGCCTCCTGAGTAGCTGGGACTACAAGCGCCGGCAACCAAGCCCAGCTAATTTTTTTTGTATTTTTTAGTGGAGACGGGGTTTCACCATGTTTTGCCAGGATGGTCTCGATCTCCTGACCTCGTGATCCACCCACCTCGGCCTCCCAAAGTACTGGGATTACAGGCGTGAGCCACCACGCCCAGCTTTGTATTTTTTTGGTAGAGACAGGGTTCCACTGTTAGCCAGGCTGGTCTCAAACTCCTGACCCTAAGTAATCCACCTGCCTCAGCCTCCCAAAGTGTTGTGATTAAAGGCGTGAGCCACCGTACCCGGCCTCGAAATCCCAGCAAGCTTTTATGTAGACATAGACAAACTTACTCTAAAATCTATATGAAAAGGCAAAGATCTCAGAATAGCTAAATCAACCTTGACAAAGAAGAATAAAGTGGTGAGACTCACTACACCTGATATTAAGGCTGTAAAACGTAGAGGTTCCTCTTCAAAGACTTTCCTCCCCATCTAATTAGGAATAAATAGTAACTTCTCTTAGAAGCAAAATTTATTGAAAGACCTGTGCGAACATTCTTAAATATCTGCTAGCCATAATAAACAAATCAATGTACTTTATGTTCTTAGCTCCCACAATTAAGCCTATTTGCCCTGGCATGCTTATACTGGTCTAAGCAAGCATTAGGACATAGCCTGTTCCTCTTCCTTATTTAAAGGTGTTTTTACCTTTCTCAACATTCCACAGGTTACTTCCTCCTTCCTTTGTTCTCCTCTGCCTTTGCCTCCTTAAAAAAGTTCTAAGTTGCTAGCCAATCGGGCCAAATAAAAAATGTGAAGTCCCGTTCCAGCCAATGGAAACTGGACACGGCAGTAGGGTGGACGCGTCAGGTTATAAATGACCCTGCCTCCTTTGTTCTGTGGGTGTAGTCTCATAGCAAAACTGCTGGCAAGTGTACCCTTTCTGCAGAAAGTATAAAAATGGCCTTGCTAAGGAATTTAAATTTACATTCAAGTGCTATTTCTTTACAGCACCGGAAAACAAGCATTTCAAACAAGACCTACTATACAATGACAGTAATTAAGATAATGTGATACTGGTGGAGGAATAAGCACGTAGACAAATCGAACATAATAGAGAACCCAGAAATAAACCCCTACAAATATATACGCAACTATTTTTTAACAAAGATTCAAAAGCAATTCAGTGGAGAAAAAATGACCTTTTCAACAAATAATGGTGGAGCAGTTGAACATCTACAGCAAAAACAAAGCTCAACTTCAACCTCACACCTGATATAAAACATGAATAAAAAACTATGAAACTTTTAGAAAAATAAATAAATAAACCTTAGGGATCTAGGGCCAGGCAACATGTTTTTATACTTCACATCAAGATCCATAAAATAAAAATTAATACATTGGACAATAAATTAAAAACCTTTGCACTGCAAAAGACTGTTAAAATCATTCAAAGTTATAGAGCGAGCGGGAGAAAATCCAACCACGTACCTAACAAGGACTACACTCTAGAAAATATAAAGAAATCTCAAAACTGAACAGTTAAAAAAAAAATCCAACTAGAAAATGTGCAAAAGACACGAACAGACATTTTACCAAAGATAATATACAGATGGAAAATAAGAACATGAAAGATGTTCAGGCCAGGTGCAGTGGCTCACGCCTGTAATCCCAGCACTTTGGAAAGCAGATCACCTGAGGTCAGGAGTTCGAGCCAGCCTGGCCAACATGGTGAAACCTCCTCTCTACTAAAAATACAAATATTAGATGTGCGTAGTGGCGGGCGCCTGTAATCCCAGCTACTCAGGAGGCAGAGGCAGGAAAATCACTTAACCCCAGGAGTCGGAGGTTGCAGTGAGCCGAGATCGCGCCACTGCAATCCAGCCTGGGCAACAAGAGCGAAACTCTATCTCGCAAAAAAAAAAAAAAAAAAAAAAAAAAAGTTCAACATCACTAGCCATTAGGGAAATACACATTAAAACCATAATGACCTATCAATACATCCTAACAAGAATGTCAAAAATAAAAACAGCATGAACACCAAATGCTGGCAAGGATGCAGTGAAACTGGAACACTGATACATTGCTGGTAGAAATGTAGGTAGAGCAGCTCCGGGAAACAGTTTGATGGTTTTTATAAAACTAAATATGCAACTACCAGCAATTGTACTCTTGGGCACGTAGCCCAGAGAAAACTTATGTTCACACAAAAACCTGTACACAAATGTTCATAGCAGTTTTATTCACAACAGCCAAAAACCGGAAATAACTCAGATGTCTTTCAAAGGGTAAATGATTAAAGAAACTGTGATGCATCAAAAAGGAACAAACTGTTGATACACAATACAACTTAGATAACTCTCCAAGGATATCTGCTCAATGATCAAAGGGAATTCCAAAAGGATATATACTGTATGATCCCACTTATATAACATTCCTGAAATGACAGAATTATACAAATGGATTTGTGGATAAATGGGTTAGTGGTTGCCAGCGGGTGGGAAGAGATGAAGGAAGGAAGTAGATATGGCTATAAAAGGGGAACAAGACATATATTTTGGTGTGGAACTTCTCTGTCCCTTGACTATATTTCAATATCAGCATCCTGGTTGTAATACTGTACCACAGTTTTGCAAGATGCTACAGTTGGGGGAAACTGGGTAAAGCACACACTAGCTCTATTATTTCTTAAAAATGCATATAAATCTACAATTCTCTCAAAATAAAAAGTCAGATTTTTAAAGTAAGTCAATACATAAGTGTTGCCATTTACAGAAATATATGCATGATATCCAATCTGTCATGTGATGTCCATTTCTGTAAGTAAGGACAACCAAGTCCAACAAGACAAAGAGCCAAAAAACTTACGTTAGATTGTTAAGGACTCCAACTTTCCTTCAGATAGGACTCACCTCTTTTCATAGAATCATGACTATTTAAGGATTAGATAACCTATATAGCCTATTAAAAGTTATCCTCTGAATGTCTGAATGCTGTTTACAACATCCTGGCCAATAGGGTCAATGCACAAACCTGGGCAACCTCAAGGACAGAAGACTTGCTTAATTTTTTCTATCCATTTGTCATCTTTGAAAAGCCGATTTTAAAAAAAAATTTTTTTTAAGTGTTTCCTTAAGAGTTATGAGTTATACTCTGAATCTAACTTACAAACTCCAAATCTATCTTTTTAACTGATAGATTTATAATAAAAGTATAATCATATGCACACAGACACACTCACACAGCAAAATCCAACAAAAGCTTACTTTTGGCAGGGTGCGGTAGCTCACACCTGCAATTCCAGTACTTTGGGAGGCCAAGGTAAGTGGATCACCTGAGGTCAGGAGTTCAAGACCAGCCTGGCCAACGTGGCGAAACCCTGTCTCTACTAAAATTACAAAAATTAGCCAGGCATGTGTCCAGCACCTGGAATTCCAGCTACCTGGGAGGCTGAAGTGAGAGAATCGCTTGAATCCGGGAGGCAGAGGTTGTAGTGAGCCAAGATTGTGCCACTGCACTCCAGCCTGGGCAACAGAGCAAGACTCCATCATAAATAAATAAATAAATAAATGCTTACTTTCAATAGATCAGAAAGTGTCTCAGCTGATGCCAAGCGACTCTTGCTACTCTTAGGCAAACTAAGGATCCTTACTCATCTTTGTAATATCTACATGCCCAGTACCTAATATATATTTATTCAATGTGATATTTCTTATCAATTCATACCTGAGAATTCACTTAACTTTGCCATCACATGAGTTCTAGCAAGCAGGAATATACAGTGATTATGCCTAGAATTTTAAACATCAGATCTGACCTAAGAAATAACAATCCCAACTGTAAGAAAGAAGTGGTTTGGGGAAGTCAAAACACTAAAGAAATACTTTCAAACCAGTCTAAAACTAACTAAATGGTTAATCTTATATTAACAAAAACATGCAACCTAGATTAACAAAAGCATACAAATCTCAATTTCATTATGTGCATTCATTCAGTTTCTGGTCTTAAAAGCTTGAGGCTAAAATCAAAGAAAATTATAATCTAAAACAAAGTTTAATTGTGCCCTCCTTCTAGGTCAAAATCTTCAAGAACTGAGTCAACCCTAAAAATACAAATGAAAAACTAGCTACAAAATTGTGGTGCTATACAGTCATTTTGGAAATTCCTAATTCCTAGCCCTTCATTTTAAGAAACGGCAAAACTGGTGAAACATAAAAATTAAGTGATTGAAATACACAGCAGGTCCTAAAACTCAGGTCTCCAGTTCTCTTTTCTTTTTTGAGAGGGAGTCTCGCTCTGTCGCCTAGGCTGGAGTGCAGTGGCAGGATCTCGGCTCACCGCCAACCTCCACCTCCCGGGTTCAAGCAATTCTCTGCCTCAGCCTCCCGAGTAGCTGGGATTACAGGTGCCCGCCACCACGCCCGGTTAATTTTTGTATTTTTAGTAGAGACGAGGTTTCACCATCTTGGCCAGGCTGGTCTTGAACTCCCAACCTCATGATCCACCCGCCTCAGCCTCCCAAAGTGCTGGGATTACAGGGGTGAGCCACTGCCCTCTGCCAGTTTTTTGTTTGTTTGTTTGTTTTTTAAAGAGACGGAGTCTCACTGTGTTGCCCAGGCTGGAGTGCACTGGCACAATCACAGCTCACCACAGCCTTAAATTCCTGGGCTCGAGCGGTTTTCCCATGTAGCTGGAACTACAAACGAATGCCACCATGCCCAGCTAATCTAAATTTAAAAATTTCTAGAGACCAGGGGTCACTCTATATTGCTCAGTCTGGTCCTGAACTCTTGGCCTCAGGTCTTCAGTTTTCCAATCTATTGTTCTTCCTAGGTATAACACTTACCCTCCCAAGCAAACCAGCATTTTGAGCACTCAGGCTGAAGAAACAATACTAAAGCCTATTAACTATGTTAATGGCGACTGTGCTTAGGATATTTTTCCAGTTAAAGCCATAGGTTCTCCAGGATCAATCCAAATTGTCTTCCCCTAGCATCCTTATTATTAATAGAGATTTTGAGAGAATATGTGATGTGGCCACGGAACACCACAAAACTATGTGGCAAAATCCATGCCATTTTAGTCTAACCAAGCCAGTAGTTCTAAAGCTTTTCTTTCTCCCTGACATACTCACATCATTTACACCTCTACCCAAGAATTAGTAAACTAAACTAGCTGAAAATATTGAACTAATATCCATAGTTGAGCTTCAAGGAAGATTCCCTATACTCTCTGAAATCATATATAAAATGTTTGTAGCTAAAGGGTTACTGACACTCAAGGGGTAAATGACTCCAAAAAAGCACTACTGTCCTAGCTCTATCACCAAATTTTTCATCTTTATAACAAAAATAAACATATTCTGGGCTGGGCATGGTGACTCTTGTCTGCAATCCCAGAACTTTCAGAGGCCGAGGCAGGTGGATCACTTGAGGTTAGGAGTTTGAGACCAGCCTGGCCGACATGATAAAACCCCATCTCTACCAAAAAATACAAAAACCAGGAGTGGTGGCATGCACCTGTAGTCCCAGCTACTCGGGAGGCTGAGGCTGAACCTGGGAGGCGGAGGCTGCAGTGAGCCAAGGTTGCACTACTACACTGCAGCCTGGAGGACAGTGAGACCCTGCCTACAAAAAAAAAAAAAAAAGATATTCATCTATAAGTTAACAAACTAAAGGCTATACTTTTTTGAACTAATCAAGAACCCAAATTTACCTATTTTCTCTTTTCTATAATAAAAACCAAGAAGAAATAATGAAAATAAATGAATCTTACAAATACAAGATAGTAAGTAGGCCGGGCGCGGTGTCTCATGCCTGTAATCTCAGCACTTTGGGAGGCAGAGGCGGGTGGATCAACTGAGGTCAGGAGTTCAAGACCAGCCTGGCCAACATGGTGAAACCCTGTCTCTACTAAAAATACACAAAATCAGCAGGGCGTGGTGGTAGGTGCCTGTAATCCCAGCTACTTGGGAGGCTGAGGCAAGAGAATCGCTTGAACCCGGGAGGCAGAATTTGCAGTGAGCCGAGATCCTGCCACTGCACTCCAGTCTAGGCAACAGAGCAAGACTCTGTCTCAAAAAAAAAAAAAAAAGATAGTAAGTAGTATAACTATGGCTACTTCTATACACATTCACGGAATGAATTAATATTCATGGGGCCTGGTAATCAGTCAGAGCAATAAAACCAAAATATGAAGGCAAAATTTGCCAATTCTTCCAATCAAGAGCTCACAGTAGGTCAGGTGCAGTGGCTCACGCCTGTAATCCCAGCACTTTGGGGGGCCAAGGCGGGCGGATCACAAGGTCAGGGGTTCGAGACCAGCCTGACCAATACAGTGAAACCGTCTCTACTAAAAAAATTAGCCGGGCAGGGTGGCGCATTCCTGTAATCTCAGCTACTCGGGAGGCTGAGGCAGAAGAATCGCTTGAACCCGGGAGATGAAGGCTGCAGTGAGCCAAGATTGCACCACTGCACTCCACCCTGGGCAACAGAGCAAGACTCCATCTAAAAAAAAAAACTACCAGTATTTTCATATAGCAAGAGGTAAAATTAACAAAGCATTTTAACAATATACAATATGATCTCATTTGTGTGATAAAAATATCTAACAGAATATGCTTAAAAGTGAAAAGCTACCCAATAAACTTTTATCAGTGGCTGCCTCTGAAAAAAAGAACTAAGTAAGTGAGAGATGACGTAGGAATTTTTTTTTTGAGACAGAGTCTGACTCTGTCACCCAGGCTGGAATGCAGTGGTGTGATCTCAGCTCACTGCAACTCTGCCTCTGGGTTCAAGCGATTCTCCTGCCTCAGCCTCCCAAGTAGCCAGGACTACAGGCGCCCGCCACCATGCCCGGCTAATTTTTTTTGTATTTTTAGTAGAGACGGGGTTTCACTATGTTGGCCAGGCTGGTCTCGAACTCCTGACCATGTGATCTGCCCGCCTTGGCCCCTGAAAGTGCTGGGATCACAGGCGTGAGCCACCACGCCCAGCCAGAATTTTTTTTTTTTAATATTTGGCTATACTACTCTTCTCTGTATTGTTCCAATTTTAGTATATGTACTGCCAAAGCAAGCACAGAGGGTGATTTTCACTGTACCATCCTTTCTGTCACTTTTCAATTTTGTACTATGTGCAAGTATACCTATATTCAAAAAATTGCATGAAGGTATTTCAAAAGTCAAAGACAATATCATGGCTGCAATTAGGATGGGGGCAGTGGGGATGGAGGGAAACGGATTTGAGATTTGAAATGTAGGCCAGGCACAACGGCTCATGCCTGTAATCCCAGCACTTTGGAGGCCAAGGCCAGAAGATCACTTGTGTTCCAGAGTTCAAGACCAGCCTGGGCAACAAAGAAGGACCTCATCTCTACAAAAAAAAAAAAAAATTAGCTGCACGTGCTGGCACATGCCTATAGTCCCACGTAGCTGGAGTGGGAGGATCCACTTGAGCCTGGGAGGTCAGGCTGTAGTGAGCAGTGATCATGCCAATGCACTCAGCATGGGTAACAAAGTGAGACTTTGTCTCAAAAAAAAAAAAAAAATAGAAATGATGAGGTCGGGTGATTAGGAATTGAGAAAAAGAGATGTCAACAACTATTCCAAGGTTTCTGGCATGGGTAGTGGTAAGTGACATTTACTAAGACAAGGAATATTAAAGACAATTATAAATTCAGTTTGCATATGTTCAGTTTGAGATACCTTCAAGATACCAAGGTAGTCAAGTAGGCAGTCAAACATGTATGTAAATTGGGAACAGGGTGAGTAAAGAGGACCTAAAACACAGCATCCTTGCAAAGACTGAGATGTTGTCAGATACAAAGTCAAAGTAGCAAGGATGTTATGAAAGCCAAGAAAAGGCCTTTTTCAAGAGCTCTTAAGTCTGCCTCCATCTCACCCCATTCCTAAACCACAGCCTTAGTTTAAACTCGTCTCTTCCAAGACGTTACCATTATCCAAGATATTATCTTATACTGAGCACCTTTCATGCACCAAGCCCAATGCCACACACTTTACATTTTTTCCCCTAACACAAAATGCAATAGTCTGCGGGAAATGTATTACTACTTCTACTTTACAGATAAGAAAACTGAGGCTCTGAAAGATGCTTGCTTGCCCAAGGATCACACATCTAGTAAGTGGTAGGAACAGAATTCTATCCTAAAATTCATGCATTGCTATCTACCCATCGGTACTGAAGTTCCTTTCCCTTACACCATATCCTTCTCACAGTGGCCAGTAATATTCCCATAAAACCTACTTCTGGTCATGTCACTTCACCTGATTAGAGAGTTCAGTTTAACAATGCCCCAAAACATCCTACGGCCTATAGTGATGGGGCTTCTCACATGTTCAGTTATCTTTTCCCAATCCCACTGAAACATGCTACCCTCTACCCATACCTGACTATTCACAATTCCTCAAACACCATTTAACTTTATACCTCTAACTCTTTTTTTTTTTTTTTTTTTTTTTTTTGAGATAGAGTTTCACTCTTGTTGCCCAAGCTGGAGTGCAGTGGTGCAATCTCGGCTCACCACAACCTCCACCTCCCGGGTTCAAGCTATTCTCCTGCCTCAGCCTCCCAAGTAGCTGGAATTACAGGCATGCGCCACCACACCCGGTTAATTTTGTATTTTTAGTAGAGATGGGGTTTATCCATGTTGGTCAGGCTGGTCTCGAACTCCCGACCTCAGGTGATCCACCAGCCTCGGCCTCCCAAAGTGCTGGGATTACAACAGGCGTGAGCCTCCACGCTCAGTTTATACTTCTAACTCTTTACCCTCTTTTTCCTCTTGCTACATCTACATGTCTGGTAAATTTCTACATGTTTCATAACCAAGGCTAAATGCTGAATCTTTGTGCAGTTTCCCTCAGTCACTTCTCCAGTCAAAACTAACTGCTCCAGGCCAGGCGGGGTGGCTCACGCTTGTAATCCCAGAACTTTGGGAGACAAAGACGGGAGGATCACTTGAGGCCAAGAGTTCAAGACCAGCCTGGCCAACATGGTGAAACCCCATCTCTACTAAAAATCAAAAAAATTAGCTAGGCATGGTGGCGCACGCTTGTAATCCTAGCTATTCGGGAGGCTGAAGCAGGAGGATCACTTGAACCTGGGAGGTGGAGGTTGCAGTGAGCCAAGATCACACCACTGCACTCCAGCCTGGACGACAGAGCGAGACTCTGTCTCAAAAAACAAACTAACTGCTCCAGCCAGCACAGTGGCTCACACCTGTAATCCCAGGACCTATGGAGGCTGACACGGGCAGATACCTTGAGCCCAGGAGTTAGAGACCAGTCTGGGCAACATAATGAAACCCTGTCTCTACAAAAAAATACAAAAAAGTAGCCAGGCTTGGTGGTTCACGCTTATAGTCCCAGCTACTCAAGAGGCTGAGACAGGAGAATTGCTTGAGCCTGGGAGGCAGAGGTTGCAGTGAGCCGAGATAGCATCGCTGCACTCAGCCTGGGTGACAGCTGACATAGTGAGACCCTGCCTCAAAAAAAAAAAAAAACTTAACTGCTCCAAAATGTGGAGAACCGTTGAAAACAGGAGTTCATTAAACTACCTTCAATACCTGTACATACTTTAAATGATGCATAATAAAAAGTTTTAAATGTTTTAATTACTCCATCATTTCAGAGCTCACAGCACTTTGCATGTATCTTTATTATTACACTTAATACATCATATGATCACTCAGTCTGTCAGCCTCTCCCAACAGACTGACTGCAGGACAGAGGCCAGGTCTTATTGGTTGCCCCAGAACCTGACACAATCCCTCACCCACAGCAGCTCAACAAATGTTTCACCAATCAATCAAGCAAAGCAAAAGCTTTTGTAGTTCTCATTCTGATATTTGAAATTCAGAAACCTAAAATATTTATTTAACTACTGTATCTTGAAAACAAATTTTCCCTAAAAATAAAAACTATCCAGACTCAAGCAACTATGATTCATAAAGTTCTCAGGAAAAATTACCTCTTGTGTCACATATTATGTAATATTCTATCACAGAACACTATAGCAGTATCAAAATACAAACAAAATTCACATCACATACTCAGCTAAACATGTTTTCTACTCATTTTCCAAGCAATTATTTCTTAACTTCCATACAGCAAAAAACAAGGTCCACAGATATTTGAGATTAAGAAATTATTTTACATGTAATAAGGGCATCACGGTTATGTTTCAGAAACAAACATCTATGGATTAAATGCTGTGACTGATTGCTGAGATGTGCTTCAAAATAACATGAGTGAGGGGCAAAATATATATAGATGAAACAGGACTGGTCATGAGTTGCAAACTATTAAAGCTGGGTGATGGTTGATTTGCAATACTTTCTGAAAACACTGAAAATTTTTCCTAATAAACTTTTTTTTCAAAAAGAGAGAAAAATCTAATGAACACGTAATAAATTTGTAGTTTAAAAATAACCCTTTGTCTAAAACAATTTCTTCCACTGTTCTAAACTAAAATGAATTAGATGACCTTATATAATACCCTTAAGTATAACCCCAACTTTCTTCCTGAGAATAAACTTAGCAGCAGCATCTTCTATTTATTCTAACAAAGGCAAAATACTCAGCCAGGCATGGTGGCTCACGCTTGTAATCCCAGCACTTCAGGAGGCCGACGCGGGGGGATCAACTGAGGTCAGGAGTTGGAGACCAGCCTGGCGAACACAGTGAAACCCCATCTCTACTAATAATACAAAAATTAGCTAGGCGTGGTGGTGCACACCTGTAATGTCAGCTACTCAGGAGGCTGAGGAAGGAGAATCGCTCGAACCCTGGAGACGGAGGTTGCAGTGAGTCGAGATTGCGACATTGCACTGCAGCCTGGGCAACAAAAGTGAAATGCCATCTCAAAAAAAAAAAAAAGACAAAATAGTACCACAGAGAAAATTACAAAAAGCATACAAGAATACATTCACAATGGAACACCACCAACAGTTTTAATAATATACAGAAGTAAACAAATGATGGAATATAAGGAAGAAATAGGTAAGAGAAAAAATAATAAAAGCTTATAGAAGAAAGTTGCAAGCAGTCTACAAATTAGCTCAGAAACCTAAAACTGTCTAACAAGGGATTACTCCCACCCTTCCAGGTGACAGTTTTTTTGTTGTTTTTTGTTTTTGAGATGGTGTCTTGCTCTGTCGCCAGGCTGGAGTTCAGTGGCACGATCTCGGCTCACTGCAATCTCCATCTCCTGGGTTCAAGCAATATTCTCCTGCCTCAGCCTCTCGAGTAGCTGGGATTACAGGTACGCGCCATCACACCCAGATAATTTTTGTATTTTTAGTAGAGACGGGGTTTCACCATGTTAGCCAGGCTGGTCTCGAGCTCCTGACCTCGTGATGCCCGCCTCGGCCTCCCAAAGTGCTGGGATTACAGGCATGCGCCACCGCGCCCGGCCCAGGTTACAGTTCTTAATCAGGTCCCAAGTATCAGCCTGTGCCAAATCAGACTCAAAATAAAGTCAGCAATGAAATGCTAAAGATCAAAATGAAGAATGAGCGCAGTGACTGTCACAAAGCCATCTAAAACACAAAGAAATAGGACCTAATTGGGTACATCTCTACTCCATTCACTCCTACCCTCACTGAAGGAACATCAAGTTCAAAAGTATCCCAACTTCAGACTGTAATTAAAATGCAAGAAAGGCCTTTACAAGTATCTCTTCTAACTATAGACATGGTAGTTTAAACCCATTTTTAGTCAACCAAAATATAACATTCTGGTGTACTATCAGAGTACTTTTTTTTGTTTGTTTGTTTGAGATGGAGACATGCTCTGTTGCCCAGGCTGGAGTGCAGTGGCGCGATCTCGGCTCACTGCAACCTCCGCCTCCTTGGTTCAAACAATTCTCCTGCCTCAGCCTCCCAAGTAGCTGGGATTACAGGCGCCCACCACCACGCCTGGCTAATTTTTTGTGTTTTTAGTGGAGATGAGGTTTTGCCACTTTGGCCAGGCTGGTCTCGAACTCCTGACCTCAGTTGATCCATCCGCCTCAGTCTCCCAAAGTGCTGGGATTACAGGCACGAGCCACCACGCCTGGCCTTATTGTATTATTTTTAAGGTAATATATGTCTACGGTGTTAAAAAAAAAAAAAAAAGCAGTACAGAAATCTATAAAACAGTTTAAAATCTCCCCTCCTTCTCACCCCAAAAGTGTCTTGTACTCCAAGATGACCATTAAGTCATCCTGAGTGTCCTTCCAAACTCTGTCAGAGAATTTAAATTGACCCATGAACACTCATTTAAGAATCTCAAGTTAAGAACTCATAACAAGGTAAATATTACTACAAAATGAAATCAAAGAAGGACAGAACACACAGCAGATCATCCTTTGAACATCTGCTAAAAGCTAAAATGTGATTTTTTTTTTTTTTTTTTGAGATGAAGTCTCGCTCTGTCGCCCAGGCTGGAGTGCAGTGGCACCATCTCAGCTCACTGCAACCTCTGCCTCCCAGGTTCAAGCAATTCTCCTGTCTCAGCCTCCCAAGTAGCTGGGACTACAGGTGCACGCCACCACGCCCGGCTAATTTTTATATTTTTAGTAGAGACGTGGTTTCACCATATTGGTCAGGCTGGTCTCAAACTCCTGACCTCAAGTGATCCGCCCACCTCAGCCTCCCAAAGTGCTGGGACTACAGGTGTGAGCCACCACACCCAGCCTTAAAATGTGATTTTTAAATCATGTTTTCCTAAACAAAATTATAAGATGCCTTGCTAACATCTAAATCAAGAAATACCATCTCCAAGAAACACAATCAACAAACAATCCCCATCTTTAAGAGCCATTCTAACTTGTGAATTGTTAAATTTACCTTTCTCATAAACTTTCAGAATATTTCACATTTTTCTTCTCCCAAAGATGGTCCTGTGTTAGTCACCCTTAAACTTATCTCACCCCTCTTAAAGAATTTAAGTTCAACACGGGCAAGAAATATCTATGCTATCTTCATACTATCTACATAGAAGGCTTGCACATAGTGTACATTAATATACTGTTTTAATTTACTGTCACGATAATTTACAAACCAATGTGGAAAACTGATAAAATTATATGTGAAGTTTCAATATGAGTACTTAAGACTGTCAATTATGCATTCATTAAATAAACTTTATTAATTAACTAATCTACAAATAATACATGTGAGTCCTAAACAGCCTAACCACCATTTCAATTCTTAGACAAGCTGGTAGTGTTTTCTTAACATAAATTAGCTCTCTAGATAACACATTTCAAAAATATTATTAATAATGCAGTGTTAGCAGTCATTAACATCAATTTCAAAGAGTTCAACGCATCACAATGAATTTCAAAGTAAAAATAAACTTAACAGAAATCCTTTCAAAGATGCAGAATATTGGTACTATGTAAACAAAAACTAAATGTTACATAATTTAAGTCAGAAAAAGACTTACTCTGCAGCTAGCCAAGCAATGAACTTTCATTTTGGTTTAAAGTGCATGACCTATCACTTCACCTAAGTCACAAAAATTCATCTCTCAGGCAGTTTTTCTTAACAGCTTAAGATATTGGCCAGGTGCGGCGGCTCACACCTGCAAAGCCAGCACTTTAGGAGGCCATGGTGGGCTGATCACGTGAGGTCAGGAGTTTGAGACCAGTCTGGCCAACACGGTGAAACCCCACCTCTAATAAAAACACAAAAATTAGCCGGGTGTGGTGGCAGGCACCTGTAATCCCAGCTACGCAAGAGGCTGAGGCATAAGAATCACTTGAACCTGGAAGACCGAGGTTGCAGTGAGCCGAGATCACTCTACTGCACTCCAGCCTGGGGGATAGTGTGAGACTGTCTCAAATTAAAAAAAAAAACAAAAAGTATCTAGAGGTGGCAGTCAAATGCTCTCTAGTTATTTCAATTTGTAATTGATTCGACAGAAAGAACTATTTACTGAAAAAGAAAACCAGAACTTTAAAAGTGCCTGTTTATGTATTGCTGCAGTTCTAATTTGTGACCAAATATGCAAATATGTTCTATAATCTTAGTATATCTTTATTACCAGGCACAAATCAAAACTTTAGGAAATACCAAGTATATAAGACTTTGTCCACGTAAAAAATTAAGACTGCAAGTGTTCAGAAGACAATCTTCCAAACTAGAAAACTCTTTAAAACACAAAGCATGACATTATTTCCATGGCTACTTTCTTTTTTTGTTTGTTTTTGTTTTTTGAGACAGGCTCTCATGACTTTTCTAACCAAAACACTAGCCATCTTTAGCACTGGAAATGAATTTACAGGTTGAGCATCCCTAATCTGAAAATCCAAAATCTAAAACTTTTTGGGTACCAACATGACACTCAAAGGAAATGCTCATTGGAGCATTTTGGAATTCAGATTTTCAGATTAGGGATGCTCAACTGGTATGTATTCTGCAAATATTCTGAAACCCAAAAAAATCCCAAATCCAAAACACATCTGGTTCCAAGCATTTTGGATAAAGGATACTCAACCTGTATGCCTTTAAGTGCCAGCAAACAAAAAACACACATAAATGAGAATGTTTTTAATCAACATCCAAATATTACAATTTAAAAAAGCCACCTCTAGAACTGACCTAATAATTTCCCCTACCAAACACGCCAGCAAACCAAATTTAAGAAAATATGTTTCAATGGATCTTAAACTACTTCTATTATCAAAAAAATTTAAAACACCAACTGTTTTAATGCTAATATGTCCTACGGAAAAAAGCACATACATTTTTAAGTGATATACAATCTATAACTTCTAAGTATTTTGTATAATCTTTCTACTAATAGAATTACCAAAAAAATTTCCAATAAGAGTATTTAAGAAAAACTTAAAAATAAGATACTTTGTTCAAAACTGTGTATTTTAGCAATAGTTCCCTGACGCAGATAAGATTCCCCAGTCCCCTAGCATTATTACTATAACTATACTTGGTAGTACTACTATATTTAAACTTACTACATTTATGGTATATATTCGTATATATTCTACTTTAACTCAAATCCTTACCCTACTTAAAAAAAAAAAAACCCAAAAGGTTTTCAAAAATGTACTAAAAAAGTCACAAGTTAATTTCTGTTAAAATATTTTGCTTAGTTTTCGATAACTCCACTGAAATTTTAAAAATAAGAATCTTGAATTATTACATTACCAGAAGATTAAGGGTCAGCATTCAAGAGCACTGTTCAAGATCACCCTATATCACAAGAACTCTAATTACGCAGGCTCTAGCTGTTTACAACCTTAAAGACATTACCAAAAAATAATACATTGTATTAACTACCTTATTTTTTTAATCCAAAACCCCAGGCATTGTATATCAAATGGCCATCCTACAAACAAAAAATTCTTTCAATGACTCTAATATAACTGAATCTGACAAAAACATTCGGGAGACGATGAGAAATCAGTGGTTTGAATAAACTGCACACCTGGAAAAGGAATACACATATAGATATGTACATACGTATACATACGCATATGCATATATATACATATATGTGTATACGCATATACATACGTATGTATATACATGTATATATGTATACACGTATACGTGTGTATATACGTATGCGTATACGTGTATATACGTATTCATATACGTGCGTATATACGTATACGTGTGTATATGCGTATATGTATATGTGTGTATACGTATATGTATACGTGTGTATATATGTATATGTACACGTGTGTATATATGTATACGTACATATGTTAAGGGACAAGTAAGAGACATATTTAATGCTTTCAACTTTCTAAAGCTTTTAGGTCAAGAGTTTTTTTTAACATACAAATGTGAATTTTAAAAACTTGAAAGAAAATCCAATAATATACATAGGAATAAGAATTTTTGAAAACAAGTAGTAATAGCTAAATTTCTGCCAGAAAGGAAAACGTTATACAAAGTGCAGACTAAATTGGGGCCGGGGGGTTGGGGGTGGGGGGGCATGGCAGGACAAAAATCAAAGCTAAAAAGGGAATTCTGGGAGTTATTCAATTCCATTATCTGCCCTCAGGTAAGTAGCCTAAACCTGCCCAGTAAAGGAAAGCCAACTCTTAAGACTTTCAGGGAATAAGAATTCTGAAACCAACATAGCTCAACATTCCACAAAAAATAAAAATAAAAAACAAAAAAATACTGCTTCGAGGACTGTTAAAAGAAGGATGAAACTAAATAATTCAAGACTTCCTACAGCAGGACTCCAGCTCATTCACTTCATTCAGAACCCAATTCAAACAGAGGGTGCGAAGTTATATAATGTCAGGCTTTACATTACACACCCCACTGGTATGTTCAGGCTCACAAAGATGCAACCAAGAACTATATGCGGTTGCAAGCACATATTACAGAAGGTTTTATTTTAATGTTAAGGCTGATGAATCTTGTCCTAAGCAGGTAGGACACCTCACAAGCACTGAGTCTGAAGCAGTGAAGATTTTTTTTTCTTTAGTTTAACAAACTGCTTAATCGTTCATCAAATTACCCCATATATCATGAAGGCCCCAAACATAGTGAAGCTTCACTAGTTTTTCATTTTTAAGATGTATTCAAACATCAAGTAATGCACAACTTGCCAAGAATATTTGAAAATGGTTACTTTTTTAAAATTTAAACTCGTTAGTGCATAACTGCAGGGTTTAATATTACAATCCGAAATCCAATGTTAAGCACTATTCGCAGTGAATCTATATGAATATGAGCATTCTAAGACATAAAATCAACTAGCATTTTACACATTCTCAACATAAAACATCAGATTCCATTTATTTTTTCATCACCATAACCAAAAGCAATCGATTTGGCCAAACTTTTCCACGTGAATTATCTTTGCAAGCAATTTTATTAACCCATGTTAGACCAACAATAATCCCTCCAAAACAAAATAATGCTCTTTTAATTTAAATCATGTTTAATCTTTTATAATGACAACTTTGACAGCAGTCAAATATTTTTAAATAAAATACTTTAAATACTCAAATTGGAAAAAAAAAAAAAAACTTTAAGGCAGGAGACCAACAATTACTGACGCTTAAATCTTTCCAGAGCTAGTCACTGTTCATTTTTACAGCAATAATTGTAATGAAGCCAATTAATACCTACGTAGTCAAAGTTTAATTCAAGTTTTCTGTATCGGTCAAAGGGGCCGGGCTTACTGAAAAGCATTATTTCCATTTAGTTTTCTGATTATATGCAATATAACACCTTATAATTACTTTGAAATAAAAACAAATGTGTAATTACAGATAAAAAGGAATTGATGACTCTGCGAAACCAAGCTACAGACAAAAATTCAGAACAACAAAAAAATCAACTTAAGAATAAAATGTTAGACTTATTTCAAACTTGCGTCTCAACTGCAACAATAAAGCTAGGTGTCAAATGCAAAGCTATGATTTCAGCTAGAAAAGAAAATGTCTAACGGATACAACACCCATAGCACACACTCCAACTTTCACGGTCCCAATTACGAAGAAAGTATTCAAATACCATTGCAATCAGATTTTGGTCAGGAAATATAAACTGATGCATACAGATTGAGACTCCAGCCTTTGTTCAATAGCTTACAGATGGATAACTAAATGTGCTACAGGTTGATAAGCATTTACCAGGCTTATGCATGCTGCTTCCAAGCTTATGAAAGGTATAAGAATTCTATATGCAAATAATCTTGGGTAATTTTTTTTAAACACCACTGAGCTACACACTCCGAAGGAAAGGCTTATTCACGGCTACTATTTATTTCCATGTTTACCTCTACACCCTCCCCCTAACCCCCCCCTTCACTTTCTCCTCCCACCCTGTCCCGCCATCTTGGGCCGATAGGAGCAGCCATTACTTAACTAAATGACAGTGCCAACAACTTTCCACACAAATAAAAAAAGACTACACCCCGAATCCTCCCCAGCCTCCCCTGTCAGACACACAGGAAATGAGGCTCCAGGAAGAGAACACGTTTACAAATAACTACGGTATTTCTATGCCAAAAAGACCCAAAAAGTAAACAAGTCACCTAACTTCAGGTAACACACACTGCAATCGAGATACATGTCAACAGCCCAATGCAAACTCTTCACCGACCTAAACTCCGTGAAACTTCCCCCTTCTGGGAGCGGGGACACAAGAAAGCCTAAAACATTTGGTTAGCAGTAGGCATCACGAACAGCCTGCTTGAAGGAAAAGAATTTTTTTAAACCCGTAGAGGCAAGTTAAGTCCGAAATTTGGGAAAATCTGAACACACTCACGATCCCTTGACCCTAAACAGGCACCTCGAAGATCATCGGCCTACCCTCAAAAAGCTGTAAAATAGCAGGCAGTTGTGTCGACCCAGTTGAGCCCGGCCCCAAAGCGATCCCGTCTCTGTTCCTCCAGCTACAAGAGGAAAAGAGCGATTTCGCAAGGGAGCAAGCAGGGTACCCGGGGGTGGGGGGAGAGCAGAGGCAGGAAATAGTTTCCGGAAGCCCCTCGACCATCGTCCGTGGCCACAATGAGCACAGACCCGGCCGCGGGGCCCGGGGCGAGCGCGGCGCCGGCCAGGGAGACGGTGTCCGCGCTCCGACTCGCAGCTGCCTTACCTTGCCCAGTAGGGCCTTCGTCCTGGCGCCATCTTCATGAAATCTCACGAACCCAAAGAGGCGGCTGTGGAGACAGACACAGTTTACTCGTTAACGCTCAGGGAACGCCACCGACCCGTCCCTGCCCGAGCCCGAGGCCCCAGCGGAGGCGGCGCGAAGAGCGCCAAACCGAGGTGCCCGCCCCGCCGCCGCCAGAGACAAGCCGCGCTCGGTCCTCCCGGGAGAGCGGCTACTGCCCGTCCGGAGCCGACCGGGCGAGTGACGGCGGCCCGTACCTGTCCAGTCCGCCGAGCGCCTCCCTCTCCTCGGCTGTCAGGCTGGGGGACGCCTCCTCGCTCTCGCCGCTCGCTTTTCCCGCCGCCATTTTCTTTTCCTCATCACCGAAAGCGGCGGCGGCAGCGGCGGCGGTAGCGAGCGACACTCCGCAGGATTTCATGGAAACGCAGCGAATTCACAACTCCAACGCCGACACCCCCCCTCGGACCGGGGCCCGCAGTGACGCCCCCAATCTGCGCGCGGGACCAGCACACCAACTTTATCGCCGCCTCCTCCTCCGCCGCGGGCGGCGGCGACGAAAAATCCCAACGCGGCGGCGGTGAAGGCGGCGGCGGCGGCGGCAGGGGCTGCGGAGCCCCCGGGTCGGCAGCGGCGGCTTTCGGCTGTAGGGTCACATCGCGGGGTTGGGCAGGGGGCAGCCACAGGCGGGGACGGCGGGAACGGCCGGAGCGCGCGGGGCTGGGGAGCACTGAGGGGATTCGTTGGAGACACAAACTTCCCCGGCACCAGCACAAAGTTGTTGTAATTGTGTCACACAGCGAACCCCACGCCGCCGCCGTGACCCCCCCTCCCCGCCCGGCTGGCGCCACCAATCGGCGCGGCCCGCACGCCTCACGTGACCTTTGTTGACTCACGTCAGCCGTGGCTCCACTTAACTTGCTAGCTGCCCGAGCCCCGCCCACCGAGGCCGCCACCGAGATGGGAGCGGGACGCAGGCCAATTCTAGCCGGTGGTTGGCTGCTGGGCGCGTCTGTCGGGGGAAGGGTTGTCACCGAGAGGGAGCTTCCTGTTAGGTTGTGCTGGTTAAATACACTGGGGCAGAGAATGGAGGGTCCGGGCCGTGTCACCTCGGGAACCGCGGCGGGCTCTGGAGGGGGAGGGGAGTGGTGGGGAAGGGCGAGGTCCGGCACCGCCCGCGGCGGGCGCGAGCGGCGGGCGAAGACGCCAAGGACGGCATTTGCCTGCCCGCGAGCTCTGGGATGTGCCCAGACCGCGGCTCCGGCCGTCCCGCGCGCGCTCCAGGGGTCCCGGGACCCCACAGGGCCTGGTACAGGTCGCGTAGCCGGGAGGCGGCGCACGGCCCTCGACCTCTGCCCTCCGAAGAAGGCTCAGACTTTTGGCACTGCTGGAAATAATGGCCTCCGCGAGGAGGGCGCTCGGGGAGCGGCTGCCGGTCCCGTGCCCCGCGGTCCGGGTGCCGCCCTAGGCCAGACCTGCGCTGGCAGCCCCGATCACCTCACCCGCGCCGAAAGTGAAGGGGGAAGGGCTCCCCTGACCCCCGCCCATACGCCCCAGGCCGGAGGGAATGAAGAGTCGCCCGCGGGGCCTGGCTTGCCGACCATGGCTCCCCACCGCCAAAGGTCTGTCTGTTGGCGGCACTTTGGGGCCAGATTTTCGTGCTGTGTTTACCCTGTGTCTTATCAGTAGTTCATTACAGTCTTACAAGAAAAAGCAATGAGAAATTGTGAAGCGGGATCTGCAGAATGTTGGGTTCTATTGCCATGATTTCAGTGGAGCCTTCTTACAAAAGTAGGGGCTGCTTGTGGACAGACCTGAGAGAAGACATAATTAAATCATCACAGCTGGTGGCCCAAGAAATCCTTTCTATCCCCCAAAACCTGCAGGTTTGTAACCCCTAGACAACAGTAACATTTTGTTGTTCTGTCTCTCAGGTGCAGGGGAAAGGCTTTAGTCTGACTTTTAATCTTTACTATAGGTGAAAAAAAAATAGGCCTTTCGACTACTCTTCTCAAAAGGCAAATTTATTTACTAAGCTGTATGTCTTATAACAGGGATAGGAAAAAATTGATAGACATATAAGGACAAGATTCTGTTTATAAACGGAGTTTTTTATATTTTCAATAGGTTTTCCACCTGTAACCAATAAAAATTATATATTTAAACTTGGATTTCAAAATATGACGAAGACAATTCAGTGCTGACCCAGTAATTCCTACCAGTATTCAGCGGGAAGCTATGGGAATCCCAACTGATTTTGCACACAGTTTTAAATTGTTCCCCTGAGACTAGTAACTAGACGAACAAACTGTAGTTTTGTATAGATTATAGTTCATGTTTAATTACTTCCTCTGAAACACCTTTCCCTTTATGATACTCCATTTTGCTTGAATGAGTGTGTACAAAGGGCCAAATCTTTTCTACGGCTAAATTAATACATTGTTAACTTTGTCACAAATGGTGACATTTAAAGCCAAGGAAATTTTGACCCCAGTAACTCGCTCGCACACTCTCTCATACACACACACACACACACACACATACACACACACTTGCACAAGCACAGATAGACATTTTGCTGGTATTTGACTATCTCCCTGAAGTTAGCAGTTCCTGACTCAGGTCCTTTTCAAGGATTATAAGGCTACTCAATCCCGGCCGGGCTCTGTGGCTCACGCCTGCAAAGGGAGGCCGAGGCGGGCGGATCACGAGGTCAGGAGTTGGAGAGCAGCCTGGCCAATGTGGTGAAACCCCACCTCTACTAAAAATACAAAAAACAAAATTAGTCGAGCATGTGGCGCTCGCCTGTAGTCCCAGCTACTCGGGAGACTGAGGCAGAAGAATCGCTTGAACCCGGGAGGTGGAGGTTGCAGTGAGCCATGATTGCACCTCTGCACTCCAACCTGGGGACAGAGTGAGGCTCTGTCTCAAAAAAAAAAAAAAAAAAAAAGGCAGCCAGGCGCTTTGGCTCACGCCTGTAATCCCAGCACTTTGGGAGGCCGAGGCAGGTGGATCACGAGGTCGGGAGATGGAGACCACGGTGAAACCCCGTCTCTACTAAAAATACAAAAAATTAGCCGGGCGTGGTAGTGGGCGCCTGTAGTCCCAGCTACTCGGGAGGCTGAGGCAGGAGAATGGCGCGGAGCTTGCAGTGAGCCGAGATCGCGCCACTGCACTCCAGCCTGGGTGACAGAGCGAGACTCCGTCTCAGAAAAAAAAGGCTACCCACTCTCCACACCTCAACACTTTTCTTCCCGCTATTACTATGTAATAGCAGAACAGCAAGGAGTGGATGCAATGGGTGGGAGTTGGAGTGAGGCAGACCTGGATTCGAATCCTTGCTCTACACAGGCTGTGCGACCTTGAGAACATTACCTATCCTCTAGGCCAGTGCTCTATGTCTATTACAACTACAAGGATCTATCATCAAGCATGGGACAAATTTCATATGGTAACATAAGTCCTTACATCATACACATGTTACATAGTGTGTTATCTGTCAAATGTATGTAAAATAGATATAGAGCCTATAAGGTTTACATATTTCACTGGAGAGAGAAATAGGGACATACAATAAATGATTTTATAATAAATTTCCATGAAAAGTGAATCTGAAAACCCCACCGGAAGGCAGAGTAGTGCAGCCAAAGGAGCATGAATTGTGGAATCATACAGCTCTAGGTTCAGATCCTACCTTTACCACTTGATAGCTAGGCAGACTTCAACAAGTTAGTCTAATTTGAGCTTCAGTTCTCTCATCTGTGAAAAAGAGAAAATACAGCCACTTTATAACATTATTTTAGATGCCATAAGGTAGGTAAAGTGCCAGACACATAGATTCAAAAATCTCAATAAAATAGGAAGGCTGGAATTTCCAAAATTTTTTCTTGCTTTCACAATCTGGGTTCTAAATTTATTATTACTCTACCCATCACTTCCTCCTTCTCCCTCCACAACCTCACTATAAGCCCAACACATAAGCAGTCCTAAGTACTTTATACTTGAGGCATATAACCCCAGTATTGCTACATCTCTCATTTATTCTAAACTTCGGCCTTATAAGCCGGGTGCGGTGGCTCACGCCTGTAATATCAGCACTTTGGGAGGCTGAGGTGGGCAGATCACCTGAGGTCAGTAGCTCCAGACCAGCCTGGCCAACATGGTGAAACCCTATCTCTACTAAAAAAATGCAAAACTTAGCCAAGCATGGTGGCACATGCCTGTAATCCCAGCTACTTGGGAGGCTCACGCAGGAGAATCGCTTGAACCTGGGAAGCAGAGGTTGCAGTGAGCCAAGATCATGCCATTGTACTCCAGCCTCGGCAACAGAGCAAGACTCCATCTCAGAAAAAAAAAGAAAATAGAACATTCATCCTTATATCACTTAGTACTGATTCTTTTTCATAATTCTAAATACACCAGGAGCTGGGGAAAGTTTAATCTGAATTTAGCAAATTAATACGACTAATATATGTATAGATAAATCAATATTATAAAATTATATAAAATCTAGCTAAGTCAGATTACAGACTAAGTACATAATTTGTAGCAATATTATGTTAATATTTATGTAAGTACCATCAACTAATTAGAGAAGGAACCCATTTAAGTATAGGAAAATAATGTGACTTTCTTTTAAACAACGAAATATTTAACCTGAAGCACTTAGGAATATTTAGTGTGTTTATAATGTTAGTGCCATATAACCTTTACAGATAATAAAAAGTCACATAACAGAGTCATAGTTTATCTAGTCTTATCAATAGAACTATACGTAAATGTTACGATCAAACATAGGTTCAAAAAAATTTACCAGTTCTTCCCATACTTACCACTGTCATAGAGACTATCCAGCTGATGCCAGAACACAAAAATGACAGAAATAGATATATGGTTAGGTTTGAGCAGAGACAGGGAGCCAAGGATAAATGGACTTTCAGTTGTTATGAAAACTTCAGTTGTGAGAATAGAGTTAGGACTGCTAGAAGATGCCTGGACTCCTACCTTCACCAGGCTGTAATGAGGCACCTCACATCCCACCCCCGCCAACACACACACACAACTGCACTAGGCAGCCTGGACTTCCACCCAGCAGTTGTGAGGGGTCAGTACCCATCCCTGCTGAATTAATGTCAGAGTCGTCAAAACTTTCATCACTGCCCAGTGGTATACTACCACCCCCCCCATTGTATCAGTGGAGGGGGAGCAATGTAGGGAACAATAATGAGGGACTCCTATACTGCCCAGCTAGGGTGAATGGAGGCCTCAATCTAGGCCTGGTAGGGAGCGAGAACTCCCATCCCCACAAAGCAGTAACAAGGAGACATTGCACTCATTGTCAACCAAGATTGAGGGGGAAAGCTGGACTTCCACCCACACCTGGCAGTAACAAGAGAATGCCCCCTTTGCCCCCACTAGAGCAATGTCAGAGGAGGCCTGCTAAAATACAAGATTTAAATAAGATCTAGAGTCTTGGCCGGGCGCAGTGGCTCATGCCTGTAATCCCAGCACTTTGGGAGGCGAAGGCGGGTGGATCAGCTGAGGTCAGGAGGTGGAGTCCAGCCTGACCAACATGACAAAACCTCATCTCTACTGAATACAAAAAAAATTAGCTGGGCATGGTGGCACATGCCTATAATCCCAGCTACTTGGGAGGCTGAGGCAGGAGAATTGCTTGAACCCCGGAGGCGGAGGTTGCAGTGAGCCAAGACTGTGCCATTGCACTCCAGCCTGGGCAACAGAGTGAAGCTCTGTCTCAAAAAAAAAAAAAAAAAAAAAAAATCTAGAGTCTCAGAACACTGCCCAAAATATCCAGGTTTCAATAAAAAAATTACTCATCATAGCAAGACCCAGGATAATTTCAAATGAGAAAAGGTCAACAGATGCAAACACTAAAGTGAATCACATGTTTAAATTATCTAACAAGGGCTAGGCATGGAGGCTCACGCCTGTAATCCCAGCAATTTGGGAGGCCAGGCAGAAGGATCACCCGAGGTCAGGAGATTGAGACCAGCCTGGCCAACATGGTAAATCCCTGTCTCTACTAAAAATACAAAAATTAGCTGCGCATGATAGCGCACTCCTGTAATCCCAGCTACTACTTGGGAGGCTGAGGCAGGAGAATTGCTTAAATCTGGGAGGCGGAGGTTGCAGTGAGCCAAGATCGCGCCATTGCACTCCAGCCTAGACTACAGATTGAGATTCTGTCTCAAAAAAAAAATAAAATAAAATAAAAATAATAGCAAACAAACAACTAAAAAACTAGAAGGCCTCAGAAGAGCAAGAAGAAGTTTCAGAAAAAAAAAAAAAGACACAAAGTATTGTTGAGCAAGTGGCATCTGTGGCCCTATTGTCAGGAGGAGATGTCCAAGCACTTCTGCCCACTGCATCTTGGTACCAGGATCTCCAAGGAAAATACAATTCAGTCAAGCCCCGGGTAGAATAACTTTACTCACATAGAGAAGACACACAGCAAGATCGGCTTCAGTAGTGGACATTAGTTCTCCCTGGCCAACAGGTCCCTCCAACAGCCAACACACTCCTCTTGTGCTGCAGCAGAAAGATCTCATCCTCTCCCTGCAGTGGACAGATATACTAGTGGTGTGGCCCAGATGCCACGTGACACATATATTTAAGCAGAACAAAGGAGCACACATTGAGTCTGAAACAAAGACAGATATTCCCACACAAGGTAACAAGTCTAGTACAGGCTGTGAGAACTCTCCATCCCTTGGTAAGGAAGTGTTCCAGGCTCAAGGCCTATTCTCATGTGGCTGATAGGGGAGCAAAAGACTGCACCCATGGAATCAAACGAAAATTTTAGAACAAAAAAACAGAATGATCAAAATAAACTTCACATATGGGCTCAATAGCAGAATGGTGGGAACAGAGGAAAGAATCCATGAACCTCAAGACAGAACAATAGGAAATACCTGGCTGGGCAGGGTGGCTCACACCTATAAACCCAGCACTCTGGGAGGCCAAGGCGGGTAGATCACCTGAGGTCAGGAGTTCAAGACTAGCCTGGCCAACATAGTGAAACCCCATCTCTACTAAAAATACAAAAATTAGCCGGGCATGGTGGCACCTACCTGTAATCCCAGCTACTCAGGAGACTGCCGCAGGAGAATCGCTTGAACCCGGGAGGCAGAGGTTGCAGTGAGTTGAGATTGGGCCATTGCACTCCAGCCTGGGTGACAGTGAGAACCTGTCTCAAAAAAAAAGAAAAAAAAAAAAAAAGGACATACCCAATCTGAACAACAGAGAGAGAATAGACTGAAAAATAAATAAATAAATAGAGCCTCAAGGATCTGTGGCACTGTAACAAAAGACACAACACTTATGTCATCAAGTCACAGAAGGAGAGGAGAAATGGAGAAATTAGGCATAGCCAAAAAAAGTACGTCAAGAAATAATAGCTGAAAATGTCCAAAATTCACATCATCCTTGTAATTAAGCTACTCTTTCTTGGAGAGTTGTATAAACAAATTCTATACTATAATCCAGAGTGATGAGTGCCATGACCTATGCCCAAATTTCTGTGGGAGCACACAGAAGAGGCATCTTTGTCAGCCTAGAGGGACCAGGGAAGTATCCTAGAGATTAGAAGATAGGCCAGGCGCAGTGGCTCACGCCTATAATCCCAGCACTTTGGAAGGCTGAGGCTGGTGGGTCACCTGAGGTCAGGAGTTTGAGACTGGCCTGGCCAACATGGTGAAACCCCGTTTCTACTAAAAATACAAAAAAATTACAAAATAAAAAAAAATAAATAAAAATACAAAAAAATACAAAAATTAGCCAGGCATGGTGGCGGGCGCCAGCTGCTCGGGAGGTGGAGGCAGGAGAATCGCTTGAACCCGGGAGGCAGAGGTTGCAGTGAGCCGAGATCACGTCATTGCACTCCAGCCTGGTTGACGAGAGCGAGACTCCGTCTCAAAAAAATAAAAAATAAAAAAAAAGATAGATTGGTAGGAGCTGGAAAGTGAGTATAGGGAGGTTTATATTCCAGGCAGAGGCAGCAACATACCTGCAAGCACACAGAAGGCTAAGAATATGGGAGTTCTGATAAATTCAAGAAGTTGAGTGTGGTTGCGGCCAAGAGGATAAGGGAAAAATCAGGAGTTGAGGCTGAAAAATTAGGCAGCACCATGAAGAGTCTAGAATGGAATGCTAAAGAATCATGCGAAAGTTTACAGTGGACTATTAAAAGATTTTAGAGAGAGAAATAATAATTGTAGGGTTGCTCTTGGTGTTAGTGCTGTTGCTGTAAACAGATTTGCTTTCACCTGGGCTCTGCACTTGGCACCAAGTTTAGTGAATACTGGCTAACTGGCTGGCAGCCTGACCCTTTTGCTAGACCAAGCGTCAGAAAACTATACTCTATAGGTCAAATCCAGCCCACTACCTGTTTTCATATAGCCATTTTATCTCAGATGAAAACTACATGAAATTCAGTTTTTGGTCTCCATATAAAAAAGGTTTCATTGAAACACAGTCATGCTTATTCAACTATTATCTATGGCTGCTTTCGTGCAACAGTATAGAATGGAATAGTTGCAACAGAAAATGTACATGGCACTCACATCATTTTGCCCTGCCGCTGGGTTCCCTACAAATCACAACGATACTGTTACAACTTGGCAGTGTTTCCAGTGCCTTACATACAACACTGAGACTTTTTAAAATTACCAGTGCAGGCCAGGCACAGTGGCTCATGCCTGTAACCCCAGCACTTTGGGAGGCCGAGGCAGGCGGATCACAAGGTCAGGAGATGGACAACATCTTGGCCAATATGGTGAAACCCTGTCTCTACTAAAAATACAAAAATTAGCCAGGTGTAGTGGCACGCTCCTGTAGTGCCAGCTACTCTGGAGGCTGAGGCAGGAGAATCACTTGAACCCGGGAGGCAGAGGTTGCAGTCAGCCGAGATTGTGCCACTGCACTCCAGCCTGGGCAACAAGAGCAAAACTCTGTCTCAATAAATAAATAAATAAATAAATAAATAATTGGTGCATACTTATCATGTTAAAACAAGAAAAGAGAGAAATATGGACTTCAGATGTCATGCCTTTAACGATTATTTTGTTATTAAATTTCATGGCAAAGCATTTATTATGCCATAACACTATAGCTTTGCTAAAAGAATACAATATATGTCAACATTATTAAACTAAGCACTCATCATAATATTCCCAACTGACAGAACAGCAACAGTGAGAACAATTAGAGAATTTAAAACAGAATATTTCATCACAGCAGAATTTCTTCACAAAAATAAAAAATGAAAATGAGGGCTGGGCATGGTGGCTCATGCCTGTAATCCCAGCACTTTGGGAGGCCAAGGTGGGCGGATCACGAGGTCAAGAGATTGAGACCATCCTGGCCAACATGGTGAAACCCCGTCTCTACTAAAAATAAAAAAGTTAGCTGGGCATGGCGGCGCGTGCCTGTGGTCCCAGCTACTCAGGAGGCTGAGGCAGGAGAATCGCTTTAACCTGGGAGGCGGAGGTTGCAGTGAGCCGAGATCACACCACTGCACTCTAGCCTGGGCCACAGAGTGAGACTCCGCCTCCAAAAAAAAAAAAACAAACAAACAAACAGGAAAAGCTGTTCAATTGAACTGTGTTTGATTACAATGGCCAAACAAATATGTCCAGAGAAAATAAACTGAAGGCTTTTAGCTAATAGCTAAAGGCTATTAGCCTTTCAGGGAGAACAATTGCTTGAAGAGTGAGGACATTGGGAGCAACATCAATAGTCCAAGGCAATTAGCTTTGAGTGGTTTTCCTTGGCTCTTTATGAGTTAACAGATATTACTGATACAATTCGGTTGTTGTTTATTAGAGGAATCAATGCTGTGTTTGAAGTAACTGAAGAATTAGCCTCTGTTGGCCCTGCACGGTGGCTCACACCTATAATCCCAGCAGTTTGGGAGGCCGAGGCAGGTGGATCACGAGGTCAAGAGTTCAAGACCAGCCTGGCCAAGATGGTGAAACCCCATCTCCATTAAAAATACAAAAATTAGCCGGGTGTGGTGGTGGGTGCCTGTAATCCCAGCTACTTGGGAGGCTGAAGCAGAGAATTGCTTGAACCTGGGAGGTGGAGGTTGCAGTGAGCCAAGATCGTGCCACTGCACTCCAGCCTGGGCGACAGAACAAGACACCAGCTCAAAAAAAAAAAAAAAAAAAGAATTAACCTCTGTGAATAGTCTGCAGGGAACAACTAAGGGGGAAAATATTTTCAAAAAAGCTGAGAATGCACTGGTTCAGTACAACATGAAGTGGAATCTTCTAAGATGTGTTACAACTGATGGTAGTAAAAATATATATGGAGAAGAAAAATGCTTAGTTGAACAAATTCACAAAGGTTGTGAGAATGTAATGTGTTTAAACCCTGTAGCTATTCATAGTCTCATTCATCAGTAGTCACTTTGCAGTAATATTTGAATCTATCATGTGTTATTGAACCAGTAGTGTCAGTGATAACTTCATTGAGTCTCATGGATTTAACCATCATCAGTTTGGTGAATTTTTGTCAGAAGTAGAAATGAATATCCAGATTTGCCCTATCACATAGCAGTTTGATGTCTTAGCAGTGGCAAATTTCTATTGTGATTCTTTTGAGCTTAAGACCAAGATTGAAAATGTTTTAATTATAAGAGCTGCCCTGTACAGCTATTATCAAAAGGAAATTACTTTTTGCTGCAGACTTGATAATGTGTCTTCATGAATTTTACCAATTATAAGGCAAAACAGCACTTATGTGTGAAATTTATACCATAGTAAAGTCATTTTGATGACAACTAACATTGCTTGAATTACAAGTAATGTCAAGCCACTTTATACACTTTCATGCTGTCAGAATTTAAAACAAGAAGTGAATTGTCAAAAAAAATTTTCAAGTGAATTATTCATTCTTATATAAATTTGCAGCAGATATATTTTCCAAGCTCAAACTATGGTTCCAAGCAGCATTTTTCAGACCTCAATGTAAATCTAAAGGAAATTTCCATATTTCAAAATTCATTTAACTGTGCGGTTGAGGAGTTTCTGCCTAATCATCAATTGGAAATGATGAATCTGCAGTGTAATGACATACTAAAAGGCAAATATCAAGAGAAGAATCTACTAGAATTCTATAAATTCCTTTCATGTGATGAATATGCTTAGTTAAAATCACATGAACATAGATCAATTCAATGTTTGGCAGTGTCCTTCTGTGTGAAAAGACATTTTCTGTTTTTTAGGGTTTTTCTTTTTCTGCTCTGTCTCCCAGGCTGGAGTGCAGTGGCACAATCTCAGTTTACTGCAATCTCTGCCTCCTGGGTTTAAGCTATTCTCCTGCCTCAGCCTCCCGAGTAGCTGGGATTACAGGCATCCACCACCATGCCCGGCCAATTTTTGTATTTTAAGTAGAGATGGGGTTTCACCATGTTGGCCAGACTGGCCTCAAACCCCTGACCTCAGGTGATCCACCCACCTCGGCCTCCCAAAGTGGTCGGGATTACAAGCGTGAGCCACCGTGCCCGGCCATGTGAGAAGACATTTTCAAAAGTGAAATACATAAAATCTTATTACAGATTAGCATTAACAAATGAACATTTGCAATGTAATCTGATGATAGGGAACATTAACTTTGAACCTCCGTCAAGTAAAATGTATTCCAAAAGCATAGAATTTTATTCTTCTCACTAGTAGACCTGTATTACCAAAAATTATACCCAATTAACTACTATTAGATTTTGAATTTCATCAATAAAGTATTTGTGGACATTTGTTTTCTCTATTGTTATATAAGTACTTACATCATATCTTCGATTCTGCCTCTTGGCCTGCCAGCAAAACTTGAAATATTTACCATCTGTCCCTATACAGAAAAAGTTTGCCAATCCCTCACCCGACTAATTGGTTCCCTGGGGGCTTCCAGTTCAAAATAATGTATTGCTATTTGCCCCCAAATGCATCCGGGCCTAACTTTTCACAAAAATTCCCTCAAATACAGAAAAAGAAAAAAAAAAGACAAGATTTCACAATATTAAGGACTAAAACTAACAGGTAACCCAAGGCTTGGATCTGGGTGAAATAGGTGTTAATTAAGAGGCGGATGGCCCTAAAGGGCTGGATTGAGAAAACCCCAGTCATGCTTTAGTTTGGCTTTATTTCCTCAAACAGACACTGACTGAAAAAGGTAGAAAGCCTCTTATTTAAAGCTCATACCGCCATTCCATAATGACCTACAATCTGTCTCCCATCTCAAAGACTTGGTGCCTAAACCAACAAGAAACATCAGTTTCTCTACCCTTCAAAGCTGCTCACCAGAATACTGATCCCCACCTCTGCCTCCACTCCACATCCCCTGAATCCCTCTATTTCCTATTGCTTATCTAGGAAGATAGATAAGTTGGCAAGAAGTAAGGGAGAATTTGGGAGAAAAAAGGAGGAGATACATTTAGAGAGGTACAGTCCCCATACATGGCTGGTTTCACGAGCGTTTGCACTGTGCAGTCACCCAGGACCCCATGAAAGAAGGCCCCATTCTTGGTTTAATGCTTTGCTGTCACTGTCTGGAAATTCTTAATTTTTTAACAAGAGGCCCCACATTCTCATTTTACATGTAATTTTCTTGCAAATTATGTAGTGGGTTCTGCCCAAAACTTTAGGAAGAGGTCAACTACTTGAAGGTCTTAAAGAAGTCTGTGCTGGGAACTATATTTTGTTGTGTATCACATTAGTAAATAAGAGGTACAAAAAGTGAAATCAAACTATGTGTACATTAATCTGTCCTCCAGCTACAGACTTGAGATGGTGATTCTGCCTCGATTTCCCTGGGCACATGATGGATCCAAGCGTAACCAGCTCACTTACCTGTGGACAGAGAAAAGAGAAACCTTGTTTTATTTGAGGGTAAAGAGAATAAAAAATACAGAGCTAGGGGAAGAACGTAGCATTCAGAAACATTAGAGGAAATGAGAACTCTTCTTCACCAGGGCCCAGAAAAAAATTTTGGAAACCCGTTAGCAGTCCTAAGGTTTCCTTCTGTAAATGGAAGGAAGAGGTGGGGACTGAGATGAAAATTCAACAGAATGAAATGAGAAACAGACAGGGTAAGGAAAATTAGCAGTACTCCCCAACAGTAGGAACAAAATTAAAGTACACATTGGAGATAGTAAAGAGCAATATTCATACAGCAAAAAAAAAATTTGAATTTGATGTCAAGAGCAAAGCTGATGCTAAGAAATTGAATGGAATGTGAAGGACAAAGACAAACAAAGAGAGAGAAGATGATAGCTGTGGAAAAAGAAGAATGGAGAATCTGGAGAACCGACATATGGATAATTTGTGTTCCTAAAAAAGGAACGAAGGCAAATGGAAGAGAAGTAATGAAAGTAACTGAAACAGAAAAGTTTTCCCTTTTTTTTTTTTTTTTATGAGATGGAGTCTCGCTCTATTTTGCAGGCTGGAGTGCAGTGTCGCAATCTTGGCTCACTGCAACCTCTGCCTCCTGGGTTCAAGCGATTCTTCTGCCTCAGCCTCCCAAGTAGCTGGGAATACAGGTGCCCGCCACCATGCCAGGCTAATTTTTTTTTGTATTTTTAGTAGAGACGGGGTTTCACTATGTTGGCCAGGCTGGTCTTGAACTCCTGACCTCATTATCTGCCTGCTTCGGCCTCCCAAAGTGTTGGGATTACAGCTGTGAGCCACCGCACCCAGCCTAAAAGTTTTCGTTTATTGAAGAACATCATATATTGATTGAAAGAGCCCACCATGTTTTAGGCAAAGTCAATACAAAGGGACACACAGCTGGAAACATCATGGCAAAAGTTTTAAGCTACAATATTAAAGTTTCTATGATTGTTCAGGGAAAAAAATTAAATCTGATTACCCAGATAGAAACAAAAGTCAGTGTTTCCAATTTCTCTTATGTAGAGCTTTAGAGAGAAAAATGTATGACCCCAAAATATATATCTGAGTTGTTTTTTCAAGTGTAAAAATGTCAGAAAACACTGCTATTTAAAGGATCATAAAATATATCACCTTATTGAAAAAAAATAATGGTTTACAATCTATTCCAACTATGAGAGAAAGTAAAAATAAAAGCTCAAGAATGGAGAAGTCGGCTGGGTGCGGTGGCTCAAGCCTGTAATTCCAGCACTTTGGGAAGCCGAGGCAGGCAGATCACCTGAGGTCAGGAGTTCGAGACCAGCCTGAACAATATGGAGAAACCCCGTCTCTACTAAAAATACAAAATAAGCTGGACGTCGTGGCGCATGCCTGTAATCCCAGCTACTTGGGAGGCTGAGGCAGGAGAATCGCTTGAACCCGGGAGGCGGAGGTTGCGGTGAGCCGAGATGGCGCCATTGCACTCCAGACTGGGCGACAATAGCAAAACTCTGTCTCAATAAATAAATAAATAAATAAAAATGCCATTGGTCGGGCACGATGGCTCACGCCTGTAATCCCAGCACTTTGAGAGGCCAACGCAGGAGGATTACTTGAGCCCAGGAGTGAAACCTCATCTCTATCGAACATGAAAACATTAGCCAGATGTGGTGTGTGTTCCATTAGTACCAGCTACTCCGGAGGCTGAGGTGGGAGGATCTTTTGAGCCTAGGAGGTCAAGGCTGCAGTGAGCCATGTTCACACTACTGCCCTCCAGCCTGAGTGACAGTGAGACTATGTCTCAAAAAAAAAGAAAAAAAGGTCATTTCACTCTGGACTTATCAATTACATAAAGATTAAGTTAAAGTAAACTTCTGACCGGTTTCGGTGGCTCACGCCTATAATCGCAGCACTTTGGGAGGCCAAGGCGGGCAGATCACGAGGTCAAGAGATCGACATCATCCTGGCCAACATGGTGAAACCCCGTCTCTACTAAAACTACAAAAATTAGCGGGGCTTGGTAGCCCGCGCCTGTAATCCCAGCTACTCGGGAGGCTGAGGCAGGAGAATCACTTGAACTCAGAAGGCAGAGGTTGCAGTGAGCCAAGATCTGGCCACTGCACTCCAGCCTGGCAACAGAGCGAGACTCTGTCTCAAAATAAATAAATTTTAAAAATAAAATAAAATAAAGAAAGCTTTTGAAAAACCTAAAGGTACTTACTAGGTAATATATTTACTGTATCAATGCAGGAAATAGAAAGATACATGAAGAAAAAAGCACTAGTTTCCCCTTCCTCCAGGTAGTCACTTTCAATTAATAGAAAGAAATACTTTCTAAAACAATAGAGAAGATAAAAACAGGAACCTGGGGCCAGGCGCGATGGCTCACGCCTGTAATCCCAACACTTTGGGAGGCTGAGGCCGGTGGATTATTGGAGGTCAGGAGTTCAAGACCAGCCTGGCCAACATGATGAAACCCCATCTCTACTAAAAATACAAAATTAGCCAGGCATGGTTTTTGGTTTTGTTGTCATTTTGTTCTGTGACTTTCTCTGCCATTTCCTTTATTTCCAGGTTCTTTTTTTTTTTTTTTTTTTGAGACAGAATCTCGCTCTGTCGCCCATGCTGGAGTGCAGTGGTGTGATCTCGGCTCACTGCAAGCTCTGCCTCCCGGGTTCACGCCATTCTCCTGCCTCAGCCTCCCGAGCAGCTGGGACTACAGGCACCCGCCACCACGCCTGGCTAATTTTTTGTATTTTTAGTAGAGATAGGGTTTCACCGTGTTAGCCAGGATGGTCTCGATCTCCTGACCTCATGATCCGTCGCCTCGGCCTCCCAAAGTGCTGGGATTACAGGCGTGAGCCACCTCGCCTGGCCTTGTTTTTTCATTTTTGAGACAGAGTTTCGCTCTTTTTGCCCAGGCTGGAGTGCAATAGCACGATCTCAGCTCACCGCAACCTCCGCCTCCCGAGTTCAAGGGATTCTCCTGCCTCAGCCTCCTGAGTAGCTGGGATTACAGGCACAAGCCACCATGCCTGGCTAATTTTGTATTTTTAGTAGAGATGGGGTTTCATCATGTTGGCCAGGCTGGTCTTGAACTCCTGACCTCCAGTAATCCACCGGCCTCAGCCTCCCAATGTGTTGGGATTACAGGCGTGAGCCATTGCACCCGGCCCCAGGTTCCTGTTTTTATCTTCTCTATTGTTTTAGAAAGTATTTCTTTCTATTAATTGAAAGTGACTACCTGGTGGAAGGGGAAACTAGTGCTTTTTTCTTCATGTATCTTTCTATTTCCTGCATTGATACGGTAAATATACTACCTAGTAAGTACCTTTAGGTTTTTCAAAAGCTTTCTTTATTTTATTTTTAAATTTTATTTTATTTTATTTTATTTTATTTTTTGAGAGGACAGAGTCTCTCTCTGTCTCCCAGGCTGGAGTGCAGTGGCGCAATCTCGACCCACTGCAACCTCCACCTCCCGGGTTCAAGCGATTCTCCTGTCTCAGCCTCCCGAGTAGCTGGGTTTACAGGCACGCACCACTATGCCTGGCTAATTTTTTGTATTTTTAGTAGAGATGGGGTTTCACCATGTTGGCCAGACTGGTCTCAAACTCCTGACCACAGGTGATCCACCCACCCGTGTCGGCCTCCCAAAGTGCTGGGATTACAGGCATGAGCCGCCGTGCCTGGTCATAAACCAAAGATTTTAGAACTACAAAAATGTAACTCCCCTGTTAAAAGACTTGGTTGAGTAAAAGAAATTTAAGTATCTAGTTACAAGAGGCATACCATTAAAAAAATGACATAATAAGTTACAAACTACAAAAAAAGACATATTAGACAAACACAGAGCAGGAAAAAACAATATTAGAACATCAAGACAAAAAGTATTAATCAGACAAAGAGAGTTAATTTTATATTAGTAAAAAGGGTACAACTAAAATTCTCTTTGTCTTAAAGTTCAATGCCAGACTCTTATACCACCAAAATACATACAGAAAAACTATTAGAAATTGTATTAGGGTTCTTGGCGGGGCGGGGTGGCTCACGCCTGTAATCTCAGCACTTTGGAAGGTCGAGGTGGGCAGATCACCTGAAGGTGGGGAGTTCGAGACCAGCCTGACCAACATGGAGAAATCCCGTACCTACTAAAAATACAAAAGTAGCCGGGCGTGGTGGCGCATGCCTGTAATCCCAGCTACTCAGGAGGCTGCGGCAGGAGAATCGCTTGAACCTGGGAGGCGCAGGTTGCGGTGAGCCAAGATCGTGCCATTGCACTCCAGCCTAGGCAATAAGAGCGAAACTCCGTCTCAAAAAAAAAAAAAGAAAATAAATTGAGATTTTATTTAATTGGCTTATGCTATCGTGGGGACTGGCAAGTTTGAAATTTATAGGGTGGGCCAACATGCTGGGAACTCAGGTGAGAGTAGATGTTGCAGTCTTGGGTCCAAAATCTGCAGGGCAGGGCAGCAGAAACTCAGGTAAAGTTTCTATGTTTCAGTCTTAAGGCAGAATTGTATCTTCTTTGGGAAGACAGTCTTCAACTTGTTGGATGGGCCCCACTCCGATTAGGGAGGGCAGTCCACTTTATTTGAAATCAATTTATAGTAAATGTTAATCACCTCTACAAAATACCTTCACAGCAACTTCTAGACTAGTGTTTGACCAAGCAACTGGGGGCACCATAGCCTAGCTAAATTGACACATAAAATTAACCATCACAGAAATATAAGGAGGAATTGACAGAGAAACAAAGCAATGTAAGACTAACATAACTCAGCCGGGCACAGTGGCTCACGCCTGTAATCCCAGCACTTGCGGAGGCCGAGGCAGGCAGATCACCTGAGGTCAGGAGTTCAAGACCAGCCTGGTTAACATGGTGAAACCCTGTTTCTACTAAAAATACAAAAAAATAGCCGGGTGTGGTGGCAGGCGCCTGTAATTCCAGCTACTTGGGAGGCTGAGGCAGGAAAACCGCTTGAACCTGGGAAGTGGAGGTTGCAATGAGCAGAGACAAACTTGCAGTGAGCAAAACTCTGTCTCATAAAAAAAAAAAAAAAAAAAGAGTAACATAACTTTTAGTCTTGGACATACCAAGCCAACCAAAAAATAAATATGAATACAGAGAATTTCAACACTAATAAGACTATATACAATATACTATGGATTATACATAAACTACATATTAATATAACATATTTTAACTTAAATTATAAGCTACATAAATAGATGAGAATGGTGGTAGCAATCTGAAAGAGAAATTCCAGGATATATTCCAAATGGATCAAACATTTATTTATTTAGTTATTTAGTTCTTTTGAGATGGAGTATCACTCTGTCGCCCAGGCTGGAGTGCAGTGGCGCGACCTCAGCTCACTGCAACCTCTGCCTCCTGGGTTCAAGCAACTCTCCCGCCTCAGCCTCCCGAGTAGCTGGGACTACAGGCGCACGCCAACAACCCCAGCTAATTTTTGTAGTTTTAGTAGAGACGGGGTTTCACCATGTTGGCCAGGCTGGTCTCGAACTCTTGACCTCATGATCCACCCACGTTGGCCTCCCAAAGTGCTGTGATTACAGGTGTGAGCCACCGCACCCGGCCCTGGATCAAACATTTAAATGTTAAAATTGAAATATAAAAGTACATGAGGCCAGGCGCAGTGGCTCACGCCTGTAATCTCAGCAATTTGGGAGGCCGAGGCAGGCAGATCACGAGGTCAGGAGTTTGAGACTAGCCTGGCCAACATAGTGAAACCCCATCTCTACTGAAAATACAAAAATTAGCTGGGCATGGTGGCAGGTGCCTGTAATCCCAGATACTCTGGAGGCTGAGGCAGGAGAATTGATTGAAACAAGAAGGCAGAGGTTGCAGTGAGCCTACATCGCACCATTGCACTCCAGCCTAGGCAACAGAGGGAGACTCCGTCTCAAAAAAAAAAAAGTACTTGAAGAGGCAGGGTGCAGTGGCTCTGGCCTGTAATTACGGCAGCTTGGGAGGCCGAGGCAGGCGGATCCCTTGAGCCCAGGAGTTCAAGACCAGCCTGAGCAACATGGTGAAACCCCAGTCTCTACACAAACAATAATAATAATAAAAGAAAGAAAAGTACTTGAACAGCTGTGGGATACTTTTAAAGTATAATTTTAGAGTGCATAAAGCCTTTCGAGAATGACACAAAATCCTAAAGCTGTAAAAATAAACAATAAATTTGACTAAATAAAAATAATCTGCCTGGCAAAGCCACTCTAAGCAAAGTCAAAAGATAAATGAAAATTTGTGGAAAATATTTGAAATTTTTATCATAAATGAATGCCTCATTTCCCTAATAGACTTCTTACAAACCAATTTTTTAAAAAAGACTGACAACCTAATAAAATATTGATATAAGCAGCCAATTCATAGAGAGAAAAATATAAATTATTCTTAGAGGAATGAAAAGAAGCTAGAACTTACTCATAATAAAAGACATACAAATTAAAAGTAAACTGAGACACCATTTTTCACTGGTCAGAATGGCAAAGATATAAAAGTGCAATATTATACAGTGTTGTTGACTCTGTGGGGAGACAGGCACTTTAACATATTGCTGACAGGTTTTGATGACATCCGTAGGAATTAATCTGCCAATGTTTATGAAAATTTGAAATTATGAAATTAGACCCACTAATTTTATTTCTAATAATGTCCTATAGATATGTTTGCATATGTATAAAATAATTTTTTTTTTTGAGACAGGGTCTCACAGTGTCACCTGGGCTAGAGTGCAGTGACGCGATCTCAGCTCACTGCAACTTCTGCCTCCCTGGTTTAAGCGATTCTCCTGCCTCAGCCTCCAAGTAGCTGGGATTACAGGCACCCGCCACCTCGCCCAGCTAATTTTTTGTATTTTTAGTAGAGACGGGATTTCACTATTTTGGCCAAGCTGGTCTCAAACTCCTGACCTCGAGATCCGCCTGCCTCGGCCTCCCAAAGTGCTGTGATTACAGGCATGAGCCACCGAGTCCAGCCTAAAATAATTTATATACCTAAACTTAACTACAAGTTTATTTACTGGGGTATTATTTGTAGTAGCAAAATTTTGGCAACAAACCTAAAAGTCCACCAATAGGAACAGATTAAATGAATTATGATACTTCCATACAATGGAATACTATGCAGTTGTAAAAAAAAATGAAGATATTCTCTTGTACTGGCTTAGCATGATCTGTGACATGTATTAGTAAACAAAGAGAAACAAGGTAGAGAACAGCATGAAGTATGCTACCATTTGTTGAAAAATGAAAAAGGGCTGGACTGCACTGCAGCCTGGGTGACAGAACGAGCCTCCGTCTCAAAAAAAAAAAAAAGAAAAAAGAAAGAAAGAAAAATGTAAAATATATGTATACAAATGTGATTTCTTATATATGCATAAAATAATATCGTGGAAACATACAGGAAGAACTGATAATATTGACTGCCTTTGGGGAGGGGAACTGGTTTGGTAGAGAACAGATGTGAGGAGCCTTTCACTCTATATATCCTTATGTGCCCTTTGACTGTTGAATCATGATTGTGTTACTTATTCAACATTTACGTTTTTTAAATAATAAAATATTGTAAAACTTGGCTGGGCGTGGTGGATCAAGCCTGTAATCCCAGCACTTTGGGAGGCCAAGGCGGGCGGATCACCTGGAGTTGGGAGTTTGAGACCAGCCTGACCAACATGGAGAAATCCCTTCTCTAATAAAAATACAAAAAGTTAGCCAGGCGTGGTGGTGCATGCCTGTAATCCCAGCTACTCAGGAGGCTGAGGCAGGAGAATCGCTTGAATCTGGAAGGCGGAGGTTGCAGTGAGCCAAGATCGCGCCATTGCACTTCAATCTGGGCAACAAGAGCAAAACTCTGTTTCAAAAAAAAAAAAATTGTAAGACTTATATATAAACTTAGAATCCTACCAATAGATAATACATCTGTTTTACTGCTCAAGAGACAGTTAACAAGAAAATCTCAATTCTGTGAAGCAAAATTTATGCAGGCCACGTTCTTGGACCACTGTGCAATAAAGCTACAAATGAATGCAACCTCTCTCTGTGTCTAGCACAGGCCCCAGTCCTGCCTCAACTTGGAGCCTCCAGAATTCAACCAAATCGATCACAGAGGCCTTCTTAACTTGGTCAGGTCCCATGCTCTTTTTTTTCCCTCACTTTAAAGTCTGTTGAGGCGAGAAGCTAATTCCAAGTTCAGATTCCAATACTTTTAAGAGCCCTGTTTCAGAAAATCTTACTACAATACACTTTTCAAACACAACTATGTGACTGAGGCCTTGATCCATCTTTCCAGATGGAGAGAACTCAGCAAGGAGCCCAAGTACCAAAAGATTGCCCCAAGATTCGTTTTCACTGCCTTCTCCCTGCTTATCAGGCAGTTCCCAAAAGGTGATCAAAAGGTCACTTCCCCACCTCCCTGTATCTCATTATTAGGGGAATGGTGAGTGTGTGGGAAAGAGACACCAAGGTAGCTGGAAATGGGCTCTCAAGCATCCACAGATAAATGCAACGCTCTTATTGGATATATTGGATATCTTTACCTCTTTACCTTAACAGCTTAGATAAGAATGAGTAGTCATGGATGTCATGGGTGTCTCATTGGTAACATAACAGATATGTTGTAAATGTTTTAGCAGACAAAATGTTCTTAAGAATTGAAGTGAGGCCGGGCGCAATGGCTCACGCCTGTAATCCCAGCACTTTGGGAGGCCGAGGCGGGCAGATCACCTGAGGTCATGAGTCTGAGATCAGCCTGGCCAACATGGTGAAACCCTGTCTCTATTAAAATTACAAAAAAAAAAAAAAATTTAGCCGGGCACGATGGTGGGCACCTGTAATCCCAGCTATTTGGGGGGCTGAGGCAGGAGAATCTCTTGAACCCAGGCTGCAGAGGTTGCAGTGAGCCGAGATCATGTCACTGCACTCCAGCCTGGGTGACAGAGCAAGACTCCGTCTCGGAAAAAAAAAAAAAAGAATTGAAGTGCAAGGAAGTGAATGAGTATGTGTATGTGTGTATAAGCATGTCTGTGCTTTAGTATACTAACTTACAATTTTCTAACATTATGAGCTTTTGGAATTAAGATATGCACACTCCAGAAATATAGTTAATGCTTAACTAATCAAGTTGCAGGCATTCAGGGTAGATGATCTTTTATTTAAGTGTTTATATATGTATAAATATATACTATGTGTGTCCTAATTTTGCCTCTTCACTTCGCCAATACCTGGTAAACAGTTCTTAATAGTAAATATTTTCTGATTAAATGACTAGCGTGGTTTCTGTTTTCCTTATTTGACCTTGACTGCTACACCAAAAAAAGTAATTTCAATCAAAATCCTAATGGGAATTTTTTGTAAACCTACAACTATTAAGATCCATTTAGAAGAGAAATAAAAGAATCTAAGAAAAAACAAACAAAAGAAACACCCCAGCCTCTGAAAAAGAAACATAACAGTGGGAATGTCATTGCTCTACCAAATATAATAGTCTATTATGAAGCTGCACCAATCTTAAGGAATGTGATACTGGCACAGGAAAAGATTGACAATGTAGCAAACTGGAAGGAACAAAAGGAGACACAAATATTTCTGATGGTGTTGGACATCTCAAAATTATTTCAAAAAATTAAATATCTTCCAACTTACACGATATACCCAAATTAAGTTGAGATAGATTTAAGAGTTAGATGTCCCCTAATGTAATAATTGATTGAGGCAAGGATCATTAATGGATGCTAATAACACTGGCTAAAAGAAACAGGATATTCACACTGTGCTAAAGTATCACCCCACAGAATTCTGTACTTATTAATATTAAAGGCAGGTATCTGGTGGTCACCACCTTAATTAAATGATCAAACTTAGCATCACTGCTAATGGGACAAAGAGACATCTGTGCCTCCTGACACATGCAACATGGCAATGCTTCTGAAATATTCTAGCAAAAATTCTTAACCCATATCTGGCTGGGCACAGTGACTCACACCTGTAATCCTAGCACTTTGGGAGCCCGAATCAGGCGAGTCACCTGAGGTCAGGAGTTCAAGACCAGCCTGAGCAACATGGTGAAACCCCCATCTCTACTAAAACTACAAAAATTAGCCAGGCGTAGTGGCACACGCCTGTAATTCCAGCTACTCAGGAGGCTGAGACATGACAATTGCTCGAACCCGGGAAGCAGAGGTTGCAGTGAGCTGATATCATGTCCTTGCACTCCAGCTGGGTGACAGAGTGAGACTGTCTCAAAAAAAAAAAATTTTTTTTAACCCAAATCTAATCAAACCTCTAGACCTAGCTTCCAGTTTAAAGAAAATACAGGGAATACAGGAACAAGATAAACAATAGCATGAAGAAATAATTGGACAAATCCAGCGTACTGGATGTTATACCTCAAAATTATTCTGGACTCATCAAAAAGACAATGTCGGGGGAAGTAAGAGTAGAGGCACTGTTCTAGATTAAAGTAAATACAGTTTAAGACTCATAGATTTAACTACATACAAATTTAAACTTTTGAATCACAAACAAGCACCATGGACAAATGACACACAATAAACTGGGAAAAATAAATGAAATATATCTGAACAGAAAAACTAAATATCCTTATTCTATTTTTCAGTTTTTACAATTGAAAAGAAATAAAAGATTTATACTCTAAAAGAAAAATGTCTAGGTTCTGCAGAAGAATGAGCTCAGTGAAAAAAAATGTCTAAGGATATGAATAAATAATTCAAAAAAGAAGGGCAAAGGTGAGAAGTTATGAAATACTTTTAGTATTAACAACTGCTTGGTTGAAGTTTCTCAGCCTTCATCAGAATCGTCTGAGATGCTTGTGGAAAATGCAGCTTCAGCCAGGTGCGGTAGCTTATGCCTGTAATCCTAGCACTTTGGGAGGCCAAGGCAGTCAGAACACCTGAGGTCGGGAGTTCGAGACCAGCCTGACCAACATGGAGAAACCCTGTCTCTACTAAAAATACAAAAGTAGCCAGGAGTGGTGGCGCATGCTTGTAATCCCAGCTACTGTGGAGGCTGAGGCAGGAGAATCGCTTGAACCCGGGAGGCAGAGGTTGCGGTGAGCAGAGATCACGCCATTGCACTCCAGCCTGGGCAACAAGAGCGAATCTCCATCTAAAAAATAAAATAATAAAATAAAATAAAAATAAAAATTAAAATTACAATGCGGCTTCCTGGACCTACCGTATTTAAATTGAGGCCCAGGAGTCAGTATAATAAACATTCCCCTATAATTATTTTGGGAAGCCGAGGCAGGCAGATCGTTTGAGCTCAGGAGTTCGAGACCAGCCTGGGCAACATGGTGAAACCCTGTGTCTATTAAAAATACAAAAATTAGGCTGGGCACAGTGGCTCACGCCTGTAATTCCAACACTTCGGGAGGATGAGGCCGGCAGATCACGAGGTCAGGAGATCAGGACCACCCTGGCTAATACGGTGAAACCCCATCTCTACTAAAAATACAAAAATTTACAAAAAATTAGCCAGGCGTGGTGACACACGCCTGTAGTCCCAGCTACTCGGGAGGCTGAGGCAGGAGAATCGCTTGAACCCAGGAGGCGGAGGTTGTAGTGGGTCGAGATTGCGCCACTGCACTCCAGCCTGGGCGACAGAGCGAGACTCCGTCTCAAAACAAAACAAAACAAAAATTAGCTGGGCGTGGTGGCGGGCGCCTGTAATCCCAGCTACTCGGAAGCTGAGGCAGAAGAATCGCTTGAATCCAGAAGGTGGAGGTTGCAGTGAGCCGAGATCGCGCCACTGCACTCCAGCCTGTGCGACAGAGAGAGACTCCGTCTCAAAAAAAAAAAAAAAAAAAAAAAAAAAAAAGAAAGAAAAGAAAATAAAAAAAAAAATTGAAAAGAAAGAAAAAGAAATAAAGAAATAAAACTCCCCTGGCCCGGCGTGGTGGCTCACGCCTGTAATCCCAGCACTTTGGGAGGCCGAGGCGGGCAGATCACGAGGTCAGGAGATGGAGACCATCCTGGCTAACACGGTGAAACCCCGTCTCTACTAAAAATAAAAAAAAATTAGCCGGGCGTGGTGGCGGGCGCCTGTAGTCCCAGCTACTCAGGAGGCTGAGGCAGGAGAATGGCGTGAACCCGGGAGGCGGAGCTTGCAGTGAGCCGAGATCGCGCCACTGCACTCCAGCATGGGCGACAGAGCGAGACTCTGTCTCAAAAATAAAATAAAATAAAATGAAACTCCCCTAATGACTTGTAATCACACTATTTGGAAAGCAAGGGTATGACTAGAAACTCTCCTTCTGGCCGGGCGCGGTGGCTGACGCCTGTAATCCCAGCACTTTGAGAGGCCAAAGCAGGTGAATCACCTGAGGTCAGGAGTTTGAGAGCAGCCTGAACAACATGGAGAAACCCTGTCTCTACTAAACATACAAAAATTAGCCGGCTGTGGTGGCGCATGCCTGCAATCCCAGCTACTCGGGAGGCTGAGGCAGGAGAATCCCTTGAACTCGGAAGGCGGAGGTTGCCGTGAGCAGAGATCACGCCATCGCACTCCAGCCTAGGCAACAAGAGCGGAACTCCGTCCCAAAGAAAAAAAAAAATCTCCTTCTTTCAATCTACTTACCTTTGTTTCAAAAGAAATGCAGGAAAATGGAGTCTAGTCTGTATGTCACTGGCCTATGTGTTGCCTTAGGCAAATTCCTTAAACGCATTAGTACAGTGGGAACAATATCTACCTTGAAGGGCTGTTGGAAGGGGTAGAGACACTGTAAAGTGCCTAGTACTGTGTTAGGCATTTAATAGCTTCTTAATAAATAGTGGTTATTATTATTTTTCACTCTAACTCATTTTGCACTTTTAAACTGCTACCGTTGTTTTTTCAGGTGACATGATTCTTTTCTTCTGTATCGTGCTTTATGCATAATTGCTCAAAACTGGAAATAACCTTGTTATGGGTTGAGTTGTATCCCCTCAAAATATGTGGAAGTCCTAACCCCCACAACCTCAGAATATATAACCTTATTTGGACATAGGGTCATTCGATGTATTAATAATTACTCATACTGGAGTAGAGTGGGTCCCTAATCTAACATGATTGGTGTCCTCATAAGAAGAGGAAGATTTGGACGTAGATTCTCACAGAGGGAAGACAGATGTGAAGACACACTAAGGGAGATAGCTCTGTGACTCCAGAGGCAGAGATTAGAGTGATGCATCTACAAAGTAAGGAATGCCAAGGAGTGTCAGCAAACACTAGATGCTAGAAAGAGTCAAGGAGGGCCGGGCGCGGTGGCTCATGCCTGTAATCCCAGCACTTTGGAAGGCTGAGGCAGGTGAATCACCTGAGGTCAGGAATTTGAGACCAACCTGGCCAACATGGTGAAACCCCGTCTCTACTAAAAATACAAAAATTAGCCGGGCATGGTGGCACGTGCCTATAATCCCAGCTACTGGGGAGGCTGAGGCAGGAGAATCACTTGAACCCGGGAGGTGGAGGTTGCAGTGAGCGGAGATCACGCCACTGCACTCCAGCCTGGGTGACAGAGCAAAACTCTGTATCAAAAAAAAAAAAAAAAAAAAAGACTCAAGGAGGATTCTCCTCTGCAGGTTTCAGAGGGAGCACAACCCTGCTGACATCTTGATTTAGGACTTCTGGCCTCCATAACTATGAGAAAATACATTTCTATTGTTTTAAACCACTCAGTTTTTGGTATTTCTTACAGCATGTCCTAGGAAGCTAATACGAACCCTAGTATTCTTCAACAGGTGGATGGAAAACAAACTGTGGTACATGCATACAATGAACTGTATAACATGGGTGAATCTTAAAGACATTACGCTAAGTGAAAGAAGCCAGTCTCCAGAGGTTACATCCTGTATGATTCCATTTATGTGACATTCAGTTAAAGGCATATCTGGCCAGGCACGGTGGCTCAACCCTTTAATCACAGCACTTTAGGAGGCCAAGGCAGGCAAATCACCAGGTCGGGAGTTCGAGACCAGCCTGGCCAACATGGTGAAACCCCGTCTCTACTAAAAATAGAAAAAGTTAGCTGGGCGTGGTGGCAGGTGCCTGTAATCCCAGCTACTCCAGAGGCTGAGGCAGGAGAATCGCTTGAACCCGGGAGGCGGAGGTTGCAGTGAGCCGAGATTGCGCCACTGCACTCCAGCCCAGGCGACAGTGCGAGACTCTGTCTCAAAAAAAAAAAAAAAAAAAAAGGCAAACCTATAGGGAAGGAAAACACATCAGTGTTTGCCAGAGGTTGGGGTGGTTTGATGGTTTAATTAGAAAGGGGAAGCATGAGGGAAATTTTGGGATTATGGTGATGGTTACCTAAATCTATGCATGTGTTAAAACTCGTGGAACTGTTTATCCACAAAGAGTAATTTCATGGTATGTTAATTTAGATATTTTTAAAAATGAACACACATGCACACACACACACACACACCCAAATAATTTTCTTCTAAAAAATACTTTAAAAGAAAGTTTCCATCTGGGTCGCTGCCAGAAAGGCTGCTTTGTCGGGGCTCTGCCACACCAACTCTTGCATTCTGTGGGCCTGTTTTTCCATCTGTAAAAGTAGTGGATCTGCCTGGAGCAGTGATTTTATCCCCCTTGCCCCCATACTGCACCCTAGGCACTCCCTTTGTGGCAGTGGTGGTGTCTCGATGTGTTTGGAGAGAGAAAACATTTGGACGTCACTGGGCTGTGGACACACAGGTCTTCTTCAAATGGAGCAGTTGTACTTTTGTCTCTCTCTCTCTCTCTCTTTTTTTTTTTTTTTTTGGTCTAAAAACCTCTGGATTAGAATAACTGAACACAAGCCAGAGCCCAGGTATCCAGGGAGTTAGAATGATCCTGGATTCCAGGGCCTATATGTTGGGGGTCACTTGTTCATCCCTTCGGTGAATGCCCCCATGCATCCTGGTAATGAGCAAAACCAGGGTGCTGGCTCTCACGGTTAGTGACTCTAAACAAGTGTTTCAGGGAAGCAGAAATTGTGCTTCTACACGACCCCTTGGATGCACATGGATTAAACACAATGGGACCTCTATAAAGGCTCTAAATCTAGGCCCCCTCCGCTTTGTTTTTTCTTTTTTGAGACGGAGTCTCGCTCTGTCACCCAAGGCTGGAGTGCAATGGCGTGCTCTTGGCTCACTGCAACCTCCACCTTCCGGGTTCAAGTGCTTCTCTTGCCTCAGCCTCCCGAGTAGCTGGGACTACAGGTGCCAGCCACCATGCCCGAATCTAGGCCCATTCTAAGGTAAGGTCCAAAAGGACCTTAAGCCATTTGTTTTTAGATTTTTTGGAAGAACATTTTGTAAATAACAAAGGACTGTGCACAGATGGGGGAAATGCCATTATGAGGATGAGTGTGCTGACCTCAAACCAGGGTCAAAGAGTATCATTGCCTTTTACTCCAAGCATGAAACCATTCATGTGCCAGGTACTATGCTAAGGAACCCAGTCCTCACAACAACTCTATGGGAGACAGTTGCTTTGACAGGTGAGGAAAGTGAAGCTCTGAGAGGACCAAGGTCACAATGAAAGGAGATGTTAGAGGTGACAGGGCTGGGTCATGGCCAGCAGCTCCAGCCTCTTAAGCCAAGGCTCATGAGAGGAACCCCTGAGGCCTGGTGTCAGGCCTGTTCTCTCTCAGTATATGCCCTGGGAAAAGGACTATGTCCCTTTTCACAAAGGCCGGTGGGAGATCACCAAAGACACCTTGAGAACTTGCCATCAAGTACAGCAGTCAAAAAAATACAATATTTTTAAACTTTATGGAGTGGAATGGTCTTTTAAAAAACTAGTTTTTTTTTTTTTAACTAATGTATAAATCCGATCTAGAAAACCAGAGATGGGCCACTGTGATTGAAGGTGGGCAAGGGTAGCCTGAGACTCCTCCAGAGCTCCTGGAGCACAGCTTGAATGAAAGCCACTTATCCACTAGGTTGGCACTTACTGGGAGAAGTGCAAGGGATGCCAAGATGTCTAAGGCTTTGACTTTGGGTTGGAAAGAACCGGGTGAGATTCTAGGGGATTCACTCCTGGGTTAGTCAGCCTCTGGCAGGGCTCAGGATTCCAGGTCTGCCACATGTATTGGGTGCTGCTGGCAGGTCTATGTGAGCTGAGCATTACTTGCCCCACCCTGGTTCCAGCCAGGCCCCAATAGCTTGACCTCACAATATAAAAAATATTTTCACTATCTTATGTTTCATGAATTTAATTCTATTAAGGTAAGGCTTACTACGTTCAAAACTCCAACCCCCTCCCTTTTTTCTTGCCCTTTAACAAGGCACCATCCGGTTTTCTTTACTAACAAAATGTCAGTGTTCAAGTTCAGTCTTGGTGCAAGATCGATGGCAGATGTCAGGGGCTGGCCGGGATGGCTTACATTGATATCATCATACGTAGGTCCTTCTCATAGATGTCAGGGATGTTACCTACCGGCGAGTTGATCATGCGCACGGTGTTGTTATTAAACAGCTTGAATTCGTAATTGATGAGCTGTTCCCAAAAGCCGTTGTTGGGCCGGATGATGGGGCGGCGCGACTTGGTCCATGTATGGGCGTCCAGCAGCGACATGGAGTGGTATTTCATGAGGTACGCAAGGCACAGTGAGGCGGAACGGCTCACTCCAGCCATGCAGTGCAGCAGCGTACGGCCCTGCCTCATATCGATGGTGTGGATAAGATCAGCAATGGGGTCAAAAAAGTCGTAGAGACGCGAGTCACGAGCATCGGTAACAGGCACCTTTATGTACTGAATGCCCTCGAAGAATACGTTGACCACTTCCACCGAGGCATTGACAATGGCGGTGATGCGATTGCTGGACAGAAGGAGTTTGTCGTTGGCGGCCACACCATTGCTGAGAAACAAGCTTCTGGTTATTTGGGAGAAGCTGTAGATGGAGGGCTGCTGGACACCCTGAGATGATGAAAAGGAGGACGCGGATGCTGTCATCAAGGCGGCTGGTCCGAGGTCTCTCTACGCTGGTTCGGGACACAACACTTACCAAGCTAGTTCAGGATAGCAGCCGCGCCGCCAAGTCTCAGGCTAGGTGTTGGAGAAAGAGGACCAGCTATCGGCCACCACCCTCTTTCTGTCTCCTCTCACCACTCCCATCTGGGCGTCACAATCCCGGACAGATAGCCCTGCGGCTCCGGTTTCCATGGCAATGGCCGCTTGCCGCAAGGAGGACAGGGCCTCTAAGCAGGGTCTTCAGAGACACCCCAGTCTCTTTTCTTTTTATCTTTCTTCATAGTCATTTATTTTCCAAGGCCTAATTCTTATCTTTCTTGACTTTTAAAAATGTTCTGTTACAAGATATCTATTTTATGTTTCAATTATTGGACCACGTTAAACAAGATCTATGAATACTTCTATTTCATCAGTGTTGCAGAACAGGGCTTACACTTTCCCTGCAAAATAGCAATATCACATTCTAAGTTGGGGAACAGCATTTGGCTCATGTGATATGCTAATCTCTATAAAACTGGAGCGAGATATGGGATTTGGCTGGGCTTGGTGGACTGGCCTGATACTTCTTTGTTGATTGTAACCATAAAATTATTTTCCTGCTTACAAACACATCAGGGCTGGTTGTAAGAGAGCATTGCTAACTGATATATAGCCCTTTATCTTGAAGTTGGCCTGTGGTGGACAGTTGTGACTAATTTAGCTGTGTCATAGTCCATTTGTACATACAGCTCAAATGACTTACCGCATGAGTCTATTTTATTACCTGAAACAACAGTTCAAATTATTTTGTTTACTTTCTTCAAAAAAAAATGCCTACATGCTTTGTGAACTACAAATCACTTTGACCACTACCGATGCTGTCTTCCCAGTAATATTAAACATTCTGAAACAAGTTAATGCTACATGGTAATTGGGCCAAAAATTGAGACAGTTTTGCTCTGTCACCCAGGCTGGAGAGTCCCAGGCCTCTGCTTCCTGGGTTCAAGTGATTCTTGTGCCTTAGCCTACCGAGTAGCTGGGATTACAGGAACGCACCACCACACCTGGCGAATTCTTGTATTTTTAGTAGAGACAGGATTTCACCATGTTGGCCAGGCTGGTCTCAAACTCCTGACCTCAGGTGATCCACCGGCCTCGGCCTCCCAAAGTGCTGGGATTACATGCACGAGCCACAGCACTCAGCCCAAAAATTAATTTCTAAAATGTAACCTGACATTTGCATTTCCTTCCAGCTAAGATTTTTATAGAATTTGGCTGAAAATTGAAAAGAACTATAGCCTAAAACTAACAAATTGTTTCACAGAGTAGCCAATTGACTCACATACTTTGCTCTCATTCCATCATCATTTTGGTATGTGTTCAAAGGTGTGCTGTGATTACGAACAAAGATGAAATAGATACCAGGCTGCTTATGATGGTCAAGGAAATGATAACCTCAAAACACAACACACGTTTCTTTTCTCAGTTGTCATAATCAAATTATTTTGCATTACTTAAATTGTCAGTCCCCACAAAGCTATCTGGAAGAAAATAGAACACGAATACTAAATAAATATGAAAACTGTTTGTTGGGGGCAGCTCAGCTGGGCTAACGGAGAAGCTTTGTAATCTATGTAGTAATGTGGAGGCCCTAAACTAGTATTGGAGTCTACTTATTTCATAAGTATACACTTCTTAAACTTTAAAACTAAGTACAATTAACAAAATAATTTCAGACACTATTTTCTTTTCTTTTTTTTATTTTTATTTTTTTTGAGACGGAGTTTTGCTCTTGTTGCCCAGGCTGGAGTGCAGTGGCGCGATCTTGGTTCACCACAACCTCCGCCTCCCAGGTTCAAGCCATTCTCCTGCCTCAGTCTCATGAGTAGCTGGGATTACAGGCTCGCGCCACCATGCCCAGCTAATTTTTTGTATTTTTAGTAGAGACGAGGTTTCACCATGTTGGCCAGGCTGGTCTCAAACTCTCGACCTCAGGTGACCCACCCACCTCGGCCTCCCAAAGTGCAGGGATAACAGGCATGAGCCACCGCGCCCGGCCTCAGACACTATTTTCAAAGACAAGCATGACCCGTGTTAAATAGATTCATTTATTTATTCTTCATATTCTGTGACACCTGTTAGTCTGAGGGATGTTGGATGTTTTAAAATTCCGCTATGGAGCTTTTCCTGGATAGATAACGTTTTCTCCCCTTGAGTTTGGAAGCAGGTCACTTTCAGATCCCACTTGTCTCTACTTTTCCTTTTTTTTTTTTTTTTTTTTAACACACTGATGGAGGCAATTTTCCTTGTTATTTAGTGAAGAAAATGTGCAATGGACTTGCCCAATAACACACTCTCTTTCCACCGCTGGGAAAACACCCTGGATGTTAAGAACTAGTTAATGTTCAAATTTCTCAATTCAGTAGTCAAAGCCCTTTCTAATCTAAGCCTGCCTTTCAAATCTCATTCATTCATTTATTCATCAGATTTTTATTAAGAATCTATAGTGTGTTAGGCATTTTCACCTATATAAACCCTCAGTTCTGACCAAACAAAGCAAACGCTTTTGGTAAATACAAAATGTACATTCCTGTTTCCTTACCTTTGCTCATGCCATTCCTCTCTCTTGAGAAGCCTGACTCCTCTCTGCTTCCTGAATTCTATCCGAGCTTCAAGACTCAGCTTGATTAATTTAAAAACGGGATCAACTGAGCATCCAATCTGTGTCAGGTATGGTCCTAGCAGTGTAGATCCATCACAATACAGGGCCTGATTTCCAAGAGCTTATACTTTGGTCAGAGAGATAGATAACCTTGGAAGAGTCCAGAAGAGAGGGTATGATTCATTGTTTTAGGTGAGTGTTTGGGGGCCAGGGGCAGTAGGTGTATGTCATGGAAGGCTTAATAGAAAACGTGACTGGGAAAAGTCTTTTTGTTTTTATTACTTATTATTTATAGTGTCCAAGTTTGTGTTTTGAAAAATATCAAACCTACATAAAAGCTGCAAGAACAGAACAATGAGCATCTGTTTACCCTTCACCTATAGTTCTATTGTTAACACTTCACCACATTTGCTTTATCTATTTTGATATACAGACACACATATTTATTTATTTGCTTGTTTCTTTTTGCTGAAACATTGAGAGTTTCTTGTAGATATAGCAACAATTTAGCCCTTCAGCACATATCTCCAAAGAACAAGTACATGCTCTTCCATAACCACAGTACAATGACCATACTCAGGAAATTTAACATTGGCCCCATATTATCATCTAACACGTAATCCATATTCAAATTTCACCAAGTCTTTTAATAATATTATTTATAGCTGTTTTTTTCTTTTGATCCAAGATTGAATCAAGGATCACACATTGCATTTAGCCGTCATGCTTCTTTAGCATCTTTAAATTTGGAGCTGTTGCTGAGTCTTTTATTTTGTTTCGGTCTTGCTGGACATTGGCATTTTTAAGAGTTCAGGCTAGTTTTGGCCGGGTGCGGTGGCTCACGCCTGTAATCCCAGCACTTTGGGAGGCCGAAGTGGGCAGAACACAAGGTCAGGAGATTGAGACCATCCTGGCTAACACGGTGAAACCCCGTCTCTACTAAAAATACAAAAAAATTAGCCGGGCGTGGTGGCGGGCGCTTATAGTCCCAGCTACTCGGGAGGCTGAGGCAGGAGAATGGTGTGAACCCAGGAGGCGGAGCTTGCAGTGAGCCGAGATTGCACCACTGCACTCCAGCCTGTGCGACTGAGCAAGGCTCCGTCTCCAAAAAAAAAAAAAAAAAAAAAAAAAAGAGTTCAGGCCAGTTTTGCAGAACATCTTTCAAGATGTATTTGTTTGACTGTTCCCTCGGGATTAGATTCAGGTGAAATTTTTTTTGCAAGAAGACCACCAGAGTGTGTGATTCTCAGTACATCGTACCAGGGGCATATGTTATTTGTCTGTTCCATTAATGGTGATGAGAATTTTTTTCTTTTCTCTTTCAATAGCTTTAGGAGTACTAGCGGTTTGGGGTTACATGGATGAATTGTATAATGGCAAAGTCTGAAATTTTAGTGCACCCATCACCTGAGTAGTGTACATTCTTCCCAATATGTAGTTTTTAAATCTCTCCCCACTCTCATCCTCGCCCATTATGAGTCTCCAATGTCCATTATACTAGTCTACATGCCTTTGTGTACCCATAGCTTAGCTCCGACTTATGAGAACATGCGACCAGGCATGGTGGCTCACGCCTGTAATCCCAGCATTTTGGGAGGCCAAGGCAGGTGGATCACCTGAGGTCAGGAGTTCGAGACCAGCTTGGCCAACATGGCGAAACCCCGTCTCTACTAAAAATACAAAACTTAGCTGGGCATGGTGGCGCACGCTTGTACTCCCAGCTACTTGGGAGACTGAGGTGGAGGATTGCTTGAACATGGGAGGATCGCTTGAACCCAGGAGGCGGAGGTTGCAGTGAGCCAAGATCGTGCCACTGCACTCCACCCTGGGCAAGAGAGTGAGACTCTGTCTCAGAAAAAAAAAAAAAAAAAAGTGAGAACATGTGATATTTGGTTTTCCATTCCTGAGTTACTTCACTTAGAATAATGTTCTCCAGTTCCATCCAAGTTGCTGCAAAAGACATTATTTTGTTCTTTTTTATAGCTGAGTAGTATTCCATGGTGTATATATATCACATTTTCTTTATCCACTTATCAGTTGATGAGCACTTAGTTTTGTTGCGTATCTTTGCATTTGTGAATTGTGCGGTAATAAATATATGCGTGTAGGTGTCTTTTTGATATAATGACTTCTTTTCCTTTGGGTAGATACCTAGTAGTGGGATTACTGGATCAAATGGTAGATCTACTTTTAGTTCTTTAAGGAATCTCCATACTGCTTTCTGTAAAGATTGTACTAATTTACATTCCCCTAGCAGTGTTACCTTTTTACCACATCCACGCCAACATCTATTGCTTTTTCAATTTTATTTATTTTATTTTATTCATTTATTTATTTTTGAGACGGAGTTTCGCTCTTGCCGCCCAGGCTGGAGTGCAGTGGTGCATCTCAGCTCACTGCAACCTCCACCTCCTTGGTTCAAGCGATTCTCATGCCTCAGCCTCCCATGTAGCTGGGATTACAGGCGCGCACCACCAAGCCTGGCTAATTATTTATTTATTTATTTATTTATTTATTTATTTATTTATTTTTGAGACTGAGTCTCACTCTGTCGCCCAGGCTGGAGTGCAGTGGCGCCATCTCGGCTCACTGCAAGCTCCGCCTCCCGGGTTCACGCCATTCTCCTGCCTCAGCCTCCCGAGTAAGCTTGGCTAATTTTCGTATTTCTAGTAGAGATGGGGTTTCACCATGTTGGCCAGGCTGGTCTCCAACTCCCAACCTCAGGTGATCTGCCCATCTCGGCCTCCCAAAGTGCTGGGCTTACAAGCATGAGCCACCGTGCCCGGCCTTTACTTTTTAATAATGGCCATTTTGCCTGGGGTAAGATGGCATTTTATTGTGGTTTTGATTTGCATTTCCCTGATGATTAGTGATGTTGAGCATTTTTTCATGTTTGTTGAGCATTTGTATATCTTCTTTTGAGAAATATCTATTCATGTCATTTGCCCACTTTTTAATGAGATTATGTTTTTTTCCTGCTGATTTGTTTGAGTTCCTTGTAGATTCTGGATATTAGTCCTTTGTTGAATGCATAGTTTGCAAATATTTTCTCCCATTCTGTGAGTTGTCTGTTTACTCTGGCGATTGTTTCTTTTGCTGTGCAGAAGCTTATAAATTTAATTATATCCTATTTGTTTATTTTTGTTTTGTTGCAATTGCTTTTGGGGTCTTAGTCATGAATTCTTTGCCTAGACCAATGTCCAGAAGAGCTTTCCTAGGTTTTCTTCTAGAATTTTTATGGCTTCAGGTCTTACATTTAAGTCTTTAATCGATCTTGAATTGATTTTTATACATGGTGAGAGAAATGAATCCAGTTTCATTCTTCTACATGTGGGATCCAGTTTTCCCAACACCATTTATTGAATAGGGTGTCCTTTCCTCAGTTTATGTTTTTATATGCTTTGTCAAAGATTAGTTGGTTGTAAGTATTTTGCCTTATTTCTTGCTTCGCCATTCTATTCCATTGGTCTATGTATCTACTTTCATACCAGTACCACGATAGCCTTGCAGTATAATTCAAAGTGTGGTAATGTGATGCCTCCAGATTTTTTCTTTTTGCTTCGGATTGCTTTGGCTATTTGCTCTTTTTTGGTTCTACATGAATTTTAGGATCATTTTTCTAATTCTGTGAAAAAATGATGTCGGTATTTTCATAGGAATTGTATTGAATTTATAGATTGCTTTGGGCAGTATGGTCATTTTCATGATACTGATTCTTCTAATTCATGAGCATGGGATATATTTGCATTTGTTTGTGTTATCTACAATTTCTTTCAGCAGTATTTTGCAGTTCTCCTTGTAGAGATATTTCACCTCCTTGGTTAAGTATATTCCTAAGTTGTTCGGTTTTTTGCAGCTAGTGTAACAGCAATTGAGGGTTTTTTTTTTTTTTTTTTTTTTTTTGAGACGGAGTCTCGCTCTGTCGCCCGGGCTGGAGTGCAATGGCATGATCTCAACTCAATGCAACATCCGCCTCCCGGGTTCAAGTGATTCTCCTGCCTCAGCCTCCTGAGTAGCTGAGATTACAGGTGCCTGCCACCACGCCCTGCTAAGTTTTTGTATTTTTAGTAGAGACGGAGTTTCACTGTGTTGGCCAGGCTGCTCTCGAACTCCCGACCTCGTGTTCTGCCTGCCTTGGCCTCTCTAAATGCTGGGATAACAGGCGTGAGCCACTGCGCCCAGCTGCAATTGAGTTCTTGATTTGATTCTCAGCTTGGACATTGTTGGTGTATAGCAGTGATTACCAATTTGTATACATTGATTTTGCAACCTGAGACTTTACTGAATTCATTTATCAAATCTACAAGTCTTTTGGAAGAGTCTTTAGGATTTTCTAGATATACTACCTATCATATCATTGGCAAACAGAGAGTTTGACTTCCTCTTTTCCAATTTCTTTTTTTTTTTAGACAGAATCGCACTCTGTCGCCCAGGCTGGAGTGCAGTGGCGCAATCTCAACTCACTGCAACCTCCACCTCCTGGGCTCAAGCAATTCTCTAGCCTTGCCTCCTGAGTAGCTGGGATTACAGGCATGTGCCACCACACCTTTTGTATTTTTAGTAGAAACAGGGTTTCACCATATTGGCCAGGCTGGTCTCAAACTCCTGACCTCAGGTGATCCACCCGCCTGGGCCTCCCAAAGTGTTGGGATTACAAGCATGTGCCACCACACCTTTTGTATTTTTAGTAGAAACAGGGTTTCACCATATTGGCCAGGCTGGTCTCAAACTCCTGACCTCAGGTGATCCACCCGCCTCAGCCTCCCAAAGTGTTGGGATTACAGGCGTGAGCTAGCGTGCCCAGCTCTCTTTTCCAATTTGGATGCCCTTTATTTCTTTCTCTTGCCTGATTGCTCTGGCTAGGACTTCCAGTAGTATGCCAAATAACAGTGGTGGAAGTGGACATCCTTGTCTTGTTCCTATTCTCAGAGGGAATGCTTTCAACTTTTCCTCATTCAGTATGATGTTGGCTGTCAGTTTGTCATATATGGCTTTTATTATTTTGAGGTATGTTCTTTCTATGCCTAGTTTGTTGAGGGTTTTTATCAAAAAGGGATGCTGGATTTTATCAAATGCTTTTTTGCATCTATTGAGACGATCATGTGGATTTTGTTTTTAATTCTGTTTATGTGATGAATCACATTTATTGACTTGCATATGTTGAACTATCTGTGTGAATGATGATAATTTTGACCACTTGGCTATGGTGGCATTAGCTAAGCTTCTCCAGTGTGAATGCGATTTTTCCCCTTTGTATGAATTATTTTATTATTATTATTATTACTTTTTATTGAGACGGAGTCTCACTCTGTCGCCCAGGCTGGAGTGCAGTGGCGTGATCTCAGCTCACTGCAGCCTCTGTCTCCCAGGTTCGAGCAGTTCTCCCACCTTAGCCTCCCGAGTAGCTGGGATTACAGGTGCCTGCCACCACACCCGGCTAATTTTTTTTATTTTTAGTAGAGACGGGATTTGGCCATGTTGACCAGGCTGGTTTTGAACTCCTGACCTCGAGTGATGTGCCCACCTCGGCCTCCCAAAGTGCTAGGATTACAGGAGTGAGCCACCGCACCTAGCCCTCTTTGTATTAATAATTAATAAGGAGTATGTGAGGTGGTGCTTTGAGTTTGTAGGACTATCTTTGGAATAGAACTTTGAAGAATGAAAAGGAGTTTTCCAGTCAAAGAGGAAAGGATATCCTAGACAGAAAGGGAAGCATATGCAAAGGTATATAGGTATGAAATACTGTCAGAAGGACAAAGAACAACTCAGAATTGCTAGTGTATACAGAGTGAAGCTGTAGAAGTCATAGGAAGGTTGGCTAGAGATCCCAGAGGGCCTTTAAGCAGGGACTTGGGCTTGATCCTGTAGGTCAGGTGACACATGAGTTTTTGTTTTTTTTTGTTTTGTTTTGTTTTGTTTTGTTTTGAGACGGAATCTCGCTCTGTCACCCAGCCTGGAGTGCAGTGGCGTGATCTTGGCTCACTGCAACTTCCGCCTGCCGGGTTCAAACAATTCTCTGCTTCAGCCTCCTGAGTAGCTGGGATTACAGGCACGCACCACCACGCCCAGCTAATTTTTTGTATTTTTAGTAGAGACGGGGTTTCACCGTGTTAGCCAGGATGGTCTCGATCTCCTGACCTTGTGATCCGCCCGCCTCAGCCTCCCAAAGTGCTGGGATTACAGGCGTGAGCCACCGTGCCCAGCCCTAATTTTTGTATTTTTAGTAGAGACAGGGTTTCACCATCTTGGCCAGGCTGGTCTTGAACTCCTGACCTCGTGATCCACCCACCTCGGCCTCCCAAAGTGCTGGGATTACACACATGAGCCACTGCAGCTGGCAACACACAAGTATTTTATGCAGGGAAATGGCATCATCAGAATAGAATTTTAGGAAGCTCACTGACAGCTATGTGGATGAATTTGTAGAGAGAAGGGGCGAAGTGAGAAGAATGGCAATACTAGAGGGAGTGAGAACTATTGCAGTAGTCTAGGTGAGCAATGAGATACATCTGTTACAGACTCTTTCCTGACATGGAAGCTGGATCAAATCCAAATATATTTCACCTAATCAAATGTATACATGGGCTAGGCCACATAAGAGGATGGAATACCAAACTTCCTATGGATCAGGCTCTGGAGAGTTTGATGTCCTGAAAGGAGAGTTAAGGCAAGAGGTTGAGGTTGCAGGTAATACATTTAAATTGGAGGGTGGCGGTAAGGAGAAAACCTGAAGGTGTATAGGGTGAGGGCACAGGAGAGCCATGTAACTAAAGGGAGCTGCATGTTATGCTGTCCAACAGACAGGTAAGATGGGAGTTGCCCAGCAGAAGGCCCTAAGGCAGAGGTGGCAGTTGGCCTCCCTGAGTAATGATCAAGGGAGGGTTATGTGTGAATTTCAGAGGAGGGGCTGGGTCAGTTGCAACAACATATAGAGCCGGCAGGAAGCCAGCTCCACTAGGACTTGTTGCTGGGCTCAGCCTGGTCCTTGGTTTATGGACGGTGAGTGGGGAGACAGATGGATATGAATATGGAAGTCTTTAAATAACACCCTCTAGTCCTGAATACAAATAACATGAGAAAATGATTGTTGCTTATTTGTTAGGTGAAAAAAAAAAACAGTTTATAACAGACTAGATACATTTTTGTAAAGGCAAAATATATATGTGTGGGTATTTGTCATTACATGTACATATCGTATATATTAAACACCTAGCTATGAATCCTATTTATGGAAATATTAGGTATCTGAAGCAGCTCTAGTTATGGAGTAAGAATTCAATTTGTTAAAGTTTTTTTCATTGTCGGTTTTAACCGCAATCTGTATGATTAATTCAAATTAAGACAGAATTTTATTTATTTAAATTGACAAATGACAAATTGAGCTGGGCATGGTAGGTAACACAGGGAGACCCCGTCTCTATAAAAAACTTTTAAAAAAATTTTAAAAAGGCCGGATGCGGTGGCTCACGCCTGTAATTCCAGCACTTTGGGAGGCCGAGGCTGGCGGATCACCTGAGGTCGGGAGTTGGAGACCAGCCTGACCAACATGGCGAAACCCCGTCTCTACTAAAAATACAAAAATTAGCCAGGCGTGGTGGCGCATGCCTGTAATCCCAGCTAGTCGGGTGGCTCAGGCAGGAGAATCGCTTGAACTCCAAAGACGTAGGTTGCGGTGAGCTGAAATCTCACCATCGCAATCCAGCCTGGGCAACAAGAGCGAAACTCCGTCTTAATAAATAAATAAATAAATAAATAATGAAAGAATTAGCTGAGTGTGGTGGCATGTACCTGTGGTCCCAGCTACTTTGGGAGGCTCAGGTGAGAGGATTGCTTGAGCCCAGGAGGTCGAGGCTCCCATGAGCCATGATCGTGCCACCACACTCCAGCCTGGATGAAAGAGGGAGATTGTCTCAAAAAAACCCCCACACCCAGCAATTTGGGAGGCAGAGAGGGGCGGGTCACTTGAGGTCAGGAGTTCCAGACCAGCCTGGCTAACATGGTGAAACCCCGTCTCTACTAAAAATACAAAAATTAGCTGGGCGTGGTGGTGGGCGCCTGTAATCCCAGCTATTTGGGAGGCTGAGGCAGGAGAATCGCTTGAACCTGGGAGGCAGAGGTTGCAGTGAGCCACGATAGCGCCACTACACTCCAGCCTGGGCAACAGAGTCCATCTCAAAAAAAAAAAAACCCCACAAAAAAATGACAACTTGTATATATTTATGCTGTATAACATTGTTGCGATATGTGTAAACATTGTGGAATGATTAAAGCATGCTAATTAACATATCTATCACCTCACGTATCATTTTTGTGAATGCTAGATACTATTTAGTATTATATTTGAGTGGTAGGATTCAAGGGAATCCTCCTTTTTTTTCACTTGTCTATATTTTCAAATTTTCTTTTCTTTCTTTTCTTTTTTTTTTTTTTGAGAAGGAGTTTCACTCTTGTTGCCCAGGCTGGAGTGCAATGCCACGATCTCGGCTCACCACAACCTCCACCTCATAGGTTCAAGTGATTCTCCTGCCTCAGCCTCCCAGGTAGCTGGGATTACAGGCACGCGCCACCACGCCCCGCTAGTTTTGTATTTTAGTAGAGACAGGGTTTCTCCATGTTGGTCAGGCTAGTCTCAAACTCCTGACCTCAAGTGATCCACCTGCCTTGGCCTCCCAAAGTGCTCGGATTACAGGCGTGAGCCACTGCACCCGGCCCTTATATTTTCAAATTTTCTAAAATAATGTGTGCTATTTTGTAATGAGAAAAAAGAAAGAATCCAAGTGTTCTTAAATGTTATCAACAAATACTATTTTCTTTTTTGCCAATAAAATTAACAAAGTTGGGCCGGACGCAGTGGCTCACATCTGTAATCTCAGCACTTTGGGAGGCCAAGGCAGGCTGATCACCTAAGTTCAGGAGTTTGAGACCAGCCTGGGCAACATGGCAAAACCCATCTCTACTAAAAATAAAAATTAGTCAGGCATGGGCACCCCTCCCCCACCATGCTATAATCCCAGCTACTCGGGAGGCTGAGGCAGGAGAAATGCTTGAACCGGGGAGGTGGCAGTTGCAGTGAGCTGAGATCACGCCACTGCACTCCAGCCTGGGCAACAGTGAGACTCTGTCTCAAATAAAATGAAATAAAATTAGCAAAGTTGAAAAACTGATAATACGTGGTGGTGACAAGAATTCAGAGAAATGGGTACTCTTATGCACTGTCAGATTTGAAGGTGGGGTACAGCAACACCGGCCAAACCATGTGATGATCATATAAATCAACAAAAACTCTTATGGCCTTGGTGGGAGAATAAGGAGGGTACTACCAATTTGGCAATATCCAGTAAACTGACAGTGCACATACTCTATCCCCCAGCAGCTCCACCCCAGTTAGAAACTCTTGCTCATATACACAAGAAGACATTTACAAGAATGTTTATAGCAATGTTGCCTATAATAGTGAAAAAGTGGGCCAGGAACAGTGGCTCACGCCTGTAATCCCAACACTTTGGGAGGTCAAGGGGAGGGGGGGTGGATCACAAGGTCAGGAGATCGAGACCATCCTGGCTAACACGGTAAACCTAGTCTCTACTAAAAATACAAAAAAAAAAAAAAATAGCCGGGCGTGGTGGCACGCGCCTGTAATTTCAGCTACTGGGGAGGGTGAGGCAGGAGAATCACTTGAACCCAGGAGGCGGAGGTTGCAGTGAGCCGAGATCGTGCACTGCACTCCAGCCTGGGTGACAGAGCAAGACTCCATCTCAAAAAAAAAAAAAAAAGAAAAAGAAAAAATGGAAACAATATAAATGTTCACGAAGAAGAAAATTAAAATTTGATGGCATAGTCATATAATGAACACCACACAAACAGCTATGAAAATAAATGAACTAGAGCTACATGTGTAAACCTGTAAGCCTCAAAAGTGTAATGCTGTAGAAAAAGAGCAAATCACAGGAGAATATGTGCAGTAAGAAGTTTAAAGACAAGAAGAACAGTACTATATATTGTTTATGCATGCATATGCATATACATGTATAATATATAGCAAAAGTTAAAAACCCTGCATGGGTCTGAGGAACACAAAATTGCGGATATGATTCCTCTAGGGAAAGATGGGCTCTGGGAGGGCTAGATAGGATGTTTCAATATGTCTTAATACTTTATTTCATTAATAAAATAGATCTAAAGCAAATATGGCAAAATGTTAAGGTCTGACAAACTGCATGTTGGGTATATGGGTATTTATTATCATATCCAGTAGACTGTTAGGACTGCTTGAAACATTTCTTAATAAAAATGAATGGGGAAAAATGTACATATGCTTTGAGCTAGCAGTTTCTCTGCTGGTAATTTATTTATTCTAGGGAAACCCTTACAAATGTTTGCAAGAGATTTACCTACCAACACCTTTATTGTAAGTATTATTTATGATATAAAAAATTGGAAAAAACCTAATCTAGCAATAAGGGCTTGTTTAACTATAATACAACACCTCCATAGGGTAAAATATAATGCAGATCTTAAAATGATAACCTAGAAGAATATTTATGGATACAAAGAAAAATTCACAATATTTTGTTAAGAAAAATACTATAAAAGAGTTTAATCTCAATTTATAAAATAAAGTAATATCTATCTATATATGTAGATTCACGAATAGAAGAAAGCGAAGAAGGAAATACACAAAAATGTCCACAATCATTGTCTCTGAGCAGCGTTATTGTAGAAGCTTTGTATTTTCTGGATTTCTCCCACATATATATAATAGATACGTAACAGTTTATAATTAGAAAACTATATGTTTTTAAAAGATACCAATAAGATGGTTTTGGTGGGAGATAATATGGAATTAGACAAAAAAGCAGCAACCGCAGGATGAATAAAAAAAGAGACAAAATCAAGAGTGATGAAGAAGGTATAATCGACAAGAATTTCTAACAGATTAAGAAGGGAGGAGAAAGGAGAAATATCATGATCACTTGCTGGTTTCTGACTTGGGCGCCTGGGCAGCTAATGATACCATTCCCTGAAATAAGAAATGTACGAGGGAGATCAGATCCAGCATGAAAGATGAACGAGGAGTACAATTTGGAACAGGATGAGATTGAGAGGCCCCAGGCCATTGTGGCAAACAGTGTGGAGCTCCTATCCTGTATTCACTCCCTCCTGTCTACCTTTTAACAGGAGCCCCTTGCCAATGACTGGTTTAGGAATGGGCAACTAACCAACATCTGGCAAACGATATGCTAGAGAAAGTCTACTGGAAGTTCCTGGGAAAGGTTTCCTGGCTCCTAAGAAAAAGACAATAGTACTAGATGCCCCTCTTTCTTCCTCTGAACATGTCATTTCTGGGTGTGATATCCAGATCTTGGTAACTATCCTGCAGCCCTGTGGCGAGGTAACCTGAGGGCAAAGCCAGCAGAAGGGAGAGGTGGGAAGCATATGTGTCCTTGACAGTGTTGACAGAATTATTTATTAACTAACCCCAGAACTTGCTTATCTCTAGACTCCTTGTTATGGGGGATAATAAACCCTTATTGCTTATGCGTTTTGAGTCAGGATGTTCTATTGCTTGCAACATTTATCTGAAGTAATATAGGCAATTCTGTGGAGGTGTCCAGAGGTAGAACAAAGGCTTTTGAGAGGAAGACTTGCCTGAAGTCAAAAGTAGCAGAGTCTTAATCCTATTTACAATCTCGGATAAGTTGTTTGGTGGATTTTATTTTATTTTATTTTGAGAAAGGATCACCCAGGCTGGAGTGCAGTGGTGCAATCACAGCTCATTGCAGCCTCGACCTCCCAGGCTCAAGTGATCCTCCCACCTCACCCTCCCCCATAGCTGGGACTACAGGCATGTGCCACCACATCTGGATAATTTTTGTATATTTTGTAGAGATGGGGTTTTGCCATGTTGCCCAGGCTGGTCTTGAACTCCTGGGCTCAAGCGATCTTCCAGCCTCAGCCTCCCAAAGTGCTGGGATAACAGGCATGAGCCACTGTCCCGGCCTGTTTGGTGTTTTTAAATTGTCTTAAAATTGGAAATTTAGTACAATTCTATAATATTGTATGTTATATTTTATTTACATAAGTGTATGCTTATTTTATTTTATTTTATTTTATTTTATTTTATTTTTTGAGACAGAGTTTCAATCTTGTTGCCCAGGCTGCAGTACAATGGCGCAGTCTCGGCTCACTGCAACCTCCACCTCCTGGGTTCAAGTGATTCTCCTGACTCAGCCTCCCAAGTAGCTGGGATTACAGGTGCATGTCATCATGCCCAGCTACTCTTGTATTTTTAGTAGAGACGGAGTTTCACCATGTTGGTCAGGCTGGTCTCGAACTCCTGACCTCAGGTGATCCACCTGACTTGGCCTCCCAAAGTGCTGGGATTACAGGCGTGAGCCACCACGCCTGCCTGCTTATTTTATTATAAATATATTATATTTTATTTTTATGAGTGTATGCTTATTTTTAATCTAATAATACTGAAGTTTAGGCCAGTCAAAGTGGCTCACGCCTGTAATCCCAGCAGTCTAGGAGGCTGAGGCAGGCAGATCACATGAGGCCAGGAGTTCGAGACCAGCCTGGCCAACATGGTGAAACCCCGTCTCTACTGAAAATACAAAAATTAGCTGGGCATGGTGGTGTGTGCCTATAATCTCAGGTACTAGGGAGGCTGAGTCAGGAGAATCACTTGAACCCAGGAGGTGGAGGTTGCAGTGAGCCGAGATTGTGCCATATATATAAGTTTATAAGGTAAAAAGTGAAATTCTCACTTTCATTCTCCCACTAATCCCATTTTTTTACTCAGGAGCAATTACCTGCTGATAATAATATGATGAGTTTTCCTTCAGATATTTTACTGAGCATTTTGCACACACACACACATACACACACACATACATACATACACATTTTTACTAAAATTGGAAGCAATATTTAAGATGGTCTAAAGTTTCGGACTTGGCAGTCCTGTGGAAGGAAAAAGAAAAAAAAGATGATCTAAGGTAAAACATAGGCCATGGAGCATACCTGAAATTCATGGTAGAGAGCACTGGTACCTCAAAAACATAAAGCAGTCATCTTTCAGAAGAGCCGAAGTAATATGTCAGTGGACCTGTGAGAAATGGGCTAGACAAGAAAGACATACATATGTATTAACAGAGTGTGTTCAGAGAAAACAAAGATATTAAAGTCAGAAGTCTCAGAGATAGACCCTTCAATTTTCAGACATTGATTAATGACAGAGCTTCTCATGTGGGCAATTCAATGCAGCATGCTCTGGGATGAGTCATTTTGGATCATGCGCCAAGATTCTCCACGATGTGTAGCAGTAGCAGGGATTCATTTGTGTAAGGATGAGTAATAATTTATTTGTGTAAGGATGGGTAATGCTGAGGAAATTAAGGAGTATCATATTTATAAAATCACACTATATAGGTTAGTCTAAAATTATTTTAATTTAACAATATATCTTGGAGATCTGTTCATGTTGAGCTCGTTTTTTTCACAGGCTGTGTGGTATTTCATAGTATGAATGTACTGTACATTACCATTACCACTTCGACTGATATTTGAGATATTTTCAGTTATTTATTATTACCAACAATGATGTAGTAAACATCCTTGCACATGTACTTTTGTACAAATGTGTGACTGTTCCAGTGTGGTAGATTCCTAGATGTAAAATTGCTGGGTCAAAGGGTATGTATACTTTATATTTTAATTATCATTTAGAATTGCCTACCAAAAAGCCCGTATCAATTATTATTTCTACCAAAAGTATGTAAGAGCATACATCTTCATACCTTCCTCGACCTTGTACACTATCAATCCTTTTCATTTTCACCAATTTACTTTATTCTTTTTCTTATTTTTTGAGACGGAGTCTTGCTTTGTCGCCCAGGCTGGAGTGCAGTGGCACAATTTCGGCTCACTGCAACCTCCGCCTCCCGGGTTCAAGCGATTCTCCTGTCTCAGCCTCCCGAGTAGCGGGATTACAGCGGCACGACGCCACGCCAGGCTCATTTTTTGTATTTTAGTAGAGACGGGTTTCACCGTGTTGCCTAGGCTGGGTTTCACCGTGTTGCCCAGGCTTATCTCGCACTCCTGAGCTCAGGCAATCCACCTGCCTCGGCCTCTCCAAGTGCTGGGATTACAGGCGTGAGCCACCGCGCCCAGCCCATTTTCACCAATTTAGTGGTGAAAAATGATACCTCATTCTTTTAATTTTCATTTTGCTGATTATATATTACTAAATTAGAGCTTATCCTTATTTTTATTTTATTATTATTATTATTATTATTATTTTTTGAGACAGAGTCTTGCTCTGTCGCCCAGGCTGGAGTGCAGCAGCATGATTTCGACTCACTGCAACCTCTGCCTCCCCGGTTCAAGCCATTCTCCTACGTCAATCTCAGCCTCCTGAGTAGCTGGAATTACAGGAGTGTGCCACCACACCTGGCTAATTTTTTGTAGTTTTAGTAGAGATGGGGTTTCATCATGTTGGCCAGGCTGATCTCAAACTCCTGACCTCAAGTGATCTGCCCGCCTCGGCCTCCCAAAGTGCTGGGATTAGAGGCGTGAGCCACTGCGCCTGGCCTAGAGCTTATTTTTATAAATTCATTCCTCAGTATCCTTGAGGAATTGGTTCCAGGTCCCACACAGATACCAAAATCTATGGCTGCTTAAGTCCTTATATAAAATGCTGTATTTGTTGCATATAACCTACATACATCCTCCTGTGTACTTCAAATCATCTTTAGATTACTTATAATAAAATGTAAATACTATGTAAATGGCTTTTATATAGTAGTTTTAAAAAATTGTATTTCTTATTGTATTGTGATTTTTTATTTTTATTTATTTTTATTTATTTATTTTTTTGAGATGGAGTTTCACTCTGTCACCCAGGCTGGAGTGCAGTGGTGTGATCTCAGCTCACTGCAAGCTCCACCTCCCAGGTTCATGCCATTCTCCTGCCTCAGCCTCCCGAGTAGCTGGGACTATGGGAGCCTGCCACCATGCCCGGCTAGTTTTTTTTTTTTTGTATTTTTAGTAGAGACGGGGTTTCACCATGTTAGTTTTTTTCCAAATATTTTAAATTCTCGGTTGGTTGAATCCGTGTATGGATGAAATCTCAGATGTGAAACCCATGGATATGGATATGGATATGGATATGGAGGGCCACCTGTACTGTATATGCATTCATCATTTATATATCCTCTCTTCTGAGTTGCTGGTTAATGTATCTTGTTCATTTTTTTCTAGTTTTTTTAAATTAATAACCTACAGGAACTGTTATAACAGTGAGATTTTAATCTTTTGTCTATTGTATGTTTTAAACATATTTTTTCCTAATCTGTTGTTCTTGTTTTTCAATTTTATTTTTAGTCTCTTTTGCCATATATAAATGTAAAATTATGTTGCTTAATCTGTAAATCTTTTTTCTTTGCAGCTCCTGGATTTTTGATTTCCAACACCAAGATTTAAATAAATGCATTCTTTTTATTTACTTCCAGTATTATTATTATTTTTTTCGAGACACAGTTTCACTCTGTCACCTAGGCTGGAGTGCAGTGGCGCAATCTCGGCTCACTGCAACCTCTGCCTCCCAGGTTTAAGCGATTCTCCTGCCTCAGCCTCTGGAGTAGCTAGGATTACAGGCGCCTGCCACCTCGGCCGGCTAATTTTTGTATTTTTAGTAGAGAGGAGGTTTCACTATATTGCCCAGGCTGGTCTTGAACTCCTGACCTCAAGTGATCCACCTCCCTCGGGCTCTCAAAGTGCTGAGATTACAGGTGTGAGCTACCGCGTCCAGCCTACTTCCAGTATTTTATAGTTTTGTTTTTTATGTTTACAATTTTTTCCCTCAAAAAGAAACTTTTTTGTGTGGAAAATTTCAAACATACAAAAGTAGAGAAAACAGTATAATTAATCGCCATATATATCCATTACCTAACCACCAACTATCAACTCATTCCCAGTCTCGTTTCGTCTGTACCTCCCTGCCCGACTCCTATATTAATTTGAAGCCAATCCCAGGCATTTTATTTCATTTGTAAATGTTTTAGTATGTTTCTCTAAAAGATAAAGATGCTTTAAATAAATAACCATATATCATTATTGCACCTAAAAATGACTAAAATGCCTTTTTGTCATACACAAAATCCACACATCTATATAATTCTACTTTTTAACTTTATATTTTGTTTCCTTGCTATTTTGTTTCTTTTCTCAAAAATTAAAAAGGAAAGAAAAGGTTGGAGCTACAGTACTCCATCTCTGCTCCTTCTCTCCCTCCATATGAGTTTACAGGGTAAAAAGTCAAGGGCTTCCCTAACCAATCCATTGCTTTTCTCAGAGGTAAATTAGTACTGATAATGTAAATTTCCTTTCAGATCTTATACTGGACATTTACACACACACATATTTTTGCTGAAATTGGAGGGAATGTTTAAGATGGTTTTTGGTAAAACAGAGACCGTAAGCCACCATCTTAAAGTTGGTAGTTTACACACACACATAAGCAATGTATTCTTTGGCTATTTATTTATTTATTTTATTTTTTGAGACAGAGTCTCACTCTGTCACCCAGGCCGGGGTGAGAGGTGAGCTCAGCTCTCTGTACCCTCCGCCTCCCAGGTTCAAGTGATTCTCCTGTCTCAGCCTCCCAAGTAGCTGGAATTACAGGCGCCCGCCACCACACCCCGCTAATTTTTTGTATTTTTAGTAGAGACGGGGTTTCACCATGTTGGCCAGGCTGGTTTTGAACTTCTGACTTCAAGTGATCCGCCCACCTTGGCCTCCCAAAGTGCTGAAATTACAGGCGTGAGTCACCGCGCCCAGCCTATTTTTTTTTTTAATTTTACTAATGCATTTATTTATTAGTATGATGAAATGTACATAACAAAATTTACCGTTGTAATAATTTTCATGTGTACAATTCAGTGGTATTAAGTACATTCACATTGTTGTGCAACTATCACCATCTATTACCAGAACTTTTTCACCATCCCAAACTGAAACTCTGTCCCCATTAAACAATGACTCCCGGCCGGGCATGGTGGCTCAAGCCTGTAATCCCAGCACTTTGGGAGGCCAAGGTGGGTGGATCATGAGGTCAGGAGTTTGAGACCAGCCTGGTCAATATGGTGAAACCCCGTTTCTACTAAAAATACAAAAATTAGCCAGGCGTGGTGGTGTGCACCTGTAGTCCCAGCTACTCGGGAGGCTGAGGCAGAAGAATTGCTTGAACCCAGGAGGTGGAGGTTGCAGTGAGCTGAGATTGCACCGCTGCACTCCAGCCTAGGCGACAGAGCAAGACTGTCTAAAAAATAAATAAATAAATAAATAAATAAATAAAAGAAGAAAAGAAAAGAGATTTAATTGACTTACAGTTCTGGAGGGCTCAGGAGGCCTCAGGAAATTTACAATCATGGCAGAAGGGGAAGCAAATACACCCTTTTTCACATGGCAGCATGAGAGAGAGGAATGAGCAAAAAGGGGAAAAGCCCCTTATAAAGCCATCAGATCTTGTGAGACCTCACTCACTGTCATGAGAACAGCAGCATGCGGGTAACCACCACCCCCATGATTCAAATACCTCCTACCAGGTCCCTCCCACAACATGTGGGGATTATGGGAACTATAATTCAAGATAAGATTTGGGTCAGGACACAGCCAAACTATATCATTCCGCCCTGGCCCCTCCCAAATCTCAGGTCCTCACATTCCAAAACACAATCAGCCCTTCCTACAGTCCACCAAAGTCTTAACTCATTCCAGCATTAACTCAAAAGTCCAAGTCCAAAGTCTCATCTGAGACAAGCCAAGTCCCTTTCACCTATGAGCCTGTAAAATCAAAAGCAAGTTAGTTACTTCCTTGATACAATGGGGGTACAGGCATTGGGTAAATACACCCATTCCAGATGGGAGAAATTGGCTAAAACAAAGGGGCGACAGACCCCATGCAAGTCCAAAATCCAGTGGGGTAGTCAAATTTTAAAGCTCTGAAATGATCTCCTTTGACTCCATGTTGCACATCCAGGTCATGCTGATGCAAGAGGCAGGCTCCCACAGCCTTGGGCAGCTCTGCCCCTGTGGCTTTGCAGGGTACAGCTCCCCTCCTGGCTGCTTTTACAGGCTGCCATTGAGTGTCTGCAGCTTTTCCAGGTGCTCGGTGCAAGCTGTCAGTGGATCTACCATTCTGGGGTCTGGAGGATGGTAGCCCTCATCTCACAGCTCCACCAAGCAGTGTCCCAGTGGGGACTCTGTATAGGGGCTCTGACCCCACCTTTCCCTTCTGTACTGCCCTAACATAGGTTCTCCACGAGGACTTCACTCCTGCAGCAGAATTCTGCCTGGACATTCAGACATTTCCATTTATCCTCTGAAATCTAGGCAGAGGTTCCCAAGCCTCAGTTCCTGTCTTCTGTGCACCTGCAGGACCAACACCATGTGGAAGCTACCAAGGCTTGGATCTTGCACTCTCTGAAGCAATGGCCAGAGCTGTACCTTGGCCCCTTTTAGCCCTGGTTGGAGGTGAAGCAGCTGGGACACAAGGCACCATGTCCTGAGGCTACATAGAGCAGGGGAAGCTGGGCCCAGACTAGGAAACCATTTTTCCCTCCTAGGCTTTGGGCCTGTGATGGGAGGGGCTGCCTTGAAGAGTTCTGACAGGCCCTGGAGACATTTTCCCCCTGCCTTGGCAATTAACATTTGGCTCCTTGTTACTTATGCAAATTTCTGCAGCTTGCTTGAATTTCTCCTCAGAAAATGTGTTTTTCTTTTCTATCACATCATCAGGCTGCAAATTTTCCAAACTTTTATGCTCTGCTTCCCTTTCAAACCTAAGTTCCAATTCCAAACCATTTCTCTCAAGTTCAAAGTTCCACAGATCTCTAGGGCAGGGGCAAAATACTGCCAGCCTCTTTGCTAAAGCATAACAAAAGTCACCTTTGTTCCAGTTCCCAACAAGTTCCTCGTCTCCATTTGAGACCACCTCAACCTGGACTTCATTGTCCCTATCACTATCAGCATTTTGGTCAAAGCCATTCAACAAGTCTGCAGGAAGTTTCAAACTTTCCCACATCTTCCTGTCTTCTGAGCCCTCTAAGTCTCTAGGAAGTTCCAAAATTTCCCATATTTTCCTGTCTTCTTCTGAGCCCTCCAAACTGTTCCAACCTCTGCCCATTACCCAGTTCCAAAGTCACTTCCACATTTTCGGGTATCCTTATAGCAGCACCCCAGTCTACCAGTAACAATTTACTGCATTAGTCTGCTCTCACACTGCTAATAAAGACATACCTGAGGCTGGGTAATTTATAAAGAAAAGAGGTCTAATTGACTCACAGTACTGCAGGGCTGGGGAGGCCTTAGGAAACTTACAATCATGGTGGAAGGGAAAGCAAACACGTCCTTCTTCACATGGCAGCAGGAGAGAGAAGAATGAGCAACAGGGGGAAAAGCCCTTTATAAAACCATCAAATCTTGTGAGAACTCACTCACTATCATGAGAATAGCAGCATTGGGGTAACTGCCCCCATGATTTAATTACCTCCCATGGGGTCCCTCCCATGATAGGTGGGGATTATGGGAAGTGCAATTCAAGCTGAGATTTAGGTGGGGATACAGCCAAACCATATCAGTATGTTGATATATTTTCTATCTAAATTTTATATCCTCAAAATGATTTATTTATACAATTTAATAGGAATATTTGTTATGAGCCAAATGTTTGTGTTCCCCGCAAAATTCATATGTTGAAATCCTAACCCCCAAGGTGATGTTATTAGGAGGCAGTGCACTTATAAGAGAGGCCTGGGAGATACCTGTCACCCATTCCACCATGTGAAGACACAGCAAGAAGACAGTCATCTGTAAATCAGAATGCATGGTCCCACTAGACACCAAATCTGCTGGTACCTTGATTTTGGACTTCCCAGCATCTGGAACTGTAAGAAATAAATTTCTGTTTTTTATAAGCTACCCAGTCTATGGTATTTTGTTACAGCAGCCCCAACGGACTAAGATAAAGTTTTTATGTGAAGCTATTTATAATGTAATCAGAAATTGCTGCATAGCAAGATATAGCTCTGCTTCTAGTGGCACTTACATTACAAACTCATTGAGTGAATGGGATCTGAGAACCAAGTCTCTCTTTATCTCCTGTAACATCCAACGCAGTGCCTTGCACTTGGTAGGTATTCTTAAATATGTGCTTAGCTTATGAAAGAAAGGCAATTTTCACAAAGAAAATGGCTTTTTAAAGTAGACTGCTTTCTGTAGGGTTTTTTGATCTAGAGTTTGGTTGAGATCTTATTTCCCCAACTAGTTTTCATAGGAGTATGAGTGAAATAAACATGTCGTTAATATCCTCTTTCTTACCACTTAAGTGACTTAGGTTTAAAAAAAAGAAAAAGGGGCCAGCATGGTAGCTCACTCCTGCAATCCCTGTAATCCCAGCACTTTGGGAGGCCAAGGTGGGTGGATCACCTGAGGTCAGGAGTTCAAGACCAGCCTGGCCAACATGGTGAAACCCCGTTTCTACTAAAAATACAAAAATTAGCCAGGCGTGGTGGCAGGTGCCTGTAATCCCAGTTACTCAGAAGGCTGAGGCAGGAGAATTGCTTGAATCTGGGAGGTGGAAGTTGCAATGAGCCAAGATTGCACCACTGCTCTCCAGCCTGGGTCACAGAGTGAGACTAAGTCTTAAAATAAAATAAAAAATAAAAAAAAGGAAATGAAAAGATTTTCGAAATAAAAAAAATTTTTGAAATGTGTATTTTCTTGACTATAGAAGTTGGAGATCCACAACATTGAAGGAGAACATTTTACTTCTTTGTCCAAAACATATAATCATTAAATGTATGATGATTTAGAATAATATAATGCACACACTATTTTTTATATAGAGGCATATTTTCCTAGCTGTCCTAAACCATGAGAAAGATACTGCTCTGTCACTAGGTAGCTATGTGACCTTGAGCAGACTCTTTTTTTTTTTTTTCCCTGAGATGGAGTCTCGCTTTGTTGCCCAGGCTGGAGTGCAGTGGCATGATCTTGGCTCACTGCAACCTCTGCTTCCCGGATTCAAGCCATTCTCCTGCCTCAGCCTCCCAAGTAGCTGGGATTACAGGCATGTGCCACCATGCCCAGCTAATTTTTGTATTTTTAGTAGAGACAGGGTTTCACCATGTTGGCCAGGCTGGTCTCAAACTCCTGACCTTGTGATCCACCCGCCTTGGCCTCCCAAAGTGCTGGGATTACAGGCGTGTGTCACCACGCCTGGCTGAGCAGACTCTTAAAGTGTCTCAGCCTTGGCTTCCTCATCTGTAAAATGGGAGTATTTCTATGGTCTCATCCAGCTGTAAGTAAAGCCAAAGGAATGTTTTATGGCAAAATTGGATATCAAATGTTGACAGAGAAGATGAGGTCTCCAGAGTTGAAAAGTTGTTTACAGTTTACACATCAATAAATATGCACATGCTATTTTCGTGTTCAGATGGAAGCTAGCCACCAAAGTAACTTCCTAAGCAAAGTGGTGAGATCTAGGACCAGAGGGCCTTCCTTCCTTCCATATTTCCATATTTTTCTATCAAAGTTATATGTGCATGTAGTTTAAACTGTCAATTACTTCATAATAAAACTACAAAACTAGAAGTTTTGTTATGAAAAACCACCTTCACCTTTTACATGGTTATTTTGGTACTTACCTCTCTGTCTCTAGATCAGAGCTGTCTAATACAAATAGAATGCAAGCCACGTATATAATTAAAAACTTTCTAACAGCCACATTAAAAAGTAAAATATGAACTCAATTTTAGCAATACATTTTATAAAACTCAATTTACCAAAACATTATCATTTTAGCATGTAATCAATATAAGAAATCATTTCGATATTTTACATTTTTTGGTACCAAGTCTTTAAAATCTGCTGTGTATTTTACACTTAGAGCACATTTCAAGTTAGATGTTAAATTTTCATTGGCAATACTTGATCTGTATTTAGATTTCATGAAATTTATAATTGAAAAAGTAGATTCACATACCCAAGTTGTTCCAAATATTCTTAAATTTTTCCAATGACTGGATTGAATATCAATTTTTAAATTTAAATTAGGCTAAGTTAAATTCAGTTAAATTACATTTAAATAAAAAATTCAGTTCTTCATCCCATATTTCAAGTGCTCAATAACCATACATGGTTAGTGGCTACTGTGTTGGACAGAGCACCTCTAGATAACATGTTTGCATCGCTATTTCTTTGCTTTTTATTGACGTATAGACAATTGTCTCTCTTTTTTTTTTTTTTGAGAAGGAGTTTTGCTCTGTTGCCCAGGCTGGAGTGCACTGGTGCCATCTCAGCCCACTGCAACCTCCGCCTCTCAGGTTCAAGCAATTCTTCTGCCTCAGCCTCCTGAGTAGCTGGAATTACAGGTGCCCACCACCACGCCTGGCTAATTTTTGAATTTTTAGTAGAGATGAGGTTTCACCATGTTGGCCAGGCTGTTCTTGAACTCCTGGCCTCAGGTGATCCCCCCACTTCAGCCCCTCAAAGTGCTGGGATTACAGGCATGAGCCACTGCGCTCGGGCTAACAATTGTCTTTCTACCATGTAAGATGAAGAAGCTGGACCAGGCGTGGTGGCTCATGCCTGTAATCTCAGCACTTTGGAAGGCTGAGGCGTGCAGATCACGAGGTTAGGAGTTCAAGACCAGCCTGGCCAACATAGTGAAACCCCGTCTCTACTAAAAATAAAAAAATTAGCTGGGCATGGCGGCACATGCCTATAATCCCAGCTACTTGGAGGCTGAGGCAGGAGAATTGCTTGAACCAGGACCTGGGAGGCGGAGGTTGCAGTGAGCCGAGATCTAGCCACTGCACTCCAGCCTGGGCTATAAAGCTACACACCGTCTCAAAAAAAAAAAAAAAAAAAAAAGATGAGGAAGCTGGGAGAAGGAAATCAAATGCATGGGATTAGACACCCTCTTGGTGCTATAATCAGATTATTATGTTTAAATAACTTGATAATAATATTTTTCTTTCTATAAGAAAATAGGGGTCGGGTGCGGTGGCTCACACCTGTAATCCCAGCACTTTGGGAGGCCGAGGCAGGCAGATCACCTGAGATCAGAAGTTTGAGACCAGCCTGGCCAACATGGCGAAACCCCGTCTCTACTAAAAATACAAAAATTAGTTGGGCATGGTGGCACATGCCTGTAATTCCAGCTACTCAGGAGGCTGAGACAGGAGAATCACTTGAACCTGGCAGGTGGAGGTTGCAGTGAGCTGAGATCGCGCCATTGCACTCCAGCCTGGGCAACAGGAGCGAAACTCCATCTCAGGAAACAAACAAACAAACAAAAATAGCATTGGAAAATATTTTAATATTCAGCTTAATTTGATAACCAAATTTATGCAAAATGCTATGTAAGTATGCAGAAGCAAAAGAGCTTGGAACAGAGCATGGCAGATTGTATTTTCCAAAGAAGGCCACACAATATCTACCATCCCACCTACTCTTCTCAGAACATGATCTTGACACTCTTCCCATCAAGAGGTGTGATCTATGTCCCATTCCCTAGAAATTGTAGGAGTTGGAGTTCCTTATTTGCTGTCTTTAAAACTTTGTTAGTGTCTAAAACATTCTGAGGCAGGAGAATAGGGCCTGGAGACAGGGATCCTAAGAACTAAATTAAATGGAAAAACCCCAACCTTCTAATCCCAAGTAAATAACTTTGCAACTCTACTTCAGCTACGGCAGGAAACATCCTCTTCATTTGCATAGGGTGTACACCAAGTAAATAACTTTGTGACTTCACTTAGCCCATTCATCTACAGAGGGCGTACGCCAAGTAACCAATGGAAATCTCTAGAGGGTATTCAAACTTCAGAAAATTCTGTAACTGGGCCCTGGAGCCCCTTTCTCAGGCCCGCTCCTGCCCTGTGAAGTGTGCTTTTATTTTCAAAAAATCTCTGCTTTTGTTGCTTCATTCTTTCCTTGCTTTGTTTGTGCGTTTTGTCCAATTCTTTGTTCAGGACACCAAAAACCTGAACATCCTCCAGCGGTAATAATTCCACCATAAAAGTGGGCTTTTATGACGGTTTTGACCAGTTAGAGCAATAGCGACACTGTGAGACTTCCAAGGCTGAGTCATGAAAGGCAATGCAGCTCCCAGCTGTTTCGCTGCAATAGTCTCTCTTGAAGCTGTTCGTAGCTAGTAAACAGTCTGACTGCCCTGAGGCTGCCATGCTGTGAGGAAGCCAAAGCAGTCCACTTGGAGAGGCTATAGGGCAAGATGCTGAGCCTACGGGAAGAGACTGACTCTGATCAGCACAGCTGCCCCAGTGCCCTGCTCCCTGCCATTCCAGCACCTGCCACCATCTGACTGCAACCCAATAAAAGGCCTCGAACTGGACTCCCAGATGAGCCCTTCCCAGATTACTGACCCACAGAAACTATGAGAGATAATAAAATGGTTGTTGTTGTTCTAAGTCTCTAATTTTGGGGTGATATGTTATACATCAATAGTAACCACAGTACAAGGTGTTATTTGTTTCTCTGTGACATTTGGTACCCCTTCTCTGGAACTCAGTTTCTGCCCTGTCGCCCAGGCTGTAGTGCAGTGGTATGATCACAGCCCACCGCAACCTTGAACTCCTAGGCTCAAGCGATCCTCTTGCCTGAGCCTCCTGAATAGCTGGGACTACATGCGTGCACCACCATGCCCGGCTAACTTTTTTATTTTTAGTAGAGACAGGGCCTCACTATGTTGTCCAGGCTGGCCTTGAACTCCTGGGCTCAAATGATCCTCCCACCTTGGCTTCCCAAAGTGCTGGGATTACATGTGTGAGTCACTGCACCCAGCCTGGAACTCAGTTTCTTGATTTGAATGATGTCTAAGGTCCCTTGCAGAGCAAACACTCTTTTATTACATCCTCTTTATGACCCAGTTTAACACTTGTGCAATAAGATTCTGCTAGCATCCAACTGAGTCTTGTTCAGTTTCAAAACAATTTTATCAGCATGATTTTAAAATCCTATATCATTATTATACTTTACATTTGCAAAGCATTTTTAACTTTTCAAAACTCCTTTATATTCATTATTTCATCTAATCCTCCCAACAGACCTATGAAGTAAGCAGGGTAGGTATTAATGAATGAGAAATTGAAAAATAAGATTACGCGTAGACCAGATTCTTGAATTACAGACTAGGGGAATTGGAAGGATCCTCAATGGTAATTCCTTTTGAAAGATAAGGAAACTGAGAAATGGAGATTTTAAACGTCTTGACCACATTCAAATAGGTAATCAAAAATTGAAATGAAAACTAAAGTCTTTTGGATGGGCATGGTGGCTCACACCTGTAATCCCAGCACTTTGGGAAGCTGAGGCAGGAGGATTGCTTGAGCCCAGGGGTTCAAGACCAGCCTGGACAACACAGTGAGACCTCATCTCTACAAAAAAACAAAAACAAACTAAAGTCTTCTGATCTTGGCTTGACTAGTTAGAATCTCACTCAATTTTGCTTTAGATTAATGCCCTGATTATGTCCAAATTTATTCACCCTGAGACATGCTAAGTTGTATGGTGCTTGACAGAAGCCTGCTGTTGTTATGTTAATCAAAAATTCTCTCTTTCTTATTCCTTATTTCCTGTCTTTAAAACTTTGTTAGTGTCTAAAACATTCCACCAAAGTGTTTCATTTCAGTGTTAACTCAGACACAAGTGATGATAATTATGTTCCAAAGTTTAGAAAATCATGCACAAATTATCAATTAAGCAAATGCTTCAACAGTTATATGCCTCATCAAGAGAAATTATGCAAACTCTGGGAGAATGACAATTTTACACAAGATGTTTTTATTTATTACATTTCCTAAATTGTTGTGGATAATTTCCAATAACTTTATCAAAATATTACACCATTTACATTCCAGATGAAATTTTGAGATCAGAAATTTTTCTCGAATGTGTTATAAATATGAAACCCCTATGCCAATCTTCGGCATAGATGTGAAATATGAAAAGTTTGTCAAAGTCAATGTCTCTTAAACTGTACTCATTATATTTCCTACAAATCTGCTTCTCCCTCAGTGATCATCATGTTGAATAACACTATCATCAGGTGCCCACTCACCTGAATTAGAAACTTTGTAATTCGCCAGGTGCTGTGGCTCACGCCTGTAATCCCAGCACTTTGGGAGGCCAAGGTGGGCAGATCACGAGGTCAGGATTTCCAGACCAGCCTGACCAACATGGTGAAACCTCGTCTCTACTAAAAATACAAAAATTAGGTGGGCCTCGTGGTGGATGCCTGTAATCCCAACTACTCGGGAGCTTGAAGCAGGAGAATCGCATGAGCCCAGGAGGCGGAGTTTGCAGTGAGCCGAGATTGCGCCATTGCACTCCAGCCTGGGCAATGGAGTGAGACTCCATCTCAAAAAAAAAAAAAAGAAAGAAAAAGAAACTTTGTAATTCATTTTAGTATCTCCTTCTTCCTTGCACCCTCATTCTCCACCATGTATCTAATATGTCACCTAGTCCCATTGACTCTGTGAGACAGCTCCTGAATCTGTCCTCACCATTTCCATTCTAATTTAAGTTCATATTCAGGCAGCAGTAAAGCAATGTGATGGCTGTAAGAAGTTGGATATGAGTGCTTAAAACACAGCCCTCTTGAATTTGTGTGGGGTCTTTGCTCCATTCCATTCGGTTTAATAAAACAAAACTTACTGAGCACCTACTATGTGCTAGATAATCTGCTATGTTCTGGAGGGTACCAAGATAACTATGAAACAAGATTCAGGCCCTTAAAGGGACAGATACTGAGACGAATAATTACAATACAGTGAAAGGCAGGGTAGAACAGTGTCCATGATGAAAATGTAATTTATCTGGAAAGAGTTTTCAGGGAGGTAGCCTCAGAGTAGTTTTGAAGATTTGGAAGCAGACCAGTGCTGGAAGTTTGTTGTAGACAAAAGAAGAACTTGGAAAAGTTATGGAATTGATGTCCCGGTAAGATAGTGCATGATAGACCCTCTCCCGTCTAAATTCAAAATATCTATAAATATAATATAAAAGCAAAACAGGAAAAACTTATGGACAAATTTAAAAGTAGGATAAGCAGGCTGGGTGCGGTGGCTCATGCCTGTAATCCCAGCACTTTGGGAGGCCGAGGCGGGCAGATCACCTGAGGTCAGGAGTTTGAGATCAGCCTGGTCAACATGGTGAAACCCTATTTCTACTAAAAATACAAAAATTATCCGGGCGTGGTGACTCACGCCTGTAATCCCAGCACTTTGGGAGGCCGAGGCAGGCCGATCATGAGGTCAGGAGTTCGAGACCAGCCTGACCAATACGATGAAACCCCGTCTCTACTAAAAATACAAAAATTAGCCAGGCATGGTGGCACATGCCTGTAGTCCCAGGTACTCTGGGGGCTGAGGCAGGAGAATCACTTGAACCCGGGAGGCAGAGGTTGCAGTGAGCCGAGAGCGCACCATTGCACTCCAGCCTGAGCAACAAGAGTTAAACTCCATTTCAAAAAATTAAAATTAAAATTTTAAAAAAAAGTGGGATAAGCAACTGCTTAGATAGAAATGGAACAGAGATAGGAAAGGATGAGGACCTAAAGCCTCAGGTTCGGGAGGCACTGGATCTGGAAACTGCTGGTGATTATGCAGGATAAAGGGAGCTAAACAGAATCCATACAAGGACAGTGATCTGGGTCTCTGATTAAGGTCAGTGGTTGGAATGGCACCACCTCACCCAGTAAAGAGGCTAGGAGGAGAAAAGCTATTGTCAATCTATGGCTTTTAGTAAACTATGCATGTAGGAAGGTGGGAGGACACGGATACAGCCTTGGCACTTAGAAGTGGATCAAATCATCCGCTGGATACCATCTGAAAGACCCTAGAAATGCTGTCATAAAGCTTGATTTTGAACTGGAGTCCCTGGGGGTGGGGTGAAGGCAATGTCAAAATGCTAGGGAGGATGTGAAAAAGATAGAGGAAGATGGAGACCCATCCACTCATCATTCAAAAGAGCCTACAAGTCAAAATGCCAAAAACACATTAAAAAAAATCTAAGACCAAGAAAGATAAACTATAAATCAATAACCTAATAATAAATTCACTGCAGGCAATAACTTATGGAATAGTCTGTCAAAGATTTAAAAATACATATATTAGGATGTTCAAAGAGAATTATAGAATAATTTTTATTCCAAAGAGAGTGGAATTATAAATAAAAAATTAACAGAAAAGAAATAAGCATAGGTGGATATGAAAAAGCATCAATTTCTTAAAATATTATATATAAACACAATGGAGTACTACTCAGCCATAAAAGAGAATGAAATCCTGTCATTTGCAGCAACATGAATGGAACTGGAGGACATTATGTTAGGTGAAATAAACCAGGAACAGAAAGTTAAACACTGCATGGTCTCACTCATATGTGGAAGCTAAAAAAAAAAAAAGTTGATCTCACAGAAGTAAAAAGTAGAACAGAGGATAGTAGAGTCTGGGAACAGCAGAAGAAGAGGAGATAGGGAGAGATTTGTGAAAGGATACAAAATTACAGCTAGATAGGAGGAATTATTTCTAGTGTTCCATAGCACTGTACTGTGACTCTAGTTAGCAATAACATATAGTTTCAAATAGCTAGAAGGAGGATATTGAATGTTCTCAACAAAAGAAGCGATAAATGTTTGAGATGATGGATATGCTAATTACCATGATCTGCTCACTATATGTATCAAAACATCACTATGTATTTCGTAAATATGTACAATTATTATGCGTCAATTTAAAAATATATTTAAAAGTTAGAAAGAAAAATATCTGCAATACTGTTATCAGGAAAAAGTGGTTAAGTTATTTGGATAGCTGGACTCCATTTTGTAGAAAATAAGAATACTAATCATTGAAAAAATGTATGGAAGGATATACAGCAAAATTTTAAAGGACGTTATCTCTGACTAATGAGATTGTGGGAAATTTTCTTTTGGACAATAATTTCTAATTATTTGATTATGTATGGCTATGATAATAAAATGAATGAATAAAAGATAAAATAAAATGTTTTTTTTAAAAAAGTAGATGCCAGCCGGATGCGGTGGCTCATGCCTGTAATCCTAACACTTTGGGATGCTGAGGTGGGCAGATTGCTTGAGTCCAGGGGTTCAAGACCAGCCCAGGCAACATGGTGAAAACCCATCTATACTAAAAATACAAAAAAATTAGCAGGTCATGGTGGCACACGGCTGTAGTCCCAGCTACTTGGGGGTTGAGGTGGGAGAATCGCCTGAGCCCAGGAGGTCAAGGCTGCAGTGAGCCAAGACTGCACCACTGCACTCCAGTTTGGGTGACAAACTGAGACCCTGTCTCGGAAAAAAAAAAGAAAGAAAAGAAAATACAAAAATTAGCCGGGCACGGTGGCCGGCGCCTGTAATCCCAGCTACTTGGGAGGCTGAGGCAGGAGAATTGCCTGAACCCGGGAGTGGAGGTTGTGGTGAGCCGAGATCGCGCCACTGCACTCCAGCCTGGGAGACAGAGTGAGACTCCGTCCAAAAAAAAAAAAAAGGACAATTTTGTGAATTAAAAGGTAGCTCCATAAATGCCAACCACTCTGATGGAAAAAAAAAGATAGTCCCAGTAAATCCCCCTAAAACAGAGCACAAAGCAAAAAAAGATTAGAAACAAATAGGAGGCTAGGCACGGTGTCTCATGCCTGTAATCTCGGCACTTTGGGGGGCCAAGGAGGGTGGATTGCCTGAGCTCAGGAGTTCGAGACCAGACTGGGCAACATGGCGAAACCCCGTTTCTATAAAAAAAATATATATTTTTAGAAACCGGCCAGGCACGGTGGCTCACGCCTCTAATCCCAGCACTTTGGGAGGCCGAGGCAAGCGGATCACCTGAGGTCCGGAGTTCGAGACCAGCCTGACCAACATGGTGAAATCCCATATCTACTAAAAATACAAAAATCTGTTGGATGTGGTGGTAGGCACCTGTAATCCCAGCTATTTGGGAGGCTGAGGCAGGAGAATCGCTTGAACCTGGGAGGCAGAGGTTGCAGTGAGCTGAGATTGCACTCCAGCCTGGGGGACAGAGCGAGACTCCGACTCAAAAAAAATAAATAAATAAAAAATATATAAAAAACCAAACAAATATGAAAGGGGTAGTTAAGAGATATGAAAGATAAATAGGCTGGGTGTGGTGGCTCACGCCTGTAATCCCAGCACTTTGGGAGGCCAAGGTGGGCAGATCATGAGGTCAGGAGTTCGAGACCAGCCTGGCTAACGTGGTGAAACCCCGTCTTTACTAAAAATACAAAAAATTAGCTGGGTGTGGTGGCATGAGCCTGTAGTCCCAGCACTTGGGAGGCTGAGGCAGAAGAATCGCTTGAACCCAAGAGGCAGAAGTTGCAGTGAGCCAAGATTGCATCACTGCACTCCAGCCTGGGTGACAGAGTGAGACGCCGTCTCAAAAAAAAAAAAAAAAAAGAAAAAGAAAATAAATAGAAGAGAAGCACTATTTCAAGATGTAATAACTAATAATTTTTCAAAATTAAAAGCATAAGTCCTTAGATGAATATCAAACAGCATAAAAGAATCTACAGGCCAGATGCGGTGGCTCACACCTGTAATCCCAGCATGTTGGGAGGCTGAGGTGGGCGGATCACCTGAGGTCAGGAGTTTGAGACCAGCCTGGCCAACATGGTGAAACCCTGTCTCCACTAAAAGTATGAAAAATTAGCTGGGCGTGGTGGCACATGCCTGTAATCCCAGCTACTCGGGCAGCTGAGGCAGGAGAACTGCTTGAACTTGGGAGACGGAGGTTGAAGTGAGACGAGATTGTGCCACTGCACTCCAGCCTGGGCCACAGAGTGAGACTCCATCTCAAAAAATAAATAAATAAATAAATAAATCTACAGCTAGATACATTAAAGTGAAATTGCCAAGAAGAAATAATCTAAAAGGTTATCACAGCGGCCAAAAAATTGCTTTCAAAGGTACAACAATTGTTCTAATAGCAGATTCCTCATGAACTCGACAGACAATGGAGTAATATCGGAGGGAAATGCAACCTAGACATTTATGCCCTGCTAAAATATCATTTTTTAAATGGTGGCAAAATAAGGACCTTTTCATACATACATGCTTGGAGACTTTGTCACCCATACACGTTCATGGAGAGATTTTTTTTTTTTTTATGAGATAGAATCTTGCTCTCTTGTCCAGGCTGGAGTGCAGTGGAACAGTCTTGACTCATTGCAACCTCCACCTCCTGAGCTCAAGTGATCCTCCCACCTCAGCCTCCCAAGTGGCATGGGTGTGCCCCTCCATGCCCAGCTAATTTTTTTTTTATTATTTGTAAAGATAGGGTTTCACTATGTTGCCCAGGCTGGTCTTGAACTCCTGAGCTCAAGTAATCCTCCTGCCTCGGCCTCCCAAAGTGCTAAGATTACAGGCATGAGCCACTGCATCTGACCTAAAAGAATTATTAAAGGGGCTGTGTGTGGTGGCTCATGCCTATAATCCCAGCACTTTGGGAGGCCAAGGCGGCTGGATCACGAGGTCAGGAGTTCAAGACCAGCCTGGCCAAGATGGTGAAACCCCGTCTCTACTAAAAATACAAAAATTAGCTAGGCGTGGTGGCTGATGCCTGTAATCCCAGCTACTCTGGAGGCTGAGGCAGGAGAATTGCTTGAACCTGGGAGGTGGAGGTTGCAGTGAGCAGAGATCATGCCACTGCACTCCAGCCTGGGCAACACAGAAAGACTCCTTCTCAAAACAAACAAACAAAGAAACAAATAATTATTAAAGGATGTACTTCAGCAAGAACAAAAGTGAGCTCAAAAAGAAAAAACAATAAAAAAAAAAAGTGAGCCTAGAGATGAGGTGTGGTATCTAACAGCAGTGAGAACAGAAATTGACAAAATATGTCAGAAAATTTAATTACCTGTTGACTAATACCTTAAAAAGAAAACAAATTGGGTCAGGCGTGGTGGCTCACACCTATAATCCCAGCACTTTGGGAGTCCAAGGTGGGTGGATCACGAGGTCAGGAGTTCAAGACCAGTCTGGCCAACATAGTGAAACTCTGTCTCTACCAAAAATTCAAAAATTAGCTGGGCATGGTGGCACATGCCTGTAGTCCCAGCTACTCGGGAGGCTGAGGCAGGAGAATCGCTTGAACCTGGAAGGTGGAGGTTGCAGTGAGCCGAGATCAGGCCACTGCACTCCAGCCTGGGAGACAGAGCAAGACTCTGTCTCAAAAAAAAAAAAAGATGTAAACATTAAGGATAATCACAAAAATTATAGAAATGTAATCTACATAAAGTAGCAGAGGAAGAGGAAACAAGAGAAAAAGGATTGTGAACAGAAAACAATAGTAAGAAGATAAAATTGGTAATCATCAGAAATAGTTACAGATGAACCCAACAAATGACGAAGGCTATCAGTTCAAGTAAATAAAACAAAATCCAGCTATACAGAGCTTATAAAAGTCACAGCTAAACAAAGCAACATAGAAAATTTAAAATTAAGGAGATGACATTGCTTCAAGAACTCTTATTCAACTAACATCACAGGTTCGAACTGATAGAATTACAAGAAGAAACTTATAATCCATAATTATATTGTGAGAAGTTAACAAAACTCATGATTTTTATTGATAGATTACACAAACTAGAAAATAGTAAGAATATAAAAATAAATATATAGAGGCCGGGTGCGGTGGCTCATGCCTATAATCCCAATACTTTGGAAGGCCAAGGTGGGTGGATTACCTGCGGTCGGGAGTTTGAGACCAGCCTGACCAAAATGGACAAACCCCGTCTCTACTAAAAATACAAAATTAGCAGGGCGCGGTGGCGCATGCCTGTAATCCCAGCTACTCGGGAGGCTGAGGCAGGATAATAGCTTGAACCTGGGAGGTGGAGGTTGTGGTGAGCCAAGATTGTGCCACTGCACTCCAGTCTGGGCAACGAGAGCAAAACTCCATCTCAATAAATAATTAAATAGGATATATGGGTTGAATATAGAATTTAGAAGTTTTGTAAAACACAACCAACAAACTTGAGCAAATATTTAATGTAAAACTTCATGCCTAAGAAATGGAGAATATATAGTATTCCATGGTGTATATGTGTCACATTTTCTTAATCCAGTCTATCATTGTTGGACATTTGGAATACTATGCAGCCATAAAAAATGATGAGTTCATGTCCTTTGTAGGGACATGGATGAAACTGGAAACCATCATTCTCAGCAAACTATCACAAGGACAAAAAACCAAACACCACATGTTCTCACTCATAGGTGGGAATTGAACAATGAGAACACATGGGCACAGGAAGGGGAACATCACACACTGGGGACTGTTGTGGGGTGGGGGAGGGGGGAGGGATAGCATTAGGAGATATACCTAATGTAAATGACGAGTTAATGGGTGCAGCGCACCAACATGGCACATGTATACATAGGTAACAAACCTGCACGTTGTGCACATGTACCCTAAAACTTAAAGTATAATAATAATAAAATTAAAAATAAAATAAAATAAAACAAACAAAAAGAAATGGAGAATATATATTATTTTTAATATCCAGCTCATTGTATGAGACTAGTATAACATACCAAAGCAGGACAAGGATGATATGGAAAAAGAAAATTATAAACCAATTTTATTTATGAACAGTGATATAAAAATCCTAAGTAAACTAAAATCTAACACTGTATAGAAATAATAATAATAATTAGTGACCAAGTAAGTTTACCAAAGGAATGAAAAGAACACATCAGAAAACCTATTAATGTAATGCACCAAAATAACAGATTAAAAAAAATCAGCCTGGGCAACATAGTGAGACCCCATCTCTACAACAAAAAAATATATAAAAATTTAGCCAGGCGTGGTGGTGTGCACCTGTAGTCCCAGCTATTCAGGAGGATGAGGTGGGAGGATGGCTTGAGACCAGGAGTTTGAAGCTGCAGTGAGCTATGACTGTACCACTGCACTCCAGCCTGGGTGACAGAGTGAGACCCTGTTGAAAAAAAGAAAAAATCCCCAAAACAAACAAACAGAAAACAAAACAAAACAAAAAACTCTCAAAAACGTATCAGTCCAGTAGATGCAGAAAATAAAATTTCAAAATTAATTCATTTAGTTTCAACTGAATCTGTCATGTTTAATTTCCTTAAACGACCTGGAACAGCAATACTGGTAAAATGTTGATAATTATTGAAGTTGGGTGGTGGAGATTCATTACAGTATTCTATCTACTTTTGTGTATGTTCAAAATTGTCCATAATAAAAAAGTTAAAAAGATACTCAGAAGCTAAAAAATAATCTAAAGCAATTAAAGCAAAATGGTAGGTGGGTATATGGATGTTTGAGATATTATTCTTTATACTTTTGATGTTTGAAATATTTCACAATTTAAAAACAATTAACACAAAAGAAAAGTCACAGAATCTTCCAAAACAAGATTTCTATTTTCTTTTTTTGAGACAGGGACTCACTCTGTCTGCCCAGGCTGGAGTGCAGTGGCAGGATCTCAGCTCACTGCAACCTCTGCCTCCTGGGTTCAAACAATTCTCCTGCCTCAGGCTCCTGAGTAGCTGGGATTACAGGCATGCACTACCATGCCCAGCTAATTTTTGTATTTTTTGGTAGAGACGGGGTTTCACCATGCTGGCCAGTCTGGTCTCCAATTCCTGACCTCAAGTGATCTGCCCACCTCAGCCTCCCAAAATACTAGGATTATAGGTGTGAGCCATCGTGCCCAGCCCGAAACAAGATTTCTTTGGGTCTATAAATTATTTGGTCTGGGGTCAGATAACAGGGGTAAATAGGCCGGGTGAGGTGGCTCATGCCTGTAATCCCAGCACTTTGGGAGGCTGAGGTGGGCGGATCACCTGAGGTCGGGAGTTCGAGACCAGCCTGACCAACATGGACAAACCTCGTCTCTACTAAAAATACAAAATTAGCCAGGTGTGGTGGTGCATGCCTGTAATCCCAGCTACTCGGGAGGTTAAGGCAGGAGAATCACTTGAACCCGGGAGGTGGAGGTTGTGGTGGTGAGTCGAGATCACACCATTGCACTCCAGCTTGGGCAACAAGAGCGAAACACCGTCTCAAAATAAAACAAACAAAACAAACAAACAAACAACAAAAAAGGGTAAACAATACTGGAGAGGTAGGAAGGGAGAAGATCTTTAAGGGTTTTGTGTATCATGATAATAAAATTAGATTTCCTGCTGTGGGAAATTGAGAGCGACCAAAAGATTGGGAAAAAGAAGCTACACATAGTATATTGTAAAAATAATAATAAACAATAACAGCAATATATATTTCATAATTATGTAGCACCGGTATGTAGCAGGCTTTTGTTATAGGTGCTTTACAGATACTGACTCAATACTCAAAACAATCTTTTCTTTTTTTGAGACAGAGTCTTGCTCTGTTGCCCAGGCTGGAGCGCAGTGGCGCAATCTCGGCTTATTGCAACCTCTGCCTCCCGGGTTCAGGTGATTCTCCTGCCTCAGCCTCCTGAGTAGCTGGGATTATCGGCGAGCGCCACCATGTATTTTTGTATTTTTAGTAGAGACAGGGTTTCACTATGTTGGCCAGGATGGTCTTGAACTCCTAATTTCAGGTGATCCACCCGCCTTGGCCTCCCAAAGTGCTGGGATTACAGGCGTGAGCCACCCTGCCCAGCCTCACAACAACCTTTTGACCTACTTCTACACTAAGCCTCATTTTACAGATGAGAAAATGAAGGCATAGAGAGATTAAATAACTTTCCAAAATCATACAACTGGTAACAACCTTCAAACGGTGATGCAGACAAGGAGTTTGTCTCTAAGTCTATGCTCTAGTCTTATGCTATCCAATACGGTAGTCACTAGCCTTATTTAAATTTATTGTCAGGTGTGGTGTCTCACGCCTGTAATCCCAGCATTTTGGGAGGCTGAGGCAGGAGGTTCACTTGAGCCCAGGAGTTCGAGACCAGTCTGGGCAACATAGTGAGACCGTTGTCTCTACAAAAAGTAAAAATATTAGCTGGGCGTGGTGGCATGAGCCTGTAGTCCCAGCTACTTGGGGAGGCTGAGGTGGGAGGACTGCTTGAGCCCAGGAGGTTGAGGCTGCAGTGAGCTATGATTGTGCCACTGCACTCCAGCCTGGGCAACGAAGCAAGACCCTGTCCCTAAGTGAATAAATAAACAAAATTAGCTGGGTGTGGTCGTGCACACCTGTAGTCTCAGCTACTTGGGAGGCTGAGGTGGGAGGATCGCTTGACTCCAGGAAGTTGAGGCTGTAGTGAGCTGTGATCATGCCACTGCACTCCAGCCTGAGTGACAGAGTGAGACCTTGTCTCAAATTAATTAATTAATTGAATTTTAAAAAATTTAAATTTCTTAAAGTTAAATAATATGAAATGTTCAGTATCTAAGTTGCAGTAGCCAGATTTCAAGTACTCGATACCCACATATAGCTAATGGCTATTGGACAGTACTGCTTTGGTTTTATTATTGCAATTATTTCTTTCTTTCTTTTCTTTTCTTTTTTTTTTTTTTTTTTGAGACAGAGTCTTGCTCTGTCGCCCAGGCTGGAGTGCAGTGGTGTGATCTCAGCTCACTGCAGCCTCCACCTCCCAGGTTCAAGCAATTCTCCTGCCTCAGTCTCCTGAGTAGCTGGGATTACAGGTGCGTGCCACCATGCCCAGCTAATTTTTTGTATTTTTAGTACTAATTTTTTGTATTTTTAGTACAGGTGTGAGCCACCGAGCCTGGCCTACAATTATTTCTTTATATCAGACTTTTTTCTTCTAGACGCCCTAAATTTTTTTTTTTTACATTCATCAAAATAGAGTTTCCCAACCTCAGTACTGTTGGTATTTTGGGTTGGATAATTATTTATTGCGAAAGACTGTCCTGTGCACTGTAGGATGCTGAGCAGCATCCCTGGCCTCTACGCACTAGATACCAGGAGCATCCCTCCACCCCAGCTTGTGACAGCCAATGTCTCCAGACATTGCTAAATGTCCCTGGGGGTGGGGGTGGGGAGCAAAATCTTTCTTAGTTGAGAACCACCAATCAAAATAACTCACTGTCATAGATGAAATTTACAGTTCAATTTAGTCTAAAATTTACAGAGAAACTTTTTATTTTCTTTCTTTCTTTCTTTCTTTTTTTTTTTTTTTTTGAGACACAGTCTCCTTTTGTCGCCCAGGCTGGAGTACAGTGGTGCAATATCGGCTCACTGCAAGCTCCGCCTCCCGGTTTCACGCCATTCTCTTGCCTCAGCCTCCCGAGTAGCTGGGACTGCAGGAGCCTGCCGCCATGCCCGGCTATTTTTTTGTATTTTTTTAGTAGAGACGGGGTTTCACCGTGTTAATCAGGATGGTCTTGATCTCCTGAACTCGTGATCCGCCCGCGTCGGCCTCCCAAAGTGCTGTGATTACAGGTGTGAGCCACCGCGCCCTGTGGACACTTTATTTTCTGAATTAATATTTTACTTCTACTTCAATTCTTACAAGCATGTCCATAGAAACCTATCTCAAGGAGGTCCCGGTGATGTACACAATATTAGTGAATAAAAATTAGACATTCTTTTTTTTGAGACAGGGTTTCTCTCACTTTGTCCCCTAGTCTGGAGTGCAGTGGCATGAACTCAGCTCACTGCAGCTTCAACCTCCCAGGTTCAAGCGATCCTCCCACCTCAGCCCCCCAGGTAGCTGGGACTACAGTTGCGTGCCACCACTCCCAGCTAATTTTTTTGTATTTTTTTGTAGAGATGGGGTTTCACCATGTTGCCAGGCTGGTCTCGAACTCCTGAGCTCAAGCAATCCACCTGCCTCGGCCTCCCAAAGTGCTGGGATTACAGGCGTGAGCCACCGCCCCTGACCAAATACTAGAAATTCTTATTTGTAATAGTAAGAATTTATTCTTATTATTATCCCAGCACTTTGGGAGGCCGAGGCAGGTGGATCACGAGGTCATGAGACTGAGACCATCCTGGCTAACATGGTGAAACCCAGTCTCTACTAAAAATACAAAAAAAAAAAAAAAAATTAGCCAGGCGTGGTGGCGGGCGCCTGTAGTCCCAGCTACTCGGGAGGCTGAAGCAGGAGAAAGGCGTGAACCCGGGAGGCGGAGCTTGCAGTGAGCCGAGATGGCGCCACTGCACTCCAGCCTGGGCGACAGAGCGACATTCCTCTCAAAAAAAAAAAAAAAATTCTTATTTGTAGTAGTTGTCACTTTTCTGCTCTAGGTGAAATTTCTTTAGTGACTTTGAGGAAAGGACAAACTCATAATAATGTTTAAAGTTCTGTGGTCCTAGACATTATCCTAACTTCTAATGCCATAGATGAATTTTGCCTGTTTTTGAACTTTATATCAAGAGTTGGCTGACTGAGGTAGTAGTTACACGGATGTATACATCTTTTAAAATTCATCAAACTCTACACTTAATATGAGTGTAATATATTGAATGTCAACATGTCTCAATGAGGTTGACTTAAAAATTTTTTTAAAAAAGAGTTGGCCAACTTTTTCTAAAAGAGTCCGATAGCAAACATTTCAGGCTTGCAGACCAGATGGCCTCTGTCACAACTACTCAACTCTGCAGTTGTAGCACTAAAGCCATCAAAGACAATACACACATGAAGGAGCATGGCTGTGTTCCAATAAAACTTTAATTATAAAAACAGGTGGCCAACCCATGGGCTGTACTTTCACAACTTCTACTTTATATAAATGGAATCATGTAGTGTGTATTTTTTTTTTTTTTAGATGGAGTCTTGCTCTGTTGCCCAGGCTGGAGTGCAGTGGCGTGATCTCAGCTCATTGCAACCTCTGCCTCCCGGTTCAAGCAATTCTCCTGCCTCAGCCTCCTGAGTAGCTGGGATTACAGGCACGTGCCACTACGCCCAGCTAATTTTTGTATTTTTAGTAGAGACGGGGTTTCGCCATGTTGCTCAGGCTGGTCTCCAACTCCTGATCTCGTGATCTGCCTGCCTCGGCCTCCCAAAGTGCTGGGATTACAGGTGTGAGCCACTGCGCCAGGCCATATGTATTATTTTTTATAGTCTGGTTTCTTTTGCTCAATATTATGTTTGTAAAATTCAGTCATGTTATTATGCATAGTTGTAGTTCATCATTCTTATTACTTAATATGAATTAATTAAAGATTTATTTGGCCGGGAGCGGTGGCTCACGCCTGTAATCACAGCACTTTGGGAGGCTGAGACGGGCAGATCATGATGTCAGGAGACCAAGACTATCCTGGCTAACACGGTGAAACCCCGTCTCTACTAAAAATACAAAAAATTAGCCAGGCGTGGTGGCGGGCGCCTGTAGTCCCAGCGACTCGGGAGGCTGAGGCAGAAGAATGGCGTGAACCTGGGAGGCAGAGCTTGCAGTGGGCCTAGATCGCGCCACTGCACTCCAGCCTGGGCGACAGAATGAGACTCCATCTCAAAAAAAAAAAAAAAAAAAAAAAAAAAAAAAAAAATATATATATATATATATATATATATATATATATATATATATATACACACACACATATGTATTTATATATTTATCCATTCCATTGTCAATGAGCATTTGGGTTATTTTTAGCTTAAGGCTTTTAGGAAAACTGCTGCTATGGGTCGGATGTGATGGTTCCTGCCTGTAATCCCAGCACTTTGGGAGGCCAACGCAAGAGGATCACTTGAGCCCAGGAGTTGGAGGCTGCAGTGATACCAGGAGTTGGAGACTGAAGTGAGCCGTGACTGTGCCACCGCCCTCGAGCTTGGGTGACAGAGCGAGACCATGTCTCAAAAAAAAAACCAAGAAAGTACTGCTATGGTGACGTATTATACCTAGGAGTGGAGTCCGTGTTATGGGCATGTTTATTTTTTATTTTATTTTATTTTTTTCAGATGGAGTCTCGCTTTGTCGCCAGGCTGGAGTGCACTGGCGCGATCTCCGCTCACTGCAACCTCCGACTCCCTGGTTCAAGTGATTCTCCTGCCTCAGCCTCCGGAGTAGCTGGGATTACAGGCACGCGCCACCACGCCCAGCTAATTTTTGTATTTTTAGTAGAGAGGGGGTTTCACCATGTTGGCCACGATGGTCTCTGTCTCCTGACCTCGTGATCTGCCCGCCTTGGCCTCCCAAATTGTTGGGATTACAGGCGTGAGCCACCGCACCAGGCCCACATTTGACTTTTCTCTGTTTTATCATAATGCTGGTTGTACCATTTCAGTGACTCTGTCATCCATGTCTGCATCCCTGCTCCACTGCCACGGACCTCATTCGAGGCCTCATCACCTCAGACCAGACCAGTCCCAAGAAGGAGGTTGTAACTCCTTTTGATGACCTACCTTCTCCTTAAGAGATCATCAGGATGAATCTCATCTCTGTGAACCTCAGAGATTCTGCTGTAGACACTATAGCTCACAGCAGCCTGAAACTCCTGAGCTCAAGTGAAACTCCCACCTCAGCCTTCTGAGTAGCTGGGACTACAAGCGTGAGCCACCACGCCTGGATGATTTTAAAATTTTCAGTAGAGGCCGGGTGCGGTGGCTCACGCCTGTAATCCCAGCACATTGGGAGGCCGAGGCGAGTGGATCATGAGGTCAGGAGTTCGAGACCAGCCTGACCAACATGGTGAAACCCTGTCTTTACCAAAAATACAAAAATTAGCCAGGCAAGGTGGCATGTGCCTGTAATCCCAGCTACTCAGGAGGCTGAGGCAGGAGAATTGCTTGAACCCAGGAGGTGGAGGTTGCAGTGAGCCAACAATGCGCCACTGCACTCCAGCCCTCCAGCCTGGGTGACAGAGGGAGACTCCGTCTCAAAAAAAAAAAAAAAAAAAAATTTAGTAGAGATGAGGTTTTGCCATGTTGTCCAGGCTGGTCTCAAACTCCTGGGCTCAAGAGATCCTCCTGCCTCAGGCTCCCAAAGTGCTGTGATTACAGGCATGAGCCACCTGCAGCCCTTTAGAGAAAGGGGTGCGAGTGCTTTCTCTTCCCCACCCCTCTCACCACTGGGTTTGATGATGGGTTATATGGTTTCCTCACCCCTTCTTGCTGCTTACAGAGCATTTGACTTCTCCTGTGCCTTCAAAACCCTAGATCTTTGCAACCTGAGCGATTAAACTCTACTGCACCACAGTCACTCTTTCTCGTGCCTAAAAACATGAAGCCTTGACTTATGGTCCTCTATGGTACTTGAGGGACAAAAACTCAACTCTTGGTAAAACTGCCTACCCTACACCTGCCTTCAAAGCTGAGCATGGTTGGGGAAACATACACAATTGTGACAAGTGGTCTCACTTTAAATATGTCACCACTAAGTTCAGGTGGTGGGTCCCTCAGCAGCAGTGACTTGCAGTGCCACTGCCTCTATGTAATCAGTTTGCTTTTCTACTTGCTGATTTGATTCATACCAGCTTTCTGCCTACTCAAATCTCTAATGACCCTTTCTGATTTCTTCTCTCTCTCAGTTGATGAAAATTCCATCTCTGCTGCTGTTGACCTAATTTAGGCCCTCATCACCCTGGTGTATGTATAAACCACACAAACATACCATTTAAAGTGTAATTATACAGGGAATATCTCTGTAAATCCAATTCATGGCATTCAAGGTCTTCTATGAGTTGACACTGGCCTCTTTTGCATGTATTTTATTAGATTTATTCCTTAGTACTTCATGTATTGTGATGATACTGTAAATGATATGTCTTAAACTTTTCATTTTCTAAATGTCTATTGCTAACGTATAGAAATATAATTGATTTTTGCATCTTGTTTTTATATCTAGCACTTTAGGTAAATTTTTATCTTTATTTTATTTTATTTTTTGAGATGGAGTCTCGCTCTGTCGCCCAGGCTGGAGTGCAGTGGTGTGATCTTGGCTCACTGCAAGCTCCGCCTCCCGGGTTCACGCCATTCTCCTGTGTCAGCCTCCCGAGTAGCTGGGACTACAGGTGGCCGCCACCACGCTGGCTAATTTTTTTTTTTTTTTTTTTTTTTTAGTAGAGACGGGGTTTCACCATGTTAGCTAGTATGGTCTCGATCTCCTGACCTTGTGATCCACCCGCCTCAGCCTCCCAGAGTGCTGCTGGGATTACAGGCCTGAGCCACCGTGCCCGGCTGTAAATTTTTATATAAATTCTTTTATATTTTTGGCCAGGGACAGTGGTTCATGCCTGTAATCCCAGCACTTTGGGAAGCTGAGGTGGGAGGACCCCTTTAGCCCAGGAGTTCAAGACCAGCCTGGGCAACATAGTGAGAGCCCCGTGTCTACGAAAAATTTAAAAATTAGCAGGGCATGGTGGCACAGGCCTGTGGTCCCAGCTACTTGGGAGGCTGAGGTGGGAGGACTGCTTGAGCCGAGGAAGTCAAGGCTGCAGTCAGCTGTGTTTGTACCACTGCACTCCACCCTAGATGACAGAGTGAGACCGTGTCTCAAAACAACAACAACAAATATTTACTTTAAGGAATAATTACGGCTGAGCATGGTGGCTCACGCCTGGAATCCCAGCACTTCGAGAGGCCAAGGCAGGCAGATCACCTGAGGTCAGGAGTTCGAGACCAGCCTGACCAACATGATGAAACCCGGTCTCTACTAAAAATACAAAAAAAATTAGCCAGGCATGGTGGTGGGCACCTGTAATCCCAGCTACTTGGGAGGCTGAGGCAGGAGAATTGCTTGAACCTGGGAGGCAGAAGTTGCAGTGAGCCGAGATCATGCCACTGCACTCCAGCCTGGGTGACAGAGCGAAACGCCATCTCAAAAAAAGAAAAAGAAAAAGAAAAAGAAAAAAAAAGGCCGGGCACTGTGGCTCACGCCTGTAATCCAAACACTTTGGGAGGCTGAGGCGGGCGGATCACCTGAGGTTAGGAGTTCGAGACCAGCCTGACCAACTTGGAGAAACCCCGTCTCTACTAAAAATACAAAAATTAGCTGGGCATGGTGTCAGGAGCCTGTAATCCCAGCTACTTGGGAGGCTGAGGCAGAAGAATCACTTGAACCTGGGAGGCGGAGGTTGTGGTGAGCCGAGATCGCGCCATTGCACTCCAGCCTGGGCGACAAGAGCGAAATTCCATCTCAGAAAAAAAGAAAGAAAGAAAGAAAGAATAATTACTAAGGGAACCTCTGTAACTAAAACCCAAGTTAAGAAACTATCTTAAAAATTCCCCTCTTTTGCCTCTCTAATCATATCTCCCTCTTCCTCCTTGCTTTTTTAAAACTAGTTTTACTTCTGCGTAAGCATCTTTTTTTTTTTTTTTTTTTTTTTTTTTTTTTTTTTTTGAGACGGAGTCTCACTCTGTTGCCCAGGCTGGAGTGCAGTGGTGTGATCTCGGCTCACTGCAACCTCCAACTCCCAGGTTCAATCGAATCTCCTGCCTCAACCTCCTGAGTAGCTAGGATTACAGGCACGTACCACCACGCCTGGCTAATTTTTTTTTTTTTTTTGAGACAGAGTCTTGCCCTGTCGCCCAGGCTGGAGTGCAATGGTACAATCTCAGCTCACTGCAACCTCTGCTTCCTGGGCTCAAACTATTCTCCTGCTCAGCCTCCTGAGTAGCTGGGATTACAGGCACCTGCCACCACTCCCAGCTATTTTTATTTTTAGTAGAGATGGGGTTTCACCATGTTGGCCAGGCTGGTCTCAAACTCCTGACCTCAGAGGATCTGCCCACCTGGGCCTCCCAAAGTGCTGGGATTACAGACGTGAGGCACCGTGCCCAGCCTCCTGGCTAATTTTTGTATTTTTACTAGAGACGGGGTTTCACTGTGTTGTCCAGACTGGTTTCAAACTCCCGACCTCAGGTGACCCGCCTGCCTCGGCCTCCCAAAGTGCTGGGGTTACAGGCTTGAGCCACTGTGCCCGGCCTTGATTTTTTTTCATTATTTTTAATACTACATAGAAAATTCATTGATTTTTGAATATTTTAAAATACACCCGGCTAGGTGCAGTGGCTTATGCCTGTAGTCCCAGCACTTTGGGAGGCTGAGGATGGCAGATCTCTTGAGCCCAGGAGTTCAAAACCAGCCTGGGCAACATGGCGAAACTCCATCTCTACAAAAAAATACAAAAATGAGCCGGGGTGGTGATGCACACCTATAGTCCCAGCTACTGGATGAGGTGGTGGGGAGTAGGGTAGAGCTGAGGTGGGAGGATCGTTTGAGCCTGAGAGGTTGAGCCTGCAGTGAATCGTTACAGTGCCACTGCACTTCAACCTGGGTGACAGAAAGGGACTCTGCCTCAAAAAAAAAAGAAAAGAAAAGGAAAGGAAAGAAAAGAAAAGAAAAGAAAAGAAAAGAAAAGAAAAGAAAAGAAAAAAGAAAAGAAAAGAGGCTGGGTGAGGTGGCTCATGTCTGTAATCCCAGCACTTTGGGAGGCTGAGGCGGGCAAATTGCTTGAGGTCAGGAGTTCGAGACCAGCCTGGCCAACAGGGTGAAACCCCAACTCTACTAAAAATACAAAAATTAGCCGGGCATGGTGGCGTGCACTTGTAATCCTAGCTACTCGGGAGGCTGAGGTGGAAGAACCTCTTGAGCCTGGGAGGCAGAGGCTGCAGTGAGCCGAGATCACACCACTTGACTGAAGCCTGGGTGACAGAGCAAGATTCCTTCTCGAAATAAAATAAAATAAAAACAAAACCCACAAAACATTCTGCCATAGTTTTTTTTTTAAATGTCAATAGTTGCTTTTAGTTGATTTGGTTGGATTTTCCAGGTAGATACATAATGATAATTTTGCTTTATCTTTTCCAAACGTTTATAACTCTTATTTCATCTCATTTTAAAATTCTTATTTTGTACTTTTTTTGTTTCATGGATTGTCTGCATCAGAATCATTTAGTTATTATTTTTTAAATTGACACATAATCACTGTATATATTTGTGGGGTATACAGTGATGTTTCCATACATCTGAAGTACAGTAATCAGATCAGGGCAGTTAGCATATCCATCATCTCAAACACCATTTCTTTGTGTTGGGAACATTCAATATCCTCCTTCTAGCCATCTGAAACTATATAATAAATTACTGTTAGCTATAGTTACCCTAGAACAAAGAATTTATTCCTCTTCTGTAGTTGTAATTTCGTATCCTTTAAGTGTATAGTTCAGTGGTATTAAGTATGTTGACATTGTTGCACAACAGAGCTCCGGAACATTTTCATCTTGCAAAACTGAAACTGTGTACCCATTAAACAATTCCCCATTTCCTCCTCTCCCAGCCCCTGGTAAGTACCATTCTATTTTCTGTTTAACTACCATTCTATTTTCTGTTTCTAAGAATTTGACTACTCTAGATATCTCGTATGAGGGGAATCACACAGTATTTATGTGACTGGCTTATTTCACTTGGCATAATGTCTTTAAGGTTTGTCCATGTTTGGGTCTGTGTCAGATTGCCTTCCTTTTTAAGGCTGAATAATATTCCATTGTATGTACATAGCATATTTTGTTTATCCATTCATTTGTCAATGGTTTCTTCCTTTTTTGGCTTTGCTTTTTTAACTTTATGTAAATTAATTTGTATCATACGTACTTTTTTACATTCAGCATTATATTTGTGAGATTCATTCATGTGACATGTCTAGCTGTAGCTGATTCATTCTTACTAATAAGTAGTATTCCATTTTATGTATATCATATTCCATAGTTGAAGAGCTTTTAGATTACTTTCAGGTTTTTGCTAATACAAACCACACCCCTCTGATGTCCTTGCTTGCGTCTACTGGTGTACATGTGTTGAGTTTCATGTATGTAGGAGTGGAAATGTGGACTTATAGGGCATATACATCTCAACTTTACTCGATAATGTCAAGGTATTTTCATTTTAACTTGATTTTTTTTTAATTACAAATGAGATTTAGCATCTTTTCAAATGTTTACTGGTTGCTTGAATTATCTTCTTTTGGGAAATGCTCATTTTAAAGTTTTCTCTTATTCCTTCTCTCTCTTTATAAACATTTCTATTATCTGAAATTATGTTTAGATTTACTTTTAAAATGTATGATTGTGGTAAAGAAAAACACATAACACAAAACTTACCACCTTAACTATTAAGTGTACAGTAGTGTTAAGCATATTTACATGGTTGTGTAATGTATCTCCAGAATTTTTCATCTTGTAATGCTGAAACTCTATACCCATTAAATGACAACCCTCCATTCTCCACTACCGCTAGCAACCACTGTTCTACTTTTTTTGTTTGTTTTTTATTTATTTTATTACTTATTTATTTATTTTGAGATGGAGTCTCGCTCTGTCGCCAGGCTGCAGTGCAGTAGGGCGTTCTCGGCTCACTGCAACCTCTGCCTCCCGGGTTCAAGCCATTCTCCTGCCTCAGCCTCTCGAGTAGCTGGGACTACAGGCACACACCACCACGCCCAGCTAATTTTTGTACTTTTAGTAGAGACAGGGTTTCACCATGTTGGCCAGGATGGTCTTGATCTCTTGACCTTGTGATCTGCCCGCGTCGGCCTCCCAAAGTGTTGGGATTACAGGCGTGAGTTGCCTATTTTTTTTTTTAAGGTGTGCACTTTTATTCAACTGGTCTCAAGTCAGTGTACAGGTAAGCCCTGGCTGCCTCCACCCACTCCCAGGGAGACCAAAAGCCTTCGTACATCTCATGCTGGGGGACAAAAAAGGGGGTGCCATGAAGGCAGATCATTCAAAATAAAATAAAATAAAATTTAAAAGTATTGAGGCAAAGATTAAAAAACTTTTGCATTACATAATTTACACAAAAGCAATGCTATCACCTCCCCTGAGTAGACTTGGGAGAGGAATGGGCCATTCTCCTTAGAGAGAAGTGGGGTGGGGCCAGGCGAGGTGGCTCACGCCTGTAATCCCAGCACTTTGGGAGGCCGAGGTGGGTGGATCACCTGAGTTCAGGAGTTCGAGACCAGCCTGGCCAACGTGGTGAAACCTTGTCTCTACTAAAAATACAAAAATTAGCCAGGCGTGGTGGCAGGCACCTGTAATCCCAGCTACTCAGGAGGCTGAGGTAGGAGAATCGCTTGAACCCGGGAGGTGGAGGTTGCAGTGAGCTGAGATTGTGCCATTGCACTCCAGCCTGGGGGACAAGAGTGAGACTTCGTCTCAAAAAAAAAAAAAAAAAAAAAGAGAGAGAGAGAAGTGGGGTGGCTTTTAGGAGGGCAAGGGACTTCCTGTAATAATGCATCTCATGATATTTGGAATGACTATTAAAAAAAAGAACAATATACAATCAAAGTCCTTGGCCACATTGTAGAACTTTGGGGAATGCTTGTGTCAACCGACTGCTGTCACCTCCACCGTTCCAGTTTTCAAATCCTGAATCAGGCCAAAAACAAAAACAAAAACAAAAAACAAAACAAACAAAAAGCAAATACAGCCATGCCAATCTCATCTCGCTTTCTGTGAAAGTTAGGTTTTGTCAAGAAAGGGTGTAATGTAGGCTGGGCGCGGTGGCTCACGCCTGTAATCCCAGCACTTTGGGAAGCCAAGGTGGGTGGATCACCTGAGGTCAGGAGTTCCAGGCCAGCCTAGCCAACATGGTGAAACCTTGTATCTACTAAAAATACAAAAAATTAGCCAGGCTAATGCCTGTAATTATCCTGCACATGCCTGTAATCCCAGCTACTTGGGAGGCTGAGGCAGGAGAATCTCTTGAACCTGGGAGGTGGAGGTTGCAGTGAGCCAAGATCGTACTATTACACTCCAGCCTGGGCAACAAGAGCAAAACTCCGTCTCAAAAATAAATAAATAAATAAAAATAAATCAGCCGAGATCACACCACTGCACTCCAGCCTGGGTGACAGAGCAAGACTCCATTTCAAAACAAACAAACAAACAAACAAAAACAAACCAAAACAAAAAACCCTCTTTGGAAAAAACTACAGGCCACAGATCCTACTGCAACTTGTGTTTGTTTTTCCTGGGTGTGTTCTCAACCTTAGCGAAATAAACTTCTAGACTGATTAAGATCTGTCTCGGACACTTTTTGGTTTACACTAATATACATGAGTGAAAGGCTTTTTTTGTTTTTTGTTTTAGAGACTTTATATTATGAAAATTTTCAGCCATACACAAAAATACTACTCATCATTCAGTTTCAACAATCATCAACATTTTAACATTTTTGTTTATCCCACTCCCATTTCTTTTTTTCCTCTGGACATTTTAAAATGTATCCCAGACACCGTATCATTTTACCCATAAAAGCTTCAGTAAGTATTTCTAACAGATAGGGACTTTTTCTTTTTCTTTTCTTTTTTTTTTTTTTGAGATGAAGCGAGACTCTGTCACCCAGGCTGGAGTGCAATGGCACAATCTCAGCTCACTACAACCTCTGCCTCCTGGGTTCAAGCAATTCTCCTGTCTCTGCCTCCTGAGTAGCTGGGATAACAGGCGTGGGCCACCACATCCGGCTAATTTTTTTGTATTTTTGTGGAGACGGGCTTTCACCATGTTGGCCAGGCTGGTCTCAAACTCCTGATCTCAAGTGATCCACCTGCCTCGGCCTCCCAAAGTGCTGGGATTACAGGTGGGAGCTACCATGCCCAGCACTTTGGGAGGCCGAGGCAGGCGGATCACCTGTGGTTGGGAGTTCGAGACCAGCCTGACCAACATGGAGAAATCCCGTCTCTACTAAAAATACAAAATTAGCTGGGCATCGTGGCACATGACTGTAATCCCAGCTACTCAGGAGGCTGAGGCAGGAGAATCCCTTGAACCCGGGAGGCAGAGGTTGCAGCGAGCTGAGATCAAGCCACTGCACTCCAGTCTGGGCGACAGAGCAAGACTCTGTCTCAAAAAAAAAAAAAAAGCAATTGTAATGTCTTAATATCCCATCTGTGTTCAACTTTCCCCAAATGCCTCAAAAAATCTTTATGGTCAGTTTGAATCAGAATTCAACCTCAGTCTACACAATTTTATTTGGTTGATAAACCTGTTACGTCTCTTTCTGGGTCATTAAGATATTTCTTATGTTCTACATTTGGCTCATTCCATCCTGTGGTGTCATTTAACATGTTTCTCTAGCCCTATCCCCATATTTTCACATATTCCTATGGAAGCTTGGTTAGATTCAGGCTTGATTATTTTGGCACAAATACTACATAGGTGGTCCTGTGTACCTCCCATTGTGTCATATAAGGAGACTTCACTTTATGTCATGTTAAGATTGACCAGAGAGTTTAGGTACTGTCAGTTTGGTACAAACTTTCACCTAATGGCTTTAGCAGTTATTGATGATCATTGTCTAGATCCATGACTTCAGTGGGGGTTGCAGAATGATAACATCCTAATTCTAGCATTCCTTTAGCATTTATTACCCAGAATTATTATTTTTATTTTATTTTTCAATTTGGCACAAATCTCACACTCAGCCCAGAATTATTTTATAAAGAAGAATGTTCTCAGCAATTCACTCTCTTGAGTATGCTTTCACTTCCCTGAGTGTGTAAAAAAAAAAAGAATCTTTTCACACAAATTATTCGGTTACCTTGAAATACAGCTTGTGCAGGAAAACCAGGATACATTCTTGATTTGTTCCTGCTTATATTAGTTTTCTATTGCTACATAACAAACCACCAGAAATGTAGCAATTTAAAACAACACTCACTTATTATCTCCTTGCTCTGGCGGTCAGGCTCTGTTTAGGGTCTCCCAAAGCTAAGATCAAGGTGTTGGCTGGGCTTGAATCTTATCTGGAGGTACTGGAGAAGAATCAGTTTGCAAGCTCATTGGGGTTTCGGCAGAATCCAGTTCCTTGCTATTATAGGTCTGAGGTCCCTTTGCTGGTTGGCAGCTGGGACGGCTCCTAGAGACCATGGGTACATTCCTTCTCATGTATGTGGCGCCCTCCATCTTCAACCAGCAATAGCATCAACTCCTTCTCACGCTTTTTTTTAGATGGAGTCTCACTCTGTCGCCCAGGCTGGAGTGCAGTGGCTTGATCTCAGTTCACTGTAACCTTTGCCTCCCGGGTTCAAGAGATTCTCCTGCCTCAGCCTCCCGAGTAGCTGGGATTACAAGCGCACGCCACCACACCCAGCTAATTTTGGTATTTTTGGTAGAGATGGGGTTTCACCTTGTTGGCCAGGCTGGTCTCAAACTCCTGACCTCAAGTGATCTGCCCACCTCGGCCTCCCAAAGGGCTGGGATTACAGGCGTGAGCCACTGTGCCCAACCCCTTCTCACACTTTGAAGCGCTTTCTCTTCTGCCACCAGGTGAAAAAAATGCTCTGCTTTTAAAAGGCTCACCTGAATTGGGTCAAGCCCACTCCGATAAATCTCTGTATTTTAAGATTACCTAACGGAATTTTGATTTCTTCTGCAAAGTCCTTTCACAGCAGTACCAAGATTAGTATTTGAATAATCCAGAGATAGAAACTTGGTGGTAGTAGGGGGCTGAGGGGCATCATAGAATTCTGCCTATCACAGCTGTATATGTCAGTGGGTTTTGTTGTTGTTGTTGTTGTTGTTATTATTTGTTTGTTTTTGAGACAGAGTCTTGCTCTGTCACCCAGGCTGGACTGCAGTGGCGCAATCTCAGCTCACTGCAGCCTCTGCCTCCCGGGTTCAAGCAATTCTCCTGCCTCAGCCTACTGAGTAGCTGGGACTACAGGTGCCCGCCACCACGCCCAGCTAATTTTTTCCGTTTTTAGTAGAGATGGGGTTTCACCATGTTGGCCAGGCTGGTCTCGAGCTCTTGGCCTAAAGCGATCCACCTGCCTCAGCCTCCCAAAGTGTTGGGATTACAGGTGTGAGCCAATGTGTCCAGACTATATGTCAGTTTTTAAAGTATTAATTTGATAATCTAGCAAAGATGACTCATGAAGTTTGTTTTCCATTAGCATCTTTATGAAACATGGAATTTTTTTTTTTTTTTTGAGACGGAGTTTCACTCTTGTTGTCCAGGCTGGAGTGGAATGGCGCGATCTTGGCTCACCACAACCTCCGCCTCCCGGGTTCAAGTGATTCTCCTGCCTCAACCTCCTGAGTAGCTGGGATTACAGGCATGCGCCACCACGCCCAGCTAATTTTTTGTATTTTTAGTAGAGACGGGCTTTCTCCATGTTGGTCAGGCTGGTCTTGAACTCCCGACCTCAGGTGATTCGCCCACCTCGGCCTCCTAAAGTGCTGGGATTACAGGCGTGAGCCACCGCGCCTGGCCTGGGTTTTATTTTAAAAAAAAAATTTTTTTTTTTTGAGATGTAGTCTGGCTCTGCCACCCAGGCTGGAGTGCAGTGGTGCGATCTCGGCTCACTGCAAGCTCCGCCTCCTGGGTTCACGCCATTCTCCTGCCTCAGCCTCCCAAGTATCTGGGACTACAGGCACCCGTCACCACGCCCGGCTAGTTTTTTTTTTTGTATTTTTGGTAGAGACAGGGTTTCACTGTGTTTGCCAGGATGGTCTCGATCTCCTGACCTTGTAATCCGCCCGCCTTGGCCTCCCAAAGTGCTGGCATTACAGACGTGAGCCACCACCGTGCCCGGCCTATTTTTTAAATATTTTTTACAACACAATCAAGTGAGATTCATTATGAAAATGTAAGTGAGAAAAATTCAACAACCATTCTTGAAACAATAACAGTAAAATAGAAAAATATGAATATCATCTTAACATGGCCCTAAAGCCAACCACATGCGTCTTTTTTTATATATAATTTCACCTTTTATTTTAGATTCGGGGGCACTCGCGCAGGTTTGTTACACAGGTATATTGCGTGATGCTGTGTTTTGGGATATGATTGATCCCGTCACCCAGATAGTGAGCACAGTACCCAATAGTTAGTTTTTCAACATTTGCCCCCCTCCCTGCCTCCTTGTTCTAGTAGTCCCCAGTGTCTATTGTTGCAATCTTTATGTCCATGCGTATTCAATGTTTAGCTCTCATTTATAGGTGAAAACATGCAGCCAACCACATCCTTAGTGAGGAAACATTAGAGGCATTTTCACAAAAGTCAGTAACAGGAAATTATGCCGACTAATACCTCTATTGTTTATTTATTTATCTATTTTTCTCTGAGACGGAGTCTCACTCTGTCACCCAGGTTGGAGTGCAGTGGTGCGATCTCGGCTCACTGCAACCTCCACTTCCCGGGTTCAAGCAATTCTCCTGCCTCAGCCTCCGGAGTAGCTGGGATTACAGGCACCCACCACCACACCTGGCTAATTTTTGTATTTTTAGTAGAGATGGGTTTTCACCATATTGGCCAGGCTGGTCTCAAACTCCTGACCTCAAGTGATCCACCCGCCTACGCCTCCCAAAGTGCTGGGATTATAGGCATGAGCCACCGCGCCTGATCTGTTTAACATTTTATTGATGTTATTATCCCGTAACAATTTGCCAAAAATAAAGAGTTAGAGGTATAAAATATGACACATGGATTTTTATATAGTTGATGTTTTAACCCTTTATATTCACTATTCTTTTGATGCTCAAACTGTTCCATGTTTGGTCAAGAGAAATGCCTTCAAGTTGGTTCCTGTGTCATTTTGACAAGATCTCAGTAGTCTTTGATAGCTTCCTTTGCTATAACACAAAGTGTTCAGGTTAACCTTGAACATTTCCTACCCCAGTACTGAAATCAGCTCTTTCTTCAAGGAGCCCTGGCTCCGTTTTTTCTTTTTTTTTTTCCTTTTGAGACGGAGTCTCACTCTGTTGCCAGGCTGGGGTGCAGTGGCGCGATCTCGGCTCACTGCCACCTCTGCTTCCCAGGTTCAAGCGAGTCTCCTGCCTCACCCTCCCAAGTAGCTGGGACTACAGGCGTGTGCCACCACACCCGGCTAATTTTTTGTATTTTTAGTAGAGGGGGTTGCGCCATGTTGGCCAGGATGGTCTCGATCACTTCACCTTGTGATCCGCCTGCCTCGGCCTTCAAAGTGCTGAGATTACAGGCGTGAGCCACCGCGCCCGGCCCCTGGCTCCTTTCAGTGAAAAGTAGATTTAGAGATCACAATCTGGGCACTGGATTTTTTTTTTTTTTTTTGAGACAGAGTCTCGCTCTGTTGCCCAGGCTGGAGTGCAGTGGCACGATCTTGGCTCACTGCAAACTCTGCCCCCTGGGTTCAAGCAATTCTCTGCCTCAGCCTCCTGAGTAGCTGGGATTACAGGCACCTACCACCACACCCAGCTAATTTTTGTATTTGTAGTAGAACGGGGTTTCACCATGTTGGCCAGGCTGGTCTTGAACCACTGTGCCTGGCCTGGGCACTGGGTTTTCAAGATTTCTACTCCATTCTTAGTGGACAGAACTGCGAAATGTGTATTTTTCAGAAAGAGAAAAAGAAATTAAACGTTTAGGCCAGGCATGGTGGCTCACGCCTGTAATCCCAACACTTCGGGAGGCTAAGGTGGGAAGATCTCTTGAGGCCAGGACTTCAAGAGATCAGGCTGGACAGCATAGTGAGACCTTGTCTCTACAAAAAATAAACAAAATTAGCCGAATGTGGTCGCTTGTGCCTGTAGTCCCAGCTACTCAGGAGGCTGAGTCAAGAGGATCACTTGAGCCCCGGAGGTGAAGGTTACAGTGAGTGGAAATCGTGCCACTGCACTTCAGCCTGGGTGACAGTGAGACTGTCTCAAAAAAAAAAAATTCACATTGATATTTCCAATAAAAGTTTAAGATTACAGCCAGGCATGATGGCTCACACCTGTAATCCCAGCACTTTGGGAGGCCAAGGTGGGCAGATCACTTGAGGTCAGGAGTTTGAGGCCAACAGGATGAAACCCTGTCTCTACTAAAATTACAAAAAATTAGCTGGGCATGGTAGTGTGAGCCTGTAGTCCCACCTACTCAGAGGCTGAGGCATGTGAATCGTGTGAACCTGGCAGTGAGAGGTTTCAGTGAACCTAGATGGTGTCACTGCACTCCAGCCTGAGTGACTGAGTGACAGAGGGAAATTCTGTCTCAAAAAAAATAAAAAGATTACATTGTCCTTAATTTTATACTGGTATCTCTCTCCTTTTCTTTTCTTTCTTTCTTTTTTTTTTTTTTTTTTGAGATGGAGTTTTGCTCTTATTGCCCAGGCTGGAGTACTTACTGCAGCCTCCACCTCCCAGGTTCAAGTGATTCTCCTGCCTCAGCCTCCTGAGTAGCTGGAACTACAGGCACGTGCCAGCACGCCTGGCTAATTTTTGTATTTTTAGTAGAGATAAGGTTTAGCCATGTTGGTCAGGCTGGTCTCGAACTCCTGACCTCAGGTGATCTGCCTGCCTCGGCCTCCCAAAGTGTTGGGATTACAGGCGTGAGCCACCATGCCTGGCCAGTCTTCATTAATCTAAAAGTATTTTATAACCTCCCTTCTGATTTCTTCTTTGGCTCATTGATTGTTTAGGAATGTGTTGTTTAATTTCCATATATTTGCGAATTTCTCAAGTTTCTTCTGCTATTGATTTCTATTTTTCATTTCCTTGCAGTTAGAGAACATGCTTTGTATGATTTCACTTCATTTGAATGTATTGAGATTTGTATTATGATATACCTTACATAACATATAGTCTACCTTATAGAAAGTTCCACGTGCACTTGAGAAGAACGTGCATTCTGCTGTTGCTGGATGAGGTGTTCTGCTGCTGCTGAGGAGAGATAGATGGGAATATGACAATTTAAATGTTCACAAACTCATTATTCTTACTGAGTTTAGTAGTTTTTCTGAATGCATGCTCTTCAAATTGTGGTAAGCCTTTGATGAATTTCCAAAGTTCTGAAAAAAGTTGATTTTGACAATTTTTGCTTTTGTTTTCATTGCCTTTATGGAAGTGCAGATTTGTGGAGGTCCTCACTCTGCCATTCCAGAAGTACCGCTTACAAAACACTGTTTTAAAGACACTTAAAATAATTATCTGTGATTCTGGCAGAGGTAATCAGGTTCATCAGATTCATTTGTTCCATTTTTTATATATAGGGAGTACCTCTCTTTCTTCTTGATTTAATTTTTAAAAATTATGCAAATCATTTGCATGTTTCCAAAGTCAAATCTATGAAACAAGATCTATTCAGAAAGATCTACTTCCATCGTTACCCTTTCCTCCCCTGTGAGTTATGTTAAAATTAGTTTTTGATGATGCCTCATTATTTATTTTTAAAAATAGAAGCAATTGCTACATATGAATATTCTTCTTTTCCCATCCCTCTTTGCTTTTTCACTCCACTGCAGAATGGATCACTCTATTGTAGAATACCAAGCTCATCCTCATTTAAAAGGGTTTTGAAGCCTGGCCAACATGGTGAAACCCCGACTCTACCAAAAAAAACAAAAATTAGCCAGGCGAGGTATTGCGCACCTGTAATCCCAGCTGCTTGGGAGGCTGAGGCAGGAGAAGTGCTTTAACCTGGGGGATGGGTTCAGAATACTAAGCATTCTGTATTTTATCTGGCAATCTTGTTTAGAACCCAAATCAAGTAGACAATATGGGCTTGCCTTGGTGTTCACTGTCTGGAAAGAAGAAGTAGGCATGGGCTAGTGTGGAATCACTCCCTCCGAGCTGTTAGTCACCGAGTTTTGTGCTGGAAGAGGACTGGCTTAGACATTTTTTCTGGTTCATCTCTTGCTTTTCCGTCAGAGACACCCTCACCCCCTAGTCATGCTGAATCATCTGCAGTCTT